>NC_000009.12:2510000-5010000 GCF_000001405.40 Homo sapiens | reverse complement strand
TGGAGCTCAAGACTAGCCCCGGCAACATTGCGAGACCCTGTCTCTACAAAAAAGAAATCTAAAAATTAGCCAGCATGTAGTGTGCACCTGTAGTACTAGCTACTTGGGAGGCTGAAATGGGAGGACGGCTTAAGCTTATGAGTTTGAGCCTGCAGTGAGCTAGGTTGGCACCACTTCACTCCAGCCTGGGCAACAGAGCAAGACTGTGACTGCAAAAAAAAAAAATTTTAACTGAAGAAAAAAAATACACAGAGGAAGGCATCTATAAGCATAAAAACAGTTGTCTGCACACACATAAAAAGCATAAATATGCAATGATTATCAAGGATTATTACAGTTAGGATGGGGATGGGGCAGGGGTTGTAGGAATAAAAGAGTAAGACCAAAATGGACCAGAAAACAACTGACCCCAGAAGAAACAGATAATGCAGGGAAGATAACTTGGTTTAAAATCTTTCTCGGTATTCTCAGAGAGATTTAAGAATATTTTGAAAACATAAAGCATCACTAGATTATGAAAAAGGAGCAGAGAATAAATAAAGTTTACAAAATTAAAAAAAAAAATCCTGACTAGTAATGAAGACAGCCTGGGCATTTCATAGTGTTCCTGTGCTGCTCTATCCTGGCTGTTTCCATTCTGTATCAGATGTAGCCACTATACACAATTTTGTGGATATTCTTCACGGCTTTATTCTTTATCATGAAGCAGTATTTTTCTTAATTTTGCCTCTTTTGCATTTCCTATAGAAATAAATAAATGGATCGTTCTCTCCTTTCCCACAGGTGTTTAACACCTGCTGATGTCTGAGCCTCGGACCACCCAATTTGCTCATCCATTCCAGTTATTTTAAGATTTGTGTTGTTCCAACTTATGTGTTGCTGTTATAGAAAATGCTGCTCTAATCATACTTGTTAAAGTTTGCAAGTGGCTGTGCATAATAAATTCTCTATACATTAAAGAAAAAGAGATAGATGACAATTCAGTGAAAGAGTTGAATAATACGACTCAAAGGATCAAACTCATAATTTGGAAGACAGTCAAGACAAACTCCCAGGTCCTAGACTCAGAAAGAGAAAGAGACAGACAGAAAGAAAAAAATATTATGAGCATAAAAGTAAGAAATAAGAGGATCAATCCAGGGAGTACAATTCTAAAGAGAAGCTCTAGATGGAGGACGAATGAAAACACAGGGAAGAAAAATAATAGAAGAAATTTTATTGGTGTTAAAGATGCTGGGTTCATGTTAAAAAGATCTGCTGAGAGGAGATAACATTTAATTTTTTAAAAACTGTACCGATACAAATCAAAGCAAAGGATCCAAACACCAAAGATAACAAAGAAACTCTAAAAGAGTTCAGTTTATCTCTGTCTACTCAGAGCTTTTACCCACACATATAAAAATCACTGATGAAAACACATGCATTCAGATTGGTCCCTCTTTAGATTCATACTCAAATGGGCCCTTAGTGCTGCTCAACTATCATTTTATATTTCTTTAGAACATTTACTCTTCCACTATCCAAGACAACTATCTCATACTTTCTCCTCCTCAATCACCAAAAGTGCCAGCCCTTTTCTTAATCTCCACTTCCTACATTTGACTGAGAAATACAAGCAATCAAAAGCAAACACCTAACAACTGAAGAATGCATATCCTTTTCAAATGAAGCTGGAATATTTTAGAAAGTAGACCACATGTTAGGCCATAAAATTCTCAACAAATTATTAATGAAATCATACAAAATATAATTTGTATTCAAAACATAAACAATGGAACAAGCAAACATTTTATATATTTGGGACCCATAATATTGACTTTATGTATAGACTATAAAAAATTTATATAATTCTTAAAAGTACTGAACAAATAGCAACACTGAAGAATATCGCATAAAAATGTGAAACTCAGCTTCACCATTACCCACTCATGTTATTCTGTGTAAACAGTTTGATAAGAATTCTCATTATTAGGGCCAGGCGCGGTGGCTCATGCCTGTAATCCCAGCACTTTGGGAGGCCGAGGCGGGGGGATCATTTGAGGTCAGGAATTCCAGGCCAGCCAGGCCAATGTAGTGAGACCCTGTTCTCCAGTGAAAACACAAAAATTAGCCAGGCGTGGTGGCACGTGCCTGTAATCCCAGCTACTTGGGAGGCTGAGATAGGAGAATTGCTTGAACCTGGGAGGCAGAGATTGCAGTGAGCCAAGGCTCAGATATCACACCACTGCAGTTCAGCCTGGGTGACAGAGTGAGACTCCACTCCAAAAAAAAAAAAGACAATATAATAATAATAATAATTCTCATTATTAGACTGGTGCAAAAGTAATTGTGGTTTTTGCCATTAAAGTATGAGTAAAAAACGCAATTACTTTAGCGTCAACCTAATAAAAGTATATTAAGTTGCAAAATAGGACATATTTTGCATTCAATGATTACTTAATATTTTATAAATTTATGCTATTCTTAATACCTCAACAAAAAAAACTCACGTATGCATTGAAAAATGTGAAGTTCTGCATTTGAATTAATGGAAATTTGCCAATGGCACCTAAATTAAAAATCTCTTATGGAAAATATAACCACTGACAAAAGTACCACAGCATATACAGAAAAATAACTAGAAACCCGCATATATTTGTAAATTAATCAATATATTTTCATAGAACCCATGGTACAAAGAATAACTTTAAAAATACTTTGAATCAATAATGAAAATGAGTAAAACGCAGTAAAAGTGTATACTAAGATATTCATAATCTTAAATTCATACACAAGACGAGAAGAAAGGCTGAACAATGTTATTAAATAAATTTTCATTTCAAGAAGTTGCAACAAATTAAGCCAAAAACCATAAAAATGAAAGTACTTAAGAGCAGAAATCAGAGAAAAATAAAAATAAAATAAAGAAAAGCAAAGTAAAACGTTGGCTTTTTAAAAGCATTAAAATTGATAAAACACTAGAAAGACTGATCAAGAAAAAAAGAAGATAAAACATAAATTATCAATATCGGGAATTAAAAAGTAGACATTATTACCAGAGCTTACAATATTGAAACATGTAAAAGACAACAGGAATATTCTCCAATTTAAAAACAAATGAAGTTCCTTTTAAAACAATTTACCTAAACTAGCACAAGAAGAAATATAAAATTTGAATAATTCTATATATAATTGATATGGTTTGGTTCTGTGTCCCCACCCAAATCTCATGTTGAATTATGATCTTCAGTGTTAGAGGAGTGGCCTGGTGAGAGGTGACTGGGTCATGGGATGGATTTACGCTTTGCTAGTCTCATGATAGTGAGTGAGTTTGCATGAGATCTGGTTATTTAAATTTTTGCAGCATGTCGTCCTTTGCTGTCTCTTTCCTGTTGCTGTATGAAGATGTACTTTTTTCCCCTTCACCTTCTACCATGATTGTAAATTTCCTGAGGCCTTCCCAGCCATGCCTTGTGTACAGCCTATGGAACCATGAGTCAATTAAACAACTTTTCTTTAAAAACTACCCAGTCTCAGATAGCTCTTTATAGCAATATGAGAACAAACAAATACAGTAATTTAAAAATTGAATATACCATGATTGTATATCTAGAAAACCCCATTGTCTCAGCCCAAAATCTCCTTAAGCTGATAAGCAACTTCAGCAAAGTCTCAGCATACAAAATCAATGTACAAAAATCACAAGCATTCTTATACACCAATAACACACAGAGAGCCAAATCATGAGTGAACTCCCGTTCACAATTGCTTCAAAGAGAATAAAATACCTAGGAATCCAACTTACAAGGGATGTGAAGGACCTCTTCAAGGAGAACTACAAACCACTGCTCAATGAAATAAAAGAGGATACAAACAAATGGAAGAACATTCCATGCTCATGGGTAGGAAGAATCAATATCGTGAAAATGGCCATACTGCCCAAGGTCATTTATAGATTCAATGCCATCCCCATCAAGCTACCAATGACTTTCTTCACAGAATTGGAAAAAACTACTTTAAAGTTCATATGGAACCAAAAAAGAGCCTGCATCGCCAGGTCAATCCTAAGCCAAAAGAACAAAGCTGGAGGCATCACGCTACCTGACTTCAAACTATACTACAAGGCTACAGTAACCAAAACAGCATGGTACTGGTAGCAAAACAGAGATATAGATCAATGGAACAGAACAGAGCCCTCAGAATATACCATTTAAAACTTTTCCACATAGAAAATGTAATGCCCAGTGACTTTGCTGGTAAATTTTTCCAAATGTCTGAGGAAGAAACATTGAGCTTATACAAACTCTCTCAGGAAATAGAAAATAAAAAACACTTACCCACATTCTTAAAATGAGAGTATAAACATGATACCAAAATATGTAAGGACATGAAAAGGAAAAAAATTACACTGGAATCTCTCTCATAAACATATTTGGAAAAAAATGCTAAACAAAATACTAGCAAATTAAATCCAATAACACTTTAAAAGAATACATCTTGACCAAATGAATTTACCCCCAGGAGTGCAAAGTTAACATTTAGAAATCAATCATTATACCAGATTTAAAAACTTGTACACAGCAAGGGAAACAATTAACAGAGTGAAGGGACAACCTATAAAACAGGAGAAAATATTTTCAAGCCATCCATATGATAAGGAGTTAATATCCAAAATAGATAAGAAATGCAAACAACTCAAAAGCAAGAAAACAAATAACCTGATTTAAAAATGGGCAAAGGACCGGAACAGATATTCCTCAAAGGACAATACAGACTGGGTGCAGTGGCTCAACCCTGTAATCCCAAAACTTTGGGAGGCCAAGGTGGGAGGATTACTTGAGACCAGGAGTTCAAGACCAGCCTGGGCAACACAGTGAGACCCTGTACCTAAAAAAAAAAAAAAAAAAAAAAAAAAAAAAAAAAAAAAAAAAAAAAAAATTAGCCAGGCATGCTGGCACATGCCTGCAGTCCCAACTACTCAAGAGGCTGAAGGAGGAGGATCACTTGCGCTTGGGAGGTCAAGGCTGCAGTGAGCTATGATCACACCACTGCACTTCAGCCTAGGCAACAGAGCAAGACTCTGTCTCAAAAAAAAAAAAAAAAGACAATATGTAAATGGCCAACATGTTCATGAAAAAACGTTCAACATCACTAAATGCAAATTAAAACCATAGTGAGATCTCACCTCATGCCTGTTACAATGAGCCTTATCAAAAAGATATAAGGATAACAAGCATTGGTGAGTGTGTGGAGAAAAAGAAACTCTTGTATACTCTTGGTGGGAAAATGTAAATTTTTACAGTCACTATGGAAAATGAATGGAGGTTCCTCAAAAAATTAAAATGGAACTACCATATGATTTAGCAATCCCACTTCTGGGTATTGGAACTAAAAATAATATGTCAAAGCAATATCTACACTCCCATGCTCATTGCAGCATTATTCTTAATAGCCAAGATAAAGAATCAACCTAAGTGTCCATCAACAGATGAACTGATAAAGAAAATACAGCATATGTACACAATAGAATATAATTCAGCCTTAAAAAAAGAAGAAAATCTTGTCATTTACAACAACATGGATGAACCTGGAAGACATTATATTAAGTGAAATAAAGCTAGGCACAGAAAGACAAAACTGTATGATCTCACTGATCCATAGAATCTAAAAAAGTAGAAATCATAGAAGCAGAGAGTAAGTAGAACAGCAGTTACCAGAGGCTGAGGGTCCCATTAGGAGGAATGGGAGACGTTGGTCAAAGGATACGAAATTTCTGTTAGATAGGAGGAGTAAACTGAAGAGATCTATTGTACATCATGGTGATTACCAATAACAATATATCGTATACTTGAAAATTGCTAAGAGTAGATTTTAAGTGTTCTCACCACAAAAGATAAGTATGTGAGGTGATACATATGTTAATTAGACTGATTTTGCCATTCTGCAATGTATACATATAACAAAATGTCATGTTGTACACCATATATACAATTTTTATGTAATTTAGAAAAAAATTTTTTAAATAGTCAATATATTTTACATTATTAGCACAATGAGAAAACACACCATATGATCATTTCAATAGATGCAGAAACTACTCCTAATAAAATTTAACCAATGTTCATGATTTTAAAATCTCAAACTAGGAATAAAAGCAAACTTCCTCACTCTGATAAAGGGTAACAGTAAAAAAACAATATACCTAATGGTAAAATATTGATCTTGTTCTTCTAGAGTTCAAAAACGTAACAATCATGTCTAAAATCATGATTTCTATTCAATACCATAGTGGACATTGTGGCTAGTGCAATAAGGCAAGAAAACTAAATAAAAGTTATGATGATTAGAAAGGATAAGTAAAATTGTCAGTATTCATAGAGGACATGTCTGTATATGTAGGAAATTTAAAAGAATCTACCAATCACTGAGTGAATTTAGCAAAGTCACAAGATGCAAGACCAATATATAAAAATCAACTGCATTTCTGTATGTCAGAAGCAAACAATTTTTTAAATGAACATTTAAAAATAGTATCATTTACAATAGTAACAAAAAATCAAATACCTAGGAATACATCTATGGAAATATCTGTAAAAACTGTGCAATAAAAACTGTAAAACATTTCTACAAAAAATAAATGCTAGCTAAATAAGAGAGGGATAGACCATGCTGATATAAGAATACAGAAAAACTCAGTATGGTTCAGATGTCGGTTCTTTTCCAAATTAATCTATAGATTCAACCCACTTCCAATTAAAATCCTAGCAGTTTTTGTGGAAATTTACAAGTTGATCCTAAAGTCTGTGAAAAACAAAGGATTTACAATAGCCAAAACAATCTTGAAGAGCAAACTAAAGATTTATATTATCAGACATCAAGATTTATCATAAAGATAGAACAAGCAGATTGGTATTAGCACAAAAATGAACAAATAGACAAATGGAACAGAATAGAGTCCAAAAAAACATACTCACATACAGTTACCTAATTTGGAACAGATGTGCCATTGCATTTCAGTGAAGAAATATTGGTCATTTCAAAACATGTGGCTTAGTCAACTGGTTATTCATATGGGGCAAAAAATAACCTTAACTTCTATCTACTTCATACGGTACACAAATATTAATTTAAGATGGAAAACAGACCAATGTGACCTCTTGTAAGCAGAACATAAAAACACTAATCATAGAAGATTTATAAATTACTCTTCTTAAATATATATGCACACAATAATAGTTTCCAATTACATGAAGCAAAAATGTAAAGAGGGAAATAAAACAACTATTACACTAAAAATTTCAATACTCATTTCTCAGGAATTAACAAAAAAAATTTTTTTAATCAGTAAAAATAATGAAGACCTAAACATCAACCAACTAAATATAACTGACATTTACAGAACACAATGCCCAACAACTGCAGAACATACATCCTTTTCAAGTGCTCACAGAACATTCACTAAGTTATACCATAGGTTGGTCCATAAACCAATTCTCAAACATTTGAAAAGACTGAATTAATATGAATTATATTCTTGGCCATAGCAAAATTGAATTAGAAATAAATATCAAAAAACTATCTAGAAAATCTCCCAGTATTGCAAAATTAACATAGTTCTAAATAATCCCAGGTTCGAAGAAGAAATTAAAAGGGAAATCAGAAATTATTTTCACCTGAATGATAATAAACAATAAAATTTGGGGGAATACAGCTAAAATAGTGGTTAGAGAGAATGTATAGCTATAAATGCTTATGATGGAAAAGAAGAAAGATATGAAATTAATTATGTAAGCTTCCTAGGTAGCTAGAAAACAAAACCAGAGAGTGAAGAAAGAATAAAGAACAAAAATTAATAATATATAAAACAATAAAGAAAATCAATCAAACCAAAACTTTGTTTTTAGAAAAGATTTAAAAAGTTGATAAACCTCTAAGATGATCAATTTACAAACAGAAAAGAACACATATTACCAATATGTGCCCCATATGATGTAAAAAAAGCAGGATATCGCTACAGATTTTATAAACAGTAAGTGGATATAAAAAGATAGGAGCAACTTCATGCCAATGACTTTAACAAGTTAGATTTGATGAACAAATTCCTTGAAAGACAAAAATTACCAAAACTGACATAGGAAGAAACAGAAACCTTGAATAGTATCATATCTCTTCAATAAATTGAATTCTTCATTAAAAACATACCCACAAAGAAAACTCTTGGCCAAAGTGACTTCCCTGGGAAAGTCTGTCAACTATTTAAGGAAAAAATAGTACCAATTCTGTATAAACTCTTACAGAAAACAGAGGGGCAGAAATAATTTCCAAATCATTTTATGTGGCCAGAATTATCCTAATACCAAAACCTGGCAAAAACACATCATAAAAAAAAAAAAAAATTACAGGCAAATGTTTCTCATGAACATAACAAAATAATAGAACATAGAACCAGGAGCATATAAAAAGGTCAGAACACCATCACCAAGTGGGTTTTATTCCAGTCATACTGGTTGCTTTGACATTTGAAAATGAATCAATGCAATTTACCTCATTAACAGAATAATGGAGCAAAACCATAAGATCGTCCCAATTGTTGCAGGAAAAGCATTTGACAAAAGTCAACACCAATTCATGATAAAATTTCTGGAAATAAATTAGAAAAAGAAGGGAATTTCCTCAATAAAATAAAGATCATCTACAAACAACCTTCTATTACTTAATGATTACATATTGAATGCTTTCTCCATAAAATCAGGAACAAGGAAAGGATGCTCACCACCACCATTTCTATTCAACACTGGAGGTTCTACCTAATGCAATCTGGTAAGAAAATGAAATAAAAGACATAGAGATTGAAATGAAAGAAATAAAACTTTTTATTTGCAGACATGATTGTATTTATCAAAAATGCTGAGGATTCTACCAAAAAATTACTAGAACTTATAAATGAATTTACCAGTATCACAGGATACATCACAAAATAAACAAAACCAATTGTATTTCTATATACTCTACTAAGCATGTCTTTTTATTCTGTATTTTTGATGCTTTGCTATCTTGGGAATTTGCTGACCCTGGAAGGGGCAGTCCTTCCAGGGCTAGCCAATTCCTAGAAACAGGAAAGAACCTGACAGTGAGGGCAACTTTTCATATGCAAACCAACCAATACGTTATCAAGTTCTTACCTGATATTTATACATATCCCAACCACCTTCTTTATCCAGTTCTTACTTAATACATATACAAATATATCAAACAAGAAGATGGTATCTCCAATACACAAAGAGCTCCACAAACTAATTATTTTTAAGACACCGGAGAAATTACAGACGTATTAAAACCTTCCACTAAAAAAATGTTTTGAGCATATAGGGAAAATTTATAAAAATTGGCCATGATGAAACATAAGCTCAAAAAGTTTAAAAAGAAAACTCCTAAAAGTTGGCATAACAAAGCCTAAAAATCATTTCAAACTTGGTATAACTGTTACTAGAAAACCATCTACACAATGACTATATATATGCCTTTATTTCATTTTTATGTTACGCTTCTCTTTATATTTGAATCATTCCTTTAAACTACATAAACATTTTCAAGTGTTTGTAAATACCCTTTTAAAAATTACTGCTGTTAGCTGTTCTTCATGATTTTCTTACTGGTCTCCTTACACATTCGAAATTGGACATTTCCGACTATTTCCTTGGTATGTTTTATATCTAACTATGTCAGTTATTTCTATACCAAAAACTCTGTCACATTATGTACCTCCTTTCTAAACCCCACATCTAAGTGAAAAATGATAGAGGAAATAAAAGATGGGTAAATTTGACTGCATATTATAAACACTATAATCAAAACTTTAAAAAAAAACAGAAAAAATATATACTACAAAGGTTTAATATATTTATACAAGTAACTCTTACAATTTAATATGAAAATGAACATAAATAGGCATTTCACAAAAGAAATGAAAACATGGTCAACATAATTAAGAATCAGAGAAAAGTACATAAAAATGAGATATTGTTTCTTCCTTAGCTTCCTTAGCTGACTGGTAAACAAGAAGAATGCCAATACCCAGTGTTGGCAAAGATATGAGGAAAACAAGAATATCTAATAATTGTCCTTTGAAAAAGGACAGGAGTAGTAGCATGCATATCTAATAATTCTATGAAACAAGTCTAAATATTGGGAAAAAATTAATGACATTAAAGGGGTCTGATAAATTGTGGCAACTTAGCCAACAGAATACTATAAAGATATTAAAAATGATGTACACCAGGCACGGGGGCTCACGCCTGTAATCCTAGCACTTTGGGAGGCCAAGATGGGTGGATTAGCCAAGACGCTTCCTGCCCTTGAACATCAGACTCCAAGTTCTTCAGTTTTGAGACTTGAACTGGCTCTCCTTGCTCCTCAAGCTTGCAGACAGCCTATTGTGGGACCTTGTGATCATTTAAGTTAATATTTAATAAACTCATATATATATCCTATTAGTTCTGTCCTTCTAGAGAACCCTAATATGTTAAGCAAGTTCTGTCAATCACAATAAGCATTTGTAATCTTTTTTGCCCCTTTGACTAATGTCATTTTTAAATGACTGTTTTTATTCACTTGAATTTTTTATATGAAGAGACATTTGGTCAAAGCTTGTATACTACTACTGCCTATTAAAACAGTATATAAAATACATGCAAATAAGATATTTTAATACAATGTCATGATTCTTTCACTTAAGAAACAAGAAATCTAAGATGAATACTAATTCAACTTTTAGGCTTTAGAAAAGATTAAGAACAGCCATACATTTAAGGGCTACCGAAGTCAAATGTAATCATTTTACCTTGGGCCAGCGTCAGAAGTACACACATGACAGGCAAAAGCTTAAAAGACCTCCTGAGCCCGGGTGCGGTGGCTCACGCCTGTAATCCCAGCACTTTGGGAGGCCGAGGCAGGTGGATCACAAGGTCAGGAGATCGAGACCATCCTGGCTAACACGGTGAAACCCCGTCTCTACTGAAAATACAAAAAAAAAAATAGCCGGGCGTGGTGGCGGGCACCTGTAGTCCCAGCTACTCCGGAGGCTGAGGCAGGAGAATGGCGTGAACCCGGGAGGCGGAGCTTGCAGATCGCACCACTGCACTACAGCCTGGGTGACAGAGGGAGACTCCATCTCAAAAAAAGAACTCCTGAGAAAACTGATGCCATGAAGAGAAGAAAATATAAATTATTCTGCAAAATGTATCCCTTTTCTGGTTTTGGTTTTTTGTTGTTTTTTTTTTTGTTTTTTGTGGTTTTTGGTCTTAGGAGATTTTGAGCTACTTCTTAGAATCATGCTTAATGATGACTACACAGGAAAAGCCACATTTGTAGGAAAAGCCAGATTTATAATTCACAACACACATACAGAAAAAGTGTGAACAAATATGGGACAAGTGCTGTAAATAGGCCTCTAAAAGTTGGAGTTTTTGGCCGGGCATGGTGGCTCATGCCTGTAATCCCAGCACTTTGGGAGGCCAAGGCGGGCGGATCACGAGGTCAGGAGTTCGAGACCAGCCTGACCAACATGGTGAAACCCCGTCTCTACTAAAAATACAAAAATTAGCTGGGCGTGGTGGTGCGCGCCTATAATCCCAGTTACTCGGGAGGCTGAGGTAGGAGAATTGCTTGAATCTGGGAGGCAGAAGTTGCAGTGAGCTGAGATAATGCCACTGCACTCCAGCCTGGGTGACAGAGCAAGACTCCATCTCAACAACAACAACAAAAAAACCCGTTGGAGTTTTTTTTCCCTTAAGATCTCATTTCAATACCATCATATTCCAAGCCTGTATTACCAAGACATTTTTAAAAGATTTTAAGAAGTGACGAGTTTGTCTATAAAAAATAAAATTGCACAGGAAATTTAATTAATTCTGCTCGTGAAATATTTAAAACTACCCTCTGCTATTGATATTCAAAAAAATCTAGAAGTTGTTTAAATCAGTATGAATTTAAGCTCATAATGATTTTTAAAATACTGCCATGCTAGAAGAACACTGAATATTTCAGATATTCCTCTGAAATAATTATTTAAAGATTATCATAATGCATTCAGATTAAAAAAAAATTAAGCACCTATGGATAAACAAGGAAACAATAAGAAATACATAAACATGGAAATGAAACAATTCTGCAGACACTGAAGCATTATGTTTTGGAAGGATTTCCAGTTACTCATCAATCAGATAGACTTATACTATCATGCACTATTTTCTTCTCTGAGTCATTCCCCAAGTCCTAAAATCCACTCCTAATGAATCTTTCCATATCAAACCTTTATAAAACCAATATATTCAATTGTTGCCTATAAAATGAGGCTGAGGGGTACAGCAAGGTTGATACAGTTTGGATGTTGTCCCCTTTAAATTTCATGTGTTGCACTGTAATCCCCAATGTTGGAGGTGAGGCCTGGTGGGAGGTGACTTGATCATGGGGGTGGATTTCTCATGAATGGTTTAGCAACATCCCCCTTGGTGCTGTCCTGAAGATACTGAGTTCTTGCAAGATTTGGCTGTTTAAAAGTGTGTGCACCTTCCCCACATTCTCTTTTGCTCCAGCTCTTGAAATGTGATATTCCTGCTCCCTCTTAGCTTTTGACCATGAGTAAAAGCTCCCGGAGGACTCCCCAGAAGCTGAGCAAATGTCAGCCCCATGCTTGTAAGCCTGCAGAACCATGAGCCAATTAAATCTCTTTTCTTTATAAATTACTCAGCCTCAGGTATTTCTTTATAGCAATGCAAGAACAGACTAACAGGCCATGCGCGGTGGCTCCAGAACCATAATCCCAGCACTTTGGGAGGCTGATGCAGAAAGATTGCTGGAGCCCAGGAGTTCAAGACCAGACTGAGTGACACGGTGAAACCCCATCTCTACAAAAAAAAATATAAAAATTAGCCAGGCCTAGTGGCACTCGCCTGCAGTGCCAGCTACTCAGGAGGCTGAGGTAGGAGGATCACTGGACCCCAGGGAAGGCAAGGCTGCAGTGAGCCGTGATCGAGCCACTGTCCTCCAGCCTGAGTGACAGTGAAACCATCTCAAAAAAAAAAAAAAAAAAAAAGAACAAACTAACAGAAGAGTAAAAGGAGAGAACTCCCACCATGAAGACTGTTCCTAATACAGTGTTACTTTTACTGACCACCATAACCAGAGGCACTGTGAATCAAACTTACTACAATGGAGGTATATTTCATTTTACTTCTAATAATTTTAAATTTTCATAATAGTAAATATAATCCAATTATCGCAGAATACTTACCTTTAAAAGTCTGTGGCAGGGAGGGGTAGGGGTGAAGGCAAGGATAATTTTTTTTTAACAAGACAGGGTCCTAAATGGTGGATTCCAGCAATATCATTACAACTGAAGATCTGATGCAATGAAAACTATATTTCACATCACCCCCGCCCCTCCTCAAAAAAACCAAAAAATCTACAATACCTCATGTATTTAAAAAAATAAATTATACATATAAATAAGAGAATCAGAATAGTATACTTCTATTTATGTATTTATTTTTATTTATTTATTTATTTATTTTTTGAGACAGAGTTTCACTCTTGTTGCCCAGGCTAGAGTGCAATGGCACGATCTCAGCTCACTGCAACCTCTGCCTCCCAGGTACAAGCGATTCTCCTGTCTCAGCCTCCCAAGTAGCTCAGATTACAGGCATGCACCACCACACCTGGCTATTTTTTTGTATTTAGTAGAGACAGGGTTTCACCATGTTAGTCAGGCTGGTGGTGAACTCCTGACCTCAGGTGATCCATATACTTCTACTTAAAAAGCTTAAAAATATTATTCTAAATTTGACCCTCTAAAATAATAAGTTGTAAAATCCAGACTTCCCTGTAATTCTGTCTTCTCTAACCTGGCCAATTAACCACAGATCTAATAATTCAATGTTAAATGAACTTATCCTTAATGGTTCCAATCTCAAATGACTTGACCTATCCTATGGATTGCCATTATGAAATGACAAGCTTCCCTCAGTAGCAAATTTGATACAAATAAAACTATACTGTGAATTTTTAACAATTTGAGGCCAAAAATAGACTAATAAGAGCAGACACATAAGTTAGCAAATGCCCATTCAGTAAGTACAAAAAATAACTTAATACTTCACAATAAAGTTTAAAAAAAAGGTAAAACTAAAATGGAAAACCAAGGTTAAATTCAAGTTTAAAATCAGAAATAGAGAATTAAATAGAATAACTAAAATGAATAATTGGCAAAAAGATCTGCTTCTATTCCTAAATGCTTGATTTATTCATTTTATTTTCAAGTACTTGAATGCCTCCCATATGCTAATAAATATTATACAGGACTTGGAAACAAATAAATAGAAATGTTCACTACCCAAGAACTCACAATATGGTTTCAGAGGAGCCATTTTTAGAATGAAACAAAGTCCAGAAATAGATCCAACTACATACACAATTTAAAACACCAGCATTTCACAGCAGCAGAGAAAAGAAGGATTATCTGACAAATAGTATTGAAACTGGACAACCATCTAGGGGAAAAAAGTTGCGTCCCATCTTATATCTTGCATCAGTATAAATTCCAGATGGAACAAGAAAACAAGGGAGAATCTCAAAATATAATTTCAGGGTTAGAAGGAACCTACCTAGATGCACAACAACAAAATCACACTATCTACAGAATCAAAAAGATAAAGAGACAACCTAGGGAAAACAACTCATTTCGCAAACTCAAAGCTATCTTCCTTAGTATAAGAGCTCCCACAAAGCAAAGTAAAAGGACCACAAATCCAATAGAAAGTGGGCCAAGATATGAGTGAAGAGTTCCCTAAAAAAGGAGAATAAAAAGCAAATTAAAATTATAATGAGATTCTATTTTTCACGTCTCAAGTTGGCAACAATCAAGTCATCTGAAAACACAATGTTAGTAAAGGTGTAGAAAAGCATAACTTGGTATTTCTATGTCAATTTGGCAATATTTGTTGAACTTAGTAACATATACCACTTTTGAATCAGCAACTCCTCTTCTACTTAATCTTTAGTTATAGTCACACACACACACACGCCCTGACAAATGTACAAAGATATTTACTACTTTTTGAATTCTAAGACATTTAAATGTGTTCAAAAAATAGATAATTTTTTTATGAAAGAATAAAAAGAGACAAATACAGACAACTCTCAGAGAGTTTTGTTCCAAAGGGGAGTGAAAAATGGGGCCATAGCTTGAAGAGATGTGGAGTCAAGTAATGATTTAAATTGGGAATTGGCAGAGCACAGTTCACACATACCAAATTTAGCCAGCTGCCTGTTATGTAAATAAAGCTTTATGAGAACACAGCCATGAGCCACGTCTGTTCATTTACGTATTGTCTATAACTGCTTTTGCACCACAAAGGCGGAATTGAGTAGGTGCAAGAGAAACAATCTTGCCCACAAAGTCTAAAATATTTTATTTATGATCCTTAATAGAAAAATCTTGCCAATCCCTGGTTTAAATCAGTAATTCTCACAATCTAGGCCCCAGATCAACATTATCAGATCACCTGGGAACTCACAGATGCAAATCCTCAAGTCCCACTCCAGAGCTAATGAAACAAACTCTGGGGGTGGGGCCCAGCGGCAATTTGTGTTTCAATAAGTCCTTTAGGTAATTCTGATAAGAACCAGTGGGTTAGGAAACAGTTCTAGTACAGTTAATCCTCACTGTCTTCAATAGGTTCTTGGAAACTGTGACTTTAAGTGAAACAATGTGTAACAAAATCCATTTTTCCATAGGCTAATTGAGATAAGGAAGTTCCTATGGCATATTTATGGCCACAAAAACATCATCAAACTTCTAAGTAAAGATTCCAAACACTCTGATTATTAAACACTGAAATAAATGTGAGCTATACACACATTTAAGAAAGACTAATAAAAACAAGTAGGATAATTATTAACCCAATTCAGTTCAGTCACGAGTGGCTAGAGCCTATCCTAGCAACTCAAGGCACAAGGTGGGAACCAACCCTAGACAGGACATCACCCACTGCAAGGCACACTCATCCATACATGATCACTCAGTCTGAGACCATTTAGACACACCGATCCACTAACATATGCATCTTTGGAATGTGGGAGGAAATTGGAGCACCCGGAAAAACCCACACAGACGTGGGGAGAATGTCCAAACTCCACACAAACAGTGGCCCCAGCCAGGAATCCATTTTTTTCTTATCAACGTTATGAAGAAATGACAGTTATTCAAGGACCTGCTATATAGCCAGGAACAGATAAGGACCCTTTGTGTTCACACATGTAAAGGGTCTTGAGGAAACTTCATGGGAGCCTAAGAGCCCTCAAGGAGACTGTCAGTGAGGACTTCAAGCAAAGTGAGAGAAATGATAGTGAAAGCTGAATAAGAGGACACCCTTGTTACATACTAGGGCAAAGTTTAGCAAAACTGTCACCTACATTAACATGGAAAATAAAATACATACCTGACCTAATGAATTAAGGAGATTCTCAGCAGGAAGTTAAAGCAATTTGGCTTCTTCTAGCTGCCCTTATAATTGAGAGAACAGAGAGATGAACTAAAGAATAAGCTATTCATTTTTTGAGTAGAATTTCAAGGAGATGTAATGGACTCAGAACAATCTTTTCAGCCAGCAAAGTGTCAAATAAAAAGGGCCTCAGAGCAAAGATCCAATCTAGAGTGTGATTATAAGATCCTTTCTTAAGATCTAAATCAGTACCTCATAGATCCTTTCAGACGAAATATTATCTAAGGATCTTAAGGGTGTTGTCCCACAGCAGACTCACACAGAGCTTAGGGGAGGAAAGAGTTCCTCTCAAAAGAGATTTGTGGGTATGGCAGTACAGATTATAAACTTACACACAGGAAGTCCACAAAGTTTTTAAAGGAGTTGTATTAGCTTGGAATGAAAGGGACAGTTGCTATATAAAAGGGGGCCTTTGGACTCTGGAGCACTACAGGCAGGAAGCAAGCTCAGAAAGCTACTCTTACAAATACAAAGCAATTTATATGGGTTGGGTGCAGGGGTGGGGGAGATAAATAATTCAGAAGGTAAACCCAAAAACAGAAGAAGCCTATGTCCTATTAAGAATGACTTCCAGGAAGCAGGACTGAGACCTAATCAAGGAACTGGCAACATGTGCCCAGTGAGGTTGCAGAATTGCTACAGACTGTGCCTACCTTGCATGCTTCTTGAGGAGGAATGTCTACTGCAGATAACCTGTGCCTTTTCCATTTTGTAAAGTATGCAGGGGACATATAAACTGTCTCTTCATGGGTCCTCAGTTCAAGAAGAACCATATCCAATTAACCATACCCAAGAAAACTATTCTGTACCTGGACCTGATTTATATGATGAGATACTGGACTCTGAGTTACTGTCATGATGGGATGTGAATTAGGGACCTTTGAGGAGAAGCTCAGTGTATTTTGCGTGTATTTCAGATACAGGAGGGATGTGAAGTTTGGCAAAATGGCAAACTATGGCAATAGTATTAATAATTGTCCAAAGATGGCCATAACACTATTTCCCATCTCACATGTTTTTCTTCTGCAGTGTGAACTTGCCACTCCCCCATCAAATCTGGACAGGCTTCTGACCCTTACAACCAGTAGGACATGGCAGAAGTTATACTGTGCAGCTACCAAGGCTAAATCATAAAAGATTTATGCTGAGACACACTCACTTTTAATTCTCTACTCACCACTATGAAAGGTGACCACCCTGAAGCCACCATATTGTGAGGAAATCCAGGCCACATGTACATGCTCCAGTTAACAGCCCAGCTAACATCCCAGTCAAGAGCCAGCATCAACTACCCATCATGTGAGTGAAGACACCTCCAGATGATTCCAGTCCTTTGCCTTCAAGTCACCCCTGGCTGGCAATTCTTCCCAACTCATGTCCTAGTAGCCATTGTGGAGCAAAAACAAAGTCATCCCTGGTGTGCCCTGTCTCAATTACTGACCCATGGTATCTGTGAGCCTAATAAAGTAGTTGTTTTAAATCACTAAGTTTTGGGTAGTTTCTGTTACACAGCAATAGCAATCAGAGTAATGCTGATGGAAATAATCCAGTAGAGGGAAGAATTGAGAAGGCAAGAAAAAGAGGAGAGAAATATAATGGTAAAGCCCTTGAAGGCAAAGGGGATGAGCTCTTCTACACAACTGAATGGAGAGGCTTTAGAGGGGATGCTAAACAATTCATTCATTATAAAGGTGAAAACGGCAAAGTACAGAGGACAGGTGGTTGCCTGGTGTACAGGAATTAGAGACTAGAAAAGGAGATGTGGGGTGGGGGGGTGGGAAAGAGTTTGCTGGTTTTTGTCATAAACATTGGTAAACCATTTCCTTTTTAAACTTTATACACATTTTACCATGTGATCCCACCTTTTTAAATTTTCTAGAAAAGATTTAGTCCATTCCCTCAATAGACAAGACTCACTGATTACGTGAGTTGCCTGAAATCATATACCATGCTGAGAGCAGGGTCAGTCCCTTATCCCCTGATTTCCAAAACAGTGCACTTACTCACATCACATGGCCCTTTATATTATAAAAATATTACCTAATAGCATTTTATTTCATAATCATAATTTATTAAACTAAAACCACTTAGTAAGAACTAATGAGTACTCTGTTTCCAATAACATACTAAAAAGATGAACAGAAGAATGTTCTTGGGAAGATCAAAATAAACATGCAAGCAAAGTAAACAGCCCATGGACCATTCTAACCTAGTTAACCCTTTGTAACTATACAGAAAAGCTTCAAAATAAATAATGCTTCTCTTTGTTCTTTCCAGTACCCCTAATTTCATCAATCATTCAACCCTCAGATTTATAAGTTATCGACCAAGAATTTCTCCTTCCTTTTAGAAACAAATATTTTATCACTTTATTCAAATTTTACCAGCACAAAAGCACCCAGAGATGGCTTGTCTAACCTTCTATCATTCAGAAAAAAACACAGAACCAATGCACACAGGAAGAATAGTACCTGGACAGTGTGATATATAAGACGATACAGACGAATGACAATCTGTTGAAAAATATCTCCTAGGTTTTATTATGCCTAAAATTCTCATCCTTAGTCCTAGTGATGGAGAGCTTTGGAAAAGTCTCCACTGATCACCCAACTGTCAAATCCAAAGGTCTTTTGTTAAACCGGAGAGAACAAAATATTAACAGTGGTTATTTCCACGTAGGGAAAGTATAAGCAATTTTCTTCTGTTTTTATAGATTTCTTATTAGGAAAAACACGAATACATCTTTTTAAGACCTTTTTTTGGATCTGATTCTTCTCATTTCTTGCCAATGATCAACATGTTGATCATTCCGCCTCCTAACCTATCCACTAATTTGCCTCTCATACTGTTTTTTTCTTTGTCTCCTTTACCCATTCCTCTCCTTTCACCCACCCGCTAATTATGGGCAATCCCACTCTTTTCTCTTAAGTACCACAGCACCAGCCTTAACTTCGCTAACAAATTCTAGTCATATGTCCCACTGTATGCTATCAATTTTCACTTGCCCATCCCACGGCCACCGCAAACTCAACATATCCACAATATACGCTCAACTGTCTACATCCCCTCTACCAGCTACTAACACTGCCATAACTATTTTTGTTAGTAACTGCCATTAATCAAACGGCAGTTTCTTTGTCATTAACTAGCTGAGTAACTTTGGACACATTTTTAAATCTCTCTGGTCTGAGTCCTAATATACAAAACATATAGACTTAGATGTTCTAAGATGTCTTGGAGAGTCAACACTCTTTGATTTCCTCCGTCACTGAAAAGCAAACCTTCAAGGTAAGGTAATCTTTAATCACTCTTCTCCCCTCCATTCTCCCTTCTTATCCAATCCATAATAATGTCTTGTGACATCTCTGCAATCTGACTTATTTCTAAGTCCTCATTACTTCAGGGCTCAATTATTTTCCTACCTCTTTCTACCATTCTCTTTCCAATTCATATGAGACCTAGCACTGGTGCTGCTTTGATTTTCCTAAAATACTTATTTCAGCAAACTCTTTCTCAATTCAAAACTTTTAAAGCTTCTCCATATCTACAGGTCAAAGTACATTCTTCTCATCCTAGCATTTAAAGACATCCATAATCAAATTCCAACTACATTTTTAACACAATTTCTTACTACTCTTTCACACAAATCTTCATTTCAGTCAAGTTATTTATGTACTGCTCTCTGAACATATCATACATATATACATATTTTGCCTTTGCTTACCCCCTCTACCAGTTCCTTCCTATTATGCAAAATCTCTGCTCAACTCAAGTGGTCTTAAATATCTGTAACTTTTATTATTTAGCTTATCTGCCCAATTATACTGTAAGTCCTTAGGGAAAGGAGCCTATTTTATATTTCTTTATTTCTCTTTTGAATACAGCCAAGTACCTTTTACATTGCAAGTATTAACAAATATTTGTTTGGTGACTACAGTTCCTTATCACACAATCAACATGTATTTCTTGAATGCTGCCCATGTGCTCTCCACTGTGTGTTGTGGTTTTTTTTTAATCTAAGGTACTGCTCCTCAAAGAATACACAATCAACTTGAAAAGATATGGCTAACACTAGGGAAATAACTATCAAACAACTAAAGCATGGCATATAATTAAACCATGTGAAAATGTTCTAAGACTAAAGAGCTACAGAAATAGAGGAAAAAAAAGAGGGATGGAGAACATGGGCAAAAATTAAAGGATAGAAGAAGCATAGCTTATTATTAGAAAGTGTGGAAATCAGCTTACAAGCTTAAGGACTAGAGATCCTTAGACAAAAGACTAAATAAATAGGGCAGGGATTGATAATAGACTATCTTAAAAGTCAGGAAAATTTAATAAGTAGAAAATGGTAAGCCACTGAAGGTTTTGGGGCAAGGGAATGCTATAATAAGGAGTATTAGAGTGGAATCTCTATTGAGGATAAACAGAAGGAAGGGACACTGAATTCTCAGAAGTTCAAATGACTTTCAATATTCTAGGCTCAGGAAATGTGTCCTGGGATTCACACAGTAAAGGAGGGAAAGCAGAGATATGAGAAAGAAAGGAAATATGGACATTTTGAATGGGAATAAGAGGTAAATGAAAGAAGTAGTTTAAAGATGATGCCTAATTTAAAGCCTACATGATTAGAAGAAAATTAAGGGGTAGAAAATGGTAACTTTCACTTGGGGCATTCGGAGTTTAAGGAGATGAACAGAAGTAGAAGCAGAAGACCAGTACAGGAAAAACCAGGAAGTGACTAGTACAACAAGTTAGCAATAGGATTAGTTTTAAAATGAAAGAACTGGGCAGAAGTTATAAACATATTACATAGGAGAGGAAATATATTAAGCCATGATCAGCTGGTACTAGCTTTATATCAATAATTTTATCAGAAAAGCAAACTAAAAGCTAAGGCAGAGGTTTCCAAACCCATTCAGGGAGCTCTGAGTCTTAGCAAATTTTTCACGACACCCCCAGGCCAAAAGAAATAGGTTTGAACAACTTACTTAGTAGTTATGTCCTTACAACTTAGTGTAGAGCACTGTAGAACTTATCAAACCTTAGAATCAAATTGGACAATACCACACTGTCATTTCCTGTTCTACATTCATTTTCATGTAGTAGTTGCTTTTTATCGGAGCAACCTCTGAAAATACATCTTTACAAAGACATGACATTGTAGAAACGGGTGTAGGTATCTAATATTGAAACCATGAACCAACTCAAAACACAAGTTCAAGCCTGAGGTGCTCTGGGCACCTTGGCACACAGTTTGGGAAACTGGGAGCTAAGAGGAGGGGTCTAAAAGGGAGTGGGGAAGGGTGGGAAATGTAATGGGAGAAGAGCAAAAGAAAGGTCTTAGCACAGTTAACCACAAGGGGGCAGCACAATAATTGGTAGGGGCAACACAATGGGGGTTTAAGCAGAGACACAAAGTCAAACCTTTCCATACAAAGGCTGTAATACTCCCTCACCAGTTTAAGACCTTGAAGTCCTTTATCTCTTTATACTAGAAAGGAGGAAACACGAGTTACAGGCAGATCACCTTATGCAGTCATTCTGCCCTTCTCTGAATCTCCTTTGCCTCCCAGCCGTGATAGTAGCCAAGACTTTTATGACAGCCAGGCAGTTTACCACTTTGCATGTGTCTTACTCACTTCTCACAACAATCTTATAAGAAAGTGAAGCTAAAAGAGTCGTAAATAATATAACTCTTTTTTTCTTTCTTTTTTTTTTTTTTTTTAGACAGAGTCTTGCTGTGTTGCCCAGCCTGGAGTGCAGTGGTGAGATCTCGGCTCACTGCAACCACCACTTCCCAGGTTCAAGCAATTCTCCTGCCTCACCCTCCCGAGTAGCTGGGATTACAGGTGTGCACCACCACGCCCGGCTAATTTTTGTATTTTTAGTAGAGATGGGGTTTCACCATGTTGGCCAGGCTGGTCTCAAGCTCCTCACCTCAAGTGATCCTCCTTCCTCAGCCTCCCAAAGTGCTGGGATTACAGGCGTGAGCCACCATGACCAGCCGTAAATAATGCAACTCTTAAGTGGCAAGAACACCAGGATTCAAATCCAGATCTCACTCCAAAGCCAATGCACTTTCCTATTCTGCCTCAAAAGCATCCCACCTTTCAGTAATAGCCAGGTGAAAGAGAAACAATGTCATATTCCCTTCCCATATCTGAGACACCTGTCTCAAATCACCAAAGGCACACACACACAAAATTCCCTAATGAGTCCCTAAAACTGCTATAAATTGCAAATACAGGATATTCAGTTAGAGCAAAAACAAGCATGGTGTGCTCTTCTGGCCAGCAAGTACTGCAGCTTTCCTATTCAGGTAAATACATGTACTATTAAGGCAAGTGCTGGATACATCCAGTCTGTACATACGTTACACACCAACAGACAAATGCATGTACAAGCAAATAATTCTCACACTTAAAGTGGTATAAGGTGAGGCGGATGGGGGAAGGGAGGCCAAAAATTGATTATTCATCTTCAAATGTTCTGGGTGTTATATCAAAATACAAGCTGATCATCCCTTATCTGAAAAGCTGCAAAATCTGAAACATTTTGAGCACCAACATGATGCTACAAGGGGAAAATTCCCCGCATAGGTACTTAATACAAACTTTGTTTCATGCACAGACGTATTAAAAATATTGCAAATGACTTAGTGGCTGTGTGAATAAGGTCTATATGAAACAAACGAATTTCGTATTTACACTTGGGTCCCATCCTCAAGATGTCTGATTTTGTATATGCAAACATTCCAAAATTTTTAAAAAAAATCCAAAACACTTTTGGTCCCAAGCATTCTGGAGAAGGGATACAAAATCTTTATTTGCAGTAGCCCAACAACTCACTGTACAAACTTATTATGAAACCAAAAGCAATCATTTCCCTTATTCCCACTTCCAGTTTCCTTCTCCATACTCAGCCGCTCCTACCCTTTCATTCAGAGAAATGGAGTTTCTCCTAACAGATTAGTAATTACTGGAAAACAAACTGGGTAAATTCAACCGACACAGCAAGCTTAGGCAGATAAAACCATGAGGAAACATTCAATGTGGTAGCAGAAACCCCAGCAAGAATAGCTAACGTGTTCTCCCAAAAGCTATCTCTTATTGCTTGGAAATACTCCTCTTTAAAGGATTAAGAATCTCTGGCTGCTTAAGAAGAAAGGGTAATGGACAACGTTTTTCGTTTCTCTGCAAAGTCACGTTATGTGTAAAGCCAACAAAAAAATGTTTCTTAAAGGATCCAAGACGAACAACAAAACACCCCAAAATTACTCTCCCAGATCAACATTAAAAGTTTAGCACTGACATTTTCAGAAGAGTAAGCAACAATGAGCCCTGCCTCTCTTCACACGCTTCCAACCTTCCCTACGCACGCACTCCCAGCTCCAGACACCTTCGCCTTTACTGCAGCGATAAAGGACAGCACACCCACCGTCGCGGGAGGAGGAGGAAGAGCCTCTTTTTCTGCAGAAGAGAAACAGTTCACATCTTGTTCCTGTTGCCTGCTTCTGAAACCTAAAAACAGAAGCAGCAGTTAACTACTACCACATAAATCCAGGGGAAACAAATGCTTTTTCTAGGCTGTTTAAGTGTCTAGAAAATTTTAAAAAGGAATAAGGAGGCGGGAGCGAGGGAATTATAAGACACAAATGGAAGCAAATATCACCAGCAAGACTCGTTCTAGGTGTCGTCTTAAAGAGGAAGATTTTTCTGGCTCAGAAGTTTGCTGCCACTAGCAGGGGGCAGGCGGGACCAAAAGGTAGGAAGGGGGTGGAGAGACAGCTGCTGCCCCCCACCCAGAAGCCAGGCAGAGATAACACCCACCGGCTACACAGATCGGGCGACCAGAGCGCGCCCTCGAGCCCGCAGGGGCGGCTCCTACCCGGCGGGTCAAGGTCTGCGAAGCCCCGGGACGGGCACGGCTCTGAACGACCTCCAGGCTGGGCCCTCGGGGGCCCTCCAGTGTGGGCTCAGCTCCCACTCACATCCCTCGGCAGCGAGGACCAGGCCTCTCCCTGCGCCGCAGCAGCCCTCAGCCCCGACGCGCGCCGCAAGCCCGGGCCGAGGGGCCCGACCGGCCGAGAAGCCGAAGTGGCGACGCGAACACCCAAGCGAGCCGGGCGCCGGCCCAGCCTGTCAGCGCCGAGGGAGGCCGTTAGCGGCGTCCGCTGCTGCCCCCTTCTGCTCCTCTTCCTCTCTCCTTCCTGCAGCCCCACACCACTCCCACTTCGGGCAGCCGGGAAGCCCGTCACAGTTGTCTCCACCCTCTCCGGGGCCACACCGTCTTCTCAACGCCGCGGGCGACACTGGCTTCGCCGCCCTGCTAGCTTCGAACTCAGCCTCCCGGTTGGCCTGCAGTCTCCCCGAATGGCAGGAGACCGGGCCGGATAGAGGCTGGGGGAGAGCCGGACGCGCGTCCTGCAGTGCGCGTGCGCCGCTCGGTGCTGGTCGCGGGACCGGCAGGCGCGGGCCACGCAGGGCAGCTGCCTCTCGGGAAGCCGGCGAGCGCGCGTGGAGATTCCTGGGACGGCCCCTGGGCGTGAGCGCGCAAGGAAGTTAAGGCGGCGGCGCCTCGCGAAACGCTGGTGCCCGGCTGGAGCTAGGCGCCAGCGCTGGGCCCGGCCCTCACTAGATGGGCGGGTGTGTGTGTGGCCGCCGCCCTCCAGGGAAGCGGCCGGGAGTGACTCACCCTGGCTGGCTCCCCAGCGCGCAGCCTGCACTGGAGGAGGCCGGGCTGCCTCCGCGCGGAGACTCCCCTCCCGCACACTTCTCCGCTTTCGGCTTTTCCTTCCACCTCCCGGGTACAGCAGACCCGTCCTTCCCCAGTCCAGGCTGCTAGGCCGAGGGGAAGTGGCGCCGGGGGCCGGGGACAACGCGCTCACACACGCTGTTTCGTGGCAATGCGCCCTCGAGAGCCTGACTCCCATCAGCCACCTTGGCTGGAAAGGGGTGAGGGTGGGATGAAGCGCCCAGCCGCCTGCGGGTTGGCAACAAGGCCTAGCGAATGTTTCTCCTAGAGGAGAAACAACTTTACCGGCGTGGCCTGGTGTAGCCCGGGAGAGGGTGGAGACAACGGCTGTGACGGGCTTCCCGGCTGCCAAAGGGCCTCATTCATTCATTCAAATATTTACTGAGTGTCTACTAGGTGCCGGGCTGTAGGTCCCCAGAGATACCAGGTGAACACGACCCCACACACTCCTTGCCCTACTGGATTGTATTCTGATGGAAGCGACAAAACAACAAACAACGCTTTAAATGCATAATGTGCGGGGTGTGTAATTGCCACTAAGAAAATGCATAGTTTTCTGCTGCCATATACATAATAACAAAGAAAAGGAGTAGAAAGTGAGGAGGGGGTGTGCTATTTTACGGTGGCCAGGAACGATTTCCTAGAATAAGTGACATTTGAGCAGAGATCTGAAGGATGAGAATGAACCAGTCCCATGACTATCTGGGAAAAGAATTTCAGGCAGAGGGACTCCTGAAGGCAAAGACCTTGAGAAGGGAAAGTGTTTGGCAAGTTCAAGGATCAGGAAAGAGGTCACTGTGGCTGGAGGACACGGAAGGAGGGGGCAGTGGTAAGAGGTGAGGCCAAAGAAGTAGCCTGGCACCAGATCGTGTAGGGATTTTTTTCAAGTATTAGCCCTCTTTCTGTCAACCTAAATGAAGTGACGCATTCATAGCTCCTGTTTCCCCATACACAACTGATGCTGCTCTTCAGGTCTGTCTTGCACTTAATGGTTTCTTTAAATAAACCTCACCAAAGCAACTCCTGCATTTCTTCTTACATAAGACCCATTGCAAAAGGTCTTTAAGCAAATGATAGCAGCATAGGAAATTACTTGAATTCACCCTGAATCTTTTAAATAATGAACTAGAGCTGTATAAGAGGGAGGGATTTACAGGAAAATTGCATTCCTACGGCTACTGCTTCATAGGTAATATATGGGCAAAGTTAGTAAGAATTTCTAATTATTAATTGTGACTCAATGGCTTAGAATATCAAGGCCGCAATTACAAACAGTGACTACCAAAAGAGTTCCTTTTTTCCTGCAAACAAAAACTGCTACTGAGGTAAAAGCTAGAACACAGACCCACATAATGAAGAAGAGCTAAAGATGAGCTTAACGTCATGGGTAAATGAAAAGCATCACAACTGTGGAAATGGAAATGTGATATTTTGTGAGGGGAAGAAAATGCTTGTTTTAGAACTCTGAAACAGTATTACTTTCATTATAAGTGATGTTTCTATATTTTGCAGTGATATACTTATGTAACTAGGCATGGTATCTCTTACTGTCCACAGCCTGTTTGCAGGGAGAAGCCATTTGAAATTGGTGAATTGCAGGGAGAAGCCATTTGGAAGTGGTGAATATTGAGGATATTTTTGTGGGGGAGCAGGTTATTTTCTTAATATTAGAGATGTGGGTATGGAAGACAAGGTGGACAAGGGGTATATTATTCATAAGCCTATAGAATTGAGAAATCTTCTGTCTCCCCACATAGAAAGATGAAGCAACTTGCCTCCTGTCATTCAGAAAGTGAAAGCCTCCCTCATCACTAAGACATGATTTTAAGTCAATGCTAACCTGGAATGTTGAGCTTTTTTCACTCTGTATTAACAGAACTTTTGAGCTCTTTATGTGATTCCTGGTAGTGGCATCACTAGAAATTTGCTACTCAAGGCAAACATTTCAGGAAATTTCCCTTATTCTTTGATAATGATGAAAAGAATTCCAAGGAATTTGACCAAGTCTTTCAAAACATTCATACAATATGAAGAAACAAGAAATATGAGCTGTAAGGTAACACATTTAGATTCAAAACTTTGTGGCAAGATCTAATGGGAAAACTTAACAGCTAGTTGTTGACTGTGGGGCTGTGTGTAGTGTCTTGAGGTTTTGTCCTTCCAGTGTTGGCCAGCATGGCAGCAGTGATTCTTGACTGCTATGCCCAAACCTTCCCCCCACCCCAACAAGACTGCCTCAGTAAGTGTGAGATGGCGCATTGGCTTCTATAACTTTTTAACATTTTTAGGTGGTTTGACATAAAGCCACGGTTGAAAATCCATGGCCAAGGGTTTAAGAACTTACGCTTTAAGAGTCCAGACCACCCAGGTTTCTTTCAATCACAGCTTTTGCCAGGAAAGTTTATTTAGATTTTCTAAGCCTCTGTTTCCTCATCAGTATAATGAGGATAATAATCTCCCCTGTAGAGAGATTTTGAAGATTAGGTGAAAAAGTATTTTAAAACCCTTAGCACAGTTATCAAATGTCTATTATATCTGTGGCAGGACCAATTTACAGATATAACCAAGCTGGGAGGTATAAGAAATTTGTTGAATTTTATTAGGAAGATTGAAGTATTTGTCACAGTTTATTGCACTACACAGGACTGTGTGGGCTGGTAGGATAAGGGCTGAGTTGTAATAGAGATAAATGTGAAGATCTCCATTTGAATTTTAAAAAACAGAACTATATCATTAAATGATGAGACTGAAAACATCATTCTTAAGGAGGGACATAAATGTGAGCACAAAAAAAGATGCAGGAAAGTCCTTGGAAAGGGAAACAGGCTCAAACGAAGGGCTGGGGAGAAGTCCAGGAGTTAGTTTGTTTCTTTCCAAAACAGGGAAGATGTACTTTCCTGAAGGCAGAAAGGAATAAAATATGGAAAGAGGCTTATTTATTCCAAATGTAGGATTATAAGCCAAAAGACAAAGGCAAGGGGTATTAATCAAGTAGACAGACAAGCAAGCAATGTTTTTTTTACTACAAATCATCCAGATATTTTAGTACCATTTATTCCAAAATTTGGTTGGCTATGGCAAA
Organism: Homo sapiens; assembly: GCF_000001405.40. Taxonomy (NCBI): domain Eukaryota; kingdom Metazoa; phylum Chordata; class Mammalia; order Primates; family Hominidae; genus Homo; species Homo sapiens. The sequence continues at coordinate 4,981,623 of NC_000009.12, read as the reverse complement.
GAAATTTTCCAATACCTCCTCGGTACTTCAGCATGTCCTTGTCTCTACATCAGTTCCCTTATCCTTACTTTCAATCACAAAAAGAAAAGGAAAACAAAAAAGATATTGCCAGTGAACAGATCCCTCATTCCCTTGAGATAACTGGATGTATTAAACTTTGGTGCTTGAAAACCAAAACAGTTTTCCCTTTGTAAGCCAAGAATTAATAACCTCTTTCAAGTGAGGATAATTATTTGGCAAAATATGTAAAATGACCATTATAACTATGTGCTACTTTTAAAAAATTTAACTTAAAACTGTTAGACATATAGTTGCCTATTCACGAAAAACATTTTTTGTGTGTGTGAAAGGATTCATGCCAGCATTCACTCTTAAAAACAAAATTTCGGCCAGGCGCAGTGGCTCACACCTGTAATCCCAGCACTTTGGGAGTCCAGCGTGGGTGGATCACAAGGTCAGGAGATCAAGATCTCCTGGCTAACATGGTGAAACCCTGTCTCTACTAAAAATACAAAAAATTAGCCAGGCATGGTGGCATGTGCCTATAGTCCCAGCTACTCAGGAGGCTGCGGCAGGAGATTCACTTGAACCTGGGAGGTGGAGGTTGCAGTGAGCCGAGATCATGCTACTGCACTCCAGCCTGGGCAACAGAGCAAGACTCCCATCTCAAAAAATAAAATAAAATAAAATAAAAAATAAAAATAAATCCCTAGCATAATTGTTAGTTTACAGAGACTCAGAGACTTAATTCCTGAGTCCTAATTTAGACTAAGGATTCTGTCCTCTTTGCTGAGAACTGTCCTCTTCACCCAGAGTAGCCAGCCTCTGGCACCTACGTTCTAGTTTGTGACACCCTGCTTCCCACAACCCCTTGATTGGACCAAGCTGAGCCATCAGAGTCTCACTCCTGGGGAATTTGGAGTTGGGATTCAAAAACAGCAAATCAGACTTTTCTGTTCACTTGAAATGAGGTTACCCATGCTCTAAAGTTAAGGCTGCCACTATGAGGTTACCATCTTCATTCTTGCACAGAAAGCTGATTTGCTATAGGAGAGAAGAATGCCACAGAAGAGAAGAGAGAGAGAATGTGCGCAGTATGTGTCCCCATAGCTTTTCAGTTCCCTCTTTCTTATAAGGTCCACCAAAACTTCATGCATTTTCTATCTTGAAAATACTTCCTTATGACAAATTTCTCCTTTTGACTTAAGTTAGATCTAGTAGTGTCAGCGTACTCACAACTGAAATAACCAGGAGTAAGGGAGACATCATAGTAAGCTGATGAGAGAGAAAAATACTCTGTCAAATTACAACAGGGAAAATGTATATTTAAAAAAAATGTATGATTCACCCACAAAGTGTGGAAGTCTATCTTCAATCATAAAGCCAAGCAGAACTATGCAAGTATTAGTCATAATCTGAGATATTACATATAACCCATAGGTTAGCAGAAGATAAGCCCTCTTTGATTATGATGGACGTTTACTACAGTGAAATTTTTCTCACCCACGCCTCCTTCTCCCAACCACCACACCCTTCACCCCTGTTCTGTTTTCTTTTCTCACTTGCTTCACTCTAATTTCTCTGTAACTTAATAATTTTGTGAATTTTCTGGGCTGTAGCTATAGGAATTGCTGTGGTCATTCCACTCTAGCTATGCTATTGACCAAAGGAAAATCTGATTTGATATTAAAGTATCATACTGATGTGGTGGAATACTGTGTATTTCCATTTCAACTACAAAATACACAACTGGACCAGAAAATGCTGCATGAAACAGTTCTCCATTTTAACTTCTACTCCTGCTTGGCCATATACCTCCAAATGTCCATAATTTGTCCTTAACTAGACTTTTCTCTTCTCCTTCCCCCTTTTTTTCCCTGAATGCCTTATCCTTCTGAGGTTTGAGGCTGTACCTCTTTATCTCTATGTCATGAGAGTTGATCAGAGGGAAAGCAGGTGTTTTCCTTCTAGAAAAGGCAGCTGGTATTAAGGGAGCGCCCTTATTAGGGTGGTCTTACTTTATCCACATACTTAGGTTTCCCATCCACATCTAACAGTGTCCCCCACTGAACATGATATAGCTGTCCATTTGGAGGGGAAAAACAGTTCTTTGCTTTCTCCTTTTGTGTAATGGTGCTTTGTTATGTTTACTGTCATCTCCACCTGTTATAGATCAAGCATAAAATGATGTCACAGTGCTAAGGCAAGCTCTTTTGGCTGAGCAGTCTAATCCTACAAGAATTTTAGTATCATGTGCTTTCCACTCAGATGCTAATTCAGCTCTTTTACTACTCACAGGAAATATTCTGGGACTCAATAGCATTACAAGTAATAAAATTTTAGTAACAGTGATGACTTTGGAGGTTTTTGAAAACAAATGCGTATTACCAGAATAGATATGTTTTAAGGCTCATGAAAACTTACTGTTGTACATATTAATGTCTATTATATTTATTAAAGGGCTTTTAAGTATATTTGTTGAGCAAACTACTTTTTTTCATTTTTAATTTCACAAGTAAACATAAATACATAGCAATTGTGGAAAATCCAAACAACATAGAAGAAAAAATGTACAAAGTGGAAATTTCTCTTGACCCTCTTCTCCCAGCCCTCTTCAATTTCCAGAGGCCACCATTAATAACTATCTGAGATTTACTCTTTCAAACTTTTTCCAATGCATTTTCTTACATATCTCCTATAGATATAGTTTTGAGCTTGGTAAATAAATAAAATGGGTTATTCTACACATGTTTTTCTGTTAACATTTTTTTCACTTAGAATACCTTGGAGATACTTCATGTCAATATGTATTGCTTTTCTCATTCATTTTAACTCTTATACTGTGTCAGTAAAACAGGTGCTAATAATTTATTAAATAATTTATTTATGAACATTTAGGTTTCTAATTTCTCCAGTTACACAGTGTTAAATTTGAAGGCATTGAACATGCATTTCATGGGCAAAAATGTATTTCCTGGGATAGACACTTAGACTCTCTGTACCAAAGGAAATACAAATTTAAAATTTGTTGACTACTGTCAAATCAACTTCCAGAAGTTCCACAGTAGTATATCAATGCTCATTTCTCTATAATCTCACTAACTCAATATTATGAATCTTTAATTTTAGGTAATTTTAGTTCCAAAACACACTCATCCCAGTCGTTTGACCAGTATTTATTAAACGCCTGTTATGTAACGGTACTCTGTAAATGTTAGAAACTCACTAGTGTGTTACACAACCACTCTTTTACCCATCGTTGCCTCCATTTTTGCCTTGATTACATTTTAAAGTAGACACAATAATATTGACTATAAAATTCATCAACCATACTGATCAAGTAATTATCCAATTATCTTCAAATATGCTTTTGAATCGTACAGATTTCCTGAACCATTTTTCTTACAGGAGGAAATGATTCCTTTGGGAAAATGCTGGAAAAATACAAAGACCAGAGATTGTTACTAGCTGGGAGATTTTAATCTGTTACTCAATTTTTCTAAACTTCTGTTTTCTAGTCTCTACAATGAGAATAATAGGGGCACTTGCATTTAGGATTGATTTGAGGTTATAATGAGATAACATGTAGAAAACACTCAACAAATTCCTGATAACAATAATAGGTAACATCACAGTTCATACAACATATCAGGCATCTTCAAGAGTTTTATATGTATCAAATCATTTGAGCCTCACCACAAGGCTATGAGGTGGTTACTTGCATTATCCTCATCTCAAAAGAAAGTGAGGAACAAAAGGTTAAATGTCTTTCAAGTGTCTCTCAGAAATCCTGCTGGGCTAAGACTGAACCCCAAAGGGCCTGGCTGCACAGCTAACTCCTCTAACAATCACACTCTACTATCTCCTGAATAGACAAGCAAGTAATAAATATTATTTCCTTTACTCTTCTTGCTTATAGCTGAGCCTATCCCAAGTATACACCCCAACCCACAGAATTTTAAACGTGGTGATGGAAGATGATTCATTAAATTCATAAGCTTCATATTAATATATAGGCAATCAGGTAACAATATTTATGTATAATATATAGCAAAGGCTTCTATCCATGGATAGATTTCTTATTTGCTGGAATGGCTCCCAGATGCTATACTGTAGAGGAGTGGCTCTCAAAATGTGGTCCATGGACAGGCAGCATCAGCATTACCTGGGAACACGTTAGAAATGTACATTTTTGAGCCCCAACCCAGACTTTCTGTATCAGAAACTCTGGAAGTAGGGTCCAGCCATTTGTGTTTTAACAGGCCTTCCAGACAATTCTGAGGCACACTAAAGTTCAAGAACCACTGTTGTAGAGAATCCTTGTAATGGGTAAAGTAAAAGAAAATAAATAAGCCAAAGAACTTAGGTTGCCTTTCATAACAGGTGATATGGTGGGGAGGGGTTAGGGAATAAAATATAAGTGAGGCACAGATGCAGTACCTTGACTTGAAGAATGAACAAAAAGAAGAGATCTTTCTTTCAAGTTGCTTCAGTATGTAGATGGGAATAAGAAGTGGATGGCAATAGAGAATTTTAAAACATTTTGCTTTAACTTATAAAGTGGACCTACTTTCATTCCCTTTATATAAAACCTTAAATTTTTTCTTCAAGTATTCTTGATTATAACGCTTGTGTTTTTAAGGCATTTACTGTATATGCCAGACCACATGGGAGCCCCAGTTTTATCAGGGCTACACTAAGTTGCAGTGCAACAAATTTAAGTCAAATAGCACTGAGTACACTTATTACAAATCAATCAAATTCTAAAATCACAAATGTTGCTGCTGAAAGACCTTACAAATCATAGAGATAATTGATTAGATACAATCATCAGATATAAATACATGTACAACAAGTTATGGAGTGTGCAGAGATGAGGCAGCCCAAGAAATATACCTATTTGTTACCTGGTAGGGTAGGCAGAGGAAGAGTGTATTCTATAAGAATCCAAAGAAACCCTTGTAGACCATGAGGGCAGAACTATATTTGTTTTATTCCCTATTGTATATCCAGTATCAATGCAAGTTTGACACATAGTATATGTTAAATAAGTGCCATTGTATAAATGAATTAATGAATAAGAACAATAGCAGGACAAAATGAGGATCAGTGGCCAAATCCTCCGTATTAATAATACCCCTAAGCTATCAGGAAACAGGTTAGCACTTAACTCCCTGGGCAGAGGTCTCGCTATAGAAAAAATTCACCTTAAGGGAAGAACTTGAGGTGCAGAAGCTTAGCCTGGATAAAATGACTGGGTATTAGGAGGTGTGATGACTGATAATTGGTATTTAATACCAGAGGTTATGTCAGTTTGGGTTTGAAATGAAATTCAGGCTATTTCTGTACTTTATTTTCTGTAAAATAGAGATAATAATACTTACCTAATAGGGTATAAAACCAAATAATAAATACCAACATAAGACGGTATTGCTCAGGATAGCCTTCCAGCCTAGCCATCCACCACCTTCCAGCAGCGAGAAGAGGAATGGGGAGAGAGGGCTATAATTAAGAGCATACCAAATAAAATACAGATATATCCAGAAACTTTATAAGAAAATAAGAGCTCAAGACAGGGCTGTTTGTGGCTCAGTTATAGAATGCAAACAGGAAGGCACTCGACTGGGAGACCTTGGTCTGAAGTTGTAGAAGGCCAGAGTTGGTGTTTCAGGGAAGCCGACATGCATAATTACAAGAGATATGGCAGTAATCACAGCTGCAGCCAGGAATCAGAACAGTGACTCTCCCTGGCCCCTCTCCCACGTTCTCACATCCCCGTGGCTCACTTCATCACCTCCTTAGGTGAGATGCAATTACAATTGAAATTTCAATGCCTCTCCATCCTCAACCTACACCAAACACTTAATTAGTTTATTTCCATTGCACTTATTACCACTTCACATACAATATATTTCATTTATTTATTTGTCTGTTTCTTTCAAGGAGAGGTGAGTTCCAGGTCTATTTTATTCATTACCATATATACCTAATACGTAGGACAGTGCCTGGTACAATAAATATTGAAATGACTGAAATTTTTATTATTTGGTTTTATACCCTATTAGGTAAGTATTATTATCTCTATTTTACAGAAAATAAAGTACAGAAATTGCCTGAATTTCATTTCAAACCCAAACTGACATAACTTCTAGTATTAAAGTTGCTATTTGAATCTAGATCTGTCTCCCCACAAAGTATGTTCTCTTAAAGTAGATGTCATTTGAGTTTGAAAAATGAATAGTGCCAGGCATGGTGGCTCACACCTGTAATCCTAGCACTTTGGGAGGCCAAGGTGGGCGGATCACTTGAGGCCAGGAGTTAGAGACCAGCCTGGCCAACATGGTGAAACCCTGTCTCTACTAAAATACAAAAAATTAGTCAGGTGTGGTGCGTGCTTGTAGTCCCAGCTACTTGGGAGGCTGAGGCAGGAGAATTCTGTGAACCCAGGAGGTGGAGATTGCAGTGAGCAGAGATCATGTGTCACCGCACTCCAGCCTGGGCAACAGAGTAAGACTCTGCCTCAAAAAAATATAAATAAATAAACAGAATAATATTGAGACTACTTTTGTAACTTACATCATTTCTAAAAACTGGCATTCTGTTCTGTAGCTATAATCTCCACATTTATTTTATTCTTAGTCCTACAATATAAGACATTCAACATTCACAAGTCATTTTGCTATAGTTTCTCTGTTCATCTCTCAGTTCATCTTTTATTAGTTTATTCAAGAAGAGTTCAGGAGAACTAATCTCTAATTGGTGCATGTTCAGAAATGTTTTCCTGTTTCCTTTCTACTTAAGTTTAGCTACATGTAAATTTCTTTTCTTTTTTTTTTTTTTTTTTGAGATGGAGTCTTGCTCTGTTGCCCAGACTGGAGTGCAGTGGCGCAATCTCGGCTCACTGCAAGCATCGCCTCCTGGGTTCACGCCATTCTCCTGCCTCAGCCTCCCGAGTAGCTGGGACTACAGGCATCTGCCACCATGCCCCACTAATTTTTTCTATTTTTTAGTAGAGACGGGGTTTCACCATGTTAGCCAGGATGGTCTCGATCTCCTGACCTCGTGATCCGCCCACCTCAGCCTCCCAAAGTGCTGGGATTACAGGCGTGAGCCACCGTGCCTGGCTGTAAATTTCTTGATTGTGCTTCTTCTCCTTAAGAACTTTCAAGGTACAGTAGTCCCCACCTTATCCACAGGGCATATATTCCAAGAACCACAGTGGATACCTGAAACCTTGGATAGTACTGAATCCCATATATACTATGTTTTTCCTATACATATGTACTTATGATAAAGTTTAATTTATAAATTAGGCACAGTAAGAGATTAGCAATAACTAAAAATAAAAGAGAACAATTATAACAATATGCCAGCATCACTACTCTTGAGCTTTGGGGCTAATACTAAGTAAAACAAAGGTTACTTGAACACACACACTGTGATATTGCAACGATCTGATAACCAAAACAGCTATTAAGAGACTTACAGGCAGTTAGCATGTACAGCATGGATATGCTGGACAAAGGGATAATTCACTTCCTGCACAGGTCAAGGCAGGACAGTAGAGATTTCATCATGCTACTCAAAACAGCACACAATTTAAAACTTAATAATTGTTTATTTCTGGAATTTTTCATTTAATATTTTCAGACCAAGGTAACTGAAATCATAGAAAGTGAAACTGCAGATAAGGGGGGACTACTGTATTTCTCTAATCTCTTCTGTTATCAATAATAGTATTAAGCCTTCCTTAACCCATAATTCACCTTCATAGCTGTCAACATTTTGCCAATCTTGTTTATTCTGCTTCCCCCAAAATGTTTGCAGACCCCAGATATCGTGATTTTTTCCTATAGATGTTTTAGTATGTATGTCTAACTATACGCATTTCTAACCAATAAGCACTTTTTAAAAATATAATTACCACAAATTATCACAGCCCCCAAAATTAACAATAATTTCTTAATATCTATAGGGACCAAGACTATAGGGACCAAGAGTAGCAACAAGACCAATATGGGGCCTGTTGCAATAGCTAGTTGGAAAATACTTTGGATTGGACCTGGGTGATGTCCTTGGATGCAGTGAGAAGTTACAGGATTCAGAATACATTCCAAAGATAGTCAGCAGGATTTGCTAATGGATTAGATCTAGGGTGTGAGAGAACTAAAATAGTCAAAGATGACTCGACTCTGAGGTTTTGACCCAAGCTACTGTAAAGATAAAGTTGTCTTTTACTGAGATAAAGAAGACTGGGTAAGAAGAAGTTTAAGAGCTCAGTTTGGACAAAATAAGTATGAGAAGCTTATTAGGTATGCAAGAGGAGAAATCAGATAAGCAGTCAAATATATGAGACTGGAGTTCAGGAGAGATGTCTGAGCTAGAGAAATAAAACTGGCAGTCATCAGCATAAAAATAGGTATTTAAAACCATGGTATGGGGTGAAGTCACCAAGAGACTGAGTGTAGATATAGATAGAAAAGAGAAGAGATCCAATGACAAAAACCTGGGATAGTCCATCCAATGTTCAGAGTTTGGAGGCAGTAGAAGGAACCAGCAAATGAGACTGATGAGGAGCCAGTATGCTAGGGAAAAAAATCAATAATATTATCATCTGAAGGCCAAGTTTTTTATTTTATTTTGTTTTTAGCCAACACGCAGAAGGCCAAATATTTTAAAGAGGAGGGGGAATTGACTGCATGAAATATTGCTATGTCAACTAAGATAAGAGCTTAGAATTGTCTATTGTGTTGAACCATTGACAAAAGCAATTATAAACTAGTGGGTCAAGATATTGAGTAAATATAGAGTGTAGACAACTATTAGGGAGAAGTTTTTATTAAAGGAGAAGAGAGAAATGTGAAAAGTGCTGGAAAAAGAAGTGGAGCCAAGAGAAAAATTGTTCGATGAATTAAACAATTGATTCTGAGAAATAACATGTAAGTTATATAATGGTCCACTGGAAAAGTAACAATTAATGATGAGGCAAGGAGAAGAGGAATTGCTGGAGCAATGTCCCTGAGTAGGAAAAGGTGACAGGATCTAGGCCTTAGATGGGAGCACAGAGTATTCACCAGGATGTGTAAGTGTGGGTACTATGAGAAGCAGATGTCAGGATGGAATTACATGTGCAAGAGATTTTGGGAGAAACACCTGTGAAGAATAAATGGAAAAGAGAGCAGGTGTAGGTTGGGGAGATCCTTCAGACTATGATGCAGGTCTGAGGGCTGTAAATGAAGAAAGGGAATGAAGAGGACTGGGTAGCACTTCCAAATGTTAAACACACAGTTGTCATATGAACCAACAATTCCACCCCTAGGTATACACCCAAAGAAATGAAAACAAATATCCACACAAAAACCGGTACACAAATGTTCACTGCAGTATTATTCATAATAGCCCCAAAGTAGAAACAATCCAAATGTCCATCAACTGACAAATGCATAAATAAAATGTGATAAAGCCATGCAATGGAATATTATTCATCAATAAAAGGAACAAAGTACAGATATATGCTGCAACATGGATGAACCTTGAAAACATCATGCTAACTGAAAGAAGCCACTCACAAAAGACCACGTATTGTATGATTCCTTTATATGAATTATCCAGAAGGAACCAATTTATAAAGACATAAAGTAGATTAGTGGATGTCTGGGGCCATAAGGGTTTGGAGCATGGAGAGGCGGGTATTGGGTAGTGACCACTAAAGAGTATGGGTTTCTTTTTTGGATGATAAAAATTTTCTGAGATTGATTGTGGCGATGGTTGCATAACTCTGATTATAGTAAAAACTAGTATTGTACACTGTAAATAGGTGAATTGTGTGATATGTGAATTAAATCTCAAAAAGGCTTAAAGAATGAAAAAGGAGGAGGAAGATTGGGTAGGAGGAGACTTAGACCATAGTGCCACTATGAGAAAGTCTTTATCAGATCAATAAAAGATAGCAAAACAGAGGTTGCCTGTTAGGAGAATCACATGTGAGGCAAAAATGACCCAGCTCTAGTATCCTGGCTGGGAGGGGCCTGAGAGTCATATGGGAAGAGGAAGAAAGAGCTTTGACTATAAACCCTGAAAAGAGCTTTGAGTGTGAAACCACAAGTTCATCAGCGGGAGGCTGTCAGCCAACTACACACCTCATGGCAAATTCTCTTAAGCAGAGCACCTCCATGGCTGCCAAAGAGTAAGAGAAGGCAGGTCACGGGATACGAGACTGACAACTCATTCTTCCATTTGATGATATATTCTTTTTTTCTATATATAGGAAGCAAGTTCATCAACTGACAGTAAATTTTGGGGGGCTTGAGGACAATATGTAGAGTCGTTGGAGTGCAAAGGTAAAAGTGAAAACATGAAGTCATTTAGAAGAGCAGGAGGGTGAAAGGACCAAGAACATGTACTCTGATTATCAAGCAGCAGTCAGAGCCCACCAGATGCCTCAGCGGCACGTTTGAGACACAGCAGCACGGTTGTGGGGTTTTCGCCACCCACATTCAGCTGCACAAGTCAAAGCTCAGAATCTAAGATAAAGCAGGGTTGGAATTTTCCCAGGTGAGTAAGAGGAAGTGAAAAAAGGGCAAGGAAATTAAGAATGTATGCAAATAACTGATACAATAATTGATCAAGAAATTTAAACTGGGTAAACAAGGAAGGTGATATGAGGTGGGTGAGGGCAACCAGATCAGAATGAATGGTTTGTTCCAGAAGGAGGTTGTTTGAAGGATTCTTGGAGTTAGGGTACGTAAGAGAGTGACCTAGAAATGGTGGAGCTAAAAGGGCAGAAGGCAGTGAGATTGCAGGAAAGCTTCTGCTGCCAGCTTGCCCACCATATTTCTATCATTCCAAACAGGTTGTTGCCTCTCAAATCAAGGTGTGCCTCCTACTTTGGAGAACTATCCTCTGCTGCCTTAATCTAGACTCCACAGCCATGAGAATTCTTCTCTCCCATAGTCCCTCCTTGTATTTTGTGGTTCATAATTATAGTTATCTCCTAGATTTATCAAAAATGGCATTTACTTTGTTTTTTTGAGACAGAGATTTGCTCTGTCACCCAGGCTGGAGTGCAGTGGCAAAATCTTGGCTCACAAAAACCTCTGCTTCCCAGGTTCAAGCGATTCTCATGCCTCAGCCTCCCAAGTAGCTGTGATTACTGGCGTGCACCACTATACCCAGCTAATTTTTGTATTTTTTAGCAGAAACAGGGTTTCACCATGTTGGCCAGGCTGGTCTCGAATCCCTGGCCTCAAGTGATCCGCCTGCCTTGGCCTCCCAAGGTGCTGGTATTACAGGCATGAGCCACCGAGCCAGCATTTGCATTTTTTGTTTCTCATTCTCCTTGTTGTGTTTGAATGATTATCAAGGACAAGGGTGAACTTTGGTCTTTCTTCCACCACTTTTTTTAAACGGAAGCTAGTATTTCAATACGTATTCTCTTTACACTGTAATATTCCTTTAAGATTTAAGAAAGCAACTTCTTGTATGGATGTTATTGTCTGGAATGTTTAGTCTTGTCTGAAGGATGTTGATGGGAGAGAGGCCAGGAAAGAAGAAGCCTAATTCATCCCCATTTTCTTGTGAGCTTTGACAACGCATGTACTAGAAGGAGTGGAGATGGTCAATTTAAGTGGATTGGAGGGAAAATCACTTTTGGTTATTAGTATGTGTGAAAAGAACGACAATAAAAAAACCTCAAGAGAATAATGGAGGTGTGAGAAACAGTAAAACGAAGTTTTTAATTGTTCACCCAATCTCACACAGGTTATTCAAATTTATCATTCCAGACTGGCAGTGATGGCTCTGTGGAAGGGGTCTAAAAGGGACAATCTAGTTGGAAGGGCAGTGCCAGTCCCACAGGGGAATTTATACTGAAGCAACATTGTTTACCAAGCACTCTGTTTTTACTTGAACTAAGTATTTATTGAGGACCTTTTACTTGAACTAAATATTTATTGGGATGTCTGATACAGTTTATTAGGAGGCTAAAGCCACCATCACCACCTCTAAGCGACCATCTGGCAATGCACTAGGATCGGGCTAATCTAAACTTTGAGGTCCATGACGTATGAATGAGTAAAAGCAGCAGGCTGCAGAGCAACACACATGATATCATCTCACTTAAAAAAAGAGAAAAGAAAGAAGAAAAAATGAAAGAAAAAAATGTGTATGTATATGTGAAGAAAATCTAGAAGTATATTTCTATTAAAGGATGTTAACAGTGGTTATTTCTGAGGGATGACATTATAGGTAACTTAGTTTCTACATTGTGCTTTTATGTAATTTTCTGAATTTTTGCATAATTAGCATAAATTTCAATTTAGGGATAAAAAATTTATTTCTTCTATTAATTTTGAATAGATCTTCCCACTATTATTTTCATTTCCTAGAACTATGACTGACTTATAATAAGCCAACAATGAAAGTTTCTTAATGAATTATGAATGACTACATTAACCTTTTGACCACAAGCCATATCGTGTAAATGAAGATTTCATATTTAAGCTTAACATAAGCTTAACTGAATTCTCAGAATAGATTTCTTGTATTCTCCATACATTGAATCATAGGGTTGCAGCCCACTCTCTGAGGAACCAGAGGCTGTGTAGAAATAGTTCAGGGTTTCCAGAAACAGGGACGTATTTTCCCATCAAACAGATACTCATATATATATGTATACACACACACACACACACACACACACACACACACACACGTACATATGGGAAAACATGTTCCTGTTTGGTAAGTAAAATGGGATGGATTTTGTAATTAAATTTGTTTTAATAAAAAGAGGTCTGTTACTGCCAAAAATTTAAAAACACTACTCTAGTACATGGAACTACTCAATGCTTGAATCTTTTTAAAGTCTTCCTGACACATGGTCTATCTAAAACATTGCAGTATTATCTGGGACTACACAATCTCCTTAATTGTCTTATTAAGTTACCTAAATAAAATATGATCTCTTGGGCTGGGCGCGGTGGATCATGCCTGTAATCCCAGTATTTGGGGAGGCCAAGGCGGGTGGATCATTTGAGGTCAGGAATTTGAGACCAGCCTGGCCAACATGGTGAAACCCTGTCTCTATTAAAAATACAAAAAATTAGCCAGGTATGGTGGCGCTCGCCTGTAATCCAGTTACTTGGGAAGCTGAGGGAAGAGAATAGCTTGAACCCAGGAGATGGAGGTTGCAGTGAGACGAGACTGCATCACTACAATCTTGTCTCAAAAAAATAAAAATAAAATAAAATAAGATCTCTTACCAGAAATCTAAGTGCAGGCTAATCAAATATAATTAACTATTTTTAAGTGTGGGCCTCTATATGAACTCCTATATTCCATTTTTTAAAAGTTATTAATTTAAAGGTTCATTCAGATGCCATTTTCAGTGGCAAAACTCATTGCTAATCAAAGTGTGGTCACTTAGCCAGCAACATCAGCATCACCTGGGAACTTGTTAGAAATGCAGACTCTCAGTGACGTCCCTCTTGAATCAGAATCTGCATTGAAACAAGATCCCAAGGTAATCCTATGAACATTTATGTCTGAGAAGCACTGACATAATTCACTCGTGGCCAGGGGCATATTTGTATTAGGTGTGAACTATTACATGGAGCGAAAGGATGCTCACCAATGGTTCTCAAACTTGTCCCCATATTGTGATTGTCTAGGGGTTGTTAAAAAATACTGATTTAGTTGAAAAAAATGCTCCGCCACAACAAAGAAGGAAAAAAAGCCTGATGTCTGAGCCTCAACCCCCATAGATTCTGATTCTTAATTGGTCTGGCGTACAGCCTGGGTATCAGGATATTTTTAAATTCCCAAGTGGGTCTAATGTGCAGCTGAGTTTGAGAACCACTGCTCTACATTAAAGGTTCCTAGTCTATGGTTGTGTATGAGAATCACTTAAGGAATTTTTAAAAATCTCAGCACTTTAGCCTTACCCCTAGGGACTGTGATTCAACTGATCTGGGGAGGAGCCAAAGGGTTGTTTTATAAAAAGTTTCCGAGTTGATTCCAGTGTGCAGATATATTTGAAACACACAAATCTACATGATGCTGACAAACCCACTATCAAATGAAGGAGAAATTCATAAGACTGGACTTGAATTGATAAACTATCTTCATCATCCCTTGCCCTGTAAGGTATAGGCATCCAGCAGGCATAAAAAGACACTCACGAACACTCATATTTAATCTCTGGGGCCCTGCATAAATAGAAATGTCTGCTGTGATGGAGATCTGTAACTGTGGCATATATTTAGTGTGGAGACTGGTTCATTCACCAGTTTTTGAAAGATTTGAGATTCACACAGAGTCCACCTGATTTGTTTAAAAAGAGCCACACAGCTCAGAAAATTATTCACCAGAACCTACTCTGATGAAGACTCCACCCTTTTCCTTAACCATTCTCAGCACCTTGCGTGCCTCACCACAAGAGTCCCCTGCACCCCTGAAGGTGAAGGTCCAGGTCTACAAGGCAAAAATCAGGGGTTCTTGGAAGAGAAGTCAGAGTAAATAAAGGCAGGAAGAAGAAACTAAAACCTTCTGTAGAATGATTGATTGAATAAAAAAAATAGAGCAAAAACATGCTCACCATTTATCTTCCAAGTATTAAGGATAAATTGTACTAAATGAAAGTTGAAGGCATCAATGCCTATACCAGCAAATTAAACTACTTTTAGGTATGACTCTTAATATTGACATGACTCTCGAAATTAGGCCTAGATGAAGTTATTTAGAATTCTTCACATATTTAAAAACTTAACACTGGGTAGGTGTGTGTTTGTACGTGTGTGTGAATTTTATGTTTATTAAAAAGGGCCATAATTAGCCGGGCAGTAGTGGCACATGCCTGTAATCACAGCTACTCAGGAGGCTGAGGCAGGAGAATCACTGGAACCCGTGGGGCAGAAGTTGCAGTGAGCAGAGATCACGCCGTTGCACATTGCACTCCAGCCTGGGTGACAGAGTGAGACTCTGTCTCAAAAAAATAATAATAAAAAATAAAAAGAAGGGCCATAAGTTACAGGCTGAGAAACGTCACTGGAGAATCTGTCCTCACCATTTCAACATAGTGGTAAGTCACTTATAAAATATTGAACATCTGAAGATAGCTCTGAATGAACAATTTGACATTTGTTTGTGTAATCAGTAAAAATTGGCCTGAAAATGGTGGCATTCAATTTTTTTCACTTTGCAATCTCTAATGCTTCCTATAAGCCTCAACCTAAAACAACTTGCAGAACCCAAAAGGTGGACTGTCACAACTATCTGTGTGCCACATTTCCCTCTGAAAATGATTATGTGGTAATTATTTCACAGTTAAAATAATTTGGAAACAACTGAATGGTAAGGACTTTTTATCTTATAGTTGTTGTAGTTATCAAAATGCCTAGAACAAAAAATGCTCTCTCAATAAATACTTACTGAATTGACTTGAGACGTAGACCAAATGGCATGTCCAGGTCTTCCACAGGGAAGGAGAGAGTTCTTTCATGCCACTCTTCTAGAATTCCTGTCATAGATAACAATAAAGGCAGTTCCTCTGTTATGTTAATGATGATAATGTATAAATAAATTATCGTATCAAATGATATAAACTTAAAATAACTTTTATAGTATTTTATCCTTTATTTTCCAGGACACAAAATAGATGACGAAATTTGCTAGTACCTTGATTAAATATCACCCAAATATCAAGAAATTTGAATTTGCTTAGAATAACAATAATATTTAAAATTGGCCTAATGAAAAATAAAGGTATTGGTGAACATCTGTTTAACATAAAAAAGACATTTCTAGACATATTTGTATACTATGTAATATTTCTACAGAGAAATTCATGATACCAAAGACACTTATGCATTTGAATGAAAAAACTGAATATGTTGCCTCCCTAGATAAAAGAGTATCATTAACACTAATTTTAATATCAAAGTTCAAGCCTCAATACACTTCTTAGAGAGAGGAACTCTCTACACTGGGTATTTCAGTCAAAACCCCAGGCAGTATCTCTAATTTTACTTTCTCTTTTAGCCTTCATTCATATCAATAATAAGCTTGTGTTCTTTTCTTGATCTTTGATCTAATTTAGACAACTGTGGGAGATTACTTTATTTGGAAAAAAATTTTTTTAATGAGGTTTTTCAAACTTGCTTTCTTTTAAAACTCAGGAAGGGTTTTCCTACTTTGTTCTTTGCTGCAGTTTAAACCTCAAGCCTTGCCACTCACAGTGTAATCTACAGACCAGCAGTATCAGAACACCTTGGGAGCTTATTAGCAACATAGTGTTTCAGGCTCTACCCGAGATGCTCTGAATTGGGTTCTACTTTCCAACAAGATCCTGGGATAATTTTTATGCACATGGCAGTTTGAGAAGCGCTTCTTTAAAACATTAAAAGGAAGTTAAAATATGTATCACTTCTCACAGACTTTTGCCAGTGACAAAACTATTTCAGAAAAATTCTAAGTTTAAGATTACTCGTGAGGTTGAAATAAAAATCCGTAAAATCTTTTTGACAATTTGATCATAGTATCAGGAATCTTAAAATGGTCATATTCTCAGACCTAGTAACTATATTTCTGGGAACGCATCCTAAAGAATCTGGGAAATGGTAAAAGCTATATGTAGAAAGATTTTCATTGTAGCCTTATCTAAAAAAGCAAAAAATTATAAACAAACAAAATGTTCAACATTAGAAAAATGATAAATAAATTACAGTACATCTGCTAGTTAGAATGTTATTCAACAACCAAAATTATGTCCACTATAATGCATAACATGGGCTGAAAATGGCAAAGTAGAGAACTCCAGGGTTCTGTCTATCTGCAAAAGCAGCTAATGAACTGGCTAAAACTGTTTTGTCTGACTCACAGTGTTCCCAGGGCTGGAGCAGCTCCCAAGGAGGCTTTTGTTGAAAGCATTTAAAGACACATGTATTGGACACAGCAGCCTGGGACAAGGGACAATACTTTGAACAAGAAATAGACAGAGAAACCTGGAAAGAAAGACATTGGGAAAGAAATATGGGGGAGAATAGAAATTTTAAAATACAGAGAAATCAGAAGGCCATGACCATATCCAGGGCAAGAAATATGCTTTAAGAAGGCCTGGGAAGACCCTAAGCATTTACATGCAATTGGTCTGCAGACTCTGCACAGCAAAAGTGAAGGCTAAGACAGAGATGTCAATGGCCTGACATGGCATTGAAGGAGTACCCAACACAGAACCAATCTACAAAGACTGGTAGAGGATTTTTGCCCTCCTTTTTGACTTTCTTGGCTCCAGGTACTTAAGGCAACTCTGTTAAAACACCACTAACAGACAGCTAACTGAACATAGACTTCAGTGGCCACACATTAAAAAAAAAAATACACACTGTAGAAGAATAGTTTAGAAAAGTCACTAAACAAGCAAACAACAACCTTATAACAAAGAACAACAAACCATAGAGAGGAGGCAGAATCATATTTTCAGAGTTGCTACATTATAATATTTAAATGTCTAACTTACATGAGGCATGCAAGAAACAAATAAGTATGGCCAATTCAAGAAAAAAAAAATTAACAGAAAATGTCCATCAGGAAACTCAGGCATTGGACTTACTAGACAAAGGCTTTAAAATAACAGTCATAACGTGTTCAAACAACTAAAGAAAACCAAAAGAATAATTTCTCACCAGAGACTATCAAGAAAAAAATAGAAACTATAAAAAGGAACTAAATAAAAATAAATATTCTAGAGCTGAAAACTAAAATAACTGAAATAAAAAATTCACGAAGGGGTCCAACAGCATATTTGAGCTGGCAGAAGAATTATTAGTGAATTTAAATATAAATCAATTGAAATTATCCATTCTGAGGAGTAGAAAGTGAAGAGAATGAAGAAAAATGAACAGAGCCTAAGAGACTTCTTGGACATCATCAAGCATACCAGCATACACATAATATGGGTCCCAGAGGGAGAAGAGAAAAGGGGTCAGAAACAATATTTGAAAAAAAATAATGGCCAAAAACGTCCCAAATTGATTAAAGAAATGAATCTATACATCCAAGAAACTCAGTGACTCAAAGAAAGATAAAGTAAAAGACATCCACATGAAGACATATTACAGTCAAATTGTCAAAGGCCAAAAATAGAGAATCTTGAAAGTAGCAAGAAAGAAGCAACTCATCACATACAAGGGATCCAAAATAAGATTATAATCCGACATCCATCCACAAACAATGGAACTATAACATGGTAGGATAACATATGGAAAGTGCTGACAGAAAAACTGTGAACTAAAAATTTGATATCTGGCAAACTCATTCTTCAAAAAAAGGAAGAAAAACTTTCCGTTTCTGGAACATGAAGTTGTCACTTCATCCTAACAATAAGTTAAAAGCTGGGAAAACTGAAAAATTAATAATTCTACTTAGATGTATAAGAGAAGTGAGATTATAAGGCAAACCACTGCCCTAAAAATTAAAGAGAGAGAGAGAAAGAGACAGACAGAGGGAGAGAGAGAGGGAGAGAAAGGCAAATACAGAGAATAATGACTTCCTGGAGTGGAAACCCAAGAGCAGAAACCTCCACCAGAATCAGTGCTAGGGTAGGAAAATCTAAACTGTAACTGACAAATTGCTGGAGGCTCAATGTGAACAAAGCTAAGATATAAAAATGTCAAAGGGACTCAGTCATTATGTTGGGAGAAGTACACTTTTGTGAGTTTTGACTCTAGGAGCTCAACCAGGTTTCATAGTGAAAATTTGTGAGAAATCATTGAATGCTGCTGCCAGAGGAGAGGAAAAGTAATCTTTTTGAAATATGCCAGAACATCCTGTTCTAAACAAGGCCTACCCTTGAGAGAAAATAGTCTACCATAACCTAAAATACTGAGGTTTTATCAGAGTGTAACCCACCTAAGAGAAAGGAAATACCCAACTCAAGCCACCTCTAGCCTTCTATGTAGGAGAAAAAAAATACCAGACTCCAGATACCTCTAGCCATTCTGTGTGACCTAAGAAAGGAGATGGGAGGAAAATTGAAAAATGTTTATGAAGTTCATAGTCCAGAGAAAAAAACTCACTAAAAGATTGAGAACTAATTATAGGACTATAGAATGCTTCCCCTGCCCCAACACCTTACCACCTCAAAAACAGAGGTCTATTTTTGGAGGTTCTTTTACTCAGTATATCATATCTGGCTTTTAATTAAAAATCACAAGACATATTAAAAAGCAAAAAAAAAAAAAAACCCAAACAAACAAACAAAAAATATAATTTGAAGAGACAGAGCAAGCATCAAAACCGAACTCAGATATGACAGGAATGTTGAAATTATCAGACCAGGAATGCAAAACAAGTATGATTAATACGCCAAGGGCTCTAATGGATAAAGTACACAATATGCCAGAACAAGTGGGCAATGTAAACAGAGAGATGGAAATTCTAAGAAATAATAAAAAATAAATGCTAGAGATCAAAAATTCTGTAACAGAAATGAAGAATGCTCATTACTAGACTGGACATGGCTGAAAAAAAGGCTTGCCTGAGGATATGCCGATAGAAATTTTCAAAATGGAAAAAGCAAAGAGAAAAAAGACTGAAAAAAACAGAACAGAATATCTATGACCTCTGGAACAACTACAAAAAGTAAAATATATATATAATGAAAATATTAAATAAAGAGAGAAATGAACAGAAGAAATATTTGAAGCAATAATGACTGATAATTTCCCCAAGTTAATGTCTAATATTAAACTACAGATCCAAAAAACTCAGAGACACCAAGCAAAATGAACTTTAAAAAAAGTATACCTAGACATATCATATTCAAACTGCAGAAAATAAAGGATAAAGAAAAAAAAAACTTTAAAGAAAAAAAAAACCTTCCAAGATGCCAGAGGAAAAAATATCTTACTTATACAGGAAGAAAAATGAGAATTGCATCTGACTTCTTGTCAGAAACCAAGCAAGCTAGAAAAGAAAAAAGTAAAATCTACGGTGTTTGGAGAAAAAAAAACCCCACAAACTTAGAATTCTGTACCTTACAAAATTATCCTTCAAAAGTGAAGGAGAAATAAAGACTTTCTCAGACAAACAAAAACTAAGGGGACTTGTTGCCAGTAGACCTGCCTTGAAGAAATTTTAAAAGTTCTTCAAAATAAAGGAAAATTATATAGGTCAGAAATTCAGATCTACATAAAGAAAGGAAGAGCATCAGAAAAGGAATAAGTCAAGGTAAAATTTAAAAATTTATTTTTCAGGCTGGGTGTGGTGGCTCAGTCCTATAATCCCAGCTTGACCTTTAGGAGGTCAAAATAGCAACGAAGTATTTAATTATGTATGTTTATATACATATAGATATATTCTATGTATACTTATGTAAAAGTGAAATGAATGACCATAATAACACAAGGTATTGGAGGGAGAAGTTAGAATTATTCTGTTGTTAAACAGTACTGGTACTATCCATAAAGCAGTATAGCATTATTTGAGACTTGGATTAGCTATAAATGTATATTGCAAATGCTAGGGGAACTACCAAAAAAAAGCCTTTAAAAAAGTAGAATGGTATGCTAAGAAAGGAGAGAAAATGGAATCATATAAAATGTTCAATTAACACCACAAAAGGTAGAGAAAGAATGGCAGACAAAAATAGGAAAAAAACAAATGGAAAAATGGATAACAGTAACAAATATGGTAGAAATTGATCCAACTATATTAATAATCACTAATCAATGGTCTAAATACACCAACTAAAAGGATTACCAGAGTGAATTAAAAGATCCTAGGCTGTGCACAGTGGCTCATGCCTGTAATCCTAGTGTTTAGGAAGGCCAGGATGGGAGGATTGCTTTAGACCAGAAGTTCAAGACCAGCCTAGGTAACATAGTGAGACCCCGTCTCTACACAAAATTTAAAAATTAGCTGTGTGTGGTGGCACTTGCCTGTAGTCCTAGCTACTGGGGAAACTGAAGCAGGAGGGTTGCTTGAGCCCAGGAGTTGGAGGCTGCAGTGAGCTACGATCATGCCCCTACACTACAGTCTAGGCAACAGAGTGAGACCTTGTCCCCCACCAAAAAAGAAACAAAGAAAGAAAGAAAGAAAATAAGACCCAAATATATGTTGTCTACAAAATAAAAAAAGCACTTTAAATACAAAGACACATATAGATTCACTAGGAATTGCAAATTAAAACAATAAGATACTACTACCTACCTATAAGAATGACCAAACTCCAAAACACTCACTGCACCAAATGCTGGCAAGGATGTAGAGTAACAGGAACTCATTGATTGCTGGTAGGAATGCAAAATGCTCACTACTACTATTAAAAACAAAGCCTTTTTTTTGCCAGGGGTGGGGGTGGAGGATGGAGTCTCTCGTTCTCACCCTGTTGCCCAGGCTGGAGTGCAGTGGCAGAATCTTGGCTCACTGCAACCTGTGCCTCCCAGGTTCAAGGGATTCTTGTGCCTCAGCCACCAGAGTAGAAAACAAAGCCTATTTTTAATGGAGAAATAAAACATATTCATAATATAAAATAAAAATTGAGAGAGTTTGTCAGTAGTAGACCTGCCCTACAATAAATGTTAAAGGGACTCCTCCAGGGTGAAAGGGACGGACACTAAGAACAAGGGTAAAGGTAGCTACATAAGTAAATATAAAGGACAATAGTATTGCATATATGGTTTATAACTCTTTTCTATATGATTTAAATGACAAATGAATAAAACAATTATTAAAATGCTATGTTAATGTGCATTCAATGTATAAAGATATAATTGTGACAATAACAACAGAAAGGGGAAAGGGATGGGGCTGGAAAGGAGTACAGTATTTACCTACTATTGAAAATAAGGTATTGGTATTAATTTAAACTTTACTGATGTAAAGTTAAGATATTAATTGTAATCTCCAGATAACCACTAAGGAAAAAACTTTAAAATATACAGAAAAAGAAATGAGAAGGAAATCAAAACAAGAAAGCTTGATCTAAGAGCAAGTTGTCAGAATAGTTCTTTGGCTCCAGTCTCCCTCACAGAAATCCAACTAGCAACTATCCATGGACAAGAATTCCTTTGTGAATACCTCAGAACTTGAAAGTAAGGCTGAGACATCCTCTGGGACAGGAGAATGGAGACAAGTTGCATTCAAAGGGTAAAAGGAATAGCTTCAATTTGACTGAAAAGTATACTTCCCCCAAGCCTGCACAGCACCACACAGAGAGAACTCCCCTAGGTCCAGTTTCCACTGTGGGAAAAGAGAGTTGGAGGCAAACATTCAGCTTCCTCGCCAGTCTGGAGCCCTTTGAAGACAGATCACTCCTGTCTTGCCCCATGGGGAACATAGGGCAGGCAGAGGTGGTGGTGGTGGTATTATCAACAGGGATAGGCCATCTGGGGCGGGGCTCATAGTGGCTAACATGCAAATTTTGGTGGTGGCTCTGCATTCTGGCCAGCAGAAGCACTTCACCAGAGAAACTGGCCAACAGAATTGCTCCTAACACAAAGAAATAATAAATGCTTGAGGTGATGGATACCCCAATTACCCTGATCAAAACATTGTATGCCTATATAAAAAATCACACGTACCCTGTAAATATGTACAGCTGTTATATTTTCACTATTTTTGTGAAGAATGTCACTGGTATTTTGATAGGGATTGCATTGAATCTGTGGATCATTTTTGACAGTATGATTATTTTCACAATATTAATTCTTCCAATCCATGAACATGGCATGTCTTTTCATTTATTTATGTTTTCTTCAATTTTTTCATCAGTGTTTTATAGTTTTCCTTTTAGAGATCTTTCACCTCTTAGTTAAACTGATTCCTAGGGGTGTTTTTGTACCTAGTATAACTGCGATTGCATTCTTGATTTCTTTTTCCATTAGTACATTGTTGGTGTCTAGAAATGCTACTGATTTTTGCATGTTGGTTTTGTATCCTGAAACTTTGCTGAATTAATTCATTAACACTAACCTAGGCTGAAGAAGTTTGGGGCAGTGACAGCAGCAGTGAAAGCTGTTGATATCTTTAGTGGCAAGAGTTTTTAGGGTCTTCCTATTTTGGGATTCCCCACAACATGGAGACTTAGCCAAAGGGATCCCTCTTAGTGTCAGGTCTGACATGGCCTATAAGCAGTTGTAGAGGCTCTGAGTTCCAGGTGCAGGTGCTCAGGGTGGCTGAGGGGCCACACAGACCTAAGCTTAGGGTCTTGTGACCCCACTGTGGCACCTGGGTCTTAGGGTTCAGGTTTGTTCTCTGTGGCCAGGTTGGATGTATCATGCCCACAGACTCAGGTTCTGTGACTCTCAGGCATCTTCTGGCAGCTCAGGCCCATGGAGCGTGTGATTCTACCCCTGGAGGGCAGGGCAAAGCACTGGCCTGGCTCAGGGGAAGAAGGGGTACTCTGGAGGCTTGGGCCTACAGAGCAGGGTATGGCTGCAATTTGGGAATATGAGTCATAAGGCTCAGTAGCAAATCATATCCCAAAGGATGAAGCATCATACAGTGGTGACTCTAGACCCTGGGATAGTGGGACTCAGCAGTATCCTAGACTCTGTGAAACCAGGATCAATGGCAACAAGTACCCCAAAATGGCAGAGCACAGCTGTCCTTTGAGCCCTGTGGGGCATGGAACAATGACTCTACTTCTTGGATAGAGGGGCAGGGCTCTCCCCAGGGAGCAGAGTCTCTGTAGCTCAGACTCTAGAGCTAGTCCAGCTCCAGGAAAGCAGGGCAGTAGAGTTATTTGGCCTATAAGTGTTGTGTCTCAGCTCAGTCACTGCCCTACTTCCCTGGGACGCATGGTACTACATCATCTCATCTCTGGGATGCACAGTTGCTCAGATTGGCCAGGGCACCAATTCCCCAGAGGATGATGTGCCACTTCAGCTCAGGCCTTGGGGGGTGTGACTGTCCAGGATAAATTCATAATTACTAGTCCCACAAAGATATAATACAAAGAAAAAATCAATGGAGCCTGACCCCAAAATGATCTAGCTGTAAGAATAAAGACTAGAATTTTAAAGCAGCCATTATATTATGCTCAAAAATGTGAGGGAAAAATACGCTTTTAATGAATGGATAGATAGGATACTCATTAAATAAATAAAAACTATAAACAGGAACAAAACACTTTTTCTAGAAGTAAAAATATACTATGTGAAAAAATTATATTGTATATTTGAATATATATTTGAAAACTGCTAAGAATGTAGATTTTAAATTATCTCACAACAAAAAAAATATATGAGGTTATGGATATGTCAATCAGCTTGATTTAATCATTCTACAATGTATACATACATCAAAACATCACACTATACATTATAAATATACACGATTATTTATTAATATAAAATTTCTAAATTATATATATAATTTCTAAAAAGACATAACCTAATTTATTCAAAGAGTAATAGAAAACTGAAAGTGTATGCATGCAATAAGTATGGCATTGTTAAATTCATTAAAGGACTGCATACAAAAAAATGGGATTATGCAAATTCTCTTTTTTTTTTTTTTTTTTTTTTTGAGACGGAGTCTCGCTCTGTCGCCCAGGCCGGACTGCGGACTGCAGTGGCGCAATCTCGGCTCACTGCAAGCTCCGCTTCCCGGGTTCACGCCATTCTCCTGCCTCAGCCTCCCGAGTAGCTGGGACTACAGGCGCCCGCCACCGCGCCCGGCTAATTTTTTGTATTTTTAGTAGAGACGGGGTTTCACCTTGTTAGCCAGGATGGTCTCGATCTCCTGACCTCATGATCCACCCGCCTCGGCCTCCCAAAGTGCTGGGATTACAGGCGTGAGCCACCGCGCCCGGCCGCAAATTCTCTTTAAAAATTTTTTTTTATTTTTTTGAGACAGAGTCTTGCTCTGTCACCATGGCTGGAGTGCAGTGGCATGATCTCGGCTCACTGTAACTTCCGCCTCCTGGGTTCAAGGGATTCTCCTGCATCAGCCTCCCGAGTAGCTGGGATTACAGGTGCGTACCACGCCCAGCTAATTTTTGTATTGTTAGTAGAGACAGGGTTTCGCCATGTTGGCCAGGCTGGTCTTGAACTCCTGACCTCAAGTGATCCACCTGCCTTGGCCTCCCAAAGTGCTGGGATTACAGGTGTGAGCCACCGCACCTGGCCTAAATTCTCTTTTTTAAAAAATTAAAATTCTCTGGGTGAACTTAAAAGCATAAGATGAAAGATAAGTTGCTGAACTTAAAGATAGGTGGGTAGAAATTATCCAAGCTGAAGAAGAGAGAAAAACATTGGTGAAAAAAGAGAACAAAGCCTCAAGGATTAGAGTACAGTATCAAATATTCTAACATTTATCTAATGAAGTCCCACAAGAAAAAAGGAGAGAATAGAAAAAATATATGTATTTGATAAAATAATCACTGAAAATTTCCCACACTTAGTGAAAGCATAAATTTATAGATTCGAGAATATGAAAAACTTCCAAAGATGATAAATATGAAGAAAATTGCATGTAAGAACATGAAAGTCCCATAGTTCTTAAAACATGAGTCACGGACCCCTAGGGATCAAAATAATATGAAGATAATATTTGCCTTTTTTTTTTTTTTTTTACTGTGTTGACATTTACACCAATGGGGCAAAAACAATAGTGGACCAAACTGCTGGGGCCTTAGCATGAGTCAAGGCAGTGTCACCAAACTACACTTAACAATTACTGTCTTTTATACCATTAGAAACTCAGTTTAAAAAAAAAAAAAGAAGAAACCAGTTTTACTTAAGAATATTCTTGATGAATCAATAAAAATTATTAATTTAATTAACTCTTAGCCCCTGAATGTACACCTTTTTTTCATTAACAGACTTAATTTATTAGAGCAATTTTAGGTTTTTCCAAAAATTTTGAAGATCTTACAGAGAGTTCCACATACCCTCTTTATCGCCCACTGACAGTTGCCCCTATTATTAGTATCTTACATTCATGTGGTATATTTGTTACAATCATGAGACAATATTGATACATTAAAATTAACTGAAGTCTATAGTTGACATTAGGGTTCACTCTTGGTGTTGTACAGTTCCATGAGTTTTTTATACTGTTATGTTTCCACCATTACAGGATCATACAGAATAGTTTCATTGCCTAAAAATCCCATGCTTCAGCCGGGTGCAGTGGCTCATGCCTGTAATCCCAGCACTTTGGGAGGCCAAGGCGGGCGGATCACAGGGTCAGGAGATCAAGACCATCCTGGCTAACACGGTGAAACCCTGTCTCTACTAAAAAAATACAAAAAAATTAGCTGGGCGCGGTGGCGGGCGCCTGTAGTCCCAGTTACTCAGGAGGCTGAGGCAGGAGAATGGCAGGAACCCCGGAGGCGGAGCTTCCAGTGAGCCGAGATCACACCACTGCACTCTAGCCTGGGTGACAGAGCGAGACTCCATCTCAAAAAACAAACAAACAAAAAAATTCCATGCTACTCCTATTCATCCCTTCCCTTCTCCCACCAAGCCCCTGGCAGCCGTTGATCTTTTTACTAAATCCATAGTTTTGCTTTTTCCAGAGCATCATATGTTGGAATCATATATTACATAGCCATTTCAGATTGGGTTCTTTCACTCAGTAATATGCACTTACGTTTCCTCCATGTTTCTTCATGGTTTGATAGCTCATTTGTTTTTTTATCTCTGAATGATACTCCATTGTCTGGATGTGTCACAGTTTATTTATCTGTTCTCCTACTGAAAGACTTCTTTACAGCTTCTAAGTTTTAGCAAATATGAATAAAGCTGCTATAAACATTCATGTGCAGGTTTTTGTGTGGATATGTTTTCAATCCATTTGAGTAAATACCAAGAAGCTGAATAATTAGATCATATGGTAAGAGTATGTTTAGTTTTACTAAAACTACTCTGTTT
Source organism: Homo sapiens (assembly GCF_000001405.40). Lineage (NCBI taxonomy): Eukaryota > Metazoa > Chordata > Mammalia > Primates > Hominidae > Homo > Homo sapiens. The sequence continues at coordinate 4,954,744 of NC_000009.12, read as the reverse complement.
AATAGTTCAGTAAGAAATTGCCCAACTGTCTTTCAAAGTCATTGTACCATTTTGCATTTCCACCAGCAACAAATGAGAGTTCCTGTTTCTCCAAATTCTTGGCAGCATTTTGTGTTGTCAGTGTTTTGGATTTTGGCCATTCTAATAGATACGTAGTGATATCACATTGTTTCAAATTGCAATTCTCTAATGACATGATGTTGAGCATTTTTCATATGTTTATTTGCCACTTGTATATCTTCTTAGGTGAGGTGTCTGTTAAGGAATTTTACCCGCTTTTTAATTGAGTTATTAACTATACATATTTTTAATATTCTATATGATGAAATCAGAAGTACACATAAAGCACTTCTACTGTATACAGACATATGACGGTTTTCTTGAGGAAGAGCACTTGTGTGATTGTTTGAGTTGTGAGGTGAATTAGCCGAGTTTTTCACAGAGCACCATTTTTTACTTGAAAGAGTGACTGTTAAACTATGGCTATTCAGAATAGGATATTGACAAACATTTTATTTAAAAGGAAAAAACTAGCTTATTTCAACAGGAAAAACTTAAGTGATAAATATAAAATTCAGGCTTTCAAGCGAAAATTAGAATTTTTGTTTTATGCAAGCACAAGTTTTTCATGTATTTATTTATTTAAAGACAGGGTCTCACTGTGTCACCTAGGCTAGAGTACAGTGATGTGATCATGGCTCACTGCAGCCCGACCTCTCTGGCTCAAGCAACCCCTCTGCCTTGGCCTCCTAAAGTGATGGGATTACAGGCATAAGCCATAGAACCTGACCAGAATTTTGGAACACATATCTGCCAGCACAAGCTTGACGGCCTTTCAATACATAAAAACTTTTCTGATGTGATTGGTGCACTATTAACGAATGTTATTATAGTCTGAGCCATGATGGCCAAATAGGAACAGCTCCAGTCTACAGCTCCCAGTGTGAGCGATGCAGAAGATGGGTGATTTCTGCATTTCCAACTGAGGTACCAGGTTCATCTCACTGGGGAGTGCCGGACAGTGGGTGCAGGACAGTGGGTGCAGCACACCGTGCATAAGCCAAAGCAGGGAGAGGCATCACTTCACCCAGGAAGCACAAGGGGTCAGGTAATTCCCTTTCCCAGTCAAAGAAAGGGGTGACAGACGGCACCTGGAAAATCGGGTCACTTCCACCCTAATACTGCATTTTTCCAACGGGCTTAACAAACAGCACACCAGGAGATTATATCCCGCACGTGGCTCGGAGGGTCCTACACCCATGGAGCCTCGCTCAATGCTAGCACAGCAGTCTGAGATCAAACTGCAAGGCCGCAGTGAGGCTGGGGGAGGGGCGCCCACCATGGCCGAGTCTTCAGTAGGTAAACAAAGCAGCCCGGAAGCTCGAACTGGGTGGAGCCCACCACAGCTCAAGAAGGCCTGCCTGCCTCTGTAGGCTCCACCTCTGGGGGTAGGGCACAGACAAACAAAAGGCAGCAGTAACCTCTGCAGACTTAAATGTCCCTGTCTGACAGCTTTGAAGAGAGTAGTGGTTCTTCCAGCACGCAGCTTGAGATCTGAGAATGGGAAGACTGCTTCCTCAAGTGGGTCCCTGACCCCGGAGTACCCTAACTGGGAGGCACCCCCCAGTAGGGGCGGACTGACACCTCACATGGCCGGGTACTCCTCTGAGACAAAACTTCCAGAGGAATGATCAGGCAGTAGCATTTGCGGTTCACCAATATCCGCTGTTCTGCAGCCACCGCTGCTGATACCCAGGCAAACAGGGTCTGGAGTGGACCTCCAGCAAACTCCAACAGACCTGCAGCTGAGGGTCCTGACTGTTAGAGGGAAAACTAACAAACAGAAAGGACATCCACACCAAAAACCCATCTGTACGTCACCATTATCAAAGACCAAAGGTAGATAAAACCACAAAGATGGGGAAAAAACAAAGCAGAAAAACGGGAAACTCTAAAAATCAGAGCACCTCTCCTCCTCCAAAGCAATGCAGCTCCTCACCAGCAACGGAACAAAGCTGGACAGAGAATGACTTTGATGAGTTGAGAGAAGGCTTAAGAAGATCAAACTACTCCGAGCTAAAGGAGGAAGTTCGAACCCATGGCAAAGAAGTTAAGAACCTTGAAAAAAAATTAGATGAACGGCTAACTAGAATAACCAATGCAGAGAAGTCCTTAAAGGACCTGATGGAGCTGAAAACCATGGCATTAGAACTACGTGACGAATGCACAAGCCTCAGTAGCTGATGCGATCAACTGGAAGAAAGGGAATCAGCGATGGAAGACGAAATGAATGAAATGAAGCAAGAAGAGAAGTTTTGAAAAAAAGAATAAAAAGAAACGAACAAAGCCTCCAAGAAATATGGGACCATGTGAAAAGACCAAATCAACGTCTCATTGGTGTACCTGAAAGTGACAGGGAGAATGGAACCAAGCTGGAAAACACTCTGCAGAATATTATCCAGGAGAACTTCCCCACTCCAGCAAGGCAGGCCAACATTCAAATTCAGGAAATACACAGAATGCCACAAAGATAGTCCTTGAGAAGAGCAACTCCAAGACACATAATTGTCAGATTCACCAAAGTTGAAATAAAGGAAAAAAATGTTAAGGGCAGCCAGAGAGAAAGGTCGGGTACCCACAAAGGGAAGCCCATCAGACTAATAGCTGATCTCTCGGCAGAAACTCTACAAGCCAGAAGAGAGTGGGGGCCAATATTCAACATTCTTAAAGGAAAGAATTTTCAACCCAGAATTTAATATCCAGCCAAACTAAGCTTCATAAGTGAAGGAGAAATAAAATCCTTTACAGACAAGCAAATGCTGAGAGATTTTGTCACCACCAGGCCTGCCCTAAAAGAGCTCCTGAAGGAAGCACTAAACATGGAAAGGAACAACTGGTACCAGCCACTGCAAAAACATGCCAAATTGTAAAGACCATCGAGGCTAGGAAGAAACTGCCTCAACTAATCAGCAAAATAACCAGCTAACATCATAATGACAGGATCAAATTCACACATAATAATATTAACCTTAAATGTAAATGGGCTAAACGCTCCAATTAAAAGACACAGAATGGTAAATTGGATAAAGAGTCAAGACACATCAGTGTGCTGAATTCAGCAAACCCATCTCACGTGCAGAGACACATATAGGCTCAAAATAAAAGGATGGAGGAAGATCTACCAAGCAAATGGAAAACAAAAAAAGGCAGGGGTTGCAATCCTAGTCTCTGATAAAACAGACTTTAAACCAACAAAGATCAAAAGAAACAAAGAAGGCCATTACATAATGGTAAAGGGATCAATTCCACAAGAAGAGCTAACTGTCCTAAATATAAATGCACCCAATACAGGAGCACCCAGATTCATAAAGCAAGTCCTGAGTGACCTTCAAAGAGACTTAGACTCCCACACAATAATAATGGGAGACTTTAACACCCCACCATCAACATTAGACAGATCAACGAGACAGAAAGTTAACAAGGATATCCAGGAATTGAACTCAGCTCTGCACCACGCGGACCTAATAGACATCTACAGAACTCTCCACCCCAAATCAACAGAATATACATTCTTTTCAGCACCACACCACACCTATTCCAAAATTGACCACATAGTTGCAAGGAAAGCACTCCTCAGCAAATGTAAAAGAACAGAAATTATAACAAACTGTCTCTCAGACCACAGTGCAATCAAACTAGAGCTCAGGATTAAGAAACTCACTCAAAACCGCACAACTACATGGAAACTGAACAACCTGCTCCTGAATGACTACTGGGTACATAACGAAATGAAGGCAGAAATAAAGATGTTCTTTGAAACCAACAAGAACAAAGACACAACATACCAGAATCTCTGGGACACATTCAAAGCAGAGTGTAGAGGGAAATTTATAGCACTAAATGCCCAGAAGAGAAAGCAGGAAAGATCTAAAACTGACACCCTAACATCACAATTAAAAGAACTAGAGAAGCAAGAGCAAACACATTCAAAAGCTAGCAGAAGGCAAGAAATAACTAAGATCAGAGCAGAACTGAAGGAAATAGAGACACAAAAAACCCTTCAAAAAATCAATGAATCCAGGAGCTGGTTTTTTGAAAAGATCAACAAAATTGATAGACCTCTAGCAAGACTAATAAAGAAGAAAAGAGAGAAGAATCAAACAGATGCAATAAAAAATGACAAAGGGGATATCACCACCGATTCCACAGAAATACAAACTACCATCAGAGAATACTATAAACACCTCTACACAAATAAACTAGAAAATCTAGAAGAAATGGATAAATTCCTCGACACATACACCCACCCAAGACTAAACCAGGAAGAAGTTGAATCTCTGAATAGACCAATAACAGGCTCTGAAATTGAGGCAATAATTAATAGCCTACCAACCAAAAAAAGTCCAGGACCAGATGGATTCACACCTGAATTCTACCAGAAGTACAAGGAGGAGCTGGTACCATTCCTTCTGAAACTATTCCAATCAATAGAAAAAGAGGGAATCCTCCCTAACTCATTTTATGAGGCCAGCATCATCCTGATACCAAAGCCTGGCAGAGACACAACAAAAAAAGAGAATTTTAGACCAATATCCTTGATGAACATTGATGCAAAAATCCTCAATAAAATACTGGCAAACCAAATCCAGCAGCACCTCAAAAAGCTTATCCACCATGATCAAGTGGACTTCATGCCTGGGATGCAAGGCTGGTTCAACACACGAAAATCAGTAAACATAAACCAGCATGTAAACAGAACCAAAGACAAAAACCACATGATTATCTCAATAGAGGCAGAAAAGGCCTTTGACAAAATTCAACAGCCCTTCATGCTAAAAACTCTCAATAAATTAGGTATTGATAGGACGTATCTTAAAATAGTAAGAGCTATCTATGACAAACCCACAGCCAATATCATACTGAATGGACAAAAACTGGAAGCATTCCCTTTGAAAACTGGCACAAGACAGGGATGCCCTCTCTCACCACTCCTATTCAACATAGTGTTGGAAGTTCTGGCCAGGGCAATCAGGCAGGAGAAGGAAATAAAGGGCATTCAATTAGGAAAAGAGGAAGTCAAATTGTCCCTGTTTGCAGATGACATGATTGCATATCTGGAAAACCCCATCGTCTCAGCCCAAAATCTCCTTAAGCTGATAAGCAACTTCAGCAAAGTCTCAGGATACAAAAATCAATGTAAAAAATCACAAGCATTCTTATACACCAGTAACAGACAAACAGAGAGCCAAATCATGAGTGAACTCCCATTCACAATTGCTTCAAAGAGAATAAAATACCTAGGAATCAAACTTACAAGGGATGTGAAGGACTTCTTCAAGGAGAAGTATAAACCACTGCTCAATGAAATAAAAGAGGATACAAACAAATGGAAGAACATTCCATGCTCATGGGTAGGAAGAATCAATATCGTGAAAATGGCCATACTGCCCAAGGTCATTTATAGATTCAATGCCATCCCCATCAAGCTACCATTGACTTTCTTCACAGTATTGGAAAAAACTACTTTAAAGTTCATATGGAACCAAAAAAGAGCCCACATTGCCAAGTCAATCCTAAGCCAAAAGAACAAAGCTGGAGGCATCACGCTACCTGACTTCAAACTATACTACAAGGCTACAGTAACCAAAACACCATGGTACTGGTACCAAAAGAGAGATATAGACCAATGGAACAGAACAGAGCCCTCAGAAATAATGCCACGTATCTACAACTATCTGATCTTTGACAAACCTGAGAAAAACAAGCAATGGGGAAAGGATTTCCTATTTAATAAATGGTGCTGGGAAAACTGGCTAGCCATATGTAGAAAGCTGAAACTGGATCCCTTCCTTACACCTTATACAAAAATTAATTCAAGATGGATTAAAGACTTACAGGTTAGACCTAAAACCAGAAAAACCCTAGAAGAAAACCTAGGCAATACCATTCAGGACATAGGCATGGGCAAGGACTTCATGTCTAAAACACCAAAAGCAATGGCAACAAAAGCCAAAATTGACAAATGGGATCTAATTCAACTAAAGAGCTTCTGCACAGCAAAAGAAACTACCATCAGAGTGAACAGGCAACCTACAGAATGGGAGAACATTTTTGCAACCTACTCATCTGACAAAGGGCTAATATCCAGAATCTACAATGAACTCAAACAAATTTACAAGAAAAAAACAACCCCATCAAAAAGTGGGTGAAGGATATGAACAGACACTTCTCGAAAGAAGACATTTATGCAGCCAACAGACACATGAAAAAATGCTCATCATCACTGGCCATCAGAGAAATGCAAATCAAAACCACAATGAGATACCATCTCACACCAGTTAGAATGGCAATCATTAAAAAGTCAGGAAACAACAGGTGTTGGAGAGGATGTGGAGAAATAGGAACACTTTTACACTGCTGGTGGGACTGTAAACTAGTTCAACCATTGTGGAAGTCAGTGTGGCGATTCCTCAGGGATCTAGAACTAGAAATACCATTTGACCCAGCCATCCCAATACTGGGTATATACCCAAAGGATTATAAATCATGCTGCTATAAAGACACATGCACACGTATGTTTATTGTGGCAGTATTCACAATAGCAAAGACTTGGAACCAAGCCAAATGTCCAATGATGATAGACTGGATTAAGAAAATGTGGCACATATACACCATGGAATACTATGCAGCCATAAAAAACGATGAGTTCATGTCCTTTGTAGGGACATGGATGAAGCTGGAAACCATCACTCTCAGCAAACTATCGCAAGGACAAAAAAGAAACACCACATGTTCTCACTCATAGATGGGAATTGAACAATGAGAACACATGGACACAGGAAAGGGAACATCACACACCGGGGCCTGTTGTGGGGTAGGGGGAGTGGGGAGGGGTAGCATTAGGAGATATACCTAATGCTAAATGACGAGTTAATGGGTGCAGCACGCCAACATGGCACATGTATACATATGTAACAAACCTGCACGTTGTGCATATGTACCCTAAAACTTAAAGAATAATAATAAAATTTAAAAAAGAATGTCATTTTAATTTTGTATAATGAAATGTGTCAATACTTGAAAGATTTGCATAACTGGTTGAGCCAATATTCTGCACCAAAAGACAGTGCTAAGAAAGTGAATCGGTAAGCCACAGGCTGAGAAAAAGGTGCAAATATATATATTTGAGAAAGGACTATTATCCAAAGTAAAAATACAGCTCAATAATAAAGAGGCATCAGGGTGCAGTTGCTCACACCTGTAATCTCAGAAACTGGAAGGCTAGGGTGGGAGGATAGCATGAGCCCAGGAGGTTGAGCTGCAGGGAGCTATGATGGTGCCACTGCACTCCAGCCTGGGCGACAAAATAATATCCCAACTCAAAAATAGAGAAAAGAAAATAAGACAACCCAGTTTAAAATGGGCAAAATATTTAGACCAATATTTCACGAAGAAAGATATGAGAATGGTATGAATACATAAATAAATGCTCAAAATCATTAGTCAAAGATATATTACTATAAATATATCAGAATGTCTAAAATGAAAAGATTGGCAACACCAATGTCAGTGAGGTGATGGAACACTGAAACTCTTACACACTGTACTATATTAAGACATGTTGAAAAATGTGAGAGTAGTGGTTGCCTTTTGAGGGATGGATATGTGGGGATTTTCTGGGAAGGAATGTGAGTGAACTTTCTGGGAAGATATAAATATTCTCTATCTTGATAGGAGTTTGGATTATATAAGTGTCTGCATTTGTCAAAATTCACTGAATGGTATACTTAAGATTGTGCATCAAAGCTGGGCATGGTGGCTTATGCCAGTAATTTAAGCTACTTGGGAGGCTAAGGTGAGAGGATAACTTGAGGCCAGGAGTTTGAGACCAGCCTGGGCAAAATTGTGAGACCCTGTCTCTACAAAAAAATTTTAAGAATTAGCTAGGCCTAGTGGCATGCACCTAGAGACACAGCTACTCGGGAGGCTGAGGTGGGAAGATTACTTCAGCCTGGGAAGTTGAGGCTTCAGTGAGCCATGATAGCACCACTGCACTCCAGCCTGGGTGACAGAGGTCTGTCTCCAAAAATAAATAAATAAATAAAATACAGATTGTGCATCTACTATATGTAAAATCTTACCAAGAAAAACTCATATACATGACTCTAAATGATATGCATGCTGAAGTATTGAATGAAGTATGTTGATATCTACAACTTACCTTGAAATGCCTCAAAAAAAAAGATGGATTAATGGATGGACAGAGGTATCAACAAATAGATGGTTGAATAAATGTATAATAAAGCAAATTAATTGCTAATTGTAGAATCTAGATGGTAGTGGCTGAATGTGGTAGCTCACGCCTGTGATCCCAGCACTTTGAGAGGCCAAGGTGGGCAGATGACATGAGGCTAGGAGTTCAAGATCAGCCTGGCCAACATGGTGAAACCCCATCTCTACTAAAAATACAAAAATTAGCCGGATGTGGTGGTGCACAGTGCACATAATCTCAGCTACGTGGGAGGCTAAAGCATGAGAATTGGTTGAACCCAAGAGACAGAGGTTGCAGTGAGCTGAGATCCCCCCATTCCCCATTGCTCTCCAGCCTGTGCAACAGAGGGAAACTCTGTCTCAAAAAAAAAAAAAAAGATGGTGGATATATGCAAATTTGTTGTTTCTGATTATTTCAATTATTCAGTATATTTGATAATGCTTATAATAAAATGGTGGGAAAACTATTTACCAAAACAAAACAAAACAAAACAAAACAAAACAAACCTACCTGCCCGTGGAGGCCACCAAGGAAGCATGGTTAAAGTCTCTCTTCTCCCTGTCAGTCATGTCTAAGTCAAGAGTCTCCTAAAGAGCCCAAACAGCTAAGGAAGCTCTTCATTGGAGGGTTGAGCTTTGAAACAACCAATGAGAGCCTGAGGAGCCATTTTGAGCAATGGGGAACGCTCACGGACTGTGTGGTAATGAGAGATCCAAACACCAAGCGCTCCAGGGCCTGTGGGTTTGTCATGTGTGCCACTGTGGAGGAGGTGGATGCAGCCATGAATGCAAGGCCACACAAGGTAGATGGAAGAGTTGTAGAACCTCACGCCTATAATCCCAGCACTTTGGGGGGCTAAGGCAGGCGGATCACGAGGTCAGGAGATCGAGACCATCCTGGCTAACACGGTGAAACCCGTCTCTACTAAAAATACAAAAACTTAGCCAGATGTGGTGGCAGGCGCCTGTAGTCCCAGCCACACAGGAGGCTGAGGCAGGAGAATGGCATGAACCCGAGAGGCGGAGCTTGCAGTGAGCTGAGATGGCACCACTGCACTCCAGCCTGGGCGACAGAGCAAGACTCCATCTCAAAAAAAAAAAAAAAAAAAAAAAAAAAAAAAAGAGTTGTAGAAGCAAAGAGAGTTGTCTCAAGAGAAAATTCTCAAAGACCAGGTGCCCAGTTAACTGTGAAAAATATATTTGTTGGTGGCATTAAAGAAGACACTGAAGAACATCACCTAAGGGATCATTTTGAACAGTATGGAAAAAATTGAAGTGATTGAAATCATGACTGACCGAGGCATTGGCAAGAAAAGGGGCTTTGCCTTTGTAACGTTTGACAACGGTGACTCCATGGATAAGACTGTCATTCAGAAATAGCATACTTGAATGGCCACAGCTGTGAAGCTAGGAAAGCCCTGTCAAAGCAAGAGTGGTTCTGGAAACTTTGGTGGTGGTCATGGAGGTGGTTTCAGCGGGAATGACAACTTGGGTCATGGAGGAAACTTCCATGGTCGTGGTGGCTTTGGTGGCAGCTGTGGTGGTGGTGAATATGGTGGCTGGGGATGACTACAGTGGATTTGGTAATGATGGAAGCAATTTTGGAGGTGGCGGAAGCTACAGTGATTTTGACAATTACAACAATCAGTCTCCAAATTTTGGACCCCTGAAGGGAGGAAACTTTGGAGGCAGAAGCTCTGTCCCCTGTGGTGGTGGAGGCCAATACTTTGCCAAACCACAAAACCAAGGTGGCTATGGTGGTTCCAGTAGCAGCAGTAGCTATGGCAGTGGCAGAAGATTTTAATTAGGAAACAAAGCTTAGCAGGAGAGGAGAGCCAGAGAAGTGACAGGGAAGCTACAGGTTACAACAGATTTGTGAACTCAGCCAAGCACAGTGGTGGCAGGGCCCAGCTGCTACAAAGCAGACATGTTTTAGACAAATACTCATGTGTGTGGGCAAAAAACTCGAGGACTGTATTTGTGACTAATTGTGTAACAGGTTATTTTAGTTTCTGTTCTGTGGAAAGTGTAAACCATGCCAACAAAGGGTTTTAATGTAGATTTTTTTTTCACCTATGCTGTTGATTGCTAAATATAATAGCCTGATTGGGACGCTGAATAAATGTCTTTTTTTTTTTTAATGTGCTGTGTAAAGTTGTTCTACTCTGAAGCCATCTTGGTAAATTTCCCCTACAGTGTGAAGTTAGAGTTCCTTCAGGGTGATGCCAGGTTCTTTTTGGAATTTATATACAACCTGCTTGGGTGGAGAAACCATTGTCTTCAGAAACCTTGGTGTGGTTGAACTGATAGTTACTGTTGTGACCTGAAGTTCACCATTAAAAGGGATTAGCAAAGCAAAATCATGGAATTATTGGTTATTAAAACGATTGTTGGCATATCCTATGCAATATATCTAAATTGAATAATGGTACCCAATAAAATTATAGATGGGAATGAAGTTTGTGTACCTTCCATTATCATGCATAATCAATAAACGATTTAATTCTCTTGAAAAAAAAAAACCTGAAAGGAAACACACAATTGACTTCAGGTGTTGACACTTTGGAAGATTTTTCAAGTTATTTATAGTGACAGATATTAATGTTATAAAGAAATAAATGCACTTTTTATTTTAAAAACTCTACCATTTCTCTGAAGAAGAAACAAACAAGATTTTAAAAAATCTTATACTAGTCAGTAGAGTATAGCTTTCCAGCTAAGCAATGAAATCATTTTAAATGGTAAACTTTATATTAAAGATATGAAGAAATGAACATGATTGTCCCATAGTTAAATCATTTTACTGCAGATAAATTGCCTGAAGCACATTTTCTTTGATCGTTCATAGGGATTTATATTTTTAAACAGGTTGAAGTTTAGATGTCCTCAAGAGTGTCACAGTCTAATTATATCATAGGTACGAAGTAGTTGTGTGACTGTATTTAGAAAGCATAACCTTTCTGTTAGCGATATCTCTAAAATGCCTGACACTTTACAGAATACTGTGAAATCAAATACAGACTCTGCTGAGATGGTATTGAAACATTTTGCTGTTAGTCCACGGTGAATACTGGCCTTTAGAAAAGCATAAATACTACTTTCTGCATCTACCAAAGAATTAATTAAATCTGTTGCAGTCTTTTTGATCGTAAAAAATGATTGCTACAACTTGCTTAATTATCCTAATTTTTTTTTCTAGTCAAGAAAAAACTCCTGTGGATATAGGAACCTTGCCTTGCTTGATTGCATGCAGACTGCCAGGTAGTGATACTACCGAAAACTTGTGCTTCCATTCCTTAATTAGAGATAATTGCTGGTTGAATGGGCAATTTTCTTTCTCTTTGGAGAAAGGATCTAGATACTGTGCTTCAAACCAATTGTTCTGTTTCAAGTGGAAGTCCTCTAAGCTGGGACATGAAATGCCAAACTCTTATGCTTCAAATGTCTCCATTTATCCATTTAGGCAAAGCTAGATAAATTTTCTGAAATGGAAATTACCTCAGCATCTTTCTCTGATATTGACTAATTCCCACATCTCTTGTATCTATGCAAATTTTAACCTGAATCTTAAAAACAAACATTTTGGAGAAAGGCCCCTACTAATTTAAAAATTAAACAAACAAAATTCCCTAACCAACTTTACTGGAACCCATTACTTGCTTTTTCTTCTGAGCTATCAGCACTTCTTTCCTAGACTTTAAAGCTGTTGTTCCAATGTAAACAAATATATCTAGCTTGAACTCAGACTTAGTTATCCCTTGCTTTTGCTTTCTACACTAAAACAAAGAAATAAAAAATTTTGCTGAGAAGTGTTCTCGTTTTGAAAAATTTAAAGCAGTAACATTTAGCTAAAAGCTTTTGCCTTAAATCAGCTTATTAAAAAAAAAGAAGAAGAAGAAGGAGAAAGAAAGCATATTTTTGTAGGGACCTGGAGCATAATAAAGTTTAAAACCACAAGGAACTTCTTTTCTTGAGTCACCTCTTCTTACCAAATAGTGGTTCCTATCAAGTGATTTCCTTTCAGAGTACATTTTACTCCCTACTTACAAACTCCTATAAACAAGTGTGTGTGTGTAACCCAAAGCCAGAAATCCACCTACAGGCCGGGAACAGTGGCTCATGCCTGTAATCCCAGCACTTTGAGAGGCCAAGGCGGGTGGATCACTTGAGGTCAAGAGTTCAAGACCAGCCTGGCCAACATGGTGAAACCCCATCTCTACTAAAAATACAAAAAATAAAAATAAAAAAAATAGTTAGGTGTAGTGGCACACACCTGTAGTCCCAGCTACTAGGGAGGCTGAGGCGCAAGAATTTCTTGAACCCCAGAGGCAGAAGTTGGAGTGAACCAAGATCGCACCACTGCACTCCAGCCTGGGTGACCAAGCGAGACTCGGTCCCCAAGAATAAACAACAACAAAAAAATCCACTTACAACTAGACCAGTTTCTACTTGGCTAAACACCCAGGATAGTCAAAGCTGGACCAGTTTCTACTTGGCTAAACACCCAGGATGTTTAGCTGTCCTTAAAATATATTGATACTGCATATTCTTTAAAAGAAATATATGGTAACAACTATTTTATTAAGTTTTCATTAGTCTAATCGAAAAATAGGATATTTTTCACACATGGAGATAATCCTACCTATTCTGCAAGTCAGTAGGTATTTCTTTCCAATTATTTAAATTAATCTGTTTGTACATTGTCCCTATGGTACATTAGATCATTGCTCTCAATTCTTTACCCCCTCCTTCTGTCAGGTGAACTTCTAATGGGAGTTATTTCCCTCTCTCATTGATGTTGGGCATAATTACATATGTGATTTGGTTTGATCAATTAAATGATAGCACACATGAGCATAGGCCTTAAGTAGTTTGACTTGGCCTCTTTTTTTTTTTTTTTTTTTTTTTTTTTAGACAGGGTCTTACTCTGTCACCCAGACTGGAGTGCAGTGGCACAATCTCGGCTCACTGCAGTCTCTGCCTCTTGGGTTCAAGCAATTCTCCTGACTTGGCCTCTTGCCTTTCATAATCCACCAGGAGAAGAATATGCCTCAGATAGCTAATGGGATTTGGGAACATGTGAAGCAGGCCTGATCCCAACTTGAGGCTTTGATATAAGCCCAGCTGTCCTGCAAAAGAAGCAGAGCATCCCAGATCATCCACAGGCTCATGAACAAGGAAAATAAAGGCTTATTTTTATGAGCCACTGAGTTTTGGAGCTGTTTATTACTCAGCATTGTAACAATAGCTGACTAATATATCCCATATTTCGTGTTCAGTGACATATATATCTGTGAAAATTGATTGATAGAATCATATCCTTATATTAACTCTCAGTCCCGCAATATGCAATGACAAGGAGCTTTGAAGACTCAAATAATCAAGTACAACCCAATGACCAGTGTTTTTTGCTAATATCAATGGGGACCCCAGACAAATAATAAACACTAGATAATATTCCATAATGAAGTTGGAGAAGAAGTAAATAGAGTACAAGAATCAACAAAAATGTAAGAAAATCCTAAAACCGTAAGAGCCTTATAAAAATAGCTGGAGTGGGCAAGAATGTGTGAGTTTAACCAAGCCATCTGCCTTCTGCTCCGCTGGCAAACAATTCAGTTATACAGTACAGCTCTTGATTAAATATAAAAACACTTCTCCCACCCTTTTTCTGTCATAATAATAATTTTGGTGCATTTCTTTGTATACATTGTTTTTTATATACTGCAAGAATTTTTCATGTGGCTAAAAACTACTGAGTCTCAATATTTTTCTGATTCGCTACCATTGACTTACCTAAGATATTTCCACTAGGACAATATAGATTACATATAATGTTTTTTTCATAATCGTTATTTGAAATGGCTGTATAATCTTCCATTGAGTGGATGCACCATAATCTAGTTAAACTATTTCCTGTTGTTAGATTTTAGGCTGTGACTAATTTTTCACTATTATGAATAATTTTCCTGTGAGAAGTGCAAACCGTAGGCATATTTTTTTAATCTCTGGATTATTTCCTTAGTACAAATACCCAGGAGATTCTACTAGGTGAAAGGATGAGAATATTTTAAAATCTCCTGATAGCCAGGTGCAGTGGCTTGCACCTGTCATTCTACTTACTTGGGAGACTGAAGCAAAAGGATCCCTTGAGCTCAGGAGTTCAAGAACAGCTTGGGCGACATAGCAAGACCCTGCCTCTAAAAATTACTAAATAAATAAAACTAAAAGATCTCAATACATATAGCTAAATCAATTTCTAAAAGACGTTTCTAATTCTACTGGTAATGTACTATAGTACTAACAAACATTAAATATTATTATAAATGTTGCTATGCTTTGTAGCCAAATGAATGGAAGGGGTATCTTATCACTTTTAAAATTAAAAGTGAGGTGGAACATTTTTCCATGTTTGTTAACTAGATGATCTCTTCTTCTCAATATCTATTTACTTTATTATACCACGAAGGACTTGAAGAGCTTTCAAGTAGTGTTTGTCAGTAAGAAAACATACTCTTTTTGTTTCTTTTTTATGTAGGTGTTTTGTGTGGGTCACTCCATGGATTCATAGGTGAATCTATTCCCTCAAAATGAATCTATTGGGAACATTCTTTAAAAAAAAACAAACAAACAAAAGTAACAGAGCAATAGCAAGATCTTTCTGAAAAAGAAATTGCTGGCACATTTTACCAGCATTTACCTTGATCCAAATCATTGAGTTTAGAGAGAGATCCAGTCAATTTAGCAAATCAGCCAAAAGCAACAGTATATGACAGATCAAATTCCATTGGAACAAATACCACACAGACTGGGCAATTCCAGGGGCAGATATAAGACAAATGAGGGGAAGTTGAAGGGAGATAAGATTGTTGGCTGATAGAAAGGAATTTCTAACAACTAACTCGAGCCCCAAATAGACAACAAAGGAGCAACAAAGATGCAAAGATGGTCAGGAGGAGTTTGGAGGATTCATGCAGGAGGGTGTGGGAGGCCTTGTGGTGAGTAGACTGGATAGGACCCCTAAAGTCCCTTCCAACTCTATTTTCCTTAGAGTGGCCCTTGGACCTGAACTTCCTGGTCCTGGGAATAGGAGATTGCTTTGTACAGGACAGAAAAAGAGGAAGAACCTGTCCCTCTCTTCTTGAGGGTGGGGCTGACCATAGTCAGAATTTTGAAATAGAGTTTATCTTTGGCATCTTCTCACTTCCCTTTCTGTACTTTTGCTTACCAGCTGCCCAGTATTCCGATGGGGGTGTTAGCCTCTAAGCAGTGCCACTCCTGCATTACTTCTTTCTCTTTAACCACTTCAAAACTCCCATTCTCTTAACACAGCTAACCTCAGCTAGCTGTTGAAAGGAAAGCAATCTGTTTGAACCATTTCACTCTAAAGCATGACCGACTGATAGTATCATGATCTTCCCAAACAGATACGAATTTTCAAAACAAGATGTTTCTAAAGCCAATGGCATCTTTAACAACATGTGGTAAATTAAACCCCACTTAATAACCCTTCTGAAGTTCAAGTTCCAGCTACATTAATTACTGTCCCTCAGTATTGAGGAAATTACTAGGCCATCCTGTGTTTCAATATTCTTATCAGAAAATGAGGAAGAAATACAACTAAACCATATAATTTATATAAGCTGCCTGGCATAATGCTTGACACATGGGTCTTATTGTTAGTTATTATTGTCCCCTTTGCAGTCATCCATGCAGAGGTGTAATCATGTATTTCTTACTCTCATAACGCATATTCCTTGGGCTGGGAGGTGAGTCTCCAAGTCAGAGTCTGGGCAGCTGACATCCTTGTTGTGTAAAAGGAGGATTTCCTCAAGTTCAGCAGCCTCTATTATCCTTTTCTATCACATTATTTCCTGCCATTACATTTTTTTCCATTCTCTTTACTTTGTGTTTTATTTGTTTGTTTGTTTGTTTGTTTGTTTGTTTGATGGTTGAATTAGGAAGTTAAATTTTGATTTGAAAGTTTGGTTAATTTATTCTCCATGTCTCTTCTTTTCTGATATGGACATTGAAAGCTATAGATTTCCCTCTGAACAACATGTTGACCATACCCCACAGATTTTGTAGAGTAATGCTTCTGTGCCCATTCATATTTATGTGATTTATAATTTCCATTTGATTTTGTCCTTAGCCCAAGAGTTATTTCATTATTGATTTGTAATTCATAAACAGTCTTATTATCTCTATATTCTTATAATAAATAAATGTAGCACTTTAGGCGTTAGAGGGCCAGCAAGCATTTGGTGGCTACACAGCCTCTTCTCTTCATCTTTAGAAATGATGGATCTCAAAAATTTCCATTAAGTACAGGTATGCTTTAAATGAAAATATGCTTCATTAAACATATTTTCAAAATAATGCAGTATTGTGCTTTCAGTAAACCACAGCAATAGCTATCCATTTAAATCATATCCTTCAACAACAAACCAACTTTGTTCTGTTAACATGGTGAAAAACGATAAAACCTATAATTAAAATAAAAGTATGCTAAGCCAGAAAAATAAAAATTGTGTGTGTGTGTGTGCACGTGTGTGTGTAAGAGAGAGAGAGAATGGGTGAGAGAGATTTATCTTCAACAATAAGCTAAAATTTGGCAATGTCTTATTAGTGGTTTCAGCCAAGGAAATCTAATTATGTAACTGTTGTTATTTTTATAGCCACATTTGTGAGTTCTCTAATGATTTTAAGATTGCCTTATCTTAATGAGAAAGCAGAACTGACATCCTCCCAAACTGGGCTAGTTGTTTACTTATTTGAAGATTTATCTTTTCCCTACAAGTACTAGAGTCCAAGTTATCAGCACGTTAATGTGACAGTTAAGAGGCCATACTCCACTGTATATTTGGATTGTATGGGGTGACCAGTGCTCTGGTTTGCCCAGGACTGGGGGTTTCCCAAGATATGGAACTTTCCATGCTAACATGGGGACAGTCCCAGACAAACAGACACTGTTGTTCACTCTACTTATTTCCCAACAAGTCAGAGCATTGTCCAGGCCCATCTTAACAAGCAGGTACACCAAGCTAACTATCATTGACTTTGTATGATTCAAGGACTACCAGGAAGACCATTCTGTCCCCCAAATTACCCACAGACTCTAATAACACTATCCTCTTTTCCAGCCGGAAACCTCTACCATTAGAGTCATTCCTTCAGTTTTCTTTTTACCTAAAATTACATATCAAAGACCTAGGCATTATCTTCAAAAGGCCTTTATTACAAAGCCCAAATCTGGAAAATAAGACAGTTTCGGACTCTGACATTTACTACATCCCAGGTACATTGGACTACTAAGATATAAGACATTTTTCTACCCATAGGACCATCTGATACAGGTGGGAGGGAGATGTGTGGTAAGTACTGTAGAGCAGCAGACATAAAGTGTTACAGGAGTGGGAAGGGGGATCCCTGGGTGATGGTAGCAGAGGGGAAGTCAGGGGTTTCAGGAGAGATGTGGTGAATGCAGAACTTAGGCCCACAAGATCTCATGCTCCAAAAATAGGCTGAGGGAGAAAGCCATGTCCAAAAAGCAAAATGTCCCTACTTTACCAAACTCTACTTTAAAACTGAGTTTTGAACTCAGAAATATCTTCTTTGACCATTAAAAAATCCTAATGTGAATGTTGGAAGAAAGATATGTGTGTGTTTAAATATATATTACATATTAACTAAATATATATTATATATTTAATTAAAATTAAAGTAAACTTAATAGTGTAAATCACTTATGAAATTCAAAGGGAACTGCAAACTCAATTAAAAACTATTTTTTTTCTGGGGAGAGTAGCAATTCAAAGACCCAAATACAAGAAAAAATTGTAGCTTTTGTGGGTAATGGGCTTGGCTTTGTCGTTGCTGTTGCTGTTGTTCTCGTTACTTGTATTTCTTTCTGTTTCATTTCCCAGAAATAAAAACTGTTTCCCTTTCATTATTTCCACTTTCCAAATTACATTACACACTAACTGAATCAGCTTTCATTCTCCGCTCACAATTAAAGCTTCCAACCCACATTTCCCTTCTCCTGATTTTTACATGTCAGAAACCTAACTGTACAATTGGTGCCAGCTTCCTAGTTTGCTCCTACTCTTTCTAACAGCACAGCTTGGCACTTTCTTCAGGAAGCACTATAACTGTTTAAGGAGATAATGGAGACTGATATATTTTACATTACCTACCTCCATGTTATGAGTGGGAAAACCAAGGCATATCAAAGTTCAGAAGTGAAATGGAATTCTTAGGTCACAAAAAGAATCATGCGAGGGAATTGTGGACCCCTCCACGAATCTCTTGGCCAGACACTCTCTTGATGTTTATTTAGAAGAGGTAACCCTAGGGACAAGAACAGGGACTGAATTGTGGAGAGGAATCACACATAGGGTAGAGGTTGTAGGTGATGTCTAAAGTCCCTTCCGAGTCTAAGATTCTGTAAAATTGCTTTTTTGGGGTTTCTTCGAACCTTGGCTTAATGAGCCTTTCCTTGTGCCAGGTATATTCTGAGCTGGGTGCCTTCCTCTAGCCGCTTTTCTGTAAGGAAACAACTGAATGACCCAACTCCTAAATCTGGACTTCCTGCTGCTGCTGCTCTCCCAAGTCAGAAATCAAACAAAAACTAACAAACATTAAACAATAAAAACAAAAACAAAAATTAACAAACACCGAGTGAGCATATTTTGTTTACTGGCTGCTAAACTAGGTCTGGGCAAAGTTTTAATAGTTGGCAACATGACAAGAAAAACGAAACTGTTAAAACACCATGAATTTAAAAAAATAAATAAATAAGGATAATTAAAGATGTCAGCAGGAAGTATTATACAGTGATGGGGGGTGAGTGTATTGGGATTCTGTGACCTTGAACAAATTATTCAAGATCACTAATCCTTTACCACATCTGTAAAAGGGAACAATAATGGTGCATTCCTCGTAGGACAGTCATGAGGTTCAAATGAGGTGATTATGTGAAATGCTTAATGGTGCTGGAAGCACAGAGCACATATTCAGACTTGATTCATCCATTGGCTTCTCCACATGCTCTCTGTCCTTCTCCAGGCTCCCTTGCCCTGGGAGGCTAGCCTATATGGCTTCTGCCTGGGTTTGCTTGCCTGAGAGGCCCAGTAGGAGCATGGGGGAAGGAAAGAAGGGGAAAGTGAGGCGTGTATTCTCCAGCTCCCTCCCTGGAGGGTTGCCATGGGGCTGTCAAGGTTTCTTGACAGTTGGACACAAGGCCTGCAAAGTGTCCCTTCCCACACAGCCTTCAAGCCTAGATGAGGTAATGGTACCTTGCTGTGGGTCATTGTGCTCTCCCTGGCAGTTCCTTACATGCTCGCTGAACCACTGTAAATTGTCCTTCTGTTAAACTCTGCTCAGATTACCCAAATGGAGTGCACTGTTTGATAGAGTAGCCAGTAACAGCCCTAGCAGAGCAGTAGCAGTTGCAGTTATTTCGAGTATGAGATTAAGCACCAAATGAATTTTAAGACATGCAAAATACATAATTAAGCGGGAATAAATTCCCCCACCTGCAGAAGGCAGCTGAAATACCTCAGATACAGACCATCCCACATGTCTTAGACCTTTTTATAACATCCCTGAGGAATAGCTCTCTCTTTGAAAAATCTTCTCTTATTAGGGTTGCCACATTTAGAAAACAATGACAAAAACAAACAGGAAGCCCAGTTAAATTTGAATTTCCGATAAACAATAAATAGTTTTTTTTTTCTTTTTTTGAAATGGGGTCTCGCTCTTGTTGCTTAGGCTGGAGTGCAATGGCATGATCTCGGCTCACCGCAGCCTCCGCCTCCCGTGTTCAAGCAATTCTCCTGCCTCAGCCTCCCAAGTAGCTGGGACTACAGGCACGCACCACCATGCCTGGCTGATTTTTTGTATTTTTAGTAGAGACAGGGTTTCACTGTGTTAGCCAGGATGGTATCAATCTCCTGACCTCTTGATCTGCCTGCCTTGGCCTTCCAAAGTGCTGGGATTACAGGCATGAGCCACCACGCCCAGCAATAAATAGTCTTTTAAATGCATGTCACAAATATCAATGCTGTTTATCTGAAGCGTGTTCATTGTTTATCTGAAATTCAAGTTTAACTAGGTATCCTGTGATTTATTTGGCAACCCTACCTGTCATAGGAAGATTTGGACCCTTTCATTAATTGTTTCTTCAATACATACTTAAGAACACACTTGCCTTTACACTGGATGGGAAAGTCAGGCTTCATGATTGACCAGTATTTCCCCATGGAAAAATATGTTCCATATCAACCTGAGTCTGTAAGTGATGAGTATGGAGAAGCCAACCTCTGGGTCACATTCTATTCAAGATACATTGGCCGGGAGTGGTGGCTCATGCCTATAATACCAGCACTTTGGAAGGGCAAGGCAAGAGGAGTACTTGAGGCCAGGAATTCAAGACCAGCCTGGGCAACATAGCAAGACTCCATGTCTAAAAAAAATTTTTTTTAATTAGTTGGGTGTGGTGCCACATGCCTGTAGTTCTAGCTACTAGGAAGGCTGAAGCAGGAGGATTGCTTAAGCCCAAAAATTCAAAGCTGTAGTGAGCCATGACGGAGTCATGGCACTCCAGCCTGGGCAACAGATCCAGACCCTGTCTCTATTTAAAAAAAAAAAAATAATAAGTCAGACGTGGTTGCTCTCACCTATAATCCCAGCACTTTGGGAGGCCAAGGCAGGCAGATCTCTTGAGCCCAAGAGATCCAGACCATCATGGGCAACACTGTGAAATCCCATCTCTACAAAAAGTACTAAAATTATCTGGGTACTGTGGTATGCGCCTGTAGTCCCAGGTACTTGGGAAGCTGAGGTGGGAGGATGGCTTGAGCCTGGGAGGCAGACGTTGCAGTGAGTCAAGATCGTGCCACTGCACTCAAGCCTGGGCGATGGAAATGAAACCCTGTCTCAAAAAGAGGAAAAAGACATATCAGTTGTGTCTGCCCTTCCCTTCAGCCCTTCCAATTACAACTCTCCTACACATGGCCCCTGGCCAAGGAGACTACGCAGACCATAGTTGATTGGACCAGGTAGAAGGACTGACAGTGATCTGCGTCGTCTGGTATAGAAAGTAGAACTGGACCAACCAGATTTCTGGTATCTCTAAGGAATTTTGGCTAAAATAATGAGTCAGTTAGTTTTGGCAGCTGTAGGAGTTGGAAGAGCCTTGTGCAAACTGAATTTGAAGCAGCACAAGTTGAAACAGAGGAAAGAAAATAATCAAAGAGAGAAAGAATACATCTGCAAGACAGAAAAAGCAAACATGCAAACAGTACCTAGGATCCATTAATGATGGAAAACCAAAGAAAAGCTCCATTCACTCATGAGAGAGGTCTCCAGAGCCTCCCAGAAGACAGAACCACTGTCTGGCTCCTGTCTCCCCAAAGCTCAATTGTTTTGCTTTTTCTCACATGGTTAGGGATATAACCTCCCTTGTATCCTTAAAATACCCTCCTCCTTACTTGCAGTAATTTAAATTAGTCTCCTTGCGAACAAAACTCCAAACAACTATCCTGTACCTGCACCATGGGCTGCTGGATGCCAACCAGGTGAGGCAGTTACTAACCTTGAAGAAATTCGCATGCAACCTCAGCCCTGTGGAAGTTCCGGATACCTAGGTATTAGGAAAGAGGGAAAGTGGCCTGGGGAAAAGAGAGTAATCCATTCATTTGGGACTCTAACTTCTAGGGGATCTCTAATTGGAACCCCTCAGTAAGAGAGACGCAGCACTGCTCTTCTTGTCTCTCCCCTATTCTCATTTCTCCCAATTCCTTGCATGGATGGTAGTGATGCAGCTGGTGCTATGCCCTACCCAGAGCAGAAACTACTGTAGCAACATAACCTAGTTCTTCAGAGAATCTACCATCAATGTGTCACCATGGAAGTGTTTTATTAGTATGGCAATATATGCCCATGTAATGAGAACCTTCATGCATTGCTGCTGGAAATGTAAAATGGTGCAGCCACCATGGAAAACAATTTGATGGTTCCTCAAAAAGTTAAACATAAAATTACCATCTGATTCCACAATTCCACTCCCGGGTACATGCCCAAAGGAACTGAAAGCAGAGAAGCAAACAGATAGTTTTACACCAATGTTCAATGCAGCATTATTCACAATAGCTAAAAGGTAAAAACAATCCAAATGTCCATCGACAGATGACAGATGAAAGGATAAACAAAATGTGTTATACCTATACAATGCAATATTCTTCAGTGGTAAAAAGGAATGAAATTCTGAGGTATGCCACAATGTGGCTTAACCTTGACAACGTTATGCTAAGTGAAAGAAGCCAGACACAAATGTTCACATATTTTATTATTCCATTTATATGGAACATCCAGAATAGGTAAACACATAAAGACAGAAAGCAGACTAATGGTTGTCATAGATTGGGATTGGGGGGAATAGGTAGCAACTACTTAATGAGTGTGGAATTTCTTTTTGGAATGATGGAAAGAATTCTGGAAATAGTCGTGATATTTACACAACATTGTGAATGTAACTAATGCCACTGAATGGTACATTTAAAAATGATTATAATGGTAACTTCTATGTTATATTTGTTTCACCACAATTAAGATATAATTATGTGGCTGGGCGTGGTGGCTCACGCCTGTAATCCCAGTACTTTGGGAGGCCGAAGCAGGTGGATCATGAGGTCAGGAGATTGAGACCATCCTGGCTAACATGGTGAAACCCTGTCTCTACTAAAAATACAAAAAACTAGCCGGGCATGGTGGTGTGCACCTGTAGTCCCAGCTACTCGGGAGGCTGAGGCAGGAGAATGGCATGAACCTGGGAGGCAGAGCTTGCAGTGAGCCAAGATCGCGCCACTGTACTCCAGCCTGGGCAACAGAGCAAGACTCTGTCTCAAAAAAAAAAAAAAAAAAGAGAGATATAATTTTGTATGTGTATTTTACCACTATTGAAAATAATAATAATAATAATAAAACACGACTGTCAGGATGTCTGAGCTCAGGGCTTCTGTAAGCCAAACCTTCCAGCCAGTTCTAAGGCAATGGAAAGTGCTGCACACTAGAATTATCTGAAGAGCTTCAAAAAATCCCAACATGAGGACCACATCTTGAACCCACTCAATCAGAATCTCTGGAGGTGGGCATCAATTTTTTTTTTTTTTTTTTTTTGAGACGGAGTCTCACTCTATCACCTAGGCTGGAGTGCAATGGCATGGTCTTGGCTCACTGCAACCTCCGCCTCCCAGATTCAAGCAATTCTCCTGCCTCAGCCTCCCAAGTAGCTGGGACTATGGGAACATGCCACCACACCTGGCTAATTTTTGTTATTTTAGGTAGAGACAGGGTTTCACCATGTTGGTCAGGCTGGTCTTGAACTCCCGACTTCGTGATCCACCCGCCTCGGCCTCCCAAAGTGCTGGGATTACAGGTGTGAAGCACCACGCCCAGCCAGGCATCAATATTTTAATGTTCCCCAGTTTATCTAATATGCAGTCAAGTTTGAGAACAGTACTCCAAGCCTGTTTGCTTCTCGAACTTTAGCATGCATACAAATAACTTGGGCATCTTGTTAAAACGCAGATTCCGATTGGTAGCTCTGTGGTGGTGTCCAGGCAGTTCTAACAAGCTCCCAGGTGACACTAATGTTGCTGATCTTTGGACTACACCTTGAGTAGTAAAGCCCTAAGCCACTGGCCAGCTATCTATTGTCTTAAAACAGAAAATTCCGTCAGCACTTAAGAAGTGATTCTAAGACTTAACAACCTTTTTTTATTAGGAAGGTCTTCATAGCCAACTACATTTTTATTACCCACATTTCTTCAGCTTCATAAAACATTCATCACGGCCTTCTCCCAAAGTCCCAGATATTATCATCGGCTAGTTGAATTACTGAATATAATCTTACCATCACTTCTGCTTTTGTCTGATTTCACATATTTCTATAGGTCCAAGTATAGATCCAGAAATATCCATTTTGTAAGCTAAAGTTATTTCCATGTCTTGATTTCAGTACATAAAATATAACTATGAACCTTTCAGTGAGACTTTGTGCCAGATAATTCAGGAATAAATCATCCAAGATCTTGACAACTTTGCCGCTGATGTCAAAACCATTCTTTCCCCCAATATCAAACAGTAATAAAGTTGAGAAGTACAAGCATAAATTGAAAGTAGATGAGGATAGAGAGCTATGCTCCTCTCAAATCTATACACACACACATGCACAATCAAGCACCTTCTGAACTACAGAGCCATCAGTCCAAATACCATTTACAATTATTCCTTGACCTCTGGAAGATTCAGATTGTGCAAATATTTGATGACTCAATGAGTTACCCTTTCCTGGGAAATTTATAAAGCATCTCTGTGTAGACTATCAGATCTTGCACAGGCTTCGTCATGTATCTGTGGAATAGTAAGGACTAGTCCCGTGTGGATGTGACCTCTCAGTGTCCAGGGCAAGTCACAGGTGCACTCTGACTTAGATTTGGCATAAGGGAAGTAGAGTAATGGCCTGTTGGTTTCTGACAAGTGTTTCCTCTATAAGTTTTTCCTAGCACTTCCCTTAATACCTAGTGAACATACAGTTAAACAAACAGAGAAAGTGAGTCCTTTCAAGCTGAACTTCCAGAGAGACTCTTCAGATAATCACTTTTCAAATGGCAAGTGCCCTTTTTCTTCTTCCCCTAGGAGACAATTATCATCCATTTCAAGAGGCATAAAATATACACCCCTCTTCCAAGGAACAGTGGCTCTTCAAGATACCTGGGTTGAGGAATGGAGGGGTGGTGGGGGGGAATCTTCAAAGTAAGTTTGGACTCAGACTTAGAAATAAGAACTTCATTTTTCCAGAGATTAATCTTTCTCATCTAACTGTCTGCGATAGTGGCCTGACTTGAAGTCCCCTATGGTTGTACTATGCAGTAGCCCTGGGTGAATACTGTTGCTGTGATTGAGAATAAAATCTATTCTTCTTTGCAGAAGCCAATGTAAAGAGGGAAGTTTGATTATAATTGTGTGTAGTTTGTTTTTTTGTTTGTTTTGCTTTGTTTGAGACAGATTCTCCTGCCTCAGCCTCCCAAGTAACTGGGATTACAGACACATATCACCATGCCTGGCTAGTTTTTTGTATTTTTAGTAGTGACGGAGTTTCGTCATTTTGGCCAAGCTGGTCTTGAACTCCTGACCTCCAGAGATCCGCCCGCCTTGGCCTCCCAAAGTGCTGGGATTACAGGCATGAGCCACAGCACACAGACAGTTGTGTGTAGTTAACTGCAAGAAAGAACTATGAAAGTGTCTGAAAGGAGGCAGAGGTTTTCTTAGACAGAAGATATGCAGATATGGAGGGCCAGCTAAGGAATTTGAGCATCCTTGGATTTTGGTATCCTCACAGGGTTTCCCAGTGTATACTGAAGGATTACTATACTGAATTCTGAGAGAAAGTCCTTGTAGATCACCCCATCCAGGCAAAGTAAGTGATTTATTGGAACATGAAAACAACAAAAGTTATTTTTGCAAGTAAAAAACTTGAATTAAATTGTTTTATCTTGAGATAGACCATTGATAAAACTACAAAACATAATATTAAAAGTTAGGCCAGGCACAATGGCTCATGCCTGTAATCCCAGTGTTTGGGAAGCCAAGATAGAAGGGTTGCTTGAGGCCAGGAGTTTGAGACCAGCCTGCACAACACAGCAAGATTCCATCTCCAACAACAACAACAACAACAAAATAGCCGGGCACAGTGGTACATGCTTGTAGTCCTAGCTGCTTGGGAGGCTGAAGTGGGAAGATTGGTTGAGCCCAGGAATTCGAGGTTGCAGTGAGGTATGATCACAGCACTGCACTCTAGCTTGGGTGACAGAGCAAGACTCTTATCTCCAAAAATAAATAAATAAATAAATAAAAATTTAATTTAATTCAGTGAGGGACACTGTTCAGAGTTGAGTTGAGTTGGTCCAAGTTCATAGTCATCCAGTGGTTTAACTTGATCCAAAGATAGAGTATAAAATTAACAGAGGGGCATATAAATAGTATGTCCTTTCAATTATATTTCCTAAATTCACTTCTCTCTAAGGGGTTTTTAATAGAAGCTATAAAGGTTCTGATTATTCATGCCAGCAAGGGTCCGGAGTGCTAACAGTATATACCAGTGGTCAGTAGACGATATCCTGTAGGCCACATCTGGCCCAGCACCTGTTTTTGTGTGGTCCATGAGGTAAGAATATTTTCTTTCGCTTTTTTTTAAATGTTGTCCAGGCTGTCCTTGAACTCCAGGCCCCAAGCAATTCTCCCATCTCAGCCTCCTAAGTAGCTGGAATTACAGGCACACACCACCATACCTGGCTTCTTTTATATTTAAGTGGCTGAAAAAAAAATCAAAAGAAGACTATTTTGTGACATGTGAAAATTATATGAAATTCAAACTTCAATGTCTGTAAATAAAATTGTACTGGAACACAGCCACACCCATTCATTTATATGTTGTCTATAAATGCTTTCCTACTACAACAGCAGAGTAAATAAACTAGTTGCAACAGAAATTGCATGACTGGCAAAGTTCAAACCATTTACTATGTGACCCATTACAGAAAACATTTGTCAACAACTGGAATATACTGCTAATTAGCAACAGATCTCCGAACGCTTGAAATCAGATATGTAAACGACAGAATTCCCTAGCGGAAGTCACTCTTAGATTCCTAAGCCAAAAATAATTTAGCGAGATTTCTTCAGAAAGTCTCATTTACTCTTTTACCACTT
Source organism: Homo sapiens (assembly GCF_000001405.40). Taxonomy (NCBI): domain Eukaryota; kingdom Metazoa; phylum Chordata; class Mammalia; order Primates; family Hominidae; genus Homo; species Homo sapiens. The sequence goes on along the minus strand of NC_000009.12, from coordinate 4,927,699 downwards.
CATGAGAGGCTTCACTCCTATTTTTATAGATGAGAAAACTGACCTCAGATATTAAGTGGTGGTGCAAATGTACTTCCCGGTAAAGAGCAAAGCAGAATTGCAGAGTCTCAACTCTTAATATTATTGAAACAAACAAACAACAAAAAAGAATAAAATGTAAAAATTTACCAAATATGTAACCAATCTTATGCCATAAACTACAAAACTTGGTTGCTAACAGGGAACAACCAGAAGCATGACACTGAAGAAAAGAAAGTTGAAAATGATTCTCATTAATTTGTAAATGAAGGGAGAGATGAGTAAGCAGCCTGAGAAAAGTTGAAGTCAGGATTTGCAGAGACGGGAAGGGTTTCCCGTGGCTTCCCTTGGTTTCCAGGGCATTGTGCTGAGTTGAAGGAATGAGTTAAGAACTCTTGGAAGTGGGATATACCAACCATTGGCTGCCAGGCATGAGCTCCTAGATCTTACTCTTCTGAGGTTCAGCAAAACTCGGCAGACACAGCAGAAACTAAATAAAGACTTCACTCAGCGCAGCCTAGCTCTCCTCCCCTACACTCATATCTGTACTGTTGGTTTGCAGAAAAGTGGATTGATAACAGTGCTTTGCTCTTAAAAGGAATAGAATGGGGATAGACAATCTAGTCCCAGTGAAGGTAAAACAATGACAATTTGAATTCCTGGAATGAAGGAAAATGCAGGCGATAATGAGAGTTAATGCAGAGGGAGAAAATAAAGAAGTTCAGACAGTTAGGAAAGATACCAGAAAAAAGAAGACAGTCCTACATGAAAATGATTGGTACTCTTGGAAAAGCTGATGGAATATAAATAAATACTGAGAAATATAATAAAAGAAATTTTCCCTGAAATGATGAAGGAACTGATTAAAAGTACTCATGGTGCATTTGTTGAATGAAAATTTGACATAAAAACAAACATTTCACTCATATTTTAATTAAGTTATTAAGCTTCCAGTGTAAATAAAGACTATTTCAGTCATACAGACAAAAAAAGCAAGACACTTACAAAGAGGAATAATCAAGTTAGACTTTAAAAACTCCTTAGCAACATTTAATGCTACAACATAAGAGAGCACTACTTACAATGTTCTGAAAAAAAAAAAACAAAACTGTATCCCAGAAATACTACAGACTGCAAAATTGTTATTTAAAGGCAACAGGCAGACACTAGACCTTGAAATTTTAGAGAACTCAGGTCTTACAGTACCGACGAAAACCCTTCTTGGAAAAACTATCCAACTATGTAATCTAGCCAACCAAAGTTGAACCAAAATAAACTCATTTGTATGCATAAAGGGACACCTAGAAGTATGTTAACCAAATATCACACTTCTTATTTTGAGATATGGAACTTTGGGTGGTTTGTTGCTTGTTTTTTTTTAATGTTTCTTGAGTCTTTGTGTATTATTTTAGTCACTTGTAAAATTTACACTGTAAAATTCACCCTTTTTATTATACAGTTCTTTGAGTTTAGACAAATGCATAGCCATGTAACTACCACCAAAATCAAGAGAAGAATAGTTTCATCACCCCACAGACTTCCCTCATGTTACTTCTTTGTACTCAACCGCTCTACCCACTACCAACTCCTGAAACCACTCATCCATTTCTCTATCATTTCACCTTTTCCATTTGCCTTTGAAATTTTCCAGAATTTCATATAAATGGAATAATACAGTATGTAGCCTTTCGAGTCTGGCTTCTGTCCCTCAGCATAATCCATTTGCGATTCATTTGTGCCACATTTATTACAGATCATAGTTTGTTCACTTTTATTGTGGACTAGTGTTCCCTTGTTTGGAGATTCCATAGTTTGTTAATCCATTCACTAGTTCAAGGACATTTGAGTTGTTCTCATTTTTGTGATTACAAATTAAGACACTATAAACATTTGTGTACAGGTTTTCATGTGAATATGTTTTTATTTCTCTTGAAAAAATACTCAGGAGTGAGACTGCTGGTTCACGTGGTAAGGGTATGGTTAATTTTATAAGACACTACCAGATTGTCTTCCAAAGGGGCTGTACTATTTTGCATTCCCATTAGCAATGTATGAGATTTCCACTTGCTCTGCATCCTCATCATCGCTTAATATTCCCAGTTATTATTTTTATTTAGTTATACTAACAAGTGTGTAGTAATATCTTGTGGTTTTAATTTGCATTTCCCTAAGCTTGAATTTTTGGCAGGTGTCATTTTTTAGAAAAAAAAATTATTGAAAATATTATTTAAAGAAACAATAGAATATAAAAAAAGCTTTAGAGTTTTTATCAAAAAGTCATAAGAAGATATCGTCACAGTTTTTGCTTTGGAAGTGTGGTGTACAGTCAAGCAAGGGCCACGTATCTTCTTTTCTCCAAGAGACCATATACTAGTTCCAGCTCTGCCACTCTGCAGCTGTGAGACCATATCCTCCAGAACCTCATTCCTCATCCAAAAAATGAGGGTTGAACTACATCAATTTTTCCCGGCTTTGGCTGTATCTTGAATTCACCTGGGCAGATTTAAAAATCCTGATGCCCAGGCCACACCTCAAGCCAGAAATTAAATTAAATCAAACTCTCTAGAGATCGGACCCAAGCATCAGTATTTTAAAGCTTCCCAGGTCATCTCATGGGCAACCAAAGCTGAAAAGCCCTCAACTAATCTCTAATTGCTTCGAACCTCAAAACTTTTTTTTTTTTTCTCCTGAGACAAGGTCTCACTCTGTCACCAAGGCTGGAATGCAGTGGCATGACAAATGCTCTCTGCAGCCTCAAACTCCTGGCCTTAAGTGATCCTCCTGCCTCAGCCTCCCGAGCAGCCACTGTGCCCGGCCAAACCCCAAAATTACATTAGTCTAATTTCAGCTTTCTCTGGCCTATTTAAGTCAGGACCACTCTAATGGAGTCAGATGATTCTTTATTGGGGGTGGGGGGATCCCTTATGCATTGTAGGACGTTGGGCCGCATCCTTTGCCTCTACCCACCAGATGCCAGTGGCACCATCCCTGCCTCTCAGTTACCAGCTGTAACAACCAAAAATGTCTCTAGATATTGTCAAATGTTCTCTGGAATGGAAAAATCTCCCCTGATGGAGAACCACTGCTTTACTGCATGCCACAGTACACCAAACACAATTCAGCGGAATTTAAAAGCTTTTATAATAGCAACATATTCTTCTGTGTTTTATCCTATCTGCTAGTGCCTCCACCCCACTTTTCTATTAAACAAACTGAAACTCTGTCTAGGCTTTAATTTTTAGGTTGAGTTGTCAACAACCAGCAGAGGGCACTTCTAAAAATGGATTGATGCTTCTAAGTTCTGAGCCCCAGCAGGTGGTAGTAAGATAAAGGCAAAAGCCCACGGCTCGGTCCCATGACCCCTGAGTGTGGGATGAGGGGCCGCAGGAGGAAGACAAGACTGAGGGCTGAAGAAGGGATTTGAGGAGAGAAGAAATAGTAGAGCAGGGGAGTTGTCAGGCCAAGTAGTCAAAGATGTCAAAGATGTAACAGGCCCAGTGAACTGGAAATTGGTTCTAGGAACTAAAAGGGATTCCAGTTAGGTGGAGAGCTGAGGTTGCATCTAGTTTCCTAGAGGGACCTAGACTTCTTTCTCCTTTTGCCTGGCCTAACCCAACTGCCTCTAAAAGGGAGTGTGTGACAAAGCTGTAAACAACCCCACTCCACTTGTGACCCTGTGAGGGAGCCCAAGATATCACATTGTAACTGCCACATTGCATCACAATTACAACTGCTACAATGTATTATGCTCTGGGTCTGCCATACGGTTTTCTGGAGGGCCTAAAAGTTCCAGTAGTCTTCTCTCCAGGTTCCTGTCATGCTGGTTTTGTTATCATTCTCAGTAAAATGTCACCATTGACTCCGTTTTCTTGAGAGCCATGAACTCTTCTAAAAATAGGTCTAACATCAGCTTTCATTACATGCCTCTTCTCATGTACCACCAGGCTTGATTTTCCCTCTGTTTTCTTTCTTCCAACAACAACATATTCCAAAGTCCTTTCAGAGGCAGCTTGGCCTGATGGTTCAAACAGTTCTTTTCTGACATCTCTTCAGTCTTCTGGCAAAATTAGAGCAGTGCCTGGCTCACAAGGAGAAGAATGGCCACCTAAGACAGTGTAATTTTTTTCCCGAAAATATACTCATCACATATTTTCCCATTTTAAAATAATATATAGATAGTAGAGAAATTTTGCAAAGGACAGAACAGTAGAAAAAAATAAGATAATCCCAGCCAGGGCCATTCTAGATGAGCCAATGGCCAGTGGACTCTGTGTCCACTTGGCTTGGCAAGCCCAGCCAAGATCACCTAAGCTCAACCTGAATTAGCAAAGCTACATAGACTCTTGAATTAAACAAATGTTTGTTTTGCATGCTACTGAGATTTGTGTCATTCTGTTTTGAAACGTGATTGTGTCAATAGATAATTGATACTAAAAAGTGTGGTACTGGTGTAACACAACCTAAAACTTGTGACATTTAACTTTGAGATGAAGCAGTAGATGGAGGCTAAAAAAATGGTGAGGGAATTTTTAGAAGTGGCCTGAGAAATTGTGACAGCATTCTGTAGTAGCGAAATATTTAGCAACAGGACAGCCTGGGGTAACTTAGAAGACAGAAAGCAAAAGTAGCCACCAGCCAAAACTCGAAGGGACAGAGATTGTTCAAAACATATGAAGTCCTCAAGGACCTCACCTTTCTCTGGACAAGAAGCAAACAGAGAAAGTTGTTCAAAGGGCATACCTTTTAATGCCCTCTTCAGAAGAGGTCAAGTAGGGCAATGGAAAGTATGGAGGGCTATCAGAGGGCAGAACCAACAGCTGTGATGAATAGGCTGGCAAGCCTTTCCCAAGTAGCAGAGCTGGGCCCTAATTTAAAAACATTTCACTCCCTTAGAGGAGAGAGACCCAGCAATTTGCCCAGTAGGATTTCAGAACTACTGTGAACCTATGATTGCTATGTGCCCCTCATTCTTCCACTTTGGGAATTGGAGTTCCCGACTGGAATTCCCAATGCAATAAAGTTCTCATTTATCTTGTCTCTGTTTTATCACTGTATATTGGGTGTCTGAAACCACATAGCTTATCTTTTTAGTTTACAAGTCTCTGTGTCAAGAGAAGTCATATCTTGGCTTGACGTAGCTCACAAGAACCTGGATTTCAAACCTGTTTCCATGATTGGATGACACTTTTGGGGGGTCTGGGATGGGCTTTAGTATATTCTGCATATGAGAAATATGTGAATAATTTTATCCAAAAGGGAAGACTGTGATCAATTGTTTAAAAAATGACCTTAGTTATTCATCCGTCCTGTGATGATTAATTTTATGTGTCAACTTGACTGGGCTACGTGATACCCAGGTAGCAGGTAAAACATTTTTCCTGGGTGTGTCCATGAGGATGTTTCCAAAAGAGATTAGCATTTGGATCAGTAGACTGAGTAAATATCACCCTCACCAATGTGAGTGGGCATCATTCAATCCATTGAGGGCCTGAATAGAGCAAAAAGGCAGAGGAAAGGTGAATTTGCTCACTACTTGAACTGAGACATCCATCTTCTCCTGCCCTGAGACATTAGCATTCCTAGTTCCTAGGCCTTCGGGTTTGGGCTGGAATTACACCACTGACTTTCCTGGTCTCCAGCTTGCAGATGGCAGACTGTGGGACTTCTCAACCTACATAATCATGTGAGCCAATCCCTCAGAATAAATCTCTTCCTATATATCTGTCTATATCAAGATTTAGATCTCCATATCTACATATATCCTATTGATTCTGTTTCTCTGATGAATCCTAACTAATACATCTCTCTTATTCACATCTTTGCCTTGCAACTTTGAACTTTGTAATGCTCTCACACAATGACTGCAAAATCAGTCACGTAACTTGACCTATGTTACATTAGCAAATGTGACATAAGTAAAGACTTAAAATATGCTTGCATGTTCAGACTTGCTCCTTCTCTTGCACCCTGGCTACCCTAAACCACCCCAGTAATCCCAATCACTCCAACTGAGACATCATAGATCAGCAAACAGCCTGCCAACCCCTGGAAGTGTAAACATACCTTGCTAAGATCAGCAGAGCCACCTGGTTGCCTGGCAGTTCACCACAGATGCATAAGCAAGCCCAGGTGAATTCAGTCCAGGTCAGCTGAATCCCATAGACTCCTGAGCTAAATAAAGATCTATGGTTAGCCAGGTGTGGTGGATTAAACCTGTAATCCCACCACTTTGGGAGGCTGAGGCCGGCAGATCACTTGAGGTGAGGAGTTGGAGACCAGCCTGGCCAACATTGTGAAACCCTGTCTCTACTAAAAATACAAAAAAATTAGCCAGGCATAGTGGCAGGCACCTGTAATCCCAGCTACTCGTGGCTGAAGCAGGAGAATCACTTGAACCCAGGAGGCGGAGGTTGTAGTGAGCCGAGATCACGCCATTGCACTCCAGCCTGGGCAACAAGAGTGAAATTCCATCTCTAAATAAATAATAAATAGAGGTGGAGCCAAGATGGCCGAATAGGAACAGCTCCAGTCTACAGCTCCCAGAGTGAGCGACACGGAAGATGGGTGATTTCTGCATCTCCAACTGAGGTACCAGGTTCATCTCACGGGACAATGCCGGACAGTGGGTGCAGGACAGTGGGTGCAGCACACCATGCATGAGCCGAAGCAGGGCGAGGCATCACCTCACCCGGGAAGTGCAAGGGGTCAGGGAATTCCCGTTCCTAGTCAAAGAAAGGGGTGACAGATGGCACCTGGAAAACCGGATCACTCCCACCCTAATACTGCGCTTTTCCAATGGGCTTAACAAACGGCACAACAGGAGATTATATCCCGCACTTGGCTCAGAGAATCCTACGCCCATGGAGCCTCACTCAATGCTAGCACAGCAGTCTGAGATCAAACTGCAAGGCGGCAGTGAGGCTGGGGGAGGGGCGCCCACCATAGCCGAGGCTTCAGTAGCTAAACAAAGTGGCCCAGAAGCTCAAACTGGGTGGAGCCCACCACAGCTCAAGGAGGCCTGCCTGCCTCTGTAGGCTCCACCTCTGGGGGCATGGCACAGACAAACAAAAGGCAGCAGTAACTTCTGCAGACTTAAATGTCCCTGTCTGACAGCTTTGAAGAGAGTAGTGGTTCTCCCAGCATGCAGCATGAGATCTGAGAATGGGCAGACTGCCTCCTCAAGTGGGTCCCTGACCCCCGAGTAGCCTAACTGGGAGGCATCCCCCAATAGGGGCGGACTGACACCTCACACGGCCGGGTAACCCTCTGAGACAAAACTTCCAGAGGAACGATCAGGCAGCAGCATTTGCGGTTCACCGATATCCGCTGTTCTGCAGCCACCGCTGCTGATACCCAGGCAAACAGGGTCTGGAGTGGACCTCCAGCAAACTCCAACAGACCTGCAGCTGAGGGTCCTGACTGGTAGAAGGAAAACTAACAAACAGAAAGGACATCCACACCAAAAACCCATCTATATGTCACCATCATCAAAGACCAAAGGTAGATAAAACCACAAAGATGGGGAAAAAACAGAACAGAAAAACCAGAAACTCTAAAAATCAGAGCACCTCTCATCCTCCAAAGTAACGCAGCTCCTCACCAGCAACGGAACAAAGCTGGATGGAGAATGACTTTGACGAGTTGAGAGAAGGCTTCAGAAGATCAAACTACTCCGAGCTAAAGGAGGAAGTTCGAACCCATGGCAAAGAAGTTAAGAACGTTGAAAAAAAAATTAGACGAATGGCTGACTAGAATAACCAAGGCAGAGAAGTCCTTAAAGGTCCTGATGGAGGTGAAAACCACGGCATGAGAACTACATGATGAATGCAGAATCCTCAGTAGCCAATTCGATCAACTGGAAGAAAGGGTATCAGTGATGGAAGATGAAATGAATGAAATGAAGTGAGAAAGACGTTTAGACAAAAAAGAATAAAAAGAAACGAACAAAGCCTCCAAGAAATATGGGACTATGTGAAAAGACCAAATCTATGTCTGATTGGTGTACCTGAAAGTGACGGGGAGAATGGAACCAAGCTGGAAAACACTCTGCAGGATATTATCCAGGAGAACTTCCCCACTCTAGCAAGGCAGGCCAACATTCAAATTCAGGAAATACAGAGAACGCCACAAAGATATTCCTCAACAAGAGCAACTCCAAGACACAAGATTGTCAGATTCACCAAAGTTGAAATGAAGGAAAAAATGTTAAGGGCAGCCAGAGAGAAAGGTCGGGTTACCCACAAAGGGAAGCCCATCAGACTAACAGCTGATCTCTCGGCAGAAACTCTACAAGCCAGAAGAGAGTGGGGGCCAATATTCAACATTCTTAAAGGAAAGAATTTTCAACCCAGAATTTAATATCCAGCCAAACTAAGCTTCATAAGTGAAGGAGAAATAAAATCCTTTACAGACAAGCAAATGCTGAGAGATTTTGTCACCACCAGGCCTGCCCTAAAAGAGCTCCTGAAGGAAGCACTAAACATGGAAAGGAACAACCGGTACCAGCCACTGCAAAAACATGCCAAACTGTAAAGACCATCCAGGCTAGGAAGAAACTGCATCAACTAATGAGCAAAATAACCAGCTAACATCATAATGACAGGATCAAATTCACACATAACAATATTAACCTTAAATGTAAATGGGCTAAATGCTAAAATTAAAAGACACACACTGGCAAATTGGATAAAGAGTCAAGACCTATCAGTGTGCTATATTCAGGAAACCCATCTCACGTGCAGAGCCACACATAGTCTCAAAATAAAGGGATGGAGAAAGATCTACCAAGCAAATGGAAAACAAAAATAGGCAGGGGTTGCCATCCTAGTCTCAGATAAAACAGACTTTAAACCAACAAAGATCAAAAGAGACAAAGAAGGCCATTACATAATGGTAAAGGGATCAATTCAACAAGAAGAGCTAACTATCCTAAATATATATGCACCCAATACAGGAGCACCCAGATTCATAAAGCAAGTCCTCAGAGACCTACAAAGAGACTTAGACTCCCACACAATAGTAGGGAGACTTTAACACCCCACTGTCAATATTAGACAGATCATCAAGACAGAAAGTTAACAAGGATATCCAGGAATTGAACTCAGCTCTGGACCACGCAGACCTAATAGACATCTACAGAACTCTCCACCCCAAATCAACAGAATATACATTCTTTTCAGCACCACACCACACCTATTCCAAAATTGACCACATAGTTGCAAGGAAAGCACTCCTCAGCAAATGTAAAAGAACAGAAATTATAACAAACTGTCTCTCAGACCACAGTGCAAACAAACTAGAGCTCAGGATTAAGAAACTCACTCAAAATCACTCAACTACATGGAAACTGAACAACCTGCTCCTGAATGACTACTGGGTACATAACGAAATGAAGCCAGAAATAAAGATGTTCTTTGAAACCAATGAGAACAAAGACACAACATACCAGAATCTCTGGGACACATTCACAGCAGTGTGTAGAGGGAAATTTATACCACTAAATGCCCACAAGAGAAAGCAGGAAAGATCTAAAATTGACACCCTAACATCACAATTAAAAAACTAGAGAAGCAAGAGCAAACACATTCAAAAGCTAGCAGAAGGCAAGAAATAACTAAGATCAGAGCAGAACTGAAGGAAATAGAGACACAAAAAAACCTTCAAAAAATCAATGAATCCAGGAGCTGGTTTTTTGAAAAGATCAACAAAATTGATAGACCTCTAGCAAGACTAATAAAGAAGAAAAGAGAGAAGAATCAAATAGACGCAATAAAAAATGACAAAGGAGATATCACCACCGATTCCACAGAAATACAAACTACCAGAGAATACTATAAACACCTCTATACAAATAAACTAGAAAATCTAGAAGAACTGGATAAATTCCTTGACACATACACCCTCCAAGACTAAACCAGGAAGAAGTTGAATCTCTGAATAGACCAATAACATGCTCTGAATAGCTTACCAACCAAAAAAAGTCCAGGACCAGATGGATTCACAGCCGAATTCTACCAGAAGTACAAGGAGGAGCTGGTACCATTCCTTCTGAAACTATTCCAATCATAGAAAAAGAGGGAATCCTCCCTAACTCATTTTATGAGGCCAGCATCATTCTGATACCAAAGCCTGGCAGAGACACAACCAAAAAAGAGAATTTTAGACCAATATCCTTGATGAACATTGATGTAAAAATCATCAATAAAATACTGGCAAACCAAATCCAGCAGCACATCAAAAAGCTTATCCACCATGATCAAGTGGGCTTCATCCCTGGGATGCAAAGCTGGTTCAATATATGCAAATCAATAAATGTAATCCAGCATATAAACAGAACCAAAGACAAAAACCACATGATTATCTCAATAGATGTAGAAAAGGCCTTTGACAAAATTCAACAGCCCTTCATGCTAAAAACTCTCAATAAATTAGGTATTGATGGGACGTATCTCAAAATAATAAGAGCTATCTATGACAAACCCACAGCCAATATCATTCTGAATGGGCAAAAACTGGAAGCATTCCCTTTGAAAACTGGCACAAGACAGGGATGCCCTCTCTCACCACTCCTATTCAACATAGTGTTGGAAGTTCTGGCCAGGGCAATCAGGCAGGAGAAGGAAATAAAGGGCATTCAATTAGGAAAAGAGGAAGTCAAATTGTCCCTGTTTGCAGATGACATGATTGTATATCTGGAAAACCCCATCGTCTCAGCCCAAAATCTCCTTAAGCTGATAAGCAACTTCAGCAAAGTCTCAGGATACAAAGTCAATGTGCAAAAATCACAAGCATTCTTATACACCAATAACAGACAAACAGAGAGCCAAATAATGAGTGAACTCCCATTCACAATTGCTTCAAAGAGAATAAAATACCTAGGAATCCAACTTACAAGGGATGTGAAGGACCTCTTCAAGAACTACAAACCACTGCTCAATGAAATAAAAGAGGATACAAACAAATGGAAGAACATTCCATGCTCATGGGTAGGAAGAATCAATATTGTGAAAATGGCCATACTGCCCAAGTTCATTGATAGATTCAATGCCATCCCCATCAAGCTACCAATGACTTTCTTCACAGAATTGGAAAAAGCTACTTTAAAGTTCATATGGAACCAAAAAAGAGCCGGCATTGCCAAGTCAATCCTAAGCCAAAAGAACAAAGCTGGAGGCATCACGCTACCTGACTTCAAACTATACTACAAGGCTACAGTAACCAAAACACCATGGTACTGGTGCCAGAACAGAGATATAGACCAATGGAACAGAACAGAGCACTCAGAAATAATGCGACACATCTACAACTATCTGATCTTTGACAAACCTGACAAAAACAAGAAATGGGGAAAGGATTCCCTATTTAATAAATGGTGCTGGGAAAACTGGCTAGCCATATGTATAAAGCTGAAACTGGATCCCTTCCTTACACCTTATACAAAAATTAAATCAAGATGGATTAAAGACTTACAGGTTAGACCTAAAACCATAAAAACCCTAGAAGAAAACCTAGGCAATACCATTCAGGACATAGGCATGGGCAAGGACTTCATGTCTAAAACACCAAAAGCAATGGCAACAAAAGCCAAAATTGACAAATGGGATCTAATTAAACTAAAGAGCTTCTGCACAGCAAAAGAAACTACCATCAGAGTGAACAGGCAACCTACAGAATGGGAGAACATTTTTGCAACCTACTCATCTGACAAAGGGCTAATATCCAGAATCTACAATGAACTCAAACAAATTTACAAGAAAAAAACAAACAACCACATCAAAAAGTGGGCAAAGGATATGAACAGACACTTCTCAAAAGAAGACATTTATGCAGGCAAAAAACACATGAAAAAGTGGTCACCATCACTGGCCATCAGAGAAATGCAAATCAAAACCACAATGAGATACCATCTCACACCAGTTAGAATGGAGATCATTAAAAAGTCAGGAAACAACAGGTGTTGGAGAGGATGTGGAGAAATAAGAACACTTTTACACTGCTGGTGGGACTGTAAACTAGTGCTACCATTGTGGAAATCAGTGTGGCGATTCCTCAGGGATCTAGAACTAGAAATACCATTTGACCCAGCCATCCCAATACTGGGTATATACCCAAAGGATTATAAATCATGCTGCTATAAAGACACATGCACATGTGTTTATTGTGGCACTATTCACAACAGCAAAGACTTGGAACCAACCCAAATGTCGAACAATGATAGACTGGATTAAGAAAATGTGGCACATATACACCATGGAATACTATGCAGCCATAAAAAACGATGAGTTCATGTCCTTTGTAGGGACATGGATGAAGCTGGAAACCATCATTCTTAGCAAACTATCGCGAGGACAAAAACCCAAACACCGCATGTTCTCACTCATAGGTGGGAATTGAACAATGAGAACACATGGACACAGGAAGGGGAACATCACACACTGGGGCTTGTTGTGGGGTGGGGGGAGCGGGGAGGGATAGCATTAGGAGATATACCTAATGCTAAATGACGACTTAATGGGTGCAGCACACCAACATGGCACATGTATACATGTGTAACAAACCTGCACGTTGTGCACATGTACCCTAAAACTTAAAGTATAATAATAATAAAATTAAAAAATATACATATATTTATATATATATAGAGAGAGAGAGAGACAGAGAAAAATAATAATAATAATGAATAATAAAGATCTATTGTTGTATTAAGCCATTTGAAGTGTTGGGATAGCACTCAGGTGTTGGTTTTCAACGCCACTCTCCAATAAAAGGGAAGTACTGCTCCTTTAAAAAGTGACTGATTCTAGGACTGTAATAAGAAATACACAAGTTGAACCTGAAGCATCTTCTCATGCCAGAAAGTAAGGAAGTGCTCAAAACACAAAGAAAAGAGGCCTACCATGACAGAGACTATGTCAAAGGGTCATAGGAAGCAGCAGAAAGAGATTCAGATGGACAAAACTAGAACAAATTAAGCAACAAATATATGCAGTAGTATAGAAAATAAATATCCATAAGTTCACAATGATAAATAAAGCACTGAATAAATAAATGAATGAGAAGGGACAGATATCCCTCACAAAAGTCCAAATAAATTACTTAGAAATTCTGCTCTCAAGGAGGTGGATCATAATTCTCCACTCCTTAAATATGGGCTGTGCAGAGTGACTTCCTTCCAAAGACTACAATATGGGCTGGGCATGGTGGCTCATGCCTGTAATCCCAACACTTTGGGAGGCAGGAGGATCACCTGAGGCCAGGAAATTGAGACCGGCCTGAGCAACATAGTGAGACCCCATCTCTACAAAAAAGAAAAAACTTTTTAAAGTTAGGCATGGTGGTGCACACCCGTAGTCCGAGCTACTTGAGAGGCTGAGGTGGGAGGATCTCTTAAGCCCAGGAGTTCCAGGCTGAAGTGAGCTATGAACAAACTGCTGCACTCCAGCCTGGGTAAGACAGCAAGACTCCGTATCTAAGAAACAACAACAAACAAACAGAAAATCACAAAGAGTACAGCACGAAAAGGAGAGAAAAAAGAGTAACTTTATAGTGAAGAAATCTGACACATTACCTCAGTCAGGTGGTCAAGATTCACATCAACAGTGATAAGTTGTGTTAATAGTACACATCCTTGATATGATGTGATGAAAATGGCACTTTACCATTATCCCAAAAACCCACTCTCCCAAAAAACCCAATTGTAACCAATGTACCATAGTAATGTAAGATGTGTATAAGAAAAACTAGGTGTAGGCTATATTGGATCTCTGTACTATCACTGTAATTTTTCTGTAAATCTAAAACTGTTCTAAAAACAAAATTATTCAAAAAATGTTTAAATGTTTTAAATCTATAGAGTTAGACATCCTAAAATATCCTTCTAAATAACTTTTGGGCCAAAGAGAAAATGCAAGGAGAAATTACAAATAATTTAGAAATAAATAACATAAGAGCATTATGCCTCAGAAGTTCTGCAATATGGATAAAGAATGCAGAGGAACATTAAAACTTACAGCCTTGAATGTACGTTTTAGGAAATAATAAATTTTGAAATAAACTAAACACAAAATTTTAAAAAATGCTTATCTATAAAGTAATATAAAAATAAAAATGGAGGCCAGCCACGGTGGCTCAAGCCTGTAATTCTAGCACTTTGGGAAGCTAAGGCAGGCGGATCGCCTGAGCTCAGGAGTTTGAGACCAGCCTGGGCAACATGGTGAAACCCCATCTCTACTAAAATACAAAAAATTAGCCGGGCGTGGTGGCGTGTGCCTGTAGTCCCAGCTACTCGAGAGGCTGAGGCAGGAGAGTTGCTTGAACCCAGGAGGAGGAGGTTGCAGTGAGCCGAGATCGCACCACTGCACTCCAGCGTGGGTGACAGAGCGAGACTCTGTCTCCAAAAATAAAATAAAAATGGTTAAACTATATGAAATTGAAAAGTCATATAAAAATAGATAGAAGGAAAAAGAAACCCAAATGAAGAAAACAAAATACCTACAAAATCACTGAAGTCTTGATTAACAAATCCATGTTCTTAAAGAACCAAAAAGGATGGTTAACTATGATCAAGCAACAGAGAAAGAGAATAAGAGAGAAATATCCTCTCTTATTCCTAATATAGTATTATTTTCCCAAATAAAACTATGTTTAAATGTTTTCCCAAATAATACTATATTAGGAACAAGAGAGGAGATTTAACTGCAATTACAGAAGATATTTTTTAAATTGTAAAAGAGTTTTCTATATTATTTCTACACATAAATTGGAAAATTTAAGAAATTTATTAGTACTGATTTGGATGCAAATAACAAGTACTCAATTCAAATTAGATGAAGCAAAAAAAAATGACACATTGACTCAAAAACCTGAGAAGCCCAGAGGGCTGTGCTCACTCCATACCTGGCTGGGTCCAGTGTATCAGTGTCTTAAGAATTCTCTCACTCTTTCCCACTACATCTCTTGGCTCAGCTCAGACAGGTTTTCTACATGTGTCCGGGAAACACAGCCATCTATAGCCACAAACTCACATCTTACTAGTTTAAGAACCAAAATAGAAAAATGAAACATTTCCCCTCTGATATCTATATATCAATCCAAGAAAAGATTCTGATTATCCCTCCTCGGATCTTGTCTTCTCCATCCCTATAATTAAGTAGGCAACAGATCACCTTGGGTGGCAGCCATCATGGGATCACTGTGAATGTAGGGGCAGTTTCCTAAGGGACATGATGTTGTTACACAGGCAAAAATTACTGATGTCTACTACAGCAAAAATGTGATTTATCAAAATTGATTAAAGAAGAGTTAGAAAATCTGAATATGCCACTAACTACAAATTAAATTGAAAATGTTATCTATCTTCCACCCCTAAAAGGTACCAGTCTCAAACTGTTCTATCAAACTTACAAAGGACAGATCATTCCAGAGTCATTTAAATTGTTCCAGCTCACAGAAAAAGAGAAAGAGCATGCTAGTTAACAAAACTAGTATTGCTCTCTTTCCAGAGCTAGATAAAACAGTAATGGGGCAATGGGGAGAGGAAATTGTAGACAAATCTCACCTATGAATATAGACATAAAAATCCTTAATAAGATATTAGCAAATTGAATTCAATAAAGTATTAAAAGAAGAATACAACGTAACCAAGTAAAATACATCCTAACATATTATTAGTGTATTTTACCATAATTCACCACATTAACAGACTAAGGAAGGAAAATCATATCATCACTTCAACAGTTTCCAGCATATTTTTAAAAAATGCAACAGCCACACTTTTTTTTTTTCGAGACAGGATCTAACTTTGTCGCCCAGGCTGGAGTGCAGTGGTGTGATCTTGGCTCACTGCAGCCTCCACTCCCCAGGTTCAAGCGATTCTCCTGCCTCAGCCTCCTGAGTAGCTGGGATTACAGGCGCGCACCACCATGCCCAGCTAATTTTTGTATTTTTAGTAGAGACGGGGTTTCACCATGTTGGCCAGACTGATCTCGAACGCCTGACCTCAAGAGATCTGCCTGCTTAGGCCTCCCAAAGTGCTGGGATTACAGGCTTTAGCCGCCGCGCCTGGCCCCATACATATTTTTTTTTAGTGTCTTCAGTAAGCTCTAAAGAAAATGACACTTTCTTAATTTGGTAAAGAGAATCAGAAAACTAAAACAACCATCCGTTTAATGGTGAAGCATTTCTGTTAGAGAAACAAAAGAAGTATGTGTATTCTCTCACCACTATCTTTCAACATTGTACACAGTCAATGTAAGACAAGAAAAGTAAAGATAAATACCCTGGAAGAAAAATCTGTAAATCTGTTACTATTTGCAAAAATCTAATTTTTAAAAATCTTACAAAAATTAAAAACCCGTTTGCACAGATAAAGTAATTTAATGACATGGCAAGATTCAAGACAGACAATGCAGAAATCAATAGTTTCCCTATATGAGCAATAACCAATAATAATATAAAATCACATCAGGCCAGGTGCGGTGGCTTATGCCTGTAACCCAGCACTTTGGGAGGCCGAGGCGGGCAGATCATTTAAGGTCAAGAGTTCAAGACAGACCAGCCTGATCAACATGGTGAAACCCCATCTCTACTAAAAACACACAAAAAAATTTAGCTGGGTGTGGTGGCTCACGCCTGTAATCCCAGCTACTCAGAAGGCTGAGGCACAAGTATCGTTTGAACCTAGGGGTCAGAGGTTGCAGTGAGCCAAGATCACACCACTGCACTCCAGCCTGGGCAACAGAGAGTGAGACTGTCTCAAAATAAAATAAAATAAAATAAAATGACATCAATTCTCAGGACTCAGGAATGCCCACAATAACAAATTATACAGAAATATGTGTTTTATGAAAATTAATATTCAAAATGGAGGCATAAAAACCTCTATCTCACCATCACCACCAATATATCATTCCCACCTGCCACACTTTGTCAACAGAACCTCATTGTAAATTAGCTTCTTAGATTTTTACTCTCTTTGATAGGGAGTGATGCCTGATGATAATCAATTGTACCATTATTCTTTGTATCATAATTATTTGTGTATCTTATTTTCTCTATGAGATAAGAAACTTCCTCTTTGTATTCCAACCCTACAACATCTTGGGTGCAGTAGGTACACAGTGATTATCAATTTGAATACAGCATGAAGGTAAGGGACAGAGAGAAAAAAGAGTTAAAGCAGAAGGGAAGAATCAGGGGTCAGAAAAGCTAACGGAGATAAGTCATATAAGTCTTTCTTACTCATTTCTTTCCATGGATAAATTCTCATTATCTGAACACTTTACATTTAAAAGTGGTAAGAATTCTAGAGTAGAGAATTCAGCATTTGGGGAACTTATCATGAAAAGACTAGGAAATATCCCCCATATCATGCAGCTAAAGTATGGAGGGCATTCCTGATTTTTTCCAGGACTTGAATTTAATTTTTTCTTTTCCATTCCCCATAAATTCTCCCAAATACCTTTCTCTTTCCTTGGCCTCATTTCTATTTGGCTTTTATTTTCTTCTGTTTTCCTCCCCTTCTTCCTTCCTTCTCTCCTAAAACTAGGAGATCCTCCTCCCTTCTCTTCCATTAAACCTAGGCACAAGGCCAGAGGGGCTTGAAGAGGCTGTGGTTTTGTGTCTAACGTGACCCTGTGCTCTGTGGTGTGGGAATGAAAAAGTCAGAACTGATCAGATATTTACCGAGTGCATCCCATGTGTGGAAAGAATGAACATTTGAGAATTAAACAGAGCTAAGTTGAAATCAGGATCCCTGCTTATAAGCTGTGCCTCAGTGTTCTCATCAGGAAAATGAGGACAATAATAGCAGCTCCCAGAGAGTTGCTGTGTGGATGAAATAAGATTCTGTTGGTACAATGCCTAGGTACTCAGCAAATAGCACTCATCAGGGAGCTATGTTTGAAAAAGAAGGAAGGAGGTAGACAGACTCACTCCAGCTTTTTCTCCCATTCTGTTCTCCTGTGGCCTGAAATCAAAGAGAGGAAAGATGAAGGAAGGCGTAGGGGAAGGGGGTGTGGGCTAAGCAACACTAACATTTAAGACTTAATTCCCAATTTAACCACCAGATTAAAACTGGGCCAGGTGCAGTGGCTCACGCCTATAATCCCAGCACTTTGGGAGGCAGATTACTTGAGCTCAAGAGTTCGAGACCAGCCTGGCCAACATGGTGAAACCCCATCTCTACCAAAAATACAAAAATTAGGCCTGGCGCGGTGGCTCAAGCCTGTAATCCCAGCACTTTGGGAGGCCGAAGCAGGTGGATCACGAGGTCAGGAGATCGAGACCACGGTGAAACCCCATCTCTACTAAAAATACAAAAAATTAGCCGGGGGCAGTGGCGGGCGCCTGTAGTCCCAGCTACTCGGGAGGCTGAGGCAGGAGAATGGCGGGAACCCGGGAGGCGGAGCTTGCAGTGAGGGGAGATTGCACCACTGCACTCCAGCCTGGGCGACAGAGCGAGACTCCGTCTCAAAAAAAAAATAAAATAAAATACAATAAAAAATAGAAAAATTAGCCAGGCATGGTGGTGCGTGCCTGTAATCCCAGATATTCAGGAGGCTGAGGCAGGAGAATCGTTTGAACCCAGGAGATGGAGGTTGCAGTAAGCCCAGATTGCACCGTACTGAGCCCAGATTGCCCCGCAGCACTCCAGCGTGGGCGACAGAGCGAGACTTTGTCTCAGAAAAAAAAGAGAGAAAAAAAGCAGAGATGTTGGAATGATAGTTTTTATTTTATATGTCTAATTTTGTAATTTATTCCGGAGACGTTGTCTAAGCAGTTACTTATGTATTTGTAGTAAAAATTTCAAAAATATTCAGGGCAGACGCTCTTAGACCTAAATGGTTTTCAACCATGGTTGTATGAAATATATATATTTATGAAATATATATTTCATAAAATATAATAATATATACTGATAATATATAAAACACATATAATATTTAATATAAATATATATATTTCATAAAATATATATATATTTTTTTTGTGAGACGGACTTTCACTCTTGTTGCCCAGGCTGGAGTGCAATGGTGCGATCTCTGCTCACTGCAACCTCCGCCTCCCAGGTACAGGCGATTCTCCTGCCTCAGTCTCCCAAGTAGCTGGGATTACAGGCACCTGCCACCACGCCTGGCTAATTTTTTTTGTATTTTTAGTAGAGATGGGGTTTCACCATGTTGACCAGGCTTGTCTCGAACTGAACTCAGGTGATCCGCCCGCCTCGGCCTCCCAAAGTGCTGGGATCACAGGCGTGAACCACTGCACCCGCCCATGAAATCTATTTTAAAACTGCTTCTCAGTTGCTTCTGATGCCAGGTTTGGTCATTGCTGAACTAAAGCATGAACAATTATCAGGCAGCCACCATGATGCCTTCTTTCTATTGCTCACAATGTATTAGACGGTATCTTCCACATGGTAAGACATAACAAATATTGGTTAGATTGAGTTCAGATTAAATTTTCCACACATATTAATAAGTAAGGAACAACCACTCTCACTTAACTTTATTTTCTGATCATTTTTTCCTGTAATTTTATAAAATAGTATTCCAAATAGGAAGGTAAAAAGGAGGCATTAACCCCACCAAAGCCTGTTCTTACTTCATAGAGATCATTCCCACCCCCCAATACGGTGAAATTCTCTCAGATCCATGCAGAAAAAAAATCCTATTAGGACTCATTCTGGTGTAACTACAGACATACTGCAATGCAATTTAACAAGCATTTAGTTAGCCTACTGGGTTTGAATACTATTTTAATAATTTTAACTGGTTCCGAAAGAAAACTGAAAGTTCACTCAGCAAGGCACCTTAGCACACATTTCAAAGCATTTGCTCACTCATTTCCAGAAAAAGAGCATTCTGATTTTTCCCTCCATCCAGGAGACAAAACCTTCAGAACTATGTTCAGGTTGGTCTAAATTCACAAGTATCACAATTGACAATACAGTGGTTAATATAGGCAAACGATTCCTCTAAAGAATGATTCTAAACAGAAAGACTGAAAATGAGGACAAAGTTTTCTTTTCATGGGGAAAAGACTATGATTAAAGTTCTCAAACAATATTTCAAAAAAAATATGCAGAGTAGAATTCTAATGTTATTTTTAAGAATCTATTTATCTACCTACCTATATACACGTATGCTTATACCTATAAATAAGAAAGAAAAAAAAATAAAACCTGAATGGCCGAATGGGGACACAGAGACTCTTGTATATATCAGTAGGATTGGAAATTAAGCCTTTATGGAAGGCAATTTGACAATTACTTTCAAATTTTAAATGCATATGCTTTTTGATCCAGAAATTTCATTTCTAGGATCATTCTTACAGATACGTTAGCACACGAGCCCAACCACAAATGTACAAAGATGTTTATTACAGCATTAATGATAAAATAAAACATTTAAATCAATCTAAATGCTCAATAATGGAACGGTTAAAATAAATCATGGTACATTCATACAATGCAAAATTAAGCAGTCTTCAGTAGGCATGTGGTGGGTAGTTTTCTATAGATATGGATGTGGAAAGCTATCTATGATATACTGTTAAATGAAAAAAGCAAGTCACAGAGTCATATTTAGAATATGGTCTCACCTGTATAATCAAAGAAACTTCCTGTAGATGACTCTGTGTGTGCAAAAACATAAGAAGTCAGTCTGGAAGATCAGTGCGGGTCATGGTTACCTCTTGAGAGAACAGTGGAATAAAGGGTCAAGACTACCATAACAAAATACACACACTGGGTGGCTTAAACAACAGAAATTTATTTTCTCAGGCTGGAGGCTAGATGCCCAAGATGAAAGTGTCAGTTGACTTGGTTTCTTCTGATGCCTTTCTTCTGGGCTTGCAGGGTGGCCACCTTGCTCTGTCCTCATATGGCCTTCCCTGTGTGAGTGCATAGGCAACATTTTCCATTGTGAGTCCACATTTTCTCTTCTTGGTTTTTTAATTTTTCTTTTCTTTTCTTTTCTTCTTTTTTTGAGATGGAGTCTCACTCTGTGGTCCAGGCTGGAGTGCAGTGACATGATCTTGGCTCACTGCAACCTCCACCTCCTGGGTTCAACCAATTGTCCTGCCTCAGCCTCCCGAGTAGCTGGGACTACAGGTGTCCGCTACCACACCTGGCTAATTTTTGTATTTTTAGTAGAGACGGGGCTTCGCCATGTTGGCCAGGCTGGTTGCAAACTCCTGACCTCAGGTGATTCGCCCACCTTAGCCTCCCAAAGTGCTGGGATTATAGGCCCAGGCCACATTTTCTCTTCTTATAAGGACATCAGATTGGGTCTACCCTAAAGCCCTCATTTAAACTTCGTCTCCTTGTTAAAGCCCCTATCTCCAAATAATCACATTCTGAGGAACTGGAGCTTAGGGTTTCAACACATGAATTTTAGGGAGGTACAATTTAGACCATAATAGGGTGACTTCTACATTTTGTTCTATATTGTCTCAATTTTTTTATAATGAGAAAATATTTCTTGTGTAATTTTTAAAACAATTAAAAAGGAAAAAACTGACTGGAAAGCAAATTCTTAACACCAAAATGTTGATATGAGTTGTCTCTAAGAATTATACATAATCCTTATATTTTTTCCCTTTGTTTTTCAGTGTTTCTCTCCAACGCTCTTCAGTGAACATGTATTACTTTTTAATGAGGAAATAGAATAAATATTTTTTAATGAAATAAATAAACCCAACAGCTTCCCCTTCAAAAGCCTAGAAGTTAAACATATTCAAGGAACCTCTGGAATTGGCCAATGATCTCTGATGATTTAGAATGACACTTACTTACAGTCAAGCTATTAAAATACGTGATCATTCAGAAATGGCATGTGGGTCTTAGAGTATGAAAACCAACATATTTCTCTCCATTTTCCAGGTCACAGTAGTAATCTAGTGTTCAGTTAGGTCTTTTCAAGCAATTATTCAAATTAAAGGTTTTTTTCAAATGAGTATTACATTATGTCTCTGCTGTTAATTATGTGAATGGCACACTTTTTCTTAATTTACTCGGTGTCATTAAGTAATGAGTCTTCACCCAACACCCAACAATATCCTAAATATTAATAGAGTATTTCTTCCAAGAAATGTACAGTAGAGTCATTAAATAATCCCCTCATATTATGAAATCACCTACAAAATTGTATAAAGAATAAGAAAATAAATAACTTAGGACTCCAATACTTATCCATTTGGCCTCAGGGTTTAGAATTCAGAAACACCCCTGAGATTCACTGATTCCTGAATTTGGCAACTTTTCCTTGGGGCCCACTTGAGCAAACTATAGTTGGGTGGTAAGTTTTTCAGTCTAGTTCCCAGGAGAGTTCCAGTCTGGGTGTTGAGAAACACAAGATGCTTTGAACACCTGTTAATAAGGAAATTGCTGCATATTCCCCATGTGGCTATTTGAAGGATGAAGCAACGATGTCTTTCAAAGTGGCATCTTCTTTTTTTCTCCTTTTTTCCTTGGAAACGGTCTCTAGTTCTGGTAAGAGTAGATTTCCCAGAGATGGAAAGCAACCTAAAGTAACAAATACTGGAAATTTTGAAATTTTTCTTTTTGTGGTCAGTAATCCCAAAAATTTTCTTCCCACTGGGGAGCCACTCATAACTCCTGATTATTCATTTACCCACTGGAATGTAGCAGATTTGGAAATTATGTGTCTTTACCATGCCAAGGTTTGTCAGTGACAGTAGTTTGTATTTACAAATGCCTTTAGAAATGGGCAAGGTTTATTTTTCTTTCACATTTTTATTAGGTTGGTGCAAAATGAATTGTGGTTTTAAAGTAATGGCAAAAACCACAATTCCTTTTGCACCAACCTAAATAGTAGTAATAAGCCAAAACAAACACTTTGGAGAATTACTATGAATGAAACATTAGAGGAGTGAATGGTTTCCAGCATTACATCACCAAATGTGATATTCCACAAACTCTTTGGCAATAGCAATAGGGTCTTTACAAATATTTCCTTCCCGTAAATTTTAAACTAAAATTTGGCTTAAATTAGCAATTTTCTAACAGTCTGTCTCTGTACCCAACTCTATGCAAGCTGTGAGGGTTAAGCATATTTGTCTATCACCTGGAAAAAAAGCAGGAAAGAAAGAAAAAATGGCTAACTGCCAAGTGATTGAGAGCTACTATTCATGTCTGGATTCAATTTTCTTTCATCTTTCAAATGCAAAATCTATGCCCTTTTGTTCCCAGAGAATAAGAAGCAGACCCTTTTCCAGGTTTTTTGGCAGGATTAGGGAGGCACCTGGATTAGCTGAGGTGGTTCCATGCAGACAAATGAGGGACAATTGTTTAAATGAGAGGGACTGGCCAGGAGCGGTGGCTCGTGCCTGTAATCCCAGCACTCTGGGAGGTTGAGGCAGCAAGATTGCTTGAGCCCAGGAGTTTGAGACCAGTCTGGGCAACATAGCAAAACCCTGTCTCTACAAAAAGTATTAAAATTAGCCAAGCCTGGTGGCATGTGCCTGTAGTCCCAGCTACTCAGGAGGCTAAGGTGGGAGGATGACTTGAGCGCAGGAGTTGGAGGCTGCAGTGAGCCATAATTGCACCACTGCACTCTAGCCTAGGTGACAGAGCCAGAACCTGTTTCTGAAAATAAAAATAAATTTCCATAAATAAATAAGTAAATGAGAGGGACTGAAAGCAGCCAGATGAAGAAGCTGAGGAGGCTGCTAGGCAGATGTGGAGACCCAGATGTTGGCTGCTGTCCCTTGTTCTACCCTGACAAGCAGTGAGGTGACCTGCTCTCTAACACTAGGTAATCTTTCACAGTTCACCAAGCACTTGTACCTACGATAACTCCTCTGGCTTTTTCAACACCCCTATGGTGAAGAAATGGCAGGCATACACAATAAACACTATTTTGTATCATATCCCATTATGTTTCCAAGATTTGGAGTCAGACTAATGAGATCCAAATATTAACTCAGTCACTTCCCGCCAGTGTGACCTTAGTAAGGTAATCAACTTCCCTGTGCCTCATTTTTTGCACCATAAAACAGTGATAATAACACCTACTTCATAGGCTTGATGTGAGAACAAAATGAGATAGTACATGTCCTCAATACGTGGCCCAGCACAGAGTAACCCCTCAATAGATGTTAACTAATATTTGTAATCAGTGTTTCCTTGCATGATTTCTACCTTTGGTATCATGCCATGAAAGTTTTTTCTCTCCCTAAGATTACATATTCACTCAAATTTTCTTTTATGATCTTACATTTTACATTTCAATCTTTTACCTACTTAGAATTTATTTGAGTATATGGAAAAAGAAAGGGATCTAACTTTTTTTTCCAAATGATTTTGGGGCATAATACTTTAAACAACAAAACACAATGCCCAGCAAGGATAAGAACAGGGCAGTACTTTCCTAAGTAGGGGCCAGTTCAATTTTATCTTTTTAAAAATAATTTCTGGCCAGGCACGCCTGTAATCCCAACACTTTGGGAGGCCGAGGCAGGTGGATCATCTGAGATCAGGAGTTTGAGACCAGCCTGGCCAACATGGTGAAACCCCGTGTCCACTGAAAAAATACAAAAAATTAGCCAGGCGTGGTGGCATGTGTCTGTAATCCCAAATACTTGGGAAGCTGAGGCAAGAGAATTGCTTGAACCCGGGAGGCGGAGGTTGCAGTGAGCCGAGACCATACCACTGCCCTCTAGCCTGGGTGGCAGAGTGAGACTCCATCTCAAAAAATAAAAAATAAATAATAAATAATTTCTATAATGGATGCTTTTTCTCAAAAGGCTGTGAAATTATTGGATTTTCTTGGTTCACGTTGGTTTCTGTCATCAAAAATAATAAAAACTGATTTTATCTTCTCAAAATATTAAAGAAGAATATTCCAAAAGGAATATTCTATGAAAATAAAATAAGAAAAATAATAACAGGCTGGTTGTACCAACTAACTCCTATCTATTGCTGGCAGGAAGGAGCTGTAAGCAATCCGTACTTCTAGATATTTAAGGATGAAGCAATATAATGAAGAGGGGGAGAAACCTATCACAAACAAAATGTTTGCTTTTTATTTGGTTATGCCTACTTTATTTTTTAAATTAATATAGTTTAACAAAAATACATAATAGAGAACAAATTAAAAATTAAATTTTTTGGATTACTGGCAAGATGGCCAACTAGGAACAGCTCTGGTCTGCAGCTCCCAGTGAGATCAACGCAGAAGGCGGGTGATTTCAGCATTTCCAACTGAGGTAACCAGTTCATCTCATTGGGACTGATTAGACAGGGGGTGCATCCCACGGAGGGCAAGCCAAAGCAGGGAGGGACATCACCTCACCCAGGAAGCACAAAGGGTTGGGAACTCCCTCCCCTAGCCAAGGGAAGCCGTGCGGGACTGTGTCATGAGGAACGGTGCACTTTGGCCCAGATACTATGCTTTTCCCACAGTCTTCGCAATCCGCAGACCAGGAGATTCTCTTTGGTGCCTACGCCACCAGGGCCCTGGGTTTCAAGCACAAAACTGGGCGGCCATTTGGGCAGACACCAAGCTAGCTGCAGGAGGTTTTTTCCATACCCCAGTGGTGCCTGGAAAGTCAGTGAGACAAAATCGTTCACTCCCCTGGAAAGAGGGCTGAAGCCAGGTAGCCAAGTGGTCTAGCTCAGCAGATCCCAGCCCCATGGAGCCCAGCAAGCTAAGATCCACTGGCTTGAAATTCTCACTGCCAGCACAGCAGTCTGCAGTTGACCTGGGGTGCTCAAGCTTGGTGCGGGGAGGGGCATCCGGCATTACTGAGGCTTGAGTAGGCAGTTTCACCCTCACAGTGTAAACAAAGCTGCCAGGAAGTTCAAACTGGGCAGAGCCCTCCGCAGCTCAGCAAAGTCGCTTTAGCCAGACTGCCTTTCTAGATTCCTCCTCTCTGGGCAGGGCATCTCTGAAAAAAAAGCAGCAGCCCCAGTCAGGGGCTTCTAGATAAAATGCCCATTTCCCTAGGACAGAGTGTCTGGGGGAAGGGGGAGCAGTGGGCACAGCGTCAGCAGACTTAAACATCCCTGCCTGATGGCTCTGAGGAGAGCAGCGGATCTCCCAGCACAGCGTTCGAGCTCTGATAAGGGACAGCCTGCTTCCTCAAGTGGGACCTTGACCCCTGTGTCTCCTGACTGGGAGACACCTCCCAGTGGGGGCTGACAGACACCACATACAGGAGAGCACCGGCTGGAATCTGGTGGATGCCCCTCTGGGATGAAGCTTCCAGAGGAAAGAACAGGCAGCAATTTTTGCCGTTCTGCAGCCTCTGCTGGTGATACCCAGGCAAACAGGGTCTGGAGTGGACCTCCAGCAAACTCCAGCAGACCTGCAGCAGAGTGGCCTGAATATTCGAAGGAAAACTAACAAACAGAAAGGAATAGCATCAACATCAACAAAAAGGACATCCACTCAGAGACCCTATCCGAAGGTCACCAACATCAAAGACCAAAGGTAGATAAATCCACAAAGATGGGGAGAAACCAGTGCAAAAAGGCTGAAAATTCCAAAAACCAGAATGCATCTTCTCCTCCAAAGGATCACAACTCCTCACCAGAAAGGGAAGAAAACTGGACGGAGAATGAGTTTGACAAATTGACAGAAGTAAGCTTCAGAAGGTGATTAATTACAAACTCCTCCGAGCTAAAGGAGCATGTTCTAACCCAATGCAAGGAAGTTAAGAACCTTGAAAAAAGGTTAGATGAATTGCTAACTAGAATAACCAGTTTAGAGAAGAACACAAATGACCTGATGGAGCTGAAAAACACAGCATGAGAACTTTGTGAAGCATACACAAGTATCAATAACCAAATCAATCGAGTGGAAGAAAGGATATTAGAGATTGAAGATCAACTTAATGAAATAAAGTGAGAAGACAAGAGTAGAGAAAAAAGAATGAAAAGGAACGAACAAAGCCTCCAAGAAATATGGGACTATGTGAAAAGACCAAATCTATGTTTGATTGGTGTACCTGAAAGTGTTGGGGAGAATGGAACCAAGTTAGAAAACACTCTTCAGGATATTATCCAGGAGATCTTCCCTAAACTAGCAAGACAGGCCAACATTCAAATTCAGGAAATACAGAGAACACCATAAAGATACTCCTTGAGAAGAGCAACCCCAAGACACATAATTGTCAGATTCGCCAAGGTTGAAATGAAGGCGAAAATGATAAGTGCAGCCAGAGGGAAAAGTCGGGTTACCCACAAAGGGAAGCCCATCAGACTAACAGTGAATCTCTCTGCAGAAACCCTACAAGCCAGAAGAGAGGGGGGGCCAATATTCAACATCCTTAAAGAAAAGAATTTTCAACCCAGAATTTCATATCCAGCCAAACTAAGCTTCATACGTGAAGGAGAAATAAAATCCTTTACAGACAAGCAAATCCTGAGAGATTTTGTCACCACCAGGCCTGCCTTACAAGAGCTCCTGAAGGAAGCACTAAACATGGAAAGAAACAACAAGGACAAGCCACTGCAAAAACACACCAAATTGTAAAGACCATTGACACTATGAAGAAACTGCATCAACTAATGCACAAAATAACCAGCTGGCATAATAATGACACGATCAAATTCACACATAACAATATTAACCTTAAGTGTAAATGGGCTAAAATCCCCAATTAAAAGACACAGACTGGCAAATTGGATAAAGAGTCAAGACCCATCAGTGTGCTGTATTCAGGAGACCCATCTCATGTGCAAAGACACACATAGACTCAAAATAAATGAATGGAGGAATATTTACCAAGCAAATGGAAAGCAAAGAAAAAGTAGGAATTGCAATCCTAGTCTCTGATAAAACAGACTTTAAACCAACAAAGATCAAAAGAGACAAAGAAGGCCATTATATAATGGTAAAGGGATCAATTCAACAAGAAGAGCTAACTATCCTGAATATATATGCACCCAATACAGGAGCACCCAGATTCATAAAGCAAGTCCTCAGAGACCTACAAAGAGACTTAGACTCCCACACAATAGTAGGGAGACTTTAACACCCCACTGTCAATATTAGACAGATCATCAAGACAGAAAATTAACAAGGATGTTCAGAACTTGAACTCAGCTCTGGACCAAGTGGACCTAATAGACATCTACAGAACTCTCCACCCCAAATCATCCAAATCTTCAGAATATACATTCTTCTCAGCACCACATCGCACTTATTCTAAAATTGACCACATAATTGGAAGTAAAACACTCCTCAGCAAATGCAAAAGAATGGAAATCATAACAGTCTCTCAGACCACAGTGCAATCAAATTAGAACTCAAGATTAAGAAACGCACTCAAAACCGCACAACTACATGGAAACTGAACAACCTGTTCCTGAATGACTACTAGGTAAATAATGAAATTAAGGCAGAAATAAATAAGTTCTTTGAAACCAATGACAACAAAGACACAATGTACCAGAATCTCTGGGACACATTTAAAGCAGTGTGTAGAGGGAAATTTATAGCAGTAAATGCCCACAAGAGAAAGTGGGAAAGATCTAAAACTGACACCCTAACATCACAATTCAAAGAACTAGAAAAGCAAGAGCAAACAAATTCAAAAGCTAGCAGAAGACAAGAAAAAACTGAGAACAGAGCAGAACTGAAGGAGACAGAGACATGAAAAAGCCTTAAAAAAATCAGTGAATCCAGGAGCTGTTTTTTTGAAAAGACCAACAAAATAGATAGAACACCAGCCACATTAATGAAAGAAGAGAGAAAAATCAAATATACGCAATAAAAAATGATAAAGGGGATATCATCACCAATCCCACAGAGATACAAACTACCATCAGAGAATACTATAAACAACTCTACACAAATAAACTAGAAAATCTAAAAGAAATGTATAAATTCCTGGACACATACACCCTCCCAAGTCTCAACCAGGAAGAAGTTGAATCCCTTAATGGACCAACAACAAGTTCTGAAATTGATGCAGTAATTAATAGCCTACCAACCAAAAAAAGTCCAGGACCAGACGGATTCACAGCTGAATTCTACCAGAGGTACAAAGAGGAGCTGGTACCATCCCTTCTGAAACTATTCCAAACAATAGAAAACGAGGGAATCCTCCCTAACTCATTTTATGAGGCCAGCATCATCCTGATACCAAAACCTGGCAGAGGCACAACAAAAAAAGAGAATTTTAGGCCAATATCTCTGATGAACATTGATGCAGAAATCCACAATAAAATACTGGCAAACTGAATCCAGCAGCACATCAAAAAGCTTATCCACCACAATTAAGTCAGCTTCATCCAAGGGATGCAAGGCTAGTTCAACATACACAAATCAATAAACATAATCCATCACATAAACAGAAACAATGACAAAAAACACGTGATTATCTCAATAGATGCAGAAAAGGCCTTTGATAAAATTCAACATCTCTTCCTGCTAAAAACGCTCAATAAACTAGGTATTGATGGAATGTATCTCAAAATAATAAGACCTACTTATGACAAACCCACAGCAAATATTATACTGAATGGGCAAAAACTGGAAGCATTCCCTTTGAAAACCCGCACAAGACAAGGATGCCCTCTCTCACCACTCCTATTCAACATAGTGTTGGAAATTCTGGCCAGGACAATCAGACAAAAGAAAGAAATAAAGGGTATTCAAACAGGAAGGGAGGAAGTCAAATTATCTCTGTTTGCAGATGACATGATTGTATATTTAGAAAACTCCATCGTCTCCGCCCAAAATCTCCTTAAGCTGATGAGCAACTTCAGCAAAGTCTCAGGATACAAAATCAATGTGCAAAATTCACAAGCATTCCTATACACCAATAACAGACAAACAGAGAGCCAAATCATGAGTGAACTTCCATTCACAATTGCTACAAAGAGAATTAAATACCTAGGAATCCAACTTACAAGGGATGTGAAGGACCTTTTCAAGGAGAATTATAAACCACTGCTCAAGACACAAGCAAATGGAAAAACATTCCATGCTCATGGATAGGAAGAATCAATATTGTGAAAATGGCCATACTCCCCAAAGTAATTTATAGATTCAATGTTATCTCCATCAAGCTATCTTTTACATTCTTCAGAGAATTGGAAAAATCTACTTTAAATTTCATATGGAACCAAAAAAGAGCCCACATAGCCAAGACCATCCTATGCAAAAAGCACAAAGCTGTTACCTGACTTCAAACTATACTACAAGGCTGCAGTAACAAAAACAGCATGGTACTGGTACCAAAACATATATAGAGACCAATGGAACAGACCAGAGGCCCCAGAAATAACACCACACATCTACAACCATCTGATCTTTGACAAACCTGACAAAAACAAGCAATGGGGAAAGGATTCCCTATTTAATAAATGGTGTTGGGAAAACTGGCTAGCCATATGGGGAAAACTGGCTAGCCATATGCAGAAAACTGA
The DNA here is from genome assembly GCF_000001405.40 of Homo sapiens. NCBI lineage: Eukaryota > Metazoa > Chordata > Mammalia > Primates > Hominidae > Homo > Homo sapiens. The sequence continues at coordinate 4,897,278 of NC_000009.12, read as the reverse complement.
AACTGGACCCCTTCCTTACACCTTATACAAAACTTAACTCAAGATGGATTAAAGACTTAAACATAAGACCAAAAACTATAAAAACCCTAGAAGAAAACCTAGGCAATATCATTCAGGACATAGGCATGGGCAAAGACTTCATGACTAAAACACCAAAAGCAATGGCAACAAAAGCCAAAATTGACAAATGGGATCTTATTAAACTAAAGAGCTTCTGCACAGCTAAAGAAACTATCATCAGAGTGAACAGGCAACCTACAAATGGGAGAAAATTTTTGCAATCTATCCATCTGACAAAGGGCTAATATCCAGAATCTTCAAAGAACTTAAACAAATTTACAAGAAAAAAACAACCCCATCAAAAAGTGGGCAAAGGATATGAACAGATACTTCTCAAAAGAAGACATTTATGCAGTCAACAAACATATGAATAAAAAAGCTAATCATCACTGGTCATTAGAGAAATGCAAATCAAAACCACAATGAGATACCATCTCACGCCAGTTAGAATGGCGACCATTAAAAAGTCAGGAAACAACAGATGCTCGAGTGGATGTGGAGAAATAGGAATGGTTTTACACTGTTGGTGGGAGTGTAAATTAGTTCAACCATTGCGGAAGACAGTGTGGTGATTCCTCATGGATCTAGAACCAGAAATACTATTTGACCCAGCAATCCCCTTACTGGGTATATACCCAAAGGATTACCAATGATTCTACTATAAAAACACATGCACATGTATATTTATTGTGGCACTGTTCACAATAGCAAAGACTTGGAACCAACCCAAATACCCATCAATGATAGACTGGATAAAGAAAATGTAGCACATATACACTGTGGAATACTATGCAGCCATAAAAAGGATGAGTTCATGTCCTTTGCAGGGACATGGATGCAGCTGGAAACCATCATTCTCAGCAAACTAACACAAGAACAGAAAACCAAACACTGCATGTTCTCACTCATAAGTGGGAGTTGAACAATGAGAACACATAGACACAGGGAGGGGAACATCACACAATGGGGTCTGTTGTGGGGTGGGGGACTAGGGGAGGGATAGTATTAGGAGAAATACCTAATGTATATGACAGGTTGATGGGTGCAGCAAACCAGGCATGTGTATACCTATGTAACAAACCTGCACATTCTGCCCATGTACCCCAGAACTTAAAGTGTAACTTTAAAAACAAAGAAAGAAAAAGAAATGAGGTCAGGGACATTATGCCCTCTGCCTTGTAAAAGAGCACCAGTGACCAAGGCAAAGAAGAGAAAACCAATCTGTGTTTAGAGCAAGAAGTTTCTGATAGACTGAAGGGACTACAGGAGCCTGACATACACTAAGTAACTGTATGTACCTATTTTGGTGGAGTTTGAGGAGGAGGGAAGGGGATCAGGAAGGAACACCATGCTAAAGTAGTAAGTTAAGTAATGCTGACTTCAACAGCACAAAATGTAATTCAGGAAATGTTCCTCCAAAAGATATAAGCAACTAGCACACTTGATCAGTCAGGATTGAGGCCCTCCTTTTTGTACAGTATCCTGCTAAGAATTTAACAACAGACTTCTATATCCTGAACACTGACAAGCTTAATAAGCTTAGAATTGCCATTCTGTGTCAGATGTTCTCTATGAGGCAAAGGCAGAAGCTTAAGAAAGTATGTACCAGCCTTCAAAAAGAGTAACAACTTGAAAAAGTGAAAACTTACAAGGAAAATGATGATAAATCTGAATGAAACATATGCAATTCTTGGCAGACTAGGCATTCAATAAGCATTATTGGATGATGTAGATTTTAGTATATCAAAGTCCTAAAGTATTCAATTATGTGTGTTCTGAGTCAAGTAAAATCATTTACACAAAGTACCATGAACATTTCTTTGAGGGTTGTTAATTTTTTTAATACATTAGGTAATTTTCTATTGTATCCTCAACACTTTGAATACTATGTTATGAAATTCTGGGTACTATTAAAAATCTTCTGAATAATAAAAACTTTTTTGAGTAATTAAATTGAATTATAGAGAAAAAAATTAAATTTTTAAAAAGATGCAAAAGAAAAATGAGTAGGAGTATAAATAGGAGGCAGAAATGAAGCTAATCTAAAAACATTTACCACAGGGTTCTGTGCAGTTTCTATGAATGGGCCACAAATTTATCTTTTTCAACTGTCAATGCAGAGTCAAATATGATCTCAGTTACCAAAGCAAAGTATCAAGTATCTAGAAGAAAAAAGCAAGGCAATTTCTCAGCAGCTACCGTTGGAAAATAATACACAGAGGTGGATATTGCTGGTTGTCTTTCCAGAATCCATTCTCCCCTTCATCCTTACTAACAGAACCTCAGTTTTGTTCAGGTATCTACCCTTTCTTCATGCAGCATCTTCAGTTGAAGGAAGCTGATCCCAGAGGCGGGCTGATTAGCATAAGCCAACCAGTGATTGGTTCAGGAATTAGTATATGATTTAATGGCAGCCAATGAGACACAAGGAGATGGCTGCTGAAGACTTTTAGGAAAGTTCTTTCTTGGCTTTAAGAGAGACTAATGAGAAACAAGGGTCTCTTACCTGAAATATGTGAAAAGAAGCTGCAGTTGCTGCTGGCATTCATCTTGAAACCACGAGGGAAACCAGCATGACAATAAACAAAACATATGAGAAGGGAAGAGCCAAGACAATTGAGGAGGAATGGAGTGAAAGCCCTGATCATACTGTACCTGAAGTCTACCCTGCTGCTAGACATCTCCCCATATGAACCTCATTGTTTACCAGTTTGATTCTGGTGTCTGATGTTCACAATCCAAAACATACTGATGCATATCCCCACAAGTGTATGAAAACATGCTCTCATTTTCCCAAACTAATCATCTAAGTCAACACTGTATAATGATATACCGTCTCCCATTCAACCACCCATAGCACAAATATCTCTGGAGCGTATATCATGTGCCAGCCTACTGTGCTAAGTTCTGGGAATATAGTGAATAATGGTGATGTAATAAGTGCTATGAAAGAGTACTTCATACCATAGGAAGAGAATCTAAGCTTCCTAGGATGATTCATTTAAATTGAAACACGAAGAATGAGGAAGGATTTGCCAGAAAGAGAAAATTGAAGGGGAAGAATATTCCAGGCAGAGGAAACAGCATGTATGTCAGACATAGCCGGATTCAAATTAGTCCAACAGAGCTGGGGCTGAGATAATGAAGTACAGAATGGGTTTAAATGAAGCTGACAGGCAAGAGATAGACAACTGTCTCCTAAGCCACATGAAGGATTTGGAGATTTATCCTAATGGCAATGGGATAGCCTAGAATAATTTTAAGCAGGAATGAAATAACATATTTGCATTTTTAAAAGATTATTCTAACAAGGAACAGAAAGGGGCCATAGTGGATGATGAAAGCCACATTAGGAAGCTCATACAGTAGTCAATGTGACAGATGATGATGGCATGGACTAGATTGGTAGCTATGATGGAAGAAGTGCACTGACTAAAAAAATGTGTAGGAAAAGCGATCTACAATATTTGGTGATAATTTGCATCTGAAGAATGAGGGAAAGAGCAACAAAGAACAAGTGTCAAGTTTGTGACTTGTACAACTAGGTAAAATCTGGTGCTGTTTAATGAAACAAATAATAGTAGCATAAGAGTAGACTTAAAGGGAGTAGGAAGTGATAATGAGTTCAGTTTGGGGTCTGTTAATTTTTCCCAACATTTTATTATTAAAAAAAGTTCAAGAAAACAGAAAAGTTCAAAGAATTGTACAGTTTACATTCATCTGCCCAAAATCTAGACCGTATAATTAATTTTTTATTGTATTTGCTTTATCACATCACGTATCAATCATTCTTATTTATTGATGGATTTCAGAGTAAGTTGCAAAAATGCATACATTTCACCCCTAAACATTTCAGCATGCATATCCTCAACTTAGAGTCTAATATTTGTTTATAGCTCCTTTTTTGAGGTAAAATGTACATACAATGAAATGTATATAACTTAAGTGTCCAATTTGATGAGTTTGGCAAATGCATACACTTGTGTAACCCAAATTCCTATTGTAATATAGAACATGACCATTACCTTAGAAAACTCTTTTATGACAGTCTTTTCCCAATAAACTCACTCCTCAACACCCAAGAGGCAACCGCTGTTGTGATGATTTTTCACTATAGATTGGTTTTGCCCGTTCTAAAATTTCATAAAAAATGAAATCACAGTATTTACCCTCTTGTGTCTGGCTTTCTCCATTCAGCATAATGTTCTTAACAGTCATTCCTGTGGGTGCATGGATCAGTTGCTCTTTCCTTTTATTGCTAAGTAGCATTCCATTGTATGAATATTACTATTGATTTTCTGTTTGCCCTATTTGTCATACCTCTTTTCCTCCATTCTTGCTGTCTTTTTAGTTAATTGAATAGTTTTTAGGATTTTCAATTCAGCTATTGGCATTTTACCTATTCCTCTTTGCAACATTTCCTAGTGATTGCTCAGGAATATACGTCCTGAAATTCTCTTAACTCTATTTAGAGTTAACATCACACTACTTTATATAAAATGTATGACTCTTACAGGTTGATATGTTTACTCACCTCCCCCTTATCCTTAATAATATCATTGTCATATGTATTAAATCTTCATCTTGGATGACAGTTGTTTTTTCTTTCAACACCGTGAAAATGTCATTGGCCCCCACAGTTTCTGATGAGATGTTCACAGTCATTTGAATCATTTTTTGCTTATATGTCATGCGTTATTTTCCTCTGGATGCTTTCAATATTTTTTCTTTATTTTTCATTTTCATAAGTTTGACTATGATGTATCTAGACATGGTTTTCTTTGTATTTCCCCTGATTAAGGTTCTTCTTGAATCTGTAAATAAATGTCTTTTAGCAAATTGGGAAACACTTTGTCCACTTATTTCTTTAAATAAATTTTATGTCCCATTTTCTCTTTACTGTCCTGGAACTTCAATTACACATATGTTAGACCTTTTGATATTGCTGCGCTGGTTCCTGTGACTGTGTTCCTTTTTATTTTATTTTATTTTATTTTATTTATTTTTTTAAGAGACAGGGTCTTGCTCTGTCACCCAGGCTAGAGTTCAGTGACACAATCATAGCTCACTGCAGCCTTCATCTCCTGGGCTCAAACGATCTGCCCGTCTCAGCCTCTGAAAGTGCTGAGATTACAAGCATGAACCACCACACCCAGCCATGTTCTGCCATCCCTATTCTCCTATTATGATCTCCAGTAAATTTTTATTTAAGATACTATATGTTTTGGTTCTTAAATCTCCATCTTGTTCTATTTTATAATCTCTACTTTTCTGCTGAGATTTCCTATTTGTTCTTTTATGATGAGCATGTATATATATGTTTACCTCCATGAATTGTTATAATACTTATAAAATCTTTATTTGCTGAAACCTTTGTCTTTACAATCTTTTCTGTTAAATCCAACATCTGAGTCATCGTAATGTTGGTCTGCATTGATTCTCTATTTTCTTGAGTATGAAATCACATTTTTCCATTGATTTGTATGCCTAGAAATTTTGAATTCTTTGCGAACATTGTGAATAATACATCGTAGTGTCCCTTGATTCTATTTTTCTAAAGAGTGTTGATTTAAAGTTGGAGGAATTCAACTACTGAATTTTTGGATTTACTATAAAGCAAGATAAATACATCCCACCTGCTGGTTTCCCTTGTATGCAACTGAGATCTGTATACCTGCTCCCCACACACCAAAGCATAATGATGCTTTCACTGCTTTGATTTAACTTAGATCACCCATGAAAGAAGGTCATATGGGTGATCTAAGTTAAATCAAAGCCTTCCCAAAGATACAAATTGACTAAATATACCTTAATATTAACATTTAGTAATAATGTCTATAGTAGAGAACACAGCTAAAACAATTAGAAAGTTCTTAATCTTACAAGAAAATTGTTGGCCTACTATAGATTGATGTTCAATTTTGTTAACCTTAATGCAATATTTCCCAAAGTGTATTAGTTGGTAATGATGTTTCATGAAAAGGAGAGAGGGAAGGAAGAGAGGGAGGGAGGGAAGGAGGAAGGGAGATAACTCTTGACCAAATAAGTTTGGAGATTGCCGAGTTCAACAAACTTTATTATTTTATTGTTGCAGGACTTCCTGGAAACTTTACTATGTTAATGTGCACTGTAAGTCTCCAAGATGGCAGAGAGTAGACTTTTGCGGTTGAAATTGTTTTTCTTCATTTTCTTTAAAAGATGAGGTCTAACTCTGTGGCCCAGGCTGGAGTGCAGGACATGATTATGGCTCACTGCAGCCTCCACCTCCTTAGCCTCCTGAGTAGCTGAGACTACAGGCACATGGCCCCACACCTGGCTAATTTTTTTTTTTTTTTTTTTTAGCAACAGGGGTCACCTTATGTTGACCAGGCTGGTCTCAGACTCCTGGACTCAACTGATCCTCCCACCTTGGCTTCCCAAAGTGCTAGGATTACAGGAATGAGCCACTGTGCCTGGCTGATTTTAAAAATAGTATTCAGTGGAACAACATACTTTCAGAAATGCTAGCTCAGGCCAATAGAAGAATACTGCAGAAATAGATTTATTATTTTCCTCTGACTCAAGAGGGAAAAGCTAATCTTCAACTTATTTGGCCAAACCTTATATTTTAAATAATACGAAGCATTACGTTTTTATCAAAAGAACATAGGATTTGGAACCAGGAGATGAGCTCTCTTCTAACTAGCTGTGTGACCTTGGGCAAGGATCGCTTTAATCTTTTCTAATCTAATTTCTTTCCTACAGCTACAAAAGCAGAAATCCCCTGGCTAGAGTTCTTTGTGGTAGATGAATTGAAGTCCATTTGAATAACATATAATTAAAGAGAATACAAATGTTGGAATGGAAATCCCCAGACTGTCCAGTGAGAAAATCCCTTAAATTTTCCTGGTTCTTGTTTTTTGAGTGCTGACCACATTTTGGTGTTGGGCTTGGTTCAAGTGTCACCAAAGGCAGGGTCAGGTTAAAGGTGCACACTTGCTGAGGCAAATCGGGAAAGTCAATGAAGGGCCCACTCTGTAGGCCTGCGCCTATGGCTGTGCTCACTCAGATAGCCCCTTCTCAACCAGGCTTATGGCGGTAGTTGTGGGAAAAAAAGAAGCAGGGAGGGATCTTTAAAAGACCCAAAAAGTTATAAAAATCCAGAATAATCTAGATTATTAATCCTAGGGGGAGAATCTGAAAAAAAGTCAGAATCAGTGAGAGTACTTGCCCCAAAATATCTCTCATCACCTTTTTTTCCATTTTATCTTGTTACAGTAAATTCCACTAATTAGAGATTCATGTAATCTAAACTAATTTGGAAAACTGGAAGCATCTCTAGGAAGATTAAATAGCCGTTAGACATCCATGTGGAGAGTAAAGTTGCTCAATCAGACCACCTTCCTCTTAATCCTTGAAATTATTTGTAGTCAGGGAATAGGAGTTGTGATTGGCAGAGGGGAAAGGTAAGAGGACCCTGGAGTGGGGTTGGAGGCTTGCTCCAGTGGGAGATGAGGCATGGTAGGGAAGAGGAGCAGAGAAGGTACTCATAGAGCACGTAGAGGTGCAAAAACAGAAGTGTAAAACAGAAAGATGTTAACAAATGATCCAATTCCCAAAGGCTTTGTTTTTCCTTTTCTTCTTCATCCCTCCCTCCCGTTATGGTCTCCTGCTCATGACTACCAAGAAAGCTGGGATTGGATTAGGCTGCATCATGGGTGAACTTTTTTGTTTTTTGAGACGGAGTCTCTCTCTGTTGCACAGGCTGGAGTGCTGTGGCGTGATCTCGGCTCAATGCAACCTCCGCCACCCAAGTTCAAGCGATTCTCCCACCTCAGCCTCCGAGTAGTAGCTGGGATTATAGGCATGCGTTACCATGCCCAGCTAATTTTTGTATTTTTAGTAGAGACAGGGTCTCACTATGTTGACCAGGCTGGTCTTGAACTCCCAATCTCAGGTGATCCTCCCACCTCGGCCTCCCAAAGTGCTGGGATTACAGGTGTGAGGCACCGTACCTGGCTTGAACTTGGTTTTTGTAAGCTAGCCTGTCAAGCTAAAAACCACCTATCATTGTGATGGTCAAATGTATTCTAAATTCAAAATCACCTCCTTAGACGAGAAATGTTAGGATATAACATGTTCATGAGTTGGGAGTCTCCTATAATACCCAGTCAATAAATATTTACTGAGTGCTTACCAGGTACTGAAGATCCAATGGAGAATATGAAACATCTCCATCCTCAAAGCTTAATGAATGTATTTGCATTTCTAAGGTCACTCAGAAGTGCAGAAAATAGGTTGAAGGGAAACAAGATTGAAGTCAGGAGCCCATCTATCAGGCAGCTACAGAAATACAAGGAAAGACTTGGTCCTTAATGAGCAAGACTCTAGCCTTTTGCATTTTTCAGCAGAACTGGTATTTGACTAAGCAGGATAATGAACACTCTTTGCTTCCAGATTTATAATGGATAATTGGCTTGGTTTTAAAATCTCCACCAACTCCTGTCAGTCTTTGATTGAGGACTGCTCCCTCTATAGCAGGAGTAGCCAGAGAAAGCCCCTAGGGAGAACATTCAGGGGTTGGCAGTCCGATATTCTGTCCTGCACTGAAGTGCTAAGGGCAAGATGAGATGATTAGAGCACTGACCATATCTGTTGCCTCTGACTGGGGCAGGCAATGACTTCTAGGATCTCTCTACAGGTTATAAGAAGACAATGGAGCCAGGGGCACTGTCTCAGGCCCATCCACTGGACACCTCCACCAGCCATTTCTAACCCTCTACCTAAGTATTCCACATTGTTCTAATGACCTACATTTTGAGAAACACAGCTCTAGTCCCTTGCATAGCATCTAGCAAACAAACATTGGTGAAAGAGTGGGCACGTAGTTTAATTGTGAAGCAAACATTTGTTTACATTTTATATCCCATCTGTCTCTCTTCATTTCAGTTTTAATTTTTTCTTCTGTTAGCACTTACCCTTCTACGCTTTAAGGGGTCTTGCTCCTTTCAGTGTGTTATCATTTAGCCATCCTTCCTCTAGGTCCTAAACTCCCCCAACTTATCATTGATACTTTGATTCAACTTCGCAAAGACTTCCTGAGGTCCTACCATATGTAAAACCCCTGTAGTGCTGTGGGGGCCACAAAGATGACTAGAGGGAACACGTCCTTCCTTCAAAGATGACTAGGGGTAACATAGACCCTTTTGACCTTTTCTGGCTCCACCAAAATTTTCTCTAATCCTCTTAATTCCCTGGCTCTCCCTAGCTCTGCCCTCTCCAGTTACCTATTGCCTCTGAAACATAAACTTACTAGCAATGGTAGATTGTTACATTAATGGCTCCAAATGAATCCTGCACCAAATGAATCATGCCATTCCCTAGGATAGTTGCTTCCCACATTGAAGCTGAGCTTGGCCATGTGCCTTGTTTTGGCAGGGAGGCGTTAGCAAACGTGACACAAGTGGAGGCTTGAAAAGCACTTGTGCTTTGCAGCTTTTTCTTGGAATACTGCCACTGCCATGAAGGGAAGGCTGGTCTAGACTCCTTAAGAATGAAAGATCATGGAAAGAAAGGTCCTGCTGCCCCGGCCATCCCAGCTTCACCCAGCATCCAGTGGACCTGGCTGCTGAACGTAGTGACATGAGACAGCCCAGGTAAGACTAAAAAAAGAACAGTTCCTGGACCAATCTGAGGGTTGGGCTGCTATTTCTCATGGCCCAATAATGAGATGCAGATGAACTGGGGAAGAAGAGAGCTTTTACTTCTGTAACCAGTTACAGAGAGAAGGCCTGGAAATTATTTCCAGACCAACTCAAAATTACAAAGTTTTCCAGAGCTTATATACCTTCTAAACTATATGTCTATGTGTAAGTGCGCATTCATCTAAAGACATAAGTGATTAACTTCTTTTAATCTACAACTATGATCTGAGTCCTGAAAACCTTCCTCTGGAGCCTCAGTACATTTACTTAATCTAAATGGGTCCAGGTGCTGGGGTGATTACCCTTATCTTGTCTCCTGCTAAATCATGGAGGTTTGGGGAGTTCCTTCAGGCCTCCAGTAAACTTGTTTGTGGAGATCTGGGGAGTTTCTTCAGACCCACAATAAAACTTGTTTAATCCCAAACGGGTCCTGTTAAGAATTCCTTTGTTATTTTGTCACGCCTTAAGGCCCAGAAAAGGCCTAGGCAAAACTCTTGCTGGGCTTTTGTTACATCCCAGCCTTCGTATAAGGGCACTGGCTTTTAATATTTAACTTAACCACTCAGTCAGTACTGAAAGAGTTGTTAGTGAGACCTGGCCTGCCACAGAATCACCCGGCCAGGACGACAGAATCTTAAGAAATCATTGATGTTGAAACCAAAGTTTGGTTATTTTGTTATGCTTCAATTGACAACTGAAACATATGTCTTATCTTCAAGGCCCTCCTTCTGACATCTACTGTCCAAGTAGGAAAAGCATGGGCTCTTGAATCCACGCTCTGGCGTCAAAGCCTTCTTGGTTATGTGGCTTTGGGCAATAAGCTTCAATTCTCTGTGTTAGAGCAGTGTTTCTCAACATGTGGTCCACCTGCATCAGAATTAGCTGGATGTTTGTTTAAAAAATACAGACTTAAGCAGTTATTTTTATAATAGCTCCAAACTGGAAATGATATGAACATTCATCAACTGGTGAGAGGATATGATATATTCATACAATGGAATACAACTCAGCATTAAAAAAAGGACTGATTTTTTTTTTTTTCATGAGACCAAGTCTCACTCTATCACCCAGGCTGGAGTGCAGTGGCCCCATCTCAGCTCACTGCAGCCTCCGCCTCCTGGGTTCAAGTGATACTCCTGCCTCAGCCTCCCAAGTAGCTGGGACCACAGGTGTGCACCACCATGCCCGGCTAAGGACTGAACTATTGATACATGTAATAGCATGGCTGACTTAGTAGTTTGAGCAAAAGGAGTCAGACACAAAAGGTGATATATTGTATGGTTTTATTTATTTAAAGTCCTAGAAGAGGCAATACTGACTCGTGATCATCAGACAAAACAAATTGGTAGAATCAGAACATCGCCTCTGAGCAGGAGACAGGAGAGACTAACCAGAAAGAGGCAGGAAGGAACTTGCTAGCATGATGGAAATGTTCTGTATCTTGACTGGGATATATTTACGTGAGCATTTGCAAAACTTGTCAAACTGTATGCTTAAAATCTGTGCATGTTTATATGAAAATTATACCCCCATTTAAAAAACAGATTATAGAAAACATACAGATTTGGGCTTGCCCTGTGTGCGCTGGATACTTAAATTGGCTCTTTCTTTTTTTTTTCTTTTTTGAGATAGGGTCTCGCTGTCACCCAGACTGGAGTGCAGTGGCGCGATCACGGCTCACTGCAGCCTCGATCTCAAGCGATCCTCCTGCCTCAGCCTCCTGAGGAGCTGGGACCACAGGCACAGGACACCACGCCTAGCTAATTTTTTTTGTATTTTTTGTAGAGATGATGGTCTCGCCCTGTTGTCCAGGCTGGTCTCAAACTCCTGGGCTCAAGTAATCTTCCCTCCTCAGCCTCCCATAGTGCTGGTTTTACATGTGTAAGCCATTGCACCTGGCCTAAATTGGCTGTTTCATCTCCTGGGTGGAGAGGTTGGAAAGCTGGGAATACATTTCCCAGGTCCCCTTGCAGCTAGGCTTGTGGGTGTGAATTGATTCTGCCAGTTAGGGGTGCTCACGTGAGACTTGGGAAAGTGGAAAGAAGGCAACACGACTTTGTCATCTTTTCACAGACCTTCAGGACAATAAATGAGCTCTGGCAAATGGGAACCACTCTCTGCGAGAGGGTAGGGGTGACAATGACAACAGTGACAGCCTAATAGACAATAGTGACAGAATGACAAAGATTTCCTATTATGTTTTCCCACAGCTCTCTGTACTTTTTCCTTAGAATCACTTTCACAGTTACAGTTGAATAATGTGTAATTTGTGAGGTGCCGTGGCTCACGCCTGCAATCCCAGCACTTTGGGAGGCCAAGGTGGGAGGATCACCTGAGGCCAGGAGTTCAAGACTAGCCTGACCAACATGGTGAAAGCCCGTCTCTACTAAAAATACAAAATTTAGCCAGGCATGGTGGCAGGTGCCTGTAATCCCAGCTACTTGGGAGGCTGAGGCAGGAGAATCGCTTGAACCTGGGAGGCAGAGGTTGCAGTGAGCTGAGGTCACACCACCGCACTCCAGCCTGGGGGACAAAAGTGAAACTCCATCTCAAAAACTAAAAAAAAATAACGTATAATTATTTCATACTTCTCTTTCACATGGTGTAAGCTCAATGAGGGTAAGATTTATGTGTCTTGTTCATCATGGTATCTCTGGTGCCTGGCTCAGCACCTGGCACATAGTAGTTAACATTTAGGACTTGATGAATGAACTAACACATGCTCCTCCCCTCATTGCTCAGTGTTGTGGCTCCTCGGGAAAGTATCAACAAGTGCAGCCATAGGTCCTTGTAGAGGTGCAGTCAAATCAGAACCAACCAACCTGTTTAACCTGCAGCTTGATGATGCTCTAGGTCCTAGCCGTTGAGATGGGCCAGTGGCAGGGCCCACGGGTCCTGGAGCTGCCAGGCTGAGAGATCTGGCTCAGGTGCGGTTTTTGTCTTAGCCTCAGAATAAGACCAGAGAAGTCCTGTTGGTTCTCAGAGTCCTTGTCTGCCTTTGTGGGTGCCCTGTCACATACTTGCCACCCTCACTTCAGGAGGCTGCTCCTGCAAGGATCATGTGAGACATTAGATACTGCTATGGCCTCAATGTTTGCATCCCCTCAAAATTCCAATGTTGAAACCTGATTCCCATGGTGGTGGTATTAGGAGGTAGGGCCTTTAGATGATTATGTCATGGGGCAGAGCCATCAGAAGACGATTAGTGAATATCCTTATTTAAAAAAACTGGGGGGTGCCTAGAGAACCCCAGACCCCTTCTACCATGTGAGGAGGACACAGCAAGAAGGCCCCATCTATAAAACCAGGAAGTGAGCCCTCACCAGACACCAAATCTGCCAGTGCCTTGATCTTGGACCTTCCATCTTGCAGAACTGTGAAAAAGAAATTTCCATTGCTTATAAGACACTCAGTTTATGGTATTGTGTATGGTTACAGCCATATAAAAGACTAAGACAGATACCAAGGGCTTTAGAAAGAAATCAATCAGTTTCTGGTGGCAAGCATAAGTACCCACTTAGGAAGAACAGATTCAAAAAGTTCAAATAAATGGTGCTTTTTGTGTGATTGTGCATTTCAAAGGTTTTTTATTTACAAGAACATAGAAGGAGATCTGAACACCACCCACAGATTTTTGGCCCAAAGCAAAGTCAGCTCCCACATAAGCGTAGAGCATCCCAGAAAATTCCCTTAGCCCTTTTAAAGCTGCTTGGGCACTACAGTCTCCTGTGAAAACACCCACCAGTGTCTCCCTACAGATTCTACACACCCCTGCTCTGGAACCAGAGGAAGTGTGTGAGGTTCTAGCTTCCTGCAAGGGCCTCTCAGCCATGATCCCCATTTACTGAGCACACCTCAGCATCTGGCTAGTCTCCGGCCAAGTGCAAAGAATAAGACCTGGTACTGTCTTCAAGGGACCAGTCATTTGTCAGGATGCTTATTGTTCTGAAGAGCCAGGCTCAGCACCTATAGTACCTATTCCAAAGAGTTCATGCGAGGATTAAAAGGGACAATGCACTTAGCACTGCCAAGCCTGGCAGATGGTAGCTGCTCCAAAATGTTAGCCATTATCATTACTGAGGCTAAGAATTCTGGAAGCTCTCCCATAAAAATTACTTCTGAAATAACCTTCATTTCAGAAGCTTTTTTCCTAATCTCCCAGATTTCACAAGAATAAGAAGTCAAATATTCCTCCAAGAGAAAGGGTAAAGGTAAAGATTCTTTTTCTTGTTGTTCTCTTATGTTTCATTCTTTTTGGTTTTCCTGACAAATATTCACAAAGCACCTACCATGTGCAAGAATGGTGCCCAACACAGGGATACTACACAGTCTTGGCCCTGTAGCTCTTGCAACCCAGGAGGAGGCATCTACTGAACAAATTACACAAATTTTCATTCTTGATAACTTAATGACAAAAGAAGGAAAATCCAGAAATACTAGAAAAACACAAAACAGGGTGGGGGCTGACCTAGTTTGGGATTTCAGAAGAGCTTCTTTTAGCAAGTCATAACTGAGCTGAGCTTTAAAAGATGTATAGGAATTAACCAAGCCAAGGGTTGGATGTCAGAGGTGGAAGGACCACTCAGACAGAGGGACAGCAGAAGCAAAGGCTATGAAGGAGAAAGGCAGGTTTTCTGTTGGCCAGTGGGGTGTGTGTGTGTGTGTGTGTGCGTGTGTGCATGTGTGTGCATAGGTGTGTTCTGTGTGATTATACTTGCTTTGTACTTTTCTCTATAGACAAGAGCCATGGAAATTATTAAGCCTAAACATGGAGTTGTAGAAGGAGCTGGAAAGGAAATCCTGGGACCTGGGCACCAGTTATAGCTAGGTCATTATCTTGCCTCTGTCTGTATGGGTGAGATCTCAAACTCTTTAACTTTTTGAGACTTCCATTTATCTGCAAAATGAAGGTCTTAGGATAAAATGATCCTTAGGATGATTCTAGGGAGCTTTTACACTTGCAGGAGATTAAAACTGACACATACTGGATCCTTCTCCTCTGGGTATGTTGTTTCTGGTGTATGCCCCCTTCCCCCACACACACTGAACACAATTGATTAGGGGGTGGAAATCTGACTCAAGCTGGATCAATCAGCTTTCTTTCCTTGCACATTTAAATTAGGCTGGTCCCTTGAATGAAGAAGATCAAAACCGGGAGGTTGTAGAGACACCACTTTCTTCCCACTGGGTACACTAAGAAGCAGAAAAAGGAGGATTGCAGAGAGAGAGAATGAAGCATCTGGGCAGAAAGAAGCTGCCAGGGTCCTGATAGCTTCCAAGTTCTCTCCAAAGGCCCAGCTGTATGCCTTCCCTCGTATTCCACAAGATACTCCTGTATCCTTAAGATAAATTCCCCCTTTCCTTTAAGCTGGTTGGAATATGTAGTGGACCGTAGTAGCTATAGTGTTAGTCTAGTAACTTGTTTCCTCCTTCTTTGGTTTTCCCCAGATTCTCATGAGGTCCTATCTAGTAGGACAAATTGTCATGGATAGCCCCCAGAGGGTGAATTCATGATCCAGACTGGCCAGTCACCCTATCCCCCTGGCCACAATGATTGGTTTGTGTGTGGGCACATGATTCAAGCAAGGCCAATCAGTGTCTTCCCCAGGATTGATCTAGGGAGTTGGGAAGAGAAGTTCTCATTCTGCTGGGGTAGCTAAACTGAGATGATGTTTTCAGAATGTTCAGCCACCATTTTAAAACCCTCTTTGCGAAGAGGCCCTGCCTGTAGAATGAAACCAAGCAGAAACAAGCCAAACCAAGAGAAGGACAGGTAAAGAGAGAGCAGAGAGAAGAAAAAAGGGAGGGAGGAAGGGAAGGAGAGAGAGAGAAGGAGGGAAGAAGGGAGGAGGGAGGAGAGACACTTCCAAATGCATAATTTGAACCTTAGATTCTGCTCTACCTAAAACTAGGTCCATTCCCAGATTTTTCTGGTTATATTAGGCTGGTACAAAAATAATCGTGGTTTTTGTCATTATTTGAATTACAATTCATTACAATGAATTTCTTTCTTTCTTTCTTTCTTTCTTTCTTTTTTTTTTTTTTTTTTTGAGATGATGTCTTCCTCTCTTGCTCTTTTGCCCACACTGGAGTGCAGTGGTGCAATCTCGGCTCACTGCAACCTCCACCTCCAGGGTTCAAGCAATTCTCTTACCTCAGCCTCCTGAGTAGCTGGGATTACAGGTGCCCACCACCACACCCGACTAATTTTTGTAGTTTTAGTAGAGATGGGGTTTCACCATGTTGGCCAGGCTGTTCTCAAACTCCTGACCTCAAGTGATCCACCCGCCTCATCTTCCGAAAGTGCTGGGATTACAGGTGTGAGCTACTGCGCCCGGCCGAATTTCTTTTCTTATTATTTTGTATAAACCAGCTGGAATTGAGTTTCCATCGTTTGCAACCTAAACTTATTTAAGTTAATTTCCATGACTTGCCACCGAAGTCTTCACCAATACAATACATACAAATACGGTTTTATGAAGTCTTGGAGTTCAGATGGCTTTCCCTGTAGAATTAACAAGACCACTGTTTTGGCAGGTCTTCCAAGTTACCCACATAACTCCCGGATCTGCTTGCTGCAAATCCTTCAGCCTTTGATCTCCATTATGGGTTGAACTATATATCCCCTAAAAAAAGATATGTTGAAGTCCTAATCCCAGAACCTCAGAATGTAACATTATTTAGAAATAGGGTTGTTGAAGATTTAATTAGATAAGATGAGGTTATACTGGAGTAGGTGGACTTCTAATTCAATATGATTGGTA
The DNA here is from genome assembly GCF_000001405.40 of Homo sapiens. Taxonomy (NCBI): domain Eukaryota; kingdom Metazoa; phylum Chordata; class Mammalia; order Primates; family Hominidae; genus Homo; species Homo sapiens. The sequence continues at coordinate 4,880,771 of NC_000009.12, read as the reverse complement.
TCTTTAACAGAAGACAGACATGAAGAAAGAGACCCAAGGAGAACACCATATGAAAATGGAGGATTGCGTCTACTATTCAAAGGACATCTATAAGCATCAATAAGCCAAGGAATGTCTGGGATTACCAGAAGCTAAGAGAGAGGCAAGGAAAAGATTCTCCCTCAGAACTCTCAGAAGGAACCAACTGCCAGCAACTTAATTTTGGACTTCTGGCCTCCAGAACTGTGAGATGATAAATTTCTGTTGTTTTAAGCCACCCAGTTTACAGTACTCTGTTATAGCCCCCTAGGAAACTGTCACAGTCCCCAAACCATGAAGCGCTATTTAAGTGATGGTTTCAGGTGTGGAAGGTGCTGCACTTGCTGCCTCCCATCAGGGATGTAATATTACTCAGGTCAGAACAGCTGTCCTTAGACCACCTTCCCACTCTGCTACTCCCCTTTCACAATTTGTTTTCCTTTTGCTCTAAGGAAACTGGAGGCCTAGGTGGAAATTCTGATAGCATAGCCCATGGTTAACCCCAGTGGAATCGAGTTCAGAGCCCAGTTTCCAAGGGACTCAGACATCCAAGGAAGATGGCATTTATGACTGGCTGTGAAGCAGAAGAAAGGAGACAATCATAACCACAAGCTTTGGCAGAGCTGGCTGCAAGGCAGGCACCCCACAGCTGGCATTCAAGTCCCCATTCCCAGCCTGTTTCTGGGTAGTGTTTGCGGCAGCCGTGTTGAAGAACATGGGGATTGTCCTCTTTTTCCCAAAAGCCAGTACCACCCTCCAACACAACCTCTGCTATGACCAACCTAGGGAACAGGAAAGGGAGGGGAAGGAAAGGCTGGAGAAGAAGTAAAACAAGCACAAAGCCTGGCAACTCCATCCCTAGGAGAGACACACAGGAGAGGAGACCCCAGCTTGGATGACTGTCCTCCTCAGTTAGCTAAGAAAAGATGAAGATGACCTGGCATGACACCAGTGATGGATAAAAGGCACCCACGCTGAGAGCTACACAGTTCAGCTGGAAATAGAGCCTCAGCAAGCTGCAAGAGAGATCCAGAGGTTGAACTGGGCATTGTTACTCAAGTGTTTTTCCTCTAGAGTTTTCCTTCTGAGACACCATAGTCTCCTCCCTCATTCATGAACTCCTCACTCTGCCTGCTGGGAGGACCTGCCAACCTGGACAGGACAGGCCCTTCGGCTTATCATGGGGGCAGCTGCTGAGTGCATTTCCAAGCCTCTTCAAAGGGTGGGTGGAGAGGAGAGTGTGGGAGCCACTTTCCTACCAAAAAGGAATAACCTAAAGTGCACCAAGGAGCAAGTTGCAGCTTTAGAAAAACAAAACAGATCAAAACAATCTCCTCTGTGCAGATATTGGATATTTGATACTCCTTAGTTTCCCAGCAACAGCTCCATTAAGTTGGCATTTATTGATTTAATGTTCAAGTGAGGTCAGTACCAACTATTAAATCAAACTGTGCCTGTCTTTAGGCCAGACAGGTTTTGGCGACTGAGCTCCTACAGGCAGCAAGTGGATCCAGGTCAGGCTTCTCCATCTGAGGCAAGCCTCACCCAGGCAGTCTCTCCTGCCCACTCCCACCCCTTACCATGTCACACCACGCCCCGCCCATGCCTCAGGGCCCTGGCTAGCCCCAACTTTCCTCTTCCCTCACCTCAGAGCCCAGCCTGAGCCCTATTTTTTAAAATCTGGGTACTAGGATATAGGGAAGATTAAGGAGCTATGGGATAGGATCACACCACACCATGTTCTTCACCAGTATGGGAAAGGTTGGTACCTCCAAGGCCACCAAAGATGACTCTTTCATGGAGATTGCTATGGAGGAGAGGAATAACATTCTGGGTCTGAGATTTTTTGGGGTAGGGGTTGGGAGGAGCATTGATTTCAGTTTTGGATATACCACTTAAGGGTGTGTCAGATCTTGAAGCCCAACTATCCTTAAGGACATCCCACTCCCACACCATACTGTATGCCAGCATTGCTACAGGACGTGGGGGTAAAGAGACAAATATAACACAGTCCCTTCTAGAACCTTATAACCCAATGGGGAAGAACCAAGAACAGGCAGACACAGTGGGATAAGTCCTCCGATGCTCTGAGGGAGATATGCCAAGGGTACCATGAGGATCAGCAAAGACACCACCTGGTCCAAGCTGTCCCCAGCATATTTTTAAATTCTCTGTAGCTCACAACATAGAATGGCTATATGAGATTTCATCTTATAAATGTCCTTTGGTTTGACAAATTTCCTAATATCGAATGGTTAGATTTTTCCTGTGACCATCTTTGTACTCAAACCTTTGTCCAAACATCTGATTACTTCCTTAGGATAAACTTCTAGCAAGGAAATCATACCCATCAAAGCCTATGAAGATTTTTAGAACTTCTGATACAAATTCTCTATTCCCCTTTACAGTGAAGACTTTAACAGGGAAGTGGCCTGGTAAGATTTGTTTTACTGAGATAGATCTGGAGAGCAGAGAGGAAAATGAATTGGAGGGAGCAAGACTAGAGTCAGAGAAACCAATTAGGAGACTGTGGATGCTTAAATTAATGAAATGGTTAAACAAGTGTCCATGGATGTGGAGAAAAGGGATAATGATGAGAACTATTAAGGAGGTAGAATTAATATGACTGGAGGCTGATGAAAAGGGTGTAGGAGCCAGGCATGGTGGCTCACATCTGTAAACCCAGCATTTTGGGAGGCTGAAGTGGGAAGACTTCTTGAGGCCAGGAGTTTGAGACCAACCTAAGCAATACAGTGAGACCCCATTTCTTAAGAAATTTAAAAATTAGCCAGGCATGGTGGCATGCATCTATAGTCCCAGCTACTCAGGGGGCTGAGGCGGGAGAATTGCTTGAGCCCTGGAGGTTGAGGTTGCAAGGAGCCATGATTGCATCACCGCACTCCAGCCTGGGCAACCAAGCAAGACCCTGTCTCTGAAAAGGGGAGGTAGCGGGGTGTAGAATATGGGAAATAAGAGAGGGTACAGCAAAAGAGGACTCCAAGATCTCACCTTGCATCTTCTATATAAATAAATAATAAAATAAATAGTCCAAGATTTCTGGATTGAGCTATCATCCACCAAGAAAACAAATGTAGGCCGAGGATGGGCTCTGGAAGCAAGATAAAATGAGCTCTGCTTTGAGCATTTAGGCTTCTCATTCCTGTGAGGTCTTCAAGGGGAGAAAGCTGGGCTGTAATTCTGAAACAGTTTAAGAGCTCTGGTGAGAGAGATGCGTTTGGGTCATCAGAATAAGGAAGATAGTTTGTACCAGATAGGTGATTTATACAAATTGGAAAGAATCACAATTACCTAAAAATGGTGGTTCTCTAAATTTTTAACTACCTTAGCCCAGCTGAATATCAAAACACGTCTCTTCAGTGGGGGTGGACACCACATACACCCTAGAGAAAGCATATCAGAATTGAGGAGGGGGCAGGATGGAGTTTATAGGTGCTGGGATCAGAGGGAGAGAATAAATGACCCTGATACTCTTACTTAGGAAGGCATCCTCCCCCCTCCCTCCCCTCCCTCGAGAATCATGGCTTTAAAGACACAGAGATGAGAAAGAGTGGATAGCCAACCTGCCCACTGCTTAGTAGGCAATGAATGAATTTGCAAGTGTTAACTTGGGAGTTCAACTTCACGGTTTGGGCTGCAAAGACTGACCCTTCTTCCAGGAGCATCCTGGACCCAAGGCTCCAAAACCCCAGGCCAAGTTAGCAAGAAATCCAGACTATCCACAGCATCTTTGTGTGCCTACATCCCTGCCAGCACCTCCCCAATCACAGAAGCATTTGCTCAGCACAACCACCACTGGTTACCATGCTGGGAAGAGCCAGTCTACTGGGAAGTGGGCATGCCCAGGTCGCATGGGATTCTTTAAGGGAGGGTATGGCTCAGCCCTCTACCTCCCATCTACACTGCCTCCTTAGGAAGGACTTTCATTTGCTGAGTTGTTTTTCTTTCTTTCACGGTATTATTGTCTCAGATGTTTGGTAATTCTTGATTGGTACTCTTCTGAGTAAGTCTTGGGCTTAGACAGTTTCTTGACAGAGGAGCAGCCTGGCTTATGGTTTCAAGACTGATTTACTTTGGGTTTCCTGTCTGCATCCTTCTCTTAGGAATGCTTTGCTATTTCTGGTCCAGCAAGACAGTTCCCTGTTGTGTTTTCATGTTTGCAATTCATTAATTGATTTACAAAATATATTTGCTATCATTTCTATCAATTTAATGCAGAAGAGAAAAAGGTCATCCTGTTCCCAGTCCTTCATTTTGAAACCAGGCTGAGGCAGAGCATTAAAGGGGAGTAAGGAGGGAACTGGAGGGCCAGAGGGAGGGAGTAATAGAAATGCAATCAAAAGGCCCCCAAAGGGACACGCAGTATATTCCTGGCCAGCTGCACTGTCCCGTCTGCAGCTTGCCTCCACACTCCTGTGCCCCACTCCTGCCACTCTGGACATCTCCTTCTAGTGCCCATCTCTTGAAGGTTTAGAGTTCCATCTTATTCCAAGTACATCTCATTTTCAGTTTTCTAAAAGGTTTTGCTTATGTGGATAAGGGGAAATAGGAAAGAAAAGATGAGTCTATTTTATCTCCCGTCACCACCTCTTTCTCTTTCTTGTAGACTCTATAAGAAAAAACTTAGTGGCCCAGAACTATCAAGGTCCTTAGATTTACTAATGATTAAAAAGACACATCCATGGCCACTACCAGTCCAGCCACTGGAGATTTCACTTAGTGTAAGAGAAGAAGGGATGAAGTCAAGGTGGGGATGGATCCAGGCCCTTTCTGGGAAGGAATCAGCAGTGGGAGAGTGGAGCAAGAAGGTGAGTTCCAAGCAAAGTTGGAGCCACCAGGTATTCTCAGGTCAGCGGTGTAAAGGGAGTCTCATGCAAAGGAACAACATCTTCCTCAAAGTAACCACCTGGAAAAGTGAAAACCATTTTATTTTATTATTTATTATTTTATTATTTATTATATTATTTTATTTTATTAAAAATAAAATATTATTTTATTATTATTTATTTATTTATTATTTTTAAACAGAGTCTTGCTCTGTCACCCAGGCTGGGTGCAGTGGCACAATCTCAGCTCACTGCAATCTCCGCCTCCTGGGCTGAAGCGATTCTCCTGTCTCAGCCTCCCAAGTAGCTGGGATTATAGGCACCCGCCACCACACCTGGCTAATTTTTGTATTTTTAGTAGAGATGGGGTTTTACCATGTTGGCCAGGCTGGTCTTGAACTACTGACCTCAAGCAATCCACCTGCCTTGGCCTCCCAAAGTGCTGGGATTACAGGCGTGAGCCACTGCACCTTGCCAAAATCCTCATTTTAACAAAGGAGACTTTTTTTAATAAAAATTTAGGAAACCCTCTGTTGACTTTAGGACATAGCTTTATTCTCTAGATGTCCTCAAAATGACAAATTATCATTTCAGGACAGATTTGATGATTGAAATAAGTCTAAAGTCATTTGGAGTGAAGCCTAGACAATAAGCTGGTCATTTCCCTTTTAGGTCAAAATCTAGGTGTGCTCCTTTGAGGAGGTGTAGACGAAAAAAAAAAAAATCTAAGTGTGGCCAGTTGAGTGATTGTTTTTCTCCTATGCCTTGTAAGATTGCCCATAAGGGAAGTGGCCAGGCCAGTAAGCATCATGCCCACTGGTCAACAGTCTTGATGGTGTTAGGACGAGTGTAGCAAGTGACATTCCCTACTAGGGTCAGTGCCACTGAAAGAAAAGGTCCTCATCCTTTAAAGACCTTAACTTTTGGCTGGCACAGTGATTCACGCCTGTAATCCCAGCACTTTGGGGAGCTGAGTCAGGAGGATCGCTTGAGTCCAGGAGTACAAGACCAGCCTGGGCAACATAGTGAGACCCTGTCTCTACAAAAAATAATTTTTAAAAAATTAGCCAGGGTTGCAGTGAGCCGAGATCATGCCACTGCACTCCAGCTTGGATGACAGAGTGAGACTCTGTCTCAAAAAAAAAAAAAAAAAAAAAAAAAATTAGCCAAGTGTAGTGGCTCATGCCTGTGGTCCCAGCTACTCAAGAGGCTAAGGTGGGAGGATCACTTGAGCCCAGGAGGTCACGGCTGCGGCCGGCTGAGATCACACCACTACACTCCAGCCTTGGTGACAGAGTGAGACCTTTTCTCCAAAAGATAAAAATAAAGATCTTAATTTTTCTGGGTACGTGGTAGCCTTATGCTTGGGTCCAGAGTCTTCTCCCTAACGAACCTGCCCCTGAGCTCCTCATCAGAGACACTTTGCCTGGTCTATCTCAAACTCTGTGTTCAGGTACAAGTGTGATTCTTCCAGATATCACACTGGGGCTCAGCACCTGCCGCTAAATAATTCCAACAACAGAGAATAGATAAAGCAAAAAGTGAAAGTACCCTTCCCAATCTCACAGGCCTGTGCTACTTCTATTAATGACACAATGTGTATCCTTCCAGATGATCACTCTTTGGGGACTCTTAAGAACATTTTTTACCTAAATCAATGCACATATTCTGAATATTAGACAAAGTCCACAGCAGTGCCCACACTGATGCACCCTCTCCAGAGCCTAAAATAGGGTATGATTACCTCGGAAGGTTTTAGTCTGTTCAGGCTGCTATAACAAAAGACCATACACCAGATGGTTTCTAACCAACAGAAATGTATTTCTCACAGTTCTAGGGGATGGGAAGTTCAAGATCAAGGTGCCAGCAGGTTTAGTATCTAGTGAGGACCCATTTCCTAGTTTGCAGGTAGTGCTTTCTTGCTGTGTCCTCAAGGTGGAAAAGAAAGGGGGGAAGTGTCTCTTATAAGGACACTAATCTCATTCATGAAGACTCTGCTCTTCAGACTTAATTATCTCTCTAAAGCCACACTTCTTAATTCCATCACCTTGGGGGTTAGGATTTCACTAGACGAATCTGAGGAGGATACGAATATTCAGACCATAGCACTGGCCAAAATGGACCAATTCCAGAACCTGGAGATCTTTTGGTGCTATAATCTACACCAATCTTGGGTCCTAACAGAACTTGGCTGGGTCATGGGACAAGCAAGGCTGTGCTGCTGGGCTGGCCCAAGTGTCAGGGTCAGCAGTGCTTCCTGGTTTCAGTAGCCAATGGTCTGGGAACAGGATCTGGTCTGAATTCCTCCTTATCCTGGCTGTGTGACTTGGGCCAAATCCCTCCACTCTGCAACTTCCTCACCTGGTGAAGACAGAGTTGGAATAAAGGGGATTTACCTGAGAAGCTGCCCAGGGTACCAAACTATAATGCAGTGGAATAGAGAAAATTGTATTGACTGGAATTCTGCTGAGGGAGTGTCTGGAATATTGTCTAAAGCAGTATTTTGGTAAGCTGCCAGGTGTTCGGGGCTAGAGGAACATTTCTTCAGTACAAATTCATTGCTTTGGCCTGCCCAGCATCCATTTCTTTGTCTTTTGGCACTAGAAGCCATATTTTCCTTGGTGACCGCCTCTCCTATTCTTAGCTCATTTGGTACGGGAGGTCCAAGTGCGCTGGGCTCTTGGAGCTGGCATGCACCCAGATGTGGCCAATCTGACCAACCACTACTGGTTATAGTGATTGATTTAGAGTTGGGCAAATAACTAAATCAATCCCATGATATTCAACCCTTTGGGGACATTTTTGGGAACTGTCAGATTCTTTTTATTGGGGCTGCTGAGAGGATAGGATACACGCCAAGAACTTCTGATGACTTCTTGCTGCCATCAGTGGGGTGACCCTACTAGAGGACGGATCAAAAGTGATGAGTTTTGGTGACATCATTCAAGCCCCTGGACCCAGTTTATACCTGAAGTGAGGTACATCCCTGGACTTTTCCTTTAAATGAGTCAATACATTTGCTTAAGCCTGTTTTGAGTTGTTTTTAGTCACTTACATTCAAGAAAAAAAGTCCTAATATGATTTCTAAGGGGAATGCTTGAGTAACAAAAGATAATCAATTTATCCACGGTTAGCTGCTGGGCTTTGGTCTTTCTGAGGAAAACATGAAAAATTGGGTGCTGCCTCCACATCTCCCTTTTCTACCCTTCTTTCACAGCTGTTCATCTTCTCATCTCTAAACAGATATTGAGCAAACATTTAAATAATGCCCATTTGAAAGGGCACTAAGGTATGACCTAATAAAGACACTCATATGTCATGGTTCAGAGCTACTGAAACCCAAAGTGTTGTGTTCTTGCTGCAATTTCTCCACTAATTGTGTGATCTTAAGTAAGTTTGATAGTTTCTCTAAGCCTAAACTGAGAAGTATCTGTGAGGATGAAATGGGACAATGTTCATGGAAGTGTTCTGAAATCCATAAGGCAGTGGCAATTGTGAGTCAAGAAAAATAGGAGCTCTTGCCACATTGGAAGTCAGCTGCTTTGTGGAGGAAACATCCTGAGGGAAGGAGGCAGCACTTTATATCAAAGCAGGGAGGCTCAGCTTGGACGTTTTAGTATCAGGAGATCAGTGATGCTAAATGGAAATTCAGCCCTCTGAGTGATGAGCCCTCTTCTCTCTTCTAACCCTACCCTCCAAAGCAGGCAAACAGTCAAGGTTTGTGGCAAGAAGTTCAAACTTTCCAGAACCTTTCAGAATAATTACATAACCAAGATAGGCAACTAACCAGAGATGACTACTGCGGGGCAAGCAATTTTACAATATAACACTTTTCAAGAAAGCACAAGGACCTCTTTTCAGCATCTAAAATTTTCACAGACTTCTTTCTGTATAGAATAGAATAGAATAGAATAGAATAGAATAGAATAGAATAGAATAGAATAGAATAGAATAGAATAGAATAGAAGAGTAGAATAGAACAATAGAATCTGTTGATTGAGAAAATACAGGCCAGGCATGGTAGCTCATTCCTGTAATCCTATCACCTTGGGAAGCAGAAGAGGGAGGACTGCTTGAGGTGAGGCATTCAAGACCAGCCTGGGAAGCATAGCGAGATCCCGTCTCTACAAAAAATTGAAAAATTAGCCAGGTATGGTGGCACATGCCTATAGTCCTAGCTACTCGGGAGGCTGAGGCAGGAGGATCGCCTGAGCCCAGGAATCCAAGTATGCAGTGAGCAGCGATCATGCCACTGCACTCCAGCCTGGGCAGCAGAGTGCAACCCTGTCTCAAACAAACAAAAAGTACACAATGAAATAAGTATGAATTCAATACTGCTTTAAAATGCATTTGTATATTATCCATAATAACAATGGTTCTTAAAATTTGGGAAGATAGTCTCACAAGATGTACAAAGCATATTATGTGCTAAGCATTCAAACAGTCCTCTTGGGGCATGCAGATCCCCGGCAAACAGATCAGACAAGTAGGACAGTCCTCGACGGACTGGAGCAGCTAACCCACTCCTGTTCTCCCTACAGCACCCCTTACTTTGCCAAAGCTGTTTTCTTAGCATTGTTAACAAAGGTACTCAGAGCACACTACTTCCAACTGAGGTTGTTATCCACTTCCTTTCTCACTCTTCTTCTCAGGTGGGTGTCCAGGTGATTCAAGGTCTCTTTCACCTTCTGCACTCCCAAAGACAAAACTCAGGACTACAAATAGAACTCACTCAGATTGTCAAGAGGTGCAAAAGTTTATCCTGGGCACACAGGTTCAACAGATTTTAAAAGCACTGACATTAACTCTACATCTTGAAGAAGACACTCAGAGAGTATAAGCCAAGCTCTTTTCTGGAGAGCCCATTAACAGAGAAGCAGGTCAAGCAGGGGCTTAAGTACAAGAGTATCTTTTCAAAAGCCAACTTAAAAAGCTCAAGCTCTCTCCCCATTCTGAGCAACAAGGTCCATTGCTTCAAGGACCATGTCTTTGCATCTCAGTGATAGCAGGTGGTGTCCTGGCCTGAATCCTCTAAAAATCTAGGTGTTTCAAGGTTCAGGCTTGGCCTTAGAGTAACCATAGGACTTCAAGAAACCTTTCATGTCTCCTTGGTTCCTCCTCCCCAAGGATTTCTCCCTGACCTCTTCCAACTTCTTGCTGAGAACCTAAAGTGAGCTTTCCTGGTATATTGAGCCTCTGAGCTAAGAGGAAAAGAACAACAGTCTGTGTAACTCTCAAGAAAATGAGGACATTGTAATAATCATATAAACACCACAAAATCCAACCCTATCCACATACCTGGCCCCTCTAATTTCTAGAAGCCCAGACAATAAGGGAAGATGGCAGAGAGTCAGTTGGGCTGATGGCCACTGATCCGAAGCTCATGTGCGGGGGTGTTCAATGCTGTAGGGCTGGGGCCAGGGTTAGACATGAGTCTGGATTTTCCACCTAGATTCTTGACAACCACTTGGCTTCTCACAAATACCCCAATCAAGAATGCAAGAGCTGGCTGGGCGCCGTGGCTTACACCTGTAATTTCAGCACTTTGAGAGGCCGAGGCAGGAGGATCACTTGAGCTCAGGCGTTTGAGACCAGCCTGGGCAACAGAGCAAGACCTCATCTCTACAAAAGATTTTTAAAAACTAGCCAGGTGTGGTGGTACACACCTGTGGTCCCAGCTACTACTCAGGAGGCTGAGGTGGGAAGATCTCTTAAGCCTAGGAGAGGTTGACGCTGCAGTGAGCTATGGTCGCGCCGCTGTACCCCAGCCTGACAGAGAAAGACTGTGTCTCAGAAAAAAAAAAAAAAAAAAAGAATGCAAGAGCTTATATTTTCTGTATTCATCAATAAATCCTATCAGACCAGGAACACCCAAAGTGTGATCTGCAGAATAAGAGCACTACATAATGCAAACAATCTCTTTCTCTCTCTCTCTTTTTCCAGGGTAGGGAGAGTTCCATGGTTAGGTGAGTTTGAACAGTGCAGGTAAAACAAAGCTTCACTTGCAAGGCTTCTTGTAGTGTTTGCTCTGTTAATGTACACTGTGATGGAGACTGCTGCATTTTCAAAACCTCTATAAGCCCTTTTCAGGGAAAGCACCCCATGATGCTAGTGTATCATGGAACCTCCTCTGGGAAGCACTACACTGGCCCTAAAGAGACCCTAATTTGGAGGCTGAGCACAGTGCTCTGACTCAGAAGCCTGGAGCCAGCCCTGGAAAATGGGTAATGTGCAAGGGCCTAAGCCACTTGCCCAGCATTGCAGCAGGTCACCTGAGGCATCTTTTGTGGCCTCTTCTGAGGCCTCTGCCACAGGTAAATTGCATATGTAGTTTTTGGTTGTTGTTGATTTTTGAGGGTGCAGAGGAGTGAGACAAAGAGGATTCCTAATCTTTTTTCTTGAGACGGAGTCTCACTGTTGCCTAGGCCGGAGTGCAGTGGCACGATCTCAGCTCACTGTAACCTCTCCACCTCCCAGGTTCAAGTGGCTCTCCTGCTTCAGCCTCCTGAGTACCTGGGATTACAGGCACCCGCCACCACGCCTGGCTGACTTTTGTCTTTTTAGTAGAGACAGGGTTTCACTATATTGGCCAGGCTAGTCTTGAACTCCTGACCTCAAGTGATCCACTTGCCTTGGCCTCCCAAAGTGCTAGGATTACAGGCATGAGCCACCACACCTAGCCAGGATTCCCAATCTTTATTTGCCTTGAGGCTGATGGAAAATTGCTGGAGTTCTACCTGGGATTCTTAATATAAACTAACATATATACATATACAAATATATATGTGTGTACATATAACTGTAAAAAATAGTGCGGGCTGGGCACAGTGGCTCATGCCTGTAATCTCAGCACTTTGGGAGGCAGAGGAGGGTGGATCACAAGATCAGGAGTTCAAGACCAGCCTGGCCTATATGGTGAAACCCCGACTCTACTAAAAATACAAAACATTAGCCAGGTGTGGTGGCGGGCACCTGTAATCCCAGCTACTCAGGAGGCTGAAGCAGAGAATTGCTGGAACCCAGGAGGCAGAGGTTGCAGTAAGCCGAGATCATGCCACTGCACTCCAGCCTGGGTGAGTGAGACTCCATCTCCAAAAAAAAAAAATAGTGCAAATCATTTGAAAATGAGAAGCACCTCTCACACTCCCGCCCACTGGAGGAGTCATAGGTTTGATATGTCTTCATTGCTCTTCCGCCGGCAGCTCTTGACATTGTTGCCATCAATTCATGATCTTGGCAATGGGCAAAAAATCCTGGTCTTCCTCCCCAGCTCCTGAATCTGTTTTCCAGAGGTTAGAAAAAGCAGAACCATGCAGTGGCTCACACCTGTAATACCAGCAATTTGGGAGGCTGAAAGGCAGGCAGATCACCTGAGGTTAGGAGTTCGAGACCAGCCTGGCCAACATGATGGAACCCCATCTCTACTAAAAATACAAAAATTAGCCAGGCGTCATGGTGGGCACCTATAATCCCAGCTACTCGGGAGGCTGAGGCAGGAGAATCACTTGAACCTGGGAGGCAGAGTTTGCACTGAGCCAAGATCATGTCACTGCACTCCAGCCTGGGCAACATGTCTACACAGTGAACTCACTGAGATGCCTGTAGGGCCTCTTTAACTCTTGTATCATATGTCATGGGACAGTTTGACCTCAACCCACCTGCAGGTGCTATAGCTTGTCTCTGGTGAAACTCTGTCTTAGGACAAAAAAAAAAAAAAAAAAAAAGGAAAAAAGAAAAGGCAGGACCATGATAGAGAACAAGAACATCAACTGACATTTTTCTTTACGCTGTGCCCCGGCCCCTCCTCTTGGCCCACAACACCCATGCTGCTCCCACACATGGAATTGGTCATTGCCACTTTTCCTCCCTCTGGGTTACCACCCAGAGTACTGCTCCCCCTTCTAGCCCAAGAATGCCACTGGCTAATATAACAAATCTTTGCCAAGCATCCAAGATAACTTTGGCCTTCTGAGTCCAATGATCTTGCCTTTGTTGGGCATCATTTGTTAAGGTGAATTCATCCTTGTTTACTCGATTCTATACCATAATGCTGGAGGATTCTGGATGGTGAAAGATGGTGGTGGGCAGGCAGTATTGTGGGGCATCTTTCTGAGAATATTCAAGGAATTAGGCAATGTAGTCTACAGTGGACAACTGCTCCTTCTGCCTATCCCGTATCAATTGTCTCTTCTATAAAAGCATTCAGACTTCCCTTTGAGAATCAACTCTTCCTTTCCTCTTAGTCCGTACAATTTAGGTGAGGCTGACATCATTACCACTCCAGGGATGAGAACAGGACCCAGATCTGGTCAATTGGGGTGCTCTGTGTTCAACAGAGGGAGACACAATTCTGATAGCTTTTTTAAAAGTTTTTTTTTTTTTTTTAAGTATTGAATAGAGAGAATCACTCACTACCCAATAAATCCCAGGGTGGGTAAGATATTTCCCATTTTCAGATGAGGGTACTAAGGGTCAGAAGGATGGAGGCCCAGCCCAATGCTACTGACACAGCTAGGATTCAGTATTGGGTAGAGAATCTCTATCCAGTACTTAAGGGTTGTCAAAAAAAACAGCATATGAAAAAGAATGCCTGCTGGAGAAGGAAGACAACACAACAGAAAGCAGAGATGGGAGAGAGTTCAATTCTTGAACTCCTGGCCTGAAGTGATCCTCCCACCTCAGCCTGAGAGTTGAATTCTGATGACATTGTTTGAACCCCTAGATCCAGCTTTACCTGAAGCTAAATGCGCTACTAAACTTCTCAGTTTAAAAAGCCTATAAATCCTGCTGTTTGAGTCAATTTCTTATTTGCAACTATGTTCTATTCAATTCAAAGCCTTAGGGCTCACCCAAGTTAAACTGACTTCTACATTCCTGTTGTATCTCTGGACTCATGAAACCTAATCTTTCGCTCTACCACCAGTCAAGGAGGCAACTCACAGTTTTTTAATGCCTAGTATTGCCAGGGCCTGTACAGTACGCATGCTTAGTCTTCATAGTCTTTTGCAGTAGGTTTTGTTCATATCCTAATGAGGAAACTGAGGTTCAAAGAGCTGAATGATTTGCTCAAAGGTGTGCCTTAGGCAGAAGACCCAAGACCAGAGCCTTAGGCTTGTTTGACTTTTTCTATTACATGATGTTTCATGCAGCCCCAGGCTGGCTACAGGAAACGTAGGCTGACACATAAAATTTCAGAATTGGCAACTAGAGATTATGATTCTTTTCCTTTCTTGGTGGGAGAGGAAAGGATGGAGTTCCTTACGACTCAGTTTGGTTTGGTGTACACAGTGGCTTCAGGACCTGCCAGGTCAGCCAGGCTTTCTCCTCTGTGCCGACTAGATGGATCCTGGCACTCCACGTTGGAACACGGTGAACTCACTGAGATGCCTGTAGGCCCTCTCTTTAACTCTTGTAACATATGTCATGGGACAGTTTGACCTCAACCCACATGTAGGTGCCATAGCTTGTCTCTGGTCTTCTAGCTGAGTACACCCAAGTACTAGATGTTAAAGATAAATGCTGTGACTCATTCTGACATTAACCTGTTATGCAGAAATCTGCTTTGAATCTTTACCAAGGATCAAACAACTAAAAAGAATCCTAAGCACAAACACAAGTTTAATAAATCTTCTCAATCCCAGGGTGGGCACAAGGTAATTCCCATTTTCAGATGAGCAAACTAAGGGTCAGAAGGACAGAGGGCCAGCACAATGCTACTAACACAGCTGGGATTCAAACATAGCTAATTCCTAAGCCTGTGTTATTTCCACAATGCACTACTAAAATTCAAGAAGCCAGCCAGCTTTATTTTACGTATTTCAAAAAGAAAAAAAAAAAACTTCTCTCACAAATAATATAATTGATTTTTAATAGAAACTTAAAAACTTTAAGATCATGGACACACCAGATCTTAAAAGATGGCCCCTACCACCATAGGTGAAGAGAGAGGAAAATTAAGCAACGACAGGGTGCAGTGAGTACTACGATAAGGACGGGGAGAGGCGTCTATGAGAACATGTAGCAGTGGGTGTATTGTGAGGATAGAGGGTTTCCTCACGAGCAGCTGAGGCTTTAAGACTGAGGAGGTGGCTCCATAGGAGGAGGGGCAGGCTTAGATGGTTTTACTTTCTAGGTGTGTTATGAGAGCATTATCGAACCACACATATTAAAATGTAGCTCAGCCGGGTGTGGTAGCTCATGCCAGTAATCCTAACATTTTGGGCAGCTGAGGTGGGCAGATTATTTGAGCCCAGGAATTTGAGAACACAGCAAAACCCTGTCTCTATTTTTTAAAAACTTAAGAAAGGAAAGAAAGAAAGAAAAAATGTAGCCCTATCCAAATCTCTGAAAAGCTATTTATAATTTTACCTTTTAAATGGCTTGGTGATCAGCAACTCAATGTGCTTAGCTATGACTCCTTGGTAATCACTGCATGCACTTAGAAATTCTTGTGACATGCTCACTTTGGCAGAACAGACACTAAAACTATAAATCTTGTGAAAAAAGAAATTCTCACCTATATTATTCTCAATATTTTAACAATTAAGCTGAAAAAAATTAAGCTGTACAGTGTTTTATTTTGTAGATATTTTTCTTGCTCTTTTCTTTGCATGATTTGCAGCCAGGATTATTTTTCCTGGTTTCTTGCAAGCATTTCATAGGTCCTTCAAAGCTTATAGATCTTAGGCACGATGCCTTTCATTGTCTAATGAATGGGTAAAATAGCAGGGTGGTCAAAACAGAGCTTAGGACCAAGAGGGGGGCATGTGGGAGGGTCCAGGAAACAAGTGCTTGCACACAGCACCTAAAACAGCCTGAGGTTGGGTTGCCACAACTGAAGCCAGGTACCATTTCAAACACTAACAGACTTCCTTGAAGATTACAAAGAACTTCAGGATGGTTCACCATCCCAGATGTAGCAGGAAGCAGCAGCCGACCTTACCTTTGGGGCATCATTTTCTCCCAAGACGGAGACCAGTTGCCTAGATGGCCCCCAGGGAGTCCGGCAGCAGCCCAAGTGCTCTATCGCAGCCATAGTAACAGGGTATTCAGGGAACAGACACACGGAGGCACATATCTTTTAGCCAGGCTCGTTCATTATCTTTTGTCTTTAAGTTGGCCTCTGATTTCTATATCAGTTGAAATATGTAATGTCCCAAATTGTGGCAGAAATAAATTAACAAATTAAGCAATCTGAGGATTTTTGGACACAAGGCTCTTCAGAGGGGTGGGAATGAGGAGGAAACAGGAATAAAGAATGTCCCGAGCCCTCAGAGACACTTGAATACCTGAAATATCTAGGATGTTTTAAAACAGGTGCCGATCCCAGGCCCGTGCTCAGGGTACCTGACAGGTACGGGCCAAATGCGACCAGGAAGGAGGGCAGCCCCACACCCGGGCAAACCCTGACAACCGGACAGCTTTCATTTGCTGGAGTAAAGGAGTGACGTGGCTCGGCCTTTGTTAGATGCCAAACACTGATAAAGCGTTCCACTCAAATGGCCTCTTAGATGTGGCCAAGAAAAGTACAAAAAGGCCCAGCTTGCCTGTTGACAATCCCATTAAACTTTCAGTCACTTCTAAAGAACAGGCCAGCACCATCTGAACATGGAAACCCAAGTGCCAACTACTTCTCGTCCACTCTGGAGTAAGGGACAATGGAGATCCTGGGTGGGCACAGGCCCTGCAGTGCTGCATTCCCACTCATCACAGACTAAAATTGCCACCTGTACACCCCAGGTCTGACACTACCAACTGGGAAGGCCAACAGAACCCCACATTCTACTCCAAAGACCCTGGAACGAAGGCACAGTAAATCCACTTATTTAGCTCACTCTGATTCCGCCTCCCCCAGCCGAACTCCACCCTCACCTCAGGCACGGCCAAAACTTTGGAAATTGTTTCACTGATGCTCCAGTGTCCCCAACTACCTTTGATTTCATCAACTGCTTCCAGCCTTCTGTACAACATCCTGCCTACTTCCTTTGCCTCCCTCTAGCACCTTCAACTCTTCTACTCAGGGCCCATAAAACTAAGTGCCAGGATTGGTCTCACCTAGCAGCCTCCCAACACAAAGACCTAACAGGAAATGGCCACCTCATGGTCTTCTGCCGTTTGGTGTGAGGACAGGCACCATGGTACAACTTGAATTTTTGTTTTTATAATTTGGGTCTGTGATTAGCTATCCTTTACCACTTTTTTGGAAATGATTTTTTAAAATAAAGAAAACCCAGAAGGGAAAGCATCAGGATAAATAGCTAATGCACCCTGGGCTTAATACCTAGGTGATGGGTGGATGGGTGCAGGAAACCACCATGGCACATGTTTATCTATGTAACAAACCTGCACGTCCTGCACAGGTATCCCAGAACTTAAAATTAAATTGGAAAAACAAAAACAAAAACACAAAAACTCCAGCCTGGACAACATCTCTAAAAAATTTTTTTTTAATTAGCTGGGTACAGTGGCTCATGCCTATAGTCCCAGCTACTTGGGAAGCTGAGGCAAGAGGATCACTTGAGCACAGGAGTTTGAGGTTACAGTGAGCTAGGACTGCACCACTGCACTCTAGCCTGGGTGAGACCCTGACTCAAAAAAGAATTTAATTTTTTTTTAAAAGAACAAAACCCCTGAGGCTTAGCTGCCCAGTGAGGGCAATGTGTAATTCAGCAGGTCCTCCTGTTGCTCCTTCCCAATCAACATGTCATGTTGCAACACACTGGCTGCCTCCCACCCGTTAGCAACTGTTTTGACCACTATGGTAAAATCATCATGATGGAGGCTGGCTGGAGTCTGCATGGAATGTAGTTAAAGGATGTTGAAAGACAGAAGCAGGGCCTTGTAGATGACAAGAAGGCAAAGAATGATACTGCCATGACCCCCAGCAAGTTCACAGGTTTATCTGCCTAAAAAACTCACACTCCCATTGAACAACTGCTGCCGTTAACTCAGAATGGTCTATCTCTATCAGCAGAAAGGAACAGACAGACCAAGATAGAAAACCAAGCCCCAAAACGCTGGAATCTCTCGCTTCAAGCTACCCCAGCAAGTAAGTGGACCGACCAGGAGCTAAGCTAGAAAAAAGGAAGAGAATGCAGGATTTGAATAGTCTCTAAGATGTCCCAGCAAACAGCAAAGGATGACTTCTTCCCGAAGGAATGGTACATTGCTTCTCTTGGGAATTTGAGAAGGGGCTGGGAGTGAGCTGTTTAAATAAATATTAAATTTGTCCTCTTTTTGGCAATACCATCACCATTCCTGCAAGATGTTCCAACTCCAGAAGCAGCTTTGCCAAATGCAGGGCTGGAACCACACCAGACACTTCCAGGTTTGCAGCAGACAGTAGCACATATCCCCTCTACTGCTTATAGTAATCTGCCTGGCCTCTATGTGCCACCCTACATTGACCAACAGCACCATTTCCAGAGCTTGTACAAGGAACGGCAGGTATGTGATATTCCAAAAGCAATGTGCCCCTTAGTTCTGGATTTGAGCTCTATATGGGCAGATCTGAGTTCGAACGTCAGCGGCACTAGGTAAGACTGCAGTATGTGTGGCAGGCAAAATTCTTAGATGGTAATCCACGATTCCCAGCCCCTGGTTATTTAAACACAAATCTAGTATTGCTGTTGTCAGTTGACCTTAAGATAGGGAGATAATCCAGGTAGGACTATTGTGCTATGAGTCATTTTTAAGCAATGTTTTCTCCAGCTGGTATCAAACGGAAGGTGAATCCAAAGTACCAGGATTCCATGCACCATTGCCAGCTTGAAGGTAGGGGAGACCAAGTGAACAGAAATACGGACAGTGCCTGTCTATATGCTAAGAGTTGTCCACAGCTCACAGCCAGCAAGAAAAATGGGAAGAAAACAGGTGACTTCAGTCCTACAACCCTGAATTCTGTCGACAACCTGAATGAGCTGGAAGCACATTCTTTCCCAGAGCCTTCAGATGAGAGCTGAGCCCAGCCCAGGTGACACACACCCTGATATCAGCCTTATGAGACTCTAAGCAGAGAATCCAACCAAGCCCTGCCTGGATATCTGACCTTCAGAACTGTGAAATGATAAAGAGGTATTGTTTTAAGCTACTAAGTTTGTGAGCATTTGTTATATACCAAGAGCATATTACCAATACAGTATGTAAAGCTCTCAGTAGAATGTCATAGTCCAGAATGTCCTGGCCTTCCTCAAGGTTAACTCTCTACCTCCACATCCTCCCACACCCCTAGACATCAAAGCACAGCCTTTCTCTAGCCCCTTTTCACTTAAAAAGCAAAAGGTACCGAGAGGGAGTGATGAGGCAAAGTTCACCCCCGGGGGAGGACACCATTTGGAATTCAAGTAGAAAGAAGTACATCTTTCCCCTTCTACAAACTTCAAGCCTATGCACATATCAAATGCAGACTCTATTAGCTGGCAGGGGAAATCTGCCATGGATCCTGGTATTCCTGCATATTCTTGCTGGGCAGGCTCTTGCCTGGGTTCTTTCTCAAAACTGTGTTTGCAGGAGGCAGTCTTAAGGGATGAAGTAATCTCTGCACGTGAAACAACAGGCTTGCCATGAAATAGGTGGAGTCCCCAAACATAACAAGTTCTTTGGCTATGATGCAAACTTGTAACATGCATAGCATCTACCTGGGCCCCTCCATGTCCACTGTGAGACAGGGGAAACCAATATAAACACGAAGTTCATGCTGCTTGCTATGCTGAGTAAAGTTCTTTATCTCTGACCCAGGATCCTCATGTCTTCTGGTAGCATCAATAAAAAAGTAATAATCTAACTTATTAGCTTGCAAGGGTAAAATCCCAGACCCTGACTCTATTACACTTATTACACTTAGATCCTTAAATGAGGAGATTTAATGTCTTTACATTATACATTTCAAAGGAACAAAACACCCTTTATGAATTTTCTCATGGAGATAGCACTTACATCACAGAGCTATTGTGAAAATAAAATAAGAATGTACAGCACACCTGGAATATAAAAACATCCCAATAACTTACTTGGAGCCCCGCAGCCATCCATCCCTCACATATAAATACAATGAACCAGATGAAGATCCGTGTCCGTGTCCATGACAGCAATCCATTCAGAAGATCAAAGATAAATAGTCTAATACACCAATTTCTGACATTTGCTTAGCACTGCAGGACTCATGAAGAGCTGCCACTCATATTATCTCATTTAATCCCTACAACAAAAACCAAGGCTCAAGGAGGTGAGTCCTTGCAGAAAGAACAGTAACAGACTCCACAGGTTTGCAAAACAGCCATATGACAGAGGGCTGAGGAAGCCTATGATAGTAGGCTGAGGAAGCACAGCTGAACTGCAGCTACGAGACTGTTCTAGCAGCACGACTGTGGCCTGAAGGCACATTCTTCCTCCAGGTAAGGCAAGGGAGCTCTCATGGTGACTGGGCCCCTCCTGGGCAATGGCAATGCCACTGGAGAAACAGCTGGAAACCATATGCTACAGGGATGTCTTTTATTTGTATATTGATATTTCTTCACAGAAAATTAAGCAAGTGGCTATTCTGTCCTGGATTAATCCATTTGGACTTGGTCCCATTGGTGTCCGTGGCAGCTTCTGCTTTGTCTGTAGGCATTGGGGCCTTATCTTGTGATGGTTATCACTTGAGGGTCTTGCTAAGGTTGGAGAAACCAATGCCAACACAGGTCATCAGCACTTTATCCCCACCCTTGAGTTCTTCACCACATGGCTTGGTTTCAATTTTAAACATAATCTGGAAAAAGCTCTTCAAATGCCGCAAAAATTCTATCCTAAAAAGGAAAAAAATAAATAAATAAATAAAAAGAAATTCATTCAAAAAAAAATTATCCTCTACCACCTAGAATCCAAGGTTTTAATCTCCCAGACCTAGAGGGCTGAAGTTAAGACCTTCTCATCGAATCTGATTAAATAGTACTTCCTTTCAGCCAGCCAGTTTCCAAAGAAGATTTAGATAGTTTGCAGAGATACACGCAATACAGCAAGATAAATTAAACTGGGGGGGGAAAGGTTAGAAGTTCGTACGTGACACATAAGTTATTTAGTTCAGACCTAGCAGAAAATGGACAGAAATATGGTGATGACTCTTTTTTTTATAAGAGATGGGGTCTCACTATGTTGCCCAAACTGGCCTCAAGCTCCTGGGCTCAAGCAATCCTCCACCTCAGCCTCCTGACTACCTGGGACTATGGGTGTCCCAATGTACCTGGCTTAGGCAATGATTTTTGAGTGGCCTATACAAAGACAGAAACACCTATTTCCATGATTCACAGCACCATGACATTCAAAACAAGCACAATGACTACTGATGCTGAAACAGACAAGTCCCTCCCTTCATTCTCCAATAATACCCTCGCATTTACTTAATATGTATCAAGTGCCTACTGTATGCTAGGCACTGTTCTTGGTGCTGGGAATATTGCACTCAAATGAAAAAAAATAAAAATAAAAATCCTTCCCTCAGGAGGATTTCAATCTAGTGGTATAGATAGAGACTAGATAAATAAATTAATTTTATTCCTGAAAAGTGCTATGTAATGTAAACAAAGCAAACAACACAGACGGGGAAGAACTGTGGGTATGACAGTATTTGTACATATTTGGCAGAAGGCAATATTAAATAAGGTGGCCGGGGAAGTGTGCACAGTAAACACAACAAGGACAATGGCATCACAGGGCGATGGCATCAGTCCAAGAGTACCTTGGGAAGAGCAATTCTGTGGATGAACCGCAGTGCAGGTGCACAGGCTTCTAATGGTCTCGCCTGGCAGACCTAGCGTCACCCCAGCTAGCCTGACCATAAGACTCACCTGAACAGTTCATTAAATACACAGGTTCCTGAAGGTTATGGTGAACTTGCAACTGGTAGGAAATGTCCATATGGAAGAGCCCAGAATCACAGTCCACACACAAAGCTGATCCCTCCCT
Organism: Homo sapiens; assembly: GCF_000001405.40. Taxonomy (NCBI): domain Eukaryota; kingdom Metazoa; phylum Chordata; class Mammalia; order Primates; family Hominidae; genus Homo; species Homo sapiens. The sequence continues at coordinate 4,858,968 of NC_000009.12, read as the reverse complement.
ACCCTCCACCAGGCCCTGTACTCCCCAGTTCATAGAGGCCAGAAATCTATGTTGTTAACAAGAATCCCTGGCAAGTCTCATTGGGCAAGGTTAGGGAATACTGGCTTAGTGAAGAATGATGGCTTGCACATCTATAGTGAAGTATTACAAAAACCTCGCACTGTACTGTCTCCCAATCAAACCAGCCAAACTCTCCACTCTGGCCAGATGGTTCTCAATCTCGACTGCACATGGAATAACCTAAGGAGCTTTAAAAACACTGACGCTAAACACATAGATCAATGGAAGAGAATTGAGAGTCAAGAAATAAACCACACAGTTATGGCTAATTTCCTCAATGAGGAAAGCATAATCATTGCAACAAATGATGCTGGAACAACTGGATATCCACAGGTGAAAGAATGAAGCTGGGCCCCTTCCTCACATCACACACAAAACTTAACCCAAAAGAGATCAAAGTCATAGCTGTAAGAGCTAAAACTATAAAGTTCACTAAAGAAAATACAGGAGTAAATATTCATTACCTTGGGCTAGGCAACGGTTTCTTAACCATTTCTTAAATACAACACCAAAAGGATGGCAATAAGAGACAAAATAAATAAATTGGACTTCATCAAAATTAAAATACTTTGTGCATCAAAGTGCACCATCAAGAAAGTAAAAAAACAACCTACAGGATTGGAGAAAAGATCTGCAAGTCATATATCTGATAAAGGTCAGGCATCTCAACTATATAAACAACTCTTACAACTCAATAATAAAAAGACAAATAACCTAATTAAACGATGGGAGAGTACAGGCATGGTACCTCACACCTGTAATCCCAACAGTTTGGGAGGCCAAGGCAGGCAAATTGCTTGGGGCCTGGAATTCAAGACCAGTCTATTACGACCCCCATCTCTACAAAAAAATTGTTTTAAAATTAGCCAGGCATGATGGCAGGAGCCTGTAGTCCTAGCTACTCGAGCTATGATTGCACCACTGCACTCCCACCTGGGCAACAGAGTAAGACTCACTGAAAAAAAAAAAAAAAAAAAGTGGGAGAGCTAAACGGATATTTCCTCACAAATATCCAATAAGGACATGAAAAGATGCTCAACATCACTGGTTATTAGGGAAGTGAAAATCAAAACCACTGTGAAATATCACTTCATATCCAATAGGATGGCTATAATAAAAAGACATACAATAACAAAAGTGTGGGTGAGGAGGCAGAACCACTAGAACCCTCATACACTGCTGGTGGGAATGTAAAACGGTACAGCCGCTGTGGAAAACAACCTGGCAGTTCCTCAAAATGTTAACCGGGGAGTTACCATAGGATACGGTAATTCTACTCTTAGGAATATGTACAAGAGAAATGAAAACATACACCCACACAAAAACTTGCACGCAAATATTCATAATGGCATTATTCACAAGAGTCAAAACGTAGAAGCAACCCAAATGTCTACCAACTGATGAATGCATAAAATGTGGTATATCCATTCAATGGAAGATTTTTTTTTTTCTGCCATAAAAAAGGAACAAAGCACTGATACGTGCTACATCAATGAACCCTGAAAACATTATGCTAAGTGAAAGAATCCAGTCACAAAGGACCAGATAGTGTATGATTCTATCTACACAATATGAAAAAGCCACAACAGGCAAATCTATCACAGAGGCAGAAAGGAGATTCGTGGTTGCCTGGGGCTGGGGAGAGTGGGAAGAATGGGAGGCACTGTGAGCTGGCACAGGGTTTCTTTCTGGGGGTAGTAAAAATGTGCTAAAATTAGATTGTGGCTGTGGTTACACAAGTCTGTGAATACACTAAAAAACCTTTAAACTGTGTACTTAAAATGGGTAAATTGTGTCATATGTGAATTGGTTCTCAATAAAGCTTTTTAAAATAAAGAAATCAATACATATTTGCCATGCTATAAAACAACTGATCCTGGTTCTCACCCCTACTCGGTGTATACCAAACTACATATAAAGCCTGCCTTGATGAATTTCCCTCCCATCCCCATCCCTCTGTGCTAAGAGCACTGATCTAGTTAAAGGAAGGAAACAGCTACATGGAGAAAAGGGGGCCTGAACAATTCCTGACCCTGTGGCTGAAGTGACCAGCGCATCAGGGGCTAAGAGATGAAACATTAACAACCCTAGAGGGCAGGAGTTCTGGTCAGTGCTGGATGCTCATAGAAAAATCCCCCAATTCCTTGCTTTCCTTCCACCTAGGAATGTGCAACTTCATCTCGACCTTTAAAATAACATCCCATTTGTCAACTTTTCTATGAAGTCTTTCCTAGCCCATAAACCCTACCCCAAACGATCTTTCCCACCCCTCCAGGTTTCCATAGCATTCTCTGCTCATGGTGTCTAATTAAATGCTTATGTATCACTGTCCCCTTCCCCATCATTAAATTATTTAAGTACCTCAACAGCAATGCTTTTCTCCAACACTGAACCCGTTATTCAAACAAGGTACTGTATAAGGTTCTCAGTAAAGAGGCACTGAATAGAATTTAGCCTCAGTAAAGAGGCTCTTCTCCATCACTGAACCCGTTATTCAAACAAGGCACTGTAAAGGTTCTCAGTAAAGAGGCACTGGATAGAATTTAGGAGTTGGGGTAATTTTGAGAAACAATTTTCAACATTCTTGGCAATTAAGGGAAGTCAGCTTTCCCTGCTGGCTTTCCTGTCTTACTAACCAATTAAATTTCTGTTGTCGTTGTTGCTTTCTATCCATCCCACCATCTCCCCCATCCTGTCCTAGGGAAAAAAGAAAACACAGCAAACCACAGATAAACAGTCCACATCTGTGGGCAAAGCTTCCAGCTGGCGGCAACCTGGAAAAAGCCAGCCATCTCACCCACTCTGCATCTGAAGGAGAAAACAGATTGGTCTCTCCTTTGCTGCTGCCTCAAACTAACACAGGCCTGGGGCATGCTCTGCTCCCAGGATGTCACCCAGCCTACTTCACTCTGAATCACTCAACTGTGCTTGAAAAACCAGACACCCTCCCCAGCTGGCAGAATTTCTACGGGCCCTCAGCTTGCTTCTGATCTCTTGGAGAAGGATGGGAGGAACACAGGCTCAAGTGTGCAGGCCTGTGTATTTGCAAGTTTGGGGTATTTGTAGCCTTTGGAACAGTTAGAAAAAGCAAAGTTAGTTCCACTTTTTACATAATGTTCTGCCAACTCCTCAGCCTGTCCAAGGAAGACTGTGTAAGAGACTAGATTAAGGTACATTTCAGAATCTTTCCCCCACCTCTAGCCCCATTCTCCCTATGTCTCTGGCAGCTGGGATATTGAAGAGCAAAAATGCTCACAACCTGAAAAAAAACCACAGACAATATTAAATCCCAGCAAACAGCCTCCTTAAGAAAACGAAAAGCAAATGAAGAGTAAGCTCGTCCTGTATCTACATGCACTTGAACAAAGTCTTGTCCAGTGCTGATCCACGTCCTGCTCCACAGCCCAACAGCTCTCCACAGCAGCAGCTGCACTGAGGCACCGCCTCTTGAGTTCATATTTCCCTGCCCCTCTCTTCCACAGCACTACACTGGAGATTCACACTTCCTAGACACAACCACACAGCCACACACCCAGGGCAAAGAGACCCACCGCTCACCGAGAGCAGCTCTGCCCCTCAATGAGTAACCACCCACACAGCGCAAATAGCAGCTTTTCAGAAGAACCATTCTAGGCAGTAGGGGCTCTATGCAACTCCTGTGTAAAGGATTTTAACACCTAACATAGAGAATGATTATCTGCAGTGAGGCTTTTTTTTTCCCCGGGACAAAATGATTTTCAGAAAACAAAAAGCAACTGACTTTTCTACGAAAGCCTCTAGTCCATCTGACAAGCAGGTTTCAGAGAATTCTGGAGCACAGAGATAACTTTTCCTATTTTTTTTTTTTTTTTTTTTTGAGACGGAGTCTTGCTCTGTCACCCAGGCTGGGGTGCAATGGTGCGATCTCAGCTAACTGCAACCTCTGCCTCCCAGGTTCAAGTGATTCTCCTGCCTCAGCCTCCCGAGTAGCTGGGATTAGAGACATGTGCCACCACGCCCGGCTAATTTTGTATTTTTAGTAGAGACGGGGTTTCACATGTTGGCCAGGCTGGTCTTGAACTCCTGACCTCGTGATCTACCCGCCTCGGCCTCCCAAAGTGCTGGGATTACAGGTGTGAGCCACCGCACCCGGCCTTCCTATGTATTTTCAAAAGGTGAGTTGTTCCCACTGCCACTGCTGGTCAACAGGAAAGGCCATGAGGCTTGTGGTCATGGGTCCGTTGAATCCCAACTGACCAGGATTTGACAGGCTGCCAGATCCCACCCTTAAACACAGCCCCTCCCACCAGACCCCTCTTTTGAAGCATGTGAGAGATTGGGGTGAAGGCAATCATGGGGTGAGCCCTCTCTCTGGCAGCCCCCACAGGCACAAACCACAACAGAGGGTCCTGCGTCCTCCTCCACTAAGCCACCTGGTTACTATGCCACTGGATATGGGACAGAGCTGGGGGTACCTACATCTCAGGTGTAAGGACATGCTCTGGAAGTTGAGGGAAAAGATCTGGAGATAAGAAAAGGATCTGCTCAATGGAGTCCCTATAGTCATTACATGGCAGCTTTTAAATATACTGCTGATGCTTTTTCTGCTGAATAGAGGCTTTTCCAAAGACAAGCTGACCTCTGCTCCAAATGAAATTACTACATTCAGTTACTGAGGCAGCAGGAAACAGAGAACTAGGCTAGCTGCACTGTCAGGAGATGGGGTCCCAGGCCCAGTTCAGACAGGATCTCACCATAAGCAGGTCAGTGACCTCTTTTTTATCTGAGAAGGAAGGCTATCACTTGCTTTTACCATACACCAATTATGTTCTAGGGCTCAAACATCAGGTGACAGGGCTTTACAGAATTTAAACGCTTCACAAAACTAAGACATAGTGGTACTGTGCAAGCTCATGGAATGCAGTGAGGCCACTGACCCCAAGTAGAGGCAGGCTTGGCCGGCAGTTCCCAGTTTCCCCACTGGTTTCCTCATTGGTTCTTCAGAGGGCTGAGCTTTAGGCTGAGTGGGCTAGGAAGCCCCACTCAGTTGGTGTTTAACAAGGACAGTGTCCTCTAGCTCCTCAGCACTTCCACAGTCATGGAAAAAGGTCATTAACTAAAGTTAGAAAAAAAAAAGTCACGGTTTATTTTAGATTTCCAACTAAAGATAGAAAGAGATCATTTTACAGCAGAATTTGAAACGAGGACTTTGCTGAAAAGATGTAGCATGGCATCCTGCCTCAGGCAAGGTGCTTGGAGTCCAGCGATATGGATGGAATCCCAGCTCTTACATAAGAGCACAATGGGTTGGCCGGGCACGGTGGCTCACGTCTGTAATCCCAGCACTTTGGGAGGCCGAAGCATGTGGATCACCAGGTCAGGAGATCGAGATCATCCTGGCTAACACGATGAAACCCCGTCTCTACTAAAAATACAAAAAATTAGCCGGGCATGGTGGCGGGCGCCTGTAGTCCCAGCTACTCAGGAGGCTGAGGCAGGAGAATGGCACGAACCTGGGAGGTAGAGCTTGCAGTGAGCTGAGATCGCGCCACTGCACTCAGCCTGGGCGACAGAGGAGACTCCGTCTCAAAAAAAAAAAAAAAAAGAGCACAGTGGGTAAGGGAAGCAGTGACTGGAGGAGACTGTCCAGGTCTGAACCCCACTTACTGTCTGTGTGACCCTGGGCACGTAACTTGACCTCGCTGTGCCTCAATCCCATCACCTGTAAGACGGTGCACATGATAGTACTTGCCTTTTTTGCCCTTATGAAGTTATGATGAAAACCAGATAAGTTATTATGTCTGAGTGCTTAAAACAACATCTTGCACACAGTAAACACGGTGTTGTTTAAATAAACATCTACCTTACAGAATTCTTAGGATCAATAAGATGTGTGTAGTTTGCTCAGTAATGTGACTAGGGGAAGTCAGTCATAAAAATAATAACTAGAAATTAAAATTTTTTAATCCATAATTTAAAATTAATGGATATAGATTTATAGGTAGCTGGGCAGACCACTTACAGATGACTTAAACCCTAAAATCACCCAAAGCAAGTTTACTAGGCCTCCTGGGGTTCAAAGTGACCTGACCGGGCTACTCTAGCCACACTGCCTCTGGGGTAGTCCTGCTCCTCAAGGAGCAGTTAAAAAAAAAAAAAAGTGACCTGACCAAGGGACTGGACTGCAGCAGGGTGAAGGGGTGTCCAGGCAGGAACCACAGCACCCAGCACTGACAGCTCCTCAGGCACGTTGCCAGGAGCACTAAGCATCTGACTTAATCTAAGCTTCGTTCCATCTCCACAAGTCCAGGACTTCAGGACCACGCACCTTATCTACAAATGACACCAAGGCTCCAAGATGCTAAATACCATTTCCACGGTCTCCTGGTAGCGCGTGGTAGAGCCTTAAGTCCAGATAGGCTGGACTCCAAGACTTGTGCACTGGCAGAATGCAGAGAGCTCTGGTAACTGCAGTCTCATTCCACAAATAATTTCTGAAAGTGCTAATTAAGATGCATCTTAATTTTTGCTATTTTTCTTGCTGTTAATCCAAAAGTATAAATCCTCCCTCCCTAAACTGTAAAATTAAGCTTGTTGAATGGAGGGTGCAACTACTGTCACTAACTGTAAGCCACCTAAAACTCAACAAATTTAACAGAAATAGAATCTTCATATACCAGTGATTATCCAACAGTATTTTATTCTACTGAAAAAAAATCTCTTGGGCCTTTCTAAAAGAGTTTCACATTGGCCGGACTTGGTGGCTCAGGCCTGCAATCCCAGCACTTTGGGAGGCCAAGGCGGGTGGACCACGAGGTCAGGAGATCGAGACCATCCTGGCTAACATGGTGAAACCCCGTCTCTACTAAAAATACAAAAAATTAGCCAGGCACGGTGGCGGGTGCCTGTAGTCCCAGCTACTCGGGAGGCTGAGGTAGGAGAATGGCGTTGAACCCGGGAGGCGGAGCTTGCAGTGGGCGGAGATTGCGCCTCTGCCCTCTAGCCTGGGCGACAGAGCGAAACTCTGTCTCAAAAAAAAAAAAAGAGTTTCACACATACAGACTTACTTTCTCAAGTAGCACAGAAAACCACCAACAGCAATCCCAATGCTCTTTACATAGACATTTAAAAAGCTGTTTTATACACACGAAAAACAGGTCCAAACTGCTTGAAGAAATGCTTTTTTTTTTTTAAACCAAGGAAGGTCTTGCTTCTGGTTTTCTTTAGAAATCTGAGGTTTCACAAAACAGGTTTCTATGACTTTAACTACACATAAAAATAAATGTGTTAGTTTGGTCTCCAAAGCTCTTGAATCCATTAGAATAAACTATTCCCCCACCATGATGGTCCTCACCGTGGATTTCATCCCTTTTTTATCCTCAACTGTACTCACAAATACAATGTTAACTTTGCCTGCTGCATCCTGCCTTTGCCCTTCATCTCTTTGTGCTGCTGGAGCTGTCCATAGTGATTAGGGGCAGAAAGAGTATGAAACAGATCCAGCTTTCTTGAAAATAGACTCCCTTACCTGTCTTTATGCTAGCTTACCAAAAAGAACGGAGGCTTCCCTTTCCCACCCTGGCAGACCCGTCTGCACAAAGCTCTGGGAGGCAGCAGAATATCTCTAAGCCCCAGCCTCAAGATACATCATCTTACAATTTGTGCTACTCCTTTAAAGCTCCATTCAGAGCAGGACACTGTTTTCACAGGAGAGGAAGTCATTTTATGCAAGTTTTCTGGAAGAAAAGACACTACAATTAATGTTTGGTGAGAAGATGTGTTGAAGAGGACACAGGAACTTTCAAAAATGTCCAGTCATATCTTGAGCATCTCTGCAAAGCTTGAAAACATCATACAGGTCCTGGAGCCAAATTGAAAAATCTCCAAAAGCAAAAGAAAAAAAGTGTCACGAAAAAAAACATATATGTATTCCATTTTCACAGAATGTTCTGCCAAACCCCATGCCCCAGGACCACACACATTCAAGACAACACCCCATACCTCATACCGTGTGTGCAAGCAGGACTTCCCCAGGCCTGAAGCAAGGGCTGGGAAACGGCAGCTACGAGCCCAGCTACAAAGCCGGTGGGGCCACAGTGGCCACACAGCTGGCAGCCGCCTCCAGTGAGCTCTCTACAGGAAGCGAGTCTCTGTACCTAGGGTGCCATTCTTCCAGCCCTCATCTCCTCTCCAAGTACTTAACTACCAAGTCTATTTTAGCATTGTTTACTACTGATGTTACCACGCCATTTAGGATTACTCAATTTTAGGTATCCTGTCCTACGAAATACTTTTACACAAGCTATCAGGAGATAATGTGGTCCTTACCAGTTTCCTGCTTATCAGTCTTCCCTCTCTGCTAACAGAATGTATTCTCTTCCATTTTCCTGTTCTAAAAAAACCTCCCACCACGAATTCCAAAAAAAAAAAAAAAAAGAAAAAAAAAAGCCTCCATAAGAATTTATTTCAAGCTCCTGGTTTTCATGCCCCCAACGCCATGGCCCAAGGGTGCATAGCCCCACCGCAGTCCTCAACCCTTTCTCAATGTGATGGCACCACCATTCTTCAGTTATCACAGTACTGTACCTTTCAGATATACAGCATCGGTACCATGATAACCGAAAAAGGACAGTTCAGTCTCATATCTACCTGAATATTCCCTGCCACCCAGCTCACCAACCTCAGATGGGCCATATGATGATCTCCAAGTATGCAAGCACGTGAAAACACACACACACAATGTCAGTACTCAAATAGGCTGTTTTCCGCAACCTCATTTACTATCAATAGGAAATGCTTCTTTCACAGTGTCATTTATAATTCAAGTCTTCTGACACTGTTCTTTTTGAAGAGTGCTTGCTTTTACACCACAGCAGTCAACTTCTGCTAACATTCAACAATCCAAACTCACTTCTACAATTCCCTACTAGTCCAGTAGCATTAATACAAACTCTGTCTTTTGTCATCTTTCCCAGTGAGCTCATATCCTATCATCTTAGACAAAAAGCCTGTTTTCCCACAGCAAGTTAGACAGCTAAGGAAAAGAATGATTAAAAAAAAACTAGTAATAAAATCCAAGCTACACCAAACCAGGAGTTTACCTCTAACCTGGAAACAAAATCTAAAGCACGAACAAAATAACTGCCCAATAGAGATCATGCAATTTCAGTTACCTGGGATTAAGGAAGGAAAGAAATGCAAAAATCCTTGTATGTAAAAATAAACACCAGGTTAAGAGTGACAACTGCTGGCTGATTTGAGGATAAACACAAGCAGGTGTTCATAGTGCAGGCTCTGTGCAGCACAACACCCTTTGTCATTTTGGGCAATGAGAAAATTACACTGGACAGAATAACGAGGTTGAAAAAGAATAACTTACGTGTAGGGAGAGAGAGGGCCTAGCAGGACTTTGGAAACATCCTGCTGTCCAAGGGTCATGAGTAGTAGCGCCAGGCTTTGGTTGGTCGAGTCTACGCATCCACCCTGTAAACACAAATTAATAATTGTACAAACCAGAAAATGGAAAGCCAACAAAAGAGAGGAGGAAAAAAAAAACCAGAAACATACACTCATAATATCAAAATCCAAAGTTCAAGCAACAATAAAACAGAATACAGGTCTTATAAGAGTAATCATTGTATCAACTAACTGTAGAGGGTTAAACTAACAGTTAATTAGAGCAACTGTAATAGTTGAGACTATCAGAATGAGACTATCAGATTCAAATCTTCTTAAGTGAATCTAGTAAAAAAAAAAAAAAATGAAACTTTCCCTTTATCATTAAAGCAGCAGCAGGAGGACATCATCTTTATTGAGTATATGCAAAAAAAAAAAAATCTTAATCAGTTCTAGAAGATGTAGAGTTAATTCCAAGGGTTAAGTGGATGACGCTCATATTTATTGAATCTGTCACAGAACAACACAGTCTATCTGACATGAAACGGCCTTTTCATGGCCTTACTTTTACACTTATTCAAATACATTCAGGAAACTGCTTGCCATACTCTATTAACTTCTCTCCTTTATCTCTTCCTGAGTTCCTTAAAACTGAAGACTTGTTAAGGTTAGATCCCTTTATTCTTACTACTTATGTATAAAATTATGCCTTCCACCCCCTTTTCCTTCCCTTTCTTCCAAATTAACAAGCAGAACAGACTTCTCTTCAAACACTTTCTCCTGAGGTACAACTGCTTAGGTTGCCTTTCTTCTTTTGTTTTTCATTTTCTCAGCCATTTTAACTGTTTTGCCTCCACTAGACGCATACATAAGCATACAAACACGCTTTCTGATCATTCTTTCTGGAATAACTTTAAAACATATTGTACATAGTCAAAGAAGGATGACCTTGAATTTCTACATATTTTGCACAGGTCAAAATTAGAAATCCAGTCTGACCAAGGCACGTTACTATCCAAGGCTAGACTGAACAGGATAGGTGGCCAGCAGTGTGGTTCATATGGCTACAACTGCCCCTGCCTCCTTTTTAAGGCATGTAGGGTAGGAAATAAATCCATTTTCAGATACAGACACTCTGAAATTCTCTGGCTGTCAGATATCATTTAGTAGCCCTAATAATGGTGAAGGAAATAAGGATTGATCTTACTGCTAGCCTTTATGAAAATCTATTGCACGTCCCTAAACTACCTTAGTTAATAAAGGACAGAAAACAACATTTAGATCACATAGCAAATTCTAGGACAAGGAGAGTTCCTTTTCCTTTTCTACCCAAAAAGAAAAACCTGACCCATGGAAAATATGACGACCAACAAAACTGTTTTATAGATCTTGCTCCCTTTCATAAGACAGCCTAAAATTAAAGTGTTCTCTTCAGTCTCTGCTTCCTATCACTGTTGTTATTTCACCATTCACTGGACCAGTATTTTAATGTAATAGATAGCTAAGGTCCCTGTACAGGACATCATGGAGGAAGTGGTAGGGGCTATCACCCTACCTATGCTGGGGGGAGGTGTCACCTGCCAGATACCTGAGGAGGGCTTTAGGACTCAGGACTACTTGAGCCAGCCCTTGAGAGATGAGCAGGGTTTGGGGAGGAAGGAAGAACAGAATGATGGGGAAAAATAAAATGCCAGGGCCAGCAAGGAATGGCCAGGTGACCAGCCTGGAAGGCACCACTGCTGCCTGTGGAGAAGCACATACAGCACAGAGAAGGTGGGTAGCCCAATTAAGGCAAGCCTTTCCGAAATGGGTCGAGAATTCTGACTTTGTCCCAGGAAAGTGAGAAGCCAGTGAAGGTCTCTGTGCACATGAGTGAAGAGATCAGATCAGTATTTTAGCCTGAAAAGGATGTTAGGATTTGGAAAGAACTTCTCTGCTAGAAATGCAGAGAGCCAGTGGCCATAATCCAGTTGTGGAGTGGAGCAGGGAGGCAGGCAGTGATTAGAGCAGTGAAAAGGATGGAAAGAAAAGGCAGTTCCAGAAAGCCTGGGACAGAATCAAGAAGGCTTGGTAACCGATGAGGCATAAATGGAACAGGGGGGATTAGATCAGAGGCTTAAAACTTGATAAATAGCACCTTCAAAAGGGATGGATTTTTTACCACTCATTCAATCCATGTCACATCACAACTCTACAGAAAATTATTCAGAAAAACATGAAGTATTTCCATCCTTTTAATAATTAAAGATCATAGACATAAAAAGGAAGTTTTCTGAATAACTAAAAGAAAACGAAAGAAATTTGGTCCAGGCACAATGGAAGACTGAAAGTAGATCTCAACTAAAGAAAAAAAATTGCCAGGCACAGTGGCTCACGTCTGTAATCCCAGCACTTTGGGAGGCCGAGGCGGGTGGAACACCTGAGGTCAGGAGTTCGAGACCAGCCTGACCAACATGGAGAAACCCTATCTCTACTAAAAATACAAAATTAGCCAGGCGTGGTGGCACATGCCTCCAGCTACATGGGAGGCTAAGGCAGGAAGATCACTTGAACCCAGAAGGCAGAGGTTGCAGTGAGCCAAGATCACGTCACTGCACTCCAGCCTGGGAAAGAGTGAGACTCTTCCTCAAAAAAAAAAAGAAAAATATTAAAGAACCTAATTTAAACTGCATGTTTTTCCTCTTGTGGAGTGGTAGGTGCTTTTACCCTGAGGCTTATAGCCTGCTATTTATAGGGATATAAACCCCACACTCTAGCTGTGCCCATAGGCTCCTACTGGACTACTGTATAATGTGATGCTTCTAATTCTCCCAAGGTCTATTAGAAAGACATGGAAGTGTCCCCATAGTTAGAGAGAAGGCCACTACAGGACCAGCCACGGCCAGACACTACAGGACCAGGAAAAGAAATCCTGCACAACAAGAGACCCAGGGAAACACATTGCATGCACTGTTTCCCGCCCCCCTACAAATAAGTAGACCACAAACTTCGTGAATTAAGTAACTGGCAGGGCAACCTCTTGATCATCTACCCCAAACTTTTAGTTACTACCCATTTTTCACAAAATTATTAAATTTAGCATAAAAAAGTAAACTGATTTAGCACCAAAACATCTGAGGCCAGATCGTGACTGCACAAGACTTGTCAAAGAATACCTCCTCCTTCAGGAAGATTTCATCTCCTTCTTCTACTATTTCCCAGGTGAATGCCGAGTAGAGGGGCTGGAGCTACTCTCCTGAAAATAAAACTATAGGTCCACTGTCTTCCATTTTTAATTAGATGGTCATTAAATAGAGCCATTTAGGACCTGGAAATTTAATTAATTCTGAAACAGCTCATTCTCATGTGTTCCATCTTGGACCAATGAGACATTTTCAAGAACACTGACTTGGATCAAGGGAGTAGACTATAAATATAAGCTGTTTTCCACTGTGAGGCTGGTCTGAGGATCAATACCTATGGCTAGTCAGGCTTTACCCTACCACCCTGATTAATAAACTGAACCAGTGGCAAAAGGAAGAATTAAAAGAAAAACTAAATTGCCACTTTACCTGTTTTACTGATTTTATTTAACTTGGCTCAGATGTGATTTTTGCTACCATAAACGAGAAAACTTACTTGGAGACCAGAAAGATGCCTGACAACTGAGAAGAAATACACAGAACAATACAAAGAAAGAAGTCTCTTCAGCTCCTTAGGGGAAGAAGAGAGATGATTTACAAACATTATACACCATACAACAGCAAATCAACTAGAGTATAGTTCTTGCTGATGCTCAGTTCAAGAATCTGGGACCTAACACACAGAGCAGAGAAACGACCATCCTTCAGAGCCTTTCCTGGACTCTGCATGTCAGAGAAAAGGTTTCACCTTCTTGATGTGGGACCAAGGCAAAAGACGGTGCAGACTAACAGAAATCTTGGACCCAGATTTGTGACCCTCTTCTAACCAAGTATAGGGGATCTCAGGGAATATATCTTTTAGGAAACTGTATCTTATTCTTTCTGCCATCATCTTTCCAAATTTCTCCCTTACTTTAGGTCACCTCACCTATTTTGAGGAAACAGTAAAAGTGTGTGCATGCATATGTGCCCGTTGCAATGAAAGGATCAACAGAGAAAGACTGTGGCAACTGAGAGGGCAAATTGGTCTCAGCTGTGTCCCACCAGCAGACCTGCAGAAGCAAAATGACAACTGGTTGAGTCTGTCTTCAACATCAGTTTACCCCTTCTCTGTTCCATGTTCTTAGGTTTTCCAAAGCTTCTGCTATGCTGTGCCACAGGCCTGCCTTCCCTAGTTATTCTGTGCTTTTTTAAATTTTTTTCTTCTTTTCTAATACTTATCTGTTAACTGAGATTCTGTGCTCTAGAATGCATTGCAAAATCTAGCCTGTTGCTATTGTTTTATATATGAATCAACTGTCACATACAAATCCAGATTTCTAGCTTCTCTTAAAAGATCTAAAAAGAATGAGTCCATCTTCCCACATGGCAGCAATCGGGGGGTGCCGGGATGGTACTCTCTTTGGCTAGGGCAGTGTGTCAGCCACCACCTTACCTTACCTGCTTCCTTTTTTTAACCTTCCCTTTCCTTTATGACTGTTCCAGTTCTTTCCTTGGCTCACTGTTAAAACTTACCTGCCCTGTGTCTCAACCCAGTGGGGCTAGATCTCTACTCACTGACTGGTTGAGCTAATCAATTAAACTAGTTAAGGCTGAACTGCTTAATGCACAGGAACAGATTATCTCCTTGGCTTGAGCCCTTGGAAGAGGACGAAAGCTGCCAAGAGATGAGAATGAGAAAACAAACTGCTTCCTGGTCACTCCTCTATCAGAGGAAGCTGTGGACATACCCTGTAGATTTCCTCCAGCAGCAGCCGGGCACAGTTCCTGCCAAGGTCCTCTGGAAGTACTGCTGCTCCCTGGCCCTGGGGGTTGGAGGCCAGTTCAGCACTGAGGAAGGTGCCACTGGTGGTCTCAGCAACCAGTGACAACCCAAAGCCCGGAGACCTGGAGATACAAAGGCACAAACACTGAGTAGGTTTAACCAAGTGAGGTTTCCACTCACCAGCAAACGGAAAGAGAAGACAAACATTTTTTTTGACGGCACTGTGTTCAAAGGCTTCTTTCTGGCTGCATTAACCTCATAGAGTTGCTACTAGTTTACTAGCTGACCAGAAAAGAAAATCAGTCCAAAAACAAGCATCTCTCCACAAAATTTTAAGATTTGACAGCTCAATTCTACTTTCCCAATGACTGTTAAGTAGACACATCAACAGGAAAGGTGTGGCGGCCTTCCCAGCAGTACAATCCGTATGCAACCACAACACAGACCTGCCCCCTTTAACACAACTCAACACACGCTCACACAATACTTTCTATGTGTCTGGCAGGAGACTAGCCAAAATACTTGTTTCACTAAAACTATGTATAAAATTAATGTTTCGAATGCACTATATGAGCTCACTATATAGAAGAACTATGTTAGTCAGTCCTTAGATTCTTAAGGAAAAAAAAAATTTGCTTGTCTATGCAGTCGAAGGTTAACAACACCTGCCAAGGAAAGGGGGTGCAGTGAGTTACCCATTTCATCAAAGGTTCTGGGAGGCACTCTGAGTTATGCTTAACAATCTAACACTGTGCTATCCACCTATCATCATGGGACACCTAGAGAATTTTAGCATAATCCCAAATTGCCTTTGAGTCACCTGACCAGCAGAAGTGAGAGGGTGTCCAGCAGTGGCTGCAGGCAGTGGCATACAAAAGTGAAGATTAGAAGATGAAGGGGAGAGAAAGCAAGACAAGGTGCCACTGCTGCTTTACCCATTTACCTGCATTTCCCAAGAATTTCCATCTGTGTGAGTTTTCTAAGGTGTATTTGTCATTACGATAAACTTTATATTTAATCAGAATTATTCCATTTAACACAATTTAAGTAACTTTAGAAAAGACAAAGAATATATATTAGGTTCTATGTAAATTACTCTAATTTTTCTTCCCAACTTGTGGGAAATATGTGTTATCAGGCCTATTTCAAGTTAGGCTGACCAAGCTGCTGGTCATCAGGTGACCTCATTAGAGATATGCACTGGTATAGTTTGCAAAGGCCAGCCTCCACAGCTTTCCTTGGTAAAGGACCCAATTAAGAAAAAAAAAAATTACTGTGAGAGTTAAAATGGGACCACACTGGACTGATGTGCATTCTGGCCAAAGCGCTGACATAGGCCACCAAGAAGTGCTGTCCCCTAAGGTTCTAGGCCATGGCCACAACATAAACTCTTACATCTGAACAAGCCTGACTTACTGGATACTTCACTGAATCAGAAGAGAGAAATACCCATCCATGACTTTATAATTTTAATAACAGAGAAGGAAGAGCACTATTAGTCATCTGTAACTGGAGATTTAAAAAAACCAAACACAAATTTAAATCCCACATTGGTTTTACATGTAATTTTTAAAATGGGGCTTGGAGTTGATGGCCCACAGTCTACATCATGTCCATGTCTTTATCTACGTGTAAGGCTTCTACTCACCATTAGTAAGTATGGACTTGACCACACTCTAGGGTCAGCTGAGTCAGTGGTATAACAAAAAGCCACACTATAAGCTGGTGGCAGGATGGCTGTCAGGCCTGCTCTGCTTCATGCCAGGACACTTTCTGATAAAGCGAGAGGCAAAGCAGAGAAGGGACTATCGAGATGAAGCCATTTAGACAGCTTCTGCTGCTATCTGTCCTCCCCCATCCCTCGGAAATCCCCTTTCTCCAGAAAATAGCTGACACATAATTCCAGACCTGTGGCCAACAAGGGAGAGTAAAGGAAAGAACAGCATCAGGAGCTACCATTTCTGTAGGACTTACCATGTGACAAGCAAGGTATTAATGGCTTATATGTGTGATCTTTACAATAACCCCAAAACATAGGCATCATCACCCTCAATGCATAAATGAGGAAAATACTGTTGTTACTAGAATATAAACCAAAGGTTTAGGAACATCATTGACTTTTCCAAGCCAGAAAGTCCAGCTTTGCCCACAAATCCTTTCCCAACCCCAGCGTTATGACGCCACCAGCTTTGTTGCTTTGGACTATGAGCCTCCACTGTATTTCTAAAACTACCTTCATCTTTCCATTGGGCCTTATAAAGGTCAAAGGTTGTATAAAACACTCACCCCCCTCCTTTACTCTCTTTTCCTCTTTTTGCTGAAATTAAAAGAAACCACAGGTGAAACAGCTGTGAAAAAGGATCAGCTGTGGCATCACTTAAGAAGAAGTTGACTTCTTAACCTACAACAGTTAACCCCAGACTCTAATATTCTTATTTTTAGGAGACACAACCTGCAAAGCCTCAGATGTGAAGTGAAATGATGCCCATTCACACTGAAATGATTCAGTAAAAAACAAAAACAAACAAAACCCACAAACAAGTGAAGCAAATTTGGCAAAATATTTATCGTTAACTATAGGCAGCAGGAGTATATCTCCGTGTTCACTGTACTATTCTTTGATCTTTTCTGTATGTTTAACACTTTCCTATTTTAAGAAAGTGGCTTTAATTGCTTCTCTAACTTCCTAGTTGCTAAATACACAAGCAAAGCCTAAAACAGGTATCTTCATTACATAGAGCATCATTTTTTAAGAACTTATTTTCCTTACTTAGAATTTTTTTCTAATTTTTAAAATTTTTATTTTTTAGCAAAGCAAAGGCTTTCACTAAACCAAATTCACGTCTGCAATAACAACTTTCTCTGGATGTAAATATGTTGTTTCCACTGATGAAGAGAGATGCTGACTTACACTTAGATAACAAAAGATTTTAACCCTATACTGTTATTTACTCAGGGTGGAAGAACCTGTCCACTTTAATTTTTTTGTTGGAACAGAGTGCAGATGGAATTTAAAGCCTAAAGCATTGTGTATTAATAGATAAAGGTTTTAATTCCCCAAGGCTAGGAACCAGACCCTTAGCTTCCAGCTCTAGCCACTGGGATGCTTTCCATGTGACAGGCACTCAAGAAATGCCTGTTGGTGACAACGGCAATAAGGCAGAAAGAAATTAATTCTGAAATTGTTCTTCCTCTGGCTGCGCAACCTCAGAGCTGGCAGTTTTAACTTCAACTAGAACAGGCATGTGAAAAAGCTGCAGAAACAGACTTCAAAAACACAGATACTTACTTCCCAGAGTTGACTCCTTTCATGTGATCTGTGTAAATATAGATATCAGGTATGAACTTGTTGAGGATGCTCCTTGCAGAATCCACAATCCGGTTCGCCATCTGAGGTGACACACGTACAGAGTACCTGCAGCCTGGAGTTAAGGATGTCATTCTGCTTGAATTCCAGGACAGAGAAAAATCAGTTATAAAGCTGGCAAGTATTTGTGGAACTGTAGTAACAAACTGGGACTTCCAAATCTATTGTTTTCCAACTGAATTTACTGAATTAGTACCATAATTAAATTTTTTTCATTATTATAAAAGGTCATGGCAAAAACACCCAAACAATAGAGACAGTGGAAAGTATAAAGCTGGAGGTCCTCAACCCCACCCCCTGACTTCCTACCCACACGCTTCCCCTAGAAATGGTTCAAGTCAATTTTGGAAGGTGTAAAGACACCTGCCTCTCTGCGGGTCATGATCCAGGCTCCCTCTGAAGCACAACACCTAAGAACACTTTCTATTCTCTGTCCATTCCCACTGCTGTAGCCAATGAGTCTCTCTCTTAAGAACCTAAGCCCAGAACAGACACCACACAGGACCTGGGCGATCCCAATCTGACTCCTGGTATGCTGATGGGAGAAGCAGAAAAAGTTCAGTGAAAGAACATGGTTGCTGCTATTTATAAATATATAAAAAGGTTTTTCTCATTTACAGGGCCTATTTTCTACTATTTAAGAATTAATTACTCCACTTGTGGATAACACAGCCTCCTCACACCTGCTACCTTATGGTTAAAATATTGATAATTAGCACTCCTACAATAGGGCACCCCAGAAAAGAAAGGAGGAAGATATTAGTAACTCAAGTGAAAAGATTGGTGCTTGAGGAAATGGAAATTATTGCCTAAAACTAGACTTTATAACAGAAGCTGGCATTCCCCAACCACACATGTCAAAGAAAAAGTAAGTATGTATTGAGCACTTCAATGTGCAATGTATGGTCAAGAGATGGCTATATATTTGGAACTAAAAAAATGGAGAAATAACATGTGACCTTCCCACTACCCTGATACAAACCCCACGTGACAAGTCCAACAGGTAGAACGAGGTATATAATCTGCCCAATCCAGCCCAATGTTCAAGAACTGCTGACAATAACATATTTAATTTTCATCTGAACTGCAGAAACAAAGTGCTCAGAGACGATACATGACCTGATCTGGTATCTAGCTCCCTTTTTTGACCCATCCTGAACTTCATACTAAAAGACCAATCTTCCTCATGCTGGTGACAGTCTCTCGGTGGCTCCTGGTCCTCCCATATCTTGTTGTTAGAGCCCCCAGCCTGCTCAGTTGTGTCCATCTTCAGCTCTGCACCATCAACTCCTTCCACCCATCCAAACTGACCAAATTCCTCAACCTGAGCTGCTTTGCCCCATTCTCCCAGCCCGAGGTCCCAATCTCTCTCCTGAAACCCTCCAGCCGGCACCCAAGTGTTAGCTCCACTTGAACTTACCATACATCTCTCTTCACATATGCACATTTTGTTCTTGCTCTTCAATGAGACCACACACTCTATAAGGGCAAGGGCTTTACCTCTGTAATCCCTCCCAACTCTCCAATACACCACTTTTGTACTCAGAAATGCTCAATAAATATTTAACTTGACTCAAAGGACAAACCTGAAATGAGGAAAGAGCAAAGAGGGATTTTTCAATACACACACAGCCCAGTTACATCACCATCTCTTCAGTCCAGAATGTACTTTTGACCACAGACAGCTTAGACAAACAGTCCTGAATCTCATACCCTTTGGACCAAGCAGGTGCTGTCCTTCTGAGGTCTGAGGCTGCCCACTGTCCCCAGGAAAGCACAAGAGATGTCACCATCCTAGCACATAATCCCACAGAGCTCACGGCTCCCAAAGTTCTTTCACATCTATTATCACCTTACTTTATGCTCACAGTAACCCTGTGTTGAGGGCCATGGCTCCGAGTTCTAGGACTTACATTAAAGACAACTAAGACAAAAAAACTAAGACACTTGCTCAAAATTAAACAGATCTGACTCCCAAAAAGCATCTTCCTCCTCTCACCCATCCCAATACAAAAACACGAAGGTTAACAAACAGTACGAATTCAGGGCCTACAGAATCCTATACTAGAACTCAGGCAATGAAATGAAGAAGGCAAAGGAACTTTAAAGCCAGTTGCTTAGAACCATCTGGCTTGGCATGGATGTCCTACTAAGGAATGGCTAACAGCCCCCAAGTTCTAGAATCAGATTATCTCCGTTCAAGTCCAAGCTCCAGCAAGCTGCATCACTCCAGGTTAATTGTGGTAACTTCTCTGTGCTGTCATTTCCTAATCAGTAAAAGAAGGATAATCATAACACTTTCCTCACAGAGTTTGGAGGCACAAATGAAATAAAATGCATGTAAAGCTCTTAATGCCTAGTGTGTAGTAGGAGCCCAACAAATGTCAGCTATTGCTTTTCTTTATTACTTATCCAAGATTCAAATCCCAAGCAGAGGTTCTTATTCTTTCAAGAATCAGAGAACTCTCTGAGAATCTGATGAAAGCTATGGACCCTCTCCTGAGAAACATATATACTCACAATCTTGCAGAAAATTTTTCAGGTTTATGAACCTCCTAAAGCCCATTTATGAAAACCATATTAAGAACCAATACCAATGTACAAGTCCATAGCTACAGTCCATATGGGACTCCCACTCTTCCCCTTCCCCAATGTTCCATGTCAGAGAAAGCTAAGAGGGGTGTGTGTGTGTATGTTACAGTAGGTGGAGAGAGAGCTTGATTCTCAAAGTACCTTTCCTACAGTCAAGGAAAAGAAACTAGATTATCCCACGAATTCCAACTTATCCCCCTTTACTGCCAGCTTTTTCACTTAATTCTCATGTACCAAATCATGAGCTCCTAGGACAGCACTGCAAAACTAAAACAGAATGTTCCTTTCTCTTACGCCCCACATAAGGCAGGGGTGAGAAAGAGTGGGTGGCATTAAGTAAAAGGTAACTACTGTGTAGTCACAGCTGCTGGCAGGAACCAACACCAGCTCCCTCTGGGCCCTGGCTGGTAGGTCATCTTGTAGAACGCAAGAGGGAAAAGATGCACTTTGGAAGTAATTCAGTTAAAACCACAAATGCACACAAGAGAGTGGGCCTCTTTCTCCCAGTCTGAGCCCTCCCATGGGAAATACAACCTCCAAGCTTAGTC
The DNA here is from genome assembly GCF_000001405.40 of Homo sapiens. Classification (NCBI taxonomy): domain Eukaryota; kingdom Metazoa; phylum Chordata; class Mammalia; order Primates; family Hominidae; genus Homo; species Homo sapiens. The sequence continues at coordinate 4,838,139 of NC_000009.12, read as the reverse complement.
CAGTAGTCAACCAGCCTTGCAAGGAAAAAAACCACAAAACCAACTCAAGCTTTTTCCAAAGGCAGCTCTTTTTTCCCAGGCTCCAAAACTGGAGAAGAGGGCGATCTCCATTCAAACCAACATTCCTTTGAGGTGTTTGTGAAATGGGCAGCTCTGCAGAGCAGTGGCTGAAATGTTTGGTTAACAGACAGGGATCTGAGAAAGGGCACTGTGTCAACTCTCCTGGGGAGCCAGGAGGAAGCCTCAACCAGTCAGAGATATATTGGGGATGATTTCCATGTCCTATCCCCTGCCTCCAGGGAGGGAGGAACTTGGGACCTCACAAGTCTCTTCCTGGCTCAGATTCTACACAGGGAAGGTTCCAAGAACATTAGAGGGAGAAGCCAGGGAGGAACATAGTTACACCCAAGGTGCCCGGCACTACAGCTCTTTTAACTTTTATGTTCTCCCCTGGAAAGCCCTTCCCCATTTCCCAGCATCATCATCAAAGGACACGACCATCTGCACACCCAGAGAGAACAAGGGGGACCCCACTGTGATGAAACCCATGTTGTTATGACAAGATTGTGTCAAAACAGAGCACACTGCCAGAAATCACATTTCCAGACTACAGAGACTGGATTCCAAACAAAGTTCACGGCCGCCAATACAGCATTAAGGAAACACATCTCAAATAAGGAGGAAAAAAAACAACTACCCCCCAGACAAACCCAAAATAGTACTGAAAGTGTATTCCTGTACACTTATTGGAATGTATTGGAAAGTGTATTCCTATACACTTATTACACTTTTTTTCACCATTGCCAAAAATGTTGTGGTTAAAGCCATTAACCGCAGTGTATTTGGCAACAGTGAAAAGCAAAAAACAACTCAATGGCCATCAACAGGATTTGATTTTGGGTTCTATATATGGTGGAATACAATGCATCTGTTAATAAGAATGAATTCAAGTAGAAAAGGCACATTTGGTTTCAAAAACACACACCTAGTTACATTGCATTTCCATTTCTTTGTAACCTAATTAACCTTATTCCAGCTCCTCGGATTTGGATACTAGAGTTGAATATCACCTTAGAAAGTCACCTGGGCAATGTAACTATGCATCAACCTGGGGGCTCCTAGGAAAGGAACCATTTCTCCTTTTGCCTGTTCTCTCCTGGTACACACAAGGCTGGGCGCTTACATGGGCTGGGGGACAGCCATGCAGAGAACAGACCATAACCCAGGAAGGCTTTGTTATTATGTATTCCTGTGGTTTTGATGATCCTTAAAAAGAACTTCAGGCAGCAACCCAAGTTTGAGCTTCTATCTTAACCAGCACTCTCTCTGCACATGGCTCTGCAGCCCACCCTACTCCCTGCCCTTCACCACTTACTGTTCAAGCTATTCGAGGCCTCTGAAAAGACAGTCCACGCTACACCTTTCTTCCTCCAAGTAATACCATTGCCAAACCTCCTGAGAACACAAAACCCGACCTTAAGCACCCACCCCCGCCCTGACAAGCAGGCTTTCTGGTCTGCCCTCCTTGTCACACTCCCGCCAGGAAAGTCATCCCACAGCCTGTCTTGCTCTACGGCCTCCAACACCTGCTCCCACCCAGATCCTGTCAGCACCTAGAATTTTACCACTTTTAATATCTGAAATCCCAAAACAAAACTCCCTAAACACAATCTCTTGTCCTACACAGTACATGTATCTATTTCCACTAGATCTGATCTTTAAGCCTGTTAAAGTTTCTCATCCCTTGACCTGCTTTGTCCAGGCTGGTGAGCCCCTGTGACAATCCTCAGTGAGGAATGTACTTCCCAATGCTCCAGCACCCACCCTCCAACTGTCCTCCTGTAGGACCCACCCACCTTGCCAACCTGCATCCAACCTTGGATGAAATTGGTCCTCCCACGTTCTCTACTCCTCCCTCTAGGCTGCCAACTGCCACTGGATATAGCCACATGGCCATGCAGCTGGCACTGTGTTAACATTACACCTTCAGCAAGGACCTTACTGCTGGAACACAGCCTTTTTCTTATCTTCAGTTATGATGCTCCCCTGTGAAGGCACATCTTTACCATCCTTGTCACACTCTCTTATCCTACCCCGCCCATCCCCTTACCCTCAATCCCATCCTAACTCGGTAACAACTGAAAACTCATCCCAACCCCCTTCCACTCACCTCCACACAGCTCTACCTGGAGCCACCCTTACCGTATGCCTGTGGCCTTGAATCCATCCCCTCTCAAGTAAGAATAAAAAGAATAGTAGTAACCATTTACCCAATGCTACTTACACACCAGTGCCTCCTACTGTGCAACTACGATCTCATTTTACCTTCATGACAGTCTCGCACAGCAGTTATAACAGGACTAAAGATATACGGGCAACCAAGGCTTACGGCCAAATGCTTCCATTGGTAAGTGGCGCAGCCGGCGTCGGCACCCACGTCTTTCTGACTCCAGCACCTGGGCTTTTAATCAGCTCATTACTTTGCTTCATCTACATTAACAACCTACAAAAACACTCAAATCCTTACCAATCTTTTTGTAAAAGGGAGGGAGTCTCCCTGACTCTCGCTTCATCAAGTTACTCCCTCATCCTTCCTTCTCCTTCTCTTTCCTGTCAAGGTTCTGTAAAGAGTGGTCCCCACAAGCCGCTGTTTCCCTCCCCTTCACTCCACAACCCAGAATTAGTCCCTTGGGATAGGGATCCAGCACTCTTCCCCAGGGCATCAGTGACAGCCTGCTGCTGAGTCCCTCAGCTTTTCCCCCACCCCAATGCTAACTCCTCAGGGCCTTTTAAAGTGCTGACCTGAGCTTCCAGGAAGCTATGTTTTGTTTATTCTCTTCCCCACTCTTACTTCCCTCCTTACTTAACTCTTGCTTTCAAGTTTTGGTGGCCTCACAGGGTTCCACCCTCCTTTCTTTGCGTTCTGCATAGTATCTGATTCCAGCCACCTTCAGCTCTTCACTGGCCCCTGCCTGTCTTCATGCCCCATTCTACCATCAAATGCCATAGACCAACCTGAAATCTGGCCACACTTCATTACTTGCCACTCCCTAGAACCACTGTGCACTGCCACCTCTGCTCAGGCCCACTTTTCTGCCTGAAGCCCTCCTCCTTTCTTGCTCTACTTTGCAATCCTCTGTTCTTCAAGGCTCCTTTCTATAGGCAAAAGTAAAAATTAAATGCCTGTACTTTAGAGTCACACAGACCAGGTTCAAATCCTAGCTCTGTCATTATTAGCAGTGTGACATTATTAAGAAATTCCTTAAGCTTTTGAAGCTTCAGTTTCCCCATCTGCAAAAAAGGATGTAAGTGAACTCAAGGGTCAATGTGAGGCTTAAAAGCATGTAAAGTGACTACTGAAGTAGATGCAGAGTAAATACTTAATAGTAGATATCATTCATTATGATTACTCCAGCCTCCCTAGGTCCTCCAGACAAAATTGACCACTGTCTACTCCAGGCCCCCACCCCACTGCACATATCATTTTGCATGTTATATCAGAACTGTGTGTTTTCATATTTGGTTCCTTCACCGAATGATGACGTCTTCTGAGGGAGGAACTGCAGTATATTCATGGCCCCCAAACCAAAGCCCTTGAGAGAGGATCACATACATCAGAGCCATTTGCCTAAATGTTAACCGGAAAATTAAAAAAAAAAAAAAAAAAAGAATGACTCAATCAATCTAGTCATGGTGAGGCAGATAACAGAACATCCTAACTCAGCCAGCAATTACAATTTCACTGTTAAGACTTTTCAAAGTTGTAGTCTAAAATGTAAATAACCTCGGGAAGAAGTAAAGCTGTTAGTCATTCTTATCTTAGTGAGGCAACAACAACAAAAAAAAAAGAAATCCAAATAAATGGAAAGGATACGCCATTCCTCTAATACGTTTGATTTTTCCTGGATCTGTGAGTTGAATGGGCTTCAAGACCTTCCTCACAGGACATGAGAAAACCACTTCGCCTCCTCCTCCGGGAGGCATTCCCCGTCGCACAATCTACACAGAGAGTGAGAAAGATGAGGCGAGGATGCAGCAAAGCAATGGATTACCCTGACACCCTGCCCAGGAAGGTTTACACCAGCAGATGCTTCCTTACAAGGCATAGCTCTTCCATATTCAATCTGTCATTCCCTTCAAGACCAACAGCACCTTATGTTGGCTCCTAGAGAGTACCTGTGCAGCATGTGTCAAAGTCCAAGTCGATTACCCAAGTGGCTCTGCCACTCATCTCTTTAACCCTGAACAGGTCACTTCTTTATCCTTAAAATATAGAGCTGACCTAGTCCATCATCTGAGCCCATTTCTTAATAATCAGAAACCCCTTTTTCTCCTCCCATGCAAATAACGGATCTACCAAAACATTATTAAATAAAAATGAAGTCATTTCCCCTGTTTAAAACATGAATGTAAAAGGCAGAGATGCTAAACGGTTTACCACATTGGATTGATATAATTCAACAAAATACAGATGCTTAAACTACTTCTACTAGATTTTGGAAATACTGAAAATTCTCAGGGACATCCAGGTTGGGAGCCCCTGAACATAAATTATATCCAGATCATTTAGATCAGAGAGCCAATATGGCCCAAATCTATTCTCCACTGCTTGCTAGCTGAGGCACATGGGCGGAGCTGTTGTGAGGAGAAAAGGAGTTAGTATTTGTAAACTGCTTAGAACGGCCCCCACCGCAAAAGAAGTGCAACATCACTGTCAGCTACTATTGTTATTACTAAAGGGTCCCTTTCAGTTCAAAGTCTGTAGTGTTTATTTCATGAGCCCTGTGAGTCTTCTGATAACTGGTGACTTCAAATGTGACACACATACACTGAGTCACACAGCTCTTCCAATGAGTCAGTGGGAAAATGTTTTCCACAGGAACATATGGTCAACAGTTCAAACATTCTTACCTTCAGTTCAAATGATTCACCATCAATCCCAAATTGTTTCAACAAAGGGAGTGCTGTTGCCTTAAGAACATCAACCTATGAAATTATTTCAGAAAAGAAAAGTTTAATTAAGCCTTCAGCAGAATACAAGAGTCAAAAAAAACAAGTAAGGCTTAGCAACCAGGTAGATGATGCAGTGTGGTAAACAGAAAGGATGCTGGCATATAACTGAGCGAGTGGGCTGGCTCTGCCTGAGGAACACTGTGATTTCACAGGCCACTGGGCTTCTCTGAGCCGCACTTTCCTCATTCATGACATGGAGACCAACACCTACCTTAAAGTCATCGTGTGCATCAGAGGCATCATGCAAAAAGCATGGAGAGACTGGACTGTTGTAGAAAACAAATGGAGAACCCTACTTTTTTTTTTTTTTTTTTTTTTTTTGAGTGGAATCTCGCTCTGTCACCAGGCTGGAGTGCAGTGGCGCGATCTAGGCTCACTGCAACCTCTGCCTCCCAGGTTCAAGCGATTCTCCTGCCTCAGCCTCCTGAGTAGCTGGGACTACAGGCATGTGCCACCACGCCCAGCTAATTTTTGTATTTTTAGTAGAGACGGGGTTTCACCATGTTGGCCAGGATGGTCTCAATCTCTTGAACTTGTAATCTGCCACCTCAGCCTCCCAAAGTGCTGGGATAACAGGTGTGAGCCACCACACCCAGCCTGGAGAACCCTACTCATTCTTATAGGTATAAACGTACAGAAGAAAATCATCTTTTTCATTAACATTTGTCCAGTAGGGTTATTTAATGTTTAGAGCCGGTAGCATTCCGAGTCAAAGCAAACCAAATTAACTATTCAACAGCTCACCTAAGAATGCCAATGATGAGCACCACACAGGCAGCTAAAGGGAAGGTGATGATTTTACATGGGAGTTGGGGAGTCGGGGTGATGACAGCCTCAAACTACAGGAAGCAGCACAAACTCAAAACTACAATTAGTTACAACATCCATAGTTAATGGCAAGACTTTGCCACGTGTAACTGTTATCTCCTCCTGCATTCAGAGCTCCCAGGAAGTCTGGGGTCTTTCTGATCCATTTGTGGATTCCTGATAAGAGTAGAAAGATGGCATTCAAATCAGGTACTGTTATCTAACGAGTTGGCAAATGTTGCCTCAACTGCTACATGGGAAAGAAAATTACTCCATTACTTGTTCCCTTCTTGGATCTGTCAGCTGGCAGGGAGGGCAGGCACCACACAGAAGGCATAGGAAAAGCCCTAGTCCTGGTCCCAGCTCTGCTTCTAATTAGCTATGTTGCCTCAGACAAGAAAATCACAACTATCTGAATTTCCTTATCTCTAAGGCAAGGGGCTCAAGCCCAGCCATCTCCAAGTTACAACTAACTCTAACAGGCTAAGAAGCCCCAACTAAATATTGTGATATCAGAAAAATACCAGACTTAGGAATGACCTGTGAGGCCTAAGAACATGCTTAGAATGGATCAGGTGGGGCAGGGGAAACTAGGAAAACCACTGAAGATTAGCTAATTTTAAATATTAAAGCTACAGCCCGAGCAACATAGTGAGACCTCATCTCTACTAAAAAAAAATAAGCTGGGCATGCTGCACGCCTGTGGTCCTAGCTACTTGAGAGGCTGAGGTGGGAGGATCACTTGAGCCCAGGACTTCAAGGCTTTGGTGAGCCACGATCATGCCACTGCACTCCAGCCTGGGAGACAGAGTGAGACCCTCTCTCTAAAAATAAAAAAATAAAGCACACTCAAAAACTTAATATATGCATTTGGCGTTGCCAGATAAAGAAGAATACAGTCGAGGCTTAAGAGCAGCTGGGGAGAAGGCCAAGTCAGATTCTGAAAAAGTAGGGGATGCAATGCTGCAGTTACTCTGGGCAGCCACCGGCTCTCTCGAGGGAAAAAAAGGTGAAAAAACACAGCATTCCTTCTGGCTCATCCTTCCTATACCTTGAGTCACAAAGAGTGAAGCCAAATTTACTTAGTTCAGCAAGAAGCCCAAGGGTAATTCCAGGTGTAGTCCTGTCCCTTTATCACTCTCCATATGACATGGAAGACAGGCAACTTGGTGCGGTGGGACAAGGGCAGGAAAAGCAGATGAGGGCTTGGGACCTACTCTGCCTCTCACTGGCTGTTAGACCCTAGACAATTCCCTGTCTCCTGGGCCTCAGTTTCCTCCTTCGTAAAATGAGAGGCTGGGCCGAACACTCTCCAGTCTCCTGCAGCTTTGCACATTCTAGTTTTAGCAGAGTGATGGTGGCCTGTAAGTTCTGCTTAAGGGAAAGTGATCGGTCCACTCTGCGGTCAGAGAGAAAAGGCAAAGATCAAACCCTAAGTGGCAGCTCAGGGCAAAGGTATTACCATTACAGCGCAGTCAATCAATCAAAAGGTAAAAATGTAATCAATCTATGCTAAAAAAAGAAAAAAGAGAGGAAGAAACCTGCTCTCCAGTTACCTTGTCTGAAACACCCACCTCACTGGGTTGGTAGAAGAATTAAACAGATATGGATATACACATACATACATATGTACACCTAGAATAATGCCCAGTACATGGGAGACATTATTGTACTTCTTTTCCTTCTCTAAGAGGGAACTGGAAAAGAATGGAATCTTCATCCACCATTGGAGCAGCTTGTTGGCACCAACAAATAATTACTGGGAGCTCTGGTGCCACACTACCAAGAGTCAGGAGACCTTCTAAAACTTCTCTTTAAAATTTCTCCCCACTTTCTATTCTCTTGCCTCTAAGGAAAAAATGTCTTCTTCCTCTTCATAAGGCTCATTCCATCACCTCTGTTTTCAATCCTTATCCCCTCTGGACTTCGGCAAGGACCCTCAGCTCTTTTAATTATTTTCTTTTCCATTACAGCTTCTCCTCAGCCTACAAGCAAGCTCAAGTTTCCCCTAGTCTAAAAAAAATCCCAACCTCAGCTCTTAAAACCTTCTGGAAGAATCTCCTAACTTTCCAATAGCTCTAGTTCCTACTCGTTCCTCAGTCTGTTCCTGTCCTTATACTCCAATAACACTGTTCTCTCAAAGGTCAATAAAAATGTCTCACTGCTCAGTCTGACTCAACTCTGGCAAAGAGTGATTCTGTGGATTATCCCTGACTTCTTAGAACTTGATTCCTGCTTGGCTTCTCCAAATACTTCTATCTCCACAGTCACTCTGTCTCTAGCTCCTCTTCTCCCACTCACACCTTAAACACTCATTTCTCCTTCTTCCATTCTCAGTCCCTTGGACCATGGGGCAGAAACCCTAATGCCCACAGAGGGCAGAGAGGAAGCTTAAATGAATGATGAGGTCAGCTGTGACCTGTGTCCAGCTGAAAGCTCACACCTTATCCAAAAAAGGCAGCTGCTACTCACCTCCAACTGATGGCTGTCATGGAGGAACCACCATTCAGTATTGTCACACTGCCCTATCATAATGTAAAATCTGGAGTTTCAAACATGAACAACCAATTCAGATGCATACACACACCACTACCAACAACCACCACCACCGCCACCACTGCCACACTGTACATGTCAAAGGAAAAACACGTGAAAGATGAATTCAGCCAAACCCACCAGTGTTCAACCTCAGCCTAATCAATCTCATACTCCTAGAGGCTTAAGTATCAGCAGGTAAGATCGTGATGACCTGTCTCTGAGGCTCCAGACAATAATTTCTAACTGCCAACTGGAAATCCTTATATGGTTAGGCTGCCAACATCCCAGGGAACAAGACCAAAATAAAAAGCATCACTCATTATCCTACTGCAATTTTCCTCTTCCCTTTGTCAAATGGGAATGATCTTTACGATCATGATCCTTTATTGCAACCAGGACAGAAATCATGAAGTCATCTATGGCCCCTTCCTCTCACTCCGCCTCCAATTAGTTGTCCTATCTGCCCCTTCCGTTCTCCTTCCATCTCCATAATGCCCAAGCTAGTCTATCACCTCTCCATTCATCTTTCACTCAACCTCCAGAATTATCTTCCTAAAACCCAGACTGATTCTGATTTTCCCTCCTCAAGAAACGCTCTCTAACACTAAGCACTTTGCTTCTACCTCTATCGAGCCCAAGGGTATTCATCCTTGTAATCTCTCTAAATGAGTTCCCAGCTGTCCACCCCACGAGACTAGGAGTTTGTTAAGGACAGAATCACTCATTTCATCCTTGTACACAGAGAGTAGATGCAGACATGAACTAATGAGGAAACCACAAAGAAAAGAAGAAGCTAGAAATGAAGGAGCCATGGAATGAGCTGAAGAAGTCACTCTTTATTCAGGATTAAGTATATTTATTTTACCCTGGCCTGGAGCCAGATACCAACCAAGGTCATTTTAGTCATGCAGCTGGCAAAAGCAGATACTCCTACAGCATATGAAAACAGACTTTTTGGGTCCCATTTCTGAGAAATTCATCAACTGATCTTTTGTCACTGTTAGCATATAAAATTTTTAAAATATTGCCAGTGAGAAAAGCTTTTAAGATAATTAGCAAGTATAGAAAAAAAAAGCACAAAACAGATACACACACTGCTGTACACTTCAGGGCCTTTTCCCACTGTTTGAGGCACCTTTCTCTCTTCCAATCTAAATATATTTATACCTCTTCTCATTCTTTTATCCAAAGAACTCATTTCCTATAGTCTTCTAGAAAATGCAAAAAAAAAAAAACACTTAATTAAATATTCTCAACAGTTTACGCAACATTCCTTTACAGCTTAAGAATTTCAGATCTTGTACTATACTCAGTATCCCAGGGAAAAGAGTTTATGCAGCTGAATTTCCAAGAAATGAAGAATAAGTTTTTATTGCCTAAGAACATATTAACAATGTTTATACCCTAGTAGGTATCTTGATGAATACCAGCAATCTCTACTTTGGGGCTCACAGCATCACCTCATTGGTCCTCCCTGAGTAGAAAAGCTACATAATTCACATTCTGCCTCAGAAGCTATCCATTCATTGGTCTTGGCCTGTAATGGTAAAGACAAGCATACCACCTCAGTACTTTGCATCATGGCCATCAACTTTTTTTTTTTTTTTTTTTTTTTTGAGACGGAGTCTCGCTCTGTTGCCCGATCTCGGCTCACTGCAAGCTCTGCCTCCCAGGTTCACGCCATTCTCCTGCCTCAGTCTCCCGAGTAGCTGGCACTACAGGCGCCCGCCACCATGCCTGGCTAATTTTTTGTATTTTTAGTAGAGACGGGGTTTCACTGTGTTAGCCAGGCTGGTCTCGATCTCCTGACCTCATGATCTGCCCGCCTCGGCCTCCCAAAGTGCTGGGATTACAGGCGTAAGCCACTGCGCCCGGCCGGCCATCAGCTTTAAGATATCTTCTCTGACAGCAGAGCATCCAAAAGCAGGGAATCCACCCCTTCCTACAAGGGAGGGAGGCCTGGACAGGACTTCTCTAGACTTCTCTAATCTCTCTCTCTCTCACACACACACACACACACGCGTGCACACACACACACACACACACACACTTCATCCTAGAATGGCATTAAGACAGTTGTGATCACAATAAAAAGTTTTGCTTGATATTAAACCATTCTCCCCATATCTGCAGAAAAATTAGCATGTTTAATAAAAAGCTTGCTCTGGCATGACCCTTGGTGAAAAAAAATAAAATAAAAATCAAAAGCTTGCTGACACCCACAAACTACCAAAGCTCACACATTCCTTTCCTGACTTTATGCCCTTTTCCTAATCTGCAAACTCTTCTCAGAAGAAGAAAGCCCTTGAGTTTATGATTGAAGCCTGGGTAAGTCAAGATTACGCTGTAACAATGCCAAGGAGCTATGATCTCCTGCCCAAAATTTTGGTCAGCTGCCCTCCAGCCTCAGCTACCACAGGATCTTACAAAAACTCCACTCTCACATATACAGCCAGCAGAACTATAGTTCATGTCAACTATGATGAGACGGAGAGCATCTGTTTTGAAGGTTCTTAGGTAACAACAAAAGGCACCTTGGTAACTGTTAACAATAGTCCTGAATTTGATGATCCTAAGTTTTGGTTCATCTGCCTCCTGGAGTGATTAACCTCTAAATCTCAAAGTAAATAACAAAAGCAATATACATTTGTAATAAAACTGTGCCTTATAAGGAACTTTTTTCTCACAAGTTGGGTTGTGACAAGAGACAAAACAAAAACCACACCACGGTTTGTTCTCAATACTCACTGAAGGGTCAACCTGATCATTGGTCACTCCTCGTAGAACTATTTTTAACGGGTGCTTCATAAATGGAGCCAAGCAAAGAAGACTCTCCAGGTAATACCCAATGCCACGAAGGACGCTACAGTCATGTTCCACAGATCCACCATACAGGAGGCCAGGCTGATAATATAAGGTTGTTCCTTAAACCAGAAGAAAAAGAGCCACATTCAGCAGGAAAAAAACTAAAATGTCACAAAGGTAATGAAGGCAGTGAGTTCCAAGGGGAAAGCCTGACAAGGGCATCCAAGAGTGCTCGAAATGCCATCTTGCTAAGAGCCCACACTTCGCTCCAAAAGCTGACTCACTACTGTCAAGCCCCTGTAACAATAATAAACTGTGAATGTAATTTAATAATCAGTAATAAAGTAAACCCCTCTCTGAGCCATCTGAGTTGCCAGAGTCATGGCAGGGCACAGAAAAGAGATCCTAATAAGCACCCTAGTCTCCCAACAGCACATTCTCAGACTAGGCTGACCACAGAGGGGAATTACAAATGATGTGCTTAAATCATCACACCAGCAACCAGCATCCTCTAGGGCCCCTGAAATGATATTTCTCATATACCTCATTCACCAAACATGATGCCAAGAAAAGGCAAGTACTTTATGGCATTCAGTGCCATTAATAGTAGGTCTTTTAATTTAATATTGATACAGGGACATGCCTAATATTATTTTACGGCTTTAGTGGAAACTACTATCTTTATTCACTTCTCACATAATCGTATCATTCAAAAAGCTTTGTTTTGTTTTGAGACAGGGTCTTGCTCTGTCCCCCAAGCTGGAGTACAGCGGCATGATCACAGCTTGCTGCAGCTCAACCTCCAGAGCCAAGCAATCCTCCCATCTCAGCCTCCAGAATAGCTGGGACCACGACCAGCTAATTTTTTTTTTCTTTTTCTTTCTTTCTTTCTTTCTTTTTTTTCTTTATTTTAGAGAAAGGGTCTCACTATGTTGTCCAGGATAGTCTTGAACTCTTGGGCTCAAGTGATCCTCCCACCTCAGCCTCCCAAAGTGCTGAGACCCTAGGCACATGCTACCACACTCAGCTAATCATTTTTTTTTTTTGAGAAAGGGTCTCACTATATTGCCCAGGCTAGTCTGAAACTCCTAGGCTCAGCTTCCCAAAGTGCTGGGATTACAGACATGAACCACCTTGTGCCTGGCTATCCAAAAAGCTTCTTACTCCCATCTCATCTTCCCAAAGTGCTGGGATTACAGGCATGAACCACCATGCCTGGCTCTCCAAAAAGCTTCTTACTAGATTTACATATCAATGTAAAAAACTGTAAATGACATAGGGGGACATAAATGGTTGAACAAGGTATTTCTGCTGCACAAAATCTTTTGCAATGCCCTCTGGCACAATTTACCAAAAATATATTTAACATTAGAGGAAGGAGGCATGTTCAGTCACTCAAATGGGAAAAAGTTCTTGGGACTTTCATAAAATAAATGTAGGTTTTACTACATTAAACACTAGAATCCAAACAATCACAATCAGGACCATATTCTGATCAAAGTAATGAACACTTCTCAAATGGACTCTGGGTCAGTTATCTGAAATAGTTGTAAGGGCCACAAAACCATCCTTTAGATCAAAAAACCATAAAAAGACTATATATTCACTAAATGCTTCAAATCCGTATGTTTATTTATACAAATTAGCCAAATGAGAAACTGGCCAGATCATCAGAATGAAGGCTTTTACTACTCTGATGCGGAAAATTAAAAGGACATGTAGTGGGAGCAGAATCATGTAAATGTCTTACTCCTCAATCTACATTGCCAGTATGACTAGAAAAGAATAGACTTGGGCCACGCACTGTGGCTCATGCCTGTAATCCCAACACTTTGGAAGGCTGAGGTGGATGGATCACCCGACAGATCACCCTGTCTCTACTAAAAAAAAAAAAAAAATGAGCCAGGTATGGCAGCAGGCAACTGTAATCCCAGCTACTGGGGAGGCTAAGGCAGGAGAATCGTTTGAACCCGGGAGGCAGAAGTCGCCATGTGCCAAGATCGCACCACTGCACTCCAGCCTAGTTGACGGAACAAGACTCCGTCTCACACAGACACAAAAAAAGAATAGAATTATCCGTCTTCTGGATCACCAATGAAAGTTACTGAAAAAACCTCCAGCAATTTCAAAGCAAACAAGCTAAAGGAAATTAAGGGACTCATAGCTGGCAAAAGACATGTGAGTATCTCATTCCCGAAACCTGTTCTCCATAAGATATGGCTGAATGCAGCTATAGATCAGAATATCTCATGTGGTATAGGACCACATATGAACCCAAGCTTGCCTTAAGAGAGCCAAGATAGGGAAAAGGTCAGAGATTTATTTGTGGAATGTGTGCGGAAAGGTAGAGAGTTAATGGAGTCAGCCAACGGATGTTTGCCACAGTTTTCCATACAATGTAGACACAAGTTTCTAATAGAAAAAATAAAAGCTAGAAACAACCTAAATGTTTATCAATGGGGAGCAGTTAAATAAATTATCATGCATCAATACACTGGAATACTATACTACAACCCACAGAAATATTAAGGAAGACCTGCATGTGCTGGAAGGGAAAGTTCTCTGAGACATTTGTACTAGCAAAAAAAAAAAAAAAAAAAAATGCTGGCTGAAGAACAATATGAAGAGCATGATGTTGCTGATGGTCTGAATTATGCAAATGTCCATGTAAGCAAATGCTGTGACAGTGGCTACCCCTGGAGAGGGGAATGGAAGAGGAAAGAGGTGAAGGGATGTTCACATCTTTTGCATATACTTGTGTAAACTTATTTTAACAAACAAAATTTAAAATAAATAGAATTCAGCCCATAAACTACCTCACAGAGTTGGCTGAAATAATTTAATGTGATAATATAAGTAAATGGACTTTGGAAAGTTTCATGTAAACATTATGTATAAAATATTTATTGTTAAAAAAAGAGGAGAGACTTTGCTGAAATTTTCAGTCTTCTAACTTCCTTAAATCAAATGTACGCCCTTCAAATTGGGAGACTTCATGTATGTCTCTGGAAAATCATATCACAGAGAGGTAACTGGGTCTTTCCATCGGAACACGGTATTTTTTAAAATGATCTAGAATGATATGCTTTTATTATGATCTACACTCACAGCTTCCTCATATAACTCCAAAGTTATATGGTGAGTTCCTCATATAAGTCCCCCCAAAATTCTAATTTAATGGTGATTTATATAATACAAAGTGATTAGTAAAGCTTTAAACATAATATTTATACCATTAAAAAGAGTGATTTGGATAAGCAGAGACTGACTAGAAAAAAAAAGGAAAGAAAAAAAAGAGTGAGAAACAGGAATGCTTTAGTGCATGGAGGTGCTTTTAGGAATCTAAAAGGAGCTTACCTGTTTGGTTTATTTCAATTCGAGAACCATTCGTTATTTTGTCCAATAGCCTTATGAAGCTGGCTTCAAAATCTGTGAAGAAAAAAAATCTGTGAAGAAAAGAGAAGACAGACTGTCCTCATGTCAGGTCAACATTTCCAGAGCACATGCCTGATTCAGGTACTGTGGTAGAGGGCAGGTTACTTCCTGCATCACACCTGGGCTTTCCTAAAGGACTGGGTAGGTTCACAGGTTGAGGAACCTGACGCAGTTGAAAAGCACTGACTGGTACATATATGTTTAGTAGAACTTAGAAACAATTCAGCTTTCACATTGTAAAAAAAAAAAAAAAAAAAAAATAGCTCCACCAGCAATCTAATGGGATATTACTTTCAGCAGCATAAAACCCTTAAGACCTATTCTTCTGAACTCAGGAGGACATGCCAAATAACGGAGAAACAGTAGAAAGTAGGGAACAATTTTAAAGTCAGATTCTTCCCTGCTCCAGAATGCCTGGAAGGAAAGATTAAATTGAGGACCACCCTTCAGTCTCAGAGACAGTAAGAGATCACTATCTCTGCCTTTCAGCAAAGTATCCCTCCCTTTTCCCATCCTCTACCATCCTACTGATTTCAACTATCTAACCAGTTCAGTTTTTTATTTTACTAAAAGGGTGTTTGAATGTACAGTATTACTGCCTTCTTTTTTTAATGCATGAGAAAATACTGGAAGAAAAAAGGCGAAATGTTAATAAATGTTTTTATCTTAATGATTGGATTTTATATAAATTTAATTTTATATTAAAAGTTTATTTATTTATTTTTAAGAGACAGGGTTTGTTGCCCAAACTGGAGTATAGTGGCGTGATCACGTCTCACTGTAACCTGGAACTCCTGGCCTCAAAGGATCCTCCTGCCTCAGCCTCCCAAGTAGCTGGGACCACAGACGTGCACCACTACACCCAGCTAATTTCTTATTTTATTTTTGTAGAGATAGGGTCTCGTTATATTCACCAGGCTGGTCTTGAACTCCTGACCTCAAACAATCCTCCCACCTCAGCCTCCCAAAGTGCTGGGATTACAGTCGTGAGCCACCAAGCCTGGGCAAAAGCTGGTCATTGTTTAAAAGAGAAAGAGAGGGGGAGAGGAAAAAAGAAGGGGAAAGGAAGAGAATAGATTTTAAATGTAAGATTATGGGAGGAGAAGTGAAGACTCCTCCAGTCTTCCTTCCCCTGAGCTAATCTTACACACAAACACACCCCTTAGTTTTAACTTCCTGCCCATGAACAAGGACAGAAAGACTAACTCTTCTGCCACTGAAGGCACTGTGACTGCCTGACACTTTTAGACAATTCCCACTCCTGTAATAAACCAGCAGAGTTTATGGACACAGTCCAGTAGTCACCTAAACTGATCCCAAAGGGTGAGTGGATCAACTAAGCAATTCCCATCTACCTAGTCTGTTACATAACACTGTCCCATAACTCTTGTCATAATGGATTCTGCAATTTGTACAAAGGGCACTGGGCTAGAAATCAGAGAAACACCATTAAATCCTGAAACAAATAACAATGGTTAATAAAGCTGCTGTGTGTTGCATGCTTACTTTCCACTAGCTATTCTTTCATTTAATACTCATATCCCTGAGGCACAGAGTGTCATTCCCATTTGCTATGGTTTGAATGTTCTCTCTAAAATTCATGTTGAAACTGAGTTGTCATTGTGACTATATTAAGAGATGGGACCACTAAAAGGTGATTAAGCCACAAGGGCTCTGGCCTTATGAATAGATGAATGCCATTATCACAGGAGTGGATTTATTATTATATCACAAGAGTGGGCTGCTATAAAAATGAGTCCAGCCAGGGGTGCCATGGTGTGTATCTGTAGTCCCAGCCACTCAGGAGGCTGAGGTGGGAGGATCACCTGTGACCACGAGTTGAAGGCCAGACTGGACAACACAGCAAGATGCCCATCTCTGGGGGGAAAAAAAAAAATGAGTCCAGCTCTCTCAGTCACTCTCGCTCTCCCTCTCTTGCTCTTCCACTTTCTGCTATGGGAAGCTGTGGCAAGAAGGCCCTTGCCAGATACTAGCACCTTGATATTGGATTTCTTGGCTTCCAGAACTGTGATAAATTTCTTTTCTTTTATAAATTACCCAGTCTGTGCCTGTGACATTGTTATAGCAAAACGAAATGGATTAAGATGCCATTTTACAAAAGGCTAGGATCCAAGAATGCCAACTAGATTGCCCTAGTCAAATGACACTGAGACCCAAGAATGCCAAACAGACTGCCCTGATCATATGACCAGAAAGTGGCAAAACCAGGATCTGAGCCCAAGTCTGTCCTTCTCCAAAGTCCATGCTCTCTCTCTCTCTTTTAAGAAATAGGATCTCACTATGTTGCCCAGGTTAGTTTCAAACTCCTGGCCTCAAGTGATCCTCCTGCTTCAGGCTCACAAACGCTGGGATTACAGGCATAAGCTACTACACACAACCTAAAGGTTCCACACTCTTAGCCACACCACGACACTAGTTTGCCTCTGTTCAGTTTAATTCCTTGGAGCTAACCTCTTCCTCTAGAAAATCATGGTACCTTCAACTATAGGCACTGATCTCTTGAAGGATCTTATAGTTAATTTAATGGATCTCTAATCAACATTAAAAAAAATTAGAACAGAATAAACTACGTTGGAATAACTGTATATACTAAGGATGCTGTTCGTGAAACTTCAGTCTGTTTTACACATATGTGTATGTGTAATAGGTTGTGATGTAAGTAGCATCACAGGAGTTTGAAAGTATCTGAACGACGGAATTGAATTAGAAATTATTTCTACGATCTTTTTAACATTCTTTACAAATCAGGCACAATCTCTACCACAATGCCACTTTCTACTTAGGTTTATAGAAAATCTAACGTGCTCTGCAGAAAAAAGGAAAGCCCTTGATTTGTTCAAACTTTCTAAGTGTCTAAATGGGATAGAGGAACAAGCACCTACAAATAAAGCCTAAGATTAAACCCCACAGATTTTTACAAATTAGAAAAGAAAAAAGGAAGAAACCATGACTTTACTTTCTAGATTTTGTTTTTTGCAATCCACACGGACTCTTACACACAAACAAAACCAGAAACGCCCAGCAGAACAAAAGTAGAAAGAGAATGGGCATAAAGAGAACTCCAGGCAGGACCATCCCTGATCACGGCAAACCGGTGCTTCAGAAGCAGCACTTCAAAGAAGCAGACTCAGAGCTAGTTCCGGAGCCCTGGCAACAGTGAAGATATGACTCCATCACCTGGTACAAGAAAAGATCTCAAGTCCACCTAATAATGGTAAGATCAAAGTCCCCAAACTTTACTAGGCCAACCTGTGTAGAATTCCTTGCCCATTCACCTCCCACACACCCTGCTGACTCCTCTTCTTCAAGACTGCTCCTGGGGCTACAAGATTTCAGGTATCTCAAAACGTTCAGGGAAAAGCTCCAAAAACAAGCACAATTTTACTACACTGTTTATGAATACATAATTAGGTTATAAAACTATAAAGAGAATCAAAGTCAATGCTATAATGGTGAGGATAGTGGCTACCAGTAGAGGCATGGCAAGGAGCTGTAAATAGCTAAAAGATGTACAGATGTTAGCAAAGTTATATTTCTTTTTGTGGATGGGGGGGTCACAAAGGTGTTCATTTTACGATCTCTTATGCACTACTTTTATATCTTATGCATTTTTTTATTTGTACAAATTTGGTGGGCACAAGTGTAGTTGTATTACATGGATATATTGAGTAGTGGTAAAGTTGATAAAGTCTGTGTTTTGTTTTGTTTTGTTTTTGAGACGGAGTCTCGCTCTGTCACCAGGCTGGAGTGCAGTGGCGCGATCTTGGCTCACTGCAACCTCCGCCTCCCGGGTTCAAGCGATTCTCTTGCCTCAGCCTCCCGAGTAGCTGGGACTACAGGCGCGTGCCACCACGCCCAGCTAATTTTTGTATTTTCAGTAGAGATGGGGTTTCACCATGTTGGCCGGGATGGTCTCAATCTCCTGACCTCATGATCCCCCCGCCTCGACCTCCCAAAGTGCTGGGATTACAGGCGTGAGCAAATTCTGTTTTTAATGTACCATCACCAGATAGTGTACATTGATAGTGACCATTTCTGCGGATAAAGAACAAGTGTACATATATGTACATATATTTGCTTATTTATGAAAAAGAAAAAGCCTGGGGAAAAAAACAACAAACTAGTAACACTGTTTAATTCAAAGATTCTCTAAACCAGCACTCTCCAACCTTTTGGCACCAGGGTCCAGTTTCATAGATCAGATCAGTGATGGCATTGGATTCTCATAGGACCATGAACCCTATTGTGAACTGCACATGCAAGGGATCGAGGCTGCTGGCTCCGTGTGAGACTCTAATGCCTGACGATCTGAGGTGGAACAGTTTCATCCTTCAACCATTCTGCCAACCCTGCCCTGTCTGGGGTTGAGGACCCCTGCTCTATAAACCCTTTTATTCCCTTTGAATTTTGTGTCATGTGCATATTTCTTAAAATACACAAAATTTAAATTATAAACAAAACAAAGATATTCCAACATGATTTAAATAGCCAACAAAACTGTTTTCATTAAATGGCCTATGACAGATCTTTATAATACCATGTGCCCCTAAGAAATGCTTTTAAAATAATTATTTAATTATGTGAGGAAAAGTTTAAAAGTTATATATATAATGTGATTTCAATTTCTTTTTCTTTTTTTTTTTTTTTTTGAGACAGAGTCTTGCTGCGTTGCCCAGGCTGGAGTGCACTGGCAAGACCTCAGCTCACTACAACCTCCGCCTCCAGGGTTCAACCAATTCTCCTGCCTCACCCTCCCGAGTAGCTAGGACTACAGGCACGTGCCACCATGTCCAGCTATTTTTAGTAGAGACAGGGTTTCACCATGCCGGACAGGATGGTCTTGATCTCCTGACCTCGTGATCCGCCTGCCTCAGCCTCCCAAAGTGCTGGGATTACAGGCGTGAGCCACCTAGCCCGGCCGGATTTCAATTTCTTTAGCGAATAACCAGAAGACAAGACAGTGAGCTGTTAACATGCAAAATTAGGAGTCATTCCTTTCCTCATTAAATCCAAAGAGGTAGACATTGCAAACACATACTCAATTCTTGGAATAAATTAAGACATCCACTCACTTGCAAATATGTATGTTTATTTATTTCTATATGTGCATTATTATATACAATGTGATAAATAAAAAATATTTTAATGTAAAGAACCAAATATCTTTCCTAAATTATACTGAGGTCAAGAAAAAAAAATGCAGACCATAATAAAATGTATTGTATAGAAAGAAAAATTTCATCAAAACAGATGAGATTCTACCAAAGAAAAATTTATCACTTTAAAAATCTTAGCAACTGGGCCGGGCGCGGTGGCTTATGCCTGTAATCCCAGCACTATGGGAGGCCGAGGCGGGTGGATCACCTGAGGTCAGGAGTTCAAGACCAGCCTGGCCAACATGGTGACACCCTGTCTCTACTAAAAATACAAAAATGAGCTGGGCAAGGTGGTAGGCAACTGTAATCTCAGCTACTTGGGAGGCTGAGTCAGGAGAATAGCTTGAACCTAGGAGGCAGAAGTTGCAGTGAGACGAGATTGCACCACTACACTCCAGCCCAGGCAACAAAAGCCAAATTCTGTCTCAAAAAAAAAAAAAAAAAAAAAAAAATCTTAGAAAAGTAAGAGCAAAATGAACTGAGAGTTTAGAAATGAAACAAAATTACAAGCCAAACAGTAAAGAAAAATGATAATCTCAAAAGAAGAGAAAAAGAAAATAAAAAATAAAGCTGGGTGTGGTGGCTCACGCCTGTAATCCCAGCACTTTGGGAGGCTGAGGCAGGCAAATTACTTGAGCCCAGGTGTTCAAGACCAGCATGGGCAACATGACCAAACCCTGACCCTACAAAAAATACAAAAATTAGCCAGGCATGGTGGCGCACACCAGTAGCCCCAGTCCCAGCTACTCAGGGGGGCAGGGTTGAGGTAGAGCTGAGGCAGGAGGATCCCTTGAGCCCAAGAGGTTGAGGCTGAAGTGAGCCATGATGGAGCCACTGCACTGTGGCCTGGATGACAGAGCCAGACCCTGTCTCAAAAAAGAAAAAAAAAAAAAGATTAAAAAAAAATCAAGCTAATTAACTGAGAACATACAACATAAATCGACCACTTTACTTATTTGTAAAAGGAAATAAGATAGGACTCAATAAAATAAAAAATAAAAAACATATAATTAATTAAAAAGATTAAGAGCTTTATGGTAAACGATTCTCCATTAGTTACCAATATATTTGGAATTAAGATAGAAAGCTATGTAAAAAATGACAAACCAAAACAAATAAATGAAAAGGACACAAAAGGACCTAAAAAGAAGACAAGAAGAATTTTTTTCAAATAATAAACAGAAAAGGTCGCTGATGAAGTCACTGTAAGTTTTTTTTCCCCAACATTCAAAGAAAAAAATAATTATTGGCCGGGAACAGTGGCTCACGCCTGTAATCCCAGCATTTTGGGAGGCCGAGGCAGGCGGATTACAAGGTCAGGAGATTGAGACCATCCTGGCTAACACGGTGAAACCCCGTCTCTACCAAAAATACAAAAAAATTAGCTGGGCATGGTGGCAAGTGCCTGTAGTCCCAGCTACCTGGGAGGCTGAGGCAGGAGAATGGCGTGAACCTGGGAGGCAGAGCTTGCAGTGAGCCGAGATCGCGCCACTGCACTCCGGCCTGGACGACAGAGCGAGACTCCATCTCAAAAAAATAACAATTATTATTATTATTACCCAAAGCACAAAAAAGAATGTGTAAAGATGGCTATTGTAGTATAGTTAAGAACATCACTAAAAAACATCAGAATTACAAACTAATCTCATTTAATGAGAACAGATGAAAAATCTTAAATAACATCTCAGAAAGTATGTTATTCTTAAATTACACATTTTTAAAATTACTACTGTGATTAAGAAAGATGCATCCCAAAAAGGGCTGCGGATAAAGCACAAGGAAAACAACAACATTAATTAAATATAATATTATATAAGCAGGGGGAAAAATTCAACTAACTGGCTTAATTATTCCAGAAAAACCACCTGATAAAATTTGGTATCTATTTCTCAGTCAAATTCTATTTTAAAAAGAATGGCAAATGAGTTTGCTAAATGTAACACAGAGTTTATATTTTAAAACAGAAGACTTTAAAGTTCACAGAGAATGTATCTTCATGGTAAAAGGATAGGCAAGATTTATAAATTGGATATTAAAACTATGAAGTATTGTTTATCAAAAGACTACACTGAAAGTGTCAAAAGACAAGTCAGAGTGGAATAACATATGTGCAATCCTTTAACATATCCAGAATATACCAATGAATCAACAATTAAATAAGAAAAAGACAGAAAAATGAGCAAAATATCTGAATGGAGACTTCATAAAAGAGGATATCCAACTGACCAATACATCAAAGAAAAGGTGCTCAGATCAAGATGGCCAGCTAGAAATCCTTCACAAAGACGGCCAAAACAACAATTAAACAACTAGACTTTAACACAAATAACTGAGGAAGGGTGCCAGAGTGCATCAGAAGAGTTTATAAAAGAAACTCGAGATGACCACAGAGAGAGCAGAAGGAAATGCCAAGCTTCTATCACCCCAATCCCCAATCAGGATCAGCTGGGAACCAAAAGGACTTCTCCCTGCTGCAAGGAGGTAAGGAAGAGGATCCTAGCGATCCCTATCAATACCTTAGACACTTACAGACCTCACCACTGAGGAACCCTGCAGTCCTCATAGGCCTAAGCTGCCTGGAGTATACATACGTAGCTGTGCTCCCCACAGAGAAGGAGTCAACACCGTGCCCAGCTCCCTGTGGCCTGCGCTACACTATCCTGGAATTAGAACTATGGCTGGAGTGTGTCTTGCTCCAGGAGCAAGCAGCAAAAACTCCCCTTTTCCCGTGAGGATACACCCTAGACCAGTGGCCCAACATCCTCAAGCCGAGCTTTAAGCGGCTACTGTACCTTTCAGCATGGTGCCAAATGAAGATGGAGCCACTCCACCTACCCCTACCCCACCCCACTGGGCCAGATCTGATGCTTCCTGGATAAATTTTAAAATTTGCAGTTGCAAAAAAAAAAAAGAAAAGAAAAATACTGCAGCTTAAGACTTCAATGAATGAAATAAATATAATAGAACTAAAATAGCAGACATGATCAAGCATAAGACACAAATCTCTGAACTTGAAGATAAGTCTTTCAAAATTACCTACTCAAAGAAATAAGAAATGAGAATGAAAATGAAATGAGAACACCTACAAGACTTACAGGAAATCATTAAGCAAACAAATGTTCATGTTATGAAAGTTCCAGGAGGAGAAAAAAGGAAGCACAGAAAGCCTGCCAAATGAAATAGGTGAAAAGCTCCCAAGGCTGATAAGAGGTATGAACATACAGATCTAGGAAGCTCAAAGGTTCCAAAATAGATTCAACCCAAAAGGGTCTTCCCAAGGCATATTAATAGTTAAACTGTCAAAAGTGAAAGATAAAAAGAGAATTCTAAAAACAGCAAGAGAAAAAGGCATCAAGTTAATACAAGGAAATCCCCATTACACTAAAAACAGATTTCTCCAGAGAAACCTTATAGACCATGAGAGAATAAGATGATATATTCAAAATGCTGAAAGAAAAAAAAAACGTCAACCAAAAACACTATACCCAAAAAAGCTATCCTTCAGAAATGAAGTCTTTCCCAGACAAGCAAAAACTGAGGAAATTCATTACTATTAGCCAGGCCTTACAAGAAATGCTCAAGAAGGTCCTACATCTAGAAATGAAAAAATGATAATCACTACCATGAAAAAACATGAAAGTATAAAACTCACTGGTAGAACAAATACACAAAGGACAAAGAGAAAAAAATCAAACCTTATCACTATAGAAAACCATCAAACTGCAATGACAAACAATAAGACGGGAAGAAAAAAAGGAGACACGAATCAACCAGAAAACAATTTTTATAAGGACAGGAGGCTAAGTACTGTGGCTCATGCCTAGAATCCCAACACTTTGGGAAGCCAAGGCAGGAGGATGATCATGCCCAGGAGTTGGCGACCAGCCTGGGCAACAAAGCGAGACCGCCATCTCTACAAAAAATACAAAAGCCGGGCATGGTGGCAAACACCTGTAGGGAGACCAGGCCGGAAAGATTGCTTGAGCCCAGGAGTTCAAGGTTGCAGTAAACTATGCTTGTATCACTGCACTTCAGCGTGGGCAACAAAGTCAGACCCTATCTCTAAAAAAAATTTTTTTAAATTTCAAAACCCCCTCATGATAAAAACTCTTACGTTAGGTATAGAAAGAACACACCTCAACACAATAAAGGCTGTATATGACAAACTCACAGCTAACATACTGAATGGGGGAAATTTTATTTTATTGTATTTTTTTAAATTATACTTTAAGTTCTAGGGTACATGTGCACAACGTGCTGGTTATATATGTATAAGTGTGCCATGCTGGTGTGCTGCACCCATTAACTCGTCATTCCCCCCACCCCATGACAGGCCCCGGTGTGTGAAGTTCCCCACTCTGTGTCCAAGTGTTCTCATTGTTCAATTCCCACCTATGAGTGAGAACATGCAGTGTTTGGTTTTCTGTCCTTGCGACAGTTTGCTCAGAATGATGGTTTCCAGTTTTATCCATGTCCCTACAAAGGACCTGAACTCATCATTTTTTATGGCTGCACAGTATTCCATGGTGTATATGTGCCACATTTTCTTAATCCGGTCTATCACTGATGGACATTTGGGTTGGTTCCAAGTCTTTCCTATTGTGAATAGTGCCGCAATAAACATACGTGTGCGTGTGTCTTTGTAGCAGCATGATTTATAATCCTTTGGGTATATACCCAGTAATGGGATGGCTGGGTCAAATGGTATTTCTAGTTCTAGATCCTTGAGGAATCGCCACACTGTCTTCCACAATGGCTGAACTAGTTTACACTCCCACCAACAGTGTAAAAGTGTTCCTATTTCTTCACATCCTCTTCAGCACCTGTTGTTTCCTGACTTTTTAAGGATCGCCATTCTAACTGGTGTGAGATGGTATCTCACTGTGGTTTTGATTTGCATTTCTCTGATGGCCAGTGATGATGAACATTTTTTCATGTGTCTGTTGGCTGCATAAATATCTTCTTTTGAGAAGTGTCTGTTCATATCCTTTGCCCACTTTTTGATGGGGTTGTTTGATTTTTTTCTTGTAAATTTGTTTAAGTTCTTTGTAGATTCTGGATATTAGCCCTTTGTCAGATGGGTAGATTGCAAAAATTTTCTCCCATTCTGTAGGTTGCCTGTTCACTCTGATGGTAGTTTCTTTTGCTGTGCAGAAGCTCTTTAGTTTAATTAGATCAAATGGGGGAAATTTTAAAGCTTTTCCTCTAAGATCTGGAACAACTCAAGGATGCCTACTATCACCACTCCTACTGAACATAGTACTGGAAGTCCTATCCTAGCCAAAGCAATTAGGCAAGACACAGAAATAAAGGGCATCCAAATCGGGAAGGAGGAAGTTAAGCTGTTCCCGTTTGCAGACAACATGATCTTATATATAGAAAACTCTTAAAGTACTGCCATGAACTCCTAGAACTGATAAACAAATTCAGTAGTTCTAAGATATAAAATCAATACACAAAAATCAGTAACATTTTTACATACTAACAATGAATTAGCAGAAAAAGAAATCAATAAGCAATCGCATTTACAAGAACTAAAAAAAACCATAAAATACCTAGAAATAAATTTAACCAAGGAAGTGAAAGCTCTCTAAAAGGAAAACTTTAGGACACACACAAAAAAAATGGAAACACATTCCATCTTTATCTACAGATTCAATGCAATCCCTATCAAAATACCAATGAGATTATTTACAGAAACAGAAAAAAAAACCTAATATTCATATGGACCCGCAAAAGACCTTTAACAGCCAAAGCAATTCTGAGAAAAAAGAACAAAGCAAGAGGCATTACACTACGTGACTTTGAAATATACTACAAACTTTGTAATCCCAGCCTTTCAGGAGGCCAAGGCAGGAGGATCGTTTGAGCCCAGGAGATTAAGACCAACCTGCACAATATAGTGAAACCTCGTCTCTATTTCTAAAATTTAAAAATATACATAATGGTCCTGGGAAAACTATAGCCATATGCAGAAGAAAGGAACTAGATGCCTACTCTCATCATATTAAAAAAAAAAATGAACTTAAAGACTTAAATGTAAGATCCAATACTATGAAACTACTAGAAGAAAACATTAGGGAAGCATTACAGGACGTTTACTCTGGGCAAACATTTTCTGGAGAAGACCTCAAAAGCATAGGCAACAAAAGAAAAACTAGGCAAAAGCAAAAGGGATTACAACAAACTAAAAAGCTTCTGCACAGCAAAGGAAACCATTGGAGTGAAGCTATGAAAGAAAAATACAAACTATCCATCCAACAAGGGATTAATAACCAGAATATACAAGGAACTCACCAGTACACACACAAAAATACAAATAATCCAATTTTAAAAGTCAGCAAAAAAGCTGAATAGACATCCCTCAAAAGACATACAAATGGCCAACAGGTATATGAAAAAGTGCTCAGCATCACTAATTATCAGGGAAATGCAAATCAAAACCCCAATGAGATATCATCTCACCCCAGTTAGAATGGCAATTATTAAAAAGACAAAAAATAACAAATGATGGCAAGGATACAAAAAGAAGGAACTTAAATACACTGTTGGTGGAAATGTAAATTAGTATAGCCATTATGGGAAACAGTACAGATATTCCTCAAAAACTAAAATTGAACTACCATATGATCCAGCAATCCCATTACTAGGTATATACCAAAAGGAAAGAAATCAATGTCAATGAGATATCTGCACTCTCAGGTTTATTAAACCACTATTCACAAACACATACATAACGGAATACTGTTTAGCTATAAAAAAGAACGAAATTCTGTCACTGGCAGCAACATGAAGAGGCTTTTGTAGAACATTATGTTAAGTAAGATAAGCCAGACACAGAAAGATAAATACCACATATCTTGTGGAAGCTAAAAAAGTTGATCCCATAGCAAGTAGAGGATAGAATAGTGGTTACTAGAGGCGGGGAAAGGGAGGGGAGAAGGAAGGATAGCCAAAGGCTGGTTAACAAATATAAAAGTACAGGTAGATAAGAGAAATAAGTTCTAATGTTCTATAGCACTATAGAGTGACCATAATTAACAATAATTTACTGTATATTTTCTTTTTTCCTTTTTTTTTTTTTTGCAAAGATACAGGGTTTTGCTCTATTGCCCAGTGCAGTGGTGTGATCATGACTCACTGCAACCTCCAACTCCTGGGCTCAAGTGATCCTCCCACCTCAGCCTCCTGAGTAGCTGGGACAATAGGTGTGCACCACCACACCTGGCTAATTTTTTATTTTTATTTTTGTGGAGATGGGGTCTGCTATGTTGCCCAGGCTGGTGTATATTTTCAAATAGCTAGAACAGATTTTGAATGTTTTCAGCACAAAGAAATGTTTGAGGTGATGGATATGCTAACTACCCTGATTTTATCATTATATACTGTATACATGTATCAAAATATCACACTGTGCCCAATAAATACTAAATACCTACAATTATTTGTGATCATTAAAAACAATGAAAGCAAAAGAAAGGGTGCTCAGTCTCATTAGTCACAGGGTAATATAAATTAAAACCACAATGAATGACTACAATACACCTACAAAACTGGTTAAAATTAAACAGACTGGCAATACCAAGTGCTGAATAGGATGTGGAGTAACTAGACCTCAGATATATTTACAGTCACTTTGTACAACCACTTGGGAAAACTAAACATAGGCACACCCTACGATCCAGCATTCAGGCAAGAGACATACACATATATGTGCACAAAAGACTGTACAAGAATATTCTTGGTATCACTGTTTTTAATAGTTAAAAGTGGAAACAAGCCAAATTTTCATCAAAACTAAATTGTGGCACATTAAAAAAACAGAATAACATGACGTAGTAAAGAAAGTCAACAAACTGCTGCTACAACACGGAGATATGTCACAAATACAACAGAGCTAAAGAGGCCAGGCACACAAACAATTACGTACTATATGATTCCATTTACAAAAATTATAGTTAATATTTTAGAAACCTAATCCATGGTGTTAAAAATTTAATGCTTACCTTGGCAGTGGGAGGGAATGGTGTGGCTGGGCACAAGCATGGGAGGATGCTGGCATACTGTTTCTTTTCATGGGTAATAGCTACATCGGTATGTCCACAGTAATAACTCATCAAACTGTACATTTATTGGTTACGCACTTTTCTTAATATATGGTACGCTTCGGTAAAAATTTACTTAAAAAAATGAAAAACAAAGTTGAAAGAAAAAATACCTTTAAAAATACGAAAACTGGCAGGATGCGGTGGCTCAGGCCTGTAATCTTAGCACTTTGGGAGGCCAAAGCAGGCAGATCACTTGAGGATCACTTGAGGCCAGGAGTTCGAGACCAGCCTGGCCAACATGGTGAAACCCCATCTCTACCAAAAATACAAAAATTAGCTGGGCATAGTGGTGCACATCTGTAATCCCAGCTACTTGGGAGGCTGAGGCACAAGAATCGCTTGAACCCAGGAGGTGGAAGTTGCAGTGAGCCAAGATCACGCCACTGCATTCCAGCCTGGGTGACAGAGTGAGACTCCATCTTGAAAACAAACAAAAAGCAAAGAAAAAACCCAATCATGTCTCTAACTTCATGACACAGAAAAGCCATTAAAGGTATCTCAAGAAAAAAAGTAAAAGAAGATATCAATACAGGGAAGAAATATCAATTAAGGGAAAGGCTATGTTGCCAGTTAATGAAGAGAATTTCATATATTTTGATTCGATCTCGCATTCCATTTTTTCTATTTCTTTTTTAAAAAGCATAGTCTTGGCCGGGTGCAGTGGCTCACGCCTGTAATCCCAGCACTCTGGGAGGCCGAGGCGGGCGAATCACAAGGTCAGGAGATCGAGACCGGCCTGGCCAACTTGGTGAAATCCCGTCTCTACTAAAACACAAAAAATTAGCCGGGTGTGGTGGCACATGCCTGTAGCCCCAGCTACTTGGGAGGCTGAGGCAGGGGAATCGCTTGAATCCAGGAGGCGGAGGTTGCAGTGAGCCAAGATCTTGCCACTGCACTCCAGCCTGGCGACAGAGCAAGACTCCATTTAAAAAAAAAGCAAGAAAAAAAAAAGGAGTCTCTAGCCAAGCAATTTCACATCTATGACTCTACCTATGGAAACAGAAGAATGTTAGGATATATGTAAGAAAACTTTACTGCTGCTTTATTTAATGACAAACACTGAAGATTACTGAGTATCTATAGCTAAGGGAATGGTTAAATAAATTGGTATGTCTGTATTATGGAACAGTCTGTAGCCATTAAAAAAAAAACCTTAAGAAGCTCATATACTGCAATGGAATAATGATAATATTCTTGTGCTTTAAAAAAAAAGTGCACATATAGAAAAAGGTCTGGAAGACTGCTTCTTGGGAATATGATTGGTGAGCAACACAGCAAGAGTTAAGTAGCCAGAGGCAATAAAGGATGTAACCTGCACAGATTACTTTCAGTTTTAAATCATTAAGAGTTGTTCCCCCAAACAAACATGTATTACTTTTATAATATAAAAATGAAATCAAAAACTTCTTTGCCCTCTATCTTCAAACTTTTCTAGATATCATGCTTTGCTTATATGAGAATCCACATTACCCTTGATTGTGATAATTTTCACAATCAAGGGCAACCTAATCCTCTGATTTATGCTGCTTTTACTGCCTTTCAAGTTTTTTATACCTGAACTCTTCAATACTAGTCCTCATGAACACAATGGAAGAAAGTAATCCCTCTCTATCCCTATTTTACTAGAGCATTTCTTTCACCCTAAAAAACTACTAGACAGTGGTTCACGCCTATAATCCCAGCACACTGGGAGGCCGAGGCAGGTGGATCACTTGAGCTCAGGAGATCCGAGACCAGCCTGGGCAACATGGCGAAACCCTGTCTCTACAAAAAATACAAAAATTAGCCAGGCATAATGGCGCACACCTATAGTCCCAGCTACTTGGGAGGCTGAAATAGGAGGATCACTTGAGCCCAGGAGGTGGAGGTGGCAATGAGGCGAGATCACACCACTGCACTCCAGCTTGGATGAAAGAAGGAGACCCTGTCTTAAAAAAAATAATAAAAAATTAAAAAATACTAGAGACAGAGTGATACATTATATAATAAAAGAGTCAATGTAGCACTAAGAGGATGTTAGCAATCCTAAATGTATCAAACTAAGCTGTAAAATATGCAAAGAAAAATTGATAGAAATGAACAAGAAACAAATCCACAATTATTGTCAGCGACCCCTCTCTCAATAATCAATAGAACTAGACAGAAAAATCAGCAAGGACAAAGAAGAACTCAGCACCACCATGAACCGATAGGATCTAATCAACATTTATAGAGCACTCCACCCAACAAGAGAAGAACATATATTTGTTCTAAGTGTCCACAGAATATACACCAAGATAGACTATATCTTGGACCATTAAAAAAAACTCAATAAATTTAACAGAACTGAAATCATACAGAGAATGTTTTCTGACCGTAATGGAATGAAATTAAAATCAATAGCAGAAAATATCCAAACACATGGAAACTAAACAACAGACTTATAAATGACCCATAGCTGCCAGGCGCGGGGGCTCACGCCTGTAATCCCAGCATTTTGGGAGGCTCAGGCAGGCGGATCACCTGAGGTCAGGAGTTTGAGGCCAACCTGACCAACACGGAGAAACCCTGTCTCTACGAAAAATACAAAATTAGCCAGGTGTGTTTGTGCATGCCTGTAATCCCAGCTACTCAGGAGGCTGAGGCAGGAGAATCACTTGAACCCGGGAGGCGAAGGTTGTGGTGAGCTGAGATCATGCCATTGCACTCCAGCCTGGACAACAAGAGTGAAACTCTGTCTCAAAAAAATAAAAATAAAAATAACCATAGGTCAAAGGATAGGAGTTTCAAAGAAAATAAAAATTACGTTGACCTAAATGAAAACTAAAATGAAATATACCAAAATTTATGGGATACAACTAAGGCAATGTTGAGACAAAAATGTAATTGCTTTAAATACATACACTAGGAAACAGAAAAAGTTCCCAATAATCTATGCTCCACCTCAAACACTTAGAAAAAGAGCAAAATAAACTCAAAGCAAGTGAAGGAAGGAAATAATAAAGAACAGAAATAAATTGAAAACTGAAAAGCAAGATAGAAAAATCAGAGAAACACAGAACCGGGTCTTTAAAGAGATCAATAAAATTGACAACGTCCAGCAAGACTGAACTAAAAGGTGAGGACACAGACAAGACACCCCCACGCCCCCACAGACAAACACAATTAGCAACATCGGGAATAAAACAGGAGATATCACTACAGATCCTGCAGACATCAAAAGGATAATAAGGAAACACTGTAAACTCTACACATATTAATTCAACAAGTTAGATGAAACGGACCACTTCTTCAAAAAACACAAACTACCACAACTTACACATACAAAATACATCACTTGAATAGCCCTATAAACATTCAGGAAATGAAATGCATAATCTAAAAACTCCCAAAAAAGAAATCTCTTGGCCCATATGAAATTCTGCCAAACATTTAAAGAATTAAAAACAATTCTACACAATCTCTTTCAGAAAACAGGAAACTTTCCAATTGATTTAATTTAAACTAGCGCTACCCTGATACCAAAACCAGACCAAAGCAGCACAAAAAAAAAACTACAGAGCAATATTGCTCACGAACATACAAACAAAAGTCCTTAACAAAACATTAGCAAATAAAATTCAGCAATATATATGTAAGTATATGTGTGTGTGTGTGTGTGTGTGTGTGTGTGTGTGTGTGTGTGTGTGTAGATCAAGTAGAATCTATTCCAGGAATGCAAGGCTGGTTCAATATTTAAATATCAATCAAGGCAATACACCATATTTATAGGCTGAAGAAGAAAAATCACATGGTCACATCAACTGGTGCAGAAAAAGCATTGGACAAAATACAACACTCATTCATTGTTTAAAAAGACACTTAGAAAAACTGTTATAAAAGATTACTTTCTCAACTTGACTTTTTAAAATCTACATAAAACATATAGCTAACATACTTAGGGGGATGCTTTCCCCCTAAGATAGGGAACAAGGCAAGGATGTTCCCTCCCACCCATTTTACTTAACATGGTGCTAGAAATTCTAGCCAGTGCAATAAGGCAGAAGGAAATAAAAGGCGTACATATCAAAAATGAAGAAATCAAACTGTTACTATTTGTAGACAACATGACCAGCTACACAGAAAATAAATTCCAAGGAAATGACAAGGGAAAAAAAAACCTCCTAAATAAATTCAGCAATGCTGGAAGATACCAGATAAACATACACACACAAACACACACACACACACAAACACACACACACACACACACACACACACCCCAATGGTATTTCTATATACTAATAATCAACACAGAAACTAAAATTTAAAATATGATACACCATTTACAATTGCTCCAAAAAAACAACATATTTACAAACAATTCTAACAAAACATGTACTGTACTTGTATGCTGAAAACTATATAACAGCAACAAAAGAAATAAAGACTCTGAGTTCCCCAGACTGACAAGGCAAGCACAGCTGCTGGCCTCTGGGGAACAAAGGCAGTGATAGGTAGTGGCAGGCAGTCGCAGCACCAAGAATGGTCAAATGCTCTTCTCACCCCTCCTCCATCCACCAGCATGCACTGCACCACCCGCAAGCCCTCAGCTACACCCACCACTGCCAGTCACCTGACCAGCTACCTGCCCACTGTCCCTGTGCCCATAGCATGAGGGAACTGATGAGTCAAAGAGAGTACAGGCTGGCCACTTGACCTACTTACCCTGCTGATTGTCTATTTCTATAAGAGTTTAGTTTTCTAAAAACTTTTGTATATAAAACTTTTTTTTAAAGCTGTCTCCAACTAATATTTGATCCAAAGAAGGATCCAAAGAAGGATCTCTGGAAATTTGGGGTTTTTTGGTTTTGGCCTTCCCCTTCCCCTTCCCCTTCTCCTTCTTCTTCTTTTTAGAGACAGGCTGGAAGACCCAGGCTAGAATGCAGAAGCATGATCACGGCTCACTGTAACCTGGAACTCCTAGGCTCAAGTGATCCTCCTGCCTCAGCCTCCTCAAGTAGCTGGGACTACAGGTCCCACCTCACCAACCAAAGTTTTTGGTTTTGTTTGTTTTTTTTGTTTTGCTTATTGTTTTGTTTGTTTTCTGTAGAGATGGGGTCTCACCACATTGCCCAGGCTGGAGGCTTCATTTCTAATCTTTCTATCCCCTCTTCATTGGCTTTGAGATACCCCTGCTGCTTCGGGCTCCTGAGGGCCTTCAGGGCCCCACATTAATGAGGCAGCCACCTAGCAAGTCTGACATGGCTGTCAGTGACCCACTGTTCCAGTCTCTCTCCATGTTGCATTCCACCCAACGGGAAGCAGAAGACACCGTCCGGCAGTTGAAGGTGCTCTCCACATAAAGCGACTTCCCCTGGTGCTTCCCAGCCACCCTATGACCTGGTGACAGACTTGGGAGAGCGGCTGAGTTGGCGTAGCTTTCAGTGGTAGCAATGCCACATTCCATGGGAGGAGTCCCATGACCTCATGGACCAGGACTTCATCCCTTCCAATTCGCTGCTCCGGCAGGAGTCAGTGGCCGCCACCGTGTCCTCGCTGGCGTCAGCCGATCGTCCTCCCCACCAGCGCACCGGCCACCGGCCGCTTTGACTAGCCATGCAGGCCAGGGGCATCGGGGCGTTGGACCGGGCAACACCGGCGGAGGCCTCCTCTACAGCCGGGAGTGTGGGCCCCGCCCACAGCTCCCTTCAACCTGGAGGACTTCAACAGCGTGAGACCCCTGGGCGACTGGACGGCAGGGCTCCCGCGCCCAGAACTTAACCCGTGTAAGTTCCACCGCAGCCGGCAGGCTGGCAGGCAAGTTCCATGTGGACAGCGTCAAGGAGTGCCCCTGGGAACGAGTTCGGCAGCTCTTTGGTCTTCAGTGTGAGCAAAGGCAGCCGTGCCGGCACCCACTCAGCAGTGGGGGCACCCTACAGCCGCAGGCCTCCAACGTCTGGCCCATAGAGGCCCACCTGGGCACAGGCCCCGCTTTCAGCAATGCCCAAAGGCGACTTCCCCCCGGATAGCAGCTCCTTTACCAAGACTATTCCGACCCTGGGTCCCAAGGAACTGCTGAGCAGCAGGGACTGTCACCCTGTGCTGCTGCTCCCCTGGGCTTCTGTGCCACCCAGCCCAACTTCCCACTCTTCCTGCCCGACCAGATGTAGCTGCAGGTCTCGCTGCTCCGTTACCAAGAGCTCGTGGCACCCTGTTCCTGCATCTTGGAGGAGCACAAGCCAAAAAAGATCACTACCCACACTTGGGATTACATAGGCAGCGGCAAAACCTACACAGACAGCTCTCGCCTCAAGAAACACCGCAAACCTACACAGATGAGAAACCTTACCACTGGGCCTGAGATGGCCGTGAGTGGAAATCTGTCCTCTCAGATGAACTGACCAGGCACTATTGCCAACACACAGGGAACAGCCCGTTCCAATGCCAGAAGTACAACCCTGCATTTTCCAGGTCAGACTGCCTTGCCTTCCACATGAAGCACTTTTAAATCACAAACAGTGGATATGACCCACGCCGCCAGAAGAGAATTCAGTAGCTTTTTTTTTTTTACCTTTCACACTGCCTCCCCAGTGAGAAGAGGAGGCCACCTGGGAAGCACTACAATCATGGTCAAGTGCTGAACTCAGTCAACTTGTGAGTGAATAATCAAGAAAAATTAGGAATCCAAAAGATAAAAATCAAAGAACAGTTGGGATCTGTGATTGGATCTACTATCACTCCAATTCTAAATCCAACTTGAATATTCCTGGACTTAGAAAACACCAAGCAGGTGACTGGAAGTTGTGGATATAAGGGTATACATGAAATCCCTAAGTTGAGGGGAGGGAAAACTAGAATTCCCTTGAATTGTGTTTTAATACGATATAAGCATGAAGATCACCTTGTATTCTCTTTGCCTTCTAAAAATCATTATTATGATGTTAGAAGAAGAAATTCAGATACAGAAAATGTGTGTTAATATCCTAAATAATGGTGCTTGGTTAGTCTTGGTTCTAAAAGCACTAAACAAGGAAGCCAAAGTTCTGAAACTGCTGCATACTTTGACAAGGAAAATCTACTTTTGTCTTCTGATCTACATTTATGACCTAAGTAAGATAAATAAGCCTTGTTTATGTCTTTAACATTTTGGTCAGATGCAGTGGCTCAACACCTGTAATTCTGACGCTTTGGGAGGCCAAGACAGGAGGACTGCTTGAGCCCAGGAGTTCCTAGACCAGCCTGGACAAAACAGTGAACCCTAACTCTTAAAAAAAAAAAAAGGAAAAAGGAAAAAGAAAAAGAAAAAAATTACCCAAGTGTGGTGGTACACACCTGTAGTCCTAACTACTCAGGAGGCTGAGGCAAGAGGATTGCTTGAGCCCAGGAATTCAAGGTTGCAGTAGGCTAAGGTCGCACCTCTGCACCCCAGCCTGTGCGACAGAGCAAGACCCTGTCTTAAAAAAACAAAACAAAACAAAACTTACCATTTTTTGTAGTTTGTTATGCACTGTGGTTTCAGATGTGCAATAATTTGTCAAATGGTTTATTCCCAAGTATGCTTAAGACAGAATAAAATTTTTTTCTATGTAGTTACCTGCCTTAATAAATATGTAATAAAAATTTAAGTAAACTACTTCCGTATATTTGTAAATAACAAAGTAAAAAAAAATGAACATTTTGTAAACATTGAAAAATGAACATTTTGTGAACAAATGAACATTTCTCATCTCAGGATGAGAATTATGTTTTAAATAAACCTATAATATTTCATCTGGGGAAAAGAAACAGATTTAAGTAAGTAGAGAGACAGATCATGTTCATGGATTAAAACCTCAACATAATAAAGACGACAATTATCCCCAAATGGACATATGGGTGTAATATAATTCTTGTCAAAATATTGGAAAGCTTTTTTGTATATTAGACAAGATTATTCTAAAATTTATATTGAAAGGCAAAGGAACTAGAATAACTAAAATGATTTTGAAAAACAAACTGGGAGGAATCAGTCTAACCAACTTCAAGACTCATTAGACAGCTACAGTAAGTAATCAAGACTGTGTGATATACTGGCCAGGAGCTGTGGCTCACACCTATAATCCCAGCACTTTGAGAGCCCAAGGCGGGTGGATTACTTGGGCTCAGAAGTTCGAGACCAGCCTGGCCAACATGGTGAAACCCCGCCTCTACAAAAATACAAAAAAAAAAAAAAAAAAAAAAATAGCCAGGCGTGGTGGCACACACCTATAATCCCAGATGCTCGGGAGACTGAGACAGGAGAATCGCTGGAACCTGGCAGGCGGAGGCTGCAGTGAGCCAAGATTGCACCACCGCACTCCAGCGGCAACAGAGCGAGATTCCGTCTCAAAAAAAAAGAAAAAAAGACTGTGTCGTGTTGGCAAGAGACAGACATATAAATCAATGGAACAGAATGGAGAACCCAGAAAGAGATCCACACAAAAATGCTGAACTGATTTTGTACAAAGGCACAAAAGCAATTAAATGGAAAAAAGATGCCGTTTCAACAAATGATGCTTGGGCAATTGGCTTTCCATAGGCAAAAAAAAAAAAAAAAAAGAATCGCAACCCAAGTCTCGCACCTAAAGCTAGGCAAAGAGTTCTTAGACTTAACACTAAAAGCACTGCCACAAAAGAAAAAAATCATAAATTCTACATCATTAAAATTAAAATATTTTCCTCTGGAAACCATATTAAGATAATAAGAAGACAAGGTGCACAGTGGGAGAAAATATTAACAAACTACAAATCTGCCAAAAGACTAGCATATATAAAGTAGTCTCAAAAGCAACAGTAGAGGCCAGGCACCGTGGTTCACACCTGTAATACCTTAGGAATTACACCTTGGAAAGGTGAGGCAGAAAGATGGCTTGAGGCCACAAATTCAAGACCAGCCTGGACAACATAGCGAGACTCCATCTCTACAAAAAGTTAAAATATTAGCCGGGCATGATGGTATGTGCCTGTAGTCCCAGCTACTCGGGAGGCTGAGATGAAAGATTTGCTTACGCCCAGGAAGCTGAGGCAGTAGTGAGCCATGATCGTGTCACTGTACTCAAGCCTGGATGAAAAAGCAAGACCCTATCTCAAAAAAACAAAACAAAACAGTTAATACAAACAATCCTATTAGAAATGGACAAAAGACTTGGAAAGATGTTTCACTTAAGACATCATTAGTCATTTGTAATACGCAAATTAAGACCACCCTGGGGCATCACTACATACCTATCAGAATAAAAGTAGTGACAACACCAAATGCTAGAAAGGATGCAGAGAAACTGAATCCCTCATACACTACAGATAGGAATATAAAATGGTACATCCAGGCCAGTGTGGTGGCTCACGCCTGTAATCCCAGCACTCTGGGAGGCCGAGCCAGGAGGATTACTTGAGGTCAGGAGTTGGAGACCAGCCTGGCCAACACAGTGAAACCCCGTCTCTACCAAAAATATAAAAAATTAGCCAGGTGTGGTGGTGCACACCTGTAATCCCAGCTGCTCTGGAGGCTGAGGCAGGAGAATCACTTGAACCTGGGAGGCGGAGGTTGCAGTGAGCCAAGATCACATCACTGCATTCCAGCCTGGAAGTCAGAGCGAGATTCCATCTCAAAAAAAAAAAAAAAAAATACATCCACACTGGAAAACAGGGCAGCAATATCTTAAAAAACTAAACATGCAACTACCATACAACCCTGCAAGAGCACTCCTGGGCATTTATTCCAGAGAAAGGAAGACTATGTTCACATAAAAAAATAAAAAAACCTGGCTGGGCATGGTGGTGCACACCTGTAATCCCAGCACTTTGGGAGGCTGAGGTGGGTGGATCACCTAAGATCAGGAGTTCGAGACCAGCCTGGCCAACGTGCCGAAACCCCGTCTCTACTAAAAATACAAAAATTATCTGGGCATGGTGGTGGGTGCCTGTAATCCCAGCTACTCGGGAAGCTGAGGTGGGAGAATCGCCTGAACCCGGGAGTGGGAGGGTGCAGTGAGCCAAGATCGTGCCACTGCACTCCAGCCTGGGCAACAGAGCTAGACACCATAAAAAATAAAAATAAAAAAAAAAAGAAAAACCTGTCCACAAATTTTTATAGCAGCCTTATTCGAGATAGCCAAAAACTGGAAACAACCTACATGTTTTTCAACAGGTAAATAAAAAGACTTGTGATCTTTTCATACCATGAAATACTACTCAGCAACAAAAGGGAACAAACTTGATAAAAACATCTTAGATAAATCTCCAGAGAATCATGCTGACTGAAAAAAAGCCAGTCCTTATAGTGACTCTAGATAACCTCAGGCTAATCACACACTCCCATGTGGCAGCAACAACCCATATGAACGTCTGCCATATCAACTTTTGATGATAGTCACCATGCCTACCACGGTGACCATGGGTGACAGGGAATCAGGGTTTGATTCCAGAGTCAGAGTCTGAGAAATGGCTACCACATCCAAGGAAGGTAGCAAGCATGCAAATTACCCACTCCCAACCCAGGGAGGTAGTGACAAAAAATAAAAATACAGGACTCATTCAAGGCCCTTCAAGTTTTTTCTTTTTAAAAATTTTTTTAATTTATAATATAAAATTTAAGAAAACAGAAAAAAGCCAATCCAAAGGTTACATACTATATGATTCCATTTATGGAGCAGTCTTCAAATGACAAAATTACAGAAATTAAAGAACAGATTAGAGACTGACAAGGGTTAAGGAAGAAGTGGGGGAAGGAGGAAACTGAGTGTGGCTACAAAAGAGCAACAGACATGAAGAATCCTTGGAGTGACAGAAATGTTCTGTATCTCACTGTATCAATGTCAATATCCTAGTTCTAACATTGTACCATAGTTTTTCCATATATCACCATTGGGGGAAACTGGATAAAGTACAGACAGGATCTTTCTGCATTATTTATTACAACTGCATGTGAATCTACGATTATCTCAAAATAAAAAGTTTGTTTTCTTAAAAAAGATGGTAGATAGTTCCATCTGAAGTAGCACTTACGGCCAGGCACTGTGGCTCTTGCCTGTAATCTCAGCACTTTGGGACAGTTAGGCAGAAGGCTCACTGGACGCCAGTAGTTTGAGATCACTCTGATCAACATAGTGAGATCCCATCTCTAAGAAAAAGAAGAAAAGAGAAAGAGAGGAAGGAAGGGAGGGAGAAAAAGAGGAAGGAGAGGAAGGGGAGGGAAGGAGAGAAGGAGGGGGAGAGGGATGGGGGAGGGAGAGAGGGGGGAAGGGGGAAAGAAGACAGGGAGGGAGGGAAGGGGAGGGAGAGAGGAAAAGAAAAGAAAAGAAAAGGCAAGGCATTTATACAACAGCTTCCAAACAACACTGTATCTGAAAACTGGTCATTAGGATTCTTGGCATTTGCCTTTAAAAAAAAAAAAAAAAAAAGAAGAAGTCTTATTTTGGGCAGCCAAAAATCATCACTTGGAAGCATACTTTGTCATCAGAGGCACAAAAGGGTATGTTCCTGATTAACAGGACATATTCAATCTACAGTTAGTAGTAAAGTTATCTGTTACGCCCCAAAACCAGTTGTCCATCAAGAATTCTGGGTCCCAAACCAGGCCGAAATAAAATATAGGCACATCCTCCTTTTAAAGGATCCAAGTTAGGAACAGCCAGATTTATTCCCAAAACAATGCACTGGTTTACCAAAACATGTTTTACCTTTCAAAGGACCTCTTTGTGGCATGCTTCCTCAGCACATTTTAAAGGACCCTTTTGATTAAAACTCCACTTAGCTCTTCTTTTTCAGAATCTTATCTGCTTAAGCCATATGGAGCACTCCCCCATGGGACCAAGTAACTCCTCTCAATTTCACAGGGGAAGACACTAAGGCTTAGTTACATGACCTGCTCAGGATCCTGGGTAGTAGCAGTCCTGTCTTCTGACTCCTATGTCACTGCTCTTGTTCAAGTCCATTATTTCTGCTATTCCAACTTTAAACAATTATTCTGGTGGGATTCTCTTCCATTTAGACCTCACATTATACAGAGACTGTTAAACTGAACCCTGCAGGACACAGTCCTCATGAAATCCAGAGATAGAGGCACTTTGGACAGCTGCTTTATAATACTGATGAGGAACACCCAGGTCCATCACGCTGTGAAATGAGAGAGAACAGGTCCTTCAGGCAGGAGCTGGCCACATTCTCTTTCCAGCTCTGTCCCTCACTACACGTTTGTCTTCACCAACTATCTTACCTAACTACGGGTTGGCTTTTTTACCTTGAGTAAAACAGCAGCAACAAGAAAAAATATTTACTTCCTCTTCAATGAAAGGAAGAGTACAATGAGATAAACTTAATTGTTCATGTTCCTCAAAACGGAAGCATAAATTATACATGTGGCTGGACAATTATAATCACCAGCCCGGGACCATCCTTCTTTGGGGTTCAGATTCCTTTCAGTATTTACAACCCCTTTGCAATGGAAGGGGACAGTTTTAAGAGATTCAATGATTTGCCTGAAGTCACAGAGTTTGATCTGTGTCTCATTTGTTTCTAAATCCTTGTGTAGTCTTCTTGGTGTCACATGCTGCTATTCCTAATCATTAGGGATACAGGGAAAAGAAAAGGTTTAATTACTACTGTCAAGTAGGCCAGGGTTTTTCTACATCAGCACTACTGACATTTTGAATGGATAATTCTTTGTTGTGGGAGGCTGTCCTGTAGGATATTTAGCAGCACCCTTGGATTCTAACCACTAGAGGCCAGTAGCATTCCCCTCTGCCAAGCTGTGACAACCAAAAATGTCTCCAAATGCTCCCAAATGTCCCCCACTGAACAAAAGTGCCCCTGGTTGAAAACTACTGTGCTTTACATATAACATAGAAATACGTGGAAACAACCACCTAGGAGAAGAACTTTACAGAAGGCATAATTCTCTTCAAATATCTGAAAAATTTCCATATAGAAGCAGGAACGGATTTGGCATGCCAGGGAGCAGACCTATACCCAGTGGGTTCAAGCTACATAATAATAAAATCAGCTAACATTTATTCTTCCTATGTGCCAGGCACTGTTCAGTACACTTTGAAGTATTATTTCATTTAGTCCTCACAATAACCCTGTGAAGTCAGTAGTACTGGCCCCACTTTACAGGTGAAAAAGTTGAGGCTCAGAAGAGAATAGTTAAAATAATTTGCCCAAGGACCAAGAGCTAATAGCGAAAGGCAGAACTCGTACTCAAACCAAGGTCCAATACTGACCCCAAGCTCTTAATTGCCAAGTATTATGACCATGACAAATTAAGGATTTTACCTCAGTAAAATAAAGAAAATAAAGAACTTTTTGACTTAAAAACTGTTTCTTTCATATGGAGATTTCTCAAAGAACTAAAAATAGAACTACCATATGGCCCAGCAATTCCACTACTGGGTATCTACCCAGAGGAAAAGACATCATTATACAAAAAAGGCACCTGTACTTGTATGTTTATTGCAGCACTATTCACAATACCAAAGTGATGGAACTAACCTAAGTGTCCACCAATGGTTGACTAGATAAAGAAAATGTGGTATATATACACTATGGAATACTACACAGCCATAAAAAAGAATGAAATCAGGCTGGGCATGGTTATTCATGCCTGTAATCCCAGCAATTTGGAAGGCTGAGGCAGGACGACTGCTTGAGTCCAGGAGTTCAAGACCAGCCTCGGCAACATAGACAACACCCCATCTCTACAAAAAAAATTTTAAAAATCAACTAGATGCTGTGGTACACATCTGTAGTTCCAGCTACTCAGGAAGCTAACGTGAGAGGATCACCTGAGCCCAAGAGGTTGAGGCTACAGTGAGCCATGATCACACCACTGCACTCATGACAGAGTGAGACTCTGTCTCAAAAAAAAGAATGAAATAATGTCCTTTGCAACAACATGGAGCTAGAGGCCATTATCCTAAGAGAACTAATTCAGAAACAGAAAATCAAATACTCCATGTTCTTACTTATAAGTGGGAGCTGAACAATGGATACACATGGACTTAAACATGGAAATAACAAACATTGGGGACTGGAAAAGGAGGAAGATTGAGGGAGATTGAAAAATTACCTATTGGGTACGATGTTCACTATTTGGATAATGGGTACACCAGAAGCCCAGTCCCCACCAGTAGGCAATATATCCATGTAACAAACATGCACATGTACCCCCGACTCTAAAATAAAATTTCTTTAAAAAAAGAACTGTTTATTTTGCAAACAATGATTTCCGCAGCCACCATCTCAATCCTATCTGTCCAGATCAGGTCCAGAAAACCTGCCTTCCTTCGTAACTTTCAGGGAAGTGTCTGCTCTGAACTCCACTGAGCCCCTGTACAATACTCAATCCTTCCTACTTCAAGTTACTCAAACTTAGTAACATCCTACTTACATGACAAGCTCCATGAGAACAGGGGCAACCAGCTTCTCACATATATTACACTCACCCCCATACAAAGCCTTGCACATACTGTGGCTCAATAAACACTTTCTAAATAAATGTTCCTGAGGCCGAAAGCCTCCCATACTATCCCTACCCTCCAAAGCCCACACCATGAGGGATGTTTTAAGCAAGCACCTTGAAGAGATGTGATTCTTGCATTAGAACTGAAGATTTTATTGGATATGCTCTGAGTTTTTTCCAACTCTGAGAATCTGAGTTAGGAAAAGTCAGAAAGGGACAGATGACGGGCAACATAGGCTTCCGGCTACATCTTCAATCAAGCTACCAAGGACTCCCTTGATTATGACCAGAAATCATGTGTCAGGGACTACATCTATTTATGCGTGCACGTATATGTATATACACTTACATGTATGTGTATACATATACACATATACATGTATATCTGCAAATGCATATCTATCTCTCTGTTCCCTCTGTAAGAAATTAAGCAGACAGGCTGGGCGCAGCGGCTCACACCTGTAATCCCAGCACTCTGGGAGGCCAAGGCAGGCGGATCACCTGAGGTCAGCAGTTTCATACAGCCTGGCCAACATGGTG
This sequence comes from Homo sapiens, assembly GCF_000001405.40. Lineage (NCBI taxonomy): Eukaryota > Metazoa > Chordata > Mammalia > Primates > Hominidae > Homo > Homo sapiens. The sequence continues at coordinate 4,795,279 of NC_000009.12, read as the reverse complement.
AAACCCCATCTCTACTAAAAATACTCTACTAAAAATTAGCTGGGCATGGTGGCAGGCACCTGTAATCCCAGCTACGAGGGAGGCTGAGGCAGGAGAATTGCAGGAACCCAGGAGGCGGAGGTTGCAGTGAGCCGAGATCGCACCACGGCACTCCAGCCTGGGAGACAGAGTAAGACTCTGTCTCAAAAAAAAAGAAAGAAATTAAGCAGACAAACATCTACAAGGTTTCTGAGGCCCTGAAGCCAGCGCAAGGATGTACAAATAACTAGGAGTCTCTTTCTTCCCCTGGTATATGAACGGGGTAAGGCAAATAATGCTCTACAGTAATGTTCCCCATAAAATACCAGCACACCTGCCAAGCAGTTCTACCTCCCTCAGGTATCAGCGTCTGACACCCTTTCAAGAAAGTGCCAAGTGGCCAAGCCCTGTTCTTGGAAGAAACGGGAGCTCATATGTGTGAGATGCTTTGAAGAGATGCTCACATACAGTGGAGGGGGAGAAGGAGAAGCATACTTTGGAACATTAAATATTAAATTGGAGGCCACCTGTCAATAGAAAAACTCTAAATAGAACTAGATTCATTTTAGAGAACCCAGGTTTCCAGGCTATACTTCCATTTCTCTGGAAAAAAAAAAAAAAGTTATGCCTACTTTTATACAAAGTAGAAGTCCATCTTCTTACCATATCCAGCTAGTGGCAAGTTCTCTGAGCTAACCTGAGGGTAAAGTGGATGGAGAGCTGGCTGAGAATGCCACACAGCAATCAAGCAAACACTTTGCCCAAGGGTCAAACTAAGTGGAACACTTGTTGACGGAAAAGTCGTGGCATAAACCATTTGTGGTCTCTCCCTAACTTTCTCAGTGTTTTTGAGCAGTAGAGAGAGGACAGGAACCACCAACACAAGTTTTTCCTACCATCACTAGGTTTCTCACCACTGTACCTGGGATATTCTGCTTCTTTCCTTCCTAACCTATCTCCGTCAATAGCATGGCATCTTCTGCCCTTTATGTGCAGCCAATCACCACCCAAGAGAGGCAGAGATCTAACTATCCAAAAAATGCATTCAGACAGATAAAACAAGAGCCAGTGCAAAATGAAACACATCAGCGCCGCTCAGGAAGCTTCCAGGACCAACCACAAACACTCTTTTTCAATTTACAGACAGGTTTTTTCCTTTTTCACCTGACTACTGACTCGCCCAACTTGGGATAACCACCAGTCAGAAGCTTTTAAATGCATGTATCTCATGCCAGGGGGCCAGGTGTAAACCAAGGCCAGTTGAAAACCGGCGCCATTTAATGAGATGTGGGTTTAAATGGGCCTATTTCTTTTTAACCTACCATTGCAGAGCAAGAAGTGAGCTTGGAAGCCTGCAGTTTAGCGATTGTCACCGACCCCTTTTCTAAAGTCAAGGCAATTAGGCCCATGACTGTTAAAAGTCTATCTCAAAGCTCCTGTCCTGCGCACATCAATCACAGTCACGGCTGAAAACAAACACAGAATTTTAAAAATTTCTTTATCCACACCCAAGGACAAGTGTGAGGGCAGCCGAGAAATCATGGCGACAGGAACAGCCGGTGTCCAAGGGGGCAGCTGCTTCTGAGAACTGCTTTGAGACAGGGCAGAGAACCAACCCAAGGTACTTTTCTCTCCCAATGTCTCTCCCCCGGCTCATTCACCATATTTCGGTCCAACAAACTGTTTTTCTCCTTTGAGAGGTTTATGGCGAGGGCAAGAGGGGCCGAAGGGACGCGAAGGGGCGACGCCAGGGATTTGTTGCTACACGTAAAGCTGGAAAACGTGCAGCTGTTTACTACCAGCGCCCCGGAGACGCCGAGCGCAGCTTGCAGCTGAGCGCTCCCCTCGGGCCCCGACCCCGCCTCCCCCACTGTGCCTGCCCCTCCGGCTTTGGAGGCGACGCGCCACCTGCCCTCCCCGACGCGCTCGCCGGACGCCGAGCCGCCCAACCAACACCGCGCGGGCCCCCACGGCATCAGCTCGGTCTCCCCTCAGCCCCCGCGCCCACGCCGCGCGCCGCCCACACCAAGTTACCTCGGAGGCCCGGGTTGTCGTCTCTGGCCCGAATCTTTCGGATTTTGACGGGGCGCCCGCTCAGGGTAGACAGGACCAGACGTTGGCGCAAGAAGTTGCACCCTGCGTAGCTGAGGGAGTGCGCCTGAGTCGCCATGTGCGCGCTCTCCGAAGAGACGTGAGCAGCCCGAGAGCGGCGACTTCGGACAGACGCGGGACTCGTGACTCCGATGGTGGTGGTGGCGGCGACACCGACGGCGGCGGCTCGGGCTGCCTCCAGCAGCCCAGACGCGTCCACGTGGTTTGGAACAGGAAGACGGAGAGACTAGACACCGGGTCAGAGGGGAGCGGGGCGGAGCCAGTGGCCACCTCCCCGCCTCCCCGCCCGACCGGGGCGGCCCCCGCTTCGGGCCACGCCGCTATTGGCCCGCGCCGGATCAGGGCGGTGCCCGCGCCGCGCCTCCATTGGCTTCCGCTGAAGCTGGGCGGTGCCCAAGCCGCGCTGCCATTGGTCCGTAGTGGAGCTGGGCGGTGCCCGGGCCCTGGCAACAGCGCGCGGCTGGAGGGAACGCGGGAGGATGGCCAGGGAACCCCGGCGCGGGAGTTGCCAGTCGGGGCAGTCTCCTCTGTGTACCTCCTGGCGTGGTAGCAAGGGGAGATGGCGGACTGAGATTGATGCCTACGACGTGCCGGATTCTTAGCATTACTACTTACGGCAACTACTGGGGTGAAGATGCTATTATCTACCCCTCCTCTTTCTTACTAAGAGAGACAACAAGGGTTGGTGCACTCACCCTATCGCAGGGATGCCGCTCAGCGCACTGCCGGCGCAGTCCCGCAGCTCCATGCTGTAACCCTGCAAGGTAGAGCCATCCTGTCCTACTCATGGATAAAGGCTCGAGGAATATTGCAAAGCTGACAGTGGCAGCCTATACTGAGACCCGAATCCTCCCACAGCAGGCCGTTGCTTATTTTATTGAGACACCTCTTTGCCCCTTTCTCACGGGTCCCTTCGTTTATCGTCATTGCGTTTCATGGCAATTCAGGCCCTCCTACCTCGCATGCTTCAAGATAGATAGTTGTAATAACTTCACACACACACACGCGCGCAATGCTTTTTCCCTCTTTCCCGTCCTCCTCCAATCCTGCACAAGAAAATCTTCCCAAACGTTGGATTATTTCACTTCTCTACTCAAAAACCTTCCAAAATGTACAGTTAACTAACAAATGACTACACAAGTAGAAGTCCGATATCATAGTAATGTGGGTTTGTAGCCATTCCTGGACAACACTCACCAAACCATGAGTCCCAGAATGCACGGGGGTTCGCGGGGGGAAGGGGGGCGGGGTATGATAGTGTCTGAAAGCGGTGGGAGTTTAAGATTAAGGGATGTAGCTAGCCTTATGTAGACAACAGTGTGTTATAAAGTGGAGTGGAGTGGCATGCTCATGACTCACTGCAGCCTCAACTTCCCGAGTTCTAGTAATCCTCCAACCTCAGCCTCCCCATTAGCTGGAACTACAGGTGTGCACCACCATGCTCAGCTAATTTTTGTATTTTGTATAGACATGGGTTTTTGCCATGTTACCCAGGCTGGTCTCAAACTTCTAACCTCAAGCGATTGGCCCACCTTGGCCTCACAAGTGTGAGCCACCACTCCCAGCCTTTAATCCATTTTTCTTTGATTTTTGTAAATGGCAAGAGATAGAGATCTAGTTTCACTCTTTTGCATATGGATATCCAATTTTCTCAGCATCATTTATTGAAGAGACTGTCCTTTCCCCAGAGTATGTTCTTGGCAACTTTGTCGAAAATGAGTTTACCGTAGCTGTGTGGATTTATCTCTGCGTTCTCCGCTCTGTTCTACTGATCTATGTGTCTGTTTTTATGCCAGTACCATGCCATTTTGTTTACTCTAGCTCTGTAGTATAATTTGAAGTCAGGTAATGTGATTCCTCCAGTTTTGTTCTTTTTGCTTAGGACAGGTTTGGCTATTCTGGGTCTTTTGTGGTTCCATATAATTTTTTTAATTTTTAATTTTTGTAGGTAGATGGTACATGTATATATGAGGTACGGGAGAAGTTTTGATACAGGCATGCAATGTGTGATAATCACATCCTGAAGGATAGGGTACTCATCCCCTCATGCATTTTATTCTTTGTGTTATTATACAAACAAAACAATTATACTGTTTTAGTTATTTTTAAATGAAAATTAAATTATTGTTGACTACAGACACCTTGTTGTGCTATCAAATAGTAGATCTTATTCTTTCTAATTTTTGTACACATTTATTATCCCCACCTGCCCCCCAACATCCCCACCCCCTCTATGTTTTCCAGTCTCTAGTAACCATCCTTCTACTCTCTATTTCCATGAGTTAAATTGTTTTGATTGTTTGATCCCACAAATAGGTGAGAACATGTGATGTTTTTCTTTCTGTGCCTGGCTTATTTCACTTAACATAATGATCTCCAGTTTCATCCATGTTGTTGCAAATGACAGGATTTCATTCTTTTTTATGGCTGAATAATACTATATTGTGTATATGTATCACATTTTCTTTATCCATTCATCTGTTGATGGACACTTTGACTGTTTTCAAATTTTAGCTATTGTGAAGAGTGCTGCAACAAACATGGGAGTGCAGATATTTCTTTGATATGCTGATTTCCTTTCTTTTGGGTATACACGCAGCAGTGGGATTGCTGAATCATATGGTAGCTCTATTTTTAGTTTTTTGAGGCACCTCCAAACTGTTCTCCATAGTGGTTGCACGAATTTACATTCCCACCAACAGTGTACAAGGGTTCCATTTTCTCCACATCCTCACCAGTATTTGTTATCGCCTGTCTTTTGAATATAAGCCATCTTAACTGGGATGAGATGATATCTCAAAATGAGTAGTTTGCAGATATGTTTTCTCACTCTTTGGGTTGTCTCTTCAGTTTGTTGATTGTTTCCTTTGCTGTGCAGAAGCTTTTTAACTTGATATGATCCCATTTTTGCTTTGGTTGCGTATGCTTGTGGGTTATTAATCAAGAAATTTTTGCCTAACCAATGTCCTAGAGATTTTCCCCAATATTTTCTGTAGCCATTTCATAGTTTGAGGTCTTAGATATAAGTCTTTAATCCATTTTGATTTGGTTTTTGTACACGGCAAGAGAAAGCAGTCTAGTTTTACTCTTCTGCATATGGATATCCAGGTCTCCCAGCACCATTTATTGAAGAGATTGTTTTTTCCCCAGTGTATGTTATTGGCACCTTTATTGAAAATGAGTTCACTGTAGGGTTATAGATTTGTTTTTGGGTTCTCTATTCTGTTCCACTGGTCCATTTGTCTGTTTTTATGCGAGTACCATGCCATTTTGGTTACTATAGTATTTTTTTTTAATTTTTCTTTTTTTTTTTTTTTTTTTTTGAGACAGAGTCTCACTCTGTCACCCAGGCTGGAGTGCAGTGGCATGATCTCAGCTCACTGCAACCTCCACCTCCTACGTTCAAGCGATTCTCATGTTTCAGCCTTCTGAGTAGCTGAGATTACAGGCATGCACCAACACATCCAGCTAATTGTAGTATAATTTGAAATCAGGTAATGTGATTCCTCCAGTTTTGTTCTTTTTCTTAGGATAGCTTTGGCTATTCTGGGTCTTTTGTGGTTTTATATAAATTTTAGGATTTTTTTTCTATATCTGTGAAGAATATTATTGGTATTTTAATAGAGACTGCTTTGGGTAGTATGGATATTTTACCAATGTTGATTCTTCCAACCTGTCAACATAAAATACCTTACTATTTTTTGTGGCCTCTTCAAAATCTTACATCAATATTTTATAGTTATCATTGTAGAGATCTTTCACTTCTTAAGTTCATTTCTAGGTATTTTATTTTCTTTTTAGCTATTGTAAATGGGATCACTTTCTTGATTTCTTTTTTGGATTGTTCATTGTTGGCATAGAGAAATACTACTGATTTTTGTGTGTTAATTTTGTATCCTGCAAATTTACTGAATTTGTTTATTAGTTCTAATATTTATTTGGTGGACTTTGGGTTTTTCTAAATATAAAATTATATCATCTAAAAACAAGGAAAATTTTTTCTTCTTTCTTTCCCCTCCCTCCCTCCCGTCCTTCCTTCCTTCCTTCCTTTTCTTTCTTTTCTTTCTTTCTTTTTTCTTTCCCCCCGCCTTTTTTTTTTTTTTTTTTTTTGAGACAGGATCTCACTCGGTCACCCAGGCTGGAGTGCAGTGGCATGATCATGGCTCACTGAAGCCTCAACGCCCCAGGCCCAAGTGATCCTCCCACTTCAGCCTCCCTGGTAGCTGGGACTACAGGCATGTACAGGCATGCTCCATCACACTCAGCTAATTTTTTAATTTTTTTGTAGAGATGATATTTCACTGTGTTGCCCATGCTTGTCTCAAAGCAATCTGCCTGCCTCGGCCTCCCAAAGTTCCGAGATTACAGGCATGAGCCACCCACACCCAAGGGTAATTAAATTTCTTCATTTCCTATTTGAATCCCCTTTATTTCTTTCGCTTGTCCAATTGCTGTAGCTGCAAACTTCCAGTACTATGTTGAATAAGAGTGGTGAAAGTGGGAATCCTTGTCATGTTCTGATCAAAGAAGAAAGGTGGCCAGTGTGGTGGCTCACACTTGTAATCCTAGCACTTTGGGAGGCTAAGGCGGGCAGATCACCTAAGGCTAGGAGTTTGAGACCAGCTTGGCCAACACGGTGAAACTCCATTTGGGTGTGGTAGCATGCACCTGTAATCCCAGCTACTGGTGAGGCTGAGACATGAGAATTGTTTGCATCTGGGAGGCAGAGGTTGCAGCGAGCTGAGATCGCACCACTGTACTCCAGGCTAGGTGACAGAGCAAGACTGTGTCTCAAAAAAAAAAAAAAAGATGAAAGGCTTTCAGTTTTTCCCCATTCAGTATGATATTAGCTGTGGGTATATCATATGTGGCTTTTATTATATTGAGGGATGTCTTTCTATACTCAGTATTGTTAGGGCTTTTATGAGGAAGCGATACTGGATTTTATCAAGTGCTTTTTCAGCATCAATTGAAATGATCATTTGATCATTTTTGTCCTTCATTCTCTTGCTATGATGTATTACATTACTTAATTTGCATATGTTGAACCACCCTTGCATCCCTGGGATGAATCACACTTGGTCATGATGAATGATCTTTTTAATGTGTTGTTGAATTCAGTTTCATTGAGAATTTTTGGATCAGTATTCATCAGAAACATTGGCTTGAAGTTTGCTTTATTTGATGTGTCTTTGTCTGTTTTTGGTATCAGGGTAGTACTGATCTCATAGAATGAGTTTGGAAGTATTCCCTTCTTCTCTATTTTTTGGAATAGTGTAAGTAGAATTGGTATTAGTTCTTCTTTAAATGTTTGGTAGAATTCAGCAGCAAAACCATCAGGTCCTGGGCTTTACTTTGCTGGGAGAGTGTTTATTAATTCTATATCATTACTTGTTATTGATTTGTTCAGCAGTGAAACCATCAGGTCCTGGGCTTTACTTTGCTGGGAGACTTTTTATTAGTTCTATATCACTACTTCTTATTGATTTGTTCAGGTTTTGCATTTCTTCATAGTTCAGTTTTGGTAGGGTGTATGTGTCCAAGAATTTATCCCTTTCTTTTAGATTTTTCAATTTGTTGGTATATAGTCACTCATCATAGCCACTAATGATGCTTTGAATTTCTGCAGTGTCAGTGGTAATGTCTCTTTTTTCATCTCTAATTTTATTTATTTGTGTCTTCTCTCTCTTTTTTAGTTAGTCTAGATAAAGGTTTGTCAATTTTGTTTATGTTTTCAAAACACCAACTTTTTGTTTTCTTGATCTTTTGTTTGTTTTCTTCATTTCAAATTCATTTATTTCTGCTCTGATCTTTATTATTTCTTTTTTCTACTAATTTTGGGTTTGGTTTGCTCTTTCTTTTCTAGTTCTTTAATATGCATCATTAGGTTGTTTCTTTGAAATATTTTTTCTTTTTTTGATGTAGGCACTTATAGCTATAAATTTCCCTGTTAGTACTGGGTTTGCTGTATCCCATAGGTTTCGATATGTTGCATGTCTACTATCATTTGTTTCAAGAAAATTTTCTATTTCTTAACTTCCTCACTGACCCACTGGTCATTCAGGAGCATACTGTTTTATTTCCATGTGTTTCCAAAATTCCTCATTACTGATTTCTAGTTATATGGCATTGTGGTCAGAGAAAATGCTTGATGTTATTTCAGTGTTTTTCAGAATGTTTTAAGACTTGTTTTGTAACCTAACAAATGGTCTGTCTTTGAGAATGGTCCATTGGCTGAGGAAAAGAATGTATATTCTGTAGATACTGTATGAAATACTGTGTAAATACCTATTACGTCCATTGGGTCTATAGTGCAGTTTGATGTTTTTTTGTTGATTCTATGTCTGGAAGAGCTGTCCAATGCTGAAAGTGGGGTAAGTCTCCAGCTACTATTGTATTGGACCTCTTACTGTATTAGTCTGTTCTCATGCTGCTAATAAAGACATACCTGAGACTGGATAATTTATAAAGAAAAAGAGGCTAGCCAGGCGCGGTGACTCATGCCTCTAATTCTAGCACTTTGGGAGTCCGAGGCAGGTGGATCACAAGGTCAGGAGTTCGAGACCAGCCTGGCCAACACAGAGAAACCCCATCTCTACTAAAACTACAAAAATTGGTCAGGCATGGTGGTGCGCACCTATAATCCCAGCTACTCAGGAGGCTGCGGCATGAGAATCGCTTGAACCCGGGAGGTGCAGTTTGCAGTGAGCCAAGATTGCACCACTGCACTCCAGCCTGGGCGACAGAGCAAGACTCCATCTCAAAAAAATAAAAATAAAGAAAAAGAGCTTTAATGGACTCACAGTTCTACGTGGCTGAGGAGGCCTCACATGATCATGGAGGAAGGTGAAGGAGGAGCAAAGGCACGTCTTACATGGTAGCAGGCAAGAGAACATGTGCATGGGAACAGCCCTTTATAAAACCATCAGATCTCATGAGACTTATTCACTATCACAAGAACAGCACAGGAAACCCCTGCCCCCACCATGATTCAATTACCTCTCACCAGGTCCCTCCCATGACACATGGAGATTATGGGAATTACAATTCAAAATGAGATTTGGCTGGGGAAAACAGCCAAACCATATCAGGGTCTATCTCTCTAGCTCTAATAATATTTTATATTATTAGATATATATATGATCATAAAGATATATATAATTATATATTATATATTATAAAGATATATATTATTAGCTATATGTTTATATATATATATATATATATATATATGAGTGTTCCAGTGTTGGGTGCATATATATTTTCAATTGTTATACCCTTTTACTGAATTCACCCCTTTATCATTATATAGTTACCTTCTGTGTCTCTTTTTATGGGTTTTGTTTAGAAATCTATTTTGTCTGATATAAGTATAGCTATTCCTGCTCTTTTTTTCATTTCCATTGGCATGGAATATCTTTTTTCCATCTCTTTATTTTCAGTTCATGTATGTCTTCATAGGTGACATATGTTTCTTTTTTTTTTAAATTAAACTTTAAGTTCTGGGATACCTGTGCAGAACATGCAGGTTTGTTACATAGGTATACGTGTGCCATGGTTGTTCGCTGCATCCATCAACCCATCATTTGGGTTTTAAGCCCCACATGTTTTAGATATTTGTCCTAATGCTCTCCCTCCCCTTGCCCCCCACCCCGTGACAGGCCCCGATGTGTTATGTTCCCCTCCCTGTGTCCATGTGTTCTCATTGTTCAACTCCCCCTTATGAGTGAGAACATGCAGTGTTTGGTTTTCTGTTCCTGTGTTAGTTTGCTGAGAATGATGGTTTCCAGCTTCATCCATGTCCCTGCAAAGGACACGAATGCATTCTTTTTTATGACTGGAAGTGTGTTCCTTATAGGCAATACATCCTTGGGTCTTTTTTTAAAAATACATTCAGCCAATCTATGTCTTTTGATTGGAGAGTTTAGTCCATTTACATTCAATGTTATGATTGCTAAGTAGACTTACTCCTGCCGTTTTGTTATCTGTTTTCTGGTTGTTTTGTGATCTTCTCCTCCTTCTTTCCTTCTTTCCTGTCTTCATTTTAGTGAAGGTGATTTTCTCTGGTGGTATTATTTAATTTCTTGCTTTTTATTTTTTGCGTATTTGTTGTATGTTTTTTGATTTGAGGTTACTATGAGGCTTTCAAATACTGTCTTATAACCCATTATTTTAAGCTGATTACAACTTAACACTTTGCATAAACCAGCAAAAAAACCTAATAAGAATTCTATACTTTAACTTCATCTCTGCATTTTTCACCATTTTGTTTTTTCTATTTATATTTTATTGTGCTGTCTATGTCTTGAAAAGTTGCTATAGTTATAATTTTTGATTCATTCATCATTCGTTCTTTCTACTTAAAAGTAGTTTACACACCACAGTTACAGCGTTATAATCTGTGGTTTTCTGTGTGCTTACTATTACTAGTGAGTTTTGTACCTTCAGATAATTTCTTCTTGGTCATTAACATTCTTTCTTTCAGATTGAAGAACTCCCTTTAGCATTTCTGTAGGGCAGGTCTGGTGATGATGTAATCTTCAGCTTTTGTTTTCCCTGGAAAGTCTTTATTGCCTTTTCATGTTTGAAGGATATTTTCACTGGATATATACTCTTCTAGGGTGAAAGTTTTTTTCCTTCAGCACTTTAAATATGTCATACCATTCTCTCCTGGCCTGTAAAGTTTCCACTGAAAAGTCTGTTGCCAGATGTATTGGAGCTCCATTCTTTGTTATTTATTTATTTTCTCTTTCTGCTTTTAGGATCCTTTCTTTATCTTTGACCTTTGGGAGTGTGATAAAATGCCTTGAGGTAGTCTTCTTTCGGTTAAATCTGCTGGATGTTCTATAACCTTCTTGTACTTCGATACTGATATCTTTCTGTAGGTTTGGGAAGTTCTCTGTTATTATCCCTTTGAATAAACTTTCTACCCCTATCTCTTTCTCTGTCTCCTCTTTAAGGCCAATAACTCTTAGATTTGCCCTGTTGGGGCTATTTTCTAGATCCTGTAGACATGCCTCATTGTTTTTTATTCTTTTTTCTTTTGTCTCCTCTATGTATTTTCAAATAGCCTGTCTTCAAGCTCACTAATTCTTTTTTCTGCTTGATCTATTCTGCTATTAAAAGACTCTGATGTGGCCAGGCACAGTGGCTCACACCTGTAGTCCCAGGACTTTGGGAGGCCAAGGCGGGTGGCTCACCTGAGGTCAGGAGTTCGAGACCACCCTAGCCAACATAGTGAAACCCCATCTCTACCAAAAATACAAAAATTAGCCAGGTGTAGTGGCGCATGCCTGTAATCCCAGCTACTCAGGAGGCCGAGGCAGGAGAATCACTTGAACCCAGGAGGTGGAGGTCACAGTGAGCTGAGATCACAGCCACTACACTCCAGCCTGGGCGACACAGTAAGGCTCTGTCTCAAAAAAAAAAAAAGAAAAAAAAAAGACTCTGATGCATTCTACAGTGTGTCAACTCCAGAATTTCTGCTTGATACTTTTTAATTATTTTGATCTCTTTTTAAAATTCATCTGACAGAATTCTGAATTCCTTCTCTGTGTTATTTTGAATTTCTTTGTATTTCCTCAAAACAGCTATTTTGAAGTCTCTGTCTGAAAAGGAATCCTGTTTTTCCAGGATTGGCCCCTGGTGACTTATTTAGCTCACCTAGTGAGGTCATGTTTTCTTGGATGGTCTTGTTGCTAGTGGATGTTCGTCTGTGTCTGGACATTGAGGAGTTAAGTATCTATTGTAGTCTTCACAGTCTGGGCTTGTTTGTACTTGTCTTTCTTTGGAAGGCTTTCCAGGTATTCAAGAGGACTTGGGGCTGGGCGTGGTGGCTCATGCCTGTAATCCCAGCACTCTGGGAGACCGAGGCGGGTGGATCACCTGAGGTCAGGAGTTTGAGACCAGCCTGGCCAACATGGTGAAACTTTGTCTCTACTAAAAATACAAAAATTAGCTGGGCATGGTGGCACATGCTTGTAATCCCAGCTACTCCGGAGGCTGAGTTCAATCACTTGAACCCAGGAAGCAGAGGTTGCAGTGAGCTGAGATCATACCATTGCATTCCAGCCTCGGCGACAGAGCGAGACTCCGTCTCAAAAAAAAAAAAAAAAATCAAAAGGACTTGGGGGTTGTGATCTAAGCCACATCTGAATTAGGAGGCATCTCAAGCTCAGTAATGCTGTGGTTCTTGCAGACTTGTAGAGGTACCACTTTGATGATTTGGATAAGATCTGGAAGAATTCTTTGGATTACCAGGCTGAGAATCTTGTTCTCTTCCCTTACTTTCTCCCAAACTAATGGAGTCTCTGTACTGAGCCACCTGGAGTTGAGGGTGTATTGATGCAAGCACTCCTGTGGCCACCACCACGGGTACTGTGCTGGTTCAGACCTGAAGACTGGTCTTACCCAAGACATGCTGTAACCACTACCTGTCTACTACCTATGTTCAATCAAGGGCTTGGGCCTCTATAGTCAGCAGGTGGTGAAGCCAACCAGGCTATGTCCTTCACTTCAAGGTGGTAAGTTCCCCCAGGCCCCAGGTGGGTCCATTGTTGTCATCCCAGGACCAGGGACTAGAATTAAATACCTTAGCAGTCTACCTGGTGTTCTATTGTACTGTGGCTGAGCTGGCACTCAAACCTCAAGATGCACTGCTTCCCACTCTTCCCTGTACTTTCCACAGGCAGAGTAGCCTCACCCTGTGGCTACCACAAGCCCATGGGAGTACTGCCAGGCTACCACCCATGTTCCCTTAGGGCCCAAGGGCTCTTCAGTCAGCTTGTGGTGCATCCTGCCTGGCCTGGGACTCACCCTTCAGGGCAGTGGGCTCCCCTATGGCCCAGGACACACCCAGAAATGCGCTGTCAGAGACCAGTCATGGAATCAGGGAACTCAAGAGCCAGTTTGGTGCTGTAACCCCCTGTGACTGAGCTGGTACATAAGGTGTAAGAAAAAGTCTGCTTTTGTGCTTGGTGAATTAGAAGTATATTAAAAAGCTCTTCCTGTCTGTGCCAGGGTGGCATGTGGTCCATGCCATGCAACAGAGATGCTCAGGCTGTGCCCTTAGGATGACCAAGTGGGAGACAGCAGCACCAGAGATGGCAGAAACCCCCAACATCCAGCTCTTTGGGAGGTGGAGCACCGATGATGTGCAGATCAATGACATTTCCCTGAAGGATTACATTGCAGTGAAGGAGAAGTATGCCAAGTACCTGCTTCACAGTGCAGGGTGGTATGCCCTCCAAGCATTTCCACAAAACACAGTGCCCCATCTTGGAGCACCTCACTAACTCCATGAAGATGCATGGCCACAATAATGGCAAGAAACCCATGACCATGCACATTGTCAAGCATGCCTTTGAGATCATCCACCTGCTCATGAATGAGAACACTCTTCGAGTCCTAGTGAATGCCATCATCAACAGTGGTCCCTGGGAGGACTCCACATGCATTGGGTGAGCCAAGACCATGAGATGACAGGCTGTGGACGTGTACCCACTGCATGGCATGAATCAGGCCATCTGGCTGCTGTGCAGAGGCACTTGTGAGGCTTCCTTCCAGAACATCAAGACCATTGCTGAGTGCCTGGAAGATGAGCTCATCAATGCCACCAGGGGCTCCTCCAACTCCTATGTCATCAAGAAGGATGAGCTAGAGCATGTGGCCAAGTCCAACCACTGATTTCCAGCTGCTGTCCAATAAACCTGTCTGCCCTTTGGGGTGGCCCCACCAAAAAAAAAAAAAAAAAAAAGAGGAAGATGAAGAAGAAGGAAAAGAAGAAGAAGAATATGTACATTAAAAAATCCCCTTTACTTTTCTCAAGCAGAAGGAGTTTCTTCCCATAGCCACTACAGCTGGGAATGTGCTGAGTCTCACCTGAAACCAACAAGTCTCAAAGTTTCACCCAAGGCCCATGGTGTACTACCTAAGTATTGCTGCTGGTTATCAGGGCCCAAGGGCTCTTTAGTTAGCATACGATGAGTCCTGCCAAAACTGGGTCCTACCCTTCAAGGCAGTAGGTTCTCTTCTGACCCAGGATATGTCTAGAAATATCAAATTCCAAGGGGACTCAAAACTCTAACCGTTGCCCTATTCTCCTAGAGCTGGGCTGGTATCCAAGGTACAAGACAAAGTCTTCTTTACTCTTCTGTCTCCTCACCTTAAGTAGAAGGAAGGGGTGTCTTGGAGCTGTGAGCTGTGCACCCTGGGGTTGGGGGAGGGGTGGCACAAGCAGTCCCTTAGCCATCCTGGCTGGTGTCTCAGTAGGTTGCAAGCACTCCAGTCCACTGGCTCTGAGCCCAGTTCAGCCCTAGGCATTGCCTAGGAGTTGCAGTCCTTGTGTTCTAGACTGCCTATCAGGTTTACATAGAACCCCAGAGCACTTTAGCCCATGGTGAGAGGCTTGCTGGAACTTGCATTCCTACCACTCAGAAGGACAGTTCCTCTCTTGCTCCCACCATGGTAGACGTCAGCTGAGTTCAGCCTAGTTTGGCTTTCTGCGATGACGGGACACCACTGAATTCAATTCAATGTCTCACAGTGCTGTGCTCTCCCTCTCCCAAATGCACAGATTCTCTGCACCAGGCAGCTGCTGCCAGGGGATGGCAGAGAGGTGACATCAAGCAATTCAAGACTGTCTCTCTTACCCTCCTGAGTGCCTCTTTCAGAAATATAAAGTTAAAACCAAATCCAGGGAGTGCTCACCTGATTTTTGGTTCTTACTAGGGTGCTTCTTTTGTGTAGATAGTTGTTAAATTGGTGTCCTTGTCGGGGAGGGAGAAGATTGGTAGAGCCTTCTATTCAGCCATCTTGGTCCACCTCCTCCTACCCACCTTAAGAAACAACAACAAGGCCAGGCACGGTGGCTCACGCTGTAAACCCAGCACTTTAGGAGGCTGGATCACCTGAGGTCAGGAGTTTGAGATCATCCTGGAATGGATCACCTGAGGTCAGGAGTTTGAGACAAGCCTGGTCAACATGGTGAAACCCTGTCTTCACTAAAAATACAAAAATTAGCCAGGTGTAGTAGTGCATGCCTATAGACCCAGCTACTTGGAGGGCTGAGACAGGAGAATTGCTTGAACCTGGGAGGCGGAGATTTCAGTGAGCTGAGATTGTGCCACTGCATTCTAGCCTGGATGACAGAGAGATACTCCATCTCAAAAAAAGAAAGAAAAAACAACAACAAGCATTGGTGACGAGATGGAGAAATTGGAACCTTTATACATTGTTGGAGGAAATGTAAAATGGTGTAGCCCCTCTGGAAACAATATGGCAGTTCTTAAAAGGTAAAAAATAGAATTTTTAAATGACCCAGCAATTCTGCTCCTAAGGTATATACCAAAAAGCTTGAAAAAACATACGTTCCCAAAAAATCTTGACAATAATGTTAATAGCAGCCTTAATCATAACATTCAAAAACCAGAAACAACCCAAATACCCATAAACTAAGGAATGATAAATAAAATGTAATATATACATATAATGAAATCAGTCATAAAAAACAATGAAGTATTAATATACCTACAATACAGATGGACCTTGAAAACATTATACTAATTGAAAGAAGCCAGACACAAAAGGCCACATATTGAATGATTGCATTTATATGAACTATACAGAATAGGCAAATCTATAAAGATTCCAGGGGATGGATGTAGAGGAAATTGGGAGCAGTTTCATTTTGGAGTAACAAAAATGTTCTGGAATTAAGAAAGTAATCCTTGTTGCACAATATTGTGACTATACAAAAACAAAAACAAACAAAAAAAATCCCAGCATCTGAGGATTAGGAAAAAAACAAAACAAACTGCACTCCATTGTATACTTTGAAGTGTTTTAAATTGTGAATTATATGTTGTGTGAATTTTTTTTTTTTTTGAGACGGAGTCTCACTTTTGTTACCCCAGCTGGAGCACAGCAGGGGGATCTTGGCTCACTGCAACCTCTGCCTCCCGGGTTCAAGTGATTCTCCTGTCTCATCCTGCTGAGTAGTTGGGATTGTAGGCACACACCACCATGCCTGACTAATTTTTATGGCTTTTTTTTTAGCAGAGACAGGTTTTTGCCATGTTGGCTACGCTAGTCTCAAACTCCTGACCTCAAGCGATCAGCCCATCTCGGCCTCCCAAAGTGCTGGGATTACAGGCATGAGCCACCGCACTTAGCCTGTTGTGTGAATTTTATCTCAATAAAAAAAAAATGTGATTTAAAGGTTAAAAAATAAAATAAAAGCAATACCTAGCCTTATACTGGAATATAAGAAATGCTACATATATATTTATTGAATAAGCAAACGAAACTTAAATGATGTAAATCATTACCATGGGGTTGCTTTCCGTATTTAAAAGTTGCTGCATTTGATACTGCCACAGAAATCCTGGATTTGGCTTATACATATGTAGCATTAAGTTACATATTTTATCATGACAATAATGGAAACAAAAAAGAACAAATGGTAGATACACTTTACATCAAGAAGTTCCTATTTTCAAGAAAGGAGAAAGGATTACCTTTTCAAGAAGGGATCAAGCAATTCTCCCACCTCAGCCTCCCGAGTACCTGGGACTACAGGCGTGTGTTGCTATGCCCAGCTATTAATAATTTTTTTTTGTATTTTTTGTAGAGACGAGGTTTCTCCATGTTGTCCAGGCTGGTCTCAAACTCCTGAGCTCAAGCAATCTGCCTGCCTCAGCATCCCAAAGTGCTGGGATTACAGGCATGAGCCACCATGCCTGGCCAATAATGTTATCTGGGCATCCATTAACCCAGTCAAGCTGACACAAAAAATAAACCATCACAATATGGGTCAAATCATTTTGTATTCTCACCTGCAACATAGGAAATTACCTCTTTTTCCACAATCTCACTACAAAAGTATATTGTTTAACATTCATATGTTTGAAATTGTTTTAGTTCCTCCACACAGCTGGCAACCTTAGAAATAAAAGTCCTGCTGTCATTGTCACATATGTTCATGGTGATTTGCAAGGTATGTCTTTTTCTTTCCTTTTTTTTTTTTTTTTTTTTTTTTTTTGAGGCAGAGTCTCACTCCGTCACTCAGGCTGGAGTGTAGCAGTGCAATCTCAGCTCACTGCAACCTCTGCCTTCCCAGGTTCAAGCAATTCTTCTGCCTCAGCCTCCAGAGTAGTTGGGATTATAGCGACGTGCCACCATGCCTGGCCAATTTTTGTTTTTGTTTTTGTAGAGATGGGGTTTCTCCATGTTGGCAAGGCTGGTCTCGAACTCCTGACCTCAAGTAATCTGCCCGCCTTGGTCTCCCAAACTGCTGGGATTACAGGAGTGAGCCACCATGCCTGGCCAAAAGTTATGTGTTTTTCTTTTCTTGTTTCAGATTTGAAGACTCTTCTGAGTACCCTCTGGGCTTAAGGTATATTTCTCTATTTAAAGAAAGCCAGGCCAGGTGTAGTGGCTCACACCTGTATTCCCAACACTTTGGGAGGCCGAGGTGGGCAGATCACCTGAGGTCAGGAGTTCGAGACCCGCCTGGCCAACATAGCGAAACCCCGCCTCTACAAAAAAATACAAAAATTATCCGGGCATGGTGGGAGGTGCCTATAATCCACCTGGGAGTCTGAGGCAAATAAAAAAAGAAGGAAAGAAAGTTCAAAATAAAGAAAGAAAAAATGTTCAAAGAAAGAAAGATCAAAAGAAAGAAAGTTCAAAAAAAAAGAAAGTTCAAAAGAAAGAAAGTTCAAAATAAAGACAAAGAATGTTCAAAATAAAGTTCAAAATAACGTTTAAAAGAAAGAAAGTTATGTTCAAAATAAGAGTATCATATTGGTAGTTATACTGATAATAAAAGTTATTATCTGTAATCTTATATAAAGTATAGAAGAGTAAATTTTGTCCTGAGCATATTTTATTAGTGCCTTTCTGTTCTCTGCTGCCTAGGGAGACTAGATATAGCAAGATCACTGCTTTATTTATTTATTCAGAGCTGGGGTCTTGCTCTGTCACCCAGGCTGGAGTGCAGTGTCATAATGATAGCTCACTGCAGCCTCAAACTCCTGGGCTCATGCGATCCCAAGTAGCTTGTACTACAGGCACACGCCATCGTGCATAGCTAATTCTTGTTATATTTTTTGAAGATGGATCTTGTTATATTGCCCAGGCTGGTCTCAAACTCCTGGCCTCAAACAGTCCTCCTGCCTCAGCCTCCCGAGTAGCTGAGATTACAGGCATGAGCCACTGTACCCCACCTCATGGTAAATTAAATGTCTGTTCAGAGGACTGAACAATTTCACTGCTGGTGAGAGACAAGAAGGAGGTTTTCTTAGAATTTTTTAAACTTTAAACATGTGCTTGGCATGGCATGCCTGGGAGCTTTGAATTCAGGTAGGTCATTCCTTTCCTTGTTGGATGTCTTCCTCCACCATAAGCTATCTGCAAGCTAGATTCCCAGAAAGGCCAATGGTGTAGTTTAGTCCACGTCTGAAGGTTTGACAGCCGGAGGCTCAAAGGTCCAAGGGCAGGAGAAGATGGTTAGCCTAGCTCAAGCGTGAAAGATCAAATTTGTCTTTCCTGTGACCTTTTGTTCTATTTGGGTCCTCAGCGCATTGGATGAGGCCCACCCACATTGGTGAGGGAGATGTTCTTTACTTAGTCTACTAATTCCAATGTTAGTCTCTTCTGGAAACATTCTCACAGACACACTCATAAATAATGCTGCTGTTGTTGAGACAGGGTCTTGCTGTGTTGTCCATGCTGGAGTGCAGTGGCACAATCTTGACTCACTGCTGCCTTGACCTCCTGGGATCAAGCAATTCGCCCACCTCAGCCTCCCAAGTACCTGGGACTACAGGCATGTGTCACTATGCCCAGCTATTAATAATTTTTTTGTATTTTTTGTAGAGACGAGGTTCCACCATGTTGTCCAGGCTGGTCTCAAACTCCTGAGCTCAAGCAATCTGCCTGCCTCAGCATCCCAAAGTGCTGGGATTACAGACATGAGGCACCATGCCGGGCCAATAATGTTATCTGGGCATCCATTAACCCAGTCAAGCTGACACATAAAATAAACCATCACAATATAAGTCAAATCATTTTGCATTCTCACCTGCAACATAGGAAATTACCTCTTTTTCCACAATGTCACTAAAAAAGTATACTGTTTAACGTTCATATGTTTGCCAGTCTGACAGGTGATAAATGAGATTTCTGTGTATTTTTCATTGACCAAAAACTTTCTCTCTCAAAAAAAGGACATAATTTCAAAATACAATATAGCCCTTTGAATTGAATACATTTAGATTTATGCAAACCTCACTACATGTTCACATTTTTATCATTTTTCTCTAGGCTGGTGAAGACTTGTTCACAGATCAGCATCAGTCTGAAGAATATAGAAACCATTGCTCTGGCCAGTGCTTCTCAACCACACAGATAATATAATAATATTTGTAAGCACTCTCGAGTAGAAGAGTGAGGATGCTCATCACCAAAGACAGCAGGCTTAAGAGTCTGACCACCCCAAGACTCTGCCTCGCCATCCCAAAGAGAAGACCTTTAATATTTCCACACATCTGGAATCCATACCTGTTGCAAATCTCTGTATTAGAAACCCAACCCAGTCCATGATACATGGATTCTTGTTAGTGTTCATCTCAGAAGTATGCCTTTTCCTTACATTGAGTTAGGACTACATCTTCCTCTGGGGACTTTTGTCCTCTAACTGCAGTAATACTGAAACAACTTAAGAGGACAAAGACCAAATCGTTTTCAAGCCCCATGAAGCATTTCAAAAGTTCTACTCACAACAGGCCCCGGTGTGTGATGTTCCCCTTCCTGTGTCCATGTGTTCTCATTGTTCAATTCCCACCCATGAGTGAGAACATGCGGTGTTTGGTTTTTTGTCCTTGCAATAGTTTGCTGAGAATGATAGTTTCCAGCTTCATCCATGTCCCTACAAAGGACATGAACTCATCATTTTTTATGGCTGCATAGTATTCCATGGTGTCTATGTGCCACAGAGTGGGGAGGGATAGCATTAGGAGATGTACCTAATGCTAAATGACGAGTTAATGGGTGCAGCACACCAACATGGCACATGTATACATATGTAACAAACCTGCACATTGTGCACATGTACCCTAAAACTTAAAGTATAATAATAATAATAATAAAACAAAGAAAGAAAAAAAAAGTTCTACTCACATCTAAGTTTTTCTCTCTTTTTTTTTTTTTTTTATTTGAGACAGAGTGTCGCTCTGTTGCCCAGGCTAGAGGGTAGTGGCGCGATCTTGGCCCACTGCAACCTCCACCTCCTGGGTTTAAGTCATTCTCCTGCCTCAGCCTCGCAAGTAGCTGGGATTACAGGCGCCTGCCACCATGCCTGGCTAATTTTTTTGTATTTGTAGTAGAGATGGGGTGTCACCATGTTGGCCAGGCTGGTTTCAAACTCCTGACTCAAGTGATCTGCCCACCTCGGCCTCCCAAAGTGCTGGGATTACAGATGTGAGGCACCGCACCCGGCTCACATCTAAATTTTTAAAAATTATAAATTATATGCTATTTATAATATAAATATTTTTATTTGCCCATTAAAATAAGGCCTATGCACTATGTTGCCTATCCAATCCTAGGTGTGACTATGTGTTTTGCTTTGGCCAATGAAATGTGAGCAGAAGTTACTTGTGTCACTTTCATGCTGAAGCTCCTCTTTTCCTTTGTCATGGCAACCAGTATTTTTCCAGTAGCTGCTCCATCAGCCTGGGTCTTGGAGTAGGAACCACTATGTTGCAACAATCAACTCCCCAAGGACAAGCAGCCAGAGTGAGAAATGAACCGAGGTGGTTTCAAGCTACTGAAATTTGGTGGTTGCTTGTTAGTGTAACATAACCTAGCCTATCTTGACTGATAAAGCAAAGAGTCTTTAATTTGGCTCTATATTATGGAGACCCCAGGTTTTGATGCAATTGAAGACATTGGAAACGTATTATCTTTGAAACAGCACAGAGGTACTAAACGATTACTCTGTAACTGAGAGAAAAACATGTATGATCTATGGAATTAATATCAGCTTACAGGTCAATTAAGTTGTTAATTATTCATGGAATCATAGGTTTTCAGGGCTTGAGGGATCTTGGAGATGACCAAGCCCAATACTCTGTCCAACACACAGCTCCCCTATACACCACACCCAGAGCATGGTCTTCTAGGGTCTTATTGTAAACCCCCATGGATTGACAGCTTATGCCACGTGAGGCATTGTGGTCCATTTCCTGATAACTCTGTTTAAACATGCTTTTTTGCATGGCAAGTTGACTTCTTTCTTCCTCATATTGCAATGCTTTGGTTATGGGAGCAAACTTAACCCCTCATGCAATAAAGCCCTAATATGCCACCTTCTCATCCTAGTGAAATATACCCGGTTTTGTACACTATTCCTCAATGTCATTCCAGACCATTGTCTTTCCCAGTCATTGACCTGGGGTCCACCTGTAAGTCTGGTAGACCATTCTTCAGTACAATAAAAAAGACTCTGCGAGGCTGAGCGCAGTGGCTCATGCCTGTAATCTCAGCACTTTGGGAGGCCGAGGCGGGTGGATCATGAGGTCAGGAGATCGAGACCATCCTGCCTAACACGGTGAAACCCCGTCTCTACTAAAAATACAAAAAAATTAGCCGGGCGTGGTGGCGGGTGCCTGTAACCCCAGCTACTCAGGAAGCTGAGGCAGGAGAATCGCTTGGACCGGGAGGTGGAGGTTGCAGTGAGCCCGAGATTGTGCCACTGCACTCCAGCCTCGGTGACAGAGTGAGACTCTGTCTCAAAAAAAAAAAAAAAAAGTCTCTGCATTTGGCATGCACTGTTCTCTACTCCCCTTCCTTGTCATATCCCCAACTCCACCACATCCCAAACTGGTTGCTGGTAAAATAGAAGCCCTAGCACAGTAAAGCAAACCCATAAAAAACACCTTTCATGTGACAGTTGTCTAAGAAATCAAAGCCACATCAAGAAGAATGGCTAATATTTAGGTCTGGAACTGTAATAATTTAAAAAAGGACAATTCCCTGAATTTTCCCTTCAGGGAGAAGTATTGGAAAAATGGATTTATTGCATAATTCCAGCCGAATTAGTTTTGGGACCAAAGCAGTCTGAAACCAGAAAAGGGAAACTAGCTGCAATGAATTCCAGGAAATATCAACATGTGTGTACTTCTTAGAGGGAAATTTCCAGGGATTTCTGGGAACATTTTGTAGCTTCGGTGCTTACATATGTTTAGTGTACGTAAGGCAAAAGCTTAACCCAAAGATATTCAGAAATTGACACAGTGAGTCTTTTCTTTTTCTTAAAAAAAGTGTCCTATTTTTTCCTGATTTATAAAAATACTACATTATCATAGAAAGTTTAGAAAACACAGAAAAATATACAAAAGTAGAAATTAAATCAGGGCAAATACTCTTACAATAAATTCTTTGTATTATCCAATAGATAATGGTATACTTATTAATGATCATGTTTGATGTAAAAAAAATAATAATAATGGAGCCAGGTGCAGTGGCACAAACCTATAGTACCAGCTACTCAGGAGGCAGAGGCAGTAGGGTTGCTTGAGCCCAGGAATTCAATGCTGTAATGCACTATGGTCATACCTGTGAGTAGACACTACACTCCAGCCTGGGCAACACTGTGGGGCCCCATTTCTAAAAATAAAAATTTTTAAAACTAGGTTGAAAATTACTTTGGTTGTGTTCTTAAATTCTGTTGAACAGAATTTAGGATTCTTAGAAATTTAACTCTCTTCTTCCTGCTGGAATTATAGAATCTATGTTAATTTCTTGACCTTACAAACAAGGAAATCAGTAATAATAAACTCCGTGATTGTTCCATTGCTGACCAAAATGTCAAAAAATGTTTCCAGCTAGGCTTTTTTCAGCAGCCCATAGAAAATATTTATGGTCATTTCAAACTCAACATGTTTAAAAACTGAGTTCATCTTCCACTCAAATTTGAGGTTCTTCCCAGTCATGCCATTTTTCGGAAGAGACAGGTAATGCTATTTTTCTGGCCCACCAGATTCACAACATCAATGCATCTCTCTCTCTTCTTATCAATATATTCAAGGGCCTGGTGTGGTGGCTTATACCTGTAATCCCAGCACTTTGGGAGGCCAAGGCAGGAGGATCACTTGAAGCCAGGAGTGGAGACCAGCCTGGGCAACATAGCAAGACCCCATCTCTACAAAAAAAATTACAAATTAGTAGGAAATGGCAGTGTGCACCTGTAGTCCCAGTAACTTGAGAGACTGAGACAGGAGGATAACTTGAGCCCAGGAGTTAGAGGTAGTAGTAAGTTATGATCATGCCATTGCACTCCAGCCTGGGTGGCAGAGTAAGACCTTGTCTCTGAATAAACAAACAAACAAATAAGTCATATTAAAGAAGATAGCAATTCTTTTTTTAGGAGGGGGACAGAGTCTCGTTCTGTCACCCAGGCTGGAGTGCAATGATGCGATCTCGGCTCACTGCAACTTCTGTCTCCCGGGTTCAAGGGTTTATCTTGCCTCAGCCTCCTGAGTAGCTGGGGCTACAGGCGTGGGATACCATGCCTAATTTTTTTTTGAGACGGAGTTTTGCTCTGTCGCCCAGGCGCCCAGGCTAGAGTGCAGTGGCGTGATCTCAGCTCACTGCAGGCTCCGCCTCCTGGGTTCACGCCGTTCTCCTGCCTCAGCCTCCTGAGTAGCTGGGACTACAGGCGCCCGCCACCATGCACGGCTAATTTTTTGTATTTTTTTTTTTAGTGGAGATGGGGTTTCACCATGTTAGCCAGGATAGTCTCAAACTCCTGACCTCAAGTGATCCACCCACCTCGGCCTCCCAAAGTGCTGGGATTACAGGCATGAGCCACTGCACCCGGCCAAAGAAGATAGCAATTCTGTTGATTCTTCCTTTAAACCCTCTGTAGGATTCCAGCCCCTCCCTTTGAAATTTCATGTCACAACCTTAGGCCCTATCAACTGGGAAGCTATTAATAAAGGAGAACCAGAATTAATCTCCATCCAGCCGCCTTCATTATTCTTCCTAAAGTATCCTTATGTTTTCAGTCCTTTTTTTCTTTACAATGTGTGTTAGCTCCAAATTGCTTACTGACTCAAATCAAAACTCTTTGGCCTAATGCCATTCACCCAAAAACTATTGATTTAACTACTCTGTGCCAGGCACTGTGCTGGGCAGGAAGGATGCAATGGTGACCTTAACAGACAAGATTCCCTGCCTTGTGGTGCTACAATCTAGTGGGGAAGACAGATAAAAAAAATTGAACAACAACAACAAAACAACAAAATAAATATTTAACTTGTGACAAGTGTTCTGAAGGACATCAACAGAGCGCTGTGCCCAAGAATCACAGAGACAGTCTGTCTACTCTGGCTGCTGTGTGAGGTGAAGATTGGAGGGAGTTGAAAGAGGACATGGGGAGAACAATAAAAAGAACGCTGCCATTGTCTGTGTCTGAGCAGCAGATGACAATGGCCTGGATCATGGTGATGGCAATGGAGAGGAAGGGACATGGTCATGTTAGAGATGTAGTTAAGAAGTAGAGGTGATAGGACTGGCTCATGAATCTGACGCAAGAAGGTAGTAAGCAAAAAAGCTGAATCAAAGATCATGTCCAGCTTTCTGGTTTGAACAATTGGGTAGATGGTGGTGCTAGTTACTGAGATGAGAAATATAATAGAAGAGGGGATTTTGGAATTATAATCAAGGGCTGCACAGGGTGCAGTGGCTTATGCCTGTAATCCCAGCACTTTGGGAGGCCAAGGTGGGTGGATCACCTGAGGTTAGGAGTTCGAGACCAGCCTGGCCAACATGGTGAAACTCTGTCTCTACTAAAAATACAAAAATTAGCCAGGTGTGGTGGTGCACGCCTGTAGACCCAGCTACTTGGGAGGCTGAGGCAGGAGAATTACTTGAATCCGGACCTCAGTGATTCTCCTGCCTCAGCTGGAGGCAGAGGTTGGAGGCAGCTGTTGCAGTGAGCCAAGATTGTGCCACTGCACTCCAGCCTGGGCGACAGAGTGAGACTCCATCTCAAAAAAATAAAAAATAAAATAAAATCAAGGGCTCCATTTTTGGATGTAACGAACCATATAAGGAGCAGAACCAGCTCTGCCATCACAACAATAGTAGCAGCCACAAGAAGCATGTTCCTGCGGTCCCTCCCCTTAAACCCAGCTCTCCCAGACAGAACCCAACCCTCTGAGCAGCCAGTGGTTGATCCTCATCCCAGCTGGGGACCCCGTTTAGAGCAGCTTTGACCTTGGCTTATTGAATTTGTCTTCTGCTGCGTTACAGGAGGTTCCAACCCTCCAGAGCAGAAAGATGTGTGACCAAAATACCTCCCCAGATTATTGGGCAGGAGGGACAGAGAGAAGGGGATTTCTCCTGAAGACTCCCTAGTTTAGCGGGGCCACCCTCTCTTATGACTGCCTGTGGAATAGAAAGAGGAGAGCCCTCATTTTCCATGGTTCTAAGGGTAGAATTCTAAGAAGTCCCTTGGAAGTAATTTCATCCAGAAGGAAGCATTGCCATACACCTCTCCATCCAATACTCTGTCGAACAGGAAGTGGTAGGTCTGACTCACATCTGGAGGAGGTGCTCTCCCTGCTAGGAGCAGAGAGAGGCGAAGTCAGCCCCTCCCTGGTCCACAGTCATCTTGAGGCTGAGTCCTGGCACCCTGTCCTGTCTAGTGTTGTTGGCCAGGGCCTGCCCATGGGAATAGGGCTTCTGGCTGGATGGCTTTCCTCCCACCCCCCTAGGTGGCCCTCCCTGGACAAGCTGAAGCAGATCTGCCTCCCTGACTGTGACGTATTTTGTGGCCCCTAGAACCTGTCCCAGGCTCGCTACTCTCACCTCAGGCACCATGGCGAGGCCCTCAACTTTCTGGACAGAGAGATTACTCCCTGCATTGCTGCCATTATTACTCAGGCTGCCCAGATCAGGCAAAACTCATTCTCTGAGGCCAAGTGCTCAGGCCAGCCAGAGAACATCAGAGGTGTCTGCAGCTAGGAGAGATAGCTCGGCTCCCCTGCTTACAGAGACGGCTCCCTCAGGCCCAGAGCAGCCCTTTCTCTTGGGTTGGGGCAGGGGACATTGGACAAAGACAGGAACATCTGCCACCTGAGGCACTCCTACTTTGTGCTTTCCACCCTAGCCACTGACACCATCCAGAGGTAGCTATGGGCTGACCCTTCACCATGAGGACAACCAACCACACTTCCAACTCCACCCAAGATGAACACTTTGGCCTTTAGACTCCTTACCTCAATCATCACTAGGACAGCTTACTTCTTGACCTCCTCTGAGTCACCCAACCTCATGGGCCAATTCTGTGGATATCAAAGAGTTATTGTCAAGTGTAAAATGATTCCTGGGATGATCTGGGACTTGACTATCCACTGCCTGACCAGCATCTTCCAGAGCAGGTCTCCTGTACTGAGAAAGAGAATCAGCCTTCATCAGTGACCTGTGTGTCCCCAACAAGAATCCAACAAGACCGTGCTCCCTGCCATGACCAGAGACCTGAGTGTATTGGTCAGGGTCCTCCAGAAAAAGAACCAACAGGATGTGTGTGTGTGTGTGTGTGTGTGTGATTATAATACATATATTTATTATTATTTATGTAGTATATGTATGTGTGTATGTGTGTGTATATGTATATATGATGCATCATAAGAAATTGGCTCATGCGGTTATGGAGGCTGGCAAGTCCCAGTATCTGGAGGCTGAGTCAATACACTGGAGATCCAGAAGAGCAAATGGTTTAATTCCAGTCTGAGTCCTAAGGCCTGAGAACCAGGAGAGCTGATGGTGTAGTGCCTGTGCAAAGGCTGGCAGGCTCACTTGCCAGGAAGAACTAATGCTTCAGTTTGAGTCAAAGGCAGGAAAAAGCTACTGTTCTAGTTTGAAGGTAGTCAGAAAAAGGAATCCCCTTACTTGGGAGAAGGTCAGCCTTTGGTTCTATTCATGCCTTCAACTGACTGGATGAGACCCACCCATGTTAGAATGAGCAATCTGTTTTATTCAGTATACCCAATGTAAATGTTAACCTCATCCAAAAACACCCTCTCCAAAACATTCAGGATAATATTTGACCAAATATCTGGGCACCCTGTTGCCCAGTCAATGTGACACATAAAATTAACCATCATACCTGAGGATGCAGACTAACTACCTCAACACCCTCTGAGATGCGAGTATATTAGGGCCCAAGAGGAAAGAGTCTAACAGTGAAATACATTAGACCCACTGCAGAACTGCAGAGGGATTAGATAGTGGGCAATGCCCTACCCCAACCACCCCAATAACTCACTAGCTCTAGTTTTGATATGTTAACTTTGAGAAACCTGTGAATCCTCCACATGTCACTGTCAAGTAGGCAGTAAAATGTTGGAGCTAGGAGGTCAGATGAGAGAGAGGCTGGAGACACATATTTGGGAATCAGCACAGAACATTAAATCAAAGGGTAGTAGGGCCAAGTGTGGTGGCTCACACCTATAATCCCAGCACTTTGGGAGGCCAAGACAGGGGGATTGCTTGAGCTCAAGAGTCAAGACAAGCCTGAGCAAGATTGTGAAACCTGTTCTCTATAAATTAATTAGTTAATTAATTAAACAAACCATTAGAGCTAGTTCTCTATTTAAAAAAAAATCAAACCAGTAAACATAATATAAAAATAAATAATTTTTTTAAACCAACAGGTAAAGATTATAGAGACAAAAGAGAAGAGGGTCCAGAATGGATCCCTGGAGAACTAAACCATCTGAGATTGAATAGGGGAAGACAGATATAGATAGGTGGAGCAAGCTGAGAAATGCTGGGGTAAGGAGAGGAAAACTAGGATAATATGGGGTCACTGAAGACAAGAAAAGAGTACATTGAAAATGATTGTACCAAAAGCCACTGTGAGGTCAAGTAAAGAGGAGAACATACAAAAGCTCATGGGGTTTGACCATTTTTATTTTATTTTATTTTATTTATGTATTTATTCACTACTGATCAGAAGGCAAGACCATTTTCAAACTTCTACAATTTGGTTCCATTTCCCCTAAATGACCTGATCTCTTGTTGAATTCTAGCTGGAGTCACACATCCCAGTTTGCTAAGGGCAGTTCTCCAAATAGTCATGCTGTGCTCATGTCAGAATGTAATTTTTAAAAGTAGTTTTATTTCTTTTATTTTTCTCTTTATATATTTTTGTTTTTTCTTAAGAGGTCACACCAAAGACCAAATGTAATTATTAATAGTGCTCTCTCTCATTATCAAAAGTGCATCCGTTTGCAAGATAAATTACATGGTTACTCTCTTTCTAACACAAGCCATTTGTGCCAGGTGAGCAGGGGTAACTTTCCTTCCAATTCCCACCATTCTTCTTCCTCTTTTGGGGCTTCTTCCCAGGGTGCTCCCCACACACCAGAAATGCTTCTGCTTCTTTCTGACAAACTCAAGTCTCACCTCTCCATGCTTCTTCAATTCTCATCCAACCAATGGCCTACTCTTTCTTTCTCTTTATTTTCTTAACAGTGTATTTTTATTCCAAACAATATCCGATTTATAGAAAATTTGAAACCATAGAACAAAAGACTTTTTTCTCCTCATCTCTTTGAGAATAAGTTACCAACATGGTGTCCGTGGCCCCTAAATACTTTAGCATTTTCTTATAAACAAGGACACTCTTCCTACCGAAATCAGGAAGTTAACACTGATGCATTGTTACAGTATAATTCTCAAACTCATTCAGGTTTCACAAACTGTCCCAGTAGTGTCTTTATAGCAAATGAGTGCAATTCAGAATCATGCGTTACATTTATTTGTCATAGCTCTTTTAGTCTCCTTCAAATGAGAAAGATTCCTCAGTTTTTTTCTTGACTCTTGTGACTCTTGACTCTTTTGCAGTTACAGACTAATTGTTTTATATAATATCTCTCAGCTTGGGTCTGTCTCATGTTTTCTAATGATTAAATGCAGGTTATGTATCTTTGACAGAAATACAAAAGAGGTCATGTGTTCTTCTCATTGGATCCACACTTCAATATGTCCTATTACTAATGATGTTAACTTTGATCATTTCATTAAGGTGGCATCTACTGTGCTTCTTGGCTGTGAAGTTACTCGCTTTTCCTTTGTAACAAAAAGATGTTTTGTAAGGAAGAACTTTGATAATATGTAAATTTTCCATTCCTCTTCAAAATTAATCCTTATATCACTTTATATCAATAGGGACTCATGAATTATAAATTATTCAATGGGCATATTACTATCAATGGGTTATATTACTATCATTATTAAGTTTGATGTTCAGATTGTCTCAGATTTGGCCAGCAGGAAATTTCAGGCTGGTTTCAGTGTCCTTCTTTGAGTACTTTCTTACTTTCTGACACCAGAAGCTATCCCAGACTCATCTTTTACTTTTCATTTATTAACTCCTAGAATCAACCATTTCTCTTAAGGGGTCTTGGTTCCTGTTAAGTGAAGAATGATATTTAGAAAGCAGGATTGGGGCCAGGGATGGTGGCTCATGCCTGTAATCCCAGCACTTTGGGAAGCCGAGGCGGGTGGAACACCTGAGGTCAGGAGTTTGAGACCAGCCTGGCCAACATGGTGAAACTCCGTCTCTACTAAAAAATACAAAAATTAGCCAGGAGTGGTGGTGGGCACTTGTAATCCCAGCTACTCGGGAGGCTAAGGCAGGAGAATCGCTTGAACCCGGGAGGTGGAGTTTGCAGTGAGCCAAGATCACACCATTGCACTCCAGCCTGGGTGACAGAGTGAGACTCTGTCTCAAAAACAAAAAAAAACCACACACACAAAAAACAGAAACCATGGCTGGGCACAGTGGCTCATGCCTGTAATCCCAGCACTTTGGAAGGCCGAGGAGGGCGGATCACGAGGTGAAGAGATCGAGACCATCTGGCCAACATGGTAAAACCCCGTCTCTACTAAAATTACAAAAATTAGCTGGGCATGGTGGTGCGCTTCTGTAGTCCCAGCTACTCAGGAGGCTAAGGCAGGAGAATCGCTTGAACCCAGGAGGCGGAGCTTGCAGTGTGCCGACATTGTGCCACTGTACTCCAGCCTGGCGACAAAGTGAGACTCCGTCTCAAAAAAAAAAAAAAAAAAAAAAAAAAACAGAAAGAGAAACCAGACTTGGGACCAGGCACAGTGGCTTATGTCTGTAATCCCACCACTTTGGGAGGCTGAGATGGGAGGACTGCTTGAGGCCAGGAGTTCAAGACCAACTTGGCCAACATAACAAGTCTCCATCTCTGTTTTTTGAGACAGGTTCTTGCTCTGTCACCCAGGCTGGAGTGCAATGGCATGATCTCCACTCACTGCAACTTCCACCTCCTGGGATCAAGTTATTCTCCTGCTTCAGCCTCCCGATTAGCTGGGATTACAAGCACGTGCCAGCACTCCCAGCTAATTTTTTGTATTTTTAGTAGAGACGGGGTTTCACCATGTTGGCCAGGCTGGTCTCGAACTCCTGACCTCGTGATCTGCCCACCTTGGCCTCCCAAAGTGCTGGGATTACAGGCATGAGCCACCATGCCCAGCCTGACTCCATCTCTATTTTTTAAAAATAAAATAAATAGAAACCAGTATTGGGCATCATTGATCTCAGGCCCTCTCAGGGCACAGAAGTAGGGAATATAAGGATGTGTGTACACACATACACAAAATCATACATGCATTTACCCTTATATTTCTCTACATACGTAATAAAATATGGATCTTATTAGTTTGTTTATTGAAAACCATGACTTCATACCAATACTTCTCATTCCAACCTAACACAGTTTTCATTCTAGTTTTCTGTCCATAATTTATTTTTTTGAGATGGGGTCTTGCTCAGTTGCCCAGGCTGTAGTACAGCCTCAATCTCCTGGGCTCAAGTGATTCTCACACCTCAGCCTCTTTCCTTGAGATGGCATACAGGTGCATGCCACCACACCTGGCTAATGTTTTCTTAATTTCTGTGGAGACGGGATCTCGCTATGTTGACCAGGCTGGTCTCAAACTCCTGGCCTCAAACAATCCTTCTGCCTCAGCCTCTTAATGTGGTGGGATTACAGGAATGATTTGTTAACTGTCTTCTCCAACAGCGAGAAACTTTGCTCCCATTATCCTTAATATTGTACATTTACATACATGTCCTTGGAGATACCTTTCTCTCCCCACTGGGACTCCAACACCCTGTGGCAGACTGCCTCTCTGCCGGGACACCCCTCACCACAATTGGGTTCTGACACTCTGGCCTGGACTTGCCCCTGAATGTATGCTTTCTGATCCTGGTCAGGTTCCGGCCACCACAGCTCACCTCCACCCCACTCATAGCTGCCTATCTTGCTCGACCCTGCACCTGATGACTTTTGCACCTGATTTTTCAAGGAAGGAAAAGAGGAACTATATAGCTTTTCTCTTATTACTTTTAAGCACTTCCATTTCATTTATACTTGGTCATTCAGAAATTAAGAGTTATTTCTACCATGCACTATTCTTAAACTCTGTGATGCCTTTAAAGAGTGCCTCTTCAGTGAGACTGGGTCTATGCTGAGAGTAGAGGTCCTGCCTCCTCCCCCTTTTTCCTGTCCACCACATTCCTCTGTCTGCCCAGAGTAGGGAAGGCTGCAAACCCTCCCCCCGCCTTCCTCCTAGGAGGTCGCTGCCTGAAAGCTCTGTCCTGCCCGGAGGAAACCAGCTCAGCCTCCAGCTCTGGCCTGGCCTGATAGTCTGCCAGTAGCCAGGCCAGCTCTATCAGTTCTGTGCACGGGGATGCCCTGCGCGGAGGGGAGGGAGGAGGGGGAGAAAGAGTTGCCCGTGGGGCCTCAGGCCTTTGCTGTGCCTCAGTTCCCACACCTCAGAAGAATAAAGTACTCAACCCAGAAGAAAGACTCGGGCTTCCAGACTTTGGTTTGTGAGAGCAACGACATTCAAGGGTTACTCACGTAGACATTTAACAACCCGTAAAGGGAACTGGATGACAGAAATTACAGGATGGCTCCACCCTCGCGAAATGACATATTCATTTGAATGCTTGGGTAATTTCACAACAGGCAGTGCTGGTGGGGAGCAGGTTTTCCTCACTGAAGATGGAAATAAGGGTAATTGCTAATTTCCTTCCCCTGACCTTCATGACCTGCCCAGCTGTCTGCTGCCACCAGCCTCCTTCCACGGCTTTTCTTGTCTAAGGCTTCATGCCTTAAGAAATCAATTTACTCAGCTTTGTTCTGGGCCAGGTGAGAAAAAAAAATCAATGTATTCATACAAGTGGGACAATTGCAAACAAACGGAGTAAGAAAAAATAAATTCAGTTATGTAGTATTTGAGGCTTGAATTCGAGTAAATCAACCAAACTTCCTCCTCGCTTCAGGTAAAAGCATTTGTTGTTGACACAGCGCCACCTGATGGCAACTGGAATCTTGGCAGGAAATAGTCACCTGTCATTCCAACGTTATGCTGCTCATTTCACCTTTTTGTGTGTGTGTGTGTGTGATGGAGTCTCGCTCTGTCGCCAAGGCTGGAGTGCAGTGGCATGATCTCGGCTCCCTGCAACCACCGCCTCCCGGGTTCAAGCGAGTCTCCTGCCTCAGGTTCCTGAGTATCTGGGACTACAGGCGTGTGCCACCACGCCCAGCTAATTTTTTGTATTTATAGTAGAGACGGGGTTTCACCGTGTTAGCCAGGGTGGTCTCGGTCTCCTGACCTCGTGGTCTGCCCGCTTCAGCCTCCCAAAGTGCTGAAATTACAAGCGTGAGCCACCGTGCCCAGCCATCATTTCACACTTTTTTATTTTTAAATTTCAGTTCCCTTTCAAGCTCTAGACTCTTTCATTCAGAGTCCATTCTCTGTGTGCTTATGGTAGATGCTAAAGGTCTAAGAAAATATGACCACTTCCTGTCTAGTGTGGTGGCTCTCAAACTTGACCTTGCTCAGTTGCTCAGGCTGGAGTGCAGTGGTGCAATCTCGGTTCACTGCAGCCTTGACCTCGTGGGCTCAGGTAATCCTCCTGCCTCAGCCTCCCAGGTAGTTGGGACCACAGGCGGGAGCCACTATGCCTGGCTAATTTTTGTTTTGTTTTTGTTTCGTAGAGACAGGGTTTCGTCATGTTACACATACTGGTGTTGAACCCCCGGACTCAAGCAATCTGCCCGTATAGGCCTCCCAAAGTGCTGGGATTGCAGGCATGAGCCATCGCCCCTGGCTGAGAAAGTTTTAAAATGCAGACTCCTAGGCTCTGCCCTGCAAAGACTCGGAGTTGGTGGGTCTGGGGTATGTCCCAGGAGCTTGTGTTTAAACTCCTCAGGTGATTCTGAAACAAAGAGTTCACAAATAACATGTTGAGAGGAACTAAAGATGGAGAAGCAGACTGGAATTTGCAGTCTGGAATTGTTACTGCAATGTAATCTGGCAAATGCCACAAAGTATGAACAGGTCTGCTAGGGACACAGAGAAGGGATGCCTAATCAGACTAAGGAAAAGAATAGAGAAGGCTTCCCAGAAGGTAAGACTCTAGATGAATAAAAGTTGGTGAGATGAAGAAGGGGAGCAGGGGAATCATACATAGGGCATAAAATATGGAAGTTAAGAGGGCATGAAACTCCATGGGCCCTGAGAGCAGTGTGGGAGGCTGGAAGGAAGGAGAATGTGGCAGTGTCAGAAAATGAAGGGCCTGGGGCCAGGGACAGTGGCTCACATCTGTAATCCCAGCACTTTGGGAGGCCAAGGCAGGAGGATTACCTTGAGGTCAGGAGTTTCAAGACCAGCCTGGCCAACACGGCAAAACTCTGTCTCTACTAAAAATACAAAAATTAGCCAGGTGTGGTGGTGGGCGCCTGTAATCCCAGCTACTCGGGAGGCTGAGGCAGGAGAATCACTTGAATCCGGGAGGCAGAGGTTGCAGTGAGCCAAGATAGCACCACTGCACTCCAGCCTGGGAGACAGAGCAAGACTCTGTCTCAAAAAAAAAAAAAAAAAAAAAAAGGGAAAACGAAGTGCCTGGAATACCAAGCTATCTTTCTCCCCAAAGATCCAGGGAATGCAGAAATTTTAAGCAGGAGAATGACTTGAGAAGATCTGCATTTTTGGAAGATCTCTCTTGGCAGCAATGCTGAGGGTGCAGGACATCCGGCTTGGGTGATCAGATGTCATTTTCTAAGAGTATACAGAGGGAGGGACAGGGTTGGGGGCAGTGGGTCAAGGAAGAGTAAAAGGGACACAAAAGGGAGCCTGGGCACGGTGGCTCACCCCTAATCCCAGCTACTTGGGAGGCTGAGGCAGGAGAATCGCTTGAACCCAGGAGGTGGAGGTTGCAGTGAGCTGAGATTGCACCACTGCACTCCAGCCTGGGCAACAGGGTGAGACCGTGTCTCAAAAAAAGAAAAAACAAGAGACACAAAGGGAAAGAGGAGGCCAGGCATGGTGGCTCATGTCACAGGAGGAAGAAGTTCAAGAGATCCATGGAGACTGTAGTTAGTAACAATGTATTGTATACTAGAAAATTGCTAAGAGAGTGGATTTTAAGTGTTCTCACCACACACAAAAAGAAATGTGAGGTAATGTATATGTTAATTAGATTGATTTTGCCATTCCACAATGTGGACGTATATCAAATATCATGTGGGACACCATAAATATATACAATTTTTATTTGTCAGTTAAAAAATTTTGAAAGAGCAATCATTTTAGAGTTTTCCCAGCTTGTAGCCATGAGGGGTTACATGGGTGTCTTTATGTCCACAAGAAGAGCGGCACTGAGTAGGCAAAAGGACAGGTGCCCAACCCACAGCTTCTGCTTATTCCCTTCCTTCCCCTTGACCAAGCTGAACTTACAGCCTGACCACAGAATGACCCAACAAAGCTAAATTTAATTGTGTTTGGAACCTAGGAGCAGACTCAATTTGATTTCTAAACCTCCCGAGAGAAGCAGTGTACCCAAGGCCATCTATCGTGTGGCATGGATAAGGGAGTCTGTCTTCTCTCCTTTTGTCAGGGAGTTCTGGGGTCTGTGTTCATTTCCCAGTTGTCCTTGACAACCCTGTTTTATGCTGGACAGCAGAGTGGGAAAAGCACTGGTCAGGAACCAAACGAATTACCGAATTGTCTGACACTGTCGCTTAAGCTGGCTGTCTCTGTTTTCTGTCTGTAGAACAGGGATAATAGAGCCTGCCCTTAATCATTGCGTGGTTGGTCTAAAGGGTGAAATGAGACAGTGCTCTCGAAACTGTGAAATGTGCCAGGAGCGATGGCTCACGCCTGTAATCCCAGCACTTTGGGAGGTGGTGGTGAGTGGATCACTTGAGGTCAGGAGTTCGAGACCAGCCTGGCCAACATGTTGAAACCCCGTCCCTACTAAAAACACAATAATTAGCCAGGTGTGGTGGCCTGCACCTGTTATCCCAGCTACTTGGGAGGCTAAGGCAGTGAGCCGACATCGCGCCACTGCACTACAGCCTGCGTGACAGAGACTCCGTCTCAAAAAAAAAAAAAGAAAAGAAAAGAAGAAAAGAAAAAAGAAAAAAAATAAACACTGTAAAACGAATATAAGATAGGCCCTACAACTAGGAGCTGCGTTACCGGAGTTAGGTCGGGAGAAATAATGCAGGAATGGCGCCCCCTTCTGTGCGGCGCAGGAACTGCAACACACGCTGGCGGCAGCCTTCATCCCTGGTGGGGTCCGAGCCTCAGGCATCTCAGGGAGGGGACCTTGAGGGGAGGGTGGCATAGAACCAGAGGGAAGTCATAAAACTGGGCCTGGCATCTTCACAGCAGCTTAGAATTCTCAACCATGACCTTCTATGCCCACTTCGGGACTCCATTAGTCACAGTGGGTCTTTCCTGCAGGAGACTCCAGCCAAGATATTTAGGCCAGATGATTTTTTTTTTTTTGAGTTTCGCTCTTGTTGCCCAGGCTGGAGTGCAATGGCACGATCTCGGCTCACTACAACCTCCACCTCCTGGGTTCAAGTGATTCTCCTTCCTCAGCATCCCGAGTAGCTGGGATTACAGCTGTCCACCACCACGCCCAACTATTTTTTGTATTTTTTAGTAGAGATGGGGTTTTACCATGTTGGCCAGGCTGGTCTCGAACTCCGACCTCAGGTGATCCACCTGCCTCGGCCTCCCAAAGTGCTGGGATTACAGGCGTGAGCCACCGCGCCCAGCCTAGCTTCTAACAGAGTTTATTACTTTTCTTTTTCTTTTGTTTTCTTTTCTTTTTTTTTTTTCTGGCCAATTGACGCTTCTGTGGACCTAAAAGGAAGAAGCTGAGGCGAAATTAATATAGAGAGTTTATTGGGGTCAAGGTTGAGAACTGCAGCCTGGGACACACTTTCAAGTTGCCTTGGAGAGTGCTCCCAAGAACAAAAAGAGAGCCTCGAATGTTTAAAGAATATAAGACGAATCAGGAGAGGGGGCAATTACAAAATTGATCATTAGGATTTCTCATTGGCTTACAGAAATAACACTGATTAGTGATTGGCTAGACTTTGTTGAACTATAGGGTGTATGGCATTTCATGGCTAATTGGCATCAGTTAGTCTAGAGTCTTCATAGCAAGAGACTTCAAGAGATCATTATTCAGCTCGAGAAGGAGTGAGATGTGACTGCAGTTACATCCCAATGCCTCTCTGGGCCTGATAATGTAAAGGGGTTCATATTTCTCAGATTAAAAATTTATCTTTTATCAGTGACTTGCGCCTGTAATCGCAACACTTTGGGAGGCCAAGGCAGGCAGATTGTTTGAGCTCAGGAGTTTGAGACCAGCCTGGGCAACATGTCAAGACCCCACCGCTACTAAATTAGAAATTAGCTGGGTGTGGTATCAGGCACCTGTGGTCCCAGGTACTGGAGAGACTGAGGTGAGAGGATCACTTGAGCCCAGGAGGTTGAGGCTGCAGTGAGCCATGTTTGCACTGAGCGGGGTGACAGAGCAAGACTGTCTTAAAACAAACAAACAAACAAACAAAACCTTTTCTTTTCCCTCCACACTTGATAAGAATGGTTTTTCACCTGCTTATCCACAAATTCCATGCCATTCTCAGGAAAAGTGAATTACAAGCCTGAAGCAAAACTGCAAAGAGGGCAGGGTTTGTCTGGAGGCTCCTTCCCCCACTTTCTGTACAGGAGTTTTCTTTGAGAGCATCATGAGCCAAGAGCCAGATTATTCTGGATTCCTTTCCCATCCCATCCAAATCCCAACCTCCCTGTGCCCAAAGCATAGTGGCTCTGCTGTCTGCTGTGACTAATATGATTAATTAACTTTTAAAAAGTTATTGCTAGGTGACAATATCTTAATGTGCTAATGTATTTGTCTTTTAATAGCAGTCTTTAAAAACTGGAGCCAAAGATGGGGGATAGAGGTAAAGAGAAGGATAATTTCAATGTCATATTACACAATTTGTCTGAAGAGATTATTTGTATACAAGGCCCTCCATTTACATAATGATAAGGCATGCCAACAACAGGAGCCTCACTGTCCCTCTGAGACAGGCATGATCTTCATTATGCTATTGAGACAAGCGTGGATCAGAAAGGTCAAGTGCTTGCCAGGGTCTGTAGAACTAATTAGTGATGAAACCAGGATGAGGACTCAGCTACCTTAGGCTAATTTGCACTTCATTTCTTTGCCACCTTATTCTACTGTGAGAGAATATTTAATGAGGTGGAAGTTGCAAATATTGACTGAAAAGAGACACTGTTTTTTTTTTTTGTCTGCAGATTTACATTATCCTTTGCTTTGTTTTTTTTTTTAATAACACTTGTCACTACATTGAAAAGATGGTGGGAAGGAAGGAGAGAAGAAAAGATAAGCAGAGCAAAAAAAGAGAGGGAGCAACCAGTATATACCTAGCATTTTACATATGCGACATAAAAATTATAAGAGGTCACTGTTTTAGACTAAGTTTCTGCACTAGGCCCCAGCAGACCAGACTAAAAAGAATTTCCACATCCATGTCACCAAACCCAAACTAAATTGTTATCTGACCTTCCTAGAAATCCGAAGAAAGAGATAATAGCCAATTTTCCAAATAGGCCAATCTTCAATTGGCAGGATAATGAAGTGCCTTCTGCTTTAATTCCTACCTAAAAGAAGTAGCCTGCAGTAACCTGATGTTAGCTCATCAGTTATTTTTCTATTGTTCTGTCTCCTCCTCACAGGAAAGCAGCTTTG
Organism: Homo sapiens; assembly: GCF_000001405.40. Lineage (NCBI taxonomy): Eukaryota > Metazoa > Chordata > Mammalia > Primates > Hominidae > Homo > Homo sapiens. The sequence goes on along the minus strand of NC_000009.12, from coordinate 4,756,956 downwards.
CAATGCCTGATACACACCGTTCTTTGCCTCTGCTTTCTTCACCTTTCCCTGTCTGTAATTCAGCCCTTTCTCAGCTCCTAGAACACTTATTCTGTTTTACAGAATGAAGTGTTGTCCGACTCTAGAATCACAATTAAAACCAGGTGAGCTCTTTAAATTTGCTGTAATTTTGTCCTTTGACACATATATAATCTTATTTAAATCTTGCAACAACCCCATAGGGCAGGTATTATCCTTCCCCTGTTTCATAGAGGCAGGCTGGTGAAGCTAAAAGAGGTTAATGATTTTGCTCAAGGTCTCTCAGCCTGTGAAAGTCAAACTCAGCTGTGTGTAACTGCAGATCCTGTGATCCAGGAAACTCTTGAATTTCAAGGAGGACGATTACCCTCATGGGAGTAAATGATTACCTTTGTAAACCAAAAATAAAATCCTAAGCTTCCCAGCTGACGGATTGGACTCTTTCTTGGCCAAGAGAAATCTGAAAAACTGAGTCCCTGGCCATGATGGGATGGGAGGTCAGGCGCGCCTCATTATACTCCCTCGCTTTTACAGTTTAGACACAACAAATGCGCAGCATTCATGTTAAAATAGAGATCATGAAACTTAACAAGAGGGACTCTTTGTGAAAATAAGATACCAAATTATAAACAGGACCTGAGGCTATGCCCGACAAGGGTTAAGTCACAAACCCCTGCAGGTCACTCTGACCCAGACTTTCTTGACTTAAATGTTCCTTTCTGTGGACTTCAAATTTTTAGACAAACCTTTACTCCTTTAACCAATTCCAATTTTTCTTTTTCTTTTTTTTTTCTTTTTTTTGAGACAGGGGTCACTTCATTACCTAGGCTAGAGTGCAGTGGTGTGATCACTGCAGCCTTGACCTCCTAGGCTCAAGTGATCCTCCCATTTCAGCCTCCTGAGTAGCTGGGACTACAGGCACATGTCACCACACTAATCTAATTTTTAAATTTTTTGTAGAGATGGAGTCTCACTAGATTGCCCAGGCTGGTCTTGAACTCCTGAGCTCAAGCCATCCTCCTGCTTTGGCCTCCCAAAGTACTGGGATTATAGGCATGAGCCGCTGTACCCAGCCCAATTGCAAATTAAAGAATATCTGAGTCCGCCTATGACCTGTAAGCTCCTGCTTCAAGATATCTCACCTTTTCAGGCCAAACCAATATATATCTTCCATGTATTGGTTTGTCTTTACCTGTAATCCCTGTCTCCTTGAAATGTCTAAAACCAAACTGTCACCAACTACCTTGGGCTCACTTCCTCAGGACTGCTTTGCGGCTGTGTTTCCAGGGGCCATGGTCACACATATTGGTTCAGATTAAACCTCTTTAAAACATTTTACAGCTTGTTTTTTTTTTCTGTTAACACATTATACGTGGGATCTGGGATAGAAATGCCCTGTATGGGCCACAGCCTGTGAATTAATGGGGCATTAATAGGATAACGTGATGTCTCATTTCTGGAGGGAAGTCAGTGCTATGGTGGGGGAAGTTTTGTATCAGAGGACAAGCAATGCCTCAGGCTAAGAGAAACTAACCAAGGAAGTATGCTTTATGGCCAAGGTTACGGTATCTGACATCTGTCAGGAATGCCAAAAATAGATATGTGAGATTTGTAGAAAATTCCAAGAGAAAAAACTTCAGAACATGGGTTACCTCCATTACAAAGGAAGCCACTACCTGTACTTAGATTTCTATGAGCTAATCAGAGAGCAGTCACAATTTATAAAAATAGAACTGGTCATTACACAACCAGTTTCATTTGTTTTATTTTGCCTTTGACTTTCAGGAGTTGCTTTTTTAAATGTTTTAGAAAATGGGCCTGACGAGGTGGCTCATACCTGTAATCACAGCACTTTGGGAGGCCAAGGCGGGTGGATTGCTTGAGCTTAGGAGTTTGGGACCAGCCTAAGCAACATAGCGAGACTCCTTCTCTACAGAATATACAAAAATTAGCCGGGCATGATGGTGCGTACCTGTAGTCCCAGCTACTCGGGAAGCTGAGGTGGGGGGGATCACTTGAGCCCAGGAAGTGGAGGTTGCAGTGAGCCAAGATTGCACTACTGCACTCCAGCCTAGGTGACAGAGTGAGATCTTGTCTCAAAAAAAAAAAAAAAGAAAAAAAGAAAAAGAAAGGAAGGGAGGGAGGAAGGGAAAGAAAGAGAAAAAGAGAGAAAGAGAGAGAGAGAAAGAAAGAAAGAGAAACAGAGAAAGAAGAAGAGAGAGAGGAAGGAAGGAAGAAAGGAAGGAAGGAAACCTTGTTGCACAATTAACAAAGTGAAATCTTCAGAGACACATGGCCTCCATCCCTGTGCCTCAGCTCTCTATTCCCTTCTCCTCCTAGAGGTAATCAAGGTTTTTTTGTTTGTTTGTTTTGTTTTTTGAGATGGAGTTTTGCTCTTGTTGCCCAGGCTGGAGTGTAATGGTGCGATCTCTGCTCACTGCAACCTCCACCTCCTGGGTTCAAGCTATTCTCCTGCCTCAGCCTCCTGAGTAGCTGGAATTACAGGCATGTGCCACCATGCCCAGCTACTTTTGTGTTTTTAGTAGAGACAGGGTTTCTCAATGTTGGTCAAGCTGGTCTTAAACTCTCAGGTGATCCGCTTGCCTTGGCCTCCCAAAGTGCTGGGATTACAGGCGTGAGCCACCACGCCCAGCCTGGTAGTCAGGGTTTTTTGTTGTTCATTTTCATTTTATTTTTCTATTTCTCTGCCTCCCAGGCTCAAACCATCCTCCCACTTCACCCTCTTGAGTAGCTGGGACTACAGATGCACACCACCATGCCCGGCTAATTTTTGTATTTTTGGTAGAGATGGGGTTTCACCATGCCACCCAGGCTGGTCTCCAACTCGTGAGCTCAGGTGATCCACCTACCTCAGCCTCCCAAAATGCTGGAATTACAGGCATGAGCCACCTTGCCTGGCTTGTTCTTCTGGTTTAAAAAATGTAAGTATAAGGATCTATTCATATCCTCTTCTCCCTTTAGTTAAACGGTAGGATATTACCTTTATTTTTTGCCACCCTACTTTTTTCACTGGCAGTCATGCCACAGATATTTCTTATGGGTTCTACAAGTGCACAGTATTTTACTATGTTAATGAATCTCAGTTTTATTCAATCATTCTGTGCTGAATGAACTTTGGGGATGTTTCTAGTCTCTTACTATTAAAAGTAGTGCTCACTGAATAATCTTATGTATATGTCTTTTTGTATTTTTGAGATAGATGGATCAATTGGTAAATGGTATATAAAATTTTGCTAGATTTTGCCAAATTTCCCTTGAGAAAGAAAAGTAGCTCAGAGCAGTCTGAAGAATGTGACGTATGTAAAATTTATTAGGACCAGAGAGACATGACAATGAGTCTTCAGGCCAGGCATGGTGGCTCATGCCTATAATCCCAGCAATTTGGGAGGCCAAGGCAGGTGGATCACCTGAGGTCAGGAGTTCAATACTAGCCTGGCCAACATGGTGAAACCCTGTCTTCACTAAAAATAAAAAAATTAGCCGGGCGTGGTGGCAGGTGCCTGTAATCCCAGCTACTCTGGAGGCTGAGGTAGGAGAATCGCTTGAACCCGGGCGGCGGAGGTTACACTGAGCCAAGATCGCACCTGTGCACTCCAGCCTGGGTGACACAGGGAGACTCTGTCTTGAAAAGAAAAAAAAAAAAAAAAAAGAATGAGTCTTCAATCACAGCCTGCCCCCTTTCCCAGGTGTCATCCTCTCCCTCACCAGGGCAGCTGCTTAAAGGCAATTTCTTTTTTCTTTTCTTTTCTTTTCTTTTCTTTTCTTTTCTTTTCTTTCTTTCTTTCTTTTTTTTCTTCCTTTCTCTTTCTTTCCTTCCCTCTCTCTCTCTCTCTCTTTTTTTTTTTTGATACAGAGTATTGCTCTGTCACCCAGATTGGAGTGCAGTGACGACATCTCAGCTCACTGTAATCTCTGCCTTCTGGGTTTAAGCAATTCTTGTGCCTCAGACTCCCGAGGAGCTGTAATTACAGGTGCATACCACCACACCTGGCTAATTTTTGTATTCTTTCGTAGAGATGGGGTTTCACCTTGTTGGCCAGGCTGGTTCTCAAAGTCCTGGCTTCAAGTGATCCACCCGCCTCACACTCCCAAAGTGCTGGGATTACAGGCATAAGCCACTGCACCCAGCCTGGTTAATGGCATTTAGTTTTTTCTTTCCTTCCTTGTAGTTTCCAGACTAGCTGATAAATTACCTAAAATGCTATCATAAATTGCACTATGTGGCCTTCACCCATTATATTCATGTTCTTGGGATTAGTGATATAAAGAATAATGTATAGCCAACCAATAGCTCATGTTCAATTTAGGAACCACCCCATTTTTTCCTTTGGAAACCCACTTGTAACTGCTGCTAATTGGAGCATATATTTCAGGGCAACTTGAACATACATTTCCGAAATTAAAGTACTCGAATTTGGCCCAAATACACTTTTGATTTATACTAATTTTACCTCAGTTTCATTCTTAAGGCTGACACCCTCCTCATGGATGGTACCATTTTTTGCATTCCCACCAGCAAAATATGAGTGCCTCTTTCCTCACCGCCTGGTAAACACATTATATTGTTGAACTTTGAGATTTTCTCCCAATCTGATAGTTGAAAAATGGCATCTCATTTTAGTTTAAATTTGCATTTATTTTACGGGTAGTACGATTCAACATTTTCATATATTTAAAGGTCCTTTATTTTCATTTTGTGTGTGTGTGTGAACTGCAAAGTGTTTGTATCTCTTGCCTATCTTCCATAGGATGGGTTTCCTTCCCTTCTCCATCTTTAGAAGCCCATCATATATTAGGAATATTTGCAGCAGTGTGCTAAAGCTGGCTAGTGCCAGCTTGCAAGTGCTGACTGTTAAATTTTTAGGAATTTTGCAGTCCCGCTGATGTAGCATTAGTGCAGCTGATATTACATTGGCAAGTTAACACTGGCTATGGTGGAGTATTTACTCTATGGAAATTGGCAAATGCGATAACATCCTCCTGACCCCCACTCCCGGGAAGAACACATTACTGGACATTAACCCATTGTCTATGACATAAATTGGAAATCATATTCCCGGTTTGTCATTTATCTTTTAATTTTGCTTATGATGTCTTTTGCTATGCAAAAATGTTATTGTTGTTTTGTATACCTCCAATTTTGGTCTTTTCCTGTATTGCATCTGGATTTTGAGTTAGAGTTAGAAAAGTGTTTCCAATTTCTTGATTATAGAAAATTTTCATCATATTTTCTTCTAGTATTTATATAGCTTTACTTCTTTCAAAAAATTAGATATTTGATCCATTGGAATTTATCTTAAGTGGAAAAACAGATATGATGGTGCTCTTGTTTGAACATGTCCTCCTAATTTCATGTGTTGGAAATGTAACTCCCAAATTTATAGATTGGTGGCATTTGGATGTGGGGCCTTTGGGAGATAATTAGGATTAGATAAAGTCATCAGGGTAGGGCCTCCATAATGGGACTGGTGGCTTTATAAGAAGACCAGAGACCTGAGAGGTTGACATGCTCTTGCTCTCTTGCCATGTGATGCACTCTGTCATATTATGATGTAGTAGGAAGGCCCTTACCAGATGCTGGCACCCTGCTCTTGGACTTCCCAGCCCCCAGAATCACGAGCTAAGTAAGCTTATTTTCTTTATAAATTACTCAGTCTGAGGTATTCTGTTATAGCAACGGAAAACAGACTAAGACAGATTGTATCTTCTTCCACTGGCTACCCATTTATGACAGGACTATTTATTAAGAAGGTCTTCTTTTTCTCTATTGATTTGAGATGGCATATTTACCACTTATTAGACTTCCAGATGTCATTAAGTTTATTTTTGGGTTTTCTTATTTTTTAAAATTTTTGGCTTTTCTATTCTGTTTTATTCATGTGCTGCCATGGGTTTGAACATTTGTCCCCATCAAAACTTACGTTGAAATTTATGCCATTGAGACAGTGTTGGGAGGTGGGATCTTTGGTTAAGTATTTGGCCCATGGGGCTCCACCCTCCTGAGTGGGTTTAGTGCCTTAATAAAGGGGCTTTCAGGCATGGTCTCTTTGTCTCTCTCTCCCTCTCTCTCTCTCTCCCACCAGATGCTAGCACCTGATCTTGGACTTCTCAGCCACCAGAACTGTGAGCCAATATGTTTCTTTTTCATTATAAGTTATCCAGTCTCAATATTTTGTTATAGCAGCACAGAATCCACCAGGGACTCATGTTGGGTCTACATTTAAAATATATGCAAGAAGAGGGCATCCGCAGAGGACAGCTGCCCGGCACAAGTGCCAGTCTGAGTGGAGTGAGGAAGATGTCTCCATGTAGACGGCAGTACAGTGTGGCTCAGGGTTTTGGAGTCTGCACAGAGTGAGTAGAATGCTCATAGCGATAAGCAGCCTGGCCTGTGATGTCAGAGCCCAGAAGTGGTGAGAAGGATGTCTGTGGAGGGGGTGGTCTGGTCCAGCATAGAGTATCAGAGCCCCAGCCAGATAAGAGTGTCCATATATCAGGCTGATGAGTGGTCGGTATGGAATTCTGTAACCCAAGTGGGGTGAGGAGGACATAGAATAAACTAAAATATGTGTCAATATTATTTTCTTATGGTACAGGCTTCCTCATTGTCCGTCTTTCTTAGGGCTTTCTCAGATATTCTTATTTATCTTTCCAAGTGAACGTCCTAATAAAATTGTCTTAGCTCTAAGGCGCCCTCTTCTGTTTCTTTTGCAAAGTGTTAAACAATATGACATTGTAGTATCTGAGTTCCACCTTCTCTGTTCTGTTCCTTGACTTTTGTCTAGACCTTATCTTTCTTTTTTCTCTAATATCCTTGTCTGGATAATTTGAATTCTACTCCCAGAAGTTTCTCCTCAGAGAAAGCATTTCCTATATGCATCCAGTACAATTTGAAATCACTAATTTAGCTGCTGAATAGTTATGGAATTTGGGGCAAAATTATCCTCATTTTTTAAATCTATAAATTGTAAATGAAATGTAATTTATTTCATAAGGGGTTTTTTTTGACAACTAGAAGTAATTTTCTTTTTTCTCTTTTTCCTTTTTTTTTTTTTTTTTTTGAGACAGTCTCATTCTGTCACCCAGGTTGGAGTAGAGTGGCACGATCTCAGCTCACTGCAACCTCCACCTGCCAGGTTCAAGCGATTCTCCTGCCCCAGCCTCCTGAGTAGCTGGGACTACAGGCAGGCGCCACCATGCCTGGCTAATTTTTTGTATTTTTAGTGGAGACAGGGTTTCACCATGCTGGCCAGGCTGGTCTCAAACTCCTGACCTTCTGATCTGCCCACTTCGGCCTCCCAAAGTACTGGGGTTACAGGCGTGAGCCACTGTGCCCAGCCTAGAAATAATTTTCAATCAGTTCTCAGTCCTACCTATCAGCAGAATTTGACTCATTTCATCATATTCTTCTTGAAACACATTCTTCAATTGACTTCCACGACACCATACTCACCCAATTTTCTTCTTAATTGGCCTCTCCCTCTCTTTCAGGTTTTTTCAATGTTTCTTCCATATCTTCCAACCTCAAAATGTTAGACAACCTCAGAACTCAGATTTCAGACCTCTCCTCTCTATCTAAAGTTGCTCCCTAGTGAGCTTGTACCATCTCAAAAATTTAAACATATTGACAACTCTCAAATTTATGTCTCCAGCCTGGACCTCTACCCTGTGGTCAAAATTTATACATCTGCCTCCTTCCTTATTTTCTCTGCCTGGATGTCCAACAGGTATCTCGAAGTTAACTTATTCCAAAACAACTCTAATATTTTCACCCAACCTGTTTCTCTTATAGTCTTCCCAATCTCAGCTAATGACAATTCTATTCTCCCAGTAGCTCAGGAGAAATCTCTTTTTTTCCCTCACTTTAATCCATCGAATCCACCAGGGACTCACGTTGGGTCTACATTTAAACTATATGCAAGAAGAGGGCATCTGCAGAGGAGAGCTGCCCAGCACAAGTGCCAGAGTCTGAGTGGAGTGAGGAAGATTTCTCCATGTAGACGGCAGTACAGTGTGGCTCAGGGTTTTGGAGTCTGCACAGAGTGAGTAGAATGCTCATAGTCATAAGCAGCCTGGCCTGTGATGTCAGAGCCCAGAAGTGGTGAGAAGGATGTCTTTGGAGGGCGTGGTCTGGTCCAGCATAGAGTGTCAGAGCCCCAGCCAGATAACAGCGTCCATATATCGGGCTGATGAATTGTCGGCATGGAATTCTGTAACCCAAGTGGGGTGAGGAGGACATCTGCATGGAGAAAGGGTAGGCAGTGGTGATAGAAGGTTGGGTATACACAGAGTGACTGATCATAAATGTGGATACATGAAGGACATGAGAGTCTGTTAGAGACACTAACTCAAAATCCAGAAGCAATGTGTTACTCTGTGTTAGGTAGATAAGAATAAAAGAAGACTGAATGTAGTGGTTCACACCTGTAATCCCAATATTTTAGAGGCTGAGGTGGGAGGATCCCTGGAGCCCAGGTATTTGAGACCAACCTGGCCAACATAGCAAGATCTTGTCTCTACTAAAAAAAATTAAAAATAAATAAATAAATAAAAATTAGTGGGGAGTGATGGCATGTGCCTGTAGTTCCAGCTACTTGGGAGGCTGAAGCAGTAGGATCAATTGAGCCCAGGAGGTTGAGGCTGCAGTGAGGTATGATCATGCCACTGCTCTCCAGCCTGGGTGACAGAGTAAGACTCTGTCTCTAAAAAATAAAATAAAATAAAATAAAAATTGGTGGCTTCAATATATGAGGAGAAGACAAGACTAGGATTGTAGTGAAGGATGGAAGGGAAAAAATGAAAATAAATCCTAGAATATTAGATCAGAAATGAAGGTATCAATGTAAACTCATGGCTTCAGTAATACATAGATAAACATAGAAATAAATGTAGATGTAAACGTGTGTGTAAATGAATACAAACATATTTACATATTCCTTAGCCCTGTCCTCTGAGAGGGCCTTAAAGCAGCAACACATTAATAGTAATGAGCACACTGAATGCACGGGCCTCAGTTTCTAAATTCCATATTCCACTAAAGGAAACCAGGGATTCTTGGAGAAATGGTTGATCTCAGCCATTTCAATGTGTTGCTGGGTCTAGGAAGTCCAAGATGAACCTGGACCTTCTTATGCCAGAAAGTAAAGAAGTGCACAAAGAGTAATGGGGACATGCCAAAAGGACACAGATGCTAGCTAACACGAAGGAGATTCCATTAGCCAAATCTTAAATGATTTGAACATCAAAATAAATAATAATGACAATGGCTTACAACCAATTTAATAAAATAAGAAACCATATAAATAAATGTAAGATAGTGAGTAAATTAAAAGTTTGATGAAAGATAAGGTATTTACAAAGTCTGAACTTCAACTACCCTCTTACAGAATACTTTTTTTTTTTTTAAAGACAGGGTCTCACACCGTTGCCCAGGCTCTAGTGCAGTGGTACGATCATAGCTCCCTGCAGCCTCCACCTCCTGGGCTCAAGTGATCTTCCCACCTCAGCACCCCACTCAACCCACTCCCTGAGAGGCTAAGAATATAGGCTGGGCCACCATGCCCAGCTAATTTTTTTTGAATTGTTGCCCAGCTGGTCTTAAACTCCTGAGCTCAAGCAATCCTCCCTCCTCAGCCTCCCAAAGTGCTGGGATTATAGGCGTGAGCCACCGTGCCGGGCCTAGAATACTTGTTAATTACAAATGGAAAAAGAGTAATTTCATAGTGGAGAGATCCTGCAGACACCACCTTAACTGGGTGATCAAAGTTAGCATCATCAATAATGCAACACATTAAAATCATATGCCATCTGATAGAACATAACAAAATCACAGCACTACTTCTGTAATATTATCTACCAAAGATGAATAAGCTGAATAGAATCATGAGAGAACATCAGATAAACTCAAAGAGAGGGTGTTCTACAACATAACCTTCCCATAATCTTCAAGAGTGTCAAGGTCATTACACTGGCATAGTATGGGAAGTTAAAAAAGAAAACAAAACAATGAACAAAGAGTGTCAAAGTCATAAAAGTCAAGGAAAGACTACGGAATTACTCCAGATTGAAAGAGAACTGAAAGAGAATAAAGACATGGAAACTGAATGCAATGTGTGATCTTGAAAATCACACAACTAAAATTTACTGTATGATTTCATAACTTCTGTTATAAAGAACATTAGTGGAACATTTGGGGAAAACTGAATAAGGTCTGATTAAATGTTAGTCATGTGATTTTTTTCTTATTTTAAAAGTTATAGTGTGGTTATGCAAAAATGTCATTGTAGGAAACATACATGAAAGTATTCAAGAATGATGGGGCATCTCAAATGGCTCAGAAAAAAAGAATCTTTGTACTGTATTTGCAACTTTTCTATAAGTTTGAGATTATTTCTAGGAAATGAATATTTGTATTCAGAATCCAACTAGCTCTCATCACCTATACCATGCAAGCTTAAGTCATCATCCTCTCTCACTTGCATTATTACTTAAAACCACCATGATCACTTTATTTTCTCCCATGGCTTCTGTGGTTCAGGAACTTAGGAAGGGCTCAGCTGGATAGTTTTGGCTTGAGGTGTCTCACGCAAGTGCAGTTAGATGGCTAGAGTTGGGACACCCAGGGAATAAAGCACTACTCTCTCCATGTCATCTCAGGACGTTCCTAAGTGGTTTCTCCATGTGGGCTAATCTGGACTTCCTTACAGCCTGTTGGCCTCAGGGCAGTCAGATTCCCCATGTGGCAGCTATAGGCTTCCAAAATGAGTGTCCTGGTGAACAAATCAGAAGCTGCTTTGTCTTTTATGACTTAGCCTTGGAAGTCACATAATATCACTTCCACCATGCTCAATTGGTCAAAACAGTCACAGAAGCCTATTCAGTTAAAGGTGGAGGGGACAGGGACCTCACCTCTTGATGGGAGAAGTGTCGAAGATAAGCTCATGGACTGGGAGTGGGCGTCGTGGCCATCTTCAGACAATACCATTTGCCACAGTGGTTTGTTAGGCCCTGTAAGGTCTGGACCCTCACTACCTCCCTGAGCTTTCTTGTTGAATAACTTTCATTTCTTGCTCTCTCTGTTCCAGGCAGAATGGCTTCTTTGGAAACTCAAGCACGCTCCTCCCTCAGGGGCTTTGCGTTTGTTCTTTTTCTCTCTAGAACATTCTTCCCCCAGATATTTTATTTATTTATTTATTTTCGAGACAGAGTCTCACTCTATCACCCAGGCTGGAGTGCAATGGTGCGATCTCGGCTCACTGCAACCTCCATTTCCCGGGTTCAAGTGATTTTCCTGCCACGGCTTCTTGAGTAGTTGGGATTACAGGTGTGCACCACCACGCCTAGCTAATTTTTGTTTGTTTGTTTGTTTGTTTATTGAGACAGAGTCTCACTCTGTCACCCAGGCTGCAGTGCAATGGCGTGATCTTGGCTCACTGCAACCTCTGCCTCCCGGGTTCAAGTGTTCAAGTGATTCTTATGCCTCAGCTTCCCAAGTAGCTGGGACTACAGGCACATGCCATCCCACCCAGCTATTTTTTGTATTTTTAGTAGAGATGGGGGTTTCACCATGTTGGCCAGGCTGGTCTCGAATTCCTGACCTTAAGTGATCCGCTCATCTTGGCTTCCCAAAGTGCTGGGATTACAGGTGTGAGCCAACACATCCGGCCAGGATATTCATTTATTTATTGAGACAGGGTCTTGCTCTGTTGCCCAGGCTGGAGTACAGTGGTGTGATCACAGCTCACTACAGCCTCAACCTTCCAGGCTCAAGCAATCCTCCCACCTCAGCTTCCCAAATAGTTGGGACCACAGGTGCACACCACCACACTGGCTAATGTTCTTCTTCTTCTTCTTTTTTTTTTTTTTTTTTGTAGAGGAGGGGGTGTCATTATGTTGCCTAGGCTGGTCTCAAACTCCTGGACTCTAGTGATCCTCCCGTCTTGGCCTCCCAAAGTGCTGGGATTACAGGTGTGAGCCACCACACCTGGCCTGGAGTGGATTTTTATAGTAGTGGATAACTGATGTACCTTCCTTCTCTTTGTCTTACTACAATCACTACAATCCTAGTAATTATTTCTCAAACATGAACCCTCCTATTCTTTTGTTCTCACCTAGGTAACACATAGTGTGAAGCAACATACAAACACATATACATGTTTCTTGGAAACAAGCTGTATTAGTTCCCTAGAGCTACAGTAACAAATTACCACAAACTAGGGGGCTTGAAACAATAGAAAGTTATTCTCTCACAGTTCTAGTGACTACAATTCATAGCCAAGGTAAGGGCAGGGTTATTCTCTCCCAAGGATCCTAGGGGAGAATCAGCTTTGTGTCTTTCTCTTGGCTTCTAGTGTCCCTAGCAATCTTTGGTGTTCCTCGGCTTGTAGCTGTATAAGCCCAATATCTGCTTCCATCGTCACATGGCATTCTCCTGCTATGTTTTCAGGTCATATTGGATTAAGAGCTGACCATCTTCCACTATGACCTGATCTTAACTACTTATGTCTGCAAAGACCCTATGTGTAAGTAAGGTCATCTTCTGAGGTACTGGGGATTAGGACTTCAATATATCTCCTGGGGGAATACAATTCAACCCATGACACATGCCTATCATTTCCCCCTCAGTTGTACATTGTAGAGTTGTACATTGAAGACTTAAACATTTCAGTCTTCAAATGTGACAAAGGCCGGGCATGGTGGCTCATGCCTGTAATCCCAGAACTTTGGCAGGCCAAAGCAGGAGGATCATTTGAGGTCAGGAGTTCAAGACCAGCCTGGCCAAAATGGCAAAACCGCTACTAAAAATACAAAAATTAGCGGGGCATGGTGGTGCAGGCCTGTAGTCCCAGTTACTTGGGAGGCTGAAGCAAGAGAATCTCTTGAATCCAGGAGGCAGAGGTTGCAGTGAGCCAATATCTCGCCACTGCACCAGCCTGGGTGACAGAGAGACTCCGTCTCAAAAACAAACAAACAAAAGTGACAAAACAGTAATTCTTAGTATTTAATCAACAAAACCCTACTGAGTGCCTACTATGTGCAAAGCACTCATCTGGGCTTTATTTGCTTCAAACTAATCTGTATAAACACTTGGTCATTAAATTAGAATTTGAATGAATTTGACCTCAGTGTTTTTCAGTTGGAACAAGGTAGGCAGTGAGGAACAGATCCATACAAAGGCCTGTGAATGGCGAAAAGACTATGCCAGGCACAGTTGCCAGGAGATTTCACAGACTGGCAGTTACTCATTTGTAATCAACAACCTTTTGCAAAGCCAAAGTTGATTGGTGTTTTGCGGGCCTGTTAATATGACCACGACACTCAGCTTTTCATCCCCGCAATGACAGGATGATTCCTCAGCTATTTTTGTTTGTTTGAACATTTTTTTTTTCTAAACCAAATTTCCCCAGGATTTTCTTTCTGGTTTCTTTTGGAGCTGAAACCTCCTATGTTCCCAGCTTTGGAGATTAGAAGTACTTTCTCCACACCTTCAGATTTTCTAGTATTGCATAAGTTGTACTTGTCCAGACTTGCTCATTCTTTAGTTAGTTCTGTTCAAGTTTTCTCATCCTTTCATTTATGTTGTTTACTTCATCCCTTCCTCTGCTTTCCATGGGTTATTTTGATGTCCTTTTCCCAATTACATGAATTCAATGTTTAATTCATTTATTTTCATTCTTTTCATTCTTTCTTGCTTAGTAATGAGTATGTATGAGCCCTGCTGGGCACAGTGGGGTGGCTCAAGCCTGTAATCCCAGCACTTGGAGAGGTCAAGGCGGGCAGATCATTTGAGGTCAGGAGTTTGAGATCAGCCTGGCCAACATGGTGAAATCCCATCTCTACGAAAAATATAAAAATCAGCTGGGCGTGGTGGCGGGTGCCTGTAATTCCAGCTACTCGGGAAGCTGAGGTATAAGAATCACCTGAACCTGGGAAGTAGAGGTTGCAGTGAGCTGAGATCGCATCACAGCACTCCAGCCTGGGCAACAAAACAAGACCCCGTCTCAAAGAAACAAAACGAGGCCGGGCGCGGTGGCTCACATCTGTAATCCCAGCACTTTGGAAGGCCAAGGCGGGTGGATCACCTGACGTCGGGAGTTTCAGACCAGTCTAAGCAACATGAAGGAACCCTGTCTCTGCTAAAAATATAAAATTAGCCGGGTGCGGTAGCGTGTGCCTGTAATCCCAGCTACTCGGGAGGCTGAGGCAGGAGAATCACTTGAACCCGGGAGGCAGAGGTTGCCGTGAGCCGATTGCACTCCAGCCTGGGCAACAAGAGCAAAACTCTGTCTCAAAGAAAAAAAAATGTACAAGGTATGTATTTTCTTTCTTTCTTTTCCACACCAGAAAGTATAAAGGCTAATGCCTTTTCTAAGTACCAGGCTGTCTACCTATTGAAATCCCCCATCCATTCACTCAGCTACGATTCACTGACTGTCTCACCCTGAAGTCATTTCTATCTTCTTTGAAATCAGTTCTGGACCTCTGAGGAGAATGGTAACTGTGTTTTATTTTCAGAGAGCCTTCTTTCTGCCTTAGCATAGTGTCCGGGACAAAGCAATGATGATAAATGGACAACCATTATTGAACATTGACCCCGTAGCTGGCATTGCACTAAGTACTACATTATTTTAACTCCTCCATTCTACTCCTCTATGCCCATTTTACAGGCAAAATGATACTCACTCGAACGTTTTTGTCCTCTGTTTCCATTCTTGAAACATGCCAAACCTCCAGTTTTAGGGCCTTTTCCTAAAACTGGACATAGGAAGGGCCCATGTCTCTCTCTTCCATATTCTAATTAAGCACTCAGCACACATGCCATCTCTTCAAAGCTTTTCCGACCGCCTATCTACAACAGCCTGCCTCCACAGTTTCACACACTCTTTTACGTTATTTATAAAAGAGTCTCACTCAATGGAAGCTGGATTTCCTCTCCTGTAAAATGAGGTAGGCCCTCTCGGCTCAAGGTCACTCCCTGTGATTCTACACAGAGAGGGAGTGGGAAGAGAGGGCGCTCGGCAGCAGAGGAGGAGGAGGAAGGAGGGAAGGGCGAAGGCGGGAGTGGGTGCAGAAGCGGGGGGTCTGGCGGTCCAGGGGGGTAGAAGGGAGGGGCGGATTCGAGTGGGCGCCAGGTGGAGGTGGGGCCAGGGTTGTCAAGGGAGCACGAAAGGGGTCGCGGTGTGTCCGGCAAGGACTGGGTAGGGCAGCGCCTGCTATGGACTAGGGGCGAGGGCTACGAAAGGGTTGTTGGAGGGGTGGATGCGGGTGGATCCCGAAACCAAGCGGCTCCGAGGGGCGACTAGAGGTGGGGAGGGGGCGCGCAGGAGTTGCCAAGGTCGGACAGAGGGGAGCGCGGTCTATCCGGCTGGGAATGGGCCGGACAGGGCGCGGGGTTCCGGGGTCGCGGAGAGGCGCGGAGGTAGATCTGAGCCGAGTGGAGGGCGCGTGGGGGTGGGTGCAGAGGGGCGCCGAAGGGATCCGGGCCCAGCGGCCGGTGGAGAGGGGCCGCGGAGAGGCGCAGGTGGGAGCTGGGCGGCCGAGCGAGCGCAGAGGGGGCGCGGCTTGCGCGGCTTGCGCGGCTGGGCGGGAACAGGCGCTCGGTCGGGGGCGGGGGGTGCGCCGGGGTAGCCGAGAGGCGGACGCAACAGCGGGGTCCCGCGCTGTCTGGGCGGCCCCAGGGGCTGTCGGCTCACTTCCGGGAACGCCGGGGAACCGCAGTAGCCGCCTGCTAGTGGCGCTGCTAGCCGGCCGGCGCAGGCTGCCGAGCGGGTGAGCGCGCAGGCCAGGCCAAAGCCCTGGTACCCGCGCGGTGCGGGCCTCAGTCTGCGGCCATGGGGGCGTCCGCGCGGCTGCTGCGAGCGGTGATCATGGGGGCCCCGGGCTCGGGCAAGGGCACCGTGTCGTCGCGCATCACTACACACTTCGAGCTGAAGCACCTCTCCAGCGGGGACCTGCTCCGGGACAACATGCTGCGGGGCACAGGTGGGAGCTCTGGGCCCAGGGCCGGCCGTGCGCTGTCACCCGGGTCGGACTTCGCGGGCGAGGGGCCGAAGCTGGGCACGCGGGTCCCTGGCTGCGGGCGCGGCATTTCCCTCCCGCCGCCCGGGACAGAGACCTCGGGCTGCTGAGCGACTGCGCCCCAAAACCTCCGGCCTCCGTGGGCCGCTTCGGGCGGGTTATGGGGTGGCGGTGGGGGAAGGGACTGGAAAGTTAGGTCGAGCTCGAAGTTCAGAGATGAAAGGAAACCACCGGGCTTTGTTTCAGAGGCCCAAGTCCTCCCAGTGGCAGCCACTCTTGGGGGTCCATCGAGCTGAGCCGCAGCTTGTTCAACGTGCTGGTGCCTTTGGAAGACTGTCATTAGCCCTGCTAGAGTCTGCTCGTTCTGTTTTGTTTTCTTTGTTTCTTTCTTTTCTCTTTCTTTTTTGGTGTGGTTAAGCTCTATGAGATCTTGTAGTTCTGACCTTTCCCCCATATTCCCAAGGCCAAGTATTATTTACCCTTGTTGCAGTCATAAAATTATCTCATTTTGATATCCTTAGATTTCGTAGACACGAAGGCTATTCTTGTGCATGGTTCTATAAAATATTTTGTTTCTCATGCCAAATAAATTCTTACAGCTCGGCACGAAAGGCAGTTAACAATCTACACTATACAATGGGTGAATTTGTGGTATGTAAATTCTCTCTTAAGAGGGTTGTTTTTGAAAAGCCAATCGCAGGAGTTTTTTTCTCAAAAAATGTTGACCTTACTTTTCAAAATAGAACCCGTTTTGAAACTCATTTTGAAACCCATTTACATAGAAATAATGCTTCCACAAGGCCTTTTTCTTTTGTTTTCCTTCTTTTTTTTTTTTTTTTTGTAAGGATAGCAAACAGGATAGACGTGCATAGCATAAAAAACAACGCCCTCTTTCGTTCCCTACCTCAGTCCCATTCTTCGGAGGGGAACAGAGTTTTCCTTCTAGAAAGGTTTACTTTTTAAGCGCAGATACGTGTACCTTTTTTCTTTTTTTCTTTTTGGTTTGTTTGTTTTTTGAGACGGAGTCTTGCTCTGTCTGCCTCCTGGGTTCAAGCAATTCTCCTGTCTCAGCCTCCCTAGTAGCTGGGACTACAGGCGCATGCCACCACGCCGGGCTAATTTTTTGTATTTTTAGTAGCGATGGGGTTTCACTGTGTTAGCCAGGCTGGTCCCCATCTCCTGACCTCGTGATCCACCCGGCTCGGCCTTCCAAAGTGCTCGGATTACAGGCGTGAGCCACCGCGCCCGGCCAACGTGTATCTTTTCTTGTATGTAATATGTGAGCATACTATGTGTATATACTCTGCACTAGTGTGGTTTCACTTTGTGTCTGGGATATATTTCACATGAAAACGGACAAATCCATTTCATTCTGTTTTTGTAGTATGTATTTTCTGAATCTAGTATGATTTATTTAACCAGTTCACACTTGTAATCCCAGCACTTTGTGAGGTCAAGGCGGGCGGATCACTTGACCTTAGCAGTTCTAGACCAGCCTGGGCTACTTGGTGAAACTGCGTCTCTATAAAAAATTCAAAAACAATTAGCGAGGCGCAGTGGCAGGCACCTGTGATCCTAGCTACTCGGGAGGCTGAGGAGAGAGAATCGCTTGAACCTGGGAGGCGGAGGTTGCTGTGAGTCGAGATTGCAACGCTGCACTCCAGCCTGAGCAAGACCCCATCTCGAAAAAAAAGAAAGAAAGAACAGAGATTGTTTGACTTGCTTGCTAAATGTTGTTAATGCGACATACTGAAGTAGTTAGGTAACATTAAACAGTCCCAGATACTGCTACTGGTTGGGGTCAGGTTAACCAAAGTCTAGGAGAGTAGGCCTGGCGCAATGGCTCATGCTTGTAATCCCAGCACTTTGGGGGCTGAGTCGGGCAGGTCACTTGAGGTCAGGAATTCAAGACCAGCCTAGGCAACATGACGAAACCCCCGTCTCTACCAAAAATACAAAAAATTAGCTGGGCATGGTGGCTCGCGCCTGTGGTCCCAGCTTCTCTGGAGGCTGAGGTGGGAGTATCACTTGAGCCCGGGATGCAGAGGTTGTCATGAGCCGAGATTGTGCTACTACACTCCAAGCTGGGTGACAGACAGAGTGATACCCTGTCTCAAAAAAAAAAAAAAAAAAAAAAAAGTAAAGCATATTTATTATAAAAGAAGGAAACTATATCTATTTCATGCAAATGTAAAAAAGGTAAATTAAGATCCCTCATAATTCTGCCTTGCCACACAGAGATGATTATAATTAACTCTTGGGTGCATTTTCTTTTATTCTTTTTTTTTCTTTTTCTTTTTTATTTCTGTTGCATTTGTATTTGCAAAATGGTTGTATTCTAAAATTGTCATATTCTAAATGATAGGTTACTTTTTTATTCTCATTTATAGTGAGCATGTTCACACATCATTAAGCAGTCTTAAAAATGATGTTTAAGCTGGGCGGGGTGTCTCACGCCTGTAATCCTAGCACTTTGGGAGGCTGAGGTGGGTGAATCACCAGAGGTCAGGAGTTCAAGACCAGCCTGGCCAACATGGCAAAACCCTGTCTCTACTAAAAATACAAAAATTAGCCAGGCATGGTGGTGGGCGCTTGTAATCCTAGCTACTTGGGAGGCTGAGGCAGGAGAATCACTTGAAACTGGGAGGCGGAGGTTGCAGCGAGCCGAGATGGCGCCATTGCATTCCAGCCTAGGTGAAAAGAGCGGAACTCTGTCTCAAAAAAAAAGATGTTTAATTTTATCAAAGTTGTATAGTTATTAAACATTTTTATTGGACGCGTATGTTGTTAACTATTGTTTGTTGTAATAAATACTGTTATGACTATCCCTGCACATAAACATTTGGCAAATCTTTGCTTATTTCCTTCAAATAAATTCCTAGTATGGAATTTCTACAAATATGGTACTATCAAATAATACAACAGAAGGATTGTGCCAATTTAGTTTCCAGTCATTGTTTCATGAGGGTGCTATATTTTATAACCCATGGCTGTATTTTATAGCTAAGGTTTAAAATCATCACAGGAGATATGATAAGGACACTGGAAACTTTAGGCAACTCATTGACAGTAGCAAAGCTGGAATAACTGTAGGTCATCACTGAAACTTGGAGTCAGGGAACTTGAATCTGACCTTAAGACATTTAGTCCAGTCCTCTCTTTTATTGTATTTTATTTTTTTGAGACAGAGTCCCCACTCTGTCGCCCAGGCTGGAGTGCAGTGGCACGATCTCGGCTTACTGCGACCTCCGACTCCTGGGTTCAAGCGATTCTCCTGCTTCAGCTTCCGAACTCAGGTAGCTGGGACTACAGGCTTGCACCACCGTGGCTGGCTAATTTATTTTCAGTAGAGATGGTTTTGCCGTATTGGCAGGCTGGTCTCGAACTCCTGACCTCAGGTGATCCAACCGCCTTGGCCTCTCAGAGTCAGACCTCTCTTTTAGAGATGAGGAGACTGAGTTCAGGAGAACTTGCTTGATAGTAAACAGTATTTATTGGGGGATTAGGGTGAAAACATAGATTTCTCCATGTTAAATACTCTTTTCTCTATGCAGTATTTCCCACATTGAGATTCATGAGATAGACATGAATTAGACGATGAGATTCATGAGATAGACATTTTAGATAGACAAAAACTTTTTATTTATTTTAAAGCAGAATTGAAACAGACATAAATCTAGCACATGAAAGCTGTATTTCATGAAAATTATAGCTATTAATTTTTAAAGCTAAGTCACTTTAAAGAAAACTATATAGTAAAGAACTATATAGTAAAGAAAAACTATATAGTAAAGAACTATATAGTAAAAAAAACTATATAGTGAATAATAGTTCAACTATGGTAGAAATCGTGAGGTTGAAGTGTGATTGCTTAGTCTGAGAAAGCTGCACTGTAGCATAGTGCGTCTCAGAGACATAACCCTGGCTAGGTGTGGTGGCTTATGCCTGTAATCTCAACACTTTGGGAGGCCAAGGCTGGAGGGTCATTTGAGCCCAGGAGATTGAGACTAGCCTGGGTAACATGGTGAGAACCCGTCTCTACAAAAGATAAAAACATTAGCTGGATGTGGTGGCACGTGCCTGAAGTCTCAGCTCTCTGAGAGGCTGAGGCGAGAGGATTGTTTGAACTCAGGAGTTCGAGGCTGCAGTGGGCTGTGATAGCACCACAGTACTCACAGTGACAGAGTGAGACCCTGTCTCAAAAAAAAAAAGGAGACATAACCCTAGACTAGACGGCCAACCCTTATGAATCTCATTTATTCTCATCTATATGATGGGGGAGATGAATGTAGTAGATAATCTTCAAGACTTCTGTCAGTCCCTGGATTCTATATTTCTTCAAAACATTATTATGTACACCTGTGGCACATAGGCTTGCATAATTAGAATGATACTGATGGCAAAGCGGAGTTGTTTTTTTTTTTTTTTGGAATGGTAAAACATTTAATTTGTAATAGGCAATTCCAAAAATATAAAAGGATATTTCATGAAAAGATTCTTCCAAGATATTTTATGCTTATACAATCAAATGTTTACCTATGCTTCTCTTTGTGTATGTGTTTTTTAAAACACAGATTATAGCATGCTGTATATACTGTTTTATACCTTTAACAATACTGCTTTGCATATGGAGTGCCCCATTTCATTTTTTTCTAATAGCTTTATTGAGATATAATTAACATACCATATAATGTATCCATTTAAAGTATAAAACTCAGTGGACTTTAATATATTCACAGAGTTGTGCAGACATCACCAAAATCAACTTTTTTTTTTTTTTTTTTTTGAGATGGAGTCTCGCTCTGTTGCCTAGGCTGGAGTGCAGTGGCACGATCTCGGCTCACTGTAACCTCCGCCTCCCACGTTCAAGTGCTTCTCCTGCCTCAGCCTCCTGAGTAGCTGGGATTACAGCTGTGAGCCACCATGCCCAGCTAATTTTTGTATTTTTAGTAGAGATGGGGTTTCACCATGTTAGCCGGGCTGGTCTCGAACTTCCTACCTCAAGTGATCCACCCACCTCGGCTTCTCAAAGTTCTGGGATTACAGGCGTGAGCTACTGCACCTGGCCTTCATCAATTTTAAATTAATATATTTTTTCTTTTAAAATTTTTTTCTTTTTAAAATATTTTTTTGGCCAGGCATGGTGGCTCACACCTGTAATCTCAGCACTTTGGGAGGCCGAGGAAGGTGGATCATTTGAGGTCAGGGGTTTGGGATCAGCCTGGTCAACATGGTGAGACCCCGTCTCTACTAACAATACAAAATAAAATTAGTTGGGTATGGTGGCGGGCACCTGTTGGGAAGCTGAGGCAGGAGAATGGCTTAAGCCCAGGAGGCGGAGGTTGCATTGAGCCAAGATCATGCCACTGCACTCCAGCCTGGGCAACACAGTGAGACTCTGTTTCCAAAAAAAAAAAAAAAATATATATATATACACATATACTATGTATATATTTATATATGTATATATATATTTATATATGTATATATATTTATATATGTATATATATTTATATATGTATATATATTTATATATGTATATATATATTTATATATGTATATATATATTTATATATGTATATATATATTTATATATGTATATATATATTTATATATGTATATATATTTATATATATATTTATATATATATATATTTATATATGTATATATATATATGGGGTCTCACCATGTTGGTCCAGGCTTGTCATGAACTCCTAGCCTCAAGTAATCCTCCCCTCTTTAGCCTCTCAAGGTGTTGGGATTACAGGCATGAGCCACAGTGCCCAACCTTTTAAAAAATTAATATTTTTTCTTTAATAATCAATTTTAGAACATACCCATCACCCCATAAAAGAAACTTCATACCTATTAGCCGTCACTTCTGTTCCTACCCCACACCCCTCCACCTGAGCCTCTGGCAACACCAACTCACCTCCTGTCTCTTTTGAGTTTTCTGTACTGGACATTTCATACAAATGCAATCATACAATATGTGGTCTTTTCTGACTGGCTTCTTTCATTTAGCTTAGTGTTTTCAAGGCTCATCCACACTATAGCATGTTTACTACTTCATTCTTTTTTATCGCTGAATACAATTCCATTTTATGGATGGGCCATGTTTTATTTATCCATTCATAAGTTGGTGAACATTTGGGTTGTTTTCTCTTTTTCTGTTATCTTATGGGTGTACCATAGTTTGTTTAAATAACTTAAAGAACAATTTTAAAAAGGTAAGCCTGGTCATGAATACTGTCTCAAAGAAAGTAGGCTTTTGCTAGATTGGTATTTTTTAACAAAATAAGTTAGGCCTTTTAAAATTCCATGGCTAGAATCTAGTAGAATCCAGGGAGCTTGTCTCTCCATCTATCCATCTCTTCATCCATCTGTCCATCTAACCATTCATTCAGGCAACTATCCGTGGATCCTTTAAGCATCAGATATGTGCTAGGTAGTGGAGACACAGAGAGCAACTGATTTCACTAGGTGCTCACAGAGTGTGGGCATGGGAGCAGGAGGGCAGATGGACATGTGTGTTAGTCAGCTCAGGCTGCCGTAACACAATACCACACACTAGGGGGCTTATTTTCTTATAGTTCTGGAGGCTAGAAGTACAAGACCAAGGCACTGGTAGAGTTGGTTTCTGGTGAGGCCCTTCTTCCTGGCCTGTCTAGTTGCCTTCTCACTTTGTTCTCACATGGCCTTTCCTCTGTAAGCAGGCAACCCTGATGTCTCCTCCTCCTCTTATAAAGACACCAGGCTTATTGGATTAGTGCCCTCCCATTATGACCTCATTTAATCTTAGTTACCTCCTTTAAAGCCCTATTTCCAAATATAGTCACCCTGGGGGTTAGGTTCCAACATACAGATTTAGGGGAGACATACTTCCATCTATAACAACATGTAAACACGGTCATTGGAGTGATATGTGTCTCAATAGAGACAAGTCTGTGACATTTGGAAGTCCAGAGGGGGAGCTTCCAGTTCCCTAGGAGGTTGAGGGACACTTGACCATGAAGGGCCGTTTAGGGTGTGTGTTGAAAAATCAATAAGAGCTTACCATGCGGCTTGAGTAAAGGCTAGGAGGATCCATGTGTGTAGAGCTCCTTGCTGGGGGTGTGGTTTCAGGGTGAAGTGCCAATGGGGAGGATGAGGGAGGAGGAGAAATAAGATGAGGCTGGACCCAGGTGGGCATTTATGTAATTGTCAAAATCAGAATTTATCCGAAGCAGAGTGAATGGGAAGGGGAGTGTAGACCTGGAACAGGAACTCTTTCTGGATGCTTCACTGAAGAGGAGAGAGATTGAGTGATGGTGAGCGGGAGGAACAATGGTCAAGGGAGGTTTTCATTTTTAATATAATTCTTGTGCAATATTCCATGCATCAGAGTATTATAAGGTCTGTGTATGGTTAGAAGAAGAATAAAATGAACATGATTTACCCATCACCAGAGAGAAACAAGGACTTTGGGGGCCCTCCCGTTCCCCTTCCATGCACATCTCCTTCCTGCTTCCCAGAGGTAACCACTTTGTTGACTCAAGTGTTTATTATTTGAGAAAGGTTTTTTTTTAAAGCCCTTGATTGGGTGTAAAGCTATCATTTAACTAATTTCCTGACATTCTCCTAGTTTTGTTTTGTTCTGACACATTTTTAAAGTTAAGTTTTATGTCATTTATAATGATGCTAAAAGCATTTTGGCAGGAGCTAGGTTAATTCTCTGTAGCCTTTTCTCTTGGCACATGTGAAAGAGAACTGCTGGTTGGCGGGTGGCTCACCCCTGTAATCCCAGCACTTTGGGAGGCTAAGGCAGGAGGATCAGTAGAGTCCAGGAGTTTGAGACCAGCCTGGGCAACATAGTGAGACCCCTATCTCTACAAAAAATAAAAAAAAAATTAGCCAGGCATGATTCTGCTTGTCTATAGTCCTAACTACTTGGGAAGCTAAGCTGGGAGGATGCTTGAGCCCAGGGGTTTGAGACTGCAGTGAGTTATAATCATGCCACTGCATTGGCTCTTTGGAAAAAAAAAAAAAAAGAGAGAGAGAGAGAACTGTTATTTACAGTTTGGTCAGGTCCCTCTTTTGTGCTTCATAACTGCTCAAACAGTAAGTTTGAATAAGCTCATTCAGATATGAGGTGTGGTTGATTTGGGTAACATGAAACTTTTAAGGGAGATACAGAATTTAAAATGGCTTTTTATGTAATATAAACATTTATTTCTCATACTAATGTCTCCATGTTTTAGGATTTCTAGTTATTATCCTTAAAAGTTGGTTTTGAGTTTCCCTATTTTTCTCTAACCTTCTTTTCCTACTTTTGTGTATAACTTTGTAGAAAATTAGCTTATCATAAATAATTTACTTTTAAACTGCCTTTTGTGTTTTGTGGAAGTGCCCAAATTTGTTAACTTTTGAATCAAAAAAGGAAATACAGTTGGCCTTGAACAACTTTGGGGTTAGGGCTGCCGATTCCTAGTGTAGTCAAAAATCCACATGTAACTTTTGACATCCCCAAAATTTAAATAGCCTACTGTTGACCAGGAGCCTTACCAATAGCATACACAATTGATTCACACATATTTCATATGATATATGTATTGTATACTGTATTCTTATAATAAACCAAGTGAGAGAAAAAAATGTTATTAAGAAATTATCAGCCATGTGCAGTGGCTCATGCCTGTAATTCCAGCACTTTGGGAAGCCAAGATGGGAGGATCACTTAAGCCCAGGAGTTCAAGACCAGCTTGGGCAAAGCAAGACTCCCTCTCTACAAAAAAGTAAAAAAAATTAGCCAGGCATTGTGGTGTGTGCCTGTTTTCCCAGCTACTTGGGAGGTTGAGGTGGGAGGATCACTTGGACCCAGCACGTCGAGGCTGCAGTGAGCTATGATCATACCACTGCAGTCCAGCATGGATGTCAGAGTGAGACCATGTCTCTAAAAAAGAAAATCATAAGAAAAGAAAATAGATTTACTGTTTGTTAAATGGAAGTGGATCGTCATAAAGATCTTCATCCCCATTGTCTTCATGTCAAGTAGACTGAGGAGGAGGAGGGGTCAGTTTTGTTGCCTAAGAGTGGCAGAGGCAGAGGTAGACCCATGCGGTTCAAATCCATGTTGTTCAAGGGTCCACTCTAGAATTTTTATGAGGAGTCTGTTAAGATGTAATGTTAAATGTAGGTAATCAAATGGATAAAAGTTTACCATATCTCCAGAGAACATGCTGGTTAAGAGTCTTTGCATATAATTTTGGGAGGGGGTAAATATATTTGAAATGTAATATGTTAACTGCTTAGACTCAGATTAGGGAGTTAAGTCTTTTTTTTTTTTTAAGTAAGCTTCAATTGAAGCATTATAGGCTCCAGGTTTTAATAAATATTGTGGATAAATGCTTATTGATATAGAAAGTTCATGATATAGACACCATTAAATACTGTGCAGCCATAAAAATGAACAAGATTACGTCCTTTGCAGGGACATGGATGGAGCTGGAGGCCTTTATCCTTAGCAAACTAACGCAGGAAAAGAAAACCAAATACCTCATGTTCTCACTTATAAGTGGGAGCTAAATGATGAGAACACATGGACGCATAGAGGGAACAATTCACACTAGGGCCTTTCAGAGGATGGAGGTGGGGAGGAGGGAGAGGATCAGGAAAAATAACTAATGCATACTAGCTTAATACCTGGGTGATGAAATAATCTGTACAACAAACCCCCATGACACAAGTTCACCCATGTAACAAACCTGCACATATATCCCTGAAATTATAATAGAAATTATAAAACAACAACAAGAACAATAAAATAAAAACACTTTACATTTGAGAAAGAATGACAATATCAGTAGGTAAAACCAACATCAACAGTTACAAGACCATCCTTCCAGCCAAGTAAGGCAGTCAAAAGAGGTGTAGATCTGGTAGCAGAAACTGGGTCCATAATTATCAAAGTGGAAGTTCACAGAGCAATTATAACTGAGAAGATAAAAACTCATGTAACTTCCATTCAGTACTGCAATTTAAAAATAGATTTTTTTCACAATAACTATATACAAGATAATATATTTAACACATAAAACAAAAGAGAAAAATAACAATTCTTTCTCATCACACAAAAATCTATTTAGAATGTTTAAGATATCAATCTAATCTCAATGTCTGTCTTGTTCTAATTAAATCATACAAACATAAAAAAGTTCATGATAAATGAAAAACAGATTATTAGACTACACATAGGATTATCTATCTATATATAAACAAAACTCAAAATACCTGGTTTTCGTTTTGTTTTTGTTTTTCCTGAGACAAGGTCTTGCTCTGTCACCAAGGCTGGAGTGCAGTAGTGCGGTCATGGCTCACTGCAGCCTTGACCTCCTGGGCTCAAGCAATCCTCCCACCTCAGTTTCCTGAATAGCTGGGACCACAGGCAATGAAAGTTTTTATATTATCATTAATAATAATTATCTCTGAGTAGTGATCAGACTATGAGTGGTTTTTTTATTTTTTTTCTTACTGGGAATTTTTCATCTGTTCTATTTTTTAAAAAACAAAATCTGTATTGAGATTTAATTCACATACCATACAATTAGCCCTTGTAAAGTGTATGATTCAGTGGTTTTTAGCATATCCAAAGTTGTGCAACCATCACCTCAATCAATTTTAGAACATTTTTATCACTCCAAAAAGAAACGCTGTTCTCATTAGCAGTCATTACCCATTTCTCCCCAACCCTCCCAGCCTTTGGCAACTACTAATCTTCTTTCCATCTCTTTAGATTTGCCTATTCTAAACATTTTATGCAAATGGAATCATACGATATATAGTCTTTTGTGTCTGGCTTCTTTCACTGAGCATGTTTGAAGGTTCATCTATGCTGTAACATGTATCAGTACTTCATTTCTTTTTTTGCTGAATAATATTCCACTGTCTTGATATACCACATTTTATTTACCTGTTCATCAGTTGATGGACATTTGACTTGTTTCTACTTCTTGGTTATTTTAAATAATGCCACTATGAACATTCATTTACAAGTTTTTGTGTAGACATATTTCTTTTTTTTTTTTTTTTAAGAGACACAGTCTCTTCTCTGTCACCAAGGCTGGAGTGCAGTGGTGCAATCATAACTCAACAGCAGCAGCCTTGAACTCCTGCACCCAAGTGATACTCCCACCTGAGCCTCCCAAGTAGCTGGGACTACAGGCATGCACCACCATGCCCGTATTTTTTTTATTTAGATGTAGGATCTTGCTGTGTTGCCCAGGCTGGTCAGGAACTCTTAGGCTTGAGCAGTCTTCCTGTGTTGGCTCCCAAAACATTGGGATTACAGGCATGAGCCACCACAGCTGGCCATATGTTTTTATTTCTCATGGGCATATAGCGAGGGGAGGAATTGCTATCTCTTATGGTAACTGTCTTTCCCCCCTCCCTGCAAGACAGGGTCTTGCTCTGTCACTCAGGCTGGAGTACAGTGGCGCGATCATGGCTCACTGCAGCGTTGAGCTCCTGGGCCTCAGCCTCCTGCCTCAGCCTCCTGAATAGCTGGAACTAGAAACACATACCAAGCACCCAGCAAATTTAAAAAATTTTATTTAAGCTGGGTGCAGTGGCTCATGCCTGTAATCACAGCACTTTGGGAGGCAAAGGTGGGTAGATCACCCAAAGTCAGGAGTTCAGCACCAGCCTGACCAACATGGTGAAACCCTGTCCCTACTAAAAATACAGAATTAGCTGGCTGTGGTGGCGCATGCCTGTAATCCCAGCTACTCAGGAGGTGGAGGCAGGAGAATCGCTTGAACCCGGGAGGCAGAGGTTGCAGTGAGCCAAGATTGCGCCATTGCACTCCAGCCTGGGCAACAAGAGCAAAATTCCGTCTCAAAAAAAAAAAATATATATATATATATATGTGTGTGTGTGTATATATATGTAGGTATATATATGTATGTGTATATATATGTATGTATATATGTATGTATATATTTATATGTATGTATATATATAAGTATGTGTATATATATGTATGTGTGTGTGTGTGTGTATATATATATATATATATATATATATATATATATGTAGAGACATGGTCTTGCTGTGTTGCCCAGGCTGGTCTTGAACTCCTGGCCTCAAGTGAAACTCCTTCCTTGGCCTCCCAAAGTGCTGGGATTGCAGGTGTGAATCACCACACAGGGCTTGGTAACTGTGTTCAACCTTTAAAAAAACTACCACACTGTTTTACAAATTGGCTACACCATTTTATAATGCTACCAGCAATATATGAGGGTTACAGTTTCTCCACATTCTTACCAACACTTGTTTTTATTTATTTTTTTGTTTGAGACACAGTTTCACTCTGTTGCCCAGGCTGGAGTGCAGTGGCAGCTATTCAGGTCACTGAAACCTCCGCCTCCCAGGTTCAAGCACTTCTCCTGCCTCAGCCTCCCAGGTAGCTGGGACTACAGGCATGCACCACCACACCCAGCTAATTTTTGTATTACTAGTAGAGACAGGGTTTCACCATTTTGGTCAGGCTGGTCTCGAACTCCTGACCTCAAGTGATGCGCCTGCCTCGGCCTCCCAAAGTGCCGGGATTACAGGCATGAGCCATTGTGCCTGGCCTAACACTTGTTTTTAAAGGCATATGTTGTTTTATTGTGCTTCACAGGTACTGTATCTTTTTTTACAAATCTAAGTTTTGTGGCAACTCTGTGTCAAGCAAGGCTATTGGCCCCATTTTCCCAACAAGTACGCACTTCCCATTTCTATTTTACATTTTTAGTAACTTTTGCAATATTTAAAATATTTTCATTATTATTATATCTGTTAAAGTGATCTGTGATCAGTGATCTTTGATGTTACTATTATAATTGTTTTGGGGTGCCATGAACTATACCCATATAAGATGGCAAACTTAATTGATAAATGTTATGTGTGTTCTGACTGTTCCACTAACCAGCCATTCCCTTGTCTCTCTCTCCTCGAGCTTCCCTATTCCCTGAGACACAACAATATTGAAATTAGGCCAACTAATAACCCTACAGTGGCCTCTAAGTGTTCAAGTTAAAGGAAGAGAGTGGCACATCTCTCACTTTAAATCAAAAGCTAGAAATGATTAAGCTTAGTGAGGAAGGCATGCTGAAAACCAAGACAGGCTGAAACCAGGCTTCTTGCACCAGTTAGCCAAGTTGTAAGTGCAAAGGAAGACCTTGAAGGAAATTAAAAGTGCTGCTCCAGTAAACACTGGAGCACAAGAAAGCAAAACAACCTTGTTGTTGATATGGAGAAAGCTTGAGTGGTCTAGAAAGAAGATCAGACCAGCCACATCATCCATTAAGCCAAAGCCCAGTCCAGAGCAAGGCCCTAATTCTCTTCATTTCAGTGAAGGCTGAGAGATGTGTTGAAGCTGCAGAATAAAAATTTGAAGCTAGCAGAGGTTGGTTCATGAGGTTTAAGGAAAGAAGCCGTCTCTATAACAGGAAAGTGCAAGTGCTGATGTAGAAGCTGCAGCAAGGTATCCAGAAAATCTAGCTAAGATCATTGATGAAGGTGTCTACACTAACAGATTTTCAATGTAAACGAAACAGCCTTCTATTGGAAAAAGATGCCATCTAGGACTTCCATTGCTGGAGAAGAGAAGTCAATGCTTGACTTCAAAGCTTCAAAGGACAGGCTGACTCTCTTGCTAGGGACTAATGCAGCTGGTGACTTTAAGTTGAAGCCAATGCTCATTTACCATTCCAAAAATCCGAGGGTCTTGAGAATTATCTAAATCTACCCTGCCTGTGCTCTGTAAATGGAATGACAAAGCCTGGATGACAGCACATCGGTTTATAGCATGGTTTACTGACTATTTGAAGCCCACTGTTGAGAACTATTGTTGAGAGAAAAAGATTCGTTTGAAAGTATTACTGCTCATTGACAATGCACCTGGTCACCCAAAAGCTCTGCTGGAGATGTACACGGAAATTCATGTTGTTTTCATGCCTGCTGACACAACATCCATTCTGTAGCCCACGCATCAAGGAGTAATTTCAACTCTCAAGTTTTGTTATTTAAAAAACACATTTCATAAGGTTCAGCTGCTATATAGATAGTGATTCCTCTGATGGATTTGGGCAAAGTAAATAGAAAAACTTAGGGAAAGGATGCGCCATTCTAGATGCCAGGAAGAACACTCATGATTCAGGAAGAAGGTCAAAGTGTCAACATTAACAGGAGTTTGGAAGAAGTTGATTCCAACCCTCATGGATGACTTTAAGGGGTTCAAGCCTTCAGTGTAGGAAGTAACTACACATATGGTGGAAATAGCAAGAGAACTAGAATTAGAAGTGCAGCCTGAAGATGTAACTGGATTGCTGCAATCTCATAAAACTTGAATGGATGAGGAGTTGCTTTTAATGAATGAGCAAAGAACGTGGTTTCTTGAGGTAGAATCTAGTCCTGGTGAAGATGCTGTGAGCATTATTCAACTGGCAACGAGGGATTTAGAATATGACTTAAACTTAGTTGAAAAAGGAGCAGCGGGTCTGAGAGGATAGACTACAGTTTTGAAAGAAGTTCTACTGTGGATAAAATACTATCACACAACACTGCATGCTACAGAGAAGTTTTTGGTGAAAAGAAGAGTCAGTTGATGAGACAGACTTTACTGTTGTCTTATTTTATGCAATTGCACAGCCACCTCATCATTTAGCAACCTCCATCCTGATCAGTCAGCAGCCATCAGCCATGGAGGCAAGACCCTCCATCAGCAAAAAGATTAAGACTCTCTGAAGGCTCAGATGATCATTAACATTTTTTAGCAATAAAACTATTTTAAATTAAGGTAGGTACATTGTTATTTTAGACATAATGCTATTGCACTTAATAGACTACAATGTAATGTAAATATATAACTTTTATATGCACCGAGAAACCAAAAAATTTGTGTGACTCACATATTCACTTTATTGTGGTAGTCTGGAACCAAACCCACAATATCTCCAGGGTAGGCCTGTATGTGTCTTTTTGACTATAACCATGTTCGTGAATGTGAAGTAGTATCTCCTTGTGGTTTTCATTTGACTTCCCTAATGATTAAGGACGTTGATCATGTGTTCATGGGCTTATTGGCCATTTGTATATCGTTGAAGAAATGTGTATTCAGATCCTATGCCCGTTTAACATTTTTTTAAAATTGAGTTGTAAGAGTTCTTTAGATATTCTAGATACAAATTCCTTACCAGCTACATGATTTGCAAAATTTTTCTTCCATCCCATGCTATGCATTGTCTTTTCACTTCTTTTCTTTTCGTTTCTTTTTTAAGAGATGGGGTTTCACCATGTTGGCCAGGCTGGTCTCGAACTCCTGACCTCAGGTGATCTGCCCACCTCAGCCTCCCAAAGTGCTGGGATTACAGGCAGGAGCCACTGCACCCGGCCTCACTTTCTTAATGATGTTCTTTGAAGCACAAAAAGTTTTTAATTTTAATGAAGTCTAATGTATCTATTTTTTTCCTTTGTTAGTTGTGCTCTTGGTTTTTTATCTAGAAACCATTGCCTAATGCATAGTGATGAAGATTTATACCTGTGTTTTCTATTAAGAGTTTTTAGGCTGGACGCAGTGGCTCACACCTGTAATCCCAGCACTTTGGGAGGCCGAGGCGGGCAGATCACGAGGTCAGGATTTCGAGCCTGGCCAACATGGTGAAACCCTGTCTCTACTAAAAATACAAAAATTAGCTGGGCATGGTGGTGGGCACCTGTAATCCCAGCTACTTGGGAGGCTGAGGCAGGAGAATCACTTGAACCTGGGAGGGGGGAGGTTGCAGTGAGCCAAGATTACATCATTGCACTTTAGCCTGGGTGACAAGAGTGAGACTCCATCTCAAAAAAAAAAAAAAAAAAGAGTTTAGTAGCTTTAGCACTTACATTTAGGTTTATGACCTATATTGAGTTAATTTTTATGCATGGTAGAGGTCTAACTTCATTCCTTTTCATCTGGATATTTATTTGTCCCAGGAGCATTTGTTAAAAAGACTACTTTTTCTTCATTCATTTATTTTGGCATCCTATTAAAAATCAGTTTACTATAAATTTGAAAGGTTATTTCTGGACTTTCAATTCTATGATTTTTTTTTTTTTCTTTTTGAAACAGGGTCTCACTCCGTTGCCCAGGCGGGAGTGCAGTAGCATGATCATGGCTCACTGTAGCCTTGACCTCTTGGGCTCAAGCAATCTTCCCACCTCAGTCTCCTGAGTAGCTGAGACTACAGCCATGAGCCACCACACCCAGCTAATTTTTTAATCTTTTGTAGAGATGGGGTCTCACCATGTTGCCTAAGCTGGTCTCAAACCGTTGGCTTTAGACATAGTTTTACTTCTTTTTTTCTGGATGCTTTCTATTTCTTTTTCTGGACTAATTGCCTTGGCTAGAATCTCTAATATTGTATAGAAGTGGCAAGGGCAGACAATCTTTTCTTACAGCTATTCATATACTGATAAAATTAAGTACTTTATTAATTAACCCCATCTTCTAACCCATCTGCTGCAGCTGGTTCGGATTTAGAAGAGGGCTTGGCCTGAAGAGTGAGAGGTGAGGGGAGAGGCCAATAACAGGTGTTTTTGGGACTTGGCCCTAGAGAATTGCGTGTTTTTACATTTTTTTTTCCAAATGCTGTTGATGAGGTTGAAGCTGTCCCTCCCCAGAGCAGTAGTCAAAAGCCTGTAGACAGAGAAGTTCACACATTAAGTATAAGGCTGTTTTAGTGAGTCCTGAGCTCTCCATCTGCCAAGCCCTCTTCTAAGTGCAGTCTGCAAATCCAGCAGCACACGTGCCACATGACAGCCCGTGTCCATGCAGTTACTGTTCTTGGTTAAAAATCTGAAGTTTCATGAATCTGACAATTTAGAATCTGTTCTTGGTTAAAAATCTAAAGTTTCATGAATCTGACAATTTAGAATCTGTTTTGGGGTCAGTATGGCAATTCATACCAACAGTTAGGAAAATGTTCATATATACCTTGACCCTTTAATCTGACATCTGGGAATTTATTTATTGGAAATAATCCCAAAGAGGAGTAAAATAAAAGCAAAAGAACAAGAGTCTTTGGTGATGAGGAAAAATCAAGACTAATTTACACAATTTAAATGTCCAGCAGTACTGCTGTCATAAAGTGTAGTTTTATATATTTATTTCGAAATATCTTATATTTGGAGTGTAATATGGTTACCTAAAATGACTATATAAAACCACCGAAAAGTATTTATTAAATAATGCTAAGTGACAAAAAGAACATAAAATTGTAGATACGCAGATTATGATGGAATTACGGTTCTGAAGGTGTAGAAATAGTTTGGTAAGGGAACATGAAGAAATTAAAATACTATTGCATAAGAGTGACATATAGTTGTAGGTAATATTATTAAATTGTTCATAAATCATTTTCCAGAGTGTTTTGTTAATAAAAATATAACATAATCACAATACTAATCTGGTTAAAAACTGAATTGTGTCACGATAGCAGCACCTGTTTTACAGGATTGGAAAAGTCTCTCCAATAACATGATAGCAGGCATTTAAACTGAATCATTTCAAAATAATGATGATTTCAGATTCTTATTTTTAAAGAAAATAATTTCAGCTATTTCATAATTTTTTCTGGTAGAAAATACAGAAAAGTACATATATATTTTCAAAACCACTCAATTCTATCACACAGAAATAACTACTGTTAACATATTGGTCTATACCTTTACAATATTTTTTCTGTCTATATATTTACATTTATATATTTTTCCATAATGAAGAATCTGAAGTTTAGATTATTTTGTAACCTTTGTTTTTGTTTTTGTTTTTGAGACGGAGTCTCACTCTGTTGCCCAGGCTGAAGTGCAATGGCACGATCTCGGCTCACTGCAACCTCTGCCTCCTGGGTTCAAGCGATTCCCCCGTCTCCCACCTGGGTTCAAGCTACCCCCAAGTAGCTGGGATTACAGGCACCCGCCATCATGTCCGGCTAATTTTTTTATTTCTGTAGAGACTGGGTTTCACCATGTTGGCCGGGCTAGTCTTGAACTCCTGTCCTCAGGTGATCTACCCGCCTGGGCCTCCCAAAGTGCTGGGGTTACAGGTATGAACCACTGTTCCCGGCCATAACCTTTGTTTTTATCAGAAAAGTTGATGATGCACATTTTCAGATGAGTATGCCATTCAGACTTCCCCTTTAGGCAACTCGTTCCGAGGTGCCTGGAATGGGATAAAACAAATGCACTTACTGATTTTTTTCCCCGCTTTGCTGTAGAAATTGGCGTGTTAGCCAAGGCTTTCATTGACCAAGGGAAACTCATCCCAGATGATGTCATGACTCGGCTGGCCCTTCATGAGCTGAAAAATCTCACCCAGTATAGCTGGCTGTTGGATGGTAAGTGGAGTCTCATGAGCATTTCACCTGCCCAAAATAATCAGTGCTGGCAGGAGAATGAGCATTTCATGGGCTTCAGACAGACGTCAAGGATGGTGGTTTGGGGAGAGGGGTGCTTGGGACTATCCTGAAACCAGTCATCTTCTCTGGGACCAGTTCTATATCCAAATGGAAAGAGGGAAGTGAAGTGCATGATTTCTAAGCTCCCTTCAGATGTAACTTTAGTTCCTTTCCCCTTTCTTTGAGAATATTTTGTGATATGGGAGGATCACCACAGAAGAAGCAAGACCCAAGAGTAATTTACAATAAGCTGTAAACTTTCCCTAGCCAGGAGTATGGCCGAATCCTTGAGGGTAGGTTGATTTTTAGTTTTGTTAATATAGAGAGGACACAAAAGAGATTTGTTTCAGTTGAGTCCTCAGCTCTCACTAAAACTGGGATAAACTTGGGATAAGCCTTTTCTTCAAGAAGATCTGAGTCATAATATCCTTTTTTGGAAGAGGATAGCTAATCTAGTCTTCTCTCCTACTCAACCCCATTCACCCACCTTCGCACACAGGCACGCGTGCACTCAGTGTTGCCCTTGCCAAGCCCTGCAGCCCTGACTTGCTTGCTTTATCTAAGAAGGTTCTGAAGTCTTGTCCTTGTGGAAAGTACATTCTAGTAGAAGACAAGTAGTAAACAAGTAAACAAAAACTTGGATAAGCACAGATATAAGTGCTAAGAGGTAAATTAGAAGTTGATGTGGGCCAGAGGCAGTGGCTCACGCCTTTAATTCCAGCACTTTGGGAGGCCAAGGTGGGCGGATCACCTGAGGTCAGGAGTTCAAGACCAGCCTGGCCAACATGGTGAAACTCCATCTCTACTAAAAATACAAAAATTAGCCGGGCGTGATGGCGCACACCTGTAACCCTAGCTACTCGGGAGGCTGAGACAGGGGAATTGCTTGAACTGGGAGGCAGAGGCTGCGGTGAACCGAGATTGCCCCACTGCACTCCAGCCTGGGTGACAGAGTGAGATTCTGTCTCAGAAAAAAAAAAGAAGTTGATGTGAACAGAGAGTAATGTAGTTGAGGAGTAGGCACTTTTTTTTTTTTTTTAATGGAGACAGTGTCTGGCTCTGTTGCCCAGGCTGGAGTGTGATGGTGCGATCTCCTCTCACTGCAACCTCTTCCTCCTCAGTTCAAGTGATTCTCCTGCCTCAGCCTCCTGAGTAGCTGGGATTACAGGTGCCCACCAGCACACGTGGCTAATTTTTGTATTTTTAGTAGAGATAGGGTTTCACTATGTTGGCCAGACTGGTCTCAAACTCCTGGCCTCAAGTGATCTGCCCACCTCAGCCTCCAAAAGTGCTGGGATTGCAAGTATGAGCCATCGCACCTGGCATCTTCTCCTTTTTAAAACAAAATATGTTGCATGGTTCAGAATTCAAAATTTTGTTTTAAAAAGTTTAATGAAAAGTCTTGCTTCTTTATGAGGTGTAAGGGGCTGAAAAACATTCCCATTTGTGGGAGGTCTTGAGGAATGAGTAGGATTACATGGGTGGAGAGACAGGTTATCTTTGGCAGCAGGAACAAGGTAAACCAAGGTAGGCTGGTGATGCTGCCCAGGAAAGGGCCATTATTTCTCCCGAATCCAGGTTTCCTGGGTATAGTTTTAGTCGTTATCATTGTCATTTTAGCACATTGTAAGGTCTAGATCACTGGCAAATTTTTCCACATTTCATTGTTAACAAGAAAATGTAATTTTTCAGATGATATTTTTGCTCTAACAAATTATGCATGTGCGGTTTTAACCTTTGTCACTTTTTTTTTTTTGGAGACAGTGTCTTGCTCTGTCACCAGGCTGCAGTGCAATGGAGTCATCATGGCTTATTGCAGCCTTGACCTCCTGAGCTCAGGCAATCCTCCTGCCTCAGCCTCCTGAGTAGCTGGGACCATAGGCATGCACCACCACGCCCTGCTAATTTTGTTGTCGTTGTTATTTATAGAGAAGGGGTCTTGCTATGTTGCCCAGGCTGGTCTCAAACTCCTGGGCTCAAGCAGTCCTCCCGCCTCAGCCTCTCAAAGTGCTGAGATTACAGGTGTGAGCCACCATGTGTGGCCTAACTTTTGTCATTTTTGAAAATATATTATTTCTACTAATTTTAATTTTTTTCTGGTATTCTGGACAAAATGTCCTTAGTAACAACATTGCAAAGTCAGAAGTTTGTGATCAAAGTATTATTTTAAATTCCCTAATATACTTGGGTGTATTTCTGAATTCACTCATTAGGTACATTTGCCTGTCTCTCTGTTTTTGAACCACATTGTTTAGCTATATAACACATCTCTTTGTCTGTTAGGGTTTTATCCTTTTGCATTAATAGTTTTCCTTTAGCTGGACTTTAGTTTCATTTTGTCATATTTCAGAAATAGCCTCTGGAGTGTTTGTTTGTTTGTTTTTGAGGAGTCTTGCTCTGTCACCCAGGCTGGAGTGCACTGGTGTAGAATTTTGGTTCACTACAACCTCCCCTCCCGGGTTCAAGCGATTCTCCCACCTCGCCTCCCAACTAGCTGGGATTACAGGGACCTGCCATCATGCCAGGCTAATTTTTGTATTTTTGTAGAGATGGGATTTCACCATGTTGGCTAGGCTGGTCTTGAACTCCTGAGCTCAGGTGATCCGCCCTCCTCAGCCTCCCAAAATGCTGGGATTACAGGTGTGAGCCACTGCGCCCGGCCAGTCCCTGGATTTGGGTGAAGATCATGAGTTCAGTTTGAGTTTAAAGGCGGGAAAAGTCCTGTGTCCCAGTTAGAGGTAGCAGGCAGGAGGAATTCTTTGTTATTTGGGTGAGGGTCAGCCTTTTGTTCTACTCAGGCCTTAAAATTGATTAGATAAGGCCCACCCATATTAAGAAGGGCAATGTACTTTATCAGTCTGCCTATTTACATGATAATTTCATAACAAAAGCAGCCTGACAGATATACCCAGCATAATATTTGCCAAATATCTGGGCACTCATGCCCCAGTCAAGTTGACAGGTAACCATCACAGTTGCACCGCAGCTGTGATCGGCCTGCCTGGTGAGCCTCATTCCTTTTGTTCAGATTGTCCAACATTAATTCTTTCTTTTTCTTTCTTCTTTCTCCACCCGCCCCACCCCCACCCCATACTTCCTTTCTTTTTTCTTCTTCTTTTTCTTTTTTACTTTATAAAGGTTTTCCAAGGACACTTCCACAGGCAGAAGCCCTAGATAGAGCTTATCAGATCGACACAGTGATTAACCTGAATGTGCCCTTTGAGGTCATTAAACAACGCCTTACTGCTCGCTGGATTCATCCCGCCAGTGGCCGAGTCTATAACATTGAATTCAACCCTCCCAAAACTGTGGTGAGTAGTTGTTGTGGAACTGTCACATAGCAGACTGTCCCTGAGTCCTCTTGCCCTAACAGACATAAGTTGAGTGAACTTGGAAATCCTCTGACCAAAACTCCTGAGGGTATATTCTCAGGTTACTTGGTAGAGTTGACTGATCAAGTCCACTGAGCTTGGTGCGAAAGGTTGCCCCAGGAGCAGCAGGGGTTTGTTACTCATTCAAAAACATTTGTTGATTTCCTGCTCTGCCAAGGAGTGTGTTAGGAGTTGCGCTGATAGAGATTCATAACACCTTGGTTTATTTAGGACTTGCAGTTGAAATTCCAAGTTTATAGCTGAATCTTTTTGAATATATATGAACTTACTTAGAGGCTGCTTAGAAAACCTTTTACTCTAAGGCTAAAGTGACTGATAACTGTAGAAATGAAACTGGCGTACCCTGTTTCTGTTGCGATGATCTCTTTTGAGGTTGGATTCCATTTTTTTAAAAGTTAGCACATTTTTGTGCTTGGCACTTGCACAGAGATGTCTGTTTAAAAATAATTGAACTGCTTATGAAAATATCTTTCAGAAATATGATATCTGATACTAGTCTCTTCTAATCCTGTTTAGGGCATTGATGACCTGACTGGGGAGCCTCTCATTCAGCGTGAGGATGATAAACCAGAGACGGTTATCAAGAGACTAAAGGCTTATGAAGACCAAACAAAGCCAGTCCTGGAATATTACCAGTGAGTTTTTGCTTTTCAGAACTTCTCTTGCGTAGTGGTGCACTAAGTCTAGTTTTGATTTTCCTTCCTCTACAGCTGAAATGCTAAAATGCCAAAAGACCCAGTTCACATGGGCTTAAGTAATAAAGGAAATACATTAGCTTGTGTAACAGAAGTCCAGAAGGTAGGTTGGGCTTCAGTCACACCTGGGTTTGATCAGTGTAGCCGTTCTCTTGGTTTTGCCTTCCTGTGTGTGTATTGGCTTTGTCCTTAGGCTTCCTGCATGGTAGCAGACATTTGTAGGAACAGCCAGGGCTTCCTCTTCTATGAAGGGCTGAGGGGTAACCTTTCCTCCAGTGAATAGAAGCCCAGAGCACCACTCGGATGGAGCCAACTTGAACTACAGTCAGGGAATGCCTGGCACTAACTGTTACAGGCTTGGGTTACTGCCTACTGCAGAACCAGTCATTGGGGTGGGAAGGATTCCACTGATTACACTGACTAGTCCACTTCTAGAGTTGGCAGTGCGACAGTCTCATCCATACTCTGCTATGTGCAGATGTTCCGCAATTTACAATGAAATTACATCCTAATAAATCCATTGTAATTTGAAAATACCAAGCACCATAACTTAGCCTGCCTTAAACATGCTCAGAACACTTAGATTAGCCTACAGTTGGGCGAAATCATCTAACACAAAGCCTGTTTTGTAATAAAGTGTTGAATATCTCACATAATTTACTGAATATTGTACTGAAATTGAAAAGCAGGATGGTTGTACAGGTGCTCGAGGTACAATTTCTATTGAATGCATGTTGCTTTCGCACCATCATAAAGCTGAAAAATCCTGCATTGAATAATTGTAAGCTGGGGATTGTCGGTAGGGGAGGCAGGGCTGGAATGAATGCTGGGGAGGCAAACTTAATATTGCCCACCACATTTGCCAATACAGGATGCTATGGTGTGGAAGAATCTCAGATGGCAGCTAATCCCTCAGACTATGTAATTGGCTAGCAGTCTTTAAAAGCTTACATTTTAACATTGTTTTGTCTGCTCTTGTTTTGTCTGCAACACGTATAGGAACCGTACTGAATGAGTATTTGACTTAGGCTAAGAAATACTCCAGTTTTCTTACTGAGCCTTCCTGCTTCTTACAGAGGATTGACTGCCTCCCCTTTCATTTATGTACTTATTGAATACTGATCCTGATCAGGGCAGAACAGTATCTTGGGCAGAACACAGACTCTGGAGCCAGAATACCTAAGTTCAAGTCCCAGCTCACCATCTTCACCTTCACCTTCTGCTTAACCTCTGCCTGTTTTTTCCTCTGTAAATTGGGGAAGAGAATAAAGGTTTGAAAGATTAATATGGGTAACTCTTAGAACTGGGCCTGACGCATAGAAAGCACTATAGAAATGTTAGCTATTGTTATTGTTGTTGTAATAGCGTATGTATGCAGTAGAAATCTGAAGCAATAGTTTCCAAACTGTTATTTATTTATTTATTTTAGAGACAGGGTCTCACTCTGTCACCCAGGTTGGAGTGCAGTGGTTCTTTCATAGTTCACTACAGCCTTGAATTCCTGGGCTCAAGCAATTCTCCTGTCTCAGCCTCCCAAGTAGCCAGGACTATAGGCCCGTGCCACCAGACCTGGCCAATTAAAAAAATTTTTTTTAGAGCTGGGGCTCTTGCCATGTTGCACGGGCTACTCAAACTCCTGGCTTCAGGCAACCCTCCTGCCTCGGCCTCCCAAAACATTGGGATTACAGGTACGAGCCACCATGCCTGGCCTTTCAAACCATCTTAATTTTTTCTGGAGCATAAAATTACAAGGTTGGCAAACCATTTTTTGTAGTAGCTGTTACTATAATTTTGTCATTTGTTTAATGAGGCTGGTTCTGAAAATTACCGTCTCTTTTGCCCTAGGCAAGCTATTTAACCTCCATGCCACAAATCCCTTATTTGTAAAATCAGGCAATATTAAATAGCATCTGCTTTATAGGGTTGTTAAAAGAATTAAGTGAGAGATCCTGGAAAGTCCTACAACAGCCCTGGTGTCTATTAAATCATTCATTGTCAGCAATTATTGTTCACTCTCTTGACACTGTGCTAGGCCCTTGGTCCACATGGACAATTAGATCCAGTCCCTGTCAGGCTCCAAGAAGCTATGTTTGTGGGTGAGGTGGGGAGCTGGGTAAACAGTATTTATCATACAATATGATATGTGCTTATATTAACTAAGAACCTAATTCACACCAGGTTAAGCAAAAGGGGAATTTATTGGTAATGTAACTGAAAAGTCAAAG
The DNA here is from genome assembly GCF_000001405.40 of Homo sapiens. Classification (NCBI taxonomy): domain Eukaryota; kingdom Metazoa; phylum Chordata; class Mammalia; order Primates; family Hominidae; genus Homo; species Homo sapiens. Next base: position 4,716,133 of record NC_000009.12, on the reverse strand, counting down.
ATAGATGGATGGGTCCAGGTGTTCAAAAACACCTATCATCAGGCGTCAGTCACTCCGCTCCATTGTCCTGTGCTGGCTTCAGTCTCAGGTGTGCCCTCCCTGTGTAGCAGCCCCTCAGCTTTCCAGTTTACCTCCTACCAGCCAGAAACCCCAGCAGCAAAGAGCCTCTTTTGCCAGCAAAAGTCTTGGGGTCGGCACCGATTAGCTCTGATCATGTCCATCCTTGAAGATGGGGAGTGGGGACAGTCTCTCCTGAACCTCGTCGACTGAGTTTGGTGGAGAGGTTATTTCCCAAAGGTAACCAGAGGAAGGGAGAATGCATTGTTGCTGGGCAGATAACACCACCACTGCAAGGCTATGAATGATAATCCCCCAAAGCAGTGAAGTACCAGGGGTTGTTGGGATTCGTTCTGTCAAAATATCAAAATATGGGAAGGGGCCTGGGACAGTGGCTCATGCCTGTAATCCCAGCACTTTGGGAGGCTAAGGCAGGAGGATCGAAAAGGCAGGAATTCAAGATCAGCCTGGGCAACATGGTGAAACTCTGTCTCTACAAAACATAAAAAAAAATATTAGCCAGGCATGGTGGCACATGCCTATAGTCCCAGCTACTGGGGAGTCTGAGGTAAGAAGATTGCTTGGACCCAGTGGGTCAAGACTGCAGTGATCTATGATTGCTCCACTGCAGTCTAGAGCGCGGGTGTCAGAGTGAGACCCTGTCTTAAAAAAAAAAAAAAAAAAAGTAGTAAGGGAAGTTAAGGAAAGCTGCGAAGATGAAGTGAAAGACACGGGCCCCTGTCTTAGGAGATATTTTAGAAGTCTTTCTAGGCTCCTTCTGGCTTTTGCTGCCTTTTGCTGTTAATTCAAGCTTTTCTTTTCTTTTTCTTTCCTTCTTTCTTTTTTTTTTTTTTTTTTTTGAGACGGAGTCTCACTCTCTCTCAGGTTGGAGTGCAGTGGTGCCATCCCAGCTCACTGCAGCCTCCTCATCCCAGGTTCAAGCGATTCTTATGCCTCAGCCTCCCCAGTAGCTAGGACTACAGGCACGTGCCACCATGTCCTGCTAATTTTTGTATTTTTAGTAGAGACGGGGTTTCGCCATGTTGGCCAGGCTGGTCTTGAACTCCTGACCTCAAGTGATCCACCCTCCTTGGCCTCCCAAAGTGCTGGGATTACAGACTTGAGCCACCACACCCGGCCGAATTCAGTCTTTTCATTCTCAGCTCCCACACGTAGAACTCAGCGAGACTTGACTAAAAACTGAAAGTTTATTTGCAAGAATGTTAGTAATAGTCAGCATTGTTATTTAGAAATGCTGACAGTTGTATTGTTGGTTGTTTTAAAAAAAACCTTTTAGCTGTGGGACATTATAGAGTAACTGGTCTATGTTTACAAACAACATGATGCCCTTACTCTTTGGAGGACCAATTGTTGAAGCTGGTTCCATTTTATTACACAGAAATTAAAATGACAAATGTTCACCCACGATTTAGGATCGAATAGGTGCCTGCAATTGTGCCCTCAGTAATTAACCCACTTGTGACACTGGCTTGATTTTTAAATCGGCTCTTCAAGAGGCTTACAACAGTTAAGAAGCTTGTTCCCTTGAAAGCAGTACCAGGTGCCAGTGAATTTAGAAGCAGGAGGGTTTCTAATATCCCAAGAATGCTGTATTTGCATAATTTCCTTCCTTAGCAGATGTTTCTTACCGAGAAAACAGTGGGTGTTATTTAAGTTAACTGTGGCAAATTTTATGAGGTATCAAGGGAAGAATGCTTTTGTCCTTAGTGAAAGCCCTGAAAACCTCGGAAGAAGGGCCACACAGGTATAAGGAATCCTCTTTTCACAAAGTCATAAACCAGAGTTCTTAGGTTGTCCTTATGCAGTCTTTACACCAGTGTGTATGTGTGGAGGCGAATGTGTGGAGGTGTATATGTGGAGGTGTGTGTATGTGGAGGCGTATGTGTGGAGGTGTGTGTATGTGGAGGTGTGTATATGTGTAGGTGTGTATATGTGGAGGTGTGTATATGTGTAGGTGTGTATATGTGTAGGTGTGTATATGTGTAGGTGTGTATATGTGTAGGTGTATATGTGTAGATGTATATGTGTAGCTGTATATGTGTAGGTGTATATGTGTAGGCGTATATGTGTAGGTGTGTAAATGTGGAGGTGTGTATATGTGTAGGCGTGTATATGTGGAGGTGTGTATATGTGGAGGTGTATATGTGTAGGCGTAGGTGTACGCATGGGCTAGAGGACGGGTATTAGCAAGAGGAAGGCCAGAATCTTTGGAGGGAATCTGTGTGGCTTGAAAAGCACCCCCAGGATTCTGATCTCACTCTTCACCATGTTATCCACAGGAAACTGGAGTAAATAAAATAGACTTTGGCTGCTGGTCTAGTGACAAGCTAGACAAATCTGCCTGGGAAGAAATGAAGACAGTCAATAGGAAACCCAATAAAACCAACACTTTTTATTCCCCTTTCTGTTAATATTCAGAAGAGTGGAATAGAGGAGAACATAAATGTTGGCCTGGGCAAAAAGGAAAGATACTCAAGTATTAGAAAGTAGCTTTTGCAAAAGAGTAAGTAGAAAAAAAAGGCTGATGGGTGTTCTGGTATCTTATAGGTCCTGTTTGGAAATGTACTACCAACTTGGTGATTTGGGCTAAGTTACATTACAAAGGGATGATTTTATTAGTAAAATAAGAAAATTTGAGCTTTGGAAAGGATTAAACAAACTATAATATGTAAAGCATGTAGCACAGCCTTTGACACACAGTGCATGTTCAATAAATAAAATAAATGATAGGTGCTGTTATTTTTTTAAGCACCCATTTTTGTAAGCCAGAGAGCACAACTGAAACCAAAATGTACATTTTCCAATGCCCAGCCAAGTGCCTTTCTCTCCTGATTACACAAATCTATACTTACCAAGACTCCTATATCTACAATATCATTATTTACAGAAAGGCTTTGAAAGAGCTTATTAGGAAGACTCAGACCTGTGTGTGTTTGTTTTGTTTTTGTTTCATCTTTAGGAAAAAAGGGGTGCTGGAAACATTCTCCGGAACAGAAACCAACAAGATTTGGCCCTATGTATATGCTTTCCTACAAACTAAAGTTCCACAAAGAAGCCAGAAAGCTTCAGTTACTCCATGAGGAGAAATGTGTGTAACTATTAATAGTAAGATGGGCAAACCTCCTAGTCCTTGCATTTAGAAGCTGCTTTTCCTAAGACTTCTAGTATGTATGAATTCTTTGAAAATTATATTACTTTTATTTCTACTGATTTTATTTTGGATACTAAGGATGTGCCAAATGATTCGGATACTAAGATGCATCGTTTGAAATCATCTAGTGTGTTGTATGCAGTTATCCTCAAAAACATCAGCGATGTCTGAACCTTTAAAACATCTGTTAGAGCAAAATTAAAAGAGCATTTGGTAGTAATCTAACTTTTTGTTCAGTTAATAAGTGGTTGATAAAGTTTCCATATTTTTCTGGAAAAGTTAAAAAAAGTTACATGTCATTTGGAGAAAATACGTAATCAGAAATTTGTGCATAGATTGATGCCAAAAAAGACATTTCCAGCATTGTGGAACATGGTGAGACACTATATAAAATTCCAGAAAGAAAGCAACTGGATTTACAGATTTATTGTGAGACACAAATTCACTGCTGCCTTTACACTAAGAAATGTATATGTTAACCATATATGCTGTATTTATTTTGTCGTTAAGCATACTTTCAGTTTACTCAGAATTTTCAATTTGCTATAAAGATGTATCAATTAGCATATAGAAAAATATTACTTTAAGATGACTTGTTTCCTTTGAAAATACCTGTGTACTGAGGGTTATGATTTGTGTCAAAAATTGACATAAGTGCTTTTACAAGCACCAAAGTTGAATGAATTTTCAACAAAATGTAATTAAAGTCTATGTTTTCAGTTATGACTCAGGTTAAGAAATGTGTTTTAGGATCTACTTGCTGGTTTTTCTTTTTGATCCAAATGTGTGATCTGCCCTGATAAATAACAAGTTATAGTACCATCTCCCCCGCCAATAAAAAAGAGAAGAAAAAAGAGAAACCCGTGGCACTATGTAAATAAAGTAAGCATACTTTGTTGTTAGTAAATAGATGAGGCATGCCTGGGAAATGCTCCCTTGGCATAAATAGCAATCAATCATAATTAGTAAACAGGTGTACCAATAAAAAGAATTTACATGATAGGTTAACAAGGACCAGGAAAGTGAGTTTCCTGAAGGAGTTCTTTGTTCCTGATCAAAGAAATTGATACCTGTTAGCATTCACTGCCACCATATTTTAAGGAGAAAGAACTCTATTGGTGTCGTCTGAGCAGCCATTTAAAAATTGGAATCTAAAGGATGGTTGCTGATGTACTGTGTGGTCTGGTAGAAGTGGGGAAATATGAGAGATGGAGGAAAAACTTGATTATGTCTTCCATGGCATATTTACTCTTACTTTACTTCGTGCCAAATCAAATGAAACAAGCCGTCTTACAAGTCGTTATTGCCTTTAAAAATCTGTTCCGTTTTTTTCCCAGGTACTTAAAATACAAGTGCCAGTAAGTGGTTCTTATGTGTTTTGGGGGGAAAATTTTATTTCCCTTTTCTTCTGATATTTAAAAAATTCATCGATCTTTCAAGATGAACCAAGGTTTTTTAAAAGAAATATAGGAAACACTTCATTCTTTATAAAACTTTCTATAATGCCTTATTTGAATGTTAATCTTATGTGCTTTCTAAAAAATGTTGTGAAATACCAAACTTATGGATTATCACTAGGTTATCAAGCATATATTAGTCTTTATCAGAATAAAATGAAATTTCATAACTGTGGCTATTACTTTGTTCTTGGTCCTTCACAGGGCCTGCTCCATCCCACCTTCCTTTCTGCTGCCTGATGTCTCAATGGCTTCTGAATGACTGTTCTAATAAATGATCTTAAAACAGTCCATAGGCTGGTTTCAGTTTATGCAATACTTCATCTCCTGCTATGGTAGCCATACCGGCCTTCATAATACCCTTAGGGGATTTGGAAATCAAAGTGAGCAGTGGAAGAACATGGCTATGAGAATTAAGACTCTTATTTCCTGTGACCATTCCCTCCCCACCCGCAAACACTTAGCCCAAAGTTTTGCACATACATTCATTACTTTAGGAATGAATATGACTGTAATACAACTTTTTTCTTTATTTTTTTTTAGACAGGGCCTCACTCTGTTGCCCAGACTAGAGTGCAGTGGCATAATTGGGTCACTGTAACGTTGAACTCCTGGGCTCACGCAATTCTTCTACCTCAGCCTCCCAAGTAGCTGAAACTACAGGTATGTACCACCATGCCTGGCTAATTTTATTTTTTTGTAGAGACGGCGTCTCGATATGTTGCCCAGGCTAGTCTCCTGGCCTCAAACAGTCTTCCTGATTCAGCTTCCCAAGTGCTGAGATTACAGGTGTAAGCCACTGCCCCCACCCAAAAAAATAATTCTGTAATGACCATCATTAAGATTTATGTACCACATGGAAATACATGTATGGAGCTGAATGCCATGGCTAGGAGAAACTACTATACTTTTGTTAAAAGCCAATGAGAGGCCGGGCGCGGTGGCTCACGCCTGTAATCCCAGCACTTTGGGAGGCCGAGGCGGGCGGATCACGAGGTCAGGAGATCGAGACCATCCTGGCTAACACGGTGAAACCCCGTCTCTACTAAAAATACAAAAAAAAAAAAAAAAAATTAGCCGGGCATGGTGGCGGGCGCCTGTAGTCCCAGCTACTCGGGAGGTTGAGGCAGGAGAATGGTGTGAATCCGGGAGGCGGAGGTTGCAGTGAGCTGAGATCGTGCCACTGCACTCCAGCCTGGGCGACAGAGGGAGACTCCGTCTCAAAAAAAAAAGCCAGGGAGAACAGCACCTCAACTGATTTATTTTATAGAGTAAAAGTTATTTTGCTATACCTTTTGTAAGCAGCGTGTACTGTGGGAAATGCAAACTAGCAGTTGTTAGCACCATCCAGAAATTTCTGTCAGTTCCATTTCAAATAGTTTAAATACTGGCTCAAATCTCTAAACCCCACCCTATGGCTACTTTTCCCCCAGCTATATATAATGGCATTCTAGCAAGATATTTTGGATCCTCATAACTTGTGACAAAACTGCCCTATACTAACAACAAATCATTGTAATTATAGATCTCAAATTATGTTAAATTGCTATAGTTGCAACCAACAGCAAGAATTTGTATTTTAGAATATGTTGTGTCTTCTCATTGACCAAAAAATAAAAATAAAAATAAAAATAAATCCTCAGGCCCTGATAAACTGTAGAAATAGCTTTTCTATCTTTGCAGTTAAAGATTTTCATCTTGGAAGTTATGGTTAAAAAATTTTTAAACAGTTAAAATAGTGTAGCTGTGCTTAAAGCTTCTGGTAAAAGCCAGTATGCTTTGTAGAGCCCTTATCCCCCTCCTGCTTTTTATTTGTTTTTAGCTCACTAAATAATATAAACACTGATTTTTCCATATATAGCACTGAATAAACTGTCATGCCTAAGTGTAAATCAGTCCAGCACTGTGTCATCTTTTTCTAAAGCATTCCAAGTTAAATGTCTGATGTGTAAATAACATGAAGAATCATGCTGTTAACTGTGTGAAAGATGTGGGAATTTTAATAATCATTTTCTATATTTAGAGATCAAACAAGTCTAATTCTTCAAAGCTTATGAGAATGGTTTCACTTCATATTAGATGGTGAACAATCCATAATGAACTTATATTCACCCTGTGTCCCCCTCCCGACCCCCTTGGCTCACATAGTGAGCAAATAATTTTCAGATAAATCAACTTCTCAGAACTATGCAATTGTATATACATGTCCATTACAGATGAGAGATGGATGGATTTAAGGGTTTTGTTAAAAGTATGTTTGCTATAATGGCAAAATTGAAATGGAAAGCCCATGAAATGGAAAGCCCAACCTCAACCCAGACAAGTACCTCGGTTCTGTCCCACACCAATTTAAGAACTGAAATACATGATTGACTTAGAAAAGTAAACTGACATTTCGTTCTCCTCTGAAAATACCCAAAGGTTAACTTCAGGATCACCTTGCCTAAACCTACAGTCAACTTTTTTCATCCTGTTAGAAAATCCACTTACTAAAACAGATTCATGTTCTTTGGGCAGCATGTTCATTTTCATTTTTAGATGTTGCCAGGCTGGAGTGCAGTGGCGCCATCTTGGCTCACTGCAACCTCTGCCTCCCGGGGTTCAAGCGATTCTCCTGCCTCAGCCTCCTGAGTAACTGGGACTACAGCCACGCGCCACCATGCCCAGCTAATTTTTGTATTTTGGGTAGAGACAGGGTTTCACCATGTTGGCCAGGATGGTCTCGATCTCCTGACCTCAGGATCCACCCGCCTCGGCCTCCCAAAGTGCCGGGATTACAGGCGTAAGCTACTGCGCCCGGCTGTTCATTCATTTTTAAAAGGGTAATAATATGATATGCCAGTCTGAAAGAAGAGGAGGACCTGATTTTCCTAAAGAGAAGTTATAAGAGATTGTGAGCTCATTAGGCAAAATTTGAAAGAGCTCACTAATGGTATAATTGGAAGAGAATGTTACCCATCTACCTAAGAGTAATAATTTTAAGGCAGTATTATCTTCACTACCACTGAAAAAATGACACTGAGTTAACAGAGAATAAATGGACAGCTATTTGATTTAAAAATTTTTTTATTCAAATATTAATTTTATCAAATGAAACAAGAATCTTTGATGATACTTTGATGTAAAAAAATGTTTCATTCATGTGTTTGCACTTTCCATGGTTTAATTTGTTTAGGGTAAATTGTCCAACCTGAAATATAAATTATCCCTTTGCTTAATATACTCTTTATTTCTTCAGAAACAAAAAAAAGGTAGGAATTAGTTCAAGGATGTCAATTTACTGTTTCTAGTACTAAAGTACGGCTAACTATGTAATTTATAGCCTTTAAGTGCAAATTATGGCATCAGTCAGTGGTTCCCACAACAGACCCAATCACACTTTCATACTCAAAACACAGTATATTCTTTTGCAAGTAAAAATATATAAATCAAGTTTCAAAGAACATCTTTTCAGTGCCCCTCAAGAATAGTTTACTCAGTTTGTTGATACTTTCTCTCCTGCCAGTCTTCAGTCATTAAATACCTCTAACTTAGAGAAGGCAAAATGAAATTCAAAACAATTTGAATGCTTACAGGCAAATCCTGGGAAAGAAGGGAAAATAATAATTCAAGTAACATTTCTGTGAAACTAGGAATATGGCTCCTGTGTCTGCCCATTCTCTCAATTTGGTAGAAAGGGAAAAATAAGAGCTTGCTTCAGAACAGAACAAAAAGAAAAAAATGTCTACGACTAGGTCATGGGTTTAAAAAAAAAAAAAGTACAGGCTGACAAACACTACTATATAAATTAGTCAAACATTTTATTATAGAGTATATATTTATATCAAAAGCACAAAAACGTTTATTCTGAAAACCAGGAAGATTGTGATGTTACAGAAGAAGATTCAATAATTCCAGTCCATTTCTAGGGTACTAAGTGTCTGATCACCTCAGCGAAAACAAGATACAAATGAGGCCAAGGTCACAGGTCTGGCCACCCTGAGTCCCTTCGCACTATTTGGTTTCTCAAGTTGAGACACGTATTCCCAGTCCCAGTTAGCCACCTTCCAAGTGTTTGCTACTAGCCTTAATGGGTACTTAGCCAAAGACTACACCCAAATATAACCAAAGCTTATGTTAAGTCATAAGATTAATCCTTCAATAATAAGGATAGCATAATTGGCTTTGTTACCTAATTCTACATAAACAAAATCATCAAATATCCTGGCATAACTGAAATGACTTACAGAGGAAGTAGTAAAGCTTGGAAGTATTCTATGGTAACTGAGCTGAAAAAGGGGAAATGCCAAATGTTGTAAATGCCATCATTACCAATAAGAGTCACCAAATTCTCAGAAATAGGTAATTGGCAGCTCAAGGCAGTTAGCACTACAAGATTTCTCTTGCCTTTAAAAAAAAAATCATTTTTAAGACTCCTTTTTTAAAAGGCTACATCAAAAAATAAACCAAAATAACAAAAATTAAAAGGCAACATGAGTAAAATAACTACAAATTTAAAAATCAGATTATTATTCCTGTTTGTTCTTACAAGCCATTAGTATTCTTTTAAAACTTACTCCCTGAGAGATCCCAGACTATGTTAAGAAAGAGTGAGCTTGAAGTTATTCTTATTTAAAAAGAAAATCTATATTAGCTCATCACATTTGATATTATTATAACTCTTAAAGTCAGCAGGGTAAAATCAAATTCTAAGGAATATAGTTTTGAGAATAATTTGAGGGTAAATGTAATGTATATATCAAATTTGTATTATAGTCAAGGATTTAACTGATGGTGCCGAAAGTCAAGTATTTAAGAGTTAAGACTTTTAAAAATTGTACCCCCCAACTTATTTAGTAAAGTACATTACCAACTACTGATTTATTGCTTTTAATGTGATGAAACACCAAATTTGACAGCTAAAGTAGCAGTGGGATACAAGTATGTTTTTATCTTTAATCATTTTTGTAGAATAGGACATGTACATATCCATATAAAAAGAGACTGTAGCAGATGCCTCCCAGAATCAACCAGTTCTTGTAAACATTGCATTTGTGCAGATTTTCATACTTGATTCCAAAATTGAGAACAATAAGATTAAAAGCAAATTTAGTAGCCACAAAAAGTCCAGTTTGACTTCCTGCAACATATGGTACCACTCTTCTCTTCAGAACAAAACAAAACAAAAAACCTAGCAGCACATTAAAAAAAATTTACAAAACATTTCAGTACTCTTTCCCTCCCATCAAAAACCGAACAAAAATAAAGTGCAGCACCCATAAAAGTGTCAAGAAAATAGCCAAGTTCTTCCTTTCTTGTAACAAAATAGCACTTGGCCTCAGCAGTCTTAACCAAATTATACAGTGTCCATCATTTTGGGTTCATCATCTTCTTTATGTACCACCGAGTTTAAGCTGCAGAGAGCTGTACTGATAGAATACTGAAGATAATCTGGATTCTGGGGAAAAAGAAAAGGTAGATTGGGGGGAGAAAAAGAACGCATTATAACCAGTTTTATGACAGTACATACATATATATTCAGTTTCACCGTCCTATTTCTCTGCAGTGTAGTAGAGCAGTAGGAAAGAAGATGGACTTTGGAGACAGACTTGGGCTGAATCCCAAGAAAATAAAGAAAAAAATAGGATGCTATCACCTATGAGATGTGATAAAAGAATGATACATGTAAAAAACAGAAATGTTAACAAATACCACCTTTCTTCTCTGTTTAATCATACAAGGCAAGGCTACAACCTCCATGTGATTATATATACATAGCTACTGATAATTTAAATATGGTTTGAAGTTAGCAATGCATTTTTAAGATTACCATCTAATTACAACAGTAAATACTAAAACTGCAAATCATCTAAATAAAGAAAAAATTTACTGGGTAAAAATTATGGATATCTTCAGGGTCTATTGTGGTTTCCCAAAGGTTAAAACAAACTCAGTGAGAAATCTGTACACTTTTGAGATGTATTTACACCCTTATTTTTTAAACTGAGAATAAAACAACAGGATTTGTTAAACAAGCATAAACTCATAAATGTTATGCTTGTCAATTTCAAAAACTGGGAATAGAAAACATAAAATCTTACTCAATAAATGCAAAAATAAAACCATTATTAAAGCACCATGAATAAGGGTATAGCCCTTAAGACCCAGAACTTTAGAAAATTCTTCCCCAATTCAATTTTGTCTACTCAATTGTTCCGAATATCTGCTAGTTACTTAAGACTTTTACCACTTGTATTACTAGTTTTACTTATATTTATTTTATTTAATAAACACCAGTGAGGACAGTAGTCAAACAGGATAGATGTCTTAAACCTCACCATCCAATAGGAGGTTGGGAGGCAGGGTTTTCTAAAGATCCTCCTAAGAAAGTACAACACTTTGTGAGATTCCTTTATTCTAAAAGTCAAAAAGCTAGCTGGAGTTCGGATTATTCCCAATCAGGTCTTTATGAAGGAAGTAGCAGGGACAACTGACTGAGGTCTGGGACACTCACACTGGGCTTCAGTTTTAATCCTGCCTCTATTTAGTAAAGCAAGCCTCAAGGAGAACAAAATTCACAATTTAGTAAAATTAAAAACTAGTCTACAGGATAAACCTAAAGTTAACTGTTATTATTTCTATATCCAAGAGGCCTTGGATTAGACCTCTCAAAACTAAGGATAATGAATGGTATTTGGCTTATTTCACACGATTGCTGTCAATTATTAAAAAAAAGAAATGAAAAGCTAAATGGTTACCCACACTTAAGCTTTATCAAAAATGACCAATATTATTGTTACATTGTCTCATTCTCCAAAAAAACAGCTTTAAGACCTTTTTCTAACAATCCAAGCCTAATTCTCTGGAACAGAGCTTACAATTACTCTATTAAGACTGGGCTCCAGTTTTCCATGGCACAACTTTTAATAACAGAATTGGCTGAGGAGATTCTCCAAAACTCATCCACCCATCTTCCTAAGAACTGTAAGATACTATCATACAGAGACTTTAAAAAATAAGAAGGAATCGGTATACCCGACCTAACCTACACTTAGATTTCATTGACTGTCCCATATTTTCATCTAGTAACATTCTCAACACATATGATTCACAGTCTGTGGTATAGGTGAATAAGCAGTGAAGCATAATAGAAATCCAAAAGTAGAATATTAGATTCATCACTTATTGTGTTGACCTCAGGCAAATTTCTTAAGTTCTATGAATTTCAGTTTACTCATCTATAAAAATGAATGAAAATGAATCACAGGGTGTTTGAGAAAATTAAATAATATGTGTGAAAGTGCTTTACAACATATAAACTGATATAAAAATGGGATGTTATTATTATGGTAAGATTTTTCTTCCAAACCTCTAAACTGATGATTTGGTCTTTCAGGTGGCCTCTCATTTTACTTCCCTCAACTAGTCGATAATCCTTTCCGCACATGTAGCAAGCATCTAACTGAAATTTTCTCCAGCCCTTGTATCCTTCAGAAGGACCACATCAGGATGCTCAAATTACTTACCATAAGGAATTGGTCTCCCACCATGAGGAGATTAGCCCAGCTTAATTAAATCTGAATAACCCTGATAATATCAGCAATACAGAAGTGTCAGAATTGTATAATTCTAGTCCCCCCATGACTATAAGGGATGCCTAGCACCTGATATCAGTTGCTATCTAATATATAGTTGCTATCTAATAACAACAAGGACTTACTTCTCTCAAACCAGAGGCAACTTCTTGATAATATAGGCTTAAGATACTATAATGTGTATCTTTCCCTCTTATATTTAGAATCAGTTACATCCTTCCAAAGTCTCTTTTCTCCTTCCCATGCATTATGTGACATTTTAATTGCAGGAGGTTTATATATTGGATTTCACAGTGACTTGGTCACAGAATTCCCCTGGAAAAACTACTTCCCTATGGGCTATTTCTTAGGAACTGAAGAGAAAAATCATCACTGAATTTAAATAAAATTAAGAGATAATCTGTAGGAATTTGTAGAGGGAATATTCTTTACATGTCTAACTAAGGGGGAACATTACTAATTATTTAAAAATCAAACATTAATTATTTCCATCCTTGAGACTTTTTTTTTTTTTTTTCAGCCAGAGTAGGCTCAGAGACTCCTGATAATAATATTTTTGACTGGGGTAAATATGATCAATCACTTTCCTTAAAGGACATACATGTAATTGGAATGGTGAAATTACAGTGAGATAAGGTCAAGCCACTGAAAATCCCAATTTTTAGCACTTTATGAGGTTTAAAACTAAATATAGGACTCTCCTCACATTGTCTTTTGAATAAGACTTTCCTTCTCACAATGTAGACAACAGATTAAACTGGCTAAAGCTGGTCTTAAAATCTTGGAGCCTGGAAATGAGAGATGACTGGGCTCTATTAAAGTGCTACTAGTAAAATCAAATGGGTAGGAATTATCTAATAATAACTTAAACTTGTAATCCTAACTAGCATCAGGCAGACCAGTGGTCTGATCATGTCTCCTTTTTGATGTAAATTTTTTCATGCTGCCTATATGACATGATTTTTTTTTTTTTTTTTTTTTTTTTGAGACGGAGTCTTGCTCTGTCGCCCAGGCTGGAGTGCAGTGGCTCGATCTCGGCTCACTGCAAGCTCTGCCTCCCGGGTTCACGCCATTCTCCTGCCTCAGCCTCCCGAGTAGCTGGGACTGCAGGTGCCTGCCACCACGCCCGGCTAATTTTTTTGTATTTTTTTTTTTTAGAAGAGACGGGGTTTCACCTTGTTAGCCAGGATGGTCTCGATCTCCTGACCTCGTGATCTGCCTGTCTCGGCCTTCCAAAGTGCTGGGATTACAGGCGCGAGCCACTGCGCCCAGCCGACATGGTTTTATCTTGATCAAACCACTGAAGACTTCAAAGAGGCTCAAACAGTTGGCCAGTATTACCAGATACAATATTATCAGCTACATTAATGTGTTCTAAAAATGTTATATCTGGTAGACCCAACATTTAACAAGAAAATACTAAATAAACTTAAGCAACAGATCACACTGGTTCCATGTGCATGTCCACTTTGAAGCTAATCATCCTAAAAAATTCAAAATGGCATAGTTTTAACTCAGGATGAGATGTTTTAAGGAAGCTCCTGAGGGAGCCATCTTGAAGAGTTTATGATTGAGATGATCAATAGCTAAGATTTGTTCTTAAGAATGGTTAGGTATAACTAATCACTACTACATTAAAAGGAGAGGAAATCTGGTATCTCTAAATACTTAAGAGGTGAGATTCAGCACCAAAACATGGCATGAAGTAAGATTCAACAGTTATCTTCTGAGGCAGGAATATTTAAAATAGTAGCACATATTAAAAAAAAAAAAGAGTGGGGCAAAATAACAAAAATTATGTGAATTAATAGGCTTATAAAACAAATATTTACTTTTCCAACTTACCTGTGGTAAGGATTCTAATAAACCTATAGATCCAACACCAGAATGGGGAACATGATTCTGAACTGTCATAGGTTGAAAACTTTGTGATTGAGAATAAAGTCTTACTCTTGACTTGAAAGCTTCAAGTTCATTTTTGAATGCTTCAAAATAACCTTCTTCCTCTGCCTAGAAAAAACAAAAAAAAAAACAAAGACTGTGTTCTTCAAGATTTCTAGACATAGTAAATTCCAGAAAGCATATAACAGGTTTGAAGTGGAGGAAGTAATGACAAGGTGAATAGTCTAAATATAGAAACCACCACGATCCCTGTCACATTTGTGAAAACTACCTGATTTATAGGAACATTAATAATTGGTTTGCTCCATTTCCTTCTGCTTCAGCAAAATAAGCTAATAAAAAACAACCCCTCCCTATGCATATGCACACAACTAAAAGAAAAGAAGGCTTTCTCTGTATTTTCCTTGACTTATCTAGATCCTTAACAGGATCCAAAATAGTCATTTAATCTGTCCAATTCATTCTATCTTCTTCCTACTACCAAACAATCAAGGGATATTCTTAAAACCTTTTAATTCTCCAACAATTAATGAGGGGGCACTATTACCTGTTCCTAGTAATTTTCTAACTGTATATTCCCTACTTAAAAGAGCTACGAAAACCAAATAGAATTCAATAGTCAACGTCATTATGGAACCATCTTGCTCTAGTTAAGCAAGTACCTTCTTTTCAATATTATGGAAAGAAAAAGTATGATAACTTAGGTCGAGGGAGTGGAACTCTTAGGCAACTCCCTATTGGCAGCTGCCTCTGTTTATGTTTCCTCTGAATATAGAGAAATGATACAGAGATTTATCCTACCAATAGAATGCAGGCTTTAAGTTCAAGTAGTGGAAGAGATCTTGTCAAATGGATTTTAGGTTGCGTAACAGGTTAAAACCTGTGGATTAGTTACTACCATCAGCTTCTATTGAAATAATGCAGAGAGTGTTCTGTGCTGCCATCCTATCTTCTTGTAAATTTAGGAAGAATTTCCTTAATTACATTTTAGCACCTCACTTTATAAGAACTTGTGTGGACACAGAGTATGTAATATCCATAAGGATTCTTTCTGAAAATTAAGAGGCACAATTGCTGTCCTCATTGCATGCTTAAGGTTTAGGGATTTAGATATAGAGTGATGACAGATTTTGTATTATTAAGTAATTTGTGGGCCACTTACTTAATTTCTTTATGCCAATTTCTTCACCCATAAGATAGCAACAGTAATCCTCATAAAATGTTATATGAATTTAATGAGTTAATACATGTAAAGTGC
This sequence comes from Homo sapiens, assembly GCF_000001405.40. Taxonomy (NCBI): domain Eukaryota; kingdom Metazoa; phylum Chordata; class Mammalia; order Primates; family Hominidae; genus Homo; species Homo sapiens. The sequence continues at coordinate 4,700,713 of NC_000009.12, read as the reverse complement.
TTAGAATAGTCCCTGGAACAAAGTAAGCATACCATGAAAGTGATTATTTCATAATTTAAAAAAAAGTATTATTAAGCATACAATGTTAAGATTGAAGACCAGTGCCTTTCCGTTTTACTTTGGTAAAGTAAATGTCAAACAATATATATGATTTGGCCACATTCCATTATTTTATTAAACACCAGTTTAAACACATCCATTAATGTAAGATAAAAAGGAAAGTATGTTTTTTACTACTCTTAAGTGTCAAGTAAAAATTTAGAAGAGACCGGGTGTGGTGGCTCATGTCTGTAATCCCAGTATTTTGGAAGGTTAAGGCAGGAGGACAGCTTGAGCCCAGAAGTTCGAGACCAGCCTGGGCAACACAGTGAGACCGTGTCTCTACAAAAAATTAGCTGGGGATGGTGGCATGTGCCTATAGTCCCAGCTACCTGGGAATCTGAGGCAGGAGGATTGCTTGAGCCCAGAAGTTCAAGGCTGCAGTGAGCAATGATTGCACCACTGCACTCTAGCCTGAGTGACAGAGCAGGACCTTATCTCTAAAAACAAACAAAAGTTTAGACTAGTCACCAGAAGCAGCCTAGCTAAAATATCAAGTCAAGCATTTGCTATTAAAGTTCAACTGTTTCAGGAAAATTTCATATTTTGGTTGCATTTCAGAAGAGTTTAGGGTATTTAAGTTAGGACTACTGCCACATTGAGAGTTTTTTTTTAATATAAAAATATAATTTTATGTTTATAATAGGAAATGTTCATTGTAGTACATGAAAAAGAAAACGGAAATTATTTATAATTTCACCACACAAGTATAACCAAAGTTAAACTTTTGGTATACTTCCTTTTAACTTCTAATTGTATATGTTCAAATATATCCTATGTGCAGAAGAGCATGTAAAAGATATGCGCACAGTTTATTCAGCAAAACCCCCACTATTTACCCATAGAAATTAGGATATGGATCATTACTAGGATCCTAGAAACCAGTTCCCAAGAGCATTCCCCCTCCCTCCCTGAGGTTATCATTATTGTAACTTTTGTCTTCTTAATTATTCCTTTGCTTTTTAGTTTTACTGCTTATATATGTATCCTTCAACAATATATTATTTAGTTCTGCCTGTCACTAAAAAAATACTTTATAAAAAAATACAAAATACGAACATTGATACTAGATATATCCATTTAGCATCTATCTAAACAGATACATCACTCTGTGGTTTGTTTGATTCACTCTCTTGTTTTTCCATCCATGCTGATGTTGGCTAGTATTTTACAGAATGAATATACAGGTTGAATATCTGAAATGCTTGGCACCAGAAGTTTTTCAGATTGTCAGTTTTTTCAGATCTGGGAATATTTGCATTATACTTACCAGTGAAGATCTCTAAATTGAAAACACAAAATCTGTGAGTATTTCCCTTGAGTGTCATGTCGATGCTCAAACAGTTTTGGATTTTGGAGCGTTTTGGATTTTGGATTAGGAATACTCAACCTACACCACAATTTATTTATTGTTTCCAGGCTTTTAGCTATTACAATCTACTATGAACATTACGGCAATCTAGTACATATGTGTAAGAGTTTCTCTAGCGCAGCAGTTCTCTTTACAGTCTTCAAAATTATTGAGGACCCTAAAGAGCTTCTGTTTATGTGAGTTGTATCTGTCAGTATTTACTGTTAGAAATGAAAACTGAGGAATTTTTAAAACATTAACTAAAAATAACAATGACAAACTCATTACACTACCATTAATAACATTTTTATTTAAAAAAAAAGTTTTCCAAAACAAAAAAATTTAGTGAGAAGAGAGCTGCTTTTTCCTTTAATTTTTCTAAATCTAATGTCTGACTTTACAGAAGATGGCTAGATTCTCATATTTGTACTTCCGCATTAATCTCTATTGTACACTACTGAGGAATGAAAATGAAAATTAAAAATAACATCTTGGTATTATTATGAAAATAGTTTCGACAGAGAACCTCCTGAAAAGGTCTTGAAGCCCCTCCGGGTTCCTGGACCCCACCTTGAGAATCTACTCTCTAGGATGCATACACCTAGGAGAATTTCTGGGTGTTAAGGCAGGCACTTGTTCAACTTTACTAGGAAATTTTTTAAAGTGGTTGTTCCAATTTATACTTCCACTAGCAGTGAACGCAAATTCTTATTGCCCTACTTCTTGGGCAGCTTTTAAATTACTGCAAATCTTGTGAGTGTGAAAGGTACTTAATCTTTCTAGACATCTATTTTTCTTCAACATAGCCAACATCATCTAGTATGTACTGCTTCCTGTGAATTCATAGCGTAAGCATTTCTTCAGCTCATTACAAAAGTTCCATAAATATAATTTTAAAGGGTGCATGATATTCTATGTACCATGGGTATTTTTAACTATTCCCTTAATTGCTGAATTTTTAGGTTGCTTCCTATTTTTTCTTTATAAAAGTCTGATTTCTCATTAAACTGCTGAGTTCTACACATGAAGAATCCTGTATCTATTTTGCTCAATAATGCATCCTGAGCATCTGAAACAGCTGTGCTTTGCATTAGGCACTCAGTATTTACTGAATGAATTAATGATGGAACGTAAGTTTCCTGAATACACACATTCATTTAAATGGGTCTCAATTTCATATACATGCTGTAGTACAGCCTCTTATATAGCTCTTTTAAGTTTAAATTAGCAAGAAATTAGCAATATAAATTTTCTTTTCACAAGAAAATCTACAGAATTTAGCCTGTGGCATCCTGCTTGGATGCCTTCTATTGATATGAACAGAACAAAGAGGTCTCAGCTGGGACCAAATCTTCCCATTTATCAATATCAAATAACTACTTACTTTGGCTTTCTGGAAAAATAAACGAAAACACCCTCTTGGATCCACATTACAGTTTTTGGCCATTTCCATAATAAACTGCATTACAACAGCTTGATGTGCTATTTGTTCCATTAAAGCCCCTTTCTGAAAAAGATTTAAATGATATAAGAAACAAATATATAAATATATTTAATTGGCATACTGATTCAAATTTTGAATTTTTAAAATACTTTTGATTTTACTCTCTTAAGTTATAAGTCAAATACTTTACAAACATATAAAGAGTATATCTTAGTTTTTTTTTTATTATTTGTATGTGGACCAGAATAACTAAAGGAAGACCATGCTCTGAACTTGATTTAATACCATGATTACCGTCTGGATTTTTAAAATACGACTTTCAAATTAGTTTGAAAAGGATTATAGTAATATGAAAACAAGAGAGATGGAGGTGGAGTGGCAGAGAAAGCATAGTGGAAAAGTTTCTGTATGCTAACTGAAACAACAACAACAACAAAATCCCACATTAAACTCAAGTAGATCTGGAAGCAAAAAATGGTAATTCCATCTAATGACCTTCCTGCTTTCTTTTAAAGGACTTAATGTAGAAAACAAAACAAAACATCAATAAAGTATGAAATCAGATTTCCACTAAGGTTCCCAGAAACTCAAGGTTCACATAATAATACCTTCTCAGCTTCCAGGTGAAAACACCATAAAATAAGATATTTAGCAGTTTCTTCACATACAAGGTATGGATGGTCAGACAAAAATCTCTGGCTATCATCCCATCGACTCAACATACCTGTAAAAAAAAGAATTGAACCATAAGTGTCAAATATTTTCTTTCTTCCCATAAGGGAAGAAATACCAACCATTCTTAATTCATTAATCTCTCAATGGTATTTTTAAATGATTCTCTTTAAAGACAATTCATATTACCAGAGCAACAGATTATGGTAAAAGAGCAAGTGAGGGACAGTACTCTTTAAAGCAATACTCAGTAGACTGGAAATAGCTCCTAAAATTCACAGGAAGTTTTATTTCAGATAATTAATCAGGCCAGAGTGGCCAGTTCAATATTAAAAAGTCCTACATCCATGAATGCCCGCAGTCTTGGGCAAATTGAGAGTTAGTTATGTAAGCCATTTACTCATGATGTCTGTTATAAACAAAGTCTTTTAAAAATTAGTTAAGCATATTTGAAAATGGTTGTCATTTTGTTTCAAGGTGTCAAAGAAATCCAAATACTATTTAAGTTATATCTACACCTTTATCTAAATTAGCAGGAAATTTGGTCAAAGTCAATACCACCAAGAAATCACGGAACCAGCAAAGTGTTGACTTTTTAATGTTGTCCAGTCAGTCATAACTGAATAGATTTTTTTCTTTTCTTTTTTTCTCTTCTTTTTTTTCTCCATAAAGATGAGAGGCTTATTATGTTGCTCAGGCTGGTCTTGAACTCCTGGCCTCAAGATATTCTCCTGGCTAGGCCTCCCAAAGTGCTGGGATTATGGGCATGAGCCACTGTGCCTGGCTAACTGAATAAATTCAATATAGCAATGTTAGGTTTAGATTCCTTAGACTCATGCAAAGAAGTCTGGATATTCATGGAAATTTTGTAGAGCTGACTCAAGAGTTTAGCAGTAAACTTTTCCTGTAGGTGCAAAATGAACTCCTATATATTTAATTCCACATCAGTACACAAGAAAGAACAAAACTGAAGACAAATGTCCTACTGAGAATACACAGCAACAATGTGAGTCAATCAAAAATAAATGATTCATTTTCTCCTCACTTAAAAAAAGGGGGTGGGGCCAGCCACGGTGGCTCATGCCTGCAATCCCAGCACTTTGGGAGGCCAAGGCAGGCGGATCACCTGAGGTCAGGAGTTCGAGACCAGCCTGGCCAACATGGTAAAACCCTGTCTCTACTAAAAATATAAAAATTAGTTGGGCATGGTGGCAGGTAAATCCCAGCTACTTGGAAGGCTGAGGCACAAGAATCACTTGAACCCAGGAGGCGGAGGTTGCAGCGAGCCGAGATTGCACCACAGCACTCCAGCCTGGGCGACAGAGCGAGAGACTCTGTCTCAAAGGAGATAAGCTGGGCATGGTGGCACATGCTTGTAATCTCAGCACTTTTGGAGGCTGAGGCCAGAGGAATGGTGGAGTCCAGGAGTTGCAGGCCAACCTCAGCAACATAGTAAGACCCTGTCTCTACAGAAAAAGCTTAAAAATTAGCTGGGCATGGTAGTGTGCACCTGTAGTCCCAGCTACTTGGGAGTCTGAGGGGGCAGGATCACTTGGGAGCCTAGGAGCTAGAGGCTGCAGAAGGTATGATGGAACCACTGTGCTCCAGCTTGGGCAATACAGCGAGACCTCATCTCTTAAAAGGATTAAAAAAAAGGATAAAGACTGTAGCATTTTCTCATAGAGTATTCTAAGCTTTATAAAGTTATTTCCCCAACGCTTTGGACATAATGATTAGGTCATTTGAAGTTCTGAGAAACAGAATGATTATGGAAGTTACTTAAAACTACTTCTTAAAGTATAAGAATATTGCTAGGCGTGGTGTAATCCCCACTATTTGGGAGGCTGAGGTGAGAGCACACCTTGAGCCCAGATGGTGGAGGCTGCAGTGAGCTATGACCTCACCACTGCACTTCAGCCTGGGTGACAGAGCAAGACCATATCTCTTAAAAAAGCCTAATGATTCCTGGGACTCAGATTTAAAGAAAGCACAATCCTTATTTCTTATACTTGAACCCACAAAGTAAATCCTATGAAGCAGTTTTGCCTTAGCTTTCTTACACTTCTGGAGAGGTAATATTTTCAACTCTATCTACCATCCACGATAAAGCATTGCTCCTCTTGTTTACTTCTTCATGGCAGCATTGTGACTTACTGAAATACCAAAAGCCTTATCCATTCTGGTTTATTTTGCAGGAAGGATAACATGAAAGGGTTCCTGACACTTGGGGCCATGGGGAAGGGTATCATTAAATGTTAATTTTTTTTTTCTTTTTGTTGAGATGGAGTCTCACTCTGTTGCCCAGGCTGGAGTACAGCAACACGATCTCAGCTCACTGCAACCTCCACCTCCTGGGTTCAAGTAATTCTCCTGCCTCAGCCTCCTGGAAGCTGGGATTACAGGCGTGTGTCACCACGCCCAGTTAATTTTTGTATTTTTAGTAGAGACAAGGTTTCACCATGTTGATCAGGCTGGTCTCGAACTCCTAACCTCATGATCCACCTGCCTCGGCCTCCCAAAGTGCTGGGATTGCAGGTGTGAGCCACCACTCCCTGCCAAATGTTAATATTTTTTAACTACCTATTTAATACCTGAGACGAATTAACACTTGACATTGAAAATACATTTTTTTTTTAAATCTGAGAAATACTATCACTTGATTTCAAAAATGCACATTGAATTAGTATGAAATTGAGAAGTTCAGTTACAGGTAGTCGATACAGACCTTTGTGGAAAGAGTGTGGAATTTTATGAACAAAATAAAGACAGGTGGGGCGCAGTAGCTCACACCTGTAATCCCAGCATTTTGGGAGGCCAAGGCAGGAGAATCACCTGAGCACAGGAGTTTTAGGTCAGTCTAGGCAACAAAATGAGACCGTGTCTCCACACAAAATGAGATAATTAGCCAGGCATGGCGGAGTACACTTGTAGTCCCAGCTACTTGGAAGGCTGGGGCAAGAGGATTGCTTGAGCTTAGGAAATTGAGGCTGCAGTTGCTATGATCTTGTGACTGTAATCCAGCCTGGGTGACAGAAAATGACTCTGTTTCAAAAATAAAACACATAAGGAGAATCAACAACTCAGTGGAACAGCATATACCTCAAATTACTGATATTATTTTGGAATTTGTAAACAAACTTGTATACAAATGGAGAGTAACAATTTAAGACAGCGGCTGAGAAGACAGACTAGAGCTAAATGGCCCAGGTTCAAATACTGGCTTCACCATTTTACTACTGCAGTTCCCTTTATATGCCTCCATTTCCTCCTCTGTAAAATAGGGCTAAAAATAGTACCTAACTCAGGATTTTCATGACAATTAAATGCTATTAATTCATATAAAGCACTTAGAACAGTGCCTGAGACATAGTAAATACTCGATAAATGATAAGCACCCATTCAAAATGTTTATTTAGCTAATCCTTTGGTTAAGGATAATACAGTCATTTAAACTAGCCAAACAATTTCTCTGAATGCTTGGAAAACCTCACTTTGACAAGTTTAGATATTTTAATCATATGCTTTAACCTATATATTTCCCTAGTGAACGTCTAAATCTCAATCCATCATCAACCTTCAATATGCCACCTGATTCCTAAAATGGTCCTGAAATACACGTCCTTCCTTATTACTGATTTCCCTTTCCTCTTTCATTACACTTATAGAATTATTATTATTATTAATTAATTTATTTCTTTATCTTGAGAGACAGGTTATTCCTCTGTTGTCTAGGCTAGAGTACACTGGTGCAATCACAACTCATTGCAGCCTCAACCTCCTGGGCTCAAGAGATCCTCCCACCTCAGCCTCTGCAGTAGCTGGGACTACAGGTATAAGCCTCCACACCTGACGAATTTTTTTTTTTTTTTGTAGAGATGAGGTTTCACTGTGTTGCCCAGGCTGGTCTTGAATCCCTGGGCTCAAGTGATCCTCCAGCCTCAGTTTCTCAAAGTGCTGGGATTACAGGCAGAACCACTATGCCAGGCTTAGAATGATATATTTTAACAAACTACACTAATTCATTTTAATTTCTCTGTGTACTAAAAATCTCCCAGGTAGTTTGTGAATTACTTGAGGAAAGTTGTATGATCATTTCCCATATTCCTAAACTCCAGATCTCCTCTATTTCCAATCGTCTACCACCATATGCATTTCTACTGATATGCCTGCACGTAAACCCATCTTACTTGAAACCAAACCCATACTTGTCTCTCTGCCATCCTACAATGTTTCCTAGGCTCCATGTTACCAAATCAAGCATTCTAGAAATTCCTCTGACATTTCCATTTCTCCCACATCAAATTGACCACCAAGTCCTGTGGTTATACTACTATGATCAGTTAATACAGTGAATCACATTAATGAGTTTTCTAATGTTAAGCCATTTTGATTCTTAGGATAAACGCTTTGAAAAATTTTTTTCAGATTATAAAAATAAAGTTTATTTATTATGAAGAATTTTTAAAATCCGGAAAATAAAAGTTAGCTGTAATTCTACCACAAGAGATTACTGTTAACATTTTGATGTATTTCCTTCCAGGCATATTTTTGAATGACTTTTTAAAAAACCAAAATTAAGGCTCAGAGTGGTGGCTCACGCCTGTAATCCCAGCACTTTGAGAGGCCGAGGCGGGCGGATCATTTGAGGTCAGGAGTTCAAGGCCAGCCTGGCCAACATGGTGAAACCCCATCTCTACTAAAAATACAAAAATTAGCCAGGCGTGGTAGCAGGCGCCTGTAATCCCAGCTACTCGGGAGGCTGAGGCAGCAGGAACGCTTGAACCCGGGAGGCGGAGGTTGCAGTGAGCTGAGATCACACCACTGTACTCCAGCCTGGGGGACAAGAGCGAGATTTCGTCTCAAAAAAAAAAAAAACATTAAAATCATATACATTTTCTATTCATTTCACTTCATATGTAAGAGTGCTTTATATTAAATGTTTTTCAAAAATAAGATATTGATATGTTTTTTAAAAGCAATGAACAATTACATTGAAGAGGTTGTAAATATTCATAGTCAGAACAAACGAAAAAACTTCTATCATAGTATTTGAGCAAACTTTTATAGCTCTTGGTAAAATTTCCAGTGACAACATCCTACACAGATTAAAAAAAGCTGAATCACAGCTAACTTTGGCTGAAAGTGAAGATGATGTGCTCTGAAAATTAGATGACTCAAAAAGCAGCTCTGATGACCATAAAGCCAGTGATGTCAAACATGCATATAACTGTGAATATAACGGTTGTGAAATTTAAGAGATAAAAGCCTTTGTTTTTAAATTAATATTTTATATTTATAAAACGTGAATTAACTAAATTAATAAACTAAATACAAATGTAGAGGAAAAAGTCAGATTTCAATGCTTTATAATAGTCCATGATATATTGTACCATTTACCACTAGGTGGTAAATTCCACCTAATTGTAAGGGTAAAAGCAGCACAAGAAAGGCAGTCAACAAATTGTATAAGGGAAAAGTTAGGAAAAACTCTGAAGAATATAAGTACAAATAAGACCACAGAGAAACATGGGTGTAAAGCCCCTATAGCCCTATACAGCCCCCACACACACCAGGCCCGTGTCAACCAAGAGTCCAGAATGCAATCCAAGTCCAGAAAGCCTCCAACTGGAAGCTTTAATTACATCTCCTATTGCAGATGTGTTTAGAAGAGTATACCAGAAGCCATTATCCTAAGCAAACTAACAAAGGAACAGAAAACCAAATACCGCATATTCTCACCTATAAGCGGGAGCTAAATGATGAGAATACATGCACACATAAAGGGGAACAACACACACTGGAGTTTACCGAAGGGCGGAGGGTGGGAGGATCAGGAAAAATAACTAATGAATACTAGGCTTAATACCTGGGTGATGTAATAATCTGTACAACAAATCCCCAAGACACACGCTTACCTATGTAACAAACCTGCACATCCTGCACATGTACCCCTGAATTTAAAACAAAAGTTAAACAACAACAAAAAAACAAAATAAAGGAGTATACCAATATAGTCATCATTTTGGTAAGCTTTCTTCTTTCATCACAATAAGCATACAACAGAAATCTTCCATCAAGCAGGCATAGCCACAAATTTTCACTGTCTTGTGTCACACCTCTATCAACTCTGTGCCATAATTCAGTCCACAGGGATTATTATCTCATCATTCCCCATGACTACAAGTTGGTCCACTCTCCACTGATGGAACTTGGTAAAGCAGAAATTGCAGGTATTCCAGGTCTCTTGTTAAGATATATCTATTCCAGAGTGGGAAATAAAACACATGAACATTTTGAGAGCCTACTACCTTTGTAACATTCCTGGGGATCCAGTGTGCTGTGGCAAGTAATATATCTCCTTTGAAGTTAAAGACAACATGCATTTTCAGTAAGAAACAGGCACATTGTGACTCTGGGAATGGCTATTGGTCTGGCTGGGTGTGAAAACAGCAAGGCTCTGATATTTATTACAAGATAGTATATTGGAAGTTCACAACACGTAACAGCAAAATGATTGCTTATTAATCACCTGTGGATGTTAAGTCAGTTTTTTTCCTCAACTATCTCATTATTTGCACAATAGTTTCATAAATTCAGGGGTCGTGGTGGCATAGGTTTGTGATTATGCATAGATTCGACAGTGTAGACTCTCCCCTCAAGGATGTTCTAGTATCCTAATCCAGTTTAGCCACTGAACACCTAATTTACTAGTAGCGAAAAACACCAAAATCTCAATACGGCACAATGCACTGCAGAGATCAGCCAGCCATCAAGTAGCAGGTTGACTACCCTGGTCCCACTTCATCTCAGAGGGACTGGTAATTCCTCACTTGAACGAGCCCACTCTAGATGTGGAAGTGCCCTCCCTCCTTGCCATGCTTCTAATCAGTAATACATCTGTAGTCTTACTAAATGAATTATTCACCATACCACACTATTTTTTGACCCAGAAACTCATTTTACAGCAAAAGAAATGAAGACTGTAGGGTTCATGAAATTCACTGTTCTCATCACGAACATCACTACCCAGAAGCAGGTTTTATAAAATGCTGAAGATACATAGTGCCAGATGGGTTACAACACTTTGTGATATTTGGATATTTTCCTACACAAAATTGCTTCTGAACAAGGCACTCAGCTTACAGCAAAAGTGAAAGAACTGCTTCTCATTTACTAGGTTTCTCATGGCTTCAAAGCAACCAACTTTCAGAGTGCCAGCTGGGTGAAAACACCTTGAGGAATGTTGTTTCACCAGATGCAGTACATGCTCTGAAAGAGCAATCAGTATATGGTACTATTTTTCCTTCAGCAGCAAAACATGGGCCTAGAAAGCAAGGACTGTAGGCGGGAGTGGCAATTCACATATCACAACTAAGATTCATGTGCAAATTTTTTGCTTTCTATCCTTATGACTCAAGGCTCTGCTCATTTTAAGATTTTACTATCTGTCCAAGGGAGGCCTGTGTATTCATTTTTTTTCCATTATAAATAATACCACATTGATTATATGTAGAAAAACTTTGTCTTTATTTCCTTGGGTACTATTTTTTAGTTAAACACAGTCTTTTTTCTTTCTTTAAAATGAAAAGTATGAGCAAAGTGAATATTTTACGAATAAATTACATAAAAGGAAGGGAAAAAATTTAAAGTAATATTTATTATATTGACATAACTGAAGCATAAACGAAATTCAAAAAACGTTGGGTAAATAAACACCAACAGGAAAAAGATTTCAAAATGCCATGTAAAAAGTTCATGAACATATTACAAATAAAAACCATGTTTACTAAATTAACATACTACTTGGAATTAAAAAAAAAAAAAGTTTTAAACCTTAACTCCTAACACTTCCCAGCAGCATTTTCATGCCAGCGGTATCATGCTGCCTATAATTCTCAGAACACACCATGCTGTTTCCTAACTGCCCGTCTCATGCTGTTGCTGTTGGCTTGCCTCCCTTATACATGAAAAACTCCTATCTGTTCCTTGAAATCAAGCTCAGATGCTGGCTCCTCTGGGAAGCCTTCACTTGTATCAACCCCCCTCTTACCCTTTTTCCCCAATAGAAAAAACCTATTTTTCAGTTCTTTATATATACATTTCTATTACTATATTTATCTGAGTAACAGTTCAAGGATCTGCCTGAATTATAAAGCATCATATCCAAAACCTGAAAAAAAATGAATAATCTTTAAAACATAAGATAATCAGATTCCAAGGAAGCAAAGAGGAAAAAGAAAAAAGCAAAGACTACTTAGGAAATGGAAAGAGGCTATGGAATACATAAAGTTGTCTTAAAGGTAGTACACTATATAATAATACTTTTGCTTCTCTTTACCATTTGGTTTGCTCTGTCAATTAATTTTATTTATAACCAAAAAAAAAAAAAATTCTAAAACAAGATCTATACAGCTGTGCCAGAAGCTACAAAATTGGAGTTTGCCACTTTTCTTTTTGGCTCTCTTTTTATAAATCCATTTTTTGCACATGTACATATGATACCAAACATTACAAAGAAGGAAATCCAAGTAGTAGACTTACCAAAATGTCTGATTTTTTGCTCATATTTTTGCATAAATGATTCTGATTTATCTTCATCTTCTGTGTCTTTTCTTTTATCTTGATTAATAAAACTCTAAGAAAAAATTTTAGAAATTTAAATCAGATTTTAAATTCTAATTGAATCTTCTTTCTCAGATACTGAATATCTAGCAATTCTTCCTATAGACAATATATGTGGTATAGTATCATACTGATATTACATGATTAAATTCATCTGGTAAACTATTTTTAAAAATTAAAATTTTCTTGTATGGGAGTCTTATTAATTTTGTTTAAAATGATGTATGAGGCCGGGTGTGGTGGCTCACGCCTGTAATCCCAGCACTTTGGGAGGCCGAGGCGGGTGGATCACGAGGTCAGGAGTTCAAGACCAGCCTGGCCAACATAGTGAAACCCCGTCTCTACTAAAAATACAAAAAATAGCTGGGCATGGTGGTGGATGCCTGTAATCCCGGCTACTCGGGAGGCTGAGGCAGGAGAATCTTGCGTGAACCCAGGAGGCAGAGGTTGTAGTGAGCTGAGATCATGCCACTGCACTCCAGCCCAGGCGACAGAACAAGACTCCATCTCACAAAAAAATACATACGATATATGTGTGGATATAGGTTCATCTTAGAAATCATACAGAAAAACAACTGAATTAACCTTTTTGGTAAGCTGAATTTCCCAATTAAAAGCAGGTATAGAAACATCCTTTATATTTTATATGCATAGTTTACTTGTGCATTATTTAATTCCTATAAATATTTGCAACTCTTGCCTAATCTTTCGAGTTCTTGCTGGAAATAAACTCAGAAATTCAAAGCACATAGAGAATAAATGATATTTACCGTAAATTCTTTATTAAGACATAAACAAGAAATAGACTGTTGTTGTTGCGTGTCTTTTTTTTTTTTTTTTTTTTTTTGAGATGGGGTCTTGCTCTGTCACCCAGGCTGGAGTACAGTGGCACAATCATAGCTCACTGCAGCCTCAACCTCTTGGGGTCAAGTGATCCTCCCACCTTAGCCTCCAGAGTAGCTGGGACTACAGGTGTGAGCCACCATACCCAGCTAATTTTTAAATTTTTTGTAGAGACGTGGTCTTGCTATGTTGCCCAGGCTGGTCTTGAACTCGTGGGTTCAAGCAATCCCTTCACCTTGGCCTTCCAACGTGCTGGGATTATAGGCATGAGCCACTGTGCCTGGCCCTTTGTTGCATTTCTAATAAACTTCTTAGAAGAGACCAAACAGTTTGATTTTTAAAGTCAAGTACAAATTTCTATTAAGGAAGTACTTATTTTCAGTTAAATAAGTCATAAAATATACCAAGAATAAAGTTTGTATCTAGCTAGAAAAACTGGCAGAAGTTTCTTAGAACATTCTGTGATCATATTTATACCCCGTTATCATCACTGCCAAAAATAAAAATTGCAAACTAGATCACTGCCAGTTTATAATCAGGAAGCACTCAAAAGTTTACATATTTCAAAATAAAAGATTTTTTCTTCATGCAGTCTGACATCTAGACCAGCACTGTCCAATAGAAATACAATCCAAGTCACAAATGTAATTTAAAGTTTTCTATTAGCCACGTTAAAAAGCAAAAAGAAACAGATGACATTAATAAATTATTTTATTTATCTTAACATATCCAGCCTATTATCATTTCAACATGTAAGCAATACAAAACAATTATTAATATTTTACTTTTTTTGGCACTACATCATTGGAATCTGGTGTGTATTTTACACTTACAGCACATCTCAATTCGGACTAGCCACATTTCAAGCACTCAATAGCACATGTGGCTAGTGGCTATCAAGTTGGATAGTGCAGATCTAGACCAGTCCTCTCAAGTCTCAAGCTCCCAGACAAAACCAGTGTAGGATTTTGAGCAAATGACTGGAACATAAAGATAGTCCTAATTAATTTGTGAGATAAATGTAGGCTGTCTTAGAACCTTAGAACCTAAGTTTAAAGAAATAATTAAAAGCAGAGACAAAATGAAAATATTTTCTTTGTGACCACTGTGTTAAAGAAGAGACATTAACTTTACAAAACAAGAAATATTACTTTGAACATTCCTTCTGGAAGAAAAAAAATTATTTTCAATAGTTTTGGGATATAAATGCAGAACAGAAAATAACACAAGATGCACCCCTTAAAACAATATATACAGATATAGCAAATGACTCAGATAAAGAATGATCCCATTGTGGAGGGGGAGAAAAAGTATATATAAATTAGTACAGGCACAGAGAAAGTCGAGAAAGATATGACTCACTGTTAAAGTACTGATAGGGCTAGTGGCGATGTACACTTATCTGTGTGTGTTACTGACTGCTGTAGCAGAACTAGAGCTGGTCCAGGGAAAGGCAATTAAAAAAGTTCATGAGAGTGGGTGAAAGCAGATGCCAAGAGGACAATTAAGAAGTTTGAGATGTGTTTCACTGTTGCCCAGGCTGGAGTGTAGTGGCACGATCTCGGTTCACTGCAACCTCTACCTCCTGGGTTCAAGTAATCCTCAAGCCTCAGCCTCCGAAGTAGCTGGGACTAAGGCAATACAGGCACATGCCATCATACTCAGCTAATTTTCGTATTTTTTATAGAGACAGGGTTTCATCATGTCAACCAAACTGGTTTTGAACTCCTGGACTTAAGTGATCTGCCTGCCTTGGCCTCCCAAAGCGCTGGGATTACAGGTGTGGACAACTAAGCCTGGCCTATTTTTCAATAAATATCATTTTATTCCACATTTAAAATACTAGTTCATGAAGTTTTGCCTTTTCTCCCCTTTTCATGCATTTGAAAATCAATCGCTAAAAACTCTAGTTTTCAAATGGAAAACTGAGGTATAAAACCCTGAAGTTTGAAAAACATGAGATTTTAAAAGTCTAAGCCTTCATTCTTAAAGGCACTTAATAAAGGATATTCAACACTTCTCTTTATCTTATCTCTCAATCCCAGAGTCAGGAATTTCTCACATTTAACCCACCACTAAGTTATCAAGTCACTCTACTTATTTTTCCACTTAGTTTCTTCATTTATAAAAAGAAGGTAGTTGCATTAAAGGAACTCTAAAGTAGTGATAATCAGTGTAGGGGGTACAAAATATATGTGGAGGAAAATATTTCATAACTGATATATTTTCCCATCCTTATATCAAATTCTTGTGAATGTTTTTTAATATATGTAATATTTGTTCAGCAGTACATTTATATAAATATGTATTTCAGTCTGGTCACTTAACTGCCTGGAGTCTGCAGCTCTACAGCAAGAGCTTTGAGACTTTTTGACTTTCATAAACTTTTCAAGCACCTTTCATAAACTGTCAAAATTGAACACTGTTTATGGGATTCTGCTGCTTTGCTACCAAATACGCACAACTGGTTTGTACAAACACTTCAGTTTTTCTTCTTTCATTATGGCCCAGTAAAAGCTCATACCTTATTAAAAACATCCTTGCTAATGGCATCCGTGCTCCACAGACACATCTTCTCTCTTTGTACTAGAGCTTCTTCTTTCTGTCGCCACTCTTCTTCCCGTTGCCTCAGTTCTGATACTGCTGTTTGTGCTTTGGCATGCTCCTGATCCAAGGACTCAGAATTATGCAGTGCTAAGCTACCAAGTTTCTGTTGAGCTTCAGCAAGATTCCATTTGCACGCCACAGAGCTCTTCACAAACTCTTTCTGCTTTTGGCAAGCCAATTCAATTCCATGGCTATACATCTGGATAAAAACAATATTTGTAAGAAATGAAGAAAGCAATGGATGTTTGTGCAGCACAGTTCAATTTTTCTTAATTCAAAGGATTTCTGTACAATATTTTGGTATATAGTATATCCTGTGTTCTAGGTCTGCAGTCATGTTTTTATATCTTAGTCCTTGTTTCATCAACTAACTTCTAAACTTCTTTGTTAATTTAGGCCTATCCCCTGACAACTAACAGCAACAAAAAGCCTGGCAACTATCACAGTGTCTTGCATAAAGCTAGTGCTTAACAAACGTTTAATTAATAGTCTTCATAATCCTGAACAAGCAGAATAATGAGAACAAAGCTTAAATCTAGTTCATCACCTCAATACTCAACATGCTGACAACCAGGCCTTTATAATTTTGTTCTCCAAATTCTTCACTACAAAAAAACCTCCTTTTATCTAGAAGTAATCGTTTCTTGGTTTCTATTTTCTATCTGTATTTTTCCAATCCTTGGTGATTTGAGAAGTTCTTATTGGATATTTCCATTTATAACTGATTATATCAGACAGATATCCTTTAATTTATTCCTAATCAAAATAGGCAAATTATATATATATATATTTTGTGATGGAGTCTTGCTCTGTCACCAGGCTAGAGTGCAAAGGTGCGATCTCAGTTCACTGCAACCTCTGCCTCTGGGGTTTACGTGATTTTCCTGCCTCAGCCTCCCAAGTACCTGGGACTACAGGCATGTGCCACCATGCCCAGCTAATTTTTGTATTTTTAGTAGAGACAGGGTTTCACCATGTTGGCCAAGATGGTCTTGATCTCTTGACCTCGTGATCTACACACCTTGGCCTCCCAAAGTGCTGGGATTACAGGCATGAGCCACTGCGCCTGGCCACAAAGTTACATTTCTTAAAAGTGACAATGGTCTACCCTGCTGACCGTACTACTCCGAAGCAGTAGTAATTACTTTTATTTACTTAATTACTACATGTAAAGTACTGTGATAGACATTCAATACCCTATATTCCTTGGCTCTATAAAACAAAAGCTGAAGGCACATTCTTTATGAGTTCTTCGTCAAATGTACATCAACTTCAGAATAATTTCTCTCCAATCTGTTCCCATATCTGCATCACTATTCAAGCCCTTATAATTTCACATGTGAATTATACAAATGCAGACTCTTATCCCAAGCCGTTCTCCACTCCACTAGACTGGAGTGATCTTTCCAAAAAATGAATCTGATCTTTTTTTTCATTCTTAGCTTTGGGATAAAGTACATACTCTGTGGCAAAGCCCTTCGTGATGTTATTTCCCATTACCTCTTTAGACTCAGTTCCCATTGCTCTTCTACTTGTTTGCTTATTCTTCCCTTTCCCACCCTTGTCCCTCACTTCAATTTGGCAATCCTCTTTCTTCGAGGTAACTCCTACAGAAACTCCTATCTTCATCCAGATTCTGGCATGCCCTAAACTTTTTCTGACCCAGTGTCTCCCGACCCAAGTTATGCATATTTCTGTTGTGGTGTTTGTCATACAATATCATGCTTATTTGTTTACTGACTGGTGGTGGTAAACAATTCTGAGGCAAGTAGTAACCAAGGACCCTACCTCTTAGCTGAGTCTTCAGGCAAACTCACGTTTGTACTGGGACAAATGTGGACACTTGCTATTCAGATGTTTTATTTACTCATTCAGCAGGTTTGGAGCCAAGGTACTATAAACCATGTCCCTAAGTATATTTTATAATATATATTCATATATTATAAAATATATATAAAATATATTTTATATATAAAAATAAAATATATATATAAAATATATAAAGTATATTTTAAAATATATTTTAAAATATATTTTATATATAAATATAATATATATTTAATATATATATTATATTTTAATATAAAATATTTTAATATAAAATATAATATTTTAAAATAAAATATTTATTTTTACTTTTTGTTATCTTAGAATAGGATCAAGAATAGTTATCTTAGAATAGGATCAAGAATAACTGTAGACTAGCTATGCTTAAAACAGAGCCAGGAAAAGGAGAAAAATTAAGCTATATAACTTATTTTGTAAGAAAAGATGTAAGAACTTTTGTATATAAAACTTCTTTTGGCTGGGCTCAGTGGCTCACGCCTGTAATCCCAGCACTTTGGGAGGCTGAGGCGGGCGGATTACCTGAGGTCAGGAGTTCGAAACCAGCTTGGCCAACATGGCGAAACCCCGTTTCTACTAAAAATATTTTAAAACTTAGCTGGGCATGGCCGGGAGTGGTGGCTTACACCTGTAATCCCAGCACTTCAGGAGGCCGAGGCGGGCGGATCACGAGGAGGAGCTCGAGACCATCCTGGCTAACGTGGTGAAACCTCATCTCTACTAAAAATACAAAAAATTAGCCGGGCATGGTGGCGGGTGCCTGTAGTCCCAGCTACTTGGGAGGCTAAGGCAGGAGAATGGCATGAACCCAGAATGGCAGAGGTTGCAGTGAGCCGAGATTGCACCACTGCACTCCAGCCTGGGTGACACAGCGAGACTCCATCTCAAAAAAAAAAAAAAATTAGCTGGGCACAGTGGTGGGCACCTGTAATCCCAGCTACTCAGGAGGCTGAGGCAGGAGAATCACATGAGCCTGGGAGGCGGAGGCTGTGGTGAGCCAATATCGTGCCATTGCACTCCAGCCTGGGCAACACAGCAAGACACTGCCTCAAAAAAAAAAAAAAAAAAAGAGAAAGGATAATATATCAAGAAAAGTAATATGGTAATATGGATAAATAGAAATTATCTTGCATTTTCAAATTATTTGGGAGCAAATATTCTTTTCTCAAATCGAAAAATTCTAAAAATAATGTATGTCTTATTTCTCCACAAACTACCCAGACAACATTTGGCCATTTGGGCAAACTATCCAACATGTATTCAGATATTAAATAAAATATTAGGTCACATTCTAATCCATGACCATACAGAAGTTTTAGAGGGACATTAAACATGATCTGCCTTTACATTAATTGGATCTAAGAACTACATATCACATACTACATTAAGAAGTCTAGATCCCCCTTATTTGATAAAATTAAGCCAAAGCTTTTTTTAGGATTATAAAATGTTAATCAATTAAACATTTTATTTTTTCCAAATATTCCAATCCAAAAATTTAAGTCTTAAAGCCAGTAAGACCAATAAGTAGGTTTGTAATAAACACATGAACTCAGAATTAATAATCAGTTTGCAAAAAAAATTTTTTTTTTTGAGACAAGAGTTTCGCTCTTGTTGCCCAGGCTGGAATGCAATGGTGTGATCTCGGCTCACTGTAACCTTTGCCTCCAACAATTCTCCTGCCTCAGCCTCCCGAGTAGCTGGGATCACAGGCATGCGCCACCACACCAGGCTGATTTTGTATTTTTGGTAGAGACAGGGTTTCTCCATGTTGGTCAGGCTGGTCTCGAACTCTGGTGGGCAGTGCAGTAGGTGGGAAAATATACTGGACTAGGAGTCATAAGTGGGTTCTAGTTTTAACCTGGCCACTAACTAGTTACATGGCCTCAGGGAAAACACTTTTAATGAGAGAGATAAGCTTACTCACTTCTAAAATCTCTTCCAGCTAAACAAATTTAGAAGTGCACAAGTAAGAAATTAACATACAGATATTTCTCTAGATTACTTCTGTAATTCAACCACAATGCACTGAAATTCTTGACACCCTTTTTTCTCTTCATATGCCTTCAAAATTGACAATGGCATCTGCTGTTCATTCTTCTTTCCTCCCTAGCACATCATGTGCTTATAATACATTTTGTATATAAAGATGACACTAGTGATCCAAAATTAGTGGGTGACTAATGATGGACCCATCAACTCTCATTCTGTCCTCCTAAAAAATGTCTTGTAGTTCCCCAGTGACTTAGCTGGCCAAAGTACAGACAGTGGTTATGAAACAGCATTTTTCTCTGTGTGAAGCCAACTAACCCTGTTAGCTGGACATAAGATTGATAATGTCACGCTTACTGGTAAGCAATTTAACTCATTCTCATTAACATCTAGCAAAATAAGTTGAGAGGAAAACTACTATTAAATCTGTTACACTCTTGGGAACCCCATTTTGCAAGAAGGCGGCAGACACTTATGATCCATTGAATATATTAGTGTTTAGTCTGTGATTCTGAAATATACTTCCAAAACACACACGGATTCGGAGAAAAAAACAGGACAAGGTGATGCGAGTATGTAAGTATCCCCTAAGATAGGTCCCTGAAAAATCCTTAATAGTATATCACATTTGGATACGTTTCAGTCGCAGGAAGGCAGGAATGCTGGATTGAAAACACAATACCAGGAACCTAAGAGAAGTCTGAAGGAAAACACAAGTATATGCGTATATATTTTCACTGGAGAATGACGTGAAGCAAAACTAAAAAACAAAACAGTAAGGCAAAGATGGTCACGCGAATGGGAGAGGTGTACGCCAGCGTCAAAAGCGAGATTTAAAGAATTTACTCAGTTGTCAACATCGGTGAAAATCGCATGTGAAATCTTTGTCAGGACTCAGTGTGATGCTGAACTACAATCATTCACTGTTCCTAGCAACTGTGCACAAGTATGCTAGAGCCTTTAACAGAATAAAGTGCTTGGGGAAAACCTCTCACAAGAGGACAAAGGGTCAATGTTACAGCATGAGCCGCCCCAAATCTGAGTGCTGTCAGGAAGGGGAGATGGAGGAAGGTATTCCAAGAGTGAACAGGAATCAGCCAAGGCGAAAGAAAACATGTGCGTGGAGGTGGAGGTTGGTAATATATGGCCACCCCGTCTGCCCTCCGAAGATGCCATAAAAGGGGTGGGATGGCATCAGGCGTCAGGTCCCAGGTCCCCGGCCCCTGGCAGTGAGGTGGGCGTAGAAAAAGGCGTAGAAGAGGGTCTGGGAGACGCGGCATTCCAGGGGTTTGGCGACAGCACCACTCCATCCCTCCGCAGAACGCAGGCCCCTTCTCACCTGGGCGCCGCCGCCTGGCAGCTGCGGGCAGCGGGGAGAACTGGGGAACACGTCGAAGTCACTCTCTTCCTCAGCCTCACCCTCGGCCCGAGGGAGGCTCCAGGGTCCCGGAGGCGGCCACGGTTGTTCCATGTCCGGCTGCTCCGGGTCCTACAACCGCCCTTGGCCCTACAACTGCCACTGCCAACAGACTTGGCGTGAATGGAACCTGCTGCGCCGAGCCAGAAGCCCAGCCGGGGGTCCGGGCCGTTACCCAGAATCCCTCTACTGGCCGCGACGCCGCTGCACACCCGGCGACAGCCTGGGCCTCGCCACCGGCGGACGGCGGAAGAAATAGTCGGCGCGGTGCGTCACTTCCGGTTGGGGCGGGGCTGTGGAGGCGCGTCCCGGGCCCTTTGCGTGTAGTGGGTGGATCTGCAATTGTATTCCTGTTTCAAGCCCCGTTTTCTTGCAGCTCTTCGGCACTGCAAACCTAACCGCTAATGGCGCTGTGGGTGGAGAAACGTTTGTTAGGTAGCGTTATATATTGTTATCTGGTGTTCCCTATACCGAAAACGGCGGGTCCTGGCCGCCGGGAGGTACTCAGACCAGGTGTGCACTTTACATGTTGCTTAAAAATTGCAACTCATTCCTTTACATTGACATTTAAACCAGTGATTCTAAGGCAGAGTTGGGGCGGAGGGAGGAGAATTTTGAACAAGCGGAGCCAATTTTCGTCTCATTTCTAATTACAGGCAACAACAGAATTCTGCGAAACTTGGTTGGTTGGAGGAGCACACCAAAAATAAAGTACCGGAGCCGGCACGGCTTCAAAAAAATTAGGATCAGTACCGCTAGTAGCGAACGCATAAGAAGGGCTTCCTGTATGCCTGCGTATCTTGTTTAAGCCTAAAGATATGTACTCTCTTTATCCTCTTTTTTTGAGACGAGGAAGTAGACCCAGCATGCCCGAGATCACACATTTTACAAGGAAGAAGTAGGATCCAGACCCAGGGAGTTTAACTTCAAAACTTGAACGTTTAACAATCAGGTCTTGCTGCCCTACTCATAAAGAGACCCAAATAAAAACAACATGACGCCATTTTTTTCCATGTGTTTAGACTGGCAAACTTGTGAAGTCGCTTAATACCAAATGTGTACCAAGATGTAAGGAAATGATGTGAGAATGTCATTAGTATAACCTTTTAGGAGGAGTAATTTGACAATATGAGAGGCTTGAGCGGATTGATTCAGCAATTTCACCACTAAGAAAGTATGCAACAATTATTTTTGCACCAATATCCAAAGATTTACTACAAAGATTTCTGGCAGCAATTTTTGTGTGTGTGTGGCAAGAAAAAAAAAAGCATTCTAATTGTCCATCGATAGAGGAACTTAAAGTATGGAATATTAATACAATGGCATATTACCCTTTTTAAAAAAAGTAAATTGTATCTGAATATGCTGATATATAAATACCTCCAAAAGGTATTGAGTTTTAAACAAAGCAACTTGCAGAATTAAACATATGCGTACGTATACAGAGAGAGAAGAGAGAGGGATGGTATTTGTTTGCGTCCGTGTGTGTGTGTGTGTGTGTGTGTGTGTGTGTGTGTGTTTGCGCAGAACATTCCTGGAGGATATGCAAGAAACTGTTAATGATTACCTCTGGTGGGTGAGCCTAGGAAGGAAAGCTTCTGAGGATCTTTACTTTCCACATTTAGCTTCCCTGTACTGTGCTGTTTGAATATTTTTCCAATGAATGTATACTATAATTATAGTATTATAACAGTACAAGATTATAACAGTACAAGATTACTATAAAATTAATTACAAATAAAAGCTGAGAATCACTTTTGCACCTAAACCTTTTGAATTTAGGGGTGAAAGTCACAGGAGAGACTGGAAAGGGAGGAAGAAAAGAAAAACATTTTTCTCTTTGCTTCCATGAAGCCACAAAGTGCTTTGAATAGTGCCTGGCATAAAGTAAGCCCTATATAAACGCTAATGCTGTTAGTTTTTCTCCTACCTCTTTCACTACTTCTCCTCAGTCTTCTTCCCTTCTAGCTGACCTCTAACTTTAGAGTTCCTCATATTTTGGCCAGTGAGGAGAATCCTGTTTATTCCTGTGGCTTTAAATAACATCTGTGTATCTATAATTCTCAAATTGAAATCCAAGTCCTGACCTTACCCCTGTGCTCCAGACTCATGTCTACCCGCTGATTTGTCATCTCATTTTAATGGTTCATACACATCTTAAATTTAACACATCCAAACCCTTGATCTCACCGCCTTCCCCAAACTTCTTTGGGTCTTCTCCGTGTCAATCAATGGCATCACCATCCAGTCCAAAACCTAGAGTTCAGCCTTAGTTCCTCCCTCTCCTTTACCTCTCATACCAACAGCAAGTCCTACTGTTTTTACCCCCAAATACATCTTGAATCTATGTTCTTTCCTGCTTTACTGCATACTCCCTAGGCCAGAACACTATGATTGCTTCTCAGAACTACTGCAGTAGTCTTCCATGCTTCTGTTCCATTCTTGCTCCTTACAATCTCTTCATACTGTTGCCAGAGAGATTTTTAAAAAATACATAAATCATATCATGTCTCACCCCTGCTATATCAATTATATGCTTTCAATGCAAATAACTGAAACCTCAGCTAAAAGAAACCTAAACTATAAGGACATTTATTGTGTATGTAACAAAAAGAATGATCCCAGGATAGGCTTAGCAGTTTGAAGATGTCATTAAATATTCAGGTTCAGGCCAGGCGTGGTAGCCTACACCTGTAATCCCAGCACTTTGTGAGGCCAAGGCGGGTGGATCACTTGAGGCCAGGAGTTCGAGACTAGCCTGGCCAACATGGCAAAACCCCGTCTCTACTGAAAATACAAAAATTAGGCAGACCTGGTGGTGCATGCCTGTAATCCCAGCTACCCGGGAGGTGGAGGTTGCAGTGAGCTGAGATCACAGCATTGTACTCCACCTGGGTGACAGAGCGAGACTGTGTCGCAAAAGAAAGAAAGGAAAGGAAGGGAAAGGAAAAGGAGGGGAGGGGAGGGGAGGGGAAGGGAAGGGAAGGAAAGGAAAAGGAAAGGAAGATTCAGGTTCTTTCAATCCCTATCCCTCCTCCCCAGCATCCTAAATCTGTTTACTTTCATCTTCAGGCTTCTTACATCATGGTTGCAGGATGGCTGCTACAGCTCTGGACATCACATCAAAATATGGCAGAAGCTAAAGCAGGAAGACAGAGAAGGAGGCAAAACAGCTTTATTCACTTGTGGCTCTCATATGAAGAATAAAGATATTTCTCGAAACCTTCTAGTGAAATCCTTATATCTTATTGGCCAGAACTGGCTTACATAAATTATGATTTGTTGTCTGGAGCTGGATGCATTGCTACCTAAACAAAACTGGAGTTCTGTTAGCAAGGAGGAAGAGTTTGTGGCAGTAAGGTAGGCAATCACATTCTCTGCCATAATTGATAAAGTTCCTGTGAAACCTAGTGGCACCCTAATTCCTGAGTGTCATTCCTTTCTTTTTTTTTTTTGAGATGGAGTCTCGCTCTGTCTCCCAGGCTGGAGTGCATGGACTGCAGTGGCGCCATCTCAGCTCACGGCAACCTCCACCTCCTGGGTTCAAGCGATTCTCCTACCTCAGCCTCCCGAGTAGCTGGGATTACAGATGTGCACCACCACACCCAGCTGATTTTTGTATTTTTAGTAGAGACGGGGTTTTACTATGTTGGCCAGGCTGGTCTCGAACTCCTGACCTCAGGTGATCCGTCCGCCTCGGCCTCCCAAAGTGCTGAGACTACCGGTGTGCACCACTGCACCCGGCCCTGAATGTCGTTTCTTAAACCCTCTCCCTAACACCTTCCTTGCCCTCTCCCACCCCAAAATCTCTCTTGGACTCCTTTCAGTTCCTCAAACATGGCAGTTCCTTTCCTAACTCATGGCCCTTTCGAGTTGCTATTCCCTTTGCCTTTTCTCTTACTTTGAAAGGCTTGCTAGTGGTCATGCTTTTCTTCTTAGATCTTAGACCAAATCTCATACTCTTAGGCCAATCTGGCCAGTGAGTCTAAATGAAGTTCTCGTTTCTTCTTCAACCTGTTCTATTTTACCACCTTGTATATTTCCTTTCTACTATTCATCATACTATTATTTTATGTTCACTTAGTTATTATGTTTCTTACCCCAATAGAATGTAAGCTCCATGAGAGCACAGATTGTTTCTTATTCACTCTTGTACTTACATGGCTCAGAACAATACCTGGCTTACAGTAGACACTCAATAAATGTGGGCTGAATAAATGGATAGAGAATGAATGAATGGAAACAAGGATAAAAGAAAAGGTTAAATAAAGGCAGAAGGTGGTGAAAAAGGAATAGAAAGAAGTATATTTTGGTAGGAGATAAGGAGTGGATATAATGATATCAGAAGTAGCCTCATCTTGAGCCATTGCTGACTTCAGGATCTGAATCCTGTGCCCTGGCATAGTAAACACTTATTTTTGGAAACAGTTCTTGCTATGTTACCTAGGTCGGTCTCAAACTCCTGGGCTCAAGAGATCCTCCTGCTTCGGCCTCTCAAGTGGCTGGGATTACAGGCATGTACCACCACGCCCAGCTCCAGTAGACACTTTTTAAACAAGTCTTGGAACTTAATCATACACTTCTACTTTCTTATTTTGGATAATAAATAAAATTCCTTGGAAATTGCTTTGGGTCATAATTTGCCTATTACTCCCATGGACATAGAGCTAGCCAGCTGAAACTCAAAGGAGCAAATTAGGTTTTTTTCTGAGTAGAAATTACTTTTAAATGGAAAGACTATGTAGTCCAAAAAGCCCAAGGGCAGCCCTTGTGGAAGGACTTGTGTTGCATCATTATGTAAGCATTGAGCCTACAAATGCCAGTAAATGAAAGCACAAGCCAAAGAGAAACATGAGTCTGACTCATAAACTCTAATAAAGTTGGGTGAAACAGAACCCATGTGTGGGTCCACATCCCAAATGACTTCAAGATTGTTAAAAGCTGTGCAATTGCAATTTGATTCCTTCCTTGGAAGATTCCTGGAAAATTCTTGAGAAGTGTGTATATGTAAAGAAATACTCAAATTGCCAGCTCCTGTTTTGGATATTCATGCAGAGATCACTATTATAATACAGCGCTGGCCAGGCGCAGTGGCTCACACCTGTAATCCCAGCACTTTGGGAGGCTGAGGCAGGCGGATCATGAGGTCAGGAGATCGAGACCATCCTGGCTAACACAGTGAAACCCTGTCTCTACTAAAAATACAAAAAATTAGCTGGGCATGGTGGTGGTCGCCTGTAGTCCCAGCTACTCGGGAGGCTGAGGCAGGAGAATGGCGTGGACCTGGGAGGCGGAGCTTGCAGTGAGCCGAGATTGTGCCATTGCACTCCAGCCTGGGCAACAGAGCTAGACTCGGCCTGAAAAAAGAAAAAAAAGCAAAACAACCAGCGCTACTTTTTCCCCTTTAAGTGGATGTCCCTCTGAATTACTTGTAAAGCATTATTACACACCACAATAATTTTCTCATCTCATCTGCATTTGAGGTGAATAGATCCATTACATTTTCTCTTTCAGTATGTGTAAGACTTATATTGAAGGGAATTTTATATGTTAAAGGTTTTTTTAAATTGTTATTATGATTTTTTTTAAGAGCAAGATTGTGCTCTGTCACACAGGCTGGAGTGCAGTAGCAAGATGATAGCACACTGCAGCTTCCAACATCTGGGCTCAAGGGATCCTCCCACCTCAGCCTCCTGAGTAGCTAGGACTACGAGTGCATGCTGCTATGCCCACCTAATTTTTTTTTAATGTAGACATGGGTTCTCTCTATGTTGTCCAGGCTGGTCTTGAACTCCTGACCTCAAGCAATCCTCTGGCCTCTGCCTCACAAAGCACTGGGATTACAGGTGTCAGCCACCATGCCCAGCCTATTGTGAGTATCTTTTTAACACAAAAAAGAATAAAATTACAGAAACCCCATTCATCCATCACCCACAGTCAATAATTATCAAGATTTTACAACATTTGCTTTATCTATTCCTTTTATTCATTGACTGGAATACTTAAAAGCAAAATCTTAGACATTAAATCATTTTACCACTGCATACCTTAATATATGTCTCTAAACAATGTTAATATTTGCCTTACATAAACACAAGGGCATTATCATATATATATAATGCCCATTTATCATGTATATAAAAATTAATTGCTTGGTGTTATCTAATGTCCAAACCATAAACAAATTTCCCTGATAGGCTGGGCATAGTGGCTCATGCCTGTAATCCCAGCACTTTGGGAGGCCAACGCGGGCAGATCAACTGAGGTCAGGATTTGGAGACTAGCCTGACCAACGTGGAGAAACCCTGTCTCTACTAAAGTTACAAAAAATTAGCCGGGCATGGTGGTGCATGCCTGTAATCCCATCTACTCGGGAGGCTGAGGCAGGAGAATCACTTGAACCCAGGAGGCGGAGGTTGAGATGAGCCAAGAGTGCACCATTGCACTCCAGCCTGAGTAACAGGAGTGAAACTCTGTCTCAAAAAAAAAAAAAAAAAAATTCCCTGATAGTCTCAAATATTGCATTTGGTTTGTTTGAATTAATGTCCCAACAAAGTCCACATATTCCATTTGGTTGTGAGGTCTCTTAAGTATCTTTTAATCTAAATCAGTTCCCTCACCTCTTCCTTTTTTTTTTTTTTTTTAAATGCCATTGACTTATTGCAGATTAACTGGGTTAGGGGTCCTATAGAATGTCCCAGATTCTATTTATTCATTTATTTATAGACAGAGTTTCACTCTTGTTGCCCAGGCTGGAGTGCAATGGCACGATCTCAGCTCACCGCAACTTCTGCCTCCCAGGTTCAAGTGATTCTTCTGCCTCAGCCTCCCGAGTAGCTGGAATTACAGACATGTACCACCATGCCCGGCTAAGTTTTTTGCATTTTTAGTAGAGACAGGGTTTCTCCATGTTGGTCAGGCTGATCTCGAACTCCCGACCTCAGGTGATTCACCTGCCTCGGCCTCCCAAAGTGTTGGGATTACAGGCGTGAGCCACTGCGCCAGGCTCTATTTATTTATTTGTTTGTTTGTTTACTTATTTATTTATTGAGACAAGGTCTCACTCTGTGGACCAGGCTGGAGTGCATGGCACAATCATGGCTCACTGCAGCCTCAACCACCCAGGCTCAGATGATCCTCCCACCTCAGCCTCTCAGGTAGCTGGGACTGCACGTATGTGCTGGAATGTCCCATGTTCTGTTATAAATATGTCTGCCTGCTTCCTTTTGTTGTCATTAACATGTTTTTCTATCCTCCATATTTCCTTTAAGTGAAGTTAACTCTAGAGCAATGCTGCCCATTAGAACTTTCTGTGATGATAAAAATATTCTGCCTGCATTACCTAATACCAGTAGCCACTGGCAACATATGGGTATGTGTGCTTTAAATGTGACTAATGCAATGAGGAACTGGATTTTAAATGTATTTAGTTGGCCGGGCACGGTGGCTCACACCTGTAATCCTAGCACTTTGGGAGGCTGAGGCGGGCGGATCACCTGAGGTCAGAAGTTCGAGACCAGCCTGGCCAACATGGCAACACCCCATCTCTACTAAAAACACAAAAAATTAGCTGGGTGTGGCGGCGGATGCCTGTAAACCCAGCTACTCAGGAGACTGAGGCAGGAGAATTGCTTGAACCCAGTAGGCAGAGGTTGCAGTCAGCCAAGATTGTGCCACTGCACCCCAGCCTGGGTGACAAGAGCGAGACTCCATCTCTAAATAAATAAATAAATAAATGTATTTAGTTTTAGTTCAGTTAGATAGCTATAAATGGCTACCATATTTTTATCATCAGACAGTGCAACACTCAGTGTAGTTGATTAGATTCAACTACAACTTTCTTGGTAAATGTGCTTCATAGGTACTTCCTATGAATCATATAGGGAAGCATATAATGTACCTATAATGATGCAGAGTGGGGCTGGAATTGATCAGTGAGTTCATATGGTGACAGCCAGATTCTGCTAATGTAAAGTTTGCCTACAGGATATTAACATTAATATATATAAATTATATATGTGTATATATGTATGTATGTATATATGTATGTGTGCATATATATGTATGTATATATGTATATACACACTTCATCTTTTTTATTTATTTATTTATTTTTTGAGATGGAGTCTCGCTCTGTTGCCCAGGGTGGAGTGCAGTGGCGCGATCTCAGCTCACTGCAAACTCTATCTCCTGGGTTTAAGCGATTATCCTGCCTCAGCCTCCCAAGTAGCTGGGATTACAGGCGTGTGCCACCACACCCCACTAATTTCTGTATTTTTAGTAGAGGCAGGGTTTCACTTGTTGTCCAGGTTGGTCTCAAACTCCTGACCTCAGGTGATCCGCCCACCTCAGCCTCCCGAAGTGCTGGGATTACAGGCGTGAGCCACTGCACCCTGCTATACTTCATCTTTAGGCAGTTTGTTAGAATCAAGGAAAGAACTCAGTGTAGTTCATTGAGCTTTCTCATACATACAAAAGTGAGAAAGGTAAAACTTTCTTCTCTGTATATCAGAGTTTGAGAAAACTAAACTATTACAGAACATTTTAGAGAAAGACTTTGGAGAAGGCCAAATATAAGACAATTATTTCTTGGGTCTTGAGACTGGGCCCATGCTTTAAAAGAAATAAAAAATCATTGACCTGGAAATGCACTACTACTGAAATAATCCAGATCATTTCATGTTCTTGGGTGTTTTTTCGTTTTTGTGTTTCTTCCTTTTCAGGCATTTCTTACAAATGCAAATGACTAACTCACTTTGGAAACTCAATCTGCTGGTGTTATTCATACTTGCTAATGAATAATTCACTGCTCAAAAGATTGGAGGGCCTGACAAATGAAGTCTGTTGAGTCCAGATATAAACAAATGGCTTACAACAGGACTTTGAGGGTCTTTTTTTAATCACTTATTATGAAATACAGCTGTCCTTTTGCTCTAATAAGGGAGTGTGGGTGTGACGGAGAGAACAGGCCCTCTTTTCTTACCTGCCGCCTTGTCTGACAACCCAGGTAGCCTTTCTTTTTGCTGTAGATGGGGAACCGCTGGCAGGAAGAGGAGTCAGCATGCACTGAACAGTGCTGTAAAACCTGACTTGACTAACATTTCCCCTTTCAGATTATGAAAGCCACAGACTCTTTTCCTGGAAAAATGCATATATGCACATGTAGGAAATGCTGCCTACCATTTCAGGAGGTTTAAGACCCCTGAGATAGCCAGGAATCACAGGATAAGAAGCCCTGCACTGGAAGCGGAAGTGGCAAACACACTTGCATGGATATTTTTATGGCATGCAGTATATAGGATATAGCTCCAAAAGCTGAAGAAGCCAGTTCCTGCTCCTTTCTATATTCCCAGACCAATCCTTTCTATTATTTTACATTTTCTACTTGTTTTAATGTGGTTTCCTTTTTGGATTAAATAATGCAAGTACTTGGCAAAAATATATTTTTTAAGGACCTATAGATATTCAATGAAAAATAACTTCCTCTCTGCTTCCCTACCCCAGGTCCCTCCCCAGAGGCACACATTACATTAATAGCAGCTTCTAGCATATCTTTTCAGGGATATTCTAAGCATATATGTAGATACAATATTCTCCTTCTCTCCCAAATGGCAGCACATTGTATACATTTTTTATGCCTTTTTTTTCTTGGCTCTATATTTTAGAGACTATTTACTATTAGAATATATAGCTCTGTCTGCCTCATTCTTTTTCCATGCTGCATAATATTCCATCATATGGCTAAACCATAACTGATTTCATCTGATCCTACCTAATGAACATTTAGTTGGTTTCCAGCATTTTTTCAACTAGAAATAATTGTGCACCATATGTTTTTGTGAAAGTATACCCATGGGATAAATTCTTAGCAGAATTGCTGAGTCAAATTAAACATTCTGATAGACATTATCAAATTGCTCTCCAGATAAGTTATATGTGGTAGGCAGAATAATGGCCCCCAAAGATATCCACATCCTAATCCCTGGAACCTGTGCATATGTTACCTTACATGGTAAAGGGGAAATTAAGGTTGTAGATGGAATTAAGGTTGCTGATCAGCTGACCTTAAATTAGGGAAATTATCCTGGATTATCTGGGTGTTTCACAAAGGTGCAATCACAAAGGTCCTTAAAAGTGAAAGGGAGGCCAAGCATGGTGGCTCATGCCTGTAATCCCAGCACTTTGGGAGGCCGAGGCAGGTGTATTACTCAAGAACGGGAGTTCAGGACCAGCCTGGCCAATATGATGAAACCCTGTCTCTACTAAAAATACAAAAATTAGCTGGGCATGGTGGTGCGTGCCTGTACTCCCAGCTACTCGGGAGGCTGAGGCAGAAGAATGGCTTAAACCTGGGAGGCGGAGGTTGCAGTGAGCTGAGATCGCACCACTGCACTCCAGTCTGGGTGACAGAGCGAGACTCTGTCTCAAAAAAAAAAAAAAAAAAAAAAAAAAAGGGAGAACCAGAGAGATGGCAGCATGAGAAGGACTTGGCTCTATGTAGCCAGTTTTGAACATGAAAGAAGGAAACTTTAAGCCAAGGAATACGAGCAACCTCCAGAAAAGCAAGGAAACAGAAAGGCAAGGAATGCAGCCCTGCAGGCACCTTGATTTTAGCCCATTGAGATCTGTGTTGGACTTCTCACAAAATTAAATAATAAATTTGTCTTGCTTTAAGCCCCTAAATTTGTTAAGCAGCCATAGGAAATGAATACATTGTATGTATTTACACTCCCATCAATGTGTTTTCCCATACCCTTCCCACTAGTGCTGTCTCTTTAATAGTTTCTTCCTTTCATATGAATACACTTATTATTTGAAATATTTATGATTTTTGTCTTATAATTAATTTTTTTAGTTAAAAAAAAATCTCAGCCATAATTATCTGTCATATTCTTGTTCTTTGTTAATTTACTCTTTGGAAAATCCCCATTTGGGGCATGTTTCATTTTCTTGTCTGGGGCCAGGATGTGAACGGGATGTGCTGCTGTATCATTTCTGCAATGCTGATGTCACTGCTGGCCAAGCTGCACTGCAGATACTCTCTGGAAATAGCAGTTGTTCATTGAAATCTGTTTGCTGCCACCAAGAGGTACCTACCCAGGTAATAAAGGCTTTCTCTTGAAGTGGTGACAGTCCAATCCTTAAAAGGCTTTGTTGGCCCCCGGCAGAGGTGGACAGCCTCAATGATAAATAACTTTGCAAGATGAGTGAGAGGGACTGGGTGTGTATAGCAACTGCCACATCTCCACAGCAGCTGAGAGCCTCAGGTAACCATGGCGGGGACAATTAGGAGAGTGTGAAGTATCCCCATCAACTCATTTAATATCACCATAGCAGATTTGCAGAAGTAGCTGTGCCTGGTCCTTTCTAATTCTGCAGATTTCTTTTACCCATTGTGATGGGACCTCTCTTTATCCATGTACATTAACCCCCACAGATTGGCTTGACCATCTCTGCATTTAATATTCAAAAATATTTATTATCTTCTATCCTATTTAGGGTATAAACGCTTAGCCATGCAGAGTTTACAGATTAAGGAGACAAATAGTAATCAAGAGTCACAGGAACAAATGTAAAACTGCTATTATGGCAGTCGCTACAAAGAGGAGATATATATATTTATATGTATGACATAAGATATGATATTGAGATTCCACCTTGTCAGCAGAAGAGAGGTCTTGGTGGGGTATGTAAATCTGTATACATGTGTTAATCAATGTCTGCAATGGATGACACTCTAAGTAAAGGGTATAGAGTGAGGAAAGGAAAGGACCTAGAAACATTGCTTAGCCAGAGGAGGATAAACAGACAAAGAAAGAATAGCCAGAAAGTTGGAGGGAAACCAGAAGAGAGCTGTGCCCTAGCAGCCAAGCAAGGAGAGTCCAGTTAGATCAAGAGTTAAGACTAAGAAGAGCATAGAATGGAACATTGTGTCTCTAGAGATCAACAGGATGTCTATATTGCAGACCCAGTGATGTGGTAGGGCACACCTGGATTCAAATGTGGCTGCTCCCTTATTAGGTCTGTGGCTTTTAGTAAAAGGCTGTCTAGCTTCAGATTCTGCATCTGTAAAATAGGGATAATATCTCCCTGATAGAGTTATTGTAGGGTTGAGATGAATTAGCATACGCAATGTGCCTAGCACTTTGCAGATCCTCAGTAAAGACTGATTCTTCTCTCCCAATACAACTCTGGCTATTTATTAATTTGTTTTGCTTGTCACTCTCCTTGATTTCTTAGCATTGGTGTTGGTGACCTACCTGTTAGGATCATCACAGGTCCTGTCCCACATCACTCTGGGTGTCAGCAAGTTGTGAGTGACAAATCAATGATCTGGACACTATAGATAGTTAGGTGCCCACCTGTATCTCTTGATATGCAGAGAGACACAGCACTAGGAACTGGATAAGGATACAATATGCCCTTCTTCATCATAC
Organism: Homo sapiens; assembly: GCF_000001405.40. Lineage (NCBI taxonomy): Eukaryota > Metazoa > Chordata > Mammalia > Primates > Hominidae > Homo > Homo sapiens. The sequence continues at coordinate 4,667,384 of NC_000009.12, read as the reverse complement.
CAAGTTTTTCCCTTCCAGGGAAATAAACTCCAGTTACCAAAATGAATACCCAATCTTGTCTTGACCATCCTTCTGCACTATTTCCAATTGTATAACTCTCTAATGCAAAATATTAGTAATAAATGACTGAACATAATTTAGGATTTAAAATTTTTTTTTCAGAGGCAGCATTGGCCTTCCTAGATTTTTTGGATTGCTAGAAGGAGCCACTACCTGCTCCTTTCCTTCATTTTTCTCTATTAGATGTAGTGAATGTCCCCTACTCATTCAGAACTCTTGCTCTGCGCACCACCTCTGACAGTGTTTACAGTAACTGTGGTTTTGGCAAATGCAATAACTACCCATTGGACTACTCAATGCTTGCCTTAAACTAAACCCCAGAAAAGGCTGGACACCGTTATGGAAAGACTGACATATTTCTATTGCTGCTAACAGGGGATACCTAACTTTTAAATATGTTTAAGAATTAACCTTATATTTCTAATTAGCACACGTTTGTTATTGACGGTGGCCATGTTTTCCGAAGCAAACATAACATTTAATAAGCAAAAGAGTATTTTTAGGAACAGGCAACTATATTAAATGAGAATTGTTACAGAAACTACAAGGCTTGGGGTCGTGCAGCTACTAAACGTGTACTATTTAAATTATAACAGACCTATGATCTCATTCTACTTTCAGAATGAAAACGGTAAACATTCTGACATGGTAATTGGGGATAGCAGGAGCTGATGGAAAGAAGATCGGGATTGTTAGCATTTCTCTATCCGTCTAGCACGCCAGACAGGGCCAGTCTCTCCGGCTGGGGGCACTGCGTGGGCAACAGCGACCGTGAGGGCGCGCGTCTGCGCTGGGGCCTCGCGCGCGTTCCACGATGAAGACTGCGCGTTTGAGTGTCCCTGGCAACGCCACGCTTCCGCCTTCTGGAAGCCTGCACTCCAGCTTCGAGTGTGAGAGACCCGTCCCGGTGGGAGGGACCTGGGCTGGGGGGGACGGTAGGGGAACAAGGGCGTGGGACTGGGGAAGCTTCTGGGAACATTTGCTCTAGGTATTCAGCTAAACTAAGAAAAATTGGTCCAAGGCTCGGCACAAAAGGATCTTCTCATTCCAGTCCTTTCGCCCACGCAGGGAACGATGCCTCTGGAGGTGGTGGTGGAGCTGCAGATCCGGGCGGTAAGAGATCGATGAACTCCCCCTCCTTAACCTCAAGTCGGACTCTAAATAGTCTCAGGTGGTTTTCAACAACCCTCCCCCACATCCCCCACTTACCACAAACACATCATTATCTTCTGGGACAGATCGCACCTTTGTCTTTTTCTCCATATTGGTTTTCCCTGACTTCCTAACCTTTAATTCAGCTCCACCTGTTCCCACTTTTTTTTTTTTCTGTTCTAAAGCTAACATGTTTCTTATCTTTATCATGAATTTTTAATTTCTTTTCAAACAACCCTGCATTAAGTCCAGGTAGAATTTATTTTCTTCTCCTGGATAAAGATTTGTGAAAGGATTTTCAACTTCTTTAAATAACCAGGGAATAATTTTAAAAAGCTCCATCACTTCCTGATTATTTGCCAACTCTATGAACCAATCAGATATTTTCTATGATATTTCCCCTTAGTGATAGCTCTGGCTTGCTAATTCCAAAAGGGAAATCAATCAATCACTATTTCGTAATTACCAAATCCTTCCTAAGTGAAGTGCTGTGGCAGAGTGACTCCATGGTTTCTACTTGGGGGTCTGTCACTCCCTCTTATTTCAGTTTCCATTTTCCAATCCTTCCATGTAGTTAGTAACAGAATATCATGCCGCTTTTCCTCTAGGGGCTTTTCTACTGGCTATGATTACAAGCACAGTGCTAACAGGAAATTGTCATGGAATCTGGTTGTCTTCCATACAATTGGCAAATGGTGTGGTTTCATCATACATGTGGGTGTGAAAGGTGATCAACATTTCCTGGATTTGTCCCACTTTGCTGACAGCAAATAGGGCTAGACCTTATTAGTAGTGCTATACCAGTTTTAAGCTCTAAAAATTGTGCAGGAAGAAGGAACTCTTGAGAAGCTAAGTGATAAATCTGTCTCCCTCCTCATCAAGGCAAAAATTAAGCAAGTTTTCATCTCACTTCATTCACCATTATTTGTTAATTTTATTTTGATTTTTAAAAGGCATTATTCAGTGTACAATTAACAAAGAAATCAGTTTTCTACTCTACTGTACTTAGGATGCTTCAAAAACATCAGGTGAAATGATCTATGCTTTAAGAGCCAGAAAACTCAGGCCTCAGCAACTAAAACAGAGAATTCCAAAATTGTAATTACAAATCAGATGGTAAGCCTAATTTCATGCCCCTAATATTCAGATTTGTGGACACTGCAAGAGGAAATATCATTTGCTTCCAAATATCTGGCTTGAATATTGCTGCAGTTAAAGGATCTCGCTAAGGTTAAACAACAAACCCAAACCACTTAGAGCTTCACAGTTTAGCTGCTTTAGCAAGTGAAGAGGTAGTCGGTATTCAGGATGCTGTGGGAATGCAAATGATTTGATTTTGAGGCATGGCTGTTCCTTTTTCACTATGCCCCTCACTCTGAACAAGCTCATGCTTTCACTCAATCAAAACCTACTTATCACAGCCGTTCTCCAGGTTCCGAACCTCCGTATGGCAGATCAAAGTCCATAATCATTTCTATTTATAAATGCCAAAATAGTCATTAAGATTATCTGAGGACATCACTTCCATAGGTAATTTAAAGGATTTCTTTTCAGGTAGAGCAGCACTTAAAGCACATACCTTCTCCAGTCTTTCTGGGTCAAAGAATAATGAGCAGAGTCCACCCTGCGTTTGGTGGTCTTTGGTCTTATGATTTGGGGAGGCACCATGGATGAACAGCTTTAAATGTAAAGGTCAATGTAAACAGAAATTTTGGAGTTTTATCTTGTGCCTGGTATAGCAGCAGACTCCCATGATGAATTTCAAGTTAAATACTGTTACCTAAAATGTGCTGTACCTCAGAAAACGGAATTCCATGTGAAAAACTGTAGCATACAGGTATATACGAGAAAGCTTATGTTCTTGCATTGAGAAGACGTTCCTTTTCCCCACTTTATTACCCTGAAAGAGGAGCATTATTCTTTATTCAGTGGAGATGACTGGCAGCAGGGCCCCATCTCCTGTCATACTGGTCACTGGCATAATATGTGGTCAGCCTATTCCCAAACTTTCAGTTCCTCTAACTTTCCCCAGCAACTTAGTTTCTCTGCCCTCTCTCATGCCATGTTACGTTGTAAACAAAAATAAGCATGGGGCCATGTCCCATTCTTCCTCTTCTATGAGCATCTTAGATATGCCTACCTTTTAAGTGATTCCTCTTTAAGCAAGTTGGCTTTTTCTCTGAATGCTAAAAGACAGTAAGGGAGTAGTGGGAAATGCATAAAGATCTTTTGAGGGATGGAGGGAGAGGAGAGAAAGACAAGTATTATAATCTCTTTTCCCACTACCCGATCCACAAATATGGATAGAGATAATAAATTATAGAGATAATAAAGTAAAAAAGCTTACCAAGAAAATCAGGATTAAGAAGAAATCTCCCAACTGTGGCAACAGATCTTCAGGGAATAAACTAGAAAAACCTATGTCTTGGACTTTAAAAATACTGTTTAAAATCTACCTCAGGAAAAGGACTAGGATTAGTACATGACCTGTCTGCATGTATATTTACAGAATGAACATCATGTTTCTTTCTCGAAGTTCAGTTTACAAGTGGTATGTTGATTTAGGGATTATCACAAAACACAAATCTTACTGATACCAACTTTTAACAGCAACAGTATAACCACCTCAGCTTGTTTTCTTTGCAGTTGTCCTGGAAACATAAACAGTTGTTGAATAAATATACAATAGAGGATTTTTTGGGTTTTTTTGCTTTCCCTAATATGGCTGTGTTCAGTAATGGCCAGTGTGTGCTCCAGCCTAGCAGCACATCAAGATCATGGGACACCTGAAATCCCAAAGGAAGCCTGAAATGCCTAAGAGGGACAAGCGGGATGGCTGCTGGTTTAGGTTGACATCATCGAATGTGGAAACCTTCAGACTTCCTGGTGCCATAATCAATGAGATGGTGTCATCGTTGACTCCACAGTAAAAAGAGGACCGGAGCATTATGGGGTGAGAGCCAGCAATAGTCCACGATGCTGTACTGCATGTAGCCCAGAAAAAAGCCAAAAGCTACGTCGGTGACATTGTGCCGCCCCAGCATGACCCTGGATAGGCCCAAGACGAAGGCCCACAGAACCACCAGCACCCTCAGTGGAATGGCCAGCACCAGGTGGTTCAGGATGAACCTCGACATCAGGGCGGCCCTTGTGGCATGGCCCGAGGGGAAGGAGTACTTGTCCACCGAGAGAGTGACAAACATGTCCATCTGGTTGTGGGCCGGGCGGCGCCTGCGGACCAGCCCTTTGATCAAGGCCACCAGCAGCAGGTCCAACAGCAGGGCGAAGAGCAGGTTCATCAGCACCTCGCGCCCGGCCCAGCTGTCGCTCCTGCACAGGCAGTAGAGGGTGCCCAGCAGCCAGGGGATGCCGTGTCCCGAGATCTCCAGCAGCTTCATAAGGGGTCGCACGCTGCCCCACGACGAGCTCTCTCCCGCGCACACCCCCAGCTTCTTGGACAGCCACAGGTCGATGGCCAGCAGGGAGCGCAGGGCGATGCCCAGGAAGGACGGGTTCAAGTCCATGCGGTCCTCCTCGGGCAGCGGAGGCGCGGGCGACTGCGAGGGGCCCGCCGCGGCCAGGGGGAAGGAGCCGCGGCGGTGAACTGGGCTCTCCGATGCACGGAGCCGGGCGCAGGTGGGGTCCACGGCCGTGGCGCGGCTGCTGAGCAGGGACTGGAACTCAAACCTGCTGCCGCCGCCACCGCCGCCATGGGCTGGGCTGCCGGGGCTGCTGCTGCTGCTCGAAGCGGAGACGCCCAGCGGCCGTCCCTCCATGCTCCTCCGGGGACTTGGCATCGCAGCTGGCGGCCCGGATCCCGGGACCTGGCCGGACCAAACAGAGGCTTCCCGGCCCTGCAGCCTCTTCCGCTTCCGCACTACCATCCCGGAGGGGCGGGGAGAGGAGCCGGCGAGAGCGCGATTGTGACACCTGGTGGAGACGTGGGAGGGAGTTGGAATTTCCAATGTGAGGAGAGCAGAGGGGAGGATGTTGGCGTTGGGAGGTACAGGTGAGGGAGTGAGGTGATGGGGAAAATGTCAGTGTCTGTAGGAGCTTAAGAGAAATAGAGCCCCGTGTAACAAAACAAAGCAAAGTCTGTTTTCTCTCCCTTGTTTGTTGTTTTCTTTCTTTTTAAGATTTCTTGCCCAGGAGTGTTCCTGCCTGGCAAACAAGATGTGTACCTCGGGGTCTACCTCATGAATCAGTACCTGGAGACCAACAGCTTTCCCTCTGCGTTCCCCATTATGATTCAGGAGAGCATGAGATTTGAAAAGGTGATCTTGACTTTCTCATTGGCTTTTGTTGTCTGAAGATAACCTGAGAGTTCTTATAAAGAACAGAGTTCTTACAGCATTATTTGGTAAATTTCATTTTTAAAAAAATTATCCGAAAGCACTTCAGCACAATGCAAAACCGCAGTCGGAACACTTGCTTTTGTAATGCAGGTCTGAGCCAAGTTCTGTCAATCTAGTGCTAAATACCCTGGTTGATGTTTCCTATTCTTGGAACTCCCATGGCATTTTTTTAACTGGAGCAAAGAGAGCATTTCTGAATGTTTTTGGAGGTGTTAGAGGTAATTGCATTACATTTACGAAAGGGATTATTAATAAACTGTGGACCTTAGAAAAAACTGTGTTAGACCAAGAAAAATAGCGAAAAAAAAATAATGAAATTAGTTAAATCCTGTAACTAAAATCCTGTAACAAAAAGGCTGTTCAGATTTACTGTTTCCTCAGATCATACCTAGATTATTTAGCTACAGTGATAAAGGCTAGATTCCATTCTGGTGAATAACATGGTGATATAAATAGTCAAAACATTACCAGCCTTCTTCACACTAAACTATTCATAGAATATTGATGTTATTACTATGTCATCACTGACAATCTCTTAACATTTTTGTTTTGGAATTTGGAGATGGAATCAATTTTAACCTTAATAAGTCTAATGATTTTGCCCCAAACAATGTCATTGAGGGAGATCTGGGGAGAAGGAAGGCTACAGAGTAGAGCATGTCACATTTTTTTAAAAAAATTATACTTTAAGTTCTAGGGTACATATGCACAACGTGCTGGTTTGTTATATATGTATACATGTGCCATGTTGGTGTGCTGCACCCATTAACTCATTCCCCCCACCCCACGACAGGCCCCTGTGTGTGATGTTCCCCACCCTGTGTCCAAGTGTTGTCATTGTTCAATTCCCACCTATCAGTGAGAACATGCGGTGTTTGGTTTTCTGTCCTTGTGATAGTTTGCTGAGAATGATGGTTTCCAGCTTCATCCATGTCCCTACAAAGGACACGAACTCATCCTTTTTTATGGCTGCATAGTATTCCACGGTGTATATGTGCCACATTTTCTTAATCCAGTCTATCACTGATGGACATTTGGGTTGGTTCCAAGTCTTTGCTATTGTGAATAGTGCTGCAATAAACATACGTGTGCATGTGTCTTTATAGTAGCATGATTTATAATCCTTTGGGTATATACCCAGTAATGGGATGGCTGGGTCAAATGGTATTTCTAGTTCTAGATCCTTGAGGAATCACCACACTGTCTTCCACATGGGTTGAACTAGTTTACTGTCCCACCAACAGTGTAAAGGTGTTCCTGTTTCTCCACATTCTCTCCAGCACCTGTTGTTTCCTGACTTTTTAATGATCGCCATTCTAACTGTGTGAGATGGTATCTCATTGTGGTTTTGATTTGTATTTCTCTGATGACCAGTGATGATGAGTATTTTTTCATGTGTCTGTTGGCTGTGTAAATGTCTTCTTTTGAGAAGTGTCTGTTCATGTCCTTCACCCACTTTTTGATGGGGTTTTTTGATTTTTTCTTGTAAATTTGTTTAAGTTCTTTGTAGATTCTGGATATTAACCCTTTTGTCAGATGAGTAGATTGCAAAAATTTCCTCCCTTTCTGTAGGTTGCCTGTTCACTCTAATGGTAGTTTCTTTTGCTGTGCAGAAGCTCTTTAGTTTAATTAGATCCCATTTGTCAATTTTGGCTTTTGTTGCCATTGCTTTTGGTGTTTTAGTCATGAAGTCCTTGCCCATGCATATGTCCTGAATGGTATTGCTTAGGTTTTCTTCTAGGGTTTTTATGGTTTTAGGTCTAACATTTAAGTCTTTAATCCATCTTGAATTAATTTTTGTATAAGGTGTAAGGAAAGGATCCAGTTTCAGCTTTCTACATATGGTTAGCCAGTTTTCCCAGCACCATTTATTAAATAGGGAATCCTTTCCCCATTTCTTGTTTTTGTCAGGTTTGTCAAATATCAGATGGTTGTGGATGTGTGGTATTATTTCTGAGGGCCTCTGTTCTGTTCCATTGGTCTGTATCTCTGTTTTGGTACCAGTACTGTGCTGTTTTGGTTACTGTAGCCTTGTAGTATAGTTTGAAGTCAGGTAGCGTGATGCTTCCAGCCTTGTTCTTTTGGCTTAGGATTGTCTTGGCAATGCGGGCTCTTTTTTGGTTCCATATGAACTTTAAAGTAGTTTTTTCCAATTCTGTGAAGAAAGTCATTGGTAGCTTGATGGGGATGGCATTGAGTCTATAAATTACCCTGGGCAGTATGGCCATTTTCACGATATTGATTATTCCTATCCATGAGCATGGAATCTTCTTCCGTTTGTTTGTGTCCTCTTTTTTATTTTGTTGATCAGTGGTTTGTAGTTCTCCTTGAAGAGGTCCTTCACATCCCTTGTAAGTTGTATTCCTAGATATTTTATTCTCTTTGAAGCAATTGTGAATAGGAGTTCACTCATGATTTCGCTCTCTGTTTGTCTGTTATTGGTGTATAGGAATGCTTGTGATTTTTGCACATTGATTTTGTATCCTGAGACTTGAGCATGTCACTTTTAAAGGTCTGGAAAGTGATGCCCAGAAAGTGACCTATCTGTTTCAACCTGAGGTTGACAGTGGAGATGAAGATCAATTTTCTGAAGGGCTAAGGTTGTATGTAACATTTTTATAAATCACAACCTATTAATTTAAATGAAGAATGTACCAAACTGGCTGGATAAGTGAGGAGAGAAATAAATGGCTATTACCTTGGAACATATACTCAGAATCTAAAGGAACTTAGTTCTCCCAGTTAGATGTTAGAAATGGTAAAAAGTTGGTGGTAAAAGTGCAGTCTTTCCCCCATCCCAATAATTTTCTTATTAGTTATATCAATTTTGAATTTGCTCTGTAGAAGCCTTTTTTTTTTTTTTTTTTGGAGACAGAGTGTTGCTCTGTCACCTAGGCTGGAGTGCAGTGGCAAGACCTTGGGGCACTGCACCCTCTGCCTCCCAGGTTCAGGGATCTGCCACCACACCAGGCTAATTTTTGTAGTTTTAGTAGAGACAGGGTTTCACCATGTTGGCCAGGCTGGTCTCAAACTCCTGGCCTCAAATGATCTGCCCGCCTTGGCCTTCCAAAGTGCTGGGATTACAGCATGAGCCACTGCATCTGGCCTGTAAAAGTCTTTAAAAATATTTTTATAAGAAGCCCAAAGATACAAAACTGTAGAAGCACACAACTAGATAACTCCAACCTCCTTGATTTGTCAAAGAGAAGAGTGAGCCTGAGTCACATTTCAGATGCCACTATGGCTCTGTTGAAAAGCTGTACATTTGAGATTACTAGTCAAACAAATCATGGAACCACTTTTTCATTTTATAAAATTCAGTCAATTAATTGTCCTCTTGCATGAGTTGTTTGGGTTCATATTCCTTTCTTCCTGTTGGTTTTAGCTTCCTTGTATCTGTTTCCTTCTCTAGCTGCAACTACTTTCAGCAGGTAGTGAAAAAATTTTCTTTTCCTCGGATCTTCTGTGTAATTCAAAATGGAATTTTCTGAAGCATTTGGGTCAACAAGTTACTCATAAGAATATATAAGTCATTGTTTAAGCAGTTCATGTTGATTATTTACTCCCCAAGATCATACTTGAGAAAATCCTTAGATATGGATATATTAGTTTCCTAGAGCTGCTATACAAAAGTACCACAAATAGAGTGGCTTAAACAACAGAAACATATCATCTCACTGTTCTGGAGGCTACAATTCTTGAAATCAGAGTGTGAGCAGGGACATATTCCTTTTAAAGGCACTAGGGAAGGACCTATTCCAGGCCTCTCTCCTAGTTTCTGGTATAGTTCCTTGGCTTGTGGCAGTGTAATTCCAATATTTACACGGCATTCACTCTGTGTGTGTACTGTTAAAAAAATTGGGGGTGGGGGAAGTCATTAGGCTGGGGCGGCTCCAGTGCTTTAAATTCCTAGGTAAGCAAACTGAAGCCCAATGTAAACAGTAAAACTAGAGTCATTTACCAAACAGATGCCACCAATGAACCTCTAACTAGAGATTTTACCAATAAGAAACTGCCAACTAATCTTTAGCTAGAGACTTTACCTATCAGAAACTGCCAGCTGATCTCTAACTAGGGTCTTTCCACTCCAACAAATTAAATATATTTTCTTTGTCTTATTTTCATGTCAACCTGTAAAAGCCTGCTGCCCATAATGCAGCAGCGGAGGTCTCTGAACCTCTTTTAGTTCTGAGTGCTGCCTAGTTTATGAATCGCTCCTTGCTCAAATAAATTTAATTTTGCCTAAAGTTTTTTTTCTTTTCTTTTTCTTTTTTTTTTAAAAAACAGTTTCTGTGCTCAAATTTTTGCCCTTCCTAAGGACACCAGTCTTATCAGAGGCCTACCCTATCCCAGTATGATCTTATTCTAATTTAAGTAATTTTATCTGCAGTGACCCTATTTGCAAACTAAGGTCACATTCTGAGATACTGGGTTTAAGACTTCATTCCATGAATTTTTGGGGGGACACAATTCAACCCATAACAATGGGTAAAATGAAAGGATTGTTAAAATAATTTAGGCAAAAAAACCCCACTTACCCACATTTGCTTGATAAATCCAAGTCAGTAGGACAAAAATTGATTATATGAGACACTTTCATTTTTGTTTAAGTTTGAATACCATTTAAATCAGAACTTTAAAGCCTGAAATCAAGCTCTGCTGAAAATGTTTTGTTTTTCTTAGGGCCTAGAGCTTAGGGGGAAAGACAGGGTGTACCTTTATTTCAATCCTATCCCAGGCCCTTTTGTTTCAAGAAGAAAATATAAAGATTTGGCAATGGCTAGACAGATATTACAATGTTTTTCTTGTGCTTCACGATACACTTAAAACTTTTGAGACTCTTCTCTCTTTCTTTCCTTATTCTATGGGAGTGTAGCTGCTAGTTGCTAGTACTTAGCTTTTGTTTTGTGTTACGCATAGGTAATATTTCTTTTTATGTTCCTTTTTAGCACAACCAATTGCTTGGAGAGAGAAACCATTCATTCAGTTAACATTTAATGAGTATCTGTTGTATACAGAATGTTTTTCTAGGTAGTCAAACAACACTCTGGGGTTGATTTAAGATGGGCTTTTAGCAACAAACAGTAGAGCTAGGTCAAGTCGATGATATTTTTAGCATGTGGTAGATTTAGCTAATTGAAATTTTCTTGCACTTCTTATTGTTGTGTTAATTATCCTTCATTTATTCTATAATCACTTTTTGAACTTTTAATCAGACACCTATTAAAGGTGCATCTGCTGAATTCTAAAATGTTATGTGACTGGATTTTACATATGTTAATTACTTGGAAGAATATAATTTACGGCTCCTCCCTTCCTTCCTTCCTTCCTTCCTTCCTTCCTTCCTTCCTTCCTTCCTTCCTTCCTTCCTTCCTTTCTTTCACAGGGTCTCACTCTTTCTCCCATGCTGGAATGTGGTGATGCCATCTCGGCTCCCTGCAACCTCTGTCTCCTGTGCTCAAGTGACCCTCCAGCCTCAGCCCCACAAGTAGCTGGGAATACAGGCATGAGCCACCATGCCCAGCTAACTTTTGTATTTTTTGTAGAGAGAGGGTTTCACCATGTTGCCCAGGCTGGTCTGAAACTCCTGAGCTTAAGCAATACACCCACCTCGGCCTCCCAAAGTGCTAGGATTACAGGTGTGAGCTACTGCACCTGGCATTTACAGTTTCTATATGCGCTTATTAATACAACTTTGAAAATTTATTTTCCCCATTTTTCTCTGCAGGTATTTGAAAGTGCAGTAGATCCTGGAGCTGTAGTAGACCTTTTGGAAAGTAGGTACTCTGAAAAACAAAACAAAAAACCAAAAGACTATTGTGTGTAATTCACAGATTCAAAACTCTGCTCTTTTCTAAACTGTGATATGTTCATGTTTGATGAATATTTATTTCAAGACAGCCTACGTAAAATTTGAATCACATTTTTGATTCTGTTACATACCCTTTTCTATATATAGATGGGCTTGGCTGGGCACGGTGGCTCACATCTGTAATCCCAGCACTTTGGGAGGCCGAGGCGGGTGAATCCCTTGAGGTCAGGAGTTTGAGACCAGCCTGGTCAGCATGGTGAAACCCCATCTCTACTAAAAATACAACAAAATTAGCCGGATGTGGTGGCACATGCCTGTAGTCCCAGCTACCTGGGAGGCTGAGGCAGGAGAATCGCTTAAACCTGGGAGGCGGAGGTTACAGTGAGCCGAAATCGTGCCATTGCACTCCAGACTGGGTGGCAGAGCAAGACTCCATCTCAAAAAAAAAAACAACAAAAAAACAAAAAAACTAAATATAGATGGGCTTTGATGGATAGTATGATTCTGTTTGGTTGTTTATTTATAAAAATTGTTTTTATGTGTTTCATTAAATTAGAATATTTTTATCACCACAAAAAGCGGCCCTATGCCCATTAGCAATCACTCCCTATTCCCCACCAGCCCTCCTAGCTATAGGTAACCACTAATCTTTCCGTCTGTATAGATTTGCTTATTCTGGATATTTCATATGAATGAGATTATACAACATGTGCTCCTTTGTGATTGAATTCTTAGTGTAATGTTTTCAAGATTCATCCATATTATAGCATGTGCCAGAACTTAATTTTTTGTATGGCCAAATAGTATTCTGTTGGATGAATATATCACATTTTGTTTTTCTAGTCATCAATTGATGGACATTTGGGTTGTTTCCACTTTTAGGCTATGATGAATAATGATGCTGTGAATATTTGTGTATAAGTTTTTGTGTGAACATATGTTTTAATGCCTCTTGGGTATACCTAGGAGTGAAATTGCTGGGTCATATTGATACAGGAGTGCTGGGAAGAGAAGAGAGTGGTACCTTTAAATGATATGGACCAGGGAAGGGAAGTGCTCGGTACAGGAAGGGTGTGGTCCCTGGCTAGGGCTCCATCCCCACAGACCTAGGTGAGGACAGGCACTCCTGCTTTCCCGCCCAAATGTTGCATTTCCCAAGACCATCCTGGCCCACCATGCCCCCATCCTGTGCCTGTAACAGACGGAGACCCTAGCAAGGCAGAGACAGAAGCGGCTGGACATCGAGAGGAGTACATTGGCACTGGCAGAACGACACGGAGTTTGGCCGGGGCAGTTGGAAGAGAGCCGGGGCTGCCGAGTGGCCCAACTCCAGGGGAAAACCATCTCCCTGCTGGCTCCCCCATCTGCTGAAAGCTACCCCCACTCAATAAAACCTCACACTCATTCTCCAAGCCCATGTGTGATCCTATTCTTCCAGTACACCAAGGCAAGAAACCCGGGGGTACAGAAAGCCCTCTGTCCTTGCGACATGGTAGAGGGTCTAATTGAGCTAACACAAGCCACCTATAGACGGCAAACTGTAAAACACACCCACTGGGGCTTCACAAGCTGTAAACATTCACCCCTAGATAGTGCTATGGGGTCGGAACCCCACAGCCTGCCCCCGTCTGTCTGCTCCTCTAGAGGTTTGAGCAGCGGAGCACTGAAGAAGCGAGCCACACCCCCATCGCACGTCCTGAGAGGGGGACAAAGGAGCTTTTCCCATTTCAATGTGGTAACTGTATGTTTAACCTTTTAAAGAAGTTTCACATTATTTACCAAAGCAGCTGAATCATTTTACATCCCACCAGCAATGTATGAGGGTTCCATTTTCCCACATCCTGGCCGACACTTGTTATTGTCTGTCATTTTGATTGGTAGTCATCTTTGTGGGTGTGAAGTGGTATCTCGTCATTGTTTTGATTTGCATTTCCCTGATGGCTAATGATATTGAACACATTTTCATGAGATATTTGGCCATTTGTGTATTTTCTTTGGGGGAAATGTCTATTCAGATCCTTTGCCTACTTTTTAATGGGGTCATTTGTCTTTATTTTTTGGTTTATTTTGAGACAGGGTCTCGCTCTGTCACCTAGCCTGGAGTGCAGTGGCACGATCATAGCTTACTGAAGCCTCAACTTTCTGGGCTCAAGTGATCTTCCCACCTCAGCCTCTGAAGTAGCTGGGACTATAGGCGCACAGCACCATGCCTAGCTATTTTTTGTTTTTGTTTTTGTTTTGTAGAGACAGGATGCCACTATGTTGCCCAGCTGGTCTTGAACTCCTGGTCTTAAGTGATCCTCTCTCCTGGGCTTCCCAAAGTGTTGGGGTTACAGACATGAGCCGCTGTGCCTGGCCTGTAAATGTTCTTTATATATCCTAGATACAAGACCTTTGTTAGATAGATGATTTGCAAATATTTTCTCCCATTCTAGAATTGTCTTTCACTTTCTTGATGGTATTTTTTTGAAATGCAAAAGTTTTTAATTTTGATGAATTTCAGTTTATCTATTTTTCCTTTGTTGCTTGTGCTTTTGGTGTCATATCTAAGAAACCATTGCCTAACTCAAGGTCATGAAGACTTACATCTATGTTTTCTTCTAATGGTTTTATAGTTTTGGCTCTTACATCTAGATGATTTATACTGTGTTGATTTTTGTAGACAGTGTGATGTTGGGGACCAACTTCATTCTTTTGCATATGGATATCCATTTGTTTTAGCACCATTTGATAAAAGACCATTCTTTCCCTCATTGAATTGTCTTGGTACCCTTGTTGAAATTCAGCTTACAGTAATGTGAGGGTTTACTTTTAGGGTCTCAGTTCTATTCTATTGATTCATATGTCTATTGTTATGCCAACACACAATCCTGTTACCGTAGCTTTGTAATAAATTTCAAAACCAGGAAGTGTAAATCTTCCAGCTTAGTTTTTCTTTTTCAAGACTACTATTTTGGTTCACTTGAGTTTCCATAAGAATTTTTCAATCATCTTGTCAATGTCTGCAAAGAAGCCAGCTAGGATATTGACAGGGATTCCATTGACTGTAGATCAATTTGGGGAGTATTGTCACCTTAACAATATTTTTGAAACATGAATGTGGGATGTGTTTCCATTCATTTAGGTTATTTTACATTTCTTTTTCCTTTTTTTTTTTTTTTTTTGGGACGGAATTTCACTCTTGTTGCCTAGGCTGGAGTGCAATCGTGCGATCTCTGCTCACTGCACCCTCTGCCTCCCAGGTTCAAGTGATTCTGCTGCCTCAGCCTTCCAAGTAGCTGGGATTACAGGCATGCACCACCACGCCTGGCTAATTTTGTATTTTTAGTAGAAACGGGGTTTCTGCATGTTGGTCAGACTGGTCTCGAACTCAGGTGATCCACCCGCCTTGGACTCCCAAAATGCTGGGATTACAGGTATGAGACACCGTACCCAGCCTTTAAATTTATTTTCAATGATGTTTTGTAATTTTCAGTTTACAAGTGTTGCATTTTTTGGTTAAATTTATTCCTAAGTACTCTGAAGCTGTTGTAAGTGGAATTTTTAAAAATTTCATTCTCAGGTTTGTTCAAGTTTATAGAGATCCAATTGATTTTGTTTTTGTTTTTGTTTTTGTTTGAGACAGAGTTTCATTCTTGTTGCCTAGATCTCTGCCTCCCTCATTCAAGCAATTCTCCTGCCTCAGCCTCCCTAGTAGCTGGCATTACAGGCATGCACCACCACACCCGGCTAATTTTTTGTATTTTTAGTAGAGACGGGGTTTCTCCATGTTTGTCAGGCTGATCTTGAACTCCCGGCCTCAGGTGATCCTCCTGCCTTGGCCTCCGAAAGTGCTGGGATTACAGGCGTTAGCCACCGCGCCTGGCCCACAATTGATTTTTATATACTGATATTTTATCCTGAAAACATACTGAACTTGTTTATTAGTTTTAGTAGTTTTTTGCTGATTCCTTAGGATTTTCTATATGCAAAATTATGTCATCTGCAAGTAGAAACAGCTTTACTTCTTCTTTTATAGTTTGTGCGCATTTTATTTCATTTTCATGTCTAATTTCCCTGGCTAGAATCTCCAGTACAGTATTGAATAGAAGCCGTGAAAGTGAGCATCCTTATCTATTTCCTGATAGTAGGGAAAAAGCATTCAGTTTTTCACCATTAGTTGTAATATTAAAATATGGTTTTTTATAAGTGCTCTATATCAGGTTGAGGAAGTTCCTCTTTATTCCTAGTTTACTGAGTTTTTATCATGAAGTAATGTTGAATTTTATCACACGCCTTTTCTACATCTATTGAGATGATCATGTGATTTTTTTATCCTTTATTTCATTGATATGTGATTTTTAGATATTAAACCAACCTTATGGTATATAAGCCTTTCTATATGTTGCTGGATTTGGTTTGCTAGTATTATGTTGAGGATTTTGGGATTTACAATCATAAGAGATATTGGTCTGTAGTTTTGTTTTCTTGTTATGTCTTCATCTGGTTTTGGTAATGCTAACTTCATGGAATCTGTTGGGGTATGTTCTGTCCTCTTCTCTGTTTTTGGAAGAGGTTGTGAATAATTGGTGTTAATTCTTAAGGTAGTATTTACCAGTGAAGCCATCT
Source organism: Homo sapiens (assembly GCF_000001405.40). Lineage (NCBI taxonomy): Eukaryota > Metazoa > Chordata > Mammalia > Primates > Hominidae > Homo > Homo sapiens. The sequence continues at coordinate 4,651,397 of NC_000009.12, read as the reverse complement.
GGACCTGGGCTTGTCTTTGGGTTGTTTTTTGATTACTAATTTAATCTCTCTACACATTATAAGTCTCTTCAGATTTTCTGTTTCTTCTTGAGTCAGTGTTATTAGTTTGTGTCTTTTTAGGAGTTTTTCCATTTCATTTATCTAATTCATTGGCATAAAGTTGTTCATAGTATTCCCTTAAAAATATTTTTATGGGAGCCCCCATCCATACAACAACAACAACAACAATTAGTGGGGTGTGGTGGCATGTGCCTGTGGTATTTGCTTCTCAGGAGGCTGAGGTGAAAGGATTGCTTGAGTCAGGGAGGTTGAGGCTGCAGTGAGCTGTGATCGTACCACTCTACCCCAGCTTGGGTGACAGAGCAGGACTCTGTCTTAAAAAAAAAATTATTTCTACGCCGGGCACGGTGGCTCATGCCTGTAATCCCAGCATTTTGGGAGGCCAAGGCGAGCAGATCACTTGAGCTCAGGAGTTCAAGACCAGCCTGGCCAATATGGTGAAACCGTGTCTCTATCAAAAATACACACACACACACACACACACACACACACACACACACACACACACACACAAGCTGGGTTTGGTGGTGCTTGCCTGTAATCCTAGCTACTTGGGAGGGTGAAGTGGAAGAATTGCTTGAGCCTGGGTGGCAGAGGTGGCAGTGAACTGAGATTGTGCCACTGCACTCTAGCCTGGGCGACAGAGCAAGACTCCGTCTCAAAAACAAACAAACAAAAAATTATTTCTGTAAAATCAGTGGTAATGTCTCTTCTTTCATTTCTGATTTTAGTAATTTGAGTCTTTTCTCTTTTTTCTTGGTTAGTGTAGCTAAAGGTTTGTCAGTTTTATTGATCATTTTAAACAACCAACTTTTAGATGTATTGATTTTCTGTGTTGCTTTTCTGTTTTCTATTTCATTACTTTCTGCTTAATCTTTATTATTTTCTTTCCTCTGTTTGCTTTAGGTTTAGTTTGCCCTTTTGTGTTCCCAGTGTCTTAAGGGTGAAAAGTGTGTGGATGGTATGACTTTTATTTACATTTTTAAGCTTTATGAAATTTGCAACTGAGATGTTACTCAGTTGAAAGAATTAGGACCAAGGTCACAGATAATAGCAGAATATAGAGAAAGGACCAGACACAAGTACCAAGTGAGCTGAGGCCATACTGGGTAGAAGTCAGAATGGGAGCAGGCTAGGTCTCAGGCTGGCATACCAGGTAGATTGAAGAGTTTGACATTAGGCAAAGAGTGAGTAAGTACCTACAGAGGTAGCATAGGTTAGGGTAGTCACTGAGCAAGTATGTGTCTCATGAAGCCAACAAGGCAATTGGGTATAAAAAATGATGGCTTTGGCATTTGACCTTTTAAAAAGTAGATTCAATACCCAAGTTGATTTCCTGCATTTATATTTCTACCTGAATCTTAAAAAGCAGGAAGGTGAAACATCTCTCTGAGATGGGTCACATCTGTAAGAACACTGATTCTCTCAAGCCTCTTTAAATTCAGAAAAAAAATTCAGCATTTCAAATGATCCTGCAAGAATTGGGATATTTTCATTTCATTTCCCAATATTAACCCTGGGAGGTGTAATGAAGCATAAAAGGACATAACAACCATTCTCTAGGTCACTCATTAATGATTTCCTTTGTCCTTGATATTTAAAGCAAGTATGAATTACGTGATGCCATTCCAGAAGGCAATTAAAAGGTGTAGTTATTTTATCAAGCATCCTAATTAACTCGCTCTGTGGAAGAATAGGATTTTTCAGTGAAGTATCTTGCGGATAAGAGGACAGTCCCTGAGAACTGACTACTTGGGTTCAAATACAGCCCTGTCACTGTTAGCCAGTGTGACCTTGTCCACATTACTATAGTTTCCTCTTTGAGATTTAGTTTCTTCATTCATAAAAATGAGGATAGCCATTGCATTGGACTCATAGAGTTATGATGAGAATTAATTGACTATATAGAATTTAGAGCCTGACCATAATCAAAAAATCAAAAAATAGTAGATGTTGGCATAGATGCAGTGAACAGGTAATACTTCTACACTGCCGATGGGAATGTAAACTAGTACAACCACTGTGGAAAATAGTGTAGAGATTCCTTAAAGAACTAAAAGTAGAACTATCATTTGATCCAGCAATCCCACTGCTAGGGTATCTGTCTACCCAGAGGAAAAGAGGTCATTTTATGAAAAAAATACTTACACACGCATGTTTATGCAGCACAATTTGCAATTGCAAAAATGTGGAACCAATCCAAATGCCCATCAATCAACGAGTGGATATAGAAACTGTGATATGTGTGTGTGTGTGTGTGTGTGTGTGTGTGTGTATATTTCTATATTCCATTATATATGATGGAATACTACTCAACCATTAAAAGGAATGAATTAATGGCATTAGCAATGACCTGGATGAAATTGGAGACTATTATTCTAAGCGAAGTAACTCAGGAATGGAAAATCAAACATCGTATATTCTCACTCATAAGTGGGAGCTAAGCTATGAGGATGCAAAAACAGAAGAATGACATAATGGACTTTGGGGACTCAGGGGGAAAGGGTGGGAAGGGAGTGAGGGATAAAAGACTACAAATAGGGTGCAGTGTGTACTGCTCGGGTGATGGGTGCACCAAAATCTCACAGATCACCACTAAAGAACTTATGTATTTATTTATTTAATTTATTTATTTTTCGAGACGGGGTCTCGCTCTGTCGCCCAGGCTGGAGTGCAGTGGCGCAATCTCGGCTCACTGCAAGCTCTGCCTCCCGGGTTCACGCCATTCTCCTGCCTCAGCCTCCCGCGTAGCTGGGACCACAGGCTCCCGCCACCACGCCCGGCTAATTTTTTGTATTTTTAGTAGAGACGGGGTTTCACCGAGTTAGACCAGGATGGTCTCGATCTCCTGACCTTGTGATCCGCCCGCCTCGGCCTCCCAAAGTGCTGGGATTACAGGCGTGAGCCACGGTGCCCAGCCAAGAACTTATAATCAAACACCATCTATTCCCCAATAACCTGTGGAAATAAAAAAATTTTAAAAAAAGAATTTAGAGGCTGAATCAAACTAAGTGCTTAAATTACTATTGGGGTGATGGTTGGCAAATATATATTCCCTCCTCTCATTTTGAAAGCCTAAAGTTTCAGTCTGTCTTGGTTTTTAAGTTTCTTGGCATTAAAGTTTTGTCCTATGAATTCAAATTTTTTTCGTAAATCTACAAAGTTAGAATTTTACTTTTGTTGTCTGTTTAACATGTTTTCATGGCTGGGCACAGTGGCTTATATCTGTAATCCCAACACTTTGGGAGGCTGAGGTGGGCAAATCACCTGAGGTCAAGAGTTTGAGACCAGCCTGGCCAACATGGCGAAACTCCATCTCAACTAAAAATACAAAAAGTAGCTGGGCGCTGTGGTACGTGCCTGTAGTCCCAGCTACTCGAGAGGCTGAGGCAGGAGAATCGCTTGAACCTGCAAGGTAGAGGTTGCAGTGACCCAAGATCGCACCACTGCCCTCCACCCTGGGTGACAGAGTGAGGCCCTGGTTCAAAAAAAAAAAAAAAAACTAAAATGTTTTCACTTGTTATGTTATTTTGTGAGAATTATCTTTATTGATTTTTTAATTGTTATAATTGCACCAACCTAATATATCATTTAAGTTATCTTAAAGATCTGAATTTTATTCTTGTCCTTATTTTAATTTTATTCTTGTCATTCTACATAGGTTTGCCATTTCTAAATATATTTTGAACTCAAGAAAAGTTTAAAAAGTTTTATATATATATATTTTTTGTTTGTTTGTTTTGTTTTAAGATGGAGTCTCACTCCATTGCCAAGGCTGGAGTGCAGTACACAATCTTGGCTCACTGCAGCCTTCACCTCCCAGGTTCAAGCAATTCTGCTGCCTCAGCCTCCCGAGTAGCTGGGATTACAGGCATCTGCCACCATGCCTGGCTAATTTTTGTATTTTTAGTAGACACGGGGTTTCACTATGTTGGCCAGGCTGGTCTCGAACTCCTGACGTCAGGTGATCCGCTCACCTCGGCCTCCCAAAGTGCTGGGATTACAGGCACGAGCCACTGTGCCTGGCCTTGAAAAGTTATATTTTATGTATAATTTGTATAGTCATATTGCACAATGTTGTAAGCAAGATAAACTTTTGTATGTTAATGGATAACAAGTGGATTTTGAATATTTAAGATGAAAATTGCATTGTTATTTTAGAGCTCTATGTATGTATACACTTATTTATTTATTGTATACACTTTTAGGAGACAAATATTGCATCTTTTTTTTTCAATACTTTTCAGGAGGTGAAATGCTTTTTTTTTTAACTTTTAGGTTTAGGGGTATATGTGCAGGTTTGTTATATAGGTGAACCCGTATCATGGGGATTTGTTGTACAGATTGTCACCCAGGTATTAAGTCTAGTATCCAATAGTTATTTTTTCTGATCCTCTCTCTTCTCCCACCCTTCACCCTCAAGTAGGCCCCAGTGTGTATTGGTCCCCTCTGTGTGTCCATGAGTTCTCATCATTTAACTCCCATTTTTAAGTGAGAACAGGCTGCATTTGGTTTTCTCTTTCTGCATTAGTTTGATAATGGCCTCCAGATCCTTCAAAAGACATGAACGCTTGTTCTTTTTTATGGCTAGTGAAATGCTATTTTTTATAATTCTGTTATTCTCATTCCACTCTCTTGATTGGTTAATTCTAGAAATACCTGATTTGATGTTGGTTTGGCAGTTATTTTTAATTATTATTTTTATTATTATTACTATTAAGTGGGTTTTATGACAGTTTAAAACTTAATAATTATTGAAAGACTGTGGCAATTTTTGGAAGTATTAAAATCTCATTTTTTCCTTTTTAGGCTTCCTAGCCAGGTTTGAATTAATACAGCTAGTTCCTCCAGGTAATGTGGCAGTAAATCCGTTTCTAAATTAGCTTAATATGATTTTAAAATAAATTTGGCCTGTCAAAATGGGGACTGTACTTAAGAGTTGTGTTTGAAAATAACATACAACTTTATGTGTCTGTAAGTTTATATAACACATGCCTTTTTTCTGCCAATCTATTAAATTTTGTCTATTTTCAGAATAATAACTTTATGGTGTTTCATGGCAGGGAGCATAACTTAAACAGACTCCTTGTCTTTCCATTTTTTAATAACTTTATCTAATTATTAAATAATTTTTTCAGTCCTGGCTTAGCTGATTTCAAGTTTTGGCCTTTGGCTGTGTTCTAATTTGTGGGGTGTGTGTGTGTGTGTGTGTGTAAAACCCTAAGACATTTTCATTGTTAGATGCTAGAACAGGGTTGGTAAACTATAGTCCCCAGCCAAATCCAGCCTGTAGGCCATTGTTGTATGGCCCGTGAACTAGAAATGGTTTCCACATTTTTTATTGCGATTTAAATCATATATAATTCGTCATTTTCAAATGTACAATTCAGTTGGTTTTCGTATGTTCATAAGATTGGACAGCCATCACCACTAATTCCAGAACATTTTCATTACCCCAAAACGAAATTCTGTATTTATTAGCAATCATTTCCCATTCCTTCCTCCTCCAGGCCCTGGCCACCACTAATTCTATCTCTGTTGATTTTCTCATTCTAGACATTTCATATAAATAGAAGCCTACAATATGTGGCCTTTTATATCTAGTTTCTTTCACTTAGCCTAATGTTTTCAGGGTTCAGCCATGTTGTAGCATGTATCAGATTTTAATTCCTTTTTGTGCCTGAATAATATTCTTCTATATGGATTGGGTAATGAGGGCTCTACCATTGTGAATGGGTTAATCTATTCATGGATTAATGTACTGATGGGTTATCGTGGGAGTCAGACTGTTGGCTTTATAAGAGGAGGATGAGAGACCTGAGCTAGCATGCTCAGCACCCTCACTATGTGATTCCCTGTGTCACCTGGCTACTAAGCAGAGTCCCCACCAGCAAGAAGGCCCTCACCAGACACAGCCCCTCAACCATGGACTTCTCAGCCTCCATAACTGTAAGAAATAAATAGCTTTTTAAAAATAAATTACCCAGTTTCAGGTATTCTGTTATAAGCAACAGAAAATAGACTAAGACATTTCTACTTTTTGGATGTTATAAATAATGCTGTTTTGAATATTAATGTACAAATTGTTGTATATTTGCTTTTAGTTCTTCTGTGTGTATACCTGGGAATGGGGTATATGGTAACTGTTTAACTTTGTGAGGAACTGCCAAACTATTTTTGGTTTTTACATTTTTAAATGGTTGGAAATAATTTTTGAAATGAATATTTAGTGATGTGAAAATTATATGAAATTCAAATTTCGTTATTCATAAATACAGGTCTTTTTTGAACATAGCCATACTCATTTGTTTAAGTAGTGTTTATAGCCACTTTTGCAGAACAATGACAGAGGTGAGTAAATTTGAACAGATGGCCTACAAAGCCTAAAACATTTAGTAGTCTGACCCTTTACAGAAAGTCTGTGACCCCTGTGCTAGAATCATGAGATTCTAGGAGGAAGCTGTTCTGTGGTACTTTTGCTATGCAGTGTGTCTTGAGTGACATAAGACCTGAGCTGGTGAGAGAGGTTAGGACCTGCCACCCAGTGGCACCAATTCTCATAAATAGCCTTTCAGTATAGCTATCTGGTGATTTTAGGGTTGTTGGCATAGAAGTGTGTGTGTGTGTGTGTGTGTGTGTGTGTGTGTGTGTGAGAGAGAGAGAGAGAGAGAGAGAGAGAATACTGAAAACTCAGAAAATTCTCCTCTGATCTCTGCTATTACGCATTTCTGCTTTTTTTCTTTCTCAAAATGAAAACAGCTTCATAATTTTTACTTGTAAAAAGCATTCCCACATCACGTAATCCTGAGAGAATCTTTATTTATATTTTGATGAACATATTTCTTGATATTTCTCTGTAGATAGAAGAACACATAGATATGGAATTTTTACATAGCATAGTTTTTTTTCTGTTATTAGCTTTCCCCCTTGTATGTCACCATTATATTGTTGTTTAAATTTTTTAAATTTAATTTTATTTTTTATATATATTTTTTGAGACAAGATCTCACTCTGTCACTCAGACTGAATGCAGTGGTATGACCTCCTGGGCTTGAGCAGTTCTCCTGCCTCAGCCTCCCAGTAGCTGGAACTACAGGCATGCACCATGCCCAGCTACATTTTTTTTTTTTTTTTTTTTTTTTTTTTTTTTTTTTGCAGAGATGGCATCTTACTATGTTGCCTAGGCTGGTCTCAAACTCCTGGATGCAAGTGATTCTCCCACCTTGGCCACCCAAAGTGCTGGGTTTATAGGCATGAGCCACCATGCCTTGCCTATGTTGTCATTTCTAAATGCATAAATCTACATCTTTTTTTTTCAAATTGATTTTTTTGAGACAGAATCTAGCTCTGTTGCCCAGGCTGGAGTGCAGTGATGCAAGCTCAGCTCACTGTAACATCCACCTCCCGTGTTCAAGTGATTCTCCTGCCTCAGCCTCCTGAATAGCTGGAATTATGGGCACCTGCCAATGCGTCCAGCTAATTTTTGTGTATTTTTTGTAGAGTCAGGGTTTCACCAAGTTGGCCAGGCTGGTGTCGAACTCCTGACCTCAGGTGATCTGCCTGCTTCGGCCTCCCAGAGTGCTGGGGTTACAGACGTGAGCCACTGCCCCCGGCCTACATCATTATTTTGATAGCTATAAAGAATTTTATTAATTTACATATGTGTTTTTTATAGGTCTATAAATAGTATTTCCATAGTATTTTGGGTTTTACTTTTCTTACTTTACATTATTACCTGTAGTTTACTTGTCATTTTCAATAGCTGTGTATTTTTCCATAGTGGTGGTGTTATCCATAAATTAATATTGTTGAGCATTTAGATTTTCTTTTTTTCCACATTTTTATAAAAATATTTCTCTCTTGGTATATTTACAAATAATAGAATTACTAGATTGAACCATGCCTTTTAAACTGGGGTAAACTGATCCCCAATAAGGTTCCAATACTTCTACTGCATCCAGGAGTGCATGGCATGCCCCTTCCCCATATCCTAGTTAATGCTGGATACTGTCAATTGGATTTGTTGTGTTTGCAAAGTATGTCATGGCTCACGCTTATAATCCCAGCACTTGGGGAGGCCAAGGTGGGCGGATCATGAGGTCAGGAGTTTGAGACCAACCTGGCCAACATAGTGAAACCCTGTTTCTACTAAAAATACAAAAATTAGCTGGGAATGATGTCAGGTGCCTGTAATCCGAGCTACTTGGGAGGCTGAGACAGGAGAACTGCTTGAACCCGGGAGGCAGAGGTTGCAATGAGCTAAGATTGCACCACTGCACTCCAGCCTGGGCCACAGAGCCAGACTCCATCTAAATAAATAAATAGATAAAAATATATTTTATCCTATTTTATGATCTATCTCCCTTTTAGATGTGACTGTGACAACCTTAAATTTAAAACTTCTTAAAAATTTTCATTTTCCCATATTATGATTTGTTTTCTTTCTTTCCTTCTGTATAAAGTGACTGTCACTGTCCTTTGATTACTTATGGAGTGATGTCTGGATATAAATGTTGATTTTGTTATAAATTCTTATTTTTAACAATGTTTTCAATCAGTTATGCTTAAAACAGTTATATTTTCCCTGTTTTGTTGTGTTATTTTGATGTTTTATGGTGTGTGCTTTTCTTTTTCTTAAGAGAGCATGGGAGAAGGAAGATGAGACTAGCAAATGTCTCAACTAAAGCAAAGAGGACTGAGGAGGCTTTTGATAGGGATCATAGTCCTGCCTGCTGTGGATATCACTGGAGCAGGTCAAGGGCCCAAGTGAAGTGCAGTGAACCCAGGAGTCTGTAGTTCTTTCTTCTGCTTCTTGGTTCTTTGGCAAAGGCTGCCGCTGGAGACAGAAAAGAACCCCACTCTGTGAATTTAAGAATAGGTGCTTTTGGAGATGTCATTACCTTCATAGGTAGACGGAACTGAGCAGGTGCCTCCTGACTACTTTTCAGAAATTCTCACTGAATGTTTTTCAGCCTAAAAGTGACAGGCTGAAATCAGGGCATTGAGTTTTTTTCCATAAGTTTTTTATTCTTATTTGACCCAATTTTATGTTCAAACATATATCACTGCTGGCACATTATATTTTAGTATGCTGAGGAAGTAGAAGCATGCCCACTTTGGTCTTATTTAATTTTACATGGATTTTAAAAAAGTTACTCAATACCTAAGTAATCTCACTATAAAAAATTTAACACGAAAGTATGTAAAAGAAAATGTCAAAAGCCCATTCAACAATCCCTGACAGATAATTACCATTAACAATTTGATGTGGGCCAGGTATGGTGGCTTGCGCCTGTAATCCCAGCACTTTGAGAGGCAAAGGTGGGTGGATTGCTTGAGCACAGGAGTTCAGGTACAGCCCGGGAAACATGGTGAAACCTCATCTCTACTGAAAATAAAAAAATTAGCTATGTGTGCTGGTGCATGCCTGTAGTCCCAGCTACTTGGGAGGCTGGGGAGGTCACCTGAGCCAAAGAGGTTGAGGCTGCAGTGAGCTGTGATCTTGCCACTGCACTCCAGCTTGGGCAACAGAGTGAGACCCTGTCTCAACAAAACAAAACAGAACAAAACAATTTGATGTGTGTCTTTTTAAACCTTCTAAAATGCATTTAGTACATTCAGCCAACCGTAAAATAACCACACATGCACGCGCATACCCTATATATAGTTGGACCTTCTGATTGTCAAGTTCCACATCCATGAATTTGGCTAACCATTACTCGAAAATGTAGTTAGGCCTATGATGGTTGTGTCTGTACTGAACATGTACAGACTTTTTCTTGTCATTAGTCCCTTAACAATACAGCATAACAACTATTAGATAACATTTACATTATGTTAGGTATTATAAGTAATCTAGAGATGATCTGAAGTATACAGGAGGATGTGCATAGGTTATATGCAAATATTACACCATTTTATTTCTTATTTTTAATGTTTTATTATTATGCTCTTTTTACCTTCGACCAACTCACCGCAACTACACCATTTTATATCAGGGACTTGAGCATTCATGGATATTTTCATATCTGCAAGGGTTCCTGAAACCAACCTCCTGTGGATACTTAGGGATGACTATATATTAAATACAGTATATATAAACACGAATATATTTAGTATTTAGTATATATAGTTACGTGTGTATATATTTTATGGTTGTTGAATATACTAAATGTTGGTTTTCTGGTCTCTTGAAAGACATATGACAGTCCAAGATATACTGCATTTTAAAAAGTCAGTTGCAGAATATGTATTTTCAACATATATACACACACACCTATATATATGTTGACTATATATATTCTGCAACTTGCTTGTTAAAACTTAATATGTCTTGGAGTGCTATATGTTTTTCATGTGACAAGAAGCCCATCTGTGAAAAGGTTGCAAGAATAGTTGTTTGAAAAGAATGATTGCAGAATATTCTAGCTGAGTGCATAAATACTGGTTATAACTCAAAAATTAATAAGATGCACAATGGGAACTGTGTTATACTTGTTTTTTTAATTTACAATCTCTCAATTTCAGATTATAATTTTAGTGGAATTAAATTTGAATTGCTCAAAATAACAATTGATTTTACTTAGCTTCAGATGTAGTACAGTTTGATCCATTAATTTGTTCAAGGTATGTTTTTACAGGCATACTTTGCACATGATCTACACTGTGCCAGTCTTCCTAGTGTGATGCTGGTGGCTCCGGGCACGTAGTAGTGGCAGTGAGCCCTCATGATCTGCTGATCCTTGATACTAGCAAAAATTTTTTTTTTTTCTTAAAGTTTCCTGTGGACTGCACTGTGGGGTCACATGGGCCATATTTGGGTTCTCAGGGACCAATTTCTCTATTGGCTGAATTGTTACCTTTTCATTTAGCTGTATTTATTGCTTGATATTTTTTCTCATTGCTTTCAAACACACTTATACTCAAAAGACATGTTATGATCATTAAGTTAATGGTACAAGTAAATTAATAATACAAGTAATAATATCCAGATGTGCATATAGCTTTACTGCTAAAGAATGAAGAAGTCTAGTGATCTTTGCTGCCAAGAAATAAAGACCCTTCCTGTTCTTCAGTTTACAAAGGTGGGAAAAAAGGAATGGACACAGGGGGGCAGCGTGATCCTGTTCCACAGTGAGCTTGATGCTTTCTTTTTATTAACCTCTGAGATAAATACCTTCGCTTTGGGTAAGTCAGGTATATTCAGTCCAACTGTAAAAGCCTATTCTAGTGGGCACCCATTCACTTAACAGGGCTTAATTTTATACTTTTATAGCAGTGCTTTTATAGCAATATTTTATACTTTCATAGCAATGCTTTTATACTTTTATAGGCATTAGCAAGGAAAGAACTTTTGCCTCAGATTATTTGGTTTTGAATTCCTTCTTTGCCATGTGGTATCACTAGCCGTGTGGCATCATGACAGGTCAAACTCTCAGAGCCTCAGTTTCCTTATCTGTAAAGAGGGAATCAAATGTGATCCTGCATCTGGAAGCGCGCTGTCAATTCTGACATGCTCTAAAAATGTTGGATATTCCTTCAGCCAATGTTGTTATTAAAATTGTTATTTCTCTTAAAGTCTCATTTGTTTCCTTTTTGGGGGAGAAGTTCGTTGATGCCATTGATGATGTCACTGTCTGTGTAATTAGCTCTTAAGAAGAACATTGAGTTCTTTCAGATACTTCCCTTGACCTATAAGACTTGTTCAGCCTGTGAATATGTTTATTATTTCTAACCTAGGCTCTTGCTGTACCATCCTCTTAGTGTGCTGACGTTTTCACACTTGGTGGCAGTTTGGATTTCTAGAAAATGACCACACCAGAGAGACTGTCTTGAGAAGCTTCATAGCCTTCTATTTATTTGTCTAACCCTGTTTCAGTCTATTTTTATTCCTGTGATTCTGAAGATAGGGTATGAGCTCCCTTTCAATTTTCCAGCCTCTTACTTTTATCTAAATTCTTGATAAACACAGGAATAATAATGTAGCAGCTATCCTTTAGATGCAGGGACAAGAAGTAGCCAAAAGCATATGAAAGGAAAGAGGAAAAAGGAAAGGCCTCCTGTGTAGAACATCATATCATGCATCTAGGTGTTTGTTCCCAGTAGGAACATAATGATGTTTACAGAAACCAAAGCAGTTCTGGGGCCGCTGCTGGGCTGGTGTCAGGGAGCAATCGTGGTAATGGTAGGCAATGTCAGGTGCTATGCTGTGCATTCTACATGGCTTTGTCATTCGTCTTTACAGTAGTCTTAAAGGGCAGGTGCAATGACAGTTTTTACATTTTCTTGAAGAGGAGACTGAAGTTAAGTAGTTTACATGATTTGCCCCAGATCACATAGTTGGTAAGTGGTGGAGCAGGGATTTGAACCCAACCCTGCCTGACCCTAGAACTTGAATTTGTGGTGCGCGTCTGTAGTCCCAGTTACTCGGGAGGCTGAGGCAGGAGAATCGCTTGAACCCGGGAGGCGGAGGTTGCAGTTAGCTGAGACTACGCCATTGCACTCCAGCCTGGGTGACAGGGCGAGACTCCATCTCAAAAAAAAAAAAGAAAAGAAAAGAAAAGAAAAGAAAAGAGTTCTTAACACTATAAGCTTCAGGAGAAAGTTGGGTTTTGTTGCTAGTGATAGCTGGGGAAATTGACACATCACTTTCCATTTGCAGGTTGTACTTCAGAGTTTCTGGATGGAGGCAGAGTCTGTTTTTGGCCAACAAGGGTGGGAGGATTATACCCATCACAGGGAGCATTGTCAGAGGAGCATGGTTGAAGAAGGCCAGGATGAGACTAGTAAATGAAGCAGATAATTGATGTTACAATTACACCCATTGGCTGGGCGTGGTGGCTCACACCTGTAATCCCAGCACTTCGGGAGGCTGAGGCAGGCGGACCACCTGAGGTCAGGAGTTTCAGAGCAGCCTGGCCAACGTGGTGAAACCCCGTGTCTACTAAAAGTACAAAAATTAGCCAGGCTTGGTGGCGGGGTGCCTCTAGTCCCAGCTGCTTGGGAGGCTGAGGCAAGAGAATCACTTGAACCCAGGAGGCAGAGGTAGCAGTGAGCCAAAACTGTGCCACTGCACTCCAGTCTGGGCAATAAGAGCGAGACTCCGTCTCAAAAAATAATAATAATAATAATAATTACACCCATCTTCCCTCCTGTCTTCCTAGCCTCTCTATCTCTTTATTCCTAGTAATTTACTCTTATGGAAATTAATTTTTAATTATACCTTTATTTGTATAATTGTTTAATACTCTTAGACTGTAAGCTCCTGGAGGGCATTGATTATATTTATCTTCTTCACTAGTGTAAATCCAGTGTCTATAAGTCTTACTACATAGGAGGTTCTCAATGAATGAAGTGTTTTTTGAATGTATGAATGAAAATAAATTATTGGAAAATGAATGAAGGGTAAGAGTTGGAAAAGCTTTCAGAGAACATTTAGTCTCTCTCCTTTTTTTAACAGTGTGGAAACTGAGTCTCCAAGAGGGTAGCTAATGCTTATTGAGTGGCTAACGTAAGCTGGAACTTAAGCAAGTTATCTTACTTTAGTCCTCATGTTCATTCATTTAAGAAGCATTTGTCAGGTCCCCATTATGTCCCAAGTGTTGTTCTACAGGTTTGGGGGCAGCATCCAGGATGCTGCACTTCACCACTCATCTCAGAACATCATTGAAGTTCAATTTTAAAATGTCTACCGTTAGTGATATTTCAGGGGGCTTGTTGAAGATGCTGACAGTGAGGCCCCTTTTCAGGTGTGATTGTCTTGGCTGGGCCCTGTATTGATTGAACTGCTCTGAGTTCACACCTTTCTAGGGACAGCCCTGCCAGCAGTAGAATAATGTACAGAAAAGACAAAGTCACTGTTTTCATGGAGCCTTGATGGAAGCAGATCACGAATAAATACATGAACAAAAATATCAATTAGTGGTAAATCTTACGTTGAAAGTAAAATAGGGTATTGTGATGGGGAGTGTCTGGGAAGGAGTGCTCTGTTAGGTTGGGTTGCCACCTTCTGATAAGATGACATTTAAACCAAGCCTGTTATTCAGTAGGAAGGAGCCAGCCATGCAGAGACCCAGAGAGGGAACCTTAGAGGGAGGAAGAACAATAAGGCAAAACCGTTATGTGGAGGAGAGCTTGGCGTGTTTGAGGGACAGCAAGAAGGGTAAGGGATGACAGGGAACGATGATCAAGGGGGAGAGTGGCAATAAATGAATTAGGAGAGATTATTAGAAGCCTGATTATATAGAGTCTTGAAATCTAGGGTAGGGTGCTTAGATTTTATTCTAATGCGATGGGAAGCCCATTGGAAGGTTTTAAGCAGGAGAAAGGCAGTCTGATGTATTTAAAACGTTGCAGCGTGCGGACAATGGATTTGAGTGCAGGAGAATGGAGGCAGGGAGATCAACTACAGCCATGGCAGTAATGCAGGAGAGCATGCATGGTGGAAGTACATTGCTGAGGAGGGAACATCAATCCATTGTGGCTGGAGCGTGGCTGGGAGCACACGAGTGGGAAGAAATGCTATTTATGATGAAAAATATAGAATAATTTCTTTTTGCACTTTGATTCTTTCCTCGGTAGAACTGAAACATTAATATTAAATGGAGTTAGTAGGAGGAAGAATTTAATACATCATATTATTTGATGTAAGGTCAATTATGTTCTACAGTTGATGTACTGAAAACAAAGCAACCCTCATCAGAATTCTTCTCATAAGTAAAGTGGCAGCCACTAAATAGCAAAACTGCCTCATTGGCTATAGTTACTTTTTTGATGGTCCTCTGTGCGGGGACCACTCTCAGTCCAGATCACTTGTGTGGCACCTGCTGTGTGGTCAAAGGTGATTCAGATGGTAGCTTTCTGTCCTTCGGCTCAGTAATTGTTCATCCCATTAGACCCAAGATCTTTTGGTAATGAGTATTTTGTAGTATCCCTTTTATGATACTGAAAATATTTGTAGTTAATATAATCAACTTATACAAGTCACTGTAAAAAATTAATATAATATTCTGATTGTAATATAAAGGAAAAATGAAAGTGGTTTATAATAAAATGTATATGTTAATATGTAAGTATCAAGCATAATGAAGCATTTAGATGGGACATGATTTCCAAAATATCAAACAGGTCTGGTTAAAGATCCAAACAAAACAAAATACAATTGTTCCTTGATTTACACGGTACTTGGAAAAATTCAGTGTATTTCCAAATTATGCAAAAAAAAAAGGCTTTGTGTTTACATGCAACATAGTTATATAATTATTTTCAGTTACATAGTTAGTTAAGTTCTAGGCTCAGACAATTATAAAATAGTTTTTAGCCTGCAAGAATGTTTGCAGAATATTAGAAAGTCACTGGGGATGGGGGAGATAGTGTGATGTGCATGAGTGTCTTGAGCACTGCAGAACTCCCTCACACCTCTGGCTACTGCCCCTGAAATATTTCCACAAATGTCCAAAATGTCCTCGGGGTTGGTACCCCTGCTGAGAATCACAGCTGTAGCTGTCATCTGGGCCCTTGGCATCCATGCATCACAGAACACATTGAACCCCAGTCTAAACTGTAAAGTTGTGTGAACAATGCTATGTCCACCTTGTTCCTGTTCTATCCTCAGTGCCTGGGTTAAGGTTTATCATTAGTAAAAATTTGTTGCAGGAAAAATTGGATGGATATATGGAAAGATAGTTTTTCCTTTTTGTTCTATTTTGTAGAACATCTCTTTAGTCTTTTTTTCTCTGTTATGACTTTGGAAGGCTTTAAAAAATTATCCACGAGATAAAAAGTAGTAGAAATTAGTCTCCTCTTGAATAACATGTGCTAGGATCAATATGTCTATTTTTACCTGAGTGCCATCTCTGCCATCATCTGCCTGAACTTTTATTTTGTTAAGCCTGGAGGTGTAAATACAGATATTTATGCTTTTTCTATTTTCTTTCTAGTGTGGGATGAGTTGGCCTACTACGAAGAAAACACACGAGATTTTCTTTTCCCAGAGCCCAAGCTGACACCTTCGCACCCTAGGAGGTGTAGGGAGGTGCTCATGAAGACGGCTCTGGGTTTTCCAGTAAGTGATTCATGCTCATCTGGGCTTCTATTAGGAGAGAAACTCTTGGGACCTGAACGTTTTATTCCTGACAGGGTTTGATCTTTATCTTGGTTAGTACCCCTGCTGTTCTGTTTAGTAGCTCTGTTTTGATGCCCAACTCAAGGTACCAAATTATACTGATTTCCAGTATTGATCTGAGAGGTGGAAGTTTTATCTAATCAGGCTGAAATCATTGCCATATTTACATTGTCACATAGTTATAAAAGCCTCCTTTTGTTGCAGATTAACAGTAAGATTTGTTTGTTTAGTTATAGCTATTATGACTAAATAGAGTAGCGACAGTAGTTATCTTTATTTTGCGCTTTCAATTTTTTACGTAAGATATTTTTCTCCCAACAATTCTCAAGTTAGCCAAGGCAGATATGGTCTCCATTTAACAAAGAGGAAACTGACAGAGGCTCGCAAATTGATATTACTGAAGGATCTTGAAGGATGTAGCAGATATTCCGTTGATAATTTAATTCTTTGGGGGGCATTATCTGAACCCAAATTCAGGATACTCATTTTGATGTTGTCTTTGACGATTTCTATTCCCACAGCAACCCTGACGATTTTCTTGACTTTTCCATCACTTGAATGATCTCCATTTAAAAGGCCACACTTTTGAGAATTATAAAAAATATTTTGATACTCAGCGTTTCTCGTATTGCCCCATGAATTTCAATTAATATAATTTGTTATTGTTTCTACTTTGTTGAGAGTACTGTGCAGAATATATTTAATATAACAGTCAGGACCTCTGTTTCTATGAAGCTTATCATGACAGAGCTTCTAATACATCAAACAGCAAGCATTCATTAAAGGTTGTCCTAATCAGAATTCCTGATGACTGTAACCCCAAGACCTTCATTATCTTTCAGAGTTTGATGAATTTCACTGAAACTATCTTTGTTTCTCCAAGATCTTCATGTATCATTTAAATCCATGGTACATGTGAGAAGCTTGCCTTTAATTTATTTTATTTTGAGTTATTGGGATATTGCTCTTCAGAAGATAAAAGGGGTTAAAAACTGATGAGAATTAGGTAGGGGATACTCTGTTATATTAACTTTGGTTTGTCTAGCTCTCTGTTAAAGAAAAGGCATCTACAAACACTGAGCTGGTATCCAGCCAAGTATCAAGATAAAAAGAAACAAACTTTCTTATATTTTCTTAAGTGTTATCTCTCTTTAACTTTATGGTCATAAATAGGAAAAATAACCTATAGGAGGTTGTATTTATAGTTATTTATAAATGCAGTTAGTCATTAGAGAAAGGGTTTTTTAAATGTGTGGAAACACCTGCATGCATTAGAGGTAAAGTATTCTTACAATTAACTTAATCAAATTATATTTTAAATAATTTGTGAATAGATAGAGGGACTCAATTTCTCTCAACCATTCTATAAAGCAAAATAAAACCAATTCCCATAGCAATGGTTTTTGGAGGGTGGGATCTGATCTTATTTGTTACTCAAAAAGTTTTATTTTTGACTGGACTCAGAAGTAGAAGCTCACAGAGAGGGCCACCTGCACTGTTGGCAATCTATTCCTGGCATTTTTCTTTGGTCTCCTTCATTCTTTTGGCCAAAAGTTTCGCATATTCTGCAGCCTCTCTCTTATTTCCCTTAGTAGTCTGTTTCTTCAGAGTAATATGCCAGAGTTTGTGTTACAGGACATGTGGAGTAACGAGACACTGAATCTTGGGTGCTTTGGTTCTAGGTTTCTTACCTTCTTTGTTTAAGGGCTTTATTACAATATATTGGCAGATATCATCTTTTTTAGAGTGATTGAAAAGTGCAGATTCTGCTAGGTCTTTTGGGCCCCAGGTGACAAGGCACCATAGTGTCAGTCACTCCGGGAATATCCTTCTCTCCTTTTTTAATGATAACCAAGTTGAGAATGGTCAGATTGGTGACCACATTGTGACCCTGAACAGATTTTCACTTTCTTTCTCCAATTCTTCTTGGTCTATAACAGGAATGCCCCTTCTCAGTAGCAGGTAGACTTGGCCATGGGTCAAGATACTCTGCTTTATGGGGAAAACTTGTTTGTCTTTCCCACCGCTGATTTGGACCACATAAGCCTCCCAATCTTTACCCAGAGCATCTCAGTAGTAACTTCTGTGGCCATATGCTTCTCATAAAAAGTATGAAGTTTGCTTTCATCATCCACTTCAATTAATTTCTGGCAGCCAGTGGCTGGAAAGGAAATATTCAGCTTCGTCTCTTTTTTTGTTTGTTTGTTTTTGTTTTGATGTCTAACCAAGTAACAGTTAATGTATTTATTTGTATACAATAAAAGTGTCATGAAAATTCTGTGTTGGGGATCACATCCATGTTGCTTTCACAAGTAAGTAAGTATTATTCTGAACTGGAGAATATTAGTTATGTCCTGATTAATGCAATACATACTTCCTTTGGCAGGTATTTCCTCTGCTTTAATAGACAATTTCAGAAAGACATGTTAATGGGGGAGAATCACACAATACTAAGGATCTGAGGGCCATAAACATCACATATGTTGAGTTTGCTTTTAGTTTTGTTTCCAACAGCTCTTAACCAATGTCCCTGGCTGTAATCTAGGTGCTAGACACATTGCAAATCCTCAAAAGTGTTTAAGATGAAAGAGTAACACACTTAATTTTTTTTTTTTTTTTGAGATGGAGTCTTGCTCTGTTGCCCAGGCTGGAGTGCAGTGCAGCGATCTCGGCTCACTGCAACCTCTGCCTCCCAGGTTCAAGTGATTCTCCTGCCTCAGCTTCCTGAGTAGCTGGGATTACAGGCACTCACCACCACGCCTGGCTGACTTTTGTATTTTTAGTAGAGACGAGGTTTCCTCATGTTGGCTAGGCTGGTCTCGAACTCCTGACCTCAGGTGATTCTCCTGCCTCGGCCTCCCAAAGTGCTGGGATTACAGGCATGAGCCACTGTGCCCGGCCTTCAGCTTCATCTTGAAGCAGCTGATTGCCTCCGAGATACCACAAAAAAGAGCCATCACTTCGATAATAGCTGATGTTTCAGCCTGGCCAGCACAGTGAAACCTCGTCTCTACTGAAAATACAAAAATTAGTTGAGCATGGTGGTGCACACCTGTAATCCCGGCTACTGAGATGCTGAGGCAGGAGGCAGAGGTCAGAGTGAGCCAAGATCATGCCACTGCACTCCAGCCTGGGCGACAGAGTGAGACTGCATCTCAAAAAAAAAAAAAAAAAAAAAAAGTAGCTGATGTTCACTGTGTGCTCACTGTATACCAGGCACTGTGTTGAGCTCATTACATGGATTATCCTGTTCAGTCCTCCTTCACCTTGTGAGGTGACAGCTATTCTTTCCCCACTTTAATGGAGAGGGAAGGTGGTGTAAAGAGTTTCAGAAATGCCCTCAGGGTCACAGAACTGGTGAGTGGTGGAAGAGGGACCCTCGTGCTGGCCTGACTGGCTTCAGAGCCTGCACTCTTACTCACTGAATGATGCTAATTTTCTCATATTTATTTCAGCCCACTATCTGATTTCTTTTCATTAATATTGTAGGAAGTAAGAATGAATTACATATATGTGAGACAAATCATTCACTTTATTTTCTCCTAATTTATCAATTGATTAATAATTAGATTTATTTCCTCCACTAGCATGTGGCTTTTCTTTGTATTTGTGTATTTTGCTGTTTTATTTCACTTGCTACTTAATGGTATTTTTTATTTCCTGGTGAGGTCAAGAATTTTTTTATTTTTGCAATATTATCTAGTCTCATCCATTAGATAATAGATAATATTACTGTCTCATCTATCAGATAATATATAATATTACTGTCTCATCTATTAGATAATAGATAATAAAAGATAATAATACTGTTTTCCTATGAGGCAATGAGAAGATTGCACAATTATCTATTATCATGTTAGGTTAAGACTGACTTTGTAAAGTGAGCATAAAAAGCATTTAAAAATTATTTTTATTTATGTATTGTGTTATTTATTATGTTAAATCCTTTTATTGACCAACCATTATCACCATCGTTCCATTGGTAAGGAGACTGGATGAGATATAGTCTCTGAATTTCAACTCTAAAGTATAATGTTATGCTAAAAACAGCACGGTATGAAAAAGAAAATACATTCTTCTTTATTGTCTGTAAGTCATTGCAAGGAGTGGAGGTCATATAAGGTGAACAAAAGTGTGTTACAGAGTGTGGATTCCTTACCAGCAGGGGACTTCCTTCCTTCACTCTGGGCAAAGTCGATCAGGAATTTGAAAATCTATTAGGCAGCTGCATGTACAGTGGTTAAGTGTGGAATCAGATTGTCTGGGTTCATTCCCAGTTTTGTCATGAATGGCTATGAGACTTTGGTTAGGTTAATCTCTTTGTGCCTTAGTTTACTCATCTGTAAAATGAGACTGTAATGGTACATCCCTTACAGGATTATTGTGAGTGTTAGATGAGGTAATATATAGTGTTTAGCACAATACCTGGTATATGTATAGAAACCCTTAATAGCACTGGCACATGTAATAAGCATGCAGTAGGTGTTGGCTTCTTTTCTCTTGAGGGCTTCAGCTGGGGCAAACCTTGTTTTGGAAGCATCTTGAGTATAAGTGGTATAAATGAAAATGAAATATTAGAGACTGGAGGGAGAGACTACTATGGGCTTACCTGGAGGAGTTAGAGTGAGATCAGACATTGAGAGATGGGTAAAATTTGGATGGAAAAGAAAAGAAGGAAGATGCCCTCAGGGCAAGAAGTAACTTGGCCAGGTGGTGTTCTCTGGGGGAGAGTAGAGCAGAGAGGTGATGCAGAGGGGCCACTGGTGAGTCGATGGGGTCAGGTGGAGACAGTGTAATTTAGTCAGATCCAGGTCCTGTCCCTGTGGTGCCATTTATAAACCTTGTAAATTTGGGGAAATTGCCTTAATGTCTCTTTAGGCCTGTTTTTTGGGGAAAGCAGTTGTATTTTAAAAATTATTATACAATAAAATTGATGCTTTTTTGGTCTACAGGTCTATGAATTTTAACACATGTATAGATTTGTAAAACCACTGCTACGAGCAGGATGTAGAACAATCCCATCCCTCCTAAAATCCCCCTCATGTTACCCCTTTATAGGCACTTCCTCACCCTCACCCTGAGCACTAGTCTTTTCTCTATCACCATAGTTTTGTTTTTTTGAGAATGTCACATAAATGGAATCATACAGTCTGTAACCTTTTGAGACTGGCTTTTCTTACTTAGAAGAATGCTGTTGAGATCCATCCATGTAGTTGTGTGTGTCATTCATTTGTTCCTTGTTATTACCGAGTAGTTTCCATTATGTAAATACACCACAGTTCATCTGTTCACCCATTAAGGATGTTTGGATTGTTTCTAGTTTTTGCCCATTTTTCAGTTTTATCATCTGTAAAACAGGATGATTGTAATAATTGTACCTACCCTATAGGATTATAAGAATTAAACAGGATAGGGCATATATATATATATATATATATATATATACACACACACACACATATATAAAACACAATATTTTAGACAGTATGGTACTAAGAACAAAAAATAGAAATAGAAAAATCAATGAAACAAAATGAATTTGGAATTAGATCTAATGAATATAAATATCTGATATAAAATATAAAGCAAGTTTTTCAAAGCAGGTAGGTAGAGAGGAAGGCTCTGTATTCATACCTCTCTCTAGGTAATCTCATTCAATTCCATGGTACAGTGTTTTAAATAGAGTAGCTAACATCATGGACACTGGAGCCGGAATGCCTGGGTTCAATTAATAGCCCTCATTACTAGATGGACATGTTACTTAAACTGTGTCTTAGTTGAGGAGATACTATTATAAAACCTGCTTCATGGGGTTGTGTTAGGATTAGATGAGTTAATATATATGAATTACTTAGGCCTGGCTCTGATACATAATATATATTACATAAGTGTTTAGCTATTCTTATTACATATATATTTTAGATAATGTGTGTGGATTATGCCACACAGAAGAGCAGTTAGGTTCTTGTATGATTTCAAGTTAGAAGGAGATGGCTAAAGAACTGTTTCTAGTAATTTTATTTGCTTTTTTTATGCTGTTTTATAGGGCATTGCTCCCAAAATAGAGTTTTCTACAAGGACAGCCATCAGAGAATGTGTGTTTCTGCATAGAAACAGATTTCTTGTAAGTACAATACAAATCTAGTGATAGAAATGACCGGATTTTTTTTTTTCAAATTTAAAGAATTTTTGCCCAAACTCAGTTTATTAAGTTTACATGAAACTAAACAAGTAGAAACCTGGAAAGTTTTTACTAGGTTTGTATTTCTATAATTCAAACTGTTTGCTCAGCCAGTCATATTAGAGTATGTTTGGTACATACGTTTGGCAGCATGATGTAGCTGGAAGCAGGGTGATTCAGAAGCTAAAATTACAAATTTGATGTAAGTGAGCTAATTAGCTTTTGTTATTGTTGTTCTATGACATTTACTTGTGATCTTATGAACAACAGTTTCCATCTTTCTTTTTTAAAAATTTAAAAATTTTAGGCTGGGCATGGTGGCACTTTGGGAGGCCGAGGCAGGTGGATCACCTGAGGTCAGGAGTTAGAGAAAAGCCTGGGCAACATGGTGAAACCCCACCTCTACCAAAAATACAAAAAGTAGCTGGGCATGGTGGCGTGCGCCTGTAGTCCCAGCTACGGGGGAGGCTGAGGCATGCAAATCGCCTGAGCCTGGGAGGTCAAGGCTGCAGTGAGCCAAGATGGCTCCACTGCACTCCAGCCTGGGTGACAAGAGTGAGACTCCATCTCAGAAAAAAATAATGATAAATAAATAAATAATAAACATAAAATAAAAATTTAGAAATTTTAATTTTTTATGGGTACGTAGTACCTGTATATATTTATGGGGTACATGAGATATTTTGATATAGGCATACAGTATGTAATAATCACATCAAGGTAAATGGTGTATCCATCACCTAAAACATTTATCTTTTGAGTTACAAACAATCCAATTATATTCTTTTAGTTATTTTAAAATTTACAGTTAAATTATTATCGACTATAGTCACCCTGTTGTTCTATCAAATACTAGATCTTATTCATTCTTTGTATTTTTTTTTTGTGCCCTTTAACCATCCCCACTCCCCCTCAGCTCTCATGACCCTTCCCAGCCTCTGGTAACCATCATTCTACTCTCTGTCTCCATGAGTTCAATTGTTTTAATCTTTAGCTCCCACAAATAAGTGAGAATATATAAAGTTTGTCTTTCTGTGCCTGGCTTATTTCACTTGATATAATGGCCTCAACTTCCATCCACGTTGTTGCAAGACATAAAAAATAATGGCTGAATAGCACTCCATTATGTGTATGTAATATAATTTCTTTATCCATTCATCTGTTGATGGACACTTAGGTTGATTCCAAATCTTGGCTATTGTGAATAGTGCTGCAGTAAACATGGGGCCACCTTTCTTTTGCTGAGGCTGATGCTCGGATTGTATTCATGGTCCGTCTTTGGTAAGCGTGAAGCGTCTTAGGGCATCCATGTGTACTACCTCAATTTTACTTGCTTCTTCAGTCCTAGTGTCTGCCTCCCTCACCCCAATTTCTTTCTGTTTTGCTTTTACCTTATTGCATATAATGTTGTTGCCACTTAAAATCCTTTCTAGAACAAGATGGAGAAGGAATAAAGGTAGTTTGTGAAGCTTCTCCAAATACTTTGGGACAGGGTAGAGTAAAACCTGTAAGTGAAACAAAATGCTTATCCCAGATCTCATGTAGGGTCCTAGAAAAGACCTTGAAAATGTGGGCTGTATGTTACAGAATACTTAATGAGAAAGAAGGGCCAATAATCTGTGCAAATCTATCAAAACTCTTAGCTAAATAACTCATATAATGGGAGACCAATGATTAATTTTAAGGAAGGCATTATCTGCTTTTTAGTTTTGCCTTATTTATCCTCTCTTCTCTCCAATTTATTTGTGATGTGTTCATAGCAATTTTTCAGTGTTTCTTTCTCTTCCATTCTACCATCTTAATGCTGTTTTAACTTCCTAGGTCCTTCTTTCAGTGTTAACTTTTTAAACAAATAGTTTTATTGTTTTTTTTCTTGAACTCCTGGCCTCAAGAGATCCTCTGCTTCAGCCTCCCTACGTGTTGGGATTACAGGCATGAGCCACCACACTGTCTGTTTTTTTTTCCCTTAAAACAAAAGTATCACTTTATGTTAGAAAATTAGAAAACAAAGATAAATAAGCAAAAAGGACCCAAAACTTAAAAAAAACTGTCTCATTCTTGCCATTTAGAGATCAGCATTAATTTTTTTAGTATATTCTGTACACACATCACACTTTTAAAAAAGATTGAGATCACGCTGCATTGCATATTATTTTGTACCCTTCTTTTTTTTACTTAATTTATGATAAACATTTTCTCATGTCCTCAGGTACTCTTGTGCCAGACAATTTTTCATGGCTTCATAGTATTCCATTGTATGGAAGTACTGTAATCTGTCTGGCCATTCATTTTCCTTTTGTTGAGCACTTAACTGATATATCAGCCAGGGTCCAGTCAGGAAACCACACCAAACTTGTGACTGTAACAGAAAGATTTAATTTTTAAAAATGGCTAAACAGGGGTTGAAAGAAAGACTGAAAGATAAAAGGGGAACACTGAAATGACAGAGTAACTGCAGGAAGCAGCTTCCACCCCTAGGGCTGGGGAAACAAAGGGAAGATGTTGGTTCAGCAAGAACACAGAAGCTTAAAGAAGAAACTGAACAGAAATGGGACCCAGACCTCTGGAGAAGGGCTGCTTTCCTGGATGCTTCTTCAGGAATTCGAAGGTGGGACTTGGATGAGCTGGAACTCAGATCTCAAAGGAGGGGCACTGCTCACTGCTGGTGCCACAGGAGCTTGGAGGAAGGTTCCTGTGGGTCTAGACTCAAATCTGAACAGGGGGCTCTGGTCAGCTGCCGCTGATATGTCTGGAGGAGTGCAATGGGGCTAGTCCTGGCATAATAGGGGAAAGGCTATAATCTGGAGCCATTTGCAGCTGTTAAGGCGAAGAATGGTTGCAGGAATGATGCTAACAGGAATAGAATGCAAAACTGGAAGTAGCCAGTCACTGTGTCTCCTCCAGCCTTGCACTTTCTCTAGCACCTTCCAGTGGCAGAGCCTACAGAGACCAGGTGGAAAAGCAAAAAAGGGAGTTTGTAGAGTCCCTGGACCAGTATTATATAGCTGAGGTGGATTTGCAACTGAGCGCAATTGCTTACTCACCAATACAGCTGGTTTCTAACTTTTAAACTATCATAAGCATTTTTGTAGCTATACATATAGCCATAGTTATTTCCTTATAATACATTCCTGGAAGTGAAATTGCTAGACCCCTCTATGTGTCAAATTCTCTATTATCTATCTATTGGAGGTGTCTGACACTTTCTAACTTCCCCCTATTATAAATAAATCTCACTGTTAATTAGTTGAATACATTATACTAGCAAGTTATAAATACTACTGATGTTAAACTGAACAGGAAAAAAATTAGAGAAATGTCCTTCTTAAGTTTATGTTTTATAAATCTGAGGTGTGTTATCTTTGACCTTAATTTTTAAAAATTCAATTAAATACAGTTATATTCTGATTGAATTTTCTTCTTTTCTTTCTTTATTTTAAAAAATATTCTTTTTTTGTTTATTTCAGGAAGAAAGACATGAGTCACGGAGGCCTTTATCTACATCACATGAACCAATATTTCCCTTAAATACTATAAAGATGAAACTAAAGGAGAATAATCTCAACAGACTGCCCAAAGGCATGCAAGCCCGGGCGCCCTCTCAATATTCTACCAGGCATTTCTTCCAGGACCAGCCAGCTCAGTTGAACCTTGGAAATAATTTCAAAATCTCTGGAGGAAGCAAGCCTCCATTTGTTGTTAGACACGTGAGCCTAAAATTATTTTTTAGAGCATTTTGCAATAGTGAGGATATGGATGAGGGTGGAAGAAAGGAAGGTTGAGTTATAACAACAAATGAATAATATTCAATAAAAAGGTACTTCAAATTGAATAATAATTGTGATTAAATTATGTTCATTTCCTAGATCGTTGTCAGGAAACCCCTAGAAAGGTACCTTATACAGGGGACTTGCTCAGTAAATGTCAGCCATCCCTATTTTTAATTTTTGAAAATTATTAACAGAGTATAATGCCTACACATGATAACTTGCCATTATCTTGAAGAGTCAATGAACTGACAGAGGTTGCAAATGCATAATGAAGGTTGGCACACACTCTATATCAATCCAAAACTAAAGCTTCATCAGTTTTAAAGAAAACTACATGAGTTTTATTAATGAGATTGGTGCTTAGTGGCCATATATTGAAGAGCCAGAAAAGTTTTATTTGTAGGAAGAAGCAATGTTGTGCGATACTCAAAGCCCTTAATTAAAGTCATCTTAGATTTTGTCCTCAGGTAGTGGTAGGCAAATTTAGTCACACTAGTTCTCTTAGTCTCTTTACATTTTTTTTTTTTTTTTTTTTTGAGACAGAGTCTTGCGCTGTCGCCTAGGCTGGAGTGCAGTGACACAATCTCGGCTTACTGCAACCTCTGCCTTCCGTGTTCTAGTGATTCTCCTGCCTCAGCCTCCTGAGTAGCTGAGATTACAGGTGCCCACCACCACACCCGTCTAATTTTTGTACTTTTAGGAAAGACAGGGTTTCACCATGTTGGTCAGGCTGGTCTCGAACTCCTGACCTCAGATGATCCACCCACATCAGCCTCCCAAAGTGCTGGGATTACAGGCATGAGCCACTGCACCAGCCTACAATTTTTTTGCTACTATAAAAGTAATGGAAAACATAGAAAAGTTCAAGAAAAAATTTATCCATTGGGTCACCAGCATAATAAAATCATTGTTTGATTTAATTTGACGCAATTTCTCTGCCTTATGCTTGCATTCATAGGCTTTATTTTTTCCACAAAGTTGTAATTATACTGTATATACAGATTAGTTTTCCTATATATTCCAATTAACATTACATTAAAAAAATTTCCTATATTATTTTGTAGTCTACGTGAACACCAGTTCGTGTTCTAATTAATGACTTATTCTCCAGAATGTTAACTATTGATAGTATCATTAAGTTGATATTTTGATTTAAAGTCATCAGTGGTGATGCTTGTGTATTAGGCAGAGACTATGAATTGTAGTAAATCTCGAAGTGAAGGTGCTGTTGAGATAACTGTATGTAGAGTTGGTTTGTAGGTAAAACAGAGCTGTTTGGCTAGAAACTTCAGAACAGCTATCTACAAAAAATACACAACAGCTGTTGCTTGGTGGCCTGGATAATGACATCTGGCAAAAATCTAACAACCAATCTTTAAACATGTAACCATAAAAATATCGAATTGACTTCATTTATTTCATTTCATTGAAAATATATCTGATTTACTTCATTTGATATAAATTATTGTAAAATACAACTTTAGTGCATGCCATTATGAACTAAGTAATCTTAAAATCTTGATAGATTTCTTAGGGGATTAAAACTTGTTTGATACTTATTTTATTTAACAAATTCTTATACAGCTTTTCCTATGTGCCAAAGTCTTTTATCAGTGATTTTACATATTTAATTTTTTTATTTAGTCAGATTTTCTGATGATATGTGATGTTTCCTTAAGTAGAAGCATTAAAATTTAGAAAACCTGATGTTATAAAGACTGTAAATTCAAGTCAATATATTAAAGTAGAATGAAAAGTAACATTATAACCTGCCTTATTAAAATGTTAAAAAACAGAAAGTAAAAAACAAATCAGCAACTCTATATTGTAGCTATTTGGAAGAGTCCCTAGTTCAAGTATTTTGACCTGTTTGCAGATCATGTTACCCAATTTTTCCTTAGGAGAATATGGTCAGTCACCAAAGATAAATAACATAGTAATATAGTTGCTATTATTATTATTATTTATTATTATTATTTTTTTGAGACGGAGTTTCACTCTTGTTGCCCAGGCTGGAGTACAATGGCATGATCTCAGCTCACCGCAATCTTCGCCTCCCGGGTTCAAGCGATTCTCCTGCCTCAGCCTCCAGAGTAGCTGGGATTACAGGCATGCGCCACCAAGCCCAGCTAATTTTTGTATTTTTAGTAGAGACGGGGTTTCTCCATGCTGGTCAGGCTGGTCTTGAACTCCCGACCTCAGGTGATCCACCCTCCTCGGCCTCCCAAAGTGGTGGGATTACAGGTGTGAGCCACTGTACCCGGCCTAGCTACCCTTATTCTTTTTTCAAAAATGTAGATACTCGGACCAGAGAGGAATGTGGAAAGTAGAAATGTCATCTTATGGGAATCCCTTGCTGTCACTGAGGACCCCATTTAGGCCAGCACTACTCATACTGTTTCAGGAATGTGAAACGTTGTCCTATTTTAAGAGATTGTGAAATAAAGCTTCACTTGCTCTCTTTCTGTGCGGGATCCTTACCAGTTGTTGGAATATAATTTGTGTCTAACTTTAGTTTTTATGCTAATGTTTAGCTTACGTCCTCATGTTCTAGCCTCAGTGAAGGACAAACAGTTTCTCCTTTTAGGTGTAACATGTAACAAACTTGCAGACTGTGCTCTAGGTGGTTTTCCAGCCTTCTTTTTCCAACCCGTGTAATCAGTGATTGAGGGGGAGACAGGCATTCCGGTAACGAGGGGAGGGTACTAGAAGCTATAGTGGATTCTAGTCTTATTTCTTTCCTTTACTTTCAGGTGGACAGTGCAAAGCCCTTTGGTGAGAATATTTCAGAGCATCATTTGAGGAGGTCTAGAAGAAAATCTAAGTTTTCAGACTTTCCGTTTCCAACGAGAAGAGGTACTCGAGTTTCTTGTTACTCCTGTACATTTCCCTATGGCAACAAATGCGTCCTGAGTATACTCTTTCATTCTGAGGAATCACAGGTGATGTTCAGAACTGTGAGCCTAATTCTCAAGTACTCTCCAGCTGTGGAATTTCCAGGGCAGTGTTCCCATGAAGCAGCGTCAGCTGAGAAGCTTCTGTCTGAGCATTCCCCTCGCCGTTGAAGGGGACCGTTCTGAGCGGCGTGCTGAGTGTGCTGTGGTTGCAGTTGTCCCCTGGCTGTTCCGGGGAAGCAGAGTGCAACTTGTCCTGCTGT
This sequence comes from Homo sapiens, assembly GCF_000001405.40. NCBI lineage: Eukaryota > Metazoa > Chordata > Mammalia > Primates > Hominidae > Homo > Homo sapiens. Next base: position 4,622,106 of record NC_000009.12, on the reverse strand, counting down.
GAACCCCTTGCAAAGTCACCATTGATGCCTAACAAATAAGGCTTTCCGTTTTTCTGGATGGCAAAAAACAGGAGATTGATGGTGATCAGGAGATGTAACATTTGCTTTACAAGATTTCATGTCAGCGAGGTGGGAAGCCAACTCTATCTGAAGCAGTTAGATGAAGGCAAAGTGTTCTTAAACCTTTAAATTTCAGGCCCTTTTGCATTCTTAAATATTATTAAAGAGCCCAAAGAGCTTTTCTTGATGTGGATAATATCAGTAGTTAGCATGTTAGAAATTAAAACTGATACATTTTTAAAATATAAGAACAGACTACGGCCGGGTACGGTGACTGACGCCTGTAATCCCAGCACTTCGGGAGGCCGAGGCAGGCAGATCACCTGAGGTTGGGAGTTTGAGACTAGCCTGACCAACATAGAGAAACCCCATCTCTACTAAAAATACAAAATTAGCCGGGCGTGGTGGCACATGCCTGTAGTCCCAGCTACTCAGGAGGCTGAGGCAGGAGAATCGCTTGAACCCGGGAGGCAGAGGTTGCAGTGAGCTGAGATTGTGCCATTGCACTTCAGCCTGGGCAACAAGAGTGAAACTCTGACTTAAAAAAAAAAAAAAGAATAGCACACATTCCATTAGCCATTGTGATGGTGATGTCATGACATCATTGTAGCTTTTGGAAAACTCCATTGTGCAGTGGTGAGAGAATGGGAATGAAACAGTCAAATCATGTCTTAGTATTATTATGAAAACAGTTTGACGTTGCAGATCTCCTGAAAGGTCTTGGGTACCCCTGGGGGAGATCCCTGGACCACACATTGAGAGTCACTGGGTTAAGGAACCCCTTGTAGGCTTTTGACTGAAATCCATGAATCATGCCAGTAGTGAAGGTCATGTCGGTGAAGATCAGTCATTCCTGAACTTAATCAAAATTCTTAGGCTGGAAAGGAATGGTGGTGGTCCATTCTCTTGCCTGCTGGTAGTACTGGACTTTCTATCTGTTGCCATCCCTGACAATAGAGATCTTTATCTTAGGCTTAAAGGTTTACATTTTAAGGGACTACTTTTAAGTCTCTTATGGAAACTTAAGCCAGTGTTCTTAGACTGTGGTAGCTGTTTGACAGCAGCTGCAAGGACAGAGTAGAGTTTGAAGCAGAATGTGCTTCATCACCTCTGACATTTAATTTAAGTTCTTTGAGTTGAAAATCACCTGTGTAGCTTATAAAGCAGCATTGTCTTTCCTACTGCAGTGAAATCAGGCAACAGCAAATGTCCTTTCCTGGGGAGGACAAGTTGGGTTTAATGCAGGCTCTATTACGATGGGACTCACACATCACACTGGTCTCGGCCTTTGTCTTTTCTTAATCCTGGCATGTGGAGAACTAAGGTTCCAGAGAGATTACAATGTGTGTAAAGGTCACACACCAAGTTTTTGGCATACCTACATTTAGAGAAGACATTCAGACCTCTGGGCTCAGATCCTTGGAATCCCTGTAGCTTTCAAGCCAGCCCTTTGCTTAGGTCACCTGTCAGCTCATTCATCCAGGCCTAAGGTAGAACACAGCAGTGCTTCTCAAACCTGAATGTGCAGTTGAATCACCTGGGGCTCTTGTTAAACTGCAGATTCTGATTCAGTAGGGCTGGGGTGGAGCTTAGGATTCTCCTTTTCTAACAAGCTTCCAGGTGATATGAATGCTGCTGGTCTATGGACTGCACTTTGAGAAGCAAGGGAATGATGGCAGGCCCCCGTGTGAAAGGTAGGGCTCAAAACCGGTAGGAAGGAGTTTATGAAGCCACAGGAGGAAGGAGGTTATGAGGCCACAGGGTTATGAGGCCACAGGAGGAAGGAGGTTATGAGACCACATGTTATGAATCCACAGGGGAAGGAGGTTATGAGAAGGAGGTTATGAGGCCACAGGGCAGGTTTGTGGCTATAGCTGAAAGGGCCTTAGCATTGCTGACTCCTGCCCAGCTGGGGGTGGGAGAGAAGAGAGCTCCTGGGACAAGGTGGCACACACATATGTATATGCCCAAAGGATATGAAAATGGCCTGGCTTTAAAAATCTCTTTTTATATCTACCGGTGACGTGGGGAGGGGGATCAGCAGTCCAGAAAAAGTCCCTTGTCATTGCCTGAGCCCTGGTCACACTGGGGGAAGCCATGCTGACCTTAGAATTGCCTTACAAATATTCATTTTAAAAACATTTTTTAATCAACCTGGAAAAATCCAACCTAGTCTTCACTTTCTCTCTGTGTCTTTATTACCTCATTTCCTAGTCATCCTTGCCATACTTCGGCATTAGGTCTGCTTGCCTATCATGATCATTTATGGTCATGATAGTGATTTCCATTTTTGCTATGTTCTATATTTCTCCAAGCTTTTACATATTTGTTGTCTCAATTTAACATTTGTGTCTACCTTGGACAAATATATTCAAGAGCTCCTGCATAAATGGGATTCCATGAAAACCAAAGAAAATGTCAGAGGAGACAGAGTTTATAAATTTTATATTAGACACACAGTACTTTCTTTTAGGTTCTGGGCGCCTGCTCAAATATGAGTTTTTCAGGCTGCTTAAGGGTTATTGAACTTACTCATTCACTTTAGACTTGCTTTACCCTTCTCCCTTCCACATGTGCTGTCATTGAAAACAAAACGTCCAGAGGCTTACACCTGTAATCCCAGGACTTTGGGAGGCTGAGGCGGGTGGGTCACCTGAGGTCAGGAGTTCGAGACCAGCCTTGCCAACGTAGTGAAACCCCATTTCTACTAAAAATACAAAAAATTGGCCGGGCATGGTGGCGGGCATCTGTAATCCCAGCTACTCGGGAGGCTGAGGCAGAGAATCTCTTGAACCTGGGAGGCGGAGATTGCAGTGAGCCGAGATTGTGCCATTGCACTCCAGCCTGGGCGACAGTGTGAGACTCCATCTCAAAAAAAAAAAAAAAAAAAAGAGAAAACCTGACTGTTGACCTCAAAAAGACAAAAACAAAAAACAAAACAAAGCAAAAAACCCCCACAACCCGGAGAATTGAAGTGGCTCAAGGGAGACTTAAAAGTGATAGTGTAACTTACAAGGGAGCATTTAAGTTTTTAAATAATTAATTCATTGTCTAAAATTTTTGTACTGCTGTAGAATAAATATAATGGCAGTTTTAAGGCTAAATGGTAATAATGAGTCATTGAAATGCCTGTTCCTCTTTCTTCTAGCTTCTTCTCTTGACAGCCTTGCAGCTAACGTAAAGGTAATTTTAGAAGTAGAATTTGTAAAATGATTTACTTCCAGATATCTTATGTCAATTATTGTGCTTTTTCCAATCAGTGGTGGATATTTCTAGTTAGTCTGCTTAGGTGGAATTGCTGTAGTTTAGTGTTTGTATGAAGATGTGCCCAGACTCCATGTTATACTTTGCTTAGGGGTTAGTTGGTTTGTGCCCCTCATATAAGTAGGATGAATCACCAAGGAGGGTGTATGTAGACCCAATACCTACTTTATTGGTAGTGATTTTCATTGCTTTTTCTCTAATCAAATAATTTTATACATAGAGGTGGTAAATCACTTGTTCTTGAAGTTTGATTGGTTTGTCAAAGTGAAGGCTCAAACTTCTATGTAACAACATGAGAATAGATTTATGCAAAGAAAATGGAATATACTATGCTTCTTATGCCATAGCGCTTAAATATTTTGTTAAAGTTACATTTTTCCCAGACCAATAATCCCTAGTCCTCAGAAATCAAAGTTCAGAGCATGAGTTTATTTTGGTTTTTTAATATATCCCAAACATACAGACTTTTGGTTATTTTTATCAGTCTGAACTCCTGAGCATTTTGTCACTAGTCTTCTCTTCTCCAGATCCTCTTCTATTTGCAGGAGATCCCTGGGGCAAATATTCTGTCATCTTAGCCCGAGTTATCTTCCTTGTCCAACCCCCACCCCCAGCTCTAAATTAAGCAAACAGAAGCAAAATTACAACTAAATAATGCATATTGTCACTCAGGTTATCAAAGAGCCAGATGAACGGATTGTTTTAAGGAGTGACTCATCATCATGTTTAGATTCAAGTCAGTTTGGAAAGTCTTCATCCAGTAAACAAGGGGATGCTGATTTCCACGGGAAAGCTTCATTTGCCACCTACCAGCATTCCACCTCTCCTGGCCCCTTGGATCAGCCCCTTCTCAGAGAAAGGTCAGTGGCAAGCACCCATCTGTTTGCCTGACGAGTGCATTGTGGCCTGGCAGGGGTAAAGCTGGGTCATTTCACCAGCTTCCTTTCTTAGGAATATTCAGCTGGTGACACCTTGATATGAAAAAATGATTATTTCTTTTAAAATCTACCCAAAAGTCAGAGGCATATCTCAGAATATTTGCTGTAAATGGGATAGACAACTAACTTTGACATAGGTACTATTTATCTACCCATTTTTATTTGTCATAAATTTAAAAACTAAACCTTTTCATTTTACCAGTATAAAAATGTTCACCACAGAAAGTTTGAAAATTACAGAAAAAAAAGTGGAAAAAAATTACCTATAGTCCTACCACTCAAAGACAAATGTTAACATATGGGCATATATTCTTTTTCTAGACATGATTTCTTTGCTTACATTATTTTCACAAACAATGAAAATACATTTGCATATGTCTGGAGAGCAGGCCAGAGAGCAAAAGCAGAAACCTTTATTTGCCAAACAGCACTCTCTAGTAGGGTAAGTAACCACTGGTTTGCTTGGGTCTGCCTGATTTTAGACCTGAAAGTCCTGCATTCTGGGAAACCCTTGAATCTTAGGCAAACCAGGACAGTTGGTTACTTTAACTTCGGGGAAGTGGCACTGAAAATAATATTTATAAGATCATTGTTCTGAATGAAGGATAAGCCAATCTGCTTTTCTCTGCATTATTAGTGACGAGAATAAGAAGCAAACTCCACGTACCAAAATAACGCAATTGCTCTCAAAGGGACTCAGAGTAAATATATCCCAGAACCACAGTGGCCCTGAAATTTTTACAGGAATTATATTAACTTTGAGGTAGACTAAGAAAGTGGCAATCCCTTCTTAGTGTTTTTCAGAAATGACATAATAACTCTATATTCAAATGTTAAATCATGGATTTGAGGAAGCCAGATCAAATATTTTAATAAAATCCATTAACGTATGACGAGCTTTTGATTAGTTACTTTATTAGAAGAAAATAATACAACATAGATTTTTAAAAAACTGGCTCCGGCTGGGCACGGTGGCTCATGCCTATAATCCCAGCAGTTTGGGAGGCCAAGGTGGGTGGATCACCTGAGGTCTGGAGTTTGAGACCAGCCTGACCAACATGGAGAAACCCTGTCTCTACTAAAAATACAAAATTAGCCGGGCATAGTGGCGCATGCCTGTAATCCCAGCTACTCGGGAGGCTGAGGCAGGAGAATTGCTTGAACCCGGGAGGCGGAGGTTGGGGTGAGCTGAGATCGTGCCATTGCATTCCAGCCTGGGCAACAAGAGCGCAATTCCGTTTAAAACAAACAAACAAACAAAAAACTGGCTCTGGCACACAGAGACAAGTGGTCAGAGACACACTTACACCTCTCTATGCCTGGCCTCTGTCCCCTCCTGTCTTATGCTTTTGCCACCAGCCTGGAATTCAGCAGGCTGGCAAAGCACAGGAGGTCATCCTGGATTTAAAGACTTGTAGAGGATTGATTTTAAATGAAGAACGGAAAGAACTTTCAATTAACAGTGGTCAGGAGACATGGGCTCTAGCGCTCATGTGTCTCTAAGTGCTGGGTGATTTCACACAGCTACTCCACCTATTTTTTTAAATTAATTATTATTATTTTTTTTCGAGATGGGGTCTTGCTTTGTCACCCAGGCTGGAGTGCAGTGGCACAATCACAGCTTACTGCAGCCTTGACCTCCCCAACCCAAGCAATCCTCCTGCCTCAGCCTCCTGAGTAACTGGGACTGCAGGTGCGCACCGGCATGCCCGGCTAATTTTCATATTTTTATTTTTGTAAAGATGGGGTCTCACTGTGTTGCCCAGGCTCTTCTCAAACTCCTGGGCTCAAGCAATTGTCTTGGCCTCCCAAAGTGCTGGGTACAGGCATGAGCCACCGTGCCTGGCTTCAACCTTTTAAACCTCAGTTTCCTCATCTTTAAAATGGGTTTGATGATCAAAGATCCATCTGCATACAGCCACAAAGTGCTTCTCAGCCACCAGAACTGGGGAAAACCCGTGGTTTTTGTCTCTGTGCCTGGTATCTATAACACCTCCCAAACTCCTTAAAAGCAGTACAGCAAGCTTTTCTGAGAGACTGTATTGAGCATGCTGTTATTGGGCAACTGTTGGGGGCAATGGACACCATCATGACATGTCTCTGCTTTCCACTGGCTCACATACTAGACAGGAAGGCAGACATACCCCCTTGTCACTGAATATGAGATAGATTGTGGTAGGTACCTAACAGAAGTACAATCCAAATGCAGGGGAGAGACAGAGTGAGAGGAAATCAGTTACATCAGGAGAGAGACCTGAGAAGTCCTCTTTTCTCTTTAAATATGTGTTAGATGGTTTATGCATTCATTCAGCCAGCCTTTCCTGAGTGTCTTTATGCAGCAGGCCAGCAATTCTCAACTCTGGCCAACGGAAGAATTGCCTCATGTTTACTGAGTCAAAATCAACTGGGATTGGAATTGAGTATGTGGGCGGGGAGCACGTTAAATCTGTGGTTAAGACGGAAAGCAGGAATGATACTCAATCTGCTAGGCCAGCAATGGGAACACTAACATTTAAGACATTTCTCCTGATCTCTGAAAACTTGCAACCTAGCAGAGGATATAAAAAAAATAATAAAAAAGAAGTATGCAAAGAGCTTTCTACAAAGCAGCACTTTGTGAATAGTGTGGAACAAAAGTTACTGGAGTATAAAGAAGAAGGGTGGTACTTCTGGAATGTTTCATGGAGGAGGTGATGCTTTCATGTGGCCTTGAGGAGAGAAGATTGGTTTATGATGGGGTTCATAGAGGTGAGTGATGGCAGGTGGGAGGCAGGGGCACTGTCAGCTTCCAGCAGTTAGAGGAGTTTGGGAGAAAGTCAGTGCCAGGACTCAAAGGTTTGAGGGGGACCTTTGTTGGCTGACCTAAGGAGCTTGGGCTTTGCTTGGAAGGAGTGAGGAGCTCTGTGACATTAGTCACAGGAGTTGGCACAAGTGACTTTAGAAAGATGAGTCTTAGCTGCAGACCAGAGTTTTATTGGCCATCTCTGATGAGGCAGCAAATTCTTTGTGCCCAAAGTCTCTCTAAACTGGTAACTTGGGACCTAGTTGGACTATGAGTTTGTAAATAAGGCCATGATTATCAGCGGCAAATAATAACACAGCCACAGAAAGGCCATCCAGTTTGCCCATGGCTGTCCTGGTTTCAGTACCAAAAGTTTGCATCCTGGGAAACCCCTGAGTCCCAGGTAAACCAAGACAGCTGGTCACCTTCACACTAGAGAAGTGGCTCTGAAGATAATATTTTAAAAACAGTTCTTTTGAATGAGGGATGTGCCCTTCATATCCTTGCAGAACACATTGCCCGTTGGCTTTAGAGCGATCACTAGGGCAGATTCCTGGGACACTGGGGGTTGTCAGCACTGTGTCTCCACTCACTCAGTGTTCTTTTCATACCAGCAATATCAGGACCACTCTTTCTCTGTGTCCAGTTCACAAGGGTGCATGAGAATCCCTGTTGCTTTTCTGCTAACTTAATACTGAAGTCAGTAAGGATCAAGGTCATAAGGATGAGTTGGGAGACAAATTTTGGAATGAGAGTCAACCCAAGGTTTTAATGGACAAGGTAGAAAACACATTATAAGAGTGAACAATGGGAGTACTAAAGGAGGGAGAAACACTGCCAAGCCTGTTCCCTGTATCCACCATCTGAATAGCGTCATGCCCCTTCAGCACATCCTCTCTCTCCACATGACTCGAGGAGAAGGTAGATCCCATGGAGAAGGCTGTGGTAAAGGCACAGCGCTGCTCCCATCTGTTGACTCATCATTCTCTGAGATCTTCAAATGTAAAATAAATTGCATGTAACAATAATGGTAACAAATGAAAGAGTCGCTTTGGTATTGGTTACTCTAGACCTATGAAAAAGAATTTACAGTATCTAGCTGGTGGCTGTTTTTAAATGCTAGCTTCATTTATAGCTTCAACATATTTCTATTCCTTCCTCCTAAACATTCTTAGAGAAGGGCCAAGCGTGGTGGCTCACACCTGGAATCCCTGCACTTTGGGAAGCGAGGTGGGTGGATCACTTGAGGTCAGGAATTCAAGACCAGCCTGGCCAACAAGGCAAAACCCCGTCTCTACGAAAAATACAAAAATTCGCTGGGCTTGGTGGCTTATACCTGTAGTCTCAGCTACTTGGGAGGTTGAGGCAGGAGAATTGCTTGAACATAGGAGGCAGAGGTTGCAGTGAGCGGAGGTAGCGCCACTGCACTCCAGCATGGGCAACAGAATGAGACTCTGGGTCAAAAAAAAAAAGTTCTTAGAGAAGAATAGAAATAATGTTTGTAGTCTTAAACATGGGCAGTGCTTTAGGTGGTGCTTCCATTTACTATGAGTTGTTTTCTTGGGTTGGCAATGGATTTGTGTAGATCCATTCATACTGTTGGTCTTATCTCCCTGGAAAAACCAGTGGGACATGCTTGTCACAGAGAGAGCTGGAGTGGAGGCCTGGATGTGGGCCGGAACCAGCCAAGCAGAGGGGCAACTGCACAGGGAGGTCATTCATATGGTAGCCATAGTAACAACTGGATTTCCAGATGTTCCTGTCATTTCCAGTGTTTACCATACATTAATTAAAGAGAATCATTTTCTTTCTTTCTTTCTTTCTTTTTTTTTTTTGAGATAGAATCTTGCTATGTTACCCAGGCTGGAGTACAGTGGCCCCATCTCAGCTCACTACAACCTCCACCTCCCAGGTTCAAGCAATTTTCATGCCTCAGCCTCCTGGTATCTGGGACTACAGATGTACCACCACCACACCTGGCTAATTTTTTGTATTTTAGTAGAGATGGGGTTTCACTACTTTAGCCAGGCTGGTCTGGAACTCTTGGCCTCAAGAGATCCGCCCGCCTCAGCCTTCCAAAGTGCTGGGATTATAGGTGTGAGCCACTGCGCCTGGCCCCAAGTGGCTATAATTCTTTGGGTGTTTTTAGAAAACTGTATCTGTGCCTTTCATTATCAAATTGCTATGTACACTTTCAGCTTAGTTATACCTCAGACTTTAGGATTTGGTAACCATCCCCCTCCTGAATATTAATGGATGGATGAATGAATGAATGAATGAACGAGAGAATGAATTCAATCACTCAAGAAATATTTATTAGCTACTTACTGTGCTATTCAGTTCCTACTCTGCCCTGGGATGAGCTATTAAACAAAGAGTCTCAGCTCAATTTCACTCTAGGAGTAAAGACCGCCATTAACCAAATAATGACAAAATGTCCAGTGGTGCAAATGGTATTAATGAGGTATAGATAAATGAAACTGCAAGTCCGTATAACAGAGCAGCTGACCTCCTCTACAGGAGAGGGCTCAGAAAGGACTTTGCTGAGAACTCAACAATTGAACTGAACTCTGAAGGGTGGGTAGGAGTTAATAAGAGTAGTGAGCCCCTGGGGTTGGGAGGTAGAAGAGAGAACAGTGTTGCCAAATGCCTATGGAAGGTAGAAAATGCTCTATGTTTGGGGAACTGAAAGAGACTGTCAAACCTATGGTTCAGTTTGGAGTCTGGGTGGCCTAAAGTAAATGAGATATAAGATAAAGTCCTGGTGGTAGGAAACAACCAGGATTGGAGGCTGGGTGTAGTGGCTCACACCTGTAATCCCAGCACTTTGGGAGGCTGAGGCAGGAGGATCACTGAGTACAAAAGTTTGAGACCAGCCTGGACAGCATGGGGAGACCCTGTCTCTACAAAATATTTGAAAGTGAGCTCTGCATGGTGGTGCATACCTGTAGTCCCAGCTCTTTGGGAGATTGAGGTGGAAGGATCCCTTGAGCCCAGGAGTTCGAGACCAGCCTGGGTAGCAAGACCCTATCTCTTAAGGAAAAAAAAAAATAGCCAGGCATGGCAACATGTACCTAGTTGGTCCTCTCTACCTGGGAGGCTGAAGTTGGAGGATTGCTTGAGTCCAAGAGTTCAAGGTTGCAGTGAGCTATGATCATGCAGTTGTACGTTAGCCTGGGTGATAATCTCTCCGTGAAACAACAACTACTGGGATTAAATTTTATATTAAAATTTTTTGGATTAAAAATTTTTTTTTCTTTTATTATTATACTTTAAGTTTTAGGGTACATGTGCACATTGTGCAGGTTAGTTACATATGTATACATGTGCCACGCTGGTGCGCTGCACCCACTAACTCGTCATCTAGCATTAGGTGTATCTCCCACTGCTATCCCTCCCCCCTCCCCCCACCCCACAACAGTCCCCAGAGTGTGATGTTCCCCTTCCTGTGTCCATGTGATCTCATTGTTCAATTCCCACCTATGAGTGAGAATATGCGGTGTTTGGTTTTTTGTTCTTGCGATAGTTTACTGAGAATGGTGATTTCCAATTTCATCCGTGTCCCTACAAAGGACATGAACTCATCATTTTTTATGGCTGCATAGTATTCCGTGGTATATATGTGCCACATTTTCTTAATCCAGTCTATCATTCTTGGACATTTGGGTTGGTTCCGAGTCTTTGCTATTGTGAGTAGTGCCGCAATAAACATAGGTGTGCATGTGTCTTTATAGCAGCATGATTTATAGTCCTTTGGGTATATACCCAGTAATGGGATGGCTGGGTCAAATGGTATTTCTAGTTCTAGATCCCTGAGGAATCGCCACACTGACTTCCACAATGGTTGAACTAGTTTACAGTCCCACCAACAGTGTAAAAGTGTTCCTATTTCTCCACATCCTCTCTAGCACCTGTTGTTTCCTGACTTTTTAATGATTGCCATTCTAACTGGTGTGAGATGGTATCTCAATGTGGTTTTGATTTGCATTTCTCTGATGGCCAGTGATGATGAGCATTTTTTCATGTGTTTTTTGGCTGCATAAATGTCTTCTTTTGAGAAGTGTCTGTTCATGTCCTTTGCCCACTTTTTGATGGGGTTGTTTGTTTTTTTCTTGTAAATTTGTTTGAGTTCATTGTAGATTCTGGATATTAGCCCTTTGTCAGATGAGTAGGTTGCAAAAATTTTCTCCCATTTTGTAGGTTGCCTGTTCACTCTGATGGTAGTTTCTTTTGCTGTGCAGAAGCTGTTTAGTTGAATTAGATCCCATTTGTCAATTTTGGCTTTTGTTGCCATTGCTTTTGGTGTTTTAGACATGAAGTCCTTGCCCATGCCTATGTCCTGAATGGTATTGCCTAGGTTTTCTTCTAGGGTTTTTATGGTTTTAGGTCTAACATTTAATTCTTTAATCCATCTGGAATTGATTTTTGTATAAGGTGTAAGGAAGGGATCCAGTTTCAGCTTTCTACATATGGCTAGCCAGTTTTCCCAGCACCATTTATTAAATAGGGAATCCTTTCCCCATTGCTTGTTTTTCTCAGGTTTGTCAAAGATCAGATAGTTGTAGATATGCGGCATTATTTCTGAGGGCTCTGTTCTGTTCCATTGATCTATATCTCTGTTTTGGTACCAGTACCATGCTGTTTTGGTTACTGTAGCCTTGTAGTATAGTTTGAAGTCAGGTAGTGTGATGCCTCCAGCTTTGTTCTTTTGGCTTAGGATTGACTTGGCGATGCGGGCTGTTTTTTGGTTCCATATGAACTTTAAAGTAGTTTTTTCCAATTCTGTGAAGAAAGTCATTGGTAGCTTGATGGGGATGGCATTGAATCTGTAAATTACCTTGGGCAGTATGGCCATTTTCACGATATTGAGTCTTCCTACCCATGAGCATGGAATGTTCTTCCATTTGTTTGTATCCTCTTTTATTTCATTGAGCAGTGGTTTATACTTCTCCTTGAAGAGGTCCTTCACATCCCTTGTAAGTTGGATTCCTAGGTATTTTATTCTCTTTGAAGCAATTGTGAATGGGAGTTCACTCATGATTTGGCTCTCTGTTTGTCTGTTGTTGGTGTATAAGAATACTTGTGATTTTTGTACATTGATTTTGTATCCTGAGACTTTGCTGAAGTTGCTTATCAGCTTAAGGAGATTTTGGGCTGAGACAATGGGGTTTTCTGCACACACAATCATGTCGTCTGCAAACAGGGACAATTTGACTTCTTCTTTTCCCAATTGAATACCCTTTATTTCCTTCTCCTGCCTAATTGCCCTGGCCAGAACTTCCAACACTATGTTGAATAGGAGTGGTGAGAGAGGGCATCCCTGTCTTGTGCCAGTTTTCAAAGGGAATGCTTCCAGTTTTTGCCCATTCAGTATGATATTGGCTTTGGGTTTGTCACAGATAGCTCTTATTATTTTGAAATACGTCCCATCAATACCTAATTTATTGAGAGTTTTTAGCATGAAGTGTTGTTGAATTTTGTCAAAGGCCTTTTCTGCATCTATTGAGATAATCATGTGGTTTTTGTCTTTGGTTCTGTTTATATGCTGGATTACATTTATTGATTTGCGTATATTGAACTAGCCTTGCATCCCAGGGATGAAGCCCACTTGATCATGGTGGTTAAGCTTTTTGATGTGCTGCTGGATTCGTTTTGCCAGTATTTTTTGGGGAATTTTGCATCAATGTTCATCAAGGATATTGGTCTAAAATTCTCTTTTTTGGTTGTGTCTCTGCCAGGCTTTGGTATCAGAATGATGCTGGCCTCATAAAATGAGTTAGGGAGGATTCCCTCTTTTTCTATTGATTGGAATAGTTTCAGAAGGAATGGTACCAGTTCCTCCTTGTACCTCTGGTAGAATTCGGCTGTGAATCCATCTGGTCGTGGACTCTTTTTGGTTGGTAAGCTATTGATTATTGCCACAATTTCAGATCCTGTTATTGGTCTATTCAGAGATTCAACTTCTTCCTGGTTTAGTCTTGGGAGAGCGTATGTGTCGAGGAATTTATCCATTTCTTCTAGATTTTGTAGTTTATTTGCGTAGAGGTGTTTGTAGTATTCTCTGATGGTAGTTTGTATTTCTGTGGGATCGGTGGTGATATCCCCTTTATCATTTTATATTGCGTCTATTTGATTCTTCTCTCTTTTTTTCTTTATTAGTCTTGCTAGTGGTCTATCTATTTTGTTGATCCTTTCAAAAAACCAGATCCTGGATTCATTAATTTTTTGAAGGGTTTTTTGTGTCTCTATTTCCTTCAGTTCTGCTCTGATTTTAGTTATTTCTTGCCTTCTGCTAGCTTTTGGATGTGTTTGCTCTTGCTTTTCTAGTTCTTTTAATTGTGATGTTAGAGTGTCAATTTTGGATCTTTCCTGCTTTCTCTTGTGGGCATTTAGTGCTATAAATTTCCCTCTACACACTGCTTTGAATGTATCCCAGAGATTCTGGTATGTTGTGTCTTTGTTCTCGTTGGTTTCAAAGAACATCTTTATTTCTGCCTTCATTTCGTTATGTACCCAGTAGTCATTCAGGAGCAGGTTGTTCAGTTTCCATGTAGTTGAGTGGTTTTGAGTGAGATTCTTAATCCTGAGTTCTAGTTTGATTGCACTGTGGTCTGAGAGATAGTTTGTTATAATTTCTGTTCTTTTACATTTGCTGAGGAGAGCTTTACTTCCAAGTATGTGGTCAATTTTGGAATAGGTGTGGTGTGGTGCTGAAAAAAATGTATATTCTGTTGATTTGGGGTGGAGAGTTCTGTAGATGTCTATTAGGTCCGCTTGGTGCAGAGCTGAGTTCAATTCCTGGGTATCCTTGTTGACTTTCTGTCTTGTTGATCTGTCTAATGTTGACAGTGGGGTGTTAAAGTCTCCCATTATTAATGTGTGGGAGTCTAAGTCTCTTTGTAGGTCACTCAGGACTTGCTTTATGAATCTGGGTGCTCCTGTATTGGGTGCATATATATTTAGGATAGTTAGCTCTTCTTGTTGAATTGATCCCTTTACCATTATGTAATGGCCTTCTTTGTCTCTTTTGATCTTTATTGGTTTAAAGTCTGTTTTATCCGAGACTAGGATTGCAACCCCTGCCTTTTTTTGTTTTCCATTTGCTTGATAGATCTTCCTCCATCCTTTTATTTTGAGCCTATGTGTGTCTCTGCACGTGAGATGGGTTTCCTGAATACAGCACACTGATGGGTCTTGACTCTTTATCCAATTTGCCAGTCTGTGTCTTTTAATTGGAGCATTTAGTCCATTTACATTTAAAATTAATATTGTTATGTGTGAATTTGATCCTGTCATGATGATGTTAGCTGGTTATTTTGCTCGTTAGTTGATGCAGTTTCTTCCTAGTCTCGACGGTCTTTACATTTTGGCATGATTTTGCAGCGGCTGGTACCGGTTGTTCCTTTCCATGTTTAGCGCTTCCTTCAGGAGCTCTTTTAGGGCAGGCCTGGTGGTGACAAAATCTCTGAGCATTTGCTTGTCTGTAAAGTATTTTATTTCTCCTTCACTTATGAAGCTTAGTTTGGCTGGATATGACATTCTGGGTTGAAAATTCTTTTCTTTAAGAATGTGGAATATTGGCCCCCACTCTCTTCTGGCTTGTAGGGTTTCTGCCAAGAGATCCGCTGTTAGTCTGATGGGCTTCCCTTTGAGGGTAACCCGACCTTTCTCTCTGGCTGCCCTTAACATTTTTTCCTTCATTTCAACTTTGGTGAATCTGACAATTATGTGTGTTGGAGTTGCTCTTCTCGAGGAGTATCTTTGTGGCATTCTCTGTATTTCCTGAATCTGAATGTTGGCCTGCCTTGCTAGATTGGGGAAGTTCTCCTGGATAATATCCTGCAGAGTGTTTTCCAACTTGGTTCCATTCTCCCCGTCACTTTCAGGTATACCAATCAGACGTAGATTTGGTCTTTTCACATAGTCCCATATTTCTTGGAGGCTTTGCTCATTTATTTTTATTCTTTTTTCTCTAAACTTCCCTTCTCGCTTCATTTCATTCATTTCATCTTCCATCGCTGATACCCTTTCTTCCAGTTGATTGCATCGGCTCCTGAGGCTTCTGCATTCTTCACGTAGTTCTTGAGCCTTGGTTTTCAGCTCCATCAGCTCCTTTAAGCACTTCTCTGTATTGATTATTCTAGTTATACATTCTTCTAAATTTTTTTCAAAGTTTTCAGCTTCTTTGCCTTTGGTTTGAATGTCCTCCCGTAGCTCAGAGTAATTTGATCGTCTGAAGCCTTCTTCTCTCAGCTCGTCGAAGTCGTTCTCCGTCCAGCTTTGTTCCATTGCTGGTGAGGAACTGCATTCCTTTGGAGGAGGAGAGGCGCTCTGCTTTTTAGAGTTTCCAGTTTTTCTGTTCTGTTTTTTCCCCATCTTTGTGGTTTTATCTACTTTTGGTCTTTGATGATGGTGATGTACAGATGGGTTTTTGGTGTGGATGTCCTTTCTGTTTGTTAGTTTTCCTTCTAACAGGACCCTCAGCTGCAGGTCTGTTGGAGTACCCGGCCGTGTGAGGTGTCAGTGTGCCCCTGCTGGGGGGTGCCTCCCAGTTAGGCTGCTCGGGGGTCAGGGGTCAGGCACCCACTTGAGGACGCAGTCTGCCCCTTCTCAGATCTCCAGCTGCGTACTGGGAGAACCACTGCTCTCTTCAAAGCTGTCAGACAGGGACATTTAAGTCTGCAGAGGTTACTGCTGTCTTTTTGTTTGTCTGTGCCCTGCCCCCAGACGTGGCGCCTACAGAGGCAGGCAGGCCTCCTTGAGCTGTGGTGGGCTCCACCCAGTTGGAGCTTCCGGCTGCTTTGTTTACCTCAGCAAGCCTGGGCAATGGCGGGCGCCCCTCCCCCAGCCTCGCTGCCGCCTTGCAGTTTGATCTCAGACTGCTGTGCTAGCAATCAGCGAGACTCCGTGGGCGTAGGACCCTCCGAGCCAGGTGGGTGGTGCGCCATTTTTTAAGCCCGTAGGAAAAGCGCAGTATTTGGGTGGGAGTGACCCGATTTTCCAGGTGCCATCTGTCACCCCTTTCTTTGACTCGGAAAGGGAACTGCCTGACCCCTTGCGCTTCCCGAGTGAGGCAATGCCTCGCCCTGCTTCGGCTCGCGCACGGTGCGCGCACACACTGGCCTGCGCCCACTGTCTGGCACTCCCTAGTGAGATGAACCCGCTACCTCAGATGGAAATGCAGAAATCACCCGTCCTCTGCGTCGCTCACGCTGGGAGCTGGAGACCGGAGCTGTTCCTATTCGGCCATCTTGGCTCTCCCCGAAAACCGGATTTAAATTTTATATTAAAAAGTTTTAGATTAAAATTTTAAATGTAAAAGTAGGGTTTGTTCATGAGAGAAATATCTGAAAAACACAGGAAAGTACAAAGAAGAAAAGAATCACTCATAGCCACACATAGAAACACAAAAAATTCTTAACATCTGAGCAGTTTTTATTCCCCAGTGCTTTTCCTATGGGTAGGTTTAAGAAAGACATTGAAATCACACTATGTTTACCATTTTGCATGCTGCTGTTTTTTATTATAATTAAGTTTTAAATATCAATCCATACCGTCATGTGCTTTAAGTGTCCTTTTTAGTAGCTGCTTAATATTCCACCCTGTTCCATCTGTTGAGCAGGTTCCATCCTGGTTCTCAGTCCACATGGAAGAATATCCATGAGAGGGTATGCAGTCTTCTGACATCCCACAGAGCACAGCTGCACCAAAACAAGGTTAGACTTTCTTATAAAACTAGATCTTTGCTCACTAAATAATATGTGAACAGGGACCTACAGTCTAGTCGGGGAGACAGACATTAATCAAATAACCACAGAAATAAGTGGAAAATTGTGAGGCTTACCAAGGAGATTACCTGTTGTCCTGAGATTGAATGGTAGCGGGTATTTGACATGGCTGGGAGTCAGGGCTGGCTTCCTGAGGATGAGACAGTGGGGCTTGGATCCAACGGAGGAGTAGCAGCTAATTTGGTGCACAGCACTCATCAAGCAGAGGTCCTTTCAAAGGACTGAGAGAAGACAGGCTAAGTGGCCCACAGAGCATTCCTTTCCCCTGCACACATGAATCCCAGTCCAGGGAAGAATACAGTTGTTTGTGTGAGCTATGTAAGGCCACAACATGGAAGAAAGTTGTTCTAGAATTTAATAAGGTGGTTTTGGCTGTATGACTTTTACAGGGGTATGGGGAGTGCTTCTGATCCATTGGTAGGTATTCCCAGTACTTTGTCACTGATTCAGATACACAGCTAAGTGGCAGTTCACCTGCTCAAAGAATTCAAATATAGGACAACAGTGCCCCCAGTGGCTGAATTTAATGATGCCATGTAGTTGAATTAGTCCTCTTGACTTATTATATACTGACATATGCTAGATTTGCAGGATGACACTTAAAACTAAATGTTGTTTGCCCTAACCATCAGGGTAGTGAATTACTTTAATTCTTTTCTGCAAAGTCATTGGCTTTGCTTTAATTCCCAACCTTTTCAGGCAAGGAATCTCTTTAAAATGTAAACAAAGGCCTGGTTTGGGGCTCAAATCTATAATCCTAGTACTTTGGGAGGCTGAGGAGGGAGAATCCCTTGAGGCCAGGAGGTTCAAGACCAGCCTGGCAACATAATGAGACCTCGTCTCTACAAAAAAAGAAAGATTCTATATACACACATATATAGTGAACCCCATATAACGGCATAAATGGGATGCACAGACCTCCTACATGCAAAACTACACATCTGGGTATCATCCATCTCTATTATGTTATGGGTAACATAATTGCTGGATTTGTTTTTATTGTAGGAAGATTCTACCTCTGAAGTAAATTATATCATTGAAAGACCAAGCTACCCTCTGAAGAAATACTCACTGCATGAACAGAGATATTTTTAAGGTACTGTCTTATGTAAGTAAGCAGCTTAAGTGCTTCTCCTTATCTTGGTTTGCTAAAAGAATTTCAGTTTCCTCCTATCAATATGAAGTAACTAGAAAGTGTGGAGGACAGGAGACTTGGAGGAGACCTGAGAACTGCGTTCTTCCCTTGCTCTGTATGATAACTGCAGTGCACGTGCCTTCCAGCTCTCTTGCTTCCTCTTGTAATCATCTCCCCTGCCCGCAACATCACCCTTTATCTAATAGACTTTCCGGCCTTCTTTCAGCTTCTTGAACACGGAGCTTTTTCCTGCCATGGGGTCTCTGCACATGTTGTTTTCTCCATCTGGAATATGTCTTCCTGACTCTGCCTGGATAACTTCTATTTGTCCTTCCAGGCTTATGATTTTCTATGACACGACACTCCCTCTCTCTGTGATGTGTACCCTTTAGTACACAGCATTTTTCCTTCATAAATTATGACACAATTTCTTATTATATTTTTATCTGGGCTGATTGTTTAAAATCTGTCTCTTCTACTGGAGTGAAACCTTATGAGATCAGAGAATCTGTCTCTGTTGTTCACTGCTTTATACGCAGTATTTAGTGCCATACAATGGAATCACATTTAACTTTGCAAACACATGTACTAGGTGTGTGCACTGAACAAGAACCTGCCTACCCATCTCCACCCTGCTGCTGTCTCTGTATCACCTGACCCTCCACAATGGTTGCTGCTCAGTAAAGAGGGTTTTTTTTGTTTTTGTTTTTGTTTTGACATGGAGCTCTGTCACCCAGGCTAGAGTGCAATGGCGCAATCTTGGTTCACTGCAACCTCCACCCCCCAGGTTCAAGTGATTCTCCTGCCTCAGCCTCCTGAGTAGCTGGGATTACAGGTGTGCACAACCACACCCAGCTAATTTTTGTATTTTTAGTAGAGATGGGGTTTCACCATGTTGGTCAGCCTGGTCTCAAACTCCTGACCTCGTGATCTGCCTGCCTCAGCCTCCCAAAGTGCTGGTATTACAGGCGTGAGCCACCGTGCCCGGTCGCAGTAAAGAGTTTTTATAAATGCATGTTGAATATGCATTGATTATGAATGCATGTAACAAGGCAACTCTAGAATTCAGATCTGTGGCAAGTAGTTAGCCACATTGTGGGACATCATCGTTTCTCATATATTCTTTTCTTTTCCATTCAAGCCCAGAATAATAATCGCTCTTCCTTATGACATGCGGCCTGAGTGCTGAGACTAGTACACATACTTCACATGTATTAAACAAATTCATATCTAATTCTCAGGACAACCCAATGAGATAGGTACTATCATTAGTTCCATCTTACAGATAGGAAAACTGAGGCATAGGTTAGGTCCCTTGCTCAAGGTGACATGGCTAGTGAATGGTGGAGCTTTATTCTCTTAACCACTACATTCTATTGCATTTTCAAAGCTAGAGTGTAATCTTACATGGAAATCCATGTCTCCCCATGTGTGAAGGAGGGCCCTTTGGAACCCAAGCAGAGTTCGTGGGCATTGGCCTTTGGAAGGCTCCCACTAGGATCCTATAGCTTTGTCCTGTATAGTCCTCATGTCAGCAGGATCAGAATAATTATGCGTCTTTCTAAACAATAAAGGAGTGTGGGATGACCTGCTAAGTTTTCACTGTAGTCAGGCTCCTGAAAGTCTGTTTTGAGGGTCATGCATGCTTTACAGAACAAGTTGGCTTGCCTTAGGAATGGCCAGGGCTCCCCACCTTTAGCACAGAGGAATGTGCAGGACAGCTCAGTAATGGCCCATTCTGGAGGCTTCTACCTTAGAACGTTCTGCTTGCTAGATTAAAGGACGGATTCTGGGCCATTTACTCTCTGGTTACCAAAATAATTGCCGTCTAGGCAATTATTTAGGTGGTTATACGGAACATAGCCCACATGATTATCAAATGCCAAATTACATTGAATTTCAACATGGGTAATATCAAGTTACATAGAGCCCTGAACCAGCTGATATGTGGACATTGATGTGGGGGGATAGAGAGAAGGTAAGAAAAGAAAAAAAAAAAACGTCAATTCTTTCTTGGAAAATAGGTTTCCCACACAACAGGAATTCCCACCCAGTAGTTTGGCATACGCTTAGAATACCTTCTCTGGAAGTCTCCATACCATCCTCCCTGACCCCGCTTCTTGAGTCATGGATTCCTGGAGAGGCTGGGATCCTGGAGGGTCATTTTAGTGAAGCTTTAGTGATTGTGAAAAACCCAAGTGACTCTGGCTAGTCTTAAGCAAACGGGGCATTTATTTGAAAGATGCTGAGCATCCATCTCAGTGAGTCCAGGAAAGATCCAAACAGGCAAGATCAAATAGCTAGAACAGGACAGCCAGAGCCACTCCTGTGGGTTGGGAGGACAGACCCCAGGCAGGAGGCATCCCCCACACACAACCCAGTGGCTCCCACTACGTGTCCCAGTCCCGGCTTTTCTTGAGGACTCTCTTCTAATGGCAGCACCAATTCCTGTCCCTCCCCTTCTCCATATCTGTTTCACTGCCAGGTCCTGGCTCCCCAGCGATCTCGAGATCTCAGGGAGATGAAAAAGTAGATTCTTACCACAAAAAGGTCAGGGATTCTTGAGCCAAAAACAATGAGTCCCATTGTCTGACCACGTAGAGGGAGAGAATGGGTGGAAGAAATGGGTTGAAGGGGTTGGAATACATCTATTTCTGGATCTTTTGGGACTTGGTACTTTTGGTATAAACAGAGTATCCCTTGTATATTTAAAATTGGTGAATTTTACCACACAAAAACCAAACATCCAAAAAACCAAACAAAAAAAAAAACCTCCCGTAAAGAAACCCCTCAGATTATCCCTAGTTCTCTTGGAAGGCATAATTGCCGTGAAATCCCGGCCCCCAGTGTGCAGTGCCAAATTACAGAGCAAGACTCCATCAAAAAGAAAGGAAAGAAAGGAAGAAAGAAGGGAGTGAGGGAGGGAAGGAAGGAAGGGAGGAAGGAGGGAAGGGAAGGAAGGAAGGAAATTTGTTCAGTAGAATATAGTTAATTGGAACACGTTTAACAGCTCAACTGAATAACACCTATTTTGGCACATTTACTATGTAGCAATGCTAACTCTTCACTATAATAGTAAGAGGTAGATACTCTGTCATCATCCTGATATTTTACAAAGACGTCAAGTAAATTGTCCAAGGTCACACAGATGCTCACTGGGTTATTCTGTTGTGGGAATCTGGGGAAAAAGCTCAGAGACTAAGTGATCCCAAGGCATAGCTACATGCCAAGATTGGGGTAGTATGACATTATCTTTTTCTCCTTACTTGTATTGATTGTTTGCCTTTTTCTCAATACCACATGTAGAATGTGATGTTTCAAATTTTGCAGGGGAAATTAATGAAAGCTTAAGGAGAATCATGAAGAGCTCACTCACTGAGACAATTGAAGCATCCTTAAAGAAATGAACACTTTTTGTTGTCTGTGTTGAGTCACTGATGTCTAATCCCCTTTAAACCAAACCCTGTACTCAGTCTTTTGTGCCCAGGTAAGAGTTGTTGATTAAAGTGTTTGCTGTTTGGGGGCTAACATTTTCTTGTCAAGCTGGAAAATTTGTGTTTTTGCATGTTTGTTTTGAACATGAAAGAGAAAGCGCTGTAGTTGGGTGGCAGGTGCTTATCTGAACACTTCCCCTCTCTCTCTCTCTGGCTCTCTCTGGCTCTCTCTGTCTCTCTCTCTCAAATTAATTATATATGAGCTAGAGGAAGTTGCTATTCACAGGAATAACCTGATAAATCCTCCAGGAAAGACTATCAACCTGACTTTCTCTTTTCGGTAGATCCGTTTTTGTTGTTGTTTGTTTATTTCTTAGTGTTAGGCTTGATTTACGTGAAGTCCACTAAAAACCTTGGAAAAGAGAGCATTACGTCTGGGTAGTTCAGATCTTGTTTTAGATGTTGAATGTCTGTGATAAATTTGTAAGAGGAGGCTGGCTCCTCTGGAGCGTAGTTTAAACTGCTCCTTCTGTTTCCTACTCCTTCGTTCCAGCAATTCTTTGTAAATTTAGATGAGGAACAAAACCTTCCTCAAATATTTCTCCAAAAGAACTACACATTAAGTAAATAGGTTCTACAGATAGGACTGCCAATGCCAGGTTTTAAAGTTAGTTAGGAAGGTGCATCTATGAAATGCTTACACAGTGTGAGGGAGCAGGAATAGGAAGGGGCTGGGATAAAGGGAGACTAGAGGCACATTTGTCTTCATTGATACAGACCCAGAGAAGAGGGGCCTGAAAATGGAAACTTATTTCCCTCCTTCATAGTGTAAGCATAGCATTTTCCTCTACCAGCCCTACTATAGTGTGAATGTTTGTGTCCCCTCAACATTTGTATGTTGAAATCCTAACCTCTAAGGAAATGGGGCCTTTTGGGAGGTGATGAGGTTGTGAGGGTGGACCCCTCATAAATGAGATTAGTGCCCTATAAATAGGCTCAAGGGAGCTCGTTTGCCCCTTCCACTGGCGAGGAGACAGCGAGAAGGCGCCATCTCTGACCCAGGAAGAGGGCCCTCACCAGATTCTGCATCTGCCAACATTCTGATCTTGGACTTCCCAGCTTCCAGAACTGTGAGAAATGAATTCCTGTAGTTTGTAAGCTACCCAGTTTATGACATTTTGTTATAGCAGCCTGAATAGAGTAAGACACTACCCTAAAACTTGTTCAGTTTTTAGAAGATTCAGTGAGAGCCAAGTTTTCTTTTCTCACTGTAATCATAGGGATTGGTTCATTAGGTAAATTAAGAAAATGAAATTAAAAATTAAAACAGAAAAGGAACTCCAAAAACAAAAACAACAAAACAAAATTCATTTATCCTCTTCTTAGAATTTCAGCCAAATAAAGGTATATCCAAGTTGAACCTCCCAATCTAAAAATCTGAAATCTGAAATGCTCCAAAATCCAAAACTTTTTGAGCACCAATATAACACCATAAGTGAAAAATTCCACATCTGACTGCATGTGGCAGGGTGCAGTCAAATGCATTCGAAACTTTGTTTCATGCTCCAAATTATTTAAAATCATGTATAAAATTACCTTCAGGCTACCTGTATAAAGTGTATATAAAACGTAAATGAATTTCGTGTTTAGACTTGGGTCCTATCCCCTATCCTGAAGATACTTCATTGTGTTTATGTAAATATTCCAAAATACAAAAACAAAAACCAAAACCCAAGTTTAAAATACTTCTGGTCAGTCCCAAGCACTGAAGATAAGGGAGACTCAACCTGTATCACAACCAGCATTCCACCTTGGCAAGGCCAACAGCAAGCTTAAATTACATATGCTAATATGTTCTCAGTCTCTCTGAAACTATGGTTGTCAATTTGTTGTTTTGATGTTACCTCTAAGTAGTCATCAAAAGTAAGAAAATATTGTGTTACATTAAGGTTACGCTATAAGTCTCAGGAGAGGGCTGCTTACGTAAGCAGCTAAAGGAAAGCAGCACTAATGAATTGGTATCCCATTTCAGTTATTGTTAAAATATACACCATGACATTCAATATTCAGTGTTTTTTGAAATGGTTTAAGCATAACTCTTTAATAAGATCTTAAATGCCCATTCTTATTTAAAGTCATTTTTGGTTTTCACACTAAATTACGCTTTTTTTCCCTTTACTTTTGCATCTATTAACTCTATTCCTTAAATTATTATTATTTTTACTTTTGTTTCTCAAGGAGTTATCTCAATTTTGAGGAATCATGCTGGGGCAAGGATTGCAGTTGAAGTATTTTGCTTTTGGAGTGTATAATAGTATGAATAATTTTGTGATGTTTTGGGGTTTGGATTACTTTGGGAAGATCTGTGTCATTAAACATCATAAAAAGAATTCCCATCTGTCTTGCTTCAGTTTATAATTCCTTTCTTGATTTTTATGGTTGCAGATCTGTCAAAGCCTGGAGCATATTTTATGGGCATGTTTCATGGGGTCTTGGTTTGCAGAGGCTCCTAAGAAAATCTCCTTTGTGGAACCTAGGCCCTCCAAACAAAAGCTGCTGTACAATGAGGCCAGTTCTCTGTGGTCACCTGACTGACCCAAAGTTAGCTGAAGCCTGTAGGCCATGAATTATAAAAGAGATTTTTAAAAAATGAGAGTGCAAATGATATGTTTGACATAAAAGAGGTGGCGGGTTTTAGGTGTAATTTGAGAAGACTGATGGGTATGTGTGTGAGTTCAGCCCTAGCACCCAAATGCCAGGCTACTCTCAGTATAGCCAGTACTCCCCTGAGTTGGTCCATCAAAGGAGCCCGCTGGGCTCTCTGGAGGGCAGCCTGAGGAACAGGATATGCTCTGTAGTCCATGCTGTGACCAGAGAACCCACTAGTACCACCGGATGGGACTGCTGTCTTTCTCTGGTTAGGGGACCCCTCCTAGCACTACTTAGCGGACCTGCAGGTCTTAGGGAGACCTCTTCTCTCTTCCCTTGTGCTGGGAACCCTGCCAACAGTGATGAGAGCCCCAACCCTTTGCTCCTTTGGCCTGGGAGCCCCATCCTCCACACTGAATCTAGGGGCACCAAATTATGGCAATGAAGTTACTTTGTTTATCAAAGGAAAGAACCTATGCTTAATTTCACATAGGGAATTTGGTCAAAACAGGGTCATGTCTAGGACAGGAGCTTTTACATGGTGCAGATGGGTCCTTTTCTTGATGGCTGAGTTGATGGAGCTTCTTCAACAAAATGAGGAGTTTCTAGTCCAAAATTTTTCCTTGGGATTCTGCGTCTTTTAGAGTGATCCATTAGCTCCGCCCACCTCACCCCCCACGCCCCACCGTGTGTGTGTGTGTGTGTGTGTGTGTGTGTGTGTGTGTGTGTGTGTGTGTATTTTGTTTTCTTTTTTTATATATATAAAAAATAGAGAAGGAGTCTCCCTATATTGACCAGGCTGGTCTTGAACTCCTGGCCTCAAGTGATCTGCCGCCTCGGCCTCCCAAAATGCTAGGCTTACAGGTATGAGCCACTGCGCCCCTCCGAGTACCTGGATTTAAATCCTAGTTCTGCCATTTACAGGCTGAGTGCCTTGGACAGATAATTTAACCTCTTTGTGTCTCAATGTCCTTATGTATAATATGGAGGTAATAATAGTATCTGTCTAATAATGTTATTGTTGGTAGATAATACATTTAAAGTACATTAAATCAGTGCCTGGCACAAAATGAGCACTCAGTGAGCATTAGCTATTCTTATTCTCATCTCATTTAATTTTTTGAGGAAAGCATTGCTCCCCCTATTTCTTGCTAAGGACACTGAGGCTCAGAAAAGCAAGCGTCAGAGCCAGTTTGCAAACCCTGCTCTGTCTTGTTTCCAAACCTCAGGTTCTCTGTACCACTTCCTGTCACCCCTTTGCTGCCACCTGGTTGGCCCTGAGGCATCACAGATAATTCAACTTAAAGGGTTTGAAAAACATGAACTCAGAACATTTCAGAATAACAGAGCAACTAAGGTCTCTTGACAGAAGTTGGAACAATTAACCACTTCTTGTTTAGGCCAACAAGAGAGGCTTTCTGCTCGTATTTCCTGTCATTGAAATGTTATGTTTGTAAACGGCATTTTTAGGAAGTCCCCTCCTCCCCACCACCCCCAAATAAACTTTCCTGTTCCTTTTTCTCCAGGAACGGACACTCACTGAAATTGGAATTTTGAACTGAGATAAACATCATACTTGTTTTATTGGGATGACTTCCAGGAACAGACCGTAGGCAGTGGCAGTAGGTGTTATTGCTGGAAGCGTTGCATTCATGGTGGGAACTCTTCATTATGAAAGCTCATTTGTTGTTGCTTAAGGGATAGGATGACGTCCTTTGTTCACTGGGTCTCCTCCCAGCCCTGCAGTTAACAAAATTGATCCCACAGCCTCGCATGGACCCACTCAACTTGTATTTGTTAAACTCCTTCTGTGTGCTCAGTATTGCGCAGGACCCTGTGGGGTCGGGAGGGGTCACACTAAGGGGTGTAAAATTCAACCCGTGCCCTCTTGAAGTTTCCATACTTACTGGGGCAATGAGACCTTAAACGAGATATTTCAAGTGTGATTCCCAAAAGGTGTTGCAAACTCGGATGTCTTTAGGACCAGGCAGGATTTGTGACTGTCAGAAGCAGTTGAGTTTGAAATAATGGTGAGTGATGGGAGCTGGAGTGAAGTGGAGCATGTAACACCCCATCCTCCCACAAGGTGTTCATCTTCAAATTCAAATCTAAACCAGCCAAAGGCTCTGTGGCCCACATAAAGCTGGTCTGAAGCTGGGTCTTGCCCAAAGCCACCAGTTTTGACTCCTGTTTAGTAGTATAAAATAATGGTATTGATTTACAGTGAGGTTTGTGGAACTCAATTTCATTACTTTATAATCGTCTCATATTGATTAACTTAATAATATAAGGCAGTATCTGATTATGTACCAAGATACTGTTGCTTCTGTATGTTTCAGGAGGTTAGAAACAGTGGGGTATTGGTGTTGGAGGCCCAGAACTTATTTTCAGCATTTAAAAAATAGGCAGACCAGGTAGAGAAGAGATTTGGGAGAGTGAGGCAACTGGGGAGAGTATAATGAAGCATATGTATATAGAGAAGAGGAAATGTCCTTTGGGGTATCTTCTGAAGTGTCCTAAATATTCAGGCGAGTATTTTCAACTTGTGCTGTAGACAATAAGAAGCCGTTAGAGTTTTGGAGCCAGAAAGCAAAGTATTAATCTGATGATCTTGTGCAGGATGGTTTGGGAGTAGGTAGAGGCTGGCGGTGGGGAGACTCTGACAAAGCCTTTGAAGAAGTCTGAAAATTAGGGCAATAGAACCTCAACTGAGTAGGAGAGTCACAGGAAAGAGAAGGGCTGATTAGACATCAGGGCTGGGAAGACATCATGAGACAACTTATTTTAGGGGTGCTTAAAAACCTGTGGGTGTATGGGGGAGGTACCTGGCCCTTTTAAGGAAGAAGTGGTTAAGTCCGGTGGCCTGGGCTTGTTACAAAGTGAAGGTGAACTACTTAGTCAGCAGAATGAGGTATTGATGGAGAGAATAATTGCCCTGCAGAAATAAGGACACAGTGTCCTTCATTTTGTGGATTCATATTCTTCATGATGTGTGAGGCAAGATGAACTCAACGACTAAGAGAACAAAATAGGAGCTCAAATGAAATCCTTTAGGGACTTTTCTTTTTGTGGTCTCTTTTTGGCCAGGGAGATAGAATAGGGAACACTTAGAATTACTAGGGGTCAAGGTGGGTGTTGAGAAGAATGGAGGCCTTGTCTGGGATTTTGTTTAGTATTTTTTTAATCCCTCTGAATCTTGTTCTTATCGTGAAGGCCTTATGGTTGTAAATAGAATTTAGAGGATTATCAAAATACAAGTTGTTTATTCAAGAATTACGTGGGAAGAGAAAATGCAGGAGTACACCATGTCCAGTGATTCATGTCTGGACAGAGGCTAAGTCTTGGGTCACTCGCTTCACAAAGAGGCATCACTGTTCACTCAGGGGCTCCCACCTGAATCCCAGAGCAGACGGATTCAAATAAATGCACCAACCTCTATAGACCTGCCTTGCAACCTCAAACCTCTTGGGGTCAAAAGCAAGAAGAAATGTTTATGATCCTAGATTGTAGGGGAAATAATGGTGATTTTTAAAAACACAATTCCCCGCTGGGCGCGGTGGCTCACACCTGTAATCCCAGCACTTTGGGAGGCTGAGGCAGGCAGATCATGAGTTCAGGAGATCAAGACCATCCTGGCTAACACGGTGAAACCCCGTCTCTACTAAAAAATACAAAAAAAGTTAGCCAGGCATGCTGGCGGGCGCCTGTAGTCCCAGCTAGTCTGGAGGCTGAGGCAGGAGAATGGCATGAACCCGGGAGGCAGAGCTTGCAGTGAGCTGAGTTCGCGCCACTGCACTCCAGCCTGGGTGACAGAGCGAGACTCCGAAAAACAAAAAACAAAAAACAAAAACCCACAATTCCCAATCTGGGAAAGAGAGACTACAGAAAAGATTGATGAGATTGATTTTGGATAAGTTCAGTTTAAAAAGATGGTGGAAAAGCCAACAGAAAGTGGTCAGTAGAAGTTGGAGGTGGGGATCTGAGGTTTGGCTTGGAGATCAGGGCAGGAGAAACCAAGGGCAGCTGTAGACTTTGTGGATACACATTTTTGTTAATCATCTGCATAGAGATGGTAGTGGAATCCATAATATTGGAGGAGTATCTGGTGGAGAGAGGAAGACCAGAAGGATGTGAGCTTGTTCATTTATTC
Organism: Homo sapiens; assembly: GCF_000001405.40. Classification (NCBI taxonomy): domain Eukaryota; kingdom Metazoa; phylum Chordata; class Mammalia; order Primates; family Hominidae; genus Homo; species Homo sapiens. The sequence continues at coordinate 4,593,906 of NC_000009.12, read as the reverse complement.
CACAAATATTTGAGGGGACCCTGTGTGTGTGGCACAGGGAGAGATGAGACCCACAGTAAGGGAGCAGCAGGAGGAGGTTACAAAGGTTGTGGAAGAGTGGTGGAAAACGGTCAGGCGGGGCAGAATCTGGTAATGTCTTGGAAGCCAAGGAAAAATAACTTAGTGGAATATAAAGCTAATCAACAGTGACATATGTTGCAGAAGAGTAAAAATTGATGACTGAGAAAATGCCTTTTGGATTTCATGAGCAGGGCACTGATGACCTCGGAGTTTCAGGAATGTTGTGGAAGCCCGACTGTAGGGGATTAGGTGTTTGTGAGTGGGGAGGAAATGGAGTCACAGTATAAAGAATAAAAAGCAGCCCCCAAAATTTGGCAAGAAAAGGAAAAGAGAAATAGGGTTCCAGTTTTTATCCTGACAACTCCCCATCCCTGGTTTTGGAAAAGAAAGGGATTTTGGGGAGAGTTGGGGTTTGAGTGAAAGATTTAAAGGTGATATAAGGGAGGGATACAATGATATTGTATACCATAAAGGAGGTGAGGCTGGGCAGCTAGATGAGGTGGGAGATAATCTAGACATATTTAAAATTAATTTTTGCTAGAATGGGAAAACAAACAGCAATTTGAAGGAGCAAATTTGGTTGTATCAAATAAAATGTCATGATTAGAAAGCTTGTAAAGAGGTGACGATTGGATACTGTCATGCATTTCCTCTTACTTTTTAGGCATTTTGAAGCATTATATCTTAATAGTTAGGAAAAGACTTGGAATCATGTGAGTCCCAGCTCTGTGAACTTGGGCAAAGTACTTAACCTCCCTAAGCCACAGTTTCCTCAACTGGGAAACAGATGGTAATATGACCTGCCTAATAGAAGTGTTAAGAAGAATGCATGAGACTATGCATGTAAAATATTTAGTACAATCTCAGCACATAGTTAGTGCTTGGTGTTAGCAGTGATTCTTTTTTTCTTAAACCACTTTATTCAGGTATGATTGGCATACTAAAGGTGTACATATTTAGCATGTACAACTTGGTGAGTTGTGAAACCATCACCAAAGTCTATGCCATAAACCTATCCATCATCTCCAAAAGTTTCCTCTCACCTTCTTTATTTATTAATTATTTTGGGGGATATGATAAGAACACAACGTAAGAGCTACTATATTAGCAAATTTGTAAGTATACAATGCAGTATTAACTATAGCTACTATGCTATGCAGTAGATCTAGCCAATGATTCTTATCTGCTTTGAACATTTTAGATCACCCCAGACTTGAGTTATAATTGATATTCTAGCACTCCTGGCACTCTCTGCCTTACAATGCCTGGTGAAGAACAGTGACACTGCAGCCACATGGCTGAGCGATCTATTTGTTGTGTGGTCTTTGGGGAAGTTGCTTAATGTTTTGTGCTAGTTTCTTCGTTTGTGGAAAGGGGATAATAATAGTACCCACTTTATGATGCTGTTATGAAATTAAATGAGTTCATATTTAAGTGGTAAGAGCACTGCTTGCCACATAGTAATTGCAATGCCAACGTCTGCTGAGTAAATAAAAATGTTCTTCCTCTGTGATTTTTTTTTTTTTTTTTTTGAGATGGAGTCTCCCTCTGTCACCCAGGCTGGAGTGCAGTGGCGTGATCTCAGCTCACTGCAAACTCCACCTCCAGGGTTCAAGCCATTCTCCTGCCTCAGCCTCCCGAGTAGCTGGGACTACAGGCATGTGCCACTACACCTGGCTAATTTTTGTATTTTTAGTAGAGACAGGGTTTCATCATGTTGGCCAGGCTGGTCTCGAACTCCTGACCTCAGATGATCCACCCGCCTCGGCCTCCCAAAGTGCTGGGATTATAGCTGTGAGCCACTGTGCTTGGCTTGTTGTTGCTGTTTTTCCTTCTGGGCTCAGGACATCCCACTTGCTTGGGCACTCATCCTGGCAGGGAGGCTCAGGGGATACCTTCAGCTGTTAGGTCAACACCTTAAAAGAAACTGGACGTTGATTTGCCTTAGAGTGTCATCTCTAGGAAAGGTAATGATGCCCAAGAATAGGGTAGGTGACTGTCTGCCTGGATTGATATAGAAGCAAACATTTTCACAGTGGTGAGAAAAGCAGACTAAATATCCTTGCAGGCTGAGTCGGCCTTATTTGCATGTCTAATTTTTTCATCAACTGCAGTGGCATGTTTTTCTAATTTAACTGGCCCTTTCTGATGGAGCAGAGAGCCTTGGATTTGTGATTCATGTGAAGTTGACACATTCTTTCTACCTTAACCTTTCTGGCTAAATTAGAAGATGGGAGGATTAGCTCCAAAGTACCTGAGAGGTAAAGCCAACTTGGCATGCTGGGAAGACAGAAGCAGGTGTTGAGGATGGATCAGCCAGTGTCCCTCTATCGCCGACTGGTATTGCCTTCTTTTATCACGTGAATTTATACAGTAGCACTTCTCTGAGATCCATCAGACCTGCCTAGTTTCCTAAAGACCCGGACAGGATAACCTCGGATTCATTTTGGAAAACCTTTATAATTTTTTTTAAGCCCTTGGCTCAGAAAAGCCTTTTGGCTGGCCTTTTGTTATTCTTGCCAAGCTAAGCTAATAACCTTGGAAACACAACACAAGGGCTCTTTAAATAAAAGTTATGTTTGAATGCTTGGAGGAGGATCAAAGTCATCTTTAAAATGTACATGCCTTGAGCTCTTTGTGAAGGCATGCTCATACACTGGAAGGAGTAGTACCTTTTCTCCAGCGACTGCCCTTCCAGGATGACCAAAGTCATTTCAATCTGTCTTACCTTCACCTTGGAAAAGGTACTTTCCATGGGGCGCAGACAAAGGCAAAGCAAATCCTGGCCAGTGTTAGATCTCCAGACTCCTCACACCTTCCCCTGCAGCCAGACCCTTGACCCTGAAATGCTCAGATGATGCAACTCTGCATCGCATTCCCTCAAGTGCCCCGAAGCGAAAGAAGATGATGCGACATTGTGCTAACACTTGGTAATGGCTTTCCTGAGTTATGGAGGAATGGCAGCTACCAGAGCCTGCAGTCTGTCAGAAAAAGGCAGCTTCTTGGAGGGAAAATGGGGGACAGGCATCCAGACACTACTGCTCAGTTTAGTTGATTCTGCATTTAGTTCCAGGGTTATTTGCCTCCCTCCATTTTTTGATAAACAGTGCTTTTGTGAGGCAAGTTTCTCTCTAGGTAATATCCTGGAGTTGTCCCCGCGGGGCCAGAGCTTCCCAGCTGCAGGCTGCTGGGGCCTTCTAGAAAGCAGTGGAAATCCCCTAGAAGAGGCAATGGCATTCCTTTCTCATTTTCTCCAACCAGAATAATCAAAGGAATGTAATTGTTTATCTTGTCTTTTGGGGGTTTACTCATAACTGTTTTGAACTTGGTGATACCTTAAAAGTGGCAGGCCAAGCGGAGATTTGTAGATGAAACCATAAGTGTCACCCTAATTCTGGAGAGACACCTTCCAAATCACACATGACAGTGGTTTGCCCTAGTAAGGGAAGAAATGGGACATCAATTGTGTGGTTAGATCTCACTGCTTGCTTAGGAGTTTTGTGGCACTGTGCATGCAGCCCAGGCCATTGAGAAATGTCCCGATCATTTCCATCCTTGATGGATAACTTTATACACTTAGGTACACTCACCCAATTCCATATACAGGTCAATATTTTGTTCCCAGCCAGGCACGGTGGTTCAAGCCTGTAATCCCAGCACTTTGGGCGGCCAAGGCAGGCAGATCACCTGAGGTCAGGAGTTTGAGACCAGCCTGGCCGACATGGTGAAACCCTGTCTGTACCAAAAATACAAAAATTAGCTGGGCGTGGTGGTGCACACCTGTAATCTCAGTTACTTGGGAGGCTGAGGCGGGAGAATCACTTGAACCTAGGAGGCAGAGGTTGCAGTGAACCAAGATCGCGCCACTGCACTCCAGCCTCGGTGACAGAGTGAGACTCCGTGTCAAAATATATAAATATATAGTTCCCAAAGCTAATTTAACAAGGCCTGCTTCTTCTTCTTTATATTATCTGGCTTTCACTTTAAAAGTCTAGGATTGCAGAGAGGTACACTTCCTCCCACAGGGTATATTAAAAAGCCCCACGGGGGGCCCTGCTTCCATCAGGTGGGGAGACAGTTTTTGAAGAGTCACACAAGATTTATAGGCTGACTGCAAAAGTGAACTTCATGCTGTACTCTCATTTTCAGGATGTTTGAAGGGGTGTTATGTGAAGGTACATCTCAGCTTCACACAGCCCAAGCATCTCAAACCCCTCTCTGTGTTTCAGGGCATAGGAAAGGACTGCGAACACTTATTTTTTGTTTACCTCCTACATGACACTTTATAGAAAAAATTAAGTTTGATATTCTTTAGATTAAAATGTCCCATTTCTGAAAGGGTTTCCCCTTTATAGAATGGGGGCTGTTTACGAAGTCTCACTAGGTTGGATATACTGTTTGCTGTGATAACCCAGCCAGCACCACGTGGTAGGAGCTTCATTCCTTCATCACATCAGGGACACGGATCCTAAAATACTGGAACAGCAATTGCATCCCTACGGATTACCCCATGTTAATAAATGGGGGAGGGAGAAGGGTATAGTTTTTTCCCAGAAGCAGGGGTGGGGAGAAGAGGCACTAGCATTCGTTAGACATAGTCTGTAACAGAATCTTTGCTACATGCATCACATGCATTTTCTCATTGACTGCTGAAAGCAGTCCTGTGAGGAAATAATTTTTATTCCTATTTCATGGAAGAGGAAACCAAGGTTTCGGTTGTTGGCAAGGGACACAAAGCTGGTAAGGAATCAGAGCTGTGTGCCCACTCATCGTGTTCCATAGTCCCTTGCTGGGCAGTTGGGGAATACAGAATATCAATCCTGTTGCATAGAAGCTTCTAGCAGCCTTCCAAGGCTGCTAGACCATTTCCTGTCTTCTGTTCCAGGAGGGAAGATTCTTGAGCCCCTGCAAAGCAAACACTGCAGCTGGCCTACTGCCTGAGTATAAGCCAAGCACACTTCCCATGGCTCTTCTAAGAATCAGGGTATGCTTTAATAAAGGGCCTTGTACCCACTGGACTAAAAAAGAGTTGCTGGAAGAATAAAGTCATTCGTCAGCTGATAACACCATTTCTCTATTCATGAGTAAACTTTAGGCAAAATCAAAGTCACATGGAGACCCAGGGGCACCAGCTCTTCCAAACAAATATCTTTTTCTAAGGAGTTGTGTTGTTGAGTATTTTCTCCCACGTTGTACACAAAGGAAACTACCCAGTATTCCTTTGGCCAGGTAGTGATAGGCATTTTTATGAGCAGATAGGATCCTCTCCGTGGGAAACAGGGAGCTGTTCATTCCTTTGTTGTCTATCACAGCAAGTGAGTCCATCGCCCCCTGCAGAATCCCCTCATGACTGAGGTATTCCAGGCAGGACTGTACCATCCCATCAGAGATCACTCTGAACACAGCCATTTGTAGCTTGTAATCTTACTTCAGAGGGCAGGATTGTTCCTGTAGTGAAACCAAGCCACCATCATATTGAGAGGTAAGACTTTTTTTTTTTTTTTTTTTTTTAAATATAGGGTCTCTGTCGCTCAGACTGGAGTGCAGTGGCGCTATCACAGCTCACTGCAGCCTCAACTTCCCCAGGGTCAGGTGATCCTCCCACCTAAGCCTACTGAGTAGCTGGGACTACAGACACACACCTTCACTCCTGGCTAATTTTTGTACATTTTTGTAGAGATGGGGTCTTTCTGTGTTGTCCAGGCTGGTCTTGAATTCCTGGCCTCAAGTGTTCTGCCTGCCTCGGCCTCCCAAAGTGCTGGGATTATAGGGGTGAGCCACTGTGTCTGGTCGACTATCTCTTACTGTAGTAACTTCTAACAAAATTCTACTTTCATTCCGCCACAAAATATGCGTGCAGCTGTTCATAATGGCACTGTATTTCCGCCTTGTAATCCCATTGGCTAACATGAACAATCAGATTATTTTTCCTCAAGCCTCGCTTTTTCATTCTTGGGGTATAAAGTTTTGAAAACAATAATCCAGTTAGGCACAATGGCTCATGCTTGTAATCCCAGCACTTTGTTGGGGTGAGGCAGGGGAATCACTTGAGGCCAGGAGTTCAAGACAAGTATGGGTGGCATACTGAGACCCTATTTCTATAAAAAATAGAAAAATTAGCTGGAGTGATGGTGTGTGCCTGTAGTTCCACCTACTCAAGAGGCTGAGGTGGGAGGATTGTTTGAGCCCGGTAGGAGGAGGCTGCAGTGACCTGAGATCATGTCACTGCACTCCAACCTGGGTGACAGAGTGAGATTATGTCTCAAAAAAAGAAAAAGAAAACTGTATAAAATCTGATTCAACTGACCACATCTCTGCCTTCCCACACCCATCCAAGTAAGATAAAACAACAGATAACAAGAAGAAAAAGGCAGGGGGAAAGAATGAGGGAAGTGTTTATTGAGACTGAAATGGAACACTCTTCTCTTTTATGAGTTAACAGCAGTGTGTTAAGAGGCTGGTTTCAAACTGACTCCAAAATGATAACTGGCAGCTCATGAACAGCTCTGCCAACTAGTGCCACTAATTGGGGCAACCTAGTAAGGGGTAGAACCATTTAGCCCAAGATAAATTACTGATTCAATTTCATTTATATTTAGATTTATTTCCTATAAACAATAGCAATATTTGCATTTTAAAATTCACATTGAATCATTATTTACTATTTATGATGTTTACATAACAATTCAGTATCATTATGTTGTAGATTTCAGATGTAGGTCGTCAATACTGAGCACTTATCTACTCTTCTGCTATCTTTGGCACAATTTCTCATTTCTTAAACATGAAAGCACAGGTTTAAGTTGGCTACAGAATACTGCAGAAACATGACTATTTTGGATTTCAGTGTAAGTACAAGTTTATGTTAAGCATTATTTACAAGATGAGAACTGAAGTACAGACTATAATAAACTATCTTCATAAATTAGCAGAATGACAAGCAGAGGATGTAATGAATAGGGCCAAGATTACTAGTTAGAACAGTCCTCCTGGAGGAGGAGACAAGAGTCATAGAATGGAACTATTTCCCCCGAACCACTGATACCAGCTTATGTCGTGGGATTTACTCTGCAACAACCCAGGTTAGGGGAAGCTCTTTTTCTGCAACGTGGCTTGTTCAACCCATGGAATCTTTATTAAAATACAACTTAGTTGGTAGCTTGCCACTGTTATTTGGGCCCTGATAACAGAAGTGCAAGGATGGCAAAGTACTGGCCTCTTTGAGTATGAATGAACTTGGAAGAATAAAGCCTTCCAGTTGGATGAAAGCACATCCAGCCTTTTGTGAGTGACAGCTTTGTATATAATCTTATGCAGAGCTGATATGGATTCCCTCCAGGCAGCTCAAATCTGGAAGTTGTAAATGAATGGCTATGCCACCTTGGAGTATCACCATAATACATCTCTGCTTTAGAGCTGATATACAGATGTGAAACGATCGAACAACATGATTTCTCATTCTAGTGCTCCTTAGAAAGGAGTTCTGATAAGCCCCAAAGCAGACCTGGGTTGGAATCGTGGTTATTATTCAAGTACAAGGAGAACTCTTTATTTCACATTGACGGTTCAATTCTGATCTCTGTCTGGCAAATTATATGAAAATAATAAATATATACATATATATATATATATAGCTCTATGCTGAACACTGGGTTAACAGTTACCAGCGTCCCAATACAGTACATTGAAAAAAGAATCCTTCTCCCTTTCTTCCAAACCCTATGCCCATCTTAAAACTGTTATTGCAGAACTATGCTGGTCTGTTTTCTTTGAAATTGGCTGGAGATAAGTTAAAAATTGACATTTTGGCACATTAACTGGGGACAGGTGGTTTAGATGCATTATAATTTATAAAAAAGTGAGAGGTCAAAGGAAATCCATGCCAATAGAAAGCCTGAGTAAAAATTTGTAACCAATGACAGAATATTTTTTTTAAAAACCCAAAACACTTGTCTATGCATGAGAAAGCATTTTCTCTTTCATATCCATTACCTAATTCTAACAGTTATTACTTTATGTACTTCCAAACTTTGTCTCTTATAGAATTTCTAAAACCCAGATAATAGAACTTTCCTTTAAATTGATTTCCCTTCAACTTACCCCACACCCAAATCCCAAAACCCAGAGCGCAAAGGCTGTGAATCCAAATATAGAAAATAATCTGGAGGTCTGTATATCAAATCAAATGTACACTTGGCCATTAGTGTTTCTCTTTTCCTTAAGCAGTGTTTGAGATGACTCTCACGGAAATGTCCTTCCTTGTTTCCAGTCATCTGCAGCCAGGGGCCCTAGAACTGTGAGGTCTGGGTGAATGAGATGGTGTCAGACTTGTCTACTGCAAAGCCTCCATTGACATAAGACTTCTTGGTGTCTGAGTCTTCGTTGTCAAGGATTGTGGATTCCAAGGCAAAGGGATTCACAATGTTGACTTCAGATGAAACATCCATCTGCTCCAGCTCCTTCTTGGAGAGCTTTTCCACAATGCCCGTCCCAAAAGCATCACCAAGGACGTTGACCATGGTCCTGAACCGGTCCCTGGGGAGAGACGGGAGGAGTCAGACAGGAGGCCCAGATTTCATTTTCCTTCATCACTGGAGAGATGCAAGGACCTGACATGTTCAGTTTAGATTTCAGTAAGTGCAGAAAGTGCTGTCCTCATGGCTGACTGACTGAAGGCTCCTCACAGGCCTGGGGTTGTTCATAAAGGCACAGCATGAGCTCCCCCAAAGTAGCAATGACTCCCCTAAGTCTCCCTAAATTCCTTCCTCTTCTCCCAAAGAAACATGAATAGAGTCGTTCCAGATATTTTTTGGGGGACTGAGGGAGGTTCAGAATTCAGTAAGTTTTTCAGCCCTAACCTCTATCTTGGGATTTTCTAGATTCAATGCAAATGCCATTGTGGGCTCTCTTTGGGCAAAGGTCAGAGAACTTGGGTGTTTTGTGGGTGGAGTATGTACCATGTGCATGTGGGGTATGTATGTGTTTGTTCAGGTCCATGGTGTACTTGTTTATTTACCAATCTAGGTCACTCTACTTATGAGCAAACCAGGAGGCATGGTGCAGAGCACGGGGTCAGAAAACACAGGTCAGCCCAGGAATGGATTTCTCTGTGGGCCACCCTCATCCAGTCTTAATTTCCAGAGAGCCTGGGGAAGAGACTGGTGGCAGGAAGACAGGTAGAGAAGGCACACTGCAGAGGAGAGGATCCATTTTGATACTGGCACTTTGTTGACAGGAACTGCATGCAGGGGGAATCTTGTGAAAACTACACCTGCAGAACAGAAAAGGCTGACAATGCTTACACATGACCACCCTGGATGCCCTTCTGTTATTTAGAACAAGTCCAGGGATTGAACTGGCCCTAGTGTCTTTTTATCCCATACCTCCAATTGGACCTTTGACTCATCTGGGTATCTTGGCAGGGAAGGTAACTGGTTCCAGGAAGACTCAGGGAAAGGAGAAAAATGCAAATCCACCAGCATCACTAGAAAGAACCAAATCTTGACTCAATGATAGGATATCTTTGCAAGAAGGGTGCCACCTCATTTGGGCCTATAGCCCAGTTAGCTACTGAGGGGCCACCTCATGGCACAGCTTCCAAGCCAGGTGCAGGGGCTTTTGCCATTTGAAATGTGAATCTGTGTTTTCAAGCCCAATAGGATGTCTCTGCTTCCCTTTCCATCTCATCTGTCACCTGCAAACTACAGTACATAGCACTGGACTCCCCAGTGAGCCTGAGCTGGTTCTGAGCAAAGGCTCCATGTGGAGCAATACTTACCTGCAATGCCAGGGGACAGAGCCAGACCTAAATGCTGTAAGATCCATGCACAGAAGTGGGCATCAAGGGTAAAGCTTGGAGCCAGGCTGGTTCTAACTTTAACCTTGAGGGTCACTGAAGGTACTTTCTCACCCAGATGTTCTGCTGTATTCCATATGTGTGTGTGTGTGTGTGTGTGTGTGTGTGAGAGAGAGAGAGAGAGAGAGAGAGAGAGAAGTGTTGTTGATTGGGGCCTGAATGGTCCAACTCATTCTAATCATAACAATAAAACTTGCCATTTATTGAGCATGTATGGGCTGCCAAACGCTGTTCTAGATGCTCCACTCACATGAGCTCACTCAGTCCTTAAAACAACCCAATGACATAGGCAGATTTTTTCCCATCTCACAGATTATGCAACTGGGCCTCAGGTTAAGGAAACTTGCTCGAGGTCAAGAAGCTGGTAAGACACAGGACGGAGATTCAAACCCAAGTGCTTGTGCCACTGTCCCTGATGGTTCGGAAGATGCTTAGGAAGACGGACTGATTTTGAACTAGGTGGTTCTGAGCCTATGATGCTGAACCAGGGCTGGGATAGGTCAGGATGGCTCTGGGGCCCTGCCTGGCTTCTCACCTTGTTCTGTGTTTATCTCTGTCCCACACCCAGCTCCTAAGCTTGAGTGTTACCAGGTATAATGAGCTAATGGAGCTCACCGGCTTTTTAAAATCACTGCTCCACGTTATGAGGAGTTAATTTTTAGGCATGTTATCAGATGGCCTGGTCAGAGGAAAATTAAAGCAGCAACAGGTGGCTCATTAGGCAATCTGAGGAGAGAATGATGACAGACTGCAGCGCCTGCGAGGCTGGGAAGCCCGCCTGCACATCCAGCTAAGGCAGTGCATTTATTCCAACTCACAGGAGCCAGTCGACAGCAATGATCAGGGTGACATCCTCGGCGGGCAGGCCCACGGCACTCAGCACAATCACCATGGTCACCAGGCCAGCCTGGGGCACGCCAGCAGCTCCGATGCTGGCAGATGTGGCCGTGATACTGCAGAAACATACCAGCAGGAAAGGAGTTAGACACTTACCTCTCCCGTTAAAGCCCTGGCCTGAAATGGTTACTCCCGCTTAGTCCCGATGGCTATTACTGCTGTGTCCCTAAATTGGGTAGTTAGAATCTGTGACTTGCTGAGCCCCAGCTCTGCCTCATTACAGGATTAGAGCTGTGGGGGGAGGGGGACTATGAGGGGTATGATGCCATCTCCTTGCAGACGGAGATATGGCACATCACTCTAATGCAAGGAAGAACTGCATAAGTGGCACCAAAAAATAAGTAAGAGAGATACTCAAGAGGAAAGCAGGAGTTTACTAAATGGGGTGTTAATAGGAGGCTTCGTGTACTCATCTATGTATACATACACTCATCCTAAATAAGTGCCAGGTACCTCTGCACCTGCCTTCCTACTCCCTTGTTCCATCTACTCACCACCCAATAATTTACTGAGCACCTAATATATGGCAGGAATTTAAGTTGCCCTGAAGGATGGACAGAAGGATAGTTGTAGGGGCAGATGGGCAAGGGCATTTCAGGTGAAGGCAAAGGAATGAGACAATGGTTAAGCAGGCTTTATGCACTCTCTTGACATCACAGGACTCTTTACCTCTGGGAACTGCTCTTCAGGGCACTGAATTGAGAAATAGCTGATCCTGTCCAAGGTACAAGCATTTACTCCTGACTGCTCCTTTTTGCCAGTAGATGCACTTTGTGGGAAAGAAAGATCTGGAATCCAGGAGGGGCAGCCAGGTGAACTTTATTACCAGGTATTTAAAAAGATCCCTCTTGGTAAGATCAGCTGAGGCAGTAGGGATTTTTTTCTTTGTAATGTGCAGTCTCTTTATCAGCAACATCTTCCTTATTTTAATTGGATCATTCTGAAGGAAACAAGGGTTCAACATGCCCTGAAAAATCCCTTGACTTGGATAAGCTGGAGGCCACACCTACAGTGCTTTCTGGAGACAAGTCCTTGCCCTTGGGCCAAGGCCTGAACTGTTGCCCGGGTTCCACTGTGTTGAAAGGTGAAAATGTAAAAATTGGCAATTTAAACTGGAAGAATCCCTGATTCTATCCACACATTCATATTCTTTGGGGCTAAAAAAAGCCAGAGTTCTTAGGAAGCTGATTCTACTGCCCATTCATCTGCCTACTGAGGTGTTGCAGAAAGCATTTGAGGGTACAGTCAAACACAGGCCAGAGTTTTTTGACAAGTGTATTTTCATTCAGTGGTTTTGACCACCAAATTATAGTAAATTAGAGATTTCTGGGGCTGTACCAATTACTCTAAAGGTTTCAGGCCTCAGTCTCAAAGGTTTCTGGCCTCTATAACCCTTTGGATCTCTTCTGACCTAAGTACTCTTTGGAAAGCCCAAGTTTATTTTAATGCTGGTTGAAAAAAATTTAAATGGAATGCATCAACAGGTTTTCTTTGTCAGAAGTGATTTGTGTCCATGCCAGCTGATCCCTCTTGGAAACCCTGACGTGTCACAGTAATCCATGTCTCTATAGCCTGAGGCTGGGCTTGAAACTCAAAATTCATTTAGTCAAAGAAAACTCTGTCCTTGAGCCTTGACCTTGCTTACCAGACTACTGCTGTTTGACTGGCATTGGTCTGAAACTCAGAACTATGAACCTTCAGATGGGAGAAAATAATATAAAAACCTATTCCTGCTGCTTGAACATATTCTACTTTGAGTTAGAGGATTTCCACAGAAGAAAACATAAATATCAGTGGTACAAAGTTCTTTCCTCACACTGAGGTCCTAGTTTTAGGACCGGCCATTGGACTTGGCTCTCTAAACAGGTTGAAGGATGGCTTGTGACTTGGAGGGAACACAGGTTTTAGTGTCAGACACACCTGGGTGATGTACTTTGGGCTCTACCATTTTACTGATGGCATTTCTTCAGGCAAGTTACTTCTCTGAATCTCAATTCCTTGCCTGTAAGATGGGGACAGTATGTCTACTGCAAGCTGCTGGGAAGATTAAATGAGGTTAATACACGTAAGGCATCTGGGATAGCACTTGTATAGTAGATGCTTAAAAACATGCCATTTCCACACGTATACCTATGTAACAAACCTGCATGTTCTGCACACGTATCCCAGAGCTTAAAGTAAAATAAAACAAAAAACAAACAAAAAGATTAAAAACGTGCCATTTCTGCTGCTACTTCTGCAACAACAGCAGTTGCTGCTAATGCTTCCTCTATTGCTGCTGTCGCTGCTGCCACTGGTATTATTACTACTGCTACTGCAGCAACCAAAACAACAACTATTACAACAACTACTACTACTACTATTACTACTGCTACTTTTTTTTTCTCTCAGCTCTTTCTAGGCCCCAAATCCTACAATTGTCTTTCTTCTTTATTCCTTATACACACACACACACACACACACACACACACACACACACACACACACACACATATATATTTTTTTTTTTTCCAGAGACAAGGTCTCACTCTGTTGCCCAGGCTGGAGTTCAGTGGCATGATCACAGCTCACTGCAGCCTCCACCTATTGGGCTCAAGCGATCTTCTTGCCTCAGCCTCCTGAGTAGCTGAGACCACAGATGCACTCCATAACACCTGGCTAATTTTTGTATTTTTTGTAGAGACGGGGCCTCGCCTTGTTGCTCAGGCTGGTCTCAAACTCCTGGGCTAAAGTGATCCGCCCGCCTTGGCCTCTTAAAGTGCTGATATTACAGGTGTGAGCCTCTGCGCCCTGCTGTATAATTAGCTTTACTTTTCTTTCTTTCTTTTTCTTTTCTCTCTTTCTTTCTTTCTTTCTTTTCTTTGAGATGGAATCTCACTCTGTTGCCTAGGCTAGAGTGCAGTGGCGCCATCTCAGTTCACTGCAACCTCTGCCTCCTGGGCTCAAGCAGTCTGCCCACTTCAGCCTCCTGAGTAGCTGGGACTACAGGCACATGCCACCATGCCTGGCTAATTTTTCTTTTTTAGAATATTTTTGGTAAACATGGGGTTTTGCCATTTTGCCCAGGCTTGTCTCGAACTCCTGGACTCAAGTGATTCACCCACTTAGGTCTCCCAAAGTGCTGGGATTACAGGTCTGAGCCATCGCTTCCGGCCCTAATTATTTTTATAAGACAATTTATCCTTTTTTTTTCCATTTTGACACATATTCTCACACAATTTTCAATCCGTTGTAACCTTTGAGTATTATGATAAAGCCACAAAAGGGTATGTTTTGGGTAGATGGTACCTATGTTTCTTTGATGTCCAGTCCACAGAAATATACTTTGGGTCTAAAAATCTCTTTAACCATTAGTCACATGAACTATAATGGTAACTGTCAAGCAAAACCAACTTTTATTATTTTCCATGTAGAGCCAGTGAGGATTTTTAATTTTAAGCCAATGATTACTTTGGGCCTCACAGTTGTTATTGGCTCTGGGCCAGTAGTTTTCAGCAAATCTGATTTAAGAATATACCAGAGGTAGCCGGAGAGGCTTTAATGAGAATTGACTATTTAGCTTCTAGGCCCAGAGTTCATTCCTCTGGCAGTGAGATTAAAAAAATGATTAGAAAGATCTAGAAAACTTACAACCAAAAAAGAGGGAGGGATTTCATCACAAAGTGTCAAATACACAAAAGAATAGGCACTTCATAAACCACTCCTTGGAAATCAGTTCAGTGAAGACTGGGTTCCACAGCCCAGGGTGAGGGAAGTGGGAAAAAACCCTTGGAAATGTAAAAGTAACAACTGTTGGAAGCACAGGGGTGGTTGTGGAGCAGAAACTTTTTCAGGCATGATTCAAGGTTTCAATTTTGACATACCCTCTGCTGTTATAATTACAGGACTTTGCTCAATCTCTTTGGCACAGGCTTCTTTAGCCGCTAACACTTTTTATAGATTACACAGCATTGGGATAGTTCCCCAGCTGGTGTGCCAAATGGTGTATTTTGCACTTGTCTTCAGCCAACAGAAATACTTTGCGATTTAGGGTTGGGGAGGATTTAAAAAATGCATTGTATTAGAACATTGTTAGTTAACAAACTCTGATTTTATCCCTAGAATTTATGTTTAGGCTGGGACACAAGAATGAATTAACTCTAAAAAGTTCAGATTCAACCTTGAGCAGGCCTAGGGACCAGTTTAGTCTTAAACTTCCATTCTAAACTGAACAAAAGTCTTCAGGTTAACTCTAATCCCAGCCTATCACTCTAACATAGTGCTGTCCAAAAGAACTTTCTGCAATGATGAAACTATTCTGTGTCTGTGCTATCCAATTCAGTGGGCCACATGGCTAGTGGTTACCATATTGAATAGTGCTGTCCTAGAGAAACAAATCTGGCAAAATCCACTAATGACAGTTCTACCATCTACTTGGGCAGACAATGTCTATCCTCATTTCACTAGAATTCTCTGCAGCTTCTGACTCTGTGGACCATTTCACCCTTGAAAATCTCTCTTTTCTGGGTTTCCATGATACCAAGGTTTACTGGCTTCCCTCCCATCTCTCTGTCCTTCTCCCTCTCCCTCTTGGGTTTTCCCTTCTCTACCTGCTTCTAGTATTAGGATTTTTCCAAGCCTCAGTCCTTAATCTCCTTCTCTTCTCTGCAAACTCTCCCTACGTCATGTCATCCATTTTCAACATTCACTGAGTACTCACTACATAGGCACAGTTATAAACATTTTATATGCATATTACTTAATTGCCACTACTTGAATAAGTTGTAGGTACTATTATTCATTTTACAGATGAGAAAACAGAAGTTTAAAAATTCAAGTCACTTGCCCAAGATCACAGCTAATCATGATGTAGCCGCGATTCCAATACAAGCAATAACTTGTGACTTACACATTTGAAGACCATTATTAAGCCCATGTTCCTGATGTCTGTATCTGCAGCCAGACCTATATTTCTCATTGCATATGTGCAACTGGAAGTCTTAAAGGCATTTCAAATTCAATCTGTCAAAAAGTATTTACTATTTATCTTTCCCACCTATATGTGCTTCTCTTACACTCGTTCCTGTTCTGGTAAGCCCCACCCACCAATTTAGAATCATCTGCCAATCCTGGGAGTCATCCTGGCATTCCCTCGCCTTTCACCCTGAATCCAGCTGATGCTTCTTCAATTCATTAGCTCTTCTCCAACCTCAGTGTCAGTGCCTTCTAATACCCTGCCTGGACTTCTGCAGTGGTCTCCTAACTGGTTTCCTAGATTTGGTCCCTGCTCCCATCCAATATATCTTCCATATTGCTGCTTATCTTTGTAAAATGCAAATCTGCCGGGCGTGGTGGCTCACACCTATAATCCCGGCACTTTGGGAGTCTGAGGTGGGCAAATCACCTGAGGTCAGGAGTTCAAGACCAGCCTGGCCAACATGGTGAAACCCATCTCTACTAAAAATTCAAAAATTAGCCAGGTGTGGTGGTGCACGCCTGTAGTCCCAGCTACTCAGGAGGCTGAGGCAGGAGAATTGCTTGAACCCTGGAGGCGGAGGTTGTGGTGAGCCGAGATTGTGCCACTGCACTCCAGCCTGGGCGACAGAGCAAAACTCCATCTCAAAAAATAAATAAATACATAAAATGCAAATCTGTCCATAATATGACAAAGCATCTAAGAGCTTTCCACAAGCTCTTCGTACAAAACCTTTCATGACATGACCCCTGCC
Organism: Homo sapiens; assembly: GCF_000001405.40. NCBI lineage: Eukaryota > Metazoa > Chordata > Mammalia > Primates > Hominidae > Homo > Homo sapiens. The sequence continues at coordinate 4,577,385 of NC_000009.12, read as the reverse complement.
TCCTCATTCGTTTAAACATAAAGGAATGTTTATGTATCCTTTATGCCAGCCATAGCAAGAAATCTGTATGCTGTAACTAGCCCATGGCTGCATCACAAGCTATTTCTGCCACTCCAAATGCTCCTAGCTTTTCTTTTGCCTGCTAAATTCCTATTCTTCTAAGATTCAGCTAAATGTTCCCCTCCTCTGGGAAGCCATCGTTCACCTTCCCAGCTAGAACCAGCCCTTCCCTCTCTGGAGTCCTCTGTGAACACCATACAGAGTTCTCTTACATCCCTCATCATGGTCTTCAGCATTCATTTGGATATGTGCATGCCCATCTAGCAGGGATAGTTTGAAAGCAGGGACTGGCCCTTACTCAGCCTTGAGTCTTTGTGCTAGCCTGTGCCTAGATCCTACTGGCTTCAGTAAACTGAGCACAGAGTGATGGCTTTGGCTACCCAGACCCCGAAGCAGAAATCTTGCATACCAGGATATAGTCGTATTTAATCTTGGGAAGGGACTTTATAGATCAAGAAAAAGAATTCATCACTGCGACATTCTTGGTGTCCCTTCATGGACAATTTTTACTGGCGGTAATCCCTGTATCAGTGATGACAATGAATGTGACACCATGCCCCACCTGATGGTGATGATCTGCCCAATGCCCAAGTCCAGGTCATTCAACTGTGCAATAAACACCGCTGCCACTGCTTCATAGAGCGCAGTCCCATCCATGTTGATTGTTGCACCAACGGGTAACACGAATCGAGTGATCCTCTTGTCCACCTGGTTATTTTCTTCAGCACAGCGGAAGGTGACAGGCAGTGTTGCTGAACTGTGTGATAAAAATAGAAAGGAACTTATGTCTAGAAATGCTGGACCTTAGTCCCTGCCTGAAGACATGCCTGTCTTCCAAAAAGTAAACAAAGGGTCCTTTTAGGTAATCTTGTCGAGAAAAGTAAAGAAAATAACAAAACAAAATGAAACAAAGGATCCAAATCATGCTAGCCCTTTAGGCAGGTCCAGGAATCAGAAGGTGCTGTGCCCACCACTGCTCCCAGTTATTCCATAACCCCTTCCTGAGCTGCAGGTCATGCCAAGAGAGCAGGAAATATGCAACAGCATGAAGCAATGTGTTCAGGGCCAGGGGCCGAGAATACGGAGGTCATTTCTCAAAGACAGCTACAAAAACCGCAAGCTGGAGTCTGTTTTGTAAAGTGAGGTGAGAGTTGATAACGTTGAGCCTGGAGGCTTCTTCCAGAAACCCCTCTTCTGTTTACCTGGAAGAGATCATGAGAGCTGTCAGGAGAGCCTGGGCCATTCCCATGGCAAATCGGAAAGGGTTCTTTCGTACGACTATGAAATATATCAGCGGGAGAATTACAATGGAGTGGATTGCAAGCCTGTAAACAAGAAAGAGAAATTAAAGTTTCAAAGATAATACCACCTCCCCACACTTAATCCTTTTATCAAACATCTTTTTAATTTATAAAATTGTTTGACTTTCATAATGGCCCAATAAGAAATGGGAGTAGGGCAGGAATATACGTCCCATTCCATGTATGAGGGTTTAGAGGCTCTCTCAGCACATGAAGCATCTTGTCAGAGTTAATGACAAAGCCAGTAGCTGAATCCAAATTCAAGGCTTCACAGAACAGAATTATATCATGCTGCCACACCCCTGTGTGTGCTATTCCTGCCACATGCACAAAAGTGCCCTTTTTTCCTTCTGTTGCTGCTCAGTTCTTCTCCTCTTAAGACTCAGATAGGCATCCCCCTTCCTCCAGGAAGCCTTCCCTCACTTCCTCAGGTAGGGCTGAGCCTTCCTTCCTTGGCACCCTGTATGTCACCACTACCTTATACCTCATTATACCCCTTATCACAGCGCTCAGTCCTCACCCACTCCATTCCCTGCACCAAGCTGCTGTCTTGCTGGTGGCGCCCACTGTCTAAGAGGGAAGTCAGAGTTACAGTAAGGAAAAAAGTCTCAGCTCTTCCACAGCCATACTTTAGGATTATTTCTTTCTTTGTTATTCCTGCCTTCTCAAACTGTTCATTGTTTCACATGGAAATACACAGGTTACATGAACTAGGAGGCTTAAGAAATGAGACTCATTTCACAGATAGATATATATGTAACTGGCAGCTTAGAGTTTACAGATCAGTTATGTGTGTTTGAAATAGGAAATGGCCATCAAAAATATAGATCCTGGAGTTCTGGCGAGAGGATCTTCTTGATAGAGAGCTTGTAGCTAAAAACCATGAGGAACTGACTTTTAGTTTCCTGTTAGACACCTAGCTGGGGTAAGAGAATAGAAACCAGCAGAACTCGGTTATGAAATGGCTCAGCTCATACACCCCAGCCACGTCACTGCTGAGACACGATCCCTGGCACTGCCTGTTTCAGCAGCCCTACAGCAGGGTGGCCTCCAGTGAATTGGAGGTCCCACCTCCCTTAGCGCCAGGGGCCTCACACTGTAGGGACCAAATCTGCCTCTGTGTTGGCTGGCAGGGCTGTGTTTTTGGCAAACACAGATTAAGAACCAAATGCGCTGTGTTGGAAATCTCCAATACGATCAAGTTCCAATAGGTGAGTTCATTGCTCAAGTTGGGTGTTTGTAGGTATTGACTTGTGAGAGTCAAATCAATGATATTTATTTATTCCCTTAGTCTGTATTTCTTAGGGTATGTGACATATTCTGCCCCTGTCTAGGTGTCCAGGGGCACCATTCATAACTTATCCCACCTCATCTTTTCTCAAGGAAACAGTAGCTAGGCTGTAATAAATATGGAAACTACCCAACCCCTGCTGCCTTCCTGTTTAATGGCTTCCAAAAAGGCCCACACAATTCCTCCCAGCCTCAAGATTCTCCTGGCACCCTCTCTGACACTCTGATGCTGCAGGACATGGTGGTGGTTAACAGCCCCAGCAACAGTGTTTGAACCAACAGCCATCCTGCTCCTACTTGCTCAAGTCTGATTTCATTTAGGCCCTTGCTAATTTCTTTCAGGTTCAGGGTACATGGAGGCTATTCTTGCTTGCTTGGCTAGTTTACATTCTTAAGGAAATGAAGGCCAGGAGAGAGCCAAGGGAGGCTACGAGTGGGTTTCTCTCTTGTTGTAAAAAATTATTTTAACATAACCAATAAAGGCAGTGACAAAGCCTGGTCCAGGCTGTTCTGCCAAGAGCTGACAATTAGCACAGCATGATCCACCTACAGTACAGCTGTTAAAGGGCAGCCCTCCTCCCCCTGCTGTCTTATCTCTGAACCCTATCTTTCCCAGCACATAGGGCAGAAGCCAGTTTTAACCAACTGAAACCCAACCTCTCAGCGGCCATCCTATTAGATCAAAGGAGGTTTCTGTCTCTTCTCTTGAGTCTGACATACCCAGTCAGGACTGTGGCCATGTAAAGGCCCAGCTTGCGGAATATTTCCCAGTCTTCAACTTCTATGATCTTCCCAGCAATCAGGAACAAAATACCTAGTGGCATATAACTGGAAAGGAAGCACAACAGAGGCGTGATTCCGTCATCAAGTGCTTTCTCATGCTAGGTTGGTGGGGAAGGAACACTCCAGTGTGGGCACCCTCAGCTTGGCATGCACACTTGGTGGAGCACAGGATGGGAATTGAAGCTAAGAGTTGTTTCAAGTCCTGGGTGAACAATATTGGCTCTAGTTTTTAGTACCTGTGTGCACCTTAAATTCTACCCATCCAAACTACCATAGGGTAGTTTGCAAACTTGGCAAGAACATGTGGTTAGATGGGTGCGCACCTCATGCCGTGTTCCTAGTGCATATATATCCTGCTGATTGTCCTATCTGCAGATCTCACTTGAGCTTGACCCTCACTGCCAAATATGGCTCTTTCTAGCCACGGTCATCTGTTTCCCAGGTATCAGCAATAGAGGCGATAGTATTAGTACTGGAAGTGATCATAATAGCTCTATTTGTGGAGCTATCGTTGTATCTTGCATGAGGGAAAGTATTTTACATGCATCATTTCATTTAATGTACTTCTCCTATCCCTGGGGGTAGCTTTTATTATCCTTTTTAACAGATGATGAAGCTGAGGTTTCTGCAGTATTAAGTGACCTGCCTTGCCATTTTTACTGAACCCTTTACATCACTGTCAGTATCTACACTTTGGATTAAATAATGTTGAACAAATTAAATATGAGGTAAGCGAGACAGATGCATCCTAAGAAAGGTGGACTTTTTGGCATTTTCAGGGAGAGGACAGACACTGAAATGGTGTCACTGGTATGCTCACGGATGGTAGCTTTCATTCAGATGGGTTAGTGCCCATGCAGTGCCAGTTATAAATATTTTGAAACTCACTTTTGCATGGGGTGCAATAGGGAAAGCACTTTGTGTTCTCATGTACAGTGAAATCCTTCAAATCATTTTTTAAAGAATTACTTCTTACACGAAGGCTGGTTGAGTGCAAGATGATCTCCCAAGGCTTTGAGGGAAAAGACAATGGTTGATAGCTAGACTTCTGTTCATGAACTAACTCCTGGGTAATATGTGGAATTATTTAATACTCTAGTGGTGGCTGGGTGTGGTGGCTAATGCCTGTAATTCCAGCATTTTGGGAGGATGAAGTGGGTAGATTGCTTGAGCCTAGGAGTTTGAGATCAGCCTGGGCAACATGGCAAAACCCTGTCTCTACAAAAAATACAAAAAAATAGCTGGGCATGGTGGTACATGCCTATAGTCCCAGCTACTCAGGTAGCTGAGACGGGAGGATCGCTTGAGCACAGGAAGTTGAGGCTGCAGTGAGCCGAGATTGCACCACTGCACTCCACCCTGGGGTGACAGAGTGAGACTCTGCCTCTAAAACAAAAACAAAGAACAGCAACAAAAGCCCCCACAAAATACTCTGGTGGTTCAATATTAAATGTCCAACTTCTCTAGCTTCATCAGTTGACAAACATAAAACCTCTTCTTTCTAATTTTGAGGAGACAGAATTGTCAGGGGAAGCAAAATGACATTAAACAGTGTCTGCTCACCACATGATGATCTGAACGATTTTCATGGTTGCATCACTCAAAGCATTGAAGAAATCCACCAGAATTTGTCCCTTTTCTCCCATTTTTCCAATGACAAGTCCAAAGACAAGGCAAAAGACAATCAAGCCCAGGACGTTTATGCCATCTGAATACATGCCAACAATTTTGTATTCCTTTGTTTTGTTCTGTGGATCAAAACCAAGAAAACATATTGATGCACGATTATAATCTTGTTAGAAAGCACAGGTCCAGAAATGAGAAGATACAATGACCAAACATAATAAACTGGTGATCTCCCAGGCAGAGTCAACAAAACTATAGAAAATATAAAAACAATAATAAAAACACCTATGCATGTAACAAACTTTACCCTTGCTCCCCGAAGTTAAAATGCTTTCTCTTCTTTCAACAAGTCCATATTTGAATATTTCTTATAAAGATTTCTTATTCTGGAATGGTTTATATTTTTATTATGAATTTTAGATTGAAGGCACTTTTCAGGGTCATTTTAACTGCTAGCTACATTTGGAGTCTGCTTAAAAAAACACAGGAATTAATAATGCAGGAAGTACAGAATACTTACCAGTGTGAACACTTTTAGGACATTTTACCTTCTGTTTTACCCTGATAATGAAGCACAGTAACACTCTTTATGCCTGCGGTCTTGGATGACCAATAGGATTATTTATTTATTTATTTATTTATTTTTTCTGAGATGGAGTCTCGCTCTGTTACCCAGGCTGGAGTGCAGTGGTGGTATCTCAGTTCACTGCAACCTCCACCTCCCGGGTTCAAGCAATTCTCCTGCCTCAGCCTCCCTAGTAGCTGGGATTACAGGCATCCGCCCCCACACCCAATTAATTTTTTGTATTTTTAGTAGAGACAGGGTTTCGCCGTGTTGGCCAGGGTGGTCTCGAACTCCTGACCTCAGGTGATCCGCCCACCTCAGCCTCTCAAAGTGCTGGGATTACAGGTGTGAGCCACTGTGCCCAGCCAGGATTTTTTTAAAAAAACTTTTACATTCAGGGGTACATGTGGTGCAGGATGTACAGGGTGTCATGGGGTTTGTTGTATAGATTATTTTATCACCCAGGTATTAAGCCTAGTATCCATTAATTATTTTTCCTGATCCTCTCCCTCCTCCCACCCTCTACCCTCTGATAGGCCCCAGTGTGTGTTGTTCCCCTCTATGTGTCCATGTGTTCTCATCATTTAGCTCCCACTTATAAGAAAGAACAGGCAGTATTTGGTTTTCTGTTCCTGTGTTAGTTGGCTAAGGATAATGGCCTCTAGCTCCATCCGTGTCCCTTACAAAGGACATGATCTTGTTCTTTTTAAATGGCAGCATAGCATTCCATGGTATATATGTACACATTTTCTTTATCCAGTCTATCATTGGTAGGATTTTAGACATATAAAAATTAGCCAAATACCTACTACTGTGAATCATGTTTTTACCTTTTTTTTTTTTTTAAACAGACAGGGTCTCATGTTGTCCAGGCTGGGGTGCAGTGGCATGATCATAGCTCACTGCAGCCTCAAACTCCTCAAAGGAGGGCTCAAGTGATCCTCTCACCTCAGCCTCCCAAGTAGCTGGGTCTACGGGGGCATGCCACCATGCCTGGCTTAATTTCTTCACTTTATCCTGGGTAAAAATAGCCTGAGATTTACAGAGAGATAACTGAGTGGTGCCAACTATGTTTATAAAGAATTATGTTAGCTGGGTGCGGTGGCTCACACCTGTAATCCCAGCATTTTGGGAGGCTGAGGCAGGTGGATCACCTGATGTTAGGAGTTCAAGACCAGCCTGGCCAACATGGTGAAACCCCGTCTCTACTAAAAATACAAAAATTAGCCAGGCATTGTGGCACGTGCCTGTAATCCCAGCTGCTTGGGAGGCTGAGGCAGAAAATTGCTTGAACCCAGGAGGCGGAGGCTGCAGTGAGCCAAGGTCACGCCACTGCACTCCAGCCTGGGCGATAGAGTCAGACTCCATCTCAAAAAAAAAAAAATTATGTTGAGGACCCACTGGGCTACCAGTCATTTCTTACTTATGATCAAACATATATTTAGGGAAAAGCTAGAGTATTACTGCACTGGCTATAGCATAAGGTCTTAAGATTCAGCTGGAGAGACAAGACTGACTGTGAGAAGCATGAGCCAATAATAGCAGGAAGGTATGTAATTAATTGTGCGCCCAAACTATGAGATACAAGCGTCATATGAAGAGTGGGACATGAATGTGGGTTTCAAGGTTAGGGAAAGCTAGGGCTGAGGAATCAGCAGCCAGGAGAAAAAGCATGTTTCAGAAAGATGGCAAGCAAAGGCAAAAACGATCATGCACTGGGCCTTTGCACCCTGCTTGAATAATTCTTGCTCATTCATTATGGCCTCCAGACTAATTTAACATCCCTTGCTGAATGCCTCCCAAACATCCCATTCTTCCTGATTATAATACTCATCATTCTTTGTGTGAGGACAGAGGCCTGGCATCTGTCTTTTCACCATTATAATCCCAATGCCCAGCAGGGCCTGGGGTATAGAGGGTGCTCAGAAAGTATTTGTGGAACAACATCAAAAGGCAGGAATAAGGAGTGATGGAGGAGGTGAATCTGGAAAGAAGAGAGGTGCCCACTGGAAGTAAGCTGTGAAAACTAGAGAGAAGCCAGGTCATGCAGGGCCTCTGAACTCAGCCAGAGGAGTTAAGGCTTTCTGCAGTAGGAAGCAGGGAGCCAACGGTGGTTTATTTAATTTGAATTCTTAAGTCTAATGAACACTCCTTTTCTCCTTAAATCATTCCTTCCTGTGTGAAGTTGAGAGAACATTCGGGAGAAATCTGCTACAGGCTTACAGAGGTACCAATGCAGGCCCACACATTCTGATCTCCAATTCTGAAATCCCAAAAGCTCTCAAAGCATGTTGATTTTATTGATAAGTTTATAGCAAACTCTTTTGGCAGCAAATCCCATCCTAAACTGAGATGAGGCTACTGGCTACTAAGGGTCCATTTCTCTCCTTGGCAGAATATTTATGAGTTTGTTATAAAAACATTGATGTGGTTGATTCTGGCATGTTGTTGCCCATCCCACTTATAAAGGTTGCATAATATGCAGTATATACACCACATGGCCTTTCTAAAGTCTGAGAAACTCTGAACTCTGAATTACATCTGGGCAGAGAGATTCAGACTAGGAATTGTGGGCCTGCATTGCATGCTTATGTACCTGACAAATCTATAGCAGTTTCTAGAGATGGCCAGCTCTACTGTAAGCAGACCCAGAGAGGTAGAGGCAACAGGGCTCTTTTTTTGCTCTTTGTGGTCGACTCTCTCTATTCCTGGTAGTTATGTTCTATAAAGTGCTCATGAACACTGAATTAGCAAATACTGAACCGTTGCTCCTGGGGGAAATACAGGGTTAAGTTTCTGGGAACCTTGGACACATCCTTTTCAGCAAACAATCAATATATAACATTGTTGTATGTGTTTCTTTTAAAGACACCTTGTTTCATATAGATTGTTAATTTATTAATACTGACCTCACAGCCAACAGCACTATAACTCATGCCTGAATGAAGCTTATCTAAAGCACAAATTTTCTCCCTAAGGCACATCACAGTCTTCTTGTGCTTAGGAACACTGGAGACCACTTCAATATGATGCTTTTTTGTGTGTATGTTTTTTTTTTTTTTTTTGAAACAAGAGTCTTGCTCTGTCACCCAGGCTGAGTGCAGTGGTGCAATCATAGCTCAAACGATCCTCCTGCCTCAGCCTCTCAAGTATCTGGGACTACAGGCATGTGCCACCACACCTGGGTAATATTAAAATGTTTTGTGCATATGGGGTCTCACTATATTTCCCAGGCCGGTCTCAAACTCCTGGTTTCAAGCGATCCACCTGTCTTGGCCTCCCAAAGTACTGAGATTACAAGTGTGAGCCACCATGCCCAGCCTGGTCCTTTTTTTTTTTTTTTGAGACAGGGTCTCAGTCTGCTACCCAGGCTGAAGTGCAATGATTCAATCATGGCTCACTGCAGCCTTGAATTCCCTGGAACAAGCAATCCTCCCACTTCAGCCTCCCGAGTAGCTGGGACAATAGGTGTGCACCATCACACCCGGCTATTTTTCATTTTTTGTAGAGGTGAGGTGTCACTATGTTGCGCAGACTGGTCTGGAACTCCTGGGCTCAAGCGATCCTCCCGCCTCGGCATCCCAGCATGCTGGGATTACAGACATGAGTCACTGAACCCCACCTTGGTCCATTTCAAACAGCGAAATCAGCAAGAAAAATCACAAAAATGCAAAAAATATGACACTAAACACACTGCAAAAGGGACACTTGTTTCCAGCATGAGAATCAAAGCAAGAAAGCAGAGCACAGCCTTTTTCACCTTAGCTGGGAACGTGCCTGTCGGGTGACTCAAATATTTTGCCGCTCTTTGTGTGCGAGATGATGACCATGAAAGCCCCTTAAGTATGGATTTTGGGGTCACACATAAATTTTAGCAAGTAGGTGAATTTGCAAATGCGATTCTGTGAATGACGAGGATTGATTGTATTTCCTGCTCAGTCATGACTCAGTGCCTGTCTCCTGGGGAAGAGGAACAGGAAATAAGAATGGTACCTTGGAAATTGCAGTTGTCATGACAGCTGTGAAGGACTCTTCTGTCATGTTCATCTCTGGATCGCTGGGAGGCTTCACTTCTTCACGCTTAGTTTTGTACTGCATGTTGGAGAAAATCAAGGACAAGCAAACAAAAAAAGAATTTTTTTTAAGCTTTTGAGACTAAATCACAGGAACATGTTATTTTGGCCAAACAGTGCCACTGAAGGGATCTACATCCAATGCCTCTGTTGGCTCCAGTTGTCAACGGTACCTCCCATCAGGTTTTGGAACTAAAAGCGAGGCAGAAATTTAAACCCCTGACTCCCACGATCACCATTCAATTATGTCAAAATGTTCCTTCACTTTCACAATAAACGACAAGTTGATAGAAGAATAATACAAAAGAAAGTACAGGCTTGATCTGCAGGTGCTGTCAGAGACAGACTCTGTAAGGATTCCTGTCAATCATTTTTGTTTTTATTAATTAATAAATGATTTTTAATCTGAGCAAACACACTTCATTACTTTGATAACATCACTACAACTTTAATAAGCATCAAGAAAGGTTTAACGATATGGTTGTTCCAAAATCAACAGTCCCCTTGGGGCTATTCAGTGAGTGAGACTGCAGTTGAATTCTCTTCTTTCAGCCCTGTTTGGTTCTGTGGAGCTTCCACATGGGGATTTAAGAAAGAGTGAGTATATTATTACACCAGGCATAAATGTCCCCCACTACCAGGCTCTGCCAACACTGAGAACCTTACAAACAACCACTGTGACTGATCTGCAAAGGCCCCCTGTAATAGAGGAGGTTCTGTCCCTCGTGGAGGCCGGCAGAGAGCAACAGAGTTGCCATTTTTGTTGGTATACACAGAAGTCTGTGTTCATGTAACTTATGTGAATGAATACAGCAGTTTGTGATGGACTCAGCTGTCTTAAAGCACATAGATAAATAGGAGGGAAAGGCTTGAAGTAAATGGAGTGAAGAGATTGTTCAATTTTCCTACAGAAAAAAAAATCATGGCTTTGTTACACTGCATTGTAGAGCTCCAGCAATGGGGATACAACGATTTTTTATATTTTTTTTTAAATTATTTCTTTTTAGAGACATGGTCTTGCCATGTTGCCCAGGCTAGTCTGGAACTCCTGAGCTCAAGGGATCTGCCCACCTTGGCCTCCCAAAGTGCTGGGATTACAGGTGTGAGCTTCCACGCCTCTCTGGGACACAATGATTAAGGAGAAGACTGAACCCAGATGTGGACCACACCATGAGGGTTAGATCCTGGGTTCTAATACCAGAGGAAAAGCAAAGAGGAGATAGAGAGCTACCTTTTTTCTGCAGAAAGTTTAAACTTCAGTACAAATATACTATGGTTCTCCAAAAATAGGTACTGGAGGCCACATTTTAAAATACTCATTATTTGACAGATTTCTGATTTGTACCATTTGAGCCTTTTTGGGGGAAAAAGCATAAAGGAAAAGGAAGCAGTGTAAATTGTGACATGCACCTTACTGTGAGCCAGAAAGGCTGCATACAAAACAGAGACATCACCTTAAACTTGGCCAGTCACAGGTTTACTTCCTGCTGCCATTTTCACGGGGCTAATTCCATTTCTTGAGTCACAGCAGAAAAAAACATTTTTAATTGATAATGGGAAGAGGGTAGCAAGTTAAGGGCACAAGTAATTAATATTACCTGCTGAAAACAGGCCTGGACAAGATTCTCAGGGAACATATTCCTGTTGGAGACATAAAAGGCAGTATTATGTTAGGGCAAAAAGTATTGTTTTGTCATACCTAATATATTGGTAGAAATTAGTATAACATAAAACTAGTACTCTGGTTTCTCTTCTGGCCCCTGCTTTGCGTAATACTTCCTTGTATTGAGATTTCTTTTTTCCTGCTGAGCTTCACCCAAGTATAGAAAGCTCTGTAATCAACCATCACTTAATTGATTCACTGAGTAACTGACATGCTTACGCTCCTTGGTGAAATGGACACTCACAGTCAAGAGACTATTTATTCTTTAATATTCTGAACACTTCTGTTTTCATCAATGAGGTTGTATGCTTACTGATATGGTTTGGCTCTGTGTCCCCACCCAAATCTCATGTCAAATTGTAATCCCCACATGTCAGGGGAGGGGCCTTGTGGGAGGTGATTGGATCATGGGGGGTGGTTTCTCCCATGCTATTCTCATGATCATGAGTGAGTTCTCACAAGATCTGGTTGTTAGAAAGTGTGTGGCACTTCTCCCTTCGCCCTTGCTCTCTCTCCTGCAGCCATGTAAGATGTGCCTTGCTTCCCCTTTGCCTTCTGCCATGATTGTAAGTTTCTTGAGGCCTCCCCAGCCGTGAGGAACTGTGACTTAATTAAGCCTCTTCCCGTTATAAATTACCCAGTCCCAGGTAGTTCTTTATAGCAGTGTGAAAATGGACTAATACACTTACCAAGGGTTCATTTTATTTGTTCCCAAATTCTTTATACCAGTTGCAAATATCATCATAATTACTGCATTTCATATTATGTAAACCAGTGAAATATGAGCATAAAAAGAAGGTATGGTTTCTATAAAATCTAAGCCACATACCTGGAAACTCAATAAAGGCCAGTGACTAAAATTTTTATGGTTAGATTAGGTATGGGAAGATTATTGAAATTAAAAAGAAAAACTGGAAAGATTTGCACTTAGCTTTCTTTGCAATGTCTAAAAGTTTTGGTGCTCTGTTCTATAGAAACTTTACCTGGAAATTGCAGATGATATATTTATAAGGGCTGTATATGCAACAGAACCCGTAAGAAATTACCATGAGCTAACAAACTTGAAGAAAAGACCTTAGCTTTATGTCAAACAATTGGTGAATAAATGCACTAAGTTTTAAGTGAAAACAAAATTGTAATGTGTATCTTATGTCTTTTTTTATGAGTCTCTGCTTTAACTGGTATTTTTTATTGACTGACCTATTTACCCCTCTGGTTGCTTTAGATAAGAGAGTTTCTCCTGTACAATTAAAAGATGTATTTTTCTAAGTGCGCTTCAGAACTGACTACCAATCCATCCCAGCATCTCTCTGGAACATGTAGCTGCATCTCTGTTCATCCTAAATCCTGATGCGGAAGCCTGTTTCTTCCCTTCCCTCTTGGAACCAAGACTTGGCAAACAGTACTGGCTATGTAATTTGTGGGTTCCTGGGCAAAATGAAAGTGCACAATAATTCAAAAGTTATTAAAAATTTCAATACAGTAACAGCAGAATATTAAACCACATACAAGGCCTTGTGCTGCTATCCGCATGCCCTTGAAGCCACCTTGTGGCAAAACACTCACCTGATGAGATCTAACATGGCATCCACCGTACTGACTTCAGGGGTGCTGCCTGTCCTCGCAATTTCACCCACTTTCTGGGTGACACCAGGCTTGATGCTCACCACCAGCACAATACCTGTGGCCAAGAACAGCGTCCACAGAGCATTAGGAACCTTCCAGGGCACCTGGCACAGCTGGCACCTTTAGAACAATGGGCATGGTTGTACCAGGCAATAGTGTGATGGGGAGGACCCTGAGGTCCAGCCAAAATGCTGAGCCTCCTCTGGAACCTCAGCAGCCACCTTAATTACTCTTCCATTTAAATGAGTAAGCAGAAAGAACTCCATGTGCTTGCGTGCGTGCGTGTGCGTCTGTGTGTGTGTGTATGTGTGTTTTAAATGAAGGGGCTGCATCCCAGAATTGCTTCTGGAAACACCTGCTGATGAGAATATTCTTTTTCTTGAACTTATGAGACCAGCCTAGGAAGGTGTTAGGGTAAGGATGATCCATTTTCTAGCCCAGAGAATGCATCTGATGTCTTTCTGCAACTTTTACCCAGATGCTGGTTATTCTCCTGAGGATCATACAAAACAAGCCTTGCCTTCCTTCCATACCGTAGGTCTTCAAGTATCTAGAAAGCAGTCATGTAGGAAAATGCTGTTCCGGGGGTGGAATGAGGACAAATAGATGGGATTTATAGGGAGAGAAGGTTCATCTCTCTGTAAGGAAGAACTGTCTACATGGCAGAGCATCTGACAGCATCATTGTGGCCTTGGGAAGTAATGGGTTCCTGTCACTTGAGTATCCAAGCCAAGATGGGAGGCTGTAGAAGAGACCAAGACATTGGAGGGTGTTTGACTGGAGGGAAGTGAAGAAGAAAAAGGTCCTCATGCTCTTTATTGCTCCTCCCTCAAGAAGAGGCAATGGTAATCCAGGGGGTAGGGCTCTGGGATGCTGAATGGGTCCATTTTGCTAATGGGAGGAACTCCTGGGCAATAAGGGGCCATGACTGGGCATGGCCCACTCTTTTCCTCTCTCAGGGTTGTAGAAGGGCTATACGCCTCCAGCTAATAAGAGAGCAGTATCTTGATTCTCATTGCTATTTTTTCTCTGTGTCTGTCTTCCTCAGGAAACTCATGAGATGATGTGGTTTTGTTTTATGGTACAGTTCAAGCCCTCCTGGGTCCCTTGGCCTAATACCACTAAAGCCTCACCACATCCCACCCCTTCTTATCAGCTCATTGAAGCAGGGCTACAAGGGCCGAGCTGCTGCCACATCTGAGTATATGCTCCTTCTGTCTTCCCCCTCTGGGCATTCTTCTTTTTTTTTTTTCTCTCTCTCTCTTTTTTTTTCTTTTATTATTATACTTTAAGTTTTAGGGTATATGTGCACATTGTGCAGGTTAGTTACATATGTATACATGTGCCATGCTGGTGCGCTGCACCCACTAACTCATCATCTAGCATTAGGTATATCTCCCAATGCTATCCCTCTCCCCTCCCCCCACCCCACAACAGTCCCCAGAGTGTGATGTTCCCCTTCCTGTGTCCATGTGATCTAAAGGACTATAAATCATGCTGCTATAAAGACACATGCACACGTATGTTTATTGCGGCATTATTCACAATAGCAAAGACTTGGAACCAACCCAAATGTCCAACAATGATAGACTGGATTAAGAAAATGTGGCACATATACACCATGGAATACTATGCAGCCATAAAAATGATGAGTTCATGTCCTTTGTAGGGACATGGTTGAAATTGGAAATCATCATTCTCAGTAAACTATTGCAAGAACAAAAAACCAAACACCACATATTCTCACTCATAGGTGGGAATTGGGCATTCTTCTTAAAATGTCACTCAGGGTTACAAAGACCAAGCATTCTTCAAAAAACTATGCTAAGGGTATAAGAGCAGCTCCTCCCTTATTAGAATTTTCTCCCTCTTACAAGTGGGATTTATCCTTAACAAGGATCTATTAGCTGTTAGCTCTTGTTACTACGTGAAATGCACTAAAATGCTATATTTCTGGAAATATTTTATAATTATACTCAACTCCACTATTATAGACCAATCATCCACTTTAAGAATTATGTAAGTGGCTGGGCATGGTGGCTCACACCTGTAATCCCAGCACTTTGGGAGGCCAAGGCAGGTAGATCACCTGAGGTCAGGAGTTCAAGACCAGCCTGGCCAACATGGTGAAACCCTGTCTCTATTTAAAAAATACAAAAATTAGCTGGGCATGGTGGTGTGCACCTGTAATCCCAGCTACTCGGGAGGCTGAGGCAGGAGAATCATTTGAACCCAGGAGGCAGAGGTTGCAGTGAGCCGAGATCATGCCACTGCACTCTAGCCTGGGTGACAAGAGTGAGACTCCCTCTTGAAAAAAAAAAAAAAAAAAAAAAGTAGTTAGGGCCAGGCACAGTGGCTCATGCCGGTAATTCCAGCACTTTGGGAGGCTGAGGCAGGCAGATCCCTTGAGCCCAAGAGTTCAAGACCAGCCTGGGCAACATAGAAGACTCCCCACGTCTCTTTTTAATTAAAAAAATACATATTTTAAAAAGTAGTTGAGCTTTTCTTAACATACAATTTTTTAAAATCAGAAAGTAGTATTGTCAAAGTACCATAAAGTTTTTCCTTTGAAGTCTGTCTGCCAGGTTCAAGTGATTCTCCTGCCTCAGCCTCCCAAGTAGCTGGGACTACAGGCGCATGTTACCATACCCGGCTAATATTTTTGTATTTTTGGTAGAAACGGGTTTTCATGTTGGCCAGGCTGGTCTCAAACCCCTGACCTCAAGGGATCTGCCCACATCAGCCTCCCAGATTTCTGAGATTACAGGCCTGAGCCACCGCATCTGGCCACCAACTACTTTTCGAATGAAAAAATCACCATTACATAAAGTAGTAAGGATTCAGAAATAAGTATTACCTAGAATAACAGCAATGAGAGTGGTACAGAAATAATACACGACAGCGCGCAGACCAATTTTTCCGGATACGTTGGAATCCAGTGCAGCAACACCTGAAGGGGAGACAGAAATCAAATTACATTAATTTTAAAAGACAGGTTTCCAGGACCCGCGATTTAATCCTCAGGTTGTGAAATAAAGAGCTGAGAGGCGTTCTCATCTACAGACAATGGGCAATAACATGCAATGGGCAAAAGCAACACTTCAAAATTCCAAACAGATTTAAGAGAGGGAAGCCCAGTCAGGTGCAAGTTCCCCTGCAGGCAGCTTCCCACAGCCTTCACCTCCAGGAGTGTCCTGCCTTCAGATCTTCCTGGAGTTGGTCAGGAAATAATCATAAGGAGTCCCTGTCCCACATTTGCACTAAGAACTTTACCAAGATTTGTATTATATCATTCAACATCCCTTGTGATAAACCTCCTTTGGAATTCAGTTATCTAGGAAAAATTTATCTCAAAGAACTGAGATCGTTTGTTGTTGTTGTTGTTTGTTTGTTTGTTTGTTTTGAGACAGAGTCTTACTCTGTCACCCAGGCTGGAGTGCAATGGTGTGATCTCGGCTCATTACAACCTCCATCTCCTGGGTTCAAGCGATTCTCCTTCCTCAGCTTCCCGAGTAGCTGGGATTACAGGTGCACACCACCACACCCAGCTAATTTTTGTATTGTTAGTAGAGATGAGGTTCCACCATGTTGGCCAGGCTTGTCTCGAACTCCTGACCTCAGGTGATCCACAACCTTGGCCTCCCAAAGTGCTGGGATTACAGGTGTGAGTCATCATGTCCTGCCTGAGATTTTTTTTTTTTTTAACACTTGAGAATCATGTAACTCATGATAGTTTTCCTTTCTGCCTTTTCTGTCAGGAAGCTTAGGCTTAACTGGAAAAAATAATGTTTATATACAATTATAAAAGTAATATATATTCATTACAACTATCTGAAAAAGGAGAAAAGGTAAAGATGACAACAAAAATCACATCATCTCATCAACCAAGTTAATATTCTGGTGATTTTCTTCTAATATTTTTCTCAATTTTTTGTAAACAGCTGGGAGAATTTTATAGTTTCTAACCCTCTCTCTTCTTCTTAATATTATAGTTGTAAGCATTTTCCCACATTGTTACAAACTCACCCTGAGGATAATTTTAATGGCTCAGTAATCTGTCATGTGGCTGTACCAGAATGTATTTAATGATCCACTTATTGCTGGATCTTTAAATGGTCCCGGGGCCACATTCACAGTAATGTCATTATCCATTCTGGTTAGTGTGTTTCCTTCCTCTTTTCATGATTTTCAAATTGCTTCTGTGTAAACAACCTTATTGTGTATAGCTTTTATTGTGAGACATCTTAAAATTTCTATTTGAAAAAGGAAAGATATTAATAAATAATTTCCCAGGGCACAGGTAATGTCAGAGACTTACGATCATATTGTTAGATCTCACTTCAAATGGTCCTTGGCTACCAGTAAGATGACTAAGTGTTGCCCAGATTTGAAAGGGCTGTCTGGAGTGTCAAGGACAGCTGGATTAGAGGTGGAAGGCAGGCATCCCGCCTTGCCAGAAACCTTTGCTCTCTATCAAAGATGCTCATATAAACGGAGTCAAAAGCCGTTCTCCAATTGGACTTGGACGTGGGGAATGGGCCAAGTTGAGAAACAACTGAATCATCTTTCGGCAAGCTGTCATTGGAGGTTTCAGACACTACCAAGCCTGATTTCCAAAATGAGGGTCATATTTTGAGTCAAAGGAGCATTATAGAAAATGATTTTGCATATTCAACACGCATGAGTTGTCCCATAACCATTTGCAAAGCCTAAGGTACAGGGTAGCAGGAAAAAGGAAGAGGTTGTCACAAGGCAACCCCAAGGGAAAGGCAGTAAACCTGTATGGCTATCAGCATGCATAGGTAACTTTTATGTTCATTTCCCACACTAAAAGGCCTATCCATTTTTTTTAAGTGACTGGGGGTTTATGCTTCTCATATATAATCATACATATTTGATGTACAGGAAGAAAATCTGCAAGGAAGTGATCACCATTATGATGACAGAACAAGTCATTTCTCACTCTAAACACACCATTTCTCTGGCTGTTGATTGCTCCTTTGGAAGTTAATATTTTGAGAGAAGGTGCTCTGGCCTCTGTAGCAGCTACCCCAGGATGTTGTTAAGGCGCCATTCATCAACCACTGAGAAAAGATTGTGCAATTGCCATATAATGGGCATACTGCAATAGTCACATTCTAGAATAATCTTGATGATAGATTCTATTCGATTTGAGAAAAATGCAGTTTGCTGTGTTGAAGAGTCTTTCTTTTCCTCCCAGTAAGACAATGAAAGATAACAATTAGGCAAGGGACAACAGCAACAACAAAAAAGTCAAGAGAGATTGAAGGCCAAAATTCAGAAACAAGTTCACTATCTCATATTTAGTTTAGGTCTCTTAAAGAAAGAGCAAATCATAATACAAATATGTAAGCTTGCTAAGTATATTATATGATTATAAAATATGTGCCTGTTTCATTTTAGAGCTTGGTATATTGTTTTGATAACTGTAATAATTATTTCTAAGATGCATAGGTTAAAAAGAAACAAAAAGAATCACCACCTTAACAGACTCCAAGTAACTCATCTGTAGCCCTAATATGGGATCTATTTTCAGATATGTCGTCCTTCTTTGGTAGATGTCCAGTTTAAGCAGATTCCAGCCCCTGAAGTGCTGACAAGTGAGAGTCACAGAGTAGTTACAGAGCTGTTCTCGGGGATGTGTTTGGTACTCTCTCAGGATTTTCTTCCAGCAGTGAAACAAATTAAATCTATGTGGATAATTGTTCCCAGCATATGTTAATATGTCTTAATTTGTCTTAATGATTTGGCCATGGGCTGGTGCCTCTGCTTGTACTCCAGGACTCAGCTGGCAATAAAAGGCTTGATAATAATGAGATCTTGGTGAAAATATCTTAAACAAATACATCCCCAAGTAGTCATCCAATTTCCCCTCTGTCCTGGAGCACAGCAACTATCTTGTAGTAACTTTCAGCACGGGTCTTTGTTTCCCATTCCTCTAATCCACCTCCATCCTACCAATTTCCCGGATATATCAGATATTTACACAAATCAACGATTATACTTCTCTACACTGTATAGTTACCTCTACCTCTGTATAGTTACCACTCTATAGTTACCCTCTACCTCTCTAGTCATCAACATGGGGGCAGAGCTGGCCCCCAAGTCCAGGCTGTTGGATGATTTATAATGCATTGTTGGGGATAAGGGTGGTGACCACCATAGAGGGAGAGAACAGATACAGGGAAACAGCCTAATCTTTGAAAACCTCTATAAATAGGAACATTACAGAACTTAATGACCATAAAATATCTGTCTGGATGGTTGTAAACACCCCATCTGCGAGTAATGTCAATAATGATGAGGATGATAATCATAATACAAATAATAATGATGACAATAAACACTATATTGACTGCATGTTAATGCATCATCTTTAATTCTCATTACAACCCAAGGAGGCGGGCATTATTACCCCCATTTTACAGAGGACAAAACTATAGCTCAGAAAGGCTAAGTACCATACGATCATAAAGCTGGTAAGGTGAGTGGTAGAGCTGGGATCTCAATCTACATTTTACCTCAAAGGCCATATTCTTAACCACTATTCCATATTGGCTCTATCCATGTGCTACAAAATTCTAGACTAGCGCTGCCCAGTAGAGCTTCCTGATGATAGAAACGTTCTGTTTTTGTGCTGTCCCCTGCAGTAGCCACAAAGTGCATATGGCTAGCAAGCACTTGGAAAGTGGCTAGTGTGACTGACAAACTGAGTTTTCATTTTAATTAATCTATTTTAATTTTTTTTTTTAATTGTAGAGATGAGGTCTCACTATGTTGCCCAGGCTGGTCTTGAACTCCTGAGCTCCAGCGATCCTCCCACCTCGGCCTCCCAAATTGCTAGGATTATTGGTGTGAGCCACCACACCTGGCCAGTTTTAATTAATCTCAATTTAAGTAGCCACACGTGGCTAATGGCTATCATATTGGACAGCCCAATCTCTCTAGACCCTACCAGTGTTTAGCATTTAGTGGGTGCTCGACAATGTCGAATGAACAAACTATAGCTTAACTCCATTATCAAATTCAGGAAAAGCTCTTTGCCTTGCAAGCATGGGCAGGGGAAAGGAAGATGCTACGCGCAAATCTCCTGGCACGTAGTTCCATCACTGCACTGATCATATGGCTGTAAGGCCTGAAGCTTATTCTTCACTGGGCCCCCAGTGCCTTAAATAAGGTGCTCTACGAATGTTTGTACTTGAAGCTTTCCACATGACAGAAAGAGCTGCATTTTTGCAAGTAATCGTCTGCTTACAAATGACCCCATTTCAAAGATCCATTTCTGGGTCCGAAACTTGGACCTCAGCAGGTAGTCCCCTTAGAAACCGCTTATACATGGTGGTTTAGTTTGGTTCCCAGGGCAGCCAACGAGAACACTTTTCAGCCATAAAAGACTCCACAGGGGAACACATGTAACATCTCAGTCTTTTTCAACCTTGTTTTATTGTTGTTGTTGTTGTGCAAAACCACCCCCCAAAGCCGTTTTCCTAATCACCACCCCTCTGAAATTCTAAAACCGCAAACTGTATATCTGGTTATATAGTAAATGATACATGTGTTTTTTTACATAAAAAGAGTAAGATTTTCTCCCCCAACTCACCACCACCAAATAAAAACAGCTTTTGCTGCCTTGGGGACGATATTGTCTTGGTGAGAACTTGTGGTCTAGCGCAATGAATGTTGACTGTGAGAATGAGAATCCAGGCATTAGACTCTTAACTGGCGTTGACGTCGAAGATCAGGCCCAACTTAGTCCCAAACAAGTAAAACCTCATTTGCCCTTTAGTTCTGAGTTTTTATTCTCAATGGACCCCCGGGTTTCTTGCTCTCAGGCCATCTTTGGTGGCTGGCGAGGTCTGAAGGACCCCCTCTCTTTACAGTTCACTATCAGAACTCGTTTCTCCTGGGAGTTGAAAGCTGTCCTATAGGGGGTGATAAATGAGAATGAACTAAGCAGGTGTGATGGCATCTGCACAGAAATCAACAGTGAGTATTTAAAATGTTTATAGTAATTGGACAGTAACTTTATTTCTGTTGAATGTAATAATAAAAGATAGGGGCGGGGCGTAGTGGCTCACGCCGGTAATCCCAGCACTTTGGGAGGCCCAGGCAGGTGGATCACCTGAGGTCAGGAGTTTGAGACCAGCCTGGCCAACATGGTGAAACCCCATCTCTACTTAAAAAAACAAAAAAACAAAAACAAAACCACACACACACACAAATTTGCTGGGTGTGATGGTGTGCACCTGCAATCCCAGCTACTCAGGAGGCTGAGGCAGGAGAATCTCTTGAACCTGGGAGGTGGAGGTTGCAGTGAGCCGATATCATGCCACTGCACTTCAGCCTGGGCAACAGGAGTGAAACTCCATCTCAAAAAAAAAAAAAAATAGGGCTAGTATTTTGTATGTCTATTTTTAATATAACTTTTCTAGTAATTTGCTCTAACTATAGTTTACGAAGGTTATTGATCTGTAACAGATCAGAAATTTTAACAACTGGATTTGCTCCATCCAGTTTAAAAACTAGATGTTTTGTGAAGCCCTGGTGCGGAGACCAGTTACTGTGGGCTTTCAGAGGAGCCTGAACTGTCACCAGATTGAGATGAGCAGGAGAGGCTTGATGGAACAGGTGGCACCTGAATTGGGCAGAAAAAGAAGAGCACGATTCCAGTTCCCTGTGAACCCAGGGTTATCCATTAGAACCTGGGACAGTTTTGAGGCTCGGCTGTGGCCTAGAAACAGGGATAAAATCCCCGGTTGTCCTTGGAAGTCAGGGGCACCTGCTAGCTCTTTATTTTAGGTAAAGGCATTTATTTGCTTTTTTCACCTCAGGAGAAGGCTCTGATGAGCAAGGGTGTTGGCTCCCAGCCAAAGCAGTAATCATCTGAACTTTTTACAAAAACACTCCAAAGGAAGCAGTTGCCTGGCTAAACAATAGCATGTTTTAAAAATAAACATCTGAGGGCAAAAGACTCCTCCTAGAGCTCTCTGATTAAGCAACCACCCACTGAGAACAAAGCTTTCGTGACAATCTCTCCACATTGCTGTTAAGGTATCAAAATTCAACCCCTTATTGGAAGTTCTTTTAGGTCTGACATTTGGTGGTGTTATGCCATTATAAGTGGACACCACATCCAAGAAACTCATTGTTGCATAGGAGTTAAAACTCGCCATGTGGATGACTCCTGTCTCTGTCACCGGCAGAGAGGCCACCTGTGCAGAGAGAAGGCATGGGCTTTGGTGGGACAGACTGGGCTCAAATCCCAGCCTCCTCCCAGACTCAGCTTCTCCATCTATAAATTGGAGGATCTGAAATGCCTCTATCGCCTTTAGGTTAATTGTGAGGAACAAAGTGAACAACCTCAGCTTGCGTAGCTGTTGTGAGGATTAGAAATAATGTCTATAACAGGCCTAGTACAGTGCCCAGAACACAGTGTGTTCTTAGTAAATAGCCTGCATGATTACTGAATAAATGATAAAGATGATGTGCATCACTGAGCAGATGGAAGGTATTCAACAAGCATTAACTGATTCATTCATTCCCTCCCTCATTCATTCCTTCATTACACGGTCACTAAAGAGATCCTTTAAAAACATAAATCAGGTGATTTTATACATCAGGATAACCCTTCAATGGCACTGAAGATAAAAAGAAAAAATCCTTACCTTGGCCAACAGGCCTTGCAGGGGAGGCACCTGCCTGCCTCTCCAGCCCCTCTTTGTGCCATCTTCCTGTCTCATCCCCTCCTCCAGCCTCTTCTGGAACAGACCAAGCTCCTTCCCACCCCAAGGCCTTTGCACAGGCTCTTCCCTCTGCCTGGAGTGCTCTTCCTCACTCTTCATTTGGCTTTTAAGTCCTTTCCTCAGAATCCTTCCCTGATTATCCACCCTAAACCAGGGTGTCCTGATTTCCTTGCTTGGCATCCTGTGCATATCATATCTCAACAATTTTTATCATTGGTTCATTATTTTATATCTCTTTCTTGCTAGGTTTTAAGCTCCATGAAGGCAGGAGACCTAGCTATCTGCTTGTTCACGAATGTATACTCAGTGCCCAGCACATAGGAGATGCTCAGTAAACATGCTGATTGAATGACTAACAGGTATTTAAGTATGGCTGACTGCCCTGGATCCCTCTCCCAGGCTCTGGCCCCTTGGCAGCAGAGTGTTGCCAGAACAAAACTTGCCAGTTCCAGCTGCTGCCCTTATGATCTGTGTGATCTTGAAAAAGTGGCTTAATCTGTCTTCAACCTCCTGTTTCCTTATCTCTAAAGATGGAGTTAAGGTCCCACCTACTTGATGACTTCATAGGGCTGCTATGAGGATTAAATAAACAGGTTCATGATTTTTAAATTCCAAAATGTTTCTTTTATTCCCCAGAGAAAACAAGGCAGGATATGATCTTACTTTGTTAATCCAGGGCATAGGGAAATCTCTGCAGCCTTGATTAGTACTCCCTGGATGTTCAAAGGGAAAGGAAGAGGCAAAGAGGAGCATGCAAAATCTTTCTGTGCATGCATCACCTATGACATCTACTTTTCTTAGAGACATGAAGAACTCTCTTAAAATAGGTAATATCACCACTCTAGGCTATTTGGTGATGTTAACAAAATAAACTGGTCCTTGAGCAGAATCAGCTAAAGGTCCCCTTGAAGCCTCTGTCAGCTGGTCCACATTTGAAGTTCAAAACATGCATCAAGAAGCAGTGGGCTCTCCAGGTGCAGTGGTTCATGCCTGTAATCCCAGCACTTTGGGAGGCTGAGGCAAGTGGATCACTTGAGGTCAGGAGTTCAAGACCAGCCTGGCCAACATGGTGTAACCTCATCTCTACTAAAAATACAAAAATTAGCCGGTGGTGGTGGCACACACCTATAGTCCCAGCTACTTGGGAGGCTGAGGCAGGAGAATCGCTTGAACCCAGGAGGTGGAGGTTGCAAGTGAGCTGAGATCGCACCACTGCACTCCAGCCTGGGCAACACAGTGAGACTCTGTCAAAAAAAAAAAAAAAAAAAAAGAAGCGGTGGGCTGTGTCCTGGTTTCAGCAGTCCAGGAGCTGTTTTAACATTTTTTTCATTACTATGGAACACGGTGGTATTTGTAGTTAGGACCAGTTTTTCAGAAGACTCCATGAACTTTTTGACTCCCTGAACTTATTGTCCAGTAAAAGCATTAAATATACCCCAAAGAATCTGAGGAACTCAACTGTTCTTTTCCAAAGTCCATATGAATGCTCTGACAGCAGCAGCTAGCTAATGGCTCAGTGAGACTTTTCTGGGTTTTTGCCACAACCTAAATATGACTGAGCTGTCTCTTTGCTTCTCTTTATCCATAAAATTGGTATCTCGGACTTCTAGGCAAAAGCTTCTTACATGCTGGTGAACTTTACAAACTGATGGCAGAGCAAGTCTTTTTATATTGTTCTCATTTCCAGAATGAATGCATTCAGTGTGTTCATATCTGCGTAGCTCAATTCTGATATTGGCCCTGTAGATTCTGCTGCCAGTTCAGGTACTTTATAGGAACTTCTGAAGGTCTCAGACAAAAAAGAGTAAGTAAAAAAATTGTATGGCATTCTAGATGTTCTATGAAACATTATTATTATCCATATTTTAAAGCTGAGGACAAGTTAAGTAAAATCCAAGGTTTCACAGCTAATCCATGGCAGAACCAGGATTCAAACCCAGGCAGTGTGGCTCCTGTCTGTACTCTTAACCACTGGACTCTCTTGCCCCTCTAGGATGGATACTTATTCAGGTGTCCCTCTGTAGAGAATGGCACAGGTGGGAGTCACTGCTAGAATTGCTTCCCTCGCCTGCAGGCTCAAGTCCAGTCCCCTTGGCAAGGCACACGAGGCCAGTAAACCCTTGTGCTCCCCCTTTCCATCCCATTCCTCTTGCCCACGTTTCCAGCATCGCACTTCAAGTCTCACTGTCCTCCCAAGATGCTATTTTGGGAGGACAAAGATGCTATTTTCTCTTGCCTGGAATACCCACCCTCTTCCTTTCACTTGATTTCTATGCTTCCTTCAAAATGGCTCCTTCCAATGTCCCCTGCACTGACCTCATTCCCAGAAAGTGCTTATCACACAGCATTGTAATGTACTCTTTCTTGCTGAGATAAGACTTAATTTTACACCTTGTGTGTCTAGCAGAGCCTGGCTCATTAAAGATAGAATGAATAAATAAATAAATGAACGAATGGTCTTCCAGGTCCATGCCTCCAATATATAGAAGGTCCTTAGAATCCCTTTTTAAGTAATCAAATCAGGTTATCTTACAGCTGAACAGAGCTATGAACAAGTCTAATACCTGTTTAGTCAGAAAGAAGGCTCATGCATGGTTGATTCTCTGGGCTTCACTGTCTCAGGAAAGACTAAAGCAGGGCATATTTATCTCTTGCCACTATTCATTTTATTACTTGCAAATGGCATGTTCATTATGGGAGCTCTTCCTTATACACTATGTGGTCGTTTTGTCTTTGGAGGCCAGGCATTTCAGAAATCAAATTGATACAATAAGTCCTTTGGCTTCAACAGCTGTATTCTAACTCAACACAAATTTCTTGATAATCTTAGGGAAAGGAGCACTTAAAGTGCATGAAGAGCCCACTGGTTCCAGATGTTGCAAATGAGGCAAGAAGTTCACTCTCAGACTGTACAGTCTTAGGCAACAAACTTGTCTTCCTGCCTGGAGTTTTAAGTTTATAAACCACCTTGAATGGCAATTTTCATAGAAACTAAACTGTATAATGGACCACCAATGTTTCAAGAAAAGAATGCATACTCCTCCCTCGTAGCTAAAATTGACATTAAATGCTCTTAGCCACCTATGTTTATGAACAGTAGCTTACATTTAATAGCAAGTTGTACAACAAAGTGATATGCGTCTTCAAGTCTTGCAATTCTTGCTAACGAGGGACTCCTGGACCTGACTATCAGATGACCTCAGCTCCATGACCATGTGAGTGGTAGGGCCTCACCCTCTTATACCTGGTTTTCTGTTAGTCTGTTTTCATGCAGCTGGAGTTAACAAATGTTAGCTGAATAAAACTGAACCTTGTCTCGGGGAGGCACGTGGCATGGTTCTTTTCATAGGAGGATGTGGGATTGTTTCCAGATACACAGCTGCCTCTGAGTAAATGAATACATAGCCTTTAAAAAAAAGCCTTCCTCAGCCCCAAAGATTTAAGTGTGTCATCTGCTGTAAAGCCTGAGTTTACAAATAAGGTGCTCTAAAACTATCACCAACTGCACTTTATTCTGCTCACCCTCTATTCTTCAGTCTCTTCAGTGCATTCATACTCCTTGCCTGATGTGGTAGTTTATTTTGTTACCTGGATTCAACCTCAACTAGATTGCATCTGGAGTGTCAGAGTCTAGCTGGGCAGGGGTCAGCTCCTGGCTGGCCTCCTGTTTTTGTAAATGAATGTTTCATTGGCACACAGTCACCCTCAATCATTTACATACGGTCTGTGGCTGCTTTCCCATGACAAACAGAGTTGGGTAGTTGGGCAAAATACACAGGACCTGTAAAACCTAGAATATTTACTATTGGGCCCTTCATAGAAAAATCCTTGCTTGAAAGGCAACCAACTCACATATGCATTCTACATCTGGCTGTTGTTTAATAAATACTGAATATACCTAAGGTTTTATAAGGCTTTAAACTTTTTTACTTGGTTAAAAAGTAGGGCAGGTGTGGTGGCTCATTCCTGTAATCACAGCAGTTTGGGAAGCCAAGGTGGGAGGCTCACTTGAGGCCAGGAGTTTGAGACCAGCCCTGGCAATATATCAAGACCCTATCGCGACAAAAGTAAGAATTAGCCAGGCATGGTGGTGTGGGCCACCCGTAGTCCCAGCCACTAGGAAGGCTTAGGTGGAAGGATGGCTTGAGTCCAGGAGTTCAAGACTACAGTGAGCTATACTGGTACCACTGCATTCCAGCTTGGGCCATAGAATGAGACCCTGTCTTCCCACCCTTTCCCAACAAAAAGTAGTAGAAAACCTCTGATCCTATGGTTGAGGTCAAGCCCTAAAAATTTTGAAATCCTAACATGAAAGCTGGAGTAACAATCATCTAAAAGTCTGGAGCATTTTTTGTTTTTTAAATCTTCCAAGGGTAGAGTGTTAAATTTATCTTTGGAGAAGATCCTCAATTGTAAATCCAGTCACCCAACCAGTGTCTGGTGGAAACTGAAAGTCATTGATAAACAAAACGCAAATATTTTCTCCTGACGTCTAGTGTTTAATAATGTGACTTGTCCAGGAAGCAGAATCAGTACTAGGACTCACACTCAGTGGCCTGGGGGAGAGAGGAGGGAAAGGAGGGAGTTTTCTTGGCTTGATATCTGCTTGGCTTGACATCCACTGAGCTGCAAACTGGTGCTGTTTCTTGAGGAGCTGTGTGTGCCCTTGTTTGAGCAGGCGTTTTTAGGAAATCCAGAGCTGCGACATCACAGGAAGGGTTAGGAATGAGCAACTCCTTGCTCTGGAGGAAGAAATGTGCACAGGAACTGGCATGGACTTGGCCCAGCCTGACCTGGACAGACTCCCAGGTTCTACAAGCAGGGTGGTTGCAATAACCCAGCAGGTACTATGGTATGGAGTCTATGGAAGGCTCCTGATGGGGTCCACGAGGAAAGGCTATCCCCCTGTGGCCGTGAGGGGGGTTTTCTCTGAAGTGGATATTCCACAATGGCAAGCATCCCAGGAAGAGGTCACTCCAGGTCAGGACAGGATGGCCTGTGTGATAGCGGAATTTTTCCTTCTTAGAACTTGGTGTCAGGTTCTGGGATCTGGGGTGCAGGAAAGCTTGGAACACCTTTAGAGATGAACTCTAGCCTCCTGGAGGCAAGCAGCTAAGCAGAGGGGCATCCCTGTTAAGAGGCCCTGGGAGCCCCTTCAGGGAGCAGTTGGATGTCACCATTGGTGTTTCATCTGCTTTTGGTTACCTTTAGCAAAGATTATGTCCTGAGTAGAAGTGTGGTCTCAGCTGCACTTTGGAGAATTAAGCTTCTGCTCCTGTCTTAGGATGGAGGAGCAAAGAGCGGAACTCCTTAGGTCACCGGGGTAGTGGCAGCCACAGCAGACACCAGGAGGCGCAGCTGTGCCCACTGGAGTGCTTCTGGCCCAGGCGGGGGTGGCAGAGGCTAAAGTGGAAGAGCTGCAACCTCTTCCTGAGCAAAGTTATGAGCATCCGGGAAGGATGCTCAGGGGACCTCTGGGAGCGGGACTGGAGGTGCTGTTCTGTCCCTGTGTTGGTCATAGGAGGCTCCAATCATCATAGTTTAATTTTGGGAAGTAGTAAAGAAAATGTGACCTGAATTTAAACTCACTGGCTGGACCAGGATTTTTCCAGAGCCACAATTCTCAGGCATATTCATAAGCTATTTCCTGTTATTTCTCTGGTGCTTTGACATAAATACGGCTTACAAGCCTAAATGTTAGCAGATCCCAAACACAGATATTCCTCAGCAGGGCGGGAGCATGTTCTTCACAATGTAATTTATCGGTAGGATTCTATTGGTACCCACAATGATTGTCTCTGAAAATGTCTTGAGTTTATATCAACTGTGCCATTTTTTTTTTCTGTTTTAAAGTAAATTTGAGACATTATGTCATTTCATAACTCCATATGCATTTAAAAAGTAAGGACATTTTCTTATACAACTATATGCCATCATCATCTCTAACAAAATCATTAACAAATTATTGATACCATCTAACAGCCAGTCTATGTTCAAATTTCCCTGGTAAATTTGGCTTCTTAACCTTATCATCACATAAAAAGGGGTTCTTCCTGTTTTTTAAAAAAGCTATAAAGTATTTTTTTAATCTCACCAGAGGCTTTGATGGCAGAATTTTTTTTTCTACCTGTTAATTTGGCAAGAGAGTTTCCTTTATGCAGGAGCACAGATTATTAATCTTGGGTCTGAATTCTAGCTGTGTTTCTGCTTCTAATTTACGTATCCTTAGGGGACTCATTCAACCCTCCTCAGCTTCCCACCTGCATCCTCCTTCGGCCTAATAACTGTATACGTTAAGCTACCAGCCTGCTGGATTCATGAGGGCATTTGCAATGTGAAATGGCCCTTCCTGTGTGTTTTCCACGGCCATCTTCTGGGTAGGGAGGCTGAAGACTACTTCAGGGTCTGGAGGAAGGAGCTGTGTACCAGGTAAAGGTGGCACTGAGCCGGCAGGGGAAGGGAGCAGAGATGAGGCAGAGAAGCGACCAGAGGCAAAATTGGAGGATCTCAGGCCAGACTCCATCCCCATCTCTTTCATTAAAAATACAAACCAAACAAAAACACAGGTTCAGTTGAAAATGTAAAGAAAGCAGAACAGATCATGTTTTCTTACTTTCTGGATGTTAACCTTTTGGTTTTGATCACAACTTTTAAAAATGTATATACATTTTAATAAAATTTGGATTGTATACACTATCCTGTTGTGTAATTTTATTTTCCCACTTTATACTGTATTGGGAATGTTCCCACATGTAATTAAATATGATTCTAAGACAAGTTTTTAATAGTTGCTTAGTATGAAAATTTGTATACTATGTATACATAGTATAAAAGATAAATTTGTATACATATGTATACAATATAAATTTGTATACATTTAGGTTGCTTATAATTTATCACCATTACAAAAAAATGCTACCATGAATATCCTTGTACTTAGGAGTTTGAACATATCTCTGATTATTTCTTTATGATCAATTCTGAGAAACAGAATTACTGGGTGAAGAGATCAGAACATGCTCCAAACTGTTCTCCAGAAAGTTTGTTCCAATTTATTAGGTAACTGAAAGTGTATGAATGAACTTATTTTCCTATAACTGTGCCAACACTAGTCTTGTTGCTTTTCCCTCTAATCTGACAATTTAAAACATGGATATGCCATCATTGTCCCCACCCTGCTTTGTTCATATCCCTTGAATCTTTGACTATTTCATTGCTCCAAATCAAAAGATGGGGTGGTGGTTTTGCTCGCTGCCTCTAGTTCTTGACTGGCTGCTGGGGGTTTGGTGGAGGAAAAGTGGAGAAACTACTTGATCCATGCTATAGCTTCAAAAGTAGCTGGGCTATGTCAGTGGAATGCTGAGTTGTAAATTATTTTCCTAGATTATTTGCAAGGCTGAGCTAACACACAAAACATCCAGACTGCAAAAATCTCACTAGAGGAAGTATCTGTTTCTGGCTTCTGGCCAAAGGCTATACTTCCCAGAAAAAAAACCAAACCAAAACAAAACTCACTTGTTATTGACTGTCAAGAGTGGCATGTATTTTCAAACATCTGATATTACAGAATTAGACATTCATACATGTATTTTTACCTTTTCTTCTAAAACCTGTTTTACCTCGAGTTTTGGGTTTGCTGCATAATTTGGATCAATCTTCTATACTTCCCCTCATAGACACATGAGTTCAATAGTATTGCTCATCAGGTGGTTTATGCACCTTGTGCAATTGCGTGCAAAATATAGTATATATGTACAATTGTGAAGATTTTTCTCGAAAGGAAGTCCAAAGTTTGCATTGTATTCTCAAAGGAGCCCAAGAAAAAATTAGGAATCTTGGGCTGGATGCAGTGGCTCATGCCCATAATCCCAGCACTTTGGGAGGTTGAGGTGGGTGGATTGCTTGAGCCTAGAAATTCAAGACCAGCCTGGGCAACATATCAAGACCCCATGTTTAAAAACATTTTTTTAAAGAATCTTTGATATGGAGAAGATTCTAAGGGATTATAACTGCCATCCTTACGGCGGCCAGGCAGGTAACGTAAGAGTGAAGTGGACAAAGTACTGGGCAATCGGGAGTAGTGGAGACTATGGCATTCTCAAATGCATTTGCTCCAGCTAAATGGAGTAGTTGTCTCTTGGTTTCAGACCACCGTTGATAGGTGGAAATACTGGGCCAGTGTTCCCAGATCTTCATTTTTTTTTTTCAGAGAAAGCCAGCAATTTGGATATTTACATGAAATCTTTCCAATTTTAAATGCTTATGACAATTTAAACAAATAAACAAATATTACATGGGACAAATAATTGGTCTGCGGCTGTGTCAATCAGGTTGCTAGGGTTAAAAGGAACCAGGCATTTCCAAACGTAATTAAATACATTCATAAAAATAATTAAATGTTCTCTTTAGGTTTCTCATAAGCCGAGAACATCAAGACCATTTAAGGACAAAGCTCCCAAGGGACTCTAGTCTAATTCGAGTTTGGCATTTGGGAAATTCAAAGGCCAAATGTGACAGCTCTTCAAGCAATGCAGTCCCTGAATGCAGCAGATCCTGACCCCCACCCTCCCGTGCCCCCACCAACGTCCAGTACTCTACCAGGGCCAGTCCCAGACCTTTACAGTGGCAGTGGAGAAAAATGTTCTAGAAGGGGACATGTCACGACTTCTAATTGCATGTTTACATAAAACCTTGATTTTCAATCTAACACCACCAGCTACTGTCATGCCACATTTTACTAATTGCCAGAGTTAAGTACAAGAAACTGCAATGCAGAGAAACTTATCACAGCCAGACAAATGACATTTTTGTAAACCAAATTCATCTCTATCTACCTAAGGAAGCTTCCTCTTCAAAGGAGCCCTGCAATGTAATGATCAATAAGGGAAAAGTCATTTCCAAATGCAACTGTGTCACAAGTTTTAAAAATACTAGGCTTTTCGAATATGGTGCACTTCCATATTTAAACCCTTCTCACAGAACTTGACTGCTGGTCCCCACAGCAAATATGCAGGGCAGACACATAGCAAGTTCTGGCTTTGAGTAGAAAGTGGGTAAGGAGTGCAGAGACCCTGAAGGCAGCTGCTGAGAGGCTGGGGGCAGCACAGCTGCAGTTGGGAAATAAATGAGTGAATGGCTGAAAACATGATCAAAATTGACAACTATATTTTTCCTGAGGACACTAGCTGACATTTCAGTGACCAAATATGCTTTTTTTTCCCATGCCCCAGATAACGTTTTGTTTATATGTTTGAAAATGACATTTTCCTCCCAAGACATCACATGCTGGTCAAATGAAGATTTGAGCAGTGGTGGACAGAGCTGTAGGCACAGCATATGACAAAGCAATGCCATGTTGAGAACAGTAAAATGTTTCCACAGAAGCAAATATAGACATTCCAAGTGGAGAGAGGTGGAGAGAGAGAGAGAGAGAGAGAGAGAGAGACATCTAATGTATTTCAATTTTTCCCGTAATTAGAAAAGAACAACTTAGGTGAAAGCTTTTTAAATAATCATAGAGAATGACATGGTTAGGCTTTGTGTTCCCACCCAAATCTCATCTTGAATTGTAATCCCCATAATCCCCAGGTGTCAAGGGAGAGACCAGGTGGAGGTAATTGAATCATAGTGGCAGTTTCTCCCATGCTGTTCTCGTGATAGTGAGTGAGTTCTCACGAGATCTTATGGTTTTATAACGGGCTCTTCCTGCTTCGCCCAGCCTTTCTCCTTCCTGCCACCTTGTGAAGGAGGTTGTCTTGCTTCCCCTTTGCCTTCCGCCATGATTGTGAGTTTCCTGAGACCTTCTGAGCCAGGATGAACTGTGAGTCAATTAAACCTCTTTCCTTTATAAATTACCTAGTCTCAGGAAGTTCTTTACAGCAGTATGAAAATGGACTAATATAGAGAACATCTGTTTTCTCAAGGTACCTGTAATCATGCTGGATATAATTAATGGCAAAATGATGAGTTTCAGCATCCGCATTAGAATTTCTCCAGGAAAAGCAAAGTAGAATTTCTCTAGAGTTGAGAGGTTGCTGTGTTCTCGAACCAAGACTCCTGTGGTAATGCCTAAGGAAAACAAGAGTTGGAAAGAAGGAAGAGGAACATTATTGAGTTCTCCTGTATCTATGTCTATGGAAAAATACTCCCAAATGCACATTTTAATGGCAAGAAAAATAGTTTAGATCATTTCCCATGAGTCTGTAAAATCTAGACTGAAATTATATTTTAAAAGACAGTGAACAGAAAGTACACATTATTCAGTAAATCTGTAAAAAGTATTCTATACATGAAAGCTTTGTTGTCATTTCTTCGCTATCAATTACACTTATTATGACAAAATATCAAAGAATACTGTGAGAAAAAAAATCATCTTAGTCAATCCAGTATAACTCTTTTGCATTCACACACCACCTTTTTCTACCTGCAGAGATATTTTACATATTTTATTATTTTTATTGAGACAGGGTCTCACTCTGTCACCCAGCCTAGAGTACAGTGGTACCATCTCGGCTCACTGCAGCCTCAACCTTCCAGGCTCAGTCGATCCTCCCACCTCAGCCTCCCGAGTAGCTAGGACTATATGCGCACCACCATGTCCAGCTAATTTTTGTATTTTTTTCTTGAGAGGGTTTCATTCGGTTGCCCAGGCTGGTCTCGAACTCCTGGCCTCAAGTGATCTGCCCACCTCGACTTCCGAAAGTGCTGGGATTACAGGTGTGAACCACCATGCTTGGCTATTTTACATATTTTATAGTTTACATATCAGTTTGTATTTTTCTCATATTTTTATTATAAGTACTTTTTATGGTATATTTGTATAATCTTTCCTGTTTATGCAACTTTTATAATTTTAATAGGAATATAATAGCCTATTGATTTATTTACCATATTATCAAATGACTGTTCTCTAATGTTTTGCACTCTTTTCAGTTATTTCTAGATAATGATATATTCAGGTTTATCTGATTAAAAGGCTTTTTACAAAGTTTCTGATTTTGAGTACCTTGTACATGAAGTCTTATAATTATGTGAGTGTAGGGACATGTTCACTATTAAGAAATGTTACCATTCTCTGAAAGCTTTTCCTTAACAAGATGCCCATATTGAAATCCTTCAGTTGTATGGATAACACAATTTAATGATGACTTTAATAACTAAAAATCACAAATTTTTATTTCTATTCTCTTCCAAGTATTTCTAATAACATCTAACTGCTTTACCCTTTCCTTCTCCCAATATACACACTCTTATTTTAAGGCAGAAAAATAAATGGGATGACTTTTGCATCTTTTTTCCTTCATCGGCCTCTGTTGGATGTCATGATATTTGGAAGTAAAATGACTAAGTGGCAGAAAGATTCAAGGAGGATATCACTGGTATGTGAACCTAAAAACTCAAGTAATTAGTTTGTGAATACCAAGACTTATTTGGGCACAATTAAAAACTCTAGGGCAATGAAAGAATATGTGAATTATAATCAGTACTAGAATTTTCATTTAAATTCAGGCATCCTTCCCATGCCCACTAGTAGACCAAATAGATGAACCTCACAAGATGCATTTTGTATACTAACCTTATCCTTAGCTTAATTTTATTTCCCTATTCTACCTTTGCCTTGATCTCTATTTTGTGCATGCACTACTGGATGCATTTCTGGTGATTCAGTAGTGTTTACACACTACTGCATTGTGAATACACAATTTTAAATCATTTTTGGAACAAACATATAAACATTTCCCAAATTGTAGCTAAGACAAAGATGAAACAAAACTCTATTATCAATGCTATTTGGTTTCTATTTTACAACCCTAGTGTTAGAGACTCTTGAATGGATAAGAACACCAAGAATTCAAAGTATTTTAAATAAATTTAAAAAGTACGATGTGCTCACTTCCTGCTTTATAAACTGCCTGTGTTCAGCTGTTCTATATGAACATACCTATATTATGCCCTAAGGATACGCTGTAATTCCCAGGACTTTAAAAAACAAATATTCTCTCTCATACTATTCAGGTTGCTTCAAGTAAATTTTTGGCTTGTATGTCAAAGAAAGCTCAGTATGTAAAAAATAAAGATGTGTCTGTACTCAAACACTAGCCACACAAGGACTCTGTTGAATAGCAAGAGAAACCCATGTGCCCCAATCTCAGGGCTTATATTACTAATGATTAACTGTGCCTCTAATTATCTCTATGCTAAATTAATGTAGGGTCATTAGAAAGATATGTACTTGCTATTTTTCAGCCTTTAGCCAGATACAGGATTTTTTTAAAGGGAGAAATAAGAGTTGCCAGGTACAGTAGCTTGAAAGCAATAAAAGGTGACATGTACCCCAAGTAGGTTACTGTATTTGGCAATTACAACTTTCTATCAAGCTTGTTCTTGAAATTGAGTGCCACAAATTGTACTCCAATATTCCTTCCTTCCTTCCTCCCTCCCTCCGTGTCTCTCCCTTTCCTTTTCCCCTCCCCTCTCCTTTCCTTTCTAAAAAGAAGAATAGAAATACCAATCTAGTGCTGGAAATGAAGTTGGGATGTCACACTGAGACCCTCAAATACAAGAAATGGCTAGTGAATGACCTCACCTAGGAGTTATGCCTTGTAAATTGGTGTGCTTTATCTTGGTCTCAAGCAGTTTAGAAACAGCAGATTCGGGATGAGGAAAATCACCAGAAGATTTTCCAGGTCCCAAGAAGAGGTCAGAGTCTCATAGGGCATAACCTTTCTTTACCCATTAACAGAGTCAGAACCTTGGGCTGGATTAAGAATTATGGAGAGGTTCCCAAAGCCAAAGGCTGCTAGGAATAACTGCCCTTCTGGGAGTACGCAGGCCAGGCCCACCTGGTAAGGCCACTCCCAGAACTAAGAAAGGTAAAGATTGTGAAAATAAATAATTGAAAATCTCAGCCGTTGAAACTTTATTTTGAGCCTTAAGGGAATGTGATTATGGAACCTGAGTCACATAAATAGGCAGCTGTAACCTTTGTTTCTCTGATTATAGATTAGCCTTTTCCTTACCTACATTGTTTGGTAAAGTGTTATAAATTACTAAAGGGTGCCAGGGAAGACCCTTTCTCTCTAAGTATGGATCTTCATTATAGACTAGCCTCCCTCTTTCCTCTTTCACACAAAGGCTTCATGGTTATCACACTAACTAGGATGGAATGTTAAATACTTGCTTTTAAATTGGAAAGGAAACGAAAACAAGCTGTATGGAAAAGAAAACAAACGAACTAAATTGTCACTCATAAACCAGGCTTGTATAGAAAATATTATAATCCTACTAAACTTCTTTGTTTGCTGTATAGAAGCAAGTACTTAACTTTTAACTTCGAAGCACTGACCCCATTTCTCTAGAGTCCATGATTCTTGGATGGCTATTCCCAGCTTTTTGCTTGAATAAACTCTTTAAAACTGGATTCTGATCCTTTTGATTATTTCAGGTTGACAAGATCAACAATTTCCCTGAACGGTGTAGCAGGAAGGACTTCAGCAGAGCCAACAAGGAATTCTCAAAAGTAAACTAAGTACCTGGACCCCCAAAGCCCCAGCAATGGACACAGGACACCATTCTTGCGCTTCCTTCCCACCACAGACACAGGTAATTTCAAGCAGATGCTTGGGAAGCTTGGGAAGGACACTGGTATTAGGCAAGCAGGCTCAAGCCTGGTTCCACCAATTGTGAGGTGTGGAACCTGGGCCATAACTTTAACTTCTCCTATTTTCAAGGGTTAGATTAGCTGTCTTCAGAAGTCCCTTCTAATGCCTCTAATCACCTCTGAGCCTTGATGTCCTCAACTTTAAAATGAGATCACATTATCTCATTTCCAAGAAAGCTGCCTGTGCTTTTGAAGCAGGAAATTTCCCTGACACCGTTGCAGGTGGGAACTGCAGTGCACGGGTGCTGGATCTAGCTGGCCGCTTTGTCACTGGCAGGGGCAAACTCCACTCACTTGGACCCGTTGCACTTCACCCCTTGCAGAAGGGAGTCCACAGGTGAGCAGGTACAGGAGCCAGGGTGAGTGCTTCTGGGCATCAGCTGGAGTGAACTCCGTGCAGAGTCCTGAGGCAGTGTCTAGTGGGTGCCCATTACCCCTGAAGGCCCAGAGGGCATGTGTTTTAGTCAGCGCTCTTTTAGCTTTTGCCATCCACGGACGGCTTAAGTGTCAACAGTTCAGTGGGCCCTCTGCCTTTTTGCATGAGACAGTTGCTCTCTACCGAGAGCACAGGGTCAGTGTGACAGCCTTTAGCATCCTCACCCATGGCACCCGAGCTCTTGTTTGGTGTCCAGGAATAATCAGGTCACATGAATGAATTGAAGGGTGGTGAATGTGGAGGATTTTATTGCTGATGAACATGGCTTTCAATGGAGGGGAGCTGAAAAGGGGATGGAGCGGGATAATCTTCCCCCAGAGTCTGGCCATCCCTGGCCAGACTCCTCCCTGAGGTAACACTGTCAAGCCATCCCTTTGAAGTCAAGCTGCTTCTCTCCAATGTCTAGCTGCTTCTCCTCTTCTCCTTTCTCTGCTGTTGGAGACTGGGGTTTTTATGGGCACATGATGGGTGGCAGGAGGGCCATGGGTGGTTTTGGAAAAGGCAACATTTGAGCAGGAAAACAAGAATGTATGTTCTCACTTTGGGCCATGGGTCCAGGCTTCAGAGTGAGGCCCTTGCTGGGGACTGCCCTCTTCTGCCCAGAATTTCTCTGCCTCCTGTCCCTATCGCTTTCTCCAGCTTTTATGCTAAATATAAGTAAGTTGGTAAGGTCGGGTACAGTGGCTCATGGCTGTAATCCCAGCACTTTGGGAGGCCAAGGCAGATGGATCACGAGGTCAGGAGTTTGAGACCATCCTGGCCAAGCTGGTGAAACCCCATCTCTACTAAAAATACAAAAATTAGCCAGGCTTGGTGGTGTGTACCTGTAGTCCCAGCTACTCAGGAGGCTGAGGCAGGAGAATCGCTTGAACCTGGGAGGCAGAGGTTGCAGTGAGCCGAGATCATGCCACTGTACTCCAGCCTAGATGACAGAGTGAGATTCCATCTCAAAAAATAAATAAATAAATAAGTTGGTAAAACACAAAGAAAGAAACATGGGAGGAAAACACCCATGATCTCAGCTAGGGATCATCTTTAAGTTCAAAGATGAAAGTTTAAAAGAGAAGATGCACAGAATATCATTTCTTCCATGTTGTCTCAAAAAACAACTGCCAGTCCACAGCCTTGTCTCAGAGGTTCTGAAGTGATTTGTTTTTTGTTGCTAAGTTTATAAAAAAAATATTGTTCAGGAAACAATACTGGGAATCAGAAAAGAACAAAAAAGTCACATATCATTACATCAGTCTATCTCTCCCTCTCTCGTTTTTTCCAGGTCCTAACCAGCCTTTGTTCTTATGCACACACACTTTTTACAGTTATAAAATTAACCTGGGGATAGTAGCTGAGTTTCATTTGACTAAGATTTATGAAAACAGCATTGTTCTTCTTTTGGGGTATTTGCAGAAAAGAGATTGAAATCATCTGTTGTTTTTTTAAATGAAAGCCATAGAGTAGTTCTCTATGTAAATTAATTTTGGCTTGATTAAATAAGAATTACTGGCAAAGGAAAAAGTATTTTTAATTATTGCTAAAACATATCTCACCATGTCATCATGCTAGGCACTACATTAAGCAAATTAATTATGTGTCTTTTTGCCCTTTGGGAGCTAATCTAAGATGAACGTTGATGATGAGTAAATAAGTTTAGAAGAACACTTACTGACAAATGACTACATGCATTCAGTGGATAAATAGACGGATAGTTTCTCCATCCTGCCCTTAGGCTGTAATAATCTGTATCCCTTTCTCATCTCTTCCTGCCTCCCTAAAGAGCTGAGTAGCTCCACCAATACAGGCTCTTCACGGGAATTCCGGCTCAAAGCACAGATGCTGGAGTCCATAAAGCTTTTATTTTTTATTTTCAAATCCTTTAAATAAAGTATTTACTATACTGGCAATATATTATAGCAGCTCTGCCTGCAATAAAAATAAATGCAAAAATTCATCCACAAACTAATCAACTCAAATACATCCAAGGTTGTATTGTTTCTATTTTTCCTTATATATTGCAGCTGTGAAAGGAAAATAAATCTTGGAGCCCCAAAATCCCTAAGCTAAAGGGAAAAGTCAAGCTGGCAACTGCTTAGGGCAAATCTTCCTCCCATTCTATTCAAAGTTATCCCTCCGCTCAAAGATAATTTTATATCTCATTGCCTCCTTTGGAAAGGCTAATCAGAAACTCAAAAGAATGCAACCTTTGTCTCTTACCTAACTGTCACCTGGAAGCTGCCTGCCTGCTTCAAGTTGTCACGCCTTTTCTGGACTGAACCAATGTAAATCTTACATGTACTGATTGATATCTCATATCTCCCTAAAATGTACAAAACCAAGCTGTGCCCTGACCACCTTGGGCACATGTCCTCAGGACCTCCTGAGGCTGTCACAGGTGAGTCCTTAACTTTGGCAAAATAAGCTTTCTTAATTAACTGAGACCTGTCTCAGATATACTAAACACATACTATATGTCAGGCCTTGAACTAAACATTTCAAATGAATTGTCTTTTGTATTATCTCTTATAATTTAAAAAATTATTTACAATCTGTATTCTGCTGAAATATCTCATAATTTTTAATGGCTATATATGTAGTTTTTTGTAAATTTTTTTTGAGATCAAATTCATATAACATAAAATTTACCATTTTAAAGTATATAATTCCATGGTTTTTAACATACAATGTTGTACAACTGTCACCAATGTCTAGTTCCAGTATTTCCATTACCCCCCCAAAATTCCACACCTGTTAGTCACTCCCCACTTCTCCCTACCCCCAAGGGCTCCTGGTAACCACTAATCTACTTTTCTGTCTCTATGGATTTGCCTAATCTGGCATTTCCTATAAATGTAATCATACAAGATGCAGCCTTTTGTATCTGGCTTATTTCACGTAGCATGTTTTCAAGGTACATCCATGTTGTAGCATGTGATTTTTTTTTTTTTTATTTTATTTTATTTTATTTTATTTTATTTTTTTGAGACGGAGTCTCGCTCTGTCGCCCAGGCCGGACTGTGGACTGCAGTGGCGCAATCTCGGCTCACTGCAAGCTCCGCTTCCCGGGTTCACGCCATTCTCCTGCCTCAGCCTCCCGAGTAGCTGGGACTACAGGCGCCCGCCACCGCGCCCGGCTAATTTTTTGTATTTTTAGTAGAGACGGGGTTTCACCTTGTTAGCCAGGATGGTCTCGATCTCCTGACCTCATGATCCACCCGCCTCGGCCTCCCAAAGTGCTGGGATTACAGGCGTGAGCCACCGCGCCCGGCCGCATGTGATTTTTTTAAAAAGCAATTTTCATTTAATGTTAAGTCATAAGCATTTCCCCCACATTAAACATCTTCATCTTTTTTTTTTATTATTTAAGTTTTAGGGTACATGTGCACAATGTGCAGGTTAGTTACATGTGTATACATGTGCCATGTTTGTGTGCTGCACCCATCAACTCGTCATTTAACATTAGGTATATCTCCTAATGCTATCCCTCCCTCCTCCCCCCACTCCACAACAGGCCCTGGTGTGTGATATTCCCCTTCCTGTGTCCAAGTGTTCTCATTGTTCAATTCCCACCTGTGAGTGAGAACATGCAGTGTTTGGTTTTTTGTCCTTGCAATAGTTTGCTGAGAATGATGGTTTCCAGCTTCATACATGTCCCTACAAAGGACATGAACTCATCATTTTTTATGGCTGCATAGTATTCCATGGTGTATATGTGCCACATTTTCTTAATCCAGTCTATCATTGTTGGACATTTGGCTTGGTTGCAAGTCTTTGCTATTGTGAATAATGCTGCAATAAACATACATGTGCATGTGTCTTTATGGCAGCATGATTTATAATCCTTTGGGTATATACCCAGTAATGGGATTGCCAGGTCAAATGGTATTTCTAGTTCAAGATCCCTGAGGAATCGCCACACTGACTTCCACAATGGTTGAACTGGTTTACAGTCCCACCAACAGTGTAAAAGTGTTCCTGTTTCTCCACATCCTCTCCAGCACCTGTTGTTTCCTGACTTTTTAATGATTGCCATTCTAACTGGTGTGAGATGGTATCTCAATGTGGTTTTGATTTGCATTTCTCTGATGACCAGTGATGATCAGCATTTTTTCATGTGTCTGTTGGCTGCATAAATGTCTTCTTTTGAGAAGTGTCTGTTCATATCCTTCGCCCACTTTTTGATGGGGCTGTTTTTTTTTCTTGTAGATTTGTTTGAGTTCATTGTATATTCTGGGTATTAGCCCTTTGTGAGATGAGTAGATTGCAAAAGTTTTCTCCCATTCTGTAGGTTGCCTATTCACTCTGATGGCAGTTTCTTTTGCTGTGCAGAAGCTCTTTGGTTTAATGAGATCCCATTTGTCAGTTTTGGCTTTTGTTGCCATTGCTTTTGGTGTTTTAGACATGAAGTCCTTGCCCATGCCGATGTCCTGAATGGTATTGCCTAGGTTTTCTTCTAGGGTTTTTATGGTTTTAGGTCTAACATTTAAGTCTTTCATCCATCTTGTATTAATTTTTGTATAAGGTGTAAGGAAGGGATCCAGTTTCAGCTTTCTACATATGGCTAGCCAGTTTTCCCAGCACCATTTATTAAATAGGGAATCCTTTCCCCATTTCTTGTTTTTGTCAGGTTTGTCAAAGATCAGATGGTTGTAGATAGGTAGCATTATTTCTTTCCATTGGTCTATATCTCTGTTTTGGCACCAGTACCATGCTGTTTTGGTTACTGTAGCCTTGTAGTATAGTTTGAAGTCAGGTAGTGTGATGCCTCCAGCTTTGTTCTTTTGGCTTAGGATTGACTTGGCAATGTGGGCTCTTTTTTGGTTCCATATGAACTTTAAAGTAGTTTTTTCCAATTCTGTGAAGAAAGTCATTGGTAGCTTGATGGGGATGGCATTGAATCTATAAATTACCTTGGGCAGTATGGCCGTTTTCACAATATTGATTCTTCCTACCCATGAGCATGGAATGTTCTTCCATTTGTTTGTATCCTCTTTTATTTCATTGAGCAGTGGTTTGTAGTTCTCCTTGAAGAGGTCCTTCACATCCCTTATAAGTTGGATTTCTAGGTATTTTATTCTCTTTGAAGCAATTGTGAATGGGAGTTCACTCATGATTTGGCTCTCTGTTTGTCTGTTATTGGTGTATAAGAATGCTTGTGATTTTTTGCACATTGATTTTGTATCCTGAGACTTTGCTGAAGTTGCCTATCAGCCTAAGGAGATTTTGGGCTGAGACAATGGGGTTTTCTAGATACACAATCATGTCTTCTGCAAACAGGGACAATTTGACTTCTCTTTTCCTAATTGAATCCCCTTTATTTCCTTCTCCAGCCTGATTGCCCTGGCCAGAACTTCCAACACTATGTTGAA
Organism: Homo sapiens; assembly: GCF_000001405.40. Taxonomy (NCBI): domain Eukaryota; kingdom Metazoa; phylum Chordata; class Mammalia; order Primates; family Hominidae; genus Homo; species Homo sapiens. Next base: position 4,535,178 of record NC_000009.12, on the reverse strand, counting down.
TAGGAGTGGTGAGAGAGGTCATCTCTGTCTTGTGCCAATTTTCAAAGGGAATGCTTCCAATTTTTGCCCATTCAGTATGATATTGGCTGTGGGTTTGTCATAGATAGCTCTTATTATTTTGAGATACGTCCCATCAATACCTAATTTATTGAGAGTTTTTAGAATGAAGGGTTGTTGAATTTTGTCAAAGGCCTTTTCTGCATCTATTAAGATAATCATATGGTTTTTGTTGTTGGTTCTGTTTATATGCTGGATTATGTTTATTGATTTGCATATGTTGAACCAGCCTTGCATCCCAGGGATGAATCCCACTAGATCATGGTGGATAAGCTTCTTGATGTGCTGCTGGATTTGGTTTGCCAGTATTTTACTGAGGATTTTTGCATCGATGTTCATCAGGGATATTGGTCTAAAATTCTCTTTCTTTGTTGTGTCTCTGCCAGGCTTTGGTAGCAGGATGATGCTGGCCTCATGAGTTAGGGAGGATTCCCTCTTTTTCTATTGATTGGAATAGTTTCAGAAGGAATGGTACCAGCACCTCCTTGTACCTCTGGTAGAATTCGGCTGTGAATCCATCTGGTCCTGGACTTTTTTTGGTTGGTAAGCTATTAATTATTGCCTCAATTTCAGAGCCTGTTATTGGTCTATTCAGAGATTCAACTTCTTGCTGGTTTAGTCTTGGGAGGGTGTATGTGTCCAGGAATTTATCCATTTCTTCTAGATTTTCTGGTTTATTTGTGTAGAGGTGTTTATAGTATTCTCTGATGGTAGTCTGTATTTCTGTGGGATCAGTGGTGATATCCCCTTTATCATTTTTTAATTGCATCTGTTTGATTCTTCTCTCTTTTCTTCTTTATTACTCTTGCTAGCAGTCTATCAATTTTGTTGATCTTTTCAAAAAACCAGCTCCTGGATTCATTGATTTTTTGAAGGGTTTTTTTGTGTCTCTATTTCCTTCAGTTCTGCTCTGATCTTAGTTATTTCTTGCCTTCTGCTAGCTTTTGAATGTGTTTGCTCTTGCCTCTCTAGTTCTTTTAATTGTGATGTTAGGGTGTCAGTTTTAGATCTTTCCTGCTTTCTGTTGTGGGCATTTAGTGGTATAAATTTCCCTCTACACACTGCTTTGAACGTGTCCCAGAGATTCTGGTGTGTTGTGTCTTTGTTCTCATTGGTTTCAAAGAACATCTTTATTTCTGCCTTCATTTCGTTATGTACCCAGTAGTCATTCAGGAGCAGGTTGTTCAGTTTCCATGTAGTTGAGTGGTTTTGAGTGAGTTTCTCAATCCTGAGTTCTAGTTTGATTGCACTGTGGTCTGAGAGACAGTTTGTTATAATTTCTGTTCTTTTACATTTGCTGAGGAGTGCTTTACTTCCAACTAAGTGGTCAATTTTGGAATAGGTGTGGTGCTGAGAAGAATGTATATTCTGTTGATTTGGGGAGGAGAGTTCTGTAGATGTCTGTTAGGTCTGCTTGGTGCAGAGCTGAGTTCAATTCCTGGATATCCTTGTTAACTTTCTGTCTCGTTGATCTGTCTAATGTTGACAGTGGGGTGTTAAAGTCTCCCATTATTATTGTGTAGGAGTCTAAGTCTCTTTCTAGGTCTCTAAGGATTTGCTTTATGAATCTGGGTGCTCCTGTATTGGGTGCATATATATTTAGGATAGTTAGCTCTTCTTGTTGAATTGATCCCTTTACCATTATGTAATGGCCTTCTTTGTCTCTTTTGATCTTTGTTGGTTTAAAGTCTGTTTTATCCGAGACTAGGATTGCAACCCCTGCCTTTTTTTGTTTTCCATTTGCTTGGTAGATCTTCCTCCATCCCTTTATTTTGAGCCTATTTGTGTCTCTGCCCATGAGATGGGTTTCCTGAATACAGCACACTGATGGGTCTTGACTCTTTATCCAATTTGCCAGTCTGTGTCTTTTAATTGGAGCATTTAGCCCATTTACATTTAAGGTTAATATTGCTATGTGTGAATTTGATCCTGCCATTATGATCTTAGCTGGTTATTTTGCTCGTTAGTTGATGCAGTTTCTTCCTAGCCTCTCTGGTCTTTACAATTTGGTGTGTTTTTGCAGTGGCTGGCACCGGTTTTTCCTTTCCATGTTTAGTGCTTCTTTCAGGAGCTCTTGTAAGGCAGGCCTAGTGGTGACAAAATCTCTCAGCATTTGCTTGTCTGTAAAGTATTTTATTTCTCCTTCACTTATGAAGCTTAGTTTGGCTGGATATGAAATTCTGGGTTGAAAATTCTTTTCTATAAGAATGTTGCATATTGGCCCCCACTCTCTTCTGGCTTGTAGAGTTTCTGCCGAGAGATCAGCTGTTAGTCTGATGGGCTTCCCTTTGTGGGTAACCCGACCTTTCTCTCTGGCTGCCCTTAACATTTTTTCCTTCATTGCAACTTTGGTGAATCTGACAATTATGTGTGTTGGAGTTGCTCTTCTCGAGGAGTATCTTTGTGGCGTTCTCTGTATTTCCTGAATTTGAATGTTGGCCTGACTTGCTGGGTTGGGGAAGTTCTCCTGGATAATATTCTGCAGAGTGTTTTCCAACTTGGTTCCTTTCTCCCCATCACTTTCAGGTACAACAATCAGATGTAGATTTGGTCTTTTCACATAGTCCCATATTTCTTGGAGGCTTTGTTCATTTCTTTTTATTCTTTTTTCTCTAAACTTCTCTTCTCACTTCATTTCATTCATTTCATCTTCCATCACTGATACCCTTTATTCCAGTTGATTGAATCGGCTACTGAGGCTTGTGCATTTGTCACGTAGTTCTCGTGCCTTGGTTTTCAGCTTCATCAGGTCCTTTAAGGACTTCTCTGCATTGGTTATTCTAGTTAGCCATTCGTCTAATTTTTTTTTCAAGGTTTTTAACTTCTTAGCCTTGGGTTCGAACTTCCTCCTTTAGCTCAGAGTAGTTTGATCATCTGAAGCCTTCTTCTCTCAACTCGTCAACGTCATTCTCATTCTCCCTCCAGCTTTGTTCCATTGCTGGTAAGGAGCTGCGTTCCTTTGGAGGAGGAGAGGCGCTCTGATTTTTAGAGTTTCCAGTTTTTCTGCTCTGTTTTTTCCCCATCTTTGTGGTTTTATCTACCTTTGGTCTTTGATGATGGTGATGTACAGATGGGGTTTTGGTGTGGATGTCCTTTCTGTTTGTTAGTTTTCCTTCTAACGGTCAGGACCCTCAGCTGCAGGTCTGTTGGAGTTTGCTTGAGGTCCACTCCAGACCCTCTTTGCCTGTGTATCAGCAGCGGAGACTGCAGAACAGTGGATATTGGTGAACAGCAGATGTTGCTTCCTGATCATTTCTCTGGAAATTTTGTCTCAGAGGGTTACCCTGCCATGTGAGGTGTCAGTCTGCCCCTACTGGGGGGTGCCTCCCAGTTAGGCTACTCGGGGGTCAGGGACCCACTTGAGGAGGCTGTCTGCCTGTTCTCAGATGTCCAGCTGTGTGCTGGGAGAACCACTATTCTCTCCAAGGCTGTCAGACAGAGACATTTAAGTCTGCAGAGGATTCTGCTGCCTTTTGTTTGGCACTGCCCTGCCCCTAGAGGTGGAGTGTACAGAGGCAGGCAGGCCTCCTTGAGGGGCAGTGGGCTCCACCCAGTTCGAGCTTCCCGGCTGCTTTGTTTACCTACTCAAGCCTGGACAGTGATGGGCGCCCCTCCCCCAGTCTCGCTGCTGCCTTGCAGTTTGATCTCAGACTGCTGTGCTAGCAATGAGTGAGTCTCTGCGGGCGTAGGACCCTCTGAGCCAGGCGCAGGATATAATCTCCCAGTGTACCATTTGCTAAGACCGTTGGAAAAGTGCAATATTAGGGTGGGAGTGACCCGATTTTCCAGGTGCCATCTGTCACCCCTTTCTTTGACTAGGAAAGGGAATTCCCTGACCCCTTGTGCTTCCCGGGTGAGGCGATGCCTCGCCCTGCTTCGGCTCACGCACGGTGCACTGCACCCACTGTCCTGCACCCACTTTCCGACACTCCCCAGTGAGATGAACCTGGTATCTCAGTTGGAAATGCAGAAATCACCCATCTTCTGAGTCACTCACGCTGGGAGCTGTAGACTGGAGCTCTTCCTATTTGGCCATCTTGGCTCCACCCCAAATCTTCATCTTTTAAAAACACTGAGTAATACAACTTTGGCTGTTTGGATGGACTTGCCTGTGGACCATCAGCCAACTATTAAATGCTCCAATCCTTGACAGTTTTGCTGAATGTTGCTGACTTTTCCTAGCGACCAAAGAGGCAAGCATGAAATGTCAAGCAAAGGTTCATATTAGCATACATTTTTAGGTTTAAGTTTTAAGGTAAGAAAGTACAGTAAACACATTCTTTGTAGTATGTTAATTCAAAAAGAGGCAATAACACTTTTGCATTTATTAATATCCAAATATATCCCAAGCACTATATTAAGTGCTAGAGGATTTGAAGGGGAAGAGTTAAAAAATAATATAATTGTGTTATTAAAGCAATAAAAATGTTTTCCGTCATGGGTGACTCCACCATCAACAGGAAATGTGGTTTGCACTGTTTTGTCAATAGCAACGATTATTTACATTGAGTCATCTTTCCCTTTTGGTCTATCACCTACAATTAAGAATTCGGTCTGACTCAGAAGAAAAGTTGATTTTGGTAAAGGTCTAATGGGTTTCTCTAGGGTAGGATTTGGGCCTGCAGGAAAAACTAGTTTTCTCTGACACATGACTGTGTTAAACCAGCATCTCTGCGCCCAGGAAGAGGGATTGCTGCTTCTCCCAGGACGCTTGGATCTTGAAGCCGCTCCTGAATCAAAGGTTACATTGTATTCTGCATCATTAACATACTGAGTACACTTAGTTGTGCTTTCAGTGCTTTAATTAGTGGTCCATATTGGAGGGTTTTGACAATTCAGTTATCCAGACTTTATCCACAATATTCCATTGCCCACCATGAGAGATCAGAGTTAGTTATATCATGGAAATTGAGAGAAAGGGAAGAATTGGGCCCTCTTTTTGCATGTTCCACTGTTTTATATTTTCTCCCCCTCCACAAACCTCCTCCTTCCTATCAACCCAAATAAAAATAAGAGAAAAATAAGGGAAGTAATCAAGTCATTCACTTTCCATTATTTATGGTGCATTTTAAGGAAGCTCTTAAATATTCAAGTTACTCTCTCAGCCTATTTGGTCTAAATAAATAAGAAAATACATGTACAATATTTTCTTCATTGTCCAACTCAAATTTATCACCTGGTAGCATTCAAGGCATGTATCTTACAGGTGACTGAGAACTCTAAAAGGGACTAGGCCCATGGGCCATGAGCAAAAGGACACTATTGTGGTGAAGTAATCAAGTATATATATATTTTAAAAATGAGTCCAGGTATGGTGGCTCACACCTGTAATTCCAGTACTTTGTGAAGCCAAGGTGGGAGCCCAGGAATTTGAGATCAGCCTGGGCAACATAATGAGACACCATCTCTACAACACACACACACACACAAAAAAAGTTTCATTTTGACTGATGGCAGAGGCTTTTAATTATCTAATTCATCCTTCATTCCTCCTTACACTTATTCATTCATCTGCATATTCATTTGTTCACTCATACATAGGTATATTATCCTAATAAATACACATCAAACACTTATTGAGCACCTACAGAAATAGGCATCATGGCACACTGTGTGACTACAAAGACAGCTGGATGCATGTCCCCTGCCCTTAAGGATGGAAGACAGTACAGTTTCATCAAAAGAGTAGAGACATTTGTCTGGGAAAGGACGAGTATGAATTCGTAAGACTACTGCAAAGGCTTAAAGGTCAGAAATCTGGGATATCTTGGCACATTTAAACAGCTTCAAGCAATTCAGTGTGGCCCATAATTAGGTAGATGTACGTAACTGCACAAGTAAGAAGAAGCAGGTGGTGAAGGATCCCATACGCCAAGCTAAGGATTTGAAGCTGATCCTGAAGGCAGTGGGAAGCCTCTGGAGGATTTACTCCTTCATTGGAAGGAGTTTTGCATTAGAAAGCAGTGTGCGAATCCTGTAAGTGGCTGCTGTGATCCAAGGTGAGCGGTGTTAAAGAGTGGAGAAGGGGAACAAATTTAGGAGGTGGACGAGTTAGTATTTGGTGATAAATTATATGTCTGAAGGTGGAAGGCAGTAGAGATGAGGAAGAAAGTGAAGTTCTGGGGTTCTTGTTTTCTAGCTTGGGTAACAGGGTGGATGGTGATACCTACCAAAGTGGGTAATATGGATAGTTCTAAAGATGATGAGTTCAGTTTTGGATGGGACACTGAGGGGAAGATGCTTAATGAAGACACGGATATGTGTGTATAGAGCACAAGAAAGAGACGTGGATGAAGTGTGTTGATAAGGGTATCAGTGTCACAAAGAAAGGTAAGAGTGGATGAGGCCGCATATATTACAGCCAACTCGGAATGTAGACTGAGAAGCATGTACTGTTAAGGTTAGGGCTCAATTTATCAAACCTCTGGTATCATCTCTTTATACCTTAGATCCTCAACCAATTTTACTTCTTCCCACCTTCTTAAACCAGAATACTCTCAAACTATAAGAAAATCTAACTTGCATTTTTTTGTTTGTTTGTTTTTTGAGACGGAGTCCTGCTCTGTCTCCCAGGCTGGAGTGCAGTGGCGTGATCTTGGCTCACTGCAACCTCCGCCTCCCGGGTTCACGCCATTCTCCTGCCTCAGTCTCCCGAGTAGCTGGGACTACAGGCACCGGCCACCATGCCCAGCTAATTTTGTTTTTGTATTTTTAGTAGAGACGGGGTTTCACCATGTTAGCCAGGATGGTCCTGATCTCCTGACCCCGTGATCTGCCTGCCTCGGCCTCCCAAAGTGCTGGGATTACAGGCATGAGCCACTGTGCCCACCTCCTAACTTGCATTTTTAATAAAATCAAACTCCAGTCCTCCAAGATTTTCCATGCAGGAAGTATCTTCTTGTGAGAAGGGGAGGTGGGCTGTACAGTTTTGTGTCTTGTTCCTGCAGATGTCTTTCCCTTGGGGAGACTCTGATCAATTAGCACTGTCATCACCGCATCGTGGTATGCATCAAAGTGTCCATGCTCCTAATATCCCTGGCATAACAGAAGCTACACTAGAAGGTTTAAATGAGACTTTACTAAAAACTAGGGGGTGACGAGAGGGAAATAAACACAGAGGATAACATGCACAGAATAAGCTGAGTAACAAGAGGTGGGTATTCTTTCGTTCTTAGTTTGTGACCCCAATAAGGGAGTCTTCTGATGTGCTCCTGGTCTTACTTCAGGAGGGTTTTATTTCTTGCATTTTCTAAAGTTCAAGTTGAGATGCCACTTCTTTTCAGAAGACTTACCACTTTGCCATGACAGATACCCAGAACATCTACTAGATCAGTGAAGTGAGCCCCATAGTATGGCTTCAAAACGGTAAGAAAATGGTCTCAAAACTCAAACTCCATATAATAGAGATGTTCGCATAGACATTAGCATTGGATAGGTGCTGCCATTTTTGTAATATAAGCTTAGAAACAATTTCTGTAGATCTTTTGTGGAAATTTTATCTAAAATGAGAACCTGGTTTGATTATCTCCATCAAAATTGTGCTCTAAGAGAAGGTATAGCAGAATGGCAAATGTAGTATACCATAACAGTCTAGTGTATTGATCATAGTACTCAGATAAAATGTGAATAATCAATGCCATAACAAAACCAGCACTGTTTATATAGCATGTCAATTTACAAACTGCTTTCATACAACAGGGTAGATAGAGCTACTGCATTAGTTTTCTATTGCTGTGTAACAAATCACCACAAATTTAGTAGCTTAAAACAACACACGGGTAATATTTCAAAATTTCCATGGATCAGGAGTCTGAGCACAGCTACACTGAGTCCTCTGCTCAGGGTCTCACAAGGCTTCAGTAAGGTGTCAATTAGGCTGTATTCCTTCCTGGAGCTTAGGGTTCTCTTCCAGGCTCATGATGCTGTTCTCAGGATTCACTTCCTGGTAGTTGTAGGATTTCTTACTGGCTGTCAACAGGGGCTCCTCTCGGCTCCTGCAAGTCCTACTGTTCCTTGCCATGTGGCCCTCTGACAACACAGTGGCTTCCCTCTTCAGAGTCAGCAGGATGGGCCCAGTCTCTTTAAGGGCTTCCACTTTATTAAGTCAGGCCTACCCAGGATCATCTGTTTTGATTAACTCAAAATCAACTGATTAGGGACTTTAATTACATTTGCAAAAGTCTCTTTACCTTTGCCAAAGAATGTAATCTAATTATGAATGTGAAATCCCATCATATCCACACTTAAAGTAAGGGGATTATGCAGGGTATGTTTGCCAAGAAGTAGCAATCTTGGGTGCCGTCTCAGAACTGCCTACTACAACTATTGTAGATCCCTTACTACAACCAAACCACATGAGTAAAAACCTCATGCAACACTGGCATTAACTTTATTTCTTAATTGTAATTTTGTTAGAATTCTATTCAGTATACAGAATCTGAATTATTGATTCTTTGAAAGAGTATTCTGAAATGTTTCAATGAAAAGTAAAAATACATAAACATGTATACATCCACCACGCAGACTGAACAAATCCTCCACAGATCTTTTTTTCCAAATAAAACATTATGGTTGAGGGTCCATTGCATCCTCCCCAATTCCATCTTCTCTTAGATAGATTAGATAATCACTTAATTTGAGCCTACTTTTTGTCCATGCCTTTATACATCTACTACTCACGTCAGTTTGTGCTTGAAAAATCTAACTCACATGGTATCAGTCTGGATGTATTCTCTTGCCTTGTGTTTTTGAAATTCTTTTGTGTTTTTGAGATTTATTAATATTAATACAAGTAGATCCAGTTCATTCAAAGTGCTGTTCAGTATTCCATATCACATTCCCTATTTTGTTTTCTATATGTCTAAATTCTGCTCTTATCTAATAAATTCTTTCCATCTAATTTTTAAAGGTTTACTATGTTATTTTTCTCCCTTTTGGAGTTGATCGCTTAGCTCATTATCATTATCTTTGTGAGTTTTTTTGTTGTTGTTTTGTTTTGTTGTAGAGACAGGGTCTCACTGTGTTGCCTAGGCTGGTCTCAAACTCTTGGCCTCAACTGACCCTCCTGCTTCGGCCTCCCAAAGTGCTGGAATTATAGCTTTGTTTTTGTTTTTCAGTATATGCATATAAGACATTTCCTTCTAAATTCTGTGTTGATGTCCTGTGAATTATTATATGGTATTTTTACTTTTGTTTAGTTCTAAATATCTTATAAATCTATGTTGTGATTTTTTTCTTTGAACTGTAAATTCTTTGAAAAAATATGAGTTTCAGTTTCCAAATCTATGGGTCCTTGGAGGGTTTTTATATATTCCCCATTTTTTATCTCTCTGTGATGCATTGACTGATTTTTCTCACACCTATTTTGCAGTTTCCAGTCCTTACATCAGTTGCATTTACTGGATGTTTAATTCATTCACTGAATTTTTAATTCCACTCTAAGTTTCATTTCTAGAACTTACAGTATCCTTTTCACACTATCATTTTTCTATTATCTAGTTTCTATTCCACCTGTTTTTCTTTAGTTATTCTAAACATATTTAGTATATATTATTTCAGACTGTTCTATCATCTCCAGTTTGGGGGATACCTATTCTCCTACTGGGTCTTTTCCTGTGTAATTTGTAATTTTTGATCATAGGCTTGTCTTTTGAGGAGGGGGTTGGCTTTTTTCTGAGTTGTGAAAGTCTACCTACAGGCTACTTATTTTTTCTGGGGACTTAGGAGTTTCAAGTCCTCCAGGACAGTTTTCATATTAATTTTTCAGCTTGATAAATCGGCATTACACAGTGGTGTAAATTTAGATGATGCACTGAGGGAAGTATAAATCTGGATTTTAATCTTCTCATGGGTACCCTCTTAACCTCTTATTTTAGCCATGGACAAATGGCAAACTTTCTTAAGGTTTTCCTTAGTCACTAGGTAGAATTTCTCTGCTCTTGTTTCCAAGGGCAGGGCCAAATTTTGTGGTTCCAGACTTTATGTCAAGGTTTCGTTTAGACTCCTTCACTCACGTGGGCCAAGATCATATCACTTTTCCCCATGTGGATATTAAGACCCCTATCTCCCATTATTAAAGCCTGTAAGTGGGTCTTGCTATGGTTGGTTTGTCCTCAGCAAAACTCATGCTGAAATTTCATCCCCACTGTGGCAGTATTGGAAGGCAGGGCCCAGTGGGAGCCCTTGGGGTCATGAGCTGGATCCCTCATGAATAGTTTGGTGCTATTCTTGCAGTAGCGAGTTCTCACTCTGGCAGGACTGGATTAGTTCTCATGGGAATGGATTAGTATACTCAAGAGTGGGTTGTTATAAAGCCAGGATACCCCTCGGGTTTTTCCTCTTTGTACAGATCTGCTTCCCCTTTGATCTTCTCTACCATATTTTAACAATAATTTTATATTAGTTATTAAAATTAAATTATATACACATGGCCCAAGATGAGATGACTTTCTCTATCATATTTTGATGCAGCTCGAAAGTCTTCACCAGAAGCCAGGGCCATGCCCTTGAACTTCCCAACTTACAGAGCTGTGACCTAAATAAACATCTTTTCTTTATAAGTTACCCAGTCTCAGGTCTTCTATTACAGCCACACAAAACAGATTAAGACAGGTCTAGACCTTAGCACCAGATCTTGTTTATACTTCTGGCTTTGAGTTCCCTTTTTATTTCTGGCACAAGGGCATTTCCTTTATTGCTTTTGAGTTTGGGTTTGGCTCTGCATTGGTCTGGAGGGGACTTTTATATTTCTTTGTGTTTGAGATGGTGGGAGAACCAATTCATATTAGCTCAACTATCATATTACTAGATGTGTGACACCACCATCAATTATTTATTCCTTACCCTTTCCGATATGCCCATTTTAAGATGGATAATGGAGTCAGTAAATATTAAAATTGAGAGTTCCACAATGTATAGGAACAATCTTGCTACATCAAGAACTTGTTATATTAAAACAATCATTGCTTTTCCAAGTATTCCCATGTATGCACATAGGATCAATTAGCCAACAATCATTTACAGATCACCTAATTTATACAATGCATTGGCCAAATGGGGAAATATAGATGAGAGTAATGTATAAACAAAGGGCCTTTAATATACACAATGAAATAAGGCATGTTAAATCACATGAAGCATTTTGAAGGAAGAAAGGAATTCATCAGTAACCCTTCAGGAGGCAGGCTCTTTAAGAAGAGACTGTTCAAATCTTGGCCTCACCACTTTATTAGCTGTGTTATCTTGGACAAAATACCCTGTAGCCTGTGCCTCTGTTTCCTCACCTATAACAATGGGAAGAACAAAATATCAACCTCATGGAGTCATTAGGAGATTTTAAAATGAGACTATATGTAAAGTACTTAGAATAAAAAGTACCTGGCTCACACTGTAAGTACAGCTAATACATGTTAGCTATTATTGTAGGCTATATACTCTTTATAGATTTTCTCATGAAATGCTCAAAAGAGTTTTGGCTTTGACAGGTAAGTCATGGTTACAGAGTTAAGGAGCAGCAGAGTCAGAAGTTGAGGAGAGAAATTAATGTTAAATATTTTTGGTATGACCAAATTAACAAAATTCTTTCCTCAGTCTATGACATTTATTTTGGTAGAGAAATATTAACTTTTGTTCTATAAATTAAAAACTTCAGAGTTAAAATTATGATATATAATACAATGTTTGTTAATATTTATACCACTTGATATCAACAAAATAAAAGTCTTAGGGTCTTAGTGGTACGAGAACAAATGGCATGTGGAAAAAAAAAAAGAAAAGGCATTTGGTATCTTCTGAAATTATTTCCAATGTGACTCAATAACTTAATTAAATTCTGCAAATATTTACTATGTCCAAGGACCTGTGTTAGGTCCAGGGGTGGGAATCAAGGTATAAAAATGGATGATGTAAGACCCTTCCCTCAAGGAGCTCACATCTAATGAGAGTCAATCATAGATGCAACTCAGCACAGGCAGGAGTCACAGCGGGGTACTGAACAATGGAAGGTGGAAGTATTGAGCTGTGGGAAGACAGGGATGGGGAGGAGGAGGCTGGGGAAAGTTCAAGAGTAAACACAAATAGGTACCTATCTCAGGATTTTTATGGAATTGTTTACAAGTGCTTCAGGGAAATGCTAGTTGATCAAAAGATTGTGTTTCTTCATCCAGTAATTAAAGGAAGCTGCAGCCAGTACTAGGATGGTGATATGGTTTGGCAGTGTCCCCACCCAAATCTCATCTTGAATTGTAATCCCCATAATCTCCATGTGTCAAGGGAGGTGACCTGGTGGAAGGTGATTGGATCATGGAGGTGGGGGTCTCCCACATGTTGTTCTCATGATAGTGAATGAGTTCTCATGAGATCTGATGGTTTTATAAGTGTTTGACAGTTCCTCCTTCACACGCTCACACTCTCTCTCCTGCTGCCTTGTGAAGAAGGTGCCTGCTTCCCCTTTTGCCATGATTGTAAGTTTCCTGAGGCCTCCCCAGCCACGCAGAACTTTGAGTTATTTAAACCTCTTCCCTTTATAAATTACCCAGTCTCCGGTATTTCTTTATAGCCTTGTCAGAACAGGCTAATACAGATGGTATCAAGAGTACACCAGGTGAAATCCATGGAAGGCATGAAAAGAAAGAGGAAGACTGACTCACACGGACATTAGGCTGAATAACCATGTGAGATGTGCAGGGATAGACAGAATATAATGTAAATCTATGCTTCTTAAACTTTGATGTGCCTTGAATCACCTTGGGGTCTTGTTAAAAGGCAGGTTCAGGCCAGGCGTGGTGGCTCACACCTGTAATCCCAGCACTTTGGGAGGCTGAGGCGGGCAGATCACAAGGTCAGGAGATCGAGACCATCCTGGCTAACTCAGTGAAACCCCATCTCTACAGAAAATACAAAAAATTAGCCGGGCGTGGTGGTGGGCGCCTGTAGTCCCAGCTACTCGGGAGGCTTAGGCAGGAGAATGGCACGAACCCAGGAGGCAGAGCTTGCAGTGAGCTGAGATTGTGCCACTGCACTCCAGCCTGGGCGACAGAGTAAGACTCCATCTCAAAAAAAAAAAAAAAGAAAAAAAAAAAGAGGCAGGTTCTGATTCATTAGAAGTATACTTGGAATAACAAAGAAGGAAATGGGCCTAGCAAGGGCATCCATAAGACCTTGCTACCAATGGCAGCACTCACTTTGAAGAGCATAAAGATGCTGCTGCAAGCCTCAAGCAACTGGACACTAAGGTATGGTTCAATCAACATGCAAACAAGTGGGGCTGCTCCCTTTGTAAAGGTCTTGAATAAATAATTGTCTTCGCTGACTTTCTCTCCCACTTAGCTGCCACCATCAACTGCACTTGCCCCTTCCCTCTTCTGCCTCAGTGTGAGGCTCCAGGCCTTCCATAAAGTATACAGATATAAAGTCACGGTTGAGCCTAAATGAGGGAAAATGACACTAGCCAGCCATTATAAAGCTTCTTACCATACCGTCTCAAACAGCAAACTCATCATGACAAGAAAAAATGTGCTGCAAATATTCTTCCTGGATGATGATGGGGTTCATCCGCCCCAGAATTTTTCTTTAAGAGCAATTCGGAAGCAAAAACAAGGTGTCCATGCCACCATGGATAAAAATGTGATAAACCCACAAGCTTCCTCAGCCACCATGGCACTTTCTACTATACCAGATGTGACCACAGCTTTCCTGGAGGTGGCAGAGGGGATTAATGCAGGGCCTCAACAGTAAAACCCTCTCCAAACAAAGTGCTTCCTTCTCACCCCCAAACTCCATTTTTGAGCATAAATCCTGATGACCTTCCAAATACTTATGGGTAAATAGGAGGTAGTACCTGGTAGAGACAACCAAGCTTCACAATATGGCAGAAAAAAATTAAAAATTTTTTTGAAAAATGTTGCTTTGCAATTTATTCAAAAAAGAGAAGTGTGCAAATTATGTATCTGGTAAGGGTCTAGAATACATAAAGAATTCTTACAACTCAACAATGAAAAGACAACCAAATTGTTAAAAATAGACAAAATATTTGAATAGACATTTCTCCAATGAAGATATACAAATGGACAGTAAGCATATAAAAAGATGTCGAATATTATTAGTCATTAGGGAAATATAAATCAAAACCACAATAAGATGTTACTTTGTACTCATTAGAATGGCTATTTTTAAAAAACACAAAAAAGAGAAAATGATATATGTTGGTGAGGATGTGGAGAAACTGGAATCTTTTTGCCTTTTTGGTGAGAATGTAAAATGTTGCAGCCTCTGTGGAAGACTGTTTGGCAGTTCCTCAAAAATTAAACATAGAGTTACCATGTGACCCAGCAATTGCATGCCTAGATATATAGCCTCTGGAATTGAAAACATGTCCTTACACAAAAACTGTACAAGAAATGTTCACAACAACATTATTCCTAATAGCCAAATGTGAAAACAATCTAAGTGCCCAATTTATTATTGGATAAACAAAATATTGTATCTCTATCCAATGGAATAATATTCAGCCATAAAAAGGAATAAAGCACTGCTGCATGCTGTGGTATGGATGAGCCTTGAAAACATTACACTAAGTGAAACAAGCCAAAGAAGCCAGTCACAAAAGTCCATGTATTATATGATTCCATTTATATGAAATGTCCAGAACAGGCAAATCCAGAAGCAGAAAGCAAATGAACCAAATTCATTTTTAAAACGGGGAAAAAAGAAAAATAGATAATAATAAAATTAAATGGGATTCATTTAATTTTGATTGGTTGATAATTTGATGGCTTTTTCATGAGGTGGGAAAGCTGCTGACATCACAGTGAAACTTTTCTTTTTCCTTTAATCATCATACTAATAGCACAAATATTGCCAAAGATGTGACATTTTGCTCAAACTTCCACTTGGCAGGATGTGTGTGAGCCTATCAGATCTGAAAGTCTCACCGTCTGGAAATAACAATTTGAAAACCCAAATGAAGCCAGACATGTTTATTAACAGCTCAAAAGATGATGATCAATTTAAAGAAAAGTTGTGATTACAGATTGTGGAACATAGCCTGTAAAGGAGATGCTTAAGAGCTTAATTTTCAATTACAGTGTCTAAAGATAAATCAAAACAGCCAACAGAAAACCAGGATTATTTTGAGAACAGTGTGATCTGAAAATCCCTATAGATAAAGTAAAATAAAAGCTAATGGCCGAGAAAAAATCAACTGTCATTAATTAATGACTTGCATACCTGTGCATACAACCACTTTGCTAAGCTCTGTGGAGGACATGTGGTCCGGGTCCCCATGTGGTTTACAATCTAGGTGAAGATGTAAGACACAGCAGAAATTTCCATGAGTCACCTATCTGGAGTTGAGTATGTCCTACCAGTTACTAGCAGTGTGACCTTACATAAGTTACTGAATCCCTCTAAGCCTCTGTATCCTCATCAGTTAAAGAGAAATGAGAAGAGTACCTATGTCATATGGCTGTCCTGAGCATTAAGTGAAATAATGAATGCACAGGACTTAGCCCTGCCCTTGGCCTGCAGGAAGGCTCAATAAATATTTATGATTGAATAATAACAACAGATAATAATATCACAAGTAGAGAGAGCAGAGCTTTCAAAATTATTGCCTGGTGTGAGTAAAAACCAAGCAGGATCAGATAATGAAAAGAGGAGCTAAGAATCTGGATTCTAATTCCATTTCTACCACATGCATACTTACCTATGTCATTTAAATCCTCTTGCTTTTTGATTGCTTTATCTAAAAACTTGAGTGAGGGTATCTCGAGAATGTTGGGTGAACCCAAAGAGAAAATGTACATAGGAAACACTGTGATCTAAACCAATGTCATGCATTATTGCTATTTTAGAATGTATTTATTATTATTTGTATCCATTTCATTGGAGACCATTCAAATTATACAAATAGTTATGGTATAAAATTTAGAGGCCTAAAGACACACTCCCAGTGGAGGATTGAACAGAAACTTCTCTTTAGAGCAAACAGAAACCAAAGTTTTATTTCAGCTCCGTTTGTAGTTGTCTAATAAACAGTCCTGCAAACTAATAAACAGTTCTGCAAACATCAGTCTTATAAATACAGCTGAAAGGGGTTGGAGACCCTAAGGCAGACAGAATAGTGAAAAAACATGACACAATTAGACACAACCGGGCCCAAACCACTCATCATTTATTTTCTAGCTTTGGGATGGAGCATAAAGGACAGCCTCTATGTGCCTTGATTTTGCTATAAGTCAAGAAGGAATGATACCCAACTCAGACTCAGGGTGAGAATTAAATGCAATAAATCACAAAGTGAGAAAATTCTTCTTCTTTCTTCCTTCCCTGTCACTTGTGCCTCTCCCCTCAGGGAGTGGAGCCATCAGTGCTGAAAGGTGGTAGAGGCAGCAGAGTGACCTGATATTTTTCACTCTACCTTGATGGACAGAATGGGACTGATAGCTTCTCCATGTGAAAGAAGCTACAGACACTACATTGACAGGCAGCTGGAGTTGGAATAGGGCATGAGGCCTCCATCACCACAGATTCTAAGCAAATGAAAGATGTCTACAGAGGGAGAGCACAAAGATATTTAAAAACCATACTGTAGGCCAGGCGCAGTGGCCCACGTGTGTAATCCCAGCTATTAGGGAAGCTAAAGTGGGATGATCGCTTGAGCTCAGGCTGCTGAGGCTTCAGTGAGCTGAGATCATGCCACTGCACTCCAGCCTGGGTGACAGAGTGAGACCTTATCTCAAAAACAAAAAAAAAACAAAACCACAAAAAACCCCATGCAGTAGAAGAACCTTTTCACCACTCAAGGAAGTAACACCTCCTTGGTCATCTGTCCTAAAATCAAAAAAAAAGTAAGGACTTCATTCTTTTTTTTTTTTTTTTTTTTTTTTTGAGGTGGAATATCGCTCTTTCACCTAGGCTGGAGTGCAATGGTGAGATCTCGGCTCACTGCAACCTCTGCCTCCCAGGTTCAGCAATTCTCCTGCCTCAGCCTCCTGAGTAGCTGGGATTACAGGCACCCACCACCATGCTTGGCTAAGTTTTTTTATTATTTATTTTTAGTAGAGATGGAGTTTCCCCATGTTGGCCAGGCTGGTCTTGAACTCCTGACCTCAAGTGATCCACCTGTCTCAGCCTCCCAAAGTGCTGGGATTACAGGCGTGAGCCACCGTGCTCGGCTACAACTTCATTCTTAAAGATAGGGTTGAAATACATTTCAACAATTTTCAGTTGACATCAAAGACTGCAAACGTACAAGGCTACAGGGATCAGGGCAGAAGTGAGGGAAGCAGGCCCATGGGTCTGTGGTGGTCTTGATGTCTCTGCCCAAGCCCCATCACATGAAAGTGAGGGTCCATGGTGGCCTTTTCTCCTGAATTTTTAAAGAGAAACTAAAAATCTAGGTCTTTGTGTGAGACCACCCAATTTTTAAAATGTGAACAAAAGCTAAAAACAATTGTTAAATTTTGTGAGCTCAGCCCACATACCTCTGCAAGCAAACTTCCTCCTGGCTGTCATCTTTCATTCTGGTACACAATAACAGAAGAGGGAAGGTGACCAGTGTTCAGCCGAAAGCAAATATCACAGCAATCAGGAAATCAGCACGTGGAACACAAGAAGCCTCCCGTGGTCTTGAGTCAATCTTACAAATGTTTTCTGGATGACTTCTTCGTGCCAGCACCACAGAGGTGCTATGTTGTGAGGTCAAAGAGAGGACGCTGCTCCTGCCACTGAGAAATTGTATTCTAGTAGGCAGGACAAGACAGAAGACAAGAGAACAAGCTAGTCTATAGGAACGGCCACCCCAAAGTTGTAGGAGTTCAGAGCTACCCTTGAAATTCACACTAGGTGAGATTAAGAAAGAATTTTAGATGAACCTTGGATGTGAGAGTGAGAAGGAATTCACTAGGCGGGGACTATTGAGGACGGTGGAGAGTGGAGAGAACACCTAAAGACAGAGGGGCAGGGGAAGAAGAAATTAACGTGTCAGGTGCCTAAGGCCCAAACACTTTTATAATACGTTATTTTATTTAATCATCTGATCTAAAAAGCCTGTTATTTACAGATAAAGATAATAATGTAACACAGGTTAGGAAACTTGTCCAAAGTCACATGGCCAGCTTCGATATCCAGTTCTGTTGGACACCAAAGTTCTGTTTCTTCCATAAAGAGGTGATAAGAGTGTGTTCAGTCAGTAGTTTGGCTGGTGCTTGAGGGGTGGTTTAGAAAACCAAGACTAGGAAATCACTTGGGGCACACCATGAAAGCCCTTGAATGCCAGGGAGGAGAATTTATACTTCTCTGACCCTAAGTTCCCTTCCATATAATGGGTTCATTGTGAGGATAAAATGAGATAAACCGTGTGTTAAACTATAATATACAAAGATTAGTTTTTAAGGATAATGAATAGCCATTGAACATGTTTGTGTAAAAGCCAGCCTAGATTGGAGAAAAGCCTGGTTAAAATGTGTAGAATGGATTAGCATAGGGAAATCAGGCAGTTGACAGCTGTTTATAGGCAGGAAAGTGAAGCCCATGGGATTGGAAGTTGGGAAGGAACTTCATCAGGAGTGGGATAGATTGAAGGCAAGAGAAGAGTAAGAATCCCAGATCCATAGTTTGGGTCGGGTAAAGGTTTGATGAGATGATAAGGGTGGTTTATTTCAGACTTTGGGTAAAAGGGAGTATGAATCAGTTCATTAATTCATCTTGTTTCCCAGAGAGAAAAAAAAGATCAAGAGAAGCCATTCTGGCTCTGCCACATCCCCACAGCCAGCCCTGTTTTATTTCAACTGCTTGCTCAAATTAAACTCACCACACTGGAGTGCAATCTGCCAGGAGCCAGCTGGGGTGTATTGTGTTCAGTTGTTCAAATGTTCAGGCCCGTTCTGGGTAAGTTCATGCTGGTGTCTCTTGGAGGGATGCCTAGGGTGAAGGGCTGAGCTCTGAAGTCAGAATGATCTGTTTTAGAACCTGGCTCTTTCATAGATTATAGGTCATTTCCTCTTTCTTTATGGCAACTCACAAAAGAGGAATCAGGAAAGCTCCTGTACCAGTGTGGCTCTCTAACAGGATCTGGAACTGAAGACTAATTATTTGGATGTGGCTTACACTCAAAAGGACATTTTGAAGTGGTTGAAGAGGAGAAACTTTCCTAACAACTTGTTCAAAGACTCTTTTACTCCAGGGAACATAGCTAACTGGGAAGAGGGTGGAGGATCTAGTGCCTTGTCCCATACTGGAAACACACAGGACAGAAGGCTCCACAACACAGCCTGGCCTTGGGAGGAAGGTAGGAGGTTCTGACTCAGCAGCCAGCTGTGAGAGGTGGAAGAGGACCCTTGATCTGGGCAAGCAAGGGTTCAGTCCTGCTGGAAAGATGACTCTTTTACCAAGAGAATACTGAATCCCAGAGAAGTCTCAGACTGCAGTACTCTAGGAGTGAAAACCAGTTGGATGTCTAGAGGAACTCAGCCAGCTGGATAAGTTCTCATCTCTCCACCTTTGACATTGTTGATGTTCATCAAGGGTTTGTCTTCCACCCTCTTCTTGGGCAGCACACTCTCCCACAGGGATCCCATCTGTTTTTATAGCTTCCATTTCCATCTCTATCTGTTGCCTCATGCTGTTTCCCCAGTGACAAACTCAATATACAATTACCTGCTGGGACTCTACCTGGATACCTGCACATGAGACCCAACAAAGGAAAAATAAACGTATCTATCCTCCCTTCAGAAAACCTCAGACTTTTCATTCTGGGTCCCCTGGTACTTTAAAAATAGGCCTATAGAATATCTGATACTCTTCCCATCAGAAAATGGAGGCTCTGTCCCTGTCTCTTGAAGCTGGGTTGGCCTTCGTGATCACCTTGATAGACAAAATGCAGCAGTAGTGAGGCTATGTGAAATCTGAGATAGGTTAGAAGAGGCCAGCATCTGATTAGTTTTCTTCTTGGGACACTCACTTTGAAGCCCTGAAGCATCATGTAAGAAGTCCAGCTGCCTTGAAGCTGCCATGCTGGAGAGGCAACATGGGAAAACCAGAGCAAGAGGGAGTATAGTGGGGGTGGGGGTTGGGGGAGAGAGAGAGAGAAAGAGAAGAGGAGAGAGAGAGTCAGCGAGAAAAGGGATACAGGAGCCCCGGCTGCTTGAATCCTGCCAGCCCAGTCAGAAGACAAGTGAGTGATGGCCTTTACACTGTAATGTAAAGTAATGTAATGTAATGTAAAGTGAGTGATGGCCTCTGACACTGTCTTGGTTCAGGTCCGCTGCATTTCTCACCAAGGCTACTTCATCAACTTCCTAAAACTCTTTCTGCATACAATCTTGTCTCTGCCAGTTCATTCTGCAAACTAAGTCAGAGCTATCTTTCCAGGATGCAAATCTGGCGGAGTCACTCTCCAGCTTAAAGCCCCTTCAGTGGTCCCCTAACATAGGGTGGCATGCAAGCTCTCTGACCCACCCTAGCCCCAGCCCCAACCCCAACCATGCCCACTGTGTCAGTTCTGCCCTGCGCTCATGTCTTTGAGCCTTTATTTATTGCTCCCTCTGCTCTCTCATTTATCTGATTACCATTTCAGTGACTTCAAAACTCAGCCCAAGTGTATTTGGAAAGCCTTCCCAACCTCCTCCAAGATCCATGTGACATGTGCGTCCCCAAGCCAGATAACCAGGGAGGCTCTGGCTGGCCGTGTGAATGTTATCTTAAGATGTTAGTGAACCTTCCATGCCCAACAATACCCAAAACAATTAGGTCAGATATCCTCAATGGGAATTACGGCAGCATCAGGCCACTCAAGGTTTTGCTCTTTTCAGGGATGAGAACTCAGTAGAAAACAGGAATTCCCCACCAGTAAACACAGACCCTCTCTTGCAAATGCTGGACATGTATGCACCAACTGACTCTTAAGGGCATGTTTGTATGTGTGTGTACATGTGTTGATCATACAATAAAATTGACTATTTTAGTGTACAGTTCTATGGTTAACATGTTAAAATTCTTATAGCCACCATCAAAATTAGAATATAGAACAGCTCCATCACGCCAAAGAGCTCTCTCATGCTGTATCTTTCTAGTCACACCTTTCTCCATTCCTAACCTCTAGCAACCACTAGTCTGTTTTCCACCACTATGGTTTTGTCTTTTTGAGGCTATCATGCAGATGGAATCATATTCTATGTAAGTTGTGAGACTGGTTTTTTCACTGACTATAATGCCTCTAAGATTCATCTGAGTTTTGTACGTATCAATGGTATGTTCCTTTCTCTTGCTGAATAGATCACGTTTTATGGATAGACAGTAGTTTATTTACTTATTGAAGAATATTTGACTCGTCTCCCATTTTGATTGATTATGCAGAGTGCTGCTATAAACACTCACATACAGATTTTTGTGTGAACATGTTTTCCTTTCTCTAGGACCTATACACAGGAGTGGGACTGCTGTGCCATATCATAAAGCTGTATTTAAGGTGATAAGAAAGTGCCAAATTGTTTTTTAGAGTGGCTGTACCATTTTATATTCCCATATCAGCAGTGTTTAATAGTACCAGTTGCTCCACATCCTCATCAGCACTTGGTGTTGTATTTTTTTTTAGCCACTCTAATAGGTATTTACTGGCATCTTATTGTGGTTTTAATTCACTTTTCCCTAACGGCCAACGATGCTGAATATTTTTTCATGTGTTTATTTGCCATCAGTATACCCTCTTCGGTGAAGTGTCTGTTCAGGTTTTGCCTATTTTTAAAGTTTGATCATTTGTTTTCTTATTACTTAGTTTTGAGAGTTTCTCTATATATTCTGGATACAAATTTAGACAAGTTGGATATATGATCTGCAATTCTTTTCTCCCAGTCTGTAGCTTGTTTGTTCATTCTCTTAAGTGCCTTTTGGAGAGAAAGAGATTTATTTGTTAAAGTCCAACTTACCAATTTTTTTCTTTTATGAATTGTGCTTTGGCATCTAGATCTCTTTGCCTAACTCCAGCTCATGTAGATTTTACCCCTATGTTTTCTTCTAAAAGTCTTATATCTTACTCTTTTCCTTTTGGAGTTAATTTTTGAATGTAATGTGATTTTAGGTTGAGGTTCATTTTTTTTTCTGCATATGATGTCTAGTTGTTCCAATACCATTTGTTGGAAAGACTATCCTTTGCTCTTTGAATAGCTTTTGCACCTTTGTCAAAAATCAATTGGAGGGCCAGGTACAGTGGCTCACACCTGCAATCTCAGCACTTTGAGAGTCTGAAGCAGGAGGACTTCTTGAGCCCAGGAGTTCAAGGCTGCAATGAGCTACAATCATGCTGCTGCACTCCAACCTGGGAGACAGAGTGAGACCCTGTCTCAATTTAAAAAAAAATAAAAAAGACCAACTGGGCATATTTCTATGGGTCTATTTCTGGAATCTCTGTTCTGCTTCATTCATCTATTAGGTTGGTGCAAAAGTAATTGCAGTTTTTGCCATGTCTACCTTTTCACCAATATTACACTTGATATCTTGAAAACCATATTGAAATAAGATAGGATGATTCCTCCAACTTTCTTCTTTTTCATAATTATTTTAGCTCTTCTAATGCCTTTATCTTTCCATATGAGTTTTATTTGTTGTTTGTTTTTTTTGGAGACAGGATCTCACTCTGTCACCCAGGCTTGAGTGCAGTGGCGTGATCATGGCTCGCTGCAGCTTCAATCTCCCGGGCTCAAGCAATCCTCCCACCTCAGCCTACCAAGTAGCTGGGACTACAGGCGCATGCCACCATGCCTGGCTAAGTTTTGTATTTTTTTGTAGAGTTTTGCCACGTTGCCCAAGATGGTGTTCAATTCCTGAGCTCAAGCAATCTGCCCACCTCAGCCTCCCAAAGTGCTGGGATTACAGGTGTGAGCCACCGCACCCTGCCTCCATATGAATTTTAGAATCAGCTTGTCTGGTATATCTACAAAAATCCCTGCTGGGATTTAGATCAGAATTGCATTAAATCTATACATCAATTATGGGAGAACTGACATCATTACTATGTTGAGTCATCCAATCCATGAACAACTTATGTCTCTCCATTTACTTTGGCATTCATTGATTTCTTTCATCAGTGTTTTATAATTGTCAGAGTATAGATCCTATATATATTTTGTTACATACCTAATCCTTACCTTTTGGAGCTATGTCACACAATGTATTTAAATTTCCATTTTCAGTTGTACATTGTTAACATATAGAAATAACAAGTGATTTTTGTGTGTTAACCTTGTATCTTGCAGCCCTGCTAAAATCACTTATTAGTCTTAAAATTTATTTTGTAATTTCTTGGGATTTCCTGTGTAGAAAATCATGCCATCTGTGAATAGGGACAGTTTTGTTTCTTTCTTTTCAAAATGCCTTTTATTTCTTTTTCTTGCCCTGTTGCACTGGCCCAGGTTTCCAGTGAGATATTCAAAAGAAATGGTGAGAATGGACACCTTTGCCTTATTCCTGCTCTTAGGGGGAAAGCATTCAGACTTTCAGCATTAAATATAAGCTGTAGTGTAGTGTAGTGTGTGTGTGTGTGTGTGTGTGTGTGTGTGTGTAGAATTCTTAAGAGTTTAAGGCAAAACATGCTTAATTTTTCTTCTCCTCTGCTATGGTATGAATGTGTATGTCCTCCTTCAAATTCATATTTTGAAACCTAATCATCAATGTGATGGTGTTAGAAGGTGGGGCCCTTGAGAGGTGATTAGGTCGTGAGGGGAGAGCCCTCCTGAATGGGATTAGTGCCTTTTTGAAAGAGTCCCAGAGAGCTGCCTTGCCACTTCCACTGTGTGAGGAAACAGCTAGAAGGCATCATTCATGAGCCAGGAGGTGGGCCCTCAGCAGACACGGAATCTAATGGCACCTTGATCTTGGACATCCTGGCCTCCAGAACTATAAGAAATAAATGTCTGTTGTTTATAAGCTACGTAGTCTGTGGGATGTTGTTACAGCAGCCAGAACAGACTATGACACCCTCTCTCAGTTTTTAAAGTGATTTCTGTCTCAATTCCATCAATTTCAAACCATGTGGTTAATAACTAAACGACTTCCTGGCTTTTGTAACTATGAATTCAATAAAATTTAACTTATGAGTGTTGTATTGATTGCTTTCAGGAAATAGCTCAAGAACATAACAGATAAAAGGCAGGTCTGTTGCTCTTGCTAAGGGACAGTATCCCTTGTCCCTGCAGTGAACAGCATACCTTCTAACTCTCAATTTGTTTACGGTGGAGCTGAAGCCCTAAGTAGTCCAGAAGCTTGGGGGAACATGGTAGGATGAGGGAGGGACCCTGGTCTAGCCAATCAGATCACCATGTTCCTTTGGTCCCAAGACTATATTGAGGAATGGAGCTCTGACTCAGGGCTGAGTTAGCCTAAGGCTAAGGCCATGGAGTCTTGTTTGAACTAATAGGGATCAGAAACTTTATCTCTCCTGCTGGGTGTGGAACTGGGAAAAAGAAACCTTGACCTGTGCTGGCAGCTGTATCAACACCAGGGAAGAGTCTTGCTTGGGAGTGAAAATGACACAGGTGTAAAGAGACTGTATGTAAGGAGACAACAGGTCCAGATGATATTAAACCCCTGTACTGGAAGCCAGGTACTGTTTCTAGACTCTTATGGTATCTGAGCCATAAATTTTATATGTCACCCCCGCCTCCTTACACCTTTCTGGATTAAGCCTGTTTGAACTGGATTTTCTGTTGCTTACAATTAGAAGAGTCCTAAATTATAGTGGGGAGACAGAGAAGCTGCCACTGGTATTCTAGGTGCCTTCTCCGCCAGCCACATTTGCCCTCCTTGCATGGAAGAAAGGCTGGTAGATGCACGGGCAATGCTTTCTAGATGTAGAGGCCTAGGGCTAGGCTTGTGTGAACAGCAGGAGATGGTCCTGCTGGTATATAGCTAGAGGCTGTGGAAGCCATTCTTACCTCTCATTTCCCATAATGCCCTTAAGCAACAGCCACCAGTATCACCAGATGTTATCAAAATAGACTGGGCGTAGTGGCTCATGCCTGTAATCCCAGCACTTTGGGAGGCCAAGGTGGGCGGATCACTTGAGGTCAGGAGTTTGAAACCAGCCTGGCCAACACAGCAAAACCCCATTTCTACTAAAAATGAAAAAATTAGCCAGGCATGGTGGCACATGCCTGTAATCCCAGCTACTTGGAAGGCCGAGGCAAGAGAATTGCTTGAACCTGGGAGGCAGAGGTTGCAGTGAGCTGAGATCATACCACTGCACTCCAGCCTGGGGGACAGAGCAAGATTCCATCTCAGTAAATAAATAATAATTTCCCTGCCATCATTCCTAGACTTTGTATCTTTTCAACACTTCTTGATGTCCCGAGAAAACCTTTCAGCATGGCACCTCATGCCATATGGCTCTGTGCTAGTCACTCTCCATTTGCCCTCCGATTCACCCTCTGTCTTTCTTTGTCCTGCTCTGTGCACTGGGAGGGCTGATCCAGGGTTCCTTGCCTCTGGTTTTGGCTGGGTTTAGCAAATGAGAGGCAGTAGCTGTAGATCTTAATGGTAGAAAGAGACAGAGGTTGGGTTTTTTTTTTTATTTTCTCCCGCCCTCCCTTCCCCTGTTCTTCTGCAGCCACATAGGCCCTGCCTTTTGGTTCCCTGCCACAACTCAGCCCTCACTGTACTGTGGAAACCCCATCACCCTCTCTTGTCTGTTCAGGCCTAGATGAGCTAATAGCTTCCCAGTTATTCATCCCTGGGTGCCTCACCATCCCTTGCTGATTCCTTTTACCCTGCTGAACTCTATAAATAGTCCCTTGATTCAATTCTGCTCAGTGAAACTCTTTTGAGTCTGCTTCCTGCCAGGTCCCTAACCAATACAGGCCTGCATGTCCTTCTCACCCCCCAATCCCAGCAGATCCAGTCACAGCAAACTCCTTGCTATTTCTTAAAGATGCTCCATGCTTTTTTGTTTACATGCTTTTTTGCTTTCACACTCTTGTTCACACAGATCGCCCTCCCTTGAAAGCCCTTTGCCACTATCTCTGCCTAATAAACTCCTACCCACCCCTTAAAGCCTAGTTAAAAAGCCACCTCCTCCAGAAAGCCTTTCCTAGGCTGTCTTCTCAGGTGGAAAGAATCTCTCCTCTGGACCCTACTCAGTTTTATCTGAATTTCTATTACCCCCTCAAACAGGTCTAATTCGTGCTCTCCTTCCCTTTCATCTCAAGCTCCCAAGGCAGAAGCATTTGTCTGCTCATTCCTGTACCCCACCGCCCCGGCATCAAGCTTGACACACTGTAGGTGTTTGATTGACACCTGCTGCATTGAGCCGAACCAGGACTGCATTTTAATTGCTATTTAATGCACATGCCCAGGAAGCCACTGCACTTTCTAACCTTTGCTCATCAAACCTGATTATGAAAGGCAGGAGAAAATCACTGAGGGAGGATGTCATGAGCAAAGCATGAAAACTGGGCCACAGGAATGTGGATGAATTTATTGTCTCAGGGCCATCGAACCCAGAAGTGTGTCATAAACAGTCTCTCCAGTAACTCCTGACTTGTGAGATGTTCTCCTTTTACAATGGCTATGGTGCTGTACACATGACAATTCAAGTGCCCAGCTCCTCACCTGGGGATGCCTCCTGGGGATGGAGTCTTAGGAGTCCTTTGGGCTCAAGTGAGGGTGAGCTTAGTTGGGAAAGTTAGGACCAGCCCACAGGAATCTAGTCTCTCGAGCAAATATCCAACTGGCTTAGAGCCCAGCAGGTGGGTGAATCTATCAGTCTCGGGACAACCAGACTCTCACTCTCCCACAGGTGTATCAGTACCATGCATGTGTGCTTGGATTATTTCCCGAGATACATATCTATGACTTGTGGATTCCAAAGTCTTGCATTTTCTACCTGTGGTTGACTCTCTTTATTCTACTTTTTTCCTCTTAAAGTGATTTGTTTGCTAATCTCATGGGTGATTCTACCTATCATCTTGTTTGCATTCCTGTGAAGACCCTTTATCTATCCCACGGTCACGTTCCACTCTTTCCCTTCCTCAGTATCAGGGCAAATATTTGGCTTCCAAGCCACTGATGGAATTTCTGTCCCTTGGCTCAGACTTGTACGGTTTGGAGAGGCCCTGGAATCCTCTGCTTGAAGGGTACACCTTTTCCTCCACTTTAACTAACATCACGTGTCCCAGATCACTGCCTCTTTACAATAGCCAGTTTCACATGCCTGTAAACACCTTCTTGGTTCACTACACAATCTTAGGAAGCCATCTCCCTGTGTGTAAATAAAATCTGACCATCTCTCCTGCAGCAGGTTTTAGTCAGGTACAACTTAAGATCAGATCGACCTCTGGGAGAAAGAAGGTGGCCGATCATCCTGGATTTTCTAAACCTGCCACAAGCCTGGAACTCCTGGGCGAACTCTGAACTCAGAATGCTAAGTCGAAGTACCTGGGTCTCCACAACATTCTTCAGCCCGTTCCTTAGGTCTGCTTACAAAACTTGTGTCATCTTGAATGCTCTTCCTCATGACTCCCAACCATGCTGCCTGACTGCTAACTGTTCACCCTTCTCTCTTAACATTTGTGGAGTTGTAACTTTCCCCACTCCCAGAAGGACCACAGAAACATTTACTTTTATCTTTAAGTGAGTTAAGACATATTTTAAGAATTTAAAGAATTTAAGACACAATAACAAACATTCATAAGGAACTTCATGATTTCAAAAAGTAACTCCATGTGGATCAGCTCATTTAATAACAACAGTGGATTACATTAAAGGTCCAGAAATGACTGTGAATGCATCTGGGATGACCACCAGAGACCAAAAAAATCAAACATGGTGAGTATAATCTTTGCACAGTAACACTTGAGGATTTTGTTTACTCTTGGAATCTATTTTTTTTTTTCTTTTTTGAGACAGAGTCTTGCTGTGTCACCCAGGCTGGAGTGCAGTGGCGCCACTTTGGCTCACTTGCAAGGTCCACCTCCCGGGTTCACGCCATTCTCCTGCCTCAACCTCCCAAGTGGCTGGGACTACAGGTGCCCACCACCACGCTCAGCTAATTTTTTTTTGTATTTTTAATAGAGAGGGGGTTTCACCATGTTATCCAGGATGGTCTCCATTTCCTGACCTAGTGATTCACACACCTCGGCCTCCCGAAGTGCTGGGATTACAGGCGTGAGCCACTGCCGCCAGCCTACTCTTGGAACCTTTTATTATATGTCTGTGGGAATCTTCAGCCCCCTTAGTACTGCCCTCATGGAAAACAGATGTTCCCTGGGAAATGAGGGGAGGTTCTAAGAGGGGAGAGAGAATCTAAGAAAGAATTACTGGCTGCATACTCCACACACTGTGATCTGCCAACCCTTTTCCCTAGTACACAGGGCCCTGAATAGGCTTCAGGAAGCCTACACAAGCTCAGTGATGAGCACCAATTAGATAACTTCAGGGTTCTAGATCTTAGGTGCAGTAAGTCCAGTCTTTCACAGTTACTGACTTGAGGTTAAAAAAGCAACCAAGCATTACTCAAGTATTTCCACTTAAGCAAAAGTAGACGTAGATTTCTATTTTTTTTTTTCAAAATAAATAAGCTAGTTGGAGATTATTGGAAAATACCAATATTCAATGCAGATGTTAAACCAGATACAGAGGAGACCCAGGCATGCTATTTAAGGTTATGGTTTCTGAATTGGCAACAAGATCTTTTCTTAGGTTATATCAATTTACTTAACATAGAACAGCATATTTCAGGCCTTTTCCACTTAATAACAAAAGTCATCTGTACACAAAGCCCAAACACAACCATATAGCATTATATGTAAAATGTGCAAATGTACTTTAAAATGCAAGTTATTCTAAAGCACTGGCAGGATAGAATTTCATAGTAATTTGGCCGGGCATGATGGCTCATGCCTGTAATCCCAGCACTTTGGGAGGCTGAGGCAGGTGGATCACTTAAGGTCATGAGTTCTAGACCAGCCTGGCTAACATGGCGAAACCCCGTCTCTACTAAAAGTACAAAAATTAAGTCAGACGGCAGGAGCCTGTAATCCCAGCAATTTGGGAGGCAGAGGTGAGTGGATCACTTGAGGTCAGGAGTTCAAGACCAGCCTGGCCAACATGGTGAAACCCCCTCTCTACTAAAAACATACAAAAATTAGCCAGGCGTGGTGGTGGGCACCTGTAATCCCAGCTACTTGGGAAGCTGAGGCAGGAGAATCGCTTGAACTCGGAAGGCGGAGGTTGCAGTGAGCTGAGTTGGTGCCACTGCACTCCATTCTGGGTGACAGAGACTCTCCATCCCAAAAACTAAAAGTACAAAAATTAGCTGGGCGTGGTGGCACATGCCTATAATCCCAGCTACTCGGGAGGCTGAGGCAGCAGAATTGCTTGAACCCAGGAGGTGAAGGTTGAAGTGAGCCAAGATCATGCCACTGCCCTCCAGCCTGGGTAACAGTGTGAGACACCTTCCCAAAACAAAAAGAAAAACAACAACAACAACAACAAAGAATTTCACAGTAATTAAAAATGTCTTCCTCATTCTAACTAACTTAATCTTTTGCACGTAGAGCCAATGGAAATCCACAAGGCACAACCCAGCATTGATGCTGAATTGAGAAACATCCTCAGATTATTTATTTGTAGATATTAAAATATTATTTTTCTGGGAGCTCATTTCTAAACCTTCATAAAACATTATACTGGTAACTTATGTGTGGTCAGGACAAACTGTTCTGTGAACTTAAAAGGTGAAAGACAAGACCCTATATTGCTATCCAGTATAAAAAAAGGAAATATGGGCCGGGTGCGGTGGCTCACCCCTGTAATCCCAGCTCTTTGGGAGGCCAAGGCAGGTGGATCACCTGAGGTCAGAAGTTCAAGACCAGCCTGGCCAACATGGTGAAACCCCATCTTTATTAAAAATACAAAAAAATTAGCTAGGCATGGTGTTGCACATCTGTAATCCCAGCTACTTGGGAGGCTGAGGCAGGAGAATCGCTTGAACCTGGGAGGCGGAGGTTGCAGTGAGCCAAGATCATGCCGCTGCACTCCAGCCTGGGCGACATAGTGAGGCTGTATCTCAAAAAAAAAAAAAAAAAAAGAAATATATGTACACATACACCCCCACATCGCACACACGAAACTCCACCTAATCCAAACCGAGGCCATTTCCTTATTAGCAAAGGTATTTCATGACAGTTAAATATTACAGACTTATTTACCACTTGTTTTGGTCAATCTTGCTACAAAAAGACACTGAAACAGACAAGTTTCTTCTTCAAGGTAAAGATGTCTAATTTAGAAAATCTTCCTGTTGTGATTGCACAGTGAAAGGTATATTAAATATAAAAGCTTACTGCCTTTAAAGAAATTATTTAAATTTACACAGAAGAAAACATCAACTTTTTAAAAACCAGTAAGAGCACTGTCCATAACACAATCAAAAATCTTTCAAACCCAATCACAGTGCTCTTTGCTGTTTTATGACAACAAGATCTTTATCTCCATCACTTCAAGAACTCAGAATCTCTTCAGTCTGGTGAAACCTCAGGAAATTCTCCACATGCAAGAAAGAAATCCAAGAAGCGGCAGCAGAAATGGAGCAAGCCTGTTACATCTCCTGGTTGACAATTAACTTTTGCTAATGAAAAAGTAAAAACTTATTTTCCGACTCTTTGGTGACCACATCTAGTGTTTACCCACGCAGTTGTTCAAAGTCTCCTGGAACAGGTAGTACAGACAGGCTAATTAATTTCTTATCATAGAAATAATCTCCAGACAGGGAGAGAAGTGGGCAGAATTTGGATAAGGATGTGAAAGGACACTTGGAGGGGGAAAATCCAGAAATAAATTCAATGAATGGTGTAAGAGTTGCTAAATACCGTAGCTGAAAAGGCTCTACCATCCAGGGTTGATTCAGTGCCAAGCTGTAGCCCAATTATGGAAAAAGAGATGGATCTTCCATTTTCTCTAATTAGCCCAGAGAATTATCTGGAGATCAGGTGGGTTCTGGTGCTGGTTTCTTGAGAAGATCAGATCTTCCTTAGGGTACAGAGATGCTCTCCAGTCTGGGAGCTTCAGGGTCATGCAGTGCTCACAATAAAATGGCTTCAAAACTGTTAGCAACCAGACTTGCTCTTCTTCTGGGGTCCCCATTCCAGGAGTTAAGTATGTTTGGGATGACTTAGGCTAGCATAAGAGTTCCTCATGGTCTTCACTCAAAAACTCATACAACTGAGTGGGCTTCTAGGGGATCAATGGGATTGGTTCATCAAAGATTTACCTGTTTTAATTCTTCAGTGAAGAAGGTTGTAATCAGTCAGATATATCTGGGGGCACCTCCTGTGAAGTAAGTACAATGCTGGATGCTATGATGTGACAGACCTGTGTAGTATTGCATTCTTGTCCTTAGGAAACAGGTAAGAAAAAGTGCGAAAGCACAGCAACACATATATTAAATTATAGTTCCATGTAATACTGAAATTGAACCTAAGAGATGATAAGCCCTCCTTATGTGTATCATCACCTTTATACAGACTTGCTCGTTCCAGTCTTCAAGCCCAGAAATCCTACCACACCTGCTCAAGGCCATTCCAATTATGGCCTCCTCCAGGAACTTTCCCAGTTGCACCTTCTTTGAAGGCCCACAGCATGCTGCAGCCTCCTTGCAGCATTTACCACACTCAGGATCATGTTAGTGATTGTGGATGTATTGCCACCAATGGACTGAGAGGACAAAATACAGACTTTGACTCTGCTTCTCTTATCAGTAACATCAGTACTTGCTCAATTTAAATTCAGTTCCTAATTGATTGCCAAATGAATAAACTTTTCCCAGCAACAAACAATACTTTTCATCTTAGGCACCAATTCTGTTTGATTAACAGTGGTTGCCTGGAGCAAAGTTTCGAGGATTCTGAGGCCATGACAGAGCTCAGTAGTGAAGAGTACTGTAATCAGTGATGTCTGCCACAGAACAGACGTGGGAATGGTGGTGCTAATGGTGATAATTTATGCATATAAATCAAGGGTTAAGAATGTAGAGAAGGGAGATTATCTCCAACTGCAGTCAGAGAAGTCTACAACATAAAAGTGGTAATTAAATCCATCTTCAAGGATAGGCAGGATAACAGTGAGTGAAACATTTGAGCAAAAGGATTAGGGCATGAAAGTACAACAGTTCTGGGAAAGCAACTAGATGAGTTTCACTAGAATTCAAGCTCAAACAGAAGGTTTATGTAGGAGAAGCGTAGCGGAAAGGACTAACCACACGCAATAAAGATGAGCTACAAGACTGAGAAAGGATGAAGCAAGAAGGAGGAGAATAGGCTTTATTTGGCCACTTTGCAAGAAAGAAGCCTGTCTCCAAGTATGGTTCTAACTACCAATTAGGTGTAGGTGTATCAAGGTTTACTAGGAAGGAAGAAGACTTGCTTAATGATTAATAATTAGTAACCTAAGCTTTGGAATCAGACAGTCCTGGGTGCTAATCCTAGCTCTGTGTGCTCAGCTACATGACCTAAGCCTTGTAAATTTCAGTTTCCTCATCTGGTAAAATGGGAACCCCCTAACTCATTGTACTGAGGGTCAAATGGGAGATAAATGTACATAAAACTCGTGGTAAATTCTCAATAAATATTGATATTAGGGTTGGTTAGCCAAAGAGAACTTTTCAAGGGAGAAAATATGTCACTCTCACTTTCTCTCTCAATGTCTCATACTTCAGGGAATCTTTTTTTTTTTTTTTTTTTTTTTTTCTGGAGACAGGGTCTCATTCTATCACCCGGGCAGGAGTGCTGTGGTGTGATCTTGGCTCACTGCAGACTCAACCTCCCGGGCTCAAGTGATCCTCTCACCTCAGCCCCCTGAGTAGCTGGGACTACAGGCGTGACCCACCACACCTGGTTAATTTTTGTATTATTTGTAGAGATGAGGTGTCACCATGTTGCCCAGGCTGGTCTTGGACTCCTGGGCTCAAGCCATCTGTATGCCTTGGCCTCCCAAAGTGCTAGAATTACAGATGTGAGCCACTGTGCCTGGCCCATAATTTGGGGAAATCTTAAATGAAACCTGCTAAGTGGCTCAGAAAACAAGTCTTTGAGATACCCACAGAAGTTGAACAGTATCAGTTTATTTTCCAGTAATGGGGAGAGGCTCAGAGATTAGGCTCTCTGTAGTTTAGGCATTTCTGGTGATGGTGCATTTTTTTATGTTGACTTAATTCCTTACTGAATTATTAGTAACGAGGTAACTCTTAAGCAATAGAACAATGGTAGAAAAATAATTGTACATTCTCACCTAAGCTCTCTCCTATAAGGATTTCCCCCTTGGTTGAGTAAGTGCTGTAGTTTTCTTTGTTTTGTTTTGTTTTGTTTTGTTTTGGAGATGGAGTTTAGCTCTCATTGCCCAGGCTGGAGTGCAATGGCGTGATCTCGGCTCACTGCGACCTCTGCCTCCAGGGTTCAAGCAATTCTCCTGCCTCAGCCTCCCCAGTAGCTGGGATTACAGGCATGCACCACCATACCTGGCTAATTTTGTATTTTTAGTAGAGATGGGGTTTCTCCATGTTGGTCAGGCTGGTCTTGAACTCCTGACCTCAGGTGATCTGCCCACCTCGGCCTCCCAAAGTTCTGGGATTACAGGCGTGAGCACCGTACCTGGCCAAAGTGCTGTAGTTTTAACTACATCTGGAAGTGTTATACCCAAATAGTTGTCTCAGAGAGATTATAAGAATAAACACACCATGTGGCCATGTGGACCCTCTCTGAGGGTGTTTCCGAAGCCAAGTTCCAGTCCCAAAGTCTGCTATTGCTTCAACATGCAGACCAAGCAGAGAGTCACATGATGATAGCAGGAAAATTGTTTGAACCTGGGAGGTGGAGGTTGCAGTTGCCGAGATCACACTACTACACTCCAGCCTGGGTGACGGAGTGAGACTCTGTCTCAAAACAAAACAAAATAGAAAAGGCCATTTAAAACACTTTCTACTATCAAGAGCCTTCCTAGACATGCGGAGATCTGCTGTGACAATTGTCCTGTGTTGGACACGGTTAGGGACTCTGAGACTAAGAAAGGGCTCGGGAGTGGTGACCTCAGCATGAGTGCAGGACTGGTGGGACGTCTTATCTTCTCAGGGCTGGGTCTGGGGATTAGTGGTAGAGAACAGGGCACTGTATCCCTCCCTGTCTTGGCTGAGTGGGAACCGCTGCCCGGAGCTCACATAGCCGAGGCTGGGCCTGGGAGAGGAACATGAAGCATCTGTGAGCTGGGATGAGATCTGTCCATCCCAGAAAGTATAGGACTATTTATTGGAAAGGAAATATTCTACCTTTGGTAACGGAACAGGCAGTCAGCAGATAATTTTCAAAGTAAAGTAGTAAAATTTCTGAAAAAGAGTGAGTCACTGAAACACTTCCTTTCTATTAACAGAGGTGTTACTGTGGGCTGTACTAATTACAACAGAGTACTCTTTGTTGCAGTTTGGGGCTGTTCCTCAGCAAGTATAATGTATTAACTCTTTCTAAATCAGTTTCTTGGGCGCAGTGCAGTGGCTCACACCTGTAATCCCAGCACTTTGGGAGGCCGAGGCGGGCAGACTACCTGCAGTTAACAGTTCGAGAGCAGCTTGGCCAGCATGGTGAAACCCCGTCTCTACTAAACATATAGAAAATATTAGCCAGTTGTGGTGGCAGGCACCTGTACTGCCAGCTACCCGGGAGGCTGAGGCAGGAGAATTGTTTGAACCTGGGAGGTGGAGGTTGCAGTAGCCGAGATCGCACTACTGCACTCCAGCCTGGGTGACAGAGTGAGACTCTGTCTCAAAATAAAACAAACAAAATAGAAAAGGCCATTTAAAACACTTTCTACTTTAATAGACACTGCTATGGGGAGTTTAAACGGGCCACTCAATGTCATCTAAAATGAGTTCATTTTCTTCGAGAGTGCTTGAGTTGTCACAGCATCTGTGACCCCAAATCTCCAGCGACACGGGAAATTTGCAATACCTCAGGCGAACACAGCTTCCCTGGCACCAGGCCAGTGTGTCACGGACTCCCTAGGACAGTTATTTTCAGTCTCGGCTCTGTTAAAGGTAATCACAATTTCTCACAAGCAATTAATGTGGAAAGCTTTCTCTCTTTATAAGCAAGTGCTCTCACATGCATACATGCTCTCTAACAACTGATTCCTAATCCTACCTTGTCTGACATAACCCAGGCTTTACCCACCTGAGCTCCACCACATCCTGAATTTGCACACAAAAATTTTCTACACAGCGTGTTTTCATTTGAAGCTTTCTTTATTTCTTATGCCCAGTGCTCAAATTTTTAACAGGTGAGCAACTTCAATTTTGTAGTTTTACTGTACTAAATAAAACACCGTATCTTAAATTAAGCAACATCTAACAAGATATTCAATATTTGCCAACCACTAGCAATTTATATTCAGTCTTCCTCATAGGAGGCATTAAGATTGTATATACCAACCTGCATGTGCAGAGTCTAATATGTAAAATCATTTTAAAGATTCATTTTATAATTTTGTGTTTAGATCATTTTGTTGGAGTTTTGATAGACTTGAGTCATATATACCTTGCATAGAACAACCAAAAATCAGAATCATTTCAGTGATGCTTCAAATCTGATTCTGATTTAGTTGCAAAAATGAAAACACCAGGCATAAGCATTCAAAGCCCAGTTTCTTTTCCTAATTCTTTAATATGTAGAACTTTGGCGAGGCCAGAAGGATCTCTTCTCTAAGGTACTTAACTAAGGAGATAAGATAGATGGAGATACATAATATATGGCTGGGCCCCGTGACTCATGCCTGTAATCCCAGCACTTTGGGAGGCCAACGTGGGTGGATCACCTGAGGTCAGGAGTTCGAGACCAGCCTGGCCAACATGGTGAAACTTTGTCTCTACTAAAAATACAAAAATTCGCTGGGTGTGGTGGTGGGCACCTGTAATCCCAGCTACTCGGGAGGCTAAGGCAGAAGAATCGCTTGAACCTGGGAGGCAGGGGTTGCAGTGAGCCAAGATCGTGCCACTGCACTCCAGCCTAGGTGACAGAGTGAGACTTGTTCTCAAAAAAAAAAAAGATATATATATACATATATAATATGTAATCTTATATATATATAATATATAATCTTATATATAATATATAAGATTATATATACATATATAATATATATGTATATATTATGTATATAATACATACATATGTATATGTATGTATACATGTAATATATACAGAGACAGAGACCACATATCTCTCAGTATTTTAGAGAAAGTATAAGCAATATCATATATATACACACACACACACATATATATATATTTTTTTGCAGATGAACTTAACTCACTAGCAACTCCCAAATTTCTAGAAAATATTATGGAAACTAATTAGTAGTGCTCATTATTTTGCTAATATTGTCATGTCTGTGGCATGCTATGGAATAAATATATTAATACAAATTAAATATATATGACTAAACTAGCAACCTTGTCTGTTTTCATCACTTTTCAGAAATACATAAACATAAAGCTATATTCCTCATTGAAAGCAAAAGTCCCCATTATATATGAATAACTATGCTTTTTTTTGTTTTCCCTATGTCAAACTGATTATTGTTGTGGAAATCACTGGTTTTGAGGATATAGGAACTAGGCTATTCCTGTCATTTTGAAGAAACTATTATTTTATTTAGTGTTTTTGGAGTATTGTGTACTTTGCAAATATTTTAAATTAGAGACATATAAAGTCCAAAAACATACATATATTAGACCTTCTATTACTGTTGTAATAAACCATCTAATAATACTGACATAGAACATATTACCATGGTAATAGCCCCATATACAATTTACATGATTATCCCTATGTCACTGATCAGCAGTTCAAACACAGAACAGTTGACTCAATGTCTAGGTCATTTTATCATCTTGTAATGCCCTTTGAACCCCCTTAGCTCCTTACAGAAGAGTTCCTCTGGCTCCCAGCAATGAACTGAGGAATGAATATACAGTCATAAAGCTAAAGGTTCTTAAAGCTAGAAGGACTCTCAGAGGTTTTATAACCCAAGTCAACAATTACTCAGCACGCATACCACTAGTTCCTGATCCTAAGCCAGTGCCAGACAGCAGTAATCAATTTCAGACTTTTG
Source organism: Homo sapiens (assembly GCF_000001405.40). Taxonomy (NCBI): domain Eukaryota; kingdom Metazoa; phylum Chordata; class Mammalia; order Primates; family Hominidae; genus Homo; species Homo sapiens. The sequence continues at coordinate 4,497,981 of NC_000009.12, read as the reverse complement.
TTTTCAACTCTTTTTCAATAAAGATCATACCAGATAGTCCACTACCTATAAGTGGTAATAGATGCATGAATAGAATCTTCTTTGCTCTCCCAGCTAATCTAAGTCCCTTTCTTGTTAATAAGAAACAAAGACTCAGAGAGTATAGGTATCAGATATACTTTTTTAAAAATTAAAAAAACAGTTAAGAGTCAGTCTCATTACTTTATGGCCTCATTTTATTTTTTAGTGCCTGTGAAATGTAATAAGAGGGACCTCAAGGGGTCTGTAATCTAGTTTTGAGAAAGAAAAGATCAACATGCTTGATATTTATATAGATTCATCAAGTGTTAATCTATGTTGCTGACATAGATCAGAGGGGGCTGAAACAGGCAGAGGAGAATTTATGGAGGTAATAGAGTTTGATTTAAGCTTTAGGCTCATTTGTTCCCTTGACAAACAAGGACAACATTTTACTAACTCTCTGGGTCATAAATGGCTCAGCAATTCAACAAATGTATTCACCCTACTGTGCAATGTGATAGGTACTATGGGCACAGAGAAGAGCAACACAAACGTCCTTCCCTTAGGGTTCCTGAATTGGTGAGGGAGGCAGAAACATCAGAATATAGGGTAATAATATCACACAGCAGCGGGAGAGGATAGTGGTTAGAAGCAGAGGCTCTAGAGCCAGACTTCCAGGGTTTGAATCCCGGCTCTGCCCTCGACCTTGGGCAAGTTTCTTAATTCTCTGTGCCTCTGTTTCCTGAAAATATGCTTGATGGAAAGATTAAATCATTTAATACCTATATAGCACTCAGAACAGTTCTTGGCACAGAGTAATGGATACACCTAAGTCTCAAAAAAAAATTTCTGTTTTTTAAAACCACCCGGTTTGTGGTAATTTGTTAGGGCAGCCACAGGAAAGGAATACAATGCTTCACCCTTAACTCCTCCCTTCCATCTCAGGAGTATAAAGTCCCGTTCTCTGGCCAATCCCCAACTAGGTCCCTCCATTTCACACTGTCTTCTACTGTCCCAGGCCTCACTCCACCCAACAGCATTCATTATTTTCTCTCTCTTCTGCATTTATTATTATTATTTTTCAGAGACAGGATCTTGCACTGTCACCTCAGCTGGAGTGTACAATGATGTGATCAAGCTCCCTGCAGCCTGGAACTCCTGGCCTCATGTGATCTTCCCACATCAGCCTCTTGAGTAGTTGGGGCCACAGGCACGCACCATCGTGCCTGGCTAATTTAATTTTTATTTTGCAGAGACAGGGGTCCTGCTGTGTTGCCCAGGCTGGTCTTGAACTCCTAGCCTCAAGCAGTCCTCCCACCTTCACCTCCCAAAGTGCTGGGATTACAGACATGAGTCACCATGCTCAGCTGCATTTTTATTTTTAATGATCACTTCTCTTCAGGTTCAGTCAGACTCAAGTCTCCTTAAAAAACAAAAAACAAACAAAAACAAAACAAAACAAGGCTGAGTGCAGTGGCTTGCACTTGTAATCCTAGCACTTTGGGAGGCTGAGGCAGGAGGACAGCTTGAAGCCAGGCATTCAAGACCAGCCTGGGCAACAAAACGAGACCCTGTCTCTTAAAAAAAGAAAGAAAAATACTCTCTGGATCTTAAACGTGACTTCCACTTTCTCTGAATTCTTTCACACCTAAGTGCCTCCAAATAAAAGCCCAGAAGGTCACATCCCTGTCCTTTGTATCCCCAACGCTGTTGAACTTCCTCCTCAGACCCTCTCACTCCTGCCCCCGAGCCTCTCACCCATCACTGTTCCTGTTCTTAATTTCTATCACACCACGTCCGGTTTCTCCTGTGGGCCCCTTCTCTTCCCAGACCTCCAATGTTGGGGTTGTCCAGAACTCTGTCTTTGGTCTTCTCTTCTCCCTTTTCTCCCAGGATAGGTTCATTCATTCCCAAAGCCTTAACCAGGTCCCTGACATGCTGTCTTAAGTCGACACTCCACTCCACATTTGTCTCCTGAGCACCAGACTCACTTAGCCAGGTGTTTGCTGCCTACCTTTACCCAAACACCCTTCTGGCTCCTCAAACTCAACACGTCCACCGTGGAACATGCCATGTTCTTTTCCAAGTCGGTGCCCCTTCCAGGACTCTCTGTTTTGCTGGAGATAGCCACTGCCTTCTCCCTTGGACCAAATCCAGCCAAGCCCTGCAGGTTAACCTCAAGCAGCTGTCTTTTCATTCTGTTCCACTCCTGGCTGCTCAGCTGAGGCACCCATTTCCCCTTTCCTGGACCTTGGACCTGAACCACCCTATTGCTCTGCCCCCAGCCTCACCTCCACTTCATCTCCTCCTACTCTTTCCCTCCCTCATTCTACTCCTTGATGTTTCTCACACAAACTAGGATGCTCCCCAGATACCTGTGCAACTTGTTCCTTCACCTCTCCTCCGTCTTGATTCAACTGTCACCTTCTCAGTATGGCCTCCCCTGTCACCCTGTTTAAAATTGCAACCCCCCACCTTGCCAGCCCACTCCCTGCTCTATACTACTCCAGAACACTATTCTCATCTAACATGCTCTATACAGTAGGTTACCTATGTATTCTATTTATGGTCTACCTCTCTCTACTTGAACATTAAGTCCCATGAGGACATGCTGTGTGACCCGGCTGTAGAACAATCCCTGGTGCACAGTGGGGGTCTGATACATATCTGTTAAATGAATGAATGGCTTAAGTGTTGATTATTACAGGGATATTCCTAAACACTGCTGAGCCAAGGTTCTATGCAGGTGAGGGGCTGGGCCTGGAACCAGCGTGAACCGCCGCTGGGCCCTGTCCTCAGGGGCTTCACAGACAAAGCGGGAAAGCCTATGCCACGTCTCAAATTAGCACTGCCAGATGCACGCTACATGAGCTCCAGGGTAGAGACACGAGGCTGGGCAAGGGTATTGCTAAGACCATGAAGGAGCTGTTTCTGATTTTAGATAATGGAATCAGAATCTATGCATGATTGCTTCCTTAGCGCTCCAAAGAAAACAATTTAGAATGAATAAGCTTGCCAGCTCTGTCATGTAAATGCCAATACCTATTGCTTTTTCTGAATAGCTCTAAGTTGAAATCACAGATTTTTCAAATGACAGAAGTAATGGCATAACTGGTCTGGAGAGAAAGATTAGGTATTATATTGTGAATAGGGTGAGGATATAAGAAGTGCCTTAACAACATCATATACTATATAATCATTATTGGATGACCCGCATTAGAAGGCTGGCAGAATTCTCACTCAGTAATTCTGCTTGGACAGAATTCCCACTTAGAGCATAAAACCTTCCTTCAGAATTTACATACTTAAATTATATTTATATAAATTATATATTTAAATATTATATTTAAATGAATTGAGGATTAGCCGGTGGGGCACAAAAATAAATGATTCATTCTTTCCATTTCCTCTTTAAAGAAATGAATAATACTACAGGGACAGTTATTAGCTCAGACAGAGCAGGTCATCAAAACACTTGAGTCACCCTAAATTATAGGCGGGACACTAAGCAGGACACAGAAAGAGACATACTATGAGAGAATTTATTTCATAAGAAAATATTAATTTTCTCATAATCAAATTATTCAGATTTACCTTAAAATAACAACTATTGAGTGCTGAATATATGCCAGCCACACAACTGAGTATCTTTCACACCTCTAATAACAAACGAAGTAATAAGTAATATCTCCAATTTCCAGATGAGGAAATTGAGGCTTGTAGGGAAATACACAGTTTGCCTGCATGATAGAGCTTGATAGTACCAGAATTCAAATCCCAAGGACTCTTCACTCCAGGCTCTGTGCTCATTCTACCATTCTATGGAAGCAGAGAATAAGCCTATAAGAATTGTAATGAAAGCCGTGAAAGTGTTTCTAGTGGTATTTTAGCAGAGGATTTTCCTGTGAAAATCCAAGATACTATTTTCAGGACCATGTAGGGTGTCGCAGAAATTTAAAAAGATGGTCACCTAACTATTGAATCCCTTCATCTTGTGAACAAGAATTTGAGAAATGTTTAGTTCTTAGCATTTCCTTGTCCATGAAAAGAGTGAACTTCCACACCTAATAAAGATGACCCTTATTACATTTCCCCTCATGTGCTGTATCTTGAAAAATCAGGCTTTAAGCTGGCTCATAAAAATCTTTGCCTCTTATTTCTATAATCAAATATTTCAAAGTATTAGGGCTACTGAATTATAGTAGTGACTGAACATTTCATTGCATTATTATTTCTTTAAATTATTTTTTTTAGAAATAGAGATGAGATCAGGCTGGTCTCAAACTCCTGAACTCACTCATTCCTCCTACCTTGGCCTTCCAAAGTCCTAGGATTACAAGTCTGAGCCACTGCACCTGGTCAGGGACCAAACATTTGAACGGCTATAATCAGAAGAAGATGTTTTGTCATGATAGTTAATAAATTTCACAGTTTTTTTTCTTCTTTAAGTTCCACATGCTGAAAAGTCCAAAAGGGAGGCTGCATTAGAGCTCTTGCGATTTTTCTGGATCAGTTAAGGCAGTTATAAAATAAGCTCTTACTATCATTATCTAGCAAGGGTTTATGAATAGACTCAGTGCCACTGTTATAAGTCACTGGAATTTCACTGTCAATTAAACAAATCAGCCCTTACAGACTACACAAACAAGTATGAGTTTCCACTCAGGCCCAGTACTCTGAAGAAAAAGGACAAGAAAAGGACCCCTGTTAATGGGCATATCGGGGGTGGTCTAGGTTTGAGACTTCTCAGACCAGAAGCAGGACTGCCCTTTGTTGCCATCTGAAGGAACAAATATCTAGGAAGATTTCAGCTGGGCACTTGATTTTTAAGTGGTGACTTTCCTTTCTGGAGAAAAGTACTCAAACTAAGCTCTTGGGGCTCACAGACATTAAAATTGGAGGAAAGTGCCCATCTGAGACCAAAGGCCATGTCTGCAAAATGAGCATGTACTTCTTCTTATTCACGCAACTGATTCCAAAGGCCAGGGAACAATTGCTTAAAACCTTCTCCAAACCAGTCTCCAGTGAATCGCATGCTGACGAGTGGTGTGCAACACTTGGGTAGCAAGTGAGTATCTCTGGAGAGCCCCATGCTGAAAAGGCAGGATAACTCCACTTCCACAGGGAATCAGGAGGGAGACTCAAGCCAATGTTTATCCTGCAAAGTCTTTTTTTTTTTTCTTTTTAGACAAGGTCTCATTCTTGTTGCCCAGGCTGGAGTGCAGAGTCACGATCACGGCTCACTGCAGCCTCGACCTCCCTGGGCTCAGGTGATCCTCCCACCTCAGTCTCCTGAGTAGCTAGGACTACAGATGTGCACCACCACGCTAATTTTTGTACTTTTTTGTAGAGATGGCATTTTGCCATGTTGCCCAGGCTGGTCTCCAACTCCTGGGCTCAAGCAATCCTCCTTCCTTGGCCTCCCAAAATATTGGGATTATAGGTGTGAGTCACCGTGCCTGGCCCTCTAAAAGTCCTTTTCCTTTTTTTTTTTTTTTTTTTGGTGGATTCTTGCTCTGTCACCCAGGCGGGAGTGCAGTGGCACAATCTTGGCTGACTTCAACCTCTGCCTTCTGGGTTCAAGCAATTCTCCTGCCTCAGCCTCCCGAGTAACTGGGGTTATAGGCATGAGCCACCTTGCCCTGGCATCTCTCAGTCTTCAAAAAGAGATTTAACAATTAATCCTCGACTCTTATCACTAGGAAAACAAACAAGGCCATCTCTTCTCTTTGGCCTAAAGGAAATCAAGTCGTTCTTTGTAGCGTATGCTATTTAAATATGGTAGAGTAGGATAAACTTTCCCTTAAAAATGTTCAAAACCGAAAAAAAAAAGTTCCAAAACCACTTGGCACTTCTTGGGGGAAATAGTCAAGATTTGCTTCTGTACTTCTCTCCTTTCCTCCTACAAATAGCCTCTGCTAGGGCCATTCCAGGATGTTATTTATTTACTAGAAACCTGACTTTCCTTTCCCCAAGGTTCTGGAGAATCCAATCTGACCCCAAGAATCCCATTAACTTCCAAAGGCCATTTCCATGCCCTATCCCCACCCTGAGGGGAGGGGGCGGTTCGGAGGAGAAGCAAGCAACACCATATATTCTGAGATTTAGGAGCAGCAGTTGGAGAGGAAGGTACCTGAGGTTGGGAGGAAACAAGCTGTCCCCACTTGCCTTTTCAGCAAACACAGCTGCAGTTTCCAAGGGGAAGGTGGAGCCTGCCGAGGAATCCACATTCCTCAGAGGGTGCAACAGCCCTCACCTGCTGAGGAGCTATCACTGGGAAGGCGACAGATATGGCGCTAATCCCAAGGAAGTGCATCCCCGGGCCGGAGCTAGAAACACACAACCTTGGTAAAAAATCAGAATCTAAATAGGAATAACTCATACCTCTGAGCAATGGCTCAGACATCCACCTGGTCCAGTGATCTGTGAGGGGTGGATCACTTAAATACACCCTTGTTTAAAAACAGGCAAGGATGGCTTAAACATTATCTTAAATACAAAAACAACGTGGAGAGCAAGGAAGGCAGGAGAAGAGACGGCTGAGTTCTCTTAGCTCTCTTCCCCGGTGACCTCCCGCGGGCCACAGTGGCACATCCCAGAATTCAGGCACGAATCTGGCAGCTTTTCAGAGCCCGGGTGCAGGCAGTCGGCGCTCGCCGCGTGGGAAGGCACCTTTCCACGCACTGCCCAGGATGAGCGGCGACAGCGTTCTCAGCCTCCCTCCCCTAAGGGTCCGGCCCATCCCGGAGGCCAGGGTGCCTCTTCCAATTCGACTGAGAACTGTAATCCACACTCAATCTCTGCCCGCGCAGCGAGGCTGGGGGTGTGGGGTGAGGAAGGTGGCGGTGATAGGGGGAGATACGGTGCGGGATTAACAAAGAAAAAAATCGAACCCTGTTTTCAAACGAGCAGAACCAAGAGCTACTTGCTTCCCTTTCTACCCCCAAGCCCCTTTGATCATTTTGGGTAGAGCAGGAACCAGCAGCTCAAGGAGCACTCAAATGGGAGTCCCAGAGGAGCTTTGTTCTTGGTGTGCAGTAATTAGAGCGCTTGGGGGAAAGCCCCCGCAGGGGGCCCGAGGCTAAGGCCGAGGGGGCATCGAGGGACCCTGCATGGAGTGCGCCAGCGCCAAGCCCACCCTCAGCCGCACGCGGCCTGGGCGCAGAGAGCGCGTGAGGGTGCGCGCATCGCCCACCCGCCGCGCCGCTCACCTAGCACCACCGCGGCCACGGTGGACAGCAACACCCAGTTATTCTTCAGGAAGCGCTTCCACTCGCATCCTTTCCTCGCCGGTTTCCCCATGGCTGTCGCCGCTATTGTGCGCTGGGCTCGGCCGTGCGCGCGTGGGCTGGGCGACCCGGGGACTGCTGGCTGCTCGGCGGCGCGGCGAGATGCGGGTGCACAGGGGAGAGGTGAGAGCCGGCCGCTGCAGTCGCCGCCGTCACCACCGCCGTTGCCGCCGCCACCCGGGATCGCGCACCGCGCCCGCCGCCCTGCCAGCCCGGTAGTTTTGCGTGGCAGGCGCGCCCGGCTCCTCCTGCTGCCGCCGCGCTCTGCGGCGCCTGGGCCAACCAGCGAGGAAGGAGGGAGGAGCGGCAGGCCCGGGAAGGAGGGTGGGTGCGTGCGTGGGACGCCCGGGGTCCCTAGGGAGCAGGCGTGGTAGGGCGCCCAGCGCTGCGGCAGGAGCTGGGGCGGCCTCTCCGGGAACCCTGAGTCCCGCCCCACAGCCTTCCACTGGAGTCTGTCTCGCTTTCCACGCCTCACTCATGCTAGGGCTTTGGGTTAAGGGTTTTCTTCTGTCCCTAACCCAGAGAGGCGGAGCCACTGCCCTCCTGGGCGCGGACTTCATCCTGCACGTCTCCCTCTCCGTTCTCCACACCAGCTATTTCCAGCGCCGGCACCTGCAGAACGGGTGCCCTTTCAAGTCGGGGGAAGCTGATCCTGCCTTGGGTCCCTCTTGCTCGGCTACTCAGGCTGGGATGTGCCAGCAGCCGCGAAAGCCTGAAGCTTCTGGGAGGAGAGAAAGGAGTCCTGGGGCAGAACATGGCTTTGGAAACTTTCACGCGGAGCCTCCAGTGCCCCCACAGGGATTATTCTCCTCTTCGAGTCGCTGGAGGTGATTTGTCTGTGGACACTGGGCTTGGGAGTGTTCCCTGCACAAGGAGATGGTGATTTCTCTTAGAACTTTACTTCTGCTCCTTGGGACTTGCTCTGTGACCACAGGCCCTGGAGCATGGAGGCTTGGGGCAGTGATTAGAACTGAGAACCGGACCCGGGAGCCGCTCTGGGGAGAAAGTGGGCGGTCCATCCCCTAAGGTCCAACGGATTGGAAAGGCAAACACAGGAGAAACTAGGTTAGTGGTGCCAAATATATTTGGTGTTGCTAAGTGAATTTCTGATGCTCTTCCATTTTTCTACCCAATTTTTTCACTCTCACGTATACAATCTCTTTCCCTCCCTTTACCAAATCAGTACCTCCGCAGCTGTAAGCGGTCTTCTTATCAGCGTTCCTAAAGTTAAGTGAGCCTGGAACCCTTTTTGCTATTGTAGAATCTACTCTGATTGTGGGTAGGGAGAATTTCCCCTACTAGATTTTCTGATGACTAAATCCCCACAATTAGAGCTTCATCCCTTTGGTGTAAATTGATACAAGCATCTTTTAAGCGATAATAGATTAAGATTTACAACCCTGTAGACTTTAGTATGAATGAGTTTATCAGCTCTTTATAGAAAGTAAACTTTGAGAGAAAGAAGGTTAGAGGGATTTTAAGGTCGTTGGGTGTCCGAGGAAGATCTGAAGAAATGTCAGAAGGGGACCCGGGTGCGGTGGCTCTTGCCTGTAATCTCAGGACTTTGGGAGTCCGAGGCGAGCGGATCACGAGGTCAGGAGATTGAGACCATCCTGGCTAACACAGTGAAACCCCGTCTCTGCTAAAAATACAAAAAAATTAGCCGGGCGTGGTGGCACGTGCCTGTAGTCGCAGCTACTTGGGAGGCTGAGGGAGGAGAATCGCTTGAACCTGGAAGGTGGAGATTGCAGTAAGCTGAGATCAAGCCACTGCGCTCCAGCCTAGGCGACAGAGCGAGACTGTCAAAAAAAAAGAAAAAAGAAAGAAAGAAGGAAGGAAATGTCAGAAGGGAAACTATCAAGAAAGGGAGAATAGTCCCGGGCGCGATGGCTCACACCTGTAATTCCAGCAATTTGGGAGGCCAAGGCAGGCGGATCACTTGAGGTCAAGAGTTCGAGACCAGCCTGGCCAACATGGGGAAATCCCGTCTACCAAAAATACAAAAATTAGCCGGGTTTAGGGCCATGCACCTGTAATCCCAGCTATTCGGGAGGCTGAGACAGGAGAATCACTTGAACCCAGGAGGTGGAGGTTGCGGTGAGCCGAGATCACGCTGCAGCACTCCTGCCTGGGCGACCGGAGGGAAACCCTGTCTCATAAAAAAAAAAGAGAGAGAGCGTGCGCGAGAGAACAGATTTGTCCCACAGTAAAAAAACAGCTGGAAAAAACGCAAATGTCCAACATAAATGGAATGGTAAATATATTATGGAACTGCCAAGCAACAGTACCTTATGCAGCCTACATAAAGGAAGTTTATGAAGTTTTTAACAGCATGGGATGGCACATGTTATAAATCTATATTTATAAATATAAAGGGAAGAAAGAAATACTAAAATTGCATGTACAATTTGATCACATGTGTGTAAAATAAACATATTGGCCAGGTGCAGTGGCTCACACCCGTAATCCCAGCACTTTGGGAAGCCGAGATGGTAGGACTGCTTAAGCCCAGGAGTTTAGGACCAGCCTGGACAACATAATTAGACCACTGTCTCTACAAAAACTAAACCGACCAACCAACCAACAAACAGACGAAATAAAACCATGTGCTTAGAAAAAAAGACCAGAAGAAATATGCCAAAATTTTAACAATGGTCATCTTTGCCTTCTATCTTTTATATTTCCAAAGTGTCTACCATAGAGCTGGGCGTGTTGGCTCACAATTATATTCCCAGCAGTTTGGGAGGCTGAGGCAGAAGGATCACTTGAGGCTAGGAGTTTGAGACCAACCTGGGCAACTTAGTGAAATCTTGATTCTACAAAACTTAATAATAATAATAATCTGGCCATGATGGCACATGCCTGTAGTCTCTGCTACTTGGGAGGCTGAGGCAAGAGGATAGTTTGAGCCCGGGAGTTCGAGGTTGCAGGGAGCTATAATTGTACCACTGTACTCCAGCCTGGGTGACAGAGCGAGACTCTATCTATTTAAAAAAAAAAAAAAGTGTTGACCATAAGCATACCCATGCTCATTACAGTTGTAGATAGGGCAGTATTTACAAAATAAACATTCCTGAGGGGAGAAAAAAGTGGAAGCATCTGAGGAACTATGTGTACATCACAACTTTCTGGGTTGTAATAAGACAATTACACTAGGGTTCTCGGGGTAAAGTATTTAGGCTTAAATCCCAGCACCACCACTTATCAGCTTGGTGACCTTGGGCACCTGGCTTAAATTTTTTATGTCTCAGTTTCTTCATCTGTAAAATGGGGGCATTAATTATCTTTACCTCATGGAGGTATTTTAATAATTTAATACAATAATCTGTGTGAAAGGCTTAGAACACTCCCTGGCACAAAACAAATATCACCACCAATTTTACTTGGAGTCAACCTGGACAGGCATCTCTTAACACCATCTTTTAACACCTGCCTGTCATTAACACACTCTGAACCCCTTCAGACCCACGAGAACTCTTGCTCATTGATCATCAGGAATTGCCCATCTCTACTAAAAATACAAAAATTAGCCAGGCGTGGTGGCGGGTGCCTGTAATCCCAGCTACTCGAGAGGCTGAGGCAGGAGAATCGCTTGAACCCAGTAGGTGGAGAATATGACAAAAGAAATATGTCAAAATTTTAACAATGGTCTTCTTTGCCTTCTACTTTTTGCATTTCCAAAGTGTCTACCATAGAGCCGGGAGTGTCGACTCACACCTATATTCCCAGCACTTTGGGAGGCTGAGGCAGAAGTATCACTTGAAGCCAGGAGTTTGAGACCAACCTGGGCAACTTAGTGAAATCTTGGCTCTACAAAACTTAAAAAAATAAATAAATAACCTGGGCATGATGGCACATGCCTGTAGTCCTCACTACTTGGGAGGCTGAGGCAAGAGGATGGCTTGAGCCCAGGAGTTTGAGGTTGCAGGGAGCTATGATTGCACCACTGCACTCCAGCCTGGGTGACAAGAGGCCTTACATCACCCATTGCACTTTCACACTGGGAGGACCAAGGCCCTTGGTCCCCTGAAGGTTTGCTTCAAAATCACTGACAGGCAGATTTATTAATAGGAGAAAAGGCATACCAATGTATTGAACGTATACACACGGGAGACTTCAAAATGAAGACCTAGCCTCCCAATGAGGTCCAGAAGTTTATATACTATCTGGAGGTTACAGAAAGAATGGGGGCTTGAATCCTGGTAAAACAGGTTTTGGGAGGTGAAGAGAAGAGGAATTGCTGAGGGGATTACTAGGGAGAATGAATGGATCTCTGAACAGAGATTAATGTGTGAATAGTTCTCTTTGATAGTGAAAGTGTTCAGGTGTGGTTACATTCTTGGTCTTACAGGGAGGGGAAGAACAAGCAATTACTTTCTTTGATGGGTCTGAATCTTACGCAGATAAAGGAACTTCCACTTCTTTGTGGGAGACGGTGGCAGGGGAAGTCAGAGAGACCTTGAGGTTTCTCCATGTCAACATGTCAAAATGCCATATTTTGGGGTATTGGATTCTGAGCCCAACAACACCTAAAGCTCCTATAGTGCATACTTGTTTTATGTTCATTTAAATTATGCATTGAAAATAGTACAATATAAAAGATTTTAAAAATTTCAATATATACAAACATTTTGAAATAATAAAAATCTCCCCGACTAAAAGCAAAAGTCGGGCCAGGTGCGGCGGCTCACGCCTGTAATCCCACCTCTTTGGGAGGCCAAGGGGGGTGGATTCCTGAGGTCAGGAGTTTGAGACCAGCCTGGCCAACATAGTGAAACGCCATCTCTGCTAAAAATACAAAAAATTAGCTGGGCATGGTGGCAGGAACCTATAATTCCAGCTACTTGGGAGGCTGAGGCAGGAGAATTGCTTGAATCTGGGGAGGCGGAGGTCGCAGTGAGCTGAGATTGCGACATTGCACTCCAGCCTGGGCAACAAGAGCGAACAAAACTCCGTCTCAAAAAAAAAAAAAAGCAGAGGCAGGAGTCTCAAAAGTAGATCACTGGTAGTGCAATCCCCTGATGGGTTCTTGCCTGCCGCACAGGTAGAGCTGATTCACTGAAACACTGGTATTGTTGTAAAGATGGAGCTTAATTAATGCAAAGCTAGTCACATGGGGAGACAGGAAGTTATTACTCAAATCAGCCTCCCTGGAAATTTGGAGGCTGGAGTTTTTAAGAATAACTTGGTAGTCAGGATTTAGGGAACAGATGCTGCTGGTTGGATGAAGATGAAATCACAGGGGTGTGGAAAGTGGTCCTTATGCAGAGTCGGTCTCTGGGGTGGGGCTACAGGACTGGTTGATTTGTGGATCTGAGTGTAGTCAGCCAGTCCTCAGAAATCCAAGTCTGAAAAACATCTCAGAAGACCAACCTTAGGGCTGAGCGCGGTGGCTCACGTCTGTAATCCCAGCACTTTGGGAGGCCGAGGAGGATGGATTACTTGAGGTCAGGAGTTTAAGAACAGCCTGGCCAACATGGTGAAACCCTGTCTCTACTAAAAATACAAAAATTAGCTGGGCATGGTCGTGAGTGCCTGTAATCCCAGCTACTCGGGAGCCTGAGGCAGGAGAATCGCTTGAACCCAGGAGGTAGAAGTTGCAGTGAGCCGAGATGGCTCCACTGCACTCCAGCCTGGTCGACGGGAGTGAAACCCTGTCCCCCCACCACCCCCACCCCCCCAAAAAAAGGAAAAAGAAAACCAATCTTAGGTTCTACAATAATGATGATGTTATCTACAGGAGTAAATTGGAGAAGTTACAAATCTTGTGTCCTCTGGACCGATGGTTGGTTATAATTTATGCCTACAACTTAGCAGAATTCAGGCTCCCTTCATAATCCTAATCTTGTGTCTTTTCATTGGTTCTACAAAGACGATTCCTGACCTCCAATGAGGAAGGGATAGTTTTGGGAAGGGCTATTACTATCTTTACTTTAAGGTTAAACTATAACTTCCTCCTAAAGTTAGTTTGGCCTACACTGGGCACAGTGGCTCACGCCTATAATCCCAGCACTTTGGGAGGCCAAGGTGGGTGGATCACCTGAGGTCGGGAGTTCGAGCCTAGCCTGGCCAACATGGTGAAACCTGTCCCTACTAAAAATACAAAAATTAGCCAGGTGTGGTGGCAGGGCCTGTAATCCCAGCTACCCGGGAGGCTGAGGCAAGATAATTGCTTGAACTCGAGAGGCAGAGGTTAAGGTGAGCTGAGACTGAGCCACTGCACTGCAGCCTAGGCAGCAGAGCAAGACTCTGTCTCAAAAAAAAAAAAAAAAAAAAAAAAAAAAAAAATTAGCCTGGCATGGTAGCACACACCTGTGGTCCCAGCTACTCGGGAGGCTGAGGCAGGATAATCGCTTGAACTTGGGAGGCAGAGGTTGCAGTGAGTCTTGACCATGCCACTGCACTCTAGCCTGGGCGACAGAGCGAGACTCCGTCTCAAAAAAATAAAAAAAATAAAAAAAAAAAGTTAGTTTGGCTTATGCCCAGGAATGAACAAGGATAGCTTAGAGGTTAGAAGCCAAGTAGAGTCAGCTATGTCAGATTTCTCTTACTGTTATAATTTTGCAAAGGCAATTTCAGCGGGCCAAGTGGATTTTAAACTATATTTATACTATTGCTACATAGAAGTTCCATTTTAGCTGGTAATAACAACAACAACAACAAAAGCAAACACAAAGCACTTATATACCAGGCGCTCTTCTAAGCACTTGGCCCAAACTAATTCACTTGGTCCTCTCAGTATCTCAGTGAGGTGAGGATTATTGTTTCTTCATGAGGCTGCTGGAAGAATCAAATGAGATATGATGGCTTATCATCATTATCTTACAGCTGAGGAAACTGAAGCACAAAAAGATTCAGCTCCTTGTGTAAGTTTTCCCTGTCAGTAACAGGAGGAGAAAGGGTTGAGCCAGATGGTCTGGCTCTAGAATTTGTGCACTTAACCAACACCTCTTTTTTTTTTTTTTTTTTCCCAAGACGAAGTCTCACTCGTGTTGCCCAGGCTGAAGCGCAGTGGCATGATATCGGCTCACTGCATCCTCCGCCTCCCAGGTTCAAGTGATTCTCCTGCCTCAGCCTCTTGAGTAGTTGGGATTACAGGCGTGCACCACCACACCCAGCTAATTTTTTTGAATTTTTAGTAGAGATGGGGTTTCACCATGTTGGTCAGGCTGGTCTCAAACTCCTGACCTCGTGATCTGCCCACCTTGGCCTCCCAAAGTGCTGAGATTACAGGCGTGAGCCACCGCACCCAGCCACCAACACCTCTTATGTAAGGAACAAATATAGAGTTGTTACAAAAAAAACTAGCCGAGTTACATGTTGTATTTTGTGCAAGGTCTTTAAGAGTCCATTCACCTGTGTCCAGCAGACACTTTGGTCTCTAATGTGCTGTGCTCCATTGGGCACTAAATACATTTCACGCGGCAGTGGTTGAACTCCTGAATCCTCTGTAACTGCTGCTTGCAACCAATTTACGGCATTTCTCTGCCTAAAGCAAGATATAGTATATGAAGCATCACTTTGGGGGGATGTCTAGTGATACTAATCTTTAACTTCGATTCTTTTTTACTTTATTGTCCTCTAATAGTCATGGACACAAATGATCTCAAATTGAACAAAAGTTGAGAGGCATTTCCCTTGCAAGCTCTACTTGAAAGAACTTGGCCACTCAGCTCCTGGAAGAAAAAGTTCTTTCTCCAAGCCAAATTGAAAGACTTGTTAGAATGTTTTTTTCCTTCCAATAAATGTTAGCTTCTCTCTTTTTTTCCCTAAGTCCTTCAAATTCCACCATCCAAATAAACCTTTGGCTAGTTTTTATTAATTACATTTTGCTAGTATGCTGTTGCTGCTTTTTAAAGACTTAAGTGATTCTGGTATTTCCTTTGTTGTTATTTTTTTCCCTTTTTAAAAAATAGTTGACTCATGGCCTCTCCTGTTAGTTACTAAAGGAAGGAGACTTTGACTTTGCCACAAAAAGTTACATCAACAGACCATATATTAATTAGGATACAAATGAAAAGGGCATTCAGAAACAAAAAGTAAGACATCAGCTTCTGAGTATCTCTAGAAATAGTTGCCTGGTTGTATTCTATCATCATAAAACATTTATGGTTGATTGCTTTGTCCTCATGCGGTGGCAAGTGAGGAGGAGGTCATGGAGTACCAGAGTCTCCTTCAGCATCTCAGCTGCATGGATTTTCGTGACCCATGGGTGGGGAGAAAGATGGTGTCAGCGCAGCTAGACACACTTTTTAACAGTCTCTTCATCTTCCAATCTCAGTCTAGATAGAACTTATCTTGGAACTATAAATTGAAGAAGAAAAGAACTGTAACTCATTAAACTTTCACGACAATTCTCCAAGTAATATTTTATAAAGATACTATGGCTGGAAAGAACTTATCTATTAGTTATATGACCTTGAACTCTTGGCTTCAATAGAACTTTACCTCATGGGCTTTATTGCTCACTCTGACAAATTGAAGAAAAATTCCATTTCATTTTAGGATATGAAAGAAAAGTTCTCTGTCTGCCTCACACAAGCTGTATGTCCTTGACCAAGTAATTTAAACTTTCTGAAACTCAATTTTCTTATCTGAAGATACCATTTAAATTAATAAATGCAAATAGTCAATACATATTAAAACATGAAAAAATCTTCAATCTCACTAGAACTAAATACAAGTTTAAACCAATATTTACCAGCTAGGTAAAGATATTTTGACATACGTTTTTTAAAATTTACAATTGCAAAATTTATACTTTTAACATTATAAATTGTAAACTTAGAGAAGGTATGGAGAAATGGGTAGTGTCACACCCTGCGGGTAGACCCAGACAATGCTGTGACTTTTCTGAGGACAGTTAGGCAATTAGTAACATCAGTCATAAGTGCATGTATTCTCTAACTCAAACACTCTACCTCTAGAAACTTATAACGAAAAAAATACCCAAAGATGTGCACAAGGGCTCTTCACCCCAGCTCAGCTGGAAACAACTTAACTGTCTAGTAAAGTGAACTGGCTAAAGATTAAGTGTGTAAAAGTACACTAGATAATGAGACATCATTTAGAGATTGAAAAGCATATTTTAGCTTTGACCTGAATTACATGGGAATTACATGGGGAAATGAATTACACTGGAAAACGGTACACACACACACACACACACACACACACTTATGTTTTTAATTAATTAATTAATTAATTAATTTTTTGATGGGGTCTTGCTCTGTTGCCCAGGCTGGAGTGTAATGGTGCGAGGCTCACTGCAACATACACCTCCCAGGTTCAAGCGATTCCCCTGAGTCAGCCTCCTGAGTAGCTGGGATTACAGGCACACACCACCATACCCGGCTAATTTTTATATTTTTAGTAGAGACAGGGTTTCACCATGTTGGCCAGGCTGGTCTTGAACTCCTGACCCCAGGTGATCCGCCTGCCTCGGCCTCCCAAAGTACTGGGATTACAGGCATGAGCCACCACATCTGGCCTAGTTATGTTTTTAAATGCAAAAGTAAGTTATAAAACAGTAGATAGGGCTGGGTGAGGTGGCTTATGCCTGTAATCCCAGCACTTTGGGAGGCCCACTTGGGAGGATCAGTTGAGCCCAGGAGTTTGAGACCAGACTGAGCAACATGGAAAAACCCTGTCTCTACAAAAAATACAAAAAATTAGCCAGGTGTGGTGGTGCTTGCCCATGGCCCCAGCTACTCTGGAGGCTGAGGTGGGAGGACCACTTGAACCCCCGAGGTCCGGACCTCCAGTAAGCTGAGATCAAGCTACTGTACTCTAGCCTCAGCAACAGAGCAATACCTGTCTCAGAAAAAAAACCAGTAGGTGGGTTTTTTTTTTTTTTTCAATGAAGGTGTAGTAATTTATTACTTGTATACTTGAAAATATAAAATTTACAATATGCATTCTACAATTCCAATTAAATGTATGTGTGTGTTAAGGGTAATATTAAAATTATTAATGTGCTTTTTTTTCTTTTTGCCTTCCTGAGCACATGCTTTTTGCCCCGGTAGGCCAAGGCGTTCGTATGCTGAGGATATTATGATTTGTTACAGAGGAATTTTGAAAATGTGGTAACGTTCCACTTCTGTATGATATATAGCATTAGGTACAGGAAAGAGGATTATTGAGAAAGAATATGCCATATTCCTCCATTTCTTCATTAGAATATCTAAAGCTTGGCTGGGCATGGTGGCCCATGCCTATAATCCTAGCACTTTGCGAGGCCATAAAGGGAGGATCACTTGAACCTGGACTTCAAGACCAGCCTGAAAAACATAATGAGACACTGACTCTACAAAAAATAAAGTTAGACAGGTGTGATGGCACATGCCTGTAGGCCCAGCTGCTTGGGAGGCTGAGGTGGGAGGGTTATTTGAACTTGGGTAGTCTAGACTGCAGTGAGCTGTGATTATGCCACTGCAGTCCAGCCTGGGCAACACAGTGAGACTTCATCTCAAAAAAAAAAAAAAAAAAAAAAGAAAGCCCAGCCTGGAAAACTTGTCTCACAGAATTCTTCTGTAGTGTAAGAAAGACACGTCTCCACCTATAACATCTGTCACTCTATCACAGCAGGAGGTGAAAACATAGGGAATCAGAAGAAAATATTTTCTGGTCAAGGCCAGGCGCCGTGGCTCACGCCTACAATCCCAGCACTCAGCACTTTGGGAGGCCAAGGTGGGCGGATCACCTGAGGTCGGGAGTTCAAGACCAGCCTGGCTAACATGGCGAAAACCCATCTCTACTGAAAATACAAAAAAAAAAAAAAAAAAAAAAGAAGAAGAAATTATTGTGTGGTCAAGAGAATGATGGGAAGAAGGAAGGGAGACAGGAGAAGCGATGGTGGTCCTGTTTTCTCTCTCTAAGCTTCATCCAGGAAGGAGTGTATGTTAGAAAAAGGAGGGTAGCAGCTCTGTCTCCCACTCCCCAGATAGGGGTCTGCCTCCCAGGTTGCCCCTTCCTAACCTGGGGTGCAGCCACAACCACACCAACACCAACACAGCAAGGCAGTGTGGCCAGGTGGAGAGATACTCTGAGATTTCATTTCCTAACCACCCTTGGTAACTGGAGGCAGGGGTGCTGACTTGAGAGCCACAGTATGGTCATGGGCTGGGTGAGTGACCCTCCTTAGAGTCTAGGGAACCTCTGTGAACTGGCCCAATGTACAGACTTGCATATTTGTTACTAGCAGTAGCTGAAGTGAGGTGTAGGCCTTGAAGTGAGGTGTAGGTAAATGCCCTGAGCCCTAATTGAGCCAAAAGACAGGAAAGAATACATCTTCACAGCTGTAGATTTTATCCACAAAGGCCCACAGGGAATGTTGCAAGCAGGGACATGAAGGACAATGCTCTGGACACCAGGATCTAAATAAGTCCACACATGACATTTGGTTAAGTTGTAAAGTATCTTTTATTCTACAATCTCTCTTATTTATTTGTTAAAGGGACTAGGTTGAGGCCTGGTGCAGTGGCTCATGCCTATAATCCCAGCACTCTAGGAGGCTGAGGCAGGTGGACTGCTCAAGCCCAGTAGTTTGACACCAGTCTAGACAAAATGGTGAAATCCTGTCTCTACAAAAAATAATAAAAAATTCTGCAGGAACATTGAAAAATATATATATTTAAAAAAATAAAGGTACTTGGTCGTTTGTCTTACAAAATTCCCCACATTCTGGATTTGGCTAATTCCTTCTTCATAGTGGAAATTAATTTTTTCTCTATCCCCAATATTTCCTATAAGTTGGTAGTTAGATGTAGAGGTTTGCTATTTCATAATGCTAAGATTGAACAGTGGATTCTGATGTCAGCCTGATTCAACTACGATAAATTCACCATCAACCCTTCACATATGGTTTTAGCATCTATTGGTGATGGTGAAGACCTTTAAAAAATTCATTCTAATTCTAACATTTCTTCTGCATATATTTTCTGGAATCAACTATTTGGTTACCCTAAATAGATTTTATACAGAAAAGGCAGGATAAATGCTTAATTTCTTTCCCTTGGTTGGTTTTCTCAATAATGAATTAGTGCACTTGCAACTTCCAAAGGTGACTACTGATGTTTTTTTTTTTTTAGATGGAATCTCTGTCGCCCAGGCTGGAATGCAGTGGCACACTCTAAGCTCACTGCAGCCTCCACCTCCTGGGTTCAAGCGATTTCCGTGCCTCAGCCTCCGGAGTAGCTGGGATTATAGGCGCCCGCCACCAGGCCGAACTAATTTTTGTATTTTTAGTAGAGAGGGGGTTTCACCATGTTGGCCAGACTGGTTTCAAACTCCTGACCTCAAGTGATCTCCCGCCTTGGCCTCCCAAATTGCTGGGATTACATACAGGTCTGAGCCACTGCGCCGGGGCTTTTTATTTTTAAAGTATTAGTACAAACACATGGATTTATATGTGTTTTGGATAGATTTATGTGTTCCAATCAGTTACAATCATGATCCTTTCCCACGCTCAAATCATCCCATCTTTGGCCAATGGGAGCCCCTTCATTCTGGCATCCGTGTTTTTTAAACAACCACTTGTTTCAATAGTGTCTTTGTTTTCTGACTCAGCAAGATGTCCCAAGACCATCTTGTATATTTTTTGCCCTGAAACTGGAATCAGTTATTTCTCTAAAGCGTTCAGGTTCCGGTTCATGGGAAATAGTATTCAGGAGCTACAGTCTTGGTAATCGTGGCTCATTGCTATGTTGTTTCTGGGCCTTTTCAGTGGACAAGGCTTAGAAATATGTATTTCATAGCAAGAGACAAATGATAAGTTCATATTATTGTTTCCAATTTCATTTTTTATTATGGTATAATATACATAATGAATTTTACCATTTTAATTTTACCATGTTTTTAAGTGTACAGTTTGGTGGCATTAAGTACATTCATATTACTCTGCAGCCGTCACCACTATCCATCTCCAGAACATTTTTACCTTCCCAGACTGAAACTCTGAACCCATTAAACACTAACCTCTAGCCAGGAGTGGTGGCTCATGCCTGTAATCCCAGCACTTTGGGAGGCCCAGGCGGGAGGATCGCTTGAGCTCAGGAGTTCAAAACCAGCTTGGGCAACATAGGGAGACCTTATCTCTACAAAAAATACAAAAATTAGCTGGGTGTGGTGTGCACATCTGCAGTCCCAGCTACTCCAGAGACCGAGGGGGGAGGATCACTTGAGCCTGGGAGGTTGAGGCTGCAGTGAGCCGTGATCACGCCATTGCATTACAACCTGGGTGACAAAGAGAGACCCCTATCTCAAAAAAAAACCCAGCCCCCCCAAAACACACTAATGTCCTATTCCCCACCTCCCACCCCCACCCCACTCTAACTCCCAGCAAACACCATCCTACTTCTGTATCTATGAATATTTGTTCTTTTGTGAGTGGCTAATTTCAATTTGCATCATGTCGTTTAGGTTCACACATGTTGAAACTCGTGTCAGAATTTCCTTCCTTTGTAAGGCTAAGATTGCATTGTATGTATTTACCACATTTTTGTTTATCCATCCATTGGTGGATGGACACTTGGGTTGCTTCCGCCTTTTGGTTATTGTGAATAATAATGCTGTGAATATGGACGTACAAGTATTTGTTTGAGTCCCTGCTTTAAATTATTTTGGGCATATACCCAGAAGCATAATTACTGGAACATATAGTAATTCTATATTTAATTTTTTGAGGAACTGCCGTACTGTTTTCCATAGCAGGTGTACCATCTTACATCCCACCAGCAATGAACAAGGGTTCCAGTCTCTCCACATCCTCACCAATATTTGTTATTATATTTTCTAGTTTTTAAAATTCTGTCTAAAAACAGCTATTCTAACAGAGATGAATCAATTCAAATTTAAGCTTTTAGGATTGTGGCTACACTTTAGAAATTTTTATTCTTATTTCTTTTCTCTTTTCCTTGAAAATCTTGGTTCTTAAAAACATTAATTCAAGTACTTATTTCCTAATACTATAATGTACACATAATAGTTAAAAAAAAAACAAGACCCATATTATTTCTAATAATAAGACCACTGGGCCGGGCATGGTGGCTCACGCCTGTAATCCCAGCAATTAGGGAGGCTGAGGTGAGTGGATCACCTGAGGTCAGGAGTTCGAGACCAGCCTGGCTAACATGGTGAAACCCCATCCTTACTAAAAATGCAAAAATTACCTGGGCATGGTGGCAGGCACCTGTAATCCCGGCTACTTGGGAGGCTGAGGCAGGAGGATCGCTTGAACCCAGGAGGCGGAGGTTGCAGTGAGCTGAGATCCTGCCATTGCACTCCAGCCTGGGTGACAAGAGGGAAACTCTGTCTCAAAACAAAAACAAAAACAAAAAAACCCCACTGAATTCAGTTTAAGATTTCTCTGTGGTTCTCATGGTCCCCAGAGATACACCAGTAAAGATATATAATCAAATTACTATATTTAAAAGATACTGTAAAGAATTATTTTCCCTGTGTTATTCCATCAATTTGATATACAGCTATGATTATATTCATTGTATGAATATGATTTTGTTCATCAGTGGATTACATTCATCCCTTTGTTTTCAAATGTCAGAAACTGGTTTTTAAGAATTTCATAATTTTTAAATTATTTAAAACATTTACATAGTTCACTCAAAACTATAAAACAATATAATCAGGCCAGGCATGTTGGCTCACATCTGTAATTCCAGCAATTTGGGAGGCTGAGGAGAGAGTATCACTTGAGCCCGGGAGTTTGAGACCAGCCTGGTTAACATAGCAAGACCCCATCTGTATTTCAAAAAAATAAAACAGACAAACAAGAAACTGGCACAATCAGAGAATTCTCACATTAATATCCAACGACTCTCTTCTTCTACTACCCTCTCTCCCACTGTAGGTAGCGACTAATTATCTATTAGTGTTTGGTTTATTCTTCAGTTGCCTCTTTTTAGAAAATATAAACACACAGTTATATTCATATTCCCCTCCCTTGTACACAAAATGGCAGCTTACAAGCCCTGTTCTGTGCCTCCTTTTTTCATTGAAGAATATATTCTTGTGCTTACTCAATATCATAATACTGAAATCTTCCTCATTCTTTTTCTACTTAATATTTCTCTGTGTAGGTTTATTATAAAGAAATCTTCCTGATTCCTTTGCACTGCTGCAGAATACTACACTGTGTGGGTGTATCCATAGTTTATTTAACAAGTTCACAAGTGATAGAAATCTGGTTTGTTTCCAGTATTTTGCTGTTACAAATAATACCACAAAGAATAGCATAGACCTCACTCAAGAATGCTCTGGTAAACGTTTGCCAACAAGCTCTCTGGAAAAATTAAATGAAATGAAAAACAACCCTGATTGAGCACCTTTTCATAATATTTAATGGGCATTTGGATAGCTCCTCTTCTGTGAAGCATCTGTTCAGCCTCTTCTTACTTTACTATAAGGTTGTCCATCTTATTCTTTCCTCTATGTGAGCCCTTTTCTGGACATATGTATTTCAAATACCCTTTCTCATTATTCACTGTCTTAGTGATTTCTTCTGAATTTGAAAATTTTGGCCAGGTGCGGTGGCTCACGCCTGTAATCCCAGCTACTCAGGAGGCTGAGGAAGGGGAATCACCTGAACCCAGGAGGCAGAGTTTGCAGTGAGCCGAGATCATGCCACTGCACTCTAGCCTGGTCGACAGAGCAAGACTACGTCTCAAAAAAAAAAAAAAAAGAAAAAAAAATTAACATAGTCCAATTTATGAAAAGTTTCCTTTAAGTTTGGAGCAGAGTTCTGTTTAAGAAATATTTGCAAGCCTGGGCGACATAGGGAGCCCCCGTCTCTGTAAAAACTTTTTTAAAAAAATCAGCTGGGTGTGGTGGCAGGTGCATGTAGTCCCAGCTACTCCAGAGGCTGATGTGGGAGGATCACTTGAGACTGGGAGGTTGAGGCTGCAGTGAGCCATGTTCATGCCACTGCACTCCAGCCTGGGTGACAGAACAAGACGCCATCTCAAAAAAAAAAAAAAAAATTGCTTTGGACTTCACATTAAAAGTAAAAAAAGAAAAAATAAAAAAAATAAATATTTGCTTACTCCAAAGGTATGAAGATATTATATGTTTTGTTCTAGAAGCTTTATTATTTTGCTTCTTTCATTTCAATCTAAAATCTATCTGGGATTCATTATTTTGTGTGATATGGATGAAGATTCATTTTTTTCCCTATGGATATCCAATTAATCCAGGAGCATTTATTGAAAAGATCATCC
The DNA here is from genome assembly GCF_000001405.40 of Homo sapiens. Taxonomy (NCBI): domain Eukaryota; kingdom Metazoa; phylum Chordata; class Mammalia; order Primates; family Hominidae; genus Homo; species Homo sapiens. The sequence goes on along the minus strand of NC_000009.12, from coordinate 4,474,460 downwards.
TGTCTCCTCTGCATTGCAACATGACTTTGGCATATGTATATGTGTGCGTCTGTTTCTGAACTTTCTATTTGTGTGTCTGCGTCTAGGGTTTTTGTTGTTGTTTTGTTTGTTTGTTTTTGTAGAGATGGGGTTTCACCATATTGCCCAGGCTAGTCTTGAACTTCTGAGCTCAAGCAATCTGCCCACCTTGAACTTTCTATTTTGTTTTACTGATCTATTTGTCTATCTTTCCACTAATTCTCTCTGCCTTGATTATTGTAGCTTTATATGTAGCTTTGGTATTTGATATTGTAAATCCTGGAACATTTTTTAAAGATTGTCTTGCTTATTAATCATCCTTTGAATTTCCATATAAAATTTAGATAGCTTACAGATGTACACAGAAAAACACTTTCTGAAATTTTGTTTGGGAGTGACTTGAATTTTTAGATAGCTTTAGGGGGGAACTGACATCTTTACAATATACCAGGTTCATGAATTTTGAGCCTTCTAATACATGAAGCTGGTCTATTTTTGCATTTATTTAGGTCTTTTTTAGTTTTTTTAAATAATATTTTGCAGTTTTCTACATACAGGTCTTGTGCATCTTCATTAGGTTTTTCTCTCAGTATCTAAGGTGTTTTGATATGATTGTAAATAGCATCTTTAAAAATTTTTATTTATTTATTTTTATTTAACTTTTAAGTTTAGGGGTGCATGTGCAGGTTGGTTATGTAGGTAAACTCATGTCACAGGGGTTTGTTGTACAGATTATTTTGTCACCCTGGTATTAAGCTTAGTTACTTTTCCTGATCCTCTCCCTCCTCCCACCCTCCACTCTCTGATAAGCCCCAGTGTGTGCTGTTCCCTTCTATGTGTCCATGTGTTCTCATCATTTAGCTCCCACTTGTAAGTGAGAACATGTGGTATTTGGTTTTCTGTTCCTGCAGTAGTTTGCTAAGGATAGTGGCCTCCAGCTCCATCTATGTTCCTGCAAAGGAGTACATGATCCTTTTTTTTTGTTGTTGTTGTTGTTGAGATGGAGTCTCGCCCTGTCGCCCAGGCTGGAGTGCAATGGCATGATCTTGGCTCACTGCAACCTCTGCCTCCCAGGTTCAAACGATTCTCCTGCCTCAGCCTCCTGAGTAGCTGGGATTCCAGGCGCCCACCATCATGCTCAGCTACTTTTTGTATTTTTAGTAGAGACAAGGTTTCACCATGATGGTCAGGCTGATCTCATTCTTTCTATGGCTGCGTAGTATTCCATTCCATGGTGTATATGTATCACATTATCTTTATTCAGTCTATCATTGATGGCCATTTAGGTTGATTCCATGTCTTGGCTATTGTGAATAGTGCTGCAATAACTGGCAAGGTTGCAGAGAAAAAGAAATGCGTATACACTGTTGGTGGAGTGTAAATTAGTTCAACCATTGTGGAAAGCAGTGTGGTGATTCCTGAAAGATCTAAAAACAGAACTACCGTTAGACTCAGCAATCCCATTACTGGATATATACCCAAAGGAATGTAAACAGTATTTTTTAAAAATGTTTTTCAATTGTTTGTTAATGATATCTAGAAATATAGTTGATTTTTACAATAATTATCTTCAGATCTGCAATCTTGCTAAGTTCATTTAATATCAATAATTATATATAATTTCTGATTTTATATATATATAAAACGTGTTATCTGTAAATGACGACAATTTTAGTTCTTTTTTAAATTATGCTTTAAGTTCTAGGGTACATGTGCACAACGTGCAGGTTTGTTACATAGGTGTACATGTGCCATGTTGGTGTGCTGCACCCATTAACTCGTCATTTACATTAGGTATATCTCCTAATGCTATCCCTCCCCCCTCCCCACACCCCATGACAGGCCCCCGTGTATGATGTTCCCCACCCTGTGTCCAAGTGTTCTCATTGTTCAGTTCCCACTTATGAGTGAGAATATGCAGTGTTTGTTTTTCTGTCCTTGTGATAGTTTGCTCAGAATGATGGTTTCCAGCTTCATCCATGTCCCTACAAAGGACGTGAATTCATCCTTTTTTATGGCTGCATAGTATTCCATGATGTATATGTGCCACATTTTCTTAATTCAGTCTATCATTGATGGACATTTGGATTGGTTCCAAGTCTTTGCTATTGTGAATAGTGCCACAATAAACATATGTGTGCATGTGTCTTTATAGTAGCATGATTTATAATCCTTTGGGTATGTACCCAGTAATGGGATGGCTGGGTCAAATGGTATTTCTAGTTCTAGATCCTTGAGGAATCGCCACACTGTCTTCCACAATGGATGAACTAGTTTACAGTCCCACCAACCGTGTAAAAGCATTCCTATTTCTCCACATCCTCTCCAGTACCTGTTGTTTCCTGACTTTTTAATGACTGCCATTCTAACTGGTGTGAGATGGTATCTCCTTGTGGTTTTGATTTGCATTTCTCTGATGACCAGTGATGATGAGCATTTTTTCATGTGTTTGTTGGCTGCATAAATGTCTTCTTTTGAAAAGTGTCTGTTCACATCCTTTGCCCACTTTTTGATGGGGTTGTTTGTTTTTTTCTTGTAGATCTGTGTAAGTTATTTGTAGATTCTGGATATTAGCCCTCTGTCAGACGGGTAGATTGCAAAAATTTTCTCCCACTCTGTAGGTTGCCTGTTCACTCTGATGGTAGTTTCTTTTGCTGTGCAGAAGCTCTTTAGTTTAATTAGATCCCATTTGTCAATTTTGGCTTTTGTTGCCATTGCTTTTGGTGTTTTAGTCATGAAGTCCTTGCCCATGCCGATGGCTTGAATGGTATTGCCTGGGTTTTCTTCTAGGGTTTTTATGGTTTTAGATCTAACTTAAAAGTCTTTAATCCATCTTGAATTAATTTTTGTATAGGGTGTAAGGAAGGGATCCAATTTCAGCTTTCTATATACGGCTAGCCAGTTTTCCCAGCACCATTTATTAAATAGGGAATCCTTTCCCCATTTCTTGTTTTTGTCAGGTTTGTCAAATATCAGATGATTGTAGATGTGTGGTATTATTTCTGAGGGCTCTGTTCTGTTCCATTGGTCTATATCTCTCTTTTGGTACCAGTACCATGCTGTTTTGGTTACTGTAGCCTGGCAGTATAGTTTGAATTTACATAACGTGATGCCTCCAGCTTTGTTCTTTTGGCTTAGGATTGTCTTGGCAATGCGGGCTCTTTTTTGGTTCCATATGAACTTTAAAGTAGTTTTTTCCAATTCTGTGAAGAAAGTCATTGGTAGCTTGATGGGGATGGCATTGAATCTATAAATGACTTTGGGTAGTATGGCCATTTTCACAATATTGATTCTTCCTATCCATGAGCATGGAACGTTCTTCCATTTGTTTGTGTCCTCTTTTATTTCGTTGAGCAGTGGTTTGTAGTTCTCCTTGAAGAGGTCCTTCACATCCCTTGTAAGTTGGATTCCTAGGTATTTTATTCTCTTTGAAGCAATTGTGAATGGGAGTTCACTCATGATTTGGCTCTCTGTTTGTCTGTTATTGGTGTATAAGAATGCTTGTGATTTTTGCACATTGATTTTTGTATCCTGAGACTTTGCTGAAGTTGCTTATCAGCTTAAGGAGATTTTGGGCTGAGACAATGGGGTTTTCTAGATATACAATCATGTCATCTGCAAACAGGGACAATTTGACTTCCTCTTTTCCTAATTGAATACCCTTTATTTCCTTCTCCTGCCTTATTGCCCTGGCCAGAACTTCCAACACTATGTTGAATAGGAGTGGTGAGAGAGGGCATCCCTGTCTTGTGCCAGTTTTCAAAGGGAATGCTTCCAGTTTTTGCCCATTCAGTATGATATTGGCTGTGGGTTTGTCATAGATAGCTCTTATTATTTTGAGATACGTCCCATCAATACCTAGTTTATTGAGAGTTTTTAGCATGAAGATTGTTGAATTTTGTCAAAGGCCTTTTCTGCATCTATTGAGATAATCATGTGGCTTTTGTCTTTGGTTCTGTTAATATGCTGGATTACATTTATTGATTTGCATATGTTGAACTAGCCTTGCATCCTAGGGATGAAGCCAACTTGATCGTGGTGGATAAGCTTTTTGATGTGCTGCTGGATTTGGTTTGCCAGTATTTTATTGAGGATTTTTGCCTCGATATTCATCGGGGATATTGGCCTAAAATTATCTTTCTTTTTTTTGTCTCTGCCAGGGTTTGCAATCAGGATGATGCTGGCCTCATAAAATGAGTTAGGGAGGATTCCCTCTTTTTCTATTGATTGGAATAGTTTCAGAAGTAATGGTACCAGCTCCTCTTTGTACCTCTGGTAGAATTCGGCTGTGAATCCGTCTGGTCCTGGACTGTTTTTGGTTGGTGGGTTATTAATTATTGCCTCAATTTCAGAGCCTGTTATTGGTCTATTCAGAGATTTAACTTCTTTCTGTTTTAGTCTTGGCAGGGTGTATGTGTCCAGGAATTTATCCATTTCTTCTAGATTTTCTGTTCTCTGATGGTAGTTTGTGTTTCTGTGGGATCAGTGGTGATATCCCCTTTATCATTTTCTATAGCCTCTATTTGATTTTTCTCTCTTTTCTTTGTTAGTCTTGCTAGTGGTCTATCAATTTTGTTGATCTTCTCAAAAAAACAGCTCCTAGATTCATTGATTTTTTGAAGGGATTTTGTGTCTCTATCTCCTTCAATTCTGCTCTGATCTTAGTTATTTCTTGCTTTCTGCTAGCTTTTGAATGTGTTTGGTCTTGCCTCTCTAGTTCTTTTAATTGTGATGTTAGGTTGTCGATTTTAGATCTTTCCTGCTTTCTCTTGTGGGCATTTAGTGCTATAAATTTCCCTCTAACACTGCTTTAAATGTGTCTCAGAGATTCTGGTATGTTGTGTCTTTGTTATGTTTGGTTTCAAAGAACATCTTTATTTCTGCCTTCATTTCGTTTTGTACCCAGTAGTCATTCAGTAGCATGTTGTTCAGTTTCCATGTAGTTGAGCGGTTTTGAGTGAGTTTCTCAATCCTTAGTTCTAGTTTGATTGCACTGTGGTCTGAGAGACAGTTTGTTATAATTTCTGTTCTTTTACATTTGCTGAGGAGTGCTTTACTTCCAACTATGTGGTCAGTTTTGGAATAGGTATTGTGTGGTGCTCAAAAGAATGTATATTCTGTTGATTTGGGGTGGAGGGTTCTGTAGATGTCTATTAGGTCTGCTTGGTGCAGAGCTGAGTTCAATTCCTGGATATCCTTGTTAACTTTCTGTCTCATTGATCTGTCTAATGTTGACAGTGGGGTGTTAAAGTCTCCCATTATTATTGTGTAGGAGTCTAAGTCTCTTTCTAGGTCTCTAAGGACTTGCTTAATGAATCTGGGTGCTCCCATATTGGGTGCATATATATTTAGGATAGTTAGCTCTTCTTGTTGAATTGATCCCTTTACCATTATGTAATGGCCTTTTTTGTCTCTTTTGATCTTTGTTGGTTTAGAGTCTATTTTATCAGAGACTAGGATTGCAAATCCTGCGTTTTTTGCTTTCCATTTGCTTGGTAGATCTTCCTCCATCCCTTTATTTTGAGCCTATATGTGTCTCTGCAGGTGAGATGAGTCTCCTGAATACAGCACACTGATGGGTCTTGACTCTTTATCCAATTTGCCAGTCTGTGTCTTTTAATTGGAGCATTTAGCCCATTTACATTTAAGGTTAATATTGTTATGTGTGAATTTGATCCTGTCATTATGATGTTAGCTGGTTATTTTGCTCATTATTTGATGCAGTTTCTTCCTAGCATTAGTGGTCTTTACAAATTGGCATGTTTTTTGCAGTGGCTGGTACCAGTTGTTCCTTTCCACGTTTAGTGCTTCCTTCAGGAGCTCTTGTAAGGCAGGCCTGGTGGTGACAGAATCTCTCAGCATTTGCTTTTCTGTAAAGTATTTTATTTCTCCTTCACTTACGAAGTTTAGTTTGGCTGGATATGAAATTCTGGGTTGAAAATTCTTTTCTTTAAGAATGTTGAATATTGGCCCCCACTCTCTTCTGGCTTGTAGAGTTTCTGCCAAGAGATCTGCTGTTAGTCTGATGGACTTCCCTTTTTGGGTAACCCAACCTTACTCTCTGGCTGCCCTTAACATTTTTTCCTTCATTTTAACCTTGGTGAATCTGACAATTATGTGTCTTGGAGTTGCTCTTCTCAAGGAGTATCTTTGTGGCATTCTCTGTATTTCCTGAATTTGAAAGTTGGTCAGCCTTGCTAGGTTGGGGAAATTCTCCTGGATAATATCCTGCAGAGTGTTTTCCAACTTGGTTCCACTCTGCCCGTCACTTTCAGGTACACCAATCAGATATTTGGTCTTTTCACATAGTCCCATATTTCTTGGAGGCTTTGTTCATTTCTTTTTTCCCTTTTTTCTCTAAACTTCTCTTCTCACTTCATTTCATTAATTTGATCTTCAATCACTGATAACCTTTCTTCCACTTGATTGAATCGACTACTGAACCTTGTGCCTGTGTCACGTAGTTCTCATGCCATGAATTTCAGCTCCATCAGGTCATTTAAGGTCTTCTCTATGCTGTTTATTCTAGTTAGCCATTCGTCTAATCTTTTTTCAAGGTTTTTAGCTTCTTTGTGATGGGTTTGATCATCCTCCTTTAGCTCGGAGAAGTTTGTTATTACCGATCATCGGAAACCTTCTTCTCTCAACTCGTCAGAGTCGTTCTCCATCCAGCTTTGTTCCATTGATGGCGAGGAGCTGTCTTCCTTTGGGGGTGAAGAGGCCCTCTGATTTTTAGAATTTTCAGCTTTTCTGTTTTGGTTTCTCCCCATCTTTGTGGTTTTATCTACCTTTGTTCTTTGATGATGGTGATGTACAGATGGGGTTTTGGTGTGGATGTCCTTTCTGTTTGTTAGTTTTCCTTCTAACAGTCAGGTCCCTCAGCTGCAGATCCTTTGGAGTTTGCTGGAGGTCCACTGCAGACGCTGTTTGCCTGGGTATCACCAGCGGAGGCTGCGGAACAGCAAATATTGCAGAATGGCAAATGTTGTTGCCTGATCTTTCCTCTAGAAGCTTCATCTCCGAGGGTCCTGTGGCCATATGAGGTATCAGTGGCCACCTACTGGGAGGTGTCTCCTAGTTATACTACTCGGGCTCAGGGACCCACTTGAGGAGGCAGTCTGTCCGTTCTCAGATCTCAAACTCCATGCTGGGAGAACCACCACTCTCTTCAAAGCTGTCAGACAGGGACGTTTAAGTCTGTAGAAGTTTTTGCTACCTTTTGTTCAGCTATTCCCTGCCCCCAGAGGTGGAGTCTACAGAGGCAGGCAGGCCTCCTTGAGCTGTGGTGGGCTCCACCCATTTTGAGCTTCCTGTCCACTTTGTTTACCTGCTCAAGCGTCAGCAATGGCAGATGCCCCTCCCCCAGCCTCGCTGCCACCTTGCAGTTCAATCTCAAACTGCTGTGCTAGCAGTGAGTGAGGCACCGTGGGCATGGGACCCGCCGAGCCAGGTGCGGGATATAATCTTCTGGTGTGCCATTTGCTAAGACTGTTGGAAAAACGCAGTATTAGGATGGGAGTGTTCCAATTTTCCAGGTACCATCTGTCACGGCTTCCCTTGGCTAGGAAGGGGAATACCCCGACCCCCTTGCACTTCCTGGATGAGGCGATGCCCTGCACTGCTTCAGCTCACACTCCGTGGGCTGCACCCACTGTCTGACAAGCCCTAGTGAGATGAACCCTGTACCTCAGTTGGAAATGCAGAAATCACCCATCTTCTGCGTCGCTCACGCTGGGAGCTGTATTCTGGAGCTGTTCCTATTCAGCCATCTTGGAACCTCCACCTAGTTCTCTCTATTAATTGGGTTTTGCCTGATACACCAACCTGCATTTCCAGTATAAATCCCATTGGTTATGATGTATTATCCTTTATATATATTGTTAGATTAAATTTGCTAACATTTAAAAAAATTTTATATCTATGTTATGAGGGCTAATGTTCTGTTATCCTACTTTCTTGTGATGCCTTTGTCTCGTTTTGGATTAAGGGTAATACTGGCCTCATAAAATGATTTGATGTTTCTTCCTTCTCTATTTTCTGAAAAAGTGTGTGTAGGATTATAACCTTAAAATATTGGGTAGAATTCATCAGTGAAGCCATCTGGGCCTGGAGTTTCTTTGTGGAAAGCTGTCAACTATGAATTTAATTTCTTTTATTGGTATTGGGCAGTTCGAGTTTTCTATTTCTTCTCAGGTCAATTTCAGTAATTTGTGTCTTACAATGAATTGTCTATTTCATCTAAGTTGTCAAATTTATTGGCATAAAGTTGTTCATTATATACCCTTGTATCTTTAAGGTCCTTTAGATCTGCACTGATGCCTTTTCTTTCACTTTTGGTATTGGTAATTTGTGTCTTCTCTTCATATTTTTCTGAATCAGTATGGTAGAAGTTTGTGAATTTTACCATTTCCTCTATCAAAGAACCAGCTCTTGGATTCGTTGATTTTCTGTATTGTTTTTCTGTTTTGTGGGCCACATTTTTAAAGTAGTCTCATCTCTGTGATCTTTTACTCTCAAATCTTGGCAATTTTCTATCAACTTCAAATGCACTTAATGCTTTCAAATAGATTTTTAAATTATGTTTTCTGGCTTTTCAAGTTGTTCTTAGCAGGAGCACTAATCTACCACATGTTACTTAGTTAGAGCCAGAGGCAGAAATCCAAGAGGTATAATTTTTTTTGAAAATTTTTTTGAATTTAAAAAATTTTTGTAGATGCATAGTAGGTGTATATATTTGTGGAATACATAAGATGTTTTGATACAGGCATGCAATATGAAATAAGCACATCATGGGGAATGGGGTATCCATCCCCTCAAGCATTTATCCTTGGATTTACAAATAAATCCAGTTACAAGAATTATTATTTATTATCTTTTCTTTTTTATATTTTTTTGAGTCGGAGTCTCACTCTGTCGCCCAGGCCGGAGTGCAATGGCATGATCTTGGCTCACTACAGCCTCTGTCTTCCGGGTTCAAGAGATTCTTGTGCCTCCGCCTCCCTAGTAGCTGGGACTACAGTTGCGTGTCACCATGCATGGCTAATTTTTTGTATTTTTAATAGAGATGTGGTTTCACCACGTTGGCCAGGCTGGTCTCGAACTCCCGACCTCTGGTGATCCCCTTGCCTCGGCCTCCCAAAGTGCCGGGATTACAGGCATAAGCCACCGTGCCCGGCCTATTATCGTTATTTAGACTAAGAATGTATGCAATGTTATATGTAAATTTCCTCCATTCTTACAGGATTATCCTTTCTCTGGTCATGAACTGAAAAATGTGCTGAAACATCTGTAACTGATGGGCAGTCCCCAAGGACTATTTTGTAAGAGGAAGAGAGAGGGAAATGTTGATTCTGGTAATGCTGTAGGTTAAGTATGCAAATATAAAGCAGAGTTTCTGAAGAAATGTGTCACTGAAGTTTGTTATTGCTAACCCCTTGGCCACATCCATTTATAGCTTGTGCAAATATGTCTGCTTAGAGGAATACACTATACTAGCTACCAGTGACAGGTTTGTGTTTTATCTTAATACCATTTTGGGGGGTTTCTTCTCATATTCACATGTGTCTTTCCATCAGGTTTAAACTCAAATGTGAAGTCTCTTCAGATCAGCATTTCCTGGCTTCAATATTCTGCATACAACCTTTACAATTTTTTTCTTCTTCTATATACCACTTATATTATTTGCCTAAGATTTTCTTTGAACTTATTTTCTTTTTATTCAATTAATGCCTTTTCAAAGAAAATATCAGGCCAGGCATGGTGGCTCATGCCTGTAATCACAGCACTTTGGGAGGCCAAAGGAGGTGGATCACTTGAGGTCAGGAGTTCAAAACCAGCCTGGCCAACATGGTGAAATCCCGCCTCTACTAAAAATACAAAAATTATGCTGGTGTTGTGGTGGGCACTTGTAATCCCAGCTGCTCGGGAGGCTGAAGCAGGAGAATCGCTTGAGCCCAGGAGGTGGAGGTTGCAGTGAACTGAGATTGTGCCACTGCACTCCAGCCTGGGTGACAGAGCAAGACTCTGTCTCAAAAAAATAAATAAATAAAATTAAAAAAATAAAATTATAAAAAATAAATAAATAAAAGAAAATATTACTATCACAAATTGAAATCAATACTGCTTGTCAAAATCATGGTAAAAATTAAAACAGTGAAACTAAAACAATTTTATTAAATGCTACAAAGAGACCATTGCCTGTTGGAGACTCTGACCCCCAGGCCTGCTCTCTTTATTAAAATAAGCAACGTTAGAGAGGTTTTAAAGTCTACATAAGCTGAGCTGTTCTCCTTAATATAATAAAAAAAACCTGACACAGAAATGAAAAGGGAGTGATTTTTTCCTGTGTGATTCTACTTTGTTCAATGATTTGCCAGTGTACCACATAAAGGCTCCTCATGTTCTACACTTTAGGACCCACTAGATTGCATCATCTCTAAGATTTCTTTCAACTTGCATCTATGACATTCCAAATTTTTTTTCTTCGAAGTATTTTTGTATTTCCTCCCTCAGTTCTCACTCAGTTCTCACTCATGGAAACTGTCCTTGACCTATACCACACGTACAAATGACTGCTTTCTATCAATGACTGCCTGCACTCCTGCACTCTTAGTGCTGAACGTCACCATGAAAAAACTTGGAAATTTTATATAAGAAACAGAAAAATGGAGAAAACTGTGTAAAGTAGGAAGTAATTAGGAGACAATAGCTCAGACAAAAGGCATCCTGCATCTTTGACCTGGAACATTTTTATCTGTTTTCCCCAATATTTTTTTCACTTTCTTGTACTTCCCATTTGAGGTTTATTCGGGTTAAAATAAGTGTATTCTCCTAAAACAGCAGATATCTCTAGGCGGATTAAGATGCCATCAGCTACCCACACCTTAGTATAAATTAATCTAATCGGCTTGGTTATTTCCTTGATGCCTGAGATTGCCAACATTAAAAGAAACAGAAAGAAATAATTTTGATGAATAGCATATTTTCAGGGCCTGGGGGAGCATAAGAGGAGAGAGGGTTGGGTGAGAGAGCATGAAGAGATAGAAGAGAAACAATAAAGGAAGGTGAGAGAGTCCCAAATAAAAGTTTAAGAATAGTTTAATGCTTTCTCTCTTTCCCCTTTTTCTTACTCTATCAGCTTAATTCCTTTCTTACAAACCCAGAAGTCAGGTGAGTATAGAAAATGACAGTTAAGTTACTTCTTAAAGTCAACTTTTATAGGCTAGGACTTTCCCCACCATTAGTAAAATTGCTTCTAAGGAAAAATGTATTCTGTGTTTGTGACAACCAACATATTCACTGCGTTCTGTGACACAGTATTTGGTAACCTGAGAACTATCTGTATTGATTCTGCATACAGTCAGTAACTAAGAAATGCTACTTATCTCTCTGCCTTTGTAAATCTCCAGTGGGACAGAAAAATGCCAGGAAGATTGTTGGTACAGACATGGATTTCCCCCAGAGAATGGTTAAATTTTACATAAAGTGTTCCTGTGTCCTTTAGGTCCTATATTGGGTTTCCCATCACTTTAAGTGCAATATTTCTATTGATGACTTTCAAGCAGGTTCAAGACCAGTGCTTTTCAAACGATTTGGGATGAAGGACCAGACTTTTTCTTCTTTTTTCTTTTTTTGAGGCAAGATCTTGCTGTGTTGCTCAGATTGGAGCACAGGGGCACAGCCATGGTTCACTGCAGCCTCAAACTTCTGGGTTGAAGCAATCTTCCTTCCTCAGCCTCCTGTGTAGCTGGGACTACAGACATACAACACACCCAGCTAATGTGTGTGTGTGTGTGTGTGTGTGCGTGTCTGTGTGTGTGTGTGTGTGTGTGTGTGTGTGTGTGTGTGTTATAGAGATGGAATCTCGCTATGTTGCCCAGGCTGATCTTGAACTCCTGGCTTCAAGCAATGCTCCTGCCTCTGCCTCCCAAAGTGCTGGGATTACAGGCATGAGCTACTACTGCTCCTGGCCATCTCCTTCTTTTTAACTCTCTGATCTGTGGTAGAATCCTAGAATGCAGTTTGTGCCACATGTGACTCAGTGTACAAGTCTGAAAACACCCCCACTGGTCTCTTACCTCATTCAACAAGACAATTTCACCAATCTTGAGCTTGGATATTCTGGCAATATCAAGTTGCTATAAGAATTTCTACACACTTATTCCTAATTTCTGGGCTTGTCTTATTGCAGAATGGTGAAAAAGTTTACAGATCATACATTGAATAGTGATCTTGTAGGTGTGCTCTGAGAGTCCTTCTTATAAAATGACAAGACTCCTGCAGCCCTGGGGAGTCCTTTTATAGACCTAGAGTAGACGTAATCTAATGGTGTGGCCCATGGGCAAAAATAATCTGAGAATTATTGTTCTGTAACACAGACATGCCAACTCACTTCGTGTACTCTTCTTGCTATTCCCATTCCTTTGAACTGTACCAGAAAATTTGTAGATCTTATAGTTTTTACCAATTATTATAATATTTATATTACATAAACATAATATGTAAAACAATCTACAAAGCCCTTTCTCATTCTCAGATTAAGTTTTGCTGCAGTAACAAAGGATCTCTGAAATCGCAGAGCTTGACGACAACAAACTTTTATCTCTTGTTCATGCTGTATGTCCATCATATAGCTCCACTTGATCTTTATTTTAGGACCTATGCTGAGGGTGTAATGCTAGTTGGGACATGGCTGCTGATATTGGGTGAGGGAAAAGAGAAGATGGTAGCCGTGTGATAGTTCTTAAGGCTTTACCCCAAAATGTACATATTATTTTCTTTCATATCTCATTGGCCAAAGCAAGTCACATGACCAAGCCTGAAGTCAAGGAGGCAAGGAAGAACAAGCTCCCAGAGGAAGGATTTTGGAGGGAGGAGTAGCAAAGAATCCAAACCCTAGTAACACCTGTTGTAATCGTTTTGAAAATTTGAGTGAGAGTTGAGGAAAGAGTAGAGGCATTTCAGAATGTGAGAAATCTATCCCATAAACAAGGAAGATAAAATTACTTTTACTAATTTTAATACCAATATGAGAACATTTTACTCTGATTTTAAGGCTCTGTGAGAAGAATTGGTTCTTTAAGTGCATAATTGAAAAATGTATTCCCTGTGTAAGAATTACAAATGATTCATATTAAAAAGAAAACCATCATGGGCATTGATCCATCTTTCTGGAGTATATAAGGCTGACATACAAATACCCATGAAGTAAACACAAATGAGAATGTAGTCCCACCTGATACAAACTTAATTTGTGCCTGAGGTTTCAAAACTTTAACATCTTTTCTCTTGATTTGCATGGTTCATTTAAAAGGTGAGAGTATCACAGAAAAAGAGTGACATATTCATGCTCTGAGACTTGTTAGAGAATTCCTCATTTGGTAAAATAAGAGAACATCTCCAACTCCCAGAAAAAAAGTAAGACTGGTCTTAGTAGTCTTTAAAAATTCTTAATTCTCTATGGATGAGAACAAAATTTTCTCCCATCTGTCTTCAAATAGGACTCATTTTAGTATCAAAGAATTAATAAGCCTCCTTAAGTACCAAACATACAGCCAAGGAGTAATTGGGCTCATTTGGCGTTAAAGCTCTTCAAGGTCTCTTTTTATATTAAAAACACTCCAGATTTGAAATACTTTGTCAGAACTAGAAAGAAAGAACAAGGACAAATCCCCACAGCATGCAGACATGTAGAAGAAAAAAGGAAAGAGAACTCCTTTATTTGCTTCTTTTCTGTCCCTCTTTGCCAATGATTTCTTATTTTTCTTTGGAGCCTTACATTACTACTGTTTTAAGCTCCTCTTGGGATGGCTTCTGCTTCTGTTTAGTGAGATGTCAACAGCACATTTTTCTAAGAGCTCCTCATATTTAAACTCGGGGGGTGGTGGGGGGAATTGTGTTTTTCCTGCACTAGCCAGGACATCAAGCTAAACTTGGAGTATATATACCTACATCTTCATGGCGCACAGGAATGTGGCTGGAGAAGCACCATATGGTGTGGACTTCCATTATGGCAACCTAATGGTAACCCATTATGCTTGTATAGAAGTTACAGTATGTGCAGAGTTCATTCACTACATTTTCTTGTTCAATCTGATTTTGACATCAGTTCTGTGAAACTGGAACTTTCAACCCCATTTTATAATTAAAGATTAAGTGATAGAACCAATGGAGGGGATCCATGCAGATGTCATCTTTCTTTTCCTAGGAATTGCCCCCTTTCTCCATCCACATTTATATTTCAAGAATGCCCATGGTCTTCCATGACAGCATGAGATTCCCCACTGTTGACTGGTCCACCACCGAGCCACCAAATTGCCTTTCCTCATGGCCATAATTGCTTGATGGGTACCTGACCTGAACCAAGTTAATCAAGATCTGTCTCTAGGATTTTAAAGATTGGAATGGACAATTCAGCACCACTTTAGCGGCACAAACTTTTAGAGTGTGCCTCTATTATTCTACTGAAACAGCTCTTATTAAGGTCATCTGTGTCATTCCCTCTCCCCCACCATGGTGATATCTAGGGATCAGTTCCCAGGCTTCATTTTTCTCCATCATTCAGCAGCATTTAGCATGGTTAATCACTTCCTCCTCCACTTTCTTTTTCTCCCGCTTTTTCTTTTTTTCTTTTTTGAGACAGGGTCTTGCTCTGTTGCCCAGTCTAGAGTGCAGTGGTGTGAACATGGCTGACTGCAGCCATGGGCTGCAGTGGCTCACTTGACCTCCTGGGCTCATGGTTCACTTGACCTCCTGGGCTCAAGCAGCCCTTCTGCCTCAGTCTCCCAAGTAGCTGGGACCACAGGCGTGTACCACCATGCTTAGCTAATTTTTAAAATTTTTTCTAGTGATGAGGTCTCACTGTGTTGCCCAGTCTGGTCACGAGCTCCTGGGCTTAAGTGATCCTCCCATCTTGGCCTCCCAAAGTGCCAGGATTACAGGCACAAGCCATTGCTCTTGGCTGCCTCTTCTGCTTTCTGCATCTGCTTTCTGGGATACCACTCTCGTTTTCCCTCGTACCTCACTGGCTATTCCTTTTCAGTCTCTTTTACAGGTTTGTTCCCAGATTCCCAATCCCTAAAGATTGGATAGCCCCAGGGCTGAGTCTTTAGACCTCCTGTATCCTCTATCTACCTTGGGCTGTCTTTGCTTTTATCTTTCTCTTATATTCCCACATCCAGTACTTCAGCATATAATGCTGACAACCTTCACATATATTCAGTATATGGCCACTTCTCATCAGCTTTACCACCTGGTTCAAGTTTCATCATCTCTTACAAGGATTATTCAATGGTCTCCTAAATAGTCTCCCTGTCTCCACTCTTGCCCCCTACACATGGCAGCCAGAGTGTTTCTACTAAAACATAAATCAGATCATGTTTCTTCTCATCTCATTATTTTCCAGTGACTTGCCATCCCAGAGTAAAAGCCCAAATCCTAATGACAATCTTGGATCCATGTGGTAAGGCCATCGCTACCTTTCTGATCTTGCCTCTTATCACTCTTCCTGTCACCCACTTCTGCTCTAGCACAGTGGTCCCCTTGCTTGTCTTTGAACATGTCACTTTCCCACTTTAGAGTCTTTGTATTTGCTGTTTCATCAAATATACTTATTACTTCCTCCCAGACATTTTCACTTGTTCAGATATACTCAAGTCTCGCTCTGTTGCCCAGGCTGGAGTGCAGTGGTGCGATCTCATCTCACCACAACCTCTGCCTCCCGGGTTCAAGCAATTCTCCTGCCTCAGCCTCCCGAGTAGTCCCGAGTAGCTGGGACTACAGAC
The DNA here is from genome assembly GCF_000001405.40 of Homo sapiens. Classification (NCBI taxonomy): domain Eukaryota; kingdom Metazoa; phylum Chordata; class Mammalia; order Primates; family Hominidae; genus Homo; species Homo sapiens. Next base: position 4,458,660 of record NC_000009.12, on the reverse strand, counting down.
GTGCGCCACCATGCCCAGCTAATTTTTGTAATTTTAGTAGAGATGGGATTTCACTATGTTGGCCAGGCTGGTCTTGAGCTCCTAACCTCATGACCTGCCTGCCTTGGCCTCTCAAAGTGCTGGGATTACAGGAGTGAGCCACTGCACCTGGCCCCTGGCCACCTTTAATAAAGTAACACACTCTACTTCCACCACCATCACCATCATCATCACTTGGAACTCCCTAACTTTATGCTGGTTATTTTTTCCATAGCAATTACCACTACCTGGCATGTTATTTGTACATTTGTTCATTATTTGACTCTCTCCACACCACAAGAGCTCCTTGAGGGGAGACCTTTGCCTTGTCACTACTGTGTCCCCAGTGCCTAGAACAATGCATGCCATGCAGTTGGGCCCCAAAACGATAGCTGATTGAGTGAATAAATTAATTTAACCTTCTAGAGCTGTGGGAGGCCATGTTTTCTCCCAAGTAGAGCAAGACAGTCTGCAATAAGAGAGAACAAAGTTGGCATGACAGGAGGGCAGAGATCAGGTAGGGAAGATGAGTTCTGGCTGAGCTTGAGTCTCCAGTTTTTCCTGGTGCTCAGGTGCATACCTGCTATCCTGTGGGTTGGTGGTTCAGTCCTTCCATGGAGTTAATGGGGCTTTGTGTTGAACAGCTTTGAGTGGGGTTTGTGAAACTAACGTGGTCCTAACAAGTACACAAAGGTCATCTACATAGAAGGAGCTATACTTAAGGTCAGAACTTAGGTCTTGGATTTTTAACCTAGTATCATACTGCAGTTTCTGCAATTTTTTTTTTTTTTTTTGAGATGGAGTCTCGTTCTGTCGCCAGGCTGGAGTGAAGTGGCACAATCTCAGCTCACTGCAACCTCTGCCTCCCGGGTTCAAGTGATTCTTCTGCCTCAGCCTCCCGAATAGCTGGGACTACAGATATGTGCCACCATGCCCAGCTAATTTTTTTTTGTATTTTTAGTAGAGATGGGGTTTCACCATGTTGGCCAGGATGGTCTCGATCTCCTGACCTCATGATCCACCCGCCTCAGTCCCCCAAAGTGCTGAGATTACAGATGTGAGCCACCACGCCTGGCCAGTCTCTGCATTTTAAGTCGTTATTTGATTACAGGGCCCAAAGATGTATGTGTCCAAACCCACCCAAAACAAGTCCACAGAGGGTGTTAAGAGTGAAAGATGTTCAGCTAGAGCTCACTAAATATCTCTTTTCCTCCTTCCAGAGGGTGCAATCAATGCAATCAATTCCCTTATAAATGCAGATATATCTTGCTTTTTTTTTTTTGAGACAAGGTCTCACTCTGTCGCCCAGGCTGGAGTGCAGTGGTATGATCATAGCTTATTGAAGCCATGACTTGCTGGGCTCAAATGATCCTCCCACCTCAACTTCCTAAGTAGCTGGGACTACAAGTGTGTGCCACCAAGCCAGGGTAATTTTTTATTTTTATAGAGACAGGGTCTCACTATATTGCCTCAGCTGGTCTCAAACTCCTGGCCTCAAGCAATCCTCCCACCTCAGCCTCCCAAAGCTCTGAGATTATAGCTTTGAGCCATCGTACCCAGTTCAAATATTACATTTCTTATAAATTGAAGGTTTGTGGCAACCCTGAGTAGAGCAAGTCTACTGGTGTCATTTTTTTAACAGCATGTGTTCATGTCATGTCTGTGTCACATTTTGTTAATTTTTGCAATATTTCAAACTTTTAAATTATTTAATCTGTTATGGTGATCTGTGATCAGTGATCTTTGATGTTAGTATTGCAATTGTTTTGGGATACCATGAACCATGCCCATATACAACAGCAAACTTAATTGATAAATATGTATGTTCTGACTGCTCAACTGGTCAGCTGTTCCTCCATTTTTTCCCTCTCCTCAGGCTTCCCAATTCCCTGAAACACAACAGTATTGAAGTTAGGCCAATAAGTAACCCTACAATGGCCTCTAAGTATTCAAATGAAAGGAAGAGTTGCTTTAAATTAAAAGCTGGAAAAGATTAATCCTAGTGAGGAAGGCATGTTGAAAGCCAAGAGAGGCTGAAAGCTAGGCCTCTTGCACCAAACAGTTGTGAATGTAAAGGAAAAGTTATTGGAAGAAATTAGAAGTGCTACTGCAGTGAACACACAAGTGATAAGAAAGCAGAATAGCCATATTGCTGATAGCGAGAAAGTTTTAGTAGTCTAGATAGATGATCAAATCAGTCACAACACCTCCCTAAGCCAAATAACATCACATGCTAGAGAAAGCTTTTGTGAAAGGAAGAGACCATCCACGCAGCAACTTCATTGTTGTTTTATTTTAAGAAATTGCCACAGCCACCCCAACATTCAGCAACCATCAATCTGATCTGTCAGCAGCCATCAATATTGAGGCAAGACACTACCACCAAAAATTTACAACTTTCTGAGGGCTCACATGATCATTAACATTTTTAAGCAATATTTTAAAATTAAAGTTTGTGCATTGCTTTTTAAGACATAATGCTATCGCATGCACAATAGACTACAGTATAGTGTAAACACAACTTTTTTTTTTTCTTAGATGGAGTCTCACTCTGTCGCCCAGGCTGGAGTGCAGTGGCGTGATCTCAGCTCACTGCAACCTCTCCCTCCCAGGTTCGAGCCATTCTCCTGCCTCAGCCTCCTGAGTAGCTAGGAGTGTGCAACACCACACCCGGCTAATTTTTTGTATTTTTAATAGAGACAGGGCTTCACCATGTAGGCCAGGCTGGTCTTGAACTCCTAATTTCAAGCAATTCACATGCCTTGGTCTTCCAAAGTGTGAGGATTACAGGTGTGAGCCACCACACCCGGCCTAAACATAACTTTTATATGTACTAGGAAATGAAAAACAATCATGTGAATCACTTTATTGCAATATTCTTTTTATTCTGGGACCGAACCTGCAATATCCCCACAGTATGCCTTTCAGGATCTGGAAAGAAACAATCAACACATTATCTTTCAATGTCCCATTATTGATCACTTCATGAAGATATTAAAAATAGAGTGTTTTTGAAAAATTAATTGCATAAGCGACTGGAGAAATCCTACAATGTTAAGTTTGGAAAGAATGTTAGAGGCAAGTTCATCCGCTCAAACAAATTATATGATCCACCCAGGATAACTTGTTTAGTGACAGGGCTGGAACTAGAACCTAAGATCCTATGTCTGTTTGATCCTCAGTACAGGCTCTTTTTACTATACAAGATGCCTAACTTTTTCTTGCCCTTCCACTTCCATCCTCTTCTTGGAGGTTGCAGCCACATAAACTCTATTAATAATCTCTCCACTAATAACTTGTGGATAATGCTATTTAGTTGTCTACAAAGAGTGTGGTGACACATTTTAAATGAACTGAGAATAACTGAAGACCGTAAGATGGAAGGCAATCTCATGCTAGCCATGATTTAAATATAAATCAATCCAAAGTCAGCAATTTATGGACTCACCGATGTGAAAGAATAGTAACTTTACAATATGCCACAAAGGCAGGCTTAAGGCTCTTCATGAGTACTCTTTTTATATTGCTATTTTAGGATGAGAAATTGATTACTATCTTGGAGCTAAATTCTACTTTGCCCTATCCACCCAGGACTCTGGAAAAAGGTATAAATTACCTAGTGAAGTGGAAAAACACTAAGCACTTCTTAATTCTTAATAGTTTTGAGGAGATAAATGGTATAAGAATAAAAAAGAGTTATTAAGAAAAATTAAGGAAAAATGTAGAATTAAAGGCATGTGAGTGTGTGTACAATTCTAGATTATATGAAACAAAAATTTCTTCAAATTTGTGAGATCCCCTACTTCAGGGTGCCAGTAAAGAAATGTATCACCTCCAACTATATGTTCTTTCTTGAATAACTCCCCTCATTGTGAAATTATGAGAGAGAGAACCTAACTGTCCCGACCTGGAACACATCAAACCCATAGACCAGAAGAGGGCAAAATATATTCCCTGCAATAGAGGAGAGTAGCTCTTCAAAACAGAAATAGAGATGCATTTACTGAAATAAGAGGAGATACATGCTGGAAAGGGTGAAATAACAGGTGTCCACTAGTATCTCCTAGATTTACCCTTTCATCCTCCCTCGCATACTATCATAATGTGTTGGGAAACAGCAAGATGTAGGGCAAAGGGACCTGGACTTGGATTTGAACTTCAGCTCTCCATAACTTTAGATAAGACATATATAACCTTTATAGGCTTTATTTTTCTCATCTGTAAAATTAGAGGTATGTGCAGGGTTCATTCACCACATTTTCTTGTTCGATCTGATTTTGACATCAGTTCTGTGAAAATGGAAGTCTCAACCCCATTTTATATCCAAAGTAGTGTGGTGGCCAGTTGTGGTGGCTCATGCCTGTAATCCTAGTACTTTGGAAGGCCAAGGCAGGAGGATCCCTTGAGCCTAGGCATTTGAGACCAGCCTGGGCAACAAAGGGATACCCTGTCTCTGGTTTTTTTCTTTCTTCTTTTTTTTTTTTTTTTTTTTATCATCATATACATTTGTCAAAACTCATCAAACTGAACATTTTAAACTGGTAGCTTTTATTAGATGTGGAATATACCTCAATAAAGCTGATTTTTAAAAGAAAAAGTAAAGATGTTTTCTTTTCTTTTTTTAAAATTTATTTTCTTTTATTTTTATTATACTTTAAGTTCTAGGGTACATGTGCACAACGTGCAGGTTTGTTACATAGGTATACATGTGCCATGTTGGTTTGCTGCACCCATCAACTCGTCATTTACATTAGGTATTTCTCCTAATGCTATCCCTCCCCTTCCTCCCACCCCATGACAAGCCCCCGTGTGTGATGTTCCCCACCCTGTGTCCAAGTGTTCTCATTGTTCAATTCCCAACTATGAGTGAGAACATGCAGTGTTTGGTTTCCTGTCCTTGTGATACTTTGCTCAGAATGATGGTTTCCAGCTTCATCCATGTCCCTGCAAAGGACATGAACTCATCCTTGTTTATGGCTGCATAGTATTCCATGATGTATATGTGCCACATTTTCTTAATCCAGTCTATCATTGATGGATATTTGGGTTGGTTCCAATGATGAGCGTTTTTTCATGTGTCTGTTGGCTGCATAAATGTCTTCTTTTGAGAAGTGTCTGTTCATATCCTTTGCCCACTTTTTGATGGGGTTGTTTTTTTCTTGTAAATTTGTTTAAGTTCTTTGTAGATTCTGGATATTAGCCCTCTGTCAGATGGGTAGATTGCAAAAATTTCCTCCCATTCTGTAGGTAGCCTGTTCATTCTGATGGTAGTTTTTTCTTTTTTTTTTTTTTTTTTTGCTGTGCAGAAGCTCTTTAGTTTAATGAGATCCCATTTGTCAATTTTGACTTTTGTTGCCATTGCTTTTGGTGTTTTAGACATGAAGTCCTTGCCCATGCCTATGTCCTGAATGGTACTGCCTAGGTTTTCTTCTAGAGTTTTTATGGTTTTAGGTCTAACATTTAAGTCTTTAATCCATCTTGAATGAATTTTTGTATAAGGTGTAAGGAAGGGATCCAGTTTCAGCTTTCTACATATGGCTAGTCAGTTTTCCTAGCACCATGATAAAGAAGGGAATCCTTTTCCTATTTCTTGTTTTTGTCAAGTTTGTCAAATATCAGATGGTGGTAGATGTGTGGTGTTATTTCTGAGGCCTCTGTTCTGTTCCATTGGTCTATCTCTCTGTTTTGGTACCAGTACCATGCTGTTTTGGTTACTGTAGCCTTGTAGGATAGTTTGAAGTCAGGTAGCATGATGTCTCCAGCTTTGTCCTTTTTGCTTAGGGTTGTCTCGGCTATATGGGCTCTTTTTTGGTTCCATATGAAATTTAAAGCAGTTTTTTCTAATTCTGTAAAGAAAACAGCTTGATGGGGATAGCATTGAATCTGTAAATTACTTTGGATAGTATGGCCATCTTCAAGATATTGATTCTTCCTATCCATGAACATGGAATGTCCTTCCCTTTGTTTGTGTCCTCTCTTATTTCCTTGAGCAGTGGTTTGTAGTTCTCTTTGAAGAGTTCCTTCACATCCCTTGTAAGTTGGATTCCTAGGTATTTTGTCCTCTTTGTAGCAATTGTGAATGGAAGGTAACTCATGATTTGGCTGTTTGCCTATTATTGGTTTATAGGAATGCTTGTGATTTCTGCACATTGAGTTTGTATCCCGAGACTTTGCTGAAGTTGCTTATCAGCTTAAGGAGGTTTGGGGCTGAGACAGTGGGGTTTCCTAAATATACAATCATGTCATCTGCAAACAGAGACATTTTGACTTCCTGTCTTCCTATTTGAACACTCTTTCTTTCTTTCTCTTGCCTGACTTCCCTGGCCAGAACTTCCAATACTATGTTGAATAAGGGTGGTGAGAGAGGACATCCTTGTCTTGTGCCAGTTTTCAAAAGGAATGCTTCCAGTTTTTGCCCATTCAGTATGATATTGGCTGTGGATTTGTCATAAATAACTCTTATTATTTTGAGATACGTTCCATCAATACCTACTTTATTGAGAGTTTTTAGCATGAAGGGGTGTTGAATTTTATCAAAGGCCTTATTTGCATCTATTGAGATAATCATGTCGTTTTTGTCATTGATTCTGTTTATGTGATGGATTACATCTATTGATTCATGAATGTTGAACCAGACTTGCATCGCAGGGATGAAGCCGACTTGATTGTGGTGGATAAGCTTTTTGATGTGCTGCTGGATTCCGTTTGCCAGTATTTTATTGAGGATGTCAGTTTTAGGTCTTTCCTGCTTTCTCTTGTGGGCATTTAGTGCTATAAATTTCCCTGTATACACACTGTTTTAAATGTGTCCCAGAGATTCTGGTACATAATGTCTTTGTTCTCATTGGTTTCAAAGAACATCTTTATTTCTGCCTTCATTTCATTATGTACCCAGTAGTCATTCAGGCGAAGGTTGCTCAGTTCCATGTAGTTGTGCAATTTTGAGTGAGTTTCTTTATCCTGGGTTCTAATTTGATGGCACTGTGGTCTGAGAGACAGTTTGTCGTGATTTTGTTATTTTACGTTTGCTGAGGAGTGCTTTACTTCCAACTATGTGGTCAATTTTGGGGTAAGTGCGATGTAGTGCTGAGAAGAATGTATATTCTGTTGATATGGGGTGGAGAGTTCTGTAGATGTCTATTAGGTTCACTTGGTGCAGAGCTGAGTTCAATTCCTGGATATCCTTGTTAACCTTCTGTCTTGTTGATCTGTCTAATATTGACAGTGGGGTGTTAAATACCCCCATTATTATTGTGTGGGAGTCTAAGTCTCTTTGTAGGTCTCTAAGGACTGGTTTTATGAATCTGGGTGCTCCTGCATTGGGTCTATATATATTTAGGACAGTTAGCTCTTCTTATTGAATTGATCCCTTTACCATCATGTAGTGGCCTTCTTTGTCTCTTTTGATCTTTGTTGGTTTGCAGTCTGTTTTATCAGAGACTAGGATTGCAACCCCTGCTTTTTTTTGCTTTCCATTTGCTTGGTAGATCTTCCTCCATCCCTTTATTTTGAGCCTATGTATGTCTCTGCACATGAGATGGGTTTCCTGAATACAGCACACTGATGGATCTTGACACTTTATCCAATATGCCAGTACTTGCCTTTTAATTGGGGCATTTAGCCCATTTACATTTAAGGTTAGTATTGTTATTGTGAATTTGATGCTGTCGTTATGATGTTAGCTGGTTATTTTACCCGTTAGTTGATGCAGTTTCTTTCTAGCATTGATGGTCTTTACAATTTGGCACGTTTTTGCAGTGTCTGGTACCAGTTGTTTGTTTCCATGTTTAGTGCTTCCTTCAGGAGCTCTTTATAAGGCAGGCCTGGTGGTGACAAAATCTCTCAGCATTTGCTTGTCTGTAAAGGATTTTATTTCTCCTTCACTTGTGAAGCTTAGTTTGGCTGGATATGAAATTCTGGGTTGAAAATTCTTTTCTTTAAGAATGTCGAATATTGGCCCCCACTCTCTTTTGGCTTGTAGAGTTTCTGCCAAGAGATCTGCTGTTAGTCTGATGGGCCTCCCTTTGTGGGTAACCTGACCTTTCTCTCTGGCTGCCCTTAACATTTTTTCCTTCATTTTAACCTTGGTGAATCTGACAATTATGTGTCTTGGGGTTGTTCTTCTCGAGGAGTATCTTTGTGGCATTGTCTGTATTTCCTGAATTTGAATGTTGGCCTGTCTTGCTAGGTTGGGGATGTTCTCCTGGATAATATCCTGCAGAGTGTTTTCCAACTTGGTTCCATTCTCCCCATCACTTTCAGGTACACCAATCAAACGTAGATTTAGTCTTTTCACATAGTCCCATATTTCTTGGAGGCTTTGTTCATTTCTTTTTACTCTTTTTTCTCTAAACTTCTCCTCTCACTTTATTTCATTAATTTGATCTTCAATCACTGATACCCTTTCTTTCACTTGATTGAATCGGCTATTGAAGTTTGTGTATGCATCACATAGTTCTCGTGTCGTGATTTTCAGCTCCATCAGGTCACTTAAGGTCTTCTCTACACTGTTTATTTTAGTTAGCCATTCATCTTATCTTTTTTCAAGGTTTTTAGCTTCCTTGTGATGGGTCCAAACATCCTTCTTTAGCTTGGAGAAGTTTGTTATTACCGACCTTCTGAAGCATACTTCTGTCAGCTAATCAAAGTCATTCCCCCTCCAGCTTTGTTCCATTGCTAGTGAGGAGCTGTGATCCTTTGGAGGAGAAGAGGCGCTCTGGTTTTTAGAATTTTCAGGTTTTCCTCTCTAGTTTCTCCCCATCTTTGTGGTTTTATCTACCTTTGGTCCTTGATGCTGGTGACCTACAGATAGGGTTTTGGTGTGGATGTCCTTTTTGTTGATGTTGATGCTATTCCTTTCTGTTTGTTGTTTTTTTCTTCTAAGAGTCAGGTCCCTCAGCTGCAGGTCTGTTGGAGTTTGCTAGAGGTCCACTCCAGACCCTCTTGCCTAGGTATCACCAGCAGAGGCTGCAGAGCAGCAAATATTGCAGAACAGTAAATAATACTGCCTGATCCTTCCTCTGGAAGCTTCATCCCAATGGGGTTCCCACCTGTATGAGGTATCAATTGGCCCCTACTGGGAGATGTCTCCCAGTTAGGCTACACGGGGGTCAGGGACCCACTTGAGGAGGCAGTCTGTCCATTCTCAGAGCTTGAACACCATGCTGGTAGAACCACTGCTCTCTTCAGAGATGTCAGACAGGGATGTTTAAGTCTGCAGAAGTTTCTGCTGCCTTTTGTTCAACTATGCCCTGCCACCAGAGGTGGGGTCTACAGAGGCAGCAGGCCTTGCAGAGCTGTGGTGGGTTCTGCCCAGTTTGAGCTTCCCTGGCCACTTTCTTTACCTACTCAAGCCTCAGCAATGGCAGATGCCCCTCTCCCTGGCAGGCTGCTGATTCGCAGGTTGATGTCAGACTGCTGCACTAGCAGTAAGCAAGGTTCTGTGGGCTTGGGATCCGCCAAGCCATGCATGGTATATAATCTCCTGGTGTGCCGTTTGCTAAGACCGTTGGAAAAGTACAGTATTTGGGTGGGAGTGTCCCGATTTTCCAGGTGCCGTCTGTCACAGCTTCCCTTGGCTAGGAAAGGGAAATCCCCTGACCCCTTGTGCCTCCCAGGTGAGGTGACACCCTGCCCTGCTTCAGCTCACCCTCCATAGGCTGCACCCACTGTCCAAACAGTCCCAGTGAGATGAACCACGTACCTCAGTTGGAAATGCAGAAATCACTGTCTTCTGCACCCATCACTCTGGGAGCTGCAGACTGGAGCTATTCCTATTTGGCCATCTTGGAGTGGACTATCAGTTTTTTTCTTTTTTTAAGCAAACAAACAAACCACAAAGTAAGCTGGTAACAAAATTTAGCATAGCCTTCCAGGCTACTGGAAACTTCAATTCAGCATGGTGCTAGGGATCAAAAGGACATAATGATTTTCACACAGGCTCTTAGAATTTCTGCCCAGCAGTGATATAAGTTGCTTTGACTTATAGTTTGTTGTCCAGAACAAGTTATGTGGTCACACCTGCTTCAAAGCAGGAGGAGAAATGCATCCCACAGCATGCCCACAAGAAGCTGGAAATATCTGTAAATGTCTATAATGACAACAACAATGTGCAGAAGAAAGAACATGAGGCTGAAGTGGGGAGATCACTTAAAGACCTGACTGCCTGTAAGCCACTTTGCTAGTTGGCTCAGCTTTGAGAAGTGGCTCAACTTCTCTGCCATCAGGAGATACTGGAGCTGTTGAGACACTTTCAGCCTCTGTGCTCACAAGCATGGGATGGGTTCTGGCTGCCTGAGTGGCTAGGCTGGGTAACTCTACTTGTGTGGCTTTGTTGGGAATAGATTTGCCTCTAGGTTCTCAAATTCTAGGAAAACACGAGATGAAATGATCCCCGATAGATGAATAGGCAAATGGGAATGGGGAGTTAGCAAAGAACCGATTATATCTGCAGCTAAGGAGATTGTCTTAGAAGACAATCAATCTTAGTTGGGACAGGAAATGAGGAATCACATGAGAGTTTAAGGAGCTGACTTTAGTAACCGGTACCAGTCAAGGAAAGCTGGGCTCTATCAGAGTACAGATAGAAACAGGCAGGTTGTGGTGGCTCATGACTGTAATCTCAACTCTTCGGGAAGCTGACTTGGGAGGACTGCTTAAACCCAAGAGTTTGAGACCAGTCTGGGCAACATATTGAGAGCTCATTTTTAGAAAAAATAAAAATAGAAATAAATTTAAAAAGGACAGAAACAAACAGTGAAAAATGTAAAAGGGAACCAGAAAAAGAATGACCAGAACATGGAACAGACCAGTCTTAGGTTTTGAACAGAGGACTGGGCTCAGGAGGCTGGCTGCTTTCCATAACCTCTTGGCAAAAGAAGAGATGAAGTCCTCTGAGTCCTTGGGGAAGTTGTCCTCCATGAAGCCATCTAATGGAGAAAAAATTTCAGCATCTCTTTCAGCAAATCAGCAGTACCTGGAGGCAAAGGTCAGTCTAGAAGCAGACTGAGGTTCAGGAAGGGAGATTAGTGGTCACTTCTAAGCAAGAATGAAGAGTTTAATTTCAATTTAACATTAACTGAGATTCTGCTTGGGACAATAGGTATAAAACAAGTACCTGTAATACTATGGGATAAATGAAATAAGACATGCAAGACATTGTGAGAATATAATGGGTGAACATGGTGGTGGTGGTGCTGTGGTTGGGAGATTGTTCAGGGACTACTTCCTGGTAGAAATAAGATTTGAAATGTCTTAAAAGAAATTTAAGGCCAGGCATGGTGGCTCACTCCTGTATCAGGCATGGTAGCTCACAAATGGATCAATCCTAGCACTTTAGGAGGCCAAGGCAGGAGGATTGATTAAGCCAGGAGTTTGAGACCAGCCTGAGCAACATAGTGAGACCCTGTCTCTATAAAAAATGAAATAATTAGCCAGGCATGGTGGCACATGCCTATAGTCCCAGCTACTTGGGAGGCTAAGGTGGGAGAATCATTTGAGCCCAGGAGTTTGATGCTGCAGTGAGCTGCGATTGTGCCACTGAATTCCAGACTAGGCAACAGAGTGAGACCTTGTCTCTATTAAAAAAAAAAATTAAGCATTATGGCATAGAGGTCCATTACAGGCATAGGGTACATCATGAGCAAAGAGTAAGGGTAGCAGAGTAAGAATCACGGGGCACGTTTGCAAAAATTGGTGTATGTGTTTGTTGAACCACAAGCCATTCAGTGCAGCTGGAACCTAAGTACAGTCAAGGAGAGGTAGGAAGTGAGCTAAAGAAGGAAGCAGAGGTCACACAATGAAAGCACTTTCACATCATGAGAAAGAATTTGGGACCAGGCGCAGTGGCTCATGCCTGTAATCCCAGCCCCTTGGGAGGCCGAGGCAGGTCACCCGAGTTCAGGAGTTTGAGACCAGTCTGGCCAACTTGGTGAAACCCCTTCTTTACTTAAAAAAAAAAAAAAAAATTAGCCGGGCATGGTGGTGTGTGCCTGTAATCCCAACTACTTAGGAGGCTGAGGCAGGAGAATCACTTGAACCCAGGAGGTGGAGGTTGCAGTGAACTAAAATCATGCCACTGCACTCAAGCCTGGGTGAGAGAGCAAGACTCCATCTCAAAAAAAAAAAAAAAAAAAAAAATTTGGATATTTTCCTGCTGTCTTAGTCCACTTGGACAGCTACAACAAACTACCTTACACTGGGTAATTTATAGATAATAGAAATTTATTTCTCATGTTTCTGGAGACTGGGAAGTCCAAGATCAAGGCATCAGCAGATTTAGTGTCTGGTGAAGGCATAGCTTCCTACTTCATCGATGGTGCCTCTGGCTGCATCCTCACATAATGGAAGCAGTCAAGGGTACCCCCTTCAACCTCTTTGATAAGGGAAATAATCCCATTCATTAGGGAAAAGCCCTCATGGCTTAATTATTTACCCAAAGACCACACCTCTTAATACCACTACCATAGAATTTCGACATGAATTTTGGAGGGACACATTCAGACCAGAACATCTGTAAATCAGAGATCACAGCCTGGTAAACCATGGGCTGGTTTTGACCCTCAGATATTTTGTTTGGCAACACACCATTATCTTGAAAATTGAAATATAATTTAAAAATTGGGAGATTTCATATATTAAAAAAATCTAAAATTTTGGTATTTCTAGGGAAAACAAGAAAGTCTGGCAATCCTGGGCCTATACTCTGATATGGTGAAAACTACCTAGAGACAAATTCTATCTGTCCTCTTGGATGGCACAGGTCCATTTCCAGTTCTCTACAGTCTCAACCATGCTGTTGATTCCTCAACTGGCAGCCAGCATCTCTTTTTATCTGCATGGCCCTCATAGTGGGGTGTGTACTTGAGAAGGATTCGGACATCTGCATGGAAAGTTTGAGTTGCGCCTAACATGCTGTGTCCATGAGTAGGTCGTTTGGTCCCTCTTGTCCTCAGTTTTCTCAGCCCTTAAATCTAGACTAGTTTATTTTTATTTCTTATTTTTATTTTTAGAGTTAGAGTCTTGCTCTGTCACCCAGGTGGGAGGGCAGTGGTGCAATCATAGCTCACTGTAAGCTTGAATTGCTGGGCTCAAGGAATCCTCCTCCCTCAGCTTCCCAAGTAGCTGGGACTACAGGCATGTGCCACCATGCCTAGCTAATTATTTTTATTTGTATTTATTGTAGAGACTAGGTCCCACTATGTTGCCCAGGCTGGTCTTGAACTCCTGGCCTCAAGCAATCTGCCAGCCTCAGCCTCCCCAAATGCTGGGATTATAGGCGTGAACCACCACACCTGGCCTGGACGAATTTATTTCTATTGTCGCTTCCTGCTTCATCACTCTATGACTTTATATAATAAAAACAGTGATGAAAAATGCTACAGCACTTTACAGTTTTCAAGGGTTTCATATACATTTCTTACAGCCTTTGTGAGATAAATAGTATGTTCCTGATTGACCACATGAATAAACTGAGGTCCAGTGAGGCAAAGAAACAAATCCTGTGCCTTCTCTCCCACACCTCATTGCACCACTGTGCCGTGCTTGAATTTCCGTCTTTCTAATATTCCCCAGAGTTGATGCATAATGATTAAAATAATGAAATGCAACCAACTAGTATATATGAGATAAAACATATGAGATGTAACTCCAAGGGCAACGGGAGAGGTTCCATGTGAAAAAAATAGTCGTATATTTTTTAACCCTCATGTTTCTTATGAGATGTTTTGACATCTTAGGCAGGAAGGAGCTAAACTGAGCCCCTATGGAGGTTTTTCACTTACCTCTTTTCAGACAATTTATCCAAGCATGAAATCTTTGAAGCAATTTTGTAATCAAGTCTGAAAACAAAATTTCAACCCCCAGATGCAGCAAAGCCTGTGGTAGTTAGAGAGAGTGGATGTGTGTAAGGCATGCAAATGCCACTGGTTCCATATACCCCAGGGGCTTTGGCTCTTCATATGTGTTCATCTAAAGGGAGTGAAAGCCAGACTTCTAATGATGGGATGGCTTGCTTTCTTCATGATAATCGGCAAAGTTATCAGATTACCAGACCTGCGAAGTCATGTCAGCAGCCAGGTGTTTTACTTCATATGTGGGCGAGTTTGAAGTTGTTGGAATACAAAAGAATTACAGAAGTCTGGCTTAATGATTCGCATAGGACAGACAGATTAGAGCCAGGAGATTATCATTCTGTTCATTCAAAAACTGTGTGTACTGAAAGATAGTTGAGCTAATGATGTTAACTAATGCAGACAGGAAGGTTAGGGGAAAACATAAACTTAGCATGTGATTACATAATATCTCTGATGGGGAGGACAGAAGGACATTGCTTAGATGTCTTTATTATTGTGTATGAGAAGCGTAGTAATTATTATGCTGTTCTTGTGAATTAAGATAAGTGGTGTATCTTATTTTGCAGAAGAGCCTTTGTATGTCTTTTTATGCTGATTGGTACAAGGGCAGTCTGAATTGAATGAAAACTGGATCACATTTCAAACAAATAGCTCCCATCACTTTGTCCTGGTCATCATTTCTATGACTGACCACCAGATCAAGAGGTTACTCTTCTCTTGACCATGGTCCCACTCCTTATTTTTTTCTGGGGTGCCTCATCTATGATGAATCATCAACACATTACACAGCTTTAACTGAGACTTTGACTGTATTGTAGAGAAGCATGGGATATAACCTGTCTACACCAGGCCAGTAGATAGAGACACACACAGTGGAATTGTAGTGTCAACCTGAGACAGATTAACATAATTTTGACTTCTTTGAGCCAACCTTTTTGACACCAGGCCCGCTAAGTTATTTCTTCTTGCATTTGGGGAAAACAAGGACTTTTCTAGGTTCCTGGGGCAATCTGGAATTAGGTAAAAGCTGCTTTCTTTGCAATCATTTGACATATAAGCCTGTTACTCCTTTTCCTGTTCCCCACAGCCACTTCTTGAACTGGCCTCTAGAAACATGCATTGCAAGTGATTTCTCTAACAGCTGTGCTCTTGCTTCCTTTAATCTCATCTTGCTTCTCTTTTCAACCCTGGTTACTTTCTCTTCCATCATTGCTTCCTGCTATGTTAGTCTCCTTAAATGGGTGACACTGCTTTCCCTTGATCGTTCTTTCTGATCTTAAGAAACTGCATCTTCATTGTTTATTTTTCTGCTAGTCAACTTCTAATTTATTATGAATGAGAATTTTCTTTTCTCATTCATTCATTCATTTTTGTTCTCATTCATTGATTCAAGGGAGAGAAGAGATTTCTGGTCAAATTGGAAAAGTAGATTTATATTTTAACACTTTCTCGCTGCTCTGTAATGCAGACATGGACAGAAAAAATTAAAGAAAGTCCTTATTTATCAGAAATGAACAAACAATTTAAGCCGTGAGTGGGGCTGGAATTACAGGCTTGCTGGGCTCTGGGTCTAGAAGCAGACAGTAGCTTGTTACTAGAAACAGGGACTCTAGAATGTTCCATGAGAGTTGGAGGCCTGGACACAAATTTGTTACTTGAAGCTAGTACCGGAATGGGACTCAATGTTTCATAAAGGAAGATTAAGGATGGGGAAATTGCTACCAATCAATGCTTGGAGCCTCTACATCCTGGCAAATGCTTGACTTGGGAGGTGGGAGGACACAGACTCGACAGCTTGACCAGCAGCTTAACCAAGCTGCCTGCTGACTCAGTGCCTTGATTTGTAACACCTCAATTATCACCCTAGGGAATCTCTAAACTCTTCTTATGAGCTTGTGTTCTGGACTGGGGTCTGGGAAACTACACAGAGGCAACTTCAAAACTTCTATAGAGAGGGAAAGCGAAGAGGGAGAAAAAAAATGAAAACAAAATCCATTCAGTTTAAAATAAGCCTTCATTTTAATAACTGTAAACATGTAAAGAAATCTAATGGTAAAAAAGAAATGGATTAATAACAAATAAGATTAATTTATTAATTTTATTTTATTAACTTAGTCTAACCAAGACTTTGAAATATATATATTTAAGGTATTTAAGGAGAAAAAAGGAGGCATAAAATTTATGAAAAATAAGAAATTATAAAACAAAAGCAACAAAAATGAAATCTGAAATGAAAAGGAATGAGTTAGAAATTTTGGAAAATAGAGCAGTGTTTCCCTTATTATCTGATCGTGTTTTCACTCCCAAGTTCTGGAATACTCAGGGTGGTAAACTTGCCACTGGATGATTACCAGTTGAAATTCTTTAGGGGGTGGGGAGGGAAGAGAAGCCAGAGAACTTTCAAAAAGATAAACAAAATCAATAAACCTTTATCTAGATTAAGAAAGAAAAAGAGAAGACCCAAACAAATAAAATTAGAAATGAAAAAGGAGACATGACAACTGATGCCAGAAAAATACAGAGGATCATAACAGACAATTATGAACAATTATACACCAACAAATTGGAAAATCTACAAGGAATAGATAAATTCCTGGGCACATGTAACCTACCAATACTGAATTGTGAAGAAATAGAAAATTTGAACAGCCCAATAGTGAGTAAGGAGATTGAGTCAGGAGTGAAAAGTCTCCCATCTAAGAAAAGCCTGGAACTTGATAGTTTCACTGTGAATTCTACCAAACGTTTAAAGAAGGACTAATACCAGCTCTTCTTAAGCTATTCCAAAAAACTGAAGAACAGGAAATTTTTCCTTACTCTTTCTCTAAAGCCAACATTACCTTGATACCCAAACCTAACAAAGACAACAACAAAAAAAGATGGCCAGGTGCGGTGGGTGGCTCACGCCTGTAATGCCAGCACTTGGGGAGGCCGAGGTGGGCAGATCACTTGAGCCCAGGATTCTAGAACAGCCTGGGCAAATGGCAAAACCTCGTCTCTACAAAAAATACAAAAATGAGCTGGGTTTGATGGTGAGCACCTGCAATCCCAGCTACTTTGGAGGTTGAGGTGGAAGGATGGCTTGAACCCGAGAGGCAGAGGTTGTAGGGAGCCGAGATCACATGACTGCATTCCAGCCTGGGTGATAGAGCCAGACCTTGTCTCAAAAAAAAGAAAAAGGAAAAGAAAACTACTAGTCAATATCCCTGATGAACTTAGACACAAAAATCCTCAACAAAACACTAGCAAATCAAATTTAACAACACTTTGAGAAGATTATTTACCATCTTCAAGTGAGATCAAGATGAATCCACTCCAGGCAAATGAGGATGGTTCAATATATGCAAATCAATAAATGTGATTCATTAACAAAATGAAGGACAAAAACCAAGATGTAGAAAAAGCATTTGACGAAATTCAACATCACTTAATCATAAAAACTAACAATAAATTAGGTATAGAAGGAATGTGCCTCAACACAATAAAAGCCATGTATGACAGACCCACAACTAACATCATATTGAATAAGAAAAAGCTGAAAGCTTTTATGGTAAGATTTGGATAAGGCAAAGATGCCCATTTCTTACCACTTTTACTCAGCATAATACTAGAAGTCTTAGCCAGAGTAGCTAGGCAAGATAGAAAAATAAAAGGTATCCAAATTGGAAAGGAGGAAGTAAAATTATCCGTGTTGGCAGATAACATGATCTTACATACAGAAAACCCTAAAGACTGTGCCAAAAAGCTGTTAGAACTAATAAATGAATTTAGTAAAGTTGCAGGATACAAAATCAACACACAAAAATCAGGAGTGTTCCTATATGCTAATAGCAAACTATCTGAAAAAAAAATTAAGAAAACAGTTCTATTTATAATAACTACCAAAAATAACTAGAAATAAATTTAACCAAGGAAGTGAAAGATCTTTACAATGAAAACTACAAAAAAACTGATGAAAGAAATTGAAGAAGACACAAGTAAATGAAAAGATATCCTGTGTGCATGAATTAGAAGAATTAATATAGTTAAAATGTCCATATTACCTGAAGTGATCTACAAAATCAATGCAACCCCTGTCAAAATACCAATGACATTTTTCATGGAAATAGAAAATCCTAAAATTTGAATGGAACCACAGAAACCTTGAATAGTCAAAGCAATTCTGACCAAAAAGAACAAAGCTGAACAAAGGTGTAACACTACCTGATTTAAAAATATACAACAAAGCTAAAATAACCAATAAAAACAGACAAACTAATGGAACAGAATAGAGAGCCCAGAAATAAATCCACAATTTACAGCCAACTGATGATATTCATCAAAGGTGCTACGAACACATTTTGGGAAAGGTCAGTCTTTTCCATAAATTGTGTTGAGAAAACAGGATATCCACAGGCAGAAGAAGGGAACTAGACCCTTATATAAAAAATGAACTCAAAATGGATTACAGACTTAAGTCTAAGACCCCAAATGATGAAACTACTATAAGAAAACATTGGAGAAATGCTTCATGACATGGGTATGGGCAAATATTTTTTTGGATAAGACCTCAAAATCACAGGCAACAAAAGCAATATTGGAAAAATGGGATTACAACAAACTAAAAAACTTCTGCACAGCAAAGAAACAATTAGCAGAGTAAAGAGACAACTTATAGACTGGAAGAAAATATTTGAAAACTACACGTCTGACAAGAGGTTGATATCCAAAATATAAAAGGAACTCAAACAACTCAATAGCAAGAAAACAAACCTATTACAAAATGGGCGAAAGACTTGAATAGACACTTCTCAAAAGAAGACATGTAGGCTGGGCACGGTGGCTCATGCCTGTAATCCCAGCATTTTGAAAGGCTGAGGTAGGCAGATTGCTTGAGCACAGGAGTTCAAGACCAGCCTGGGCAACAGGGTGAAACCTTTTCTCTGCAAAAGAACCCCACAAAAATTAGCCTGGTGTGGTAGGGTGTTCCTGTAATCCCAGCTGTTTGAGAGGCTGAGGTAGGAGGATCACCTGAGTTGGGAAGGTTCCCAAATATGAAAAATGAAAAACTAATTACACCACTGCTCTCCAGCCTGGACAACAGAGTGAGACTCTGTCTCAAAAAGAACAAAAACCAAAAACAACTGCATAATCTCTCATGTGAAATCTAAACAAGCTGATCTCATAGAAGGAGAGAGTAGAATGGTGTTTACCAGAAACTGGGGTGGTTATGAAAGAGAAGATGAGGAGATGTTGGTCAAAGGATATATAATCAATCACAGATAGAAGGCAGGAGGAAAAAATTTTTGCCCAGAATAGGCAAACATATAGAAACAGAAACCAGACAAGTGAGTGCCTGTGGCCAGGAGGTACTGGGGAGAAGATAGGAGGAGAAGAAGAGAAATGGGGAAATTACTGCTAATGGTTGTGGAGTTTATTGGATGAGGAAAACGTTCTAAAATTGATCGTGGAGATGGCTGCACAACTCTGTGAACATACTAAAAACATTGGAGTGTGCATTTTAAGTGTGTGAATTGTATGATACGTGAATTATATCTCAATAAACATTTTAAAAATAGAAATCTTGGAAAATAGAAAAAATTATGGCTTTTGGAATACAAAAATTTTATACTTACAGGGATGATTAGGGAATTGGAAGGTAGTACTGAAGAATGCCCTCAGCATGCAGCACAGAGAGAGAAAGGGGTAAAACATGAAAGCGTGTTGAAGAGACAACAGATGCTAGGTGGTGAGGAACCAACATTGGCCATTATATTTTGATGGCACATTATAACCCCATGTCTGTGATTCTTAAAAGTTGGTCAAACAGTGCTATATTTGAAGAAAATTGACTTATAGAGTAGGATTATACAAAACATGTGTATTAGTCTGTTCTCACGCTGCTAATAAAGACATACCTAGGACTAGGTAATTTATAAAGGAAAGAGGTTTAATAGACTCACAGTTCCATGTGGTTGGGGAGTTCTCACAATTATGTCAGAAAGGGAAGGGGAAGCAAGACACGTCCTACATGGCGGCAGGCAAGAGAGAGCTTGTGCAGAACTCTCATTTATAGAACAATCAGATCTTGTGAGACTTATTCACTACCATGAGAACAGCATGGGGAACCTGCTTGCATGACTCAATTATCTTCACCTGTCCCTGCCCTTGACAAGTGGGGATTATTACAATTCAAGGTGAGATTTGGGTGAGGACACAGCCAAACCATGTCAACATGCAAAGTAATGAAAAACACCAGATTCAGGATAAGCTATTTCTTCTGATGTGGGTTGAGAGTGCAGGTGAGAAAATCTTCACACTGCCACCATCTCATCATCCCTTTGACTTGTCTCACCCTCCTTAGAAAAATAATCACGGGGTGGGGAAGCTTCTCTGGGACATGAACAAATGAAGTCTATTTGTCATTTTGCCTTTAATTGCTTTTAATTAGTATAAACTTCATTACTAAAACATTTTAGCTATATCTGCGATTTTTTCTTTAGATATTACATATGTAAACAAAATATCACAAAACATTAAGATTCATTGGGGTGGCATGAGGGTACCTGAACATTCATTACTTTAGCCTCATTATTATACTTTTTTGTAGAAGGGAAATATTTTATTTGAAAATAAATTTCCAAAATTCAAAAGAAGCCATTTATTTAGCATAAGTGTTCAGAGCACTGGTTCTGGAGTTAGGTTTCTTGGGTTATTTCCTAACTTCTCAACTACAGCTGACCATTGAAAAACATAGGAAGTTAGAGGCACCAATCCCTTATACAGTCAAAAATCCACATATAACTTTTGACTCCCTGAGAACTTAACTATGAATAGCCCACTGTTGAACAGAAGCCTTGTTAGTAACATAAACAGTCAATTAACACATATTTTCTATGCTATATGTATTATATGCTGTATCCTTCAATAGAGTAACTAAGAAAATATTATTAAGAAAATCGTAAGAAAGAGAAATATATTTACTATTCATTAAGAAGTGGATCATCTTAAAGGTCCTCACCCTCATTGTCTTCACAACAAGTAGGCTGAGGAAGAGGAGGAAGAGGTGGGTTTGGTCTTGCTATTTCAGAGGTGGCAGAGGGAGAAGTGGAGGAGGTGGAAGGGAAGGCAGGCACACTTGGTATAACTTTTATTGAAAAAAATCTGCGTATAAGTAGACCTAGGCTCTTCAAGCCCATGTTGTTCAGAGGTCAACTAAGATAGTTTTGCGACTTTGGGCCAGCTGCCAAATCTCTCGCTATGCCACAGTTTTGTCCTCTGTAAAATGGATGTCATTATGGTGCCTAATTCTTAGAGGTAATTGAGGATTAAATGATATATAGATAGATAGATAGATAGATAGATAGATAGATAGATAGATAGATAGATACATACATACATACATACAGTCAAATACCTAGAAAATTTAGAAAATATGAATATGTAAAAAGAATAAAACAATCTCATTCAAATCATACAAATATTTTGATGGTTAAAGCTGCTGTCTTTTATTTCCTTGTGGTTTTGCATATAAATATAATGAATCCAAGACCCTCATGCAGTTGGGGGTCCAGCAATCAAAAGTAGTATTTAAAGATCTCAAATTCTTCATTGCCACTTCTCCAAAACCATGAAAGGATTCAAATACACTTTCATAGTAACGATTCAGGTGAGAAAATCTTCACACTGCCACTGTCTCCTCTTCTTCTGTCCTCTTCTATCCTATTTCCTCATACCCTGATGCTGTTCCACACCTTCTAGAAAATTCTTCCTCTTCTCCAGCTCAAGATACCTTCTCTCTATACTTCTACTGCAGCTCTTTATTATGTGGATTTAGTTGCTCTTTTGGTGGAAGTCTTGCTCCTTTTTCTTCCTCTTTAGTTCCTGTTCTCTCTCCATTATTCTGATTACACATCACAAAACTTAAATAATTTCAGAAAACAGAAAACCAGGAAAATTCTTGCCTTCTATCTCTTTTTTTTTTTTTTTTTTTTTTTTTTGAGATGCAGTCTCACTCTTGCCCAGGCTGGAGTGCAATGGCCAATGGTGCAATCTCGGCTCACTGCAACATCTGCCTCCTGGGTTCAAGCAATTCTCCTGCCTCAGCCTCCAGAGTAGTTGGGATTATAGGTGCCCGCCACCATGCCCAGCTGATTTTTTGTATTTTTAGTAGAGAAAGGATTTCATCATGTTGGCTAGGCTGGTCTTGAACTCATGACCTCAGGTGATCCACCCGCCTTGGCCTCCCAAAGTGCTGGGATTACAGGCTGAGCCACCCAGCCCAGTCCTTGCCGTCTCTTAAGGTAAGATGTCATTGATGGGGATGGTGAAGGTAGCTTGGGGGTCATGGTGGCAGTGATATGAGGAACCTGAACAGACAGAGATTGAATTCACTTTGGAGGGAGAAGGAAGAATGTGAATATTATCGTGTTACAATTTTATCTTATTTCCTATTAACACAAGCTAATATTGTTTATATTAATTTAAAACCACCTTTTAATATATTACAAATATTGCCCTTGTCTGTAATATTTTTCTATAACACCATTTTTCTTTGCATAATATCCCATAATATGTATTAAACATTTCCCTATAGTTGTTTCCAATTTTTTACTACAAAGCTTTGTGATCATCTTCATATCTGTAACTATGTTCATACATAAATTCTTAGAGAAGCATTGTTGAGTCCAAGGATATAGCAAATGTCTAAAATATTTTGGCGTCAGTGCTGTGAGCCACAAATGAGCTTTTTTCAAATATTAACATTTACAGCTATTATCCTTCATATATTACAACCCACAGATAATTTAGGGGAAGATTTTTATTTGTTTGTTTTTGTTTTGTTTTGTTTTGTTTTGTTTTGAGACGGAGTCTGGCTCTGTCACCCAGGCTGGAGTGCAGTGGCACGATCTTGGCTCACTGCAAGCTCCACCTCCCGAGTTTATGCCATTCTCCTGCCTCAGCCTCCCAAGTAGCTGGGACTACAGGAGCCTGCCACCACGCCCGGCTAATTTTTTGTATTTTTAGTAGAGATAGGGTTTCACTGTATTAGCCAGGATGGTCTCCATCTCCTGACCTCATGATCCGCCCGCCTTGGCCTCCCAAAGTGCTGGGATTACAGGCGTGAGCCACCGCGCCTGGCCTAGGGGAAGATTTTTGTCATCAGCTATTGTCTCAGCTTTCTTTGCAGAGATTTAAATATAACAGTCTTTTCAGTGGAGTGATAAATCTGTCTTTAAGTACTAGGCAGATCCAGGATGGTACAAAATTAACATCAAAGGACCTTTGTAAAATGATGCCTTTTGATGATCTTGTGACAAGGGTCAGGAGATGCGGAGAAGGGAAAGGGAATTGGTCTGGCAGGCTGAGGAATGTGCTCCACATGCAAGTGAAAAAGCGAGGATCTGCTAAGCTCCCGGAAACTCTGCCTCTTGATTAGTCATCCTGGGACATTACCCAACCTTCCTTGTGTCTGTTGCTGCTGAGTTTCATAATCCCATTCAATCTACACTATAATCCCATTCAATTTTACAATCCATTATAATTCTGAGTATGAAACAGATATTTGGGGAGTGCGAAAAGGAGAAGGGAAAAAGCAAGCAAAGAAAGTGTCTTCCAGACCAAGCATGCAGTCATTGAGAGGAAGAATCTGGAGTTCGTCAGGTTGACCATATTCATACCCTGCCAACCAGCTCAAAGAATCTTATCTCTATGGTTTTGCAGAGAATTGTCTGTGAGAGACAAACGTTGAAGCTTCTGCTGTATTAATGATTGTGAACAACCCAAATTCTTGTACAACTTTGAGTCCAAATCATACAATTTGGTACCTGACAGCTTTGTTTTATTTCTTGAGTATAACTCTTGATTCTCCAGTGAGGTGATAATTTATTGGTGGCCCGGATCACATCTTCTTTGAATTTCTCTCTCTAGCACCCAGCTCAGCACTGGTCTCACATGGGTTGTAGTCAGCATCCCACTTGCTTAAAATGGGCATTAGAATGAAACCTCCTCAATGTCAGGATTTTTAAGTTTTAACTTAATGGAGTGAGAAAAGTTAAATGTCTTCTGGGGAAGTTGGAATCAAACTTCAAGACACACTGGAGATCTGTAAGGAAGAAGAACTGGCTTACATCTGGATTGAGGGGAGTCTTGGAAAATACACACCTCTAGAGAAGGTTTCTTCACCTCCATGTATCCATCCATTCATCCATCCACTCACCCACCTATCACCCCCTCAGCAAACATTAATTGAATATACACAACACTCCATAATCACGTGCTTTGGGTATCTGCTGGTTTCCCTGCCTGAGATGCTATTTTCTCATTCTCCCCAAAGCTTCTATTATTTTTAATGTCTCAGCTCAGATATTATCTCTTAGGAAAGATTTTTTTGAGCCCATAGACAGTTTTAGGTGCTTCTTTTCTTACGTACCACTTTGACCTGGACATACTGTCATAAAATAAATTATAATATTGTCATGTTAATGCTTGTTTCAGATCTGACTCCCACAGACTACTTCTACTACCACTAACACCAGTAGAGCATCTGGCATACAGCAGGTGCTTGGAAATATATAAAACATATGTGGAATAAATACATGGATAAATAACTATATACATTAAATGTTAGAATGTGGCATTGGCCTGAGTACCCAATTCTGAGGCGTTCTACACAATTGCAATTTAGGTAGACCATTCTTTTTTTTTTTTTTTTTTGAGACAGAGTCTCACTCTGTCACCAGGCTGGAGTGTGGTGGCGCAATCTCGGCTCACTGCAACCTCCACCTCCTGGGTTCACTCCATTCTCCTGCCTCAGCCTCCCAAGTAGCTGGGATTACAGGCTTGTGCCACCACGCCCAGCTAATTTTTTGTATTTTTAGTAGAGATGGGGTTTCACCATGTTGGCCAGGATGGTCTCTAACTCTTGAGCTCATGATCCACCTGCCTTGGCCTCCCAAAGTGCTGGGATTACAGGCATGAGCAGCGGCGCCCCGCCAACCACTCTTGAATATCAGAACAAATTACACCACTAGCAAGTGGAAGCAGGGATTTCTGTGCAAAAGCCAGCCAAAGTCAAGCTTTCAACACAGATGGGCTCTGACAAGGAAGCCCAACAGGTTTGCATCACTTAGAGATAAGTAGTTCTTTTTAGGGATCTAGAAACGAAGGCCTAGCTAAACATATTTCTGACTTCATAGTTTCACCTTATGCAAATCATTTCTCAGTATCCAAATGAGTTGGCAAAAAACGGAGTCCATATTTTATCATGGTACACCCTTCCAGGAATTTTAGTAGTTGGCTATAAATCTCTGTATGTGCTAACTGAGAAACTTCTCCTATGAAAGCTCATTTTATTTATTTATTTATATTTTATTTTCTGAGACAGAGTCTCGCTCTGTCACCTAGGCTGGAGTGAAGTGGTGCGATCTCTGCTTGCTGCAACTTTTGCCTTCTGGGGTCAAGTGATTCTCCCACCTCAGACTCCCAAGTAGCTGGGACTACAGGTGTGTACCACTATGCCCAGCTAATCTTTGTATTTTTAGTAGAGACAGGGTTTCAACATATTGGCCAGGCTGGTCTCAAACTCCTGACCTCAGGTGATCTGCCTGCCTCAACTTCCCAAAGTGTTGGGATTACAGGCGTGGGCCATAGCGCCTGGCCATTTTAGATTAAGATCATGATAATCAGAGCAACATTTATATAGCTCGATAACTGAAGTATTTTCTGGGCATGTTGGTTGAGTAAAACAATTCTCCTTTGCAGATAGGTAAGGGTTATAAACACCTGGGAGGCAGGTTTCCGTGAACCAGTCTGGGACTTGAACTCCCATTGCTTACCCTGTGTTAGAAAACATAGTCTGTGTTGCTGGGTGTGGTAGCTCACACCTGTGATCCCAGCACAGGGAGGGATGGGAGGATGAGGCGGGTGGCTCACCTGGAGTTAGGAGTTCGAGACCAGACTGGGCAACGTGATGAAACTGCATCTCTACTAAAAATACAAAAATTAGCCGGGCGTGGTGGCGGGCGCCTATAATCCCAGCTACTCGGGAGGCTGAGGCAGGAGAATCACTTGAGCGCAGGGGGCGGAGTTTACAGTGAGCCAAGATTGTGCCACTGCACTCCAGCCTGGGTGGCAGAGCAAAACTCTGTCTCAAAAAAAAAAAAAAAAAAAAGGAAATAAAAAAATATAGTCTGTTTTTCAAACAATGAATTTACAAACAGATTTTTGGAACACAAGGCTTGTGTATATACTTCTCACCAAATTTACATGGGTCCCTATTGCTGCTGAACATCCGAACTTTAAACATGGTGTTTGAGGCCTTCTTACCTTTCCAGACTTACCTCTCACCTTGCTCCACCTAGCTGTGTTATGGCCAAACTGAACTACATGCGCTTACTCAGCCTACAACGCTTTCTTGCTGCTATACATTTGCTCATGCTGTCCCCCCACTTCTGTTTGTTAAGATCCTACCCTAGCTTTAAGAATCAACTATGGCCTTTCCTGATCAATTAAACATGATCACTTCTTCCTGTAAGTACTAAAGGTACTTTATCATTTAAAAATGATGACAGTTGTCATTTATTGGCAACTCCTATACACTGACCTTTGTACGAGGCACTTTAGAAACATTGTTTAGCATAATCATCATGAAATTATATGGGGATAGGCATGCATTTCAGATGTGCCTCTTCCATGGTGCTCTCCCTTTCTCTACTGACTGGCCAAATGCACAGGAGGACAAGGTTTGAGAGCAGAAGTCGGCAAACTGTGGCTCACAGGCCAGATCGGTCCTGCTGCCTGATTTTGTAAAAAAAGTTTTACTGGAATGCAGCCATGCCCATTCATGTACATATTGCCTATGGCTACTTTTGTGCTACAGTGGCAGAGTTAAATAGTTGTGACAGAGACCATAGGGCACACAAAGCCTAAAATACTTACTATATGGCTTTTTTTTTTTTTTTTTTTCAGATGGAGTTTTGCTCTTGTTGCCCAGGCTGGAGTGCAATGGTGCCATCTAGGCTCGCTACAACCTCCACCTCCCAGGTTCAATGGATTCTCCTGCCTCAGCTTCCTGAGTAGCTTGGATTACAGGCATGTGCCACCACACCTGGCTAATTTTGTATTTTTAGTAGAGATGGGATTTCACCATGTTGGTCAGGCTGGTCTCGAACTCCTGATCTCAAGTGATCCACCTGCCTTGGTCTCCCAAAGTGCTGGGATTACAGGCATGAGGCACCATGCCTGGCCCTATATGGCCTTTTACAGAAAACATTTGCCAGCCTCTGGACTAAGAGTATGGTGGAACCACAGGATGAAAAGATCCCGACTCCCTGATTGACTACATGGAGCAAAACTCCTCATCTTCCCCAATCCAGTCAATCTACACTGAACTGTAATAGAAGTGAGAAACAAGTTTTTATTCTGTTAATACACCAAAATCTCCTAGTTATTTTTTCCAGTAGGTAGCCTGGCTTCACTAATACAAGAGCGAAGTAAGGATGCTAACTATCTGGATGGCAACCAAACAATTCCTCTTTCCATGATTCACGAATATGTGAAGTTTGCTGCTAAGTTATTCTGTTGGCATCAAAGGCCTTTTAAAATTAGAAGAGGATAAGGGAAATTCTAAGACTCAAAACAGGAATGTGCTCCACAAAATAACTTTCATGAAGGGTGTGGCGATTGAGTTGCTAGTGATTTAACTGAGTCAGTAAGAACGGTAGGAAAAAAGGCCCAACAATTTCTGATCCATATACTTGGTTGGGATTCAACTGAGGAAGGAAAGATTGAGAAAATGTGTGAAGCTCTTCTGTGTGCCAGGATCTTCCAGAGTTAGAGGAACTGAAACTGAGGAGCAGATATTCACTTCTCACAGCTTCTCTCTTGAAAGAGCAGTTTGTGACAACCTTTTATTTCTTTAATGAGAAATGCTGGGGAAATGAACCCAGAGATAAACATGAACTTTCCCCTGATTTCTGGCATGCTGGAAGTGACTCAATGTCCTAGTTGGAATTTGAATTAAGTTAACAGCATTTATCTGCTTATCTTTGGATTGTATTTTTTTTTTGAAAGGAGAATAGCATTGTCAGTAATTTACACATTCTCCAGTGGCCATTGGGGCTCCTAACCCATGGCCTTCCTTAGGGATAACAGAATGAAGATATCTATCCTCTTGCTAGTTGTTCTTTGATTTATCAGAACATAGTGATCTTGAAACCATAAAGCCAGTTATAAATTAACTGATCTTAGCTTCTCAGTTTCATGGAATCATCAAAGTTCAAGTTGGATAACTATTGCTAAGATTATTTATGAGGGCCCTGCCCAAATATTTTGCACGAAAGACATAGGCATAGGTGACTACTGGCAACAGTGCAGCTTCTCTGCTGATCTCCTATTTGTCTAGACGGGGAGCTGCAAAATGGTATCACATTCCTCCTGCAGATATGTTATGTGTGACCCATATAGTGTTTCAAAATCAGAATGATTTCACACAAAAATGCAGCTTTGAACTTCTCTAAAAAACATAGGATGATCTAAAAATACTGGACCCATATTCTCATGCATTAATGATAAGTTGGAGCTAGAATTAGACAGGCATGCATGCACCTTCTAGCTTGGTGTGGTTTCCAATGCCCTCTCTTATCTTAGCCCGGGCCTGCTGGTTTTTACATTACTTTTCTGACATCTGTAGGCATCAGAGTTCCTGGATCTCATTCCCGGGCTCCTTGTTGTCTCCTCTGCTTGCCTCAAAGTTTTTGTTTGTTTGTTTGTTTGTTTGTTTAATAGAAAGAGGACAGATTTCGGATTCTGATAACCTGGATTGGCATCTTAGATCTACCATTATGTGACCCTGAACACAAGTTATTTGATGTCTCTAGTTTCCTTTTTTATAAAATGCCTAAAACAAAAGATGGAGTGTTTAGAAGGTTATCCAAGGTAATGCATGAAAAACCCGCTTTAGTTTCAGGCTCTCATCTTCTCCTGTAGGGCCACTGCATCAGTCTCCACCTTGGTCACCTGCATACAGTTTCGTCACTTCTCCATTCCATAATTTTAAATTACGTTGAGCACTTACTCTGTGTCTGACACAGAGCTGGGGATTCAATGTTTGGTGAAAACAGACTCAGTCTCTATCCTCATGAACCTTGCAGTGCTACTGGGGGACGCAGAACTAATCAAATAGTCATACACATAGATGTAAAATTGTCATGGGGTCAAGCACTATGAAGTGGATCACCTTAGCATTAAGAGAACATGTGACAAGATTCTTAACAAGGCCAGGGGGTCAGACAAGGCTCTTGTGGAGAGCATTGCTAAGTTGAGATCTGAAGGTAAGAAGAAATTGTTCAGTTGAAGAGGAGTGAAAATAATATTCTAGGCAGTGAGAGCCACATGTGCAAAGGCTCTGTGGGAAGAGAAAACATAGAAAACACAAGGCACTAGAAGAAATCCGGTGGGTCAAGAGAAGGGGGAATAAGGGAGAGTTGGGGGCATGAGGCTGGAGAGAGGGAGGTAGGGGCCAAATGGCATTGCAGGTGATGTTCAGGAACTTTATCATCTTAAGAATAGCGGGAAAGCCACAGAAGATTTCAGCGAGGGGTAGGTGCAACATGATAAAATTTCCTTCATGAAAAGGTAACTCTATCTGGAGTGAGGACATCAGATGGGAGGAAATATTAGGTTGAATGCTATGGAACTGCCACTTCCAGGCTGGTTTTGACTTACAAGATAGCAATTTTATATGGTACCACCTGATAGAGTGGATGCAGGGTAGACCAGTTAGGAGACTGGTGAGAGATGATAGTGGTTTGAACTAGGATGAGGTTTTGGAAATGGACAGAGTGGGCAGATATTTAGAAAGTAAAATTAATTAGCCTTAGTGATGAATTGGTATGGGGGTGTCAGGGACAACTCATGTGCCTTAATGGGAAGTGGTGCCATTTGTGAGTAGGGTGCATTGGCAGATGAACAGGCTTGGTAGGCAGGAATGATTTCCCTTTTAGCTAAAAGTGCCTTTGCAACAACCAAGAGGAGATGGTCTCTCAATGTCTCTATAGAAATATCTTGCTTTGGCTTTTGCGGGATTCCTAGGGCTTTGAATGACCCTATATACTATGTTAAATTATCAGTTTAAGGTTCCACACCATGAAGGTTTTATAAATTAAGGCCCCAGACTTGTGGGTAGTATAAGATCGTAGTTTGATTTTCATTGGTGAATGTTTTTTTAGCCCTCTGAAACCACACATAATAGCTTGTTTATGCAGATAGCTCAATTTCATTCTTTCCCTTCTTTAGGCCTGAATTTTTTTTTTTTTTTTTTTTTTTTGAGACAGAGTCTCACTCTGTCACCCAGGCTGGAGTACAGTACAGTGGTACAATGTTGGCTCACTGTAACCTCTGCCTCCCAGGTTCAAGCAATTTTTGTGCCTCAGCCTCCCAAGTATCTGGGACTACAGGTGCATGCCACCAAGCCTGGCTAATTTTTGTATTTTTAGTAGACATGGAGTTTTGCCATGTTGGCCAGGCTGGTCTTGAACTCCTGGCCTCAAGTGATCCGCCCGCCTCAACCTCCCAAAGGGCTGGGATTACAGGCATGATCCACCACACCTGGCCTTATTATTATTATTATTATTTTTGGTAGGCATGAGAAATGTAGCTCCCTTTCCCTAAGGGGTCCATATTGCCACCTGAAACTCCCATGGCCTCCTCCTGTTATCAGCTCATGTTTATTCCTCTGACTTGATTTCATGCTATTCCCGGCACTGGAAATTTCTTTTTTTCTGATTGAACTTGGTTATGTGGAAAATATTTTTTCTATATTTTGTTCAGGATTTCTGTGTAGTAAGGGGCCTGTTTATGTCAACTCAGTGGTCTGGGTGGTCAGAAGCAGTCTAGTAAATTTTCTACACATATTAGTATAATTATTTTCTAATTGTTCTTCTTCTTTTTTTTTAATGGAGTCTTGCTCCATCACCTAGGCTGGAGTGCAGTGGCACAATCTTGGCTCACTGCAACCTCCGCCTCCTGGATTCAAGCGATTCTTGTGCCTCAGCCTTCTGAGTAGCTGGGATTGCAGGTGCACACCACCACACCTGGCTACTTTTTGTACTTTTAGTAGAGACAGGGTTTCACCATGTTGACCTGGTTGGTCTCAAACTCCTGGCCTCAAGTGATCCCCCTGCCTCAGCCTCCCAAAATGCTGGGATTACAGGTGTGAGCCACTGCGCCCAGCCACTTTTCTGCCATTTGACGTAAGTATGCATCTCTTGTCACATGGCAGGGAAATCCTGCAGACCAGTTGTTATCTGGGACTGGGCTTCAGGCTCAAGGAATATAAGAGTGTGTATACATCCTGGGTGCTGAACTTGAAGTTTGATGTCAGATGGAAGTTGCTTTGCAAGACCTTCAGAAGGACATCTCTGATTCCCACCCCTTACCACAGTGTCTGGCATCTAATAGTTGCTAAATAAATGTCTGTGTCATTGAATTGAAATGGAAACAATTATAAGTGGAGAAGAGGGGAGTTCTTGGCATATGCTTCACGATGATATAAAAATTCTGTGATTGGGACACAGAATTGCAATCAGGATGGTTTTTCCAAACCCCAGAATGATTTGTATTCTCAATGGAGCATCCAACTTACTGTTCCATCGCCTCTCACCCATGCATAAAATATAGATGGCAACACTACTGTCTGAAGTTCTTAGATAAAACTTTTATGGATAATTCACTTTCATTCACATATCATACACTGATTATTTACTATGTGCAAAATTTGTTTGCTAGGTTCTATCAGATACAAAATGGTGACTAAGACATGGGCTCTACTCTCTGTCCTCATCCACTCTACAGTTTAACTGTAATGGGTGTGGGCAAAAGTGTATAAGTAACTGAAGTCAAAGTAATAATTCCTTATCAGATGCTTTCAGTGTGCCAGGGACTGTGCTAAGACTTTTACTTGGATCAGGTCATTTGATCCTTACACAACTCTGTGAAGTGGGAGCTATTATTGTCTCCATTTTACCAATGACGGAACTGAAGCACAGAAAAGTTAAACATCCACAAGGTCACACAGCAAGAAAGAGATGGAGCCAGGACTGAAACCCAATCATTCTAGTTTCAGACCTCAAAGGTTCAAATATTTTGCTATATGGTTGCCCAAATAATCCATGATGGATGGTGATATGTTCTGGAACAGATGTTCAAGCTCAGGCTGTGTGCACAAAGGAAGGCTCAGGAAAAGCTCTATAGAGAAATCTGTTTTTACACAGTCTTAAAGAATGAGTAATATTCTGACAAATAGTGATGGGCAAAGAGGTGTCCTAGGAGTAGGAAATTGCCTGAGCAGAGACAGAGGGCAGAAGAAGGCACCACTGCATGTTTGGGAAACTGAAAATAAACAGTTCAACGTGGCTGAATGTGAGATAAAGGAGGAAAGAAGAGTTGGTTGGGACTTAAGTTTCAGATGAAGACCTTTGGAGCAGGAGGTGGGGAAGAGACAAGTGACATTTCTCTCACTGTTGGTCATAAAAACAGTAAATCCTATGAACAACTGAAGCTTCTAAAATCGACTCAGCCTACTCTCTGTTTGGGAGCAGTAGTGGGGCATTTATCCCAAGGAGGAAATCAGATGACTTTGGAGGTTTTAAAATCTTTTCTGGAGTTCAAAGGCAAGGCTTCTTAACCTGGGGGCTCTGGACTCATGGATGGGTGTCAGGGCGCTTGGCACCTCAGGAAATTGTGGGCCAAGTTTTGCATTGCATGAACGTATGTGTTTTTTGTCGAGGAAGATTGTTCATAAGATGCCTCAGTTTCTCTAAGGGTACTTGATCAAATACCCTTTGCAAACCACTGTTCTGAGCACAGAGTCAGCACCCATCTTTCTGGGGCCTTCCTGGGACTGAGGAACTGGAACCAATGTTGTGCAAAAGTCAGAACTGAGAGTTTAAGTTCCAGATTCACAAGTAAAACTTCCCAGGGAAATACCACCGCTGTGCATCAGTGGAGGCCTGCTTGGTGTTCACCTTTGCCCTGGGATTGCAGGCTACCCTGCTGGGCAGTCCCGAGCAGGTGGTACTAGGTAAAGGCACATCTCATGTGAGGTGTCAGCAGGAACTGGAGCTTCTGTCCCAGGAGGTTTACAAGAGTATTAGGAAGCTGAAGTTTCCAGGCAGATGACAGCTGTCTGGAAGGATCTCTACCCATTGCATTGCAAACCCAACCCACTGGAGTCACTCAGCAAGGAAGCAGTCTTGAGAATGAGGCAATCTGTGGGCAAAGCCTATGAGAAAATCCTTCATTTCCTTCTCTTTGTCACATCATTTCAACACTTGCCTGGCAGGCCCTGCCATTCCCAATACCAGCTGAGGTGACTGAGGGCAGGAAGGCAGATATGCCAGAGATGAAAACAGGGTCTCCAGGCAAATCCTTTGATTCATGGAAATAGCTGTGGTAGAGGCTGGTTTGGTCATTAGTGGCATATTTTGCATAATGATATCTTTGATAAAGGGAAACAGTCTTGTGTATATTACTTAGGATTAAGACTCTCTGCATGTGACAGAAAACTCAGGACAGCAGTGCCTTAAACATGATAAAAATTTATATCGCTCTCATGTAAATCAGATCTGGAGTTGGGCAATAAGGGCTGTTTTGGCAACTGATTCCAGATGAGCAGGGACCCAGGCTCCTTCTGGCTTGTTTTTCTTCTAAACTTCGGGGGCTGCTTCATGATCCAGGATGACTCCTCAGCTTCCAGTCATTGTGTTCATATGCCAGCACAGAGGAAGGAAGAAGAGGGGAATACGGGAGCTCCCTTCCTTTTAAGGACACTTCCCCAGAAGCCTCAAGTTTCAGCCTGTTTACATTTCACTGTCCAGAACACGTTGGCCACAAATATAATGCCCAGTGTATTCTTTTCATCAGAAAATCTCTAATTAAAAAAAAAAAAATGGGCTGGGCACAGTGGCTCACACCTTTAATCCTAGTGCTTTGAAAGGAAGATCACTTGAGCCCAGAAGTTTAAGACCAGCCTGGGCAACATGGCAAAATCCCGTCTCTACAATGAATAAAATAAAAAACATTAGCCAGGCATGAGGGCAAGTGCCTGTAGTCACAGCTACTCAGGAGGCTGAGGCGGGAGGATCCCTTGAACCCAGGAGTTTGAGGCTGTAGTGAGGTGTGATCATGCCTCTGCACTCCAGCCTGGATGACAGAGCGAAATTCTGTCAAAAACAAACAAACAAACAAAAACAAAAGCAAATCCACTATCTGCTACAGTTTCCCAGTGAATGTTGCAATAATCAAGTATTCTCTAAGAGACCACGTTAGACCTTTAAAGATTATTTTCTCGGGTCATACTCCTGTTAGGAATCTAGGCTAGAATCTGTTGCCTGGTACTTACAGGCCTATTCTAATTAAAGAGGCAGAGATTCATAGTGGTTTACAGCTTCAAGAGGGCTTAAAAGGTGTTCCTTCTAACTGCATAATTTCACAGATAGGGAAACAGACGCCCATAGAGACTTAAAAATACACAGTGAAAACAGGTTGGGGTCATGAAGAAAATCAGGGGCAGAGCTAGCTCTGGAACCTACATCAACTGATTTTAAGTCCAAAGTTCTTCCTGCTACCTCATAGGCTTCTTTTGAAATATCACTTAAAAAAGAAAAACTTTTACACTGATGGTTCACTGGAAATTCAAGGATATTGGGAGTTTTCTTGTAATTGAACTTTCTGTCAAAATCCCTTTGCTTCAATTGATTTTAGGGAATATTTCTAACATTTACCAATTCTTTTTCCTGACCTCATTCAAGTTAAGTGTGATAGATGGAATTTATATTTTCTTTAAGTTTGCACTATTTTGTGGTGGATTAGGGTCATTGTTTGGTCATCAGCTCACATTTCCCACCTCACTACAGATTAAAGTTTAGCAATGTTTTATAAGAGATGCAAAATATTCACTGATTTTCTTCTGACATTATAAGTATGTGTTTGTGTGAATGTTATGAACAAGAATAAGGTAGCCGAAGGTCTAGAAATACCAGGAAAGATAGCCTGATAGAAGCAGTTGGCTCATTTTTAATAAAAATGATTCCATGTACCCCTTATGGCATTTGTGCAATAACTTAGCCAATATTTATTATAGGGCATTGGGCTGAACGTTCTGTGACCTTGTGATATCCTCTAGAAATTATTGGTTTTTCAAAAATAAATCCCTTATACGAGCTTGTTTAATAGCTGCTAGAGAGGGTTTTTGTGGGTTTTAATAAGGTATAAGTGATGTCCTGTAGGCTGCTGCCAGATAGGAGCTTTGGTGTCATTTTTCATTGGGAAAGAGAGTGGTTTTTCTAAAGGTCTGGGGGAGGGGTGTGGGAAGTTGGGGGAATGAGTAGCTTTCTCTGGATCCAGCTGGGAAAAGATGGGTTGAGTAGAACTCTTGTGCCCACCAGGAGGCCTTGGGAGCTAAGACTAAGATGCAACTCAGAGGGAAATAGCCGCCCTTCCGTGTGGTGGAGTTTAGTTTCAGCTTCAGCTCCCTGAAAATTAGGGGTCTTGGGGTCTGTGACGTCAGATGACAAATATTTGTGGATCCTCTCCAGACCTGAGGAGGTTCTCTGATAATCGGCACTTGTTGTTTAAAAGGCAGATGGTGATGAACTGGGCTGGGAAATGATCGGAGTTGCCCAGAGGTAGGGAGGGTCCCCTGACCTTTTTCAGGGGACCCCACCTATGGAGGCATATACTCAGGCACTCGATCCATGTCCCCACTGCTGCTTCTGACCCCTTCTGTCCACCTGACCCTTAGAACACACCTAATTTTCTCTTTTGACTCCTGTGATGTGCTTCTTTCTCCAAAAACAGGGCATAGCAAGGCAACAATGACCACTGTTTAAGAAGTCTGGGTCCTGGGGTTCAAAGGAACTGAGGGTTTACTTTTTCTATCTCAGGGTCTTTGCCTTGTGTCTTAAATGTATCCCCCAAATCTCTTCCTCTAGGTCTCAGTGCAAATATCACCTCTGCAAGAGACCTTCCCTGGGCTGCCCCGCCCCCAGCACTCCCTGACTTTCACACTTTATCTCATTAACCTGCTTCACTTTCTTCAGGGCTCTGATCTCTAACTGAGCTTATCTGAGATTTGTATTTCCTCATGTGTGGTTTGCTCTGACTTCCCCCGGTAGACTGGCAGGCAGAGATGTTGTGTCCCCAGTGCTCATATAGGACCTAGCACAGGAGAGATATGTAACTGATATTTTTTATGGACTGGTTGACTGCAGCAGAATGTGATATTTTCCAGGGGAAACAGAATCCAGGTGGATCCCACTAGACTCCTGGGGGTAGCCCACTAACCCCAAATCCTGGGGAAACCATGTCTTCTTTTTATCATCTCACATACATGGACTTTTTCTTTAGAGATCTTAGCACTGTCTGTAAGTATGTATTTGTAAGATTATTTATTTAAGGCCTGTCTGTCTTACTAGGACAAGGATTCATAATCATTTTGTGCCAAGGTTTGCTTTGTTATCTGATGAGGCCTATGGACTCTTTCTCAGAACAATGCATAAAATAAAACACATAGGATTATGAAGAAGACCAATTATACTGAAATACAATCATCAAAGTGTTGAAATACAAATTTATGATATGGTTACATATGTGCTTTTTCATTAACACAAAATCTGGTGGAAGATTTAAACCTACCATAATTCTTGAGCGGTGATGGACACAATTGACTTTTTGAGAAATCTGCAAACACTGTAACTTGATATGAACATGTCTGTGGTTTCTATTGGTGACAGAGGCACAGGACCTTTTTTACTGCTGTGGTTTGTTGCCTGCATTCACAATTGAGTAAAATGCTAAATTTCAGTTAGAGATGACTGAAAATAAACATCTGATTGTTTTCCTACTCATGTTTAATGACTCCCTGAAGCTGATCCATGCATTCTAGGGGGCATCCCTGAATCCTAGGTTAAGAATTCCCGCAGTAGAATATATCACTTATGTTTGGTTCACTATTTTAACACTAGCACCTAGGACATAGTTGGTACTCTTTACATATTTGTGAATGGAAGAAAGGAAGGGACTTTTCTGTGTCTAACACTATTCTCAGAACAAGTTTGCTGAATGAATGAGTGAATTCTGCAGACAAGGCAGTGAGCTATGCAGTAATAAATGAGAGCACCCTCTTCCCCTGCCGGTTCCAGTGACAACTGTATCTTGGGTGAGGTCCTTTTTATTCTGGTGAAATCCATTGAGTGCCTCACCCACAACTAACACTGAATAAGTATTTGAATGATGAAACGCCGCTAAACCTGAGAGAGACAAACACCACCTGTAATTGATCAGGTATGATGGATCAGTGCATTGGGACTTCCATCAGACCAGCCAGCTTTCTCTTTGGGCTGTCTTTGGTTTCCTTTTTCATAGCAGCATCAGCAGCTTTTATTAGCCAATGTCTTTTGCTTGACAGCATCTTTCAGTTGGAACCAGGCTTGCCTTCACCACCTGCCCTTGGTGAATTGTCTTGGATGGACCCCCTTTCCTGTCCTGTGGGACGAGAGAGTCCTGTGGGATAGCAGGCTCACTAGTAAGCTGGTCCTGTCATATGACAGAGATTATTTCAGCCTTTCATGAATATCAACTGGAAAGACCACTGCTATGTAGATTATTGCTTTCACAGTGCTTTACAAGTCAGCAGTCACTGACAGTAATTAAAGGGAAACTCAGTGCTGGTGAAGATGTCAAATTCACTATTCAATGCCTCAGAAAAATTCTTAATATGTCAGCAGTGCAGAAGCGAACGTGCAACTTTGGTAGCAGACACTTTTTTAAAATTTTGGAATGCTTTCTAAGACCAGAATAAATAAATATTCATGCAAGTGCTACAAAAATGAAGGCTCTATTTCTTAATGGGGGAGATATAAATAGCTTGGGGAAAATATATAACAATTTCAGGTGGCTATTATAACTAGATGTTATACATGGACTAGTTTTATTGTAATTGCAAGGTGCAATCCATCTTTCTATGTTATATACTCAACCTATGTAATATCACCTCTTTTCTTTGTAATTTACCCAGTCTCAGGTATTTCTTTGTAACAATGCAAAAATGGACTAGTACACTGGGGCCCCATGCTTCTTGTTCAAAAGAGATCAGCGGCTGTTCAACCAGATGAGCACCTAGTGGAGTCTTTCTCCCTGACGTAATCAGAAGGATTAAACATTAGGGAGAGAAAACAAGCAGATCAAATGGTAAACATGCTCTGGTATTCCCCACCTGCCTTACCCCCGAGTTTATTGGCTTGCTTAACGTGATACTAAGTGGTGACTAATTATACTTTCCTTGGATCACAGCACCTTACGAGTAATGGTTTGAGGTTCAAGATGCTTGTCTAGCTAGATAATCATCTAATTATCCTTCTTCTCGTTAGGTTAGTGGGATATACATGGTCTCAGATAAGATACTCAAGGTAATAGAATATGGCTTCAGTGATGGAAGAAAATGATGTCCCCTCTTTTTAAACTCCTTAAAACTCCTGGCCTATTCTGCAAATGTGGCACTCAGTGGACTTGATTCTCAAATTGCATCTTCCTCTCCATGTGGCCCCCTCTTCAGTGATTCTTTGAGAATCTGTGGTTTTCAATTTTGGTTGCCCATTAGAATTACCTGGGAGTGATTTTGTTTTTTTGAACCACACATGCCTGGACCCCTCTCCAGGAGTGAGCACCACAGCTGATAGCCTTCAACAGCCAGGCTTCAGGACATTGCTCTAAATTCCCCATAACTACTCTCAGTGTATTTCTGTTCAGATCCCTGTAGACGGTGCTCAACCTGGGTAATACGGTTTAATTCTGTGTCCCTGCTCAAATCTCATGTTCAATTATAATAATCCCCAATGTGGTAGGTGAGGCCTGGTGGGAGATGATTTGATCATGGGGGCAGATTTCTCCCTTGGTAATGTCATTGAGATAGTGAGTGAGTTCTCATGAGATCTGGTTGTTTTTTGTTTTTGTTTGTTTGTTTGTTTGTTTTTGAGACAGAGCCTCATTCTGTCTCCCAGGCTGGAGTGCAGTGGCGTGATCTCGGCTCACTGCAACTTCTGCCTCCTGGGTTCAAGCGATTCTCCTGCCTCAGCCTCCCAAGTAGCTGGGACTACAGGCGTGGACCACCACGCCCGGCTAATTTTTGTATTTTTAGTAGAGATGGGGTTTCACAATATTGGCTTGAACTCCTGACCTCAAGTGATCCACCCGCCTCGGCCTCCTCAAATGCTGGGATTACAAGCATGAGCCACCGCACCTGGCCAGAGCTGGTTGTTTTAAAGTATGTAGCACCTCCCTTCCCTCTCTCTTGCTCCTCCCACTTTGCCTTCCGCCTTCGTGGTAGGTTTCCTGAGGCCTCCCCAGAAACTGAGCAGATGCCGGAATTATGCTTCCTGTACAGCCTGCAGAACGGTGAGCCAATTAAACCTCTTTTCTTTTTAAGTTACCCAGTCTCAGGTATTTCTTTGTAGCAATGCAAGAACAAACTGGTACACTGTGGCTCGTGCTTTTTGTTCAAAAGAGATTAGCAGCTGTTCAACCCAGATGAGCACCTAGTGGAGTCTTTCTCCCTGATGTAATCAGAAGGATTAAACATTTGGGAGAGAAAGGGAGCACAAATTTCTCATATTTGACGTCAGAAAGCAAAACTCATGAACTAATTCTGAGATATTTTAAAATTCCAGCTCTCAGCAATGGTGTATTTTGTAATTTATTGGATTTTAATCTAATTGCTTAATGACAGATTGCAAGGCCTGTGTCATATTTCCAAAAGATTCAGCAATTCGGTTTCCACCACCATCTCTAGCCTTATCTTGAGTTGATTGCACTTCACAGTCTACATTTCTACCATGCAGGGCAGCAACTTGAAGAAGGTTTGAATGTTCCCATCCCCTGTCCTGGCTCACATTGCTCCTCCTACATACAATACTTTTCTCTTCATCTGTACCACTTGAAATCTTACTCTTTCTTAAAGACCCAACTCAAATACTACTGTTTTTCATGAAGATTTTTCCTCCCTCCAATTCTGGAATCAACATCTTTCTCCAATATGTTTTTTTTTGTTTGTTTTTTGAGATGGACTCTGGCTCTGTCATCCAGGCTGGAGTGCAGTGGCGTGATCTCGGCTCACTGCAACCTCTGCCTCCCAGGTTCAAGTGATTCTCCTGCCTCAGCCTCCTGAGTAGCTGGGATTACAGGCACCTGCCACTACGCCCAGCTGATTTTTGTATTTTTAGTAGACACGGGGCTTCACCATGTTGGCCAGCCTGGTCCAATATGTTTTTACACCACTTTTATTTCTGTTCTAGTCTTTGCAAATTCTTACAAAGTCATTTCCAATACTTAGTTCAGAGGTTTTACAGATAGAGCAAATCCTGTAACATCCGAATTTTAACCTACCCATTTGGGCAATGTTGTGACTTGCATAAGGCTACAATCTGCATGTCTATCTTTCCCTCCTGAGGCCAATGACCTCAATAGTTAAAGCCCAGTCTCTTTTTTTGCAATACATATTTGTGGAATTAAAAATTGCCTCAGCCATCTCTAGCAGAGTTTAACTTTCAGAATAGCTTCTTCAAAGGACATCTGGCTATATCCAGTACATTTGTTCAGGATGGCTCATGAGTGACTGTTAAGTCTCAGTAAAAAGATTAAGACCTCTAGCCCAGTGTTTCTCAATTAGGCAGTGCATTCCTAAGATGGATATGTGTGGAATGTTTTTTGATTATCACAATGACTGGAGGTGTTAGCGGGTTTTAGTGGACAGGAGCCAGGAATGCTAGATATTGTGCAAAGTTTCCTCACAAAAAGAGTTGTCACATTGAAAATATCAATTGTTCCCCAACCCCTAAACCTATATTGACAGATATACCAATCCACATTACAAAATAAAAAATAAACTTGATTTGGAGAAAAGGGGGAAGCTCCTAAAACTCACTTTAAAGTCACAAGCAAAATGTCCTGGGCTTGTTATCAGATAGGCAAAGATTACAAAGTTCAATGATACCTGGTTGGTGAAACAGGAATTCTCACATAATGTAAGTGAGAATGTAACATTAGATGACCTTTTTGAGGACAACAAAATTTATTGATATTTAAAATGCACACTTTTTTGACCTAGCAATTTCACTACAAGATATTCGCCCTACAGATGTATTTACACAAGGGCCCCAAATTGCATGTATAGGAATGTTCATTACAACATTGGTTGACATTACAAAACAGCAAGAACAAACTATATATCTACCAAAAAGAAAATGGTTATGTCAGTGTTGGTACATCCAAATAATGGTACGTGACTATATGAAAAGACTGCCAAGATACATTAAGTAGAAAAAAGTGAAGCATGGTATACAAAATATGATTGATTTATCTTCAAAGTGTATAAATGTACATATATACAAACAGAGACAGTCCTTGCTTTTCATGGTTTGATACGAACAAAATTCAGTTACCATGTTTTAGTTAAATAATATCAGTCCCCAACAACACAGTTCAAATTCAGTCACCACAGCATGTTAACCGTGAGTCATTTAGATAAATCACAAACTTAACTACTGGCTCTTCAGTCCACAAATCACTATATAAATAATCGATACCCTTCAAAGTCTACCCTTGATTGGTCATCGACTATTTGTTATTCAGTTTACTAATAGACGGAAAAGTGTATAATTGTGTAGCCTGTCTCCAGTGATAAACTCTAAACTCATGTGACGTTTTACAAAAATGCATAATTGAGAGAAGGAATTAAGCCCAACAAAGAACGGAACAGAGATAACACTGGCAGATAAATTCACAGTCAGCGTAAATGGGGTTATAGAAGAAATCACTAGGCTGAGGAAGGAGAATCGCTTGAACCTGGGAGGCAGAGGTTGCAGTGAGCCAAGATCACACCACTGCACTCCAGCCTGGGCAACAAGAGTGAAACTCCATCTAAAAAAAAAAAAAAAAAAAAAAAACTGACTATGGGAATGTTGACCATGCTGCCATTTGAGAGACTCTAGATATGCAATCAGAGGAACTTAGTGGAGGCGAGTCTGTCAACCTTAATAAGAAAAATGGTTGTGATGAAAAGGAGGAAGGTGTCCCAGAGGAAGTGACACCAGCCAAACAGCCAAATACTTCATATTTAAGGAAGTCTTGGAGTCACTTTGTAACACTGAAAGTACAAAGAATAAAATAATGGAAGCTGATCCAAATTTAGAAAGAAATATGACAATTTAGCAAGGCATAAAAAATATAGTTCATATTATTTATATTACAAAAAGAAGGCAAGCAATGTTTAATCTTTATAAACCTTTTAGAACAAGATACTTGTCAATATTCCTAACGTTTTATATTACAGTGTACTACATAGCAATATTACTGTATTTTGTTTTCCCTTACATTTATAACCAACAGTAAGAGAGGTTTTAAAATTTTGACAAAAAATTGTAAAGGTGATGGAACAGTTGTAATTTTTTCCATTGAATATTAAGATCAATTTGCATGCTTTTTTTTTTTTTTTTTTTTTTTTTTTAAAAACAGTGTCTCACTCTCTCACTCAGGCCAGAGTACAGTGGCTCAATCTCAGCTCACTGCTGCCTCAACCTCCTGGGCTCAAGCGATCCTCTTGCCTTGATCTCCCAAAGTGCTGGGATTATAGGCATGAGCCACTGCACCTGGCCACTTTGCATGGTTTTAGTTAGTGCAGTCATTAGATCCTGTGCTCTGCAAAGTGAGGTCGGCTTATATAAGATATAAATATATACATCTATATATTTACATATATAAACAATGTATATAATATATTTGTATTTTTTAAAATGGCAGTATATATTCAAAGAATTGTTAATAGTGGTTACTTCTGAGGAGTGGGGCTCAGGGAGAGTAAAGGCAAAGGGAAATTTTATTTTATACCCTTCTGAACTGTTTGACTGTTCCATTAGTATGTATTTCTTTTTGGTATAAAACCTAATTAATAAAAAAAAGAAAAGTTAAAATTTTTTAAAAAATATGTATATGATCTGTGATTTTTTGTTTTTGTTTCTGTTTTCTGGGGACATAATCTGAAGCTTTGATCAAGAATTTCAAAAGAATTTGACAT
The DNA here is from genome assembly GCF_000001405.40 of Homo sapiens. NCBI lineage: Eukaryota > Metazoa > Chordata > Mammalia > Primates > Hominidae > Homo > Homo sapiens. Next base: position 4,415,685 of record NC_000009.12, on the reverse strand, counting down.
CAAAAAGGTCAATCTATTGTTGTAAGGTCACATTTGCACTGTTTCTTAGCAGAAAGATTACAAAATATGCAATTTTTTCAGGCTTGCATGTGATCTGAGTTGTTAATTTCATTTGTGTATGGGAGAAGTGGCCGAGAACAAGACCAGCTGATGGTGATGTTCAAGTGCAATTTGCAAACAGATGCCCTAAACAAAATGCCTCTGTAGTGTCTGGTGACTAACATCCATCTGTTTAGAAGCCAGAAAGGCTGAGGCAAAGTATGACCTTGTGCACAACTCTGAACATTTACTGGCTGGCAAACCAAATGTCAAATGCGTGGTAATGAGCATTTGGAAAAATAATGTTGAGGTTCCTGATGTATTTACCCTGCCAGGACTGAGATAGTGAGAGAATGAAGGGTCCCAAGTGGATGAGGCTGAGAACTTAACCACTAATCCAGGATGGGCAACCAGGACTTTGTCTGAGGGAGTCAATGGGGTGGTAAGATCCTCACAGATCCCTAATCCATTTACACAATGGATTTACACCTTCTATCATAGTCTCTGAGGTCTCCTGGATAGATGAGGAGGTCCTTCAGAAAATGTAAGCTTATTTTAACCAGTGTCAAAGAAAACCTAAGTTGAGTAGTAGTTGAAGCAGTTCAAACAGTTTATTTAGAACTATTGGAATAGGAAAAAAAAGAACTCTGTATAGAACTAGGCTCAATTCCAAATACAAGAACAAGTGGGGATTTAAGCTAAGGAGCAGGGTGGGGATCAGTGGATAGAAAATTACTAAAAGGAAACTTCAGGAGTAAGGAGGATTTTAGCTAAACTGACCTAACAGGATTCTCGGTGAAGACAAGCCAGGGTGATCAGACATCATCTGGAATACGGTGGAAGATGAGAAACCAAATTGGACATTGAGGATGATCAGATATGCAGGATGGGAGAGTCTGGCTAAAACAATTTAGCAGGGTTCTTGCTAAGACTGGAATTTTCAAAGAGGTGCACAGATGGGCTAGGAGGAGGTGGTTGAGCAACCTGACTACAGATTGGTCAAGCAATGAATCCTTGTTACCCAAAAAAGTTCTGAAAAGTCTAGTCAGTGATCAAGAATGACCAGGCAATCCTGAAGCAGGCAGGATAAAAGCTATCCACCAGCATTATATAGGTATAATCTTTTTTAACCCTTAAAACAATCCTATAATTGTTTGACCACCCCAATATCACTGAGACAACTGAGGTTCAACCGAGGTGTAAGGAGGTTAAGTAACTTGTCCATTGTCACATAGGTGGTAAGTGTTGGGCCTAGGATTTGAAGTTTAATTTCTGAAGTTCTGCATACTCACATTGAGTTACGGTTTCTCTGAAGTGCTTAAAAAATGCCTCTGGGCCATACATGTTTTGCCATGTCTTCCATTTATCAGAAATCTTGCTCATGCTGGATTATCTAATCTAAAATCTGTCCTTCCCTGCTACATTTTTCTGAACTGGGCTGACCCAGTGCTTGCCATTTTGAGTATTTAATCCTTTTGACTCTCAATTCTACCCTTTTGTGTTACTTTCATATGGTCTCTGTGGCTGGGGATCATCTTGATTTTGCCAGCTTCACATTCCAGTTGATTCAGAGGAAATGTACATGAGTCTTTAGTGTTTTCCCGAGAAATATGGCATGGTTCTGGCTTTCACTGACTTGCCTGAGGCTTCTAAGCTTGCAAATAAGAAACATCTGGCCACAGGTCTGTAAATGCATATGATAACCTTGGGTATAGTTAAATTCCATAAGCTGGTGAAGTTAAGCCATATTTGGATAGCCAGAACCTCATTTAGCAAAATCCAAGTTTTTGGTTGGATTAAATTTTACAGGGTTTTAGTTAATAATTTGAAAAATGAAACTGGCTCTTTTGGGGTTTTTAAGTAGTGGTAAAAATGGTCAGTGGAAGGCATTCCCTGCCTGGTATAAGACTTAGGGAACATGGGTCTCAAATGAGTCCCCCGTGTTAGGGAGCCATGCAACGTCTGGGTGGCAATGTTCAGGATGCTACTAGGGTTCCCTCCTAAGTCATGGAGTCAAATCTGGGCCCTTTACAGAACTTTTCATGTCAGAGCACTGAAGAGTTTGGCAAGCTAATGATTACCCACAAGCAGGATATACTGGAGAAGATGATTCTTTAGAGGTGGAAACTGGAGCTTGCACAGCTTTGAGACAATACACAGCTGAAAAATAACCAGAGTTCAAAATGTGCAGGCTTAGGAGGCAAGTACAACTCTTATAGAAACCCTTCTGTTGATTAGAACAGGGATTAACAGTATGACCGTGAGATTGGAAGAGACCAAGAATGTGTTATTAAACAGAGAAGATGACACTTCTTACAGTCATATTAAACACAATGGTGTGATTTAATGTGCTAGGCACTATGCAAGGGTATGGCCATATACAATCTCATTTAATTCTTCCCAACAACCCTGATTTGGGATTGTGGTATTAAATGTATATCCAAAATCTCTGAGTTAGTGGGTATCACATCCAGAACTCAAGACCATGTCTTACTCTATTTGGCACACTTTACATTATGATTACCTGCCTTTAATAAGCCAAAAAGCATCATCTATTGAGCATGTTGTATTTGTTAGGGTAGTGCTAGATGTTGAAACAGACAAACTCTAAATCTCAGTAGCCTAACAAGACAGAAGTTTCTTATTCATATTAAGTGTAATTGGAAGAAAGGGCTGGTGAAAGAGACTGTGCTCCACGTGGTCACCCTGGGATCCAAGCTGACATAGGTCTTTCATCTTTGACACTAGTTTCTAAGGTAACTCTGGATGCCAACAACAAGAGGCAGATGGAGGAAGAGAGATAGGGATGGTTCATTTGGTAAGTTTTTATGGGCCAGGCCTGGAAATGGCACATTCATTTTTGACCATTCTCTACCAGTCAGGTTCAGTCTTATGGCTAAATTTAACTGGAAGGGAGTCTGGGAAATGTAGACTAGTTACTGGCCCAGGAAGAAAGGGGTAAGGGTTTGGTAAACAGCCAGTCTCTACCACATTTGTGCTTTTTTACAATTATCAGAATTTAAGTATAATAAATATTGCCCTTCACCCAGTGCCAAATACCATCCTAGTTTCTGGGGATATACCAGTGAATAAGCTGAAATCCATGTCCCTAAGTCTAGCAGGGGAATACACAGAGATACAAATGCAAGGGTGATATCCATTCTTACATAGATTAACTGTTCTAGACCACTTGTGTCTTAGGTTACACTAGGTATGATGGAATACTCTCTAGTTCAGAATTAATGATTTGGATGCTTTTAGTCCCAAGAATTGTCTGCTTCAAGATCTAAACTTAGGCGCCAGTCTAAGGTAACTTTTAGTCCACTAAAAAACTTTGGTTAAAGAAACCCATTTGTAGACACCCCCAAATGTAACAAAGTCACATTGTTCACCTCTCGCAACTTAATTTCATATTACAGCATTAAGCTATCATAGCAGGATAAGCCCTCCACCTTGCTAGGCCTGAAGGTATGCCTTCTTGGAAGAGTGCCACCTAAGCTTTAGTTTGGCTGTTGGGCTATTTGGGTGGTAGGATGAGCAAGACATTTTCAGAAACTCACTGAGGACAGAGATGCTGTTTAGAGACTTGGATAATTTTGTTAAAGGATTTGACAACCTTCTCATTTGATATCCATGTTAAGATTGTGTGCTGTCTCTTAAATGTTTTCTATGTTTAAAACTCATTTAGTATTAGGCCAGATTATTTTATCTAAACTAGTTAGGACCATACATGAGCCAAAATGTTAAATGGTATTTTTAACCAAAAGTGTTTTTAAAATTATTTTATTAGCTTTCTCTGACTTTGAGAGAACACATTGAAAGCTTGTAGGAGAAGAGGATTGCAGAGAAAAATGCAAAAACTTCGGCATAAGACTGTGGTGGATGGTGTTGTAAGCCACTTGTCCATGGGTTATTTCTTTGGGAGCATGAGCTGTGAGTTTTTATTCTGTTGTTGCAGAAGAGAAGTTAAGGTTGTCTACCATACAGCATACAGCACCATAAATCAAAAATATGGATTTTCTAAAAATTAGGTCAAATGGAAGATTAAAGCAGAATGAGAAGATGGGACCAAAGGGAAAATGGATGTCACTATCTCCAAAATTAGTGGTTCCCAAACTGGGATACACAGATAAATTCTGAGGGATTACTAGTTTTCTGTGAGCATTTACTACATTTGCATATTGATTTTCATGATAACTAAAAAATATGTACAAGAACATTATGGGTCATCTGTATCACGACCTCATAACCCAGTACTGCCGGTAATATTTTGTGCCTGAGGTTGTATTTCTTTTTACAGTTGGGAGGTCGTGTGGACTAATGAAAAAGGCGTAGAGATAGACCTAAGATCTAAATGGCATGTTTGCACCAAGTGAAGGACAGAAGTCATTATAACACATTGTAGGAGTGAAGGTTTCACAGTAATTTAAATTGAGAAAAAGTGTGAGTGAATTAAATTATCACATCACACATGTAAAATTAGGCCGAAAATTCAAGAGGACATTGTGAGTGGTAACCAGTTTTGACAATATGGCTTCATCTGTTGTGTTTACTAATATTATTTAAATGAATTGTAATAGTTTTATCATTTTGTTTGCGTTAAATTTTACATACTTGTTTTGGTTCTTACAAATGTGTAAAGGTTGTTACATAAGGAATTATAACCCTTTTTAGGCTCATACACAATTTAAGAAAAAAACCCAAGAGTTTGTGAGAATTATATTTCTCACAGTGACTAAAGGTGGGCCACAGAAATCTGCATTGACCTTCCTGGTGGCTAAAACTAAAAGAGAACTTGATCAGCTAAAGATTAATCTTATCAGTAAGATTAAAATATCCCATTTGTTCAGAAGGACAACTTTGGCTGGCAGTTAAATATGAGCTAAATTTTGCCAAAGAGTACCTATCAGAGTAATGCTGATGAATGCAAAGTTGAGTATCCTTGACAACGTCCCCTGATCACTAAAACAGTGAATTTAATGCTGCTATTTCTGTAGCATCCATTTATGCAAAACAATGGAGGCTACATGGCAGTTAAAATAACTTTGTGCTGGATCAAAGCAAATGTACAACCATCTGACCTCTTTCAGTTTTTAATAAATTCAGTAAAATTTTAGCTGATTTACGTGAAATTCTTATGAAATGTTTTCAATCATAGTTTCAATAGATGCATGAATTCTTTATATATACTTAAAATCCTAATATTTTACTTTCATAATTTATTTTTTCCTTTTTGGCCTACAACTGTAACTAAAGAATTAAGGATGGTTTTTCTCCATAGCTCTATGCTAAAGAGAAAAAACAACTGCTTCTCTGTTGTTCTAGCTTTTTCTTAATATGCAAACCCTAATAAAGAACTGAATTTTTCAGGGCCGGGTGTGGTGGCTCATGCCTGTAATCCCAGCACTTTGGGAAGCCAAGGCAGGTGGATCGCTTGAGGCCAGCAGTTTGAGACCAGCCTGGCCAACATGGCAAAACACTGTCTCTGCTTAAGAAAAAAAAAAAAAAAATAGCCGGGCATGGTGGTGCATTTCTGTAATCCCAGCAATTTAGGAGGCTGAGGCACTAGGATCACTTGAATCTGGGAGGCAGAGTTTGCAGTGAGCTGAGATCTCACCACTGCACTCCAGCCTGGGTGACAGAGTGAGGCCCTGTCTCAAAGAAACCCATACAGACCTCCCAAAACCTAGTTTTTAAACCACATTATTTCTGTGTTTATGTATACTGTCAAAAAAGATAGTAAAAATAACTTATAGGCATTTGGATATGGGGGATCTTCCGGTAGCCACGTCTGAAATTGGAACTAGCCAATAACAAGCAAGTCCAGGTTTGTTTTTCCTGTGACCAATACATTTTTTCTTTGACAATCTTTGTTTTATGAGAAATTCCCTTTTTTTCACTTTGATAGTTTGTGATTTATCATTTGTTCCTTGCTTCTTCAACCCATATTTAATAATTCCCCAGCCAAATGACTATTTGCATCTAGAAGCATAATTTGTTTGAAATTACTAGAATTTTCAATATTTTCTCTAATTATCTTTGTTTATGACATCACCCTGTGACAATCATTCTCATTGTGTATGTTCCATAATTATCATTATACTAGTAAGCGTGTTCATCTGATAATGAATGACATAGGAGACTGCCTGTAATTATGACAAGGGCAAATTGAGCCATAAGTATACTAGTAAGGTGATGTTTGGAGATCATTGTTAGAATATTTTAGATAATATATCTAAGTATATTATAGTAATATCTACATCCCTAAGTAAAAAATGGAGAACATTATTCTGACGTCCCATTTCCCTCACTCACATCTCATCAATTAAGCCCTGTTAAAGTTTACTTTGTCAACCTGAAATAATTTAAAGGATCAGAATCCAGTTTAAAAGAGTTCATTCCAGGGCAAAGCTGATAATAACCATTCTGGTAACAACAGACTCCAAAAGAATGGTCTCAGTGCTCCAAGAGGAGAAGTTAAGGTCTTGCTTATATAAGCAGAAAATGAAGAAATTTAACAGGATTACAACATTTCCCATACAAGACTGGTTTATGAGTTACAGAAATTTGATAAGTTACACCTTGTTTTTTTCTTTTCCAATTTAAAAGAGTGTGTGTGTATACATATATACATATATATTTAATTTTTTAATTTTTATTTTTTGTGGGTACATAGTGGGTGTATGTATGTGTGGGGTATATGAGATATTTTGGCACAGGTATGCAGTGTGTAGTAATCCCATCATGGAAAACTGGGTATCCATCTCCTCAAGCATTTATCCCATGTTACAAACAATCCAATTATACTTTTAGTTATTTTAAGATGTACAATTAAATTATTATTGACTATAATCCCCCTGTTATGACATCAAATACTAGGTCCTATTCATTCTCTCTATTTTTTTTTTTTTTTTTTTTTTGAGACAGAGTCTGGCTCTGTTGCCCAGGCTGGAGTGCGGTGGCGTGATCTCGGCTCACTGCAAGCTCCGCCTCCCGGGTTCACGCCATTCTCCTGCCTCAGCCTCCCGAGTACCTGGGACTACAGGCGCCCGCCACCGCGCCCGGCTAATTTTTCTATTTTTAGTACAGACGGGATTTCACCGTGTTAGCCAGGATGGTCTCGATCTCCTGACCTTGTGATCCGCCCGCCTCAGCCTCCAAAAGTGCTGGGATTACAGGCTGAGCCAAGGTGCCCGGCCTATTTTTTTTTTTTTTTTAATATCCATTAACCATCCCCACCTTCCTCCCTACCGCCCCAGGTAACCATCGTTCTATTCTCTATAGAGAACAGTCCAAATCTTGGCTCTTGTGAACAGTGCTGCAACAAACATGGGAGTGCAGATAGCTCCTCGATATACTGATTTCCTTTCTTTCGGATATATACTCAGCAGTGGGATTGCTGGGTCATATGGTAGCTCTATTTTTGTTTTCTAGGGAACCTCCATGCTGTTCTCCGTAGTGGTTGTACTAATTTACATTCCCACTGACAGCGTACGAGGGTTCCCTTTTCTCCACATTCTTGCTAGCATTTGTTATTGCCTGACTTGGATAAAAGCCATTTTAACTGGGGTCATACGATATCTCCTTGTGGTTTTGATTTGTATTTATTTCTCTGATGATTATTAATGTTGAGCAGTTTTTTATATACATTGGCCATTTGTATGTCATCTTAGAAATGTCTTTTCAGATCTTTGCCCATTTTAAAATTCGATTATTAGATTTTTTTTTCCTCTTAGAGTTGTTTGAGCTCCTTATATATTCTATTATTAACACTTTGTCAAATGGGTAGTGTTCAAATACTTTCTCTCATTCTGCGGGTTGCCTCTTCACTTTGTTGATTGTTTTCTTTGTTGTGCAGAAGCTTTTTAACTTGATGTGATTCTATGTGTACATTTCTGCTTTGTTTGCGCTTGCGGGGTATTACTCGATAAATTCTTGCCCAGACCAATGTTCTGGATAGTTTTTCCAATGTTTTCTTTTTTTCTTTTTCCTTTTTGTTTTTGAGAGAGTCTTGCTCTGTCTCCCAGGCTGGAGTGCGGTGGCGAGATCTCGGCTCACCGCAAGCTCCGCCTCCCGGGTTCTCGCCATTCTCCTGCCTCAGCCTCCCGAGTAGCTGGGACTACAGGCGCCCGCCACCACGCCCGGCTAATTGTTTTTGTATTTTTAGTAGAGACGGGGTTTCACAGTGTTAGCCAGGATGGTCTCGATCTCCTGACCTCGTGATCCACCTGCCTCGGCCTCCCGAAGTGCTGGGATTACAGGTGTGAGCCACCTTGCCCGGTCAGTTTTTCCAGTGTTTTCTTGCAGTAGTTTCACAGTTTGAGGGCTTAGATTTAAGTCTTTAATTTATTTTGATTTGATTTTTGTATATGGTGAGAGATAAGGGTCTAGTTTCATTCTTCTGCGTAAGGATATCCAGTTTTCCCAGTGTCACTTATTGAAGAGACTATCTTTTCCCAATATATGTTCTTGGTACCTTTGTTGAAAATGAGTTTACTGTAGATGGGTGGATTTGTTTCTGGGTTCTCCATTCTGTTCCATTGGTCTATGTGTCTATTTTTATACCATTACCATGCTGTTTTAGTTACAGAAGCTCTGTAGTATAATTTGAAGTCAGGTAATGTGATTCTTCCAGTTTTGTTCTTTTTTCTCAGGATAGCTTTGGCTATTCTGGGTCTTTTGTAATTCTATATAAATTTTAGAATTGTTTTTCTATTTCTGTGAAGAATGTAATTGTTATTTTGATAGGAATTGTATTGAATCTGTAGATTGCTTTGGCTAGTATAAACATTTTAACAGTATTCTTCCAATCCATGAACATGGAGTATCTTTCCATTTTTGTGTGTGTCCTCTTCAATTTCTTTCATGAGTGTTTTATAGTTTTTATTGAAGAGATCTTTCACGTATTTGGTTAATTCCTAGGTACTTAAGTTTATGTATGGGTATTGTAAATGGGATTGCTTTTTAAATTTCCTTTTTAGATTTTTCACTGTTGGCATATAGAAATGCTACTGGTTTTTGTTTGTTGATTTTGTATCCTGTAACTTTACTGAATTTATCAGTTCAAATAGTTTTTTGATGGCCTCTTTAGTGTTTTTCCAAGTATAAGATCATATCTGACCAACATTGAGAAACCCCTTCTCTACTGAAAATACAAAATTAGCCAGGCCTGGTGGTGGGTGCCTGTAAACCCAGCTACTTGGAAGGCTGAGGCAGGAGAATCGCTGGAACCTGGGAGGTGGAGGTTGCAGTAAGCCAAGATCGCACAATTGCACTCCAGCCCAGGCAACAAGAGACAAGAGCAAAACTCTGTCTCAAGAAAAAAAGAACAATGTATCATCTGCTCATCTGCAAACAAGGATAATTTGACTTCTTCCTTTCCAGTTGGGATGCCCTTTTTTTTCTTTCTCTTATCTGATTGCTATATCTAGGACTTCCAGTACTACGTTGAATAATTGTGACGAAAGTGGGCATCTTTGTTGTCTTCCAGATCTAAGAAGAAAGGCTTTCAGTTTTTCCCCATTTGGTATGATACTGGCTGTGTTATACAGTCTTTTGTTATGTAGTCTTTTATTATGTTGAGGTATGTTCCTTCTATACCCAGTTCTTTGAGGGTTTTTATCATGAAGAGATGTTAAACTTTATCAAATGCTTTTTCAGCATCCATTGAAATGATCATATGGATTTTGTCCTTTATTATGTTGATATGATGTGTCACATTGATGGACGTATGTTGAACCATCCTTGCATCCCTGGGATAAATCCCATTTGATCATAATGAATGATCTTTTTAATGTATTGTTGAATTTTGTTTGCTAGTATTTTGTTGAGGATTTTTGTATCAATATTCATCAGAGATACTGACCTGTAGTTTTTTTTTTTAATGTGTCTTTGTCTGGTTTTGGTATCAGGGTAATACTGGCTTTGTAGAATGAGTTTGGAATTATTTTCTCCTCTATTTTTCAGAACAGTTTGAGTAGGGTTGCTATTAGTTCTTTAAATGCTTGGTAGTGTTTAGAAGTGAAGCCGTTGGGTCTTGGGCTTTTCTTTACTAGGAGACTTTTTATTACAGCCTCAATATTGTTACTTGTTATTGGTCTGTTCAGGTTTTGGATTTCTTCCTGATTCAATCTTAATAGGTTGTATATGCGTAGGAATTTATCCATTTCTTCTAGATTTTCCAATTTATTGGCATATAGCTGCTCATAGTAGCCACTAATGATCATTTGAATTTCTTTCTTTTCTTTCTTTCTTTCTTTTTTCTTTTTTCTTTTTCTTTTTCTTTTTTTTTTAAGATGGAGTTTCGCTCTTACTGCCCAGGCTGGAGTGCAATGGCACGATCTCGACTCCCCACAACCTCTGCCGCCTGGGTTCAAGTGATTCTCCTGCCTCAGCCTCCTGAGTAGCTGGGATTATAGGCGTGCACCACCAAACCTGGCTAATTTTGTATTTTTAGTAGAGATGGGATTTCTCCATGTTGGTCAGGTTGATCTCGAACTCCCAACCTCAGGTGATCCACCCTCCTCGGCCTCCCAAAGTGCTGGGATTACAGGCATGAGCCACTGCGCCAGGCAGGATCATTTGAATTTCTGTGGTATCAGTTCTAATGTCTCCTTTTTCATCTCTGATTTTATTCATTTGGGTCTCCCCTCTTTTTTTCCTAGTTACTCTGGTTAAAGGTTCATCAATTTTGCTTATCTTTTCAAAATATTAACTTTTTGTTTTGTTGGTCTTTTGTATTGTCTTCTTCATTTTAGTTTCATTTATTTCTGCTCTGATCTTCATTATTATTTCTTTTCTTCTACTAATTTTGGGTTCAGTTTGTTCCTGCTTGTCTAGTTCTTTAAGATATATCATTAGCTTATTTATTTGAAGCTTTTCTTCTTTTTTGATGTAGGCATTATAGCTATAAATTTATCTCAGTACTGCTCTCACTGTATCTCATATGTTTTGGTATACTGTGTTTCCGTTATCATTTGTTTCAAGAAATCTTTCAGTTTTCTTCTTAATTTCTTCACTGACTCACAGGTCATTCAGGAGCATGTTGTTTAATTATCATGTGTTTATATAGTTTCCAAAATTCCTTTTGTTACTGATTTCAAGTTTTATTCCAATGTGATCAGAGAAGATGCTTGATATTATTTTAATTTTTTTGAATGCTTTAAGACTTGTTCTGTGAGCTAACATATGGTCTATTCTTGAGAAAAATCCATGTACTGAGAAGAATGTATATTCTGCAGCTGTTGGATGACATGTTTTGTGACTACTCATTAGGTTCATTTGTTCCATAGCGCAGATTTAGTCCAATGTTTATTTGTTGATTTCCTGTCTGGCAGATCTGTGCAATGCTGAAAGTGGGGTGTTGAAGTCTCCAGTTATTATTGTATTTGGGCCTATTTCTCTCTTTAGCTCTAATAATATTTGCTTTATATATCGGGTTGCTCCAGCGTTGGGTGCATATATATTTACAATTGAATCCTCTTGCTGAATTGTCCCCTTTGTCATTATTTAATAACCTTATTTGTCTCTTCTTACAGTTTTTGTCTTGAAATCTATTTTTTCTCATAAGTATAGCTACTCCTACTCTTCTTTGGTTTCTATTGTCGTGGATTATCTTTTTCCATCTCTTTATTTTCAGCCTATGTGTGCCTTTATAGGTGAAGTATATTTCTTGTAGGCAACAGATCATTGGATCTTATTTTCTCATCCATTCAGTCACTCTCTGTCTTTTGATTGGAGCATTTAGTCAATTTTCACTCAGTATTATTATTGATAAGTAGGGACTTACTCCTGCCATTGTATTCTTTGTTTTCTCGTTGTTTTGCATTGTTCTCTTCCTTCTTTCCTTCCTTCCTGTCTTCTTTTTAATGAAGGTGATTTTCTCTGGTGGTATGGTTTAATTTCTTGCTTTTTATTTTGTGTTTATTTGTTATGTTTTTGTTTTGAGGTTACCATGAGTCTTGCAAATACTATTTTATAATCCATTATTTTAAACTGATGACAACTTAACACTGTATATCCAAACAAATAAACATGCAAAAAGAAAACTAATAAAAACTCTACACTTTATAACTTTGTTCCCCTGCTTTTTGACTTTTTGTAGCTTCTCTTTGTTTTATTGTGCTGTCTATGTCTTGAAAAGTTGTTGTAGTTATTATTTTTGAGTGGTTCATCATTTAGTCTTTCTACTTGAAACAAGAGTAGTTTACACACCACCATTACAGTGTCATATTATTCTGTGTTTTTCTGTGTGCTTACTATTACCAGTGAGTTTTTTACCTTCAGATGATTTCTTCTTGGTCATTAACATCCCTTTCTTTCAGACTGAAAACTCCCTTTAGCATTTTGTGTAGGAGAGGTCTGGTGTTGATAAAATCCCTCAGCTTTTGTTTGTCTGGAAAGGTCTTATTTCTCCTTACTGCTTGAAGGGTATTTTCACCAGATAGGGTAAAAGTTATGTTCCGTCAGCATTTTAAATATGTCATGCCATTCTTTCCTAGCCTATAAGGTTTCCACTGAAAAGTTTGCTGCCAGACATGTTGGACTTCCATTGCATGTTATTTGTGTCTTTTCTCTTGCTGCTTTTAGGATCCTTTCTTTATCCTTGACCTTTGAGTGTTTGATTAATAAATGCTTTGAAGTAGTCTTCTTTGGGTTAAATCTGCTTGGTGTTCTATTAACCTTCTCATACTTGAATGTTGATATCTTTCTCTAGGTTTGGGAAGTTCTCTGTTATTATCCCTTTGAATAAATTTTCTACCCCTATTTCTAGCTCCATCTCTTCTTTAAGGCCAATAACTCTCATATTTGTGAGACTATTTTCTAGATCTTCTAGGCATGCTTCCTTGTTTTTTTATCTTTCTTTCCCCTTCTGTGTGTTTTCAAATAGCCTGTCTTCAAGCTCAATAAGTCTTTCTTCTGCTTAATCAATTCTACTATTAAGAGACTCTAATGCATTTTTCAGCATGTCAATTGCATTTTCCAACTCTAGAATTGCTGCTTGCTTCTTTTTAATTGTTTCAATCTTTTTGTTAAATTTATCTGATAGAATTCTGAATTCCTTCTCTGTGTTATGTTAAATTTCTTCAAGTTTCCTCAAAATAGGTGTTTTGAATTCTCTGCTAGGTCACATATCTCCATTTCTCCAGGATTGTTCCCTATTGCCTTATTTAGTTCATTTGGTGAGGTCATGTTTTCCTGGATGGTGTTGATGCTTGTAGATGTTCATCACAGTCTGGACATTGAAGAGTTTGGTACTTATTGTAATCTTCATAGTCTGGACCTGTTTATGCCTGTTCTTCTTGGGAAGGCTTTCCAGGTATTCGAAGGACTTGGGCCTCAAGCCCAGTAATGCTGTGGTTTTTGCATATTTGTAGAGGTACCACCTTGGTGGTCTTGGATGAGATTTGGAAGAATTTTCTGGAGACTTGTTCTTTTCCCTTACTCTCTGCTAAAATTGTCTGGAATTGGGAGTGTGGTGATGCAAACACCCCTGTGGCCACCACCACTGGGACTGTGGTGGGTCAGACCTGAAGCCAACATAGTACTGGGTCTTGCCCAAGGCCTTTCCTTTTAAGACGGTGAGTTCCCCTAGGCCCTGGGCATGTCCAGAGATGTTGTCTGGGAGCCAGGGATTGGAGCAAAAAACCTTGGCAGTTTATCTGTTGTTCTATTCTACTATAGCTAAGCTGGTTCTCACACCACAATATAAAGTGCTTCCCGCTCTTGCCTCTGCTTTCCATAGGCAGAGGGGCCTCTCCCTGGAGCCATCACCACCACTGGTCCACAGGGGTTCTGCCAGGCCACCACCAATGCTCACTTAAAGCCCAAGGCCACCAGCCTGGGCAACATGGTGAAATACTGTCTGTTAAAAATATGAAAAAAAAAATTAGCTGGGCATGGTAGCATGCACCTGTAGTCCCAGCTACTTGGGAGGCTGAGGCATGAGAATCACTTGAGGCTGAGGCATGAGAATCGCTTGAACCCAGGAGGCAGAGGTTGCAGTGAGCTGAGATTGCACCATTGCACTCCAGCCTGGGCGACAGAGTGAGACTCTGTTGCAAAAAAAAAAAAAAGAAAGAAAGGACAGGCACGGTGGCTCACACCGGTAATTCAAGCACTTTGGGAAGCCAAGGCAAGTGGATTACCCGAGGTTGAGATTTCGAGACCAGCCTGACCAACATGGAGAAACCCCATCTCTACTAAAAAAAAAATACAAAATTAGCTGGGCGTGGTGGCTTAAGCCTGTAACCCCAGCTAATCGGGAGGCTGAGGCAGGAGAATCGCTTGAACGTGGGAGACAGAGGTTGCTGTGAGCTGAGATCACACCATTGCACTCCAGCCTGGGCAACAAGAGTGAAACTCTGTCTCAAAAAACAAAAACAAACAAACAGAAATAAACCCAAGATCTCTTCTGTCAGTTCATGGTTAATGCTGCCAGGCCTGGGACTCACCATTGAGGGAAGTGGACTCTCCACTGCCCCAGGACAGATATAGAAATGCTGTCCAAGAGCCTAGGTCTGGACTTAGGGACCCCAAGTGCCTGCTTGTTGCTCGTCCTACTGTGGCTGAGCTGGTGCCTAAGGTGCAAGACAAAGTCCTCTTTACTTTTCCCTCTGCTTTTCTCAAACAGAAGAATGTTTCATCATAGCCACAGTAGCTAAGAATGTGTTAGGTTTCCCCTGAGGCCAGCACATCTCAGAGCCCGAGGCCTACGGCATACTCCTTGGGTATTGCTGCTGGTTATTCAGGGACCAAGGGCTCTTTAGTTAGCAGGTGATGAATCCTGTCAAGACTGAGTCATTCCCTTCAATGCAGTAGATACCCTTTTGGCCCAGGGTGCATCTAGAAATGTCATCCAGGAGCTAGGGCCTGGAGCAGGGTCCTCATGACTCTGCCCAGAGCCCTATCCTACTGTGGCTAAGGTGGTATCCAAGATGCAAGATGAAGTCCTCTAAAAGAGTATATTTAACATTCCATTTTAG
The DNA here is from genome assembly GCF_000001405.40 of Homo sapiens. Classification (NCBI taxonomy): domain Eukaryota; kingdom Metazoa; phylum Chordata; class Mammalia; order Primates; family Hominidae; genus Homo; species Homo sapiens. The sequence continues at coordinate 4,400,662 of NC_000009.12, read as the reverse complement.
ACAATGTGATAGTTGTGAGGTTTTTGTGTAAGAGAAGTAAGGGAAATTAATCTACAATGAAGATCAAGACCGAAGAGGAAAGGAGTCTTCTCTGGTGCCCTTTAGTCTTTTACAACTTTTGACAAATCAATATAGGTAAAGAAATGGCTAATCTATAATCAGAGGAACAAAGGTTATGGCTTGTAGGTTATAGCTGGCTGTCACATAACTCATGTCTCATAATCACATTCTTTTAAGGCTCAAAATAATTTAAGAAGTTCCAACAGCTTTGATTTTGAATTACTTATTTTTACAACTTCATAAAGAGCTCTACCCTTTGCTTCTCTAGCCTGCCTGCTTTTATCCCAGTTCAGGTCACCATCATTTCTTGTCCGTATTATTTCAACTGCCTCCTAACTCTTCTCCATCTTTCTTTACATGCCCTCCCTTCAATCCATCATCACACAGAAGAGTGATCTTTCTCCACTTGATTTTAGCCAAAAGGCCGAGAAGCGATAGGGGAAGAGCCATCTTTCTCAAATACACATGTACCTCCTGTGTTGAAAACACCAATGATACTCCTGGTCCTTGGGATTAGGAGCAAACTCGTTACATGGCTTCCAAGGTTCTTCATAATCTGAATCCTGCTTGCCCTGTGGCCTTGTCTCATCCCATTGCCCAATCTCCTCACTCGCCATCCCACTCCCACTCCCACCTCCTATTTCTGCTCCAACCATGCTGTATTGAAAAGACCACGTAGTATCTCACCTCTGGCCCTCACACTATTTTCTCTGCTTAAATATTTTTCCCTCCATCTTTTCCTTCAGGTCTCAGCTACAGCATCATGCCTCAAAGTAAACTTAACCTCATGCCCAAGGCTGGGTTAGATGCCTCTTCTGTAGCTGCTCATAGCATCCCACACATTGAACCACTGTAGCATGTATCACATTGTAGTCTACTTTACTTGTTACTTACAGCTTCCAGATGTGGGCTGCTTGAGGAAAGGGACAAAGTCTTGAGGAAAAAAAATAACTCTTTGATATATAGATTTAGATATAAATTATCTTGATCCTGAGCACCGAATAACAAATTACAAGATTAAACGTGGCATTATGGTTGTAAAAGAAATGCAGCATGGTACAGGGGAAATGGCAGACCAGGACTTGATCTTGCCTCTGCCTCCTGGCCAGCTATGAGACCTTGGGAAAATTATTTCATATTCATAAGCCTTAGTTTCCTCATCTGTAAATGGGGATGAAACTATCTACTTTCAGTGCTGTTGTAAGAGAATCAGTTTAATGATTCATATAAAAGAGCTTAGCGCAGTGCTTGGCACATATTAGAATACTCAGAAGAGGCAGTTTTTTTAAAAAATAAATCACTATTTACCCCAAGTTGATAAATAATATATACATGGGGTACATAGTCACATTTTGATACATATAATGTAGAGTGATCAGATCAGGGTAGTTAGCGTATCCATCATCCCAAACATTTATCATTTCTTTGTGTTGGCAGCAGTCAATATCCTCCTTCTAGCTATTTGAAAATACATATTAGTGTTAACTATAATCATCCTGCAATGGTATAGAACACTAGGAAGTGGTTGTTATCGTAAAATGTTATGGTCTATCTCACCCCTAGCATAAAATATATGAAAGCAGAGCAGAAAACAAAGGAATCTAAGAACTTGAGCAGGCTGGGTACGGTGGCTCACGCCTGTAATCCTAGCACTTTGAGAGGCCAAGGTAGGTGGATCACAAGGTTAGGAGTTCAAGACCAGCCTGGCCAATATGGTGAAACCCTGTCTCTACTAAAAATACAAAAATTAGCCAGGCATGTTGGTGGGCACCTGTAATCCCAGCTACTTGGGAGGCTGAAGCAGAGAATTATTGCTTGAATGGGGAGGCAGAGGTTGCAGTGAGCCAAGATCGTGCCACTGGACTCCAGCTGGGTGACAGAGTGAAACTCTGTCTCAAACAAAATACAACAACAACAACAAAAGAGCTTAAGCAACTACTTCACAGTCCAGAGAATGATAGTGATTGGGGCCAGGGGAAGAGGGTGAGTGAGGAGCCACTTTTAGCTAAAGGGAGAGCTGCTGACCTAGCCCTTAAATTGAGCTGGAGCAGGGGGTGGAAGAAGAAAGAAGAAGGAGGCAATGTTCTCCAGGCCCCCACCCCCTCAATGCAATGTCCACGACCCCAAGGCAACTCCAGCATGGGTTGTAAGGGTATGAGAATAGTGGTAGAGGACACTTGAATGTGCACTTGAATCACCTGGGAATGCTGTTTAAATTGCAGATTCTGATTCCATAGATACGGGGTGGAGTCTGAGACTCTGCATTCCTAATAAGATTCCAGGTCATGCTAATGCTGCTAATTCAGGGATCATATTTTGAGTATCAAGGATGTAGAAAATAACCACTTATGCTACTTCTTATTGTGTAATGATATTAAAAAAAATATGCCTCAGCAATTTTGTGAGGATTCCATTGGGGAAGAATATTCTGTGGGTTTGGAAAAAATATTCTGATAAATCACTTGGGATTGAGGTGTAGGTGGGATGACTCACCAAAGCATGCATTGAAATAGTAACTGAAGATCTTAAACTGCTTTCTTAAGAAGGGGCCGATTGACTCAAGGTCTTTTTGTCTCTGCATCAGAATGAGAGGGGCATCTGAGTTTGAGGGCAGAACAGAATGGCTGTCTGTAGGAGACGGGGAACAGTGTGAATGGGGAACTGGATGCAGGGACCCACAATGGAGGAATGTCTATAGAGATATTCAGAAGTTGTTTGCTTGACAGTATGCTCATTTTTCTTCATCCCATCCAAGGAATACTTTGGATTGCTCAGCGGTGCTTTCGTGTATGTAATTTTCCTTCCTCCTCTCCCCTCCCCTCCCCTCCTCTCCTTTCCTCTCCTCTCCTTTCCTCTTTCTCCCTCTTTTCCTCCCTCCCTCCCTCCCTCCCTGCCTTCCTCCCTCCCTCCCTCCCTCCCTCCCTTCCTCCCTCCCTTCCTTCCTTCCTTTTCTTCCTTCCTTTTCTTCCTTCCTTTCTTCTTTTATTGCTTTGCAGGGGGAATGGGCTTGAAGAGATAGATGAGGGGACAGCACACAGCAGGGTTACACTAGCCTTGAAGTCCCTTGCTTGGTTTTCTTCAACAGTTTCTGGGTGGTGGGGAGTCAGGGGGAAGCAGTGGGACACATCCCACCTACTATTGTTGAGTATTCTGACTGTACTGCTATCAAAATCAGTAATTGAAGCAAAGAACAATAATGTGTTGGAAAATATCTTCAAACTTGCAATAGGTTAAAAACCAAACAAACAAAACCCACAAAATAAAAATAATGGATTGACGGCAGGGTGTGGTGGCTCACGCCTGTAATCCCAGCACTTTGGGAGGCCGAGGCGGGCGGATCACGAGGTCAGGAGATCGAGACCATCCCGGCTAAAACGGTGAAACCCCGTCTCTACTAAAAATACAAAAAATTAGCCGGGCGTAGTGGCGGGCACCTGTAGTCCCAGCTACTCGGGAGGCTGAGGCAGGAGAATGGCGTGAACCCAGGAGGTGGAGCTTGCAGTGAGCCAAGATCGCGCCACTGCACTCCAGCCTGGGAGACAGAGCGAGACTCTTTCTCAAAAAAAAAAAAAAAAAAAGAAAAAAAGAAAAAAGGATTGACAAAACCACAGGGCAAGACAATAACATGGGAGACAAGAGAAGAAGCTGCTTAGGAAAAGGTTAACAGTGCCTGGGCGTTTTCCCAGAAAACACGAGGCGAAGGAGCAAAACTCTCATGAAATCAGACTTGCTCAGACGTACTCAGGCTCGCTTTACTTCAAAACCTCACAAGCCCGTAACTCAATGGACTGGCACTAATTTTAAAACAGAGTTATAACCTGGGTTCCATGAAAGGACTAACGAGGTATGTCCTGGAATCTCCTGAAATCGTATGTGAAATTTATGTCTGTACATATACATATCATTCTAAGGAGGGGCTACTTACCTCTCATCAAATTGCATATCAAATGGTGATATAAAAATGGTTAAGAATCACTGACTTCAAGATTAAAGCTAGCTAGAAGTCTGTCTTCGATAATCTTTCAATGAAAAAGAGGAAATGAAAGGAAACTAGAAATTTTGTCACTAAGAAATCAAAGTAATCAGTCCAGAGTTACATTGTCATTATTTTAAAATAGTGAAGTCCAGTTAGAGGATGATGAAATGTTTGTATCTGCTTAGAAAAGTAAAAATGGGCTGGGCATGGTGGCTCATGCCTGCAATCCCAGCACTTTGGGAGGCCAAGGTGGGCAGATCACTTGAGTCAGGAGTTCGAGATCAGCCTGGCCAACTCGAGATCAACCTGGTGAAACTGTCTCTACTAAAAATGCAAAAAACGAAAACTTAGCTAGGCATAGTGGTGGATGCCTGTAATCCCAGCTACTTGGGAAGCTGAGGCAGAAGAATCGCTTAAACCCCAGAGGTAGAGTTTGCAGTGAGCTGAGATCATGCCAATGTACCACAACCTGGGTGACGGAGTGAGATTCCATCTAAAAAAAAAAAAAAGTAAAAATGGCCTCCCTTGATGTTATTCAATAGAAAATGGTGACCAGGCTAGGCGCAGTGGCTCACTCCTGTAATCCCAGCACTTTGGGAGGCCGAGGCAGGTGGATCATGAGGTCAGGAGATCGACACCATCCTAGCCAACATGGTGAAACCCTGTCTCTACTAAAAATACAAAAATTAGCTGGGCGTGGTGGTGCATGCCTGTAATCCCAGCTATTCAGGAGGCTGAGGCAGGAGAATCGCTTGAACTAGGGAGTCGAAGGTTGCAGTGAGCCAAGGTTGTGCCATTGCACTCCAGCCCGGTGACAGAGCGAGAGTCCATCTCAAAAAAAAAAAAAAAGAAAAAAAGAAAAAAGAAAATGGTGACCAATTATTCTCAGTGTCCGTAGTAAACGATAACAAAAGCTTGACATCAGACATAAAATAAATTCAAGTTAGAGCAGTTAGTTTTGCCCCACAAAGAGCACTTGGCAAAGGCTGGAGATATTTTGGTTGCCTCAACTAGGGGTTTGTACTGACAAGTGGGTAGAGGCCAGGGACGAAGGAGAGGTATCACCTTCCCAGGCACCAGTACCAAAATGACTCAGGAGTTGCAGGAGATTCTTCTTCTTCAGCTAGAGCATCGGAGCTGGATTTGGGTAGCAGACACCACCAGGTATCTCAGGCTGCCTACTGGAGGCCTAAGAAGGCAGGTGGATTAAAATCTCTGTAAGGATCAAACGTTCACACTAAAACACTGTAATAAATGAGAAGGGAGAAAAAGAAAATCATGTCAGCGCCTCAACAAAATACCCACACTACACACAAGACTCACCTTGTTTTGGAGGTCATGTAAATAATTATGAGTCAATGAATACATTTATATTATACTTGTAAAATAGTGCCTTTTAAGGGAGAAGATGTGACTGGAGTTTAATATGCTGAATTACTAAGACTTAAATTCATGGGCCCAATTTGTAAATGTATGAACATGGTCTGCATAAAACCCTTAACATTAACCTTCAGGTATGTTGGAGACATGCAATAAATGCCCCTTTACTTCTTGATGAATAACTAGAAAACATTGTACACCATTATAGATACTCTAGATTCGTGGTTCCGAATTTTTAAATCAGCAATTAGTCATCTACGGGATATTCAGTGCAAGAATAGCACTCATAAATAATAGTATATTTTCCCCAGCCAGATGGATTAGATAGCTAATTATAGTGCTAGCTATTGCGGCTGTGGTCTCCAAGTATAAAGATATTCATAATAGTTAGACAAGGCTATATTTGGCAGTGTTTTGTTATTGCTATAATACAGGGAGAGCTTATGAGGTTATAATTTTTCTCATTAGTGGTGAAGAGAATGGAAAATGTGCTTGCATAAGTCTGTACTCGGCAAAAACAAACGTAGAGTCAGATGTGCAAAATTAGGTTTTCTTCAGAAAAATGAAATGAATGCAGTGGGTTTCCTTTTCTGAAAGACTTTGGGGTAAGATATGAAGCTGACCTTTTGAATGGGTATGAATTGTTTCTCAGATATACTTAACCTGACTTACAGGTAAATTTTCCTTCCACCCACTCAACAATACACAGCATCACCAAATTAAAGCTTGACAGTTACAGGTTTCCCGTGCTTGTTGTTCAAGAACTGCAACCATAATGAATTCTTCTATATTTGATGCACAGATCCCAAAGCCTAATGCCATGTTTCCTGAGAGAATGAAGACTCACAACCACCCCATATTACTCCTGTAATCTTTGAGCTAGGGGCTTAAAGATTAAATAATAATTTTTTAAAATTATGAGATAATAATTTTTAAATTATTTAATTTAAATAATTTTAAATCTCATAATTTTAAAATTATGAGATAATAATTTTTAAAAATTGAATCAATGTCTCCTAAAAGAAAATCTAAAAATCCTCAAGCCATCCTGGGCTTTATACACTCCTTGAGAAGAATTCTGGGTCCTCACGGTTAGCAATCAAGGGGGTCAAAATAAATTTAGAAATAAATTCAGTCAAAAACTCTTTTTTCTTTTTCTTTTTTTTAAGAGACAAATTTTCCTGGGATTGGGTTTTAATGGAACTGGGTTCAGCAAGTCCAAATTCTACCCTCTACTGGCTCATTCAGAAAAACCATTTTCTGTTTCAGTTTTGGCAGTTCTGTAATTAGGGTAATAAATTCACACTCAGGCCCACTGGGTCATAAAGGTCATAGAAAGGATCATTATATTACTGGCGGTAAAAAGAGAATCAGATTAAAACAGAGCCCTTCTTACATGTTTAACAACGTAAAAGAAAAAGATTATGTCTTAACTAATCAAAGTTAACATTACTAAAAATGGAGAAACTAACATAATGTACCTCCTGATATGATGTACGCAGAAGGACAGCAATTACTTCTTCAGTTTTCCTGCCAAAAATGCATAACCTGAATCTAATCACAAGGAAACATCAGCCAAATTCAATGTGGGGGACATTTTACAAAATAACTGGCTTTTAATTTTCATAAATATCAAGGTCAGAAACAGAAAGAATGACTGAGAAACTGTTCCAGACTAAAGGGGACTAACAAAACATGACAACTAATGCGATACGGGATTAGATCTTGGGCTGGAAAAACCAAATGGTTAGAAAAGATATTATAAGGCAATGGATGAAGAGAGGATATGGAACGTGGATTAGCTAATGATACTGTGTGAGTGTTAAATTTCCTGGTCTTGATAATCACAGTGTAGTTATATAAGAGGATATCATTTTTTTAAAAAAAGTAAAATATACGCTGAATATTTAGTAAGGGGCATAGTGTCTCCAAACTTACTCTCAAATGACTTAGGGGATAAAAGCCATAACTAGTGTTAGAGCTAGAAATAGAAATAGTAACAGAAATAGAAATGTGTATGTAGAGAGAGACATACAGGTATGTACAGCAAATGGAGAAAACAGAAAATGTAAGCAACCAGTGAACCTGTGTAAAAGATATACAGAGTTCCTTATACTATTATTGCAAAATATACAAATTAATTTATAATATAAAAAAGACTGCCATTGATTACAATAAACATTTTTTACACACCATTATGCAAGTCATTTTTTTTCTATCAAATCTTCCAAAGTGGGATTGGGGGATCGGGTAAAACTCCCTCACTTTAAAAAACAAGTTAAGATCCAATATGTGGGGAAAAAAAAAAAGATCCAATATATGGTGATTCAGGAAGAATAGTGATCTAAAGAAGTAGTTCTGGATTTTTTTCCAGTTATTTCATTCTGGCAAAGGGCATCTATGTGTAATGTACTCTTGTGTGTTTCTACTTAACATTATAAGGACCTGTAGGATTGACTCAGAGAATAGGGCTACTCTGAGGTGCTCCCTTGGGTGATAGCAGAAGCAAATAATTAATTCATTCAGAAACACAAGAATGTCATAAACAGGGTGTCCCTCCTCCCTTAGTTTTAATACTTCAAAAGCTGCTGCATTTATGAGGTAATTTGGGAGAAAAAAGAAAACATTAAAGTCTGGGACCAGATACAAAAGAAAAAGCTGGAACTGTCACCTGTTAGAATCTAAGGTTTGGGGCCATAGTGAAAGGTAATTGACTTCAATCTCCCTTCCCCAGAAGGGGTTACAGATACCAGCGAGGTGGAGAGGAGGCAGGTTCTACCTAGACTAGTGCATCCCTAAGATCCCCTGGGAAAGATAAACATTTGTTATTATTTTTTAAATGTAATTTTATTTTAAGTTCCAGGATACATGTGCAGGATATGCAGGTTACATAGGCAAACGTGTGCCATGGTGGTTTGCAGCACCTATCAACCCGTCACCTAGATATTAAGCACAGCATGCATTAGCTATTTATCCTGATGTTCTCCCTCCCCCGACCCCCGCCCCACGACAGGCCCTAGTGTGTGTTGTTCCCCTCCCTGTGTCCATGTGCTCTCATCGTTCAGCGATGAGTGAGAACTTGTGCTGGTTGGTTTTCTGTTCCTGTGTTAGTTTGCTGAAGCTAATTGCTTTCAGGTTCATCCATGTCCCTGCAAAGGACATGATCTCATTCCTTGGGCTGTATAGTATTCCATGGTGTATAATGTACCACATTTTCTTTATCCAGTCTGTCACTGATGGGCATTTGCATTGATTCCATGTCTTTGCTATTGTGAATAGTGCTGGAATGAACATACGCATGCATATATCTTCATAATAGAATGATTTATATTCCTTTGGGTATATACCCAGTAATGGGATTGCTAGGCCAAATGGTATTTCTGGTTCTAGGTCTTTGAGGAATCGCCACATTGTCTTCCACAATGGTTGAACTAATTTACATTCCTCCCCAAAAATATGTACATTTGTAAGAATATTAACAGTACCAGGTACTGGATGTGTGTTTCATTGTACTAAGTGCTTTACCAAATCCCTATTGACAGTACAAACCTCTATCTGAATTTCCTGCTCTTAATCGAGATTTTTAAAATATAATTTTCCCCCAAATTTCGGTTAAATATTTACATATCTGGTAGAATAAACTGACCATCTCAACCTACCCGAGCCCAACACACACACACACACACACACACACACCCCTCTTAGAATGGAATAAATCTAGCAATGAGGAAGAAACTACTTGAACCTGGTGCCAGGTGACACAGGCAGAGTGATTTTTCAGTTATTGGGAAAAACCTTAATGAAAACAGGCTCAGAAAAAAAGTCTACTGTTATTAATCCAAAAGAAGTAGAGTTAAAACTATACCAATAAGAGAACACACCCCCTATATAGACTAGACAAGCAATCTTTGGAAGAAATTGCTTTTCTCACAGAAAAATTAGATGGTCTCTAAGGAATTTCTGAAGGAAACCTGGAGGCAGGCTCTTCTGGAGGTGAGGTACCCCCCATGTCCCCACTGTCCCTTCCACCAGAGATGAGTGCATCTATGAAAGGGGGATCAGAGGAAGCCTCACTGACCTCCAGGTAAAGCCAGAGGCAGCAGAATATTACAGACTGAAGAGGTGGCTGGGTCTAGGGCTTTCTATCCTGGCAGCGATGGTGGGCAGAGATAGAAAGGGAGAGTGAGATGGAGAGGAATGACATCCAAACAGAGGAGAAGACAGGAGGATGAGTAGACAGAGAAATAGGCAGGAAGCAAGCCTTTGTGGAGATACTTTCTCAAAGGCCCCAATGTGGAGAACTTGTTTCCCTTCTGAGACATAAGAAAGGGCATTAACTTTTTTAAAAAGGTACGATTCCTGTTTCTGCCTCCAGCTCTCTACTGCTTTGGGTCATACATGAATCTTTCAGAAAGACAGTGATCTAAACCCTGTCCCAGCGGAGTCCAAGGAAGGTAGAAAGTTAGGATAAGGAGAGGTAGCCCCATTGTATAGGATGAGTATCTGTCCTGTCCCACAGTGGACTACTGGGTGGGGAAGAGCCACCACCAACTCTGGATCTTCTAGCCTGAGAGAAAGGTGATTTCCTAACTCCCTTGACTTTTCACCCTCTTCAGAGGGTCACCACAGATATCTGTATGAGGCCAGAGAGACTGGGCACTCCCATGGGTATAAGCGTATAAACCCTACTTGCAGTTTATGAAGTTTATCAAGTACCACTGGGCATGATGGTGTGTGCCCATAGTCTCAGCTATCCAGGAGGCAGAGGCAAGAGTATCACTTGAGCTTAGAAGTTTGCGGGTACAATGAGATATGAATGCTCCAATGCACTACAGCTTGGGAGGCTGAGCAAGACCCTGTTTAAAAAAAAAAAAAGACTTTTATCAAGTACGTAATATATAAAAACAATATCTGGGTTTAGACTGCCACAAAGTCTACTTATGCTCTTTCCTGCACATAGTGCAAAGTATTGCACCCTATGCATATTATGAATGATTGCTCTCAATACATAGAAGTGATTGCATACTTCAGCTGCGGCTGCTGCTTTCCCCCTCCAACTTTATTCTCCACAATTTGGAATGTTTCAGAGATCTTCAAACATGTCATGATCTTTCAGGCATCTATACATGTCCGTGGTTCCCTCTACCTCAAATGTCTCTCTTTTCTCCTCTGCCAGAAATTTTTTATTAGTCTGGGTTTTAGCCCATTGCAGCACATAGTATTTGTTCAGGAAGTGTTGATGGAATGAAAGAAAGAATGAGTGAATAATTCCCTTCTCCACTGTCTTAGAACGTTCTATATGTGTCACTCATTTTACTTATCACACTGTGTTGCTTCTTACGTATCTGCCACAGATTCTTGATGTCGAGCACTGCTGCCTGGCAGGATAAACCAATAGAAGAGTGCCTGAAATATAGCAAATGTTCAACAAATTATTGTTGAATTGATCTGAACTGTTCACTCCCTCTTGGACATCTGCTTATTCACTGCACTTGGGCACCTGTATGTCTGTATGCGGTGCCGTCTGTGTGTCTTTCCTCAAATGCAGGTGTTTTTGTAATATGGCTTTCTGGCTTGACGTGATGTGATTGTCTTGGGCAGAAGTTAGCATACTTCCAGTGTCCAGGACTAAGAAGTATATTTAGCTGGTTATTTTGATTTAGATTCTTCTATTGAACTCTAAATTTTTAGTTAGTTCAAGATCCAAGAACCTTTGGAAATGCAGACTCTACAGGACCATATTTCACCAACAAGGGCTTTTTAGTTCCAGCAGCCTTTGGAAGTCCCACGTGGCTCTATGCACTGTGCGATATCCAGGCAAAATGAATCCCCTTCCCTCACAACCTACGAGTTCTGGGCTGTAAGTCATGTCACGCCCTACATTGTATAGGAGGGAAATCCAGTACTTCCTTGAAGGGGAAGAGATATTCATGAATTAGCAACCTAGATGAAGGCAGGGTAGCAGAGCTGTTAGGAGAATTGATTTCGAAATTAGCCCTGAGGTTGAATCTCATCTCTATCCTTTGTCAGATGTGCAACTTTGGACAAGTTACTGAATTGCTCTTAGCCTCTAATACCTATGTCACAGGGTTTTCCTAATGATTCAGTCAGTTAATGCACATCAAACATGCAGCTCAGAGTAGGTACTCAGTAGCTGCTGGGTCATTCATCCAATTCAGGCTTACGGAGGCTGTGGCACCTCAGTCGGCTTAAGTGCTCTTGCTTTGATTTTGTATATAGAATCCCCTTAAAATCAGCAATTGTTGGTACCCCTACCCTATCCCCTTTTCTTCACTTTCTGACTTCTTGAAAAATCTAAGAGCTTAGCTTTTCCAAATGTGTGATCTGGAGCATCTCTTCTGTTCCAGGAGCAGCTTACAACCCCAAAGCTATCTAATGTCATTTGGAATGTTTTTGGCTATTATTAATTCAAATACTTTTCCTGCTTTATTCTTACTCTCTTTCTTCTGGGACTTCAATTACATATATGTTAGATGATTTTATATTGTACTATGAATTCTGGAGACTTTTATTTTTTGTCCACTTTATTTTTATTTTTTTTATTGTTTTTGAGATGGAGTCTCGCTCTGTCACCCAAGCTGGAGTGCAGTGGCGCCATCTCGGCTCACTGCAACCTCCGCCTCCCAGATTCAAGCCATTCTCCTGCCTCAGCCTCCTGCGTAGCTGGGATTACAGGCACACGCCACCACGCCTGGCTAATTTTTGTATTTTTAGTAGAGACAGGGTTTCACCAATTGGTCAGGATGCTCTCGAACTCCTGACCTCGTGATCTGCCCACCTCAGCCTCCCAAAGTGCTGGGATTACAGGCGTGAGCCACCACACCTGGCCCTGCCTCTCTACTCTTAAGATAAACCCTGGAGGTAAAGCTAACCATGGAAATTTCTCCCAAGAAGAGGATGGCATCCTTGATGTGAACAGCTTTTCCCGAGTTCACAGATTAAGACTTACTTCTATTATCATGAAACTCTTATCTTTTAATATTTTTTGCTTGCTTATTCCTCTATGAACATAGAAGTGGAAAAGGGGTCTGTTATGTGCACTTATGGGTATACTTTTATTTGTGAAGGGGTTTGTAGCCAGTCTTACGCATGGATAACCTTATACTTTGATAGATAAAAGACAAAGGCTGAATGCAGGTAAGAAACTTTAATGGTACATGTGTTGCCTCATAATCAGTCAAAAACAAAACATTGGTTCGCTCCTTTTAACCCACATCATGGGTTAAAGAGAACATTGCCAGAAGGCCTTCACTCTTCTAAAAGGGCATCATTTGTTAGGTCGTTTTTCCACAGTTTAAAATAAAAGAAGCAATGATTAGAAATGTATCCCTCATGAAAGGTTCTATAACAAATTCTGCTGTAAAGGCTACAGTTACACAACAGACTTTTAAATTCTCTTGTGAAAGTTATGTTAAATAATAGAATTAGCTAAACAGAAAAGTACCTGTACAGCTGCTGGCAATTTTGGCCTATGGGGAAATACATCAAATGAAGATTATAGAAATTCAGTGGTAGGGGATTGATGAAGAAATTGCTTAGTCAAATGAGTGAACTACCTAGCTCATTCTTTGATCTATTTAATTTTAGGAGATTTGGTTTATGGGGACCCTGGATAAGGAGCATATTCCAAACTCTTGGTATTATCCTCCCAATAGTCATAGTAATAGTCTCCCTGCTGCACTGTATTCTCTCAAAAATTTTAAATGCTTGCATGCAGCCATCTCTAGAATGTCATATAGTCTGTCTCCAATTTGAACGACAAGAGCTGAAAGAAATGTGCAACCGTGAGGACACCGTAACCTATGAATGACATGCTGAAATCGGAAACCCAAAATGATGGTAACTGAGAGTGGCACTAAGGCCGTAAGTTTTGGTCACACTCTCATGTAAGTAAGAACCTGACCAAAAAAAGGGGGAATTAAAAAAAAAATTCTGGGAGGCCATTGTTTTGGATTGAGCTCATACACTAGGCCCCAACAAACCAAACCAAAATAGAATTGCTCATGCTAAGACTTTAAGGAAGCACAGAGATTCTAGAACAGTCCAGGTTTTGTTTTTTTCCTGCTGCACATCTCTATAACAAACATTTCTGACAGCGTAGGTATCCGCTCCCTGAAGTTGCCATTAAATCTTTTAACCAAATTCATTTCCTGTTGCCTAGAGACCATCAAGCTTCAGATGATCATGCAACAAAAGTTCCAGGTGAAGACACCACCCCTGGCCATTTAAGGAGCTACCCTGCCACCAATAGACAGAGTAGGGTGAGAGTTCTGTGATCCTCAACAGGGACTATGCCCCAAGCCAGCATGAAGCAGTTACAGAAAAAAGACCATCGGTCCCTCTGACTCTCATAAAATGTATGGGGATCACATCTCTCAGTGGGGAGATGAAGCAGGAAAATAGGGTCTGGAGGCAGGGAACATAAGGCCAATTCACACTTTAGCTATGACAGGAATATCCTCTCCATTGGGAATAGAGCCAAGTAAATGACTTTGTAACTTTATGTCATCCTTTCCATTTACATAGGGCATACCCCAAGTAATCAGTGGAATCCTCTAGGGGGTATTTCAACTCCCAAAAATTCTGTAACGGGACCTTTTAGCTCCCAAGCTCAGGCCTGCTCCCACACCATGGAGTACTTTCATTTTCATTAAAACCCTTCTTTGTGTGTGTTGTCCAATTCTTTGTTCAACACGCCAAGAATCTGTACACCTTCCACCGTTAACACATATACTAAAATTGGAATGATACAGAGAAGATTAACATGCTCCTTGCACAAGGATAACATGCAAATTTGTGAAGTGTTTCATTTAAAAAAATCATAATTTTTTTTAAAAAGAAAAGAAAATGAAGAAAAACTAATAAAAATAAAAACAAAAATAAAAATATTCCTGGCTACACACAAAAGATTTGGCTATGAAAATGTTCATTGCAGCCCTATAATACACATGTATAGACACAATTTTTATTATTATAATGAGATAACTGTAATATAGCTTAGTAACCAAAGCTCCTTCTGAGTAGGGTGATTAGGGTGATTAGAGGAGATTCTGTTTTTATTCTCTCTCTCTTGTTTTTCTCCCTTGATTTCTACTGTGGACATGTGCTGTTACAATAAAGGGAATAATCCAAATAAAGCATTTGCAGAAGGGATAAATTCTCACCCCAGAGGTAGTTTGTCACTGGTTGGCCATGAGTGATGAGGCAGCAAAGATGCCATAAATAGATGGGAATAGGGATCTCAATATATTTCTTTGTGTCCTGAAGCATTCTCTGCTAAGTGTTGCATGATTGGTACAGATGGTAAGTGGTACAGGAGATTAGAATCTCTTTCGGGATTGGCTCAGGGTTGGGGTGAGCCTTGTGCACCAGGAAAAAGAACGGCATTTTTTCTTTCTTTTCTCTTTCTTTCTTTTCTTTCTTTCTTTCTTTCTTTCTTTCTTTCTTTCTTTCTTTCTTTCTTTCTTTCTTTCTTTCTTTCTTTCTTTTTCTTTCTTTCTTTCTCTCTCTCTCTCCTTTCTTTGTTTCTTTCTTTCTTTTTTCTTTTTTTTTTTTTTTTTGAGATGGAGTTTCACTGTTGTCACCCAGGCTGGAGTGCAATAGCGTGATCTCAGCTCACTGAAACCTCTGCCTCCTAGGTTCAAGCATTTCTCCGGCCTCGGCCTCCCGAGTAGCTGGGATTACAGGTGCCCATCACTACACCTGGCTAAGTTTTGTATTTTTTAGTAGAGACAGGGTTATGCCATGTTGGCCAAGCTGGTCTCGGACTCCTGACCTCAGGTGATCCACCGGCCTCAGGCTCCCACAGTGTTGGGATTATAGGCGTGAGCCACTGTGCCTGGCCAAGAACTGTATTTTCTAGAAGCCCAGGCTAAGTCTGAGGTTCATGGAGTCTAACATCTATATTGCTTGGAAAATGCAGCTTTTGGATTTTAGGTATCAACTTCTATCTTTGGGGTTGGGAAAATCCTTGAAATTTTTAGCTGCAGAGGGAATCCACGAAGAAACGGAATGTGGGAAATCGAAGGGAATGCAGAAACAGTCCTGCAGGCACACTGCAACCCATGAGATCCTAGGTGCTAAGAGTTCACTGTGTACAGTAAACTGTTCTGAGGAGTGTTAGATTTTTCCTTTTTTAAGAAATTCAAAACACACTTCAAAATATATTGCTCCACTATTGTTTTACAAGCAACTTCTAAAAGGCTGAGGCATCTGCCCTTGGTTTCTGCGCCTCTGTTGGGCAACATTATGAAGCTTGTATAGCTGAATGCTGACAGGTGAGTTGAAAATCGTTACAATGACAGTTAGGACCCAATGTTGTGCAACAGTGTCTGGCTCCAGGTTCCCAGTTTGGATCTCAAGGAAAGGAAAGTCTTCTATCTGATATGTTTTGGATGTGTACACGGGGCTGGAGGTTGAGTGGGTGGGAGTGGGAGACATGGGAGCGTAGGAAGAGGAAGACACGTGACTCTGGATATTAACCAGCTGGTGAAGGAAATTTTTAAAAAGGAAATGGAATTTATTACCTAGCCCTTGAATAAGCAGTAAGCTGGGAGACCATGATTTAGGTTAGGGATAAGGCAGTGGGTGGCATCTTGCTGTCCAGGGAAGAAATTAGAGAGTCATAAATATATATACATATATATTATATATAAAGGAAAGAGGTTTTATATATATTATATAAAGGAAAGAAGTAAGGAAGAAAAGAAGGAAGGAAGGGAGGGAAAGAGAGAGAAAGAAAGAGAAAAAGAAACAATTTCAATGCCATTGGCAAACAATCAACCATGAGTAATAGTCCTTGTTAAAGAACACAAAGCTGATATTGACAACTTAGAAAATAAATTTTTATCTTCATTTGGAATTTCTAAAAAGTTTTTTTTTTTCCAGTGAAGGTGAGTCCTGGCTAACTGAACAGTATTATCTAAAAAGTAGTTCCGTTTTCCCACCTCTGGCAGCACTGCTGTTGTTTCAAAAGATTCCTCCATGATGGAAACCCCTTATAAGGTCCAGCACCCTGTGTTCACCACCAGTGTGCTCCACAAAGTGAGCAGGAGGAAAACGTGTACACCTCATTGGCACGATCTGTGTACAGTGTGCTGGGCAGTAACTGGTTAACCCCCAAAGGCCACAACTTCTTCAGTACCAAGTGGGAAATAAAAGAGACTACTCTCATCTGCCCTATAAATGACATGACTGATTGGCAGCCAATGGCACACAAACTCCCTGAGAAGTGGGGGTAGTTCCATGGATATTTAAGGCTGTAAGTCTTGAAGGAGAGGAATTGAGGGGTTCGTGCTCTCTCTAGGACCACCTAGCTAACAAAGGCCTTTATTCTAGACAAGGAGAAGCCCATTTCAACTACTGGAGATCCAGTTACCATTCAATACCTCCCTCTTAATTAAAATGTAAACTTCTGAACATAGAAGTTTGTGGTCAATCAACACAAAGAGGCTGATTATCCCAAAAATCTACTTTTCTGGAAGTAAATGTTCAAATGGAGATGATCAAGTCATATTACCTAAGAAAGGTTATAGGGGACTTTTGGAGACTTCTTTTGGACTTATACATCTAGATTTTATTTCCTTTTAACCATCTTAATAGATTTTTTTCTGCATCCAGAGAATTAGAATTTAGAAGTGTTGAAATATAGCCAGGTTTGAGCTTGTATAGAAACTGCTTTTGGAGCACATGCTGTTCTTAATTTGTTAGTAATTAGAAGTAATTACTAAACAGCTTCTGCCAGAAGTGAAGAGTTCTATGTTATCTTTGATACATAATAAATGACTCAGGGTAGACCCACATTAGTTTGCTTATCCATGAATCAAGAATAATTTAAGTCAATAATAAGAAAATAGTAGATAAAAAGGAAAATTAAACTTTCAAACAGCAGTTCCAAATGTTATGGAAAATGAATGAGATTGTAAAAGGTGAATAAAAAATGCAATCTGGTTGGAGTTTGGTTGTGCTTGCAAATTCGTTAAGCGTTTTTTTCTGAAACTTGTTCTACAGAATGTTAATGCCAAGAAGCAAGTGCAATGAAATCTTAGGCCTTGGGCCAGTGGGAGGCCTACTTCTACTCGTTTCAGTTCTTGCTTTCTCACATTAAGTCTGGCAGCCTCAGGTCATGGCATCATTTCCTTTCAGAAAACCCAAGTTATTGGTACTGCTGAAGTTTTGCTGTCTATTTTCTTGGCAAGGTTTCTGCAACTTCCTTTTAGGAAAATAGACAGATGGGAAGATGGATTCAAGCACAGAATCGGTGAATCCAGGTAAGGTCAAATTTTGCTTTGTGAGATGCCCTTCCCTGGGCCAGAAATATTAATTAGGCAGTAGTGACACCAGCTGGTCTTCCTGGGAATCTTCCCTCATGTAATTCATTAGAAAATGAACAGATTTTTATGGTCTGCTTAAACTGTATTAGGTACAGTAAAAGCTACATGAGAAATGGAAAGGCCCTGATCTTGAAGGGTTTATCATCTGAGAGGTATTAAAATATATATAGATGCTGTCTCGACCCTATAGTACCCACTCATCACTCTAGAATTTTGTCTCAGGAGGTTAGGACAAGGAGAAGGGCCTGGTATCTATATTTTTCTGAGGATTCTGATGATCACTCAGGTTTGGGGAGTGATCAAGAGAAAAACTGATTGCTAACATACCTGGAGAAATACTCTAGAAGTCAGAGAACAAAAGAACCATAGGAATTCAGACTAAGCAAGATGATGTTTGTGTGAGGTAATCAGAGAGGCTTCCAGGAAGAGGAGATTCTTGTAGATTTGTGTGAAAAAGCAGAGAAGTTAAAAAACAATCACAGTAATAAGGTAGTATAATCAGGGAGGTATTCCAGGATGGGGGAAAGGCATTTTATTCCCTACACATACTGTTCAATAATGCTCTAACTCTCCAGTTGAATTTCGGTTTTCATTCAGGATTCTTCTGGAACAAACGAAATGTTCTCCAATCTGTACTTTCAATACCTAGAGTAATAATATTTACCCTGATTTTTCCAGATGTGTCATTCAGCATCTGGCCAGAAAAACAGAAACCACTCTAGATGTTTCAAATAAAAGGGATTTACTACAGATTTTGGTATTACGGGCATTGGAACAGATAAGCAAGGGAGCTAAAGAAGCAAAAAGGGAAAAGGGTGACATTCCGAGATTAGTATCTGTAGAGAGCGGCTACCAGCCTTAGGAACTGGGGGAATGAAACTGAAGAGGAGCTGTCAAAGTCCAGGAGCAGGCCTTAAGGGATTCCACCCAGCCTGTGCTGGGACTGCCAAGGATGGTCTCCCTAGCCACAGCCGGGACCAATTAAGGGCAGTTCCAGCAGAACCTTGGGTCACTGAAGGGGCACAGCTACTTCCAGAACCAACAGCAGAAACAAAGAGAGTATAAGAAAGAAATAATGGCTCTTCCTCTTGCCAGACATAACAGAAAGCCAGGTAGTAAAGGAGTCTGGAAAATGGAGTTTGTGGATTCCCACAGCCCCAGCAATACAGACAGGATGGAATAAGGTGAAAGTGCAGCTCAGGGGCAGCAGGTAGACAACTGATGCACCAAGTAAAATGAATCAAGAAGTACTTCCTTCAGGAAGACAAACAGGCATGCCCCAGTTGGAGGTTCATGCATGCAGATATTAGTACCAAAATGTGCGTGAGTGCTGTGTTCATAAAATCAGAGAATGAAACCTGTAAGGCTTTGTGAGTACTATGTGACCATGCAACTCTTATCTTTTCCTGTGTTAACTTGATTTACCCATCCATTTGTCCGTCCGGTTGGTGCTTATTATATATCAGATACTGTTAGGCTCTGGGGATCCAAAGATAATGTCATAGAGCCCTCTTTAACTACCTTATGAGCCAGGCAGACAGTGAAAAAATTTGATAATCATGAAAATACTGCAAGCAATAATCATGTAATTCATTCTTTATACTTTTCAAAGTACTTTCTCATCTTCTATCCTAAAATTCCTCTAAGATACTTTTTAAAGATATTTTCATGTTGAACTCATTTTATTTCCCCACCACCAAATTTTCCATGAAGATTGTATGTCATTTTCTTAAAAATGTAAAGTCATTCACATTTTTACTGTTTTCTCACTTACTTGGTTCTTCCTCTCCTTTTTGATGAGTAAGATTTCCCCTCTGACCAGTGACTACTGAATTTCTCCTATCTTTTTACCCATCAACAATTTGACCATCCCTGAGACTACTTACCCTCTGGCCATTTCTGCCTGTCCTCCCACATTTTTCTTCTAATTTTATATGGCTTATTTTCCTCTTGGGTTTGTACATTTTCCTCCATTGTTTTCACTAACTAGCTCCTGTGGATCCACCTTAGAGACATTTTGAGAGATAAGACATTGCAGGGAGTCCTTCTCTTCTCGTTCTATTCTTGGGAGGGTCTTGCATCTCCCATCCCAAAACTTTATGTTGAATTAAATCCACATTCTCCTTTCTACCAGTTTCTTTCGTACTTTATTTAAAAATTTTAACAATATGTTCATATTTGATTGGTAATGACCAGTGTTTCTCAAAGTATTCTCAAAGAACTACTTGCCTCTGAATCAGCCAGGTAGCTTGCTAAATATCCAGATTTCTTGGCCAACTTCAGTCCTATTGACTCAGAATCTCTGGTGTGAGGCCCGGAAATCTGCATAGTTAACAAGTTCTCCTATGTGATTCTGATTATGCAAAAGTGTGAGATGTACTGATAGAAATCTTTGTCTTCAGCTCTGACATTTAAATTTTTATCTTCTTTGGTGCTTTTGAAAATATTTTTGTTGTTAACAATACTCTGTTGTCACCTGACTTCCTTGATGGGCAGTAATAATTTGAAGTTTGCCCCCTTATTTCTGAAATCATTTTGCTTAGAGCCAATTGTTATCTTTGTGTATGTGTGTGTGACAGAGATTTTTATTACATATAATAGAAGATTTCAAATAACAGCAGAGAGTTATTTAAAAAAGAAACAGTTAAATACATGTCTAATTAGCAGGCAAGAAGGCAAATTTATTCTGTTAGAACTTCTTAAGGAAGAGTCAATAATGAACCAATTATAATTCCTTCTCCTAGCTGTATACAGCCAAGATGCCTTCTAGGTTTGAAACCTTGTCCCACAATGCTCCGGTGGAATAGAGCAGATATTGATGCACTACAGATAGTGAAAATGAGACTCAGAAAGAGTAGGTGACTTGTGGATGGTAACATAACTAGTTACTTGCAAAGCCAAGATTGGAACCCAAGTCCTCCTGGGGGTCTTTCACTCTGTCTGCCTCTAAGACAGACCTCCTTTTTTTTTGGTTTGATGTCTATGCTAAAACACATACAGATGCATACACACACATACACTCCTATTCTTTGCAATATAATATGATGTGTGTCAAATATTGGTCCTTTTTGCACCTGTCTTTTGCAAAAGCAAAGTGAGCTCCTTTCTTCAAGAGCAAAAAGATATTTGAAAATACCTCTGTCATTGCTAGGGACACTGCGAATGAATATGTTTTATTCCCTGAGTGGTGCTGACTGCAAATGGAGCGGGATGGTGTACACTGAAGTGAAGCAAATAGTCATGATAATTTCAAGGTCCACTGAAACAGCAGAAAACAAGTCAACTGCCACCACCCAATGGCAATGAAATAACTCAAGGTTTAGCTCCCAGATCCTGAAATCTCATCAACTAAAAACATCTTATAAGCATTTCCACATTTGATCTCCCATCTCTAGATAGTTTGCACTAAAAGAAGGGACTAATGTTGTCAATCTTCCAAAAGGGCTGAAAAATCCAGAGGCATTTAGAGTCAGCTTTGCAATATGTTGTTATCTTTAGCATTTGAATTTGGGATTAATATAGTTTGAGAAATTATAACATTTTAAATAACAGTAGCATGGTGTTTTGCCAAACCCCTATTAACCTCAGTAGGGAAGGCACCAGGTTCAAGAGGCTGAAGAAGAGACCCATAGCCAGCAAATGAGACATGGGGTTTTATTAGGAGCTTACATAGAGGGGAGAGAGTGCAGTGGTGACAGGCTGGATAGGAGAACTGCCTTATGTACAGAAATGGTACAGTGATGGGGCGCTGGACAACATATCCGCCTTCCTACAGTCCAGTGGTGGTGGGATGGATAACATAACGACACGGCCGAGAGGCTGCAGGTTAGGCAAGAAAACCACAAGCACTTGAAAACAGCACGGAGCTTATATAGCATTTTCACTTAACACTCTTCCCTTAACAATCTCCACCTGTCAGCCTTCATTTAACCCAAAACACTTGGCCTCAATCCCCTTCATTTAACCCAAACACTTGGCTTGATGGGGGCTCAGATGTACCTCATAGAGGAAGAATCAGTCTCCAGGTCGGCCATGCCCAGATTCCCTAACTTGGAGCACACATTCAGGTGCTTCTGCCATACAAGCTCATTCTAAAGGTGTGTTTAAGTTATTGCTCTCAGGGAAGTTTACCCTACACATGCTATCAAGAACCAAGAAATAATATGTGCCTTTCTCATTCTGCCTCTGGATTTAGGATTTCCTTCTCTACATAGTCCATATTAGGAATAGTGGGTGATTTCCCATTGCACCAACCAAAATGGAATCTCTCTTTCTGTTTTCATTATATATATAGTTATTGTACCTATTTTGTAGGATTGATGTAGGGTTGCCAGAGAAAATACAGGTGCCTAGTCAAATTTCAATTTCAGATAAATACATTTTTGGTATAAACATATTTTAAGGCCTTCTCTTCCTGGTTCTTCCCAGAGTCAGGAAAAGCTGGACTGAGAGGGTGAAAGAAAAAAATATAAACAAACAAAAACATGTTTTAAATATTTTGGAGAAACAGTGAATATGTTTTCAGTGTATCTGAAATATTTCTGATAAACATTGAATAATTGCACCTGGGATATACTTATACTAAAAAAGTGTTCATTGTTTATCTGAAACTGAAATGTAACTGGCATTATGTAATTTTATTTTCTAAACCTGGCAACCCAGACTGAGGATTAATTATATATATATATAGTATCTGGCACATAGTAAATGCTCATTAAAATTACTTTCATAATTGAGCTTCTACACACCCTCATAAGTGGTAATAATTAGCATTTGTATATTACTTTACTATCTCCAAAGTCTTCTCATGTTCACGATCATTCTAATCTTTTAATGGTTCTGTGGTATACCCATTTACCAGATGAAGGAGTTAAGCCTCATACACATAAGTTTTACTGGCTGCAGAGTAATCCATGGTATGCTTTACAATCTTATAGACATGTATTTTTGAATATTTAATATTGGTTGCTATTATAAATATTATTAAATGAACTTCTAAGAGCATGTTTTTTACAACTACGTTAAAAACTTCTTAGGTTAGAGATCACGACTGTTTTTTCCTCCATTGCCCAACTAAAAGTAATACTCAGTAAATATTGCCTAAACAAGTGCAACTTTCAGATTATTGCTAGCTTTGTCTAATAATGAAAAAATAATATTAATAGCATCTTATACTATATAACAATAATATTATTAGTGTCTTGTAATAATGTAAAACCAGCCATATTCTAGATGGCCTACATTTCATAATAGAATCTTCACACTACTTTGCGAAATAAGATAGCATTATTACCCTGTATTAGGGTTCTCCGGAGGGACAGAACTAGCAGGATATATGTATATATGAAAGGGAACTGGCTCACAGGATCACAAGGTGAAATCCCACGATAGGCCGTCTGTAAGCTGAGGAAGAAAGAAGCCAGTAGTGGCTCAGTCCAAAGCAGGGAAGGCTGTGGCCAAAGGCCTGAGAGCCCCCAGCAAACAACTGGTGTAACTCCAAGATTCCAAAAGCCAAAGAACCTGGAGTCTGATGTCCTAGGGTGGGAGGAATGGAAGGAAGCATCCAGCATGGGAGAAAGATGAAAGCCAGGAGACTCAGCAAGCCAGCTTATCCCACCTTCTTCCTCCTGCTTTGTTCCAGATGCGCTGGCAGCCAGTTGGATGGTGGCCACCCACATCGAGGATGGGTCTTCCTCTACCAGTCCTCTGACTCAAATGTCAGTCTCCTCTGGCAACACCCTCACAGACACACCCAGAAACAATGCTTTACCAGCTATCTAGGCATCCTTCAATCAATTTGACACCTAATATTAACCGTCACAAACCCTGTGTTACAGATCAGGACTTTGAGGCACAAAGGGGTCAGGGAATTTTCTGCCAAGTTATTGGGCTAGTAAGTGGTGGGGCTGGGAGGCAATCTCAGGTGGTCTGGCTCAGAGCCTGCATCCTTTGCCATTGCACTAATCAGCCTCCAGCAGTGGAATCAGTGGCTCAAAGAACACGCGCATTTGCAAGCATCCTGATGCATATTGCAAAGTCACCTTCTGCAAAGACTGTGCCTGTATACTCTCCCACCAGAACACAGGAGTATCTCAGTGTAGCCTTTTCAGCATTGAGTATTCTCATTAAAACTTTTTTCTCATATTTGATAGGTTAAAAATAGTATCTAATAGTTTTTGTTATATTTATTTGATTACAATAGGTTGAGCTTTCTTTTTTGTCAGGGTGAAAAAGTTATATTTCTTCTTTTATAAGATGTATATTTACATTAGTACCCACTGGCATATTAGGACGGAACCAACTACCTACATGACTTCTATTTTCGTGACTTGCTAATGACTTACAAAAGTCAGGTTTGCTTGTCTTTTAGCTTTGTGTTTGGACACTTGGCTTATAAAGTTTAAACATAAATAGAAATATGTCAGTCTTTCCTTTGTGGTTTCTTCTGTTGCTCTTGTGTTTAGAAAGAGAGCATATAGATTCTACTTTTTAAACTGAATAATGTCTTCCATTGTTTTTTCAAAGGCTCTCCCCAGGAAAAACAATCTTCAGCCTCTGAAATCTCTCCTTGGATACTCCTAATGCTTTAAATTCTTGACACCTGAAAAGATGAATTAGTTTTTCTTTCGTAAGTTTTCCCCACCAACCTGTTTCCTTCCTAACATCTTCCCCTGAAAGGAACCATTTGTCTCTGCTTCAGGGACAATCTCTCCACCAGAGTCATGCCTGAGAACTTTGAAGGAGCGCACACCAAACCCCACCCCAACTTTTTTTCAATCCAGATTGCTAACCCAACTGTTCTGAACGATCATAAGGCTTTATATTTTGTCTGGTGTTTCAGCAGAATTCAGCATATGTCTCATATGTGACCTCAGCATTCCTGTGAAGCTCACAGCTCAGGGACTCACTTTCTTTTACAGATGAACAAAGACTGAGAAGTTAAGTGAGCCAATGAAACGTGTAGCTGGCACTAGAAACTGGTTATTCTAATGCCTGCTCTTGTGATCTTTGTACTATTCCAAAGTTTCTTAGGAATGACTTACTATCACGACAGGAGAGCTAAAGACTCACACAACCATGTTTTCTGTCAAGTACTAGTGTTTTAGAAGGTTCTAAAACTTTCCCACTCGCACTGACTGTTATTGGTTGGCAACAGGAAATACTCTTAACATTTGTTTTATGTGCACATATTTTAAAAAGCCACTAGACAATGATGAGCATGTTTTATGACTGTAGAAGCAAACATTCCATAAGGAGGGACGTGTAGTTCTACTTAGTTGTTACTTTTTACATCCTTACACATTATAAAGCCATGTGTCTGTGGATTATCTTTTGTTAGCCACAAGATGGTACCATTGCACAACCTAGAGAGAGCATCAGTCAGCTGAAAACATCTTCAGAAAGATTAATCTTCAATGTAGCACAAACACAGAAGAAACCTTACATTTATATTATAAAACAGTCGCAAATTGTTTTCATCCTTCATTAAAGGTATAAAGGAAACTTGTATATACTATAATTTGATATATCCCTTTTCTCTCTGTACCCACACTCTCAACCTGAAAAAAGCCAAAGTTCTGTTTGTTCCACGAGAACTTTGTGATCTCCTTTACTTCTACTGAAGGAGATATTTGTCATTCTGATGTTGGGAGTTCATTAGACTTGATTGTAACTCCCCTTCCCTTCAAACCTCTTTTGAACGAGGCTGATTATAGGAGGTCAGCACTCCTGAAAGAATTCCAAATTCATTTTTGCAAAGTGGGAAATGACTAAGAACAGTGGGTTCTGTCAGGATAAGATAGGATTTGCATTTAAGATCAAGCAGAGAGCAATCAAAGCATCATTTTATAATAATAGTGAAAAGTTAGAAACAACACAAATGTCCAACAGTAGGGGGGTTGAAATAATCATCTAGCGGCAAACTGTTGCAAATTGTAAATAGCAAGCTGCAGAATAATATTTCACCACATAGAAAAATGCTCGAGATGAGTTGTCAGGTGGAAAAAAATGGATGGCAAAATAGTATATTCAATTGTGTGCACATATGTGCATGTGTGTTGATGGCAGATGCGTGCAATAAATAAGTGACGGTGGTTCTCTCCGAGTGTAGCTAATTGACTTTCTTGGACGTTTGAGTCTTGTATACATTTTTTATTATAAGCCTGCTTTATGTATGTGATCATTCATCTAGAAGATGAGAGGGCTTTGCTGCCAACTTAGGTCTCATTCTCTTCCTCCTGGTGGAGAAGACAAGATGCCCTGATTGACAGCCTTGTCGGAACCACACAGAGGAGGAAGGGGGAATAGTTCCCCAAGAAAGGGATGTGAGAGAGACAGCCGCCATGTGTGAGCTTTGCCTGGACAGGCTTAAGGGCATCTTAAGGGCTTCAGGCTGAGCCTGTGTGAGGGGCTCTTTTAGAGACTGGCCAATAATTAGTTGGAAATCCTATCCATATTAGACCCAATATTGGTTCTTTTGAAATATGCTATAAGGTGGAAGTTTCAAGATAGCAAGGAGCCCGGAGAACAGTCAAAAGTATCCACAGCAGCCCTTTCCATCTTTTTCCTTTGCAGGGATAGATAAAGCAGGGAGTAAGATATAGAGGATTTAGCCCATAACAGCCATTGCTTCAGAGAAGGGGAGTTGTTCTAATTCATTTTGTAACTTCTCTTGGAGGAGAAATACCTGATGGTGCTGGCATCCAATTAGAAGGCAGTATCACTGAAGCAGTTTCAACAAGCAGGTCCTTCTCTGCCCTTCAGTAGCAAAATTAAATAGAGGAATACAGGTGGACAGATTTCGTGTATCCGCCAAAAGCATCACCATTACCTATTCCATTCGTTGCAAGATGTGAAATGTAACTGTTAAAAAGGTGCCCATGTATGAAGTAAATTGTTCAATAGTCACAGTTTGAAAATTACATTTTCGGCCAGGCGCGGTGGCTCACACCTGTAATCCCAGCACTGTGGGAGGCCGAGGCAGGCAGATCACGAGGTCAGGAATTTGAGACCAGCCTAGCCAACATGGTAAAACCCCGTCTCTACTAAAAATACAAAAATTAACTGGGCGTGGTTGTGCGCATCTGTAATCCCAGCTACTCGGGAGACTGAGGCAGGAGAATTGCTTGAACCCAGGAGGTGGAGGTTGCATGAGCCGAGATCGTGCCATTGCACTACAGCCTGGGCGACAAGAGCAAGACTCCGTCTCAAAAAAAAAAAAAAAGAAAAGAAAATTATGTTTTCCCCTAGATAACAAAAACTCATTAATTTCTAAGTGTTAGGAAGTATTTTTTTAGCTCCCAAAAGGATAACTTGGCCAGGGAGTTTGCATCGTATTTAAATATTTCAAATTGATTATTGGTGTAAATTGAGTGGTCCCAGAAATACGTGCAGCTTCAACAGTTTTTCCCCCCAGAGCAGTTTGTTCCCCAATGCTGGATGTGGATCAACTCTATCAGAACCATGTGGAAAGGATTTAACCTCCCATCCGCATCCCCTACTACTCCCAGATTCTGAATTAGTAGTTCTTCAGTGAATCTTGAGATTTCCCAATTTCCCCCAGGTGATTCTGAAATACAGCCAGGATGGGAAACTACTGATTTAGGTGAAGGGGACCTGGAAGCTGTTAACTGCTCATACTCTGCCTTAATGCATGCGTGATCAGTGATGTCTGAGAATGGCATTCTAGGTACACCAGGTACTATCAGGAAAGTTCAGTTTTATATAAGTAAGCATCATTTTGAGATGGGGAAATCACAAAAGCCCGTATTTTTCTGTGCTTGGAACTTAGGAAACAGGGAAGCCACTTTTCTGGGGGTTATCCCTAGTTCTGAGATAGGCCATTTAATATTCCAACTTGTGTTTTTCTTTATGGTACATTTTTGCTTTCTGCAAACTTCTGTGCAGTACCTACTAGTACCAATCACTGCACAAGGCCCTGAGGTAGATAGAAATATCAGCCGTTCTCCTTGTTCCTGAGAAGTCACTGCCCATTAGAGGCTGGGGAAGAATGGTGGAGTCCCTATCATTGCTTAGGGTAATACCTGCCAAAGTGGCAGGAGGTGAGAACGTAGGTGAAATAAGGATAATAGCACAAGATTCCTTCAAAAGTTAGATGAGCTATCATAACTTTATAGCATCTTCCCTTGATTCTATTTTTAGGAGTCTTTAGGAAAATCATGTATTTAAGCAGATCTGGGTCTCCCCAAGCCACAAGACTTTCTCCGTTTGGTCATCGGTCCCTAAGATTAGTTAAATTTAGAAAGTCTTAAATTTGACGCAAATTCCTTAAGTTAGAATTTAGGTGCACGCGCTGTGTGATTTTTTTTTTTTTTTTTTTATTGGAGGGTCACTGTGCAGAGGAGTATTGCCTCCTGAAGTGTAAAAGCCAGATAGAGGAGGTGATTTGAAGTATCGACTCTGGACTGGTTGGTTTGCATGTTGAAGACATGCTTACAGGCAAGTTGATGTTTGCTATCTCTAGGAATTAGCTAACCATGGGAGGGGCAGTACCACCCCAGATCCACAAAGCCCCAAGATGTCAAAGCACCATCAAATACAGAAAATAAAATCAATGATTAATACAACCTGGTTAAAAAATAAAGTTATTAAAAGTTTCAAGATGGCAACAGCAAAGCATTAAACCAAGCCCATCTGAGCACGGGGTCCTGGCAACTGCACGGGTGGTACATACATGATGAAACTGGCACTCTCTCTTTCTTCATCTGGAATTCTTTCTAGACTAATTCCTCCTGCCTCAGGACACTTCGGCCACCCTTCACAGCATAAGCAGAACTGGTTCAATAGCAGTTACTCAGTCATATCTTCAAAATAACAGGGATCCCACAGGAGAGGAGGGGGCAAGACCCAAGACCAGACCTATTCATGGAGGCTGGACCAGAAGGGGGCTGACAAAAACCCAGGTGCAATTATGGCCAGAGAAGGGGTGAGCAGACAGGCAGAGCTGAGCATCGAAGTAGGTGGGAGGACACAGTTCAATTCTGGATGCGTTTATTGTGTGATATTCAAAAGAACTAAGAAGTGGCCTCTATCTTTGAAGCAAAAGTTCAGATCTTCAGGGCAACTGGAGCCAGGCTAAGGATTTTAAATTCATTTTGTAGGAGATGGGGACCCACTTTAAAGCCTAAGAGAAGTAACGTGGTGTAATTTCTGTTTTGCAAAGATGACTTTTGCCACAATGGAGTAGTGAGTAGTGAGAGAGATGAGGCAGGGGGCAGAGGCCAGTTGAAAGGTTGTAGTGGTAGTCCTATACCTAGTGGATCCCAGTGAGAGATCAGCAAGGAGGGGCACAGGCTGGGGGTTAGGGGTGGTAGGGTGTCCCCATTGGCAAGTCTAGGCAGCGAAAACCATCTGAACTGCTGTTACTGGGCCAGGATTTGTGAACAAGACTCCAACCTTCGAGTAAAGGAGTTTGCAGAGCAACACAGGCCACATACAGAAGTTCAAAGGAAAGGCTTAGCACTTATGGGGAGGAGGAGCCTGGGGCTTAGGACGACTGAGGTCATATCCAGTGGAAGAAGTGGAGTGGGCCTTCGGGGACAGCCCATAAGAGGGACTGACTCAGCCATGCCTATTTCCCTACAGTGCACTATGGTTACTTAAATGCCTCCTGTCCCAGTCAGCCAGGATTTGTCCTGAGCAAGCGCTGAATCAGCCGATGGAAATTGTGTTTCCCTTTGTGAGGAACAGAGGAGCTGCCAAGCCTAGTAACCAGGCCTGACCAAATGGTTTATGCATGCATTTTTAAAAAGAACCAAAAAATTATATTTTTTTCTTATTACAAAAATTAGAATTTTAGACAATACAAGTGAATAAAATGAAAAAGCCAAGGAAAGTATAATTCTACCCAACCCAGGTCACTGTTAACATTTGAGGGCTCACATCTTCAGTAGCTTAATCTTTGCAATTTTCCTTCTTAATTTACAAAAATAGGAGTCTTTTATGCTATTTTGAAGGCGTTATGATATCTTTTGCCTTCTGAGGTTTCACTAATTTGTGGTTCCTATATATTCATATGTCTTTATTTTGAGTGTTTCTGGAAGCAGGAGCAGGTCTGCTGTTTTCTTTTGAATTTCCAATGTACGTTGAGAATGGGTGAACTTCATACTTTAATTGAATGAAAGGATATAATACTATGCTAAATTTAATTAATTAAAAATAATATATTTTATTTATTACAGAATATAAAATACACTCTATTATGTATATTAAATACATATTAAATATAGCATGTTTAATATTTAGAAATCCTGATATTATGCAGCTTCCGTTCTTCTGTCCTTCCACACGAGGCACAGTTTCAGATCTATCATGATCCAGAGAAAAAGAGGGTGTGATCAAATCCAAATCCTCAAAGGTCTTGACAATTTGGAATAATGAAGGAAAGGAACCAAACTTAAGGAGATTTAACTAAGTGAGATGAAGTCCTATATTTACAGCTGAAAATCTAACGAGAACCCAAGAAACACGCAACACTGGGCTAGAGACAAGGCAACACCCCATGGCTCTCAGGGAAGGGTAGGAGGAGCAGGGCTGCTGTCCTGGAGGAGTCTGAGGAAGTGATGCTGCTCACTCATCTGAAGACTGTCACATGGAAGGGGAGGGCCCCACTGATCCAGAAACCCAGGACAATTTGAACTTTTGGTTATATTGTTTTTTGTTTTTTGGTTGTTTTTTTTTTTTTTTTTTTTGAGATGGAGTCTTGCTCTGTCGCCTAGGCTGGAGTGCAATCTTGGATGACTGCAACCTCCACCTCCTGGGTTCAAGTGATTCTCCTGCCTCAGCCTCCTGAGTAGCTGGGATAACAGGCATGCGCCACCAGGCCCGGCTAATTTTTGTATTTTTAGTACAGACGGAGTTTCACCATTTTGGCCAGGCTGGTCTCGAACTCCTGAATTCAAGTGATCTGCCTGCCTCGGCCTCCCAAAATGCTGGGATTATGGGCATGAGCCACCTTGCCAAGCCTGATTCTCTTGAATTCCTTTTGCTATCTCTCCATTCACCACGTCCTGCAATTGCATGCTTCCTTTTTAACTGTTTATTTTTTTTGGCCATGAACATAGGATTTTATCTCTATTAGATAGACTCTTTTTAGATCTAGTTCATGGTTCCAACTTGTCAAGGTCCTTTGGGATTCTGATAGTCAGTGATCTTCAAAGCCAAGTCTTCCAATAATCACATTTGACCATCACGCCATTGTTATATCATAATCCTCCATGTGCATGTGAGGAATGGAGGGCTAAGAGGGATAACTGCTTGCACAAGGGCCTACAGCCAGGGGAGGGTGTATCAGAGCCAGGACTACACCTGAGTCTTCTGACTCTCAGGCTAATGTTCTTCCTGTGGCACCATGTTCTCTCAAGACAATTTTGATCATATGGTGGAACTTACAGGTAGAAGTCCTAGAAACTATATAACAGAAACCTACCCTTGGAGCAGTGCATGCATCAACATTTTGCAATCAATTCTTCTGACAGCACTAGAATTGGTATTATTGTTCTTATTTTACAGATGAGAGAATCAGGCAGGTTAAATATTTTTATTCCATGTCAGAGAGCAAAGTGGATGCTCATATCCAGAAAAGAATTAGGTTAGAAAGCTTCCCTTCCTGGGATTCTTAAAACATCTTTGGGAACACTTCTTCGGAAGATCTAGAATGGTGGCTGAGTAATCCATCAGACATTATTAAAATGGGAGGACCTCAAGGTCTGGCGGAGATACTAGTCTTAATAATGTGCAAAAATTCCAAGGTGAAGCTGATTTTCAAAGAGATACATAATAAGAAAGCATCTAAGTACTTGTGGTCTGATTAAAATTCTGAGTCTATTTCTCTACATTTAGAAATAGAGAAATGGAGAAAATTTTCAGGAAAAAAGAAAACATCATTCTTTTTCCCATTGTTTGTTCTGTTTAATTAAGCCCTTGGTTAACATAAACCAGGTTTAGATTATTCTCATTGAAGAGCTTTGAAGAGGTCTTTTAATACCAAAATTGCCACCTTGCTTCAAGTATAAACCAGCAAGTTCTTAGACACCAGTTCCACTTTGAATTAGAACGAGAGAATTTAAGAGCAAGAGGGGTCCTTCAAAACCGACTCCAGTGCATGCTACTATCCTCCTCTTCTTAAAGCTGAGGAGCCAAGGTTCAGAGGCACGAAGTGGCTTCGTCAAAGTCATCCATTAGGTTTTGGCCAGTGCTTGGCTTAAGAAGAGGGGTCTTGTGCAGGCCGGGCGCAGTGGCTCACGCCTGTAATCCCAGCACTTTGGGAGGCCGAGGCGGGTGGATCACGAGGTCAGGAGATGGAGACCATCCTGGCTAACACGGTGAAACCCCGTCTCTAGTAAAAATATAAAAACAAAATTAGCCGGGCGTGGTGGTGGTGGGCACCTGTAGTCCCGGCTACTTGGGAGGCTGAGGCAAGAGAAGGGCGTGAACCCGGGAAGCGGAGCTTGCAGTGAGCAGAGATTGTGCCACTACACTCCAGCCTGGGTGACAGAGCGAGACTCAGACTCCGTCTCCAAAAAAAAAAAAAAAAACAGGGTTCTTGTGCGCTCCCTACCCAGTGCTCTTTCATTTCTCTGCCTCGTGATGCTCTATTGCCTTCTGGCTGAGAAAGCTCCATAGTAAGGGCTTTCCAGGATGACTTAGTTATTTTCTTTGGAGATACTGAGAACATTAAAAGAAGTCCTTTTTAAAACGTAAGGATAAAAACACCACTTAAAAGCTGATATAAGTGATTTTAGGATTATTCATTATTTGAGAATAGTCATGCCATGTGATACGTTCATTGACATGAATAAGCAAGAATTGACTGGTTAACTTGGGCTACCTAAGAGGAAACATCATACAGTAGAAAGTCCAGGGGCTTTGGAATTACACTTGGTTGCAAATTCTGGATTTGACATGTTCTTTCTTATAGGTTTGGCCAAGCTACACAAACCTCTCTGAACTTAACTTTCCTCACTATAAAATTGAAGATAATAACATTTTCCCTCGTTGTATTAAATGAAGATTACATGAATTGGTAGATGTGTGAGTACCTAGCCTAAAACCTGGCCCATATTTGGCATATAATAAATGTCTCTTCTTTTTTTTCCATTCTAGAATTTGCTACTTCTTCAAATGTATTCTCTCAATAAATATGTATAGTACTTGTGTTAGGTGTGGATAAGGAGGTAAATGACAGAATGACAGAGTATCTGCTCACATAGAGAACTTTTTTTTTTTTTTTTTTTTTTTTTGAGATGGAGTCTCGCTCTGTTGCCCGGGCTGGAGTGCAGTGGCATGATCTTGGCTCACTGCTACTTCCACATTCCGGGTTCAAGCTACAGAGAACATTTTTAAAAGGGGAAGATAAGCATTAAATAAGCAATTAAGATGGAGTGTTATGAGTGGTTAGCTAAGGAAATTCAGGAGGCCCAGGGGGATCAAGCAGGAAGACCTAGTTTAGGGGATCAAGGAAGGCCTCCGGAAGGTGATGGTGTTTCACTTGAATCCTAAAGGATATGTAAGACTTAGACAGATTAGATGGGGTGAAAGTGGGGAAGGGAAGTCACAATTATCCCAAACAGGGGCAGCAATCAAGTGTGAAAATGCTGAAGGGAGAGAGTTCAACAAATGTAAAGCGAGAGGGAGAGGGGCAACTGATGAAGCTGGAGAGTGGGCAGGGTATATGCCGTCGGCGGCTTACAAGCCATGATAATGATTTAGGAAGTTGATTTCAAAGGCAGTGGAGGATCATTGGAGAGCTTTGAGTTTGAGTAATATGATTTTTGTCATTGAAATTAGAAGGGTTTTAATATTAGCTCTCTGGAAAGGTATAGATAAAGGCTGCTATTCAAATAGGCTGATAGGATTGCTTTAGGAAGCATCCTCATCCTTCATTCACGGAATTCAGGGATGGATGTCTTTCTGCTGGAAAGTGGCAGAAATTTAGCCATTGTGCTCGACCACAAGAGGGAGCTAGTGGTCTTCCACGAGCCTGTAATTTTCCTCTGGCCCATTGTCTCCTGACAACATGGTGGCATTGGCAGTTGGCTCAACTGTTTGGCCATTTTCCAGTGACAAGACCGTTATGGCAGTTGGTGGTTGGTAAATTCAGTCCCTGCTCTCTGTGCCCAACCATATGTCCAGAACTTACTGGCACTCCTAGGCCTGGAGCCTCCAGCCAGCTCAGAACAAAGACAGTCTGAAAAGGCCTCTCCTCGTCGCCATCGCAATCACTTGAGCATTTATGCTCAAAACAGCTCTCTTACAGGAAAACGTTTGTGTTCCTCCAGAATGTGAAGGAAGGTTCATGGTTTTTAAAATTCATGAATTGCGTGGAATGGAACGTTCCTTCTCTGAATACAGGAAAGAAACAGAGAGGCAGTGTCTTTATGACCCCCAAGCTGTGGGTCATCTCAGGCGGGAAAAATCTAGTCAAGCCAATTATTTGGCATGGTGTGGGCCTCCTTTCCTCCCATCCCAGGAAAAGGTTGTGAGGGTTTTTTTTCACGTTTTAACTCGTTGCCTTGGATTCGCTTGAAAGTACTCAGGCTTAGGCAATTAGCTAAAGAAGTCTACTCTTTTCTAGTTAAAATTATTTGACGACAATGATTCTGGCTGGGTATATGATCAAAGTAAAATCTAATTAAATGTTCAGGTGAACTGCTTTGCTTTGGTTGGTTTAAATACAGCCATAAGGATAGGATAGACCAAATTAAGGACGGTTAAAGTTAATTCCACATTTCCCTTTATATCCTCTGTCCTATCTCACTGGGCCCATTTCTCCCTGTCTTCTGGGTGCCCCATACCCTTATGCTCAAAATCAGTCCGAAGTTCACCACCGAAGCATTTTCAACGGCCTTTCCTTCCCTGCTAGCTCTCCTTCCTACACTTTTCAATGACACCTTAGAATGTGAGTTTGAAACAAAGAATTTGGTTAAACTGATTTGAATAGACTCTAGAGTGTGAATACATGAACACCCATCACATTCTCGTAGCTCCTTGACCCTTTGGGGTGGAGGGGTGTTGTGTTTTAAAAGAAGATATTGATACCTCAAATGAATACTTGGTGGTGACATTTTAGATGTGAAGCATAACGTGATTTTTCCACTATATTATGTAAAAGAAATACTTTGGCAGTCAGTGGAGTAGGGTGAGTTGGAGCAGAGCTTTGCAGCACTGCAAGCAAGTAGTCATCCAGTTTTTCAGATGACGTTTTCTGAGTCTCAACTTTTGTCCATCCAAGTGAGCAAGTCAGGGTGATAAGATGCAATGCAAGGTTTTTATTATGTTTGATTTTATCTTTCTTTTCTTTTCTTTTTTCTTTTTTTTTGAGATGGAGTCTCACTCTGTCACCCAGGCTGGAGTGCAGTGGCATGATCTTGGCTGACTGCAACCTCCACCTCCCAGGTTCAAGCGATTCTCCTGCCTCAGCCCCTGAGTAGCTGGGACTATAGGCACCCGCCACCATGCCAGGCTAATTTTTTATACTTTTAGTAGAGTTGGGGTTTTACCATATTGGCCAGGCTAGTCTCAAACTCCTGACCTCATGATCCACCTGACTCAGCCTCCCAAAGTGATTACAGGCATGAGCCACCGCACCCAGCCTGATTTGATCTTTCTAATTTGCATATGAACTTTCTCATATCTTACGCCATGCATGTGATCTTTTGCATGGTATAAGCCATCTCTATTCCAACTACCTTTCTCCACCCACACATAACACTTCGCAGTATGTCTGTGGAAACTGGAAGTACTGTTTTCTGATAATATCTGATGACCTACACCAGGAACAGGATCCTCTGAACAAAGAAATTTCTGTCTTACAAAGAAATTGTCTTGAAAGAGCATGGACTTTTTTCATAAGTTAAAAATATCCAATTTCTTTTCACTCCAAAATAAAAATCACTGTGTAGTTTTCTTATTTTAAAAGCAACAAATGCCAGGTGCAGTAGCAGACACCTGTAGTTCTGGCTACTTGGGAGGCTGAGGCAAGAGGATTGCTTGAGCCCAGGAGTTGAAGGCTGTAGTGTGCTATGATTGCACCTGTGAATAGCCGCTGTGCTTCAGCCTGGTCAATAGGGCAACATAGCAGGACCCTGTCTCTTTAAAAAAAAAAAAAAAAAAAAAAAGCAATACATGATGACAGCATGAATACATAATATATATATATATATAAAGTGTAATAAAAATATAAAGAAGAAAATAAAAAGATAAGCATTATCTCATCTTTAGAAAATAATCACTGTTAAAGTATTAACATTTTGGAACATAATGTTTGAGATATTTTTCTATGCCTACATAGACATTTTGAGCCTCAGCAATATTGCATTATGGATATTGTTTTGTAACCTGACTTTATTCACTACTTACATATTGTGAGCATCATTTACACCATAATTTTAATTGGTAGCATACAATTCCTTTAACTGAAAATATTATCATTTATTGAAGCAATTTAACCAATTTCCTATTAATGAAACTGTTCACACTTAAAAATGGCCAAATATTGTACCTTAAGACTTATCCTCACCCAAGGTATGCTATACACTGTTTCTGAAGAAGGAATTTTCTAATGTAAACTAAGAATATCCAGTTTTTCAGAATTAATTTCAAAGAGATGACCAAAGGTCTACAGAGATTTGGGGAGGGATTAGTTGTTCTGTTTGTTAATAGTTTTTCAGTAGACTGAGGGATATATCTGAAGATCAAATGAAAATTATTAAGTATTTCCACTTTTAGAATGAGACCCTTGGATATTTTATTCAGCTGAAGGACAGGCTTTGTGACTTGACCACACATTTTGCATAAATGGTATATGCTTTTAATATTTATTAGATAAGTCTCTATAGGGATTATATGCTACCTACTGTTGAACCAAGGCTACCAAAGGGAAATTTAGGCCAAAGATTGCGAACTCTTGAAATCTCTTTTGTAATACTGGACTAGGAGTCCCACCCTGCTTCCTCATAACTGGAAACACTCTTGGAGCCTAGCATGAATTGTTCCAAGAAGTTGTGACCCAGCTCATTAACTTCAACAGCCATCCAGCTCTTGTGGGATTATTTAGCTGGTACTAAGGGTTGATCAATGATCGTTGCATATTTGTATGCATGTATTTTCAGACAAGACAAATGAAATGAAATTTCTATGGGTAGAGCAAAGACGTGAACCAGTGTACTTAGAAATGTTGCTGAGTGCCTATCTGTTGAAAATTGATAGAGGTGGAGAGAATCCAGTTCTGGATGCCAGCTACACAGATGCTAGGAAACATCTCTTGGACAGGACTCTTATTGCTGCAATATGTATTGCAGAATTTCTACACTGAAATTTGTGTTTAATTTGTAAGTATCTTAAATATGTTTGAAGTTTAATTGCTTTTTTTAAAAAAGCAAGTTAATTTTAATCACTTATCCTAATGATTCCCAGATTTTTGGTGTTAAAACAACCAAGTTATTGAAAACCTTCTTTGCTTCTTCTGAGTCTCTGTCACCCAGGAGTGCAGTGGTGCCATCTCAGCTCACTGCAACCTCTGCCTCAGGGATTCAAGCAATTCTACTACCTCAGCCTCTCAAGTAGCTGGGACTACAGGCATGTGCCACCACACCTGGCTAATTTTTGTATTTTTAGTAGAGACGGGGTTTTACCATGTTGGCCAGGCTGGTCTTGAACTCCTGACCTCAAGTGACCCACCCACCTGGGCCTCCCAAAGTGCTGAGATTACATGTGTGAGCCACTGCACCCAGCCAGCTTATTCTTAATTATTGGTTTTTGATCACTTCTATTTTTGGTGGTTTCCTAAGTCAAAGCTGTCTCTTGGGCCTAATGGAACTGATCTCCAATTCACAGAGTAAATAATGGACCAGTGTTCACTTCTCTCCTCTCTTCTCTTTTCCTCTCTTTTTCTTCTGCCTCTATCTTCTCTTTGATTGCCAGCATTTCTCCCTTGCTACCTTCTTCATCTCTCTCCTTCCTCCCTCTAACTCCTCAAATTCTACCTCATTCTGATCCAGGCTCCTTGAAATTAGGCATTTTGAATGCCTCCCCCATTGTTCTCCAACATGATAGCAGGGTTCTCTGGCAAGCTCTCTAGGTCCTGCAGAGTTTGCTCTATTTGTGGAATGAAATGATGCACCAAAAGCTGGGCCCCTAGTTCCTTTGTGCTTTTCCATGCATCCTCCTCTTTGATGGGGCGTTACCTGAGGGTGCAAAAATGTTTTTGACCACAAGAATAATATCCAGGCATTGCCGCATAAGGTAAGATTCCTTTGCCACTGGAGTCCTTGAAGGCAGCAAACACATGACCATGAGCAACTTTGAGGGAAATTCATCATAAAATGCCTGTTTTTGAGTGCTGTTTGAAAAATAAGCCGTTGCTATAGGATTTTAATAAAACTGGCCCCATGCCGAGATGGAAAGCGTGTGGTCATCAACTACAAAGGGAGCTTCAGCTGAGATGGCTCATTTTGGGATGAAAATTGTCTTCCTGTTTTCTTACTACATCAATGATACAGCAATTTCTTTTATAATTTCCAGTTGTGCACAAGCCAGTCAGCAAAAAGAATGAGAGATTCCTTCCTAGCTGAGAGAATATTCTTTTAAAAGAAAGGAAAGTAGGTAAAAAGAAAGAAGGAAAGAAGTAAGGAAAAAAATCCATAGCAAAAATGCATTTAAAAAATCTCCCCCTTTCCACTGGTTTCAGGGAAAAGAGACTAATTTGAGACACAATGGCCAGTCCTGGGTTTTGTCTTGACAGCTGCCTCCCTAGGCATGTGTGGCTCTTGCGGGGAGCTGGTGAGCACCCTTTAGTGATCCAATATTTTGTAAGTAGATTTATCCCTCTTTGCTGACCATTTATTTTTTGCTAATCTAGGGAAAGGATATCAATTAATCGTTGGAATTTCACTTAGATTTTTCCCATTAAACTGCTTGCATATTTTCTTTCTTTTGGATGAGGAGAAGAGAGATAACATTCCAAACTTGCAAAAACAACATACAAACTTCAATTTACAAGGTCCCTCCCTT
The DNA here is from genome assembly GCF_000001405.40 of Homo sapiens. Classification (NCBI taxonomy): domain Eukaryota; kingdom Metazoa; phylum Chordata; class Mammalia; order Primates; family Hominidae; genus Homo; species Homo sapiens. The sequence continues at coordinate 4,361,863 of NC_000009.12, read as the reverse complement.
TACCATTGGGGAAAGAGCTTCAAATTAGGCTGTAGATTTTCTACTGATCTGCAACCAAATTTAGGGTTTTAAGATGTAATAAAATGATCATGTTACAACAAGGTAAGGAAAGGTGGTTAGGAGCCTTCACTGACTTTTAATGCCGACTCTTCCCTTTATATTTGCGAGGTCAGAGCAAGGTCAAATCACAACTGCTTATGGACTGGCTAGGGTAGAAATGTGGAGACCCAAAAGCTTGGGCTTCTACTTAGATTCTGTTCCAGGATTTATCTTGGCATCTCAGGCGAGTAACAGAGAGAAGTGGTTAATACACCACAGCCTTGTAAATCTAAATCTCCTTGCATGCAGAACACTATTGATTAGAGAATGGAAGGGAACGGGGTCAACCCTATTGTATTTATATGAACTGTTGTCTTAGATTGGGTTCCACAGGAAAGGGAACAGCATCTTTAGGGGAGTAAGAGAAGCAAGATTGGTCAGAAGGAGAAGGAGAAGTTTAACTTTAATGCAATTGCAAGAGATATTTCAGCCAATCTCACAGGGACCTTTGGAACTGAGGTGTCCCATCAGAGGAGTCCCTTCTTGAGACAAGGAGGTCAGTCTTTGGTACTGCCTTACATCCACCAGTCATTACATTAAGACTGCCTAGAGAAAACAGTGAAACTGCTCCTTTCTACAGAGGACAGTTTCCAAAGAGGGACAGCTGGCAGCTGGCAGCAATAACACTCCCAGGAATGAGTGCATCGGCCCTAAAGTAGGGACCAAAGGTGTTCCACAGCATCCAATAACAATAGTGTTGAGTTTCATGTGTACTCTTGACTGATGCTGCAAAGTGTGGCCTGTTTCAGAAAGAAAATGTCAAGGCTAGGACAAAGGCATTGGGACAATGCAAGAATGAGGTCAAGGCTATTTGGAGGCTGGCTATTGTGGAAATAATGCCATCAGATATTCCTCTGTTTCCTCTTGTCATGTGCCTCCCTGAGCAGCCAGCTCCTCCACCTCAGTGGCATCATTCCCAAATGCACATGGCTAGGAAATGCCTGCTCCCAAGTGAACAACTCTTTCTGCAGCACCCTTCAAGGTGTCTGTGCCTCAACACACTCAACACAACTCTGTGTCAGGAAAAGGCAGCCTAACACAATTTTAAGAACATAAGCTTTGGAATAAAAAAGGATTGGTTCAAACGTTAACCCTGAAACTTATTAATGGTCCTTTGCCATGAGCAAAGGACTGGATATCTCTCATCCTCAATTTTTTCTTTTATAAAATGGGTCCGATAATATCAACTCATCGAGTTAAGGTGAGGAATAAATGAGATAATCCTCGGAAAAGGCTAAAGTGGCGAAGTAAATGCAAAGGGCTTAAGGTATGTTAGCAGTTATTGAAACGACAGCAAATTAATATTACTAGTAATATTTGTATTAGCATTACTGGCCATCAGTCACATCTGTCTGAGCTGGTGGGGATGATTTTCCAGGTACAGAAAGCAAGTGGACTTTGGCTGGGAGGGTTTCAGTCTCTGAGATGGATCATGTTTTTCTCCTAATGACCAAACATAGTCAGTCGCATGCTCTTTTGTTGCTGCTCCTCTTCACATGTGGAAAACATGCTGAGACACAGAGCGCGTTGATGTTAAACTGACTAAAAGCCACAGGTGGGTCAGGCGGTTGGGTGATGATTCCAATCCTCCTCAGCCTGCTGCCTCTCCAGAACAAATAGCATGGTTTGCATAAAACCTGTGCCCTCATTGAGTAAAAACAGCAAAGGGAAATGATGACTTCATTAGGAGATGGGGAATACCTTATGTGGGCTTCAATTTGTGTAATTTTTTTTTTTTTTGCAAATCCTGACATTCCAGTAAAATGCTTAAAATACATTATATGTATATATAAACACACTTGTAAATATATACAGAAAATAAATGTATATATAAGTATATACAGAAAATACATTTATATGTTATATACTTAACATTCATCTCAGCATAGAACAAAGGAAGAATACATATATTGGTGCCCGCTTTTATTTAACATCAAGATTAATTATTTTTCAAGGTAAATATTAACTAAAGTGGAGACCGGGGCAGTGTGTACCTCTCAGTTCAATAATTCTTGATGTTAACTTCAGCAGAAATCAATGTCTGTTTATTGTACTCCCAAGAGCCAATGCAGGCAATGTTACCATTTTAAATACATTTTAGTTCTAAAATTAAATTAAAATCCAGGTCTTGGATCTCACGGGTACTGTATACTCCCAAGTTCTTTCTACAAAATATTAAATAAAACATTTAGTGGGTCTGTTGCCCCTGTCAACAGTCAGAAGCTATTATTCCTCTGCAGATGAGAGGGAATCACTTAAAGGTGGTAGGAGGTGGGCAGTAGCTCACCAAGGGGTCAGCTGAAAGATTGTAGGATTTAGTCTCATTACAGTAGAAATAGCATGCAGAAGCCTGTCCTGCTCTTTGCTGTGAAGGAAGGTAAGCAGCTGTTTCTAAGGACAGTGATTCCAAAAGCAGTTTGGGTGAATCCACTAGGTAAAGGCAGTAAGGTAAGGAGAAAAGATCTGATGAGCCATATGCCAGTTCCAGCCACTCAAGCAATGGAGCCAGGAAGCAGGAAGTGCTCAGGGAGATTCACACGCGCTCATCTCGGTGTATGCAGAGCGGTGGGCGTTCCTGAACGTTTAGGGTGTGGGACATACTGGAACAACTGCAGCAATTGACTTAACTGGAAGAAGCCACTTTCGACCGCAGGAGAGTAGTAAACCTGGATGACCAACAAACCAGAATGAGGTACTTGGAACCTCCCTTTCAGGAAACTTTGCAAGTCTCTGCCTCTACAAGCCACCATGGTCCTACCAGTTGGGATTGCTGAGGATGGGACTAGTGAGGAGTGTTAAGGGATTAGGAACCCAGCCACATCTTGAACTACAGCCAGCCTGAAAGTCTTGGAGTGGGAGAGTGGAGGCAGCAGCAGTGGTAGCCCACACTGACTTCTATAAGATGACTCTGGTCATTACTAAGATTTTACATCTTACAGGGACCTTTTACACACCTCATCTGCTTACCATATAGGTTATCTGTTGAATGCCAGTCAGACTGTAACCTGGACACATATGTACACACATAAACACATATGTGCACACATACACACGTGTGCCCATTCCTCTGGAGCATCTGTAGAAAGACTACTGTACAAGGCATGCCAAGGCCATGTGAATGTGGTGCACAGACTGCAAAACTCCCATCTAAATAGGGAGATGGTAAGGATTACGAAGGCCAATATTTTCTCTTCTTGGGCCCTGGTGTATCCCCAGCAACTAGAAACGTGCTGGAACATAGTAGGTACACAAAAATGCTTGTTTAATTCACCACTCCTAACATCACCACCAATTATACTACCAGCAAAAACTATACCATGAAATGAGAAAATTTCACTGGACAATGAACATTTCGGTTTGTGAAGGTACTTGGGACATTGCTTGGTACCTGATAATTATTGAATAAATTTATCAACTTTGTATTAGTCTCTTTTTTTTGTAAATTACAAAAGTGATACTAGGCCATGGTTAAAAAAAATCGAGCATTAAAACGAGTATACAAAAAAAAGCAGAATTCCTTGTTACTCTGGCGACCAGTCTCACTTTCTAGCAGCAACTAGTATTTACAGTTTATGCAGCCTTCTGGAAATTTTCTTTGCATATATACACACATACACATATATACATATGGATATGTACATACACACATATACATACACACAAATGGGAACATACTGTACACACTGTTCTGCCCTTGTCCTTGCTTTTCTCATCTTGGGCATCTGTTCTTATTAGATCATACAGACCTATCTTATTTTTTAAAAAACAAAGGCATAATATCCATAATATCCTATAATGTAGATGTAATATAACTTGTTTAATGACCCTCTAATGGTGGAAATTTGCGTTGTTCGTTTGCCATTTCAAACAATTTAACAGCAAACATCTTTGTCCACTTCAGAGGCACCATTGACACAGATTCAATGGGAATGGTGCCTCCTGACACTATGCAATGTGGTGGCCCTGATCCCTGTATTCAGTTCTTTGACCATGTCCAGGTATTTCTGTAGGATAAATTCCTAGAAGGCCACTAGTTTGATCAAAGGCTTATGCTCAATGTAAATTTTGATACCTAATCCCCAAAAAGTTGAAAGTTGAATGATGTTCACGTGAGTCAATGAGTCATTTGAGGAGTTTTCTAGAGAAACAGACCCAATAGAAGACACATACACATGCACACACACACACACACACACACACACAGGAATTAGTTCACATTATTCTGGAGGCTGAAAAGTCCCGAGATCTACAGTCAGCAAGCTGGAAACCCAGGAGAGTTTATGGGATAAAGTCTGAGTCTGGAGGCCTGAGAAGCAGGAGAGCGATAGTGTAAAATCTAGTCCAAACTGAAGGCAAGAGAAGACTGATTTCCCAGCTTGAAAACAGTCAGAGAGGGGATTCTTCCTTACTCAGGCTGTGGTTCTATTAAAGCTTCCAGGGGATTGGATGAGGCCCACCCACACTTGGGAGGGGCAATCTGCTTTATTCAATCTACTGATTCAAATGTTAATTTCATCCAGAAACACCTTCACAGACACAACCAGAATAAAGTTTAACCAAACTTCTGGGCACCTTGTAACCCAGTCAAGTTGATACAAAATTAAAGATCACAGGGTTATTCCCCAAAGATTTTAAATAAGAACAAATTCCACTCATTTTTAAATGCAACTTGAAACTAAAATAGAACTTTTGTTTCAGTTCTGTTTGTATAAGTAAACTCACTAATATTCAATGATTTATACATGCTAGATTTCAATTTTAGATTTCTAGTCTTTGGAAACAGTAAGATTTCGTACCAGTCAATATATTCCACCTTTTGAAACACTTATTAAAATATTTTGAAAATGCCAATTCCAGCTCCTGGTATAATGCTCTTGCCTGAAAGTCCAATTTAACCTTTTTACATGTGTAATCTTGCAAACATTGGTGGGCATTTTACATCCAAAAGGCTTTGTAATCAAACCTTTAGAGATTTTCTTACTGATGTTTTTCAGCTTTTGGTTCATCAGCAAATTCCAAATTCATTGTTGATGATCTTTGTTGCTCTAATAGTCATGCGATTTCATTTATAAATGAAACAAGCAGTCTTTGATCACATACTCTTTGTAAAATCTGATGCACTCTGTTGAATCTGCTGTGTTCCCTTTGTATTTTAAAAGCAATAGCTGCAATAGAGACAGCTTGACCCTACCGTGAGAAATAGCATTTTATCATGAAACTTGGCAAAGCCTTCAATTTCCTCCCATCTAATATCTGTCAGTCATTCCCATTGTCCAGGAAACATTTTCTCTGCTCTCCATGTGAAAGTTGTTATCTCTGGTGGCAGATACAACTTTTCTGAGGCCAGATCATTCTCATACCAGGGCTCAATCATATTGCTTTGTCGGATCCCTGTGGAAAACCAATCATGCTCTTTAAAGTGTAGCTGGAGAGTTAGTGATGCAAAAGAAAGACACTGGATCACTTGCACATACCAGTCCCCAGTCCTCCTAAATTGTGGGCCAGTCTCTCCGGCTCTGCTGCTGAACTCAGTGTGAATACAATAGCGACTGAAATGAAAGAAAGAGGTCCTGTTTACCAAATCATATTGTTGAGGTGGAAGGAACTTTGTCTAATTATAACCCATCATTACAAGGAAAAGAAAGGTAAAGCAAAGAGAGTCGACTTGGATTGACTTGGCCAAGACCACTCAGCTCATTAGTGTTAGAGCTGGGGCTGGAAAATATATTTTTTGACTAACTAATTTTACTGATGTATAATTTTTGTACCATAGAACACACAGAACTGAAGTGCCCAGTTGATACATTTTGATAAATATGTATGTCTATGTAACCATACCAAACGCATGCTAATCAAGATATAGAACATTTCATTGCCCCCAGGACTTTCCCACATGCCCCTTTCTAGTTAGAAAGCAGGTATTTGATTCCTGATCCAGTGTTTTGCCACCACTGACTCTTTCATCATTGTATAGGTGCAATGCTCAGTTGGTGAAAAGGGTCTATGGCTGGAAACAGGGTGTATAGGCTCTCATTCCAGCTGCTGCTCAATTAACTATATGACATTAGCCAAGAGGTTTGCTGAGTTAGTGTCCCTAGCTGTTAAAAGATGGGGTATGATTAAGAAGCCAGATTCCAAAGGTGATAAAGCTTGTCTTTGACTCCTCCTTCCCCTCTTTTCTGAGATCCTTCTTACAGTTCCTGGGCTATGAGGTGTCACTAGGAGAGTAGCACCCATTTCATTCTTTACCTGATTTTGAGCTAGCTATGTACTGTGTCAAAGGAAACTTGTCTATTTCGTGCCAAGTTATTGTTCCTAGAAGTGCTTGTATTTAATAATCATAGTGATACCTATAGTTTATTGGGCACCTACAAGATATCAGCCATGTGCTTACCCCTCTATATGCATTGCCTAAATGAGCCCTGCCTTACAGGAGCCCTGTAAGTTTACACAAAGCCAACCTGAGGCTCAAGGAGGTTAAGTTGCTTGCAGATAGTCACACAGCCGCCAAGTGGCAGAGTTTGCTTTGGGACCCAGATGTGCCCAACTCCAAATCCAGGACACTTTCCAACTCTACTACTTTGACTCAGGGAACTCTCTCTCTTTTTTCTTTTTCTTTTTCTTTTTTTTTTCGAGATGGAGTCTCGCTCTGTCGCCCAGGCTAAGAGTGCAGTGGTGTGATCTCGGCTCACTGCAACCTCCGCCTCCCGGGTTCAAGCCTCCAGGGTTCAAGCAATTCTCCCACTTCAGCCTCCCGAGTACCTGGGACTACAGGCACCCGCCACCACGCCTGGGTAATTTTTGGTATTTTTAGTAGAGATGGGGTTTCGCCGTGTTAGCCAGGATGGTCTCGATCTCCTGACCTAGTGATCCGCCCACCTCGGCCTCCCAAAGTGTTGGGATTACAGGCATGAGCCACCATGTCCGGCTACTCAGGGAACTCTTAAAGGTGACAGTAGCTTATTCCAAAGGAATGACTCTTTGAGGGTGGAATTTGGGGTAGCATGTTTTCCTAGAGGGAGAGTGTCATCTGATCAAGGAGCTCAGGGACACTTATGCATCACTCCAGTGCTGCCAATGGGGTTATTCTCCTGATCCCAGGACCGCAGTGAGAGGCTCGAGAAAGCCCCTTGAATAGTGCACTGTTCCATGTGAGTGCGGCTGTGCTAAACTGTGCCTGGGACAATCCCGTGCACTGAGGTTTTGACCTGAATAAGATGGGTCACGTGGATTCTGGAGGGTAAGCAGTTATTATTGTAGGGAATATAGTCTATAGAAAGTGAGATCCTGGGATGTAGTGTATAATTCTTGGTTAAATATAGCAAAAGAAAAGAAATAATCACCCACTCACTCAAGGAGGTGACTCTGGCTAGGGACCCCATGCCTGCTAACAGGGTGCTTATACCCTCATCCATATGGCATGAAGAGAGGTGTCCTGTTTCAAGAGTGCGAACTAAATCTCATTCAAACACACAAAAAGGTCTCAGGAAGTTTGGCTGGAGAAAGTACTCAGTTTCAGATGGGGAGTCTAATTTCATGTGCCTTTGCCTGCCATTGTCTGATTTGCAAGTTTAGCATAACACTCTTTTTTAAAAAGCCCTCTTGGCTATCAAGAATTTTCCTGCAGTTGGCCGGGCGTGGTGGCTCACGCCTGTAATCCCAGCGCTTTGGGAGGCTGAGGCAGGCGGATCACGAGGTCAGGAGATAGAGACCATCCTGGCTAACACGGTGAGACCCTGTCTCTACTAAAAATACAAAAAAAAAAAAAAAATAGCCGGGTGTGGCGGCGTGCTCCTGTAGTCCCAGCTGCTGGGTAGGCTGAGGCAGGAGAATGGCGTGAACCTGGGAGACTGAGCTTGCAGTGAGCCGAGGTCGCGCCACTGCACTCCATCCTGGGCGACAGATTTCCTGCAGTTCTTCAGAGGAGACTGTGGGAAACAAAAGCAAATCAACAGCTACAGGCACCGAATTAAGTTCAACACATATAATTCAGAACATACATCTTTGTGCAGCGGATAAGGAGGCCCCCAGAAAAACGACGGAGGACTATTCTGCTGTGTGGTTTAGGGGAGGGATCTGGCTCTATCTCGAGATGATCTTAGACTCTAGCTTACTCCAGATTACGGCCCGTTTTGGGTAACTTCTTGACTTTGGACCCGCTGAGAGATACTCTTCAGTAAGGAATCAGAGTACAGTCCTTAGTTTTGCTGTCAACACACAAGTACACATGCCAGTGCCCAGAGGCAGTTCTGGAAATGCCTTACTCATTTCTTGGCTGGGCTGAGTCCAGAGACAATCCCTGGCCCTGAACTTTGGAATCCTGAGGCTCAATGGACTTGAGTAGTTTTGCTGCTCGTTAACTCCCACACCTCCTTCTCATAGTTTAAAGAAAGCTGCCTGAAATCAGAGGACCGAGACTTCACAAAATCAGATCATATAGCAAGCAATTTCATGCACAAAAAAGACAGTGGAGTCTTTGAGGAGTTGCTGGGCTACAGACATCTGTACCCAGCCTGTGGTTTTGCCTGGCTGGTAGGGTACAGAAGTCTGCTTACTTTTGCCTCAAGTTTTAGCCTTTAATGGCACAGGGATGTCAAGAGAGGGAACTTCTCAGAGTCTCAGAGCAACAGAAATTTCGGTCAAGTTGTATTGTTCACCCAGGAATCCAAAGACACGGCTGAGTCTTGAGAGGTGGCCACCATACCCCAGGCTGAAAAAACTTTCCAGAGAGCTGACTGATCTCCTAACCAAACCAATGAGCCAAAAAACCACTGAGGTCTGGAACCCTGAAGGAGCGAGAGGACCCTATATCTTAGCCTGACAAGTGGCTACTTACACCTACTAAATGTATAGAAAACTGGATTTTTTCCATGCACCACAGGATATGGTTTTCTTTTAAAGTTCACAAATTCTCTTCATGGTTTACCTAACTATGAAGATTCATTTTTGGCCAACATCCAAGAAAGTTTATTTATGACCAATTCTGTATTTTGATCTCTCCATCCAAGTATTGTTGCCAAGAGCCAGCAGCACAAAGGCACAAGGGCCAGCTGAACTGCCCATGGCCACACATAGCCCTTCAGGCCTGCGATGGTCTTGATCATCTCCCCACTAACCAGGTCTGTGCCCACAAAAGCTGGTGATGGCCAAAGGAAGAAACCTCCCTCTACAGAAGTAGCCTAACCCAAGACAGAGTTCACTTAAACGGCCATCTCTAAAGAGCATGGTTGTTTGGTTTCCATTCTGTGCTCTCTGATCCTGGGAATCAGGGAAGGCCCTTGGGTTTACCCAAAAGATGCCCCACCATGCCTTAGTCCTCTGTATTTCTATGTCCCCATACCCTCACAGGCCAAAAGGACCCAAGGTGAATTGTGAGCTATTTTAATTTGGAGATAAATGACCAAGGGACTCTACACAAAGGGCTCAGTGTAATTTTAGTAGTCATAGGCCAACCTCAGGTGGCTCCCTTGTTCCTGAGCCATATTCCTGCATGACTTTGAGAAAATCACTTAGCCTCCCCAAAGAGAACACAACTGGGTGTCGCCTGAGTTTTACTGATGTTGGCAGAGTTTAATACAATGACTGTATTTTTTTATGTAAAGGAGACAAAGCATGGATTGAGACAAGCTTCCTCTATAATAACAGAAATCTACTTTTCCATCGTAGTTGTGAGTCTGTCTTCACGAACACTGTAGCTTGTACTTACGCTGAAGTTTACTTCATGAAAAGAAAGAGATTTTAGAAAATTGATCTTGCTTATTTACTTTTTAACCAAGAGCAGCTATTAACCCTCTAGGAGTTACATCAAACTCTTTAGATCCAAAATGTAACTCAAATACAGGCACTACTAGTTTTATATTTTTCTCCAGATTCAGAATCCTGTGTGCATTTTTTTTTTAAGAAAACTGTGCATTCATTTTCTCTGAAAATGACTTCTTTGTGCTCCAGTTTTCTAGCTTAAAGATAAAATTGGATTCTTTGAAGAGGCTTAGAAACTAATTTTAAAAATCTAAGGCCCATCAGTAAGTGACAGAGAGTCCTTTGGGTATCATTTGTGCTCCCTAGTTCAAGGAAAAACAACATTTTTTTAAAAAAATGAAATCTTTCCTTATCATTTGATGTTCATCATTACCGAACTACATACTTTTTTCTCTTTTTGCCCATGAAAATTTCACTAAATCTGAACAATTAAATGGAAAATTCCTTTTCAACTACTGTGATAAATTGAGTAATAAAGAACTCTTAGAGAAAGATATTTTTGTGTTTTTCAGTGTATATTCTAAACTTTTGTAATGAACTCAAGCACTAAATATTTTATGAGATATGTAAAAGATTTCTCCTCACCCTCCCTTTTTTTTTTTTTTTTTTGAGACACTCTGTTGCCCATGCTTGAGTGCAGTGGTGCGATTACAGTTCACTGAAGCTTCAACCTCCCAGGTTCAAGTGATCCTCCTTCCTCAGCCTCCCAGCTTATTGGGACTATAACCACACCCAGTTAATTGTTTGTTTGTTTGTTTCTTTTGAGACAGAGTCTCACTCTGTCTCCCAGGCTGGAGTGCAGTGGCCTGATCTTGGCTCACTGCAACCTCCACCTCCTGTGTTCAAGCAATTCTCCAGCTCCCTGTAAGTGTAGAGAGGCTATCCCAACCAGCCTTAAGGTCTAAGAAACAGGCCAGAATCAGAAAGAAATGGATTATTATACAGAGAAGTGAAGCCCAGGGCCCAGCACTTCAAGGCCTTGTATATAGATAGGACAAGCTTCATGGCGGTGTGACCTACACAGACACACAGGGCCCCAGGCTTAGAAGAGCCACAAATGGTTTATTGATCAAAGAGCCCTTGTTCATTTTGAACTGGGCCCCAAAATTACGTAGCTGGTTCTGGTACTAGTGGTACTAGGGAAAGTCCTGAGGAGACAGAAACTGGAAGAAAACAAAAACAAACAAAAACAAAAACAAAACAAAACAAAACAAACCCTGATGTTTTTTACCCCAAGGCATTTTGGGTAGAAGAGACATAGAGGCAGCAGAGACACATCAATCCCAACTCTTCCTTGGTCCAGAATGAAGGAGGATATTACTTGATTTGAGAGAAATACCAAAGGTGGGGTCTTTTTGTCCAATTTAACATTTTGGATTCTGGAAGAAGAGTTCAGTCTTCCTTATCCCCACCCCAAAATAGAGATAATAAAGCAGTTCTGAAAGAGACTTTAAAATAAAAATATTTTTAAAAATTTCAGAGAGATATAGTACGGCAGGATTATAAATTTACACTGTGCACAGGTGAATAGTGAAAATGCAGTTTAAAGAAATTTTCTATTACTTGATTCCATTTGTGTCAATTGTTTCTATCCATATAGAGATGGGAGGAAAAAATATAAATTTTAAGTCAAATCCAGTAAATGTGGCCCAGTGCAATAACTGAAATAGTCTCTTTAAGTTAATTTTCAGTCTTTTGATTTAAACGTGCCCAGTTCCTCACATTTCCGCCTATTCCCTCTTTGCTCTCCAAGGTGCTGGTGAATAGGTGCCTTGCGGGTATAGCAAACATGGCCATGCGGTGGTGGAGGAAGGGAGTCTCCCATCGCCACTGGGCCTTGTGATAGCTCTCGGTCTTCTCTGACCTCTGCGGTGATGGAACTCCTATGCCTGATCCCTTCTCACTATGCTGCTATCAGCTGTCTCTGAGCTGGTGTAACTTGCAATCTGACTCTCTCAGTTTGGTCAAAGTCAGTTTTGCCCCACTGCTCTTGGTCCGTCTAAGTCTCTTTCACATTCCTGAAGCCAGCTGGCCTGGGCTGCCCACCCACAGCCTCTGCAGCAGATTATCTCACTCTTGCCAGGACAGGCCCCACAGAAGATTCATCGATTTCTAGTTCAACTGGCTTCCAGATAAACTGAAGGCTAATGACCAATTCAGGACACCCTGAAGGCTTCATGACTTCATTTCTTCTTGCCACCATGAATTTAGGTTTCTTCTTCATTTCTGGTACCCGGATATTTTTCCTTTTTGCTGTCAAGCCCTGCTTAAAGTATTTTTTTTTCTGTCTTTTATTCATCATTTCTGTGTGCTTAGAGTGATGCTCTGTGTGTCCTCTTGTCTGGAAGTCCTGGAATCTTATTTTTGCTAGTAATTTGCAAGGTAAGTACTTCAGTTCCTTCCCTAAGTAAATGCAATCTAAATTAACAAAGTTTTGTTAGGTATTTTTTTCCTTTTTGGTCATCTAGCATACAGGGATTTTTTTCTGTGCAATGACCATTTCCATTCTCTTTTTCTACTCATCAATATAAATCCTCAACACCAATTAGACTCTACGAGAGGGTATTGTATGCAATGTGCATGCCAGGATACAAATAAAATAATTCCAGTTAATTATTAAGTAAATATAGGAACATTTACTATTATAAAGCATTTAGAAGAGTCAAATGCCTGGCTTTTATGGGTCATATAATCTACTTGGAGAAATATGGTTGCATAAAATATTTAAATAACATTAGTCTGCAGTTCTGCAAGTGTGCATACCAGTGCCACTGACAACACCTATCATAAACTGTTGTGGAAAGGAGAGATTGCTATCAACTGGGGTGTTCAGTGAAGCCCTCATGGCAAAGGCTTATTTTAAGTTGAAAGTTGAGGGATCAACTGATGTTTAGTAAGCTTAGATAAGGAGTAGTGTTGCATTCTCCTATTTTTATGTTGCATTCTCCTATTATTTTATTATTATTGAGTTTCATGAATGTTTTCCTCCTTCAGCTTCTTTTCTAATTAGAAATAATGTTTACTGGATGTTTGCTGAGTACAAATGTAATATATGTTTCCTATGGAAAAAATGAAAAACTATAAAGAAGAAGAAAGCACCATCCATAATTTTACTCTACAAAGCCAATAGACATAATTTTGATTTTATAATTTCCGTATTTTCTATGCACATTTATGTTGAATAAAAGTTGGAATCATATTGAGCTTATATCTTTTTAATCTGTTTTTTTTTCACTTAGGAGCATTTTCCTTTTTGAATAAGATTCCTCTAAAACATAACTTTTAATGACCGCATATTTACCATATTTGTTTAACAATACCATATTGTGAGTCACTGGGAGAAAGTCAGGTAGTTGAGTCCTCAAATTTCGTTCCCACCTTCTTTCATAATAAGATAACCCATATTTAAATGGGACTATATTATGTCCAATTAAAGGTCACATCTCCCAGCCTCCTTGGAGTAGGTGTGGCCATTGACCGAGTTCTGGCCAATGAGATATAAGTAGAATAGTTATTATCAATTTGAAGAAAAACTTCTTAAAGGGGGCTGACTCATTTGAGAGCAGCATTCTTTTGCTTTTGCCTCCTATCAGCTTCCCACTGCATGGGATGTGGAGGTGATGGCTGGAGTTCCAACAGGCACTTGGATCGTGAGATAACCTCAGAAAGCTGTTTCCCGAGGGTGCTGAACTGGCAGGAAAGAAACCTTGGTCCTCGATGATATTGTGAAGACACCATATTAGCATGGATGGCCTATTTCTGAATTTCTTTCAGGTAAGAAAGAAATATATTTCAGCTTTATTTAAATGTTCTCTTACATGCAGACAAACCTAATTCTAACACAGATACTTAGGCTGATTCTGATTTTTGCTGTTATAAGTTATGCTGTAATTAACATACTTATTCAAAGATCTCTGTGCATTTTAGAAATTTGATAATGTATTTCTAGAAGTTGAATCATAAGTTAAAAGTTTTATGAACATTTTAAATTGGTTTTTGGCATATCCTGTCTAATTTGGGAAGGGATTTTTAATGAGGGTACTCCTGGGCAATGAACAAATGAGGTAAGAATACACATATCCTAAATGTGTGGCTAAAACTCCACTCTATTGTTCCCTTTACTAGAATGGCTAATGAGCCACAGTCAAAAGGCTAAAAAAATTACCCAGTAAAATAGTTGTGTTCAAGCCTGTCAGGTAGTTATTCTTAAGATTTTCATCTGAATTAAATTGTAAAGCGATAGACTCCCCCAACCCCCACCAAAAAAAAACCTCAAAAAAACCAAACCAAAAACAAACAAACAAAAAGCTACCATGTGAGGTTTATTACTTTCCCTGATTTTAGTTCACTCTGGATTATTTGAAAGATGACTATTATTAGTGAGTTATGTGAGTCAATAATTCTCAAACTTCAGCACACATATAAAACTTCACTTAAAGCTCATCAGAAAATGTAGATTCCTGAGCTCCACTTCCAGGTCTTCTGATTCACTTGATCTGGAGTGGGTGTAGGAATCTGCATTTTAACAGTCATACCACTGAGAGTAGCCCTGATCCAGATACTTTAAAGATTTTTTCAGGTTGCTATAGTTTGGATGTTTGTCCTCCTAAACTTCATGTTGAAATGTGATCCCATATGTTGGAGGTGGAGCCTAATGAGAGGTGTTTAGGTCATGAGGGCAGATCCCTCATGAGTAGATTAATGCCCTCCCCGAGGAGGGGTAGTGAGTGAGTTCTTGCTCTATTAGTTCCCATGAGAGCTGGTTGTTAAGAAGAGTCTGACACTTCCTCTGTCTCTTTCTTGTCATGTGATCTCTGCACAGGCCTGCTTCTCTTTACCTTCTGCCATGAGTGGAAGTGGCCTGAGGCCCTCACCTGAAGCCAAGCAGATGACAGCACCAGGCTTCTTGTATAGCCTGCAGAACCGTGAGTCAAATAAACCTCTTTTCCTTATAAATTACCTAGCCTTAGATATTTCTTTATAGCAATACAAAATGGACTAAGACACAGCTATTGCCTGAAATTCCATCCATTATTTTTTTTTTTTTTTTTTTTGAGACGGAGTCTCGCTCTGTCGCCCAGGCTGGAGTGCAGTGGCGCGATCTCGGCTCACTGCAAGCTCCGCCTCCCGGGTTCACGCCATTCTCCTGCCTCAGCCTCCCAAGTAGCTGGGACTACAGGCGCCCGCCACTACGCCCGGCTAATTTTTTGTATTTTTAGTAGAGACGGGGTTTCACCGTTTTAGCCGGGATGGTCTCGATCTCCTGACCTCGTGATCCACCCGCCTCGGCCTCCCAAAGTGCTGGGATTACAGGCGTGAGCCACCGCGCCCGGCTCCATCCATTATTAAATCTTGTTGCCACTGCTTGTTAGTCCTACTAGAGAAGCTGACCAAGGATGGCCATAAAGGTGCAACTGAGACTGGCAATTCTGCTCTTTTTCTATCAGTTGATTGACATTTTGTGGCTCTGGATGTAAAGTAATGGCCACACTTATGAATAATGGATATAATACTTTAGAAATTATTTAATGTATTTTTTATTCTTCCTAAATCAAGATGCCATATGGCTCTTCATCCTTTTAATCAATGAGTTTTAATGCTTCAGGGCAGGGCAGTCACTGGCTAGAACACCAAAGTCATCGCTCTGCTTTGACTGTCAAATGAAGCTTTGTATGTATTGTATCCCCAGGGAGAAAGTGCTGTTGAAAGCTAGGCTGCATCAAGAGAGAAAGGAATTTCTAAATTTACAAAGCTCCCTTTATGTATCATTTATTTCTAATCTTATTGGATTCCTATTAGAGAATGAGGTCTGTAAAACCTCTAGTTTTCATATTTTCTTGAGGTTTCCTTTACAGGCAAGTACATAATCGATTTTTGTAATATGTCTTTCTTTCAATGGATGTCAAATTCTTTAGCTATTAAAACAAGTGAATTGATCATAATTTTAGTTCTTCTGTGTCTGTATTTATTTTTTGTCTCCTAGATCTCACTGATTTGAAAAAAGTGTATTAGAATCTCCCACTCGAACTGTATTTTATTTGTTCTTTTTGAATATTGAATATTCTTTTTGAATTTAATTTCATTTTTATCAAAGCAATATTCTTTTGCAGTCAAATTGTGCTCTGATGCTTAAAACAACAAGAAAAAAAGACGTGTCATTCCCTGCCTTACTCCCCACTTCCCCAAATTCTCACTCCCCAGACGCAATCACTTTCAGCTCTTTTTGCTTTATCTTCTTGTGGTTACCTACATATTTCAAAATTCCATGTAACTTTGGCTTTTAAATTTTAAATGTTACCTATTAACATTCTACTCTGGAAAATGAGTTTGGAGGGAAAAGAAGATAAATTTCTGTATCCAATCTGCTACATTTAAAGTTTTTAAGGATGGGGGAAAGAGGAACAAGAGCAACTGGTAAGATACATGGAACCTGTTTCTTCCTCTGCAGGCCAAAATCCCAGTTGGGGGTTTGATAAGTATTCTAAATTATGATACATTTAAAAATACTTATTGAGCACCTACCATTCTAGTAAAAATGACCTCATGAACTTGCATTCTAATGGGAGAGCCAGACAATAAACAGATATGGAAAATATATGTCAATTGTCATAAAAAAGAAAATGCTATGAAGAAAATAAACAAAATAAAGTAGATAGGATAGGGAGGAGGGATTAAGTGGGGTCATTATAGAAGGCCTGACTGAGAAGGTGGCATTTGAGCAAAAATGCCTGACGTAGGTGAGAAAACTGGCTAAGTGTGTTCTGAGAAGAGCAGAATGAAGGAAGGGCAAAGGTAGGAAACGAGGTCACAGAGGTAACGCAGGGGCCCAGTGGCAGGAAAGGATGAGTCAGATTGTGTAGGATCTTGTAAGCACTCAGGCTTTTGCTCTGAGGGGGAAACTTGCGGAGACTTGAATAGAGGAGTGATCTGATTTAAGTTTAAAGGAATCATTTTCGTGGTTGTACTAACAATAGACTGAAGAGGGACATAAGGTGTGGAAGCTGGAGACCAGCCAGGTAACTAATGCCATAATTCACATGAGAGATAAGTACAACTTGGAATGGAGTGCAGTGGTGAAGATGGTGAGAAGTGTGAAATCTGGATATATTTTGAAGGTAGAGCCAGTAAGATTCGCTGATGGGTGAGCCTTGGCAATCTGAAAGGAAGAGAGCAGACAAGGAATTTTGGCCTTAGGAAATGAAAGGATAGAAGTGCTACTTCCTGCAGTGGGGAAGATTGTGGTAAGGGACCTATTTTAGGAGGAGAAAATTCAGCTGTGGATATGTCATGTTTCTGGGATGCCTCTTGGTCATCCAAGTGAAACAGTGAACTAGACAGTTAGATATTTAATTCTAAAATTCACTGGAAAGTTTAGACTGAAAATGAAATTTGGGAGTTATTAGCATAGATGATATTTAAAGCCAGAAGACTGGATGAGAACACCCAGGGAGTGAGCGAGTGTGAAAGAGAAGAAAACAGGCCTAAAGACTGAGCTCTGGGTTACTTTACACTTAGAGGTGAGAGGAGGAGGCAGAGAAGACGTGATAACGAAGTCAGAAGAAAACCAGGATTTCCAGGAGGCCAAGTAGAGAATATTTCAAGGAGAAAACACAACTTTGCCAAATGCTGCTGATGAATTGCCAAATGCCAAATGCAGGTGAAATAGGATGAGGACTGAGAATTGACTGCTGGCTTTACCAATACGGAGG
Organism: Homo sapiens; assembly: GCF_000001405.40. Taxonomy (NCBI): domain Eukaryota; kingdom Metazoa; phylum Chordata; class Mammalia; order Primates; family Hominidae; genus Homo; species Homo sapiens. Next base: position 4,344,296 of record NC_000009.12, on the reverse strand, counting down.
TCATTAGTGGCCTTGAAGAGAGCTGTTTCAATGAAATGGTAGTGGGGGTGGGAGGGAAGAGAGGAAACCCTGGGGCAAATAAAAATGGTGAATATGAATTTTATCGGGAGACTTGCTGTAAAGGGGACCAGAGAAGTGGGCTGGTAGATGGAAAGGGATGGAAGAGGAGGTATGTTAAGGTAGGAAATGGAATTCTGTGTGTTTATTATTATAATATTTCTTTCTGAGTTTTAGGTTTAGGGAGTACATGTGCAGGTTTGTTATATGAGTCAATTGTACGTTGCTGGAGTTTTGTGTACAGTTTATTTTGTTATGCAGGTAATAAGCACAGTACCTAATAGGTAGATTTTCAGTCCTCACCCTCCTCCCACCCTCCACTCTCAGGTAGGCCCCTTGTGTGTATTGTTTCCTTCTTTGAGTCCATGTGTACTCAATGTTTAGCTCCCACTTGTAAGTGAGAACATGTGGTATTTGGTTTTCTGTTCTTGAGTTAATTCACTTAGGATAATGACCTCCAGCTGCATCCATGTTGCTGCAAAGGACAAGATCTCATTGTTTTTTTATGGCTGCATAGTATTCCGTGGTGTGTATGTACCGCATTTTCTTTATCCGGTCCACCGTTGGTGGGCATTTAGGTTGATTCCATGTCTTTATTATTGTGACTAGTGCTGTGATAAGCATACATGTGCATGTGTCTTTATGGTAGAATGATTTATATTCCTTTAGGCATATACCAAGTAATGGGATTGCTGGGTTGAATGGTAGTTCAGTTTTAGGTTCTTTGAGTAATCGCCAAACTGCTTTCCACTGTAGCTGAACTAGTTTACATTTCTGCCAGCAGTGTATAAGCATTCCTTTTTCTCCACAACTCTCGCAGCATGTTATTTTTTTACCTTTTATAATAGCCATTCTGACTGGTGTGAGATAGTATCTCATTGTTTTGTTTTGTTTTGTTGAGACAGGTGCTAGCTCTGTTGCCCATGCTGGAGTGCAGTGGCACAATCAGAGCTTACTGAAGCCTCGAACTCCTGGGCTCAAGCAATCTTCCCACCTCAGCCTTTCAAGTAGCTGGGACCACAGGGGTGTGCCACCGTGCCTGACTAATTTTTTAATTTTTTTTTGAAGAGATGAGGTCTTGCTATGTTGCCCAGGCTGGTCTCAAATTCATGGGCTCAAGTGATCCTCCTGCCTTGGCCTCCCACAGTGCTGGGATTGTAGGCATGAGCCACCATGCCTGGGCCTCACTGTGGTTTTGATTTGCTTTTCTCTAATGATTATCAATGTTAAACATTTTTTCATATGCCCAAAAGCTCCTAGATCTGATAAACAACTTCAGCAAAGTTTGAGGATACAAAACCAGTGTACAAAAATCAGTAGCATTTCTATAATCAAAAATGCCCAAGCTGAGAGCCAAATCAAGAACACAATCCCATTCACAATAGCCACACACACAAAATAAAATACCTATGAATACAGCTAATCAGGGAGGTAAAAGATCTCTACAGTGAGAATTACAAAACACTGCTGAAATCAGAGATGACACAAACAAATGCAAAAACATGCCATGCTCATGGATTGGAAGAATCAATATTGTTAAAATGGCCATACTGCCCAAAGCAATTTACAGATTTAATGCTATTCCTATTAAACCACCAATGACATTCTTCACAGAATTAGAAAAGAACTATTATAGTATTCATATGGAACCAAAAAAACAGCTGAAATAGCCACAGCAATTCTAAGCAAAAAGTTAGAATTCTAAGCACTGGAGAGATCACGTTACCCAACTTTATACTACAAGACCGCAGTAACCCAAATAGCATGGTAGTGGTACACAGACACATAGACCAATGGAACAGAATAGAGAACCCAGAAATAAAGCCACACACCTACAATCACCCAACCTTTGACAAAATCAACAAGAACAGGCAATGGGGAAAGCGATGAAAGCACCAGGCCATAAATGGTGCTGGGATAACTGGCTAGCCGCGTGCAGAAGATTGAACCTGGATCCCTTCCTTTCATCATACACAAAAATTAACTCAAGATGGGTTAAAGACCTAAATGTAAAACCCAAAACTATAAAAACCCTGAAAGATAACCTAGGAAATGCCATTCTGGACATAGGCCTTGACAAAAGATTTCATGACAAAAGTGCCAAAAGCAATAATAAAAATTGACAAATGGGACCTAATTAAACTAAAGAGCCTCTGCACAGCAAAAGAAACTATCCACAGATTAAACAGACAAACTACAGAATGGGAGAAAATATTTGCAAAGTATGCATCCAACAAAGGTCTAATATCCAGAATCCACAAGGAACTTAAGCAAATTAACAAGCAAAAACATACATCCCCATTAAAAGATGGGCAAAGGACATGAACAGATACTTCTCAAAAGAAGACATATACGTGGTCAACAAGCATGTAGTATGCTTAACTGTTATGAGATTTAATCAGTAACGTGGGAAAAAGGTGATGACAGAAAAAAAAGCGGAGATCCCATTTGTTGGCCATGGGATCTAATGCTGAAGTGGAGGAATTTTCCTTAGAACTGATTGCTTGTTCATAGGAGGGAAGGCAGAGTACCTGGGCACAGTTATCAGAGCTGGCCAGAGGCACTGGTTGTAAGACTGTGGTCTTTTTCTATTGGTTTTCAAATTATCAATAAATGGGATGAGCTTGGATTGGATGCATTGGATGGAAGTGAGTATAGGTGAGGAAGTGCTAGGGGTCTGAGGACAGAAGAGAATGAGGGAAATAAGTCATGGAGGAGAGTGGGAGAAAAAATGATATAGGGCAGCATTAAGGATCTACTGGAGATCAGTGACCTTGAATGTGAAATGAGACAAGTCTTCACAATGGTGAGTTTTTCTCCAGCACACAATGAGCTGTGTGCACATCAGCCTGGAGAAGAAGGAGAGTTGATTTGAACAGGGTCAGATGTTGCCTGATAACTACAAGTGTGTAATCCCAGGGTAATAGAGCTTATCTTTCACTCGTGTGAGTGCAAGCCAGGAGAGCTTTAAGCTCCAGTGATGCCAGATAGGTTGGAAATGGCTGAAGAAGAAGTGGAAGTAGATGGATAGAGAGCAGTCTTGTTTTGTCCTAGAGAGTATTGCACAAGCCTGTGGATCAGATAATGCAACTAGGAAAGTCTGTCCCCAAAAAGGAAACACATAAGTTCTAAGCATACCATTGGACCAGAAGAGATAACAGATCATTTGGATTAGAGGGAAGAAAGACTTGCAGTCCAGAGGCTATTCAAGGATGTCAGATGCCAGTTGTGGGTGTTTGCAGAGTTGCTAAAATATCAGGTGAGGCCAGGCACGGTGGCTCACACCTATAATCCCAGCACTTTGGGAGGCCGAGGCAGGTGTTTGAGACCAGCCTGGCCAACATGGCGAAACCCCATCTATACTAATAATACAAAAATTAGCCAGGAGGGGTCACCCACACCTATAATCCTAGCTACTTGGGTGGCTGAGGCAGGGACAATTGCTTGAACCCAGGAGGCGGAGGTTCAGTGAGTTGAGATAGTGCCACTGAACTCCAGCCTGGGTGATGGGTGACAGAGCGAGACTCTGTCTCCAAAAAAATTAAACAAAAACAAGAATCAGGTGGGATCTGGTTCCGACAACGGTCTCCAGGTTCAAGTGTCCATGGTGGTTAATAGCGTGGATGTGGAGATGAGCACATGGACCATCACCCTCACTCCCTCATTCCTGCTGTCCTGCCACCACAAATACACAGAAGCTTAACCCTAGACCCAGGAACCATCCGGGCAAGGAGAACAGGGATGGAGGATGCATCCTGAAAGATGAGGAATTTGCCCCAAAGACACTGGGTAAGACAAAATAAAAGAATGTTTCATCCTGGAATTGAGTTGCCTTTTAATTGGGAAGTTGAAGTTTTCCCCCACCCCCTCACTTCTATTCAGCTCAAAAGTCAGATGACATCAGTCATGGCAAATAAAGGAAAATGACATACTTTTTTTTTTTTTTCTCATTTGATTTGTAATTCCTAAACTTCTATCTGGGTACAGACGTTTTGGATTATTCAGAGATTTAAAAAATACATACTAACTCTGTTCCCCTGTGGTAATTAAAAGTTGGCCATGTAAGAAAGAAAATATTAAAAGTATGGAGAAGGCTGTAGAAAAAGGGAATAGATCCAGAGATTCTAGGGGAATATCAACCTCATGCTAAGCCAAGCCGTGAGGACATGGTGAATTCACTGATGAGCAAGAAGCAAAGCCGCTTGTCAGCTGGTATTAAATGTTGACTTCTCCCTAGTCTTTGTGTCTTGGTCAATACCAAATGAGAGAATGTTTGCTCTTAAGTTCACTCTAGGAAACTACCCACCAAAAACTTGCTTTACCTTTCTGTCTCTTTTCTTTTCCTTTCCTTTCCTTTCCCTCCCCCTCCCCTCCCCCACCCCTCCCCTACCCCCTCCCCTCCCCTCCCCCTCCCCCCTCCCCCTCCCCTCCCCTCCCCCTTCCCTCCCCCTACAGTTTCTGGTTCTCTGGGCACGTTTTGATCCCAGTGAGAAGCTTCTTTTGTACCAAACTTCCCAAATCCCATCATTGCATTGTTATCTGGCTTTGAAATGTCACTGTGGCATCTCCACCCTTGCTTGGGAAACTTTGCTCAATGAAAAGTCTGATTAGCTTTACCTGACCCTAAATACACACAACAGAGACGGATCACAGAAGGACCAGAAGCAACAGGTTGGAGAGGTTCTTTCCGGTTAGCAATCCAAACCTCTGCACCTATTTGGCCTCTAGGCGGCGCCAGCCCTTCAAAAAACAAGGCTGTTTATGTAACAGATTGGCAGTTTGAACGTCTATATAAATGTCATTCTTTAAAAATAAAGACGAAACTCTCAGTTAACTTAAACAGGAGCAAATTAAAAAGTAGAGTGAAGCATGTATTTCATGAACACAATTCATCGGCTGTCTTTGGTACTTCAAAATGAAACATTTTCTCCAAATAACTGGCACCCTCCCACTGGCTTTAGCTACATAGTGACAAAACAACAGATCAATTCACTTCAGTGAAGAAGACAAATCCAGTCATTGAGGACTGGCTTCATGTGACTTACACACCTGGGGACAGAATTCTATCTATGCCACCAAATATATAAGCCAAGCCACTAAATCATGACTGAGGTGTTGAGTTTATCCTCCCAAACATATCGAGGTAGTGTTGTATGGACAGTCTCAATTGTTTTGAACATGATTATTTTGCTTCATGAACTCACCAGGAGGGTCCTTGAAATGCCGCTTTTCAACATAGTTTTAAGGGTAAGCCTGTAACACATAAAGCCGTCTCATTTTGAAGGCTTTGTGTCCTTGTGTGTTAATGCAGAATCTCAATCTTAGCTTCAAAATGGAATCACTTGGGGAGCTTTAAAAAAAATCCCAAGACTCAGGCACATACCCCAAACCAATTAAATAAGGATCTCTGGAGCTGGGACCCAAGCAACAGTGCTTTTTCCAGGCTCCTTAGGTGATACAATATGAGGCTATATTTTTGGTTCCTCTACTTTCTACTTGCAGCTCCTTCTCCCATGGGGCTGGCTACAGGAACCAATCTCCAGTACTTACACTATTTTCCCCCAGTTCCTTTTTCTCCCTGGGTCTGTCCCCAAACTTCATGCAGAACAATGCCTGTGAACAAGTCACATGCCCTTTAGATTCTTCCAGACCTATTTGAAATTCAGTGGTAGCCACATCTTGACTTCAAGTTTGGGGCCCTATACAGTCATTGACTAGTAGATATGAACAGTACCTCATAGGTTGTCTAGTATGGTGACTCCCAAATACCAGTCCTGAGCTGAATTCTCATCCTGAATAAGAATAATCCAGGGAGCTTGTTTAAAAAATTGTGTGTGTGTGTGTGTGTGTATGTGTGTGTGTGTGTGTGTGTACACACATATATAATAGAAATCCATCTATCTCTCTATATATACGTATAATTTTGTTACCAGAAAGTCTCATTCAGTAGGTCTACAGAAAGACCTGAAAGCTGTGTTTTAACAAGCTAAGCTTAAAGGAAACTCATCTAGTCCAACACTGCCAACACATAGCAGCAGCAAAATCTCAATGGGATATGCCTTGTTCAAGGAAACTTGTCTAGTCAGGAGAAGCGATAGGATTAGAATCAGGTGTCCTGACTCCTGTGAAAAGAAGTCATGCTATGGACAAATACAGTTTTTGCATTTCAAAACTAAACACACACACACACACACACACACACACACACACACACAGCCTTGCCAATCTTACCAGTTAGACATTAGAGAAAGAGCAAACCATCCTGGGAAATCAGATCTGGGTCCTAGCTCCTGCTTGGTCACATAAGCTGTGTGGTTTGGGGCAAATATTTTCATCTCTTTGAACCCCAGTTTCTTCATCTTTCAAATGGGGGTAATAGTTGCCTCATAGAGTTTTGTGAGGATTAAATGATACAACATATCTGAAAGATGGATAGTGGAGCCTGGTACTGAGTAAACAAAACTGGTTGCTACCACCTCTACTATTATGCTACTATTGTGATCATTATTATGAACATTAATCAGCTTTTGTCTGGCCTTGTGATATGGTAGAATGAGTCAGATATTGGCCCAAAGGGATCCTCCATGTTCTTTTACTTCAGTGATGCTTGAGGCCCTTGTCCAACTCAGCATGTCAGAAAAAATGACCGGAAGGAGCCTGAAGCTTTTTGTTTGTTAGATATATTTTTTTGATTATAAAGGAAATATACATCATTGTAGAGTACATAGAAATGTTCAGAATCATTGCAAAATATTGCCTTCATTCGTTTAAATCAAAAGTATGAAAATACTGTCCGTACGATTTTGTATCTTTATTTTCAAATGAACATTTCCTATGTCATTAATTTTTTGACCATATCACTTTAATAGCTGCATACTATCTAATCATATGGCTGTATTTAATTAACTATTTTCTGATTGTTAGACATTTATGTTATTTCCAGCTTTGTTACAATAATTAACACTTTGGTGAAGGTCTTTGTAGATAAAGTATTTTTCTGAGCTTCTGATTATTTCCTCAGGACTGTGTCCCAGAATGAGAGTTTTGGGGTTAAATGATTTGCACTTTTAATGATTCTATGTGTTGCCAAATTACTTTCGGGAAAAGTTGTACCAATTTGTTTGTGCACTAGAAGCCAATGACACTACCAACTCTGAGTATTTTCTTTTCCTAATTTGATAGGTTAAAAGTAGTATCTCATTTTAGTGCATTTAAAAACATTTACTAGTAATATTAGATTTTTAAATATTTATTAGTCATTTATATTCTGTCCTCTGGAAATTGTCCATTTACTTGATCTATTTTTCTCTTGGAATTTAGTGAGTTAGTGTCTTCCTTATCAGAATATATGAGTATTCATGTAGAATTGACAGATAACTTTGTAGACCTCTTTTCATAGATCTTTTTAGCAGATCTGTAGTGTAATTAGTATGAACATCTCTCTACTATCATAAAAACTTGCCAACTAAAGGAATATACAAATTGTATAGGACTTGGGACATGAGCTCTGGAGCAGTGAACATCGCACGTTTCCCATAAGTGATAGTTTTGAGGAATGGCAAGGTTTGGAGTTAGGTGGATCTGGGTCTAAACCCTAGTTCTGTCGCTTACTGGTTTTGCAGTCTTGGTTTTGTTGTTTTATCTTCCTGAGTCTTACTTTCCTTTTCCATAAAACGGAAACTATATATTCAGTTTCAGGGCTCATGTGAGGATGCCAAGAGAAAGGGTGATATCAACACCCCGACACATGTATCAGTGCCCTCAGGGTCTGGCACCAGAAACTGTAGCAATGATCCTAAGGGATCCAGGTCCCTGACCCAGAACTGCCACCCAGAGTATTGGTGACCTGGCCTGGCCTGGTGGCTTTGGCCCTGTGGAGCAACTTTAATGCTAGTTACAGCAGCACCAGGGGCTTAGTGGATAGATAGCTTAGCCATAGAGATCTCTGAAAGTATTCAGAGCTAAAGAAGAGGAAACCCATATATCACATGTGGCCATGGAGAGGACTGATTTTGAATCCACATGAGATGCTTTTTGGAGACTCCCAAGATTAGGTCAGGGAGAAGAGTTGGCAGTGGGCTAGAGCCAGAGAACTATTGCTTTCTACTGCTATTGTGACCCTACTTTAATATCATGCCATGTGGCTTATGGGTAACAAACAGATTGGGAAATGGAGGCCCACAGAGGTGTAATGACTTACTCAAGATCTCACAGCACATCATCTCCAAACTCAGGTTTTCTAACTGCTTGCTCCCTGCCCTTTCTTCTTCATCACCTGTCACCAAGTAAATTTACCGAAGTCCGCAAATTTTTACCTTAGGTTGTCATAGCTCTGTATTAACTAACTGAATTTCTTGGAACTGGATACAAACACCAAGGCTGGAATGAGGGAAGAATCACCTTATCCTGTTAAATCTGGTTCAATGGGGGAAGGACCCTGGGGCAATTCAGAGTAGGGCAAGGGACCCAGGGGATGCCAAGTGTGTTCTGAGGCTTCTTGAAAGGGATGGATGCCTCTAAGAGAGGTCTAAATAGATCCTGATGTTTCAGGTTTAAACTAAAACCCTAAGCCGTGTTGAAAGTGCCCTTGTTTAACCCCGGGCTACTTAGGGTACTACAGGTGAGATGCCAGGTGTAAGCTAGGTTAACGCCATCCCCAGGGCTGGTGAGGGAGATAGACACCAGAACCACTGAATTCTGCCTGTTTTTCACACTTGAAGGCTTTGCACAGGAAAGCACGTGGAGCAGAAGTGATAATTCAGATGATTAGAGCAGAAGCCCTTTATGGAGTAGCATTACCAGATCTTTTTATTTGCTATATCTGGCAAGTTTACGAGCAACTGAGGATTTACTTTAACTGAACCATTTGGTTTAGCTGTCTACAATTAATTGATCAATTTCACAGGTTAATTGGCTTAGGGCTTCATTTCACTTTGTGGTATAGACTTTGATCGTCACTGGAGTTATTTCTTATGCTTCTAATTTGTTTCAATTATGGCACTAAGATGCTCAGTAAAAATGAGTGGAAATGGGGCCAGGTACGGTGGCTCATGCCTGTAATCCCAGCACTTTGGGATGCCAAGGCGGGTGGATCACGAGGTCAGGAGATCAAGACCATCCTGGCTAACATGGTGAAACCTCGTCTCCACTAAAAACACAAAAAATTAGCCAGGTATAGTGGCGGGCGCCTGTAGTCCCAGCTACTCGGGAGGCTGAGGCAGGAGAATGGCATGAACCCGGGAGGTGGAGCTTGCGGTGAGCCGAGATCACACCACTGCACTCCAGCCTGGGTGACAGAGCAAGACTCCGTTTCAAAAAAAAAAAAAAAAAAAAAAGGTGGAAATGATTTCTCTTCTGAGAGCTGCTCTTATTGTAGTTGTGGGTTGAAGAGAGCAGGCATGACTGCCCATGGCTGGGCATGCTTTTAAAGGTCAGAGTACAAAATGGCCTTGGACAAGCCCCAGGTTCGCTGTAAGTGGCCTTCTGTAGCACCTTTGTGTGTGAGAATGAATGCTGTGACTCATAAGGGCAGTAGTGTGGATTGAGGGAGTATAAGGAGAAGACAGGCAAAGCAGCATGGGGACAGTGGCTGAACAGGCCCAGTGCTCACTAGGCCAGGTTGGGCTGTTTGGCGTTCACCTAGGTAACCTGTTGCCAGGAGGACAACAATAACTTCCCCATGACAACGCTGGAGCAAGAGCCCTGGCACTGCAAACAGAGCCAGAAAAGTCTGCCCTAGCTTGGACTTGCTGATTAATGAACATGCATTTGCACTACAATTGTTTCAGGAAGGGTGGAGGGGACAGAGGGCACTGACCAGCTTCCTTGCCTCTCCAGCCACCAGCTCCTTGACAGCCAACCTTTTCTGTCTACCCACATACTCTGTAGCTGCCACGTTTTAATTGTTGCTTGTTTTGAGAGGTTCTGTGATCTCTCTGTAATTTGTAGAAGGACTGAATGTTATATCCAGAAAGCTCCTTGGGAAACAGATTTAGAACCTGCCTGGAATTTACACTATCAGATGGTCTTTCACTGTCCCCTTTACTCAGTTTCTTTACCTGTAGTAGAATCAATTCCTATTACCTAAATTTGGGTGAATTTTTATGAGATCTCACTGCTCAGTCAGAACTTGCTGTAACTGTTTGTCTTGATACTCAAATTCAAGCCCTCTGAATTATGAGACTAGAGTATTGTCTGCCTCATGAAGAGGTCACTTTTGTTTCTAAGCACTTAAGCTCCTAACAGGAACCCTAGTCCTTTCCTCTCCTGCAGAGGTCATCAGAGCAGACAAGGTGGCACCATTCCAGGTAGGATTTAAGGAATCCAAGAAATTCCCAATGCAAAGTGGTTTTCCCTGGCGTTGCCTGAAATCGCACCTTTTTGTAAAGTGTTGTTTGGAGCTTTATGATAATATAATTTCTCTTGGGAGGATATTTCCAATCAGGTGTAACAGCTGGAAGTGAGGGGAATCAAAACAGATGAAGTTGCGGGGGGTGGGGGGGGGCATCACATTGCTTCACAATTACGTCTAGAGCCACCCTTCACAAAAATCCCATTGGAAGCTAATAGCATTATTTGACAAAAGGGTCTCATAGCCAAGTATGTTAGGGAAACATTGGGTTAAAACAAATTGAATAGGTCACTTTTCTGAACTATTGTTTCATGTATCAAATTTGGGAAACTAGCCCAGAGCAATGTTGAAAGGTCATTGAGCAAGATCTTGTTCTGTCACTCTTAACCACTCAGAAGACTAGAAATCTCTCCTTCTGTTTTAAGATTAGATTATTTGCTTGTTCTTAAGCAAATTAAAGTCAATTTTTAAAAAAGACTTAGTTTCTTTCTTTCTTTCCCTCTCTCCCTTCCTTTCTTCCCTTTTTCCTTCCTTCCTTCCCTTTTTTCTTTCCTTTCCTTCCCTTCCCCTTGCTTTCCTCTTCCTTTTTCCCTTCCCCTGCCCCTACCATTCCCCTTCCCCTTCCCATTTTTCTTTCCTTTCCTTCCCCTCCACTTTTCCTTCCCTTCCCTTTTCATTCTTGTCTCACTGTGTTGCCCAGGCTGGACTCAAACTCCTGGTCTCAAGCAATCCTCCTGCTTCAGCCTTCTGAGTAGCTAGGACTATAAGAGTGCAGCACCTGGCTAAGGTTTAGCTTCTTAATTTGTGAAACTGGAGTGATAATACCTGTCTCATAAGGTTGTTCTGAAGATTGAAGGAGATGACTTAGATAAAGCAGCTGTCAGAGTAAGCACTCAATGCTATAAAAATTAGGGAGCTGAAAACGTTAACATTGAATCAAGATTAATGTCAGTCCTGTTAGTCACAATAATAAAGACTGTAAACAAAGAACAATAATACCACCCATCCCAGAAATATTGATACTATCATGTATAAGGTTCAGAATATGTAGTATCTAGTACCCAGTAGACGTTTTGACATATTTACTGAATAGATGTGTAGAGGAACACCTATGTACATTTGTATCAAATTTAATCTGTATCAATAGAGAGCACATGAGGCTGACTCCCGCCTATTAGCTACAATAGCTCAAAGATTAGAGAACTTTCTATGTCATCTAATAGTCCAGAGGTAGGTTGGTAGTTTAGAGTGAGTATACTGTTGTCTGCCCTAAGAAGGCATCCAGAGCCCCAGGTGGGCTGGTCTGCTCTGCTGTCTTCAATGTGGAGCTTCCATCTGGGTGCAAGGCTACTACAGCTGTCACTGTTTCAGCCAGCAAGACGGGAGAGAGGAAGACAAAAGTAAGTGGTTTTGTGAAAAAGATTCTGTGTACTGGAACTTAGTCACGTGGCCATACTCAGCTATAAGGAAGGCAGGGATGTTAGTCTCCAGTTGAGCAGCCGTGTGCTCAGCTAAAGCTTGGGTGCTTCTGTCACTGAGAGGAAGAAGGTGATAGTGGGTAATGAGGGCCAGTTAACAGTCCCTGCCTCCAAAACCTAGCCCAATTCTACACCTGGACCTGGGAAGGAAAGGCGCTATCAGTGAATGTTGACTATTAGGGTCAGTGTGTTGATCCTATAGTGTTGGATTGGGGTATTTTCTTCTATTTTGGGATTTCCACTTCAAGAAATTTAGATAAGCTGGAATGGATTTGCAGAACTTCAACCAGAATAGTTAGTGATGGGATGGGAATCCAAAGGATATGAGAAATCCTTGGAGGAATTAAGCATTTTTAACCTAAAAGAGAGAAGATTTAGGGATAACAGGTTTCTGTCTTTAAGTACATAAGGACTCCCAAGTTGAAGAAGAGCTAGGAAGGGCTCATGCTTTAGTCTCCCTGGTATCTTTCCATTCCACCCCTTGTACCAGTTGACAACCTGGGCATTTTGAATTTCTTTTTGTTCCTGTAATAAATCATATTTTCTCTTGTTTCTGGGCCTTTGTTCATGTGTTCTCTCTGTCTGAACCACTCCCAATGTCTCTCTTCCCACCCAGATGTTCATCTGGTTATTTCCTGCTCATCCTTCAGGTCTCACCTTAGACATTCTGAACTTTGGGAAACTTTGGCTCACACTCAAGTCTGTGACCAGTGCCTGCCTTCATCATATTTCTTCGTCATAACCCATCATACTCTATCATCATTGTGTAATTGGGTGAATTTACCACTGACCGCTGTCGCTCAAGTACAGGCTCCATAGATTTCCCTGCAGCTTCATTATTTATCTGGTTGTCAAGAACTGCAACTTCTGCTTCAACGGACCAATCAGTGTCATGAGCTGTTGAAATGGGAGAGAAAGGGAAGTTGAGTGATGGTAGCTTGGGTGGTACAGTGGGTTGAATAGTGTCCCCCCGAAATTCATGTGTACCCAGAACCTTGGATGTGACCTTATTTGGAATAGGGTCTAGATGGAATTAGTTAAGATGAGGTTGTAGTGGATAAAAGTGTGCCCTAAAACCAATGATTGATGTCACGAGACAAGGAGAGGACTCAGAGACACACACGCACAAAAGAAGGCCCTGTGAAGATGGAAGCAGAGATGAGAATTATGCTGCCACAAGCCAAGGAGTGCCTGTGACCTTTAGAAGCTGGAAGAACAAAGGATTCATCTCTAGAGCTTTCAGGGGGAGTGTGGGCCTGCTGACAACTTGAGACTTACAGCTTCTAGAACTGTAACAGAATACATTTCTGTTGTTTTAAATCATGCAGTTTATGCTAATTTGTTATGCAGCCTTAGGAAACAAATACAGATGGCTCAGGGCAAGATGGGCCTGTTTGCTCCCGGACAGTCTTATGGTGACATGCATGTAGCTGCCAGTAAAGGGTCCTAACCACACAGCAAAGTGAAGCACAGCTAATGTGATCCTTCAGCACAGTGACAAACAGTGCTTGCTCTAATGGCAAAGGTGATCTGCAGGAATCAGCTTAACCCACTCCTGGCTCGCCTGGTGCTGGTGGTGGATGATTCTGAAAAGTCTCTCAGCATCGATTGCATTTTTTCTAAGTTATCTCCTGAGTCCAGTCCCTCTTCTCAGTGGGCTCCCACTCCCTCCCAGGTATTGCCTCCGACTTAATCTCTACCTCTCTTCATCTCCATCTCAACCTTCATCTCCACCTCTCTTCATCTCCATCTCAACCTTCACCTCCACCTCTCCTCATCTCCATCCAACCTTCACCTCCACCTCTCCTCATCTCCATCCAACCTTCACCTCCACCTCTCTTCATCTCCATCTCAACCTTCATCTCCACCTCCCTTCATCTCCCTCCACCTAAGTGGAGGTTGTTTAATTTCTCTGGGATCTTTGACTGACTGGGTCTTTCGCTTTTTAATTAACTATCAAAGCCTAAACACTACACCAGTGGTTTTCAAAGTGTGATCCTTGGACCAATAGCATCAGCAATACCTGGAAAGGTTTTAGCAGTGCCAACTCGCAGGGCCTGTGCCAGACCTATTGAATCAGAGACTCTGGATGGGTACCAGCAATCTGTGTTTTAACAGGCCTTCCAGGTGATTTGAATGTGCACCAAAGTATGGGAACAATTTGTCTACACCTTGCTGTCTTGGGAGCCCTGCTTCTTTCCTTTCCTTCTACTGGCAAAATCCAGACATCACAAATCAGAAATGATTTGGCTTTCAAAACCATTATTTCTGATGTGGGTTTTGGGAGTCTACACTGAATTTCCTAAAAGTAAGTTTTGGTCATTTCTGTGTATTTGCATTCCTGATGGAAAGTGTTAATTTTCATTAAGGGTATGTGAAAACCTCCAGCTGACTTGGCAAGGGCTCTGTTCAAGGAAATATAGAGAAGAAAAACACAAAGATTAATTGAAATTAATTGATACACTAAAATAAATATAATATCATGCTGCATTCATTTATTCATCTGTGTCCCCATCTAGACTAGATGCTTTCCAAGGGCAGGAACTGTTTCAGTCGAATTCATCATTGCATTACCAGCACCAGAAGTAGGCCTCATCACTTGAAGAAATGACAGTATTAATACGTTGTAAAGATTGTGAGTTCCCCATTGCTAGAGGTATTTAAACACTGGGTAGATGCTACTGGCACGGATATGCTGGAGGAGGTTCGCATATCAGGTGGGTGGGCAGACTAGATGAATTTTAAATTTCTCTCTCATCCTGGAATGCTGTGATCCTTTGCTATAGAACCCTGTAGAGATAGAGGGTGGGGTTGTGCTGTACTTGGCACAGTGTGTAGCACATTCTTATTAAATGCTTTCTAGCCTATTGACTTCTCTGGTGAGGGTGAGGTAGGTGGGGTTATGGTGGTCTTATTATAGGCCCCCAGATACCACCTAGTTCCAGGACAAATGAAAGGCATTTGAAATACCACTGGGGGGCATTTTATCATTTGGAGGTATCTTTTTTTTCAGTTGTCAATATTTGTAAATTTGGAGAATTACTCTGACGTCAAAATGAAAACATTAATTATCGGAAACAAGCTAACAGAGAAAAGTGTGAGGATATGAATGGGAAAAAATGGCACTGCACACACACATGCGAGGTTTCCCCTAGCTGGTCAACATGCAGGCCTGGGGGTCGTGGACTCAGAACATTATCGTGGGAATGGGCTTCAGAGAGCTTTTGGTTCAAGGAAATGAAGGGCCACAGAGGTAGAAAATTCTTCGATCTCACACAGCTGCCCAAGTCGGCAGTATATTGGTGGATTGAAAAAGGTCTAGGCTATTTCTCTAAGTGTTAAAACGATAGCCTGGCAAGCAGGCAAGATTTGAGAGACTCTTACTCATCATCCTAAGCCTTTTGTAACAAATGCTGTTGGTGCACCTACACTCACCTCAAGAGCTGTGGTTGCTGGAGCTTATGAGAAACTATTAGGGAACTGCACTCTGTCAGCCTGCCATCTTAGGCCTGGGAGCTGAGTCACACTCCTCTTCTAATAGTAATAACAGTGAACATTTATTGGATGCTTGTCACGTGCCGGGCACTGATCTAAATGCTGCATGTGCCATAATGCTTTCAGTCCTCGCAACACCTGGTATGGCAGAGAGATTATGTCCATACCTGTTTTACGCAGGGAAAAACTGAGGCACAGAAAGCCTAAGAAATTCACCCAAGGTCACAAGCTATAGAGAGGCAGAGCAAGATTCCAGCCCAGGCTCTCTGGCTTCAGGACGACTTCCTTGCTTCTTAACATACATAATCATGATTTGGTTCAGAAGTCAGGAGCTTTATCTTTCTTGGGATTCTGGGCTTGGCCCCTCTAGATTTCCCCTTTATGGAGGGGCTGATCTGTCAGGGGATTATGGTTTAGGGCAGAGCCACATTTTACCTGTACACACTGGTGAAAAGGTGGGAGCAGAATGGGGTGTTGAGCATCCATGGATTCCACTTAGTGCTCCCTGTTTTCCTGACTCTCTGAGCCATGAACACCTCTATCTGCTGCTGGTTAGTGGGTTGAGTGGGTTCTGGTTTTGTTCAACTGGAACTTCAGGGGGAGCTGTGACCAAGCTCTTCTTCAGGGGCCACAGCATGATCCAAGCTACCTTGAAATCCCTAAAGGAGGCATGGAGATGGTTCTCTTGTTCCTGCCCTCTGAAGCTGCAAAGGGTTAGTCAGTCTCGGGTCTTGGGGCAGATTCTAACAGGACATGACTTACTGGCACTGGATCCCCGGGGTAGCAGCATCCAGGGCTTTTCCATCAGTGGGCCACGTGACCAGAAGACCATATGTGCTGGGCTCTGCCAGCCCTAATAACAGTGAGGAGTGGGAGAGTGAACAACACAGGAACATGCATTCGACATGAGTCACGTGCATGTGGAGGCTTTTGCCTTCCTACTTTCCTTTTTCCCGAGAGCCTTCTGAAGGCCCAGGCTCTTGATGCAATTTCAGCAGAATTAACTTGGACAGCTCAACTGAGAAACTTGATTCCACTGGGCTTCTGCTACACCGGTCACTGATCGCAACCTTCAGATGCACCTCGAGGAGTGACATTTAGGAGGAAGTTAGGCCCAGGTCCAGGGAGACACTTCTTGCCTACTGTGCTACTGCTCATGCCACACAGGCTGTTGCTTGTGCAAAATTCCAGGGGCTCAAGCCCCATTAACTGCAAAGTGGATGGCGCCCCCTGGAGTTGTGTGATGTGGTGGCACTGACTGGCCTTTATTCAGTGGGTCTGAAGGTCCTTTCCGGCCAGCTTCACAAAGCAGAGAGCTCAGAATTGTTGGTGACTCCTCCTCCTCTCTCATGCTTCCTACCCAATTCATTTCAATTCATCCTCACCTTTTACTCCCTAAATCCCACTTGAATCTGTCTGGTCTCCTCTGCTCCAGGACTTCCCTAGTGCACCCTCCACCCTCCTTCACCTGGACTACTGCAGGACCCTCCTAACTGATCTCCCACATTTCTCTTGACACCTCTTTCCAAAGCTCAAACTGGATCACAATATCACATCCTCCTCTCCTCCCTCTTCCCCTACTCTAATGACTCCTCTTTGCTCTGAATACAACATGGCCCTACACCCTGACATCTGTCCTCTGGCCATGCCCACCTCCCTCTGCTCTCTCAGTCTCACTGCTCTGGCCTTTTTGTTCAGGTCCTTGAAACCTGCTGTTCACTCTGCCTGGGACACTGGACACTCTCCCTTCTCACCTCTACACCAACTGCATCATTAACTCTCAATCAATCTTTCTCTCAGCTCCTGTCCCACTTTTTCATCTGACCTCCTTAACACAGATCACATTGTAACCTCCATTTATGAGATTACTTGTTTCATGTCTGTCTACCCCACCTGACTCTAAGCTGTGTATCTTGCTCTATGCTGTACCCCTAGTGTCAGCACAGGCAACTCAATAAGTATGTGTTGTTGTTAAAGGAATAACTTTATCCTTTGGTGGTGAGAAGGAAAAACCTTGCTGGCATGAGAGGACATGCACCCACAGCCAAGATGCTCCACGCTTATGCCAGTCCTTATGTACTTGTTCTTCCAAACCCAGCCCCAAACCTACCTTTCTCCTTCGCAGGCACTTCCAGCCTATGTTTCCAATTCTCTCTCATTTTTTTTGTCCTTGCTGTTGCTGTAGGTTCCATTTTTATTGTGATAAAATATATAAAACATAAAATTTACTATTCAAACTACTTTTTGGTGTGTAGTTTCATGACGTTAAGAACATTCACGTTGTTGTGCCGTCATTACCACCATCCGCTCTCCAGCATTTTTCATCATCCTAAACTGGAACTCTGTACCTATAAAAAATAACCCCCATTCCTCCCTCCCCCTGGTAAACACTACTCCACTTTCTGTCTCTATGAATTTTACTACTGTAAATACTTCATGTAAGTGGAATCTCACAGTATTTTTTTGTGACTATTTCACTTAGCATAATGTTTTCGAGATGTGTCCATGTTGTAGCATGTGTCCGCATTTCCTTGCTTTTGAAGGCTGAATAATATTCCATTGTATGTATATACCACATTTTGTTTATCCATTTATCCACTGATGGACATTTAGATTGTTTCTACCTTTTTCACTGTTGTGAATGATGCTGCTGTGAACATTGGTGTATATATTTTTCTTCAACAGACTATTTTTTCTTCAACTTTTATTTTAAGTTCCCGGGTACACGTGCAGGATGTGCAGGTTTGTTACATAGGTAAATGTGTGCCACGGTGGTTCGATGCACAGATCAACCCATCACCTAGGAAGTAAGCCCAGCGTCCATTAGCTGTTCTTCCTGAGGCTCTACCTCCCTGCCACCCCCGACAGGCCCCAGTGTGTGTTGTTCCCCACAGTGTGTACTTGTGTTCTCATCATCATTCAGCTCCCACTTATAAGTGAGAACAGGTGGTGTTTGTTTCTCTGTTCTTGTGTTAGTTTGCTGAGGATAATGGCTTCCAGCTCGATCCATGTCCCAGCAAAGGACATGATCTCATTCCTTTTCATGGCTGCATAATATTACATGGTGTATATGTACCACATTTTCTTTATCCAGTCTATCATTGATGGGCATCTAGGTTGATTTCATGTATCTTTTTATCCTTTATTTCTCAAGCTTCACATCATGAACAAGATTACTTTGATAGATGAAAAAAATAAAAACAAACATATTTATCTCAAAAAAAAGAGAGTTGATTTTGGCTCAAACTCTAGGTGGAAGTGAATCCTAAGTGTATCTTGTCTGGTTCCAGTGCTAATGAAGGTTAAAAGAAAGTAGAAAAGGCATCCTGGAGGTTATTAGTAGAAATGTGGATATTTTGCAGGAAAGGAAAGAATCATAGGAGAATCGAGAGCAACTGGAAGGTGAAGTAGGGATGGTTTTGAGGGAAGTGGGCTTAGTGAAAAATTTCAGTGGGCTCTGAAAGTCTGTCACAAATGCTGATTTAAAGATGAACTGTATGTTGTTCCTTAAACCTTTCTTTCTTTCATGTTTGTCCAAACATTATGCCCTAGCACATTTTCAGGGTTCTAGTCACCACATTAAGGGGTACTCTACCCTTTTTAAGTGGTTTCAAGGGGAACTTGTCACTCATCAAGAAGACATAAACAGCCCCAGAATAGGTCCTGTGCTAGCCTCAAATGTAAAACATACAGGAGAAAAAATGTGATTGTATTTGCAGCTTGGAAAACTCACATTTATGCATTCAAGTATAGAGAGGGTGGTGTAGCTATGGGCTTTATAGACATACCAGTTGGGTTCAGGTCCCAGTTTGAGGACTTACCAGCTGTGTGGCCTGGACAAATTATTTAATTTCTGAGTGATTCTGTGGTCTCAGCAATTAACTGTGGACAAAAATAGTACCTACAGCACCAGGCCGTTGTTGAGGATTAAATGGAACTATTTGACATATTACCTAGCACACAGTAAGTTCTCAGTAAATGTTAACTGCTATTTAGCACGTAAAGATACTACCTAAGGTTGTAGGGGTATAACTTTTAGGTTTTAAAGCAAGGTAAGAGAAATTGATGATTGAAGTGATTATTTTATTTTATTTTTGGAAACTTGAAACAAGTCACTCAGAGCCAAAACAAATGAAATGACTTACAGAAAATGGTACAAAGCAAATCAAGTGATTTACAGAAAATGGTGCTTGCTGAGTCATTGGCAGGCTTCCCGCTTCCTTGCATTTTTCTTAGTGATTTATTTGAATCCTGGACTATGTGTTCAGATTGACCTCAGTCTCTTTTTGAGAAGATATTTCAGAATCTAAATCTGCTGCCAAACTTATGTGCAAAAGGAAGAGAAAGAGTTTGAAATCATCAAGGAAGAATACGAATCATAATAATAACTACCATAATGTAACTAATGTGTATTGTCTCTTATAGTTGACAAAGAACTTTTCACCTGTTTTATCTCATATGGTTCTCAAAACAATCCCGTGAGGTGTCTAGGGCAGATGTTATTATTAATACCATTTTACTGATGAAAATACTGAGGTTGAAAGAAGTTAAGTAACTTATCTAAGATGACATTGAAAATAAGTGGCAAGGGTCACAACTCCACATCCTCTGCCTATAGGAAAAGTCAGCATCCTAAGCTCTCAGCCTCACTATGAAGTGATCTTTAAAATAAAAACACCAAGTTTTATGTAGCCCATTTTCAGAAGAGGGCACAGCATAAATAAAGATAAAGTGATGGGAAATTATTATGCACAGTTTAGGGAACACAGAGTGCAGCTTTTCTAAATATGAGTTATGTGTGCAGGAGTTACATAGGGTTGAGATGGCATATTGAGACAAGCACCATTTTCAAAGAAGAGTTAACGAAGGTGAGTAAATGAACAGATGTGAAGGGTCCCAAAAAGACCAGAAACAGACCTAATATCAAAATTTTTGAAACTGAGTAAATGAAAGAATGACGATGGTGCTAAAAATATAACAAAGTCATGCAGAGAAAGTGGTTTCAGTTACTTATTTCTTAATATGTTTAGTTAGATGTACTGAATAGTAGAGATAAATGCTTCTTTTCATGATTCATTCAAACAGCAACTTCTGCTGCGCCCCTATGATGTGCTTTAGGCTGAGGATTTAATAGCAATCAAACATAGACATGGTTCTGCCTTTAAGGAGCTTCCAGTCAAGTGGAGAAGACAGATCCCAATCATGCAGATGTGAGGCTGCTATGGTGGTAATGACCACAGAGGAGACATACATGATGCTTTGAAGGTCTATAATAAATAAGGGGGTCTGACCTAGTTATGAAGGTCAGAAAATATCTCCTGAGGAAATGATGCCTGAGCTGAGATCTGAGAGGTAAGTAGGAGTTAAATAGGTGAAGAAGACAGAAAGCATTGCAGGCAGGAAGGCATTCACATAATGGAATATTACACAGTAATATAAATGAATGAATCCCTGCTACACACAGCTACATGGACGAATACAGACAACATAACATTGGGTGGAAAAAAGCAAGTTCTAGAGACTATACACAGCATAACACTCTTCTTATGAAATTTAAAAGCAAGGAAAAGGGAACAATATGTTGTTTACATATATAAATATATGTGATAAAACAGCACTTTGGGAGGCCAAGGCAGGCAAATCACCTGAGGTCAGGAGTATAGTTTGTAGTATAGTTTGATATCACACATCTACAACTATCTGATCTTTGACAAACCTGAGAAAAACAAGCAATGGGGAAAGGATTCCCTATTTAATAAATGGTGCTGGGAAAACTGGCTAGCCATATGTAGAAGGCTGAAACTGGATCCCTTCCTTACACCTTATACAAAAATTAATTCAAGATCCGTTAAAGACTTAAATGTTAGACCTAAAATCATAAAGACTTTAGAGAAGAAAACCTAGGCAATACCATTCAGGACATAGGCATGGGCAAGGACTTCATGACTAAAACACCAAAAGCAATGGCAACAAAAGCCAAAATGGACAAATGGGATCTCATTAAACTAAAGAGCTTCTGCACAGCAAAAGAAACTACCATCAGAGTGAACAGGCAACCTACAGAATGGGAGAAAATTTTTGCAATCTACCCATCTGACACAGGGCTAATATTCAAAATCTACAAAGAACTTAAACAAATTTACAAGAAAAAATCAAACAACCCCATCAAAAAGTGGGCAAAGTATAAGAGCAGACACTTTTCAAAAGAAGACTTTTATGCAGCCAACAGACACATGAAAAAATGCTCATCATCACTGGTCATCAGAGAAATGCAAATCAAAAACACAGTGAGACACCATCTCACACCTGTTAGAATGGCAATCATTAAAAAGTCAGGCAACAACAGATTCTGGAGAGGCAACAACAAAAGTGGAGAAATAGGAAGACTTTTACACTATTGGTGGGAGTGTAAACTAGTTGAACCATTGTGGAAGACAGTGTGGCGATTCCTCAAGGATCTAGAACTAGAAATACCATTTGACCCAGCAATCCCATTACTTTGAGTAATATACCCAATCCTTTGAGTATATACCCAAAGGATTATAAATCATGTTCCTATAAAGACACATGCACACATATGTTTATTGTGGCACTATTCACAACAGCACAGACTTCGAACCAACCCAAATGTCCATCAGTGATAGACTGGATTAAGAAAATGTGGCACATATACACCATGGAATACTATGCAGCTATAAAAAAGGATGAGTTCATGTCCTTTGTAGGGACATGGATGAAGCTGGAAACCATCATTCTGAGCAAACTATCACAAGGATGGAAAACCAAACACCGCATGTTCTCACTCATAGGTGGGAACTGAACAATGAGAACACTTGGACACAGGGCGGGGAACATCACACACCAGGGCCTGTCGTGGGCTCGGGGGATGGGGGAGGGATAGCATTAGGAGAAATACCTAATGTGAATGACTAGTTAATGGGTGCAGCTCACCAACACTGCACTTGTATACATATGTAACAAACCTGCAGGTTATGCACGTGTACCCCAGAAATTAAAGCATAATAATAAAAATGAAAACAATTATCGGGTGTGGTAGTGTACACCTATAATCCCAGCTACTCGGGAGGGTGAGGCATGAGAATCACTTGAATCCGGGAGGTGGAGGCTGTGGTAAGATGAGATCATGCCACTGCACTCCAGCCTGGACAGTGAGACTCTGTCTAAAACAAAACAAAACTGCCAATAAAAATAAACACAAAATGCAGAGATGGTAGTTACCTTTGGAGGAGGGATAGCAGAGAAGAAATGGGAGGTTCACAAAGAGACATGTAAGTTATTGGTAATGCTCTCGATACTGGGGTGGGTGGGTGGGGAGTTCTGAAATGTTCATTTTCTTATTTTAATTACGTAAATAGAGAAGACCATGCACTGGGTAATTTAATAGCATAACATATACCAAGGATTATGATTAATCCAGTTCTAGGCACCTGATTTTTTTTTTTTTTTTTTTTTTTTTTTTTTTTTTTTTTTTTTGAGACGGAGTCTAGCTCTGTGGCCCAGGCTGGAGTGCAGTGGCGCCATCTCGGCTCCCTGCAAGCTCCGCCTCCTGGGTTCACGCCATTCTCCTGCCTCAGCCTCCCGAGTAGCTGGGACTACAGGCGCCCGCCACCACTCCCGGCTAATTTTTTTTGTATTTTTAGTAGAGACGGGGTTTCACCGTGTTAGCCAGGATGGTCTCGATCTCCTGACCTTGTGATCCGCCCGCCTCGGCCTCCCAAAGTGCTGGGATTACAGGCGTGAGCCACCGCGCCCGGCCTTGAGATTTTAAAAAAAGCGGAGACCATGCTGAGTATTGGGGACTTAAAAATTAGCAGGATGACTGGAATAGAAGAGCAGAGGAGGGAAAGGTATGAAATAAGGCTGCAGAAATGGCTGGGGTCTAGACCAAGCAGAGACTTACAGCCTTCTCAAGCAACGTTCTTTGTATCTCGAGAGCTGTGGGAGCCATTGAAAAATGCTCAAGCAGGAGACAGACTTTCAAAACTTGCATTTTGAAAAAACTTACCTGCCTTCAGTGTAATGATCAGATTGAAGAGAGACCAGAATGAATATGGATGGACCGCTTAGGAAGCCTTCTTAAGACATAATACAATGTTGGGTGCTTGGAATAGTGTGGTGATGGTGCTGAAACCAATAGCAGTGATAATGATGGTGATGGTTCCCGGGGTGCTGGCAGTGATAGTAGAGATAGTAGTAGTGGTGATGTGGTGATGGCGGTGGTGATGATGGAGGTAGTGATGGTGGCAACAGTAATGATGGTGATGGTGTAGGTGGTAATGGTGGTATTGGTAGTGCTGGTGATGATGATGGGTTTTGTGTTGGAAATAGAGAGAAACAGACAGATTTGAGAATATTTAAGAAGTAAAATCTACAGAATTTAGAAATAGATTTGATAGATGTATTGACAGAGAGAAAGGTGTGAAGGATAAATCCCTAAGTTTCTGGCTTGGCAATAAAGTGGGGATGGGTCAGGAAGGGGAAAGTAAGAGTTCAGTTTGAGGCATGGTGAACTGAAGATGCCTTTTCAGTCCCACCTCCTTCTCAACTCCCTTCCAGAGGTGATGGTCTTACTTTCCTGTTTATTCTTTATTATCCAAAAGTCAGCTCACAAACTCAAATTCTTTTAGGGGCTAGTCAGGCAACTGGAGTGAATGAAGCATGCAGGGTCAGGGAGACATTCAGAGACATTCAGAATGGAAGGGAATTTGTTGACCTATAAAAAACATGACATGTCAAAAGTGGGGTGGCTGTGACTCAGATACGCCCATTGGGAAGTCAAATGTTGCCAGCTTTTGATTTTTCAAAAGAAGCTGAAAATCATGATTTTTATGTTTCTTACTTAGCAACTAATTTGACTCTTGTGCGCGCGCACACACACACACACACACACACACACACACACACACACACAACCCCCTCTACTAACCTACTGTAAGGACCAATTCTATAGGCCGAACAAAACAAATCTGTGAGCCATGCGTAGACAGATTAGAATTCTGGTTCTAAATCATTCATTAATATTAGTTTACTCATATTACTGATCAAGTATATTTCAATAACGTTATTGGGGTAGAAATTTTGTGATAACATTTTAAGAGGTACTAGTAGGAGACTGAGGTGGGAGGATAGCTTGAGGGCAGAGTTCAAAACCATCCTGGGCAACATAGTGAGACCCTGTCTCTACCTCCCAAAATAAAATTAGCCAGGCGTGGTGGCAAACACCTATAGTCCTAGCTACCTGGGAGGGTGAGGCAGGAGGATCACTTGAGCCCAGGAGTTTGAGGTGACAGTGAGCTATGATCATGCCACTGCATTCCAGCCTTGGTGACAGAGGAAGAACCTGTTTCTAGAAAAAAAAAAGTGTTAGTATTTGGATTTTACCAAAACACATTACACAATAAATTTTAAAACATTTAAAAATGTTTAAAATCATTTCTTAGAAAAACGTCAAGTTCTCAGAAAAGTTGCAAGAATAGAATAATGAGCTTCCATGTACCTTCACCCAGATTCACCAGTTGTTAACATTTTGCCACATTTGAGTTCTGTTTCTTCCTGCTCCCCCATCTGGATCATTTGAGAGGGAGCTATGGATATAATGGCCATAAAATTTTAGAATGTTGCCCCTAAGTACAGTGATATTTTCTAACATAACCACAGTATGATGATCAAATTCAGGATTAATGCAATACCATTACCTAATATACAATTAATATTCAATTTTGTGATTTTTTTCTCATTCAGAATCCAGCTGAGATCACTCATTTCATTTTGTTGTCATGTATATTTTGTCTCCTTTACCCTAGAATGGTTCCTCATGTCTTTCATGACATTGACATTTTTGAAGAGTACAGGCCAGCTGTTTTACAGAATGCCCCTCCAATTGAGTGCTTGATCATTTCCTTATGATTAGATTCAGGTTGTGCATTTTTGGCAGGAATACCATGTAAATACTGTTGTGTCCTCAGCAGCTCACTCCGGGAGGCACATGATGTCACTTTGATGAACCCACTGTACAGGAACTTCCCCCCTTTGCAATCAGCAAGTAATCTGTGGGGAGATATTTTGAGGCTCTGAAAATATCCTGTTCACCAACAAACTTTCACCTAATAGTTTTAGCATCTTTTGAAGACTGTCATCTTCATCTGTTATTACTGCAGAGGCTGCAAGTTTGTGATTTTTAAAACAAACATTTCTTCTATGTTTGTTAGTATTTCACTGTAAAAAAGAGGTTTCTCTTCCCCATTATTTACTTATTTATATATTTTTTTATCTCTGTGTGAACATCTGGACTCTTTTTGCTGCCAATGTTTTATAACTTATTGTTGTTATTTTGAAGCTAAAATTGCCCATAATTGGCCAGAGGGAGCTCTTTCAAGCTGGCTCCTATGTTATTTTGACACTGCCCCTTATATTTTTGAGGGTTTACGTTCTGTCACAAGATGCTTACGGCTCGCTTTGTACTTTCCCTGCCCTAGTCCTGGAATCAGCCATTTCTCCGTGCTTCCTTTTAGTGAGGGATGTATTCAGAAACGAAACTCTGGGCCCTAGGTGTGCTCACGACTACTGAGATGTCATTGATTCTAGGTGCTTTCAGTGAACAGAACTGGGAGATATACATTTCTTTAAATTTGTGGGTTCATCCTGGCCCCTCGAATTCCCATCAAACACCAGATAACTCTTCCTTACCTCCCCACTTTCCATCATTGTAACTGCCTTCCACCCACCACTTCTCCCGCAGCAAGACCCTGGCTCCCAAGAATACCAATACATTTGTTCAAAGCATGCATTTTAAAGCATGCTTCCTCCTTTCCCAGCTGCTGAAATAACTTACTTTGACATTCCTCAGTTTCTATAATTTTTCTAGTTGCTTTTCTGACATTATACACATGTTCTTTCTAAGTCTATCTTCACAGAGATTTTACCATGTAGATGTGCTTTTTTAATATTATTTATCATCAATCATACAAGGAACAATTCCCTTGGCTTGAGTAAGGCTGAAGAAGGTTATTGATAATAACTTCCATCTGCTTGGCAGCTTAAAGTTTACAGAGTACTCTTTTACATGTGCTACTTCATTCACTCTCAATGGTTTGAATTCTTTAGGTCCCAGACAAAATGAACAGTAAATAAATTCTGAGCTTCATGAATGTTTCACATAGTAGGAACTTGAATAATGCCTGCTCATTTTCTTTCTCTTAATTTTTTCTGTAGACCACCTTTGTGATCAACCTGCTGATTTTTAAAAAAGATACATTTAGAATCTATGACTAATGAAAATAGGTATCATATAAAAGGATGAATAATCGTAAGCAATACGTAATCTAAAATGTTTTATACTCACTTTAGCATTTTTTGCCATTGTTATTTCATAGGGATTTTGTGTCTTCTTTAGACTGATATTTTTAAAAAGACATCTGCTTCCTAAAGACATACCAATTACAAATGCCTTTAAAGCAGTGGTTCTCAAGTGTGGCTGCAAGAAGAATGTCTCGGGAAATGTGTGTGGAGGCTGCATCCCACAGTGATTAAATCGGAATCTTTAGGGTAGGCATCAGTACTGTAAAAAACTCTCTGGAAGATTTCACTGAGAAGCCAGTGCATGGGTAAGGAAAGGCTGTGCTAAGGATTGATGATGGCAGCTTGGGTCACAGGCTAAGTACAAGAGAACTTGATCTCCACCTCATTTCTGATGTAAAGACCGGTACTTAAAGTATGCAAGAATATATTTTGAGCTTAACCTTGCAGTCGAAAGGCACTGAATACATTCTTTCTTTTTCTTAGCCAATAGGATATCAAAGACCATCTTTTCTTTACTCTAAGTGCCCTGCTCAAGCATCCTCATCTTTCAACTAGATTAATCTCCTTGAAGGGACAGCAAGTCTTCACTTAACATTGTCAATAGGTTCTTAGACACTGTGACTTTAAGCAAAACATATTAAAAAACCAATTTTACCAACGGCTAATGGATATAAACAAGAGTTAAGTTCCTATGATGGTTTTTCTGGTCACAAAAACTTCTTCTAAATAAAGATCACCAACACTTCTCATATTAAACACGGAAATAAATTTGAGCTATGCATACATTTTTAAAAGATTAATAAAAATAACTAAGATAATTATGTACCAGCTTATTCCAGTTCAGGGTTGCAGATGGTCGAAGCTTATCCCAGCAGCTCAGGGGGCAAGGCAGGAACCAACTCTGGGCAGGCTGCCGTCCCATCTCAGGGCACACTCACACACATGCCTACGCTTACTCACACTGGGACCATTTAGACATGCTGATTCACCTAGCATGCACACTTTGGGGTATGGGTGGAAACCGGAGTACCCAGAGAAAACCCACATAGACATGTAGAGAACATGTACACTCCACACAGTGAATCTGGCCAGGAACTGATTTTGTTTTTCTCATCAATGTTATCACAAAATGATGTTGAATGAAATGATGATATTTAAGGACCTGCTGTACTACTCTGTCCCTAGCAAGGAGTAGGAGCTGCTAAAATATCTGTTGACTTGCAATAAAGTCAGTCCAGTTAAGGACCCACAAAAAATGAATATGTATTTTAAATGCAAAACAAGTTGTGGGACCTTATGGGAGAATCTGTGAAGGGGTTATGTGAGCAGTCACTGGATTTGCAAAGGTA
The DNA here is from genome assembly GCF_000001405.40 of Homo sapiens. Lineage (NCBI taxonomy): Eukaryota > Metazoa > Chordata > Mammalia > Primates > Hominidae > Homo > Homo sapiens. Next base: position 4,316,247 of record NC_000009.12, on the reverse strand, counting down.
GCTAGATGAGTTTAATGATTATTCTTTACAATTTAGCTTGTAGGAATCCTAACCTCTCTTCCAAAACCAGAAAAAGGTGGAGAAATCTTTTTTGTTGAGGATAGACTGACAGTGGCATTAGGAGAGGTGTGTTGGTGTGATGTATGCTTCATAAAGGGGAATAGCATATACATACATACATAGATATGCATGTATTTAAAATTTCCATTGTGATCATCCCAGATAAATATGTGTTTTCTTTTAAAAATACAATATGTAATATCCTGCTTCCTTTCTAAAATTTAGAGTAGCAGAGTTTTGTGAACAACTTGGTGTTTCAGGGCAACAGCATCCCAAGAGGTAATACGAGATATCTGCTCTAAGAGGCCTGCATTCTAGAACCCCATACCTGGAAGAACATGTCCTGGTACTGCTGAGCTAGGGTCAGGGCTAATGCTGGGGAACGGGCGCCACCTACTGACGGCCCAAGTCACTCTTTCTCCTTCCAGGAACCTCCCTCTTGGGTTTGGTTAAGAGCAGTATCTCAAGAGAGGCTGGCCCCAAAAGACCCAGGGAGGTTGTCTCCAGTCCCCACTGTGTTTTGCAGGAAAGTTCATGAGAATGTAGCCACACAAAGTGAGGTGTTCTGAGTGTATGTCTTCCATGAAAAGAGTTTTCCATGGAAAACTCTATTTCTAAGGCATGTAGGCGGCAGAGGGTGAAGTTTAGGAATTAACTCTGTTTTAGAAGGGTTTGAATCAATTTAAAGGCTTTAAAAAATAGAGGTTCATTTTATTTAAAAATAAAACTTTAAACTTATTATTAAATGGAGAGCATACAGAAAATTGTCATTGCATATAGAGTTTTAGAACATGGACTGAGTGAGCAGGCCTTGAAATACTAACAATAAGGACCCCAGAGTCTCCCGGCAAACCATTCAGTCTCAGGCTTCTTGTGTAGGAGATAGGCATGATCACTTGTCCTCTCAACATCATGTTGGGTCAGCTTGAAAAGTGCACTAGAGACTGACAAGATGACGAGATTTGTTTCTTCCACTAGGAAATGCATCTGGGACACATGATTTTAAGTGTGAGAAAGGCCACTTCCCAAATTAACTGAGATCCAAAATTAGACTCTTTCTCTTCTCTTTGGTGGGAGTTGTATCTCCGAGAAAAGACACTCTGGTTGAGTCAGTACACAGAAGAGCAGGAGAGAGTGGAAGGACCACAAGGGAAGAGAGGAAATATTTCTTCAGTAGCTATAGAATGGCTTCACAAGCTATGGTCTTGGCAAACTGGCTTTCGGGGCTTCCCATTTTCACCCTCAGCAGCTCTGAATCCCTGAGAGTTCCAGCACTATTCATCCCAAAGGAATAGAGCTAACAGCAGGGTTCGCTGGGTGCCCGGCCCTGAGCTTAATGCCTTTTGCAGATTGGTTCATCCATTCTCCCTACAGCCCTATGAAGGCTCAGGGACAGAGGTTAAAGGAACTTGCCCAAAATCCCAGAGCTAATGAATGAGAAAGCTGAAATCTAAACCCAGTTCTGCCTGGCTCCAGAAAAATCAGTGTTCTTTTTCATGTGAGTTCTGAACCTCTCATGGTGGCTTTTCAGAAACTGCTAGTGGAAGCATCTTGGAACTAGAGAAGATATGAAAGATTCCGTAGCTGTCTCTTTTCTTAGTAGAGGTTTACCCTGCACTGTGAGTGACAGAAGATCCCTTACTTTCTTTCTTTTTTGCCTGAAGACCACATAGCATCATCAAAGTTCTAGACTGCCTTAAATGGAAAAAGCAGTATTTACCTATTGACTTCATTGTATATGCACATGCAAACATATTGTGTGCATGCATCTTTTTTTGCATGGAGTGGGGAAGTTGAACAAAGAGTAAGGACACTGAGGAAACAGAGAGCATTGGGTGGCAGGTAGCTACACAGTGCCAAGACATGCAGCCTGGGAGAAAGAGCACTGGACTGGAAGTCAAGGGTTCTTGATTCTAATTCTGATCCTGCCATTAATAAAAAACAACACCAGCTCACATTTGAGTGCTTACAATGTATTAAGTATCATTTCACACATTTTATAAATATTAATTCACTTAATCCTCATGACCATCCTATGAGATAAGTACTATTACTATTCCCACATTGCTGCTGAGAAAACTGAGGCACACAAAGGTTAAGTTACTTGCCCCGGGTCACACCAGCTAATAAACGCTAGAGTTGGCTTAAACTCAGGCAATATGGCTAACTACATTTTTATGTAACGCCATCTCTCAACTACCTGATTTATTGATTTTGTCAGTGACTCTTTCTGGACTTCAGTTTTTCCCATTTACACATTTATATTTTTAACAAATATTGAGGCCCAAGCCTGTGTAAGACCTTGTAAATCAGATAGAGGTGTAAAAGACCATGCACGCTGATCACCTACCTCCTGCAACACACACCCAGTGGAAAATGCAAGGGAGAGGAAGTCCACGTGCACTTGAGACTCCCAGGGAAGGCTGCGGGAGGAGGTGGCATTGGAACTTGATCTTAAGGTGGGAGACTGGTCCAGGAAGGGCATCTCAGCAGAGGTAAAACTCAAGGTGTGTTTGGAGACTCTAGTAACTAGTCCATTTTGACTCAAGAACAGAGTATTGGGCAGGGGATACTGCCAGAGAGAAAAATCAAGGTCCAAGATCAAGGAGTCACATCCAGGACCATTAATCTGACAACTGCCTGTCAGCCAAATTTGTGTGGGGAGAGACTGGAGGCCAATGGAGCCACGCGGAGGTTAGAGAAATGGTCTGGCTGAGAGAACTGAGGACCTCAAGTTGGGTGGTGGGAGGAGACGGGTTCTGAAAAATGGAAGCTGATGCCAGAAACATCCAGAAAGCAGGGAAGGTGAGATGGAGAGGGGGAGGTGGCACAGTGAGCAGAATGGCTGAAGAGGGAGCAGCAATGGCTGAGAAAGAAGACAGCTGCTCAAACTAAGATCCCTGTGGGCTATGGAGGCAGACACACTTGCCAGAGTTAATGGAGCTGTGCGGAGGAAGCTTAGGGTGACACTCATTAGAGGAGTTTGATGACAGCTACACCTACTATGTGCCAGGCATTCTGTATGTCCAACCTCCACCTCCCATGTTATCTCTAATCAACAAAAGAGTACTGTTACACAGGTATGTGGAATTCAGTTTGAGGCTTTTTTGTCTTCCCCAAAGAAACAGCATAGCATAGTGCTAAAAGGACAGACTCTGAAGCCACAAGACTGGAAAAAGTAGAGGAGCTACTGTCATTGTGTATCCTGGGGAGGTGATTTAATTTTTCTGTACCTCAGTGTGTGCATGTGGGGCTAACGTTACCAACCTCGTAGTGTTACTGTGAGGATTAAATGAACTAATATATGTAACATGCCTGGCCTGAGTAAGCACCTGAAAAATGTTAGCTTTTCCTATGGATGAGTAAACTGAGGAGCAGAGATTAAATGATCTGGCTGAAGACACAGCCCTCAGGGCTGGCATACCCAGCTCCACCAGCCCCAAGGCCTCCTTCAGTTCCACTAAGCCACAACGAAGTGAGCAGAGCCATAAAACAGAGAGGGAAAGGATAGAAAAGGCCTAAGGTAACAGCATAGTCAGGTGAAGAGAGGAAGACAAGGAATGCAAGTGCAATCAAGAAGAAACTGGGAGGAAGAGCAGATTTGTTTTTCATATGTATAACTATACTGTACATAATTTATTGGCAAAATTGGCATGTATGTACATGCATGCTCATATGGGTGCCTGTTTATGTGTACAACTGGAAAGTTTTTTTCTTTTTGAGACAAAGTCTCACTCTGTCACCCAGGCTGGAGTGAAGTGGTGCCATCTCAGCTTACTGCAACCTCCCACTCCCTGGTTCAAGTGATTCTCCTACCCCAGCCTCCCCAGTAGCTGGGATTACAGGTGTGCACCACCATGCCTGGCTCTTCTTTGTATTTTTAGTAGAGATGGGGTTTTGCCATGTTGGCCAGGATGGTCTTGAACTCCTGACCTCAAGTGATCCGCCAGCCTTGGCCTCCCAAAATGCTGGGATTACAGGCGTGAGTCACCATGCCCAGCCTGTAAAGTTTCTTTCTTTTAAAAAAACAAAAACAAAAACAAAAACTTTTATTTTAGGTTCAGAGGTACATGTGTAGGTTTGTTATACAGGTAAACTCATGTCATGCGGGTTTGTTGTACAAATTGTTTTGTGACCCAGATTCTAAGCCTCGTACCCAGTAGTTATTTTTCTCTGCTCCTCTTCCTCCTCCCACTCTCCACCATTGGGTGGACCCCACTGTCTGTAGTTCTTCTCTCTGTGTCCACGTGTCCTCATCATGTAGTTTCCACTTCCAAGAAGAATAGATTTTTAAAGGATCTTTTCTGTTTTCTTGATCATTTAAGTAAAATGGGCTTACTCTAAAAATGAAGACATCATCTAACTGAATTCCTGTCACCTAACCACTTTCCCTGCTCCTGTCAGACGACCACTGCTGACAGTCTTTAAACATACAACTCAAACTCCCAGGACAAGACAGTGTTTTATAGAAGGCAGGGGAGGTGGCTCTAAAAGAGGAGGGCGGTGATAAGGCCGATGCAGGAGGGTCAGGGCCACCATGTTGCTGTTGGGGAAGACAGATGGTGGAAGTCAGGGTAGGGGTAGGAGCTGGGGAGTGTGGAGTTATTCTGGCTTGGGAGGGAGGGAGAGTGGGCCCTGACAGTTGCAGGGGTCGGAAACTTATTGTGTAATGGATTTCTCTGGGAGTCTGGTGAAGCTTGTGGACTGCTTCTCAGAGTAAGGTCTAAAATGAAATACATGGGATTACAAAAGCTAAACACTTTATTTAGTTACTTTTTTGAGACAGAGTCTTGCTCTGTCACCTAGGCTGGAGTGTAGTGGTGCTATCTCAACTCACTGCAACCTCCACCTCTCCAGCTCAAGTGATTCTTTTGCCTCAGCCTCCCAAGTTGCTGGGATTACAGGCATGTGCCACCACGCCCGGATAATTTTTGTATTTTTAGTAGAGACGGGGTTTCGCCATGTTGGCCAGGCTGGTCTTGAACTCCGGGGCTCAAGTGATCCGCCTGCCTCAGCCTCCCAAAGTGTTGGGATTACAGGCATCAGCCACCGCGCCTGGCCAAAAGGTATACACTTCTATCCACAGACTCCTTAGCATTAAGAACTCCTGCGAAGACACTCTGGCTTTCGGATTAGGCACTTCTATAAAGTCCCCATCCTTAGAAGTTGCCCACTGCCCTCCAAATCCTGTACACCTTGTCTGTATTGAAATCTGAAGATGCACCCTGAATGCAGAATGGGTCCAAATCTCTAGCTTCAGACTACGATTTTAGACAAAGACCTACCTTTGGGTGATTTAGATGCCCTAAAATGTAGAGAAGTGTAAAACATCAACATCACCACCCCCATTTACTTATTTCAGAAGGATGTGGGCAGAGTGGAAAGTGCTTCAGAGACTGTATGTGCTGATCAAGTCCTCATCACCTTCCCAAAAAATCCTCCTAAGACCCAAGAGCGGGTAATCCTGGGTGATTGGCTCATTGTAGGAGGTCCTTGGTGTCACACATGCTTGCAAGATGGCTGGTGTGTGTCCTCATGGGGCTGGATCTGTTCCCCCCGTGTCTGCACCTTCAGACACATATAGTTTAGCTTTGGAGGCAGGGAGGGGCACTGCAAATGTGATTCGGCACTGAAACTAATGGATGTATTTGGGGTTTAGGTTTGCAAATGAAATTCAAAAAATCGGCAGTGACTCTTCTTGGACCAGGTGGAGAGCAGGAAGAAGGCCGGCAGCAGGTGTGGCTCGGGCAGATTGGAGAGGCACAATGGGGCACGTTTGCTAGACAAGTGAGTTTCTGAAATTTTCTTTATCCCCCATTCACTCGGAAACTGGCTGAGTTTGCCTAAGAAGTCTATCAATACAGTATAGAAGAGGGATTATACCTAATAATTTCATTTACTGTTCAATTATATTTTTATATATATTTCCTGGGCCACATGAGCATGTCAGTAAGAAAAAGGCCCATCTACCCCTTGCCCATAGCTAGATGTGAAATTATCATACCAACTACATCCATTGTTGGAAGTACTATTTTGGGTTGGCCCTGTGTAATGTGAAATGAAGAGAAAAAGTGTGTAGCAGAATCCTGATATGGAAATCCAGACTTAAAAACATTCTCTGATGGTTTGGCATCCTCAGGATAAATTGGTCATAGTTTTCAACAACTCAGATCAAAGCCAAATGCTGTTTGCGTTCAGACAGTGATTCAGGGACCATGTCTTATTTGGTTTCTTTGAAAATATAGCACAGACATTTTTTTCATACCTTTGAGAGAAATCTTTTGGCCGCCAAATTTGTGCATTATAAATTTTATTGTACTCTAATACAAAGTTCTACATCTTGTCTCACATGTCTCTTTCGGAGTTATCCCAGCGCTTCTAAGCTGAGTTGCTTGTTGCAATGATGATCTCCTGATGTCATGTGAAGAAAAAAAAAATAGGCCAACTGGTAAAGATAAAAAATAAATGAGAGTAAATAAAACACATATGGAACTTCTACTTTCAGAGTTAAAATGTATATGAGTGTGTATGTAAATCAGTCATCAAAATAGAAATGTAGACTGGGCCTGACTTAGGCACAATTATAAAGTAGTAAGTTTGCCTTTTGTGGCCTTTTATTCCTCTGACCTGGGTATTTTTTCATAACCTCCACCCCTCTCCTTTTTTCAGCCTATTTTATGACCTTCTGTAACCTGTCAGAATTGTCCAATTTGAGAACCCACTCAGGACTCTTCCTTATGCCACACAATTCCTGTTACTTATACTGTGCTCCCCCCGCCCCAACCACTGCTTAAGACCTTTGTTCATAAGTGGAAATTGTTTAAATGACTTGTTTTTTAAAAAAGTATTAACTTACAGCCAAGTCTTAATTTTAATGACAGGTTATATATATTTTTGAATTATTTCTTGCTTTTTCTTTGTTCACTTAACAGACTATTGAGTGCCTATTATGTAGACAGCAATGGCTTTGGCTGGAGGGAATGACAGGAGAGTGCAGTTGTAAACGAGGCACGGGCATATACACAAAAGGTTGAACAGCTTGACAAGATAGAGTAACAATTCGGAGATGATGCAGGCTGATTCTGTTTTATCTTAAAAAATGCTTTTATCATACATTATGTGTGGTAGCCACTGTTCTAAGCACTTAACAAATATTAACTCAGTCTCCAAAACAATGCTGTGAGGCAAATACCTGACTATATTCATTCTCCTTTTGCAGATAGAGAGACAGGCACAAAGAGCTTAAGTGACTACCCTAAAGTTGCTCAGCTATTAAATGTGGAGCCAGGACTAAATCCCAGCAGTTTGGCTCTGGGGTCTGGGTTCTAAAATTGTCTCAATTCAGCCTCTCCAGCTGCCAAGTGTGAGACCTAGACAAGGGCTTTGAGTTTGACTGTAGGAGCCATCCCAGGTGAGACAAAGAGATCAAAGAGGGCTTTATGACAATGGTTCTTCACCCTGGCTGCCCATTAAAGTCTCCTAGGAAGCTTATAAAGAGTCCTGATGCCTAGATCCCATCCAGGCTGATTAAGTCAGAATCTCTGGGGGGTGGGGCCTGGCAAGTTTCCCTGGGTATTCTAAGGAGAACCCAGCACTGAGAGCCACTGCAAGGAAGAGGCACTAGGACTGGATCCTCAAGGCTGGGGGAGATCTCAGGGAGGAGGGAGGAGAGGGTGTTCAGGTGGGAGATGGGTGGGGGCAGAACAAGGTCCTTTCTCTTCATTCTCCCTTCTCCTCTTCGTTGCCACCCTAGCTTCTGTGTCCTCCTCCAGCGCCCTTCCTTCCTTCTCCTCTTCTTTGACCCTGTCTTCCTCCTTCATTCCTTCCCTCTGTTTTCTCACCTCCTCTCCTCTGGTAACCCCTTTATCCTCCTCCTCCCTGCATCCCCCTGCTGCTCTCCTCTTATTTCTTCTTTCTCCTGCCCTTCCTGTTCCTTCCAGTTCATGGGCTGTGGGTCCTTTCACTTCACAGTGCCTGTCCTTCCAGCAGAAAGTGGGTGGTGGCAGGGTTAAGGCTTTCAGATAGGTCGTGACACCAAGCCACAATGCTCCTGGAGAAGCTAAGGGAAGGATGGGATGCACGTGGCCAGGCCCCAGATAGTATCAAGAGCATTAAATACTGTAAGGACAGTGTTCTGTGAGAGCCCAGAGCCAGCAGTGTTTGGTTCTGGGGGAGAAGGGAGAGAGGAAAGTTGAGAAAGTGCATTACTTTTCTGTTGCTGCTGTCACAAGTTACCCTAAATAGCACCCTAAACAACCCGCAATTCTATCTTACAGTTTTGTAGGATAGAAGTCTGACACAGGTTTCCTTGGTCTAAGATCAAGGTGTGGCAGGGCTGTGTGCCTTTCTGGAGGCTCTAGGAAGGAATTATTCCATTGCTTTTCCAGCTTCTAGAGCTGCCCATATTCCTTGGTTAATAGCTCCTTCCTGCACCTTCAAACCTGGTAACATAGTTTCTCTATGCTTCTGCTTCCCTATCACATTCATAATCCAGGGCTCACTTCCACAGTCCAGGATAGTCTCCCTACTTTAAGGGCAACTAATTAGCAACCTTAATGCCATCCACAGCCTTAAGTCCTTTTTGCCATGTAATCTAACATATTCATAGGTTCCAGGAGTTAGGATGTGGATTTTTTTTTGTTGGGATGCAGGGCGGGGCCGGGGGGACATTATTCTCCCTATCAGAGAAAGCCTCACAGAGTAAGAGGAGGTGGATAGTAAAGGTCATCCTGTGGAGATAAAACAGCAGGCTTGGGGGCTCTGGAGGGTTTGCAAAGCAGGCTTTGAGGAACTACAGGAAGTTCAGTATCACGGTAGCGTCGTATAAACAGGTCATTACATGTATAATTTATACAATAGATCTTGTTCTTAAATTTTACATAAATTATGTTTATCACATATCTCATCAACATGTATTACAATTAAGCATACTTTATGGAGGCAATAGAGTGTTACAGCTAAGAGTGTGTGCCCTGGAGCCAAGGGAGGCTGCGTCCTCCTCTCACCTCCACCACTCATTAGCCTCTACACTGTGAGAATTAAATGAGATCAAGAATCTTACGTACTTTGCTCAGCCTGATACATAATAAGCCCCTAATAAATGTGAGTTGTTATCATTGCCATAACTAAACTGTGTCTTAAACAGATCACTCATAACTTGCCACCTTCACTTTCTCCTTAATGTCCACTTCTTGCTGGAAGGAAAAAGAAAGCAGTGACAGGGAGAACATTTCTGACTTACGCAATCTGCTGAGATAACGTTATTATCAAGTTCCAATTGTCTAACTGTTGGGCCCTAAATTCAGTCTAGAATCTAAGGACTCTCTACTTCTGTTGCTTATATCAGCAAGGGGTATCTATAGCTAGAGTTTTAAATGGCATTTAGTTATGAAACAGAAGACAGGAAAGCATGGGGGTGGGGAGGATGTTCAAGGATGACTGAAACTTTCCAAGGTAGGAGTCATAACAGCAGCAACAGCAAAAAGGCATGAGACTCAGAGATGCCTGGGCAGACATTTCTCTATGATTCCTTCTCTATTTCTGAATGCCATTCCAGGAAAATCTGGGTGCCTCTGTTTTATCTAGGAATGAGAAAAATCCTATTTCAGTAGGAATTTGGAAATGAATGTATTTCCTATTAGGTGCTGAATTCTGGGGCAACATTTGTTAACCAGTAACTGAGAACATGTAGAAATGGCCTGGCTGTTCGAGGCAGTTGTCTGACAACCAAATGGATAAACTACTCTATCTGACCCTCACAGGGTTGACTAGCTGGTCTGAAAGCGGGCATTGTGTAACTACTAGGGAAATGGAATTTCTCTTGCATAATATTAAATTGACCAAATGGTAGCAGGGTCCTGAAGAGAGAATGAGCCATAACTTTACCCTGAAAAACCCACAGCCTGGGCAACATAGCGAGACCCCCCTGCCTCTACAAAAATAAAAGAAATTAGCTGGGCACGCACCTGTAGTCCCAGCTCCTTAGGAGGCTGAGGCAAGAGGATCACTTGAGCCCAGGAGGTCGGGGCTGTAGTGAGCTATGATCACACCACTGCATTACAGTTTGGGTGATAAAGCAAGATCCTATTTAGAAACAAAAACAAAAAACAACAAAAAAGACTAAAATGATGTCATAAAAGCAAAGTATAATATTTATTAGGTGGTGAGCCCCTTGAAGTTTGTCTTGCTTATCTTTGTATTCATGATGGTAACTTAATACCTTAGGTACCTCTATAAGTTGCTGTAATTATTTGTTTAAAAATTAAAAGGCATTTACTGACTTGTACAAATGAAAAAATTAAGAGGTCAGGTAGAAATCAGGTGTGGTTCCATCAGGGCTATTCTCTGTAATCTTCTCCACCCTTCCCTTCACCAAGTGTGAGCCTTCTGTGTGGGCTGAGAGGGAGACAGTTTCACTTTTTTTTTCTCTCCACAACACAGAGGAGAAAAGGCTACCTTTCCAGTGGCTCTCTAGAAAGAAGAGAAGCTACCTTCCTCAGAAGCTATCAAATAACTTTCCTGTTCACATCTCATTTAGCCCAAACTGGGTTACATGTCCATTTTTTAACCAATCCCTATGGCCAGGGGAATGTCTTGCACGGATTGACTTAGGCCCAGATTTATGAGCCATTCACTTTGACCAAGGGAGTGAGATTCCTCTCTGAATCATCGAGCCCATCAGTGGAGCTGGGGCTGGGGTCAATTTCCCTTGAAGCTCTTGGGCTGGGCTCCTTATCAATAGGGGATGCCCCTGGTTTCACACGTGTGCTGGCCAGTGTCACAATTCCGATTCAACCTTTGCAATAACTCATGTAGTGGAACTGAAGTTCCCCGTGGTTTAGGAACCAGCTCAAGGTCTCTCGGTTAGCGGTGAAGTTGGGATTCCAGGTTTTCTGATTCCAAAGTCCACTCTTCTTCCAACATACCACCTGCCTGAGTGAATAAACAAATACATGTCTGGTGGAAGTAGGGTTTCCTGCCCTGAAAAGGTAATAGAGCAATGGTTAATAGGTAGAAGTTTGGCTAGTCCCACATGAGTTGGGTGACAGTGGGGAGATATTCCACCTCTCTCTGCCTCTCTTTTCTCATCTGTAAAATGGAAGTTGTGCTAGATCTTACCTGATTCGGATGTTGTGAGAATGAAGTGAAAAAAAATGTAGATCATGAGCTTGGGGCAGTGTCCCCAGCCTGAAGGAAGTCAACACTCTTACCCGGGGCAGGTCTGCTTTGGGGGCAATTGGTCATTTGTTCCATGGACAATAAAATTACACTCTTCCCTGCTGTATAGGGTTAAACAAGAAAAGAAATGTGTATACACGTGAAAATCTCCTGAGTGCTTTTAACATCGTAAGAAGTTAGGATTTGTGGAAAATCTCCAAGTTTTTTCAAACCCCTTTGCAGGTATATTTAAGACTTGAGGTGAGTTGGGGAGGAGTCTGAAAAGCCACTGAATTGCTTTTGTTCCAGAGCTTAATTCTGCCCCAAACTAACTAGTTGCTCTCAATTATTCTGAGGTATCAGTGCTGCGCTGCCTTCTTCATTTCCACTAGTTTTTAAATAATTCACCTTCTTCTCTGCACCCTCGTTCCCTATTTTCCATTTCTTTTCTTCCCTTTTCTCCCCATTATTTAGTATATATTTTTATTTTGAGGCTAGAATTCAGGGTATGATGCAACTGACCTGGTTTAGTAGTGGGTGTCAGACAGGAGAGGGTCACTGGAGCAGGGCGCAGACAGGCTCTCCTCCTTATTCTAAGCATTGCATAAAGTCTTTGAATTTTCTTCCTCAAGAAATAGGAAGCAATATTTAAATCTTCAGTTTATAATAAAAAGCCTAGGGGTACAGAAAGCTACTTCATATCACATTGTAGGAAATTATTCCTGCCTCCTTCACACTCCCTACACACTAACTGTGCTCATCTGACATTGATAACAAGACGCCTTGTACTTTGTATACTTGCAGTGTGGTTTGCACACATTCAAAGAGCATCTGTTAGTCTCTTTTGGAACACTGAAATGATTATACACATACATAACAATGAGTTGTGTCATTTATCATCTCTGAAGGTGAAGAAACCATTCTTTCATTCTCTCATTAATTAATCCATTTATCAGATTAGCATTAGTTACTTACTAGTGCCCAGTACTATTGCTAGGCCATGAAAGGCATATGAAGAAAAGTAAGTTATGGTCATTAAGAGGCATTTATAGAAGGTAGTTATAGATAAGATGGCATTGTGATTAGATAATTAATTTTACAACATCACATATAGTTGGCCAGTATAGATGTTAAATGGTGAAAGAATAACTGGCTGCCTGCGGAATATTGTATTTATCTATGAATTTATGTTTGTTATGGTAAGCTCTTTGTAGATATACCTAAGTAATATGTCAAGGAATACATCATCAACCTTTCTCTGAATTTTAGATACATCTCAGCTTGGTTTGTATAAAAAAGGAAGAAACATTTCACCAATTAGACAAGATTGAGAGATATTGTATGGAGTGAAATATTTGAAATTTTGGTCAGTTGCATTTGGTCTGACACATTTTAGACTCTGATTTACAGTTTTGACTTTAGAAAGGAAAAGAGGTATGATGTTGTGAATGCGATATGTGTAAATAAGAATTTTTTAAAAAATTACATCACTGACATGTATGTGAGCCGAAGAGTTTGGGCTGAACATACTTGTGACAAATTAGTAGAAAAATCAGCTTAAGTTTTCTTAGTATATCACACACTGATAACATAATGTGAAATTTGCTGCATTCCACTATTTGTACTACTCAGGAAAGTAAAATGGAAATTTTCCATTTTACACATTTAGTTCCCCCCTTAAAGTTGGCAAACACTAACTTTTTCCACTGCATTTCTACGTAACTGGACTGTTGCCAGCTCGTGTGTGTGTGTGTGTGTGTGTCTGTGTTTTAATAGCTAGGCATACTATCACTGGTGCTATTAGCTCAACTTATCTGTATTTTGGGGTTCAAATTTGTTTCTTTTCACGGACACTTTGTGGGAGGAGGAATCTGATCATAGTTCTTTGCAAGTTTGTAAGTGGTTTACTGTCAGAGCACTCAGGGTGACTCAAATAGCAGTTCTGAAGTTTTGCTGTCAGGATGTTCCTTCGGGAGAGTTTCATTGCTGTGAGACAGTGGATGTTCCTATTTTGTACTCTAGCTTTGAGTGAGCTGCTTGCTATGCAGGACTTATGCCTTCTGTGCCCCTTTTGATGCTGATTCCTATACTTGAAATGGTCTCCTTTGCTTATCACTTCTCTACTCATTCTTTGAAGTCCAGCTCAAACAGCCAAGCTACTCCATGTCACATTGCAGGAAATTATTCCTGCCTCCTCCACACTCCCTACAAACTTCATTGTGCTCATCTAACACTGACCACAAGATGCTTTGCACTTTATACACCTGCAATATGTTTTATACACATTCAAAGAGCATGCACAATTATTCTGTAGTACAGTAATGTTGATTGAACTTGGGGCTTCTAAACTGGCATACTTGGCTCTGTCTCTGACTCTCTTTAACTGTTTACTGAGCTTCAACTTCTTTGCTTCTAAGTAGGAGATTATTCATAGCCACATCATACATTTGATTTGAGAATTAGATGAGGTAATATATGCAAAGAGTCCCCATTTCTTGAGGGTTTGCTACAACTAAGACACTGGGCAAAAAGTTTTCTGTAATATCCTCCCATATACAATGCCTACAAGTGTTAATTCCTTTAGTCCCAATACTTGGACAGAGTGTGTACTCACTGAATATTTCTCTGATGAATGAGAACTGGACTGGAGCTGGCAGCAGGGGCCTGTCTGCTGAGTCAGCTGCCCTGAGTCAGCGGTTGAGGCACATACAACACTGGTCTCTAGAGAGGGAAGATACTGACTGGGCTGCAGTTCCCACCTATCTGGCTGAAGGGCTGCCAGAGTATGATTCCTAAGCACGATGGAGAGCTCATGGGTAAGGGAGAGTATCATTTTGGAACTACATGATTTCCTTTCTCACTGTCTCTCATTACCACCCTCCCTCACCCCTGCTGACCAATTCAGCCCAGAAGAGGTACAGATCTCATTCTGAGTCATTCCAGGGTTGTACTGGTACAAGAACAACTGCATTTTTACTATAACCCATGGAATATAAGAACATTGCAGATCTACATTCTTGGCCAGAAAAAAAAAAAAAGAAAAAAATTCAACCAAAGCACTATACCTCTTCAGTGGTAAATATTTTAGGAATGTTAGAGGTTCATGAAAATCACACCTAAATAAAATGACATTCCCACTCTTGGGCTCTTATAAATGAAGAGATTTTGGGGATCTCCAGGTTGATGACTCCTAACTTTCCCAGTGTTTTTTTCCATGAGCTATTGATTAAAGTTGGGTGTAGCACTATATTTTTTTCTCTTCCAGCTAAGCTGTTCCCATCATTTGGGAAGTTTTAGAAGCTTCTGCAAGCCCCTAGGATACCATTCTATGCATCAAAACCATTGTATTTAAAATGATATTTGAGGGACATTGGAAAGGTTTTTTGCAGTCTCCACCCAGGCTTGTCTTGCTCCTGGGAAGCAGTTGTACAGCACAAGAATCTGATGAACAGAAGTTCCCATGATGCATTGAAGGGTTAGTGTTGCCATCTTGCTCTGTTCCTTAAGGCTGGAGTTAATGAGGAAGAGTTTTTATGTGAATGTCAGGCATGTTGCAATAACTAGCCACAATGGAATAGTCATGGCAATTTCCACCACTTGGTTTCTTTGTTTTTGTGATGTTGCTGCATGCTTCATTTTATGAGTATTTTCTTTTCTTACGTGTGGTTGAGCCCATCTATTGCCATCTTGGGCTTGAATACTTGTATTTAAAAGAGATGAACAGAGAGAAACTGGAAAACTGACAGAATGACATATCCTGACCTCTTACTATTTTTCATCCCCTACTTCTGCTGACAAATATTCTGATGAGTTTGTGTCCCAAGGTGAAGGAAAAGAAAAGAAAAAGTACTGTGGAAACCAGGCTTCTTTTGGTTATGTTAATATCATGGATACAGACCAAGCCTAGTAGTATTCCCACTGAAATTAGATAAATGAAAACTGCCAATAGTCTTTTAGTTTTGGCTTTCTGGGGTAAGTCATTTGTGTCCTTGAGGACTTCTGTCTTGATCAAAGCATCTACTACCTGATTGCTAATTTATATTGGAGTGGTAACAGTAGAATAGAATATAAGGACTTGTGAAATTCTAAGTGTCTGGTGGCATCCTCACTCATTTCATTCATGATGGTGAATAATACTGTCAACTGCAGAAAGGCCTACCTGGAGGATATTGTGTGCATTACATACCTAGATTCCCAAGATGGAAGTCCTTGCATCTGTGGCAATACATGTGATGAACTACTAGGAGCAGACTTTCTTGTAACAACCTTTTGAGGGCTCTGGTCAACACAAGCAGAAGCGGTGGCGAGTCAGAGCTTAGGTGGGGTATGAGGCTGAGGATGTTGAATTCATAAGGATAAAGTGCCACTTTATAGACGTAACATACGCAGGGAATATACCTCCATTCTTAACAGCCTGTGTTCAGAATTTTATACCCTTCTAACACTTCCATCACCTTCCTCTCTTCCCTGCCTATACTTGGAAAGGATGCCAAAGCCTTCCTTAGTGCTTCACCTATCCAGTTTCGAAGCTGTCATGTGCATCCGATCCGATATTTCAAAGCAACCCTTTTGCCATTTTTCACTGTGTTATTCTCTCCGTATTACTACCGGATTTTTTTGGTTGTTTGTTTATTTTTTTATGACCTGACATCAAATCCTGTCTAAACACTAACACTTTTTCATGTTAAAATAAGTCAGTTTAACAAATAAGGCCAGGAAGAAGGCGAAGTGTCTCCCTGCTGTTACCCTGTTCTGGAGTTCCTCGACTTCTGGCGCACGGGGAGTGTGTGTGTGTGTGTGTGTGTGTGTGTGTGTGTGTGTGAATGCGTCAAGAGGGAGACACAAGCTCGGCCTTCGAATTGGCCAGCCTAGTGACCCGCGAGCCCGCCCCCACTCTTCCCCCTCCCCCTCCGGCGCTCACACTCAGGAAGCAGCTGGCTACAGGCCGGCCCTCGCGGCCGCACACACATCCACACTCCTCGCCCGGCTGCCTTCCTCCCTCCCTCTTCCCCCTTCCCCTCTCCCTGCAGCCGCGTCCACACTGCGCCGCCCGGGCAGCCCAGAGCGCGGCGCGCACGGGCACCGGCGGCGAGTGCCGCGGCCACTGCCCCTCCCGGGACCCCCTGTACGCCGTCCGCGCCGTCCAGGGTCACACCGGCGACGGAACCCGCCGGCAGCAATTAGCCAGCATCCCGGGGTCGGCCCCCAGAAGCATTCCCCGGCCCAGGACGAGGATGAACAGGACAGGCGAGGCACAAAGTCGCAACTGAACTTTTTAGAAACATTATTTGTGTGTGTATGTGTGTAGCAGGGGAGAATGAGCTGATGCCGAGGGTCCAGCCACCCCGCCTCTGCCTCCTCCTCCCCCTGCCGCCGCTGCCCTCGCAGACGCGCGCGCACACACGGCACTTGGGCCGGGTTTCCGCGCTCCGTCCCCCCGTTTGGATGGGGGTTTTCATTTCCGAAGGAGGCACAGCCCGCGGAGCGCTCTGAAGGGCTGGAGCCCCAAGTTACTCCTCGCCAGCGCCGGCCGCCCGCTGTCACTCGCGCTGGCCGGCCGGGGGAAGGGACCCGCACGCCGGGCTTTGTTGTGGAAATCCCGGTTACCTGGTAAGTGGATGCCATAGGAACTTTGCTCGCAGGCGAGAGACGAGGAGAAACCGGGCGCTTGAGAGTGTGGGGGAGTTAAAGCTCAGAGACGCAAACTAGGGATTACAAATAGTTTTCTACGCTGAGCCGGTGGCGTTCGCGCGGGTTTAAGGATACGCGCACCTCAACTCCCGGCGTCACAGGTCACTGAGAGACCTGCGCTGACTGAGACTGATAGCAACAATTAGGGTTCAAACCATGTTTCTGTCAGTGGCCTAAGAGCGCCCAGTGTAGAAGACAGATAACGGGGCTTTAAAGTTGCGCTAATTCGGAACAGTTTTTGTGTTTTCATTTCAAGTAGAGCGGGCAGAGGGGTACACAATCAGGGCACGTTACAGGACGCACGGGCATGGGGCGCACCACTCTGGAGTCCCCACTGAAGGGAAACTTTGGCGAAGTGGGAACTGATGGGGTGACGTGAGGTCTCTCGCGCACACGCGGGGCTGTAGTTGTCTTTTCAAGTTCCACGTGTTTGTGGAGTTTCACGAAGGCTGTTTTCCACGCCTGTGTCTCATCCAAGCCGGTGTCCCCATGATTGCGGGAGGTGGTCGGGCTGAGGGTACCTACACTCCTCGCGGGTACCGGCCCGGCGATCCGCAGCCGCCAGGTCTGGAACTATAACCTCCCACGCCGCCAGGACGCAGACACAGCCAGACACGAACCCTCCCCGCCGGGTTCGTCACCTCGCGTTTACATTTTTTATGGGGCCCGACAAAATGTCAGCACTGTTTGGAAAATGTCTCAGTCTCGGAGACGTTGTCCTGCGCGCGGCTCCAGTCCCTATAAATGACCCTGTGTGTATTTTGAAGTCGGCCCGGGTCGCTCTCTGGAAAGCGTGAGTGAGCCGCCGGCTCTCTCCTAGACACACACCTTGCCCCGAGCGACAGTTCCAAGTTACTCACTGGAGCTGACAAGTCACCTCGGGGACCGGGAAGTCACTCAAGTGTCTGGAAATCTTGGCCCTGGCTGATTTGTCATCCTATGGATGATTCAATTAGGTACCTGGCGGGAGAAACTTTGGGGAAGGGTTTCTGGCTCCGCGTTCGCGCCCTCCGACTTGCTGGAGGTGTTTGGGAGGCGAGAAGCGAAAGGAAACCACAGGGTGAGGACACTGGCTCGGCGGGGACCGGGGGGCCGGCGTGGGGGGACTGCGAGCCCGGCCGTGGCGCCCCCGGGCTACAGGCTCCGGCCAGGCCGGGCAGCGCGCGCAGGTCCCCGGCGCCCGGGCTTCCCAGCCGCAGCACCCTTTCGGCCCCCGACTCACTCAGGAGCGAGTTGCACAACAGGAAGCCGGCACTAGTTTGTTTTGTTGCGCTGCGTTCGCTCCCTCGCTCGCTCGCGCACGGGGCCGAGGGTTAGGGGCGGAGGCGGCGGGGGAGTGACGGGGTCGCAGCCGCGCGTACCCCGCCGGGCGCTGTCGCCTCCGCCTCCGGACCCGCCCCTAGCTCCGCGCCGAGGAATCTCCGACCCCGGCAGCGAAGCCAGTCCTATAGGGAACCGATAAGGGCCGCCCTCCTCCTGCCTTGTCCTACGCGCCTCTCCCCCGCTCCCGGCACCTCTCCCGACTTCTCCAGCCCTCCTCTTGGCAGGAGTGGTCTCGAGGACTGAGACCACTGCTCTGTGTGCCTCCTTGAGCCCCACGCTAGTTTGCCCCGGTATCCGCTTGGCCCTCATCTCTGGAGCATGTAAACCTGGGGAAGGGGTAGGGAGGTGCTTCCGGAATCACAGGGAGTAGGGTCCGTAGAGACAGGACTCGTGGAGTCGCGGCCCCGTTTCACAAAGAGGGTTGCTCTTGCACCCTCTCCCCGAGCCGGCAGAACCAACTTCCTCCAAGACTTCAGCATCTCCCGAGAGTTGGGGCCCCAGGGCCCTGGAGTTTGTGAGAAGAGGGAAGTTCTGCAGCTCCCCCCAGTGGACCAGGTCCCTTTAGTATGGGGCCGGGAATCTCGAGGAGAGACTATTAAAGCTAGAGTGGACCCTGGCTTCACCTGATGAGGAAACCGAGCCCCAGAGACGTTAGAGGTTTTGCCCAAGGCCTCACAGCCAGTTGTCGCAGACCCTTAAAGTTCTCAGGTCCCGGTTAAGAGAGCATTTCTTGGCTCGAAGATGACCTCAAGACAAATGCAAAGTCTGGTTCTGTCCCCTCTGAAAGCTTTGATGAGTCATGATTTCTGCCTTGGGAGTAAGCCAGACTTCTGTTTCACCCTCTGTCTTGTTCCTCACTGGACCTCCCTTTTTAGACTAAACTTTTTTTTTTTTTTGGGTACAAAATCGACTTGTGTTGGTTTAAACCTTCCTACTTCTTCTCTTTTATCTCCTCCTAGTTTGTTTCCGCTGGTTCTGTGTGAAGCAGGTGCAACCTGTAAAGGTTTGCAGAAAAAGAATCCGCCACGATGAAGGTCGTTCTGAGAAAGTTTGAAGCAATTTAGACAGGAGAGTGTTAGATTATATGCATTTTTTTTTTTTTTTTTTTTTTTTGCAATTGAGAACAAGCTGAGGTGTAAGGATCATCTATAACCGTACTGCAGTTTTCATTTATTTTCACTGGTCATCTGCGCAGCCAGACTAGCTCTGAGGCTACCTTTGAAAGGAAGTGTAGGGGACATTTTTTTTTCGCTATTTTCAAAACACCTGTCCTTATTGGTAGTTTGTAATTGCTTTCTTTTCTTGCCCAGAAGACTCAGTAATCCTTGAGTATGAGTAGATCAATTTAAGTGCTGCTG
The DNA here is from genome assembly GCF_000001405.40 of Homo sapiens. Classification (NCBI taxonomy): domain Eukaryota; kingdom Metazoa; phylum Chordata; class Mammalia; order Primates; family Hominidae; genus Homo; species Homo sapiens. The sequence continues at coordinate 4,296,658 of NC_000009.12, read as the reverse complement.
TTAACTTCTCCCCTTGGTTCACCTTAGGCCAGTTTGGGGACAGCATCGTTGATCCCCTGATTCCACTGAAGTTCCTTAGTAGGCAGGTTATCAGAGGTTGAATACCTAGGGTTTGTTGGTTTGCTTGGAAGAAGTGATCATCACTTCAAATAAGAAAGGCAATCTTTATTGGGGTGGTGGATGAACTCCAAGGTCCACCTAGTGGGTGAATTTCCTACTGAGCTAAAATAGCCTGGGTAGGAGAGGTTAAATAATACCCAGAAAACGTTTTGTATTAGCCCTGCCTTCATTTATGCAGGAGAAAGTGGTCCTTCTGCCATTCCAGAAGAGAGCTCAGTGTTCTCGGTCTTTTTTTTTTTTTTTTTTCCTCTGACTGTTCTTTCCTGCTAGTAAATTAAGCCTGAGGACATTCATTCTTTCCACTGTTGTCTCTCTCATATTATAATTATTGATCTTTGGAGTTGGAGTGTTAATTTACTCTTCTCCCAGATTATAGAATACATACTTCTTGAAGGAGATAACTCAGAGTGGCGTCACATGCACATTTCTCATCTCTGGAGAAGTCATTTTCTGTGTTTCTGTGATTATTTTCTGTAGAGGGCATTATATTGTAAATAAGGTGGAAATACAGGACTTAACTGTTTTACTTTTCCCTAAGTTTGGTTGGTTCATAGACTATCAGGACTGGGGAAAAAAGGCACATAGGAAATCTGTGTGATAAAAAAAAAACTTGTTGCCATTCTCATTCAAGGAAGATGACACATAACAAAACCTTTGAAATGACATTGATACATAGTTTGATTAAAAGATGTCCAAGTCCCCAGTTTTTGTAGTTTCCCACTTACTTTAGGCAGAGTTGACACAAAAGCCAAATTTTCTATTGAGATGAAATATCCTTACGGAAAAGCACACTTATCTTGAGCTCGATGCATTTTTTTGCAAGTGGAACACACCCACATAACTAGTCTCCAGATCAAGAAACAGAGCATTATCAACACACCAGAAACATCTCTCACACTCCATTCTAGTTACCACCTCTGCCTAAGGTAACCGTTGCCCTGGTTTCTAACAGATATATTAGTTTTGTCTGGTTTTTTTAAAAAAAATCTTGTGTAAATGGAATAATTCAATATGCACTCTTGGGTCTGGCTTCTTTCGCTCAACACAACAACCTTTTATTAGGTCAAATAATTTGGACTCCCCCTTTAAAGATGATGGAAACAGTCTGGCTTGCAGAAATTAGTGAGGCATTACTTAATATGATAGAATTAAGGAAAAACACTAACCAAACTGAAGCCATATTTATATTCTGATGACAGTCTGGTTAGGGAGACCAAACAGACACAAGTGAAATGTCTAATGTGACACCAGTGTAGGAAGCAGGAAAATTCAGAGGCGTTCCTTCCACTAAGGCAACCCAGAGTGTATTTCACCGTCCTTTCGTGAGGGCCAGCAACCCCCATAATAAAAAAAAAAGTAAGTGCCTGGTTTCAGTATTGAACTGTTCATTTGCAACTTTTAGCTGGGATTTTTCATTGTTCACCAGTAGGCCAAGATAAAGGCAAGAATAACATGCCTACCCAGAAGAATGGAATAGAATTTCTGTGCCACTTTTTCCTAGTAGAGAAAGGAAAAGACTAGGAAACATGCAACTGTAATTAAACTGGTTCCATAAGCCATGGGATTCATGATTATGGTCACACCTCACTTATATTGTATTTATTCAGGCAGTAAATTATAGATGTGGGTTATAATTGTATATTTCACTTACACCATGTTTTTCAGTATGAGCAGTACAGAATGAACAATATAAATAGAATAAATGTATGTGAATATATAGATGTAGCATAACTATATGATAAATGTACTGTGAAAAATATATATAGGTGTAAAACAATCTGTGTACATGTAAGGGCTGGGGAAAGTTCAAAGATAAATTAGCTATGACCCCAAAACTTAATAAAATTAGAATTTAGACAGGAAAGTGAAACACAGGCAAATAACTGTAATGTAGTGTAGAAAGTTATGAATGTTGAAAGAGAGGTGTGTAGAGTAAAATAACATTTATTGGGTCCTTTTGTGTGCTGAACAGTGTGCTAAGCATGTGATGTGGATTCTCATTTATTATTCTGTAATTTTTTTTTTTTTTGAGACATAATTTCGCTCTTGCTGCCCAGGCTGGAAAGCAATGGTGTGATCTTGGCTTACTGCAACCTCCCCCTCCTGGGTTCAAGTGATTCTCCTGCCTCAGCCTCCCAAGTAGTTGGGATTACAGGCATGTGCCACCATGCCTGGCTAATTTTGTATTTTTAGTAGAGATGGGGGTTTCACTGTGTTAGTCAGACTGGTCTCGAACTCCTGACCTCAGGTGATCCACCCACCTTGGCCTCCCAAAGTACTGGGATTACAGGCGTGAGCCACCGCACCTGGCCCATTATTCTGTAATATTATGAACTATGCACAGTAGCATCATTATCCCCATTTTTACAGGTCAGATTTATAGAGACTAAAAAAGGATCAAGGAGGGCCTAAAGTGGGTGTTTGGGGTGGGCTTAGAGGATAAGTAGGATCTGGATTTGGGGGAAAAGAGAACAAAATAAAGGAGGAGGGAAAAGACCATCGAGCTGGACTCTAAGGCGGTTTGTAGAATTAACAGAAACAAAGATCCAATCATGTTCCACTTTGGGAAGAAAAGGAATTTGTAAAACTTGAATTATGAGGTTCTCAGTAGCTGAGGGCAGACTTGAGTCAAGGAAAGCTGGTGGGGCCACCCTTGTCTGACATGATCTCTTCAAAGCCAGGAACAAGAATGACTGCACATTCCTTCAGGAGCAGCAAGACTTGCTCAACTGCAGATGGGCAGATAGCGTCACAATGCAAGATCAGATCCTGTCCTATGCTCCATGATAAAGAGATCAGACTTTCTGAATACCAGTGATTTCTAAAGTTCTAAGCCAGCTCCATCAAATTTCTTTTGTAGGCCTGCTGAATATTGTACACAGAAAACCAACCAGATGCCAGGGCTAGTTACGAAGTTTTGTTATTCTTGTGTGTGAAGAAATGGATTAATGTTTTCCCAACCTTTTCAGCATGACCGATAGATTCCACTTCTGTCTGTAACTTGGCTGAGTCATTCACAGAGGTTTTCAAAAAATCTTTTTAATAAATATGTTGTCATGTTGGTTAAGGGCCTAGTCATTGTTGTGGATGTTCATACTTCCGCAGTGATGTCAGTGAACATAATTTAACTTCTGTAAAACTGCTGTCTACCAACAGCCAGAAATAGTTACATCGGTCACTTTTAAGCAATAACTATGCTGAAGGAAAAATATCACTCAGTTACATGTGTGATGGGGACACAATAAGATGCCTGAATATTTGGTTTGAGTGATAAATTTTATTTCTAGAATCTTCCATAGGTAGATGTTTGTTACCCTTTTTGAAGGATTGTGATTTTTTAGCCTTGCAAATACTTAGTCATATGGACTAAGTGTTTAGTTACACAGACTAAAGGATAATGAATGCTCTTTTCATTTGCCACATTTTATTCCTTATGTACCCTCTTGTGTGAGGATGGGCTTGTTTTTTGTTTGTTTGTTTGTTTTTCTTGAAAGAAACATCTCCAGCCAGTTATTTTACTTCTATACTTCTGAAGAAGAAGCCTTTGTGTCTCAAACCCTGGCCATGTGCTATTCAGTGTTTGCAGTTCAGGTAATTAATTCAGCAGTGACATCATCAGGAATGTGTTCATTTTTCCATTTCAAATTCCTCTTTTCAGAATCTGATGGCTAACTCATATTAAGAACACATTTTGAAAGACTCAGTTCTCAAAGACATTGTGTGTTAATTTAAACTTTACCCACTTTAGCAGTGTAAGAGGGGAGTTTTATTCCAGGGAAGTTACCTATCCCCTGCAATGAAAAAGATCCAAAATTTTCGGTAATTTTGATCCTTATTCTGTCAGTTGGTTGATCAGTTATTACTTATTGAGCACAATTGATCAATTGATACTTACTGCACAGTGAAAGATAGCAGTGGTAGGAATGAAGCTTTGTATCATTGAATCCTTACGTTTTATAAAGCCAAAAATGTCAAACCCTTAGATCTTTTCTGTTCTTCATTCTAGCTATATTTTGTTATTTATTTTACTTTGACTGTTCAACTCTGTACCTGCAGCTGTTCTTGGTAAGTACTTGGGTAGACAAATAGTCCAAGTGCTTTTTAACAGTGACTTTTATACTGTTTTGGCCGTGACTCACCCTACAATATATTTTTTGTCTTACCCAGAAGATGTATATGCATACAAATGGGCAGATAGGTATACCCACAAATAAGTGAAGTAAAACCAATAGTTCACCATTAATATATTTGATGCACTCCAATAGCTTCTATTTTATTCTAGTAGTCCTATTTCATTAAATAATGCTTTCTCCGTTGAACAATTAATTTCATGGACCACCAATGAATTGCAATCCAGTTTGAAAAACACTACTTTAAAATGAATACTTCATTGAATGTAGATGTAGGAACTTACAGCCTGTGGGCCCAAGGCATGGTACTTTCTGAACTTATTTACGTTTTTCTTAAAAATCTTTTTGGTTCCAAGTTCGTTTTCATTTTGTGTGATTTCTTATAACTGACCAAGAAAACCCCTAATTTTCCTCTTCTCCCTTGCCATTTTTGGTAGGACCATGGCTCTCTAGACCTTTCTGTACTCATTGATGAGTTAATGACTGGGGCAAAGTAAATGAAACACTTCTAATAATTACTAGTGAAAGTAGTGACATTTAGTAAACTAGGAGGATATGAAAGTTATATAGATGCACTGAAGAGTGCAAAGGAGATTCTAAGAGAGGTTATTGAACTTTTAATATTGCCCTCGAGCGGTGTATTCCTGAAGGTCCTGAATTTGCTCCAGCAATCTGTAGCCATTATCACTGTGTGGAAGGCTCTCAATGCTGCTTCTGATTTTTAAATGAGGATTGACTAAGAGGAGTAAATTCCTGAATCGGATGTGGTCATTCTTTTTTTCCTACTCCCTTCCTCTCCCTTTTCTCTCCTTTCTTTCTTCTGTGTCCTGTTCATATTTACTACCCATATTTTGAATGTCATAGCCATTAATTTAAATTTAAAGTGACATGGCCAGTCCTTTCACTCTATAAACTTAGGAAAGATTATTTTAATTTTTGAGAAAATTTTATAAAATATAAAAATGAAAAGTTAAAACATTTATATCTCTGATTAGATTGCACAGGTTCGAATTGACAGATAAAACAAAGTCAGAGTTTCTATTAGGTGAGGTCCCTCATGTTCATTACATTATCTTTTCTGAGTAGTCTTTGGAAGAATGGTCTTGAAGAATCCCTGCAGAGGACACTAATTTGTCTTCAGTTGGTATAACTCAGAAATAAAACCTCTTTTATTTCGTCTTATTGGTGATTATATTGCTTAAGTAACATTTGTACACCTTGGTGTTCAGAATAAATATATTCATATTCTTAGAATTACCAACGTTAGGCCTTGGGAGTGCCCAAGTGAATAGGTCTATACATTCTAGTTATTAGGTGTAACCTCCCTAACTTTCTGCTCCACATTTCAATAATGAGGAATTATCTCAGTTCTGTTTCTGTGTAACTTCGGTTGCAAATTCTATGAATTTGTCAGTTGTACTGCATAAAATTATGGAACCACAGAAATGATCAAACTCTACCTTGTTATGGGTTATCATATCATAATATAGTATCCTCCAGTTTCAATTTGGGGAAATAATGTTGTACACATCCAATATATTTCCTCTATAATATCCTCCAGTTTCACAGGCACATGTTTGCACTTTCCTCTGGTTAAAATTGCAGACAAGAATAATTTTGATTTATTGGTGACATCTAATATAGCTGTGTTTATATTGTTGCCAATAAAATGACTTACGTGATTGGTTTTTGTTTATACAGTCTTTTCTGAGGAGTCAGTCACCTGTGTTAGGACAAGGGACATTCTGCTTATTTAAATGAACTCCTAGGATCTAAGAACATTCAGCTCTATCTGTCCTTGATTGAATTGCGAAATGTGCTTCACACTGCAGCCGTGCATGAGAATAACTTATATTATCTATCAATAGGCTTTTCATTTCTAGATTCTTCTGGCTACAAAAGCTGTAACAAGAGAAGCCCATGGGAATAGCAGGGACCTATTAACAAGGCAGCGATGTTGAAAAGGCGGCATTAATGAAATTATACAGTCATGAACCCAAAGGGAAAAAATAAAAAGGATCAATAAAAACTCTTATTGTAGATGGCTTAGACAGATATATAAGAAGTAGAGTCAGAAGCAGTTTGTTTGCTGGCCAGTATTTTGTGCCTCATTATCGGGTTTTCTATGCAGAGTAAGAAGTGCTTGTGGCATAAGAAATGGAAAATGTAACAAAGGCTAAATGTAGCCTAAGGAAATGAAATGATGTATGAAAATTAATAATTAACTGGCTCATCAGATGAGTTATGACTCTAGATGGGTCTGTTAATGATATTTACTAAGAAAGGGCCTTTAGCTGTAAATAGGCATTATGGAAGTCATGTTCTTGAAATTTTCTGGAATGGATGAGTTAACATTGCTTTTCGTTTGTTTAATCTTTTAATCCATGATGAGCAGTGCCTGGAGCCTTGGGTAGAAGGTAGAGTCATGATTTTATATTTTGATTAAAGTCACGCATTTTCAGAAAAACTAGTGGAATTACTAAATGGTTTTGTGCCTTAGTTTCCTTAGGGTTAAGTAATTTCCTCTCTGACCTGATTTACAGAAGTGTGTTCAAAGAGTTTGAAAGTGGTCAAAAGGAAAGATTTATTAACTTTCATGCTGACTCATATTAGCAGAATGAACATTTTCATTGTAGGAACCAATGTAGTATAAAACTCTAGCTATGCCACAATGTCAGATCCAAAATATCCTAATTTATACCTCTGGATGTTCCTTGCTTTTTCTTTTTCTTGTTTCTTTTGTTTTTGTTACTGGTAGCCTGGGGTAGAGTAGTTCGATGGAGAACAGAGGAGAAAATGCTGACTAGAATAATGTGATTGGATTTTTAACTAGAAAGGTGCTCTTCCGATGGAATCCTGTCAGTTAAGTTTTTGACAGTGATTAGTTGTGATTTTACCTTTTTGGCAAAGTGTAAATGCAATGTTGAAATTTGTTGTTCATGGTTAGTATTGCCCATAGACAACACATCGCTGATGGGCAAGCCTTTTTCTATCAGCTCGCACTTTGATGGGGGTGGTAGAGAATGCTATTATTTTTTGCTTCCATGTCTACCGTCCAGATTTAAATGCCATAGGTATAAAATCTACATATTTATTCTTGATTATAGCAAATGGGTGTTCTTGATAGTCTTTCTTTTCTAAATTACCTGGAGTTACAGAATTTCAAGAGGCCGTAATGAATAGATCCAAATTCCTGAACTTTTTATGGATGAAAAACTGTAAGTCCAGAAAAGTTATAAATGATTTGTCAGAAGTAGAACTTGGGTATCTTGACTTTTTGAGTGCCATTTCATTCACACTCTATGAGGGTCTTTCTTAAAAGTTATAATAGCATTTTATCCCTTTTTTTGTTACCAAGGAGACTTAGGATTATATCTTCATCATATGGCCTAGCTAAAAAGTATAGAAAATATTATCATATAAATAGATGAAATTTATTTTTACATTCTAATATCTAATGTTTGAGAAATCTGTTGGCGTAATTAATGTGAAAACTGGAATATTCGCCATATTTTCATGTTTAGTTTCTTTTATTTTTGTCTTGAGGCTGGTTTTGCTCAGCTTACATGCCATTGGCCTATTGGTTTTTTCGTTATGGTATTAATCACTTTACTTTCTGGCTGTTGCTTTCTTAGTAATAAAATTTAAGTATACTTTTTGTTGTTTTTACTTTCAACCTAAAACTATTTAAAACGGGAGTGTAGTTTATAAAAAAAATAAAATAAAATAAATATTCATTCCAAGACAGGCAGATGTGAATGCCTGATACTTAATTAAGTTGTCAGTGCTCTAATTATTTTTCCTTCTTGCAAACTCACCTTTTTAATGATCGTGCTAAGTACCTCCTTATGTGTTTTTATCCAGATTTTTTGATGAGAATTCCTGCTCGTATATGATCTTGCTGCCAAAAAAAATGACTCCTTTATTTTTAAAAACCTGGAAATGGGCACAGTCTGAAAATCTGCAGACACTTGTCACTTGGACCATGGTCTTAGTGACTCATATTTCCAGTCATGTTGAACAATTCTTTATTTTAAAAAAGTTGCCAATGTGACATATTTCTTTTGCCTTTTTTTGGCGGGGGGTGGGTTGCTGCTGAATACGTGCTTTCTTCTGCAGGGTTCAGAGTGCTCAGAAAACACTATTTTATCAATGAGAGGAAAATAGATGGCCAATTTTATCTGGCAAAGTACAGAGACATTAAGTGACTGTTGCTCATGATCTACCAATGAATGGATTTACAGACTGGCTGGTGACACACAGGAGTTCTCCTACATAAATGTACCATAAAAAGCATTGGAATTTTACCAATGTAAGAACTGAGGTTATCTGGTCACTCCTGCTTCGTACTCATGGGAGAAGAGGGCAGGAGTGAGACCTGACTTAGAGGAATGTGGCTGAGTGTTTTCCGGAACTAGATGGCATGATAGTATTAAATGTCACAAACTGATGGCATTCTTAGTGAAAATAGAGAATTAGTAAGAATTAAGAAAACATTCTACATTTTATATTGTTAATTACTTTTGAATTTCCTCAAGATAGGCACACACAGCAAACTTTGCAGAAGGCATAGTGAGTGCTTGAGTTAAAATTAGATATTTTTGATTTTCTAAAAATGAAAAATAAACTCTTCACAAAAAGTGTTTCTCCTTGATAGCCTTTTCTCGATTATTTATGGAGTCCTTTATTTGGAAGTTGAGTTGAAAAATGTTTGTTCAACACTTTGAGTGGATCATACACAAAAATTAGGAATCATCCACTTGAGGATATCTGGTCACTCCTGCTTTGTACTCAGTCCTTATTTCCTGTGTTTGTTGAACTTTGGCTTCTTTCCATGACTGTCATCTCTGAAAGACAGATTGTGACAGTGTCTATAATACATTTGGCATAGTGGCACAACCATGGCACTTTACCACCTCATCGCATACATTTTGGGGAGCTATTGGTCAAGGGAAGGAGGGGCCTTCTTTAGTGATTTACAACCCGGCATCATCACGTGGGTGGGTGATGACGTCCTGCGATCATGTCAGTGCTTCTCTTGGTTCTTGTTCTGCTTCCTTAATGTTAGGAAGCTTTATGGAACTATGGTAGATTTACTGAATGTCATGTATCATGTACATACTGGACAGGTCACTTTTAGAAGGGACGTTCTCTCCTTATGCTCCCTGTAAGGCGTTTTGCACAGCCCTTCTCTTTTCTAGGATTTTAGTGGAAGGTTGCAGTATCCTGTTGTTGATTCTCTTCCCATCCCCATAACTCAGGATCATTATGGAACCAAGACTCTAATGCTGCCATGAATATTTGAATATATGAATATGTGGATATATAAAAATTTTATGGTATTCCCAGGCCTAGGTGTTCATCTTTTTCGAATCTAGGGACTGTGACAAGATAGCTCTTAAAGTGAAAATCAGAGATGGTTTAGTGTCCCCATAGTCTCATTTAGAAGCCATGTCTGCTTTGTGGTTGTTTACTGGAACTTTGAAGCATTGGTCTCACAGCTCAGGTAGGTGGTGCTTTTGGGTTTCCCAAGACCCACTGTAGCAAAAGTGAACTAGTATGGACAGATCCTCTAGGGAACAAAATAAGTTTTGTTTTGCAAGCTGGCACCAGTAGATTGTTGTAGTTGCCGAGAGCACTGTATTGAGAAGGGCTCAGTGGCAAACAAAACAATGCAGTGATCCATAATCCATGTCCACCATGAGTGCAGAAGGGGAGAGTGCCTGCCAATGAGCCGTGTATTTGAGGACCCTTTTCTACATAAAAGGCCATCTTGCTAAGAGTGCTGCTTTTCTTCCTTATGAATGATACACAGGTTGAAAAACTCACTGTATCTTATTTTCATTTTTGCTTTTAAAAATGCCTGCGTTTATTTTTTTAAACAGGCTTATAACCCACACCATGGATAACTTATTGGACTTTGCCTGAAAGGAGTCATTAGTGACATTGGATATTTGACCGTCTTGGCCACAGGTTTTTCAGAATGAATGGAAGATCATGCAGCATGAGTCTCCACCGGACATCGGGAACCCCACAGGGGCCTAGGATGGTCAGTGGTCATCACATTCCTGCCATCCGAGCCCACTCCGGGACTCCTGGCCCCTCGCCCTGTGGCAGCACATCGAGTCCCACTATGGCAAGCCTTGCTAACAACCTCCATCTCAAGATGCCCTCAGGAGGAGGGATGGCTCCTCAGAACAACGTGGCTGAGAGCCGCATCCATCTGCCTGCCTTAAGCCCCAGGAGACAAATGCTCACCAATGGGAAGCCGCGATTCCAGGTCACCCAGGCTGGAGGCATGTCAGGGTCACATACTTTAAAGCCAAAGCAGCAGGAGTTTGGAAGCCCTTTTCCTCCAAATCCTGGGAAAGGTAGGATTGTCTTTCTGGAACCTTTTAAAAATGGAAACGATTTTTTTCTCCCCCATCCCATTTTCTGCCAGCAAATCCTATGGAAAAATACATGATTCAGTGTCAGGGTCAAAGATGATGGTCTCATAATGATATATAGCTTGCTCAGTAAGGGAATGGGTGTGTATGTGTTGGAGGGGACCACAGTGGTAAATGCTGAGTATGAGACATCTCCTGGGACTGTGAAACAGAGTAACAGTAAGATAGAAAGATAAAAAATAGGGAGGCAGGCTGAGTGGTTGTGGTGGAAGGGTAAGAGCTAGGTTAGCAAGATCATGCCCTCCGGATACAGGTAGCGCTGCCCTGTTTCCCTGGGGGCTGAATTCTCCAGGCCATGGACAAGAAGACCGACTGGAACTGTCCTTATGCCAGTGCTAAAAGTATAGTGTAGAAGAAAGGTGGTGTTTGGAAGGAAAAGAATAAAAAAGGGAAATTTTAATAACCAATAAAATGAGGAATCAATAAATATAAATAAGAAAAATTAAGAGCAAAGCCTGTAATTTTTATCATATAGCTAGTAGCAAGAGGGAAGCAAGCTAGAAGGGAATAATGAAAAGATGTATTTTGTGCTTGCGGAGAACTAGAAAACCTGGTCAATTTGAAGTATAGAGAGAATGTGCTTTTAATTCATTAGTGTTTTAATTACCATATATTTTAAATTAAAGAATAATTGTTGGTGAATAGCAAGTTATTTGAGCGACACATTAGAAATTGATGTTGAATTAATGAGGTTATATTGTAGATGACGTATGTATTTAGAGAAAGAGCATGCACCCCACGTAAAATATAGCTTTGCTGTATAAAATAGCACAATTATATATTCCTTAAGGTATTTTTAGCATTCCGTCTTAAATGTTTATGTTAAAAATGCTTACACCAGCAAATAGAATTACTAGCAACCTTCAGAATAGCCAGTCATTCAGTTAATTAAGGTGAATAATGATTTCTATCAGTCAAGTAGCCAAAAAGTTGTTTTAGAGTCTGTGTATTTCTGTGTTTGGATAAATTGGTATAAATGGGCAGGTTTAAAAAAAAAATAGCACTAAACATACATGTGCCTTTTAAATTAGAAAATTTTTTGAGACGGGGTATCACTTTGTCACCCAGGCTGGAGTACAGTGGCATGATCTTGGTCTCACTGCAGCCTCATCCTCCTGGGTTCAAGTGATCCTCCTGCTTCAGTCCCCCAAGTAGCTGGGACCACAGGTGCGTGCCACAACGCCTGGCTAATTTTTTTTTTCTTTTTTTTTTTTTGAGACAGGATTTCGTTATGTTGCTCAGGCTGGTCTCCAACTCCTGAGCTCAAGTGATCTGCCTGCCTTGGCCTCCCAAAGTGCTAGCGTTACAGGCGTGAGCCACCGTGCCAGGCCTTAATTTATTTATTTTTCTTCTTCTTCTTTTTTTTTGGTCTAGATTAGTTTTGAGTCATTTTATTTCTTAGAGGTACTGATATTTAGCATAAGTATAGGAGAAAGTTTCCCTGGGGCTACATCCAAAATAGGTTGCTCATTGTCAGGTTGCTATGTCCATGATGTGGCAAGTTAAGTTCCCTCCTGTTAAATTTAGGTGTTCAGATTTTCAGGGGTTGAGGCCCGATAAAGCCTTTTAGCGCATGCTTGACTAGTGAACCGTAGCTTGCTTTTATATGTACTTGTGTTTGCAATCCTGACTGACACTAATAATGGTGATAATATTAATAACTTGCCTTTATTGTATCATAACTCAGCATATGTCAGGCACCGTGTTAAGTGCTTTCCAATACGTAGTCTCAGTTATTCCTCAAACAGCACTGAGTTGTATGCTATGGTTATTTAACTGATAAGGGAACTAAGGTCTAGAAAGAGTAAGTAACTTCAGAGGCACCAGCCAGTAAGGAGCTTGGGAATACTAACTTTGATGGCGGTCAGCAGTGGCTGTAATTAAAGCCATGTTTTCTTAAAAAACCTCAGGTGCTAGTGAATTCTCAGGGTTGATACACCTTGAAATGCCTGTCAGAAGTAGTGCTGCTTCTTGATTCTCTTCCCTGTGGCTTTTTGTTTCCTTGCTCAGCTTCCTAGCTTACAGTGCTCCTCCTGGATCTGCATGGTTGGCACATGCATAGGCACAAATGAGGGGTAGAGGACAGCTGTATTATTATCACCTCTAGCTTTGGAGCTTAGATACCATCAGTGGTCTAGATGGTGCAAGAAGTGGCTGAATGTATCGTTTCTTCCAGATTTTGGTTGACAATTCCTATACTAAGCCAATAACTGGTTGAGGATGGTGATCTAGGATTATTTGAACTTTGATCATTTACTCTACAAATAATTATTGAGCATATATTATGGGTGAGCCACTGTTCTGGAGATGCAATAGCCAATAAAGCATAGTCCTTTCCCTCAAGGAGTTGGATAATTCATACAAACAAGTGGGCAGTTAAACTACAGCACAGTAGGTGGGGTGCGATGGCTCACGCTTGTAATCCCAGCAGTTTGGGAGGCCAAGGCAGGCAGATCATTTGAGGTCAGGAGTTTGAAGCCAGCCTGGCCAAGATGGTGAAACGCCGCCTCTGCTAAAAATACAAAAATGAGCCGGGTGTGGTGGTGGGCGCCTGTAATCCCAGCTACTCGGGAGGCTGAGGCAGGAGAATTGCTTGAGCCTGGGAGGCAGAGATTGCAGTGAGCAGAGATTGCGCCATTGCACTCCAGCCGGGGCAAGAAAGCAAGACTCTATCTCAAAAAAAAAAAAAACAAAAAAACAAAAAAACAGCACAGTAAGGACTCCGGTAGGGATACACTCAGAATGATATGGCCACATAGAAGGGTTCCTGGCCTGTGCTATATAGGCAGATACTTGGAAGGTAAAGAGCTAGCTTTGCAATCCTGCAAAGTGCATTCCTGTGTGTGTGTGTGTGTGTGTGTATGTGTTTGTGTGTGCACGCATATATTTGCATGGAGGGGGTTGTCTGGGACTTATTCTGGGAAGGGAGAAAAATGCACTCAAAACTTGGAGGGAAGAAATCCTGGTGCATGTCATGGACTTGCACCTGGTTCCACATAGGTAGGGGTACAGAAAACAGTGGTAAGAGATGAAGCTGGAGAAGAATCAGCAGAAGCCAGAGGAAGGGCCATGAATGATGTGCCAAGGAGTTTGGATCCATTTTGAGGACGCTGATGGAACATGGGACTCTTGTGGGTTTATTAATTAGGGTTTTCCAGAGAAATAGACAAATAGGATACATATCTACATGTGTATATTTGTGTGTGTGTATATATATAAAGAAATTTGTTATAAGAAATTGGCCCTTGGGATTATGGAGAGTGGCAGGTTCCAGGATCTACAGGGAGAGTCAATCAGCTGGAGACCCAGGAGAGCCAATGGTTTCATTGCAGTCTGAGTCTGAAGGCCTGAGAACTAGGAGAACCCACGATGTAGTCCCTGTCTGAAGGCTGCCAGGCTCAAGATCCAGGAAGAGCTGATGTTTCAGTTTGAAGTTAAAGGCAAGGAAAAAGCCAGTGTCCCAGTTGGAAGGCAATCAGGCAGGAAGAATTTTCTCTTGTCGGGGGCGAGGGTCAACCTTGTTCTATTCAGGACTTCAACTGATGGGCTGAGAACCACCCACATTAGGGAGGGCAATATGTTTTACTCAGTGTACTGACTAAATGTTAATCTTACCCAAAAACACCCTCATAGAAATGCCCAGAGTAGTGTTGGACCTAATATTGGGGCACCAAGTGGCCCAGTCAAGTTGACACATAAATTTTAACCAAAGCAGTATCATTGCTTTGGGGCAAGGTACAGTTTACACGGCGGCTAAGAAAATGCATTTTCTAAGCTTTGAAAGTGATTATAGCAACTCTTAGGGAAGCGTAGAGCTGTGTACGGAGAAAGGTTAAGTTGCCTAAGAATTGCTACACAGACAAGCATCTGACTTGAAGACTGAAGAATCTTTGATGGAAGGCTCATGAGAAGTATACATTTGATATTATTTATATTATTTAAAAATTGAGTTCTGCTCAGTTGAAAACTCAAATAACAGTGGCTTTAATATCATAGATTGTGGTTCCCAAACAGTGTGTTAAAGGTCACTGGAGTGCCACAGTGAACTTTGGGAGTCACAGGGTATTTTAAATTTAGAAGGAAACAGGGATATGTGATATCCTTTGGACACCAGGCAAACTACTAGCTTGAGGAGGTTGACAGTTTTAACAGTAAGTTGCACTATGTTCCTTTTGGTGACATCATATCTTTGAGAAGCTCCATTTTCAGTAATTGTGATTTAGAAGCAGCAAGTACTTTTGACACCCATGTCCACAGCAGCATTATTTATGATAGCCAAAAGGAAGAAACAACCCAATGTGGTATATACATACAATGGCATATTATTTAGCCTGAAAAAGAAAGGAAGTTCTGACACATGCCACAACATGGATGATCTTTGAGGAAATTATGCTAAATGAAATGCACCAGTCACAAAAGGACACGTATTGTATGATTCCTTTTGTATGAAGTTCCTGGAATGGTCAAATTCATATAGTCAGAAAGAGTGGTGGTTGCTGGGAGTTGGGGAGAAGGGGGCATGAGGAGTTAGTGTTTGATGGGTACAGAGCTTCAGTTGGTGAGGATGGAAAAGTTTTGGAGATGGGTAATGGTGATGGTTGCACAATAATGTGAATGTACTTAATGCCACCGAACTGTATACTTACAAATGATTAAGACGATCGCTTTTATGCTGTATATATTTTACCACAATTTTAAAAGAGCAAATACTAAGTGAAAATCAACGTGGAACGGGTGATGGTGTCCAATCTTACTCCAAAATTTGAGAAACACTAGAGTGCACAATTTAACACACATCCCATTAGTATTTGTGGTTGTTTAAGAATGAAATAAAAATACTATTTTTCTTTTAATTTATTTGTATTATTTTTTCAAACGACTAATAAGCTGTTAGTACATACATGTTATTGAGTTGTTTACACCTAACTACTTGATAAATGCAACTTTAGGTGTTTCTTTTGGCCTAGGGGAACCAAGAAAAAATTACTGAAACACTGAGCATGCTATGAACTGAGAACAGTTGGGAACTTTTGTTGTAGGAGTTTATTTTTATTATACAGAGAAGACTGCAGTAGGTGCTTGCTGCTAGTGGTTGGCCACTCCGCTCTCTCTGGTCCAAGATCGTGGAGCTTTCTTTAGTCTTCTTCTAGATTGCACAACATTTGCCTCATTCCAGCTCCAGCTATCTAGTCTGCCTTCTGAGAAGAGTGAGGAGGAAGGAAGAGGATAAAAGGCAAAAGAGAAAAAGAACAACTCCTCCCAGATCTGTTCCTCTTCAAACAGCTTTCCCAGGTGCCCTACCCAGCTATTCCCATTTAAATTAACCAATCATTGCATAACTTATTTCTTAAATACAATTCATTCTTTGACGCTGAATTTATCATTTTTTAAAGTTTGATCTGGCCTTCTGCTGTTTTGTGTTGTATTATACTGCATTTAACTTTTTTTTGCATTTTGCCTCTTTTATCTCTCTCAAGTAAGGTGAACCACTTGAAAGTAAGTTGCAGACATTGTGACCTCCAAATTCCTAAGCCAGTATCTTTCATGTTATATAACCAAAATATATTAATCATAACCAAGAAAGTTAATTTTCATACAAAGTATTATTTATATATAGTTACATTTTAAAATACAGCCCAGGCTGGCATGTGGCTCACACCTGTAGTCCCAGCACTTTGGGATGCCACGGTGGGCGGATGGCTTGAGGCCAGGAGCTCAAGACCAGTCTGGGCAACAAAGTGAGACCCCTCTCTCTCTACAAAAAATAAAATAATTAGCTGGGTGTGTTGGCATGTGCCTGTTGACGCAGCTATGCGGGAGGCCGAGGTGGGAGGATCACTTGAGTCCAGGAGTTTGAGGCTGCGGTGAGCCATGATTGTGCCACTGCACTCAAGCCTGGGTGACAGAGTGAGACCCTGCCTCAAACATAAATAAATAAATAGTAATCCATATTTCAATTTTATATTATTTTTTATTTCATTCTACTTACATTATTAATATGATATAAATTATTATATCAGATTTATGATATTATCTAATTGTCCTTTATAGCTGTTTTTTTTTTCTAATCAAAGATCATATATTACCTTTGGTTGTCATATCTCTTTAGCCTACTTCACCAGACTTTTTTCATTGTCTGTGGTATTCTCAGGGATAAACCTAAGTAAAGGAATGATACAGGAAAATAACATTTTAAACTAGTATCAGTATTTTAAAATTAATGATGTGGCAGTGGAGAAAAACACACAGCTAAGCAAACCGACTGACCAAACAAGCTCTAATCTAAGCTCTAGGTTAACACCAGTTGAAATATCCAACCACAGACAGTAAAAAATAAACATGAAACTTGATGTATTATTTAAAGTACATTAATTTTTCAGCCTCCCAGGTTTTCACAATACATTATTTTTCTTAAACCAGGTCTTCACAAGAGACACCACCCTTAAGTGACACAAAAGAGTTTTTTAATCCCAATTAGTTTGGTGTCCTTTGTTGATATTATTGTTTTTTTTCTTCCAGTTCCTCTACCTTTCTTTGTGTTTCATTAAAAAAAACGCTGATATATATATAATATAAAATATATATAATATGTATTATGTGTGTGTGTGTGTGTGTGTGTGTGTGTGTGTGTGTGTATATATATATTTTTTTTTTTTTTTTTTGAGATGGAGTCTTGCTCTGTTGCCCAGGCTGGAGTGCAGTGGCGCGATCTCGGCTCACTGCAACCTCTGCCTCCTGGGTTCAAGCAGTTCTCTGCGTCAGCCTCATGAGTAGCTGGGATTACAGGTGCCTGCCACCACGCCCGGAAACTTTTGTATTTTTATTAGAGATGGGGTTTCACCATCTTGGCCAGGCTGGTCTTGAACTCCTGACCTCATGATCCACCTGCCTCAGCCTCCCAAAGTGCTGGGATTACAGGCATGAGCCACCGTGCCCAGCCACGCTGATATTTTTAAAGAGTTTAGGTGAGTTGTCTTGTTCCACACTCTGGTTTGTCTGATAATTTCTTCATGATTGGATTCAGGTTAAATATTTTTGACAAGAACACTATGAAGGTGATTTGTGTACCACACATTGCATTATACCCAGAAGCACTGAATGCTGCTTCATCCTAGTATTTGTGATGCTATATTTGATCACCTGGCTAAGGTGGTGTTACCAGATCTCTGCATTGTGAAGGACACTTTCTCTTTCAAAATGTATAAGTAACCTTGTGCGAATATCTTGTCCTCCAACAATCTTTCATAGCATCCATTGATGATACTTGTCAGAATCAGTTTTTACATGGTTGGTTGCATAGTGGTGATTTTCTGATTCTTTTATTCCTGCTATGTTTATTAGCTGGTATTCTTCTAGAGAGAGGAGTTTCTCTCCCTTCTCTTTTTGTGAATCACTACAGAATCACTCATGGATTTTTTTTAAATTATTCTGTTAGAATTCATTACCATCATTATTCTTTGTGATGCTCAAACTGTCCCAAATTTGACCAGTGGGAGCCCCTTGAAGTCAATTCTTGTGTCTTTATGACATGTTCCCATTAAGTACTTCCTTGCTTACAGGCATAACAAGATGTTCTAGGCTCACTTTTATTTGCGTGCCCCATACCTGGAATCATGCATTTTCCCAAGAAGCTCAAGTCCCTCTTAGTGGGGAATATCTGGAAAACTGGCTGAAAGGGTGTTCTTGTTGACTGTGGGATGTCATTGCTTGTAAGCCTTTTCTACGGACAGAGTTAGGAAATATATTAGAGAAAGATAGTGAGTTCCAATTAAAATACAACATTACTGAGTTCTTCGTCACACTATCTTGTTGCACACTTGTCAGTGTTTTCAGCAACATCAGTGTATTTTTTTTGCTCTGTCTACGACAAGGAAGAGTTACTTTTAGTTTTATGTTTCTAAGATAATAGAAATTAGTTTAAAAATTGATCACTTACTACATGTAAATTTTTAATGAGCGGAGGTGAATGTGTTCCTATGTATCTGAGCCACTGAGTAAGCAGGCAGGACAGGGTGCAGTTGGCAACTTATTAGTCTCGCTAGGATTTGTGTTTGAAGGATCCCGGTTATATTGTATTTCCCCTACTTCCTGCTCCAACAGTTACTCATTGTAATTTGACTCGTAGAAATGCATTTTTCACAGCGTCTGGGAAATCAGCTTTATGATCCCCACTTTAAGTACATTTGACACAACTATTTAAATATTTAAGACAATTTTACATTTGTAGTACCCGGAGGAATATATAATTGGGAAGATTTTCATTATAAGAGTTTTTATTTTACTTCAGGGCTTCTGACATTTCTTGCTGGGCTCTGCTGTCCTTGGAGACAAAGGGAGTTAGTTATTCATTAGCGTTTGTGGGTTATTCATTATTGTTGGTCAGACAAAAAAGACAGAATAATATCAACAAAGGACACCAAACTAATTGGGATTAAAAAACTCTTTTGTGTCACTTAAGGTTGGTGTCTCTTGTAAAGACCTGGTTTAAGAAAGATAATGTATTGTGAGAACCTGGGAAGTCAAAAACTTAATGTACTTTAAATAATACATCAAGTTTCATGTTTATTTTTTACTGTTTGTGTTTGGCTATTTCAATTGGTTTTAATCTAGAGCTTAGGTTAGAGCTTGCTTGGTCAGTTGGTTAGCTAGCTGTGTGTTTTTCTCCACTGCCACATCATAGATTTTAAAATACACTGATTTAAAATGTTACTTTCCTATACTTAGGAAAAGTATTTCCTTTACTTAGGTTTATCTCTGGGAAAACAACAGACAATGAAAAAAGTCTGCTAACACCAGTGTGTGTACCGTGTTGAATGCAGCCATGTTAGAACTGGGATAATAGTGGAGATTGGGGTCCCGCAATTTTGAAGAGATGCAGTTAATATATTACCTAAAGAAGGTTGGGGCAAAATCCGTGGTTATTTTTTTTTCACTTCTGCTTTTTAATCATTTATATTTTCTTGCACTTCCAATGTGGCTTCCTGCAGAATTAGAGCAAATGAAGTTAATATTCCATAAAAGTTTCCAAAAATAACCAAACAGCCAGAGACCAAAGACATTATTCCAGTTGAGGTAGCCAGAGTTTTCATTTTGTCTTGCCAACAAGTCAGGTGAAACACAATGTTTACTTTTGTTTACTCTCTGAGCTACACAGGGTCCAGTTTGTATGATTTATTGATGCTTTGTATAAATCAAATTGATGATGCATTTCCAAGTATTACTCAATCGGAGGCGTGATTTGTTCCAATTATAAAAGGGGGTTTCAGTCTTATAACATTACATCTTTAAAAGAATCTATTCCATTAGTACCCTTCCCCACTTCAAATGCTACAGGACATGAAGCAGAAATGGAACTTTCATTAGTCACCTATAGCATTTTCTTTCTTCTCTTCCCTCCCCTCCCCTCCCCTCCCCTTCCGTCCCCTTCTCTTCCCTTCCCTTCCCTTCCCTCCCCTCCCCTTCCCTCCCGTCCCCTTCCCTCCCCTCCCGTCCCCTTCCCTCCCCTCCCCTTCCCTCCCCTCCCGTCCCCTTCCCTCCCCTCCCCTTCCCTCCCCTCCCCTTCCCTTCCCTCCCCTCACCTCCCCTCCCGTGCCCTCTCCTTCCCTCCCGTGCCCTCTCCTTCCCTCTCCTCCCCTCCCCTCCCCTCCATTTTCTTCTCTTCTCCTCTATTCTCATTTTTTTCTTTTCTTTCAGTCTTACTCTGTTGCCCAGTGCACTGGCACTATCTGGGCTCACTGCAACCTCCACCTCCTAGGTTCAGGTGATTTTCCAGCCTCAGCCTCCCAAGTAGCTGGGACCACAGGCATGTGTCACCACCGGCTAATTTCTGTATTTCTTTTGTAGATATGGGGTTTTTCTATGTTGCTCAGGCTGAGCTTGAACTCCTGAGCTCAAAGTGATCCATCTGCCTCGGCCTTCCAAAGTGCTAGGATTACAGGCATGAACCACTGCTCCTGGCTAACCTGTAGCATTTTCTAAGGTGGTTAAAGGGGAACAGCCTTGGACTTGTACAGTACTTTGTAGTTCACAAACTTTCATATTGATTATCTCATGTGATTTGATTAAAGGCAGCATCCTATGAGATGGGGTAATCGGCCCCATTTTAGGTATGAAGACATCAAGGCTCAGTTTGCTGGTGATCTCATTCTTTTTAAAAATATTTATTTATTTATTTACTTACTTGCTTATTTATTTATAGAGACTGGGTCTTGCTCTGTCCCCCAGGCCAGAGTGCAGTAGCACGATCATAGCTCACTGCAGCCTTGAACTGCTGGGCTCAAGTGATCCTCCCACCTCAGCCTCCCATGTAGCTGAGACCACAGGGGTGTATCACCACACCTGGCTTTTTTTTTTTTTAATTTTTGTAGAGATGGGATCTTGTTGTGTTGCCCAGGATGGTCTCAAACTCCTAGGCTCAAACGATCCTTCCACCTCGGCCTCCCAAAGTGCTGGGATTACAGTTGTGAGCCACCATGCTCTGCCCAATCTCATTCTTTATGTGCTGTGTGGTTTTACACTGAATAGGACCCCACGGTCTTAGATCTTTTGCTATAGGAGTTCAGAGAAATCTTTCTCCTTCTCTCTATTTGAATACAGGGTGCTGCCATTCCTGAAAAAGTATACTTTTAAAAACTCAAACCATTCAGCTGTCGTTTCCATCCATGAGCTGAAGAAATGGGCACTTACTCCTTTTTTCGAAAATTTTACTTGACTTTTTTCAACAGTTGGCCCCTCTGAACATGGAGAGCGTTGCCTACTCGGGAGGAGTTAGGCAGCCTTTTGTGTGGCCACCTGAGTGACATCGGTATATGCATAAGCACCTTTCCATGCCTCTATCTATATGAAGTCTTTAAACCCAGGCAGGCAGATACTATGAATGTGAATAGATTTGCTACTTCTGACTTGTCACATTTTAAAGACACAATAGATAGTGGCTTGTATTTAGTGCTTATTTTCATGGCTGCCTTATTTGAATAATGAAAGACGTAAAAAGTTTGTAATTGGATCTGACATAATAAACACATTACAAAATGCAACTTGTGGTGTAGGACCTTGCTACTCAAGTATAATTTGAGGACCAGCAGTTTTAGCCTCCCCCAGGACCTGGTTAGAAATGTACAGGGCACTCCAGACCTCTTGAATCAGAATGTGCATTTTAACAATATTCCCAGGTGATTCATGTGCACAGGGCTGGCTTCATGGATGTGTGAGCAGTCACTGCACAGGGTCCTGCACTCAGAAGGGGTGCCCTGTGCTTAGGGTTTAGTGTTCTGTGGTCACCTTCTTGGCATTCTTAATAATTTTGTTTTTGAATCTGTTTTTTGCTAGTGAAGTCCCATGGGATACTGGAGCAGTTAATGTGTGGTCCCATCCCCTGCCAGGATGACCGCTGACTCTTCCACTTCCACCCAATATTCATTGCCACCCTCTGCTTCTGGCAGGGATGGGGACTTGCAAGAGGGTATGAGGAAGGTGGAGTGGGGTGTGTGTGCCCCATATGCCCAATTGCCAGTGAGGCTCTGGGCACCTTTGAGGGTCTGCGCTTGCCCTGAGAATATCCCTGTGCAGAAGGAACCCAATCAATGTTAAGTAGCAAATGAAAAAACACCCCAACAAGTCCAGAGAGAGACCTAAGAAGAAAGGAAAAAGCTTTCTTCTTGCTTTTTGATCAAGGGATGCAGCATTTTTGTTTGGCACTGGTCCCCACAAATTATGTAACTGACCTTGCAAGTGTACATTGACATTCGAGAAGCATTGCTGTAGGGAAACAACATGGACTTTGGGGCCAAGACCCATTGTCCAGTTCAGGCTTTACCACTATGGTGACCTTTTCAAGCCACCAGGCCTCCTGCCTCAGTTTCCTCATCTGGAAGGTGGGGGATAATGTATTATCCTCATTCACAAATGGGCAGAGTCTAGGCAAAGGGCAGACTCGGCCACATGTCCTGGAGTAGGAGAATGTCCTATGCAAGGACATGCTCTTTTCTTTGGTTTCATGAGGCTGATGAACAAAGCTGCACATTATGGCCTGAGGGTGGAATGGAGGTGCAGGGCAGGGTACGAAATGGGACAAGAAGGCCAAAAACCAGGTTTTTCAGATTCATAGGAGCATTTGGAAATTTGGAGTCAAGAAGCTGAGAAAGACAAGAGATTGGGGATCTTGGGTAGGGAGGAGAGTGAGCATCAGAGAATCTTCGAGTTATGTGGATTGACTTTTCAAGTAGTCACCCACTTGTGTGGAAATCTCTGGCACACGTAAGATGGTGGAACAGAAAATGGCATTTACTTCTGAGGTTGAAGTTAGATGATAAATGTGAAAATACATTTATTTATTTATTTATTTATTTATTTATTTATTTATTTATTTATGATAAGGTCTTGCTCTGTCACCCAGGATGGAGTGCATTGGCACCATCATAGCTCACTGCAGCCTCAAACTCCTGGGCTCAAGTGATGATTCCACCTCAGCCTCCTGAGTAGTGGGGACCACAGGCATTAGCTACCATGCCCAGCTAATTTTATTTTTCTGTGGAGATGGGGTCTCCCTGTGTTTTCCAGGCTGGTCTGGAATTCCTGGGCTTAAGTGACCCTCCTGCCTCAGCCTTCCGAAATGCTGGAATTACAGACATGAGCCACCGTGCTTGGTGCAGAAGTGCATTTTAAGTGGCAAACTGGTAGGGCAGGTAAAGTGTTGTCATTCCTTGATTACACATCTGTGTGAGGTAGTATAGATCTCTATAAACCACTGCAACTGCGCTGCACAAGAAGGCCTTGCTGCATTTCTGTCTTCATTCTTGAGACTTGTCTTTTGAAATAAAGGCCTACAGCTTAGTCATAACTCTCCAGTCTAGGCAGTATGAAAAGCTACTTGATATATGGATTTAGAACCGTAAAAGCTCTATATTTTCAGTTTACTTCAAAAACTAAGAGAACAAATGTAAACCACAATACACATGCACTGAGGTGAAATAAAGTATTTTAAACCTGTATCTCCCATCTAAAGATTTTACTTTATTTAGGTAGGGTGATCATATAATTTGTTGTACAAACTAGGACACTGTCAAGACTTAAATGAGGCCCTATTAATAATTACGCATAGGACTATCCTGGCTGAACCAGAATGTCAGATCACCTGACATTTGGGGAAAGTTTCATTACATTTAGATTCAGAATCTTAACAGCCTTCCGATCAAGTCATTCAACCTACTTGAAAGGATTAGCCTCATATAAGTTAATAGCAAAATTACTTATTGGGGCCAGTGAGTGATTATTAGTGTATTACGTAAAACACACAAGTTTCTGGTTATTCTAGAGTTGAAAATAAAACAGCTAGCAATTATGTAGCATTTTATATATTCTAGAACTATGCTTAGCTTTATATATCTTAATTTAATCCCCTATAACCCTATGAGGTATTCCCATTGAAAATAAGAGAACAGAGAGGCTTGGGAAGATTAAGAAACTTGCCCAAGCACACCCGGCAGGAGGTGGGTATTTTTTACCCCATGTTATGCTGACTTCAGAGCCCTAAATATTTCCATAGGATGTTGTTTTGTTTTTTGGCAGAGATTGCCTCAAAAGGTTAGGTTCTTGGCAATTGGGAGTGATTTCCTGAAAGATACATTATGTCTACCAGAATTTCTACTATGTGTGGTGGTGTAGTGTCTGGCATATGTTTATTTTGAAAAGAACAGCAAGCTGAAGCAGAGAAACCACTGCCAACTAAATTGTTGCAGGTGTTTGTGTCTATGTGAGTTAAAAGTGCCATTCGCAACTTGCTTAAAATAGTGGTTTTGGTGCAGTCAGGTAGGCAATTAGAACTGAAAGGGAAAAATAGAGTAATGGCTAACTTTTTGAGCCCTTACTCTGGGTCGGCCATTGCACTGAGCTCAGTTGCTTGGCCGCATGACGAGGGCACAATCTGCAAGGCCTTCTGTGATGGCCTGGAGCTCATTTTCTCTTTAATTCTCACAAATGAGAATTTTATGGATCCCCTGCATTATTAGATTAAGAAAATGAAGTGTTGAAGAGATGAAGTAACTTAGCCACGGTCACATGGCCAATATGTGGCAAAGCTGGGAACTGAATCCAGGTTTGCTCCGACCCCACAGTCTTGTATCTTAAACATCTTACTATGTACTGTTGGGATGTCAGAGAGCCTAGTTTCTGGTAGCATTATGGTGAGCAGAGCAGGAGATCAGTGCTTTCTACTGCAATGCATTGATTCCCCAAGTACCTTATTCAAGACTTTTGGTTGCAGGTACCTGAAACCCACTGTGCTACCTTAGGTAAAAGGGGATTTAATTATAAAAATCCAGGGGGGTGTCTCATGGCACCTAAGAGGAGGGTGTACAGCCAGATATTTTGAGAAACTGTAAGAATATGCCACTTGCTTATGCTGCTTTTTCCTAGGCAACATGATCTTTTCTGTGCTTCTCTTTATACATCACTTCATTCTTCTCCCTGGAGATAACTTTTCTGTTTTTTAGTATCTGTGTTACTCAGAGTTCTACAGGGAAACAGAACCAATAGGATATATACCATTGACCTTTGAACAATATGGAGGTTAGGGGTGCTGACCCCCCATGCAGTTGAAATTTGTGTGTAACTTCTGATTCCCCCAAAACATAACTACTGGTAGCCTACTGTTGACCAAAGCCTTGCTGATAACATAGTTGATTAACATGTATTTTGTATGTATTGTATACTGTGTGCTGACAATAAAGTAAGCCAGAGAAAAGAAAATGCTACTGAGAAACAGAAGTTACTTCCTGCCCCCGTTTCTATATTTTTCCTAATTTTCTAGTATTATTATTAATAAGAAAAATATATTTACTGTTCATTAAGTAGAAGTGGATCATCATAAAATTCTTCATTCTCATTGTCTTCACATTGAGTAGGCTGAGGAGAAGGAGGAAGAGGAAGGGTTGGTTTTGCTGTCTCAGGGGTGGCTGAGGCAGAATAATTTATATTTAAGTGAATCTGTGCAGTTCAAACCTGTGTTGTTCAAGGGTCAGTTGTGTATACACACACACACACACACACACACACACACACACACACACACACACCACACAGATTGAGAGAGAGATTGATTTATTATGAGGAATTGGCTCATGCAGTAAAGGAGGCTGAGAAGTCTTACCATCTGCAGTCAGCAAGCTGGAGACCTGGGAGAGCCATTGGTATCGTTCCAGCCTGAGGCTGAAGGCAGAAGGAGACCAATGTTCTAGCTCAGAGATCGTCACACAGGGAGAGTGAATTCATTAGGCTGCAAGAAGTTTGACTTATGTTTATTGTCAGACTGTATTGTCTTCTTGGTTTGTGTGCTTCATGAAGCAAGCTGCCATGCTGGAAAGGCCTGTGTGACCTCTGGCCAGCAGACAGAATAATTGGAGGCTCAGTCCAACCCACCTTTGAGAAACTGCATTCTGTCAACAACCCTGTGAGCCTGGAAGCAGATGCTTCCCCGTTTGAGCCTTCAGATGGGGCTCTAGCTGACAACTCAATTACATCCTAGGGAGACCCTGAAGCAGAGGACCCACCTAAGCCATGCTCAGATTGCTGACCATGGAGACTGAGGTGATAAATGTGTATTGTTTTAAGCCACTAAGTTGATGCTAATTTTGATGTAGCAATAGATAATTAGTACAGTTATTGTCTGGGCTTTCCTCTTTTAAGATATACTAGAAAATTAGGCAAAATATAGGAGCAGGAAGGCAGGAAGTAATTTCTGTCAAGGGCCTGTGATACACCAGACATGGTGATAGGCTCTAAGAGTCAGCAGTGCCAGTTTGCAAGATTTTCTCTGTTATCTCCATTTTAGAAATGTGGAAACCAGTATTCAGAGAAGTGAAATTGTTCAGGATCACATGGCTGATAAGAGGTGTCTAGAGCCAGGGTGGGAATGCACGTCTGTCTTACTGCAGAGCACTGGTTCCTTCCAAACATTTGGCTAATTCCCATGAACCATTACAAACACCTGTGGGGCATTTTTGCCTAGAGAAAAGGACTAAACAAAGACAGTTGATCTTTAAGTATTTATAGGTACTCTGTTTGGGCTTGTTTCCAGGTTTCACTTTCTACCCACCTTGTTGTGTGTCCCCACCAGATATTTGTTTGTTTCTCCCGTCCTGCCCTCCGTCTAAACCTGTGCTTCACAACACTATTTTTTTACCCTCTTTATTATTCTCAGACAAAATTAATAGACAGCATTATTTACCAATACTAATAATTTTAAAAAATCAATATAATTTCCTAACTGAAATACACAGGAACTGTAAAAGCAATATAATTTATAATAAAATAATATGCATTTAAATATGAAAATACTCCAGCCCAACTACACTGGAACACATAATGATGTAGTTAGATAAGCTTGTGCCTAAATATGAAATCAGGTAAAATTCTGATGATTTAAGTAGATCGTTTTGGTGGTTCAGACATCTGGTTATTTGCTTTCAGCGATATAACTGATATAACGTTGGACAATACTTCGTAATATTTTTATGAAAACTGTGATCAGTCTTCTCTTGATTTGCACTGTAGCTGGCAGTATAAGTGTAGCCTAAATAAGAATCATGAAATAAAGTGGACATAGGTTTTAAGCGCAGATCAAGACTGGTGGGACAGGTCTTGTCACATGATTTGTGCATATGATATTATAATATCTGTGGGCAGGGAGGGGTATGTCTATGGTTTATATTGATGACAGGCTGAGCAAAGAAGGTCACAAATCTCAAGTGGAAGAATTGAAATTAGACATTGAGAGGAGATCCCTTAGAGTGACGCAGAGACATTTTAACATGTTTCACATGAAGGATTGGAGTTGTCTTGTCTGTCAATTTTAATGATAAGGAGTTATTCTGTGTCGTGTGAGAAAGCTTGGACTAAATGTCTATGTGATGGTATGTTAGCCAGCATCCAGTCAGGGAAAGAGGCTGCTATGGTTATTTTTAACATAGAGAATTTAATACCAGAGCTTTGTTAAACAGCTGTTGAAGTATTGAACAGGTAGAAAAAGAGAACTGTGAGGAAATGTGTAGATAGTAGCTGCAGCAAACAGCTACTGCCCTAGTGCTGGAGGATCGAAAGGAAGGGGTTGGGAGATACCAGAACCTAGAGGCTTGGAGCTGGGACCCAGAGCTGAGGAGATGCTGCCCAGCTGGTACTGGGACCTTGGAGATCTGGAATAAACTGGTCTCCTAGTAACTCTTCCAGAATCAAATCAACAAGTGTGGGTTCCTACTCTCTGTGGGGTATCACCACCTATCTTGGAGTATTCTATGTGGGTGTCAATCAATAATGATTCTTAAAACAGAAGTCAGGGATTATACCTATGAATAATAATACCTTTCCTACCTTTTATTCTTGCTCTTACATTGCCTAGAATGATGGGACTACTTAGGTCTAGGCAAAGTACACTAAACCATATTATTGAATTCCTTTCAGAACGCTCTATATCAAATGAAGCTGGTATATTTGAAAAGTGTTCAGAACATTCCCAGAGTAATAATGCAAAGCAAGACCATGACCTCCTTTTCAGAATTTCTTTATAGTCTCAATTATATTTGAAAGAATAATGGTAGGCAATACATAGATAACACTTATGATATGGTAGATGCTATTTTAAGTACTTGAAATTTTAATTTTTTAAATGAGAGATTATCTCATTTAAGCTGTCAAAAACCCAGTGGAGTGGGTACCATTATGTTAGTTGTTGTTGTTGTTATTATGACTCCTGTTTTACAAATGAAAAAACTAAGGTGTAACTGAGTAATTTTCGCAAGGTCATACAGCCTGTAAGTGGCAGAGTCAGGATTTGAACCAGCCACTTTGGCTCTAGAATACATGCTTTTAATCACTAAGCCATACTGGCTATGTGTGTGTGAGTGTGTGTGTGTGTGCGCACGCACGCACGTGTGTATGCACATATATACACATCTATGTATATATTCACACACATATATATACACATGCACATACACACACACACACACACACACACACACACAGGTATTTTTATAATCTGTTTTTTACTTATCCGTGGATGGATGTCTGGATAGCAAATCTATTTATTTCTTTAGCAATGATGTACCTAGTAGAAACGTTGTCTTGGGAATTAGGAGAATGAGGCTTAAAAAACTCATTCTTGGCACTAACTTTGAGACTTCAAGAGACTAACATTTGAATCTGTACTCTTTGTAAAATGAGGAAGCTGAATGAAATGACTTAAGATATTCCTTTCTTCTTATCGTTGTTTTATGATTTGTGAGGATCCTGGTCACCTTTTAGGAACTGGGAGCTAGTGAGGAAACCTGATTTTCAGGATGAGTTAGCAAAGTTTCCTAAGATGTGCCAGACATAGACTTGGTAGTGGTGGTGCTATCGGTAGCTAAGTAGCTAGGGATTGTCAAGGACAAAGAGATTAAAGACTTGTTTTATTCAGATATTTGGGTACTGTGGGGTTGGCAATTTCATTTTCTATTTTTGCTGTTACTTTCATATTTTTCTACATCCAGAAATTAATCTTTTGAGGAACTGGCAAAGCACTGCTTAGAAGCCATTTCATCTCAAGATTTAGCCATGAGAGGATGGTCTTTTCTGCTGTCTTCACTTAACCCTCAAGGGCTGTCTACTCTCAATTTATACATAATCTATCTATAAACTCATCTTTGATCTGAAGACTGGAGACCTGGAGTCCAGATACCAGAAATTGCCTAGAATAGTCTAGTAAAAACACTCCCACTTTAGAAGATGGGAGATGTGACGGTTTAGGAAACCCTATAAGGTTAAGGAAGGGGACATGGGTGTGTGTGGGGGTGGGTGTCTGCAGGGGGTACAGCTTTTCTCTTATTCTCCAAGCAGTGACACTCACCTTTACGCTCATGCATTCTCCATTTTGCTTCCTGATTCTTTTCTCAAACCAACATTTTCCAAGTCTTGATTTTTAGGAAAGAATTGAGTCTATGAAGTATTTCCATAAACGGGTTATATCACAGCATGTAGCACTTATCAGCAGGTCTGTAAAATTTATGGGTTTATTTAGAGTCAAAATGGATTTCAAATTAGGTTCTGAGAGTTGCCAAATGTTATATTTGATGTTGTCTTTGGTAAATTTAGAAGAAAAGAATAGTTTTGGCTCCTGTTCAGTAGTGAAGTTGAATGCAGATGCATAGTTTGTTTTCCAAGTAACTTCTAATCTTTGAATTGCATCAGGATAGCTTTTACTATTTATCATATTTTGGAGTAAAATAACTATGTATCATTATCATAGTGGCTGTCATTCATTCTGTACACAGTCCAGAAGCATGAGGTTGCTAAGGAAAGTGTGTGTGTGTGTGTGTGTGTGTGTGTGTGTGTGTACACGCGCATGCATGTGTAAAATGTAGGCCTATATTTGTGTATGCTGAAGAGGGTGGGCAGTAAGAACCAGTGGTACCTTAATAGGGTGCACAGATGGTTTGTTCCTAATTATAGGAGAAGAAAGAAACAAAGTCACTATTGCATCTCTGAACTTGTGGTGATGGTTCTTTTGTCTGGAGCTGGGTTTGAATTCAGCGATAGGGTCTCAGAAAATTTTCTTAGAGCTATGTCAGACTGAGAGGGGTCCATTGGAGGCACTTCATCCATCCTGCATAGTCAGATACTGGAAGCTTGAAGCAAAGATTTTTTTTTTTCTTCTTGAGCCAGGTGGCTCATTTTCCTGATGACAGAAAAAGTTAAGAAGCAGGGTGAGTGCGGGCCAGGCGCGGTGGCTCACACCTGTAATCTCAGCACTTTGGGAGGCTGAGGCAGGCGGATCATGAGGTCAGGAGATCGAGACCATCCTGGATAACATGGTGAAACCTTGTCTCTACTAAAAATACAAAAAATTAGCCGGGCATGGTGGCGGGTGCCTGTAGTCCCAGCTACTCGGGAGGCTGAGGCAGGAGAATGGTGTGAACCTGGGAGGCGGAGCTTGCAGTGAGCCGAGATCATGTCACTGCACTCCAGCCTGGGCGATAGAGTGAGACTCCGTCTCCAAACAAACAAACAAACAAACAGACAAACAAAAAAAAAACCAGGGTGAGTGCATTTTACTAAAACATTCTGCTTTTGGTTGACACTCAGTTGTGAAGTTGTCACCCTTGGTAGTTCTTGTTTAAATTTATCATCTTTAGAGGGGAAAACTCATACTGTGGGTAATATGATGATGAAATGGCACGACAGAAGTTCCATTTGATGCCTCAGCACCCTAACATGACACTTGGTCTCTGTGTGCATGCTTCTGCATTAGTCTATGGCCAGTTGTCTTTGTTGAACTATATTTGGATAAAAGAGTTCTTGTGACTTAATTAAATTTCAGGCAACACAGGTGACAACATTTTTGTTTTAGGAGGTAGAATGGAAGCATTAGAGGTAATTCTAGCTTGATCATCCCACTTTCTGGAAATGACAGATAGAGGCAGTATATAGCACAGCATAGTGGCTAAGGGTATAGAATGTGACGGATGTGAGATTGAATCCCAGTTCTGTCCTGACCAGCTCTGGGACCTTGAGCAAGTGACTTACCCTTTCTAAGGGATAATATCTGTACCTACCTCATAGAAACCTGGAAAAATTAAATAAGGCGATACATTATGCTAGAATTTTAGTATAATGCCTGGTACATGAGAAATGCTACTATGTTAAGTAGCGCATTATGAGATTAGCACAGATGGTAAACCAGATCTTTTCCTATCACCTTTCACCAGATGTAGACCTTGTGAAGGCAAAAGATTGTTATTTCTTTTTTTTTTTTTTTTTTGAGACGGCGTCTCACTCTGTTGCCCAGTTTGGAGTGCAGTGGCGTGATCTCGGCTCACTGCAAGCTCTACCTCCCAGGTTCACGCCATTCTCCTGCCTCAGCCTCCCGAGTAGCTGGGAATACAGGCGCCCGCCACCACACCCGGCTAATTTTTTTTTTTTGTATTTTTAGTAGAGATGGGGTTTCACCATGTTAGCCAGGATGGTCTCGATCTCCTGACCTCGTGATCCACCCACCTGGGCATCCCACCGTGCTGGGATTACAGGCGTGAGCCACTGTGCCTGGCCGAAGATTGTTATTTCACTGAGTATTTGAGAGTCCACAGCTTGCTGTGTGAATAGTAAGGCAAAGTAACTGCACTCACCTTATGTTCTAATGAAAGTAGCAATCAGTGAGTAAATACCTATGATGTAATTTCTTGGGGGTTAATAAGTGCTATAGGGAGAAACAAAGCAGAATAATGGGTTTCAGAGGGATGAGGAGAATATTGTAGAAAGGACATTTAGGGAAGGCTTCTCTGATTTGAGTGAAGAGTGTGGCATCTGCAGACCTAAGGAAGAGTGTTCCCAGAAGAGAAAAAAAGCAAGTGCATTATGTCCTGATTTGATTGAGGTACAGCCAGGTCATTTTGGTTCTTATAGACTGAGATAGGAAGTTCAGAGATTTCAAGTGTGATAGGAACTCTTCCAAGGGTTTTAAGTAAAGAATTAACATGATGTAACTTACATTTTAAAAAAGGACATCGTGTTACCATATTGAGAATAGTCCGGATGGGAAAGCAAGAGTGAAAACAAGACAACCAGTTAGGTTATTGTAGTAGCCCTGGGGAGAGAGATGGTCGCTGGGACTAGCATCATGGTGGTGGTGGTGGGTTTAGATTCAGAGTAGGTTTTGAAGGTAGAGCCAATGGGACTTGCTGAGGATTGGTTGTGCAGCAATAAGAAACAGAAGAATCAGTGAATACCTCTAGGTGTTTGGTTTGAACATGTAGTGAATGGCAATACAATTTCCTGAGATGGAGAAATCTGGAATTGGGGGTCAGAGATCAGGTTTCTGTTCTGAAAATAATTGTATTTGAGATACCTATTAGTTCTTCAAGTGGGGATGTTGGGTACATGGTTGGATATACAAATCTGGAGCTCTGGAGTGAAGTGGGAGATAGAGATAGAAATGTAGGAGTTAACAGCATAGAGATGATATTTGATGTCATAAGACTGCAAAGGACCAACCCAAAGGAGGGAGTGAGGATGGAGAAAATGGCCAATAACTGAGCCATGAAGAAATCAACATTGGAGGCTAGAAAGAGGAAGAAACTAAGAAGATGCAGGCAAT
Organism: Homo sapiens; assembly: GCF_000001405.40. Lineage (NCBI taxonomy): Eukaryota > Metazoa > Chordata > Mammalia > Primates > Hominidae > Homo > Homo sapiens. The sequence goes on along the minus strand of NC_000009.12, from coordinate 4,263,839 downwards.
GAGGTAGGAAGAAAACCAGGGTAGAGGGTGTCTCAGAAACCAAGTTAACAAGTGAAAGGAAGGAAGGAGTGATCAACTAGGCCAGATGTTGCTGAGACGTCAGATAAGATGAAGCCACAAAATACTCTATTGCATTGGGGAAGATGAAGGTCACTACTGACCTTGACAGGAGTTCAAAGGCCATGTTGTGGCTGGCTTTTTCACTTCTGTGTCTCTGGTGACATACAGTATTTGGAAAATGACAGAAACTTTAAAACATCTGTAGAATGAATGGATGAATGAATGAATGAATGAATTGACAAACCTGAATTTCCTCCTTTTTTTTTGGCCTCAATGCAATCTTTGCTTGTCTTAGACTTTATTTTTCTTTTAGTCTTGCCAGGGGCAAAATTATATGATTATCAATAAAACATACACCTGGCATCTTCTTTCTCTGTTAGTCTGTATTTGGTTCAACATTTATCTCACATGTCAATTAATGAAAAACATCTAAACCATAATAGTTCTTAATAATTGTCTACATTATACTGTAGAGTGAAGTCGTTTTTAAAAACGTGATCTCACCCATCAACACAGAATCACCTGTCCTCTCTGTCCCAGAGTCTGCAGAATATGTCTGTGAGCCACTGAGAAGTTTATCACTTACCCAAAGGATGCTGTGAATTGAATGTGGAACACTTTTAAAAGGGCAGGGCAGAGGTTACTTCAGAGGTCAAGCCCATGGCCATTTCAGTGTGGGTTACATTTTTCTTACTGTGAAATGTAAACCAGAAAGGATACTCCTGATTGGTTGCACTGGAAACATTCTAGCCTTGCCTTTTTCCAAACTATTCTCTGAAGGCACCCTGGGGTGCCACAGTGAATTCATGGAGAGGCTGTGGGATTTTTTTTTTTTTTTTTTTTTTTGAGGCAAACACTGAAACAATCAACATCTGTCAGCTACCATGTGAACTACGGGCTTAAGGTAGTTCATAGTTTTAACACTAGATCACTACATTCCTTTCGGTGAAGTCATATCTGTGAAAAGCTGGGCTTTCAGGGGATGCTGTGATAAATAGCCAGTGTGGTATAAAAATCAATGTGAAGCAGGAAATGGGGTGGCAGAATCCCATCTAATTCCAAAGTTAGAAAAGCTGCATAGTGCCCAGCAGCACATAGGTCTCATTGAAAATTTTGGCTATATAAGAATGAAATAAAAATACCACCTTCTCATCAATTTATATCTTTTTCTTTTCAAATAGTTACTAAGTTGTTAGGACGTAAATATTTATTGAGTTGTTTGGATCTACCTATTTAACTCATGGAACTGTTAGGTATTCCTCTCTGCCTAGAAGTATAATGAAAAAAATACCTGAGACGCCAGAGTGACATGGACTGAGAACATTTGAGAACCTCCGATTTAGCCTCTTGGGCCCCCATCCCGCTGCCCTCTCCAGCTTGCTTGTTTGCTGCCCTGCATCCTTCCCAAATCCATGCCACTCAGCACTCTGTCAAGTGTTTCTGTGAGCCACTGAGTGAATTTGCAAAAATAGCGGGTGTCAGTGAGCAGTGCAGTTTCTCTCAAATGAGGATTTTTACCTTATATCTTGTTGGGGGCCTCAAGAAATGGCTAGTGACACCTCCCATCCAGGAGGTAGCCGGAGAGTTTTCCGTCTCCTTTTCCTTTTTCTCCCCCTTGCACTGCACTATGGCTCCCAGATCCGAGAGCACTCTTCAGTCACATAGTTCAGACACATGGTTAAGGAGACTGTTTGGACTAGACCGGGTCTCTTTCTAGCCATTCATTGCTGTTTTATTTTCCTCTCCATGAAAATATGTTCTAAGCACTAGACAACCACCTTACACAGGAACTTTTAGAACACAGCCCTTTGTATCATGGGGACCCCCTGCATCTGCTGGAGAGCCCTCTTTGGAGACAGTATTACAGGGTACACTAGTTGCGATGTGCTATAATTGGCTCTTAAAAACTCAAAGAAGTCCATATCTGTTCATAGCAAGAGTATGTTTTTTTGAGATTCAAGATAAGAGAGTGAAAAGGACCTATTTTCATGGGTTTGTGAGGCAGTGCCGCTTGCTTTAAAGACTCTCTGAAATGGGAATTGCGTTTAGTGAAATTGCGGGTTTATGGCCATTGACAAAGATGAAAGGCAGAGAAGTGAGTGAGTTACGTAATGTGGCTCCATCCATTCGCTCAGGGGCATTCTAAGGGCTGCCTTTCTTTGCTGAGTAGAGTAACCCTCTTGAGTTCTCTCTCTGGGCCATTGTCACTTCATTTTTGTTACTGGCCTTCTCAGTTTTAGCCTTCAGAATTACTCTGAGCAGTAAGAAAAAGGCCTGGTTTTATTCTACCATAGAGATATTCTTCCCTACCTCTGTTTCTTCCTAATCTCCATGTTTCCATTCATACTTTCACCATCCCTTCTGTTCTCTTTTTATCTTAATCTGTACCCTCCCCTGTCTCCCTTTCTTCCCTCCTCTTCCATCCCTATTTCTCTTCTCTTTGCTTCCATTATGGCAGAGTATCAAGTCCCACGTCTCACTCTCATGTATCCCCAGAGGAAAGAGCTGCTCACATTGAATTGGGAGCGTTTATTCTGCACCTGAGTGGAGCATCAGAGCTTTGCAATATTTTCCGTGTTGAACTCATGGATAGAAGTCAGATGATCCTATGAATGAATTTTACCTTGGGATGAGTTAATCAAGACTCAGTTCCCCAGTCAGTTTTCTGGAACGCCATAAAATTTAGGAAGATTAGCTTGTACTTGCTGCTTGGGCTTAAACATCTCTAATTCTAGTACTACATTGTCTTTAGAGCAGTGTTGACCTGTAGAAATATAATTACAGCCACAAATGTGAGCCATGGATGTAATTTTAATTTCTTTAGTATACACATCTCAATTTGAAGTAGCCACATTTCTGTTGCTCAGTAGCTACATATGCTAGTGGCTACCGTATTAGACAGTACAGCCTTAGGCAGTAATACATGGAGAGAAAGAGAGAGAGGTTTCAGGCCAGTAATGAGCCAGAAGTATTTCTTGAGTGAATGGAGCAAGTGTTTGACAAGTCAGTCCTTTTTTTCTTTTTTTTTCTTTTTTGGGACGGAGTCTTGCTCTGTCACCAGGCTGGAGTACAGTGGCACGATCTCGGCTCACTGCAACCTCCGCCTCCCGGGTTCAACAGATTCTTGTGCCTCAGCCTCCTGAGTAGCTGGGACTACAGGTATGCACCACCATGGCCAGCTAATTTTTGTATTTATCTTTTTTTTTTTTTTTTGAGACAGAGTCTCACTCAGTTGCCCAGGCTGGAGTTCAGTGGCACAATCTTGGCTAACTACAACCTCTGCCCCCCGAGTTCAAGCAATTCTCCTGCCTCAGCCTCCCGAGTAGCTGGGATTACAGGCACCTGCCACCACGCCAAGCTAATTCTTGTATTTTTTTAGTAGAGTTGGGGTTTCACCATGTTGGCCAGGCTGGTCTTGAACTCCTGACCTCGTGATCGACCCACCTCGGCCTCCCAAAGTGCTGGGATTACAGGTGTGAGCCACTGTGCCCGGCCTAATTTTTGTATTTTCAGTAGAGACAGGGTTTCACCATGTTGGGCAGGATGGTCTCAATCTCTTGACCTTGTGATCCGCCTGCCTCGGCCTCCCAAAGTGCTAAGATTACAGGCCATCGGGCCTGGCCCAATGTCAGTCTTTTAAGAACCTTAATCAGACACCTGGTCAGCTGAAGGGTATGGGGATTTGGCCTGAAGTGTGTAGATCAGAGGTCACTATCGTTCCTTCTATAGAACCACCTAATTCTCTTTCCTTTCTCCCTCTGTGTTTCCATCTCCCTTGCTTAAATTTCCCCACTTCTTGGAAGTCTAGGGCTTACACAAAGACAAAGTCTGCTGGTGAAAATAACTCAGCAGTTAAGAGCATAAGTAGGTCCTTTAAATCCTGAAAACACATTTTCTCCGTTTTACACCTTAGTTCACATGGCAAAGAAGGAGATTTACTTTTTTTTACAAAATGGCATCTAATTCCAGAAAGGCTCAAAAGCCAGCAATTGGGATACATTTTCTTAGCTCACATGTCACAGTGACAAGAGGGTGCTGCCCACCCCACCCCATCTGTGAATAGAGCAAGTTTGAACAGGTCCTGCCTCCTTCGCTAGGTTAAGCATTATCTTGTGTTATTTGGGTTACTCTTGCATAACACCATTGCAAGCAAAAACTGAAAGCACACCCATTTAACTTTGGTCTCAGTTTGCCCTGAGGACGAAGGGATAGGATTATGGGGTGGGCGGTGGGGGGAGTTAGTGAGTTGTCAACAGCTTGGTAAATAAAATAAGAATATAGTCAACTTAAACTCCTCCCATCTTAGTTCCCCCACCCCTAACTTCCTTGTATTTTCTTCCCTATGAAATGAGGAGTTTGAATTAGATGAGCACTCTCCAGTGTTTTTCATGGGGAGGATCTGTTTTCAATCCCCCATATGTAAAGGGGAAGGTGGAAGGGATCTGACTGCTAGTAGTGGACTGGGGGCTCTTGGTTCTGCAATCAATTAACTCCTCTTAGAAAATATAAATAAATAAATAAATAAATAAATAAATGAAATGAGCAACTGGAGACCCTGACCTTTGGATCTCATGAAATCTGAAGTTTCTCCATATTACCAGTTTCTAGGTTTCTGAGTCTTGCAGAATACTAAAAATGTTCATCTTGCAACAAAGAGATAAGATCCAAGTGGTGAGGTCTTCATTAATTAGAGAAGTATCTGGAATGTTTGGGGAGGAGTTATGCAGGGAGGCAGCAGCAGGCAGGAGATGGCAAACCCACAAGGGTCCATTGGCGTTTCTGGAGTAAAATGGTTTGCTAGGTTATTTCTGGGGCTTTGTGATAGTAAAGTCTGAAAAACTGTGTTTATAAATACGATTGGAAAAGTACAGAGGTTGAATTATTGCCACATGTTAGGAATGTGGAAGGTTGCTTGGATAAATGAGAAAAGAAAGAAAAGAATGCAAGTAATGTCCTGCTGGGGTAGTGCAGTATTTTGTTTCCAGGTAGCTTCAAAGTATTAAATATATTTACATTGACCCATGTAGCTAGCAATTAATAAAACAAATCAATAAATGAGAACATAAGATCACCCCCAGTTCTGCCACTCAAAACTAACTGATGTTTCTGAGGTTTCTAAGGGGTGATTTACAAGTGAACATGGTTCCCCTTGGTGATGATGTCCTCAAAAGCAAAGGCCATCTTCCAGATATGTGAATTCTTTACCCATTATGAATCTTGTTTTGTTAAAGTAACTTTTTCTTTCAGGATAATTTTAGATTTACAGCAAAGTTGCAAAGATAATAGGAAGACAAAGCCCCAAAGACAAATTCCCAACACTTCCTAGCAGGCCAGTTCTCTGACTAAGGTAACTGAACTTTAAGGTATTTCCCAATACCGTCTTACTCACCAATATGACCTAAATTACCTTATATTACATTTATCAAAATTAAGAAACCAGCATTGGTATATATATGTTACTGTAAACTAAAACTGTAGACTTTATTCAGATTTCACTATTCTTTATGGATCTTTTATGTATGATTTTAAGTCCTTTTTTGAATTCTGATATTGTCTCTAGTACCTCTTTATTTAAATAATGTTGTTTTCCTCCCTCTGAAAACAAAAAAGACGTATTTTTTTTCATTGTAGAATTAGGAAAGTACTGAAAATAGAAAGAATAAAATAAAATTAACCCTAGCCCTACTGCTGTTCTAGTTTTGTGTTGTGTGTACATAGGCATACATTAGCAAATGAAGTTCATTATGCCTACAGTATTGTTTTGAATTGTGTGTTTTTTATATAATATTAGCTTGGTAGAAATTTAATTAAAAATCTTCAAATTAGATATAAATGTGTATTTTTTGTTGTATATACTTAAAATGTAAAACACGATATTTTAATATACATATTAAACATATACATGTTGGCCGGGCGCAATGGCTCACACCTGTAATCCCAGCACTTTGGGAGGCAGAGGCGGGCAGATCATGAGGTCAGGAGATCGAGACCATCCCGGCTAACACAGTGAAACCCCATCTCTACTAAAAATAAAAAAAATTAGCCGGGCGTGGTGGCAGGCACCTGTAGTCCCAGCTACTTGGGAGGCTGAGGCAGGGGAATGGCCTGAACCCGGGAGGCGGAGCTTGCAGTGAGCCGAGATTGTGCCAGTGCACTCCAACCTGGGCGACAGAGCGAGACTCCGTCTCAAAAAATAACAACAACAACAACAACATATACATGTTAATTTGTCAAGCAAATTAACATGTCTATCATCTTATATAGTTACCTTTCTTTCTTTTGGTTTGCTTTTTTGTGGTAAGAGTACCCAAAATCTATTCCCTTGCCAAATTACCAATATGCAATACAATATTATTAACTTTAGTCCTTATGCTGTATGTTAGACTCTAGACTTGTTTATTTTACATAACTGCACCTTTGTGCCCTTTGACTTGCATCTCACATCCCCACCCCACTCATCTACTCTCTGCTTCTATGTACTGTATTCAATTTTTAAAAATTTTAGATTCCACATATGAGATCATGCACTATTTTTCTTTCTCTGTGTGGCTTATACTTAGCATAATATCCTCTAGGTTCATCCATATTGTCATAAATGGCAGTATCCCTTTCTTTTAAAGGCTTAATAATACTCCATATGTACACATCAACAGACAAATGGATAAAGAAGTTGTGGTATACATACATATATGCATACATATGTACACATACATATGTACACATAATACATAATACCTATATGTACATTAATATTAACACATATATGTACTATATATGTGTTAATATGTATGTATACCACAACTTCTTTGTCCATTCATCTGTTGAGGGACATTTCAGTTGTTTCAATATCGTGGCTATTGAGAATAATGCTTCAGTGAACATGGGAGTACAGATATCTTTACAAGACAGTGATTTCCTTTCCTTTGGGTGTATATTCAGATGAGATATTGCTGGATCGTATGGTAGTTCTCTTAACTTTTTTGATGAGCTTCCGTACTCTTTTGTGAATGTGTAATTTTTAAAAAGTCATATTCTACTGTGTAATTACTCATTCTCCTATTGATAAACAGCCCTTAGGCTCTTTCTACTTTTGTCTACAATAAAGTGAATTTTAATGTGAATTGTGTTACGTAGACCTTTTACTACCTCTCTGATGATGATCTAGGAGTAGAATTACTGGATCAATAGGCCTGATGTTTAATATATGTTGCCAACTTACCATTCAGAAAGATCATACCAGTTTCTATTTCCAAAGTGTCCTTTAGGATGCTCACCAAACTTCAATTTTACCGGCATTCAACATCATAATTTTTAATCTTTCACAATTTAAGAGGTGAAAAATTAGATGTCTTTATTATTTTAAATTGGATTTCATTGATTGTTACTAAAGTTGTCCAGGTATTTTCTTAGCTTATGCAAATTAACATTTCATACTTAATATTAAAACATTAACCTTTCATACTTAATGTAAAACCATCACTAATTTAATTTGCTGAATGGTATGATACAAAGATCTAAAAGGACTCTTTTTTTGCACAGTGTTCCCCCAAATTAGAATTAAATATTGCCTCTCTTATTCTCATTGAACTGTGATGCTCTTTTTAATAGAGGTGCTTTACCTGGGGTCGCTCATCTGTTCCAGTGTCTTTTCTGTATCTTCAGCCAATACCATTGTTATTTTACCTTTATGACTCTTTTAAATAAGGGCTTGGGCAAGTTTGTTATCCTTTTTTAAAAAAAAAATAGACTTAGTTTTTAGAACAGTTTTAGGTTCACAGCAAAATTGAGCAACAGGTACAGAGATTTCCCATATACTCCCTGCACGCATATATACATAGCATTCGCCATTATCAACATCCCCACAGAGTAGTACACTCGTTACAGTGGATGAACCTGCATTGACACATCATGATTACCCAGAGTCCATAGTTTACCTTAGGGTTCACTCTTATTGTACATTCTATGAGTTTGGGCAAATTTATAGTGACATGTATCTAGTATTATAGTGTAATATAGAATAGTTTCACTGCCCTAAAAATCCTCTGTGCCCTGCCTATTCATCCCTCCCTTTCCCCTAGCTCTTGGCAACCACTGATCTTTTTACTCTCTATAGTTTTGCCTTTTCCAAAATATCATATAGTTGGAATTATACAGTATGTAGCCTTCTCAGACTGGCTTCTTTCACTTAGTAATATGCATTTAAGTTTTCTACATATCTTGTCATGGCTTGATAGCTCATTTCTTTTTAGCACTGAATAATATTCCATTGTCTGGATATACGACTGTTTATCCATTCACCCACTGATGGGCATCTTGGTTACTTCCAAGTTCTGCCAACTGTGAATAAAGTTGCTATAAACATCTATGTACAGGTTTTTTTTGTGTGTGGACCTAAGTTTTCAACTCCTTTGGGTGATACCAAGGAGCACAGTCACTGGGACATATGGTAAGGATATATTTAGTTTGGCAGGAAACCACCATACTGTCTTCCAAAGTAGCTGTACCATTTTGCATACCCACCAGCACTGAATGAGAGTTCCTGTTGCTCCACATTCTTGTCAGCATTTGATGTTGTCAGTGTTCTGAATTTAGGTAGTCATGATAGGTGTGTAATGGTATCTCACTATTATTTTAATTTGCCTTTCTCTGATGATGTATGATGTTGCAGATCTTCTCATATGCTTATGTGACATCTGTATATCTGGTGAAATGTCTGCTAAGGTCTTTAGCCTATTTTTTAATAGGGATGGTTGTTTTCTCATTGTTGAGTTTTAAGAGTTCCTTATATATTTTGGATATTTAAATATACTACAAATAAACAGTCCTTTAACAGATAAATGTTTTGCAAATATTTTCTCTTAGTCTGTGGCTTCTGTCTTTATTCCCTTGAAGGTGTCTGTCACAAAGCAGTTTATCTTTTTTTCTTTTTTTTTTTTTTTTGAGACGTAGTCTTGCTCTGTTGGCCAGGCTGGAGTGCAGTGGCACGGTCTTGGCTCACTACAACCTCCGCTTCCCAGGCTCAAGCAATTCTCCTGCCTCAGCCTCCCGAGTAGCTGGGATTACAGGCGTTTGCCACCATGCCCGGCTAATTTTTGTATTTTTAGTAGAGATGGGGTTTCACCATGTTGGCCAGGCTGGTCTTGAACTCCTGACCTCAGGTAATCTGCCTGCCTCAGCCTCCCAAAGTGCTGGGATTACAGACGTGAGCCACCGTGCTGGGTCATTTCTTATCTTTTTGTTCCCAAAATGTTTTAGCTCTTCTAACCCTTCCAGATAAACTTTGGCACATTTTGTCTGTTTCCATAAAGGCAGTATTTACTGTCAGGACTTTCATTGGAATTGCTTTATAATGGCTAGTCTTCTCCACCAGTAGTATAGTATATGTCTCTATTCAGTCTTTTAAAAAATTCTGTATTTCTCAAGATGATTTGTAATTTTCTTCAGACAGATCCAACACGTTTCTTGGTAAAGTTGCTTTGCATTGTTTTTGATGTTGTTGATATCATGAATGGACTCTTTATTCTCACGTATCTTCTGATTGGTTTTACTAATAGAGGTTATTAAACAGGGCTTTAATCTTATTTATGTTTGTACACTTTATGCCTAGCCTGTTATGTGACATGCAGTAAATATTAAATAAATGTTTGTTGAAATGAACAACCAGTTTTAGGAAATCTGTCTGGTTAACCAGTCATCATTAAATTCTCTTCCTCGAGGTGGCTGGCAAGATGGCCAAATAGGAACAACTCAGGTCTGCAGCTCCCAATGAGGCAGAAGGCAGGTGATTTTTGCATTTCCAACTGAGGTACCTGGCTCATGTCATTGGGACTGGTTAGACAGTGAGTGCAGCCCATGGAGGGAGAGTTGAAGCAGGGTGGGGCGTCACCTTACCCGGGAAGTGCAAGGGGTCAGGGAACTCCCTCCCCTAGCCAGGGGAAGCCATGAGGGACTGTGCTGTGAGGAATGGTGCATTCCAGCCCAGATACTGCGCTTTTCCCATGGTCTTCACAACCTGCAGACCGGGATGTTCCCTTGGATGCCTACACCACCAGGGCCGTGGGTTTCAAGCACAAAACTGGGCGGCCGTTTGGGCGGACACCCAGCTAGCTGCAGGAGTTTTTTTCATACCTCAGTGGCACATGGAACGCTAGCGAGACAGAATCGTTCACTCACCTGGAAAGGGGGCTGAAGCCAGGGAGACAAGTGGTCTAGCTCAGCGGATCCCACCCGCACAGAGCCCAGCAAGCCAAGATCCACTGGCTTCAAATTGTCACTGTCAGCACAGCAGTCTGAAGTCAACCTGGGATGCTCGAGCTTGGTCGGGGGAGCGTCATCCACCATTACTGAAGCTTGAGTAGGTGGTTTTCCCCTCATAGTGTAAACAAAGCCACGGGGAATTTCAAACTGGGCAGAGCCCACTGCACCTTGGCAAAGCCACTGTAGCTAGACTGCCTCTGTAGATTCCCCCTCTCTGGGTATCTCTAAAGAAAGGCAGCAGCCCCAGTCAGGGGCTTGTAGATAAAACTCCCATCTCCCTGGGACAGAGCACCTGGGGAAAGGGGCGGCTGTGGGCCCAGCTTCAGCAGACTTAAACGTTCCTGCCTGCCGGCTCTGAAGAGAGCAGCGGATCTCCCAGCACAGCGCTTGAGCTCTGCTAAGGGACAGACTGCCTCCTCCAGTGGGTCCCTGACCCCTGTGCCTCCTAATCGTGAGACACCTCCCATCAGGGGTTGACAGAGACTTCATACAGGAGAGCTTCAGCTGGCATCTGGCAGGTGCCCCCCTGGAATGAAGCTTCCAGAGGAAGGATCAGGCAGCAATTTTTGCTGTTCTGCAGCCTCCACTGGTGATACCCAGGCAAACAGGGTCTGGAGTGGAGCTCCAGCAAACTCCAGCAGACCTGCAGCAGAGGGGCCTGACTGTTAGAAGGAAAACTAACAAACAGAAAGGAATAGCATCAACATCAGCAAAAAGGACGTCCACACAAAAACCCCACGCAAAGGTCACCAACATCAAAGACCAAAGACAGATAAATCCACGAAGATGAGGGAAATCCAGCACAAAAAGGCTGAAAATTCCAAAACCCAGAACACCTCTTCTCCTCCAAAGGATCACAACTCCTCACCAGCAAGGGAACAAAACTGGATGGAGAATGAGTTTGATGAATTAACAGAAGTAGGCTTCAGAAGGTGGCTAATAACAAACTCCTCTGGAGGAAGCTAAAAGGGCAGTTCTAACCCAATGCAAGGAATTTAAGAACCTTGAAAAAAGGTTAGAGGAATTGCTTACTAGAATAATAAGTTTAGAGAGAACATAAATGACCTGATGGAACTGAAAAACAGCACAAGGACTTCATGAAGCATACCCACGTATCAGTGGCTGAATTGATCAAGCGGAAGAAAGGATGTCAGAGATTAAAGATCAACTTAATGAAATAAAGCATGAAGACAAATTTACAGAAAAAAAGAATGAAAAGGAATGAACAAAGCCTCCAAGAAATATGGGACTATGTAAAAAGACCAAACCTACATTTGATTGGTGTACCTGAAAGTGACGGGGAGAATGGAACCAAGCTTTAAAACACTCCTCAGGATATTATCCAGGAGAACTTCCCCAACCTAGCAAGACAGGCCAACATTCAAATTCTGGAAATACAGAGAACACCACAAAGATACTCCTTGAGAAGAGCAACCCCAAGACACATAATTATCAGATTCACCAAGGTTGAAATGAAGGAAAAAATGTTCAGGGCAGCCAGAGAGAAAGGTCCGGTTACCCACAAAGGGAAGCCCATCAGACTAACAGCAGATCTCTCGGCACAAACCCTACAAGCCAGAAGAGAGTGGGGGCCAATATTAAACATTCTTAAAGGAAAGAATTTTCAACCCAGAATTTCATATCCAGCCAAACTAAGCCTCTTAAGTGAAGGAGAAATAAAATCCTTTACAGACAAGCAAATGCTTAGAGATTTTGTCACTACCAGGCCTGCCTTACAAAAGCTCCTGAAGGAAGCACTAAACATGGAAAGGAAAAACTGGTACCAGCCACTGCAAAAACATACCAAATTGTAAAGACCATCGACACTGAAGAAACTGCATCAACTAATGGGCAAAATAACCAGCTAGCATCATAATGACAGGATTAAATTCACACATGAAAATATTAACCTTAAATGTAAGTGGGCTAAATGCCCCAATTAGACGCAGATTGGCAAATTGGGTAAAGACTCAAGACTCATTGGTGTGCTGTATTCAGGAGACTCATCTCACATGCAAAGACACACATAGGCTCAAAATAAAGGGATGGAGGAATATTTACCAAGCAAATGGAAAGCAAAAAAAAAAAAAAAAGATTGCAATCCTAGTCTCTAATAAAACAGACTTTAAACCAACAAAGATCAAAAAAGATAAAGAGGGGCATTACATAATGGTAAAGCGATTAACACAACAAGTAGAGTAAACTATCCTAAATATACATGCAGTCAATACAGGAGGACCCAGATTCATAAAGCAAGCTCTTAGAGACCTACAAAGAGACGTAGAGTCCGAAATAATAGTAGTGGGAGACTATAACAGCACACTGCCAATATTAGACAGATCAATGGGACAGAAAATGAACAAGGATATTCAGGACTTGAACTCAGCTCTGGACCAAGTGGACCTAATAGACATTTACAGAACTCTCCACCTCAAATCAACAGAATAAGCATTCTTCTCAGCACCACATCACATTTATTCTAAAATTGACCACATAGTTGGAAGTAAAACACTCCTCAGCAAATGCAAAAGAATGGAAATCATAAGTCTCCCAGACCACAGTGCAATCAAATTAGAACTCAAGATTAAGAAACTCACTCAAAACCGCACAACTACATAGAAACTGAACAACCTGCTCCTGAATGACTACTGGGTAAATAACGAAATTAAGGCAGAAATAAATAATTTCTTTGAAACCAATGAGAACAAAGACACAACGTACCAGAATCTCTGGGACACAGCTAAAGCAGTGTTTAGAGGGAAATTTATAGCACCAAATGCCCACAAAAGAAGGTGGGAAAGATTTAAAATTGACACCCTAACATCACAGTTAAAAGAACTAGAGAAGCAAGAGCAAACAAATTCAAAAACTAGCAGCAGACAAGAAATAACTAAGATCAGAGCAGAACTGAAGGAGATAGAGACACAGAAACACTTCAAAAAATTAATGAATACGGGAGCTAGGTTTTTGAAAAGATCAACAAAACTGATAGACTGCTAGCAAAACTAATAAGAAAAGAGAGAATAATCAAATAGACACAATAAAAAAATGATAAAGGGGATATCACCACTGATCCCACAGAAATACAAAGTACCATCAGAGAATACTATAAACACCTCTCTGCAAATAAAGTAGAAAATCTAGAAGAAATGGATAAATTCCTGGACACATACACCCTCTCAAGACTAAACCAGGAAGAAGTTGAATACCTGAGTAGGTCAATAACAAATTCTGAAATTGAGGCAATAATAGCCTACCAACCAAAAAAAGCCCAGGACCAGATGGATTCACAGCCGAATTTTACCAGAGGTACAAAGAAGTGCTGGTACCATTCCTTCTGAAACTATTCCAAACAATAGAAAAAGAGGGAATCCTCCCTAACTCATTTTATGAGGCCAGCATCATCCTGATACCAAAACCTGGCAGAGATACAACAAAAAAAGAAAATTTCGGGCCAATATCCCTGATGAACATCAATGCAAAGATCCTCAATAAAATACTGGCAAACGGAATCCAGCAGCACATCAAAAAGCTTATCCACCACGGTCAAGTTGGCTTCATCCCTAGGATACAAGGCTGGTTCAACATATGCAAATCAATAAATGTAATCCATCACATAAACAGAACCTATGACAAAAACCACATGGTTATCTCAATAGATGCACAAAAGGCCTTCGATAAAATTCAACACAGCTTCATGCTAAAAACTCTCAATAAGCTAGGTATCGATGAAATGTATCTCAAAATAATAAGAGCTATTTATGACAAACCCACAGTCAATATCATACTGAATGGGCAAAAGCTGGAAGCATTCCCTTTGAAAACTGGCACAAGACAAGGATGTCCTCTCTCACCACCCTTATTCAACATAGTATTGGAAGTTCTGGCCAGGGAAGTCAGGCAAGAGAAAGAAAGAAAGAGTGTTCAAATAGGAAGAGAGGAAGTCCAATTGTCTCTGTTTGCAGATGACATGATTGTATATTTAGGAAACCCCATTGTCTCAGCCCCAAACCTCCTTAAGCTGATAAGCAACTTCAGCAAAGTCTAGGGATACAAAATCAATGTGCAGAAATCACAAGCATTCCTATACACCAATAATAGACAAACAGCCAAATCATGAGTTAACTTCCATTCACAATTGCTACAAAGAGGATAAAATACCTAGGAATCCAACTTAGAAGGGATGTGAAGGATCTCTTCAAAGAGAACTACAAACCACTGCTCAAAGAAATAAGAGAGGACACAAACAAAGGGAAGGACATTCCATGTTCATGGATAGGAAGAATCAATATCTTGAAGATGGCCATACTACCCAAAGTAATTTACAGATTCAATGCTATCCCCATCAAGCTATTTTCTTTACAGAATTAGAAAAAACTGCTTTAAATTTCATATGGAACCAAAAAAGAGCCCATATAGCCGAGACAACCCTAAGCAAAAAGGACAAAGCTGGAGACATCATGCTACCTGACTTCAAACTATACTACAAGGGTATAGTAACCAAAACAGCATGGTACTTGTACCAAAATAGATATATAGACTAATGGAACAGAACAGAGGCCTCAGAAATAATGCCACAGATCTATAACCACCCCTTCTAAAAGTGGTTGAAGTATACGAACAGACACTTCTCAAAAGAAGACATTTATGTGGCCAACAAACATGAAAAAAATGTCATCATCACTGGTCATTAGAGAAATGCAAGTCAAAACCACAGTGAGATACCATCTCATGCCAGTTGGAATGGCGGTCATTAAAAAGTCAGGAAACAACAGATGCTGGAGAGAATGTGGAGAAATAGGAATGCTTTTACACTGTTGGTGGGAGTGTAAATTAGTTCAACCATGTGGAAGACAGTGTGGCGATTCCTCAAGGATCTAGAACCAGAAATACCATTTGACCCAGCAATCCCACTACTGAGTATATACCCAAAGGATTATAAATCATTCTACTACAAAGACACATGCACACATATATTTATTGCAGCACTATTTACAATAGCAAAGAGTTGGAACCAACCCAAATGCCCATCAATGATAGACTGAATAAAGAAAATGTGGCACATATACACCATGGAATACTATGCAGCCATAAAAAAGAATTGAGTTCATGTCCTTTACAGGGACATGGATGAAGCTGGAAACGATCATTCTCAGCAAATCAACACAGGAAAAGAAAACCCAATACCACATGTTGTCACTCCTAAGTGGGAGTTGAACAATGAGAACACAGGGAAACATGGAGGGGAACATCACACACTGGAGCCTGTTGGGGGATGGGGGGCTGGGGGAAGGATAACATTAGGAGAAATAAGTAATGTAGATGACAGGTTGACGGGTGCAGCAAACCATTATGTCACGTGCATACCTATGTAACAAGCCTGGACGTTCTGCACATGCATCCCAGAACTTAAAGTATAATAAGAAAAAAGTTGAATTCATAGAAGAATAATGGTTCTCAGAGACAGTGGGTAGGAGAGGAGTGAAGGGATGGGGAATTACTGGTCCAAGGGTACAGAGTTTCAGCTACACAAGAGTAGTTGAGATCTACTGCACAGCAGGATGACTGTAATCAATAATATGTTGTATATTTCAAAATAACTGAGAGTAATTTCAAATGTATCACCACAAAAGTATCAATGAAGTGAAGTGATGGATATGCTAATTAGCTTGATTTAATCACTGCAAATTATAGACATATATCAAAACATCACATTGTACTACATAAAAGTAAAATAATTATGAGAAAACTTCTCTTAATTTAGTTTTTCGGTTTATAATCTTGGGATTTTCTCAGTATACTATCATAATCTACAAGTAATAATAGCTCTGTTACTTCTTTTAATATTTAAATATTTGTTTTTTTATCTTACTGAATTGTCTGTATCTTTCCCCAAATGGTAAATTGTAATGGTGATAGTAAGCATTCTTGTCCCTGATTTTAATAGGACATTTCTGGTACAGGAATGAACATTCCTAGGGAATCTGTGGATGGGCTTTAGAGACAGTCTGTTAACCCCCAGAACATATGCGCAAATTTGATTTGATGAGACAGGGTGCATGAGAGGGTGTATTTATAGATCTATTCTTATAATTATTTTTGCATACTTTATATTATGCTTCTGTTTATAATTTTAACCATGTAAATAAGAAATTTTTTTATTTCTGTACTTCTTTTTACCATGAGATTATTATCCTTTATTTGAGTTCACCTTTACTTTTGTTTTAAAACAACCGTACTTTCAGCTTTAAGGCTATATCCCCTTAAAACAACTGCTTGATGAGTCTGTTAGCATAGGGAAAACAGCTATTAAGAGAATTCAAGTAGTTGTGAAATGTAAACTTTGTGGAGACTTGAGATACTTACGAATGGCAGAGGGAGTCTGCTTTTATCGCGCTTTTGGTGTGCACCGAACTCAGGAAGACCAAGGCAAGGAGGGCTGACAAAAGCCATCCATGGATTTTAAAACCCAGAGTGGTTTAAAAACTCAGTTGTTCTAGTGAAAAAATGTGGAACAGACAATTCAACCACTTTTCACAAATGTATTATGCTTAAATCAAACTAGCTGTGAGCTGGCTTGATCTTCTTTATTGCCAATGTTTGGGTAAACAATGTGAAAAAGCCTGGAGAAAATAAGAGATTATCTCATTGGACAATATTCATTAAATAATATTCATAAAAACCAATGAAACACAATTTAAAGTTTTATGTCAGGGGTCCAAAAGAACAGAACTTGAAAAACCCGTTTAAGAACTCCAAATAGCTGCTACAACAGGCCACATGCAGTTTTGTTTTAGGAAATGATAGGAGGTAAAGGATGAGACCAGCTCTTACATATAACTTTAGCACCATTTCATATCAGGTAGCTGCCTTGAGTCAGTAGCAGTTAGTGGGGATACTGAACTCCAGTCTCAGTTTGGAAAATGCTTTGCTGCAGTAATGGGCTATGGCTTCTCAAGCGATTACTCACGGCTTATGTTTTAAGGGAGACATTAGACATCCTGAAACAACTGCAGATGTCACTTAGGGAAAATGCATGGAAATGGTAGCCGTATAAGACCATACCTCTTGAGTTGTGAAAATATCTTACCTTAAACAAGATCCTGAGAAGTCTACTTCCTGTCTACATTCTTGGGAATATCAGTGGCCTGTTTCTTCCTCTGGGCAGTGACTAACTTCATATAAGTTGATTTGTGTATGCAAAGGCTCTTCATTGCTGATCAGCAAAAGCATCACTAACCATTTAAATGAAATAGTTATTTAAAATTGTGTTTAATTTGTTTCTTTTGAGACTGGGTTATGAGACTGGATAATTTTTGTATTTGTGGTAGAGACAGGGTTTCATCATGCTGTCCAGGCTGGCCTTGAACTACTTGCCTCAGCCTCCCAAAGTGCTGGGATTACAGGCATGAGCCACCGTGCCTGGCCTGAAATAGGTATTTTAAGAGGGTTTATTGCTTCTTAGCCTCATGAATGAAATGGGTCCTACTCACAATGGATGTTTCCTTTTCTGGCAGATAGAGGAGGTAGAAACACAGCCGAGAATTACTTTTCTCTGATTTTATGTAGTTTGCTAAGACAGTCTGAAAAAATAAAAATAAATACCGGAGGAAATAATAGAAGATATGAAAGACCAGCAAAACTTGTGAGATTTACCTACTTTGCTAGTCAGTTGAAATTCTGTGTTCAGGCCAACCTTGCATCAATACAGGGCACTTTATTATTATTATTGTTTTTAATTGACACATAGTAACTACATATTTATGGGATATAGTGGTATTTATATACCTGTATATAATGTGTAATGATCAAATCAGGATAATTAGCGTATCCATCACCTCAAACATTGAAAATTATATCAGTTTTCAAAACAATCCTTTCTCCGTGCCATTGGAGTCTAAGGGAGTTGCTTGTTTGTTTCCATTGTTCTTTACTCACTCATTTAAGAAAAACGTATTTAGCATCCACTGCACATCCTTACATTTATATAGCTCTTCGCATTTTTCAAATTGCCTTTCTAATATTGTCTACGTTGTTTCCTGTACATACACCATGAAGTAAGTAGGTCTAGTGTTATGGTTCCTGTTTTATAACATGTAGAACCTGAAAATTGCTTATAATTGAAATTTGGCAAAGTGATGAGTTCGCACCCGAATTTGGGTCTTCCGATTCCTAGGCAACTGTGACTTTTACCTTTTGTAAAACACTTGATCCCGTGTGGAATGCTGAGGGCTGTGGACCACAACAGTCTCTTCTCTGAAAGACATAATAATAATCATTGTGGGTTTGAGGCCACATACCTACAAAAACAATAGAATCCCTCTAAACCAACATGATCTGGACTGATTGTTGCTCAGATCATTAAGAAAACATGGTTCAAGTGGGACGTCATAAATCTGTGATACATACATACCTAGACACGTTACAGCAACTTAGAGCATCTAGATGTGTATTTATTTACCAGTCTTTTGATGTAGAACCAAGATCTTTTATTTGATTAAGGATCTTCTTGGGGTCTACATCAATCATTTTTTCTTGGATAACTCTTCTATAATTTAAAAGTATTCTTTAACGTAGAATGAGAACTTAAAAATATTTGTAAACCACTCTTGAGTGTAGAATCATTTTAGATTTAAAAATTCCTTGTGGTCAGGCATGGTGGCTTACACCTGTAATCTCAGCATTTTGGGAGGCTGAGGCGGGTGGATCACCTAAGGCCAGGAGTTCGAGACCAGCCTGGCCAGCATGGTTGAAACCCTATCTCTACTAAAAATACAAAAATTAGCTGGGTGTGGTGGCGGACACCTCTAATCCCAGCTACTCAGGAGGTTGAGGCAGGAGAATCACTTGAACCCAGGAGGTAGAGGTTGCAGTGAGCCAAGATTGCACCATTGCATTCCAGCCTGGGTGGCAAGAGCAAAACTCCGTCTCAAAAAAAAGAAAAAAAATTCCTTGAGATCTTTAACAGATATCTACCTCACATCTGATTCAGCAGCAGTTTTAAAAAAGCAGTTCACCTTAAAAAAACTCTTTCCAATGTAGTTTTCAGAATAAACAACCTGCTTTCTTTTTGTACTCATTTTATGTAATATTTAATTAAATTATGTAAATACTAACAGCATACGCCTGTCATAAGCATGTCTGACATTAACAGGTTTGGGAACAAACACAATGACTCTTGGTAAGTATCCAAGTCAATTGTTAGGAGCTGAAGTACACTGACATATTAGAAAGTAACTTCCTAGCCAAGTGTATTTACTGTGCCATGTACGTTTCACACAGGCAATGAAGGACATGAGCTATTCTGGTGAGTTGATTGAGAGATTTAGCTGCAATTTAATCTACAGGTGCATGTAACACTAAAGAGGTACAGAGTACGGATGAGCTGAGGTGGCCCTGAAGGATTTATGGAAGGCTTGGAATGTTAGTTAGGGCTGGAAAGATGAGTGGAATTCAGAAAGGAAATTTTAAGTGTTTGTATGCACGTATGTGCATGGGGGTTGAGGCGAGAGTAAGGAGAAGGCAGGGAATGGCCAGATGTTCTCAGCAAGGGAAAGAAGTTCATTTTGTTGTAATACAAAAAAGTGGAATAGTCATGTAGACCCTGCTCTATTCCACATCCTCTTCTAAGCTCCACCTCATGAAGGAAATCTTCCTGTACCAGGTGGGTTAGGTGGGGATTTTGATTTACTTCCTAATGTAAATCATTGTGGTAGTTACAAACTCGACAGCTGTTTAGCCTCCCACCTTCAACGTGGATTACACCTAATCCATTCCAGGCAGATGAGAGGCTACACTATTTTAAGAA
Organism: Homo sapiens; assembly: GCF_000001405.40. Classification (NCBI taxonomy): domain Eukaryota; kingdom Metazoa; phylum Chordata; class Mammalia; order Primates; family Hominidae; genus Homo; species Homo sapiens. Next base: position 4,243,714 of record NC_000009.12, on the reverse strand, counting down.
AACTGCCAGGGAGGCATTTTGATTTTCCTTAGTGATCCACAATGATGTTCTGACACTCTGTAATAACCCTTCACATATTTGAAAATGGCTATTAAATCTTTCTTCCAAGGTCTAGGCTATATTATCCCAAAGCAAAATAACCAGCAAAATAACCATCTTTTCATATATTCTTTATTCTAAATCTACTAAGTAGAGAGAATGCGAAATTAAAATGCTTAGAACCATTTCTCATTGGCAGTTTTCAAGATTACCCTGGTGTTAGTACTAAATGTGTATACCTGTGTTAGTACTCTATGCGTATGTGTGTGTGTGTGTGCGTGTATGTGTGCATGTGTAAACATGTATATGGAGGTTCTGTCTACTGGGATCACCTGACTACCAGGGAAAGTTGATTTTTTGATACCCTCTCACCTCAATCACTCTGACTGATCCTTTCTGGCCACTTCCTCTTCCTCCTTCCTGTACTGTACTCTGTCACAGGTTAAACAAGATCTGACTCTCATATGAGCTTGCTAAGCTCCCTTAATTATTAAGTGGGTTTGATACCAAAATCGGATTAAGGTGTCAGTCTCCCTAGGGTTGTTTCTCAAGAGAGGATTCTTGGTGATGGAAGGCCTTGAAGACCCAAGGCTGGAATCTCTAATGTAGAACCAAGTGGTTGAAGGATTAATCATGGTAGAATATCTGGAATATACTAAAACCTCATTGATGTACATACAAGGCAGAGCTTTTCTGTATTTATGGCTTATCAAGAGTAGTACTATCTAATAGAAATATAGTGTAAGCTACACATATGAATGGCATACATAATTTAAAAATTTTAGTAGCCACATTAAAAAAGTAAAATGAAACAAGTTAATATTAATAATATATTTTATGTAATACATTTTTATCTAAAATACTATTTCAGCCCATAATATAAAAATTTGTTAATGAGGTATTTTACATTATTTTTGCAAAATCTTCTGAATCTGGGGTGTAATTATACAGCACACCTCTGTTCCTACTAGCTATATTTCAAGTGCCCAGTGGCCACATGCAGTTAGTGGCTTCTTATTGGATATGCACAGATATAGAATGTCCCATGATGAGGACAGGGAGCATGTTACCTTTTAAATCTTAGAACCCACTGGGTATGGGGAGCCTGTTGTGAGACAACCTCCCTCAGCCAGGGTGGTTCCATAGTATGCATTGGTCATGCCCAGCAGGTAGCCGGAATCAGTGTTTGGTGGAACGTGGGGCTTTGGAATGCCACTGTGGTTGGTTTCACCTCAGAGGGAGCAGCTGGATTCCTATAGAGCCCTGAATAAAGGGAATTGTTCCTCAGAAAGCAAGTTTTTGAGCAATAAGTATAGGATTTCCTGGGTAATAGCCAAACCTGGGCAGGTTTTCTATAGATTGGTTGGCACGTTTTTTTCCCCCACTTCCTGGAGATGTCCTAGAATTAGAAGATAAAAGACGGCCCTGTGTTACCGTGGGGAACCATAAATGGTAGCGTTTATCCAAAACTGACCAAGGTGGGAGCTGTTTCATGGGGTCCAGGTTGGATCAGGAAGTATACACAGCAGCAAGCCAGGTTTCCCTTATTGCTCAGACTCCTGGGGCACCCCTGCACACTCCTTTTCATTGCTGAGAGACCCAAAGCAGCAGGATAAATATGGCATAATTTTATTCTAACATGTAAGAAGAGAACAGTAATATGATTTCTGTATTAAAGCAAATGTGCTATGGGGCCAGGCACGGTGGCCGATGCCTGTAATCTCAGCACTTTGGGAGGCCAAGGCAAGCAGATCATTTGAGGCCAGGAGCTTGAGAACAGCCTGGCCAACATGGCAAAACCCCGTCTCTACATAAAAATAAAACCACTAGCTGGGCATGGTGGTACGTGCCTGTAATCACACCTACTTGGGAGGCTGAGAAATGAGAATCACTTGAACTCAGGAGGCAGGGGTTGCAGTGAGCCAAGATCACGCTGCTGCATTCCAGCCTGGACATTCCAGACAGAGCAAGACTGTATCTCAAAAAAAACAAAACAAAAAACAAAAAAAGCACAAGTGTGCTGTGAGTATAATGTTAAATTCCCTTGCATTAAATTTTTTTTAAAAATTGATAATAGCTGTACATATTTTGGGGATATATGTGATAATACATTTATATAATTTATAAAGATCGAATCTTTATAGTTTTGGGGTAGTTGGGGTGTAGTTGGGGTGTACATCACCTCAAGTATTGTCTTTAAGGTAGAAACGTTTGAATTATTCTCTTCTAGCTATTTTGAAAAATACAATAAATTATTCTAAACTATAGTCAACTTAGTGATGTATCAAACACTAGGTCTTATTTCTTCTATCTAACTGTATATCTGTACTCATTAATCAACCTCTCTGCCTTGTATTTTAAAACATAAAATACAAGTCTTGCAAAAAAAGAGTTGAGCTGACAATGAATTGCTTTGGGAGACACCATCTTTTGCCTCAGGCTTGGAGGGCATTTTCCTTTGCTTTCCTTTCACGTCTACTCCACCACACTTCATCCAGTCTGGAGTTGAATGTACCTTTAGATTTCAGAGTGTGCACAAAGAAGCAGGTTTCCTTGTTTTTCTGGTAAGGTCATAATCATAAAGGTGGTTTGTCCAGTTGGGGAGAGATGTTTATTTGCAATCAGTATTTTGAAAGAACAGGATAATAAATGCACGTTAAGATTCATTTCAATAGAAAATTAGTTTAAAATATGTACACACGTACACACACACACACACACTCATACATATTTTCTTAAGAGTATCTAAAGTTCTCTTTTTTTCCTCCTGTGTCATTAATTTTTATTTATATGGAGTTTTATTTCACTTTTTAACTTTTATTTTAATTTCAGGGGTACATGTGCAGGTTTGTTACACAGGTAAACTTATATCATGAGGGTTTGTTGTACAGATTATTTCATCACCCAGCTATTAAGCCTAGTATCCATTTTTGTTTGAATATTGGTTTTACTGTGATTTGATGAACAGGACTATGTTACATAGTTGTCTCATTCCTTTTAGGATTCCAACTTGTATTTGAATTTCTTCTAACTTTTTTACTTTTCTGTGATTTTAAGGCTAATTTATATTGATTATGTGAAGAAGATAAAGTGTAATATTAGTACCCCCTTGTAATCTTCCCTTGTAATCTTGTTTATAATTTTTACTAGTTTTTTTTTGGAGAGAAAATCTCAGGAATGGACCGTTGAAGTTATGCTTTAGATCAGGGGTTCCCAATCCCCAGACCGCGAACTGCTGCTGGTCCGTAGCCTGTTAGGAACTGGGTCCCACAGCAGGAGGTGAGTGGTGGGTGAGTGAACATGACTGCCTGAGCTGTGCCTCCTGTCAGATCAGCACTGGTGTTAGATTCTCATAAGAGCGCAAACCCTATTGTGAACTGCCCATGTGAGGATCTAGGTTGTGCGTTCCTTATGATAATCTAACTAATGTCTGATGATCTGAGGTGGAACAGTTTCATCCCGAAACCATCCCCCCCCCCCACCTCCCCCACATCTGTGGAAAAATTGTCTTCCATGAAACTGGTCCCTGATGCCACAAAGGTTGGAGACCGCTGCTTTAGATGGTGAATTAATTGTAAGAAGGATAAAATATGTGTCCACTACTTACATACTATAATTTTATCTATCTTCAGTTGGAACTGAAAAAAAAATCAAGTTAAATGGTTGCAGAAATAATTCAACGTAAAAAAAGTGAAGTTAGAAAAAAGTAACTTAATAATGACTAAAATAAGGCAGATGAGTTTGAGATGGGGCTGTTATCCTTTATTCCTGTAAAGGTCTAATGATACAGAGTTAGGAAATACAAAGTGCCATTTGCAAACACTCCTGAAATCTAATGACCGTGGTAGATGATACAAATCAACCACAGTTCTTTTATCTACTGCATTTAGACATAGCTTCAAAATACTTTGTAATCAGCTGTTGGTCTTTTTAAATGAAAACCTATTTAGTGTCCTAGATGCAATCTAATAAGGGAGGGAAGTAGGTAATGGAAAAGTCAGAAACAATCTTTAGATCACTTATTCAGATCCAGTATAGCCTCCAAAGCGTAGACCTTCTGTTACATTGAATTTATAGAAAGCTAGAGCACATCAGTATGGTGGTTCTCAACCTTGATACCAAGATCTCAATGACTGATGTGTTGGGATGGTTGTCACAAATGTTTTCTCATTAATGATGAAGTAGAGTTTGCTCTAGGTCTCTAGGAATAGCCCCAACCCTGCAGCCTGTAATCTAGGTTCGTTCATTGGAATACGAATACAGTAGTCTAACAACTTCATCTTCCTCATCGCAGAGAAAAAAAAAAAGTCGTGAACGTCTATGGGTTAAGAGAACATTTTTTTTGGTTTTTTTTTTAATTATACTTTTAAGTTTTAGGGTACATGTGCACAACGTGCAGGTTTGTTACATATGTATACATGTGCCATGTTGGTGTGCTGCACCCATTAACTCGTCATTTAGCATTAGGTATATCTCCTAATGCTATCCCTCCCCCCTCCCCCCACCCCACAACAGTGCATGCACATGTATGTTTATTGCGGCACTATTCACAATAGCAAAGACTTGGAACCAACCCAAATGTCCAACAATGATAGACTGGATTAAGAAAGTGTGGCACATATACACCATGGAATACTATGCAGCCATAAAAAATGATGAGTTCATGTCCTTTGTAGGGACATGGATGAAGCTGGAAACCATCATTCTCAGCAAACTACTGCAGGGACAAAAAACAACGTTTGTTTTGAATTGGCTGCCTCGTGGTGAAAAAGTCACTGCAGTAGCTGCTGTGGCTATAGTAGTCTTAGTAGTTAGAGTCCATCTCTCTGCTGGTCATTTCAAAAGTCTTAACCCCAGGGAAAGCTTGACTCACGGAATGCTTTGGGACATTAGTGCTGAAGGATTTAATTAAAGCCAACTCTGGAAGAAAGATGTCAAGTGGGCACACAGTATAGTGGATAAGAAGGTGTCTGACTCATGAGGAATGACACACAGACAGAACATGTGCTCAGTAAATTTTGTTTTGTTTTGTTTTTGGTTATGAAGAACTGAGAGAACACTGGCAAAACTTATTCTACTTCCCAGAAAGGGTTAAGCTTTCTTTGGTTGCTTCACACGGGCCTTCTGAGTTCAGGTAGCCACGGTGGTTTTAGCACTGTAAGTTGGGGGCATATTTGGCACTTTTTAAAAATTATTGTAAACTGCTAGGTCTAGGTGTATTTCAGGAAGGAAGTTAGAATGTTGGGGGATGATTTACATCTTCTCTCATGTGGGTAGACTCTCTCATTCTCAAATAGAATGGAGTATATTCACGGTCATATTCTTCCTCTCCACCAAAACAACAATTCCCTCTCCTTCTGTGTCATCTATTCTGGGCAGAGCTTAGGGGTGGGGGAGGATTAAATACTGAGTTCTATTAAGAGATCACCTCCCTCCTTTTGGCCTTCCTTTTAGCCACATTGTTTCGGTCTCTCAGGAAGCTCTTTGCGCAGCGGGAGGGGGCAGGGAATAAACTTTATGTAAAGTAGGAACGAGAAGTCCCAGTTGCTTTTTTACGGAGTGGTCCTAAAGGCTTACTCCTGACTTTGTGCTCACTGGTATAGAAGCAGGACAGGGTGGCAACAGGAAATTCCTGAGGAAAATTTCTGGTCTAGAACATTCCTAGGTAGAAATTCTGAGGAAGTTCTGGACAGTCCCTGCTCAAAGGGAGAATAAGGGGAACATGGAAAGGATTCATCTTGTCCCTTGCAGCTGCTGGGCTAGTGAATTAACTAGGGAAGGGAAAGTTGTTTAAAGCCACATCAAACTGATAAAATGCTGAAGCTGGAGAGAACTGGGAAAGACAAAATGTGCTTACAGTGTGTCCCAAAACAGGAAGAGAGAAAAGAACCTGTCAGTAGTTATTTTCTCAATTTAAAGTTAATCTCAAATGAAACAGTGGGGAAAATACTGCAAAACAAAAGGCATGCCTGATTAATGAGAGGGTGAATCAAGTGGTGAGAATCAACAGTTTGACAAACTGTACTTCTAAATGTACATTTATGGAATTGGGGTAAAAATGGTAACAGAATTTGGTAATGAAAGTGCTACACTGAAACAGCTGGTTTAAAAAAGTACTATCATTTTGAATGATAATGATGCCATTTGTAGATTTTCAGCCATGCCCTAGGGCTCAGTAGACTGAGCCTGAAGTAGCGATTTCATCTATCTTTCATGTAAAACTACTACTTTTTTATTTTTTGCATATTTATGTTAAAATACCTGTAGTTATATTATAGACTTAATTCTACATTCTGATTTTTTTCCAGTTAATGTAAAGTTGCCATGAGTGGTTATTCATTCTTCATGTTGTGTCATCATTTTTGTGGCTGTGTAATATTCCGTCTAGAGACTGTACTGTACTTAACCGGCTATGCCTTTAATATTTAAATTATTTCAAAGGCGTTTTAGGTTATTTTGAAGGATATTTTCTGTATTCTAAATAACCTGCTATAATACATAATACAGTTTTCCCTTGTTTTGGATTATTTCCTTAGGATTATTTTTGAAATAAATCAGTGAAGGAAGTGAACATGTTGGTGATTCTTTATACTTATTGCTAAATTGCTTTCTAAAACATTTCTGTGATTTCCACATGGCAGAGTAAGAGTGGCCACATGTGCCTAATGAAGCTACAGAGTGAAGGATTCCCTAGATTTAGTGCAACTGGAAATGATTCTCACCTGAGACGATGCTGAGCCCATCCTGGTTTCAAAAAAATATTTTTAATGAATTGTTATGGAAAAAAGTAAGAAAGGCATCTGCCAATCAGAAGGGAAGTTTTAGTCTCAGTTGGAAGGATTTGTTTTTCCAGTTTGCATTGTCTTATGTAATAGATTTGGGGCCTAAAAACTTAGGGATTAGATGAAACTTTAATAAAATTAATCTTGTTTTATGTAAACAGCACCTAAAATTGCCTTACACATAGTGGGGGCTCAATAATATTTATGAGTAAATGAGGCACTGTGGGAACCTTGTCATTGACGGTAACCCTGAAGTGAATTATGTTTGGTCATGTGGTGGAAATTAGACTGCTGTGCTTTAAGTTTCAGATATTTTTTTCCACCCAGGTTTTCTTAAAATGAGGTATGCCTCTACAGCTTACAGTTACAGCCAATATTTGCAAATACTGTAACAAAAAAACTGTTTAACTTAAAAACAAATATTAAATCCTTCACCTCCCAACCCATGTGGAAAAGGGAGGAAAAGGGAAATACTTTTAAAAAGTGGGAATTCTTAAGTATTGCAATCTGTTTGTTTGGAGCAGGAACTATTTAAAAACTCACAACTTTAATAAGTGAAGGAGACGTACTGATGTAAACCACAAACATGTTTAGGGCATGAGATCATTCAGGCTCCTTCTCACCTTCAGAACAAAGGTTTCCCCTCTTCTCTAGTTTTTCTTTTTTTTCCTTTCTTTCTTTCTTTCTTTTTTTTTTTTTTTTTTTTTTTGTGACAACCACGTCAAGTTTTCCTAGCTGTGGCCAGGGAGCACTACTCCAGCTATTAAGCTGTGTGAGAACAGTGAACTTGGTCGGCAAGGATCATTTGTCTCCAGTTGTCAACAAAGGCTTGTTTTACTAGGAACAATGACTACACAGGTTTGTGTAGAGTGTTGTGTGCAAAAGCGTTAATCAGTAAGCAGCTTGAGCCATACTCAGAATCTCTTTTACATAGTTATTTTGTTCATTAGAGGTGATCGTTGTTTCTGTCAGTTGGCACCATTTGAAAAAGAAGTTCATCAGTATGCCGGGATGCTTTCTGCATAGTGAGATTGACTCAGTCCTGTGTTTCTTTCTTTTGGTTCTCTTTAATCAGTTTTCACCAGAGCACAGCCATGTTATTATTGATGTTTAAGTACAGCAAAGTGGTTAAATGATAATGATCTTGGTTTTCATCCAAGATAACAGATTTTTTTTTCTAGCTTGGGGAATACTTCAGTGCCCCGATGGAGTTTTTACACACTGACACTTGCATTTATACATTCACACTCACAGAAGACCTTCGTTCCAAAGAGGACAGACAGGAGGACTGCTGGCTATTGGAAAGGGTGCTAGTCTAGAGCCGGTAGGAGTAACTGGGGGTAAATGAATTCTTCTGCTCTGTTTGGCACTTACCAAAAGGACTAAATCACTGCAAGAAACCTTCTGAACATAATTCCAGCATGGCTGAATGACTGAGATCAAGTCGTTAGAAACTTAAAGTTGATAAAAGTTGCATTTTGAGTCTTAAGCGGTGGCACATGCATGAGCCTTCTGTCTGTGCACATATTTCAGGAGACCCTCCCCAACTTTACCCACTCAATGACTCCCCCCATCAGTTTTTTTTTTTTTTTTTTGAGACAGAGTCTCACTGTGTCGCCCAGCCTGGAGTGCAGTAGTGCAATCTCGGATCACTGCAACCTCCGCCTCCCGGGTTCAAGCGATTCTCCTGCCTCAGCCTCCGGAGTAGCTGGAACTACAGGCAGGTGCCACCACGCCCAGCGATTTTTTTTAAATTTTTAGTAGAGACAGAGTTTCACCGGGTTAGCCAGGATGGTCTCGATCTCCTGGCCTCGTGATCCACCCACCTCGGCCTCCCAAAGTGTGGGGATTACAGGCGTGAGCCACCGCGCCTGGCTCCCTCATCACATTTTTATTAAGTCCAGTGAGGTGCAGCTTTCCTTGCATAACTGAGGCAGGACTGATGCCATGGAGTGTATGTGGCGATGCCTTTTTGAGTCCTTCCAACTCTAGGGACTCTTAGGGAGCAAAGAGCTTGGACTAAGAGGTCCATAGTCAGATAAACCTATTTTCTGAAATAGTTGCATGACCTTGAGCAGGTCACTTAAGCTCTTTATATTAACAATAAACACACAAATACAAGCATACCTCATTTTATTTTGCTTCAGTTTATTGCACTTTGCAGATACTGTGTTTTTGACAAATTGAAGGTTTGTAGCAAACCTGCATCGAGTAAGTGCATTGGCACTATTTTTTCCAAACAGTATGTGCTCACTTCATGTCTCTGTGTCACATTTTGATAATTCTAGTAATATTTCAAACTTTTCCGTTGTTATTATAATATCTATTACGAAGATCCATGAACAGTGATGTTTTGTGTTACTATTGTAATTGTTTTAGGGTGTCATGAACTGGCCCATATAAGACTAAAATGACAAACTTAACCAATAAGTGTTGTGTGTATTCTGACTGTTCCACAGAGTGCCCATTCCCTATCTCTCTCCCTCTCCTTGTGCTCTTGTATTCCTTAAAACACAGCAGTATTGAAATTAAGCCAATTAATAACCCTAGAATGGCCTTTAAGTATTCAAGTGAAAGGAGGAGTCGCACATATCTCACTTTAACTCAAAAGCTAGAAATGCTTAAGCCTATTGAGGAAGGCATGTCTAAAACCAATTGTGTCAAACATTTAGCCAAGTTGTGAATGCAAAGGAAAAGTTCTTGAAAGAAATTAGAAGTGCTCCTCCCATGAACACAAGAAGGATATGGAAGCAAAATATCCTCATTGCTGATACGGAGAAAGTTTGAGTGGTCTGGATGGACAGTCATACTGACCACAAAATTCCCTCAAGCTAAAGCCTAATCCAGATTAAGCCCTAACTCTCTTCAGTGTTACAAAGGCTGAGAGACGTGAGGGAGCTTCACAAGAAAAGTTGGAAGCTAGCAGAAGTTGGTTTATGAAGTTTAAGGAAAAAAAGCTGTCTCCATAAGATAAAAGGGCAAGTTGAAGCAGCAAGTGGTGATGTAGGAGCTGCAGCAAGTTCTCCAGGAGATCTAACTAAAATCACTGATGATGATGGCTACACTAAACAGACTTTCAATGTAGATAAAACAGCCTTCTATTGGAAGAAGATGCCATCTAGGACTTTCATAGCTACAGAGGAGAAGTCAATGCCTGGCTTCAAAGCTTCAAAGGACAGGCTGGCTCCCTTGTTAGGGGCTAATGCAGCTGGTAACTTTAAGTTGAAGCCAGTGTTCATTTACCATTTTGAAAATCCTAGGGCCTTTAAGAATTATGCTAATCTATTCTGCCTGTGATCTATAAATGGAACAACAAAGCCTGGATGAGAGCACATCTCTTTACGTCATGGTTTACTGAGTATTTTAAGTCCTCTGTTGAGACCTACTGCTCAAAAAAGAAAGATTTCCTTCAAAATATTACTAGTCATTAACAATGCACCTGGTTACTGAAGAGCTCTGATGGAGATGTACAAGGAGATTAATGTGTTTTCATGATTGGTAACACAACATCCCTTCTGCAGCCCAAGGATCAAGGAGTAATTTCAACTTTCAGTTTGGTCCTGGTATAAAGTACAAGCCTATTTGGAGGGGGCCTGTCTAGTGCCTAGATTGAGGGTTTCTGTGGTGACAGTGGCCAGCTATAACTTGGGGTGTTTGAATGGAGATGATCACAAGAGAAGCAATAGCTAACCAAGAGCATCAGGGTTCACCTCATCTGTCAGGTTTGAAGATCAAAGACAGCCTGGGAACACTCTCTCTTTGGAAAAGATGTCAAAGATGTCACCTTTGTATTTGTATCGTTGGTATCAAAATTATGTAATTGGCCATTAGAGCTCATCCTCCTTATTAATATAAGCATTGCTGTCGTGTGGTGGTAGTAATGGTCTTGGAAGTGGAGTAGCAGATGATATTCTAGAAACAGAGAAGAACCTGGCTTAAATACAAAAACATTTTGTCTATACACTGATTCTACCACTGGAGGTATAATAAGATTAACAGTCTGCTCTTTGGGATGGTCAAAGTTCCCTGGGTATTTTTAACTTACCACTATTTAGATCTTGGTGCCAATTATTTAAATATGACTAGTGGTTGGACATTTTAGGAGGAAAAACAAAGAATAGGAATGACACAGATAGTCTCTTAATATTAGATAACGTTTCTGTGTCCTCCAACTTCCTCATCTTTATTATGGGTACTTCCAGAAGCCTTTATTGATAATGGTAATAATAACTACTTTTGTTTTGTAGTAGCCTACCTGTTGCTAGTACTGGTATAATGTTTAGGAAATTTCTTTTATATTGACTTCCAAACAAACCAGTAAGTCAGAGATTATTATCTATATTTTCAATAACACTTTGAAATTCAGAGGAGTTATCATATTGCTGAAAGTCAAACAGCCAGTAAATGGCAGAGTAAACATAGGAACTTGAAGTGTTGTGCTAAAGGTAGGTGTCTTCTTTGTTTCTTTGTTTCTTTCTTTTTTTTTCTTTTCTTTTTTTTTTTTTTTTTTTAAGAGACAAGGTCTGCCTCTGTCACCCAGGCTTGAGTACAGAGGCACGATCATAGCTCACTGCAGCCTTGAACTCATGGGCTCAAGTGATCCCCCTGCCTTGGCATCTCAAATAGCTGGTACTACAGAGGTGCATGCCACCATGCCTGGCTAATTTTTAAATTTTTCTGTAGAGACAGAATCTTGCTATGTTGCTTAGGATGGTCTTGAACCCCTGGCCTCAAGCAGTCCTCCCACTTCAGCCTCCCAAAGTGCTGGCATTACAGGTGTGCGTCTCCATGCCCAGTCCTGTCTGTTTCATTTTTAAAAATATTTTTTTGAGTTGTAAAACAGCAAGTTAAAATTATACAAATCCTATACAAAGCTAAATGTTGAGTGAAATTATTTTTCTTGCTTTCTGGTTACCCAAAAAAAGTATTGGTTGGGCAAATTGCCTATTGTGGATCAGAGGGTGGGGCTTTAACAGGAACATAATGACAACCACAGGGCTTTGTTGATTGGCTTTGTTGCAGGCCTTCCATTAAGTTCATTTGAAGTACATCCTTTAATATTCCCCATATGGGTCTGTGAGTAGTAGGACCATTGTTTACATTGGTAAAAATTTTGATCTTTGAATGCCTGAAAATGTCTTATTTTGCCTTAATGATTGAATAATACTTAGTTGGTCATAAGATTATTGATTTACAGCTGTTTTCCTTAGAACTTTGAAGATTTTTACATTGTTGGCCTTGACGTTTATTTTTAAGACGTTTCCTAAGCATCTAATTGTTGTTCCTTTAAGAGTTTTGCTTTATTCTGATGTTTTTCTGTTCCATCATAATGTATCTAGATGTGGATTTATCTTTCTCCTGCTCATGCTTTCTATCTAAGGACTTTTTCTCTAATTCTGGAAGATCTCTCCAAATATTGTATCTTCATAATTTTTTTTCCATTCTTTTCAGAAATTGATATTAGATATATATTGGAGCTGGCCAATCTATCTTACAGGCCTTTCAACCGAACCTTAATTTTAGAGAACAGACTCTTCTCTCCCATGCTTCCTCTTAGGTAAAGTAAGATAACAGCTCCTTGCCATTATCTTCAAATTTACTGTTCATTTTTAATATGTCACGTATAGATTTGAACTCATTCATTGAGTTTTTCTAGTTCAGTTGACTGTACTTTTATTTTCTAAGATTCTTAATTGTTTTTTATATCTACCTGTTCTTACTCTGCTTTTTAATTTTCATAAATTTATAATTGTTTAAATGGATGCTTCTTTATTCATCTCATTATCCTGAACATATTTATCTTATTTTATTTTTTACTTTTTTACAGACAGTCTCATTCTCTTGCCTAGGCTGGAGTGCAGTGTCACAATCATAGCTCACTACAGCCTCAAACTCCTGGGCTCAAGTGATCATCCCACTCCAGTCTCCCAAGTTGCTGAGATTATAGATGTGAGCCACTGCACCTGGCTCTAAACATTTTTATTTTAAAGTCTTTGTATGACTGTTCTATGAAATTAATTTCATGTGGGCTGAATTTATAATTGGATGGGGGATTTGGCTTTCTTAGAATTAGATTCTTTTATGTGTTTTGGAATTTTAGTTTGCAGGTTCATTTTGAACTTGAGAGATATTTGCTTTTTATGCTATTTCTTTTATTCTCCCTCTTTGACGGATGCTTTTGTAGTTTCACAGTTACTTTCACCTGGTTCCCCATGCGCAGTCCATAATTAGGTATTATAATGGTGCTTATATTTCCCTGCTCTGTGATGACTTGGGCAGTATCACAGATGCATCGAGTAAGCAGAAAACCTGACTCAATTCTTTTCCTGAGACTTCTTTCCTTCTTTTCTAGGTCCACAGCTGCTGATACCCCTGGGGCCCCAAATAATAGGTCCTCCATCATTTTCTATCGCTTTCTTTTACAAATGTGTGGCTATCTGGGTATTTTCAGAGAAGGGAGGAGGCCCTACCTCAGTCTTTGGCTTGAAGGAGTGAGCCAGACTCCCTTCCCATCTAGCACATGGTAGTTTGGGTTCTCATACCCCTCGCAAGTCCAGTTCTCTGTTGCCCCTGCCTGCTTCTGGCCTGCAGTTCGGTATTTCATTGACCTTCGCCCCACTTTCTTTATTTCTGTTTCTTTCTTAGTTGGTGGAGATTTATCGGGCCTTTAAGGCTGATGACGCTTACTGGTTTTCACTTTTTAAAATTAAATTTTCAATATAAAATATGTGTTTAGATCAGAGGGGCTGTTTTGGAGCTTGAACTTACAGGACTGACTTGACCTGACCTATACCATTTCACTTGGCCCGTCGGCCTTTCTTTGAAGTCCTTTCCCCAGGAATGCCAAGGAACTATTTTATTGCTGTCTCCTGTCCTTTCCTCCTTCTCTTCCAAAGTTTCTTCAGAAATTAAGGGATTTACTTTCTTCCTAGTGTTACCTTGATTGGGCAATGTTCAGAATAAATTTCAGAGCTCCACCTTCAGTGTAAATATCAGTGTTATTCCAAGCTAGGGAGAATAATATTAAGAAATAAGTAAGTTTACAGAAATTATTCTCAGGAACCAATTTTCAGGAGATGTGACATTTGATGTGATGTGTATTCAAGTATAAATTTCCACTTAGCTTTTATATGTGTTATAAAATAGCTGAAAGAGCTTCATGTGTTGTTAGAGTTCTCTTTCTTTTACTTTTGAATAAGAAGTAATATTGTAATAAAAACCTTTTTATATCAAAGCTCTTTAAAAAGCAAATGTTAATAAAACTGGAAATATTTTTTTCTTCATCTTAATAAATCCAGAGAACCAGAAAATATCCGTGCTTCAGGGCACTTTTAAATGTACCGTGAATACTTTACGTTTAAGGATAACACTGTGCAGGAGACACTTCTCCAGCCCTCCTTTACAATCTTTTAAAGACCCACTATAACTTTTCTGTTATTCCAGTAGGTTGTGCTCTTTTGCTCAGATCCAGAACTCTGGTCATGCTAACCAACCAAAGTTAGACAACTTGCAATTCTTTCTTTATGTACAATAGTTTAATATTAACTATTGTTTTCAAAATTAGTATTTATCTTTAAAACAATTATTCTTAAAATCTTTTGAAAGTATGTGCGCATGGTAAAATTTTTGCACAAAGTGAAAGCGATTTCAGCGAAAGCAAATCTCTCTAATTCCAGCCCATGCCTTCAGGCTTCCTCCTCAGAGATGGCCAATGTTGCTGTTCCCTCATGTATCCTTCCTCACATCTTTTATACATGGATATTACCTTTTTCCTCAGTGGTAGCATATCATACGCACTGTTATGAACCTTGTTTTTTACACCTAACAACTAATTTTGGAGCTCATTCCCCATCCATATATACAAAACTGCCTCATGATTTTTTACATTAAAACAGTTAACTATTGCTAGAATCTTGCTGTACTCAACAAAGCATTATGTAGGAGTTGTTAATGTCCATGACATGTTTGTTTTATTTTAGAGTAGGATGAACCCTCTTTCTCTGGCCCTTCTGGTGGGTAGATTTTGAAACTTCATACTCAGAGAGATAACAGAGCAGAGTTCCACTGTGTGGCTCTTCAGTTCTGTGTTTTCAACAATAGGTGGCACCAGCAATTTCTGTATTTGGGCTGTATGTAGAGAGGAAGCATCATCATTTTGATCATTTTTCATTTCATATTGTGTTCACAGATTATTAAGAGCAAAGATGTGTTTACCTGAAGGCCTAGAGGCTTGCACATGGATACATGCATACATAGGGGATTAAGAAGCACTTTGTAGAACGGTACCTGTACTGCGATGCTACAGCTCTTCCCTTGCCCTGGCTGTATTTGCAGCTTCATCTAATGAGACCAGACACTTAGTTAATACATGAGATTTTATAATGATGAATATGATTTTATATACAAAGTAGATCTTTGCAGGTGCATCCTTTTGAGATTTATCGTGGTAGAAATTTGGTCTTGGCTACACATATGAGAATGTATCATTGCACTGGAGGGTTATGTACTCTCAGAGCTTCACCTGTTACATTCGCATGGACAGCCCCTCTCCGGCTCAGCCCCGACTCCTCCCCTATACTCCCTTGTCAGTTGTGCCTAGAGGTCCCGTCAGCATTTAAAACAGCATTTTAAAACTAAATTCATCATCATTCATGAGAGCGGTTCCCATCTTCTTCTTTTTTTTTTTTTTTTTTTTGCCACCTTAGACTTCTCTTTATGAATTTCTACTTTACCCTTTTGTCTTTCAAAAAATTTGCTTTATTTGTATTCCCTGACAACAAGGCCCTGATCACTTGATAACTGTGTGATTCTCCTGGCCCCTTCCCTTTTGTTCTTATAAGTATGGGGAGAAATTCTCCTGGTTTGAGGATGAGAAATGGATACAGTGGGGCTCATCAAAGTTTTCTAAGTTAGACATGTACTGATCCCAACAAATTATGTGATCCCAAACAATTTCAACACAAAGTACATTCCGATGCCACCATTTCTTTGCCTGTGTCCCTCGGGTCCCTGGACAGAACTTGGAAATGGGAAGTGAAGAACATTTCATTCTATGACCCTTAGCAGCATTGTTTTTTAATTGAATCAGAATTGCTTCTCCCTTGCTTTTCCTTCCTCAAGGGAGTTCAGAGCTCCTTGGCTTCACCTGACTTTATGCAGTGGTTTCATCCCATGATAATATGTTGGGTTTCTGTCTTAATAGAACCTTTGGTCTTACAGAAGTCCCGGATAGGTCTGCTGTATATCTTTATCCCAAGACTTTATACATTCCAGAGTTCCTGAAAGCTCTTGCAGTTACTGGCTTTTCCAGGATTCAAGTCACTCTTGCAGTCAATAGGAGATACTCACATGGAATTACTACAGCACACAGAGAATTTTGAGTATTCTTTGGCCCAGAGAATACTGATCGGCCCCATATTTTGCCTTTGTGCTAGGATGGAGCTCCATATCAGAGAGATCAATACAATCTGAAAGTCACTGCCTCTTCCATAAGTCCTGCTTTAAAACCTTCGGTAGCTTTTCTTAATTTTCCTTTCAAGGCTATCATTGTGTGGGCGTAACTTACTTACTTTTTTTTTTTTTTTTTTGGTAACATAACGTGACCCAGAACCATCTTTAGGAGTGTGGCAAATTCTGTCCTGTCTTTCTAGGACGGGGTAAAATAACCTGCCTCAGGATGGAACACCCAACCGAGGGAGGAAGAGAAAACTAGGGGTGCTTGCTTAGGTTGCCAGTTGCTGCAGCAAGACCTGAGGCTCCAGTGCCTCCTTCTGTGCCC
The DNA here is from genome assembly GCF_000001405.40 of Homo sapiens. Taxonomy (NCBI): domain Eukaryota; kingdom Metazoa; phylum Chordata; class Mammalia; order Primates; family Hominidae; genus Homo; species Homo sapiens. The sequence continues at coordinate 4,227,115 of NC_000009.12, read as the reverse complement.
GTGCCCATCTGCAAAGCAAAGGCCCAGAACTGCTGTGTCATTCTTCCACAGACCGCTCCCTGCACCAGGCTTCCCCCTTGCATGCAAGAACTCTTGTTTTCCTTCCCAGGATGCTCCTGTTGCTAGTTCTCACCAGATTTATCTCTATATGGCTGAGATCAGCTATGCACCTCTTAAGCATGAATAATTCTGATTCCCTTTAAAACTGGATGGGTCAGTTTTCCAGGAATTTACTCCAAACTAATTAATAATAATTGCCACCACTTACTGAGGCCATGGTGTAAACAGATAACTTTGCATCCACTGTCTTTTTCGTCCTCACCAACAGCTCTTATGTGATAAATATTGTTACTCCTTACTCATTTTTCAGTAGAGGAAACCAAGATTCAGGAGAATTAAGTAACTTGCCTAAGGTCACACAGATAAGGAGTAGCCAGCTAAGGAGACTTGGCTTTTCTCTTGAGACCTTGCTATCTCCAAACTTTGAAGCAATGCTATAGAGTTCTACTTCAGAAGGAAGCAGGAAGCCATATCATTTTCTTATCTTTACCTCTGCTTAGCTCCACCTTACCATTCCCTCCCCCTTAGGCATAGTCGGGTTGTTTCTGTGAGGCGGAGTTTGAGCCAAAGCATAGCACACCCTAACTTTCTCTTGGGAGGAGCTCGTCTTTCTGTTTGAGTTTCAGATGTTGTCTCTGTTGGTAGTTTCTTCATTTATTCAACATATATTTATTATAATGACAACATGCGAAATACTGAGTATGAAGTTGTTAAAAAGATGTATATGGACCTATCTTTACGGAGTTTTATAGTTTAGTTGGGAAGAATGCAGGCTATATCTAAATAAGAACAAAATAATTAACCAAGCAAGAGGTCAGTTTACTTCTGTTCCTTCTTATTGTCAAGATATTGGAAAGCAGAATTAATTTGAGTATCCAATACGTTATCTGTTGAGAAGAGTCACTTTTGTGAATGTGACTGTCTCAGAGGCAGGAATTAGTAATTTAAACCAGCGTATGTTTGAAGTTGATTAAAGGAAAATATTCAGATTCCTGAATAACGATTTAAATGTGCTGGAACATTACCTATTACCCACATATTACATGGCAATATTTTAAAAATCTGGCCAGTGTTAAAATGATAACGTTTCAGGTAGGTGGCGCTAATAAGTGTTCTTGCACTCATAGAATGTTGAGTTAGAAAATGTTGTGGGTTGCTTTGACCTTCTCCTTCCTCATTTCCCCTGAAGAAATTAAAACTCAGAAAAATTGCATATGCAGTCTTCCCCTTACTTCTCAAATTCATGACTCGTAGGATGAATAGACTCTGGTTTATTCAAGGTCTCAAGAGTTCAAGTTGTCAACATTTCACCCTCTCATACATTAGCAATGTCAATGACTTGGAAATTAATATGGTTTGAACTTCATGATTCTTTCCCTTAGATGTGGTTGAAGTACCGTGAGCTCATCATTAAGAAGCAGTTAGTTAGCTTTTCTCTTTAGCCTGCCTTGTCTAAATTTCATCTTCTACTACTAAATGGTTTTACTAGTTATAGTGACTCAAGAGGCAGTTTTACTCTGTGTGACTACTTTAGCAGACCACATTAAAGCATTTATGTTCCTCGTTAGGTTGCAGGAATGAGTTTTCTTAATGCCATCACTGAATTCCAATGGAGGAAATAAATTACTCATGCATTTTCTAATGGTTAAAAAATTTTCCAGTGTCTTGGCTGTCTAGTTCTCATCATGCAGAGGTTCCATTACCAAAGAGTAATTGTATAATTTTGACTAGCAGGTCTATACTACTTAGAAAATCAACTAAATAAAACATTTGAGTCACAGGTCCTAGGCCAAAATTTTAAAGAGCGAAGTATATGAGAGTCAACCTTTTGCAGTTGTAGGGGAAAATGCAAGACTTAGAAGAAAAAAACTGGTCTCATCTTATTAACTTACCAACTTTGTATATATAGGCAAGCTCCTTAACGTCTCTGAGGCTCATTTTCCTTATCTGTAGAAATGAAGACAGCCGTAATAATGCCTGCTTAACTATCTCGTGTGATTATTGTGCAAGTCAAATGAGATTGCAAATGTGAAGGCTTACCAGAAAAATAGTAGGAAGATCTATATAAATAGTATATTATTATAGTTTAAAAATATTGTAGTAATGATAACGATACTCATAGTGATAATCGTGATCTAAATCTTGGCATAGAATTATGTATACCAGAACATTACATTGGTTGGTATATTGACAGTGTTTGAAAAGTGCAAGTCACTAAAAGAATGATTTTGCTGTTCAACATTGATGTCAGTAAATGAAAATAGCTTGAAATACTTCCTTTGTTCCAAAAACAGTTAAAAGCAGCTTTCAAAGATAGAAATAAAAAAAAAAAAACAGAAAAAGATGAAAAACAGGTAAGTGGGGGAATAGGAGAAGGGAAAGTGGGATGTAACAAAGGGTGAAGTTAGGACTCAAAATGCGTCTCGTAAGCCCTGTTCCATTTGCTAGAGGTGTGCCAGAGATTTGGTTCTGGATTTTCCTGTAGCCAATGCGGTGAGAAAACAATCAGCTGTGTAGAATCTTAGTGTCCATAAGGTTAAATAGTGAAGCACAGAACTCTTCCTAATGATGAGACACAAGATAGTGATTTTCCCAGGGAGTCCTCATAAAGAGGACAGTGTATGATGAACGACATCTCACAGAACATCTCAATGGTAAACATTCATACACCTTTGGAAGCTGTCACCAGTGAGACGGCCAGATGACAAATCATTGAAATAGTCACAGTTTGTTAGCAAGCTGTTACTTACTTGGTTATCATCACGATTGAATATTTTTTTAAGACTGGAAATATTCTCTGAGATCACCTTGGTCAATCACTTTCCTTTCTAGATGAGGAAACTGAGCCCTATAGGAGTTGAGTGAAGGCTCAGGGTTATAATGTGGGTTTTAATCAGAGTGCAAGGGGCTCCAAGTGAGAGTGCGCAGTTTGCTCTGAGCCCACTGTGTGTGATTTGCAAGCTTTCTTTGTCTCAGTATAAATACCATTTGGCACTTTCAACATGTTTCTAATTGTGAGTTTAGCAGTTTACTCTGGTGGGGTTTTTTTTTTTCTGGATCTTTTTTGTAGAAGTGTAGAAGCTGTTGAATTTGATGGCATTTTCCCCGTATTGTTTATTTGTTTGTTTTGTTTTCACTGTAGGAACAACAGTGAAATTGGATCAGAAATTTATTAGAGAACAGGTCTTCACATGTAGAATTCCCGACATTTGTAATTATACTGCCTGGGATGTTCCTCCTCATAAAATATCCTTAGTACTCAAAACCAGAAAATGTAGAAAAAATCAGTATTTTAAGCAAATAGAAAAATCCAAAACCTTAATTTTGAAACATAGGTGGAATTTAAAAATATTGGCCAGAAGCCTAAGGGAGTTTCAGGTTAGCTTTTCTAGCAAACTTGTTTGCTCACATTCATGGGAAGTGACTTCGAATGTGAGTAGTGGTTGTTCACGTGGTGTTTTAGAGGCCGATTAAAACACTTCTTTCATCAGGGAACTTAGATCAACCCTGAGAATAAACAGGGGACCCAGGTTCTAGAGAAAATAAAGGTGGGTCTCTAAAAGGAGGAGGCAGTGGGCTTGAGAAATATTAGAGAAACTTGGCTCTGTATGGTTTGTTTGTGAGGCAATCCGATTGAGTCTTTGAGGGAGGCACACTTAACAGGCTTTTAATCTCAGGGGAGTGAATCGTAGAATGTAAATATTAGAAGCAGTGTTAGGCTGTGTATCCTTCTCACCCACCAGATTAAATAACTTGTCCAAAGTGACACAGTAGAAGTGGTAGTAAGTCCTGAGTCTTCTTACTCCAACTTCAAGGTATGTGGCAATGTGCTGGGGTGGAGAGGAAGAAGAGGCAGTGCGGATGTTCAATTCGTTTTTCCAGCTGTCATTTCATTTTTTAAGTTGTAAAATGAAAAATTTGGACCAGATTATCTCATAGACACTTCATAAATATGAAAAGGTTTCTGCTTGTGAAGTGTAGGTGTGGGAGATGTCTGTACTCAAAAAGTGATCTTTCTCTTTCTTGGAAAGATCCCAGCCTACCTAAGGAGTGCTGTTTGTTCCCTAATTCCCTAAGGAACAACAGTTAAAGGAGTAAACCTGAAGGCTACTGAGATAAGCAGAACAGAGCATAATCCATTATTCCCCGTTCCCTCTGCTCAGTGCAGCTTCGTGAATGAGCATTTCAGCCCGAGAAATGGAATGCTAGAATCTTACTGACAGCAAAATGAATTTGATGTCTTTTATCTCAAACATATGCACTTGCTAAACAAATTTGTTAAGACACAAAATGCGAGCCCACAGTTAAAGTATAATGCATTCCTCTGGACTTGGTGCTGCCCATATCTAGTCTGGGTGATGTTTTTATTCTTCCTCTTACAGTAGCACTGTTCTTTGACCTTCACATCCAAACACTTGCCTGCAAAATTAGTGATCTGTGCACGCACTTGACATTAGATAATGACACTGTGACTTGAAACATTTGGCAAACTCCAGTACCATGGGGTTAAGCAAAGTCTTGGCTGGGTCTATTTATGTTTATTGTAGGTGGTGAGTGTTAAGTGATTCACAAAAGAAAGGGTCAGGTAAACACAGGGGGATAGGGTAGGCCGATTCTAAGCATCTCATTCTTGCCTGTCCATTTTCTAGGTCCTAAGATGAATCAGCATATGGCCTTCTGGAAGAACTGAGTTATGAGAAATCTGATGCAGAGAGAATTTGTTAAATAAGCAGGTAGTGGGAGGAACTTTGGTAGAGAGAATAGTATTTTGTTTGGGGTTGCAATAGGAGAAGAGAAAGAGGAAGGTGTACTTTGCTACCGTGTTTAGTGAAGAAGCTGTGGTACATAATGGCCTATAGCTGTACAGCACTTAGAGCTTACAAAGTGATGGAACACTCATCATCTCACTGACCCTGGTGGAGAAGAGGGAGGGAGGAAGGGAGTCCAGAGGTGTTACTGGCAGCATGAATGGTCAAAACCAGATAAATCTGGATGCTCCCTTGAGGTCTGTGGCTAAACTTCAACTCAAGAGCCAAAGTAGCTTCTCCTTCCCTTTCTGGTTCTGTGCACAGGCAGCTGATCGGGTCCCAGCATGCTTTGCAGAGCTGTACATAGGATGGAGCCCAGACTCTTAAATAAGTGGCATGAAGTCTTCCTGGATTTGCCATACAGATGGATCCCAAAATAACTATTTTGCATAGAAGATGGAGATATGGTGGCCTGAAAGGCAAGATTTTTAGGTTCTTGTCTCAAACTGGGGACAAGTTGTGGCCTCTTTCTTTCATTGGAGGCACACGGTGCTTTTCTCCACCATTTCTGCTCCTTTGTAATGTGTTTCCATATGTTATCTTTGCCCCTTTCTCTTCTGGTATAACCCCCTGGTAACCAAAGGCAAGTATTAGATTTTCCATTCCATACACTGGTAGTTCTTTATTCAGACATTCTTTGATATTAAAGGGGGGACTTGAAAAAAAAATCAAGTCAGGTATCTGAATTAAATCTAGAGAAATTTCGAAGCCTCTTGCTTCACTAATTGATCTTTACATTTCCATTCATCTAAGGAGAATGGGAGAAGAATATTTTCCAGCTAATTCATGGACCCTGCATGATACATGTGTTTTGCACATGTTTGAAGTTTCCAAGAAAATGCCAAGTAAAAAATAATTTATTTCTTTTTCTTTTCATTTGTTACCAATATATTTTTGGTTAAGTTTTAAATTTTTAAATAATTTCAAACCTACAGAAAAGGTTTAAGAATAATATAAAGAATTCCCATATGCCCTTCACCCAGATTCCCTGAATTTTAACATTTTACCTCATTTCTGCCTTATCATTTTCTCTTTCTACTCTTCAAAAATGACAAGAGTTTTTACCTATGCATGTATGTATGTACGTTTCTTTGCTGAATCATTCAAGAGTGAGTTGTAGGCATTTTGTCTTACAACCTCAAAATACTTCAGTGTGTAGGTCCTAGAAAATGAAAAAAGAAAAAAGATATCCTCTATTTTTCCCTTTCCTTTTTGCACTAAGATCCAACCCAGAGAAACACTTATTAATTAATTAATTAATTAGAGACAGGGTCTTGCTGTGTAACCCAGGCTGGAGTGCAGTGCTGTGATCATGGCTCACTGCAACCTCCACCTCCTGGGCTTAAGCGATCCTCCCACCTCAGCCTCCTGAGTAGCTGGGATTACAGGTCCATACCTCCATGCCTGGTTAATTTGAGACACATATTGTTGCTGTCATGTCTCTTTAGGCTCTTTTAATGAGGAATGGTTCCTCAGTCTTTTATTTTTTATTTTGATGATAGCTTTTTTTTTTTCTTTGAAATGGGGTCTCACTTATGTTGCACTGGCTGGCCTTGAACCCCTGGCTCCTGGCTCAACCCTACTGCCTCAGCCTCCTGAGTCGCTGGGACTCCAGACATGCCTCAGTATGCCCAGTTTGACTTGGCATTTTTGAAGACTTGCCACTTACTTTGTTGATGTTGCCTCATGGTGAGGCCCAGGCTATATACTTTGGGCAGAAATACCACAGACATGATGTATGTTCTCAGTGCATTACATCAGTGGGCATCAATCTGTCTAATGCTGGTGGTGTTAACTTCTATCCCTTGGCTAAGATACTGTGTGCCAGTTTTCTCTACTGTGAAGTTAATTAATAAAGATTTCGTGCCCACGAATTTACAAGTGATTAATAAGTTTTTGATGTGAAGCTATTTTGAGATTATTTAAATATCTTATTGCTCATCAAACTTTTACCCTCTGCTCTTAGGATAAAAGCTAATCATTTTCTAACTCCATCATTCTTTCTAAATTTATTGGTTGTACTATTACAAAGTTTTAGAAAGATTATTTATTTATATAATATGTCATGGATTTTTACTGTTACTTCATTGCATTATAGTCCATTGTTATCAATAGTTATTTTGATGTTAAAAATGTCCCTGTTTAGTCAGTGGGAGCCCTTTTATGCAGCCTGTTGAGTCCTATAAAAATGTCCTTATTATTCTTTGATCAATTCCTTACTTTTTGGTACAAAAAGATTTTCTGAGCTCATCCACTGCTTTCTTGCCTTAGCTCTGGAATCAGCCATTTCCACAGAGAGCTGTGGTTACTTTTAGTGGACAGTGGTATTTAGAAACCAAGATCTGAGTGCTGGGTGTGCTTATTGCTACTAAGGTGTCATTGCTTCTAGGCTCTCTCAGCAGGGAGACCTAGGAAATACGTAGCAGCTGGACAGGCTCCACCCCTGCTTTGCTCTGCGTGGACCTGCTGCACGTGCTGCCGATACCAGCCAAAGCCCCCACTTCCTCCCAGCTCAGTTGCACTATTTGTGGGTTTTTTAAAAAAAGGTATTCATGTTTTTTTCATTGAAAGATGCTCAGAATAGTGACCGCCTTAACTAACATCAAGTTAGGAACTGGAGGTATTTTATCTTTCTTTCTGTTCACTATGGGTATGAGAGATGTGACTGTGTTCCAAATATTTGAATGATCGTTTGAGATTGCTGGGTTTGGTCACATTTATTGAGGGTAGGCTCAGTGGTTTAGAGTGCTTCTTAACCCTTTTTGTATCCTGATGTGCATAGGAAACAGTGACATTTGTATACTACACTAAGTTAAATGGATATAATTTGTAGAGGATGCAGTCAATGGGCCTGGGGGCTGTGAGTGTCCAGATTACCCTTGTCTTGTCATACCACAGTAAGAATACAGTGTTTAAAAAGTTCTAAGTTAAAACATGGCACTCCTAAGATGCTAAGATTGTTTGAAGACCTAAATCTTGTGTCTCTAGCCTATGTACTTGATGTTGGTCAGGTCTCGTTTATGTCAGTGGTCACAGGGGAGACCGTGGAAGAGGACATGGATGTCTCAGGACAACCTACTGGCATGTCAGGTTCAGAAGCTCAAAGCATTTGGCTATATTCCTGGAGGATTCACTAATCACCTCCATTAGTGGAGGATTGTGGTAAATCAGTCATTGCTTTCTGTTCTAAATTCATTTATTCATTGGGCTCTTACTTATATGCCAGGCAATGCTGGAGATAATAGGGATACAGTAATGACCAATTTTATCTTTCATGAGGCTCACATTCTAGAAAAGGAGAAAGAATAAAGGAAGAGAAAGGACAATTGTTGATAGTTATGAGTGCTCTGTGGAAGATAAAGCCATGAAAGTGTTTAGAGTTGGGAGCTGTGATTTACATTTTTAAAAGATCAGCTGGGCTTTGGGAAGTGAAGAGCTCTTGTGAGAGACTAGGAGAAAGGTGATGATGACTGAGAGTTGGCAGTCCAATATGGTAGCCATTAGCCACATGTGGCTATTTAAATTTAATTCAAAATTAATAAACATAAAAAAATCAGTTTTTTCCCATTTGCACTAGCCACATCTCAAGTGCTCCATAGGAACATGTGGGTGGTATCTACCAGATTGGACAGTAACATATAGAACATCTCCATTATTGTAAAAAGTTCAAGGCCGGGCGCGGTGGCTCACGCCTGTAATCCCAGCACTTTGGGAGGCCAAGGCAGGCAGATCACGAGGTCAAGAGATCAAGACCATCCTGGCTAACACAGTGAAACCCCGTCTTTACTAAAAATACAAAAAATTAGTCGAGTGTGGTGGCGGGTGCCTGTAGTCCCAGCTACTCAGGAGGCTGAGGCAGGAGAATGGCGTGAACCCGGGAGGCAGAGCTTGCAGTGAGCCGAGATCGCACCACTGCACTGTGGGCGACAGAGCGAGACTCCATCTCAAAAAAAAAAAAGTTCAACCAAACAGCTCTGGTTTAGACCATGGTGGTTGCAGTGGAGATGGGGAGAAGTAAATGGATTTGGGATAGATTTGTTAAATATCATCAAAGACTCGCTGATTGATACGATGTGGTAGCAGAAAGGAGGAGACAAATTAAGGATGGCATGTGGCTTTTCAGCTGCAGCAACTGGGTAGATGGATAAGATTGTGGAGGAACAGGATTGGGTTTGTGAATAAGGAGATCCACTTGGACATATTATGCTATCTCTTTTGTAGCAGAATCCAAATAAATCTTAATGTGAGTGGAGGGAGAAGGAAAAGTCCATTTTGATGAGCTTTTCAATCTCACAGCAGATGCTAAATAAGTCCCATATGTTTGTAAGTCCTCATCTTGCATTAATTTTAAAGAGGCCATTATTGTCTGTTGGTTGTTTTATTAAATACTATTTCATGCTGCTGCAGAATTTAATTCCACGGAAATCCCTTTGTTTGTTTTAATTTTGTTTGAATTGTGATTTGGGATGCCAGCTGAAAGTGACCTGAAAATGAGGAGTTATTTTTGCTCACGGCTTACTTATTAAGAGACCACAGGTTCTAGAATCCTGCCCTGGGCCTGTGACAGGTAAATTAAACCACATTGGCTTTATCTTTTCAGAGTTCAGCACTCTAAAATATATACATAAGGCATGTCTTTTGAAGGAATAACTGTGGGGAGCTGAGGGTACTACAAGTAGCCTGCCTTAAACACAGTGACATTTCTTGATCTCTTTATAGGCAGATGATACCTTGAGACACATGGACAGTAGTCCATGCTGTATACTATATATAAGTGCACTTCACTCTTAGAAATGTCTGCCCATGATGTCCCCGCTTGGAAAGAGTCAGTTGTCTTTGTTGTGACTGCCCTTAGGGTGAGAGGCTGGATTCTGATAGACTTGGGATGAAGACTAAACAAGTTTTTAAAATTTTTATTTTTAAATACCACAGTGCTTTTAGGGCAAATGGTTTACAACCAGATATGGAGCCTGAGCTGAATGAATGAGTGCACATGCATACCCTATGTTCTTCCCAGCACACATTCTTTTGAAGCATGAAAGTCCTCTTTGGGTGCTAGGGTTTTGGGTTCATGACTATGTTGATGAGCCTGTCACCTTGGTTCTCTACTTCATGTTTCCAGACCGCATTTAATTGTTCCTTGGGCATGGGAGAAATCACAGAAGGGGCTGACAAATACAAACTGGAGTTAACTTTGGAACCATGACTCTTGGATTTTACAGAACCACAAGTCCTGGTAGCAGCTGAATCCCTTTAATGTGGCTCCATTCTCCTTTGAATGTTCACTTGTTAATGTATTGAGGCCTCTGTGCTCTTAGGCTATTGTGCAAATCAGATCAATTTCAATTTGCTATTCAAGAGAGGAGGGGTTTTGATTTTTAACATAATGCACGTGACATTCCTTGTCTGCTTCATCTCTGTTTGTTATGACAGCCCCTCCCCCACATCCTGTTCTTCAGGTGGAGAATGAACAGCTATGGTAAGAATAAGTTTACTAGTAAAGTCTTGGGAGTTTCGAAACCTGAATCCTAGGCCACATTGGACTTTGAGTGCACTGGAAGGCATAGGCATATTGGGATAGAGCTTAAAACAAGAAGCAACTAGGTATGCATCACCATGAACTCATAAATGGCAGCCGAACATTGGCTTTCCCCAACCTTCCTTCAGAACCCTGGCTGGGGCTCTAAGTCCAATGAATTTTCCAATTCAACCCACATTTTCTTTTTTTTTTTTCTTTTTCTTTTCTTTTCTTTTCTTTTTTTTTTTTTGAGACAGAGTCTCGCTCTGTCACCCAGGCTGCAGTGCAGTGGCGCAATCTCAGCTTACTGCAAGCTCCGCCTTTCTCACTGCAAGCTCACGCCATTCTCCTGCCTCAACCTCTTGAGTAGCTCGGACTACAGGCACCCGCCACCACGCCCGGCTAATTTTTTTGTATTTTTAGTAGAGGCGGGGTTTCACCATGTTAGCCAGGATGGTCTCGATTTCCTGACCTCATGATCTGCCCACCTCGGCCTCCCAAAGTGCTGGGATTACAGGTGTGAGCCACCGTGCCTGGCCTCAACCCACATTTTCTTCTTGCATGAAATTAATTTAGAACTAAGGAATAAAAACTACCCTGGCATCTATTTAAATGGAAGAAAAAGTCAAAGTTTTTTTTTTAAACAATCTTCTCTGAGTATATGTAGTCAATTTATGTGGACCTAATTTTCTCAAACATTAGGAAGGCCGCAACTGGACCATCAGCCCAAGCATCATGGAGTCCAGCATCAAAATGAGAGTTATATTTGAATTAATAATTTCATTAGAATCAGCTTTTTTAGTTTTAAATTCTTAAATGTCTTTCCCTATATTGCTTGAACCATTTTTGAAAACGATATTGAAAACTACTGAGTGTGCCTTTCTTTTAAAGGCAGGCAAACACCAACCAAGTATTGTCATACTGTTGAAGAAGACAAACATTGAAAGCTGGAACATGACTTTGTAGTACCACAATGTTATGAGGAAACTTTGAAGTGGTTAAATTATATGGACGTGTTTTCAGAATCTACAGCTTTCAGTAGGTATTGGAAATGGAAGCTGATGATGGGAACATTCATTGCATGGGAATTGAATCATAGAAAGATGATTCTGTGGAATAGACCCAGGCGATAGCATTATAGTGAAGCTCCAGGGTTTTTTGATGGACATTTGGAAAATGAAAGCAGAGCATTGGGAAATTCAGGAATCTTTTCTTAGTAGAGTTGTAATAAGACCAAACAGATTTTTTTCCTTCACCATAAATGATAGGCTTTGTGCATCCCCCACAACACTTACAATCATGATTTAAAAAGAGGGGAACTTCCTCTCCAACTGTAAGTTGACTGTATATATTACATATGCATATGTATTTATACACACACACACACACACACACACACACATATGCACACACACTCCTCTCATCTCTCCCCTCACAGGCAAAACTGTGGCCAATAACGGTGCATGTGGATGTTTAGACCAGTTTTAATTGGAGACTTTCAGAGGGGAGGTTGGAAGGCTTTCATGTAAATTTATTTGCCTGTGTATTAATCCACTTCTTCAAGGAGGAGGTTGGAAGTGGTCTTAGAGTTTTGTCCTTACCTTCATGAGACTGCATTTCCAATCTCCCTTCTTTGCTCCACTCTTTGTGAATCTCTGCACCATCAAGTAATGCTGTAAGGGTAGAGCCATCGTTTTTGTTCTAATCACTGTACAGGGCTTTTCAAAGTACAGGGAGAGCTGTCTCACCCTCTCTCACTTAACTCTCACAAACAGGTGAGGTGAGCAAATAGTTTTTAAAGTCCAGGTGAGCCTGTCTGTGAATCCCCTCTTGGATAAATGATTAGTTCAAGTTATATGCCATTGACCAGCCTTGCAAGGCTAATTTTTTTTCCAGCCTATGAAATGCATTTTGTATTCTAACATGTTTCCCAGCTACGCAATTTGTAATCTCAATGGTGTAACAAGCCACAGTAGCTAAGGAAAATTTCATTTTATCCAAGAAGTGAAATTGTGAAATAACCTTGGTCTTAGGAAAGAATACAGCGTCCTTAGAGACTTTATGACAGGGATAAAGAACATTAAGGAAGCTAAATGAAAACCAGAAGAAAAAAAGTGACACACTAAACTGCGCCCACATTGTCTTTCGTATTTTATGTGTGATTTCTGTTGTTCCTCCTGGCGTGGGAGCTTGGGGAGGGCAGACACCAAAAGGTTTCTATCTTGGGACTTAGCATAGCCCTGGCAGTTAGGGAGATTCTCAGTCAATGTGGGGTGAATGTTACCGCACACAGAAGACATACGTGCCGATGGAGATATTGATTGGCTGCTGATTCCGACACATGTTGTGACACTAAGTAATCCAGAAGATGTTTTTCCTTAAAGTTTGCAGAAATTCTCCGCCTGCTGGGGCCAACCGTTTGACACATTGATAGCTTTGAAACAGAATATGGGTCAATTTTGCCACTGCCTCCATTCCACAAAAATGCGCACTTGAAAGCTTTTATGACAAGATGATCAGAGAGCAGAATTTATTTTTGAGCAATTATCCTACTTTTTGTTAAAGTTTGTTCCATTAACTTTCACCATGAGTTTTGTTTGATATGTGTTAGAATGCAGCCTATGCTGGGCAGCAGAGGCTGTGGCAAAGGCTATGAGTGAGATGAGGTGTCACTAAGACTACACATACTCACTCCAGCACTATCTCTTAACCTTGCCTTACTTATTTTTTTTAATAACCTGTCTGTCTCTGAAATTTTTTTTGTTTATTTTTGTTCAGTTTTAGTTGTTTTTTTTTTTTTTTGCTTCTGTGTTTATTTTCTGCCTTCCCTATTAAAGCATAACCTCCACAAAAGCAGGACACTTGATCTGTGACCCTGATATCTAGAACACTACTAGGCCCATTATAGATGCTTGATTAATGTTTATTGGATGAATGAATAAATGAATAAAAATATGTGCACTCAGAGCACATGTATATTATGCATTAATTCCCAAATATTTATCAAGTTTCTATTACGTGCCTAGTGCTTTTTCGCATGCCAGGGTTTCAGCAGTGAACAAGATACACAACCTGTGCTTACAAAATGTAATGTCTAGTGTGCTGTTCAATATGGTAGTCTCTAGCCACATGTGGCTACGTAAATTAGCTAAAATTAAATAAAATTAAAAATTCAATTTCTTAATTACACTAGCCACATTTCAAGTGCTTACACGTAGTTAGTGGCAACCATAGTGGAGAGTGCAAATGTAGAACATTTCCATCATCATCAGAAGTTCTACTGGACAGTCCTTGTTTAGTGACAAGACAGAGAAAATCAACATGGGGATACTTCCATTGCAAAGGGATACAGTATATGCTATGTAAAGAATATGTACAGGTTTTAAAGGGAGCATCTAGGAGAGGCTACTAGCCCAGATTAGGGTGTGGCTGGGTTGTCAGGGATGGCTTCCTGGAGGACTTCTAAACTGAGACAAAGATGCATAGGGTTTCGACAGGCTAAGGGAGACAAAGGAAGGAGGATATCTACATCAAGGAAACAGCTGGAGTAGAAAGGGCTAGAATAAGAGATGTTTTACCTGGTCAATTCTAGGAGGCCCTGGTATTTTATACCAAGGCCTAAGGAGGGGTGAATTGATGGCACGTAGGAGCAAGCCACTTCTCATAAGGGAAATAGTTTTTTTCCATGGCAGCTTCTGCCTCTTCTCCAGCCCAGGTCACAATCTCCAACAGCCTCCTAATGAACGGGTCTTCCTGTTTCTAGTTTTGGCTTCTTCCATTCATCTCCAGCAAACCCCAAATCTGATTATATTACTCACTTGCTGAGAACACTGCACTGCCTCCCCATACCCCTCAGGGTATAGCCCCAGCTCTTTAATGTGCCTATGAAGCTCTTTGTCATCTGGCCCCCATTAACTTTTCTGAAACTTCTCTTCTACTCATTGCCTCTAACACTATGCCCTATTTAGATGGAGTAGCATCCGTTCCTCACATGTTCTATCTCTCTTGCCTCTAGGCTTCTGTATCTGCTGTTTCCTCTGCATGGAAAACTCTTTTCCTTTGGCCTCATCCTTGTTTCCATAGTTGCCTTTTAGACCTCAGCTAAAAGTTAGTTTTTCAGGAATTTCTGATATCAAAATCAAGGTGAGAGGCGCCACCTGTGTGCCATGTGTGTCTTCCCCACCATCCCTGCCCCTGTTGTAGCACACACTGCTGTATTGTTTTGCCTGCTTATGTGTCTGTAACCCTCAGCCCTGGGACTGCAAGGGACCACATTTGCCTTGTTTCCTATTTTGTCCTAAGTATCCAGCACAGTGCCTGGCTCATACAAAGATCTCAGAAAATCTTTTCTTAATGAATGAATGGGTTTCGTGATTGATCCATTGTTAAGATGTGAGCCACTACAAGTGTGGCTGTGAAATGAAGCTGAAGACATCACTGTGGATCATTAGAGGAAGCACCTAGAACTCAGCCATTGGGGAAAAAGAGATGAAAGTCAGTCCTTGAAGAAAGCAGATCAATGACCCTTGTTATTTGTTCTTATATTTAATTTTTAAAAATCGAGGTATAATTTACATATATCATTCACCCACTCGATGCATATGATCCAGTGACTTTTGGTAAATTTACCAAATTGTGCAACCATGACCATAATCCAGTTTTAGAATCCCAGTAAGATTCCTCTGCACATTTACAGTTAATCCTCTTTCCCACTCCCAGCCCCAGGCAACCACTAATCTACTTTCTGTCTCTATGGATTTGCCTTTTCTGGGCATTTCATACAATTGGAATAACACAGTTTATGGTCTTTGTGTCTGGCTTCTTTCACTTAGAAAAATGTTTTCAAGGTCAATCCATGCTGTAGCATGTATCAGTATTTCATTCCTTTTTTATTGTCAAATAACATTCTATTGAATGAGTATATTACATTTTACTTCTCCATTCATCAGTTGGTGGACATTTGGGTTGTCTCCCCTTTTTGGCTGTTATGAACAGTGCTGCTATGAACATTCACATACAAGTCTTTCAGTAGAAGGATGACTTCATTTCTTCTGAATAAATATTTACGAGTGGGATTTCTGGGTAAATTTAAATTTAACGTTTTAAGAAACTACCAAACTGTTTTGCAAAGTTGCTTCACCATTTTACATGTCTGCTAAGAATGCATGCGGCAGCCCTTAGCCTTCAGGGCTAACTTTAACCAAGGCTATATGCCCTTTCATCCCTCCGTCTGGTGTTGTGTGCTGGCAATTAGTAACACAGTGTCTCTTTCCTTACAGAAAAAGGTGCGTGCAGGATGGGTGAGATGGTGGCAAGGCTTGATAGATCTCTTTCTGCACTGAGTGTGAATGAATTTGGGACCTTTTCAGTGATGCTGTCTTAGGAGCCTGCTGGAAAACCCACTGTTGACAGCCATCCAGTGAGAATTATATTGTTTGCATTTTATTAAAGTGGAGCCAAGTGGACCTTGAACTTACATAAACAAATGGAGTCCATGGAAATGCATATAAAGATT
This sequence comes from Homo sapiens, assembly GCF_000001405.40. Classification (NCBI taxonomy): domain Eukaryota; kingdom Metazoa; phylum Chordata; class Mammalia; order Primates; family Hominidae; genus Homo; species Homo sapiens. The sequence continues at coordinate 4,211,214 of NC_000009.12, read as the reverse complement.
AGGGCACAAGTTCATGTATTCGGCACAATCTGGAATAGTCCAGCAAACAGGTTATTACTGGTTACTTACCATGTGGTCAGGATGGAGCTAGATGCTGGTGGAGTGTGGATGGTGCAGATGCTCAAGGAATTTAGCCTTGTTGAGGGCGCCTGTTTAATCCGTAGGAAATCACAGCCTAACCTTGCAAGACAGGATTTACTTAAGTGGAGAAGAGTGTGGTACAGATTCCAAATTTATCAATATAGTGGAAACTCTGCGCAGAGGATGGCCCATGGAGCTAAAGCTGTCAGGGAAGCTTCCTAGATAAGGGAGGGTAGGGGTGTGTGGAATTTACCTTGGAAGAAGGAAAATGGCAGACATTCCAAGTTGGGGGACAAGAGAAAGCCCAGAAGTGGGCAGGCCCATGACTTGCTTATTGGTGAGACCATAAGGAGACTGGCTCTAGCAGGTGAAGCTGCATCGAAGCGTACAGCCAGTGGGGCCTGCAGGTACCCTGCTTCCTTGGACGAGCAGGATAAGCATTGTATTTCTTTCCTTATTTTGAAGCTCTGTCATTTCCCAGAAAGCCTTGCTTATTTTTAAACTGAAGACTTAAGTTTTCTGCATTGTAGAATTCCCACATAAGAAAAGAGTCCCAGGGCAGCTCACTAAAATTTGCTCTTAAAAAAAAAATTGCTGCTTAGCAGTCATAAATAGCTTGCTGGATATGAATTTAAGCAGGCCACATTTGAAATTCTATTCTATTCTAATTCAGAGCATGTTGCACAGCCCTGTTTTCGGATTGGCAATTCAAATGCTTTCCCAGATAATGCAGAGGGATGTTAAGATAAACTAAGGCCACCACAAAATAGAAAAGGCAATTGGATGCTGAACTTCGCTGATAACAAGAGGCATGATAATCTGATGGTTACTTTCTGGTTGGATTGTTCAAAGATGGAATGATTAACCATACCACAAATCCTTTACATATTGCAAAACTATCATAATAGGTACTTTCTGATGTTTTCTCAAGAAGGTCTTTGGGGCTTCTATTACTGGAATTAGGCTCATTTATTAAGGCTTGAATTAACTAAGGTATGTATTGTTCTGAAGAAAGCATCTTTTATTCAGTAAATACTCAATGGGGTGCCCACTATGTGCCAGGCATTATACCAGCACTGGGGACACCAAGCTGAACAAAATATCATCCTTACATTTCCTGAAATGTGCAGCCTATCTTGATGTTAAGCCATAGACTGATATTGATGGAAAACATTACGGATGAGGGGATGGGATGTCTTGTCTCCTTTGTGTTTGTACACAGATCCTCTTTGCAGTCTTGGCCTGGAGCAGTGGTTCTCAACTTGGGGTGATTTTGCCAATGCTTGGAGACATTTTGATGGTCACAACTGGGGGGGGGCGGGAATGCTACTGGATTCTGGTGGACAGTGGACAGGGATGCTGTTAAACATCCAGAGATGCACAGAATAACCCCCACAACAAAGAATTAGCTAGCTCAGAATGTCAGTAGGAGTGACGTTAAGAAACCCTGGCAGAGAGGAACATGATAGGAATTCTATGAAGGCTCTAGCAGTGAGCCTCTCCTGACAAGTGCTATCATTAACATTGGAGAGAAAAATGAAATGGAATTACTGTGATTTTTAAGAGTCCAAGAGGATGGCAGGCACAATGAGAATAGCACAGACTTGTTGCTGGTGAAGTTTCTATTGGGAAAAGGAAGTCCATCTTGAGAAGCTTTCTGCAAATGGGCTCTTGCCACCTGGAGTAGGAGGGTTCTTTGTGTGTGGGACTGTTGTACAGATTCCAAGACGTTTAGTTTCTCTGGTCCACACCCATGAATGCCAGTAACATGCCCTGACATTATGAGAAACCCAGATACCCTATGCATCAAAATGTCCCAGAAAGGAGGTAGCACAAGCACCTGTTGAAAATCTTCAGGAAGGAGCACCAGTGTATGGGTCAGGATGTGTGGGTTCTAGATGAACTCAGGGTAATTTTACGTCTTTGAGTGAGCATCTTCATTTATAAGATGAGGGGGTTGGGTTAGATCAGGGGGTCTCCAGAGTGGTGCATGAGCGTCCATTTTGATGCAGGAAGAAAATCTTAGGACTTACGTAATTTATATGTCATCTTTTAAAATGACACTTTTATATATATCTTATGATACACCTGGCATGAGCAGTAGCATGGATGCAACTTTATGTGAAAATGTACATTTATGGGAAGTGTTCTCAAGAGTGCTTTATGAAGAAGTGCACCATCAGAGAAGCTGGGGATCCAGACCTCCTCCCATCCAGACAGCCTTTATTATGGAAAGGAATATCATGAAAGCTGGAGGCTTTCTAGCCACAGATTCACCTCCTCTGAAGGGCACACAAGGTGTTGGTCACTGGTGTCACCAAGAGCCAGCCACCCATTGAGTTCCATCTCCAGGCATTTAGAGGGTGGCATAAGGCTTTGGGCAAAACTGGACACCTATCTTTGTCACACAGAGTTAGACTCTTTAAACGCTAGCAACCATCCAGGGTTTTTCAAATTATTCTCTACCCAAGTGCGGAACATACTATTCCCTAACAGACAATTTCAGTCACACTTTACAGAGAGCACAGGACATGGTTAAATTGTAAAATCCCCTCTCCCAAACGGGCCTTCAGAAGAAATGGCTCTTCCAATCCTGCCCACTCCAGCAATGGCAGAAGAGAGCACTTGTTTTCAGACACTCATGTTACACCATGTTGAGCAACTTAGCATGACTTTATATTCTTAAGACCACTCTCTGGAAGCTGTTCAGAGGCATGATCCTTGCTCAGTCCCCTTGCCATTGACGTCAGGCTGAGCTGCAGGGAGATGTGCCCACTGAAGATCAGAACTTGTTTGTGGCCATTGCAGTCTCGAGATTTAAAACAGGAGTCCTCTCCATCCCCCATGCCCAAGCCGCTTAATTATCAGATCTCCTTTGTCATTTAACTTGGGGAGAATGTCTACTTGTTGTCGTATAAAGAAGCCATATTTTAGAAATCAGTTTCTTAGATTACTCATGTGTGGCAAGAATCTGCTTTGTCAAATAAAAGCTTTTCTCCCAGGGGACTGAACTCAAATGAAAACTGCAGGCCTGGTTAGGCCTGCTCTTGGCAGGCAAAGAGGTTAATGTGACGTTAGTGGTATAAAAGTCACTTTCCTGGTGGTGTACAGAATGGTTATTGAGTCACACACACTAACTGTGCTGTTTAAAGCACACCGCTACCCCCAACGTGGTTCCAGGGACATATAGCATTTTTGGGGCAGCTGAAGTGGAAGTATTTTAGCCAGATAAAGAAAGCGAAGTTAGAATTATAGAATCAGTGACCCAAAAGTGATCTTAAAAAGATCATTCCCTTTGCTTTTTTGCCTCATACCTGTTTGGAGGAAGTGAGGTGTAATGGTTAAGGATGCAAGCCCAGGGCCAGGCTGCCTGTTCTGGGTTCCCCATCTGCTACTCATGAGCTGTGTGGCTTTGGGCAACCAGTATATCCTCTCTCTCCTGCTTTTTTCTCATCTGCGATGCAGGCACAATGAGTACGATTATGCTTATGTCACACATAGTATGGGCTGTGGAGATTAAAGGCAATAATGTCTGTGAAGATCTTACTATGTGTAAGGCACGTAGTAACATGTTAGCTATTTGTTTAGCTGTTATTATTAACTTTAAGCAGGAATAATTATGAATCCTCCCAGATTTGTAACCTGTCTCTAAATTGCTCCATAAGCATCATTTTGAGGTAAAGGCATAATGAAAAAAATACACATTTTAATCCTGCAAATGTTTCTTTTCCATCCAGTGGAGGAGCATAAATCACCAGCGATTATTTGCCTTGGGCTGAATGGAAATTCCTAAGTTAAGAGTGCTCCTCTTGTCATGCTGGCTGTTGTAAATATTTTGTGTGCATCCTTAAGTTTAGTGGGGCTGGCAGAGTCCACCTTCCCTCTGCATAGTGTGGGGACGAAGGGGGCAGCTTCAGCATGTGGCTGCTCTGTGTCGGGAGGGGAGGTGGGGTTGGATGATAAAATTGGACTGGGTTATGAAAGATGTTATGGATTATTCTCCACATACCATTATGGATTGGGAAGTGTAGCCCAGAGGTAGGGATGAATGTGTTGCCTTTGTAGGGGCCCTCTGGTCTAGGGATTCTGTTATTTTAAAAGGGCAAGTTGTCTTTGTTGGCTTCCATCCCCTCTGGCTCTACAAAATATGTATTTGGCGTCAGTGAGTACGAATGTCCAAATAAGGATATTAAGCAGTTGTTGTTTGTCAGTATCATGGACTTCGTCCTCCCCCCTTCCTCCCAGCGCGATATGCCAAGTATCTACACTGAATTGTGAAAACTATGTTAATCTCTCAGTTGTACTCAGATTTGACAGGTCGCATTTCAATAAACAGTTAAACAGTTCAGCTCTTGGTAAACTGATGCAGAGTTTCGATCTATCAAAGATTTTCATTCAAACCGTTACCACAATTCTGCATTTTTCACCAGTATATCATTTCATTTATGGATGGTTCACACCCCTTATTAGACCTGAGAATTTAAGGTGTGAGGCCTAGAGTTCTTCCAGTTCAGCAACATGCTTTGGGAGAGATTATAAAGTATTCTCTTGTTTCATTGACCTCAGAGATCAGGGAATATTGTAGTTTATTTAAATGTCCACTGCACATAGGCTGTGTGGGATTTTCCAAAGCAGTTCATAAAGCTACGCCTCTATTTTCTGCTAATAGGCGTCTGAGTTTTATATTATCATGACTTTCAGTTGGAAATAGTAATAGAAAATAAGCCTCTTTCAAGGTTAGATGTTAGGCAGTCTTCATATACTGCAATTTGGTGAAAGAGATCCTGTGTAAGCCAGTCTTTTAGTAATTTTTTAGAACACCCTCATTACAGCCTCTCTGAGCTTTTTTCTTTCCACAGTGAAACATTTCCACCTCTTTTTAAAATGTCTTCAATAAATATATAGAAGCTAATACTCACTTGCAATATCCCTTGGTCACTATTAAGATTCCCTTTCCAGATAGTTCTGTTATAGATTTTCTTAGATCTAGTGACCAGAAAGCATGTAGAGTTTGCCTTCATAATTTGAAAATGGGGGGATCTTGTACCACTTATATATTTTCCCTTCCATACCTTCAACTCTTCTCTTCTAGATCAGTTCTGTCAGCTTCTAAATCAGATTCAGGTATCTTGCATCTTGGAACAAGCAAGCAAACAAACAAACAATGAACAAAAACAAACTAAAAAAAAAGAAATCCTGTTGACCACACCTGATCCTTTGAGTGCAGCCTAAACAGTTTTCTTTTATTCATATTTCTTAAAGGAGAAGTCATCCATATTTAATATGTCTACCTATCCCTTGAAACTGCTTTCATTGAGGTCACTGCTGAACCTCTCTGTCAGCCTGGATTCTTAGTCTTGTCTTGTTGGAACAGTTTTAACTGGCTTAAACAATCATGGAGAATTCTTGTCTCATGTAACTGAAAAATCCTAAAGTGGGTGCTGGCCTTAGGTGAGGTTTGATCCAGTGCCTGAAATGATTCACCAAGGACCTGGATTCTCCCCACATCCATGTTTTGGCTTCATCCTTCAGCTCCTCCGTGCTACTCACTCACCTTCCAAGCCCCCACCTCTAGACTTTCCTCTCTTATAGCACTAGGCCTGCAAGCAGCTCCAGACATCACATTCTCACATCAAATCTTCCAGGGAAGAGACAGCATGTCTTTTTCTCAGAATCCCCAGAACATATCTCCTTGTATCCCATTGTCTCTGCTTCAGGTCCTGCCTATCCCTGAACCAATTCGTAACTCTGGCCAGGAGCTTTGGAATATGAGGATTGACTGAAGCCAGTCATGGCTTAGCCTTGGAGCTGTAAATCCAGATCACATGACTACAAGTGGGGAAATAGTTGAATTGGGGTGCTGTACATAAGGAGAGAGAGAGAGGGTTTTGAGCAGCAATAATAGTGGCTTGCTGTCTTGAAATAGTCATAACTGATTCCTTTTTTTTTTTTTTTTTTGACAGAGTCTCGTTCTGTCACCCAGGGACTGGAGTGCAGTGGGGTGATCTCAGCTCACTGCATTCTGCACCTCCTGGGTTCAAGTAATTCTCCTGCCTCAGCCTCCCAAGTAGCTGGGATTACAGGTGTGAACCACCACGCCCAGCTAATTTTTGTAGTTAATAGAGACGGGGTTTCATCATGTTGGCCAGGTTGGTCTGAAACTCTTGACCTGAGGTGATTTGCCCACCTCGGCCTCCCAACTGACTCCTTCTTTTTTTTTGAGATGGAGCTTTGCTTTGTCACCCAGGCAAGAGTGCAGTGGTATGATCTTGGCACGCTGCAACCTCCGCCTTCCGGGTTCAAGCAATTCTTCTGCCTCAGCCTCCCGAGTAGCTGGGATTACAGGTGCCTGCCACCACGCCCGGCTAATTTTTTGTATTTTACTAGAGACACGGTTTGAGTTGCCCAGGCTGGTCTCAAACTCCTGAGCTCAGGCAGTCTGCCCGCCTCGGCCTCCCAAAGTGCTAGGATTACAGGTGTGAGCCACTGTGCCCGGCCTGATTCCTTCTTGATACTTGACTCTCTTGGTATCAACTCCCTTCCATCTTGGTGTGTTCAACCTCCCTGGTTCTCTGCATTTTTCTTGGACTGTCATACGTTAGTTCCTTGGTGGGCTCCTCTTACTCTGCTTGTTAATAAGTATTGGTTTCCCTAGGATGCAGCCTTTTCTTCCTCCCCTTGCTTTTTTACTGGTTCCTTTCATATTCTGTATCTTCTCAGCTTCTGCCTGCAGATGTATGCATGGAGTCTCTTACTCTCAGACCTAATGAGTTCCTGAAAGTGTATCAGATGGTTATATGTACAAAAACCAAAGCCAAATATTTTCTAGAAGGCATTGGGATGTGTGTGTGAAAGAATCGTTATAAAATCGCTAACTGTACTCCTCTTTTTACATATTATCTTCAATCAGAAGATATTTTCAAAATTGTGCACCTGTTTTCTTTAGTGCTTTTCCTTCATAGTAGATCATTCTTTCATCAGCTTAAATTCATTGGCTATCTGACATTTTAGTAATCTCTTTTTTAAGTAATTTCAACTTTTATATTAGATTCAGAGGACACATGCAGGTTTGTTACCTGGGTATATTGTGTGATGCTGAGGATGGATCATGTTAACGCAGGTACCTAGCATATACCCAACAGTTTTTCAACCCTTGCCCCATTTCTCTTTCCCCACTGTAGTAGTCTTCAGTTTCTATTGTAGCCATCTTAATGTCCATGAGTACCCACTGTTTGGCTCCTACTTATAAATGAGAATATGGAGTATTTGGCTTCCTGTTCTTGTGTTAATTCACTTAGGATAATGGCCTCCAGCTGCATCCATGTTGCTGTAAAAGACATGATTTTGTTCTTTTTTATGGCTGTGTACTATTCCATAGTGTATATGTAACACATTTTCTTTATCCCATCCACCACTGACGGGGGCACCTAGGTTCATTCCATGTCTTTGCTATTGTGAATAGTGCTGCAGTGAACACACGAGTGCATATATCTTTTTGGTTGAAAAATTTGTTTTCTTTTGGATATATACCCAGATCCAGTAATGGGATTGTGGGGTGAAATAGTATTAATAATTCTGTTTTTTTCCTTTTCTTTTTAAATATTGATTCATTTACATTTTTAATTTTAATTTAATTTTAAGTTCCAGGCTACATGTGCAGGACGTGCAGTCATGTTACGTAGGTAAATGTGTGTTCTAAGTTCCTTGAGAAATCTCGGAACTGCTTTCTACAGTTGCTAAACGAAATTGCATTCCCACTGACAGCATATAAGCATTCCCTTTTCTCCACAGCCTCACTAGCATCTGTTGATTTTTTTTTCACTTTTTAATAACAGCCATTCTGACTGGTGTGAGATGCTACCTCATTATGATTTGGAGTTGCATTTATCTGATGACTACTGCTGCAGAGCATTTCTTCATGTCTGTTGGCCACTTGTATGTCTTCTTTTGAGAACTGTCTATTCATGTTTTGTGCCCATTTTTTGGTAAATGGGATTGTTTTTTGCTTGTTCAATTGTTTAAGTTCTTTGTAGATTCTGGATATTAGATCTTTGTCAGATACATAGACATAGTTTGCTAATATTTTCCCCTATTCTGCAGGTTGTCTCTTTGCTGATAATTTCTTTTGCCGTATAGAAGTTCTTTAGTTTAATTAGGTCCCACTTGTCAACTTTTGTTTTTGTTGCAATTGCCTTTGACTTTAGGACTTAGTCATAAATTCTTTCCCATGGCAATGTCCAGAATGGTGTTTCCTAGCTTTTCTTCTAGGATTCTTACAGTTTGAGGTCTTACATTTAAATCTTTAATCCATCTTGACTTAATTTTTGTATATGGTGAACAGAAAGAGTCCCACTTCATTCTTCTTCATTTGGCTAGCCAGCTATCTCAGTATCATTTATTTAATAGGGATTCCTTTCCCCATTGCTTACTTTTGTTGACTTTGTCAAAGATCTGATGGTTACAGGTTTGAGATTTTACTTCTGGGTTCTCTATTCTATTCCATTGGTCTGTGTGTCTGTTTTTGTACTTTCACCATGCGATTTTGTTTACCGTAGCCTTATAGTAAGGTTTGAAGTTGGGCAATGTGATGCCTCCATCTTTGTTCTTTTTGCTTAGCATTGCTTTGGCTGTTTGGGCTCTTTTTTGGTTTCACGTGAATTTTATTTATTTATTTTTATTTTTATTTTATTTTATTTTATTTTATTTTTTGAGACTGAGTCCTTGGGAGGCTGAGGTGGGTGGATCACAAGGTCAGGAGTTCCAGACCATCCTGGTGAACATGGTGAAACCCTGTCTCTACTAAAAATACAAAAAAATTAGCCAGGCATGGTGGCGGGCGCCTGTAGTCCCAGCTACTCGGGAGGCTGAGGCAGGAGAATGGCATGAACCCAGGAGGCAGAGCTTGCAGTGAGCCGAGATTGTGCCACTGTCTTCCAGCTTGGGCAACAGAGCAAGACTCCGTCTCAAAAAAAAAAAAAAAAGAAAAAGGGGGAGAAAAAAAAGAGTCTTGCTCTGTCACCCAGGCTATACTGTAGTGGCGTGACCTTGGCTCACTGCAACCTCCGTCTCCCGGGTTCAAGCAGTTTTCCTGCCTCAACTTCCCTATAGCTGGGATTACAGGTGCGTGCCACCACACCTGGCTAATTTTTTGTATTTTTAGTAGAGATGGGGTTTCACTATACACTGGCCAGGCTGGTCTCGAACGCCTGACTTCAGGTGAACTTCCTGCCTCGGCCTCTCAAACTCCTGGAATTACAGGCATGAGCTACCATGCCTGGCTTCATGTGAATTTTAGAATAGCTTTTTCTAGTTCTGTGAAAAATGAAGTTATTAGCTTAATAGGAATAGCACTGAATCTGTAGATTGCTTTGGCCAGTATGGTCGTTGTAATGGTATTGAGTCTTCCAATCCATGAGCATAGAATGTTTTTTCATTTGTTTGTGTCACCTCTGATTTTTTTTCAGCAGTGTTTTTTGTAGTTCTTGTTGTAGATATTTTTTAGCTCCCTGGTTAGCTCTATTCCTGGGTATTGTATTCTTTGTGTGGCTATTGTGACTCGGATTTTGTTCTTAATTAGGCTCTCAGCTTGAATGTTATTAGTGTATAAAAACACTACGGACTTTTGTACAGTGATTTTTGTATCCTGAAACTTCACTGAAGTCGTTTATCAGTTCTAGGAGCCTTTGGTGGAGTCTTTAGAGTTTTCTAGGTATAGAATCAGATTTTCCACAAAGACGGGACAGTTTGACTTCTTCTTTTTCTATTTGGATGCCTTTTTTTCTTTCTCTTGTCTGATTGGTTTGGTAAGGACTTCCAGTACTATGTTGGATTAAGACTGGTGAAAGTGGTCATCCTTGTCTTGTTCCAGTTTTCAAGGGAATGCTTTTAGGTTTTGTCTGTTTAGTATGATATTGGCTGTGAGTTTGTAATAGATGATCTGATTATTTTGAGGTATGTTCCTTTGATGCCTAGTTTCTTGAGGTTTTTTATCATGAAGGCATGTTTGATTTTATAAAAAGCTTTTTCTGCATCTATTGAGATGATCGAGTGGTTTTGTTTTTAATTCTGTTTATGTGGTGAATCACATCTATGGATTTGCATATGATGAACCAATCTTGCATCCCAGGAATGAAGCCTAATTGATTATGGTGAACTAATTTTTGATGTGATGCTGAATTTGGTTTGCTAGATTTTGTTGAGGATTTTTGCATCTGTGTTCATCAGGGATATTGGCCTGTAGTTTTCTTTTTTCAGTGTGTTTTTTCCAGGTTTTGGTCTCAAGGTGATCCTTGCATCATAGAACGAGTTAGGCAGGAGTCGTTCCACTTTGATGTTTTTGGATAATTTCGGTAGGATTATTATCAGCTCTTCTTTGTATGTCTGGTAGAATTTGGCCGTGAGTCCTGTGAGTCCATCTGGCCTTGGGCTTTTTTTGGTTGGTAGGATTTTTTCTGTTTGTTTTTGTTTGTTTTTTTCTGATTCAATTTTGGAACTCGATATTGGTCTGTTCAGGGTTTTAATTTCTTCCTGTTTCAATTTTGGCAGATTGTGTGTTTCCAGGAATTTATCTATTTCCTTCAGACTTTCTAGTTCGTGTGCATAGAGGTGTTCATAATAGTCTCTGAAGATCCTTTGTGTTTCTTTGGGATTGGTTGTAATGTTGCGTTTATCATTTCTGATTGTGCTTATTTGGATCTTCTCTGTTTTTTTTCTTTGAATAATCTAGCTAGTAGTCTACCAATCTGATTTATTCTCTCAAAAAACAACTTTTGATTTTGCTGATTCTTTATGGATTTCTGGGTCTCAATTTTTTTTTTCAGTTCTGCTCTGATTTTAGTTATTTATTTTCTTCTGCTAGCTCTGGAGTTAGTTTGTTCTTGTTTCTCTAGTTCCTCTAGGTTTGAGGTTAGTTCATTAATTTGAGATCTTTATAATTTTGCAAGGTAGGTGTTTAGCACTAAAAACTCCTGTTAGCGCTGCTTTGTCTGCATCCCAGAGATTTTGGTATGCTGTATCTCTGTTTTCATTTATATTGAAGTTTGTAAAAAATTTCTGCCTTAATTTTATTGTTTACTCCAAGGTCATTCTGAAGTAAGTTAATTTCCATGTAATTGTGTGGTTTTGAGAGGTCTTCTTGGTATTGATTTCTGTTTTTATTCCACTGTGGTCCAAGAGTACGATTGGTATGATTTCGATTTTTTTGAATTTATTGTGACTTGCTTTATAGCTGAGCATGTGGTTGGCTTTGGAGTATGTTCCTTGTGTAGATGCAGAGAATATATATTCTTTCGTTGAAGGTGAAGTATTCTGTACATATCTATTAGGTCCAATTGGTCAAGTGTTGAATTTAACTACAGATTTTGTTTGTTTGTTTTTTGCCTCAATGATCTGTCTAATGCTGTCAGTGGGTGTGTTGAAGTCCCCCACTATTATTATAATGCTCTCTAAGTCTTTTTTGTAGGTCTAGAAGTACTTGTTTTATGAGTATGAGTGCTCCAATGTTAGGTGCATATGTATTTAGGATAGTTAAGTCTTCTTGTTGAATTGAGCCCCACTTTTTTTTTTATGTATTACCTTTTTTGGTCCTGTTTTGCTCTTGTTGGAAAAGTCTGTTTTATATGATATAAGTTATATCATATAAACTTATATATAACTTATATATATAAACTTATATATAACTTATATATGATATGTTATAAAAGTCTGTTTTATATGATATAAGGATAGTTACCTATACTCTTTTTTGTGTTGCATTTGTGTGACAGATCTTCTCTAAACCTTTACTTTGAGCCTATGGTTGTCATTACATGTGAGGTGGGTCTCTTGAAGACAGGAGATAGATTGGTCTCGTTTTTCATCCAACTTGCCACTCTGTGCCTTTTAAGTGGGGGGTTTTAGGCCATTTCATTCAGGGTTAATACTGAGATGTGAGACTTTGACCCTTCTATGAAGTTGTTGGCTGGTTGCTTTGTAGTTTCTATTGGGTGATTGCTTTATAGGATTTGTGGGCTATCTGCTTAAGTGTGTTTTTGTGGTAACAGGTATAGTTCTTTCCTTTCCATGTTTGGAACTCTCTTATGGTTATCTTGTAAGATTGGTCCAGTGGTGGTGAATTCCCTTAGGGCTTGCTTGTTTGGAAAAGATTTTATTTCTCCTTTGCTTATGAAGCTTAGTTTGGTGGGATATGAAATTCTTGGCTGGAATTTCTTTTCTTTAAGAATGCTGAAAATTGACATCTAATCTCTCCTGGCTTATAAGGTTTCTGCTGAGAAGTTTGCTGTTAAACTGATGGGGCTCCCATTGTATGTGACCTGACCTTTTTCTCTAGCTGTCTTCAAGATTTTTTCTGTAGCATTGACCTTGGACAGTCTGGTGACTATATGTCTTGGTGATGTTCATTTTGTGTAGCATCTCATAGGTGTTCTCTGGATTTCTTGTATCTAGGTGTCTGCCTCTCTAGCAAGATTGGGGAAATTTTCTTGAATTATTTTCTCAAATATGTTTTCCAAGGTATTTTCTTTTTCTCCACTTCTCTCAGGAATGCCAGTAATTTGTAAGATCTGTCAGTTTATTTACATAATCCCATATTTCTCAAAGACTGTTCATTTTTAAAATTCTTTTTTTCTTTAGTTTTGTGTGATGGGGTTAGTTTGAAAGACTGGTTTTTAAGCTCTGAAATTCCTTCTTTTGCTTGGTTCAGTCTATTGATGAAATTTTCAATTGTATTTTGTAATTCCTTAAGTGAGTTTTCTACTTCTAGAGTTAGAATTAGAAACTCATGTAAGGAATTTGAAAATACAATTTTTAGAATTAGATTAATGATTAATTTCTTTTTAAGATGTTTATCTTTTCTTTCATTTCCTGGATTGCCTTACAAAGTTTCTTTGTGTTGCTTTTTCAACCTTGTCTTGGATCTCATTGAGCTTGCTTGCAATCCATGCTTTGAATTCTTTATCTGCCATAACTGAATTTCCATTTTGGTTAGGGGCCATTGCTGGAGAGTTAGTGTTATTCTTTGGTGGCGTTACTACATTCAGATATTTCTTGGTGCTAGAATTCCTGCACTGGTTCCTTCTCATCTGGAAGTGCTGGCACTTCTAATTTTTGTAATTAATTTCATGCAGGCAGGAATTTTTATTTTTCTTTCTTTCCATATATATTTTTGTTCTTTCTTTTTGTCTCTTTCTCTTTCCCTCTCCCTTTCCCTTTCCCCTCCCTTCCTAGGGGGCGTGATTGTAGAGAATGCTGGGTATGGTCTTTTGGCTTTACTTCTACAGCCCTGTGCACTTTGGTTGGCAGGTTTTATATTGGGCTGTGCAGTTTGACCTACAAGCCAGTAGATGGCGCAGATGAGTAAGAGCTGGCGGTGGCCTTTGTGGCTGGGTGTCCTTGCTCACTGGCAGAAACTCTCTACTGACTTAGACAACAGGCTAATTCATGGAGTACATAGTGGTCTGAGCTCCCTCCTCAGCCCCGGTGAAGTGGGTGGCAAGATGGGCAGGGCAGGACTGGGCAGGTTTGCCTACACTTCCCCAGCAGCAGGCACGAGCACCAGCACCAAGGGAGAATCCAGTGGGCGGACACCAAATGCCCAGATATGTGCCTAGGCATGGAGCTGGGAAACCTCCTTGGCCTTAAGTTCTCTGCAAGGTGATGGAGTTGGGGGTGGGGGCAGGGGGGCAGCCTAAACTCCTAATCCAGGAGAGTGAATGCTGTGGATGCTCAAAGATCTACCTGTGTATGGAGCAGAGAATGCCTCCCTGTACCATGATCTCTACACAAGGAGGGTAGGGCAGTTTAGGCTACTGATCCAGGCAAGTGGGTGCTCCAAATGTCTGGAGATGTGCTTAGTCATGGAGTGGAGAGGGCCCCCTTGCACAGCATCTCTGCATAGGGAAGGTGGGGCAACTCAGGCTCCTAGTCCATGTGAGGGAGTGCTCCAAAGGCCTGGAGATCTGCCTACTGCCTGTGTGTGGAGCACAGAGAGCCCCACTGCACCACAATCTATGCACAGGAAGGGTAAGATGTTCAGGCTGCTGATATAGGCTAGGAGGGGCTCTGAATACTTGGAGATCTGCCTGGGCATGGAGCAGAGCCCCACTGCACCACGATCTATGTCCGTGAAAGGTGGGGTGGCTTAGGCTGCTGGTCCAGGCAAGCAGATGCTCCAAGTGCCTGGAGTTCTGCCTAGGGGTGGAGCGGAGAGGGCCCTACTGCACCATGATCTCAGGGGAACAGGCTGGGGCACTCAGCAAGGACACATGCAGATTGGTTCCAGGTTGCCAAGCTGGACTTGGTTGCACATCTCATTGTGTGGTAGAAACTGTAGTTGTGTGTCCGAAATTGGGGGGTTCTTGGTCTCACTGACTTAAAGAATGAAGCTGCGGACCCTCACGGTGAGTGTTACAGTTCTTAAAAATGGCGTGTCTGGAGTTTGCTCCTTCTGATGTTCAGACATGTTCGGAGTTTCTTCCTTTTGGTTGGTTTGTGGTCTCACTGGCTTCAGGAGTGAAGCTGCATACCTTTGCGGTGAGTGTTACAGCTCTTAAGGCAGCGCGTCTGGAGTTGTTCATTCCTCTCAGTGGGTTCGTGGTCTTGCTGGCCTCAGGAGTGAAGCTGCAGAACTTTATGGTGAGGGTTACAGCTCATAAAGGCAGTGCGGACCCAAATAGTGAGGAGCAGCAAGATTTATCGCAAAGAGCGAAAGAACAAAGCTTCCACAGTGCGGAAAGGGACCTGAGCCGGTTGCCACTGCTGGCTGGGGCAGCCTGCTTTTATTCCCTTATCTGACCCCACCCACATCCTGCTGATTGGTCCATTTTACAGAGAGCTGATTGGTCCATTTTACAGAGAGCTGATTGGACTGTTTTGACAGGGTGCTGATTGGTGTGTTTACAAACCTTGAGCTAGATACAGAGTGCTGATTGGTGCATATACAATCCTCTGGCTAGACATGAAAGTTCTCCTAGACATAAAAGTTCTCCAAGTCCCCACTAGATTAGCTAGACACAGAGCACTGATTAGTGCATTTACAAACCTTGAGCTAGACAGAGTGCTGATTGGTCCATTCACAATCCTTTAGCTAGACATAAAAGTTCTCCAAGTCCCCACTAGATTAGCTAGACACAGAGCACTGATAGGTGCATTTACAAACCTTGACCTAGACACAGGGTGCTGATTGGTGCATTTACAAACCTTGAGCTAGATACAAAGTGCTGATTGGTGCATTTACAATCCTCTAGCTAGACATAAAAGTTCTCCACGTCCTCACTAGATTAGCTAGACACAGAACACTGGTGTGTTTACAGACCTTGAGTTAGACACAGAGTGCCTGTTGGTGCATCCACAATCCTCCAGCTAGACATAAAAGTTCTCCAAGACCCCACCCGACTCAGGAGCCCAGCTGGCTTCGCCTAGTGGATCCCGCGCTGTGGCCATGGGCGGAGCTGCCCGCCAGTGCCATGCCATAGCCCTTGGGCGGTCGATGGGACCAGGCGCTGTGGAACAGGGGGCGTGCCCATCTGGGAGGCTCAGGCCGCGTGGGAGCCCGTGGAGGGGAGCTCGGGCATGGCGGGCTGCAGGTCCCGAGCCCTGCCCCATGGGGAGGTGGCTGAGGCCCGGCGAGAATTCGAGCGCGGTGCTGGCGGGCCGGCAGTGCTGGGGGACCCGGCATCCCCTCTGCAGCTGCTGGCCCGGGTGCTAAGCCCCTCACTGTCTGGGGCCGGTGGCACCGGCTGGCCTCTCCGAGTGTGGGGCCGGCCAAGCCCACGCCCACCCAGAACTCGCGCTGGCCTGCGAGCACCGTGCACAGCCCCAGTTCCCACCCGCGCCTCTCCCTCCACACCTCCCTGCAAGCCAAGGGAGCAGCTCTGGCCTCAACCAGCCCAGACAGGGGCTCCCACAGTGCAGTGGTGGGCTGAAGGGCTCCTCAAGCGTGGCCAGAGCAGACGCCGAGGCCGAGGAGGCGCTGAGAGCAAGCAAAGGCCGCCAGCATGTTGTCACCTCTCAGTTGGAGGAGCTCTTCTCCTGCCCCTGGCTTGCAGTTGGGGAGAGCACAGTTCTAGCCCTACTGCTGAGGCACTTTTCACAGTTCTGGCTGTGGAGGCCCCTACCCTGCTCTAGAGAAGGCACTGCAATCTCTGGGCTGAGACTAAAATGCCTTTGTGGCTACACTGCCAGGTTGTCACAGAATGACTGACTTTGTACGCAGTTGGATTAAAAATGGCCTCCTGCTCTTGGTCCTGGGTCTGGGAAAACATATGCAGCTTTTCGCAGTGTTTTTCCCTCACAGCATCTTCAAGCGTCTCCCTAAGTTAGCTCCAGGGCTTGGGAAAAACAAAGTACTCTCCCTTGGCCAGGGTTGCCCGGAGCTTCAGTGGAAAGGTGAGTCACAGAGGTAGACTCCCTCCCTCTCTCAGGTACTGGGGCTTCACTCACTTTTATCAGCGAGATGCTGCCACAGGGGGCTGTTTGTCTCTATTCTCCTCCCTTGGATTTGGGGTGTCTATAATGATTCTGCTGGGCTTCCATTTGCTTTCTTGAATTAAAGCTCACAGAGTTCATCTTTATGCACTCTTTTGCTGTTTCCAAGTGGCTGAGGCATGCTGAAATCCTCTCACATAGGCAGATTTCCAGGCATCTGGATGAGAGAATCTACCATCTTGGAAAAATTTTTAAATAATTTATGACATTTATGAAGTTTATATTTGTTACTAGTTTCAACATTCTAATTTTTTTATTTTTTACCTCTGCCTTTTAAAAAAATAAAGTGGCAGGCCAGGTGCTGTGGCTCACGCCTGTAATCCTAGCACTTTGGGAGGCCAAAGTGGGCAGATTGCCTGAGCTCAGGAGTTTGAGACCAGCCTGGGCAACATGGTGAAACCCCGTCTCTACTAAAATACAAAAGAAATTAGCTGGGCGTGGCAGCGTGGGCCTGTAATCCCAGCTACTCAGGAGGCTGAGGCAGGAGAGTTGCTTGAACCCAGGAGGTGGAGGTTGCAGAGAGCCGAGATCGCACCACTGCACTCCAGCCTGGGCGACAGAGCAAGACTCCATCTCTACAAAGAAAATAAATAAATAAATAAATAAAAATAAAGCGGCAAGGCCAAAATGTAATAAACATCAGCAGCCACAAAATTACATAAACATTGTTAGGTAAAGATGTTGCCGTTACTGCCAGAACCACAACATCTGGTTGTTAAGCACGCTTACCACATGATTGGTCAAAATGTTCATTCGTCAGCCAGGGAAACAAAGTCCATATTTGGCACATGAAAAGTGACTTATTGATTTTAGTGTATAATGTGCAGAGGTAAAATGAATGGAGGTTCGGTGCAGCCTGCAGTTTTAGTCAACGTATTTTCATTTGCCTCTAAGACATCTGCACAGACAGATCCTCAAGAGCACCTCATTCCTCCCAGCCTCCCTCCAGCTCAGGTGGGGACACCACCATCTTCCCTAGTTATTCAAAACAGCAACTTGAAATTATCTCTGACATCACCTCTGTTCCCACAGCTTGCAGATTTTGTACCCTATGTTATTGAAACTGCCCTGCCCTTTGCATTCCTGTTACCACTAACCTAGTTAAGCCGTGTGTCATTTTCTCAGCTGTCTATTGAGTTACAGAAGCCATCTTACTGATCTTCCTTCTTTTATCCATCTTCTATAACAGGAGTCTGCAAACCTTTTCTGTAACAGGCCAGATAGCAAAATTATAGACTTCTTAGGCCATATGGTTTCTGTTGTAACTACCCAACTCTGCCTTTCTGATAGCAGCCATTGACACTATGTAAATGGACAAATATTGTCTGTGTTTCAGTACAACTTTATTTATTGGCACCAAGATTTGAATTTCATGTAATTTTCATGTGCCACAAAATTTGATTTTTCTTTTGATTTTTCAAAGCCGTTTTAAAATGTAAAGAACATTCTTAGCCCATAGGGCCATACAAAAGTCTCGCAGGCTATAGTTTTGCTGACCAAGTTCTACCTGGTTACCAGAATTAGCTAAGTAAAATATAAGTCTGAACATTTCATTCGAATGCTTAAACCCATCAAAGGTTTGCCAACAGGGACTACAAGAATAAGGCTTACCTTACTTAAAATGGCTTATTGATTCCCTCATGATCACAGGTCCAGCATCATAGCTTGCCAGTTCATAGCTTGCACTGCACTCTTCAGAATGCTGACCTCCTTGCAGTATCCTGTCCACACTGAGATACTTCTTTTTGAGGCCTTGACCTCCCTTCCTGGAGTGTCTCCCATTTACCTTTATTTTTCTCTTTCTTTATCTCTCTTCCTTTCTTCTTCTTCTTTTTTTTTTTTTAAATATTGTATTAGAATTGTTGGTTTATTTGCTTCACTAAGAGGTTTCCCTAGTGAGACACGGAACAACCATGTCTCGTTCTATTCTGTGTTCTTATCATTTCACTTCCTGCCCAGGGCCCTGCTAAAGTAGGCTCTTCATAAATATTTGCTGAATGCATGTATACATGCATGCATGCATGAATGAATGGACAAATGAATAAGTGGAATGGAATAGTTAAATGAGCCAATTTTGATATTTTGCTAATAACCCTGACCAAGCTGTTGGTGAGTTCACAGGTTGAAACCAGTACAGGCAGTTCTTAACATAGGAATGTGTTGAGTTCCAAAAGTTTGTTTGGAAATTGGTTGTTCAGAACTTGGAACATGTTTTCCCATATAAAGATGTTATAAACTAAACTATGCTTAACTATTCAGCTTAGTCCACAAAAATATTATTTGAGGCATCATGTCACTGAAATAAAATTAGAAAATAACTGAGGTGTCACCTTTTCATTTTATTAAAATATTTTAAGCCCACATTTCATCTCAAGAAACTCTAAAAGACATTTTCTGGCACTGTGTAATGTTATAAATGAAACAAAACTGAATGCTGGTAAAGGCTTAGTGTGGGTAAAGCAGGGAGATAAAGAGATTGTGAAAATTTTATGGGAAACTGAGTGTTTTTAAGAGCATCAATTCTTTACTATTTTTGTTCTACTTCAGAAATTATCGTTTTCTTTGCCATGCTCAATGTTTATCACAAGAACTCCTTTTGAGATCATTGGAAAGATTATGGCCCTTTTTTGAGAATCAAATGTAAAGATATATAGACACATTTTAGAGACCTCCTCCAAAAAAAATCTTCACCATTCACTTCCAACCTCCTTTAACAAAATTTTGGTTTATCTAATTTGTTTCTCTTGCTTTAGAAATATTAATTAATATTTAATATTAATTTTTCTTTCTCTCTTCATTTTCCTTTCTGATTCATCAGTATTTTTCATATGGTCTTCAATTTCCTTGGACCTTGGTACAGGAACAGGTAGGTACCAGTAGAGCCAATGATTAAACCACGTTCCTCAATTCATTTTCATTTACTAATTGACTTGTTTGTTAAATATTCCCTTTATTTAACACATATTTATTAAAATGCTTTCTAACTGTAAGGCAGAAGGCCAGGCTCTGTATCATTTAGGGAAAAGGGTTGGAAAAACAAAATGAAGTTAATAAGAATGAAAGGAAGTTTGAAGAGGAAGAATAAGACATGGTATTCAGAAACCACAGAGATCTAGGTCTTTCTTGGTAATAGGATATGCTCATTGTAAAAACTCCTCAAATTACAGAAATGTTTAATGTAGACAAGTAAATTCCATCTTAAATTCCCCTCTTGCAGATGAGGTATTTATGTCCAGATTTTATTTCATGCATATGTGGACATTATTATGATAACGATTTTTATGAAACTGGAATCTTATTTCATCAACTCTAAAATGCTCAGTTGAAAATACACCGTTATTTTGTGTATCACTAAGAAAGAAGAAAACTCCTAAATACAGCACACTGATGGGTCTTGACTCTTCATACAATTTGCCAGTCTGTGTCTTTTAATTGGAGCATTTAGTCCATTTACATTTAAAGTTAATATTGTTATGTGTGAATTTGATCCTGTCATTATGATGTTAGCTGGTTATTTTGCTCGTTAGTTGATGCAGTTTCTTCCTAGTCTCGATGGTATTTACATTTTGGCATGATTTTGCAGTGGCTGGTACCAGTTGTTCCTTTCCATGTTTAGCGCTTCCTTCAGGAGCTCTTTTAGGGCAGGCCTGGCGGTGACAAAATCTCTCAGCATTTGCTTGTCTGTAAAGTATTTTATTTCTCCTTCACTTATGAAGCTTAGTTTGGCTGGATGTGAAATTCTGGGTTGAAAATTCTTTTCTTTAAGAATGTTGCATATTGGCCCCCACTGTCTTCTGGCTTGTAGACTTTCTGCCAAGAGATCAGCTGTTAGTCAGATGGGCTTTCCTTTGTGGGTAACCCAACCTTTCTCTCTGGCTGCCCTTAACATTTTTTTCATTCATTTCAACTTTGGTAAATCTGACAATTATGTGTCTTGGAGTTGCTCTTCTCGAGGAGTATCTTTGTGGCATTCTCTGTACTTCCTGAATCTGAATGTTGGCCTGCCTTGCTAGATTGGGGAAGTTCTCCTGGATAATATCCTGCAGAGTGTTTTCCAACTTGGTTCCATTCTCCCCGTCACTTTCAGGTACACCAATCAGACGTAGACTTGGTCTTTTCACATAGTCCCATATTTCTTGGAGGTTTTGTTCGTTTGTTTTTATTCTTTTTTCTCTAAACTTCCCTTCTCGCTTCATTTCATTCATTTCATCTTCCATCACTGATACCCTTTCTTCCAGTTGATCGCATCGGCTCCTGAGGCTTCTGCATTCTTCACGTAGTTCTCGAGCCTTGACTTTCAGCTCCATCAGCTCCTTTAAGCACTTCTCTATATTGGTTATTCTAGTTATACATTCGTCTAAAATTTTTTCAAAGTTTTTAACTTCTTTGCCTTTGGTTTGAATTTCCTCCTGTAGCTCGGAGTAGTTTGATTGTCTGAAGCCTTCACTCTCAACTCGTCAAAGTCATTCTCCGTCCAGCTTTGTTCCGTTGCTGGTGAGGAGCTGCGTTCCTTTGGAGGAGGAGAGGCGCTCTGCTTTTTAGAGTTTCCAGTTTTTCTGTTCTGTTTTTTCCCCATCTTTGTGGTTTTATCTACTTTTGGTCTTTGATGATGGTGATGTACCAATGGGTTTTTGGTGTGGATGTCCTTTCTGTTTGTTGGTTTTCCTTCTAACAGACAGGACCCTCAGCTGCAGGTCTCTTGGAGTTTGCTAGAGGTCCACTCCAGACGCTGTTTGCCTGGGTATCAGCAGCACACGTGCAGACACACATAGGCTCATAATAAAAGGATGAAGGAAGATCTACCAAGCAAATGGAAAACAAAAAAAAAGGCAGGGGTTGCAATCCTAGTCTCTGATAAAACAGACTTTAAACCAGCAAAGATCAAAAGAGACAAAGAAGGCCATTACATAATGGTAAAGGGATCAATTCAACAAGAAGAGCTAACTATCCTAAATATATATGCACCCAGTACAGGAGCATCCAGATTTATAAAGCAAGTCCTGAGTGACCTACAAAGAGACTTAGACTCCCACACAATAATAATGGGAGACTTTAACACCCCACTGTCAACATTAGACAGATCAACGAGACAGAAAGTTAACAACGATACCCAGGAATTGAACTCAGCTCTGCACCAAGCAGACCTAATAGACATCTACAGAACTCTGCACCACAAATCAACAGAATATACATTTTTTTCAGCACCACACCACACGTATTCCAAAATTGACCACATAGTTGGAAGTAAAGCTCTCCTCAGCACATATAAAAGAACAGAAATTATAACAAACTCTCAGACCACAGTGCAATCAAACTAGAACTCAGGATTAAGAAACTCACTCAAAACCGCTCAGCTACATGGAAACTGAACAAACCTGCTCCTGAATGACTACTGGGTGCATAATGAAATGAAGGCAGAAATAAAGATGTTCTTTGAAACCAACGAGAACAAAGACACAACATACCAGAATCTCTGGGACACATTCAAAGCAGTGTGTAGAGGGAAGTTTATAGCACTAAATGCCCACAAGAGAAAGCAGGAAAGATCTAAAATTGACACCCTAACATCACAATTAAAAGAACTAGAAAAGCAAGAGCAAACACATCCAAAAGCTAGCAGAAGGCAAGAAATAACTAAAATCAGAGCAGAACTGAAGGAAATAGAGATACAAAAAACCCTTCAGAAAATTAATGAATCCAGGAGCTGGTTTGTTGAAAGGATCAACAAAATTGATAGACCGCTAGCAAGACTAATAAAGAAAAAAAGAGAGAAGAGTGAAATAGATGCAATAAAAAATAATAAAGGAGATATCACCACCGATCCCACAGAAATACAGACTACCATCAGAGAATACTACAAACACCTCTACGCAAATAAACTAGAAAATCTAGAAGAAATGGATACATTCCTCGACACATACACCCTCCCATGACTAAACCAGGAAGAAGTTGAATCTCTGAATAGACCAATAACAGGCTCTGAAATTGAGGCAATAATCAGTAGCTTACCAACCAAAAAGAGTCCAGGACCAGATGGATTCACAGCTGAATTCTACCAGAGGTACAAGGAGGAAGTGGTACCATTACTTCTGAAACTATTCCAATCAATAGAAAAAGAGGGAATCCTCCCTGACTCATTTTATGAGGCCAGCATCATCCTGATACCAAAGCCGGGCAGAGACACAACCAAAAAAGAGAATTTTAGACCAATATCCTTGATGAACATTGATGCAAAAATCCTCAATAAAATACTGGCAAACCAAATCCAGCAGCACATCAAAAAGCTTATCCACCATGATCAAGTGGGCTTCATCCCTGGGATGCAAGGCTGGTTCAATATACACAAATCAATAAATGTAATCCAGCATATAAACGAACCAAAGACAAAAACCACATGATTATCTCAATAGATGCAGAAAAGGCCTTTGACAAAATTCAACAACCCTTCATGCTAAAACGTCTCAATAAATTAGGTATTGATGGGATGTATCTCAAAATAATAAGAGCTATCTATGACAAACCCACAGCCAATATCATACTGAATGGGCAAAACCTGGAAGCATTCCCTTTGAAAACTGGCACAAGACAGGGATGCCCTCTCTCACCACTCCTATTCAACATAGTGTTGGAAGTTCTGGCCAGGGCATTTAGGAAGGAGAAGGAAATAAAGGGTATTCAGTTAGGAAAAGAGGAAGTCAGATTGTCCCTGTTTGCAGATGACATGATTGTATATCTAGAAAACCCCATGGTCTCCGCCCAAAATGTCCTTAAGCTGATAAGCAACTTCAGCAAAGTCTCAGGATACAAAATCAATGTGCAAAAATCACAAGCATTCTTATACACCAATAACAGACAAACAGAGAGCCAAATCATGAGTGAACTCCCATTCACAGTTGCTTCAAAGAGAATAAAATACCTAGGAATCCAACTTACAAGGGATGTGAAAGACCTCTTCAAGGAGAACTACAAACCACTGCTCAGTGAAATAAAAGAGGATACAAACAAATGGAAGAACATTCCATGCTCATGGGTAGGAAGAATCAATATCGGGAAAATGGCCATACAGTCCAAGGTCATTTATAGATTCAATGCCATCCCCATCAAGCTACCAATGACTTTCTTCACAGAATTGGAAAAAACTACTTTAAAGTTCATATGGAACCAAAAAAGAGCCCACATCGCCAAGTCAATCCTAAGCCAAAAGAACAAAGCTGGAGGCATCATGCTACCTGACTTCAAACTATACTACAAGGCTACAGTAACCAAAACAGCATGGTACTGGTACCAAAACAGAGAGATAGAACAATGGAACAGAACAGAGCCCTCAGAAATAACGCAGCATATCTACAAGTATCTGATCTTTGACAAACCTGAGAAAAACAAGCAATGGGGAAAGGATTCCCTATTTAATAAATGGTTTTGGGAAAACTGGCCAGCCATATGTAGAAAGCTGAAACTGGATCCCTTCCTTACACCTTACACAAAAATTAATTCAAGATGGATTAAAGACTTAAACGTTAGACCTAAAAGCATAAAAACCCTGGAAGAAAACCTAGGCATTACCATTCAGGACATAGGCATGGGCAAGGACTTCATGTCTAAAACACTGAAAGCAATGGCAACAAAAGCCAGAATTGACAAATGGGATCTAATTAAACTAAAGAGCTTCTGCACAGCAAAAGAAACTACCGTCAGAGTGAACAGGCAACCTACAGAATGGGAGAAAATTTTCCCAACCTACTCATCTGACATAGGGCTAATATCCAGAATCTACAATGAACTCAAACAAATTTACAAGAAAAAAACAACCCCATCAAAAAGTGGGCAATGGATATGAACAGACACTTCTCAAAAGAAGACATTTATGCAGCCAAAAGACACATGAAAAAAAGCTCATCATCACTGGCCATCAGAGAAATGCAAATCAAAACCACAATGAGATACCATCTCACACCAGTTAGAATGGCAATCATTAAAAAGTCAGGAAACAACAGGTGCTGGAGAGGATGTGGAGAAATAGGAACACTTTTACACTGTTGGTGGGACTGTAAACTAGTTCAACCATTGTGGAAGTCAGTGTGGCGATTCCTCAGGGATCTAGAACTAGGAATACCATTTGACCCAGCCATCCCATTAGTGGGTATATACCCAAAGGATTATAAATCATGCTGCTATAAAGACACATGCACACATATGTTTATTGTGGCACTATTCACAACAGCAAAGACTTGCAACCAACCCAAATGTCCAACAATGATAGACTGGATTAAGAAAATGTGGCACATATACACCATGGAATACTATGCAGCCATAAAAAAGGATGAGTTCATGTCCTTTGTAGGGACATGGATGAAATTGGAAATCATCATTCTCAGTAAAGTATCGCAAGGACAAAAGGCCAAACACTGCATGTTCTCACTCATAGGTGAGAATTGAACAATGAGAACACGTGGACACAGGAAGGGGAACATCACACTCTGGGTACTGTTGTGGGGTGGGGGTGGGGGAGGGATAGCATTAGGAGATATACCTAATGCTAAATGACGAGTTAATGTGTGCAGCACACCAGCATGGCACATGTATACATATGTAACTAACCTGCATTGTGCACATGTACCCTAAAACTTAAAGTATAATAATAATAAAATAAAATTTAAAAAAAAGAAGAAAACTCTGCCAATTTAACTTTGACACACTGCGCCAGATATGTATTCTGACTGTCCTTCCATTTTCCACCTCGCTCTCTTCCCTGAAAGGCTGGTTTGTGTGGAACATGTCCCTGGGCTGCCTTGCCCTCCAGCTTCCAGTTGGGTCTGGCCAATGGGGAACTCTTGCAAGAGGCCAAATGAAAGGAGAAGAGTGAGGGAGGGCGATTCATTCCTATAGCTTTGTCCCTAACTGATGCCTTGTGCTGAACATGGTCCTAGCTAGAAAGAGCACTTTCTTCTCAAGGTGGCAGACTGCTATCCACATGATTGACTGATTCCCTTCTTCAAACTGGCCATTACCTTTATATTTAGTCCCCTTATTAAACCTTCCTTAAAGCATTGTAATTTGAATGTGCCATCTGCTTCCTTATGGGACATTGATGAATACATAAACCATCAACTTTAAGGCACACTCTAATTTTCAGGATGTTAAAATATAAAGCTCTTAGAATTGTTGATATTCTACCACTTTTTTCTCCCTACAAAAAAGTATATATTAGTACGTCAACACAAAGACATGCATGTGAATGTTCATGGCAGCATTCTTTATAATAGCCCAAAATAGAAGCAATCCAAATGTCCATCAGCTGGTGAATGGATAAACAAAATACAGTTTAGCCATATAATGGAATACTATTCAGCAATAAAAAATAATGAATTTTAAAACATCTTACATCATAGACAAACTTCAAGAAAAATTATGCTAAGTGAAAGAAACCAGGCACAAAAGACCACAGACTGTGATTTGCATTTTGCGTTGGTACAAAGTGTTAAAAAAGTCAAATTGATAGGGACGGAAAGTTGACAAGTTGTTGCCTAGGGTTGGAGATGGGAACAGGGATTAACTATATATAGGTATCATGGATCCTATTGGGATGATGGCAATGGTCTAATCTTAGGTTACAGTGATAGTTATACAACTTGATAAGTTTACTAATAATCAAAGGTGAATTTTATGGTGTGTAAAATGTACCTCAATAAATTTGTTGTTTTTCACAAAGTACACATTGACTGTCTTTTTATGTCAGCAACTGTGGCTGTAATGTAACCCAATATTTAATACTTTTGTGTATAATTCATTGTTTTTTTGCTACGTAATGTTGACAGATGCACAACCTCAGTTCCTTTTCACTCCCTCCTCCACCCCACAATAATCTACTTACATAAAAGCACTTAATATATTGTAGACTTTATCAGATGTTGTATAGGGGAGAGTTAGCATCCACACAGAGAAATCTGCTGTTTAAGTCTCTCTAAATCTCCCCTCCAACCAGGGGTTCCCCCAGTAGGAACTCTTCACCTACATGAAGTACCAACCTGGGTTGGGTGCTCTTTTCTCCTCTCTCTCTTTTAAGCAAACACATTGATCATGCTTATTGCAGACCAGTTCTACCTGTGTCTCCCAGTCCCGGATTAGGGGACGGAGGACTAGGCGCTCCTCAGTCTCAGATGCTCACCAAGGGGACTTATCCAAGTATTTGCCCAACAAAAGCAAATGTCTCCCTTTGAAGTGGGGGTATTCGAATACAGCTGCTGGGAAAAGTAAGATTATATTGTTATATTCTTTATTTGGTTGCTGCATGATATTTTCTTTTATAGATAAACTTTTAAACAAGTTTTCTCCTTTACAACATCCTTGTGCAGTCACATATCTTCATGCAAAGACACAAGGGCTCCCTATTGAATTTAGGTTAGATTTAGTGTTTATCCACAATTGTGCTTAAGCCATGCCCTCCACATTGCCAAGGATAATCAAGAGTTGGCTGTAATTGCTTATACCCTTGATTTTGGAATGTGTGATTAATTATATGTAAATATTATTTCCTTTTAATTGGTGTTTTCAGTATAAATGGCCTAAGTTAAAATTTTTTTTCAGTGCTTGTTTCTTTTATAACCATAAGATCATTTTTCATGTTCCTCATTGATTTCCTATGGAAATAAAAATAAAATGCATTGAAATTTGTCACATGAATTTAAATTGCAAGTACAGCTAATTTAGCTACTTAGTTTAATTAAAATGCCTACTATGCTAGACAGCAGCAGTATATTAGAAGGATCATTTATAGTTCTCTGCCCTTAAGGATCTGAAAGGCTAATTGAAAGTCAGACATGTAAACAACTAACCTGTGAAAGAATCAAATAAACATTCAGAATCATGACCAGGCAGTAAGAAATAGAAAGAACTCTTTAATCAGTTGTCATGTAAAGCTAGTCTAGTTGAAAGTAATTTAGGAAGTATTATTTTTTAAATTTTGTAAGATGTACTTAACATATTAAGTTGAAGCTGAAAGAGACCTTCAAAGTAAATCTAATCAGTGTCCTTAGTTTACAGATGGAGAAACAGAGGTCTTGACTGGTAGAGGGACTTTATAAGGTCACACAGCTTGGAGTCAAGGAACTAGGGCTCAGAAAAAAATTCATAGGCTTTCAGGATCGCTGCTTCCTTCAGTATAGTGTGCTGGACTATGCAATTTAAGCTAGATTAAGTTAATGGGAATGAGGCTAAATGAATTAATGAAAAAGGCATGGAGTCTTTGCTCAGAATATCTATTATATGAGTAATGAATGGCATGGAGACATCTGGGTATAGGAATGTGGGTTCCTTTCAGAACCTTTGAGCTTATGGTTAATGTTGCATCCTTAAAACCATGGACTCTTATGGCTGAAGTGACCCCAACAGTCAGTGAATTTCTCCTTAAAGTTCTATGTTGAATTTAAATTTTTGTTCCTATGATATCTACCACCTGGCTTCAGCCTGTTTCTCAGAAGTAACATGGAAGTCATGTACTGTTCTTTCACTGTGGCAGTGCCTTAACAACCCAAAGATAGCTGTCTTTTCAGTCCTCTCCAGGCCAAATAGCATCACAGGAAATGACTTCCAGACAGCACGTGGGCCTCACCACTATCTGTGTCAGCTACCCATAACCATCCTTCACTGCGATTGAGAAAGGGGATTAGAGTGTGAGCGGTGGGGTGTCATTTACAAGCTTTTGTATGTCCTTTGGCAAGTTCCATGTATTTCTGCTTCTCAATTCCCTTATTAGTAAACTAGGAGTTGTTGGGAGAATCAGACAGGGTGATACATAGAGAGCACTCAGATGCTTTTACTCATGGTAGGTGTTCAGTAAATGGTAGCAGTTGTCATCACCCTTGAGTGATTCTGATCATCATTACTATTGCGTTTTCAAGACATTAGTGGTAGCTAAGTCTCCAAGATAGTCGCCAATGATCTCATATATTATCTTGTGTTTTATTCCTTTATTGGGAGAACCATGACTCATGGAGATCTTGCCCATATAAAAGAGGAAGATGAAGAGTGAGTGCGATTGAATCTCTTTCCCTGTGAACATTCTCCAAGATGTTTGTGGTGATACCCACAACTCCCCATGCTTTCTCATCATCTTTTCTCAGTTTTTAATCCATTTTTCAATTCAACCTCTGCCCTATACTGTCACTGATGATAAAATATCCCCGACAGTGTGGAGAAGTTTCAGGTTTTCTATACATAGTGTTCCATAATTTATTACCCTACCTGGTTAAGATTTGGGGAAAATCAGGTATTTCTCAAAGCCATGCAGGCAATTTAAGAGTGTTGAAGGAGTACGGACGACACCACTGTAGAGTGATGAGGACTGTGGCAGAACTGAAGAATACATGCCCCATCTGAAGGGATTCACATTCCAAAAAAATTTTTTACACACTACTGCTCAGTTAAACTATTTGTCTACAGAACTCAGCCAGATGGCACCAATTTGAAAACTCAGATCAAAATGAACAATAACGTTAACAAACCCCAAAGGAAAAAACGGTCCTTATAGGAACCATTTTATTCTTTGCTTGTCTTCTCGTTGGCATGTAATAGCTCAACATAGGTGTACTTAAAGAATGGATGCATTTGCATCTTCATAAAGCTATACTTGCTTTATCAGTTGTCTACTGTTGCTTAACATCCACCCTGAAACTTAGTGGCTAATACGTGTTTATTATTTCTCACAATTCTGTGGGTTGACTGAGTGCTTCTTATGGTCTGGGCTAACTCGGTTGGGGCTGGATGGCATAGGATAGCTTCACCTATCTGGGCCCTTAGCTTGGATAATTGGAACGGGGTCTGTCTCTGTGTGACCCCTCAGTCTCAAGGATGCTAGCCTAGACTTCTTTGCCTAGTGATCACAGGACTCCCAGCAGCAATAAGCTCCAATGCTCAAGCGTTTTTCAAGTCCCTTCCTCTGCATCATTAGCCAAAGCAAGACTCACAGTGAAGTACGGCTTCAAAGAATATATAGATAGATTCCACCTCTCAGTGTGAGGAATAGCAAAGTCACTTGCATGTGCATGGCAGACTGTACAGTACTTTTAGCTTCTATAAGGAAAGAGGGCTGGGCTTGGTGGGAAAATTTCTAAATATAGGAAGGAGGTGATGATGATGGTCAAGCAAGAAGGACAGATGTCCACTATAGTGCCTTTGGGTCCCACCCCTCTGTGTAAGCCAGCATGGCAGTAGCAGACTAGATGCCATGGAGCACAGTCATTCTGGACTACCTGGCTGTTACCAGCAGGGAAGCAGAGTTCAGAGAGATCAGGAGGAGTAGGAAAGGGAGCCAAGTGGCTGGGATGGGTCTGAGGATGGTTCCTGTGAACGACGGAAGACCAGAAATAAAAAGTGTCTGCATGAGGCGAGTGCTGTCCATGGTCAGCCCTAGTGTCCAGCAGATGGGTGGGGCCTGGCCAATACCTATGGAACTTTAAAGGAGCATCTCTGAATGATGCTTGCAGAGAGGAGCTATGCCTGAAGCCCTTCTCATTACCATCAGGCAAAAGCATTCTGAGGAGCTGGCTGGCTGCCAGGCATCTGCTCATCTTAGAGTACGAATGACATGCCTGTGCCTGGAAGTTTGACTCAGCTCATCTTACCTGTCTGAGGTGGACACCTTGCTTCAACATCCAAGGGCATTTGTTAGCCCCTTGTTCCCCACCTCCAAAATAGAGTCACATTCAGGATGCCCAGGGAGATGGTGGCAGTCATGGAGCAAAAGGGACCTGTACTTGGGTGGGACCTATACTTGGGACCAGCACCTGTGCTTGGGTGGATCGGAGCAAAACCAGTTTGAGATTTTATTGACTGGTATTTTGCCCTCTGCTACACCGCCGCTCCTCAGTTTGGGATGGTGGTGGACTTACCTCTAGTTTGTGACTGTCCAATTTATAACTCTTACATATGTAAAATAAAATCAATGCACAAGAATTGGGGGTTTGGCTTGCATATAAGATAGAAGGATTTTATGCTACCCCCTTTTAAGATCTGCTGTTCTCTCATGGAGCAGGATGGACACAATCCTCAGATTAAAATTGGAAAGAGAAAGTTTACAGAAACTAAATATTTCTGATGATAGGCCTCATACTTGGTGAGTGCCAACTATGTGTGATACTGGGCAGTATGTCACAAAGGGTGTTTCATTTAATCCCAAAATAGCCGTAAAAAATTATGTGGGGGCATCCTTGCTGATGAGGAAACAGAGGCTCAGAGCAGCTAAACAGCCCAAGCCTGCCCATTGAGCTAGGAAGAGGCAGAGAGGCTTTGTTCTTCCTATTGTGGTATACTTCCTCTTGCGACTAAATTGGTGAGCAGGGTTGGAAGAATGTGAATGGGGTAGGATCATTGCTGACCTAGGACCGGAGTAGCTTTGGAGATCATGCCGGTGGGAAACTGTCCCATACTCTTTGTTCCCAAGTCTCTCCAGTCCCCATCTCCTCTCCTTGTGCATGGACCGCCTGAAACCCTCATTCTGTTCTCTATCCTAGGACCTCTATCACTGCCCCTCACTGACTCTCCCCAGCTCAGCCTTGACATAGGTAACCATTGATAACTTAGAGGTGGCGGAGTCTCTAAGTCAGGTATCCGTCAAATGGCATAAACAATGTGTAGGAGATCCAAGAAGGTGATGCAGGCTCATGGAGAAATATCAAGTTTGAATTTCCAGCCTACTTTTTCATAAAAATGCTGTTAACGCGGCTAGAAATTAATTTTTTTTTTTTTGAGACAGAGTCTCGCTCTCTCACCCAGGCTGGAGTACAGTGGCACGATCTTGTCTCACTGTAGCCTCTGCCTCCCGGGTTCCAGCGATTCTCCTGCCTCAGCCTCCTGGGTAGCTGGGATTACAGGCATGCGCCACCAAACCCGGCTAATTTTTGAATTTTTAGTAGAGACGGGGTTTCACCACGTTGGCCAGGCTGGTCTCGAACTCCTAACCTCAGCTGATCTGCCTGCCTCAGCCTCCCAAAGTGCTAGGATTACAAGCGTGAGCCACCGTGCCTGGCCTAGAAATTAACTTTTAAACGATGATCTTTAAAGGCTTATATTTCTTCTGTCTATGGGAGAGTGTGTCCTGGGTTAAAAACTAGAGAGGCTTAATAAATAGTGTTTCCAAATAATGTATCATCTAAACGGAGCCCTTTTGAGGGTTAAAGGGATGTTATTAATAATACCCCAGGACTATCCCAAACAAATAGGGAGTATAGCTACCTACATAAGGGAATCTTAGAAGACCTTTGAAAGCTGGGGATTACTCGCACATGTTTTGTAATTTGACTGCAAGTTGTTTTAGATGCTGTCTCAGTAATTTTAAAGAAAATGCATGCATGTCTCCAGGGCAAACCTCGACACAGGGAAAGAAGAGTAACTTTTTGGCTTGTTCATTATTAATAGCCCCTGTGCTTTCAAATTGCTAATAAGTTTCTCATGTTTGGTTCACACATTTGGATTCAGTCTTTCCTACTGAACATTTGCAGACTATCCAAATGTAAGCATCTTTAATGAAGCAGGAAGATACCGAGGCGAAACAATGTCCAAGGTGTGAATTATTGCACCATCCAAAACTCAGGCTGAAGTGTGACTTTTTGTGATTGCAGAATGGCTGTCTGCCAAGTTATATAACAAAAACTCTGGTAATTGCAGCCCTAAATAATTCACATTTTCTTTAAACTACTATCTATT
Organism: Homo sapiens; assembly: GCF_000001405.40. Lineage (NCBI taxonomy): Eukaryota > Metazoa > Chordata > Mammalia > Primates > Hominidae > Homo > Homo sapiens. The sequence continues at coordinate 4,178,952 of NC_000009.12, read as the reverse complement.
TATAAGTTAGTAGAAACTGTAAAATAAAACCCAAATAATAAAACCCCTTCTTCAAATTTTTTAATTTATTAATATTTAAATAACTAATGTTTATGCTAGATACCCTCAAAGATGTTTGTTTCTTTTCTTAGTGATTTTTGTGAAATATTTTTAATGAATAATGGGTGTGGGGTAGGTAACTGAAAAATGTCTTCAGTGAAAGACTTCTGATCAACCTATATACATCAGGAAAAATTCTATACGCTCTAAGACAGTGTAGTCATTCTGAATTTCTGTAGAAAATTTGGGTTTTTATTTTCCTGTGTTTATGATAAACTGTGGTTGCTATGTCAGGGGTTATATTTGCACTTGCGTGTTTGGAATAGCTAAGGTATATGTAGGTCAAGCCCTAGGCAAAACCATGAAACAAGCAAAGCTCACCAAAGCTCTGTAACTATTTGTATTCAGCAGCAGTCTAGACATTGGATGCTCCTAGCTGCAGATTTTTCTAGTATCGTCCCTCCCTTCCCCTCCTTCTCCTATCTCATTGCCATAAGAGTCACATCTCTACTCAACCTAAAGGCCGTTCATAAGTGATCATAGGTCATATGATCTCCTGTCCAACCTCTTCCACCCTCCTTTGCAGGATATCTTTTAGAAAAGTGACCTAGAAGAGTAAGTAGGTATCTTAGGCACGGTGGCAGAGTAAATTGTGGGGGCAGAAATTTTGGGGGCAGGGCTGTCTTACTCAGCAACTCTAAGATCTCCTTGTGTAAATGCGTAGTCCACCTACCCAGCCTGCATTATGCAACTGACCAGAGTCATTCTAGTTCACTTGGAGATAGGAACATATCTTTAAGAATAAGAAACAGTCCTATGAAAAGATGTTCTGAAATGTGGGGCTTTTGAGAAAGGATATAATAATTGCTAGCTTCACTCCATAAATTACTGTATTTCCCCAAAGGTAGTGATAATCAATGTGCTTTGACACTCAGTTTCAGCTGGAAGAATCAAGGAAGAAATATTTCATGTGGATTCATCTCATCCAGGAACCAAGCTGTGATGGGAGTTAGTGAATTCTGAATAATGGTTGATACATCTGCTGGAAACATTCAGCATTGTGAATACTATCTTTCTGTCGCATAGCTTATTCAGTACTGCTTTCTTTGTTGGCACCAACTGCACTTTCAGAAAGAAAAAAAATACCTCCAAACCCACCAGGAACACTTTCCATATGAAGATTTCTTACTATGTCTCTTGGATGCTGGCTTTCCAAACTCATCCAATCTTAGCGTAGTTTCTAAGGTTTCTTTTTACACCCTGGGAAAGGTTGGTTTCATAGAAGCTAAAATAGATCTTAGAAATCAACAAGCTCAGTAGGATTTTATTATTTGAAACTCTAGGGTTCCTCTGTGGTATCTCAGAAGCTATGGGAGGAGTTGAGTGAATGAGGAGAAGGGAGGGTATCTTGCTTCAGCTCCAGCACCTTCACCTGTATCTGTTTCAGACATTGGGCTCTGTGTAAAATTTCCATTGACCATGTATGTCAACCAAAATTTGGGGCTGATCTAAAAGTGATTAGCCCCAAGTGTTCTAACTAGTTAATGGCAAGGTCTAGGTCTCCTGATTCTGTGAACCTCCTGTTTTGCTATATTGGTACACCTTACAAAAAGATAATTTGAGGTCATATGTTGCCAACCAATAGATAAATGGGCAGAGTCATGAAGAGACCACTCATAAAGGGGAAATAATCCTTTGGAGAAAACTGAACTCGGGAGTATAAATTAAAGCAATGGTGATTTTGTTTTGTTTTGTTTTGTTTTGTTTTGTTTTGTTTTGTTTTTGCTCATCAAATTGACAAGATAACACTCAGTGGGTAAGTAGCACACCTTGAGACTAGGATTCCCATACATTGGTAATGATGGTGTAAATTTCGGGGGATACCCATATTGTCAGGGGTTAAATGTACTGATGTTGCTCTGACACATAACCCAATAACTGCATTTCTACAAATTGGTCCTGAAAAAACCATTTGAAATACGGTAAAAGAGGCCGGGCATGGTGGCTTACGCCTGTAATCCCAACACTTTGGGAGGCCAAGGCGGGCGGATCACCTGAGGTCAGGAGTTTGAGACCAGCCTGGCCAATGTGGTGAAACCCCATGTCTACTAAAAATACAAAAATGAGCTGGGCGTGGTCGCAGGTGTCTTTTATCCCAGCTACTCAGGAGGTTGAGTCAGGAGAATCATTTGAACCCGGGAGGCGGAGGTTGTAGTGAGCTGAGATGGCACCATTACACTGTAGCCTGGGTGACAAGAGCAAAACTGTGTCTCAAGATAAAAAAGGAGAAAAAGAAATATGATGAAAGAAATGTGCATAGAGATGTTCTTTGCAGTGTTTTTTTTTAATAGTGAAAAAAATTCCTCCTACCCTAAAAGTGCAATAGTAAAGAAATAGTTAAGTAGACTTAATGCTGAATGGTAAAATATTAAAATTAAGTCTACAAATAGTTTTCAAGAAGTGTTAAAATAATTTTAAAGTACAACTAGATGAACAGAACTTCATGCAAAATTGCCTATAAAATATAAGCTGAATGTTTCCAAACATGTATAGGTGGAGAGGACAGACTAGAGAGAAATAGCCTAAAACACTATGATTATCTCTGGGCAGTTACATTACAAATCGTTGTTATTTCTTCTTTGACTTTAAAATTATTTTCCCAATTTTTTACATTGTATGTGTGTTACTTTTGTAAGAGAGGGAGAAATGAGTTTTTTTCTCTTCCTGACAAGTCCGCCGAAAGTGCCACCAGATCTTGATTCTGGGTTATTTTCTGATAGAATCCAGGAATGAGGAGGGGGCTAGAGCCTGCCTTTCACTGCATGGTTTTGTTCTGTGAACAGAAGAGATTTTCATGTGTCATTTGGCACACTTGCAGTTCTCTGTGTGCAGGGTTGGAGCTCAATCAGGACTCATCAACATAAAGATATTTTCATTAGCTCAGAAAAAGGAGAAGCCCTGGATTTCAATTCTGGCTATGTCATCTCCTATCTGGGAGACTTGGACCAAATTGTGGAACCTCTAGCCTCAGTTTTTTCATCTGTCAAATGAGGATGATGATACTTCTTTTATGGGGTTACCGAACCAAAAAAAGACATGTAATATGCCTAATACAGTGCATGAATTGATGTAAAAGGAGTATTCAATCCCTGTTTGTTACATTGCTTCACTTCCTCTGGGCCTTCTCCCAGCGTTATGGTGGTTATGTATGGGGGAAAGTACTTGGACTTTGAAAATTTATTTCTTATCCAGTACAGTGGGGACTTGGGTAGAATCAGAAGTTTAGTCCCAGAAGGATAGATCATTCCAGCATTGCCAGGAGAGTAACGAATGGCAGTTTCTGATTTTCAGGGTCTGTGAGCCACCACGGTTAAGAACCTCGTGTGTGTTTATGTGTGTGTCTCAAAGGATATATAAAAGTTAAAGTTATTTGTGTTCAGTAGCTGGAGGTCCAGCTTTTTATTATGTATTCATGACTAGGAGAAGGCCTAGCATGGGATAAGTTCCAGAACTGTGGAGAAGGAGACATTTCTTTTCAGACCTCTTTCTCTGCCTCCATTCACCCAGTGCCCAACTCCCTAAAGCTCTCAGTCTCCCTTCTTTGTCCTTTCAGAAAACTGCTGTCAAATCCTTCATTCTGACAAAATAACATTATCAACAGATTTTGATATTACCTTCAGTGCATTTGCTTTTAATAAAGAGGCTTGGGGCTGAGAGTATGAGGTTCTAATGGAGGAATTCTCAGGTCCAGTTAGCAAGGGAGAATTTTGGATGTAGAGAGACCATTCAGAAAGTCCTGGAAATAACTATTGAGGAAACTCCCTGCTTAAAATGCCTGCTCTTTAAAAGAAGGAAGGAGTGCTGAGCTCAGAAAACCATGTGCTTGAGGAGGGCCTGCCCCTGTCAATTAAGTACACTCTGATCCCTTCCCTTTGCACCCTTGACCTATTTCTGAGCTGTGTCACTACTTCCAGCGTCGTCAGTCATATTTGCTGTGAAGACGGTCAGATCTAGATTCTTGCAGGCGTGTTGTTGGAATAAACTAAAATTAAACCAGGTCAGATGCCAATGTATAAATAAAATGCAGATGAATCATTAAATAATTAAAAGTGGAATCAACGTGTACTGCCTCCTGGAATATAGCCCGCGAACCTGAATATGAGATTGGCACACATCTCCAAGATGAAGCAACTGCAGCACGGGATTTAAAAGCCAGTATTTCCAAAGGAACAATTAATTAAAAAGGAGGTTAATTCACAGTTTACAGACTTAGCATCTGCTTGTTTAGCATATGCAATAAAAGGCGAAGTTGTGGTAGATTTGTAAAAATGTCAGTTAGATAATTGATTATATATATAGGAATCATTTTTTGCATAATCCAAATCCTCTTTTTCTTTTGATGATCCTAAGATATCATTTTAGAACGGAATGTGGTATTTGTACCCTATGTATTTTATGACTTAATTATTCTAAGTTGAAAGAATTTATATATTTTTTTGTATACCACATTCGTCACTGGATTCCTGGAACTTTTTTAAAAAATCGGTGAATTGGAAAGTATCTGTTTGTATATTTTCCTTGGCATGTCCAAGCAATATTTTTTAGCTGAAGTTCACAGGTTATGTTTTAAGTAGGTATAATACATGAAACCTGTTTACTTTGCTGATAACAAGGACTTAAATGCAGCTTATTGTAATATGAAGAAATTCATGTTATTGCTTTATCTTTTGCATTCTTATAGTTACCTTTATTCTTTGGGGGCAAACTATTATTTTAATTGCTTTTTCTCCTAGAGTGAGGTCTCTGCTGCAAAAGGTTTTTACAGTCTGACCTACTTAACTAGACTTTCCTAAAGAGGTCTAAATATATTGAAACATGAGAGTAAAAACTGAGATAGAAATGTGGAAATTAAGTTTTTTTTAAACAAATGGGAGTGTTTCGGTTATTTTTCTATATAGAAATGCGTGTGTGCGTGCGTGCGTGTGTGTGTGTGTGTGTGTTTTAACTGGGTACTCGGACTAGGATTCATGTCTTCTTTAGCTAAAGGCCCAAGAACATAAATCATTTGAAGAAAAGATTTTCCAGTATTTTCCAGTGTTAAATTTTAGATACAGAACTTTTCAATAACATGTATATTGCTTCAGAAAAATCTTACTGGGCATGGTGGCACATGCCTGTAGTTCCAGCTACTCCGGAGGCTGTGGTGGGAGGATCTTTTGATCCCAGGAGGTTGAGGCTGCAGTGAGCTGTGTTTGTGCCACTGCACTCTAGGTGACAGATCAAGACCTTGTTTCAAAAACAAACATATATATGTGTGTGTGTGTGTGTGTGTGTGTGTGTGTGTGTGTGTGTATCTATACACACACATATACATATTATATATATAGTAATACACTTGCCTTTAATTAGAATGTGAACATCTGAAATACTTTGTTGAAATTTACTTATGCCCCACATTGTTCCAAGAATTTGAAGCTATTTACAAGATGATAAGAAGACACACGTGGCACGGTTAATAAATAGGAAGAGTTAGGGACAAATTAGAGGATGAGAATAAGGGTGAAAGAAAAAGGAGAAAACATATTTGCCACCTGAAGCTTGAGCATAATTGCTGAGCTCGAAGGCATTAAAGCCTTAATATAATAGGAGCTTTTACTGAAATGTAGCCACTTAAAAGGTCTGCTTGTTTTTCCCACTTGTATTCCTGTTTTGGCTAATTTCTTTGGTGATATTAGTATGACACCACCACCTCTCACCCTTTGCCAGATTTAAAGATAAGGTAAAAATAAGCAATGAGTTATTGATACGTAGAAAGATTTAGAGGCGAGGTTCCAACTCCACGGGTGGAATGTGGCCCACAGCTGTGCTTTCTTAAGTCCACATAGTGTTAAAAAAATAAATAAATACAGAGCCAACATTTAGAAAGGAGAGGATTTTACAAAAAAATTCAGAATTTGGCTTTTCTCGGAAAATCGAAAGAGCAACCAACCATCTGGCCTGCTTCCCTACATGATAGCCTGATCTTTAAATGGAGCCTGCAGTATTTCCATCTGCCTGGCCTTGGAGAGCATTTGTGAGTATGGCCCCTGATTAAGACAACCCTTGCTTGCAAGGAGCTTGCAGTCTTTCTAACAGTGATTGGTATTGCATAGCTTGAGTTTATTTCCTAATGATTTAATGATTTTTGCCTTCTTATAGACTTTCCTCACCCTAACCTGTGGAGAGGACAGGCAAAGCCCTTTTGTACTATGATTCATTTCAGATGACACATCCTCATTTAATATTAATTCACTCATTTATTCATTTATCATTCATTCCAAAAATATTTATATCATGCTTGCTACCAAAACCCAGGTCCAGATAACTGTCTATAGTTAGTATTTCTGAAAGTGCCAAATACCCTATATAAAAGTGGACTTTAAAAATACTGTACGTTTGGATTTGGAATAATCTCAGATGTTGAGAATCAACTCCAGATTCCCAATTAATGTACTGTACAAAACAAGGAGAAACTGCTTGCATGTGTCTTACTCAGTATGGAGACCTAGTGACTTCGGTGGAGTGGACCATCCTATACCTGTGTTGGTGCCCTGCTTCCCTTTAGGAATGGAGTTGTAGGTAAGGAGTTGCACATATTGAGGACTGGAGCTGAGCCACTACCCTGGAAAAGAAAGCTCACTGATAGTAAGAAAGACAGATGCAAATACAAGACTTTCCAAGTAAATAAGAAATACATATTCATGTGGATTTATTCCAAGCCTGAATGTGATTCATTTTTTTCTCAGATCTTAGCATTTGGAGGCAGAGCTAAACTTCATTTCTCATATAGCCTTAAATATAAGAACTTGGTATAAAAGAGGCACTTTACAAAAAGAGAAATATTTAGCAGATATGTTAATTGTTGGAATTAAAAAAACCAAACTACCACAAAAAACCCTTCTGGTTATTATCACCTCAAGTGAAATAAAATAAAAATATATCCTGCCACTTTTCGACCTTTGCTTATTGGTTTCCCTTTAAATGACTTTTTAAATGTATTCCTTAGCAGCCAGTCCTCTTCAGTCGTTTAATCATCAGCCAATTTGACGTTTGAGTATTTGTTCTGCGTATGGTACTGTAGTTCCAAATTACACTCATTATAAATCTGCAATGCCTAACCACTGTAGACCAAGTTCTAAGCTTAATCCATATCAAAAGAAAAACAGTTCAAGTCATCTTAGATTGCTTCTGTATGATTGCTTTTGTCATAAAATTTTATATCATGTGATGACTTATCAATCCACTAAAGGTCACACTAAATGATGTAAGCAGTTCTCCCCTCAGATAGCTAAAGATAAATCCTTTAACGAAATCAACCAGCAAGAATCTTTCCTTATTCCAAATTTTGAAGTCTGCATCTGATTTTCAAATTAAGTGAATGAGGTTTATTCCATCTGTGTTCCTTTCTTTCTTTCGACACTAAAAATGGAAGCCCAAAGACAGAGTTTAACATTTTTTTTCAAGTTGGAGAACAGAATGTGATAGGTTAAATTTCAATCTAATCTCTCTCTAAGCAGTATCTACGGAATCTTTCTTATTACTAGGCTTGGGTACAACACATTTCATTTTTGAAGGCTTAACTTAAGCTATTCCCTAGATTCTCTGTTAGTGAATAAATAGAACCTTTTATCTTTATACTGTTATGGTGAAGAGTGTACTTATATGTATATGTATATTGCCATGCCCATCCCTGCAAAATTGAATTGTAATAGCCCTTTAATGATGGAAACTGATAATATTTCAGAAGTGAATGTCTGGTATTCTAAATATGACTTACAGGTGATACTCATCAAAGTGCATTCACCATATATGTGGGTGGCAATAAATCTCATCTTTTGATAGAAGCTTGATTGTTCTCGTATGATTCCCTTTGTGTGATCTGCATGTGCTACCATGACACAGTTCTAAGTATATGATTTTTTAATTAAATAATTGTTAATTGAAATGAAATGACAACATTTTCTACTTCATTGTGTTTCCTGCCTGTCTCTAGGTAGGATCCCCAGTTATGAGAATTCATGAGGATTTCATGAACATTTTTTACTAGTATTTACAATGGAAGTGTTTTGAATATTCCTCCTGCCTATGTGGATTTAGGTAGTTTTTAATAAAACACACACCCTGAACATACAGGAAAAGTCAGATGGTGTATGGATAGCCTTGCCTTTCGAAGTCTTTCCAAAATGGAGAAAGGAGTTCCACCGTACATTTCGTGTAAGCCTTCTGATGGAGGCTTACTGTTTTAGGGTCAGAACAGTGTGTTTGTTGACTGAACACATGCTTGATCTTTGGCATGTTGTGTTGGGTATGTGCTTGGAGAACAAGATTGAAGTGTGCTCCTAGATGACTGTCTCACTTCCATACACTGTACATGGCATGTGGAATTAGAGATTTCCCATAGAGCTGGGAGGGCATTCTAACACCGTGTGCCATGTCTTAGTTGCTGACTCATGTGTGGTTTTGGAAAATTGACTGGAACAGTGCAGATCTGTTGACCAGCCCAGCTTCACTCATCCTAGCCATCCATACATACTTGGTTGGCCATTCTGGCAAGAGACTTCCTTCAGCCTATTTCCAAGTCTGTGTCCAAAAGAGTTGCCCTTCTATAAATTTTTCTCTAATTTTATTGTTAATTCCTATCTTCACAGTCTTTGAGAGCCCATTTGAAACTCGTATTTTCAAGAAAAGTTTCTTCAGATCGCTTTAACTCATCCTGGACACTGATTTCTTTTTTATCACTTCAGCCTTTTTGAAGGCAGGAATCATGTGTACTAGTGTTGTTATTGTTTTCTCCATATGGTTTAAGGCAGTTTCTATATCCGTGATTTACTGCTTATCACAGAATCAGAGACGGTTTGGGCCGGCCAGGTTTTAAATAATTCTCTGGCGTATCCCTTTTTCATTTTGATGTGAGGACGCTTGTGTCTAAGAGAAATTGAAGCGACATTTGGTCAATATTTACTGATTGCTAATTATATTCCTATCCTTTATTATATTTTAAGTTTTAATTTTGATATAATTTCAGACAACAAAAAAAACTGCAAGAACAATGTACCGAATTCTCCTATACTCTTTACCCAGATTTCCCAAATGTTAACTTTTTACCACATTTGCTTCATCATCCCCTCCCTGTGTTTTTTTCCTGAACGATTTGAGTAGGTTATAGACTCGATGCCCTTTTACCCCTAAATACGTTAATGTACAGTTTCTACAAACATGCACATTTTCTTATGCAAGTTATTCTCTTAACTACAGTACAACTGTGAAAATCAGGAAACTAACAGTGATAAATACTGTTACCTAATATACAGACCTTAGAGAGTTCACCAATTTTCCCGGTGTGCTTTGTAGCAAAAGAAAATACTGGATCACAAGCGTAGTGTTTAAAGCCACACGGCACATTAAGTGGTAGCTGTGAGACTGGCACCCAGATCTTCCAACTCATTCTCCTGTGTTCTTTCTGCCTCATTAAATTAAAATGACATCTGTAGACCTCACCTCTGACAACACTGTGGAGTTATCTGAAAGCCTTCGTATACTTCTTAGGGTGTTCAAACTGGTTAGTAACTTCCAGAATCTGAGGCTAGTAATGATGTTTTTTGTTTTTAAAGGTCAGTGAATACAAAGTAGAAATCTTGATGACTTTCCTCATGCTTTCCTTGTGTCTGCCAATCAGTAGAGGTCTCATTTATGAGATAAAAAGTCAGAGGAGTACCAGTTGATAGTTGGACAGCTGCAGAAAGCTTGACCAACAATTAACTAGGTTTGGAGACTCCTAAAATGTAGAGACAGGACAATCACCTCTCCCATCTTCCTCATTAAAGCTGGTGGTGATGATCTGTGACCCATAGGAAAAAATATCCAAATACTACCTGAGACTTAGTTTAAAAAGCTCATCAGTTATAAGTTAAATAACTCATATTTTTTCTACATTGCTGCCACGATTTGCATAATGAAATTTTCTCGTTATCTAACAGTTACAGAATCTAGATTAAACAGATTGATGTTTCGACAATTAGGCCTAACGAGGGACCAAGGCTTCTGTCTATTTTTGTGGAGTCTGTTGTTTAATTTACCATAGGCATCCCAATGTGGCCTTCAGCGTTAAAGAGAAAATTCCATAGCAGAATGTTCAACTGGAAAAGTATTTGGCATTGTTGAAAGGTTTGGAGGACAGTTACAACACTCATAAAACCAGAAAATGATACATAAATCTTTTTTAAAGTAAAAATGTTGGCTTATTTCTCAAAATGTTTTTATTACTTAATAATATGAGTATCAGCCTTTGTTTAGCACATAATATTCAGGATAATTTAGTAGACATGAACTAAAGAGCTTTAAACCACTTGCTTTTATCACAATTCAATTTCATTCTTCTATTCAAGCATAGTGACGTTCATTTAGTGACTTTGTTGTGGGAACATTTCTTTGCATATGATACACAGAACCATTCAGATGTAGTCTGTTTTGGATCATTATCCATTTCTTTGGGCTTTCTTGGATGGAACAAATAGAGTCCCGTTAACAGTCTCAAGTCAAAAATATCTTAAAGACATGACTTGTCTTATATGTATAATTAGGAAAAAAACCCTTTATTTTAAAATATACTTTAGACAGTGATTTACAACAGAGAGCTAGTCTGAAGCTTTGGCAAGTGTATGTATGTGTGTGTGTGTGCGTCTGTGTGTGTGTGTGTAAGAGAGAGAGAAGAGAGAGAAGATAAGAAAGGCAACAACTGGTCTGATTTGCTTGCTGAGTTTTCAGTTGAAAGCCTTTGCTGTCAAGGAGGTAAGGAAATGATTGCATTTAACCGGGCCAGGTATTTTATCTCCACTTGGTAGGAACAGACTCCAACTAAAGCCCTAGGCCAGGGTGCTCCTCCTGTGGTTCCTTGCCTCCTTGCAGCTGGCCCTTAGAATGTGTCCTGGTCAGAGCCTTTGGAGATTCTGATCAGGCTTGGCCAGTGTAGAGGAGTAATCAGACCGAAAGTGGCACCTTGAAACAAACACTTCGGAATAGGAAACACTCACAAAGAGGACCCGGAAGCCATAGGTGCCGTGTAAACCAGTCAGTCCCTCTGTTAGAAAATAAGTATTACTGTTGGATTTGCAGAAAAGTATATGAAAGGCAGTGAAAGTTCAGTGAAAGGAACGTGAGTGAGCTGTGGTATCAGGCAATCCCAAATTCCAGTCTCGATACTGCCACTTGTGCTACCAACGTGTACACCTTGAATAAGTTTTTTAATCTTTCTAATCCTCACTTTATGTACCAGGAAAATCTTACATTCATTCAGCAAGCATATATTGGGCACCTGTTGTGTACCAGCACTCTGTCAGGCATGGAGAATGTACTGATGGGTAAGACACTGTCCTCTCTTCAAGTGGCTCAGAGCCTGCTAGACTCACAGAGTGGCAGGCTTATGTGAGGATATATGTGAAATCACTTAGCAGAAAATCTGGCACATAGTAGTGGCTTAATATATTTATTTTTCTTTCCTGTTTGTCCTCTGAGCCTTTCATGAACATGGGGAAATAAAAAAAAATTCCCAAGAATTTAGCAATTTCACTCAGTTACCTCCCACACAGGATCTCTTAGCAGGAATTGCCATAATTTGGAATTTGACCAACGAAATACATACTTCTATGGAATCTGTACTGGACTGAGTCAGCAAACAGGAGCTCCTGTTGCAGCTTTGCTCTTGGGCAACTCCCTTATCCTCTTTGGATGTCATTTCTGTCAATGGTACAATGAGGGTTTGGGATTAATTAGGCATGATCTTTATCCCTTCGGATCCAAATGAACTGATTTTACTTCTGATTCTCCACTTGCGTCAATGTTTTGTTCGTCTGTCTTTCTTATATCCACCTTCTCCTGACCCTCACACTCAAAGAGATTTTTGGAGTTGTTCGCAAACAGGAACACACGTGACTTTTTGTTTTTAACCTTGGTTTAGTTGCTTTTATCCCCTTCCTTCCTCTCATCTCTGGTTTTGCAGCAAATGGAAGAGGAAAGAGGAGGAAGACTTGGCTGTCTCTACATCTTACCATCTGCCCTCTTAATTACCCTTAGGTGATTCTTGAGTCCTCTGTTTCATGCTGAGAACACATGAGACTGAAGACCCTCTGTTCACTTATGCCTTCATCAGAGTAACTGCTTTTATGTGTAGCCACGGAATCCTTAAGTGAAATTATAGAACACCGAAAATCATAAATAGTGCCAACTGGAAGGGACGTTAGTGGCCACTTGGGAATACATAAAACTGAACTCCTGGAAGGAGAAGGGGCCTTTCCAAGGTTGGCCAGTTGGTTAGTACTCAGGCCAGCACTTGAACTTATATCATTAGTGCAGTTCTCTTTCACTCTGCCCTTTGCTGTAAGAATGGTTATTTTTTTGATTTATTCTTCCCATCACGTCTTAAGTGATCAAATATCATGTGCCTCTTTTTATAGTAAAGATTAGCTCGAGGCCCCCATCTGCCTTGTTCTGTGGTTTTTCTTGTCCTTACTGGTTCTTGGCCAGTGTCTCCTGGGCTGCAGCTTTCCTTTCCACCCTTCACTGTATCAAAGTGTATCCTGGGAAAGGATCTGAGTTGCTCCTAGTCACCATCAACCCTATAGATCTCTTCAATTCCTATTTGCCTCTTAATAAACGTATTGATTATAGCTAACAGTTTTTGGATGCTTAATATGAGCCCGACACTGTGTCAAGTACTTTCCCTCAGAACAATTATGTGATGTGCCATTGTTTTCTGCATTTGCCAGAGGGAGTAATTGAGGTGCAGAGAAGTTCCATGCTTTGCCTGAGGTTCCAAGTCTAATAAGCAGTAGCCCAGGCTTTGAAGGCACCTGGTCTCTCGCCTCAGAACCTGTCCTGTTAAATATTGTGCTCTGTTCCCCTTCCACCCAGCTCCCTCCTACTCCCCTGTCTGCAAGCACAGTAGTACTTTCTCTCCCTTGTTTGCAGATTCCTTTTTTCCTGCCTCCCCAAACATTGGAGATTCCCAGAGTTCTATCCTTGTCCCTGTTCTTCATCCCCTGTATGCATGATGCCTGAGCAATCTCACCCAATTGAAGACTATCTTATTGTTATCCCCAGAAACTTGTTCTAGCCCCATTTCTAGGCTCTCCTTTCCAACTGTATATTTGTAGTTCTATCTGGATATCTGCATAGGCACATCATACTCAACTTGTTCAAAACCACGTGGCATCTTAGGTGACTGGAGTGACGCCCATCAGGCATCAGCCCGGAGCAGGAATTCTGGAAGCCTTCCTGATTCTGCTGCAGTGAAACTCGGAGTGTAGCTTTATGTCAGACTGTATGGGTCTGGATAGTAGAAACTATTTTTCATAAGCATTTATCTGTAAACAAATAACTTAGAAAATCTTTTTCCCCCCATGGAAAAGAATGTAGGTTTTTTGTTTTGTTTTGTCTTTGAGACGGAGTTTCGCTCCTGTTGCCTAGGCTGGAGTGCAATGGCATGGTCTCGGCTCACTGCAACCTCCGCCTCCTGGGCTCAAGCGGTTCTCCTGCCTCAGCCTCCCGAGTAACTGGGATTACAGGCATGTGCCACCACGCCCGGCTAATTTTTGTATTTTTAGGAGAGATGGGGTTTCACCATGTTGGCCAGGCTGGTCTCGAACTCCTGACCTTAGGTGATCTGCCCATCTCAGCCTCCCAAAGTGCTGGGATTACAGGTGTGAGCCATCGTGCTCGGCCAGGAATGATGTTGGGAATGGTCTATTTGCCATGTTTCAGGGCCCCTCCAGCCTCTGTTCTCCTGCATCTGTGGACCCTCAAAGTATGTTAGAGCCTCTCACAGTGTGGATGAAACACAGCCTACATGGGTTTCCACAAGTCCCAGTAACCCAGTGTACCAAAGCAAAGCATGATACCTTAAAAAGGAAACCAAGAACAAAATTCAGAATCAATCTCTCTTCACTTCCCTTCACTTCCCCTAGACTCCAGCTGCTCTGCTATCTTTGGTTTAAACAGTGCTATTTTTGTCAAGATTAAGCATCTTTTTGTTTCTTTTAAGTCTGGTCTTTGCTTTGCTTGGGAGTGTTCATCTGAGTTTTACTGCCTTCCTCCCTGATCTATTCATTTTCATTCTTCAGTAAGCCTCTCACTTTATACAATATCTTTTGCTTTCCAATATTGTTTGTTGCATGCTCATGGGATGTTCTTTGCCATCTAATTTTAGATCATACATAACGCCCTCTAAGCAGCCTTTCCTTTGGAGGGATAAAAGCCATGGTTAAGATGTCACTTCCCATAAATCAGTTTTGGTGAAGATGAAGGCAGCTGTGGGGAGAAGTGAGGGGAGCAGGAACTCAGAAAGTCTGACCCTTTCACAGTCGAGTTAATCCTACCTCTTATCCCTGTCGTCTCCGTGCTACTCTCTGGAGGGTGGATGGACCCTCTTTAACATGAAGAAATGAGCTTTTGCATTGTTCCTCTTTATCACAACAACAAAAGCTCTGGAAAATTCCAATTAATTAGCAAGCCTTGGGCTAATGAAAGAATCAAACTGAAAGCAAAGTCCTCTAAGCTTTCAGAGAGGCATAAGCATGGGAGGACAATGCTGATTTCAAATATTTGGGGCTGTTTGTATAATTTTCCCAGGGTTTGCCTTCCTGAGACAGAGATAAGCTGAGAGAGAAAAGAGCAAGGATTTGTCAGAGTCAGGATGTAATAACATTGTTGGCTTTTAAGGACACTAAATGACCCACTGTCATTTGAAGGAGGCAGTTAAATGTGGACTCATAACATCCGGGAAATTAAAACCAGCATATAGACCTTTGCATATTTTGTGTTTAGAGGAAGACGTGACAATTGGATGAGAATAAAGTAGATTATGAAATAAGGTTAAAGTTAATTCTTATGAAGGACCAGGAAATCACTGTACCATGGTATCCATGAATGAGGGCTTATAGCCAGTGTGGCTGCTAGAAATGCATGGTGATGAAAAGCACTGGCCTTACTCATTTGTAGCCTTTTCATTATATGTTGTTATTATTATTAACAGTAATAATAGTGTAATAAGCACAACAAAACCACCACCACCAACTAACATACTGAGCACTTACTGTACACTAAGCACAATTCTGAGCATACCTAATTTTCTCAAGAATCCTGTGAGATACTAAATACTATGTGGCTGATGCTTTTATTACCTCCATTTAATATTTCAGAATACTGAAGTGTAGCTACTCAATGACTGGCCCGCATATATAAGCAATGGGCCTAGAATGTGAATCTTTGCAGTCTAATTTCAGTGTTCACACTCCAAACTGCCATGCTGTCCTGCCTGTGAAATGTGGTCTTACTGCCTGGGTAGAAATACCACTTGAGAGGCTACATGTGGCCAGGCTGGACTAGAAGCCAGAAAGTGTGAGGACTTCGTCTCAGTTTGGTCACAAATTATTCCCATGATCTTGGACAAATCACTTGCTTATCATTTCTTGTTCATCTGTAAAATGAAATTGTTATGTTAAATGAGGTATCCTCCAGCTCTTAATATTCCATGGATTGTGAAAATGATGAATTTCAGACATAGGTAAATTAAATGGGCATGTTTGAGAAATGGTATGTGTGCGCGCGTGCGCGTGTGTGTGTGTGTGTGTGTGTGTGCCAGTGCACATGCGTGCACATGCTGAGACATAAAAAATGAGGCAGCAGCTATGGACCCAGGCAGATCTGTGTTCAAACCCTAACTCTCCTGTATGACTTTAGAGCTGATTGCTTTATCTCTTTGAACTTGAGTTTCTTTATTTTCTAGTGGAGGTGATGTATAACATGTGTAGAGTCCCTAGCATGATGCCCAGGCATTGTTGCTACTTCCCCTCTCCATCCTCATGTGGATGATGAGAGGGTAGAAAGTACCCTACTTAGGGAGCTGGGTCCAGAGAAGAGATTAGTTCAGTTAAAAAGAACATTTTCTTGAAGAGGTGGCTGTGTAGGTATTTTTGCATGGATGGATCTGTTGGCGATTGATTTTTTTTTTTTTTTTTTTTTTTTTTTGACAGAGCGAGACTCTGTCGCCCGGGCTGGAGTGCAGTGGTGAAATCTTGGCTCACTGCAAGCTCCGCCTCCAGAGTTCAGGCCATTCTTCTGCCTCAGCCTCCTGACTAGCTGGGATTACAGGTGTGTGCCACTATGCCCAGCTTATTTTTTGTATTTTTTAATAGAGATGGGATTTCACCGTGTTAGCCAGGATGGTCTCGATCTGACCTCGTGATCTGCCCACCTCGGCCTCCCAAAGTGCTGGGATTACAGGCGTGAGCCACCGCACCCGGCCAGTGATTGATCTTATAGATGAGAATCTTCCATTCTGAAACGGTCAAGCTTCTAACAGGTTTTCCTGATAGACTTATTCATTGAATTATATCACCTTCCTTCCATTGTTCTTGCTTGGGTAATTATTTTGTCTGCAAATGTTCTTCAGATTCCTTGGACCAAGTGACAATTGAAAGGATACTGGCTGAGAATCACACTTGCTTGAAAGATATCCCCCCAAATTAATGCCCACCTGGAACCTCAGAATGTGACTTTTGTTTTTCTGGAGATAGAGCTTTTGTAGATGTAATCAAGTTAAAAAAATGAGGTCATACCGGATTAGAGTGGGATCTAATCCAGTAATTGATGTTCTTAAAAAAAGAAGGAAATTTGGACACAGAGACAAGAATGCAGGGTGAACACAGAAGACATACAGGGAGAGCACCACATGACGACAGAGGAGGTGATGGGAGATCACATATCTATAAACTGAGGGATGGTCAGTGTTGCTGGCAACCACCAGAAGCTGGGAAGGGGCAAGGAAGGATCCTCTCCTAGAGGCTACAGAGAGAGCCTGGCCCTGCCAACACCTTGATTTCAGAATTCTAGCCTCAGCCTGGGTGCAGTGGCTCACGCCTGTAATCCCACCACTTTGGGAGGCCGAGGCAGGTGGATCACTTGAGGTCAGTAGTTTGAGACCAGCCTGACCAACATGGTGAAACCCCCATCTCTACTGAAAAAAAAAAAAAACAAAAATTAGCTGGGTGTGACATGCACCTGTAATCCCAGCTACTTGAGAGGCTGAGTGGGGAGGATTGCTTGGAACCTGGGAGGCAGAGGCTACAGTGAGCCGAGAATTGCGCCACTGTACTCCAGCTTGGGCGACAGAGCGAAACTCTGTCTCAAAAAAAAAAAAAAAAAAAAGACTTCTAGCATCCAGAACTTGGAGAGAAGAAAATCCTGTTGTTTCAAGCCATTCAGTTTGTTGTACTTTTGTTACGGCAGCCCTAGAAAACTAATACAGCAAGTGAAGTATCTGCTTCTTACCATAATAACTGGGGCTGGACGAGTTGGAGAGAGACAAGTAGACACTGACTAAAGGGGAAAAGAAAGTCCAATGCATCCACGAAGGGGTGTTTTTGAAACCCTTTATTTGTCATGGGGCTCCTCTTCCCCATGTGTATAAACATTCTTTTTATTCTTATTGTCCATGATCAGAGCAGGTGTTGTGGAAATGCTAAAACAGAAATTTTCTAATTGATTAAAATTTGAGGCTAATATTATTTTTTATTTAAATTTTTAAGATTCTTATTTGTTTATTTATTTTGAGACAGGGTCTCGCTTTGTCTCCCAGGCTGGAGTGCAGTAGCACGATCATGGCTCACTGCAGCCTTGGTCTCCTGGGCTTAAGCAATCTTCCTGCCTCTGTCTCCTGAGTAGCCGGGACTACCAACATGCCTGAATAATTAACAAAATTTTTTCTTTTCTTTTCTTTCTTTCTTTCTTTTTTTTTTTTTTTTAAGAGATGGGGTCTCACTACATTTCCCAGGCTGATTTCGAACTCCTGGTTTGAAGCAATCCTTCCACCTTAGCCTTCTTAAGTGCTGGGATTATAGGCATGAACCACCACTCCCAGCCAACATTACTTTTTAAAATTTGACTTTCATAAAAGCAGTATCCTCTAGACTGCAGTGATTACCAATACGGATATGGAGGTGTTGCACACACAATGAGTATTGAGACAGGTGACTACCTGGTTTACCAGCTGATTTAAATATTCTTTTGAAGTCATCTACATGCCTCCAGAAGTTAAAAAAGAATATATCTGAAACCCTAACTTGGCTATAGAATAGGTTGGAAAGTACAGAGTTCGTTAGAATTACATTATTATTTGTAATCTGGGATAAATATTGAAATTGTAATAAGAAAAGTAAGTCTTACCTAAAATACAAGGACTTTGAAGAAAATCACATGATAAGACAAAACTGTCAAACAAGCTTGGGTTAACGTGGACTCATTTGGTTCCAGAAAAGCTCAGAGTGAAGACAGCTCGTGAATTCTGTCATCAGGCAGTAAGGCCTGTATCGCATGTCACTTTGCTTTGTTTTTAATATGTGGTTCAAGCTATGCCAGGCCTGCCGCTGTGCGGGAGATGTACTTTCTGACAAAATAAGGCATTTTCCTGGCATCAGATCCTTTTGGAATTTTTACTGGTTTGCATAAACCCGGCGAGTTCCTATTTCCCACACATATCCAGTGCAGTCACACTTGGCATTGCGGATTTATGGTGGTCTTGAAGCCTGTCAGTGCCAGCGTGGTCAGTTCCTTAGCACCACTGGAGGTTATTCTGAAGAAATGAAACCAGGTATTCGTTCATCCATTATTTAAAAATTGTCTCTCACCTACTATGCCTGTAATGAGGAAGAAATAGCGGAGGCAAAATAGACCAATTTCGGAAGGACTGAAAATATTTTGTGGAGTGGAAAGTATTTCTAGCAGGCTATCTCCTTTTCCTCTGTCTCCTCATCCTTTATGATAATAAAGTTCACTGGAAAAGTTCGTTTGCATTATTTTGTGTTCAAAGAGATAATAATGGTGATGATGATCACAATGATGATATTAATACTAACATTCATTCTTGGTTGTCTCTTACTGGCTGAGTTGAAATACTGTATAAATAAACAAGTCTGAGGACATGAGTCTGAGCTCTTCTGAGTTACTTTGGAAACCCTATTGGCTTGCCGTCTTAACTCCTGGCTCTTCTCTCCTGAATGTATTTCATTGTTGGTCACAAGAGAGATCTGTGGAACTATGTGGGCCAACCCCCAAGCACAGATTTATTATCTCTTTTCTTTTCTTTTCTTTCTTTTTTTTTTCTTTTGAAATGGAGTCTCACTTCTTCACCCAGGCTGGAGTGCACTGGTGCGATCTCGGCTCACTGCAACCTCTGCCTCCCGGATTCAAGCAATTTCCCTGCCTCAGCCTCCCCAGTAGCTGGAATTACAGGCATGTGCCACCATGCCCAGTTAATTTTTGTATTTTTAGTAGAGACGGGGTTTCACCGTGTTGGCCAGGCTGGTCTCAAACTCCTCACCTCAAGTGATCCACCTGCCTCGGGCTCCTAAAGTGCTGGGATTACAGACATGAGCCACTGCGCCTGGCCACAGATTTATTATCTCTTATGGAAAAATAACTATAAGTACCTTCTCCAGCATTGAGAGCCTATGGTCTATTAACTTTGCATAGAAAGGGTAGAACATGATCATCCGTATTGAAAGAAAGGGCCAAGACAAGGCAGAGATTGTACAAAATGCGAGAAAACTCTCCAGTGTTTCACATATGACCCTGGAGATGGTTCATCTGATTCATTCAACCCGCATTTGTTAACCATGAGAATCATATATGGGATGGGGACTAGTGATGCAAATTCAAGTAATATACAGGCCCTGTTCTCAAGGAGCTTATAGTCTAAAGTTGAGACTGGTGAGCCATCTGCAAATTTATCTGGTACCACATTCTCCCTTGCCGAGTACATTGCAGCTAGCCTGGCTTTTTTTTTTTTTTTTCTTCTTCTCCTTTCTCTAGCATACCAAGCTGGTTCAGCCTTCAGGTCTTTGTACTAGCCATTTTTTTCTGCCCGGGACTCCGCCCCCGTATTGTTACATGGCTGGTTTCTTCTCACTATTTGCATCCCAGCTTATGAGCTACCTCTTCCATAGGCCTTTTCTGCCACTCAGTTCAGAGTAGCCTCCCATCTCATCTATTTTATGTCTTTGATGGCACTTACGCTTATTTGAAATTATCGTGTTCACTTATTCATTCACTCATATTATTGTATATTCTCTCACCACTACAATGTGCACTTTATGAAAATGGGGGAATGTTACTTGTCTTATTTACCATTGTATCCTTGGTTAATATGTTTTTATTGAATTAATGGATGGACAAATGAATGAATGCTATCATATATTATAATACATTTAGTAGTGAAAACCTTAACAAAGTGCTATAGGAAAATGAGGAAAAGTCTGACAACTTCTGTATCTCAGCATATCGGGGACATCTTAAAAGACATGTGAGCTGGATCTGGAAGACAGGAGACAGTATAGCTGAAGGCACTACTTCTGCTTAGGTAAATGAAGCTCTTCTTTCTTAATCTCGACCCTTCCTGCCTGACCCACTTCATCGTGGTATTCAGTGAACAGCCCAGATAATTCCGTGACAGAGGGGACAGTAACAGCCCAGTAACTGTGACCTCTGCCCTCTTTGGACACATGTATCAGGGATATGGCAAACATGTGTTTACTGAAAACGTCTCTTTCATGCTACAGAAAGTTGCTAAAAGCTCGTCTTTCCAATAAAGAGAAACTCAGAATTGATGTAATGGAGAAAGGAGCTTATGAAACATAAGAAGGAATTCTCGACAGAATAAAAATAGCAGCTTAAAAGAGGCATCGTTTTGGAAAGGAAAAAAAAGATTTTTTCCCCTCTACTGTAAGAAAATATGTGTGGATGAGGCATGTGTGTTAAACTACAGAATAAAATTTGCATGTTACTTCAGGGTGCTGCAACCATGGCAATTCAGAGTTTTGTCGGTCCTGACAGGCATGCTTGCAATATATACATCCGTTAACAAGATTATCAGTTGAAGAGACAATCATATTTTTACTGAAAAGGTTTTTTGAGGATAAAATTTATTGATATTTAATGAAGCATGAAGTTTCTAAATGAACCATGAAAGCAATAGCTAAACTAATTAACTGCACATAAAGGCTCCCAGAATGCATACGTGATGTGGACTGTGTGCTTATCAATTGTGCCTGGTTACACTGACATCTTGGATAACATGCTCCTCATATGTGCTTTGTGGAAGCACTCGTAAATCCTCCTGTAATGCATGCACTAAAGGAGGAAATAACCATTTAGATTTCCTGCAAATGTGGATTGAATATTTAAGTCAAGCACTGAGGGTTTATAGGTTATAATTTAGCAGAGTTAGGCCTAGTAATAATAACATATTATTTCCACATACTTGATTTAAGCCTCTATGTATGCTCTTTCATTGAATGATAGATCGTTCCCTGGTACTAAAAATATGCATCTTCCTCCTTCCTCTCTGCTCCCCACCCCAAAGAGAGACCAAGGATGCTAAATAACATGAGATGAACATTTCATTGTGCAACAGGGATTCATGTGGGCCTTTTTCAACTACATGCAAAATCGTGCCCTGTTGAGAGCTCGGAGAATTTTCAGAAGCAGGCAAAATCAGTCCTGCTTTGGTGTTCACTGTAAGTCACACCAATTTGGGAGGCAGATGACTAACCCTAACAAAACTGTTAATGTTGACCTTTATCAATGGCCATCTTCCTTTCACCTGGTGTCTCCTTATTCTTAGCCACAGGCACCTACCTCTACCCCATTGCTGCAGAGCCTAGCTCATAACAAATAGCTTATAATTACCGCACGCACCTTTCTGAAAATAATATTCATACACTAATGAAGGAGTTTGACAAATTATTAGGACCTGTAGTAATCATATATGTTAATGGAAGCGTTACAGGGACTGTGACAGATGTTAGAGCCGTGCTTTTCAAATGTAAGTGTTGAAAATGCCAATGGGTTGACCCTACCCCCAGGTTTCTGATTCGGTAGATATGGAGTGAGGACAGAAACTTTGCATTTCTGACAAGCTCCAGGATGATGCTGATGCTGTTGGTCCAGGTACCACACTTTGAGAACCACTGCAAGCTAAGCTGGGAGAGGGCATTTTTTTTTCAGAGACACTCTTATCATATACCCTTTTGTTCCTTAAGGGTTGTTTCTGTTCTTCAGCATATCCAGGGTCCTCCTCATCAGATAAGGGCATGAAACTTACTGACGCTTAAGCATAATGACCCTTAAAGGGCTACCCTTCACAAGGATATGTAAATTTTAATGGGGTGAAACCAAAGGAATGAAACTCTGAAGAAGATATTTTATCTTCCAGTGGGTTGAAGGGTTTTGGGAAATATAAAATTTAGACCTGAATTCACCATTCAGACCAAATACACTTTGTCCTTGAAGCATCTCTGTGCCCTACTTACCTCTAGATGATCCCACCTTTGTTTCCACATTCTGTCTGTAATACTTAACACAGGAATTGTTATACAGCTGGCACCTGCTAAGTGTGTATTGGGTGGATAAGGAGGATGAATGTATGAAGTGTACAGGGACAAAAACTTGTGTGATTTAGTGCTTCTCTCCTGAGGTTTAATCAGCTAATCGGTAAGGGAAGGAGAGGAAAGGAAGTAGAGAAATTCGTGTAGGAAAGGGCAGAGACTGCATTAAAGAATTAAGATAATGGAGGAAGAAGGGAGGGAATAACCTTATTTCTATGTGAATGTGAGGAGAGTTTGTTTTGTCATGTGAGAGAATGGAAGAGTGAAGGAAGGCTTCAGGGCTGCTCAAGGGTATAAGAGTTGTCAATCAAGAGGAATGGCCACACAAGAGGTGATTTTTTTTTTTAATCCATTGCTGGACTTGGGGTTTGAATGTACTTCTCCACCTGAAACTGGTATGAGGAGTTCAGGGATTTATTTGGGTTATGGATGATTAAATTTGTTAACAGATACCAAATAATATATTGTTAATGTGAATAATAGGGGATAAATGAATAGCAGTAGCATGTAGTGGGAAGATGCTTAGGTGTTCCTATGATCTTGAGCAGTGGTTCCCACAGCAGAGGGGCCTGAGGACCTGCAGCATCAGTATCAGCATCACCCAGGAACTTGTTAGAAATGCAAAATCTCAGGTCCCACCGTACACCCATTGAATCAGAAACTCTGGGATGGGCCTAGCAATCTATGCTTGTACAGCCGTCCGTGAAATTCTGATGCACACTTAAGTGGAGAACTGTGGGCCTGGGGAGTTGCTCGACTTATGGGTTCTCCATTTGAAGGAGAAGTAGACACTGTACCTGGCTCGGACTCTCTGAAATTCAGGAGGGCTTTTGGTTAAAAGATAACCGGTGACTAATGTCCTATGTGTGAGTGCAAATTATTGCTAAATATTTCATCATTTAAAAGGCCTATGAAGGCACAAACGTTTTGAGTTCAGCAAAGAAAACAAATACGCTAAATATTGAAAAGGGTAAGAGAAAAGTTTAGAAAGCAGTCACACCGCACAACTGCCTAAGAATCTACGCCACGGCCAGGTCACGAGCTTGGGAAAGTTACTTGATTATGGACAAAATGCGCCATGTAATGGGTCAGTGGTTCCAGGTGTAATCCACTGCTGATGTCATTTGCTGCACAATCATGCTTATTCTCTTGCTTTTTAACTTGCTTTTTAAAAATCTTTTGGCAGTGATCCAGTAACGTGACCTTTTTAGTGTTTTACACATTAACACTAGTATTTTTTTCTTCAGAGCATTATTTTTTCAGTGTAGAAAAATTATGTATGTTTATTGCAGAACATTTTTTAAATACCGAAAAAAGAATAAAAGAAACTTATCTACAAGTACTTTGTAGATGCAGATATCATTTGTTAATATTTTAGTAAGCAAATACATGCATGTGTCTTGTGCCTTATTCTAAATAAAGTTTCATGGTCTCTTTTTCCACATTGTGTTACAAACTCCCCATGTAGTTCAGTATTCTTTGAAAATATAATTTTTAAGTGCAGCAGACATTTTTTATGTATACGGAAAGTGTACTATAATTTGTTTAGTCAAGTTTGCTTTCTTTTTTACTGAACTTACGTTGTACCAAATATCTTTAAAAATGATGGTCTAAATGTCTAAATATGTCCATAGGGTAGATTATTTGGTCAGATGAACATTTTAAATACCTCTGACTGTGTTACCAAGTTGCTTCCCCAAAGGTTTATATAACATATTACACTCTCAACTCAATCTACTGGCAGAATATTGTGTTCATTTTATGTCTTATCTACTAGATTATTTTGTGAATTGGTTAGGCCCTTTGTTTTTCCCCCTACATGAATGTTTATCATTGATTCGCAAGGACTGTTTATGTAAGTCTTTAACTCTTTGTGATATAGAATGTTAATATGTTTCCTGGTCTTTTGTTTGCTTTTTCATTTTGTTTGTGGTGCTTTTTGAGCTAAAATATTTTTGTAGTTATATCTGTTTATCTTTGCCTTCTGCATCCTAAAATGAAGTAAAAAATTCAAATACATTTTCTTTTAGTTGTTTTACATTTTATTTTAATATTTATCTCTTTATTTCCCTGGAATTTCTTGTGGCATATTATGGCTGATTGTCTTTTCCAATGATGACTAAAACCATAGCTCCCATTCTATATTCTCTTTTGTGATGTGACGCTCCCACTCTTATGTCAAGAGATGGAGTCTATTTCTCTACCCCCTTGAATTTGCATGGGTTCCAAGACTGTTTGGGCCAATTACATACAGTAGAAGTGATGCTACATCTGTTGGAGGCATGTTTCTAAATGGCCTGAAAGCCCCCTCTTTCTGCCTCTCGGAAACCAGCCACCATGCTGTGGGAAGCTCAAGTCATGTGCAGAGGCCATGTGTTGGTGTTCTTATTGACAGCCTCAGCGTAGCTCCTAGCTGATAGCCAGCATCACCTGGCAGCACGGGAGTGTGCCACTTAGATGTCCATCCAGCCCACCCTTCAGATGACTGCTGTCCTAGGTGACATGTGACTGCAGTGCATGAGAGACCCCAAATGAGAAGCATCCTGATGGGCCCAGTCAACCCCTAGAACCACAAGAGATAATAATAAATTGTTGTTTTAAGGATGCTAAGTTGTTGAGTGGTTTGCTATGTAGCAGTAGATAATCAGAACATGTATACAAGTCATGTGAATAAGCATTTAACTTTGATTTTTCTTTCCAAACTATAATAAACTGTTGACCCACTACCATTTATTGATCTCTTTTCATCCACTCATTTGTAAAGCAATAATATGCAAACTTTACTATATATTTGAGGTCATGATTTTATACTTCTGTTCTCTTTCTTTATTTAGTTTAATTAGTCTTCCTTCTGTGTTCCACAATATATATATATTTTGAGACAGAGTCTCACTGTGTTGCCCAGGCTGGAGTGTAGTGGTGTGATCTCAGCTCACTGCAACCTCTGCCTCCTGGGCTGAAGTGATTCTCCTTCCTCAGCCTCCTAAGTAGCTGGTATTACAGGAGTGCACAAGCACACCTGGCTAATTTTTGTATTTTTAGTGGAGACAGGGTTTCAACATGTTGACCAGGCTGGTCTTGAACTCCTGACCTCAAATGATCTGCCCGCCTCAGCCTCCCAAAGTGCTGGGATTACAGGTGTGAGCCACCATGCACAGCCCACAATTTTTATTTTCATATTTTTGATTATTAGTACTATTTTATTCTTCCAAGTTAGAATTCATTGTCAAGGTAGTGAATAAGGAAAGGCCCATTAGGACTTTGCATTAATTCAGTGGTTTTCTCTCTGCATGATATTGCTCCTTGGGGACATTTGGCAATGTCTAGACAGAGTTTAATTTTGGTTGTCACCACGAGGGGTGCTACTGGCATCTAGTGGGTAAGAGGCTAGAGATGCTGCTCAGCATCCTACAATGCACAGAGCACTCCTGCTCTTGCAACAAAAAACTATGGAACACAAAATGCCAGTAATGCAGAGGCTAAGAAGCACTGCATTCAACCTATAAGAAAGTTAGGAAGAATGAACATACTTATTATATGTTGCTTTCTCCTCCAGAAACATTTACATATCTATGTTTATTTAGGTCTTCAGAAACAGGTAGTTTTCTTCATATTACATGCCATTCTTAAGAATTTTTAATTCTTTTTTTCATTATATTTTAAAACTTATAATTGATGGTATATAAGAAACCTATTGCTTTTGTAAAATTTACATTGCGTCTTGTCACCTTATTGAATTTTCGTTTATAACAATTTTTAGTGGATTCTGTTGAATTTTATAGGTAGAAAGAATTTCTGAAATTTAACTTTGTGAAAAGGAGAGAGTGAACACCACGTTTACTCAGAAAATGGGTTGGAAAGGATTTGAGAGATTATTTAATTACTCACCTGCATTTTAGTGGTGATAAATCTGAGGCCTAGAGAAGTTAAATACTCTGCTTCATGTCACATAATTTGTGTAGGCTCCTAGAATGGAAAGTAGCCCAAACAATAGCCTTTGGATGAAGGCTGTGAAAATCCTCATAATCTACATTAAAATGTAAACCTTGTTATTGTGTTTAAAGCCTTTGAGATGTTATAGAGTTGGGAATGTCCTTAGGGATTTTTCTCTTCCATTCCCCTCCTCCTACATTCTCTGCAATATCCTGGCAACCCCGTCGTGTATTCTTCCAGGAACAAGAACCCTGCCTCACAAAGGTTCCCAGTCACTTCTGATTTCTAGAAAGTTCTTCCTTTGGTTCCTTCCTGAGGCTCACACATCCTTTATGGTTGAAGGGTGTTGGAGGAAGCAGAGTTTTCATCAGCTGCTGAAGTGGCAACTAATAGAGGTTTGAATGGCCGTAGAAAAATATTGTGTTACTTGTTTGTTGTCTAGGTGAGATATGAGACTGGGAGGGTTTGAGGTTCTGGTTTTTTCATACAAGACCTGTGCAAACTGGAGATCCCATAAATATTTGTTGAATAACATTGAATTTTACGTGATGTTTTTATGTCTTCTCATTCTTTTTTATGAGAGTCCTTTGGGTAAGAGTTGAGCCCAAGGAGGACTGAGGGTCTCAACCTCAAATGCCCTTCATTCTGTCGCCTTCCAAAGGTTCTCTCCTGCTGTGGAAGGTATGAGTATGTTTAACTAGGAACAGATGATTATTATGCTTCATTACCAGGCATGGTCTCTGTGCCACAGGACTCTATCCAAACTCATAGACATAATGAAGAGCGCTTTCATTGTTTAGGACTCCTGAAGGCAGATTTTTTCCTTAGAACAAAGATGAAGAAAGGCCACAATCCAAAGAAATCCCCTCAGTGCAAAACTGTGAACTGGACAATTGTTCTGCAGTTATTTTGCCAAGAAATAATAGCCTTAGAGCCCCACTTACTGCTTGTAAACTTTCTTTGAGAAGAGAATCTTTAAAAAAATTATGCTGTCAAGTTCCATATGCTTAAATTAGACTTTCCCCCTTTCTAAGCAAGGTGCTTGCTCTCCCTGAGCAGTCTGAATGTTGGTTCAGTGGCAGATTTACATTTGGTGGATGAATAAGCAGGCACTAGTTCTAATAAAACCTGTGGTTTAGCTGTGTTTCTGCTAAAACATATAGTTTGAGGAGATAGAGGCAAACTCAAACTGAACCTCTTTTTAAAAATGTAACAATCTGATTTCTTTTTTCTCCTGAAGAGTCATACATTTTGTCTGATCTGGGAGAATGCAGGCTTTTGTATCTTCTAGGCTCAAAGACACTTGGAAGAGAGAAGTCTCTGGTGGCGTTTTCAGATTCAACCTGTGGACTGAAACAGAGTCGATCTCTAGGCACAGTTGTTAAGTAGGCATCTCTATGTCGCTTTTCATCCTGATCTCCTCCTCTGTGCTTACCCCTTTTTTTCCTTCAGCTCTTCATCTCTTCATGGACGCTCCTGTCCCCAACCCAATGCTCATTGTGTAGGAGTCGATCATCTGCCATCTTCACTCTATTTTGAAGGCAAAAGACATTTTTAACTGCCTCAGAGGTATTTGCATCATTAAGCACCATTTATAACTGACAGCCCCAAAAAAGTAGTAGGATACATTAGAAAGTGGGTTTAGTTGGGTGCCCAAGTACTTGGATTTTTGTCCTGATGCTGCCATTAACTAGCTGTGTGACCGGGTGAAAGTCACTTTACATCTCTGGACTTGAATTTTACAATTTATAAAATAAGGAGGTTGGACACATGATTTCTAATCTTCCTTCTTGGCATCTAAATCTATGAATTCAAAGCATGGTGGGGGCAGAGATACATCTTTTTCTTATGAGGGAAACCCTTGAAATTGTTTCATCATCTATTCTGGTTTAAAGATAGTCTTTTAAGATATGAGAGAGTAAAGGTTTTCTGATGTGATTTGCAGATGGGAAGAGGAATCGATATTTTCTGAGCATTTGGTTTGTGCCAGGCTGTGTGCTAGATGGTATGTGATCTTACCAGGCTGAATGTGGTGATTTGGCTGAGCTTGCCACAGACTGAACTTGGCCTCCTGGCCTGCGACTTTGCCCTGGCATAGATTCCTCTTGCCTCCATATGGCTGGCCCCATCTACCTACAAATTTACGTTTTCCTCCTCCTTATGTGAATATTTTTATTGGTTAGTAAAAGCAGAGGACAGTCAGTGGCTGGTTGGACTCTGCTTTTAGGTCAGTCCAGTTGTGTAAGATCAAAGTTTGGGCTACTGAGGCAGAATTTTAGAAAAGACCCCCTTTCAGCTTTATTTTTGTTGTTTTTAAGGTAGGTTGGTTTCTAGTAGAAAGGGGCCCTATAAAAGCTTTGGGTCTGTATGGGAGGTTGCTTCTCTGGGGAAGCTCTTCTTTACCTTTTATTGTACCAGATTCACTGTGAAATTATCTTTGTGCTCATCTGTGTGTGTGTGTTTATGTGTGCATGCGTGCACCCGCACGTGCATTATGTTCTTATATTCCTAACATATATCCGTATGAACTGTGCGCATTCAAGACTCTTCGTGAATAAAAAGTTAGTAAATCCCTTTTGTAGTAAGATATATGCAAGTGCAGATAAGATACTTCATATCTTGTTTCTAAATATCACCATCATTATCATCATCGTCATCTCCTTCTCTGTGTCTCAGTAGCTTTTTTATCCTACCTTATTTTACCAGACATTATTTTGTGCTGTGATTCTCTTGATCTCTGTTTCACCTGCTCCTACCATGCAGTTTTTAACTCCTGAATGAGTGAGATAACAAATGAATTTCATGTTATGCATCAAAAATTCCTGAAAGTAAAAGGGGTTATGTAATAGACACTTAACCACTGCTTTAAAGGTTAGACTAGTGTCATCTATTTGTACTTGCATGCCTGACACCATTTATGGTACCTACACAGAATAAATTAAGGTGTCATGCCTGACTATTGCTTATATATGGAAACCAAGAGGTTGGAGGCTCCGCGTGAGTGTGAGTTCCAGCTTTGGGAGAAGAATGACAATTGTCCTGTGTTCTCTCCATCTAGGAGTATTTGTCCAGTTATGTGGGAGGTGATGGTTAAGGGAATATGAATGAACTCATAGCCATCTGTGTGTGTTTTTTGAGTTGGGCTAGCTGGGGTTTGAATACTCACTCTTAGCAGGTTAATATGGTCTTCAAGCCTTAGTTTTCCTCCCCTGTGAAATGGGATGGTAATAATCAAGGTTGTTGTGGGAGCTAAATGAGTTAATCTGGGAATAGAGCTAGGCATCCTCCTCTGGCACCAAGTAAGCCTTCCATTAAGCTTACTTTAACTTTCACTTCATTTTTAATGTATAGATGAATCACTATCATTATTATTCTTAGTAGCAGTAGTAGTAGCAGCTGTAATAGTACAAGTTCTTGGTGAGGAAGCATGATCACCATGTTGATAGCTAGGTAAACTCTGCACCTCCTTTGGAGTATTTGGAGAGGAGACAGAGGTTTGTTATAATCTTGTTTCCACGGAGGGCTTCATGGGAAAGGTGAGAAGTCAAACAGTTTGGAAAAGGTTCTGTTGATAGGGACGAGCTTTGTGTGCAGTGAGGTGTGGAGTCAGCCTGTGGAGGAGAGAGGAGAATGGGTTAGGAATGGCCAGGACAACAAAGTGGCAGCTCTGGCCACGTTACCCCCACTCCAGGCTTCTCAGCAATTTCTCTGTTTATTTTATTTTTATTTTTCCCCTTATTTTAAATTATACAATCCCACCCTCCTTGTAGCCCTCTCTCCACCTACCTGTGCAAAGAAGTTCTTTACTAAAACTTGCTACAGGTATGGTGTGGGCATTACCTGTTCATAGGCATTAGGAAGCTGAGGCCTAATATTCTGGGGTGATGGGTAGGGGTCCAGGTGGATTAGGTACAGTCCCTGTCCTCATGGGCCTGCCAGTTTAGGGGGAAAGGTGAGATATAGATACATGAGGTAGAATTGATCCACAGCACAAAAGACAAATGAATAACTATGTGGGAGTTTAGAGGAGGAATAGAGCACTGTAAACCTGGCATTGGAGGAAGGAATATGGAAGGTTTCTTTCAAGGAGGAGGTAGCATTTGAGCTGATCTTTGAGGATGGAAATATGGAGAGTATGGGGACGTGGGGATGTGGTGACCAGGGATTTCAGGCTGCCTGGAGTGGAGTATGTCTGAAAGAACCATAGTGGTGAATTCAGGCTGAAATCAAACTCCTGTGAGTGTAGCAAGGAAACCGATGTAGCCAGATCTCATCTAGAATCAGCAATAATTAGTAAGAGTTTTCCTGAAGCTATTTTTGCTATAATAAGAAAAAGGGGGGAGGGATTAAGAGCTCAAGCATTCCTGGTGTTCAAGTTAAATGTTAACTCCTTTGTGTAGTTAACCAGTAACTTACTCTTTCCTATGCAAAAGAAAAAAAAGGAGAGGGAGAAACATAATACAGTGGTAACCACCTCACTTCAAAAAATCCTGGTTTGCTAATGTGTTTGCTTATTTTCAACATAATACATACGTAGCTATTATAGAGATGTGTGCAAAATGAAACAGCCGACAGTAAGTTGACTTACCTTTGTGAATTCCCTGGATGTCTTCTGCAGGGTTTGCAGAGTTAGCTATTTTCAGACACATCCCTAGTTTAGCCATTAGAATGTTATAATTTTTTTTTTTTTTTTGGTATGAACTCAGCAAGTGAAACTTTGCTTCCAGAAAGGTGGGTGGGTGAGTTCACCCACCTGCTCTGACCCAGGCAAGTTAATGACCTGCCCAAGTATTGTTCGCGCTGGCCAGCGCTGGCTGACTTCACCAGCAGTTCCCCTTGAAGGGAGTCATTGTTTCTTACTCTGCATTTGTCAGATGCTTTCCTCTCTGCACTCCAGCCTTTGCTGAATGTCCTGGCAGTTCCTGAATGTTCCTGCTGCCTGCATTTTATAAAACCAAAGAGCAAGTAGCCCTGGAAATGTATGCCAAGTACTCTGCACAGCTGTCTGAGGCCCCCAGCCAAGGGCAAGATATAAACAATCTATACCCACACAGGTACACAAGCAGACACTGCATATGGAAGCCCCGCAGTGCAAGGACTTCTTACTTCTAACACTTTAAAATGTCAGTGGCCAAACAGCCTGAGAACATGAATAATTTAAGCATGAGATGCTTTTGCTGATGATTTTGATCATTTTTCAGGAAGAATAATGGTAAGAAATTTGTTAAGAAATTCCAAATTGAAATTCCATTATTGAAATTCCAATAATAGAATGGAGGTACGTGAAGGAAGAGGACTAGGAATTTTAGAATTTGTATTTGCTGTAAGAAATTAAAATATAGTATGACGTTGAACTTTCAGAACTTCTTAGGATATTGCCTGCATAATGTTCAATTTGGGGAAGAAATGAATGGCCAGAGGAGATTAATTGCAGTGGGCTTAAATTTCTAAATGTCAGGTGCTAGGTCAGGGTGGCTAGAAAATTAGAGGCATACGGTGAAATGCCTTTAATTTGGTATAAGATCTAGTGCATTTGACTCTAAAGATGCTTTGGGACAATCAAATTGAGAAATAATAGCAAGATAGTTTTTAAAAGTCGAACGTAATACTCTTCAGAATGAGTGTCAAATAAAATCCAGTACATTGGTTCTGGCCTGTTTTAAATGAATAGCTCTTGTAGCATCCTTCCTCTTTGCTGTGTTTATCTAGAGAACTGTTTAATTTTTATTAGTAGGCTAATTCTTGCATTAAAGACATAAATTGCATATTTAGGATGGAGAATAGGCGTTTGAGATGAAGTTTATTCAGGGTTCTGTCCCTACTGCTGAAAAATCTAATTCACTGCTGAGTGGATCGTAACTGCAGTTGCTAATTTAAAAATCAGTTCGCCAGATTCCAGTGACTTTGATAAGACTTTTATTCTTTTCAATCTTATGTATTTGTGAGCACATACTTGGGAAGATTGCTGCTGAGTAGTGTTGCATGTCAGAGATGAGGACAGTTTAGTCATTAACCCTAAATTGAGGGTAAAGACTGGCAATAGGCAGCCTGTGGAATGAGGAAAGGGCCAAGTTGAAATATTTCCAAAAGGTATTTTTGTTGTTTACCCTTGTTAATTATTAATACTAATTATTGATGAAAAATAGTTTTGAGTTACATGCCACACATTGTTTAGGAATAAATTATCAAATTTCTTATCTAGAACTATAGTAGATATTCAACGGTTTCAAATAATCGATATTTATTAAGTTAGTAAGGTGTCCCCCCTTCCTTCAACATTAAAGACACAAATCCATAAAGTTCTGGTGCATAAAGACTTTGTTTCATGAAAGTGCACTTTCCTCCCAGCTTTGGGTAGCTTCTTGCACTAAATGAATATGTTAAGAACTGAATTTGACAAAATCAGGTCAATAATTAAAAAGTATCTTTAGAACAAAGTACCTATCTCATGTAAGACATGTAGATAATATATAGGTTTTATAGGTTAAAATTGCCAAATTAGTTATGAATGTTGTGCTTTGTCTCAATTGTCCATGCCTTTTCAGATTTGTACTTTTTTGTCATGTTAGTTTCTTGGAAATGACCTTTTTAGGAATTTCTATATTTTGTAGTTTATCATACAGGCTTAAATGAAGTATATTGTTTAAATTCTACTGAGCGGGTATGCACTTCCCAGAGAAGATTACTCTCTCTGGGAGTCAGAACTGGCTGATACTAAAGGAGAGAGAGGGAGAGAAAGGGAGAAAGTGAGGGAGGGAGGGGGAACAAAGGGAGGAGGGAAGCTGGCAGGAAGAGAAGGGGAGGAAGGGAGAGGAAAGAGAGGGAAGTTTGAGATGTTAGGTCCCTCTGACAGAGGGCACTGATGTGACTTGGAGACTGCTCTCAGAGTCGGGCTGTAAAAGTCGGTGTTCATGCCTCTTAGGCATTATGGGCTTTTTGAATGTTATTAGATTCATTTTAGCCTCATTCTTAAGAACTGTGTGTTGCGATATCCTGTGGGCTTTGGTCATTTTTGGTTTTAGATCATGTTGTTCCAATCAATTGGTTGTACTATATGTATCACAGCAGTTGTGTGCAAAAGGTACTAGCCTTGGCAACCTAAAGATATGTTTGCTTATAGAAAATAACACACACAATTGAACCACCTTTGGGTGTAGTTTTTCATTTACCAGCGTGTTCTCCAGAGGTACCCTGTATTGATGTATTTTCCCAGTAGTGGGACGTTGTAGTATTGGCTTAAAAACCTTACCTAACAAGGAGTAAGTAGGCTGATCCTGGATCAGTTTATTTTCTCTGCCATCCCAAAGACTTGCCCACTGACCTCATCCATAGTGTGGTGTTTGGTCTATGAGCAGTTGATTCACCAGTTTTCAGAGCCCAAGTCTAAAATCACAGATCCTGTGGGGGATCTGGGAGCATCTGCCTTACCTTTATGAAGGTTATGGTCAGTTAAGCCTTGCTTTCAATGGGCTCACTTCGCTATGGGAAGAAAATTCTGCAGTTGTTAAAAACAAAAGGACACTGCCTTTTCCAAGGGAGCTGACAGCTATTGGTTTTTCCGGAGAGGATTACTGGTGAAGACAGTTATGAAGAACAAGTAACTCTTGTAAATAAACAGCATGTTCTTGCTTAAATATTTCCCAGAACAGTTCTAAAGAAATATAATACAGGTAAGTTTTGTTATGTTCTCATTGTGAGTTATGTTTACGAGAAGCAAAAAATAGGATTAGAATCATGGAGGAGGAAAAAAAGCCTTTTCATACCAGTGGCTTATGTTTTATTGAATTCTAACCATTTATAAAATTATCTGGTTTCTTGCCCCTACTCATGGTTGATTTTGTTTCTCTTTTTCCATCTAGAGACCTTTGAGTTATTTTTATTCATAAGTGAAAAATGTATTACAGCTTTATTTCCTTTTATTAATAGTTCCTTCTTGCCCTTAACCACATCTCTGACTTTTTGGCATGTAGAGTCCAATGAGCTCATGCTTAATCATGTATAAACAACCATCTAATTATATGGTTTTGAATTTTCATTTGACCGACTAAACAAAAATGACACAGAAACGAGAAACCTGACAACTTTCCTGTCTTCAGATACCTGGCCTTTTTTTCCCTCGCCCTCTCTTCATGCATTTAGTAAAATGCATGTTATAACCTATCAAAAAATATCACTTTGTATTTGCCAAGTTTCTGAGGTAAAATTGTTCTTTTCAAGGCTACGTGTCAAAAAACAAGTCGGTTGAGCTGAATTATCCGCCTTCTTTTCAGATCTCTTTCGGACTCTATTCTTTCCTCCTTTGGACGGAGGTGTTAGTAGCATTCCTTGCGCTGTGGTGTCAGATGACAGGACAGCATTTATGGAGCAAGGTTTCTCGATCTTTGTTCCCTTGCCTTCTCCCCTGAGGTCCAATAACAGCTCTCCCACTTGCCCTGTCGTCCCACCCTCCCCCAAACCATGCTGACACATTTTTGAAAGAAGATAATGGGAAAATCTTTCCATACTAAGGTGCTCACTATGTTTAAACAGGAAGGGAGACGTCGTCTATTCTCTTTTCTTTCTCACTGGCTTGATCCTAGAATTCTGAAGATGGTGGAAAATCTCTTTCAAACATTTAGATGGTTTCGCCATAGATAGTTCAGTGTGCTTGATAGAAAAAGACAAAAGATGCTACAGAAAGACAAATACTGGCTGATCTCACTTAGGTGTGGAATCCAAAATGCTGGAACTCATAGCAGCAGAGGGTAGAATAGTGGTTGTCAGGGGTTGGGAGGTGGGGAAAATGGGAGATATTGGTCAAAGAGTACGAAGTTTCAGTGTATGCAAGACGAATAAGTTCTGGAGATTGCTCATGCACAATGTGGTGACCATAGTTGACAATACTGTATTGTTTACCTGAAATTTATTAAGAGAGTAGTTTTTTTTTGTTTTTATTTTTTTTTTTGAGACAGTCTTGCTCTGTCGCCCAGGCTGGAGTGCAGTGGTGCAATCTCGGCTCACTGCAACCCCCACCTCCTGGGTTCAAGCAATTCTCCTGCCTCAGCCTCCTGAGTAGCTGGGATTACAGGCACCCACCACCATGCCCGGCTAATTTTTGTATTTTTAGTAGAGACAGGGTTTCATCATGTTGGACAGGCTGGTCTCGAACTCCTGACCTCGGGTGATCTGCCCGCCTCAGCCTCCCAAAGTGCTGGGATTACAGGTGTGAGCCACTGTGCCCGGCCAAGAGAGTAGATCTTAACTTCTCACTACACACACACACACACAAATACACACGTGCGCACATGCAAAGGTAACCATGTAAGGTTATGGGTATGTTAACTATGGATTGTGGTAATTGTTTCACAGTGTGTACGTATGTCAAATCATCACATTATACATCTTACATTTACACAGTTTCTGCTTGTCATTTATGCTCCAGTAAAAGCTGAAAAAAGACACATATCTTTATTCTTTTTTTCTGGATATTTTGCAAGGTGAGTATGTCAGAGAGTAGGTTTGGCTAACTAGTACCCAACAGCTATAAGAGAGAAGAAAGGGAAGCGGATACCTGTGAAATTTGGCCAAAGTGATTTATTTCCTCACTGATCTTTCAGCCTTAAAACATAATTTGATTTCTCAAAATTTCTCTGAAACATGCATATCCTTAAGTGTGAAAATTTCATACACTTAGATGGGTTAGGTTTGGAAGGAAATTGTATTGATTCCATTTTGAGAATTTGGAGTTAGTATGAGCTTGTTGAGATTAATGTCTAACAGTCTTCCTTATTGGAAATACTTTGGAGATCTCTTCATAATTTTTCTGCCCATTGTAAGGTGCTAATATTACCCGATGACTTTTGGGGATTTATTATAATATTTTATTTCAAACTGGATTTGTTTCAAGGTTTGTATTCCACTCATTGTATAAGAAGATCAAAGTGAGATTTCTGCCTGTAGTTTTGTTATTTTTGTTTTGCTACAGAATGTTTAGAACACAGGAGACCACATCCTGGCAGAGTTTATAATTTGATTCACCTGGAACAGTTGAATGAGGAGGCACTCTAACCCCCAAGCTAAGGCCTCTACTTAATTGACTCTTTGATAATTAGGAAAGGATTTTGTTTCTCTCCTTCTCATTAACATTGAAAACCATAGAATCTTATGTTGTTTATTATGTGTTATTTACTCTCTTCTAAGACTTTGTATATTATTCAGGGAATAAGCTATCAACTTGATTAACATTTAACTTTTTCTTCATGTTTATTCTCAGCTTTAGCATTCAAATTCAGATAAATACTGCTACTTTTAAAATAGTATTATTTTAGGGAGAACATAAGCACAACTCTTAATTTAGATTTTTTCATACTGGCATCAATATGTATTATGGTTGCTTTTTCATTTTGATGGGAAAGAATTTGGGTTGTAAGTGAGCACCTACTCTGTTCTTCCTCATTTTTTGACCTAATTTCAGATATGATTAGTTGGGAGTTATTGCTGGTACCGTGTCTGGATTCGCATCTACAAGGTGCAGAGATGAAAGTCACATTTACTTCGATACTAACTCATGTTCCAATCATGTTTACAGAAATGCTTACATTACTCTAGTTCTCTTATAAGTTAAAAAATAGCATTAAATAAAAGAAACAGAAGGGAATTACATTATGTAGGCCTCAGCCAGATTGCCTGTGTGTTGAGATTTGTGATGTTAAAATTGTATTTTTATATTTTGGTATTTTAGTTAAAGTTATGTGATTTTATACAATGACAAATTTTCTGAGCCAAAAGGTAGATATTTCAGCCTTCCTACCTCTCCAATTTTCAGCAAATCTGTAGTATGACTTATTCTACCAATTTATGTATACAAGAAATGGTTGTTTAAATTATTTCCTTTAAATCACAACAAATCAGATGCCAAGATTCCATCTTACTCATTAGTGGGAAATTTAATCTCAGTTATTGCTAGTTGGGGTGGCCTGATACACTACCAAGGTGACACAGAATCCCAGGGTGTTTGTAGAGAGCAGAACATTCCAGGAGCTTTTCTGTGTTCTTGGTTCTTCAGGTTACTGCTGAGATGCCCTTTGACCAAGCCCCACATAGCCTCTAGGAGTCTGCTGCTCTGTGCATTGCTTGGACACAGGAGGTTTTGCTGGAGCTGGGAGCCCAGGCCCGAAGGTCTGGCCTTTGTATTTTGGCCAGGCAGCCATACCTTTTACCCCCACTGCCTTCCTTGGGAGCTGTCTTGCTACTCAGGGACCATCAAACTGTTGTTCTTCCCAGACTTTGGGCAATCCCACCTCTCTCTCTCCTTCTGTCTCCCTCCTAGAGGCACTATCCTCTTTCAGAAGGCTCTGCCACCTTCAGAGCACCTGGAATAATCTCAGTGAATTTAGATTTCTACACAAGACTGTGAGAGAGGATGAATTTGGCCAGGCACGGTGGCTCACACCTATAATCTCTGAACTTTGGGAGGACGAGGAGGGTGGATCACCTGAGGTGAGGAGTTCGAGACCAGCCTGTCCAACATGATGAAACCCCGTCTCTACTAAAAATACAAAAAATTAGCTGAGCGTGGTGGCACGCGCCGATAATCCCAGCTACTCAGGAGGCTGAGGCAGGAGAATCGCTTGAACCCAGGAGGCGGAGGTTGCAGTGAGCTGAGATTGTGCCACTGCACTCCAATCTGGGCAATAAGAGCAAAACTCCGTCTCAAAAAAAAAAAAAGATAAATTCAAACAGTGTCTACTCTTGGCCCTTTTATAATAACCTCTCTTGAGACGAAGGAGCACAAAATACAAATAATAGCTCGCTGAATTTTCTTGCCATAAACATGAGCTGCTGAATGGGCTTTGGAGCTCAGAGTTAACAATTACAGTCTAGAGGAGGAAAGGGTATCTGGCCTATGAGATAGTTGAGCAGCTCTGGGGGACTTCTGGGAGGAAGCTGGGTACTTTCCATTTCTTGGAAATAGGGGTGACTTCATTTTAATGCAAAATAATGTAATCTTCATTACTATTTTCCTTCCCTCTGGGTCTGAGGCTTCTGGGCATCCCATCTGGACTTGCAAGCCCATGCAGAATATGGAGCAGAAACAATTTATGATAGAGAATGTGTCTTTTTGGACAGTAATGGGAAATTACTGCTTAGGGAAAAACAAAGGTAGTCTGGTGGCTTTTTTTGTTCTGTTTTGTTTTTGTTTTTTGGGGACAGGGTCTCACTTTGTCACCCAGGCTGGAGTGCCGTGGTGCCATCCTGGCTCACTGCAGCCTTGACCTCCCAGGTTCAAGCAATTTTCCCACCTTAGCCCCACAAGTAGCTGGGATTATAGGCACGCGCCACCATGCCTGGCTAATTTTTGTATTTTTTGTGGAGACAGCGTTTCGCCATGTTGTCCAGGCTGGTCTCACACTCCAGAGCTCAAGCGATCTACCTGGTCTGGCGGCTATGACGACTATGTAAGATATGCCTTTTACAGGCTAAGAAGTTATATCTAATATGAAGAATTGGCTGCGATTTTGCCTCTGAACCAGCTCTTACATACTGAAAAAAAAGTCCCATTGATTTATATTGAGTAGCTTAGACCAGGGGTCCCCAACTGCCTGGCCGTGGACCTGTATGGGTCAGTGGCCTGTTAGGAACCAGGCCACACAACAGCAGGTGAGCAGTGGGCATTACAGCCCAAGCTTCGCCTCGTGTCAGATCAGCAGTGGGATTAGATTCTCATAGAGGCAGAAACCCCATAGTGAACTGTGCAAGTGAGGGATCTAGGTTGCGTGCTCCTTACGAGAATCTAATTATAATGCCTGATGATCTGAGGTGGAACAGTTTCATCCTGAACCCCACCCAACCGTGCCCACCCCTTCCATGCTTTCCATGAAACCACGAACCATGAAACCAGTCCCTGGGGCCAAAAAGGTTGGGGACTGCTGGCTTAGACTACCCTCCCTTCACACTGAATGTGTTTGTGTGTATCTGTATGTAACAGGAGGGAATATGGACAGAGGGGGCGAACGAGTAATATTTCTGTCTGTTGAGTAATTTAGAGACATATCAACAGTTGTGTCCACCAGGGACCTCAGTCTTCTTTAGCATCATGACTTACACACATTTCAGAGGAACTGCTCAATTTGATTCGTGGCCTTGAACTGTACTTGACTTATGAATTGTTCTTAAAAGTTGTATTCATTACCTATTCATCCAACAGATATTTGGTGAGCACTTGCTGTCTGGGGGATACCAGTCATTGCTCCGTACAGTGAGGGGTCTCACCCAGAGGCAGCTTTGCCATTTCTCACCCAGCCTCTGCTTTTGTTTGGCTTGGGGCAGGGGAAAAAGCAGGTTGAGAGATATACAACCTTGATTTATGGAAGAAAGGTTCTGAATCTAGTATTCCTTAAAGGCACTTCAGCAACCATCTTACTTGTTTTCTTAATAAGATAAGTTGGGCTTTACCCTGTTTGCTCCGTTTGCTCTTCCCAGCCTGGTCTCACCCTGAGATTATGGCAACATCTTACTAGCTTGGTTTCCTGCCTTCAGCCTTTGCTCTGCTTCTAAATGTACTGGAAATAGACTGTTATCTTCTTGCTCCCTCCTTACAACATACCCATGCTTGCAAGTCTACTGTAGCTCTTTGGGGTGCCTGGTTTTGGAGGTTGTGTGCAATCTGATAACATCTTAGTAAGAATATGAATGCCTACAGCTTATAGAGTACTTACTGTGTGCTGGAAACTGTTGTAAGTGGTCTACATACGTGACTTATTTCATACTCCAAACAGCCTTATGAAGGTGGGAACAATTATCATCCCCATTTCCCAGACAAGGAAATAGAGGCACAGAGAGCTTAAGGCATTTGCCCAAGGTCACACAGCTGGTAAGGGAAGCTATTCTGGCCCTAGTGTCTCATTCTTTACGGCTTCCCCCATGCTGCCTCCATAATACTTCCTCAGCACATGCACCTCACTTCATTTTGGCCATCCAACTCTTCATATTGCCCCCTCTCCTCCTGCCATTAAAAGGCTCAGATGAAGTCTCACTCCTCTACTAAGCCTCCTCCAGTGTATTCAGATCTTTTCCTCATTTGAGCTCTTTTTGTACTCAGCAGTGAAGCAACTCAATTTAAGATTAGGTGTTTGCCAATTGTTTCCTGTGTTAGTTAACACTCTCTCCAATTGGTTGTAAGATCTTTGACCAAGGGCTAGCTGTACGGCCTAGGACCAAGCCTAACACCCAGTAAATGTGTCTTTGGGAAACTGAGGCAGTTTTCTCCCATGACAATATGCGTTCTCCCTCCCTTCCATTCATTCTTTCTTATATTTGTGGAAGTCCTCTTTTTCCACAGTAAGTATAATAATTCCACTTTTATATATTTTCACAGATGTGTCCACCAGATGAGGCTTGATCTAAGCCTATTAAATTAGATGGTAGGCAAGAATGATTTGACTCATCTGTGTGTCCACAATCCCTAGAGTATATAGTGTAGCACAGAGCAGGGACACAATAAACAAATACCTGATCTGTGAGCAATAAATTACTAAGTTGTGCCTCTGCTGGTGTTTCAGTTTTTCAGAGTACTTGTTTGCTTAGTTAACAAATGTATCTGCTTACTTCCCCTGGGATTGCTAGAAAATTTGTCGAGGGAGAAGCAGTAAAATGTGCTTACATTTCCTCTTTGGTTTTCCAGGCTAATTGTTGGTGAACTTTATTTAACACTCTTGCTATACTAAGAGTCTCTATGGAGCAGAGCAGCTTTCAGTTAACTTGGCAAATCATTACAAGAGAGAACAGAGGGGTCAGCATGAGCACTCTCTACTAATTAGTTGATAATTGATATACAATAGCTGACGGATGGGACTTTAGAATACAAACTCCAGGAATATTGCTTAATTTATCTTTGCATCCTTATGAAGTGGCTCAGAGATGTAGGTTCCTAATAATATCATCTTACTGGGAGTGCCCAGTGGTGGGGAGCAAGATTGAGGCTCCATGCACAGGAATCCAGGGCACTGAGTGGTACAGAAAGGAATATGATACATTTTAATCTCTTGGGTATAAATGTGATTCCATTTAATACAGGGATAAATTGCAGTGAGTAATGCTGGTGATTCCATACTTGGTGGACAGCATTCCTGAATGCTGACTAAGGTTGGAAGAATGTTGGTATGAAAGTTATGTTCTTTGTGGGATAAACATGGAAGATTCAAGCTGAACTCCTGAAGACAAGGTGGTAGGAGATTGCATGATTCATGCGAATCTCCCTGGGTTCAGATTTGACCTATTTATTGGCTGTCTTTGTAATGAAGTCACCAAATAGACATTATATGGCCCCCCTCTCCCATTTAAATGTGATCGCCTAAATCTTTAGCAACTAATTATAAAATCCTTACTCTAACTTGCTTCATAACCATTGCTTTCTTATTTTGTCATTTACCACCCTGTGGCTGCTATGCCGTCTGTACAGCTGGTTCATGTGCTCCTCCAGCCTTTCTCCCCATCTCTTCCAGATTAATCTTGGGTGAACTCTGCTCCTAATGGGATGCGCCACTACCTATAGCACAAGGTCCCAGATGCACATCAGGTGACTAGTTATATCAGCATCATTTGGTTTAGTTGGTTTGCAGTGGAGCTTAGGAATTTGCATTTGAGAAGCTTCACTGGTGATGCCAATATGTAGCCAGGTTTGAACCACTGTTGGATAAGTAATGTCCAGCTTTTAAATCAGTTCTTCAGGGCTGATTGAACCAACCCTCTAAGCTCTGTCTTCTCCCTTTCTCCTCTTGTAGGCAGCCCTAGCTCATCTTTGTTTCTCCAGGACGCATTGTGCCTCCTCCCTTTCGTTTCTGTGTCTACACC
Organism: Homo sapiens; assembly: GCF_000001405.40. Classification (NCBI taxonomy): domain Eukaryota; kingdom Metazoa; phylum Chordata; class Mammalia; order Primates; family Hominidae; genus Homo; species Homo sapiens. The sequence continues at coordinate 4,136,677 of NC_000009.12, read as the reverse complement.
CTACTACTTCCTTCTCATTTGTGTGCTCATTCTTCCTTCATGTTTTAGCTTATTCTTTTCTAAAGGGTATTCCTTAGAATGCCAGTCTTAGATGAGTCCCTTGGGAAAAACCTCCCTAAACAAATGTACTTTAAATATTATTTGGTCTTCTGGGAGATTTATCACATGCATTTACATTTTTAAAGGCTCCTGAAGACTTACAGTAAAGAGATATGTTTAACTTTGTTGTATTAGGGGTTCCCAAGCTTACTGGACTGTGGACATCTCCATGAGGCCAACTTCATTGTCATTTAACATCTTTGGACATCCTGAAGGACTTTGGGAAACGTGTTTGTAGTTCATACTCTTCTTCTTTGATGAATTACCTAGTACAAAGGGATTGCCCTCCTCCTCTGAGCTCCTGTCTCTATGATTTAGCTTCATGCTTAATACTGTACAGTCTAGCGACATTATCCGATTGTTCCTAGGTGAGTATATCTTATCTCTTCAGAGGTTGTGAGCGCCATGGAGGTAGGATGTTATATCCAGCATTCCTTACCTTCCATAGGTTTTGCACAGTTTTGAGCATTTGTCACAATTGCCAAATTCGATTGCTTTGCCCCTGAATATAGGAGCCGGTTATTTCATTCTAATTGTCATCCTTTGGTGTTCGTAGCCATTTAGCCATGCCTTACTGTATTTCAGAGTAATACACCATACAGTCACATATGTTCATTAAATTGTTACTAATGTATCTCAGCAGTGAAATATTATGAATTTGACAAAACACTACATAGCAAGCCTAGGGTGTTTGGTATGCAGGATGTTTCTAGCTCTAAGGAGGAGTATTCATGAAAGGTGAGAGAATTTGATGACCTGTGCTTACCTTCATCGATCTGTTTTTGCATAGCAGATGGGAGAGAAGGGTACTTGTTTCTTTCTGTGGTGAAAGAATATACTTTTCAAAGTTCTTTCATATACTTGATGTTTCTCCCATTTGAGAAAAGAGGAAAGGCTTGGATTGATACTATGCCTTGCCTAAGATTCTATTCTTTATTTATTGGTGGGTACCTATATTTCATTATAAGAATGAATATGTATATTATATTAGATATGTTATTTGAGTAATATAATAATGTTTAGAGTAGCAGTAAGAGTTTAGAGTAATAAGTAATAATGCTTAGAGACATTATTCTTTGTCAAAACAGTCATAGTTCGATGACTTCTCTCAAGAATATAGGGGTCAATGTGTGCCTAACTCACATTGCCTTTAGAATTAGAACATACATACTCATATTTGAATGAATTCAGAGAAGAATGTGGGAGGATACACATTCACCTGTTAGAGTTCATTACCTTAAGGGAATGATAGATGTCGGGGGTGGATTATGAGCTTTTTCTTTTTATAACTTTGCATTATTTGCCTTTTAAAGCACATGGACACATACACAAATACATATTATTTTTAAATTTAAAATAGCAATAAAGATAATCCCAAATAAAAGAGAGATAATGCTATCTAAGTAGACAATTCTAGACAACGCTTTGACATGTGTTAAGCTAATAAACCTTAGGGATGAAATGTATATGCCGTAATTCCTAACATAATTTGGGGTCTATGAGGGGACCCACAATAAATAATGTATTTCTTTCCCACCAGAATATCTTTTTTTTTCTGATAGAGGATGTGTTGGAAGGCATAACTTTGTGTGAGAGTCCAGTGGACCTGCTGACTGCACTGTAGAATTAGGCCATCTTATCTCCCTAGTCCAGGGCAGCTCTTTCAGGACAAGCCTTCTAGGTAAGGTGTATACCGTGTGGCAAAGAACTCTGTCTTTCCATGGTAAGCTTAGTCCCCAAAGGAAAACAAGAAGGTTTCCTGAACTACTCATCCCCGCTTATTCTTTCTACTTTGACAGAGAAGGGCATACTGAGAGACAGTTCCTTTTTTAAAAAATGGCTAGAAAGAAGTGTTCCTACCATTTTGCACACCTAAGTTAGATAATCATTCTCCCCATTATGGCTCAATTTGCATTACTAAAAATATCATTCCGTAACATAATCATGACAATAACATTAACAAAAATTACAACTACTCTTTACTGAGCAGGCACATCATATATGTTGGGTCTCACTCATCCTCGAAGCAACCATGTAGGGTGTATAGTATTATTTGTCTTTTAGAGATGGAAGAAACTAAGGCTAAGAGGTAAAATTACTCTGCTAAATGACCAAAGTTACATTCACAAGCTGGGTATGGAGGCCAGCCACCATTTCCCATGCAAAATAAAAATATTTTCCAATAGCATCTGGGACTTATTTGCTTTTGAAGGAGGTGTAAGACTCATATTTTATATTAGGCATTGATTTCATTATTAAAGGAAGCCTTGCCAGTTAGGGATAGTTAGGTGCTTAGAACTAAAAATAATGGGAAACTTTGAGCCTCAAAGTTGCAAAAACTTCAATTGCAAGTGATCTAAATTGGCTTTCAACTCTACTTCAATTGTAGTTGAATTTGTGCTTGCTAGGAAATAAAAGGGCCAGGCTTATATAAAACAGGTTTGCACAGTAAAAGGGTATGGTTGAGAGGTTTTAAAAAAAATTCCTTTCAGTCTTTCTTGCCACGTTTTGAAATTTTACTTATTTTCTGTTGTATTAGTGTTTTGCAGTAAAATGTTCTTGAGGTATTTTGCTAGTCCCTGACACCTTAGTTCGAAGTAATCATTGTTTTCTAAAATAGCTGAGAGAAAGAGAAAATGGATATGAGGAACTAGAATGGCCTAAATAAAACCTGGATCCCGTTCAGGCGAGGACAGATGTACGGTGTGTGTGTGTGTGTGTGTGTGTGTGTGTGTGTGTGTGTGTGTGTGTGTAGAAGGTCTTGGGCAGGAAGGCATCAGCATGCTGTTTCTGGGCACTCAGGAGAAGAGGTGCTAGAAACAATATCAGAAAGGTACCATATGAGAGACAAGTTCTTTAATAAAATATAAATAGAACTAACAATGTATTAAGTGCCAGGCCCTATTACATATATTAGACTTTTTAATCCTCCAAACTGAGGTAACTGCTAGTGTTAACCTCATTGGGAGATCAGGACACTGAGGCACAGAGAGCTTAAGTAACTTGTCCAAGGTCACACAGCTAGTCAGTGGTGGAGCCAGGATGGAAATCTATGGCTCTTAGCTACTGTGTTATGTACTGTTAACCTCTCACTTCTTTCCTTCCACCATCTTTTCCACTTTTCTGTCTGTTTTTAGTACCCAAGTGTCGAGTGATATCCCAACCCTAGTTGGTGATAACCCATTCTTGAATGCCCACCTGAATGGGAGTCTCAAAACCTATGTTTGCAATGCATGATCCTGGATTGGAAAACAATTGTTCCATAAGTTACATTTGAGTGTAGATGGCATATTACATACTAATACTATATCATTGCTAAGTGTCTTGAATTCAATGATTATATTATGGTTATATATTTAGGAATGAAGGACATGGAATCTGCAACTTATTCTTAAATGGTTCAAAAATTAATACTGTAATACAAAATAAGTTTATATATAGAGATGGTTAGATAGATAGATAGTACGATGAGCTTCAACTTTATCTAATGTTCTATTCTTGTGACATTTCTGTAGCTTTAAAAATGTTTTCAAGGAAAAGTGTGGGAAGAAAACCCTGCTGCTTAGAGGCAGTGAGGCATATATTGATATTTACTAACCCTTTTAATCCTCAGAACAACCTTATGAGTTAGGTATTATTACTGACCCCATTTTAGAACAGTACGCTGAGGCACAGAGACCTTAAGGACCTTCCTGATATCACACAGCCAGTAAGGGCGGGAGGCAAGACTCAAACCCTAATATGTATATTTCTGTTTCTGTAACACCTTGTGTGTGTGTTAGGTTGAACCATATAGAAATTGCTCTCGTATGATCATTTTGGACCTATTAAGAATATCATTTTATATGACCCAGCCTAGGAGCAGGGATCACCTCTTTTATAATGAATGGTTGGTTTGGTGTGCATCTTCATGGCTAGACTGTGGGCTCCATGGGGGACTGGGTTAATCTTGCTCACCATTGTCTCTGTGGACTGCCTGGCTAGTGGTTGGCATTTGATAAGTGTCAGATAACGAACAATAACGTTATTGTTGGTTGCTTCTCTCCGCTCTTCCCAGATATATTTCATTCTTGTTCCCCCTGTATCTATGTCATTTTTAAAACCAGTGGATACACATAAATAGTTCTGAATGATGCAGCCTCAGTAGTGATAATTGTGACATAATCAGCCATTTGACTTCAAGAGAACCCTTTTAACTAATGAAGACATTAATTAAAAACATGCCCTGCTAAGGTGAACTCTAGGTTCAGAAATTTGAAAATGCAAAACGTTTGCATTCCCTACTAGCATACAGTGATTTTGGCTAGAATGTATGTGGTACTCAGAATGCCATCCACTTAGGTCCTCATTTGAGCAGTAAACACATGTTTCAAATACATCATGTAGTCTCTAAAAATAAGCAGTGTTTCAAAATGAAAACCAGTGCACAAGTCATTGGCACATCTGGTAGTCAGAAAAGTTGTATGGTTTGTTTTCAGGAAACTTTTCTTCTGTGATGACATGTGGTTTTTTGTTTTTTTTTTTTTTTAAAAAAAACATTGGCCGTAGACTTAAAGCAGAAAGAATATTGGAAATGAGAAGAGAATTAAACAGCATTATTTACTATCTTGTTTTGTGCAAGGAATTATAAAGGAATATTTTCTTTAGAAAGAGAATGGAGCAAAAAAGCAATGACAGGCATGTAACAATCATAGTATCAATAACAACAGTAGCAGTTAACATCCATTAAGTACCTACTGCGTGCTTGATAGTGTGCTGAGTCCTCTATGTATGTTGTTAATACTAGATGCACAACAACCTTATGAGGTTGTATTAGTCCGTTCTCACATTGCTGTAAAGAAATACTTGAGACTGGGTAATTTACAAAGAAAAGAGGTTTAATTGGTTCACAGTTCTGCAGGCTTAACAAGAAGCATAACAGTATTTGGGGTGGCCTCAGGAAACTTTCAATGATGGCAGAAAGTGAAGGTGAAGCAGTCACATCTTACATGGCTGGAGCAGGAGGAAGGGAGAGCCATGGGCAGTGCCACACACTTTTATACAACCAGATCTCATGGGAACTCTAACACGAGAATAGCAGCAAAGGGACAGTGCCAAACCATTCATGAAGGCTCTATCCCACTGATCCAATCACCTCCCACCAGGCCCCACCTCCAAAATTGGGCATTACAATTGAACATGAGATTTGGGTGGGGACACAGATCCAAAGCATATTATATCACCCTGACCCCTCCCAAATCTCATGTCCTCAAACATTGCAAAATACAATCATCCCATCTCAACAGTCTCCAAAGTCTTAACTCATTCCAGCATTAACTCAAAAGTCCAAAGTCTAAAGATTCATCTGAGACAAGGCTAGTGCTTCCACCTATATGAGCCTGTAAAATCAAAAAACAAGTTAATTACTGCTAAGATACAATGGAGGTACAGACATTGGGTAAACATTCCCATTCCAAAAGGGAGAAATTGGCCAAAATAAAGGGGCTATAGGTCCTATGCAAGCCCCAACCCCCCCTAGGGCAGTCATTAAATCTTAAAGCTCCCAAATAATCTCCTTTAACTCCTTGTTTCACATCCAGGCCACACTGGTGCAAGAGGTGGGCTCCTAAGGCCTTGGGCAGCTCTGCTTCTGAGGCTTTGTGGGGTGCAGCCCTGGCAGCTGTTTTCATGGGCTGGCATTGAGTACCTGTGGCTTTTCCAGGTGCAGGGTGCAAGCTGACAGTGCACCTACCATTTTGGGGTCTGGAAGATGGTGTCCCTCTTGTCACAGCTCCATTACGCAGTACTGCAGTGGAGACTGTGTGGAGGCTCCAACCCCACATTTCACCTCCACGCCTCCCTAGAAGTGGTTCTCCGTGTGGCCTCTACCCCTGCAGCAGGCTTCTGTCTGGACATCCAGGCTTTTCCATGCATCCTCTGAAATCTAGGCAGAAGCTTCCAAGCCTCAACTCTTGCATTTCGTGCACCTACAGGCTTAAGACCATGTGGAAGCCACCAAGTCGTCTATGGTTTGCACCCTCTGAAGCAGAGGCCTGAGCTGTACCTGGGCCCCTTTGAGCCAAGACTGGAGCTAGAGCTGCTGGGATGCAGGGAGCAGTGTTTGGAGGCTGTGCAGTGCAGCAGGGCCCTGGGCCTGGCCCATAAAATCATTCTTCCCTCTTAGGCCTTTGGGCCTGTGATGAGAGGTGCTGCCAGAAAGTTCTCTGAAATGCTTTTGGGGCCTTCCCCCATTGTCTTGGCTGTCAGTACTTGCCTTGTCTTTACTTATGCAAATTTCTGCAGCCTGCTTGAATTCCTCTCCTGAAAACGCTTTTTTCTTTTCTACCACATGGCCAGGCTGTAAATTTTCCAAACTTTTACACTCTGCTTCCCTTTTAAATATAACTTCCAGTTTCAGCTCATTTCTTTGCTCACATATATAAACACATGTTGTTAGAAACAGCCAGGCCACATCTTGAACTCTTCGCTGCTTAGAAATTTCTTCCTCCAGATACACTAAATCACTTTCAAATTCAAAGTTCCACAGATCCCGAGAGCAGGGGCACAATGCCTACAACCTCACTGCTAATGGATAATAAAAGTGACCTTTGCTCCAGTTCCCAACAAGTTCCTCATCTCCATCTGAGACCTCCTCAGCCTGGACTTCACTGTCCATATCACTGTCAGCATTTTGGTCATAATTCGGGCAGTCTCTAGGAAGTTCCACTATTTTCCACATCTTCCTGTCTTCTTCTGAGTCCTCCACACTCTTTCAACTTCTGTCCATACCCAATTCCAAAGCTTCTTCCACATTTTCAGGTATCATGGTAATGCCCCACTCCTTGGTATTAGTCTGTTCTCGCATTGCTATAAAGAAATACCCGAGCCTGGCTAATTTATAAAGAAAAGTGATTTAATTGGCTCATGGTTCTGCAGACTTAACAGGAAGCATAGAAGCTTCTGGGGAGGCCTCAGGAAACTTTCAATCATGGTGGAAGGCGAAGGGGAAACAGGCATGTGTTACATGGCTGGAGCAGGAGGAAGAGAGAGAGGGGGAGGTGCCACACACTTTGAAACATCCAGATCACATGAGAACACTTATCATGAAAACAGCACCAAAGGATGGTGCTAAACCATTTATGAAGGATCCACCCCCCATGATCCAATCACCTTCTACTGGGCCCCACCTCCAAAACTGGTCATTACAGTTGAATGTGAGTTTTGGGTGGGGACACAGATCCAAACCATATCAGAGGGAGGGTTAACTTTATCCCTGTTTGGCAGATGAGAAGACATAGACATGGAGAAATACGGCACAAAAATGTTAAGTAATTTGCGTAAGTCCCCAAATAGCAGATCCCAGGCAAGCTATCTCCAGAGCCCACACTCCAAGACACTGCACAATTCTGAGAAGTCTGGAGGTATAGGTGTTCATTATGTTTCTGGCATTATGAAAAACACTTAGATGGCTGTATTGAGCACAGTGGTTCTTGGTCAGACTTGTTTGCCTGCATGTGTGAGACAGATGTTGCCATTTTCCATTTTCCAGAACATCCTCATAGTTGTACCACAAACATTTACATGTTCCCAAGAAGTTCACCATTAATTTTCATGCTTCAAGGATACCATTTGTGACACCATTTGTGCTTAGATGGGGTTAAAGTTGACCAGTGATCGCTTCTTGGCCTTTTGGCTTTACACTTGAGTGTAAAGTGTAAAGTTGACCAGTGAATTTGGGAGTAGGAGGTGGTATAGTAAGAATGTGGAGATACTAGGGAGATAATTAGCATTTCTTTATTACAAAGCAAGAAAACAATGTGAATGTATGAATCCAGAGTAGAGAGTTACAGAGGCAGCCTTGACCAGTGTAAAATTCTGGCCCAGGAAGATGGATTTATAATTACTACCCCCACTGACTTCATATTCCATTCAGATCTAGTTAGCAATTATGTGGAGAGACATCAAAGGATTGACTTGGAGTTTTTTTGTTTCTGCTTTTTGAAAAATGGTACTGTATATCATCAACAAAGATGACCAGGAGAGTTTCAGTGGAATAACTTGTCAGTATTTAATATTCACTTATAAGTATCTTTTGTTTTCTTTCATTCATTCTAATTTCACTGGATAGACTTTATTATGTAATGTGCATTAGACCCTAGGTTAGGTGCTAAGGAAGTAGAGATGCTTCAAACAAGAGCTTTGTCTTTAAACAGCAGTGAAGTATAAAAGTGAGAAGATGGCAGGCATGTAAAGAGTTTAGTTCCCTGAAGCACTATAGGTGCTGAGGCACATGTGTGATGGGAGATGTGGACAAATGAAAGAAGCAGTGGTCAGATCTGCCTAACAGGTAGTGGAGGAGGAGGTCATATAGGAGGTGACCCTTGCATTGAGACCTTAAAGATGCAGAGGTGCTCACTAGGTGGATAAGTTAGGGTAAGGGCATTCCAGGCAAAGAGAAGAGCATGAACAAGATAAGGGTTAAAATAAATGTTTCAGTGATCACATTAGTTTGTATTGGCTCTAAGGTGTGCATGTTTTTACATTACAACATCTCTGAAATCTGGACATCATGCACTAGTTGGACTGGCAGTTCATGTTCTTACTGGTACGTAAAATAATGGTACACCTTACAATATGTGCCATTTTAGTTTTATGAAATAATCTATTGGTATGTTTTGCCATCAAGTAGTATTCCTTGGATGCTGTTCCAGCTGCTATATCTTTGTTTTAGAGGTAGATAGATATTAATACCTTTTTTCTGAAAAGGAAATAGGCATGGAATGACTGAGTTCCTTAGATAAATATATGACATTAAATTTGACAGAATACTTGATAATTGATGTTGCTTTTAATAATAGTGGCTAGTAGCAATGGGACCTGGGGAAAGAATTCATATAGAGAATTCATTCATTCAGTCTTATATACTGGACTAGGCTATGAACCATCACATTGCCTTTTTTTCAAGGTAAAAAGGGAATATGAAAAGCTAATGCATGTAGCTTATTGAGATTTTTAAAGATATTGAATTTATGATGCAGTTACATAAAAGTGTACCTACTATTCTTGGTGTCAAGATGAAGCCCGGATAATACAGTGCTTTATGAGTTACGAAAACAGAATATCTATAACTGATCTTTTAAGGCACAAGAAGATGGATCAGATATAAACTGCAATGGGAGGGGTCAAGGAGAGGTTCTGGTTTATGTATCTGGGAAAGAAAATCAGAGAAATTTCTTTTGGAGCAAATGATCTTGGAAAGTGTACAAGGAAGAAACTAGGCATATCAGAGCCTAAATTTAAGCACACAGGTGTCATAAAAATACATTCTCGTAGAATCAGTTTCTGTTCTCCCTTTAAATCCCTGTGTGATTTTGTGCAGGTCAATTACCACTTGGATTTTAGTGTCCCATAAGTCTGCACTAGACCAGGATTCCTGGCAGCTAATGATGCTGTGACTCCCCCAGCATTTTTGAGATAGGGCTGCACTGATGGAAACAGTGACTGCTCCAATGTCTTGTTTGTTCTATTGTTTTGGGGGGCTCTTGGGAAGAATGTTACAAAAGATGACAAAGGCACTTTTGGGCTATTGATTTAATTTTGGGGAAAACAAAATAGGAAATTATGACCCCTACAGCTAAGAAAAGTGACAGTGACACTTTTCTTCCTACTTCGATCCCAAATATATCAATGAAAAAGATGGGAAATTTGCAATGTAAAGCTTAATTTGTTAAAGATTGAGATCGTATATATTTTTGTTTGCTAGAAATGGGAACAGAGTGTATAGTTACTGAGACTTGACCAGGTAGTTGACAAAAAAAGTTTGAAAAAGTGCATCCATGTAAAAAGAATGTCTAGAATGATTCAGCTCATTATGATTTTTTTATAAATGAGTCATGGCAGTGTTTGCCTTTCTCAAACTCTTTGCTTTTCACTTTTCCATAACGACACAGATTCTTGTGGGTTCCTTTTTTTCTTTCCCCTTTGGGTATGTACCAGCTTTTACTACACTGAAAGATTGTTACTAATGAAAATGAAAAATCTATGTCCAATTTGGTTACCATGCTGTTTTTCAAATGAGCATTTTGTTTACAACTCTCTCATCCTGATATTTTAAAAAATTGAGTAGATGTCCAATGACAATGTGTTGAGATGAGGAGAAAAAAAATCAAGAGTAGAGAGACACAGCCAGACTACATCCTTGTGAAGGGACTTTTTGGAAGTACAGATTTGGAATGAAGTAAACCAGTTAAACAGGTTTTTTCCAGTAGTGTCAACTTTCCTTGCTGGGTGATTCAAGATATTAGCTATTCTAGGAAAAAACTTGGTTTGATACAGGCAATCCCATCTACTTACCACCTTAACCCTTTAGGTAAGGATATTATAAAATATGATTTTTAATATAACTGGACACTTCTACATAGAAGGAGTAAAATTTAAGCACATTTTGTATGAGTGCTGATTATGGAAAGGTTTCTATTATAGCGTTATGGCTTTGTCATTGGAATTGGAGAAAGCCTTTTGCTATCACCAATACTAAAAAAAAAAATGATCTGAGGACTGTCTCTAAAGATGGGTCCTGATATAAGCGTGCACATGTCTGTATTTACTGATTTCTGATGTAAGGGACATGAAAGCTAACCTGATTCATTTGTTTTTAGGGGCTCTTGGCTTTGGGCCTCAGTGCAAGTCCATTGGAAAAGGCAGCTGCAACAATCTAGTGGTCACCAGCAGTCCCATGATGGTTCAGCGACTGGGACTCATTTCACCTCCAGCAAGCCAGGTCTCTACAGCATGCAACCAGATCAGTCCTAGCTTACAGAGGGCAATGAATGCAGCCAACCTGAATATACCTCCTTCAGATACCAGGTCTCAAGTTAACTTTTTTTTCCCCTTTCTTTATGGTATAAACACACCCCACAAGTGTTTTCCGTTCTCTTTCTGAATACACACACACACACACACACACTCATACACTTACACACTCAAGCAACTCTCTCAATTTGAGGTTTGTAGGGGAATATGTCTAAAACTAAGTATGTGCCATCTTATCATCTTAATTGGGAGGAATGCTTTAATACCTACTGTCTTGTGGTGTGAGTGACATGAATACCTAATTTGAGATTGTGGGGCCTCAGTGACTGAAACACGGTGTGTAAATTTGTCAATTTCTGGTGAAGCAATCATATCATGGCCTAGCAAATTTGCATGGTCCATGTACACCTATCTTACCTGCCAGGTTTTCTATGAATATGATGCAGAGTTTCCAGGCAGCTCAACAATCTGTCTTGTCCATCTGTGCATCCATCCAGCTACCCATCTACTTAAATATTTGTTAAGTTCCTACTGTCTGCATAATATAATAGTTGAAGTTTAGGGGCCTAGTAGAGAGAGTAAAGATAGAAAGCATAAATTTTAAGACTTTATGATGTGTCTGGAAAGGCATACTTTTGTGTTTGAGTTACATAACATTTCAACACAATGTCGATTAGGTTCCATAGTAAGTAGGTACTATAAATGCCATGTGTCTATCTCCAAGGGAGGGAATTGAATAGAAAAGGGAAATCACCCCCTCAGACAAAGCTTTATCTCTCTCAAGGTTGATATTAGGTGGGAGGGGGCATAAAGCCAAAATACTGTACAGTGTTTAAGGTCTGTGTCTATGTTTGAAATAAATTATTTTATCTTCTAGAAGTTATTTTCTTGGAAAAACACAATCCACAGTTTCTGCCTTAGTCCTAGTTCTGCCATAACTATGGTCTTGCAAAGGAATTTTACTCTCTAAGCCCCTGCTTCCTCTTCTTTAGGATCTGTAACCTGCTATGTGCCTTGCAGTTCTGAGGTCTTGTGTCTTCTTCCTTTCCTTCCTCCTAATCCTGTTCTCCCCTCTTGTATCTCTGTGCTGTCCCTCCTAGTCACTATTTGAGACTCTGAAATCATAGTTCCTGAATCATTTATTTATGCCAATTTTTTCATGAGATAGAAACTTGTTTTTCACCTGAGACTTTTTGTGATGGGAAGCTGCTGTCATTTTCCCATTGATGATTATGCCTTAAGGGACTTCTCAGACTTGCTGAGTGCTGCATGTAAAATGAACTGTGCTCATGGGGTGGGTGTCATTGGGAAGCCTTCAGCTTCCTTTCTGTGGCAAGTCCAGCCCATGCCTTGAAGGCAGAAGTATAATTAACGGTGAAACTGACAGTAGTCAGGGCACAGACTGCTTAAGCCATGTATCTTATGCAGTCCCTTTTATGGGTCGGCCAGAGAGGGGTCATTATCTCATTGTTTTCTGGCATATTTGATTCCTTAGCATAATTTTATAACCTTAAAAGACAACACCTTAACGATTCACTGACAAGTGTTTTTGACTATGTATTTATTATTTGAGTCCTTCTATGGAATTTTTTTTTTCAGGATGAGCAAAGAAACAGGAATTGGGAATTGCTTGGTGAAATATGGAACTTACTTTTAGCAATTTGGAAAGGTTGCATTTATTTGTGAGCCTTGGTTTGTGTATTTCATCAATGGAGAGAAAGAATAAGGGGCAACAGTTCAATAAGAGGCAAAGTTCAACATTTTACTGGAGATAAAGAGAAGATGGAGAGAGAATCAGCTTAGCGTTTTATACATTGGGGGCATGCTGGGAGTGGATGGAAGTGGAAAAGGGGGCATGAACTGTCCAGTTTGAGAGATGCTGCCCTATGAAAAGCTGCAAAATGTATTGTTTTTCCTGAAGATGTAATTCTTATTCACTGTAGAAAATGTGGAAAACATGGAAAAGTACCAAGCACTAAATGACAGTCATCCTGAATTCTGTCCCCAGAGACGACCATGGGTGGAATTTTGATATACATCCTTCCAGTTATAGTCAAACATATACAATAAACATAGGCTTTCCTTTCCACTAAATTGATCTAGTAATCTACATAGTTTTTAATTACTTTTTTCCAGTTAATATATTATAAGCTTTTATAATAAAAGCCTCTTTCAACATCATATAATGGCTTCTTCCTGTCCAGGATTCCACTTTATAAAGAAAGTGTATAAATAAAATTATAATTTTAAAAATTAGTCTTTTGTTAGTTGGCACTTAGTTGTTTCCCATTCTTTAAAAATTATAAATAATGCTTTATTGGATCAGCTCTGTACATCTTTTGTTGCACAATTCTGATTATTAGAATAAATTCTTAAAAGTAAAATTTGTTGTGTTAAAAGAGTTTTGAGGCTTTTTATACATATTCTCAAACTGTACTGCAGGAACTCACTAGCAATTTATAAACTAACCAGCAGTCCAAGAGAGTGCCTGTTTTCTAATACACCATTCATTACTAGGTATTATTATTTTTAGAACTTTTACTAGTTTAGAAACTTTGCCAGTTTGATCTGTAAAATGTTATTTTATCTTAATTTGCATTCTTAATTATTGACAATATTAAAGTTTTCATAAATAAATCTATGAAGTTTCATAGATTTATTGGCTGTTTGTATTTTTTCTTTTGACCTCCTTTGGGTATGTTTTTTGGGTGTGCTCATCTTGGGGAAAAGCTCTTTTTCCTTAGCTTTGTTGGATTCTATTTAATCCAATAATAAGAATCCTGCCTTAAGGCTATATATTTGCCTAGATTAATTTCCCAACCATTTCTGATTACCTGTGCTTAATGATAAATGCAAACTATACCTTACCGTCTTGAAGATCCAGGAGTCATTCTCGATTTAGGCCTTGCCAAAACTCGAATACAGAGGCCATTGTATATATTTCCCCTAAAATGACAAGGCTGAGGTGCTGATACAGTAACATCATACAGCAGTTTCATAGAGCAGTCTAACAAACATTGAGTAGTAGAAGAAACATTCTACTCAGATGCCACCTGCATGGCTTTGGTAGCATACTTAGCTTTTCTAGTGTTTTCACATGCATTGTAATCCTGCATTTTATGATTGAATTTTCATAAACTACCTGCAAATATTTCTGTTTAAGACCCGATGGAACCAGGACACAGAAAGTCCAAGTGCTTAGCTTGTCAGTGACAAAGTTCAGCCATCACCGAATGTCATTCCAGATCCAAAAAGGCACTGTATTTAGATTTTTATTTCCTAAATCAGAAATTCTTGGTGATGGTTTCCTTTGAGAGTATATCCACAAAGGTCAGAGAAGGCTAAGGGGGTTGAGGATGCACTCCAGGCTCTCTGTAAATTGTAACAGTTTATAAAGCCATCCTGTCTTTAGATACAGTACTAATTCTTTTAGGGGATTTGCTGAGGCACATAGACACGAATTTCCAGATAGACTAGGACTGGCCGTCTTTTTCATGATCTACATATATAGGGAATATATTTTTTCTTTTGAGGAATTCTCCATGTGATGTATTAGAACTTCTTTTGAGCTTGACATTGAAGCAAACATCTAACATGGTCATCATGCCTCTCATGCTCTTATGGCCCCATACAAGTTACTGAGTTCTTGGTTAACCAGCCACCCTAATCATTTTTGCTGATGGTTTCTGAGTTTTCCTATTAGTTTTATTTTGTTCAAGATATATCTCCTTTCCTTTTACATATAGTTCCAAATTAACCAATCACCAGAAGTAATATCAGTAGGATCAGATGAGCATATGGAAATGGAGATTGCTCTCAAATAATGATACAGCTGTCACTTTCTTTGCTGTGGGCCTCGTGTGGGTAGCAGCAGGAGTTAGAGGCCAGAATCCTTTGGAACCATTCACATTCATTCAACATATTATTGCAGGAAGAACAGAAAATTTGGGTGCCCATCGTAGCTTGTGTGACTTTAAGCCTGTTATACCAGGTCTTTCAATTAAGCAGAGCATTGTGGGTGACATGTGGGATACAATGTAAAGAAAACAATAGAGAATGTGTATGATCCAGTAGGTCACTGCCTATCAAGCACAGCTTCACTTGTATTTCTCTAAGAACTTTGGGGTGTGTGTGTGTGTGTGTGTGTGTGTGTGTGTGTGTGTGTGTCACTGGGAGAAATTTCCCAAACCCTGTTTTATTCTTTGTAAAATAGAAGTTATTTTTAAAATCCAGTTTACTTAACTGACAGGTTGTATCAAATGAGATCATATATAGGGAAAATGCTTTGTGAGTGCCATAAATAATGTTCTGTTGTCACTATATTGATTACTTATTTACTTTCCTAATCAACAGTTTTTTGAGTACTTAGTATGTATCTTACATTCTGGCAGGCACTGGGAAGATAAAAATGATCCCTTCTGTTAAAAGACTTTGAAATTTATTGAAGAATATAACACCCACAGATGCCTGAAGTTAACTACATTTAAGACACATTGCAGACAGTATATAACTTCTTTGGGAAGAGAACTTC
This sequence comes from Homo sapiens, assembly GCF_000001405.40. Taxonomy (NCBI): domain Eukaryota; kingdom Metazoa; phylum Chordata; class Mammalia; order Primates; family Hominidae; genus Homo; species Homo sapiens. Next base: position 4,121,256 of record NC_000009.12, on the reverse strand, counting down.
CACTGGGAGCTAGTGTACTGGGGAGAGATGTCATGGATTAGAGCTTTGAAAGATTAAAAGATCTGAGTAATCACACAGGAGGAAGACTGGCTGCTAGGCAAAGGCCATTTGGGGAAGTTTTGTTCTCATTAGGTGTTTGAGATAGAAGAGAGTTCTCTGTTCATATTAATACTTTAATGAATAGAATATAGAATTTGCTTTCTGAAAAATATATAATTGTCTTAGAAAACTCAGATGCCCAAAAAGTTATATAATGTGCCTGCATGGCTTTATGTGCAGATTTTGATTGAGCCATATTTAAGTATAATTTGAGAGAAATAAGAATCATCTCTCAACAGTGGAGCAAATGAACGTTTCACTATAGGCTGCCCTGAAACCAAATAATACAATTTTATAAGCAAAGTATATATAGGTGGATAACATACTTCTGTCTGTTAGTCATGACTTAACAATCTAATATGCTCCAGTATGACAGTGACAGGCAATTGTAGCACCTGAGAATGTGCATCCATTCAGGCATGTAGCTCTGCCAAAGCTCTGGTTCTTTATGTTCTATGAACCTTCTCAACCTGCGGGTGTAAAGCAGTCAGTTGTCTCTGTCTCATATACGATAGGACTACTAATTTAGTTTGGGTCCGAAAGCAATTCCTCGATCTTGCTGGGGAAGAGACCAAAAGGCCCTTGACATCCAATCACCAGGAGCCTTCAGCTGAGCTCTGCAGGAAGAGCCACATGCTGCAAGTGTGCTGGGAAAATAATTGAAAAGTGTCCGTGGGGAATTAAAAACTAGATGGTTCCAGAACCACTGTGGAGGTTGCAAAAAGACTACAACCCGAATTTAAGGATGTGGACCAAGAGGAAAATCTATGTCAAGGGCAACTGGATGTAAATTCCTGCTGTGTTTGTCTTTGGTAAACATTACTTCACTCGATGGTAACATCTCGTTGATGATGGTGTTATCACCTTGTACTGTGCATTTTGGAGCTGAGATGTTTTTCTTGCTAATATCATATGCTTGTATGAAATGGTGTTTGTGGCCTCCATTTTGTGAAACAGAGTAAGATGAACAGGTGGGATGAAAATGCTTCTTTTACCTCAGTTCCTTTGAGACAGGTTGATGTTTAACAGCTGGAAACAATGTGTTCATTTTGAGAAGACACGTTTTATATAACGTTTTGTTGTGATTAATTTTTTGTCAGTAAAAAAGACTTCAGTAGAAAGTCAATGCAGGTACATATAATAAGCCAGGTTCTTCTGATACACACCATGTCTGAGTCAAGAAATACAGCGTGTTATGTCTTGCCTCTGTGGCAAATTTTCCTTCCAAGGGACGTATCTTTTCTTCTCAATTATTTTCACACTTAAAGTTAGCCAAAAGATCAAGAAGTGATTTTTATTTTCAAGGCAACAATGTCACAGTAAAGCAAAATGAATTTTAAAGTGACCAGAGCTACATTATGAACCATTTTGATATGCAGATAATATATTGTGAGACATAGGGTGTGTTTGTAAAGGGTAAGAAGAATAGGAGAGGAATTGTTGCAAAAGTCAATTACAGAAAGTGAACGATCTGCTCTTGGCCCAAAGCTGCTTGGATTTAAGGACGAGAGTTCACAGAAAACCCAACTAGCAAGTGTGATTAAATCCCGAATGGCTCTAATGCATAATTCCAGATATGACTTGTTATCAGTTTGTTACTCCCTTATATATTATAGCTGCTTTTTATATTGTTTTCATTTTCTGGGGTGATTTGATGTAACTAATTACTGGCAATGTGAATTACTATCTTTAAAAAAATCAGAGTAATTCCTTAATATCAGTGAAACTAAATTGTGAAATTATTAAGTCCCCTGGACAACCCTTTGACTTTGAGGATTTACTTTTTTTCAAATAAAGCATGAGTTTATATGTTACTTTCCCAAATAGATTTTACTTGAAGGCTGAGATTCTGCAAAGCCTGTCATAACATGCTGCACATAGTAGGTGCTCAACAAATACTTATTTGGTTGGCTTTGACAGGTATCAGTAATTTTTCCCAGGTCTCTATCCTTTTTCCCCCATATTGAAAAAGTTATTTAAAAATAAAGCAAGGACTATTTATTACTCAAGTATTAAGATTATTTATAACAATAGATCTTTTGTTACATTATTTCAGTGAGCATTAGGTTTTATTGTTCTTCTTGGTAAAATGTTATTTACCTGGAACTGGAAGCCTTGGATTTTATCTTAGCCCAAGAATGTGTGTTTAGCACAGAATGTAATTAGGGGAAATACTTAAGGGATTGTCAATGCAGTGTTCTTTTAGCTCTTAAGCAATCCGTATCCTGCTAAAATGTTTATCTTTTTTTTTTCTTCCTTTCTGGCTGCTGTTCCAGGTCCCTTATTTCGCGTGAGTCTTTGGCGTCCACGACCTTGAGTCTGACGGAAAGTCAGTCGGCCTCAAGCATGAAGCAGGAGTGGTCCCAGGGCTACAGGGCCCTCCCTTCGCTCTCCAACCACGGCTCTCAGAATGGCCTTGATCTAGGGGATCTCCTTAGCCTTCCTCCCGGGACATCCATGTCCAGCAATAGTGTCTCTAACTCATTACCATCCTACCTTTTTGGCACGGAAAGTAGCCACTCTCCTTACCCTAGTCCTCGGCACTCATCCACCAGGTCCCACTCGGCCCGCTCCAAGAAGAGAGCGCTGTCCTTGTCCCCGCTGTCCGATGGCATCGGGATAGATTTCAATACCATCATCCGCACGTCGCCCACGTCCTTGGTGGCCTACATCAACGGGTCGAGGGCTTCGCCGGCCAACCTGTCCCCGCAGCCGGAGGTCTACGGGCATTTCCTGGGCGTGCGCGGCAGCTGCATTCCCCAGCCGCGCCCGGTGCCCGGCAGCCAGAAGGGCGTGCTGGTGGCCCCTGGAGGCCTGGCGCTGCCGGCCTACGGCGAGGACGGGGCCCTGGAGCACGAGCGCATGCAACAGCTGGAGCACGGCGGCCTGCAGCCAGGCCTGGTCAACCACATGGTGGTGCAGCATGGCCTGCCGGGCCCCGACAGCCAGTCGGCCGGCCTGTTCAAGACCGAACGCCTGGAGGAGTTCCCGGGCAGCACCGTAGACCTACCCCCCGCGCCTCCGCTCCCTCCTCTGCCGCCGCCCCCAGGCCCCCCACCCCCTTACCATGCCCATGCGCACCTTCACCACCCGGAGCTCGGGCCCCACGCCCAGCAGCTGGCCTTGCCCCAGGCCACCCTGGACGACGACGGGGAGATGGACGGCATCGGGGGCAAGCATTGCTGCCGCTGGATCGACTGCAGCGCCCTGTACGACCAGCAGGAGGAGCTCGTGCGGCACATCGAGAAGGTCCACATCGACCAGCGCAAAGGGGAGGACTTCACTTGCTTCTGGGCCGGTTGCCCTCGAAGATACAAGCCCTTCAACGCCCGCTATAAACTGCTGATCCACATGAGAGTCCACTCTGGGGAGAAGCCCAACAAGTGTACGGTGAGTTTCCGAAGCGCAAGGGGTGACCTCTCTTGAAGGCCCGGCTTGCTTTGCGTACGTGTGTTTTTTCCTAACTCGGCCCATGGAGTTTGCATGCGTGGGGGTCTAGGTATCCATGAGATGGGGTTCCCCTTCAGCTTGAGGAAGGGGAAGATTTCTTTCATGGTTAGTGGCTCTCCATTGCTATATTTCCTTCTGCAAAGGTACACGATCCATCCCAGCAGGTGATCAGTCTGCCACACTCTGTAAAATCTTGGAAAGGAGATGCCAGCCAGGTACCAACTTTGAATTTCCTTAATGTGTATGGATGTGCAAGAGCAGAAGGACACAGATTGCACATCAGCAAGCTTTAGTTCTTTTCCAAAGCAAATATGCAGTGACTTTTTCTTCCCTCCAATAACCGGGCTAGAATTGGGATGGAGAGAAGAGTGGTTTTGATATTTGAAAAGGAACTCACCACTTAGCAACTTGGCTAGTAAAAGTGTTTCGGCATGCATCCACATGCCTGCGCTCTGTACCTTCCAGGGTTGAGAGACTAGCTAATGATTTATAGTCGGCATAAAATCACCCAGGGGATACACAGGAGCAGAATCTCACAGGATCCTAACTAATTTTAAGAGGTAATTTTGTAGAGAGATATGAGGAGAAAGAGCAGGGAAGCCTTTGGTGCTGAGGGAAGTGGGCCTGATGTCTCTTTCTTCCTCGCCTCTGCCTTTCACAGCATCCATCCTGGAACTCTCTCTGTTTCTTGGCAAAATTTACTATTTTTGAATAATACGATTCTTAAATGGTTTCACAACAATTTCACACCTCACAGAAACCCTCAGGGTTTATAAACAGGGCATCACCCTTGGGATCACAGGATGGCTTTGCACAATCTCAGACAGCTCACTTAAGTATTGGAAAAAGAAGAACATGTGTTTTATATTAGTTTAGATGGACAGAAATATTTCATTTAAAGTCTAAGATTTCTATATATTCCCTGGATATTGAGTATGGTGCTGGTACTAAATATGTGAAATATATAAATCAATTTAAACAGAAATTTATTTGTACTGTGGTTCCCCAGCCCGAGTTCCTTCTTTCTGTAGTATGTCAGTGATGAAAAAGAATCTGGACTATGTGTATGCTTGATTATAGATTGGCCAAGGTTTCTTATTCATGTAAAAGCAAACCAAACAGGTGATAGCTATAATGCAAGTATTCAAAGCACTTTTTCACTGCCCGGTAGGTATTTTTGAAAGAGTTTTAAGAATGTCTTGTGGAATGGAATTGCATTTCTTGTCACAACGCTATGCACCACATTGTGATTTTTCTCAAGGAAAACCTGAAGCTGATACATTGCGAGAATGCCAGGTTATATGAGTGAAAAGAATAATTACTTTCCAGACAGCAAAACCTTACTCTGTCACTAGGGTTCTGCATTAAAAATGCCACAAAGAAACAAGCAATTGAAGGCAATTCAATTTACTCTGGAACACACCGGCCTATTGCAGGCAGGAAAGACATTCAGCCTCTGAAGGAAAACAGTCCAACCTTTTAGTTCTGACTAATCCTGGCTGAAAATAGTTCACTGGATTTGGCTTTACTGAAATAAACATAAAGGCTCGAATTATCCAGAAAAATATTTTTTGCATTGCAAAATTAATTTTTGTGCAATAGGATTTCCCCATTTTTCTACTGTTGCCAGGCTTTGCAAAGACATATAACTTTTTAAAGTTGATTTTTGCTGAAGTGCACGATAAATATCAAAAATATAAATACTTCAGTGAAAGAATAAGCTGATAGGTTAATGTTCGCAGGCTTATGCATAGCTTCTCATTGTATTGTTCAGAATGGGTATGGGAGATGATTTCTCTTCCTCTGATCTGCCCACTCCCCACTTCTAGGTGGAATCTTTATAAAATTCAGATTGATGATTTAACAGTGTATCGAATCTAGGACCACAAAGCATTTATTTACACATGTAATAGTGCACATAATAAACAGGGTTTCTTAGGAGCTGATTAATGCTGCAATTCTAGTTCTGGGGCTATATATTTTTAGCAGGAAGCCTTCATTTTCTTCTAAAACATACATATTATGGGCATTGTGTCTTCTGAAAACTGTTAGGTTGCTACATTGTCATCTGCTTGATTTGTAGGGTGATAGCCAACTGGCAGCAATTAATTTTGCTGTGAAAGTTTAGCAGTCCTCTTAAGTTGTAATCCACAGATAGAATACCTGGTTTTTAAAGTAGATATGCACCTGGAAAAAAATGTATTTTTCTGCCTTTTGCAAAACACATATTTATAGTCTTGGAGTCCACACACATACAACTGTTACAATTAAAATGTTTCATATCCCACTGACTTCAAATCTGATGGTAGTTGACTGAAAGCTCACGATCCTTGACAAGTAAAATGGCCACATTCTTCTTTTGGAAATGCGAAGTGACCTTTGGTTTTTGTGGCTGTGTCATACACTGCAGGGCTAGGAGCAGTCTAAATGATAAGAGCCGGGCCATTTTTTAGTTTTATATATGTTTAACTGCTATTTTCTGTGTATGATAGAGTTAGTCATTTTCACTTGCTTAGCTTATTGACCCAAGAAAGAAATGATGACCACATTGTGTTTGGTGGCCATGACTACAAGCAACACAAAGAGCTTCTGGAAGTTATGGTAAAATAGGGGTGTGTGAGAGGGCTACTCAGTGACGGCTTGCTTACAGTAAGTGGCTGCCACTGGTATCCTCCCTCATGCCAAATTTCATGTCATGCATGAGAGAACGCATTCTCAGAATCTCTGACCATAACTCCCTGGACTTATCAGAACCCTGGGATTCACATCATTCAGGATTCTGGGTGGCAGAACTGGGGGAGGGCTGTGAATTTATTATTTGGTTAACTTACTGGAAGAAGAGAATGGGTTCTTTTCCTTTTACCCCGACAACTCCACCCTTGTGTAGATCTCTTTCTTATTGCTTCTGTGGAAAGCCCAACCAGCTGCTCTCTTTCCAGGCCTGGCCTCGATTGCAGAGACATTCCCACCCAGTGGCAAAGGGCTTGAGAAGTAAAGGCCTCTGTAGACAGACAGGCAGACCTCAGCTAGTCAGAAACCGGGATATGCCAATATTACATTTTAAAATACCCGACTCCATTCACTGCTATCTATTAACTATAGTACTTTCTAGGTGCTGAATCTCTTTATTTTGACCTTCTGAGCTTAGACCAACTGCAACCTTGGTAAATCTCAGAATTATCAAAATATTTGAGCATTATCAGCTATAACTGTTGAATTCTATTAAGTTTTTCTGAGATGGTAAGGTCACAGGTCAGAACAAGTCATGGAGTCTCTGAATTTGTCCCTTTCCCAAACCCCTGTTTCATGTTCCTAAAAGGACAACATGAAGTATAAACCCAAACAATAGATGTACACTAATCATCCCTAACAATATCCATAGTGAATGGTTCCAACAGAGTGCACCCTGAGAACGTTTGTACTGTAGATCTTTTTACCATCAAGTTGAAGACTGTGCAATGGTTGGGTAACGGTGCCCAGTAAGTGTGTTCTGAATGAGCTTGGGCATGCTCTGTCTGTTGGTGCTTCTCATGAGAAAGGCTGTCTGCCTATCTGGGGCAGAGTGAGTAGAGGGACCCAGGGTTCTGTTGCTAGGATCAGAAACACTGATGACTTGCCTTCACGTACGACTGAAAGCAGTTGTGCTAGCAGGTTGGGGAGTGCTGGTAAGGGAATTGGGGGAACGTGGGCCTCCGCTTAAATTTTGTTTATTTTTCCTGGATGAATTTTATCCAATGGCAAAAAGGAATTGTTCAAAACTTTTACCCACCCATGGATTTTCATGAAAATGTCACTGACCAAAGACCAGTTTTGAATTTTGTATGAATTGACTCATTTCTCCACAGGCATTTTGCCTGGCAAAATCCAGAGTATTTTCTTTGGCTTGAATATTGGGCAGTGGTGCTTTTTAAGTAACATTGGATTATGATTTCAAGAAAATAAATACAGAGCTGGGACCATGTCCCCATTCCTCTTTTGTGGCCTGATGTATGGGTACACAAGCCAGCTTTGGCCTCATAAGACATGTCTTGAGGAAATGTAAATTTATTGTAAGCTGTGGAAGGCCTTTTTCACATTCGCTTTTATTCTGATAAGACTCAGTGTTGATGTGGTCTATGACCAGAGGGACCTTAGGAAAATATCATGTAAGCATAATTCTTAATCCCCACTTCATAATCCTCATATTGGCAATAATGAATAAATTATCATAATACCAAGTATCAATAAGGGTATGGAGAAGTGGATACCCTTTAACGTTGTTGGAGAGACTAAATTGGTGTAACCACTTTGGAGATCAATGTGGTAATACCTAGTAAGGTTGAAGATGAGTCTATCCAATAAAACTGTGTCTAGGTGCCTACCCTAGAGAAGCTTTTGTATATGGTGGCAAGGAGACATGAGAAAAGGTGTTTATTGCTTTTGTTTTTCAAAAAAGTATAAATAACGTAACTGTCCATAGATAAGTCAATAAACCGTGGCTTATTCCTAATGAAATACTATAAAGGAGTTTAAAATTAAAATACGCATATATATATTACATATATATCTATTAACATGGATACATTTCAAAAAACACTGTTGAGTGAAAAAAATATGTGCAAAAGGGTATATATAGTATTAATACAATTTATGTATATTTAAACACAAACCGGGCAATATTATATAGTTCTGGTAGATAAATAATTATGTGATATTTATTTAGATTTATGTAGATAAATAAAATCATGGGGGCAGGGTAACTAGTAATTTTAGGATAGTGGTTACATCTCAAAAGGAAAGAAATAAAAGAGATGGGATGTGAGGGTTTTACTTTCTCTTTTTTTCCAGAGAGAGAACTGAAACAGATATTACCACCTAATGGTGGTAATATAGGTGTCATAGGTGTCTGTTATAGTATTTGGTATACTTTACTGCCTATTTGAAATATTTCATAACTATAAGGATATATTTTATCTAAAAATAAATGAAAGCCAATTACTATCACACTCCAATTTCTTTCCACCCATATCATTTTTTTAGATGAGAACAAAGCCTAGAGAAATTGATCTTTCCACGACTGTTATTTAGCTGTTCCATACTTAGAACTTCTGAGGCTGTAGTTCTTAACCCTGGCTGACACTGGAATCATCCGAAGTACCCGTACCTGGGTCCCATCTTCAAAATTTGTGATGTAATTGGCCTGGGATGCAGCTTCCAAGGTGATTCTAATGAGCAGTCAAGGTTGAGAACAGTATTATAAAAGTTTTCCAGTTCTAACATTAGTGCTAGATAAATAAAAGCCTACCCTGTTACTTCTGTTAAGATGCAGGGATGTAGTGTTTAGTAGAGTACATCTCTACTTATTCTCAATGGCCTGACAGTAATCTCTACATTATTATCAATGTCCTGACAATGATTAGGGTAGTTTAATGTTCTCTTGTAATAAAATTCAGAGACGAGATAAGATATTAGAATGATTGGTAGTGGCAGAAGGCTTTCAACTGAGTGTCCATTTCACATTCAGAGTCTCTTTCTTCACAATTATTAGTCGAAGTTTGGGAGGAGTCTTGTGCTGAACCATGTATACATTGTTGCCACCTCCTTGCCTCCTTGATTTGGCAGTGGAACTGACAAATTTGTCACCCTGTTCCCATTTTTAAAGGTAAGATAGAGTGTTCTCTCTTCCAAACACAATGCAGACTTTCAGCTTTTAATAGAAAATGATCTTCAAAACACTTTTGCTACTATGGACATTTCTGAAGAGTTGGTAAATTACTAAAATATTGAATTTTCTCTTTTATCAAATCTGCCTGATGTGATTAAATAAATAAAATTAACATTAATATCCTCTTTGTCTCTTGAGGCTGAAACACCACCAGTGAACATCTGGTAAAGATCAGAGTGAGTGTAGCTTCCAAGTCATATCCCACAAGGCATCGGTCTGTCAGATATTAAAAGCAAACTCCTTGATTTAAAAAATAAAACCAAATCTTAAGATTTCTTTCCCAGCGATTTTACGTAAGAGATACAAACATATGTATCTGTGTAAGCACATGTTCAACATAGTGTAGACACATATATGTCACCATAAATTACAAATCCCTTAGTATAGGTAAAAGTGAAACCACAGAAATCCTCATTAGATGGGGCATTGACCACAGTCTATAAGGCATCTGTCAAATAGGATTTCATATCCCAAAACACAGTTTAGAAACCTGCCATTTGGTAAAGGTTTAATTTGGTTTCCCTTTAGAAGGCATTTAATTCAGTTTACCTGGGGAACTGACCTTTCATGAACTTTGTCCTTAAAATAAATTCGTAGCAGATTTGGGCAAACATTTCAAAGCTAATCGTGGTTTATGTTTCTTTGCCCTGTGATTCTAGGATGAATGAAAAACAATAGATAATGAGAGCAACCCTAAGAGGTTAAATATTTGAGGCTTTATCCTCATTAAACAAAATCATTAACTACATGATGGTTAATGTTCCTTTTAGTTCATATTTGTTTTGTGTTTTTTCTCTAATTTCATGCCTTGAAATAATGTCTTTAAAATTAGAAAGAATTATGTACATCTTTTCATAAATGATCTGATTAAGGGAATGTATGTCGAACCTTTGGAGATTTGTTTGTATATAGATTCTAAAATGTGTTTTTCTCAGTTCTTTCAGACTGCACCAGTGTGGAAAATTTGTTTGGCAATATATTAGAAACACCCTTTGTGACCTTTGGAATATTTCTTGATTACCTTTTCTTTGAGTGGTCGTGTTGTCATTTTAGGGTCCAGATAGAATTTGAATGTGTAGAGTGAAAGACCAAACACATTTATTTTTCCAAAAAGAAGCGGTCGTCTGATTCTCTTTGATCTTTCAGAAATGTTTTCTTCAAGTTCTGAGTAGAATGATTTGGGAAAGAGATGTTTATTTTTTTTTCCAGGTAGATTTATTAGTTTCTACTGTAATTGCTGAGTCAGGGCTTCTAAGCCATCAATAAGACAATGCTTGTTGTAACCCTGGACAGTGGATCTGTGGTTGGCTAGCCCAGAGCCTGAGTAGGGAAGGCTTGATTTTACGTCTGCTTTAACTCTGGGAAGCCATGTGTCCTTCATCCAGAGGGGAGACCAATCTGTCTAATAGGTGTCATCGCTCATATAGGAGGTTGGCATAGATAGGGGTTTGGTGAGAAAGTGGAATGAAACCTGTGTGTTTTTATTTCACGGCACAGTATTTATTTTCCTTTTCTTGGGCCACAGGTTCTGAGCTTGAGTAGGGAGAATGGTTAATCTGTTAGAAGGAGAATTTTGAATAATTTTTTAAATGATTAGTTTAAAAAGTTGTTGAGAAATTGGAACATGATATAACCAGTTTCTGGGCAGGCAGGAGCAATATGCTTGGGTAAATATATACCCTAATGCTCTACAATTAGGGTGAGCATATACTTTATTTTTCAAATTAGGACACTTTTGAGAGTGAAAGTGAGTTTGTCTCACTGGAATGTCAGTCTAAATCAGGATTGTCCTGGAAAAAATTAGGGTATATAATTACCTTACCCAAATAGTATGTGTACTGATGTGTTCACTCATTGTGTGTTGATTCATTCGTTTGATCACTGAGTGCAAGCCATGTACCATACCTTACCCGGGGGATACAGAAATAAATGAGACATTCCCTTTGGGAGCTCACAATCTATTGGGGTGACAGTTGTGTAAACAGTAAAACAAGGGCTGTGATATACAGCTATGCAAACTTTTAATGGGAAAACTAGGGGAAGAAGCTCTCAAGTATGCCTGTAGAGTTTGGGCAGGCTTGTTAGAGGAGGTAACTGCATCCTGAAAGAAGACAGTAATTCTTACAGAGAAAGTAAAGGAGGCCATTTAAACCTGCACAGCACCATATGAAATAGCACAGGAGTATGAAAGAGCACAGAGGAAGAAACAATTCTCAAGTAGTTTGATGGTCCAAGACTAGGTAGGAGTGGAAGTGAGGCTGGAGGAAGTCATGAAGGACTTACACTACCAAATAGGGATCATGTTTAGGAATTGGAAACCTAGTTAATATAAATGCAAATCTAGTCAATAAAAAATATCTTAGGAGGGTAGCATCACTGAGGTAGCAAGCACTGTGTTTCAGTGGATGTGAAATGAAACTTTGACTTCCCCAGGTCTTCTCCATTATCTCTTAAAGTTTATAGTTTAATTCCTCATTAAAACATATCTCTTGGCAGCTATCATATGAAACACACATTTATCTTATGCCAAGTGATCAGCTAGGGAAACACGTAAATGTAGACTAGCATGAAAGCATTTTCTGTTGCAGACTTTAAAGAAAACAATTAAAAATCTGGGGAAGACTAGAGACCAAAGTTATTTGATCAGTTATGTAGAATGATTAAGATGTGGACAGAGGCTGCATACATTATCCTGTGTATGAGTAGCTTTCCATTAGTTAAATATTTCCTTTTATAATCTGTAAAGAGAGTGAAGTATTGTACTGTTAAACAAAGGTTTGGACTGGTGCTCATTATGCTGAGCTTGTCAGCCTTTTCAAGATTTTTTTCCTTCACTGCTGAGATTTACTTTGACATTTTTTTTTTCTGCTCAGACTAAATTAATACAGAACAGAGTGAAATGCTTGAGCTGTTTAGAGGAGAACAAATTAAATCAATTCCCATCAAAATGGCACCCATTCCCAGTGACTCAGTCCTGAACACCATAGAACCCCATGTCTCTCTAGACCGGGGAAGGCAGCATGAAAGGAAGACTTGCCTTTTGTTACTTGAGCTTCTTTCTCTGGCAGCACGAGCCCTCCCCTGGGGTTTGAGCCACCCAAGGTTGTAGAGTCATTTGTCTGTTGACCGGAGAGCACAGCTGAAGGCCCAGGTCAGTGGACTCAGGCATTCAGAATGTTCTAGAGAGGGCATCTGATTGGTCCTGGATCCTTGCTTTTAAAATTTATGAGGCAGATTCTCAGGCTTCTCTCACCAGACAGTTATCTTTTCTGTGTTTTAGAATGTTTGTTTGAAAGTGGTTTCATTTTTAAATAGGGGCCTGGGTATTGGGCCTGTTGCTTGTGTTTTTGGTGAGATATATTGTCACTGCTGACTCTTTTTTGTCACTCTCTTTCCACATCCCTCGTCCCAGTGGCTAGTATGAAAATTGCCCAGAAAAGCAAATGGTGATTTATTAGCCAAGAGAATGGATTTGGGGTTGGGAGAACAGTTGTAATGAAGCGGAAATGGAGGACTCAGCCTTAAACAAAATTCTGAAATAGAAATCTGTCTTTCATCTCATTTGTGGTGACCCCTACTACCTTCTTCCCTCAGAGTTTCCATGCTGCTTCACAGGCCCCATGCCTTGCTCCTTATTTTTGCTCTCCATCGAATTGAGGCTTGCTTTTGGGAAAGAACTGTGGGAAAGAGAAATTCATATATATAATGGTGAACAGCTGAGAAAAGATTCAGTGTGCTGGCTCTCCCAAGGGTATCTACATTTTAACGAGAAAGAAAGTATTAAACCTCTTCCTTAGACCAAAAACTCTTTCAGAGAAATGGAGGTGAAAGAAAGTGACTATGTTACAGAAATTCTGAGCTACTATATTACTTTAATTCTCACTATCACCCTCAGAGCTAAGTAATTTCTGGGATTTGAGATTCAGACTCTCTTCTTCCTACTACATATTCAAAGATCATTAATTATTCACCTTTGAGTCCTAACCATAGCACGTGGCTCAACGATTAACATACTGTAGACCTCAAATGTGCACACATGCATGCACACACACACACACTTGAAGCTAGATGATGGATACGTAGAGGTTTATTATTCTGTTATTTGCACTGTGTGAAGATTTGAAATTTCCCATAATAAAATGTTAAAAATAAAGAAATAAAATGGTTTTGAGTGAATTCATAGGAAAGAAAAGAACAGTTTGTTGTCTCTGGCTCCTCAGAAAATGATGCCAGCCATGTTTTTTTTTTTTTAGGTAACCTGTGTTCTTCTGATCTGAAAACAAATTAATTTTTCCATTGCTCTGGATTGTCTCTGAGATCACTGTGCTTAGGAATGAGATGAAAGATACTCTTGGGCAGTAACATGATATTTAAAGAGGCAAATGATAAGAAGTGAATACTATTGCAATGCATTAAAATAATTTAACCCAAATCTCAGCGGCTTGCTATGATAAGAGTTTATTTCTTGTTTTTGTTCTAATATGGCTAACTCCTTATGATTGTATAGTGACTCAGGATCCTTCAATCTAATGGCTCTGCAATCTGAGTCTAGGGTGAAAGACATGTTGTTGAGGATTGTGGAGAGGTTTTAGGATCCAGGCATGGAAGTGACAGGCTTGACTTCTCTTATCCCATTCGGCAGCACTCAGTCACATGACCTCAACTAACTGCAAGGGCAGTTGGAAAAAGAGTGGTCTTCCTGTGTGTCCAGGAGGACACTTAAACACCGAGTATTGGTGAACACAGAGTATAGTATCTGCCACAAGGAACTAGAAGTGCCCCCTGCTTCTTCTCTGACTTACCTCAGTTTTCTATATCTCCTTGAAAAGAAAACACATTTCAATCTTGATCTTGGAGCTTTCCATGAGTGGCGACCTGGTCTCATCAAAGAGCTTTAAAGACCATTTATTTTTTTTCTTTCCAGTGCTGGCTCCTATAACTTGCTTTTCAACTTATTAAATCTTTCCCAGCCCAACCATTTTTTTTCTTATTGACTCTCCAAGGATTCCATTGCCATACAATCACCACTGCTGGGAAAATGCTCCCTATCTCAAGTGGATTACTCAGTTTTTCCCACCTTGTCCAAATTACATGTTCTTGGGGCACAATTCCCCGCTGCTCGTCATCTTTCTAAGCCGTGAGTGTGTGTGATGTCTTCATGTCCCACAGGCACTTACCCTTAAGGGAGATCTGCTCATTATCAAGGGCAAGGTTATAGATGAATCACTGAGAGTTCTACCATTGTGCACAGAAATTTGGTGTGAAGGGCTATTTTACTAAGACCCTGAAACACAATATTCCCCATCTGTTCATAAAGTAGCTTATTTGATACACACAATGTGGTCATAAATGCTCTTCTATTCTCTGAATGCTTGCTTTTGGTCATGAACTGGCACACACTCAAGGAAAAAATGACAATGTGCCTCTATGGACACTTTTGGTCCATTTCCATAAATATATTCAAACAAAATGAAATTGCCTGGCTCTTTATAATATGTCCTTTAGTGTGTTTAAGCTTGCAAAATTACCCCCAAGGATGACAAATTGTAAACATCATGCAATACCACAGCCCTGGGTCAAGGCCTGTCTCAGTGTTCTACCGGCATTCGCCCTTCTTAGAAACGTTTAAAGTGTTTTAGGAAAATGAAGCTAGGCAAACAAGCTTATCAGGAGCGACAATAAAAAAAAATCATTGATTCTAATTAGGAGGCGTCACGTATACAGAAACAAAGCTGCTTTTGTGTAATGAAAACTCTACCTGTTCTCTGAAACACATGGAGTGCTTTCCAGTGGCTTTAGATAATCACGCTGACAAAGTTTCAGGGCCCTGACCTTTTGGCCCATCTCAAGTGATTCAGCAGTGCTTGTCGAAACTTGTCTAAGGTGTTGGTGGAAGGTGTACTGGGATACAAGTTGTTATAAAGGTGTGACAATGGGACAGGTGCCGTTTGTTTCTGAAAGCTCCAAACTGCATCGTAAATTGAGGTGGGAAGTATTCAGGTTCTTGCGGCATGGATTGAGTTTATTGTAATTATCTCTAGTTGTCCCTCCCTGTAGCAAGTATTTCCCCCAGCAGCCTAGTGAATTGACCCACTGCTGGTGAGGACTCTAACTTCTTACAGCTTGGGTCACCCCGATCGTGTTCTATTGTGTGTCCTGGAAAGGCCAGATTTAGATTGTGACTCTGGTTTTGTGCTGTGCCCATAGAATGAGGCTTTATGGTGGAATCAGTCAAGAACAGAGCTGTATAATCTGAATAAGGGAGAAATCACTCCAACTGCTTACTCTATTGAGATAGTAAATCAAAACAAACAACTGTGTCACTATCACTTTTCAAGAATTCAGAACTTCGGAAAAAATGAATGTCACTAGACCACAGAGTCAGGAAAATAGATCTTGGTAAATCAATGGGCAATTTAGTTTAAAATTAAGAGTACATATTGACCATTTGCAGTGTCAATGATTTATTTTCAAGGAGGAATTTCATAAAAGGCATTTTTAGTTGCCTGATTATACATTTCCTCCAAAGATGGTTTGCTAATTGCCATCAGTGAGTAATAGGGGTTGCCAAAAAGGAAAAATAAAGTCCATTGTGTTCCAAAGGAATGATGCTGCCAAGTGTCTTGACAGGCTCCTGCTGCACTTGTCAAACAGCTGTGCCTGGGAGTGAAATTATGAAGTTGGATTCTCACTTAGCCAAGATTAGAATAGGCTTAATTGAAGGTGTCTCCAATGGGGGATAATTTCAAATTCTTAAGTACAGAATCCATGCATTTCTAAAAAACATCCTACTGACCATCTCTAAATCACTTTGTTTTGTTTCTGCCTTCATTTTCACTCAGATAGGTATGATATGAAATTTAAAAGAGGAAAGGAAATAAAATTGTCTTCATAAGGAAAAATTCTAAGGTTATTAACATAATTATTTCACTTATAGATATTTTAGATCTTTAAATATTTGGCTTACATTTTAATACTGAATTGTTCATCTAATTATAGGTGTGCATGTTCTCTTGGTCTCCAAATGTGACTTTCAGGTGCAAAACAGCAAGGCCTCTAACAACTATCTCTATTTCACTCATTTGACTATTTATTAAGCAACTATTTCATGCCAGTCTCTCTTCTAAGCACTGGGGATCCAGCAGGGAACAGATCAGACCCCTGACTCCCATCCTTCTGGAGCTTACACTCTGGAGGGGGAAGATAATAAATAATGCAGATACCTGGGGGAGGAAAGTTCCAGGCAGAGAGAATAGCAAGTGCAAAGGCCTCAAGGCAGGAGTGTTGGCCAAGTGTGTTCTAGAAACATCAAGGAGTCCAAGGTGGATGGAGTGGAGTGAAGAGGAAGAAGAGAAGAGACTGTGATGGAGAAATGGGGGCTAGATTGTTTAGGACCTTGGAGGCCACTGAAAGGATGCTTTTGAGTAGAGGAGTGATAGGGTCTGACTTATGTTTTAATAGAATCCCTAAATGCTATGTGGAGAATAGATTGAAGGGGAACAAGGAGTGGAAGTTGGAAGACCAAACCTCTTAGAATTGAGGGCACTGCCGTAGCCTTCTGTCTGGTCTTTCTACTTAATATCCAGTGGTAGAAGTTGGGATAGCTGGTTGGATTCTGGCTATCTAAACATAGGTAGACCTGAATTGCATATGAGGTATAGAGACAGAAGTGTCAGAGGTAACTTTAAGGTTTGGTTCATGCACCTGGAAGGAGGGGGGTTATCTTTAACTGAGATAGGGATGATCATGGGAGATTTAGGGAGGGAAGCAGATCGGTTGATTTTGGACTTGTTAAGTTTGAGGAGCCTTTTAGACATTCAAATAGTGAATCTGGAGATCAGATGAGAAGTCTAGACTGATGCCATTTTTGGGACCACCTATTTCTAGGTAACATCTAAAATTATGAGACTGACTTACCTAATTTAAAGTGAAATGAGTAGAGTCATGACAACATTGGTGCCTACCCTGTATTCCATCGTTGAGGGACAGGTTGGTGGAAGGTGAGAAGAGTAGAAGAAGGAGTGAATTTCTGTTTACCAAACACTGTGTATGTCCTTAGTCTTGCGTTGCTGTGTTACCCTTACTCCACCTTGGATGTATCAAGGAGAATTGCAAGGGGCCATTGAAAGCAACAAGGTGGAATTGAAGAGGTTGTTCCAAGTTAGCCTGCCATCAATATACTTGTGTTTATGCTTCCAGACCAGAATATAGTCAAACAGAAAACAAGAGGGACCTCTTCCAAGAGAATACATTGATTTCCACCCTCATGGTCTTATGCTCTTAAAATTGGTAGGCATTAAAAACAGTATCCATACATCTGAGTTCCTACAGAACTCAGCAGTGTGTAAGCAGACACTCTGAGAAACGGTATTGTGTTAGTTCTACCATGAGGGTGACATGGGGATGACAGAGTCCAGGAACAGACTGGAAGACTTCTTGGTCATTGTGTGTTGAGAGGATTCAAACAGCAATTGGTAGTTTTTTTCTGTCTTTCCAACAGTGAGATTATAAGGTTATATCTTTTAATAAGTTAATCTCTCAGTGAATTTGGTGGTATCTCGTGTTCCCTGAATGTATCTTCTCAGTTGCCGGGCTTCTCCTTAGAGTGCCTGCTCTGGTAATGTCTCCATGGTATTGATGAGAAACAATATGAAATGGCTACTGGCTGGAAGGTCTTATGGGTTGTACTCAGGTTCACATTCTAAATGTTCAAGGCTCCTGTGCTGTTCTTGACCAACGAAGCCTAATGAGTCTGTAAAAATAATTTTAATTTTAAGATTACACAATTATATTTCTTCTTACTGTAGAAACAGCTAAATGAAAAACCTTTTGTGTACTATGTGTTGAATTTGTTTACTGTGATTATGATAGCTAGGGAACAAAACTTTGTGTTTTAGCTTTTGGAAAATTTTATGATGTTCATGTCTATGGCAATAAAACTTCATTGGCTCCAGCAGGATGCCTCTTTTATTTGACTGGAGTGTTATGTCATGTCCAAACACAGAGAAAAGATAGGGATTTTTTTTTCATTTTACATGTATTTTTCCTTTCTATTGCCTCCTGTCTTTCCAACACCTACTTATTCCTCTGTCTTTTCCTTCTATGTAAAGCTCTTAAGGATGACATAGAAAAGAAAATGGAGGTTGCAACAGTGCTTGAAAGGCTTATGTGTGTGTATTTGTTTGTGTGTGTTTTCCATCCACTGACTACGAAAAAAAGCATATCCAGTGCTTAAAAAAGGTGACATTTAATATTTAAGACTGTGTCTTAGGGACTTGAGATTTATTTATTATAATATTTATATTCTCTAGTAAGATATACTATCCTACTAGTTACGGCAGTGCTTTTTAAGCTCAGCACTATTGACATTTTGGACATTTGGACTGGGTTTTTGTTGATGAAGGGCTCTGTTGGATATTGTCGGTTGTTTAGCTGCATCCCGGGCCTCTAACTACCAGATGCCGATAGCACCTTCTGTACCCTCAGTAGTGACAAACATGTCTTCAGGCATTGCTGTATGTCTCCTGTGGAGAAAAACTGCCCCTGGTTGAGAAACACTGAGTGAC
This sequence comes from Homo sapiens, assembly GCF_000001405.40. Classification (NCBI taxonomy): domain Eukaryota; kingdom Metazoa; phylum Chordata; class Mammalia; order Primates; family Hominidae; genus Homo; species Homo sapiens. The sequence goes on along the minus strand of NC_000009.12, from coordinate 4,102,437 downwards.
AGGAACCAGAATTTATAAGCCTTATTCATTGTAGAGACAGGGCCGTTATTCTGAGATTTCAGTCAGTGCCTGAAACACAGATACTTGGCTTAAAAAACCACTTCGCTTAGCCGCTTCCCCAGCCTCACAAGGACCCTGACCATGACCTCTTTAGCTTCTGATGACTACTTGATGGGGGAAGTAATGCTTCATGCTTCCAGAATTATAGTAGGAAGGAATGTAAACTGTTCCAAGTACTTAGTTGACCCTGGGGTTTTCTTATAGAAATACTGACATAAATGGAGAATTGTCTTAGAAGAATGGTTGTGTCTAGAATTTATCTTCTTCTGGTGGAGAAACCCTGGGGCAGAAATAGTGCAGTATTTTAAGCCAGATTTCTAGACTTAGATGGAGAATAATCCTTATAAGTGATCAATTGCTCATCCATTTCAGCATTGATATTAAAACCATAATATATGGAAAATATACAGAAAATGTGTGGTCTAAGTTTGCAGTTTTACAGCATCTGTGTCCTTGGATGCTCTGCCACTTTGTTCTGGAAGTGAAACCTAGTTCATTCTTCTGATTGGAATAAGTTGTGGAAAGGGTGCACTTTTGGTGCAAGATGGCATGAGATACAGTGACTCATTAACAGGAAAGAGTTATCTTTCCATCATGACCCAACTTTGATAAGAAAAGCCAAAAAGAAGCTTGAGATCTACAACTATGTCAAGCCGGCAGTGCTTATAAGATTAAACTTTTTTTGAAACCAGCTAATTGGAAACAGTTTAAAAACAAACAGCTTTCTGAATCTTAATCAGGAATATAGTAGGTATAATTATTGGTGGTTACATGTATTACCCTAGAAAAATAATTTCTAAATTATAAGATTGTTTAGCTAACGTGTTCTACCCAGGAGACTTGAATCTAGACTGAGTTTTGGGATATTTTGTTTAGAACAACTAGTAGCAATAATAGACACTGACAAATGATAACAGCTTTATATGGTTTATACAGAATAATAAATATCCCACTATGCTCATGAAAGAACAAAATTAAGTAAGAACAGCTGCATTTGGACATTTAATTTTGGACCCCAGAGAGAAAAGACTTTTCATAGTTTGAGACACACTGTAGGGAAGCTGTGCTATACCCCAGAGAGTAACATCTTCCATTGAAGTCAAGTTTACAAAGCACTGTCCCATGCATAATCTCACTGGACTCTCACAGTAATCCGTTGCAGTAGAAAAGATGGTTGCAATTTTTATTTCCATTTTAAGGCGAGGAAACAGCTCAAGTGATTTTATGTAAGGTCATACACCAGTAAGTACTGGGTTGTGAACCAGGACCCAGGGTTGTTGGTTTCCTTGGCCAGTACTTTTTTCTGTTCCACCGCAGCCTTCCGTGAAGATGCTGTGATTTATGTTTCCTTCATTTCATACTCTGCTGTTTTCCAGGGGCCCCCAGCCCAGTTCCTTCCTCCATTCACACCAGGGCTGGCTATTATATTACATAACTCCAGCAGTGCCATTTATTTTGTGTTCCCTGATATTGTACAACGAGAGGGTTCCAGGAGGGGTGCCATGCACATAGATTACGTAGAATTCCATCTATGGGGGCAGTTTCTACCCCAGGGTTAGTTAAAACCGTAGAGGGATAACATAGATGAGTAAAATGGCTTTCTATGCTCAGGAGACTTACAAGAATTAGTTTTTTTCCTTTGTCCCCCCCTCAATATTATACCACTTAGAACACTAGATAATTCTATACTACTACTTGTAGAAACAGTCAACTGAGTCCTGCTAAATTAAAAAGAAAGAGACACCACTGGTTTATTCCTTTGGTTAAAAAAAGCCCTCAGAATTTGACACAGAATCATTTCATCCTGTTTAAGATTATGTAATTTTGTCCTTTTGAATTTGGTTATTCCAGAAAATGTACGTTTTTACTTAATGCAAAAAACTGTACATCTCTGAATCATATTTTCATGGTGTATCGGAAGTGAGCTTTTTTCCCCTTTGTTTTCCCTGATTATCCAGGTGTCTTTTATCCTATGTTGTTGTACTCCCCCATTTAAAACATACAAATACTCTCTCTCATGTTTCCAGAAGTTATTTATCTTCTTTCCTTGGGACTAAAATGCATGTAAGGGTGTAAGGTTAATGACTAGGATAGTGTGTGGTTTAACAGTTCAGCCCTGGCAGGGAGCGGGGCCAATTATGGTGGAAGGGAAATGACTTCCCAGTGTAAACCTAGTACCCGCATACTACACCACCTGTTCTGGTTTCTGTTCTAGGAACTCTTTTACCGATATATAACAGAAAGAAAACTAAGTCAGATTGAGAATACCATGACCTTTTATTGTTACACAATTTTACGTTTCAAAACATTCTTCTGTAGTATGTGTCATTTTATTCTTACAAAATCCAGTATGGGAGGCAGAATGAGTGGTCTAATTATTTCCAGTTTACAGGCTGGGAAACTGAGAGTCAGAGAAATTACATGAGAGAATTGCCCAAGTGAAGAGATTATTAAACAGATGACGAAGTCTTTATGTTATGATGTAAATCTTTTCATTTTCACCCAAAATAATATTAGGAATTTGAAGGTGAAAACAAATCTTTTATCAATTTAAATTCTCTGTGGAATGAGGTGAGGTATGAGTACAATGCAGACATTTTAAAATATGATATTTCTCTTCATACTTAATATGCAACTTATTGTATCCTGCAAAACAGAAACCAATAGAAATTAAGTTGGGAAGGGACTTAGAGAGAGTCAAACCGCATTTTGGAGCAGGACTTTGTTATGGGTTGAATTACATTCCCCTAAAAGAGGTATGTTGAAGTCATCACCCCCAGTACCTCAGAATGTGACATTATGTGAAAACACGGTCTTTAGAGAGGGAATCAAGTTGAAATGCATTCATTAGGGTAGGCCCTGGTTCAGTGCAACTGGTGTTCTAATAAAAAGGAGAAAGTTGGACACAAAGACATGTGTGCATTGGGGGAAGGTGATGTGCAAAGACAGAGGCTCGGGGGGGCAACTCCAAGTGAAGGTGAAGGCAAGGATTGGAGTGACGCATCTGCAAGCCAAAGATTGCCAGCAAACCACCAGAAACTAGCAGAGAGGCATAGAACCGATTCTCCTTCAGAGCCCTCAGACCCACACCTTGATTTCAGACTTTGAGCCTCCAGACCTATGAGATGATACATTTCTGTTATTTTAAGCCACCCATTAAAGACGATGCATTTCTGTTATTTTAAGGTTGTGATGCTTTGTCATAGCAGCCCTAGGAATCTAATTCAGACAGCCCTATGTGCTGGCCACCTGCAGGCTGCTGCAGGTGCCCATGCCTCTTATTCCTTCTTGCCATCATGACTGCAGTAAGCCAAGCTGTGGGACATTGCACTTTGTCTTGAGGGCAGTGGGAAGGGTCAACCAGATGTGTCTTCGGGACACATTCTGGTCTGTTATGTGTCAGGGCTTCAGACTTACTTGTAGTGTGTGTTTTCTGAAGCTGACTATTGGGAGTTTTGGGATCAACACATTGAGACCTGGATGTGAGTATCTCCTACTTTGAGCTCTGCATGCGGGTTTATGTCTGTTGGCAGTACGTGAGAACTAATTTGGGGTGACAAATGAGTAAGTTTCTAGGGGAAATTAATTGAAGAGTATATTTTTATTTAAATCGTGATCCTTGGAATTTTACATTTCCATTTCGATCGTAAAACTTTTTACGATAAACAGAAAGTAAAAAGGTAAAGAAGTATGATATTACGGCAAAGGATGAGGCAGAATATTTCAATAAATTTGAGATTACGTTTTTAGAACTACACCGATGGTTTTAAGGCACAGTTGTAGGATACATAGTTGGGAGAAAGAAATGCTGCAGAGGCCTTAGTTCCCATCCAATTAATCTCTCAGGGTAATTTGTTTACTGGATTCTGCTGCCAAACCTATGGGTTGCTTTCTTCAGGGGTGAGGGTTAGTCGATGAAGCCATTTGTTATGTTTCTGTTACACCGTGTATCGATCTTGCTCATGGAAAATGTTAGTGGTGTCCCTTCTATATCATTCATCTTCTACTCCTCCATTCATTATTTCCAGCCCCCCATTAGTAATTCTTGTGTCACAGAGGGACATCTCATTAGGAATATACCAAGGTCAGTGAATGACATGGCTTTGTGTTGCTGCAAGATTTTTTTTAAAGGCAGTCATTACTCAGATTGCAAAAGGGAACTAGCATTTAAGTAAGAACGTGTTACAAAGTTTCGAAAGTGAATTCTTCTGTAGCTTCAGTGAGATCCTGAGAGATGGGAATTTGTTTTTATTTTCATATCTCTCAACTGCACCAGCTCTTCATTCTTTAATCATCCAGTGTCCTGCTGTGTGGAAGACTCTATGTGCCTTTCAGTGTGATGCTGAGACCCTGATTTTAAAAAGTTATGAACTATTTCTGATATACGTAAAACTGTAAGAGTAATATGACAAATACCAAAATAGACCGATGGAACAGAATGGAGCCTAGAAATGACCCACAAAAAAAATTGAAAATATGTTAGAATTCAGACTTTTTTGTTTTGTGGGGTTTTTTTGTGTGTGTCTTAATTGGTTAGTGGGCCTTCCCACTGCTTTTGTGGATGATGCAAATCTGGCACCTTTGGGGTTCTTAGGATATGATCTCAATAAACTGCCTGTGTTTATCAGAGTCAGGATTTAACCAGGAGATGTTTTTCATATTGAGCAATTCAGTGTGCTTCACATTCAACAACAATAGCACTGCACATACCGATGGTTGTTTTTATTCTAAAATATTTTATCTTGGCAAAATATTTTGGTCAGTATGCGAAGCTGGTAAAATCTCTGGCATTTTGCATTGAATTACCCATAAATTCCTGAGATCTTTAATCAAAAAAGAGGGAGGAAGCTGGCGGAGGTGGTCCTAAGAGATGCCTCCTCCCTTCCTCTGCCTTCTCACTGAAGGGTGTGCTGGTGATTTCTAGGATAGAGTGAGAAGACCATCAGCTGAGCCCACCCCTTCTTGCCCAGGTGGGCACTGAGGCCCAGGATTTCACCTAGGCCTGTGTGTTTCCCTGTTCCTTCTTCTAGGATGGACATCCTGTTATGTTATAGATCTTCACTCAAGCAGAGACTCACTCATACTTTTTTTTACTTTGAATCCTGGAAAATATTTTCCTTTTGACTCTTAATTTATGGTAGAGGCAATATCAGTTCTCTGTGGCTTCTGGTGGCAGGCAGATGGAAGAAAGGATGTTCTGCCCCAACAAGTTGGAGATGTGCAGCTCGCCAAACCTTTAGGGCCCTAATGGGAGGAAGATTTCTGTGAACAGAAGCCCTCCCCATGGAGTAAGGAGTGATTTGCTTCCAGCGTATCTCACCCTTTGTTTCCTTTCCACCTTTGTTTGTTTGTTTATTTATTTATTTGAGACAGAGTCGTGCTCTGTTGCCCAGGCTGGAGTGCAGTGGCACGATCTCGGCTCACTGCCACCTCTGCCTCCTGGGTCCAAGAGATTCTCCTGCCTCAGCCTCCCGAGTAGCTGGGATTACAGGCGCCTGCCACTGTGCCTGGTTAATTTCTGTATTTTTAGTAGAGACGGAATTTTGCCATGTTGCCCAGGCTGGTCTTGAGCTCCAGGGTTCAAGCAATCCACCTGCCTTGGCCTCCCAAAGTGCTGGGATTACAGGCTTGAGCCACCATGTCTGGCCAACCTCCTTTAGTTTATAAGCTGTTCTCCGCCCCCTTCATTTCTACCTCTCCCCTCTCCTCTCTCTCCAGCCTTGTTTAGAAGACTGGATCACATCACAGATAATTCTCCTGAGCTCAGGGAGGGAATCGTCCACACTAGGAGTAAATTCGGATTAAATGTAATTTTAATTTAGTCCTTCAGCCACTAACTTTAAGTAAATTCAGTAAGGACTCCACCACCCCCAGCTCCAACCCCACCTTTAAAAATTATAAATGACTACTGAATTAAAGAAAGGGTCATTGAGAACTTAGAGTTCTGGAGTTATGTGCAGGATGAATGTGTTACTTTTGTTTTTCGTATGAGTTAACAATACAAATGACCTTTCAGTTGAAAACTATTCCTGGACTATGTAGGAGTGATTCACTGTATGTCCTTATAACACAACTGGTAGGAAAAAAGAACCAAACACCCAAATTTACCTTAGTCTAAACAGAGTTAATTAACCGCACATCGTCTGGTTATTTTAGCACTATGTAGAAACACAGATTTTAAGTCACTTTTGGTGATTCAGAGTTTTGTTTTGTTTTTTTAAATGTGAACTATTTAATCCTTTGGTCAATGAATTTATCTTTGTTTTTTTCTCCTTATTTTCCTTTAAAAATATATCTCTCTTCTTTGTATTTAGATGTGTTTCTATTGTGACAAAATCTGTGATAGAGACTTTTTTTTTTTTTTTTTTGTATAGGTTACTGGGTGTAGAGAAAATACAACAAAGAGCAAGGAGCCCATTTTTGTAGGCAGAACCATTTAGGTTTGATTCCTTGCTCTGTAACTTGTTGGCTTTGAAACCAGGACAGCAACTTCTCTGAATGTCAGTTTCCTAGCCTGTAAAAAGAGAATAATACTTACCTTGTGGAGTTGTTGGCAGGGTTAAGAGACGTATTGGAGAACTACAATGGCAGACAATTAGTAAGAACTCACTTCTTAAGTGTTAATTCCTTTTTCCTTTTGTGTGGGTTTAGCTCAGTTTAGCTGTAGTACAGATGGATCATTAAACATGAAGCAAATTTATAGCTCGCTCACTTTCATCATTCACGGATGAGTAGTGTTGTCTTGTTCAAGAGGACAGAATTGTTGGTAGAGGAAACATTAGAACTCATATGTTCCTTTCTTAGGCCCAGACTCTTCCTCTTCTAATATAGCTTGACCCATCATTCAGTAATCCTTACTGTTGAATTCTATAAAACATAGCAGCCACTTCTGCAACCCTCCCAATCTAGTCCCACCAAAAGATTTGGAGTTATGAGCAAATACAATCTCAATCTCTATCTACTTACTAGTGAAGGCAAAGTTATAGTACATATAATTTGTAGGTCCTGTGGTTGTTATGAAACCCCTTCATTACTATCTCTCCTGAAATTTAGAAATACTCAGAATTTGGATAGCTTTTTGGTACAGCATGAGTTGACACCCGGTTAAAACATTTATGTCCAGAAGTAGAAAGGCTAGTTCAAAGGATGTGTACATAGAACAGAGAATACTAGAGGCTGGGAAGGGTAGGGGGAAGGCGGAGATAGGGAGAGATTTGTTAAAGGATACAAAATTACAGCTAGATAGGAGGAATAAGTTCTAGTGTTTTATTCATCTGCAGGATGACAATAGTTAATAATAACATAGTGTATAGTTTCAAATAGCTAGAAGGAGGGTATTGAATGTTCCCAACACAAAGAAATGATGAATGTTTGAAGTGATGGATATGCTAATTACCATGATCTGATCACTATGTATTACATGTATTGAAACATCACTATGTGCTCCATGAATATGTACAATTATTATGTTAAATAAAAATAAAATTAAGCAATTAAAAATACTTCATTTGATATATAGCAAATATCTTTGCATTGTGATTTTAAAATTTTGTCCTAGTTTGTGAGCCAAATAACTTCAAGTGGCTACATTAAAATAAGCCATCGGATCTAAGATCATTAATTTTAAGACCTCCTAATTTTAGGAATGTTAAATGAGAACATGTTGTCTTAGAATAGAAGAAATGTACAGGCATGGTCCTTTAACACTGGCTAGTTGAGAAATGAGAGTATTTGGATTTTGATATGTGCACATAAATACCCTTACAGGTTTTATGACTTTCATTCAGTTATTTATGAATGTTCAATTGTATTTGCCATGGTAGTAACGGAACATTCCTGTTATAGGCTGAGGATTGTAAAATGTTACTAATCTAAATTGTTGAGGATCATATTATCCCACTTTGACCTTTATAGCACTGGCACGTAACCTGTCTCTAAAAATAGCAACTAGTAAGTATATTTTATTTAGAGTAAAAAAACAAAAATTAAAACAGAGGAAATGTTGGCAGATTTCACTAACATAGGAGATTGTACTGATTTGCACTCTCACTAGCCACATATGAGCATGTCAATTTCTCCTACATCTCACCAACACAGTATATTAGCAAGATTCTGATATTTACTAATCTGGTAGGTAAGAAATGTTTGTCTTCTTAATAATTTGATGACCCAGCTTGTTTTCCTCAGTTCCTCTCGTTCCTGCTTTCCTCTTCTCTTCCATGTTCCACTCCCATCTCTTTCTGTCTATCATCAGGTATTTTTGGTTGAGATTTTCACGTGCTTAAAGCCATTGATTGGGAAGCATCCACGGAACAGATGATCTGGAAGAACCCAGAGTTCAGATATTTGCAGGAAACTGAATTCAACGAGGATGATGAAAAAAAGCAATGAATCACTCTTAAGAACTAGACAGCAGCAAATTATCGATTCAATACACAGTTGACCTACAATTCCACAGTTTCTGAGATGAGGTATTATAAGGTGAGACCTCAGGGTTACTGAAGTATTGATAAGGCCTTCTGGTCAACTTGTCTTGTCATAGCCAAAGAATACATGTTTGGCCTTAAATGGCCTAAAATTTAAAAATATATATATAGATATTTAGCAGCATGAAATCCAGCACACATAACTGCAATCTAGAAGAGTTGCAGATACACAAATCAAACTCAGCCAGTGGGTTAGCAAGGAAGCTGAAGGTGCCTTGTCCTGTGATAAGCTTCCTCAAGACCAGTATCCAGTCTTCTGAGTATTTATAGCCCCTTATCATACCACTAGAAGGCCAAGCCCATAATAAGCATTTGCTCCTTGCCAGTTTAAAATGTGCTAGAAAACCAAGTGACTTTGGATTTAGGGCCAGCACCCTGAGTTATTTTTAAGCCTTCAGGCCACCCTTCTGTTCAGGCTTTGGCTGAATAGCCCCTGCCAACCCGAGGGAGGAAGTACCGAGTCTCTGAGTCTGCTCTCCTCTGTCTTCCACATGCTTTGGTTCTTCCCTTGTGCACGCTTTGCAAGAGGGGGCCTTACTCAGTGCAAACACTGGGGGCAAAGTGACTGGCTCTTTTCAGTATTTTTCCAGCAGGAACATTCATTCATTATATTAACTTTTTTTTTTTTTTCCAGGCAGCATAGCATAGTGATTAAGAGCGTGGACTCTGGAGCCAGACTGCCTGGATTTAAATCATGACTCTGCCACTTACAGGCTGTGAGGCCAGCATGTTACTTTTCCACTTAGTACCTCATTTTTCTCATCTGTAAATGAGGATAATTAAATATACATGCAGGCATGTGCCACATAACAACATGTTGGTCAAAGAGTGGCTATGTACACATACAACAGTGGCCCCATAAGATTATAAAGGAGCTGAAAAATTCCTATCACCTACTGACGTCATTGCTAATGTCACATCATGGAGCAATTCATTATTCACGTGCATGGGGGTGATTCTGGTGTGAACAAACCTATGTCACTGCCAGTTGTATAAAAATAAAGCACATATAGTTATGTACAGCACATAATACTTGATAATAAAAATCTGTGTTGCTGTTTTATGTATTTACTATACTATACGTTTTATTATTATTTTAGAGTGCTTTCCTTCTGTTTATAAAAGAAAGTTAATAAAACAGCCTCAGGTTGCTCCGTCAAGAGGTATTTCAAAAGAAAGCATTGTTATTATGGGAGATGACAGCTCCAGGCTTGTTACTGCCCCTGAAGACCCTCCAGTGGGATGAGATGTGGAGGTGGAAGACAGTGATATTGATGATCATGACCCTGTGTAGGCCTAGGATAATGTGTGTATTCATGTCTTACTTTTCAACAAAAAATTTAAAAAGTTTAAAAAAATTTTTAAAAGCTTATGCAATAAGGAAATAAAGAAAGGAAATATTGTGGTGCAGCTGTACAGTGTGTTTGTGTTGTAAACTGAGTGCTTTTACAGAAGAATCAAACAAAAAATAAAGTTTATTGGGAGGCTGAGGCAGGCGGATCACGAGCTCAGGAGATCGAGACCATCCTGGTTAACATGGTGAAACCCTGTCTCTACTAAAAATACAAAAAAATGAGCCAGGCATGGTGGTGGGCGCCTGTAGTCCCAGCTACTCGGGAGGCTGAGACAGGAGAATGGTGTGAACCCAGGAGGCGAGGCTTGCAGTGAGCCGAGACTGCGCCACTCCACTCCAGTCTGAGCAACAGAGCGAGACTCTGTCTCAAAAAAAAAAAAAAAAATTGTAAAACAGTTACAGTAAGATAAATTTATTATTAAAGAAAGAAAAATTTTTAATAGATTTAGTGTAGCCTAAGTGTACAGTATTTGTAAAGTCTACAGTTGTGTACAGGAATGTCCTAGGGTCTCACGTTTCTCAGCACTCACTCACCCAGAACAACTTCCAGTCCCACAGACTCCATTCCTAGTAAGTGCTCTATACAAGTGTATCATTTTTTTTTATCTTTTATATGGTATTTTTACTGTACCTTTTCTGTGTTTGGATACCATACCATAGTATGTTTGGATATGTTTAGATACACAGATACTTACTGTATTATTCTGTTTCTCACGCTGCTATAAAGAACTGCCCGAGACTGGGTAATTTATAAAGAAGAGGGGTTCCGCAGGGCTGGGGAAGCCTCAGGAAACTGACAATCATGGCAGAAGGGAAAGCAAACACATCCTCCTTCACATGGTGGCAGGAAGGAGAAGTGAGAGTCGAGCGAAGGGGGATGCTCGCCATACGTACACTCTGCTGTTTATACAACAAAATCACCTAACACATTTCTCAGAACATATTCTTGTCATTAAGCGACACATGACTGCACATTCATACTTATGTGGTTGTGTGTGTGTGTGTTTGTGTGCACGTGTGCGTGTAGTCTAATGAAGTGCCTGACTTATGGTAAGTGATCTGTGTTTATTATTATTGTTTTTATTTTTATTTCCACTAAGGATAAATGGAAAATGCTTACCGTGTACCAATCTTACAAACGTTTAATTATTTTTTTAACTTAATTTTTTTTGAGACGGGGTTTCACTCTGTTGCCCAGGCTGGAGTGTGATGATCTGATCATGACCCACTTCAGCCTCGAACTCCCAGGCTCAAGAGATCCTCCCACCTCAGACCCCCAAGTAGCTGGGACTACAGATGTACACCACCACGTCTGGCTAATTTTTAACATTTTAAAAATTATTTTTGTAGAGATGGGGTCTCACTATGTTTACCAGGCTGGTCTCCACCTCCTGGACTCAAGCCATCTTCCCACCCAAGACTCCCAAAATGTTGGGATTACAGGCATGAGCCACCATGCCCAGCCTCAAACATTTTATACATACTAACTTTACTTGCAACAACTTAATGGATATCATCATCCCCCTTTTTATATATGGACACTAAGGCACAAAGAGGTTAAATACATTGCTCAAGGAACTTACCTAAGTTAGAAAATGGCTGAGCCAGGGTTTGCAGTCAGATTCTAGAACCTGCAGTTGTAACGACTGTGCTATGCATGAAACTTCTCTTGCAGAATGTACAGTCTAGTGACTCCAGCATACCAGCAATAGTAATAGTCACAACCTCAGCAGTAGCAGTTGACAGAGGGTGTGTTTTGTGCTATGTTTACCACTTCACGTGCTTAAGCTTATCTCTTCTTCCCTGGGCCTTATGAGGGAGCTACTACTAGCGGAAACTAAGGAACACTGGATGCCGTGGCCACCAAGTGGTGGAGCCATAATTTCAGCCTAAACCTGTCTGATTCCAGTGTCCTTGCCCTGAATGCCACCCTGAGCGTTTCCAGTTGGGATTCTGTGTCTTGGACCAGGTGGTCCAACTGCTATGTGTTCAGTGGACTTGGAAGCTTTCCCTTTTCTTTCCGCCCTTAGCTTTGTCTCACTTGATTCTGCCTGGAGAGCCTCATTAATTTTTTTTTTTTTTTAAACTTTAAGTCCCAAAGAAGGCTAAACTACAGATTCTTTGTCACATCCTGGGTACTGTAACCAAGTCTTATTTTGTTTTTATTGAGCGTGAATCAGTTTTAGATCCTCGAGATGAATGAATTCAAGGGCTTTTCTTAAACTCAAATCAAATATATATTGAGCCAGGACCGCAGTTTGAATCTGTTGGGCTGTAGGCAGGAAGGCAGCACTAAGGAGAAATCTAGTGTTTCCCAAAAGATAATGAGGACAGTGGGCCTGTGTAGAAGGGAAGGGGCAATGCCAGTCACCTGTGTCACAACTCTGCCTAAAATGGGTTTTAGGGATGGGATCCACTTCTGGGACAAGTGCTTTGACAAAGCTGGTATGGGAATAGGAATCATACCCCCTGCAGTCCCTGTGAGCCCAGGCAGGACAACCCACTGACACAGGGCAGAAGGGAGCAAGCGAGGAGCAGAGTTCTGGACATTGCACCCCTCTGCCGTGGGCATGGCACACAGTGGGAGGCACCACTTTGTCTGAACAAAAATAAATACTCCTCTTTATGATCACCCGGAAATGTGGATTTTTCCCTTTGTCACTGTCTAATTAGTGGAGACACCTGAGAATTCAATTTTTTATGGGTTTTTGTTGTTGTTTTTGTCAGGGTCTTGTTTGTTGCCCAGGCTAGAATGCAGTGGCATGATCGTAGCTCACCATAGCCTCAAACTCCTGGACTCAAGCGATCCTCCCACCTCAGCCTCCCAAGTAGCTGAGATTACATGTATACACCACCATGCCTGGCTAATTAAAAAACAAAAATTGTAGAGATGGGGTTTGCCCAGGCTGGTTTCAAACTCCTGGCCTCAAGAGATCCTCCTGCTTGGGTCTCCCAAAGCGCTGGGATTACAGGTGTGAGCCACTACACATGGCCAATTTTTTATGTTTTTAACATTTTGGCAATGTTCTTCATTAATAATTCCTCAGCAATTTTATAATAATAATATATTTTCCTTTTTTCATATTTATGTTGATTGAATTTGTAAGGTCGTGTATGTAAATACACAGTTTTTTATTAACATACACACACATATACATTTTCTCTTAAAACGTTTGTAAAGGAAAAAAAAATGTTATCCACTCTTCAAGATGAGACTGTTTAGACATCTTCATTTTTCAGTTTTGAGATATACCAACATTAAACAGCAATTTTCAGAGGTGATACGTGTCTTGTTAGTACTGTTCCATTTATACAATGGATCAGTGCATCCCCACAAAACCTGAGTTTAAACTTCCACACTGCAGTTGAGACAGACATGAATATTTGGATTATTAAGAAACATAAAAAACTAGGCCACATCAAAATATTTGGGACTAGTTCATAAAAAATAAAAGTAAAGCAAACATTTACAGTTTGTTTTAAAGCAAGTTGCTGGGGAAAGTCTTTCTACCAGCTTTGTTTTAACACAGCTCATGGATATAGATGTTTCTGTCAAAATTAAGTCATTGGTAACTCCATCTGAGGAGCTGTCTATTCCATTTTTTTCTCGAGGAATGAAGACAGGCCTTTTGGGGTGAAGCCCTTTGGACTGGCATCCTGCCATGTAGGATTTTGGCTGTGAAGTATCTCAACTTTTGAAAAGAAATATCCATTTTGGCCTTGGCTTTAAAATGTGGGACTTCATAAATGTGAAACTACATAATTTTATTTCCGTCATAGTAAAAGGCACTAAAATTTACAAGGAATGCCACGCTAAACTGTAGGTTCCTTGAGGAGAAGGGACAAGGTCACATTTATTGCTTTACTCTCTGGCATTAGGAATACATCCAATATATAGTTGGTGCTCAGTAAATATTTATTGAAGTGAATTCCATCTACAATGGGGATTAGCCAGTTTTAAGAAATAAGAAGATAATTTTCCTGTGAATTTTGACTTGTAATCTTTCAAAGTTGGTTTAAGGACAGACACAAGATTAAATCACTTAGGACCAATTTAAGATAAGGAAAATAAGGGAGGATTGTACTTCTGTTGGCTGTCATTCATCTCTCATTTCAGTGGGCACTAATCAAATGAGAACATTTATTTTTCCAACCTTTCTCTCTTCTTTAATTATTGGATTCACCAAATAATTATTAGCCTAAGCATATGTTTTATGCCAAGGATTGGGCTAGACCCACAGGACTGCAAAGGTAAATAAAAACCAATGCCTTCTCCCAAAAGGAGGCAGGTCGGTAAATTAAATTAAGTGTGGCAGGTGCCCCGATAGAAGGATTGAGGTACATGATACTAATCTCTCTTTTTTCATCTCCTTTCTTTCCCTTCTTCTTTATTCTTTCTCCCTTTCAGAAGTTGAATTCTTGTAGGTTATGTTGGGGTTGAAGACAAACCCAGATCTGCCATGGCTATCCTCACACCTTGTCTAGCCAGTGAGCTGAGTTCGACTATGGCAAAGGCATTGAGGAGTTGTTAGTGCATGAATGACATGTGGAGTCTGTCTAGGGAAGTCTAAAGTTCATTGGGGGCCAATCCATGTACATAACTAACCATAATGCGAGATGGACAATAGAAGTGAGGTAACCAAGGTATGGATAAATTCCTGTGTTGAGGGGCCAAAGAGAATAATTCCTTGTGGCTGTGAGTGGGAAGAAACTGAAGGCTTCATGGAGGAAGCGGTCAGGCCTGGACTGTGTAGCAGGATTGGTACCTTACCCTTAGTTCATGTAGGAATATGAATACTAAAAATTTCAGTATTAGGTACTCAATGAATATTTTTTCACCGATATGAATTTTATGATGATGTACCACCTTTCCCCCTTAAATCTGTTGTTTTTTAACTTTTCATGTGGGTGTTAATACAACTCTATTTTTAAGCTCTATGAGGCCAGAGCCCACATCCTGTACTTTTTGCTTTTCTCCATATCATGGGGTTTTCAAACTGTTCCCTGGCACTAAAGACTCTAGTTGGGGTATTTTCACTGGAGGAGGGAGGCCTTAGATCTATCAGGAAATTGCCGATTGTTTTCCTGTTTTGTTTATGAGGCTATCATTTCAGAATCCATTTTCCTTTTCTTCTTTCATCTCAAAACTTTTTTCATCTTCACTCAGTAGTAGCTCTGTACAGCTTTGGATGTGCATCTATTTAAGGCTCTCACTTGAAAGTATGTTTTGCCGCAAGTGGAGAAGGAATAATAAATGTTTATCCATGGCCTAAATAAGGGATGAAAAAACAGCTGATACATTTTTATAGCTGTTCTACCTCTGTACTCATCTGACCATAATCACCTAGTATTTATTATTATTACTTATTAGTAATATTTTAGGTTTTGTCTTCTTTGCCTCCACTTCACATGATTTATTGGCTGCAAACAAATATAGTTATTCCTTTTATTTTCATTTCAGACTTTGCCATGTTTTCAGGGCCAGTCCAACTCAGTTAAACAATTACAAGTTGACTGCCACATGTACACATAGCACTAAACTAGGATTTTGTAGAGGATGCAGAGGTGAAGAGTAGGGAGCCTCTGCCGTCTACGGGTTCAAGGTCCAATGTGGAGGACATGTCTCTAAATCATGCCGTTATCAGTTAGACTGTGGAGAATGCTACAACTGAAGAACAGCAAGGCTCTGTGGGACTTGAGGGGAAAAAGAGATTAATCTCCACAGGGGTTATTCAAGTTCATGGCTCTCTCTAGTTAGTGAAGTTGTTCATGATGCTGAAAGTCCCTCCTGTGCACAGTGCCCGGCACATGCTGTAGAGCCTGCTCAGCACTGTTTTGACAAGTGGTACATTTACATGGTAAAAAAATCTAAAACTCTCCAAAAGGACATACAGTGGAAAGTCCGTCTCTTAACACATTCCGTCATCCTTCCTCTCTGGAGACACATGCTTTTCACAATTTCCTGTGTCTGACTGATTGTTAAAGATTTGTTTTCTGGAAGATCCTTTTTCAATTTTATTGAATTCACCCCAATGTAATAAACATTCTGCATATGTGCCAGGTGCTGTGTTAGGTCGTGGGAATACCACGAATAGGATCCTGGTCTCTGAGAGCTCACAGTATGATATACATAAAGTTATGGCTTGGAATATGACATATTCAGCGATGTGATGGAGATATGGGGAAGTGCTGTGATAACTCAGAGGAGGGAATGAATGACTCATTGCCCCAGGGTGGGGTTGGGGAAGTTTCATAGAGGTCATGATTCTTCAGTTGGGACTTGGGGGATGAGGATTTCACTAGACTGAGGTGGAGACAAGTAAATTACATGCCAAAAGAGTGATATGTTCAAAGACATAGAATACTGAAAATACATGTCTGAGTAGGGTATGTGCAGTGGTAGTTACATCTGGTGGTTGAGGTCAAATTGTGAGAGACATTGAATTTCTGATCCTGTGAAGTTTGGACAACTCGTGTAAGGACAAAGAAATGGTTAAAAGCACGTGCACATGGTAGGCACTTTAACATAGCTGTCTTTTAGAAGGATAATTGTATTAGGCCATTCTTGCGTTGCTATAAAGAAATACCCAGGACTGGGTAATTTATGAGAAAAGAGGTTTAATTTGCTCACAGTTCTGCAGGCTTTACAGGAAGCATAGTGGCATGTGCTTCTGTGGAGGCCTCAGGAAGTTTCTACTCATGGCGGAAGGGGAAGCAGGCGACATGAACATCACTTAGCAAAAGCAGGAGCAAGAGAGAGAGTGGGGTGCCACCATTTTTAACAACCAGATCTCATGAGAATTCACTGACTATTGCGAGGACAGCACCGAGGGGATAGCGCTAAACCATTCATGAGAAATCCGCCCCCGTGATAAAGCTAGTCACCTCCCACCAGGCCCCACCTCCAACAGTGGGAATTACACTTCAACATGACATTTGGGCAGGGACAAATATTTATAATATGTCAATAATTTTGATGGTTCTCAGAAGGATAGAATGGGCAGGGGAGAAAGGGTCAGTGTAGAGATCAGTGGGGATTTTAATTCTGGCTATCACGTGGACAGGATAAAATGAGAGGGTGGCAGTGGCCATCAAGAAAAGTGAGGTCTGAGAGATACTACAGAAGGAGAAGTGGTGAGCTCTGCTGGTACAGGAAGACACCAGCAATCTGGAGAGAAACAAAGCATCTTCAAAATGCAGAGTAAGAAATGAGAAGAAAAAAGAACCCTTAGAAAATATCAATGCTTAAATGGAGGAAAGATTTAAAAAAAAAAAGCCATCAGTGATAGAGGCAAACTGATTGATTATAAAGGCGGAATGACAGTAGAGAAAAGCACAGTGGTGGGAGTTTGAGCAAGGAGTGTTCCTTAGTGTCTGACCATTGCTTTACTTGACCTGAAGTCAAGTCAAGATTGAGAGAGAGCTTTTTATTTATCCATTCCTTCATTTGCAAGCTGTTTTGTTGTTTCTGTTGAGTATATAATTTTATGTATAAACACTAACAAGATCATTTTCTATGTGCTTTTTTTTATTCCTCCCAAAAGTTTTTGCATTGCGTTGTTTGTAAAACTTGATAGCCACTTTTCATCTAGGATGGAGTCACCCTTATCTGCGTCTTTTTGACCTGCATCAATATGAATGCAAGAGGCTTCTTTAAGAACACAATGCCAAGCATTTTGGAAGATTCCTGTGCATGGATTGAGATGTACAGATTAATGGCCACAGTCCTAACGTGGTGTTCTAGAAACAGCGTCAGTCCACACGAGGAGGAAGCCAAGGAGTTTGTTAGGTCACCAGAGCTCGGAGCTTGAAGCGCAGCTTTACTGTACGGCATGCTTCTGTTGTTTATAACTTTCTGTAATGTGTGATAACAAAGAGCAGTGTGTGGTAACAAAGAACACTCTGTTACCACGAGTTATTTTAACCACCATCCTTCGGCTGCTCAGCCTTTTTTCCCCTTCTTCCTCACAGCTCTGTTTCTGGCTCCATGTCTCCGTCACCCACTTCCACCTCCTCCCCAGCTGCTCCTCCTCGTCTCCTTGTGTGAAGTCCTTTCCCGTGGCTGTTTCTTCTCCACCACGCGAACCTGCTGGAGGCTCTTGGCTTGATAGCATTAGCAATTTGCCATTATTTTTTCCTCTCCTTGCGCATGCATTTCTACCAAAGGTTCTTCAAATGTAGAGAACCGCAAGATAAGAGATATCCCACAGGCCCCTCTAAGTTTAAGGGGAGGCTAGGAATTTGTGTGTGTGTGTGTGTGTGTGTGTGTGTGTGTGTGTGTTAGAGAGAGGAAGGAAGGAGAGAGAGATTACACATTGCTGGCATCATATCACTCTGCTGTTGGTTTGAGGGCTTCGTAGTCTTTTTCTCCCCTCCCAAAGGAGTTCTTGCTGTCTTTTTAATACTACCAAGCCAGAAACACAGAATGGGCTTTTTAAAAACAGACCTGGAAAAGTTGCTGTGTTTTGTTCTAAAAATCCTGGCCTCAGACTCTGAATGGTAACAGAGCCTTGAGCAGCTCCATCTGAACTCCTGGAGAGAGGCAGGAAGTCATCTGCAATAGTGTAAATGGTGATGAACCCAGAGTAGTTAAACAGAGGCAGTTTCTTTCTCTAGAGATGATTTCTACATGCGTTGGCTTTTATTCTGGCATGAAGTAGCAAGTGAAACCAGAAATTATTGATGTAAGCAAATGGTACATAGGGCAAGAGTACTGTAAGCTTAGCTGGTCATCTTGCATAGATTTCAAGGTAGAGGGTAATTTTTATAGCTCTCCTTGCACTTTCTGCAGTGGATTTTTTCTTGTGTTTTTGGCTTGGTTTATAAAACACACCTGAGATATTTTTCTTGACCTCATTACTTACTCTTAAACATTGTCATACACATCTTCAGTGGTATAAATCATACCAAGAAGGAACATAAAAAATAACTCCGATTTTAACTAAAAAGTTCCTACCTATAGATTGGCTGTATGACCTATGGAAAGTAAATTAATGTTTCAATTTCTCAGGTATTTTTACCCATAGAATGGGAGAATTGAACAACATAAATGGCAACATCTTCTCCACTTCAAACATTCATTAGTAACAGGACAAATTCAAGGCTGGGAGCTGCATTTCACCTAGTATTTAAATTCCATGTATCTAGTAGCAGCTACCTAGAGGGCTGTGGTAAGGATTATGGACTGCCAGGCTCAGTGAAAAGAGTAGGGTATTGATTAGTGATGTCTGCTTTGGTGCAATGATGAGGAGTAGTGGCACATGTTTTGTGCTCTATTGCTGCCCAAATTCTAGTAAGAGGGTCCACAAGACAACTGTGTTTTCATTAAACACACATAAACACACACACCACTTGAACCAAATTGTGGATGAAACCACAGGCATGAGTTCTATTCCATTTTCAGATGATTCAGCTTCAATTAAATCAAATTTCTGTTCCCTTATTTATATATCTCAAACCCAAAGGGAACAGAGAAAAGGGTTTGTGGATAACTCAGTTTAAACATGTCACCACTTCAGACCTAGGTCTTCTAAAAACTTTGGCACTTGCAGAGAACAAGGTACTAAATTACAGCTAGTTACCCATCTAAAATAGCATTGAGCCCCAAAACATAACTTTTTTATGACCATGGGCCTTGGAACAAAAAGAGGTGTCGAAAAATATGTATGGGAAATGGTACAAACTCCATCTTAAGTCTGTTTCGAAAGTGAATATGAACAATTTTTAGAACTACTTTAGTATGTCTGACAAAATTGTGTTTCCAGAATATGCAAGTAAAGAGTGGAGAGTTACAAAGCAGTGTTTGTAGAATGTTAGATAAGATGGTGAAGTTAATCAGATTTCAGGGTTCATCTTGACCCACTGCCTCCCGGGACACTGATCAAAGTTTCGTGAATCCTTCTGATGCAGAGTTATTCATTAGAGTTCTCAGCACATAATTATGGACTGTCAGAAGATTTCAGCTTCGTGTAATAAATGAGAAGCATGCCTGCAGCTTGCTGAGGTGTTAGCTTAATAGTCTCATAAGATAGGTTGTTTTTCTTCTCCCTCAAGACCTGAGCAAAATGGCTTATATCTTGCCCACCCCATTTCAAATGAAGATGTAATGTTTAGGACTTAAATTTCTTTAAAAGTTTATTTCTTAGGGGAAGAAACACAGCTTCTCATTTTATTTCCCTTTCCTTCGTTCTATCTTCTTTTGAACTGGAAGTGTAACAGATTTTGTTTTTATGCCTGAATCTTGGTAAGGATGTAGAAGTTTTTCTTCTACCACACATAGTTATATACAGTAAAATGTTAGTAAATTGGTGCTGATAAGCAGTGCCACATTTAAATTGCTGCCTGCATGATGCTCTTACTCGGAGATGCAATTATTTCCCTTGGTTTTGACAAGATGTCAACTGTGATATGCACAGAGCACAAACATATCCTAAGACACCATAGTGCATTAGAAATCTTTCCAGAGGAAAACTCAAGTTATGTGTCTGGGGCTCCCATTCCGATTCTGTCCTCTGTCTTTGGATGTTTGTTTATGTTTAGATTATTAGCTGATTATGCATATGAAATGGCATTTAAGAAGCATGAATTTTTCTATTTAGTGATCATAATGAACAGTGGCTTCTAGGAGTATTTTGCCTTCATTTTCAAGTTTGAGAATACAAAAAGGAGAACAATTTACCATTAGTCATTTTCTTGGTAATGATTGTAGAATTGCTTGTATATAATGGCTTCTGGAGGGAAATTATGGTGGCTAATTTATGATAGAATTGTACTGCAGTGCAGCTCACTGTTGAGAAAACAGAGATGCATCCGATTCAGAGTCTGGCAGTGAGGAGTTTATAGTCTAGTTGGGGAAATGTATTAGTCACGATAGGCTGGTTGCTATTACAGTCCCTCCAAATCACAGTGGCTTAGCACAATCAAAATATATTTCCAACTAGTTGGGAGGGCTTTACACGTGTTTATCCAGGGACCCAGGCTCCATCCACCTTAGGTTCCAGTATCGTGGGGGTCCACAGTGTTTTCTCCATTTAGCCAGATAAAGAGCAAAGAAAATGAGGATTCCTCATGAGAGGACTGACAGCGGGTAAGTGGCTCTCCTCACATCCCATTGGCCAAAACCCAGGTACATGGCCAAATGTAGGTGCAAGGGAGGCTGGGAAATGTAGTCTAATTTACTACACAGCTGGCAGCCTCTGCCATTGCAGTAAGTATATGCGACAGGGTAAAAAGGGTTAATGTGGTGAGGACAAAGGACTGCAGAGGCCTGGCTAGGAGGGTCCAGATGCTTAATAATACTTTGTATAGAAGGTAAGTGGGTCATTTTTGTACCAGCTCTGTCTGGTAGTCATGCTTCCCTCTAGCACAGTATTCCTTAGTGATGTGCAAGAATTTGAGTGCCTGGCCTGCACTGAATATGAAGCTCATTGTGTAACCTAGGAATAGCTAATGGCCAAACAGTTCTGGGGCAGATTCTACCCTCTACTGCCGTAATCAAGGACAAGCCAGGCAAGACTGGAAAAACGCCCTGTGGAGTAGAAACCCTGCTCATGAAATCAGTTGCCCTGTGTTGCTGCAAGTTGACAAGGACTGTGGTAAGCAGACCCACCTCAAACACCGTTTCCTTGAGAGGTGAAGGGGGTGTGAAGGTTGTACGATGTACGCCCGGGGGTCAAGATGATCCAACGGAAGGCCTGGCTGCAGGTATTGCCACTGAAGAGCCTTGCGTTATCTGCCCCCTCACTTTATCTTTCTTTGATATTTGTAATGTATTTTAATGCCCCTAGACTTCTCTCTTTTGTTGACATTAGTATTTCAGTTTTCAGCCAACTACAAAATATGTCCTACTCAGGGCCAGGATTAGTGTCAGAAATCTAAGGGGGTGCCAAAAGCTCAATAATAAAGGTAAATAATATTTTAATGTAATATTTAATCAGTATTAATTTTTAAAATCCTTGGTGAACAAAATATCAAAATTTTAAATGGGGTAGAATACACATTAGTGATTTATCCTTTCCCTTAGCTCCAGTATGGCACAACAGGGCAGTATTAAATCATCTTGTCTTTATTTAAAATTTTGATAATTTGTTCATCATGCATTTTTTTGTACTAATGTTGATTATTTTAAATACTGCATCAAAATGTTTTTTTATCCTGATTACTGAGTTTTTGGAGCCCCCTTAAATGATTCACCTATGGGGAATACATCATGCCTCACCCTAATCTGAGCTCTGGCACTTACCTCTGTGTCTCTAGTGCCTAGCACAATACCTGAGACATGGTGGGTGCTCAGGAAATGCTTACGAATGCAAGAATGCTGGAAAAATAAATGGGAAAACTAATATGTCAGGTGTCTTAGAATTGGAAGAAAGGATAGTATAGGAACCACAGCACACGGTTTTCAACCCAGTCATAAAGCCAGGGGGGTTCCAATATAGTTAGTCATTGAATTTGACAAGCAGGCAGATTCCTGCACAAACACTTTTACAATAGCATTTTCCAAATGGATCCTGTATGTCACCTTCTTAAATCATTGTGCATATTTTCCACCCTTAAGGAGGAGAGTATTCAGAGTATCCTTTCTTTTTTCAACAAGTGTCTGTTAAATAACTACCTTTTTCTTATTTCTTCTATTTTCTTCCCTTTTTTTTAAATTTTGAGAGAGCAGTGTTGATGTTTACTTATCAGTAGCTCTGATTCATTGAATTTCTCTTACATGTTGGGTGTTGGGTGCTTTGAATGATTACAGCAACCTGTTTCAGGTAGGTTTTCTTTTTTCTTTTTTTTTTTTTTTCACATCCATCTTTCAAAGGTAGAAAAGAAGGCCTTTCCTTATTTTGAGTGGATTTAAAAGTAGAATTTTAAGCTAGGTTTCTCTGGCTCCATAGCCATGCTCTTCCCAGCACTGGGGACATGCTTGGGGATAAAGGCATTCCTCTGGTTGTGACTTTAACGGCATCCCAAAGGCAGAGGAACAGAATGCGGACTTTGAAACTGCTCTGACCTCCGCTGATGACAGGAACATTGCTGGACATGCAGGTGAGAATCTTATCAGTGGGATGAACTGCCCCAGACTTGTAGAGGCTTTCAGGTGGTGGGCTCCCTTTTTGCTTTCTTCGCTATGGCTTGCAAATCCTGCAGTTTAAGGAGGCAGCATACCTCTCAGAGGAAGTACAAGACAGTCTTTTTCCTAGTTTGCCTTTGACTAGGATCTTAAGCCTGTGAGACTCTTTGGGCTTCAATCTTTTAATTTGCAAAGAGGGAATAATTCTAATACCTTTCACTTACCACCCATGTTGACTATTGTTGAGTATGTGCAAGGCATAAATGTCATCTGTGCAAAATTTAAATGTTTGGAATTTACTCCAAAAGCAATGGGACCCTATTTCAGGGAATCAGAGAAGGTAATGATGATACAAGCTGAAACCAAACCACAGTAGAATGTGAGTGCAGGAAACCCTCCTTTAGTATGAAATATCTTGTTTGCATTAAGCTGTTTTACCTTGGAAGAGTTTGGTTCTATTTAGCAGTTTCCTAAAGAAGGAAGGCTGTATTTTCAGCCAAAGACCTGGAAAACATTTGTTTTTAAGAAAAGGTAGCTTAATCATTTTTCTGATGTTGTGGGGTGGGGCGGGGGACAGAGGGGAGGCATTTCAAAGCACAGACTTCTCTTATTCTGATGATCCAATGCCCTCTCTGAGTTCTAAAGTAGCTAAACACATTCATAGTAGTTTCACTGAAAGAAAGGACAGCCTGGAGCCAAAACTTTCATGCCAAACTTTAAGCTAGGGCAGAGTTTTATAGCCATGTTAGAAACCTCTGAAAGAAGGGGGATTATAGTGAAAAATGCTGACCTGTCCTTAACCTAACAGCAGGAATGGCAGCACCACAATCATAATGGTTTCTCCACCGCTTTACCCTGCCTGGCTGGCAAAGATCTCTTGGCTTCCTTTTGCGGCCCGATCTGTAGATGGGACAGCTAGGTAAATACCAGGCAGCCTGTGGTGGTTCCTGTGTTTTGCTTGAGCTGTTACTGGGCCACATAGATCTCCAGAGAGCCTTGAGGCCATGCAAGAAGAATTATATTGTTACAGAATCAGAAGATTTGGAAGTGCACTTGAGTTGTGTAGATCAGAAATTGTCAGACAAACCCCTGCTGAACCCAGGGGTTTCCCAGAAGAATGGGTCAGGAGCAGGACTTTGCAGAAGCATCTGGTGGAATGGGGCCAGGCAGGTAGGGGCAGGATACTCCATACCTCCATTTTAGCCAAAGCACCACTGCTTTGATACATATTGGGTTTGACATAATATTATATTTGCAAAAAGGATTATATTGAAAAAAATGATTTTAAGACCACTGGTCTGGTGTAACTTACTTTCGGTCCAGAAATTTCTTTTACAAATTCTTAGGCCAGAGATAATTCATTCTCAATTTACTTAGCTCCAGCAATGGGGGACCATATCATTCAGGGTCCAATGAAGAGACTGGAATCACACCAGTCATTTTAACAGAGAGCTCACTATAAAGAATTGTGAACTAGGTATCAGAAAACTGGGAAAGTAAAAAAGGGAAGAAAGTGACTGCATAAAATAGCTATTCCCTCTTGAGATAGGAACAAAGGAAAGAGATTGGAATTATTAAAACTTAGAAGCTCAGAGGAAGGTATGGAGCTGGGAACCAGATTTCTGAGGAAGAGACTGCTAAGGAGGCTGGTTCTGGGAGTGTTGGCAAAATGACAAACTGGAATCCACTGCTGCTGCCAAGATGAAGAACCTTTAGTGGAGGGACGCTGACAAGAGAACAGGACCAGCCCGCCCTTTCTCTTTCCTTCACTTACCCCCCCGCGCCCCCTGTTGGTAGAGGCCGACAGGGACTACCCTGGCAAAGGAGAAATATTGTAGATTTCCAGTGTCTCAAAGAACAGCATAGAAGGATATTTTCTTAAGCTGAGATGCAATAGCTTAACGGCCAACCCAGGGTTTCCTGTTCTGTTGTTGAATCAGCTTTAAATGAGAAACAAAGAAGCAGACAGAAAAACAAAATCTCTTTCCTTTTTTTGAGGAGAAGTATCTTTCCTTTCTAAGTTTTATTTTCTCCAGGCCAACTATGCCCAGTCCCTCTCCTGTCTCTAAGACATGCTGCATGGATGTTTTGGTTGCCATCCTTTGGACAGATGCCAGTTTCTCAGCATCTCTTTTAAATGTGGGTCTCAATTTGTCAGTGCCAATTGAAAGCCTTAAGAATGTGCATACTTTCTGTATTAACAATTACACTTCTAGGAATTTATCTTTATAAATTTTTGTCTGCCTAGAAATTAAGCTATAAGGTTATTAATTTCAAAGTTGCTGACAATTTTTTTAAAAACATGGAAAAATCATAAATGTTCAATAATAGGGGATTGCTTTAGACTGTGGAATACTCAGCAGATATCAATGACAAATAAGAAGAAAATTGGACATCATCGTTGTTATTGTTTTTTTAGACAAGGTCTTGGTCTCTCACCCAGGCTGGAGTGCAGAGGCTTGAGCTCAGCTCACGGCAACCTCCACCTCCCTGGCTCAAGCCATCCTCCCACCTCAACCTCCCAAGTAGCTAGGACTACAGGCATGTGCTTCCATGCATGGCTAATTTTTATATTTTCTTGATAGAGACAGGGTTTTGCCATGTTGCCCAAGCTCGTCTCAAACTCCTGGGTTCAAGCCATTCCCTCGCCTTGACCTCCCAAAATGCTGAGATTGCAGGTGTGAGCCCCTGTGCCCAGCCAAAAAATTTAACATTATGAAAAGAAAGTCACATTATATTTTTAGGAAAAATAAGACAGGCTATGAAGTGGCATCACAGAAACATTCATTTTTTAGTACATATTTAAATTCACATTTTTAAAGAAAGACTGGAGGATGTGTACTACAGATAAATATCCAACATATGGTTGGTGGCTATTTTGAGGTGGAGAGATAATGGTCAATGTTCTTTTTTATCTACTTATTTGTATTTTAAATATAGTTTACAATTTACAGTTCATTAGAATATACTAATTATAGTACATTTTCCTTTTGTAAGAAAGAAAAATTAATGTGGTACTCAGAACAAAACTTTAGGTATGGGAGCATAGGAATCGGTCATAGGAGATAACACTACAGGTATGCGTTGATGAATGCATAGTATAATAGGATCACAGTTTCCCTTCCTCTGAGAAACATAGTTTTAGTAAGACAACCTAAGATGGCATTCTTTTTCTTTTGCAATTATGTTACTCCGTGGTAAATTTATAATCATTTAAAATTTAATATTTTTTTCACATGGAGATTATAGTTCTTATGGGATAGTAGATGGAACTCATTAATCAAGTCTTCCTACACTCTACAGATTTAAAATGTATTGTTTAATCAACTTGTTGGGCTATAATTTACATTAAATAGAGTGTAAATATTTTACATTTTAAATATAAAGTTCCATGAAATTTGACCAATGTGTACCCTTGTGAAACCACCACCACAGTCAATATATGGAACATTTCCATCACCTCACAAAGTACTAATTTTTTCTTCGTGAGGTGTTCCTTTGCAGTCAATCCTTCTGTTGGCTCTGGGCCTAAGGAGCCACTTCTCTGCTTTCTATTCCTTTAGATTAGATTTGCCTTTAAAGGAATTTTACATAAATGGAATAATGCTGTATGTACACTTTTGTTTCTCACTTCTTTTCCTCAGTATAATGTTCTTGAGATTTATCTGTTGCTGCATGGTTAAGTAGTTCCTTTTTATTGATGATTAATGTTGCATTGTACGACTATATCACAGGTTGCCTATGCATACACTTCTTGGTGGGCACTTGGGTTGTTTCTGGTTTTGAGCTATTTTGAATAAATCTTTTGCAAATATCCTAAAAACTCTTTTTAGCACCTATGTCTAGGCTATATATTGATCCCTATCGAATATCTTTTTTGTTTTGTTTTGTTTTGTTTTGAGACGGAGTCTCGCTCTGTCATCCAGTCTGGAGTGCAGTGGCACGATCTCGGCTCACAGCCAGCTCCGCCTCCTGGGTTCACACCATTCTTCCGCCTCAGCCTCCCGAGTAGCTGGGAGTACAGGCACCCGCCACTATGCCCAGCTAATTTTTTTTTTTTTTTGTATTTTTAGTAGAGACGGGTTTCACCTTGTTAGCCAGGATGGTCTCTATCTCCTGACCTTGTCATCCGCCCACCTCAGCCTCCCAAAGTGCTGGGATTATAGGTGTCAGCCACCGCGCCCGGCCTGAATATCTTTTTTATTTTTAAGCTTTCAATAAATCTTACTGACATCTAATTGATAAAAGTTGCACATATTTAATGTATACATTTTGATGAGGTTGGACATATGCATACACTCGTGGTACCATCGCCACAGTAAATGCACTGAACGTATTCATCTCCTCCAGAAATTCCCTTTGTTGTTGTTGTTGTGTTGTTGTTCATCTCAGTCTTTTAAAGGCTCAATTCCATCACTGAATGAATTTTCTTCCTATGGTAGCTACTTATTTGGTGAGTACGTCTGTTGTCTTCATCATGAGATCAGAAAACTCTATGCTGCTCCCTAACTATGTGACCTTGAGCAAGTCTCTTAAAGGAGAACTACAGTTTCTGTATTTGGAGAAGAAAGAAGATCATGGTAGATGATCCTCTTGAATTGGCTTCAGGCTCTAAAATTCTGTAGTTTGGTAAAAATGCCTAATGACCAAATGGAGGCAAGATCTCGTTACCAAGATCATGGTGGCTTTGGAAGTGACAGAGATGGCTGAGACCAGGAGGCTGAAATGAAATTAAGTCCTATGATGTTGCTTTAAGTTAATGCTATCTAAGAAAAGGTGCTGGTAGAGGAGTGGGGCCCCAAACTTGGCTTCATAGTGATGGAGTTTCCAAATCAATGGAATAGGGAAAGCACATCTCCTATGATACAGTAAATGATTCAGTTATAAAATATAGAGCCATAAGAAAGAAAATATAATACAGTTGGGTAGAATCTTTATATCTGATGAGGGAGGAAACCAGCTTAGGACATTGATCACAGAAGAGATGGAGAACCGGGATGGAAATTTGTCTGAATCTCTCAGGATTGTGGGGCTTGATGACATCAGCCTTCCATAAATTACTAACAGGAGGAGTAGGTGAGTGTTTACAGATATATGAGCCACAAAGGGCATACAAAACAAGGAATCAGGAAAGAGGAGAACTAAATTTCTAGAATTTCTCTGACAAAGCCCAGATGATGAGGACACCAAGTCATGGCTTAGGTTGGGTGCTGTTTCAGCCTGAACCCAAACTATGGTTTGGGGACCCACCCTGAAATGACCCTGCTCCCCTAGAGACCCCTGGTTCATGATATTGACCATCCCTAGGCTGGAGCTAGCTCAACAATAAATTAGCAAGAAGACTAACTTGTGACTTGCATTGGGATGAGGAACCAGTCCGGCGGAAGGGAGCTGGAGAAATAGAAATACTAGAGAGTGGGAGGAAATGCTTGGAGTGCATGTCTTGTACAAATTTAAATGAATAAAACTTCAAACTTGCACCTTGGCTCTCAGTTCGTATGATGGCCTTCTACAGCTTACTTCTTCAGTGACTCTTTTCTCTTCTGCATTGTAAGCAGGACTTTGTGTACTTACACACATCAGACACACACAGAGCAATTACTGAGCACCTCCTATGTGCCAGGTGCTGCTCTATATACACTTTCATGCGTAATTTTACTTAAATAATTTATTTAAACAATTTCTAGTAACTCATTATTATACCCATATGAGAGATGAAGAAACTGAGGCAGAAGCTAAGCTATTGGGGGAGCAAGCGTTTGAATTCAGGTAATCCGACTGCCGCGTAGGTGGTATGTCCTGGTCAGGGTTAGGGAGGAGTTCTTTGAGGGAGAGAAATATGATAGGACAGCAACATCCGCCTTTTCATGAACCACCAGCAGGGGCAATCCTGAGTTTCTGCTTTGCAGCTGTGCGTTGTATTTCTTAGCTAGCTTTGCCTACCTGTCCCACCCTGAGTGTCTGTCTACCAGCTCTCTAAGCCTGGGCGTGGAGATGCAGGATCCACTTATGAGTGACTTTCAGAAAGTGGGAGCCCATGAATGCTTTAGAATGACCTGGGTGTTCATTCAAAATTCTAGGCTCCATCCAAGATCTTCTGAATCCAAAAGGTGTGCTGTGAGACCTGGTGATTGGAAGATACAGCAAATCCCCAGGTGATTTGATTGTGCACTGAGGTTTGAGACGCACTACTTGGAGCATCCTGTGTTCAGATGAATGTTGCCGTCAGTGCTCTATGCTAGCCCAGCTGTAGCGATCATGCTTGTAGATTGTGGCAGGTGAATGTATCTCTGTCTCTACTATACATTTCAGTTGATGGGTGTTTGAGGAACAGGCGTGCAACTCAAATGTATCGGTTGCAAGGTTATAAGCCTGCTTTCCAATTTGAGATTGGCAGCCATTTTTACCAAAAAGGGGTGTATAATTACTTAAGGGACCAATTTTTTTTTTTTTAAAGAAAAAAGCAGTAAACCCAAGTGAAAAAGAATTATAAATACAAACATCATGCTGTATAGTTAAAGCATATGCTTTTATTTAAGAGTTGTTTTACTGTTAATTTGGGCTTTCAGTTCGATTTGGGGCTGTACGTGAACTATAAAATGATAAGTATGACTCGGTTAGGCTGTTCATGTGTATTACAAGGTTCTCTTTTTAAATTCATTCTACTTATATAGAAGAAAGAAACTAAACAACAACAGCAGCACAGTGATATAACAACAACAACAAAAAAAAACAGTTCTCTTTAGAAAGCCAATACCCTGTCATGTGCAGAAATCTCGGTAATAAGCAGGATGTCATTAAAAAAAAGTTCATGCTTGGCTAAACTTTTCAGTGAATTATAAAGAGGAAAAATGTCATGTTTTATTTACAGTGAATGCATTTTATACATGGGAATCAAATCCTGATAGCTCAATAATGACTATTTTTAAATGTTGCTGGAAGTTTTAAAGAAACACCCACCTCAAAAAAATAAATAAAAATAACCCATTACTGTCCAAGTGTTATGCATAGATTAAAGACATGCTGATTCCATTGTCGTGGGAGAGTTGACCTGCCATGAGACTGTACCCACCCACCACATGGGAACATTGTATGCTTTGGACTTGTCAACTAAGGGCTTAATAGTTTGAATCTTTTCACAGTATTTCAAACTGCACTGATTGTGAATGGCGTAGAGAGCCCATCTTTGACGGGTTTGAGTTGTATGTGAGCCTATACTTAGAAAATGGTCAAGCCTAACTAATATTATCAAGGTGACCTCTAAGAAAGGAGATGAGTAACTTGAAAGCAGTCCATCCTATAAAGGAAAGACCCCTAAGACAAAATACAGAATGGAAGTAAAGGATAAAGGGTTGATTTTCATGATTTAAGAAGACATCCCTGCACAGCTTTGCCTGGACTTCTTTAGTGGCTGAGACAACAGGAAGACCTAGCATATGTTGAACTCCATCTTTTATGTTGTACAGAGCTGTCTGCTTTATTCTCTGGCCAAAGCGAGTTCTACAAATGCAGGTCAGTGTTACCTGTTGCCTTGCCTCCTCTGGTGTGTTTCTTGATATTCTATTGTTTATCTTTTGCATTGTTATGGATACATTCTTGTGGCTCTCTTGAAATTCTCAGGGTGACTTTTAAAATGATATATTAGGAAAATGCTTTAAAATTATAAAACCACCTTAATAATTTTTCTCCCAAAGAATGAAAATGGCAAATTAGAAATTGTGTGTTTCAAGGAGGATGGCAAAGGGAAAAGTGAGTTTTGTCCTTCTTTCCTCTGATTTTAGCAGTTCTGGGAACAGACATGTAATAGTAAGAGCTCCTAAAGGGTACCAATATTGGCAGCTGCCATTTTAAGCTTTTGCATAGTATTCTTTTCCTTAGCATTTAGCAGATATTCATGCACTCCTTTTAAAACTCAAAATCTGATATCCAGGGTAGAAAAATAAACATTGATGGAGTTTTCAAGGTCATGGGTGAATTAGAAATAGTTTATTTCAAATCCTTATTCTAATCTAACCCCATCATATCTCATTGGCAAAGTTAGTGTTTAGTTTGGCTTCAGGAGAGTTAATTGATAACATTTTCTGTTTCTCTAGGATCATTTTGGAATGTTGAAAGTGTTCCTCTGTACCTTGAAAAATCGGGAGAGAGAGAGAGAGAGACTGCAAGGTTTTGATTAAGGACATCTACTTATGAGTTATTTCTTTATTCACATTGGCCCAATGGTTACATAACAGTTATCTGCTGGGACATTTCCCATACATCATACCTCTGAAATGTGTCTATAGGCATTTGAAGCCCATGCCTCCCAACGTTGCATTGTCTCCTTAGTTAAATTCAAGGACTACTTTGTGATAATTGCTAATTCCTGAGTGGTAACTTCTAGTGTATTAGTTCAAACTGAAAGATCTTACAGATCTTTTTGCATAACATTGGTCAAAGCATCATAAACAAGTTTTAAAGGAAGAAAAAAGACTTCAGTGGTGAAAGGAAAAAATAATGACAAAGCTGTTTCCTGTGAGGGTACATGTGCATATTTCTGAGTGCTAACATACAGGTACATAAAGCAGGGTGCTTTAATTTTGCTACTGTGTTGAGAAGCTCTTTTCTGTCTTACCTAGGCTTTTATACCTAGCCCATAAAAGAACTGTAAAAAGCATTCTTGTAAATAATTGGAGACTTGCTGGCAACAGATGACTTAATTGATTAGTTGATTGCATAATTATTTAAATATTTAAGTGCTGATTACTTGCTTTGGGATATAACAATTTGGATATTTGGGGCAGAGTAATAACAGAATAATAACCCAAAGTCTTTCACCTGGATATGCGAGAGAGAAATATGTACAGCTTACATATACACACACATACATACTCACTACCCACATACACACCCTCCTTTCTCTCTCGCTTGCTCTGCATCTCTCTCTCTCACACACACACAAATACTTACGCACACGCACACACACACAAATACTTACGCACATGCACACACACAGAGTAACCACCACTTCCTGTGGAGACTTTTTGGTCACAGTGTATAGAGAGACAGTACTGTGTCTAGGGACATAGCCTTATTACATGTCTGAGAGACCTTCTTTAACAAACAAAACTTCCCAGTAAGCAGTCTTTGTCAATTTGCTTACTAGTTTTCCCTGGTGCAAAGCTGAACTTATCCTAAGTCATTATCCATTAAATCATTATCCCCATGAGAGGGGAATTCAGCTCAGAATGGATCTGTATGGAACTTCTGATAAGGAGGGGGTGAACTAATTGAAGAATCGGAAATACTATTCTATAAAGCTGACTCAACCACAAAATCTCAACTTAAGCAGAGGTAGTGAGAATTAAGATCCAATATGGAAGTCATATATTATATATATTTATAGTCAGAATCACTTGAGTATTTTGATTACAGATAAAAGTAAGCTGGACAAAATGGACTGTGGCTGAAATGGCTGCCCCTGTGCCTTGATACCATAGGCCATGTTCCCTGGGTCTCTCCTGGCCTCTGACAGTCATGTCAGGGACAGCTGGAGAATGTCCAAAGCTTATCTTCCTGACATCCACAGGCTTCCGCTTCCAGATGGAAATTCTCAGAGTTACACCTCAAGCTGGAGAAGGCATAGTGTCCTTGGAGTTAGTTTTTCTTCTAAAATGCACAATGGTATTTTAGAATGATTCCCAAATCTTTCATAAAAGAGCTTTGGCAAAATAACAAAACAGCTGTAAAAGGCTCTTGACTAAATTTAATGGCTTAATTTCCCTGTAAGTATGCACTGTAGACCAAAAAAGCACCTCTCTACATTTACTTTCATTTCAAGGCACTTCTCACCTCAATCTGAAGGTAGGCATGCAGTTGAAAAAAAGAAACTGTTTTACGTTCTGGAAAAAACAACAAGCTAGTATTTGACAGATAAGTTAAAAAGAAACCTTAGTCACAGATAATAAGAATCTGTGAAAGTCACTGCTGGCTGTTCCAGACTCAGGGACTGGTCTTTTAGTGTGCGTTGAGGCTCATGTACTTTTTAAATGTATTAATGATTTTATATATAGGTATCTTATCTCCAATCTTGCTCTCTCCTGGAGATAGCAACTGGAAGATTTCTGAGCCTGAGTTTTGGAATGGCTGAGAAGCCGATCCAATAGCTCAGCTACCAGCCAGGCAGGCTTTCCAATAGTTTCAGGCCAGAATCTGAAGGAGACCCAGAAGAGCAACCTGTAAGTCTCAAAATCTGGAAGACAAAGTAGCCAATTAATTCCCCCAACCATAAAGTTTTAGAGCTGGCCAGTATCTTAGAAATCTCCTCTGCTCGGCAGGTTCCTACATATTCAACAGGGCATTTTTATTGAGCCTTATCCAAGGCCCTCAAGGCTTCATAAAACTGTGAGTTTTATAGTATTCCTGCTAATCCCATACATTTATTGGAACTAACTCTATTGGCCTGACATGAACAAGCCACTTACTTTTCTGGGCCTTAGTTCTCCATGGGTAGGGCAAGGGGGTTACATTACGGTTGATTTTTTTAAATCCCTTATTTTTCTGATACCCTTTAATCAGTGGACAGACCAGGATTTATTGCCCAAGTGTGCATTGCAAGAAATTGAATAGACATATTAAACACACACACACACACACACACATGCATACATGCATGCATGCATGCACAAAAAATAACAAAAACCTGTAGTCAAGAAAGAAAAAAAATCCCTTGACAGTGCTCTTTTTCGAGGTTTTCACTGTGTGACTAGGCTCTGTCTCCTTACTTGGTCTTCTGAGGCCATTTGTATGTACATGTTGACTGACTGACTTTGCAGGTGATGACAAATGGGAATGTCTCTTGTGAAATTCTTGCTCTTTGAGCCCCAGGATTTTCTCTAATATTTATTTTTGGTTTCTGATTATACAGGTTATACTTGGTCATTGTAAACAAAATAGAAAATAGCTATAAAGGATATAAATTCACTGCTCAAACACATTTTAAAAAACATCATTAGCCTTTTTTCTTTGCCTACATAAAATATTTCTTTGCCCTTTTTGCCTTTTGCAACTTGGAAGTTATAAATCTTGTTTTTTCATTCAGATTAATTTTCTAATTAAATATTTTACTTATTTTTCTCTAGTTTTCAAAATCATGAATAAAATACTACTGATTCTCTGTAAGATAAGAAATGTGGCACCTTTTCTATAACTTTCTTGCGCTGAAGTTTTAGGATTTGATTATTATGATTTAAAAATTATTGTTTTTATTACATTTTGCATTTTAAATAAAAACGGTTTTTAAAATTTGCCTTAAGTTTTTACAGTCTTGCAAATGACATTAAATTTTAATTAGAACATTTAAATTCATGCTTACTACCAGCCCTTTTATAGTAACACTTCTCCATTTTCTAAGCTCCTTATTTTGAGTCTTTTCTCTACTAGTTGCAGGTTTTTTGAGGATTTTTTCAGGAAAGATACATAGCATAATGCTCTCTGACTTTATATATTCTGAGGACTTTTTCTATTATCTTTACCCAAGAATGATGACACTAGTGGATATTGAATAATTGCATCATAATCTTTTTCTTTGACAGCTCGGTGGTTATTGCTTCATTTCTATTTTTAACTATTATTGTTATGGAGAAGTCTGGGATCAATCTGTTCTTTGCTGGTAACCATATATTTTTTTTTTGCTCTAATGTTCATGGTTTTTTTCTTGAAATGAGATATTATTAATTTGTTTTCTCTCCTATAATCTAATCTGCAATTCATGTCTTTACCATGTTTTAAATTTGGCAAATCTGTTTTTCATCTCTATACTGTCTTTGGAGTTCCCCCTTTGTGAGTGTTTGCTCTAGTTTCATACATAAAGTGGCCGCTTGAATCTTGTTGAATTTGAGGAGATAAACTGGGAATTCTAAAAAATATTCTCCTTTTTTTGCAGTAGAATTATTTCATAGGGATGTTTTTACAATGATTCTTCATGGCTGTTGTGTTCTTTTGACCTACAGCGTCTTTTTCTGTGTTCTGTGCTCTTTCTCTCCTTGTTCACTCCTATAAAGGAGCTTCTCTGCTTATGCAAAATTAAGTGGTAAGACAGTGTATCAGTCAGGTTCCAATCAGGAGGCAAACTTCACCAGTCATTTGGAGAGAATAATTTTAAAATAAAGTATTGTTAAGAATTTTATAAAGAATATAATACTTTATATTAAAGAATTTTAATATAGTGAGTCTTTAATATAAAGTATTATACTTTCTATTATACTTTAAAGTAATATAAAGAATTTTAATATAAAGTATTAACGAGTCAAAGGTGTTAAGTATTAAAAAAAAATAAAAGAAGATTCTAAGTCTACATGAATGGCAAATTCAGGGAGCAGATTTTTCTCCAGGGCAGAAGGGGACTGTGGAAGGAAGGAACTAGGAATTTGGAAGAAGGATAACTTCCTGTCCAAACAAAATTGAGAATTAGATCCCATTGGGGAGGGTCTGGCTGCATGTCACTGTGTGGTGGACAGGTTTGTGAGTTGCTGGTGGGCCAGAGCTGTTGAACAAGAAGCTCCCTGCCTGGGTGTCAGTGAGCCGGGGCTGATCCACGGAAAGATGCCCGCTGGGGTACTGGAGAAACTTGTTGCACCGTAAGTGCCACTGGGCGTCCCACATGCTGCTGCAGCAGTGCAATGAAAGCAAGCAGACAAGCACGCTAGAACAAGGATGAGAATTACTCCTTCCACTTCACCTTGCAGTGTCTCTCTAGCTTCCTTTATTGGCAAAGCCTAATATTTCTCCAGCTGGCAAAGGAGAAATGTTACAGGGTCCAGCTGTAGTACGGCAGAGCAGGACAAAGAAGGGTGGAATTGAAATTGACAGTCAATAATTTGACAACTGATGCAGATGGGTTCTGTAAGGCTCAGATGAAAGCAGGAGGAGTTTTAGTACAGTTTTACATTACCTGGTCAGAAATCCAGCAGCCTAGAGTAGTAGGGAGAGAAGTGGGGTTGCAGCAGCAGTGGCAGGGAGCTTCTCCTCTGGGCTGGTAAGTTGCTTTTATACTCTTGTTTCACAACCAGGAGGTGGCTGGAAAAATGCATGTGTTCTGCAGAAGGCGTACCTATCAGCATCAAAGATAAGACAGGAATATGCACTCCAGAGGATTTCCCACCCACGGTGCCTCCCTGCCTGGATGCTTCTGGAAACCCTAGTGAGGTCAGATAGGCTCCCATCTGCCCCACAGCAATGAGTGTTAATGATCTGCTGGAGTCTCTTTCGCTTCTGTGCCAGGGTGTTACAGATAGGGTTAGCCTTACCTACAAACAAGTGCTGTTTGCTCTTTTATTAAATAGAAATGTCTTGAAATTGAAATAGGCATTAAATAGAAATGGCTTGACATGTGATTTTTTTTTCTTAAAATTCATTAAAGGATTTAAGTTTCGCCTGTTTCTTTTTTTTTTTTTTTATATTCTTTGGGTCATTTTAATGAGATGTTGGAAGGAGGCAGAGCGATATATTTATGGTTATACCACCTTTTCACCAGGAAGTCTCATATTTTTTATGTGCCAAAAATCTATTTTCCTATCCTTGTTTTAATCTTATATTTAAAATTACGGTCTTCTTAGCCTGTATTTCCTTTGTCCTTTCTAATTAAAGTTAGAACTGTGTGATATCATCTCAGGGCTAAAATATACTGTATGCTTTAACCATGTAATTTTTATGGATGTCATCTATACATCCATAAAAGTGTAGCCAAACACTAGCATCTTAGACCTCTTCACTTGGAAAATTCTATGCTTGTCAGTTTAGTTAATTAATAAAACACTGCTTTGTGGATTTAGAAACATTTGGAACTTGCTACTTATTTTTTTTCTGGCCCAAAGGAAACTTACACAGTTAATACATAACAGTGCTGTTTTTCATAAGCCTGTTTGCTAATTGGTAGAACATGACATTTGTGTTACTTAATACATTAAGGCAGAAGAGTTGGGAATTTGTATAAAACAAACAAATTTGATATTAAATTTTGAATAATGACAGAAAATTTCTCACTTTGGCTGTTTTACAGCGTTAGTATGAAAAGACTCAAAAGAGGTAAAATAAAAAGTGAAGGTCTTTATACAGTGTGTTAAAATAAAACAAATATTATAGTACTTAAAAAATAACCCTTTCCAGTTGCTCTTGAATCATCCTTTGTTCGGTTTCTCTAATGCTCCTTTTTCTGCCTTGGGCTGTGTTGCTAGCACAGCAGGGCTCTGTGGAGGGTGGCTGTGAGTTAGGGAAAGCCTGAGAAGGGGATCCCAGAGGTGTTTTTGCCCCTAGGAAGGGCTGGTTTGTAAACTCCACAGCCTGGGAGAGTTCTGGGAAAAATCAGAAATCTAGGCCGACAGAAGAAAAAATAGCCAGCTCTATACTCTTGACTGGGAATGGGACTAAAGTCATTGGCCTTTTGTAGTTTCTAGAATCCAACTTTTTCCCTTTTCTAAAAAATTAGTAACAGTGCCAGCTTTAATTTTCAAGCCTGTTTGCCCTGCCCCTGGAGGATGAATGGTGGTGCTCCAGTCACATCTACAAATACTTACAGCTCCCTGGGGATTCA
The DNA here is from genome assembly GCF_000001405.40 of Homo sapiens. Classification (NCBI taxonomy): domain Eukaryota; kingdom Metazoa; phylum Chordata; class Mammalia; order Primates; family Hominidae; genus Homo; species Homo sapiens. The sequence continues at coordinate 4,064,905 of NC_000009.12, read as the reverse complement.
GGACCCATCTGGATCAGGACATTGGGACCTAGTTAACATGCTCTCTTGCTATTTTGTTCCTTCCGAATTAGTCCTCAATTTCAGTTTGAAGCCTACTTCCCTATATGAGAAAATGGAAATGAAATAAGATTTAAGTAGTTTCCTCTCTGACTGGCGCAGTCTCAGCTCATTTCAACCTCCACCTCCCAGCTTCAGGTGATTCTCCTGCCTCAGCCTTCCAAGTAGCTGGGATTACAGGTGTGCGCCACAACACCAGGCATTTTTTTAATAATATTTTTAGTAGACACAAGGTTTCACCATGTTGGCCAGTCTGGTCTCAAACTCCTGACCTCAAGTGAACTGCCTGCCTCGGCCTTGGGATGTGAACTTGCATAACCATTATTATAAATCCAGTAGGTATATTTTCTGAAATAAAAATTGCAGAACCCCATAGAAAATAAGACAATGAAAATCTTGAACTAATGCATGCATTTTATGTAAGTATCATTTCTGTGCTTTGTTGTATAAAAGCTTTAAATTTTTGGTAGTCATAGCTATCAATAACTTCTATGATTTGTGTATTTTTATCTTATTTAAGAAGGTTTTCTTTAGCTTAATATTTTTAAAAAATCTGTGTTTTCTAATACTTTTATAATTTTTCTTCACCTATCTTTATTCCTTGTAGAATTTATTTTTATGTACTGTATAATACAAGGTATGAATCTAGATTTTTTCCTCAGTAAATAGGTTTTCTCAGCATAATTAAATACGGTCTATCATTTTCCTATTGAGACAATATGATACCTTTAGCATAAACTATATTTTAATGTTGCCTTATTCTATTACTTGATTCTTTCCTCTGTTTCAGTGGTCTACTTGTCAACTATTGAGCTTCTACATTTCAGAGTTGAAAAAAAAAGTCTTTGAAATATATTTGACATCTGGAACAGGACCTTTTCTGTTTCGCTAAACAGGAAATTTTGTGATCTGTTCTTCTTTACTTATGATTTCACTTTTTTCAGTAGGTGTATTATTGAATATTGGGAACTCACACACGTACACTGAATGAGATGAGATCCCATTATACCTTCACTTTTTAATTAGTTGGTAGTGTGTAGAGGTTATTTTTCTATGATGATTTTGTGTCTGACCAACCTACTGAACTCTCATCTGCCTTAATTTTTCTCAATTTATTTTCTAAGATGTTCTAGGTAATCCTTTCTAATATTTGTCTCATTCGTTTTCTTGTTTGTCTTATTTAGGACCTTTTATACATTATTGAGTTCTAGTAGTGAGTTAATAGCAAATATGCAGTACTTCTGATTTTAGTGAATATGCTTTTAATACAACACCATTTTTTTTTTTTTAAATCATGAACTTGCATGGCTCTTACCAAGGGCTTTAAAAGCTCTATTGAGACAATCACCTGGTTGGTTTTCTTATTCTGTTAATGCGCTAAATTACATGAATAGATTTTTCAGATGTTTAATAATCATTCATTCCTAGGGTAAGCCACTCTTGGTGGTAGGATGTGGTTTCAATCTTGTTATGCTTTCCTGAACTGACAGGCCAAGCATATCATCCCCTTTGCAGTATGGTTTGTTACATACCCATAAAAAGTCTCTTCCATATTGAGTTATCCATCATATTACATGTTTTATAAAAGGTAAATTTCACTAAGTGGGGAATAAAAACACATATGAGTAATAAGTAAGAAAGGACACATCTCATACATTTTGCTTCTGGAATATTGTGAAATGTGCAAATCAAATCCCTAGGCAGACATAAGGTGGTGCTGACTCAGATGTACATTTTTCTTTGTGCATTGTTTTTTTTTGCAGATATGGAACTCAGTTTGCCATCTGTATATTAATCTGGTGAGATAAAGAGTCAAGAGAGTTTATTCCAAGTGTTTGGTCCATATAACAGCAATAAGAATTTGTGTCGTTTGCATACTGTGCTTCCTGTGTACTTCACATTCTTTCTTTTTTTTTTTTTGAAATGGAGTCTCGCTCAGTCACCCAGGCTGAAGTGTAGTGGCATGATCTCAGCTCACTGCAAGCTCCGCCTCCTGGGTTCATGCCATTCTCCTGCCTCAGCCTCCCAAGTAGCTGGGACTACAGGTGCCCGCCACCGTGCCTGGCTAATTTTTTTTGTATTTTTAGTAGAGATGGGGTTTCGCTGTGTTAGCCAGGATGGTCTCAATCTCCTGACCTTGTGATCCGCCCGCCTCGGCCTCCCGAAGTGCTGGGATTACAGGCGTGAGCCACTGTGCCTGGCCACTTCACATTCTTACATATGCTATTTCATCTTCACAGCAATTATGGGGTAGGCAGAAGAGTTATAATCCCATTTTATAGGTATGAAAATGAGGCTCAGAGAAAGTAAGTGCCTTAACCTAGATCATACAGCAAATATGTGATATGGTTGACACTAGTCCCTCAAGCCTCTTAATCCTAAACCCAGTATTCATTCTATCTCTGCCTTGGATATTTTGTATGATTAAAGCTAAGCCTTATATGTAGCAGCAACTGGGGTACAGAAGCAAAACGAGTTTAGAACCCCTTCTTTCCTTTTCTTTCCACCTCTCTCCCAATCCCACCAGTATTTTCAATATGGGAAACTGACAGTCGGTCCTCAAGGAACACCTTATACAACATCATGAAGATTTTCATTATGAAATGCCTTTCTCTCCTAAATTAGTCGCTAAGGCACAGGGGTAATGTATCATTTTAATATGACTGTGCATTTGTTGAGCTCCTTTGCGTCAAAGAACGCACAGTCCTTTACAGACATTAACTTTCACAACCTATGTACTTAGTGTGATTTGGCAAGGAAGTAATTCAGTCTTCATATTGTGGTAATGAAATTGTGTCCAGGAAAGATGCTGGGACAGCCTGAAATCTTGGGTAAATGAAGTGAGGACAAGGAGGATGAGGAGTCCTGCCACCTTCCCCATTTTTTATGCTCCCTTTTGCCATGTGACTTAAAGAAGCTCAGATCTCCTAGGCAGAGGAAGCTGTCTCAGGACACCCTGAACACTGATAAACCAGGAGGAGCACGGTAACATGTGCATTGACAGTTCTCATTTCTCACTTGTGGCATTCTTGCATAATTCTTCAGGGAGTATGTGCAGTACAAGCTTGCAGAAAGAATATCATACTGCTTTTTTTCTTTAGAAACATTTCAGGACGTCATGTTGTTGGCTATCATGAAGCTTTTGATAATTCAGATATTTTGCTGAACTTTCATTTGTACCCGAGACTCTAAAAAAGTATCAACATCTCATTTTTACACTAAACTGTGTTAATATATATCCTTTGTAGTTCAGTCTTTATAAGTGTCCAATTAAACCATTTTATGGCTATTTATATGAGGTTCCAAGTCTAGAATGGAAAGTCCTCCTTTTTATTCTCTTCTTATGTTGTGATGTAATGTTAACAGTTGATCCAAATGTCCATCCATGATAGACTGGATTAAGAAAATGTGGCACATATACACCATGGAATACTATGCAGCCATAAAAAAGGATGAGTTCATGTTTTGTAGGAACATGGATGAAGCTGGAAACCATCATTCTCAGCAAACTCTGGCAAGGACAAAAAACCAAACACCGCATGTTCTCACTCATAGGTGGGAATTGAACAGTTAGAACACTTGGACACAGGAAAGGGAACATCACACACCGGGGCCTGTCATGGGGTGGGGGGAGGGGGGAGGGATAGCATTAGGAGATATACCTAATGTAAATGACGAGTTAATGGGTGCAGCACACCAACATGGCACATGTATACATATGTAACAAACCTGCACGTTGTGCACATGTACCCTAGAACTTAAAGTGTAATAGTAAAAAAAAAAAATGGATCAGTAGCCATTATGAAGCAGATGATGCAGAAGTGTAACTGAACCAGAAGAACGGGGTATTGGAAGCATGCAAGAGATAGGCCAGAAAGTAGGAACTAGCAGGCAGGCTCTGAGTCTAGAAAATCCATGGGCAAAGTGGGAGTGGTGGCACATTCAAATGGTACCTGTGAGCAGAGTTGAGAATTTTGATTCCTGGGCAGAGGCTGGATGAACTACAGAGAAGAATAAATTAATATGTCACATGTCTTAGTCCATTTTTCTGTTGCTTATTAAAATAATCCCCAAAACTGGATAATTTAACAAGAAAAGGAACTTCTATCTTACAGTTGTGGAAGCTGAGGAATTCAAGGTTGAGAGGTTGCATCCAGTGAAGGCCTTCTTGTTGGTGGGGACTTCCTCAAGAGTTCTGAGGCACACAGGGTATCACCTGGCAACGGGTCTGAACGAACTAACTCAGGTCTCTCTTCTCTTCTCATAAAGCCACAAGTTATACTCTCATAATCACCCATTAATACATTAACCCATCATTCATGAGGGCAGAGCTGTCATGACCCAGTCACCTCTTAAGGCTCTACCTCTTAAGATACTGCCACACTGGGGATTAAGTTTCAACACGGGGGCAAATATTAAATCATAACACCACCTATTAGTGAGCTGGGAAGAAGTAAAGTTAGGTTCAGTTGAAAGGGATGACCACTGAAGGTGACGAGAAGCAGGCTGGCTAGAAGGAGAATCAGGAACCAGATTTGAGGTTCAAAAGACAATGTTTGTTGAATGGAAAGTTGAAGTAAAGACAGAAATGGGAGGTTTAGTCCATTAAATAGGCAGTTAGTCTTGAAGAACTGAGAGTAGTATGAAGTGAGATATGGGAATTCCACTGAGAGTTTCAGGGTAGGCTAGGATGTCCAAACTCAGAGCTTGCCTGAGACATCTTTCAGTAAAATGCTTGATATGCGCTACCAGGGCTACCAAATGGGCTCACATGAGTTGACCAGGTTGGCCAGGAACCTTGGGTTCCAGGAGGAAGGATGCATTCGGAATTCAACATGCCTTAAAAGTAGGGGTAAGGTTCTGATTCAACATGTGTAGAAAGTTGCAAGGAACCTTCACACCTGCCTTAAAAATGAGAGTAAAAAACAAAATCATAGATTTTTTTATTTTTTGAGCTAGTAGGAGAGCCAGTCTCTCTCTTTCTCTCTCTCTCTCTCTCTCTCTCTCTCTCTCTCTCTCACACACACACACACACACACACACAAATAAAGCTGAGTAAGTGACAAGCCCTTTCAGGAGAGAACAAGCTGAGGCCTGCTTTCATCCCTGGCAAAGTGCTGGCAAGAGGAGGAATCTATCATTGTCAGAGTGAGAAGAAAGTAGCCCAACTTAACTAATTTGGAATGGCCACATGTTGGCTGTTTAGAATAATAAGGATCTCCAACCACAAAGCAATCCCTGCACCAGTCTCCAGGTTATTCCCATGGATGTTCAAGTGCAGAAGGATGGTAGGCAGAAGGCCAAGAATAGGCTAGAAAAGCCAATAGTACTTCTCTCTAAGGTATTTGTGGTTTTTCCACAAAGCAAGGCAATGGCCTGTTACAGGCTGAGAACAGGGCAGGAGAGCTGAGAGAAATCCCATCATGGCACTCTGGCAGTTTTCTGTAGTCACTGTCTGAAGGATGAAAGCAGAGCAGCAGTGCAGAGATCTCCAGAGGTGCCAAAAACCAGGAGTGTAGTGGAGAACAAAGAGAATATTTTAATGACTTAAAAAGCAGCCTCCTGTGCTTTAAAGCTGAGAGAAATATTCCCTAGTTTGGAAAACTGACAGCTTAGCATAAAGCATAGAGAAAAAATGTCTGAAATCTCGTCTGTGCTCAGATCTCAAGACTTGCCAAAAGGTCAAGGCCTGATCCCACCCTCAAAATATTTAAGCCAGTGGTGATTTGAATCTGATTAAAGCTGCAGTAACACTCAGACCTAGATCAACTATAGATTAGATGACTCAGGGTCCCCTTCGTCAACTAGCAGCCTGACAGCAGAAGGTGTGAGGCCTTTTCTTTTTTTCTTTTTTTTTTTTTGTTTTTGAGATGGAGTCTTGCTCTGTGGCCCACGCTGGAGTGCAGTGGCGCAATCTTGGCTCACTGCAAGCTCCACCTCCTGGGTTCATTCCATTCTCCTGCCTCAGCCTCCTCAGTAGCTGGGATTACAGGCACCTGCCACCAAACCCGGCTAATTTTTTTGTATTTTTTAGTAGAGATGGGGTTTCACTGTGTTAGCCAGGATGGTCTCGATCTCCTGACCTCGTGATCCGCCCGCCTTGGCCTCCCAAAGTGCTGGGATTACAGGCTTGAGCTACCGCACTCTATGGTTCTTTTACACAAAATATTTGGCACAAAGTCAGTTATAAGACATAAGAAGGAGCAAGCAAATGTCGCTCTTGGCCAAGAGAGGAAATAGTCAATAGAAGTAGACACAGAGATGGCCCAATTTTGGAATTATTAGGCAGGGTTTAAAATTATTATGCTAAGTACATTCCAGGACTTATTGGAAAAAATAGATAACATGCAGGAATAGATGGGAAATTTGAGCAAAGAGATGGGAACTGTTTTTTTTTTTAAATAGGGGAAAGGAAATATGTCTCGGGAGTCTGGAAAGTCAAAGAGATCAGTAGGCAAAGAAAAACACTGTTGAATAGAGCTGTGATTTCTGAACCCAGAGCAGTATCTGCTTACTCTCTGCCATGCTTTTTTTTATGCCTTATTGTGTATGTGTGGTTCATAGTTGTTAATTATAGGCAAACAAATAAAAAGCAAAGCCAAAAAAAAACAAGGAAAAATACAAGGCCTGCAGTCACTGGCTGGAGCAATCAGTGACCCAAGAAGCTAGGCTCATAGCTAAATCCTGGATTTACTTCCTTTTCCTTTTCTCTAGAAACAAGTCTTGTGATATAGGTACATTTGTGATTTGGTACAATCCATGCATCAGGGGATGTTCTCTTTGTCTTTTGTCCTTAGCTTTGTTTGGAGAGGTCACTCATTCAAAAGACCAGGTGTGCTGGAAGAAAATGTTTGAGTTCTAAAACCCAGAATAAAGATAAACACCTATACATATTTTTAGAATATTATATTTTCTTTACAGTTTGGGCTTTTTGTTTTTTTACATGTGAAAAAGATCAAGGTTCTTAGCGAGGCCGTGTACATCTTGCATAAGCCCATCATCAAGACCTCTTTTCTGAAGTTTTCTCAGTGACGATCCTTTTTCTCTTATAGCATTAAAAGTATTATCATGTCTTTGCCAAGAAGTGTCAAAGGTTCCTTTTGGTACCATTGAAAAAGTTGAGTAAACTATTTTTTTTTCCTAGCTGCATTCTTCTGTTCTCTAGGAAGTCGATCTGACCTTTCTTTCTTTTTTATTTCTTCTTCAATTTTTTTTCATTTGAAGAGGAGTAAACTGGTTCACACAAAATGTGACTTTACATTGTGCTTTTTTTTCAAGGACAAATAATGATTCTGAAACAGACCTCAAATGCCTGCTGAACTCAAGCTTTTTCCAGGAAATGAAAAAAGTACTGCTTTTAATTTTTCTGTGATTATCCATTTAAAAATTGTGCATTGTTACCTGTTTTTGTGCTTTCCTATCAAGCTCTTTAGCATAAAAATGTTATGATATCTTTATTAGGGATGGATCCACCCAGGGAGAATTTAGTCCTAAATAAAGGAGAACGAGTTTCATAATTGTCAGGACCCAGTGCAAAATGAAAATGTGGGGCCCCTTGTTCAGAAATGATTAAGAATTTTAAAATGATAATGGCAGAGTATTAAACATAGTGTGGAGGCCTTCTAAGGGTAGGGGCCGATGGGACTGCATGGCCTTTGATGCCCATGAAGCCAGCCCTGGAATTAGTATTCTCTCTACTTCTGGTTCCTTAGGGCATTGTTGACGCTTCATGAAGCTGCACATCCAGGTGTTCTAGAATTGTGGTCTTGAATGAGATGAAATTTAGGAGCCTAGTTGTGGTGGGAGATGCATGGCCAGTATGTAAGGCCATGCAGATAATGCACTAGATAATTCTAGGGGGCACGATTCACATTCTTAGTCATCATAAATTTAGATGATTATTGTGGCTTTTTTTCCTGGCAGATGGCAAAAAAAAAAAAAAAAAAAAAAGTGTCTTGAAGAGGAGCAGCTTTTTCTATTACCCAAAGATGATCTTATTTGGGCAATTAGTCGGCTGCTTTTGCCAACTCTTTTCCCTATCCATTAATATTTTCTCTTTTCCTTATAGATTGATTCCACTTTTTACTAAGTGCCCATTTGACGTCATAGTTTGTGTGTGCGTGGTGGGGTGTGTGTGTGTCACTCTGTATATATATGCACACGTGCATGTGTGTCTGAATTTGTCTCTCTTTTCTCCTTTCTTTCATATCCCGTCTCTCACCTCATCTCTGTTTTCTTCCCTTTGCTTTTTTCTCTCTTCTCTCTTCAACCTTTACTTTCTTCCCAAAGTCTGGCTTCGTAGAAAGTCTCCTGCAAAGCTGGCATTTGAATCTTAGGTTGAATTTCATTTCATTTGTTACCTCTCCCAAAGGTATTCCATTTGAAACTTTCAATTCTAAATGGGAAAAGGAAGATTTTAACAACTTAAAGGAAACCCTGTGAGCAGATGGTGCCCATCTCAGCCACTGTTAAAACTAGTAGCTTAAAAAGGAGTCTTGTATTTGAAGCTGCATCCACAGAGAGTTTACATTATGACAGTGAAATAAGAATAAAATCCCCAAGAGGACTGTTTGATTCCCATGTCTTCAAGGTTGGTCCTTAAATGTAGGCTCTGTGAGCTGGAAGGGCTTTTAGAGATAAATTAGAAATTCTACTTTGCAGGACACCCTGCTATTGCAAACCCCATTTGGTGCCATTCTTATACGCTAGGATGAATCATATCTAGGCTGCATATAATCACGGCCAAATGGGGGCTGGATGATGCCTACAATAGGGACAGACATAGCTGATGTGTGGAACTAAACAGGGCCTAGTATTAATTGCGCATGATCATCCTATCAGTCCTTCACCATTCTCCCCATCATGTTGGCAAAGGAGGAAGAGAGTTTCCTTTGCCTCCTTACCCTTTTCAGAATATAGACTTCCTTCCTTCCTCCGTCACTGCCATCGATGTTCATTCAACCCAATTTTACCTGCAAAAGAAATGTTCTAAGAAAGGAAGAGGAGTCCTGTTCTGAAAGCCAGACCATTGGTAGGGCTCCTTTACATCCCTCCAATGAAGCTGGAAGTTGGCTGTTGTTGAACTTGAGCCAGCTTGCTGTGGTTGATCCACGGAAAACAGAAGCCTTTGTGCATTTTATTTTGGACCTGATCACAGAAGCCTGCCATTGAAAGTGATAACACCATCATTCCTCGTTTCCTCTGCGGGGCTTTGAACATGCAGCAGAGCAACATATTTGCTTCACATTTCAAGTTGAACCTTCTGTAGGAAGGTCCTGCAAGCCTTCTGAGGAGGTTTGATGTCACAAATTCTCTACAGTGTAATGACATATTTTAAGCTTTTGTGCATCTCAAGAGTGCAAGCTCCTGAGAACTTATTCTGTTGATCATCTTGGAACTCCCATGGTCAGGCCCTGAACTTGGCATATGGAAAGAGTTCAGTAAAGGGGCTTGCCAGTGATACTGAGGGACATAGAAAAATAGGATCAGGAACAGGGATGGACGGAGGCACCCTTGATTTAAATGCACCTGGAATTTAGAGTAATCTGAGGCCAGATTCTGCTTAGTCAGACTCGACATCTGTAGCTACATTTCTCAGAATAGCCCAGGAAAGAGAAAATAGAGGCTCTTGCCAACTCTATTGATGTCAAGAATGACAACTCCATATGCTGAGAAGCAAGGAGCCCCAGTTGCACTGTTCATTCTTGGTTCAGGATGCAGAAGTAATGGAAAGGAGAAAGATGAAAAAGGCATTGCCTTCTTTCATTCTCCCCTTACCCACTGGACAAGGAAAAGAGGAAAATACAATTTTAAAAATCAAGTACCATAATCATGATTTTTTAAAAGCTCTAGATATCAACGTTAGCCAGATCCTTGTTAAATCCCAGGAAGGCTCATTTGTAGCTGCTGTGGGAAGACTTGGGAGACCATTATTTGGACCAATATCTTCCTTTTAACAAATGGAATCTTCTGAGCCTTGAAAACCCAATGTGGTAAAGCATCTCAAGGGGCAAAATGTGGAAAACTGACAGTTTCTCAAGTGTTTTGCTCAAGAACACACACATACACACACAGAGAGAGACCATAAAATGAAACATAACAAAAAAAAATCCACTCTGGATTCAAAATGTTCTAGTTTGACCAACAGCAATGTGCTATTACTTTTTTTTTGTTGAGAAACAGCACAGTTTTATAGGAGAAATAATTAGGTCAAGTTTCAGGAAGAATGACAATTAGATCTTTAAGCTCTGAATGTCAAGGAGGCAGCTTTGTGACTGGTGTGACTTGTGACCTGCTCCGCACTGATCAGATCTGTGTTTGCCTCCTTCTCTGTAGACTGCCATTTCTGTACCTGCAGAACCCGTAGGCCCTGACTGAAGAATTCACTCCAGAGCACATCCTCCTGTGACTCTCGCCAAAGTGTTTGTAACCAACCGTTAAATTCAGATGGTTCCTCTGAGCTTGGGAAAATACGTTTTATTGCTCTGTGCCTTTTGAGAGCTTGGAAAGGTGGAGGTCTTGTGGAGTTGTGGAAACATCTGTAGAGTACGTTGTTTGCAGGCTCTGGTCTGTGCTGAGAATAGAGCAGTGACCGTGAAGGATGAGATCTCTGCCCTCACAGAGCTGATGTTCTGCTGGTGAGTGTGGACAGGCTTCCTGCTGTGCCACCAGAGAGTCCTGTGACTTTGGGTGGGTGGTTAACCTCTCCAAGCTATTGTGTCTTCATCTTCAACTCTTCATCTTCGAAGGAGTTAGACCTTTTGAAGGCTTTGTGCTTAACTCATACATTTTTTATTTGTTCTTCTTTCTCATTCAAATAGCAAGAAGCTATTCAAAGAGTAACTTGACTTTTTGTTTTGACCTTGAAGTAAATTCTTGGAGGCTTTTATTTGATAAACAAAACAGAACAAAACTCAAAGCCTGAAGCAAACTGTCTTTACCTCAGGAACAAAAACAACAGATTGCCGTGTTTGATGGTCTGTGCAACATAAAGAAAGGCAGAGCTTTAGAAGAACATTGGAAATCTCAGCAGTCTACAGTTCGCCAATGGTGTCACTAATTGGGTGGCCTCTGGGGCCATATTCCTTTCTCTTCATGTGGCTTTGCTGCTAGTTGCTATCCAGAATTTTTTTTTTTTTTTTTTATGAAGAAAGAAAACAAGTAGGCACTGAGTCTGGCTCTTCCTCTGTCTTGTAGCTCTTTTTTTTTTTTTTAGCCTTGAGCACCATTGAGACATTTATCCACTAGAGAAAGACCTGCTATGTGCCTGGGACTGTTTTAGGCTTAGGAGATATTCTGTCGAACAAGACAGGAACAGTCCTGCCCTCGTGGAGTTTAAGTCTAGAAAGGAAGAGAAGTAGACAATTAACTAGTGAATGATTAAATAATTTGGGGGAATCTGAAAGTGCTGTGAAGAGATTGAAACAATGATGTCAGCAAAGTGCCTGGGGTGGGAGGAGGAGCTTTGCAACTTGCTTGACCAAAAGGTTCTGTCTCAGGAGGTGGTCAGTGAGCTGGGCCTGGATGATAAGGAGAAGCTATTGCTTGATCCCACAATGGCCCCTCATGCTAGTTAATACCGGTTATAAAATTAAACATGAGGCTGGGCGCTGTGGCTCACGCCTGTAATCATAGCCCTTTGGGAGGCCAAGGCAAGTGGATTGCTGGAGGCCAAGAGTTCGAGACCAGCTGGGCCAACATGGCAAAATCTTGTCTCTACCAAAAAATACAAAAATTAGCCAGATGTGGGGGTGTGCGCCTGTGGTCCCAGCTACTCAGGAGGCTGAGGCAGGAGAATTGCTTGAACTTAGGAGGCAGAGATTGCAGTGAACTGAGATCATGCTACTGCACTCCAGGCTGGGCAACACAGCGAGACTCTTTCAAAAAAATAAAAATTAAAATACTAAATTAAACATGAATGAAAAATGGCGTAACTGCTGTGGAACACCATTTGGCAGTTCCTCCATAGGTTAAACAGAATTACTATGTGACCCAGCAATTCTACTCCTAGGTATATATACCTAAAATAATTAAAAACAGACATTTAAACAAAAACGTTTACATGAATGTTTTTAGTAGCACTGCTCATAATAGGCAAAAGATGGAAACAACTCAAATGTCCATCAGTGGATGAATGGATAAACAAAATGTGGTATATCCATATAGTGAAATTTTAGAATAAAGTTCTGATACATGCTGCAACATTGATGAACCTTGAAAACATTGTACTAAGTGAAAAAAGCTAGGCACAAAAGGCCACATATTGTATCATTCAGTTTCTACGACATGTCCAGAAGAGGTAAATCTATAGAGACAGAAATCCGACTAGTGGTTGACTAGGGGCCAGGGTGTGAGTGGGGAATGAGGAGTGGCTAAATGGCTATAGGGCTTTCTTTCAGGGTAATGAAAATGTTCTGGAACTAGATGGTGGTGATAGTTGTACACCATTATGAATGCATTTAATATCATGAAGTATGTACTTTTAAATGGCTAAAATGGTAAATGTTAACATGAATTTTACCACAAAAAAAAATTAAACCAATTGTGATGTTTGACACGAGTCTTTATGAAGCAACATTTATATATACTTGAAAAATATCCTGAAAACGAAATGTACCTATCTGTCTTAGTTCTTTATTTCAGGAGGATGGGGAGAAAGTTTTATTTGGTATTTATTTAGGCCACTCCCTCTGAAAGAAGGCTTTCATGGACTTACCAAAATATAACTGAACCTAAACACAGGTATGCAAATATTCAGGTGTGCACATCTCTCCATTGATTCTTTTAAGCCCCAAATTATTTAGAAGTGAACAGGATGTGTTTTATACCCGGGCCTCTCCCAATGCACTCTAATCTGTAATTGTGTTCTACAAATGAGCAATGAGACAGATTCAGCCCCTGTATATACGCATGATACATAGACATTCGACATGTATGTATCATCTATAAACGTTAGTACCTTCCACTGTTCCAGCACCTAAAATAAATACAAATGGCAAAAAGCCCACCTTTGACTGAACATTAAAATATTAGCCACAGCAGTTGTGCCCTATTTGTTAGTGGAGTTTGGTGTGTCATCCATCTGACATATGGGAGAAATTGGTGAAAATACTGCAGCCTAGAATAGTGTTTGATGACATCTGAAGAGTTTTCAAACTTCTGGTAAAAATTATTGCTATGTTCTTTTTTAAAAACAAACAAACAAAACTCAGTTTTCAAATAATATGCATTTAGTTTCTCAAGTCTTTATGACCATGTTCTTTCTTTGAATTACATGAATAAAATACTAGTTAGGCCTCTTTGGGCTTTTTGTTTTTTCTTTCAGTTCCTCTGATCCACATAGTTATTAGGAGGTGGAGATATGTTTGGCTACATTTTTCAAGGGATGGATTTTGATACATTTAGGCTTAGATACAAAGCTCTATACCCGACTGTCTTAGAAAATGTTGAGACTATAGCAATCTCCAGCAGTCCAGAATGTTCCCGATAGCTTCTGTCTACCTAACCACTTGTAAGTGGCAACCCCCTATCCCCGCCCCTGCCACACACACCTTTCTTTTTCCTTCAGATACTTTTCTACCACATTCCACATTCGAAATAAGCAATTGAATGTCTTGTTAAGCCATGTTTGAATTTCCTCATAAACACACACGTGAGAGAAGAGAGGCTTAGTCTGCTCTGTTTGTTTGAGGCTCATTGTCTGCTTCCATTTTGACCCAGTTTCTTTAGGGGCTGGGAGAACAAGGAGAATTTTAGGCCTCACGGGAGCTTATCAATGGATGCTTTCAGACAGTCCTCTGAAACATGTGCCTTAGTAGTAATTAATTTGCCTAGGATCCTACATTCTTCAGAAGGAGTTTATTGTTCTCCAACAGGAGGAAAAATAAATCTTTGTAGTTTATTGTGAAACCTTCAGCTTCCCCCAACTGTGAGGACCCTGACTATCAGGTTTAGGATTTCACCTGCAGGTGTGAAGGCTTACACTTTTTATCTCCTCTTACGTGGAGGCCCATCTCTGATGGGGAGGGGTGAGAGCCTAACCAGTCTTGTAAAAGTGATGCCAGTGACTTTCAGTGGACTCTAGTGTTTGAAGGCTTTAAAAAGTTAGTACTGAAAGATCAGAATCCCACAGGAAAGGTATAAAAACAATAAAGGCCCCTAACATGACATAGCGTGTTCTGTACAGAGATATATACTCCACATTCTTCAAACATTCCTCGGAAGATTTTTTTAAAATTACTTTTATTTTTATTATTATACTTTAAGTTCTAGAGTACATGTGCACAAGCTGCAGGTTTGATACATGGGTATACATGTGCCATGTTGGCTTGCTGCACCCATCAAATTGTCATGTACATTAGGTATTTCACCTAACGCTATCCCTCCCCCAGACCCCCACCCACCAACAGGCCCTGGTGTGTGATGTTCCCCGCCCTGTGTACAAGTGTTCTCATTGTTCAATTCCCACCTGTGAGTGAGAACATGCGGTGTTTGGTTTTCTGTCCTTGCGATAGTTTACTGAGAATAATGGTTTCCAGCTTCATCCATGTCCCTGCAAAGGACATGAACTCACCCTTTTCTGTGGCTGCATAGTATTCCATGGGGTATATGTGCCACATTTTCTTAATCCAGTCTATCATTGCTGGATATTTGGGTTGGTTCCAAGTCTTTGCTATGGTGAATAGGCCGCAATAAACATACGTGTGCATGTGTCTTTATAGCGGCATGATTTATAAACCTTTGGTTATATACCCAGTAATGGGATGGCTGGGTCAAATGGTATTTCTAGTTCTAGATCCCTGAGGAATTGCCACACTGTCTTCCACATGGGTTGAACTAGTTTACAGTCCCACCAACAGTGTAAAAGTGTTCCTATTTCTCCACATCCTCTCCAGCACCTGTTGTTTTCTGACTTTTTAATGATCACCATTCTAACTGGTGTGAGATGGTATCTCATTGTGGTTTTGATTTGCATTTCTCTGATGGCCAGTGATGATGAGCATTTTTTCATGTGTCTGTTGGCTGCATAAATGTCTTCTTTCGAGAAGTGTCTGTTCATATCCTTTGCCCACTTTTTGATGGGGTTGTTTGTTTTTTTCTTGTAAATTTGTTTGAGTTCTTTGTAGATTCTGGATATTAGTCCTTTGTCAGATGGGTAGATTGCAAAAATGTTCTCCCATTCTGTAGGTTGCCTGTTCACTCTGATGGTCATTCCTCCGAAGATTCTTATGCAGGAAGCTTATTCCTATGTGTGCGCAAGTGTGTTGGAGGTGGGGATATATGTATGAAAGAGAATGAAGGAAAGAATCAGACTACGAATAGCTCAGTACACGACACTCCTGCCGGCATCTGTGGGCTGTGGGCATTGGCAGTAGTTGCAGCCTTTAACAGCCAGCCTGGCATTGGCACTGACCAATTGGAATGGGCATCAACTAATGGAGCAAGGTCCTTGATGGCCCATTTCATGCTAGGCTTTTATCCTTTAACAATCACGTTGTAGGGAGGTGAGGAAGGGGCCCTGCAGAAGTAGTCCAGATGGCCAGGCCAGTAGCAGGGGGATCTTAGGTATCAAGGCAGAGGTTATTTACCAACCAGTATGGTTGTATTTGAGTATTTTGACAAGCAGTACACTGGCTGAAGCTCTGGAAATCTCTCTGTATCCTAGACTTCTGGAGTAGTTCCTATCCAGGTGCAGCTGTTGTTGTTATTAGATGTGTGTTTTCTTTCTTGCATTGTGTGTTTGTGTGATAGTTTGCTCAGACATCATTGGTGTGTGTCTGAACTGCTATTTGGTTAGAACCTCACCATTTGTTCTTAGCCCTCTCTGTATGTCCATGGTGTTCAGTCCAGATTGAGGTCTGCTGACTTGGTTGGATCCCCAAATAATTTCCTGTCCTGCCACGTGTTGGTGACTATTTCAAAGTGAAAGCATGCAGTAGGGTCACTGGCATTCCAGAGATGGTTGTTAGGAGGTCTACATTGCCTGTTTCTAGAAAAGCGCTCAAATGTTGGAAGTAACTAAGTTGTTGGTCAGATATTTGTGCAGGAATCCTAACAGGTGCATAGGCTAGGCCTAGTCACCTGATGGGTGGCTGGAAAGACAGCCCTTGAGAGGGGTGAAATTACTGAGAAAATTTGCTTCATCTGAGCCCCACAGAGAGGACTTCAGTGCTGGAAGAGATGCTGCCACCTATTGATCATGGTCTTAAAAGATGCTTTTGTGCTCTCTTTGAAGAGATGCTTCTGTCTTCATTAGGTCATTGGCTTCAGAGCAATTTGACGCAATTTAAAAATAAGCACACAGTTGAATACCATAATGTGGTTAAGCCAGCTGTTTCTGACCGTGCTAGCTACTTTTTTTTTCTATTTATGAGAATGGCTTATATTATGCACATACTGAGCCATGGCATGGCTATATGATAGCCCCATATAATATCAGCATTTAAGGTGGACTGTTTAAAAAGATCCACAGGGTAATAAGTTTCCAGCAGGATCCCTTACAGTGTGTGAACCATCTAACAGCTTTTTGCCCTTCCATCTTCTGCTAAACATGTTTTCTTGATCCTCACACATATCATTCTGAATTTAAAAATACCATTTACTTTCCTTGGTTTCATTTAAATGTTGCATTATGTTTAACTATAGCCAGCCCTACATAATAAAATTTTCTAAAAGGTCATTACCCCTCACTCTTCTTCAGGGGTCGGATAAATTCAGTGTGAACACACAGAACTGCAGTAAATGGGGGCAAAATGCCAGTTTTATTTAGGGCTCTCCAATCATGGGTTCAATTGGAGAACACAGTGAGGCCCCTTTCCCCACTGCCTAAGCCCTGAGTCTTGCCCACACTTCTTACCCAGAGATTGTTGGAAAAGTAAGAACCAGAGAACAAAGACCTCCTTAGGCCTACCAGCTGGTGAAGTAGATTTCTGCTGTCCCAACAGAGTTCATCTCACAAAAGTTTACTGGCCTTGCCTACACTAATTGCAATTATTTTCCTATGTAACCGAAAAAGCAGACAGAGAGGTCAGGAATGTTGGCTTTGGAGCCATAACACCCAGGTTCATGTCTTTCCCAGAACATTCCTGAATCAACTAGGGTTCCCTTTTCTGTGCTGGCATGGGGTAGCACACTGAGCCGACTCCCACCTCTTTTCATACTGACATCGTTATATTACAGTTTTTTCTTTCCCTAGATTGTGAGCTTCTTCAGGTCAGGAACCATGTGTAAGTCACTTATGCATCTCTAGCTCCCAGCATAATAGGTACTTTATTATTTGTGAAGCTAAAATGCAAAGTAAGTGAACCAGAAAGGGTAGGTCACAAGGTGTGGATTTAAGTTTGTTTGTAATTCAGAGCAGTAACAGGTTTTTGAAATTAGTGAAATGAACAGAATTAGAATATGGGTCTAAAAAAGTAATATAAAAATAAAGATTCTTAAGATTTAAAAGGACCTTAAAAGATTACCCAATTGTATTAGTCCGTTTTCACACTACTATCAAGATACTACCTGAGACTGGGTAATTTATAAAGGAAAGAGGTTTAATTGACTCACGTTCTGCATGACTGGGGTGGCCTCAGGAAACTTACAATCATGACAGAAGGGAAAGTAGTCACGTCTTAGCTGGTGGCAGGCGAGAGACAGAGCGAAGGGGGAAGAGCCCCTTGTGAAACCATCAGCTCTCATGAGAACTCACTCACTAACACAAGAACAGCATGGGGGAAACAGCCCCCATGATCCAGTCACCTTCCAGCAGGTTTCTCCCTCAACTCATGGGGATTACAGTTCCAGGTGATATTTTGGTGGGGACATAGAGCCAAACAATATCACCAACTCAGCAACCCATTTTGAAGTCTACACTCCGACAACTTTCCCATTAGTGTTTGTTGAGACTTTGAGCATCTGCCAGGGCTTAAACTGTTTTCACATTGAGGTAAAATATCCTTTACAGCTTTCATCCCTAATTGTGTCCTCTGGCAATACCTAGATGAAGTATTGCCTCTCTTCAGTTTTCATTTATTTGAAGAAGAATTGCCATGTCTCTCAACCCATACTTGCCAAGTAAACATGCCTAGTTCATTCAGCCATTCTTCATATAATACAATTTAGAGTTCCTGCATTATCCTGGTAGAGGAACTCTAAATATATTCCAGTGAATGTACTTCCCTCAAAAAATGCAACGCTAGAAGTGAAGATAATACTTCAAGTATGGCACAGAGTAGAAAAGATTTATTACCTACCTAATTCTAAAAATCACATGCACATTAAGTACAACTTATCGTATTAGCTTCATTGATTGCTGGCCCCACCTTTGACCCATGTTCAGTTTTCTGTTGATGAACACAGAGCATTTCTGTGTGCTGCTGCTTAAGTCATGTATCTCTCAGCCCCTCCTTATAGGGTTGTTTATTTGGGCCCCAAAGTGTTATATCCTGCTAGATCTAACCCACCTCTCATGCCTGCCAACCCTCTCTTTGGATCCATACTGTACCATTCAGGGTCTTTACTGTTTTTCTCAGCACTGTGCCTGTGAAGATTTGGTAGGGTTGCCTTTACTGTCTTCACATAGGTGCATGATGAAAATGTTCAACTGGGCAGGTCAAGAATAGAGCCCTGTGGTAAGCTACTAGAATCCTCTCTTAAGGTGAGTATCAACTTTGAAAACAGTTTATAACAAGTTTTACACCCCCCTCTATAATTTATAAGACTGCCATAAGAGACCTTATAAAATACATTGTTGAAGTCCATATTTTGGTACAGCAATATAAATGAAGGGAAAAATGAGCTTAGGCTGATGTGGCCAATTCTGAGTGAAATTAAAATTTGCTGCCTCCTGGCAGTTGCACTTTTTGTTCTGTCTTGTCATGAGCAGCCTAATAAACCATTTATGATTTCCCCCCCGATCTCCCAAGGTGACCGACCTCTATATAATTTTTAGAATCTTTCTTCTTCAGTTTAAAAGTATGAATGACATTTGCCAGTCCTCCAACTTTTGGCACATCTTTCATTTTCCAAGAGTACTCAAAGATATCTGACGGGGCGGAACATTAGTGATCTCTGTTGCAAGGACTCATAATATCTAGAGCTGTGATTGCGAGACTGTGTTTAATTTCACCTTCAGCCTCTTGTCTGATTCTTTCCAGGCATCTGCTGTTGGGGCCAGGACTTCTTCTTTTTCCAAGTTGTTACATTGCATGTACAAAAGAAAAGTTCAGCTGGGTGGGGTGGCTCACATCTGTAATGTCAGCACTTTGGGAGGCTGAGGTGGGAGGATCACGAGGTCAGGAGTTCGAGACCAGCCTGGCCAACATGGTGAAACCCATCTCTACCTTAAAAAAAAAAAAAAATTAGCCAGGTGTGGTGGTGTGTGCCTCTAATCCCAGCTACTCGGGAGGCTGAGGAAGGAGAATTGCTTGAACCTGGGAGGTGGAGGATGCAGTGAGCCGAGATCGCACCACTGCACTCCAGCCTGGGTGATAGAGCGAGATTCCGGCTCAAAAAAAATTTTTTCATTTTTATAGCAAAAAGTTCAGAACACTTCATCTTCCTGCAGCTTTTTAGTTACGTGAAATCCACAAGGTCCAGTGTGTACATCAGTTTCCTTCATTTGCAAGGGGACCGTCTTCAAGTAATAGGGCTTACGATAAGGATGCAATATCAATATGGCCAAAATGGCAACTTGGAAACACAAAATTGAATCAGTAAATGTCAGGACTTGGAATTCAAAGATCTAAGGCAACTCTAGGTGCTAGGTTGTCTGGCCACTGCTGTTGGCTGCAGTTGAGTGACTTCCACCCTAGTCCTATGCTAAAAACAGACTCTGCTCTGTTCTCTGCCTTGTTTTTTATGCCTGCACTACCAAACAGCTTTCTGAGTCCTCCCTTCCTCGGAATTTACATCTGCCCTTGCTTTTGGCTTAATCAAAAGTTTTTCCTCACCCACTGCATTCTGTAGTCTGTTTCTTACTCATTCTATTATCCTGGGGGACTTTCAAGATGGTGTCTGGAAAAATTTAGGAATGGATCTGCCCAAAGATAAAAAGAAAGTGAAGAGTCTGTGTTAGTCCCAGGTTTTTGCTTTTCTTTTCAAAGAAATATGAGAAAGCATGCTAGTGTCTCTAACTCTGTGACAGTACTGTGAGCAGTCACCCTCAGTCATGCCCATGACCTCTTTCTGAGGTAGTGGTTCACCTTGTAGACCACCAGGTCTACTGTACCCAACCCAGACTGCAATGTGCACCTGACCCAAAGACAGTCACTCCATGTGCTGGCCAGCAAAAAGCTCTTTCCCACATAGGATAAGATGGACCCATTGGATTCCTTCTCTGTGAATAATTTTCACTGAAAAATAGGAATAGGACCAGGCGTGGAGTAGCAGGAACAGAAAATTAAAGAGAAATGAGAGACTATGAGAGACCAGAGAGAGACTATGTGTTAATTTTCCTAAGGGAAAGGAACAATCAGGAAAACAAATGTTGACGTGCTAAGGGGCGTTGGGAGATTACTTAATATCTCCTACAGTCTTCGTACAGATCTGTATAATCATATGCATAAATGCTTTATGTCTATTTAGTCGAACTTGGCACTAGGGGATGGAGAGTGTCTGGTTTCACAGGTAGAGTTAAGAGCCACACACTGTTCCGAAGACTTTGATCTTTCTTTTGTTGTAAGAACTTCATTCTCCTGTTGAACAGACTCCCTCCCCATGTCCTTTCTGATGGGCATCCTCAGAAGGTTGCTCAGCTTCTCTGGGACACTGAAGGTGTCTGCCAGTTTTCTCTTCTGTGCCGGACCCTATTGGTGATGTTTGCCTGCTCTGCCCTCTTGGCCCTTACCTGTGCTCTTGACAAGGCCCATCATATTGCCTTCCATTGTTGGTGACAACAGCCGGCTGTGGGTGCTGGCCAGTGCTGCAGGTGTCAGGTTCTGCTGCTCTTGCAGCTGATATATCTGGGAGCCCCCAACCCAAGACTTGCATTGTGTTCTCCAGAACTACAAGTGAACTCTGAAGCTGCATCCTGTTCTTGTCTTCATAGGAAATAATTACTCTTCTCTCTTTTGTGTTACTCAGTCACATTATTCTAAAGAGGTACTGGGTCAGTTCCCAGTAGCTCAAAGATGGTGTGAAAACAGATCTTTCTGTTAGTTTTTCAGGCTTATTCACATGTCCATGGCTGTTGGGACTTGTAGAGAAGAAGGTTTTCCTGGGAGCAAACTCAGCAGTAGAATAGTGTGCTCAAAACCACCTCCCCAGCCCTCCAATAACTGAGTCATTGAGACAAAACTCATGGTGCTGACCTTCTCCTTCTTTAGGATATGATTTAAAGGCCCCTTCCCAGCCCTTCCTACAGACTGACTGATGGAGCCTTCAGCCTGCCAGTCACCCCAAACCAGCCGTACCTGATTATCTCCTGGGAATCCTACCACAGCTCAATCAGAACTGCTCCCCACCCTCACCCCACCTGCCTTAATTCTTAGAAAATACATAAAAAACTCAGTGTACCTCACCCTGATCTCCCACCTCAAAACTAAGAAAACTGGATTTCTTGCTCAACACTCTACACTTCATACTTGAAAAAAAAATTAATTCTGACAGAACCACCTCTGGCCCCTTGCCAAAGACGTAAAGTCTCACTGAAAGTGATTGGGAGGAAAGGAACAAATGGATGCTTAAAGGGATTAAAATGCAGGAGTTAAATTGGGACCTTGAGTGGGGCTGTGGGAAGGGGAGGGGCTGGGAAGCTGTGAATGCAGAGAACCACAGCTGAGAGCATTGTGGCTCCGGGGGAGAAAAACCATTTTGGGTTCTTAGTAGAAGAATAGCCATTTCTTTTGATATTTCCAAGATTGCCACTCTTGGGGTTTGCGCTCTTTTTCACTGTACCTTTTTTTTTTTTTTTCTTTTCAAGCAAGCTCTAATGACTTGGCGTCCTGGCACATAGCTGCATTCTGCTCATAATAATGTGTACTTTCAAGTTTTTACTCAAACTCAATATAATTTCCTTTAGAAAAATGTTTTTGAGAAACACAGTATTAAATCAAGAAAGCCCTTGCTGCTTTTATTGTCACTAAAATCATATATTGTTTTCCAAAGAATACTGCCATTTGTTTATATTTCCCTACAGTTTTTGTTTTTGGGAGTTTTGTTTTGTTATAGTGGCAGCTGAAGTGATTTTGAGTGTTTGCAGCATGATGTTAATTAACCAAATGTTTCAACCTGGAACTTTGAACACCTGGGCTTACATAAATTGCTCAGAATCAGTGTGGAAATCTTCGGAACAGTGGATGTAGAAGATTTGGGGTAAAACAGGCACTAGATGGTGAGGGGTTTTATGCTCTACTCATTCTTTACGCAAAATAAAAACAGACGAGTAAGTGTTGGCCTCTTTGGAACAGATGATTCCCAGCAGCAGTTGGCATGCTTTATGTACTCATGGGTTAACCGGAAGCAGCTCTCAGAATATCCATTTTAATGAAGATAGCTTAGGTTTAGTCTATGTTTGGCTGACAGTTAACACTGTTCCCATTTCACTTCTCTATTCTGCTGACCCTTGGGCTTGATAATGTTTACATCTTGGATACTTGCAAATGAAGAATCAAGGCTGGCCATGGGAATTACTAGGGTGTCAGAGTGAAATTTTGGTACCCAAATCTCTCCACTCATCCTTCCTTCCTTCAGGAAGCTCCTGACCAAGAGATTGTTGACTAAAGAAAAAAAAAACAAAAACCCAAGCTTTTGAAATGATTAACGTGCGTTCTATTCAGAAATCTTATTGAGGACTGTAGATGAGGCCTGTAGCTTGAGAGTTGCTCTCTTGAGAGGTTCTGTCAGCACAGTTTCAGCTCACTGCGTATATACAGGTGGTGGAGGTTCAGGACATGCAAAATCACATCAAACTTGTCCAGAATTACACTAAAGCAGAGTCATATCAAGGTTTGGGCATAAGAGTACACCTGGATATAGGTTACAGAAGCATAATCACTAAGACTGTCAGATATTGTCTTATGTGCAGAAAAAGGCAAGGACTAGGGTCATTTATCTTTTAAGGAAATAGTGACTCAAGCAAGAGACATGAAGTGGGGTTGGGTGTTCTACCTGGTTTTATCTTCAGAACATCTTTCTGGAGAGCTTCACGTTTTCAGAGAGTCAGGGACTTTGTGACGTTAGATTCCAGAGAACAGAAATAAAACATGCCATCTTACATTTGTTACTTTGTCTCACAGAGCATAGGCAAACAAGAACCATACTGATTAGGAAACGAAGCACCGTTTTATGAACAATTAAGTAGGCACCTGATAACATCACAGAGACACACACACACTAAAAATGGAGCTCTGGTAAGGCAGAATTGAGTCTCAATGGTGGTGCCCATGAAGTTGACCCAAGCTTTTTTCCACCAAGTCTAAGGTGCAAAAACTAAAACAGATTGAGATAGTTGATTTGCCTAAAGCAAGGCTTCTCAAAAGCAGCATTAATGACACTGGGGGCAAGATAGTTCGTTTCAGCAGAGGCTGTTCTGTGCACTGTAGGATGTTTGGCAGTTTCCCTTATCCCTAGTTGGTAGAGGGAAATAGAGGCCGGTAGCAAACTTCCACTCCCACCCCCTTGTTTTAACAACCAAAGATATCTCCAGTCATTGCTAGACATCCCCCGGGGCTTTTAATAAGCTTCCCAGGGATTCCCATGTGCAGTCATATTTGAGAAACAGTGTTTTAAAGAAGTACAGTCACTACTGGACATGGCCAAAATGCCTGCCTTGCAGATGTCCTGTGTAATGAACACCTTCTTGATGGTACTCACTCCACATAACTATCCTTCACTTTCAAAGTTTAGCATGCATTAGAATCACGAGGTGGGACAGGATTAGAATGTTGAGAAAGAAATCTTTCTCCTTCCCTGGGTCTGGAGTGGGTCCTGATGTTTTGTATTTCAAACAAGTTTCCAAGCAGTGCTGATGCTGCTGGACCAGGAGACCACCTTTGAGAACCACTGTTGATGACCTTCACTTCAACTCTTACCTAAAGAACAATGACCCAGTTGACCCAGTTGACAGCACCACTTGAAGACTGTGGTAGAACGATCTACTGAACACCTCATTCCATCACCTCTTTTCATCTTTTTATAGTGTTTTCTCCTTTTCTCCATCTTTTATAACTCACTATCCACTTAGTTCCACTGAAGAAACTCTGTCTTTATCGTCCACATTAATAGTTCTCCAAAGTGCTGGGAGTTCCCGTTCAGATTTTTTCCATTCCTTCTATATCCTTATTGATTGAATATTTTTCTTCACTTGCTTGCATTAAAGATTTTAGGAAAAGACCTAAAATCTGGTTTTGTTGTTCAGATTGTCCTTATTTGTGATATACTATCAGCGGGGATGTCTTCCTTTTCTATCGTAAATGTAGCACGCTGTAATAGTTTGTTATTGAAAGAGACTTTGGGAGTTAATTTAAAAACCTAACAGCCATTTTCAAACAATGAATTAATAATTTTTGACAGAAAACCTTTGTAACTAGGGGACTATATATTCAATGTAGCAGGTTTTTTGTTTTTTGTTTTTTTTACCTTGTGAAGTAAAATGTTTTGTAATTCAGACATATTATTTAAAATGCTTTGAAGTTTGCAAAACCCTTTGAAGACCAAGGCTGTGATTTACATGTCCCCATTTATATTTTTATTAAAATCACCACCCCTCCATAAATAAAGGTATTAATGGGTAAATATTTGGCCAGTTAAGTACCAGGACTGTGTAGGGGGCTTTCCTGCAGATGGGCAGAGGATGTAATTTCATTAAACAGGAGGTCTCAGTTACCCTCTGTTTGGAATCCACTGAAGTAGGACTTCTCTTGGCTCTCCTCTTAAGACTCAAATCTTCCCAAACAGTTTTGGCCTCCACATTTGTGATGCACTGGCCTTGGGCTTGGCATTGACCCATTGGCCTTGTCGATCCTCCAATTTATACTGTGCACTTAAATTCTAAAATGATACTTTTGCTCCATCTGCTTCTAACTTGAGTGCTCTAACTCCTGTAGTACTTGACCATTGTGACATTATACTGTAGTAGTCATTGAAAAACACTCAACATCTCCCAGACATTTCTATGACCCTAACAGAATCTGGACCGATTGTAGAGGAAAACACATAGATCTTAGAAAATACAGTGGGAAAGAGCACTGGCTGGGAGCCAGGCAGGCTCTGGGTCAGGCTTTGGCACTAAATAGTGGTGTTTCCTTGGACGAGTCACTTCTCTTACCTGGCCTGTATTTTTATGGCCTAGAAAATTGAGGGAGTTAGATGAGGTGGTCTGTAAGCTCCTTTTTGAGGCTGCCGTCCTGTGTTTGTGAAGTTTTGTATTTTGTGGGCTGGAGACCCATCAGAGCAGCTTGTTTCCAAGAAGCACAGGCCTCTTTCCACATAGCTCACAGGAAATACATTGTCTGGAAGAGAGAGAGAGAGATGCTTGGATACCTGTAGAAAATGTTTGGTGGCTTCTCTATTTTGCTATTCAGTGGCTAGATAATACTGCATTGGACAGCTGGGAAAAATAATTTTTTTTCAGTCAAGTCTTCAAATTTTGGTCCTCGGCACCAATTACATAATATATGCAGAAATACCTTTATGAATAAATATGTAGGACCCTCTCCAGAGAATAACCAGGTGCCCTATTAAATTCCATATGAAATGGGTAGAGTGTGGAACCACCCTAGGTGTGAAAAGAGTCCTTAAAGTGTTCCCAAAGGGCAGGATTATAGCAACGTATGGTGCCCAGGCTTATTACATTGGTTTTCCTTTTTTATTCTCCCTCCTCAAGTTTGTAAGAGACGGATGATTCCTATTGTTGTGGCAAGCTGCTCAGCTTTACCCAACGGTTCATAGTGAGAGAAGACATGGGGAGGGCAGTTAGTTCCTCAGTTGGGGAAATTAGACTGCCTTGGAGGTCACTGGGGGCAAAGGTGATCAGAGTTATGCGGAGCCCAGTCTGTCATCTTCATGATGTTTCTACAGACAGGGATACTTGAATGCACAGTGTTGAATGCATTTAAAGGCTGGATCCACACATTTAAGAAATCAGGATTAAGGAAGCTGTACAGATGTAAACTTTGAAGAAAACAATGAAAAAAAGAATAGTGGAGAGCTGAATACGTGTGGCCAAACTATGTCACTTACCAAAGGGCCAGTCATCATCTTTTATAACATGCTAGCACAGTGGTTTGCAGAATGTATTCTCATGCCTGCTTTCAGGATAAAAACGTTAAAGAGACATGCCTGGGAAATTCCTTTTCCTTTTAATCAGGATAAAGTGGCCTGTTGAGGCCTGGGAAAGTGTATTGGATTTCACCTTTGATCTCCCATACGTCAGTCTCTTTACAAGTGGTCATTTCTCTGAAAGGTACAAGCTGGGACTATTTGGCATTGAGTTCCAGAATGGCCTTTATCATCTTGATGACAATTTTTCCAATTTCTTTAACAGTTTATTCAGTTGTAAAACTACAGTGACTCATGTAATTAGAGGTTTCCCTCTGTGTCAACAGAGAGGATTTTTGGAACCAACAAGTTGGACAAGTTTCCTACCACACTTCAAAAGAAGTAGTTAATCATGGGATAATATTTTTAGGATGTCGAAACTGGAATATGGCTGGCTGCTAATCATCCCCAAATAAAACTCTTGATTAATTACAAATAAATTAATCCAAGAGTGACAAAATTTACTTGGGCCTCATTGAAGTTTTACCAGGTTGCTTCCTCCAAGCCAGGTGAACAGGAAGAGGGGAAAGATGTTCTTCTCCCTCATTAAAGTTCCACTTAAATAAATAAAAACAAAAACACTCTGAACTCACAAAGACAGATGGGCTATCTTGTAAAACATTTTATCCAATGAAGTGATTTTTTTTTTCCTTTCCTGGATTTTGTATCTCCCCTGAATGTGGGCAGCTGAAAAGTGTGTATAAAATATTCCCAGGAAAACACCAAAGTGAAATTTCTCCACAGCTGTCATAATAATAGTTCATTAAATAAAATGGTGTATTTAAAAAAAGACTTGAACATTTCATAAGCAACTCTTGGAGAGATACTGCAAATTAATTAAGTGACCATAAGGGCACGATGACAATCTGAGGTTTGAAATTCAAGAGAATGGTGACTCCGAGTCTGTTGGCAAGGTTATTACCTATTTTTCTGTTTCTGAGAAATTTATCTCCTAGTGCTTAGATCATAGATTAAAATAATGCCTGAGCCTGTGAAAGTTCCCCCAGGATTTATTGTCTCTGTGTGTGTGTGTGTGTGTGTGTGTGTGTGTGTGTGTTGTGTGCACACACATCTGCCCACTGCAGCACTCAGCATGGAACTTGGCTTGTGGGGTATTCTCAACTGATGTATTTATAAAACATGTGTATAACATTTATTATATGCCAATCCTTGCTCAGGTAAAAATGTAGCTAATTTAATCTCCTGATAACCTATCAGATCGACACTTTTACCATCCTATTTTACAGATGAGAAAACTGAGGCACGGAGGGGTTAGTAATTTGCCTGTGGTCACAAAGCTAGGAAGTGACAGAATTAGAATGCAAGTCCTAAGCTTTAGTTTAGGTATCCGTGCTAGGCTCCTGTGCTACGATGCCTCTCTCAAGAAATCTTTCTCGAAATGAAATTAACAGCTTTGTCTGTGAAGAGTTTATAAAGCAAGTTCACATGTCATTTCATTTAATCTTCAAAGTATTCAGTAAGGAAGGTAAAGCTATTCCCATTTTCAGATGGGGAAAACTGGTGCTCAGAGAGTGGGGTGATTTTTTTCAAATCTCCTTCCCTAGTAAATTATACAGCAAAGGTTAGAACATGGACACCCCTGTCTTCAGCTCTGGCTCTCTTTCTGCCATAGCTGCAGTGGGGTAGTAACTTCGATAGGACTAAGAATCCACTGCGGTCTGCCCCTTTTATTTTTAGCCCCTCTACTGGTCTTTATTTCTCCTGGAGATCAGCAGTTGATACTCAAACGCAAGGAGTAGGGAGGGATTTTGGCATCAAGAATGAGTCCTCCAAACGGCTTTCCTGAAGTTCCTCCTGGTATATCACCCACAGTTCTTCTCACACCTCTGTTCTATGAACAACTAGTAATCACTATGGTGGGAATTAATTTGGGAGTCAAAGTTCAAGGAAAAAATTCTCAGGTAATGCGCCGTTTGCTGGGCACCTATTTAGTAGGTGAGTCTCAGGGCTTAAGGCTGCAGGTCTTCACAGTAGCCTCTCTGTTTTTCCTCTAGCACTCTTGGAGTCTCAGGGAGAAAACTGTTTTCTGGTTTGAGTCTTATATCCTCCCATTTTGGCTACTGATAGAAACCGTTACCAATTTGGGCTGAGTTCTCTACTTCTTTCACAACAGGAGTCTTGCTTTCAATTCAAGTTGTCAATCATTTTTCAAAAACCCACTCTTTATTTATACATCTGTTTATTTATATCCTATCTTGTTCTACAGAAATTAAGGGGAGCAGAGAATAGTAAAACTACAAGTATAAAGTAGAAAATAAAGATTAGAGAGGATTGAAATTAGAGTAGGGCAAGGCCTGAGAGAAAAAAAAAAGAGATTTGATTTCTGTGTTCTTAGCCAGAAAAAATAAAACAAACAACAAAAACAAAATGTAAAACGCAGTGCATCCCAGAATTTTTGTTGCTGGTGAGGAGTTAAAAAAGTCTTCAAACGGTAAAGGAAAATCCTCACTTGGGGCTTTTTTCAGATGGTAATTCCCTGTGAAAAGCACTGAGGTCTTAAAGATGACCTTGAATCTTTCAGCCTAGCAAGGAATCAGGCAAACTGAAACCTACAGAGTAAACTCCAGGCGGCTCAAGGCCAAGTCATCTGGTATAGGAGCATGTAGGAAAGAAGGATTCATTGTGACAGAGGGATGTGGGCAGGCAGCAGGAGGTTCCACCTGAGTGAGCCTTGAGTAAATGGATAGATTTTGACTGCAAGAGTGAAGACGGGAGCATTCCAGTCCCAGGAGATGAAGGAGCAATGGTCAGTGTCGTGGGCTTGCATTTGAGTGGGGCAGGGATACAATCGTTTGGGTCAAGTACAGGAAGACCGATGTGGTGGAAGGCAAGACAGGAAGGAGGGTTAGTATGAGTCTGTGCCTTCTAGGAAGTTGGATAGTTTCTGAGGAGGGGCCATCCCTGACCCGTGCTTTGGGAAGCTTATTCTGGCACCAGGTGGAGATGTATAACAGAAACAAGAGTTACATGGAGGAGATGAGTTAGGGCACTGCTGCAGTAACAGAGAAGAGAAGTGACTAGAGCCTCAACTAGGCCACTGGCAGGGGGAAGGGAAAGCAGAAAATGGAGAATCCATGGGAGCTAAAGTTAAAGAATGTGGCCAGATGTGGAAATTTAAGTAGGAGAGAGATAGAAGGTGGAATACGAGATAGGTGAGAGGTAGCTTTGGGATATTCTGGGGTTGTCAAACATGCAGGGATCCAGTTGGACCTTCTGGAGCCTTCTGTTTTTGCTACAGTATAATACACTGGTCAGGAGCTTTTACTTTAGTTAACTAGACCTGGTTTTGAATCATGGCTCACTATCTGTAGGATCTTCTAACAAGTAATCCAAGTCTTAATGCTTTCACCTGTAAAATGGAGATAACATTTGCCATAAAAGGTTATAGTGAAGATGAAATGAAAACGTGCACATTTGGAAACTGCTTAGCACTCTGTACAGCTGTAGTAAGTGGTCTTGTTGAGATTATTTCTACTCCTAGTACTTTTAGACTAGTGTTGCTGCTTCTTTTCAAGTTTCTGCTTTATTGTCTCATCTGCAGTTCTTCTATCAGAAGCAAACATATTCAGAAACTCCGTGTCCTGGCTCGCTTAGCAATAATAGTACACATAGCAGTGTGGTGAAGTCAGGCACCCTCCTGCTACTACAAGAGAATATGAAGTAACGAAGATCCCCCCTGCCACACACACATTTGTGTTTTGGTCCCCCTCACCACTCACCCTCTGAAGAAGAAGGTCATTCTAAGACACCAAGTGACATTCAGGTTCTGAAGGCAAGATTCCATACTCTGGGGTGTGAGGAATTGTGCTGTTGAACTCTTCCCCCAAGAAGTGCTCAGGTTGAGGTTAAAGGGCTCCTGAGGGCAGAAAGGCAGATACTGTCAAAAAAGAGAGTTCCTGTGATCCCGGTGTCATGTGGCTCCCCAAACAATTTCTTGAAGACTTGTAAATGTGGCAGTCTGCAAAAGCAGCAGCAGAAGTGACAACTGGGAAAAATTGTGATACCGCTTTCTGTGAATCCCCGAGGACAGCCAACACGACCAAAGGATCCCTGAAGGGTCAGTGAATTGTTATAACATTCCTAATTATCAGGTGTTGTGGGCTGAGCTTCTTACTGGGAAATTCTCTCCTTAATTAACATATCCCTGCTCTGAACATGCTTACAGGTCTCTGCTAATTCAAGAAACAAGGGGGAAAACATACCAGGAGCTCTGGTTTAATTGAAAATATAATAATTAGGTTATGGAATCCTGCTTTTGATTATAGAAACAGACTTTTTTTTCTGTTTCTAACTTGTTTTCTGTTGGTATTATGCCTTGATAGAATTAATAAAGTTTCTGGGGATCTGTTACGACTTTTTTTTGAGACAAGGTGCTACTGTGTTGCCCAGGTTGGAGCACAAGTGGTGTGATCACTGAGACTTGACCTCCTGGGCTCAAGCAATCCTCTTACATTAGACTCCTGAATAACTGGGACTGCAGACATGCACCACCATGCCCAGCCAATTTTTTAACTTTTTTTTTTTAATAGAAATGGGGTCTCACAATGTTGCCTAGGCTGTTATTGAATTCCTAGGCTCAAGGAATCCTCCTGCCTCAGCCTCCCAAAGTGCTAGAATTATAGTATTACAGTTTTTTAAAACTTTATGGCTTAATCTGAACCCAGAAATGCAGATAGGACCTATCTCATTCTAGTTTTTTTTTTTTTTTTTTTTTTTTTTATCCTTCGCCTATGTTTTTGGGGGCAATTAAACAAATCCTTGTGTTGCCATGTGCATGAAAGGGATTTTAGTTCATCTTAAATAGCTGGCATTCATTTAAGGAGTTAGTAGTCTCTGTATACAGCATCGCCCTTTGATTTGGACAAAATAGGTCCCTGTTTTAGTACCTGCCCTTGAACTTGAATGTGCATAGGAATCACCTAGAGATTTTGATTGAATAGGTCCAGGGTGGAGCCTAGGATTCTCCATTTCTAGCAAGCTCCCAAGGGGAAGTCCATGCTCCTATTTGGAAAACACTTTAAGGAGCGTAGCTTTGAAGGGCCCTATTCTGGCCCTTCTCCATCTTCTCTTTTCCCCATGGGATAGGGAGTCTGCACGTCCAGGAAGGTGTACCTACTTAAAGCCTGTGCTTCCTCCTTCTAGACCTTGCTGTGGATATTTGGGGCCTTAAAATTCTCTACCCAAATGGCCTGGAGCCTTCTTCTGGGGTCTTCTCTGGCTTTTTCTTTAGTTCCATCTTCCTGAAGTGGGTGCGCTGCAGCCTTAAGGGGTGACCAAGGGACAGCTGTTTTGGGTGAGGGAGAAATACCCTTTATGCTATAAGATAGATTTTAGGGTGGAAAGAGAAAGGGTCAAGTCAGGTGTGGGAAGCTCTTCCAGCACTGTGCCATTCTGGTGCAGAACTCTGAGAAGTTCAAGAATTCTCAATTCCAGCCAGGTGTGGTGGCTCACACCTGTAATCCCAGCACTTTGGGAGACTGAGGCAGGTGGATCACAAGGTCAAGAGATCAAGACCATCCTGGCTAACCCGGTGAAACCCCGTCTCTACTAAAAAACAAAAAAATTAGCCAGGCGTGGTGGCGGGCGCCTGTAGTCCCAGCTACTCGGGAGGCTGAGGCAGCAGAATGGTGTGAACCCGGGAGGCGGAGCTTGCAGTGAGCCGAGATTGCGCCACCGCACTCCAGCCTGGGCGACAGAGCGAGACTCTGTCTCAGGAAAAAAAAAAAAAGAATTCTCAATTCCACTTGGCATTCCAGCCTCAGGTTCCTTGAAGAACTTAAAAGGAGAATGCTATTGGCAGTGGGGGCAGGGGCATCCTGGTGACAGAAGTTGGATGTGGTAAGCAGAAACCTCATGGCATAGGGTATATGGGCTTCCATATACTTGCCCCGGGCTGGAAAATGTTGAAGCATGTCTAACTTGAGTGAAGTGCTTTATTCCTTTGTCACTTGACACGTTGCGTATGTTTTCCTTGTTGCACATTAGAAATACTCAAATTTGTTAGGCTGCTACATGATATATAGCTCTACGCCTTCAGTTTGTTTTATGAGCCATTCTGCCATCTCTAAATATATTTGTCAGCTGACAACTTCTTTTAAAAATAAGATTTTTAAAAATATATAAAAATATAAAATTTTGAAAAAAAAGCATTCTATGCAGAAGAAAGTGAGATGATATGCTTTTGCATTTTGTAATTTTTATAGACTTCTGTGAAAGTTGGTTCTTGGTGATTACGCTGCTAAGGACCAAAGTTCCTAGCTGGAATGCAGATTTTAGAGCCAATTCTAAGAAACTTGGGAAGGAATGAAGGGTATTCCGCTGAAACCAGCCCCTCTTGCTCTGCCTTAAATGTTCACCTGCACTTTTGAAACCTCCTCCTGTGTGTAGTGAACGTCTGTGGTTTCAGGGTTTCCACATCCATACATCAGGCAGTCTGCACAGGACTGAAGGCACTTAGATCTGCCTGACGGTGGGTCTCACTTGGTGTCCCTTGCTCTGCAGGGCTGCTCAGGCTGCCTTTGTCTGACCTCCTGATCCCTGTACCCTACCTGCCTAGGCTAAAAGGACCTCCTGGGCTCCTTTGATTTTGCTCAACTTAACCTCCTATCTGTCTAGACTCTTGCTATCTGCTAGGTCTTTCCTGGCTAGCCAGAGTCTAGGCTCCCTGCCCTGTATATATTGGCATGAAAAAATGCGGGTTTAAAAAGAGTTATTTAAAGAAGAGGATTTAAAAAGAACCTTTATTGTATCGCCAAAGAGAGAGGGACTAGAACCATTGGAACAATTTCTAATTGACCTCTCAGTTGAATTGCTTGACTGTTCCATCATCACCTTTATACTTTTAGGAGTATTTTTTTCCTTTGGTACCTATGAGCAGTGTCTTTTTCCCCATCTTTTTGGTTTTTGTTTATCTTTCTCGACATTTTAAGAATGGAAGTGAAATGTGCATGGCATAAAATTAATCATTTTTAAGTCTGTAGTTTGGTGGTATTCAGTACATTTGCAATGTTGTGCAACCATCACTTATATCAAGTTTTGAAACATTATCATCGCCCTAAGATAAATCTACCCATCAATCGGTAGTTCTCCCTTCTTACCTCCTCTCAGCCACAGGCAACTACTAATCTGCTTTTTGTCTCTATGTACTTGCATAATCTGGGCATTTCACATAAATGGAATCATATATTATACGACCTTTTGTGTCTGGCTTCTTCCACTTAGCATGTATTCAAGGTTCATCCACATTGCAGTATGTATCAGTGCCTCATTCATTTTTTATAGCTGAATAATATTCCATTGCATGTACATGTCACATTTTGTTTACCTATTCATTCATCTGTTGATGGAAATTTGGGTTATTTCCACCTTTTGACTATTGTAAATAGTACTGCTGTGACGTATTTGTTTGAGTACCATTTTCAATTCTTTTGGGTATAACATCTAGGAGTAGAATTGTCGGGTCATATAGTAATTCTATTTAACTTTTTGAAGAACTGCCAAACTGTTTTCCACAGCAGCTGCACCATTTTACATTCCTACCAGCAGTGCACGAATGTTCAAATTTCTCCACTTCCTGGCCAACACTTGTTATTTTCCATTTTTTTGGTAGCCATCCTGGTGGTTGTGTTATTTATTGTGGCTTTGATTTGGATTTTCCTAGTGACTAATGATGCCGAGCATCTTTTTGAGCAGCTTTTGATAATGTCAGCACATGATGCTACAGTGTTAGTGACTAAGATTCATTACATTGTAGAATATTTGAAAAGCAGATAAGTCAGCATTTCTGGCTTCATCCTGGTGTCCTGTACTCTTTGTTGACCTCTCAGCGAGTTATGTGAAGTTCCAGTCATGCCATCAAGAGGGATGGGGTCAAAGGTGCCAAGAACACGCTGGGAAACAGACATTCTCTTCAATAAATGGTGCTTGGAAAACTGGATACCCATACGCAGAAGAATGAAAGTTGACCCCTGTCTCTAAAATTCAAAATGGCTTAAAGACTTAAATCTAGGACCTTAAACTGTGAAACTACTACAAGAAAACATGGGGGAAAGTCTCCAGGACATTGGTCTTGGCAGAGATTTCTTGAGCAGTACCCCACAAAACACAGGCAACCAAAGCAAAGATGGACAAATGAGATCACATCAAGTTAAAAAGCTTCTGTATAGCGACCGACAAAGTGAAGAGACAACTCACAGAATGGGAGAAAATATTTTCAAACTACCCATTTGACAAGGGATTAACTACCAGAATATATAAGGAACTCAAATAACTCTAGGAAAAAAATCTAATAATCCAGTCAAAAAATTGGGCAAAATATTTGAATAGACAGTTCTCAAAAGAAGACATACAAATGGCAAACAGGCATATGAAAAGGTGCTCAACATCACTGATCAGCAGAGAAATGCAAATCAAAACTACGAGGCGATATCATCTCACCATAGTTAAAATGGCTTATATCCAAAAGACAGGCAATAACAAATTCTAGTGAGGATGTGGAGAAAAAGGGCCCTTCATACACTGTTGGTGGAAATGTAAATTAGTACAGCCACTGTGGAGAACAGTTTGGAGATTCCTCAAAAAAACAAAAATTGAGCCACCGTAAGATCCAGCTATCAATCCCACTGCTGGATATACCTAAAAGAAAGGAAATCAGTATATTGAAGAGATATCTGCACTCCTATGTTTGTTGCAGCACTGTTTACAGTAGCTAAGATTTGGAAGCAACCAAAGTGTCCATCAACGGATGAATGGATTAAAAAATGTGGTATATATACACAATGTCCTATAAAAAAGAATGAGATCCAGTCATTTGCATCAACATAGATGGAACTGGAGACCATTATGCT
Organism: Homo sapiens; assembly: GCF_000001405.40. Lineage (NCBI taxonomy): Eukaryota > Metazoa > Chordata > Mammalia > Primates > Hominidae > Homo > Homo sapiens. The sequence continues at coordinate 4,029,737 of NC_000009.12, read as the reverse complement.
AAGTGAAATAAGCCAGGCACAGAAAGACAAATGCCACATGTTCTGACTTATTTGTGGGATCTAAAAATCAATACAATTGAGCCCATGGAAATGGAGAATAGAAGGATGGTTACCATAGGCTGAGAAGGGTGGTGGGGGGCTTGGGAGGGGGACAGGCAGGGATGGTTAGTGGGTCCAAAAAAATAGAAAGAATGCATAAGACCTACTATTCAATGGCACCACGGTGTCACCATAGTCAATAATTTAATTGTACATTTTTAAATAAGTTTAATTGGATTATTTGTAACTCGAAGGATAAATGCTTAAGGGGACGGATAACACATTTTCCATGATGTGCTTATTTTATATTACATCCCTGTATCAACGCATCTCATGTACCCCATAAATATATACACCTACTATGAACCCACAAACATTTTTTAAAAATGATGGGGAGCACACATTTTGGTCTCGGGGGGAAAAGGTCTGCTGGAATTTCTAATCCTGAAGGGCAAATATTGTTACATTTGACTAGATGAGAGTTTCCAAAGTTTGTTTTCTAAGGATTCCAAGGGTTTCACAGGTAGTTTTTAAGGTATTGAGGAGGCTATCAGTAAGACTTAAATGTATTTTGGAGGAAATTACTGGTTTGTGTTTTAAGCTTGGGTAATGGAAACTACTTTTAGAATTAGATCTTTTTTTCTTCTTTCTACAAAATACACCTCCTTCTTCATCATCATCTTGGAGTAGTATGTCTACTTCTCAATCAAGGACCACACAGACAGCACATATAATGTATCTTACCACCTGAATGTGTAAGATTTCTCTGCTTGTTCAACAGTGTTTGCATAAGGAATAAGAGAAGGGAGGGAACCTAACAGTCCTGGCAACATTTATTACCTTTATTATCTTCACTGCTATCAATGTATGTATTTCTTTTTATGGCTTATTATCTCTTTGACTTAGCTCATTAGCTACAAATCCATATAAAATGTTCTGTATTTCCATTTGCCACTTGTATGTGCAGATCTAATTAAAATCTTACTCAATTCAAAAGCAGGAAAAAGTGATCTATAGTGTTGGGATTCAGTTAAGGAATTAGCATTGGGGAAAAATGGCTGGAATTGGGCACAAGGGGCTCCTGGAAGGCTATTGTTTTGTTTTTTGATCTAGGCTACACAGGTATGTCACTTTGTGAAAATTCAGTGAGCTTTACCTTTATGATTTATACTCTTTTCTATATGAATGTTATACCTCAATAACCATTTTACTGAAAAATGAAAAGAGAAAAGCCCTATTTCCTTCTCAGTGTCCTATATGCTCTTGATTTTAATATAAAGGCTGCGTGATTTGAGAAAATGGGAAATCCTTTGGTCCCAAGGAGAGAAGGAAACAAGATAATTGGTTTTTCATTAAGTAGCTCTTTATGAAGTAATGCATTATGCTAGATGTCTTACAAAATGCATGATCTCATTTGATCTTCACAGCAGTCCTGCGAAGTGATGTATGTTATCACCATCTTGCAGATGGAGAAACTGAGGCCCAGAAAATTTAAGATACGTAGGCTCCTATATGTGCATTGGAGTCAGGAATGGACCCTAGAAGTTGTCTAGCTTCAAAATTCTCTATGGCACGTGGTGTCTTTGTGACCTGGTTGATGTTCAATTACTATTTATTTAAAGGATGAATGAGTTACAGGAAGATAAGTACTATGCTGCCGCTGTAGTGGATCCGGGTTGCGCTGGTTTGGTCTAGCATACAACTTTGCATACAGGTCTCTTGGAATGGACTTGACGTGACTCTCACCCACTGGGTTCTACCTTGATCGAGGCTCTGAGCTGGCCTTCAGCTGGACAAAGCTGAGGGGGTTTAAGAGCCACTGACAGATTGATGGCCTATTAGCTGGAGCGTACCTCTCCTACGAGGGTTCCGCCGGGGCTGTCTGTTCTCATTTAGAGACAGGTGTCTGAATGCCTCGTCTGCCTGGAAACTGGCAGAAATAATGGACTGGTTAGGAGGCTGGATAGAACAGGATTCTAGAGAGCTGTCAAATGTGATTGCTGAAATGATTTCAGTATGAGCTTATCAGACTGTTTAGGAACAGAGAACAAGCACAGTACATGTTATTTATGGCATTCACACTCTTGCAGCTAGAAACAAAATATAGCATGTTCCAGGCTCAGATTTAAATTAGAATATTCTGGCATGCATGCACAGATTAACTGAACAATAGAATTGGGAGAAAAAAAGAGCCTCAAACCTAGATGAGGTGGGGGGAGTGAATATGTCTAATTTTACAGTGCATTTTGAAAATGTTTCAGTCCTCAAATGAACTGATTGTCCTTTACCAAATCTGGGAATGAGAAAAGCATCCTAGTATGTCCAATTGTGAACTATTTTAGCAAAACTCCTGCTGTGAATAATTGCTAAATTACACTGTTTGTGAATTACATTGTCTTCTTGTGCCTTAAAGACCTGGTTGGATGGATCTTTCAGAATCTTCTGCAGTCATTGTAGTGACGCTGAAATGGCTAAGCGTTGTTCAGTTAAATAAATGTGTACTTTTAGCCAGGTTGCTAACATTGCATCCCAGTGGATTGTTAACTACTGTGTGAGTGGAACTGATTACACTGCAGTCGGTCAGGTTGTGTTTGTGTCCAAAGGTTTGGCTCACATTTATTGCTGAGAGAAAGATGGGGCAGGGTTGACATGTAAAGGATCCCCATTGCTCTCTCCCTCTCCTTCTCCCTCTCCCACATGTGGCCTTAAATCATGAGACTCCATGGAATTTAGTGTCAGACAGTCTTAGGTTTGACTTCAGCCCCACCTCCTCTCAGGTGTGTAAGTTTTATCTTTGTTTCTCTCTTTTCATCTATAAGAGAGTAACACGACCTTGAAAGGATATTGTGAGGATTAAATGAGATCATATTTACAGTGTTTGGCCAATAGAAGTTAATTTTATCACTTTTACCTCTTTTTCCCCTGATAATTTGAATGGATAAAATGATATTGGTAGAAGTGCTTTAATGCATATCTTAAAAATAGTCCAATAAATATGCTTAAAGAAAAGAGATGTCAAAATATCTACTAGTTAGGTTTAGAAGTATATTATTTATCACAAAATGATCTGTGTTTTATTGAATTACTTTATTTTGAACTGCATTATGTATGCAGATGAATTTTTTTCCTTCTGTCTCATATATGTATACTTAGATAGATAGATAGATAGATTTTTTTCCTCCTTTTTGGGTCATCTCAAATGCTTTTTGGAAAATGGAGAACAATAAAGTTTAAAGTACATAGATTTTTATGCTTTTGTTGAGCTTTCATACTTCAGTGCATGTTAATGAAACTCATTGTAGGCATTGTTGCTTCATGATAACAGAAAAGCATTATTATTCAGATAGTACAATGATAAAAATAATTTGTGTTTGCTAGGAAAAAATTAATGGACCTATGTTTATATGACTTGATGATTGAGACTGGTCTGTAGTCTGTCTAATGACACTGTTTCTCAGTAAATACTACGTGGGTAAATCCACTCTCTTCAACTAAAACTGAGATAGCCACTGGAGTGTTGAGGGCCTCTTTGATTGAATACCTGTGCATTTATAATCTTGATGTTGGAAGAAAGCCTTTGTAGACTAATCATATAGTCTCAGGTTTTTTACTATTTATAATTAATAATGTTAATGTTGTAGGGATTATGATTAGACTCAAAGCATAGATTATGTTAGCAAATTTGTTCTTCCCTATCATGACTTCTACTTTTAAACATTACCTGTAGCATTTTGTCCTAATTATAATACAGAATAACCCAGGTCTCTTTCTCTATTATTTCTCAATAATCTATTGATTATTCCAGAAAAGAGAGCTATTTCATTTATAAAACTCCCCATGGGCAAAAACCATGATTTAAATACTGTTAGTATATTTCTTACCCCTGAATTCTTATGAATATTTTCTTTTGAGTTGATAATAAGACCTCTGTGGCCTATCCTCTGTCCTTAAAATTTTTAATAATTATGTGAGACTCATGATTAATTCTATCATGTGATCTAAAACATGGGCCAGGCCAGGCACAGTGGCTCACACCTGTAATCCCAGCATTTTGGGAGGCTGAGACGGGCGGATCACAAGGTCAGGAGACGCAGACCCTCCTGGCAAACATGGTGAAACCCCGTCTCTACTAAAAATACAAAAATTAGCCAGGCATGGTGGTGGGTGCCTGTAATCCCAGCTACTCGGGAGGCTGAGGCAGGAGAATCGCTTGCACCAGGGAGTCGGAGGTTGCGGTGAGCCAAGATCACGCCACCCCACTCCAGCCTGGCCACAGAGGGAGACTCAGTCTCAAAAAACAAACAAGCAAACAAATAAACCAACCAAGGGTCAAAGCGTTGTATATATGGTCTGATATCTAGAGGCTTTATTTTTCCGTCCATCCATTTGCTCATCCTTTATTTCAGCACATGTTTATTTGAGTACGTTCTTTTCTTTTCTTTTTTTTTTGAGACGGAGTCTCACTGTTGCCTAGGTTGGAGTGCAGTGCCGCCATCTTGGCTCACTGCAACGTCTGCCTCCTGGATTCAAGTGATTCTCCTGCCTCAGCCTCCCGAGTAGCGAGGATTACAGGTGTGCACCACCACGCTTGGCTAATTTTTTGTATTTTTAGTAGAGATGGGGGTCTCGCCATTTTGACCAGGCTGGTCTCGAACTCCTGACCTCAAGGTGATCTGCCCGCTTCGGCCTCCCAAAGTGCTGGGATTACAGGCATGAGCCACCGTGCCTAGCCTTGAGTATGTTCTATTACTCCTCACTGTGCTTAAGTGCTAGGGATCGAGTGATGAACACGACAGGCATGATTACTGCCCTGTGGAGATTACTGAACTGTAGGGGAGATGGATACCAATCTAAGAATCACAGATCTAAATTGGTCATATCTGTGATAAACAGGAGGAAGCAATCTAATCGGTGAAGTTGGGAAAGATTGTGACAATTGAGCTGTTATACAGAAGAAGAAGAATTAAGTAAATCTTGCCTGTAATCTTAAAAGTCCTGGCCTCTGTCTTTGCCCTGTGAATCGGTACAGTTTTATCAGCAATCAGGAAGAGCAGACCTCCTCCCATGCACTCCCTATGTTATGCGAGGCAACCTATCTATCATACACTCTGAGCTTCCCACCAGTAAATCATTGTGAAAAACAGGAGAAATGAAGAGACTGAGTTTCCTGGGCTTCATTTAGTTCTGCCCTAATTAGATTTAAGCAGTGGCCACATGGAGCAGCCCCATCTGTGTCTGCTACCTTGGCTGCTCCAAAAACTAATGGGGCTGATTCAAGAATAAGTGTGTTCCTACAGGGATGCAGAAAAAAAATAATAAATTCTATCCACACAGTCATTATCATGACCTTCATTTTGATTCTTGATGTGATGACAGCCGTATTTGCAGCTCGTACAGCCGTGATGCTAATTAGAATGGAAACACAGCACTTTGGATAAACTTCCTTTTTGAGAAGGTTTATTTAATTCACTGTACAGTCTCGGTCTGAACACCTGCAGACAGACTGGGGGGTTGCATGGATTTGACTGGCTATTAGAGAATTGCCTCGCTCTGGCTCTTGGCATTATCACTTTGGGAAAAATTAACTTTCATGGACTAAGCAGCACTATACAACTCTGCCTCTCAAACCACCTGTGGAGGAGGACCACTGTATTTTTTTTTTTGTTTTTTTTTGTTTTTCCTTCTTAATTTTATCCTCTATGAATGAAACATGGTCTTACTCTTCATGACTAGATTCACCACCCTTGTTTGACAACCCTGGATCCAGCCTATACCCTGTTTAACGAGCATTGAGGCCACCGATCACAGCAAAGTCAAAATGCTGTATGAGTTTTTAAACACTCAGTTTCTGTACTTACCTAATTGAGGGTCAGTAACAAAGTTTGTGAACCAGCACCCTCAGTCACATGGATAAAGGCTTCTGTCTCATTGCAACAGGAAGGAGAGGAGATGGGAGCAAACCTAGAGCTGCTAATTCTTGCTGGTCTCTGACCTCTTGTGGGATGAGCTCTGTGTTGACACCTTCTTTCCCCTTATCCTTTGTCTTGTAGAAAACCTGAAAGTTCAAGCACACAGGATTGCACTTGGCTTTCAGAAGCAATGCTCGCTCTGTGGGCCACAAAATCTAACACGTCTCTTAACACGAAAAGGATTTTGGAAAAGTTCTGAGACTTTCTTGCAGGTGATTTTTCACCCACCGTCTGGAGTTTTTGGCAATCTTTATATGTTTAGGAACAAAAGCAAACATTTCCTTGATGACACTTTTTTGGGGTCTGATGGCCAAGCTAGCAGGCTCACTCTAGATTGTGTTCCAAGGGTTTCTTTGGAAAACAATAAAAAATAGCAGAATGGGGTTTTGTTTAAATTTTCTGAATACTTTCCCTGCCTAATGCTGTGTTGGGTACTGCACAGGACTTAAACTAAAAAGGAAAATTTGTTCTTGAGTACCAGGAACTTAGAATCTAAAACAGATAATGCAGATAGCTCAAACCATGTGTAGCACTGGGTAAGGACTGGCCACTTAAAAAAATTTTTAAGTATATTTTTAAAAAAGATTTGATCACTGGAGTTCAATATGTAAATGCGTACAAACCTATATAATTTGTTTTCAAATATGTTGAAGTTTTATCTGTGTATAGTAAATTACATTCTTTTAGAGAGAGAATGCAATGGGATTTGCAGCTGTGTACCTCCGTGAAATCACCACCATAAACAAGACAACAGAGAGAGCATTTTTATCACCTCCAAAGTTGCCTCATGTCTCTTTTTTATCCAGTCTTCTTTCAGCCCCTGGCCCCAGACAGCCGCTGATCTGGGTTTTGTCACTGTAGATTAGTTTGCATTTTCTAGAATAAATGGTATCATATAGTGTATACTTTCTTGTGTCTGGTTTCTTTCACTACCGTAATCACCTTGGGATATTCATCCATGTTGTTGCATGTATCAGTAGCTCATTTCTTTACCTTGTGGAATACTGTTTCACTGGGTGGATGCATACTGTATTTTGTTTATCCACTTCCCTGTGGGACCGTTTCCAGTTTTTGACTATTGTGAATAAGAAGTCCATGAACACTTGTTTACAAGTCTCACTGTGGACAGATGTTTGCATTTCTCTGGGGCAAATTACTAGGAATGAGATGGCTGGGTCATAGGGTAGGCTTATGTTTAACTTTTTAGGGAATCAGGACAGGGCATTTTTGCTAAATCCAGCCACCAAGCAGTGCATACATATTTGCATTTTAGAAAGTTTAATATTTTTTGCATAAATGGATAGAACCAGGTTGGGGACTGGATAAGGATTTTTCCATTAAAAACGCATGCTGAAAATGTGCTTTTATAAAATATGCTCTTAAAAAGGGGGAAAACCTAAAATATGAATGGAGTGAATTATAATCATCAAGGTATCAAACCAAGCGCAGGACCTGAGATGTAAGCTGTAGCATTTCCTAGCCATGCAGTGTGCATCAGCTGCTTAATCTCTCTAAGGCCTCTTTTTGCTTACCTGTGAAATAGGGATGATATTAGTGGGCTGACATTTTAGCAGGCTGCTGTAAGAATTAAATGAGAAATTCTATCTAATGGTCCTAACACAATGCCTAGGCATAGCAAGTCTTTAGACATTAAGTTGTCACCACCTGTCTTATATTTAGGGAGGGATTTGATTAAACCATCTGAGAAGTGCCTAAGTGCTTTGGAGACTAAAAACAAACAAACACACTAACCGAGCCGCTATTTAACATGTTTTGTTTGTGACTGTGTGTGTCTGGTTTCTACTCTTTGGCTAAGGAGGGTACCCAAATAACCGCTGGGGGAGCTTCAAATGTTAGAGATATGTTGTGCCCGATAAACTGAAAAAACTATTGCTTTGTGAATTCCCCTGGTGAAGCCCAGCTGGTCACATGCTGGAAAAATTTCAGGAAGCTTGGCAAGTGTTTTTGCAGCTTGTTTCTGACAGAATACCTGGATACTTCTTAGAGCTAGCTCAAGGAAAGTCTCTAAGCCCCAAGGTATCCCAGGAGGAACGGTGGCAGTAACCTCATTCTGTTAAGTGCAATGTTATATTAATTGAAAATGAGGTTCTACCAGTGTTCAACTGTTGAATAGGAAAGCTGACTAATGTACAATGGATGCTTATATTTGTAAAGCACAAAATAAAGAGAATTTACCCAAGCCTTGAAGTTACCACATATCAAGCAGATATGAAGCTACAGATTGCCGTATTCTGTGATGATTTGCTGTGTATAGGATACAATCTTGTCTCTACCTGATGGTGGCATTAACTTATTAAACTAAACATTAGTTAGCTAAGTTTGATTAGGATAGGTTTTGCAAAGGACCATGAGAAATCTCTTATTCAGTTGCATCAAAACCACATATAAAATGTTATAAATCATTTAAAAATGAATATGAATTATTGATTCAGGTTTGTTCTTTGATAGCCCACATTATGTGGTTTGAACCATCCTCCAAAGTTGGTTTTTATCTCTAATGTAGTGTCATATAGTGTGTATACACATATACATATACATATACATATACATGTACAGATATTATAGCATACTATAGTATATACACTTTGTATGATGTAGTAAAATGCTGAGGTGACAGTTTCAGAGACTTTCTGAGCTCTTTGAGGGACTTATCCAAGAACTGCAGATGCTCAGTTCCTGTTAGTCTTGAACAAGTCCTGCATCTGAACTGTGTCTTTTTCAATCCCTAAGACCGACTACTTTCTCTAGCGCATAGAAGTCTCTGTGCTGCTCTATTTTTGGAACTGTGTGCAGGTGGAAGTTGATTTGTGGTGAGTGTTACTGTGGCTGTGATCAGGAGATACACGACCAGTATCATTTGCTTACGTCAGGGTGGCAGCAAGAGAGAATTTGAAACACAGTCCTCCATGTGTGCTGCTGGTAATTATTTGCTTTGTTCTTGCAGCTCGACACTAATTCTTGTAGTATCAGACATTTATAATCTGACACCGTGTAAATAATTGGGAGAAGTCTAAAATGCATCTCATAGCTGGAAGCTCAGGCTTTTACTGCAAAATCTGTTACATCTCAAGATTAGAACAAAGGTGAAAAGCCTGATGACAGAATCCATGTCACTGCATAAGTATGTGGTTTATGCCTCTTAGATTGCACATAAAGCCAACCTAACTGGTTGAAAGGATGAAAAACACATCATGCTCTTATACTAAGCAAAAGGGTTGGTGAAATTTTTTCAAATTGACCAGGTGTTTGGGTACGATGTAAACGCAAGCACTCAATGAACAGCATGCTTGGTTTGAGAGGGGCCTTGACAACCCACATCTCTGCCAGGAAGAGTGGCAGTGTGCTCACAGCACCCAAGCCTTTTTTGCACCAGTCTTAAGAAAAAAACAAAACAAAACAAAACAAAAAAAACAAAACAAACAGAACTTTCCCTTAAGTTACCCTCCCCTTTTACAGCCATTCCTACCACAAGGGCAGCTGTTCCTGCTGCACACCAGGAGGAATGCCCCTGACTTAGCTTCCTTGCATGGGCTGTTCCCTTTGCTTTGAACTCTCTTCTCCTGTTACCCACTTTCTGACTCTCTCACCTCCTTCAAGGCTTTTCTCAGACGTCACCTTCTCCATAAGGTCTACTGTTAACATTGTATTTAAAATTGTAGGCTAGGTGCAGTGGCTCATGCCTGTAATCCCAGTGCTTTGGGAGGAGGTGGATCACTTGAGGCCAGGAGTTCAGGACCAGCCTGTGTAACATAACAATACCCCGTCTCTACAAAAAAAATTTATATGTTAGCCAGATGCTAATTTTTTAAGTGGCATGCACCTGTAGTCGTTGCTACTTGTGGGGGACTCGTGGTGGCCTGAGGCAGGAGGATTGCTTGAACCCAGGATTTCGAGGTTACAGTGAGCTGTGATTGCCCCACTGCACTCTAGCCTGGGCAACAGAGTGAGACACTGTCTCTAAAAGTAAATAAATAAAAATAAAAATAAAATTGCAGCTGGCATCTTCCCATGAGTCTCACATTGTCGATCTCCCTTACCCTACTCTAATTTTTCTTTTCTTTTCCTCCATAGCACTTATCTGTGTGTAGCATGCTATAGGCTTTACTTATTTACTATGTCTCCTGCCTGTTGTTGATTTCCCCTGCCTTTCCTCTCCACTGCCCTCTCTGAGAGCAGAAGTCTTCGCTGCATTGTTCACTGACAGTGCAAGTGGCACATAGTAGGCACTCAATACATATTTGCTAAGTGAGCATATTTATGGTGTGAGTGCTGAAAAAATATACATAGTGGGTGGTACAGCTGCCAAACAGTGAGGCTGTGTGATATAATCACAGATCTACATGTGGTGTCTATTCCTACCTCTGTATTTCTTTGCTGGCTCTGTGATGTCAGGCAAATGACTTAACCTCCTGGGCCACCATTACCTTCTAATGATCCTCGAGGATGATTGTGAGGGACAAAGGAGTCACAAAGATGAGAGCACCGTTTAAACTTTAAACGCCATTCCATAAGAACTTCCATCTTTTGTTATCAAGCTTTAATGTTCCAAAGAGTGAACATTCTTTATATTTTCATCTAATTCCTAACCCCATCCTTCATCCCGCATCAAATGGATTGAACTAGTGTTCATCAACTTCCTGCTTAATGACACTGTGCCAGGTGCTTGACTCACGTCACCTTCTTGCCCCTCACCAGCCCTGCGTGAAGTGACTGCTGTTACCTCATGCCTTAATAGGACTTCGAGACCCAGAGGGGGCACACAGAGTAAAATACCTGGAATTTGAACCTCAGCCTGTCACATTCAAAGATTATTCACACTTGCTTTTCTAAGCGAGAACACAGGATCTTTCTTTTCTAGTCAGGGAAAACTGGTCTCATTAGCTTGTCCCCATTTATATTCTTTCCCTCCATTGCAGTGATTCCCAAGGGGCATGGATCAGAATCACTGGGGAAACTTTCTTTTTCCAAGTGTGTATACCTGCCTTCCAGGGGATTGGGCATCACTGACAAAGCTGTTCCTAAGGGACTATCATATCTCAGAGTTTAGGTGGAACGCAGTTGAGAACCATTGCTCCTTTGATTTGGAAACTACTCTGTGTCACCCTCCGCAGCTTTTCCCTTCTTGAAACCCACTAACCCCAGTCAAGATCCCAGTGATAGCCAAGAACCTGTGAAGCCCCTTACCTTTTCTTCTGTTTAACAGGGTTAATTTAATTCCAAAGATGATAAACAATGACTTGAAAAGTACACCCCAAGTGTTCCTTTAGTTTATGGGAAACAACCAGCAAGAGAAGTAATTCATCTTGCTTTCTTCCTTAGTGACTTCTCTTTCAGCTGTGGGTTCTGGGGACAGATATGTGCATCCCTGCCCCGAGGCTGCCAGAGCCAGTCCTGTGTAACCAAGGAGAGAGGATAAAGAAGCAGAGCCTAGAAGTTATTTCTAAACCTCACCCTAATTGCTCATTTTATATTCAGTTCTCCTCCTGTGAGGATGTGACAAAGGCCTAGCAAGCAGTCAAGTTGATTTCAGTTTTCCTACCTCCTTTCCTTTCTTCCTGCCTTCCTTTTCAGATGACTTTATAATTGTGATTCCTTTATCGGAAGAGTTTTGTCTCTCTTTCAATCCAAGATTCGAAAATGCACGTGTTTATGAGGATTATCACAGCACTGAGATGTAGTTGTGTTTTATTAGAAGTAGGTTCCCCAGTAAGGGGCTGGGCCTTGGGACAAGGCCTGCCCCCTTGGCTGGTAGGGAAGTTGCCATATTAAAAAGACATTAGTTTCAATCAGCGTGGTCAATTCATCTCACAGTCCTGCTGCCCATATTCCAATTACATACTGAACTGACTGACCTTTGCAATCACACAGCTTCTGCTGAATTCTTTTCATCAGAGACTTAGTGCCCGTCCTTCAATATTGTTGAAAAACTACCACTTTGGAAGCATGTATTTTTAGGAGGGGTATATCCCCTGCACATTCTTGGATTTCTCTACCAACACTCTGATACCAGGCTATGCATCCTGGGTTCTATCTTTGTCTGTGACTCTTCTCCTCCTGAAAATCCCCACAAACTTAACTGTGTGTCTAAACCCTCGCCACCTTTCACAGCCTCTCTCTGATCATCTCTACTCTGGGAAGACTTCTAAGACTACTTCTGCTCAAAGAGAGATGTCTCCCTTCTCCAGTTGCTTATGTTTGCCTGGTTTCTATCCCTCATGTGACATTTGTATACTGCCTTGTATTACGCGCGCTCATGTGTGTGTGTGTGTGCACGCAAGCTTCCACAGATTGCCAACTTCTTGGACAGTGTATCTTTTGTCTACTTTGTATCTTTTGCATTCAGCACCCAAATTACATCTTGTGTTGGTTGAAGAAGGACATGCTGCTTGCTATTCCTGCTGCAGAGTATAGACTAGTCAATGAACAGTTAAACCACTCTGACTAATTATAGTTATTTGTCTAGAACTAAACCAGCATCTCTCTTCACCTAAGAAAATGCCTAGCCAACGTACAGAGTCATATACAAAGCCAGTCTGTAGTAAGAACTGACCTTTGCAGATATCTGGGTGGCAGTGTGGTGGGAAGAAGTCTAGAAAAATGTAGTGGTTTCTGAAAGAGAAAGGTTTGCAGAGAATAAAGGCCAAACTGCCCTTCTCAGAAGCACTCAGGACCAGATGACAGGCACATGATGGCCGATTGAATGGTTGTTCCTGGACATTGAAAGCATTTTGCAATGTGATTGTTCGGCTTGTGGATCGGGTGTCAGAAAATCTCTTGGGCTGCGTTACCCAAGAGTGAGACCTCAGCAGTTCCTTGTGCCGTTTAAGTGTTTGTGTTCACTTTAGTTATCATCTGATCATATGCCAGCTGGTAATAGGATTGTAGTGGCTTTGCCCAACAATGGAGTCCTAAAAGAGCTGAGAAAACCTGACAGATTTGGTGAGTGGCAGAATCCTTAGATGTCTCATTTAATGCTGGGTGATTTAGTGCATCCATGTGGAGGAGTGTTTTCAAGTCCACATCAGAGCAGAGCAATTGTGGAAAGACATCAGAGCCTTCCCTGAATGAGATGGCATGAGTGGGCAAAGGCAGTTATTGCAAACAAGCTCAGAAATCTCAAGGCAGAGGAGTTGCATTGTTTTTCAGCATTGGGGAACCTCTCTGTCACCTCACATGAAATCTTCTGAAATGCCCCATTGGCATTTCTGAATTGATGTATTATGTCGAGCTCATCAAGTCCCTTTGTTCTGTTTAGAAATGTATAATTCTTCTTATTTACTTAAATGTAGAATAGAAATGAGAAAGTAAAGGAATCACAAAACTTAAGGTCCCACTATGGAAAGAAAATAAGACAGCTTGGCCAGGAGCTCGTTTTAAGAAACAAAGGGAATTTCAGTAGTTTTGGAGTCTTCCTGACTTCATGGTTAGACTCCATATAATAGAGCTTCAGATGTCCAAGGCTTTTTATGAGATGACAGTGCTATGTGGCCATTGACTTTCTGGGTGAGGGGTGTTTGGGATTAGCCAGTCATTCACTCACTCAGTTTACTTTGAATGTAATGAACTTGGAGTGGAAAACATGACCCATTTTGGATTACCATTTGATGACTTATGCAGAGAAGAAATACTGTGTGTAGGACAGTTGTAATAGTACTATACGCTTAATAGCCTTCCACAAACAACCTTTGAATTCCACAGGCATGTATAATTGAGACAATTTATTAGCTATACAGTATTTACCAAATTCCTATTTATGACGGCCAGGTTGGTTATGACGGTTGTTGTGGAGGAAAATCTTTTTTTTTTTTTTTTTTTTTTTTGAGACAGAGTCTCGCTCTGTCACTCAGGCTAAAGTGCAATGGCGTGATCTCAGCTCACTGCAACCTCCGCCTTCTGGGTTCAAGCAGTTCTCCTGCCTCAGCCTCCCAAGTAGCTGGGATTACAGGCGCCCGCCACCACTCTCGACTAATACTTTGTATTTTTAGTAGAGATGGGGTTTCACCTTGTTGGCCAGGCTGGTCTCAGACTCCTGACCTCAGGTGATCCACCTGCCACAGCCTCCCAAAGTGCTGGGATTACGGGCGTGAGCCACCACACTTGGCTGGAAAATCCCTATTATTGTTGTTGAACTTCTTTTGTAGACAAGATAGATATAACTTCATATTTGGGATGGGAGGATGGGAGAGGGTGTTCTCAGCTTCATGAAAGGTGAAAGTTTTCAGATAGCATGTTATAATATTTCTAGGGTAGACATAGTTCTGTGCATGCTGCAAATGAGAGTTTCCTCTGTCTTTTTTAGACTGTAAATATTTTACAGGTAACATCTCATTAACATTTTGTGAAAGAACCATGACATTGTCTTACTTTGGTATGCGTTTCCAGGAAAGGCAGTGTAGAAGAAAGAAGATTGAGGAGAAGGTTAGACTCTTTACCTGGGCAATTCTCTAATGCTACCAATTTATCCCCTCAAACACCCCCTTCCTCACATCCCTGCACACACGGCCTTCCATGCCATGGTCAGCTAATTCTAATATATCTTTCAGATTTCCTTTCAAATGTCACTTTCTCATGGACACTTTATCTAATCCTCAGGTTAGGTCAAATCCACATGTGCTCTTATTGGACACTATGTTTTCTCTATAGCTTTCACTTTACTAGCAGTTAAATATTTGGTTGTGTAAATAATGGTTTATTATCTATCAATTCTTTTAGAATGAAAGTTCCATGAAGGGAAGGGTCTGTCTTAGTGTTCTTTAATCATTTCCAGAGTCTGGCGCAGTGACCTCAGAAAGAGCTCAGTGAATGTCGAAAGGAATGAAAGAACCAGTGAGTGAATGGTTGAATTGTCCTAGCTCTGCCAGTATTCAGCCCTGTGACATTGGGTAAGCCATTCAAGTCTCTCCAGGTGTGAGTGTGTACATCTGCACTTTGAAGGCATTGGACGAGGTGATTTCTGTACTAGTTTCCTGTGGCTGCCCTAACAAAGTACCCCAAATTGGGTGGCTTAAAACAAATCTATTCTCTTTCAGTTCACAGGCTAGAAGTTTTCAATCAAGTTCATGGGCAGGGCCATGCTTACATTGATGGCTCTAAGGAAAAATCTTTCCTTGCCTCTTCCTAGCTTCTAATCATTGCTGGCAATTCTTGGCATTTCTTGGCTTGTAGCTACATCACTCCAATTTCTGCCTGCATTTTCACATGGCCATCTTTCCTCTGTATGTCTTTGTGTCTCTCCTCTTCTTATAAAAACACCATTCATTTTGCATTAAGGGCCCACCCTACTTCAATATGACCTCCTCTTAACTGATTACATCTGCAGAGACTCTATTTCTAAATAGGGTCAAATTCTGATGTCCCCAGTAGACATGAACTTTGGCAGTGGTAGGGAGGGGGTGGACACCATTTAGCCCAGTACAATTTCTAAGGCCACTTCTCAGTTTTCTGATTCTGTGACTTAACCTTCTGCAGTTCTTTTCTCCCATATTCAAGGCCCCATTCTCTCCACACTGGTTTTAGAAACCTTGTAGGTTTCATTGAGGCCAAATCCAGCCATTGGTTTTGCCACCAGAAAGGCAAGTATCAAAGCTTACTGGCTGAGAGAAAATGTTGAGTTCATGCGGGTTATCTTGATTCTTGGGCCACATGTGAAGCCTCTTCTGCAATTTGTCTGCCTTTCATTTTTCAAGGCTCTCTCAGAATCACGGTGAGCCACGTGGTACCATTGCATGAAGAAGTAAAAGGCACTCCCCTGTCTTTGGGATTTGAGCATTCTTGTGCTGAAATACAACCTGCCCAACTGTACATGAAGGGCCTAGCCTCTCTCAATTCCTGACAAGTGCTACCTGGACTTAATGTTCATGTGCTTTGCCTCGTCCCTTCACAGTTGGATCATCCAGATTTTATCTCCTACCTAGCCTGCCTGTGACAATACTAATTCATGGAGGAGTTCTGCCCCTCAGACTCTATTAACTCAAGACTTCCTCTTGCCACTGAAAGATCAAGCACTGACTGGAAAAGTGAAGAAAAGGTGGCCTAGTACTTTCTACCCAGAGAATAACTTAAGCCAATAATAGTATCTCTTGAGCCCTCCTGTGTTCTACATTTGATAGAGAAGCCAAATGAACACTTAGTGAAGTCCTGCTCTGTGCTAGGCCCTGTATGCAGGCTATAAATGTATAGATGTGTATGCAGATTAGTCTTTTATTCATATTAACTTCTTTAAATGCTACAGTCATATAGAATGAAACAATGAATCTCCAAGGACAGACAATTGATTATATCATAAGAAAGTATACCTTGAATCTTAACATAATTATTACAGCTTCCTTGGATATTGGGAATAAAAGTCACAACAAACCTTTAAAAAAGAAAATATACAAGGAAGACAGAGAGTTTGCTATGGAAGCAGTATTTAAGCTCATAGGCTGTCTAAAAGTCTGTCACGTAAGTCTTTAAGCTGCTTAACGTCTGTAGTGGCTCTTCCTCTGGGAAGTGGATGCACTGGTTTTTGGGAGGTTGGGGATGTGGGATGTCACGGGCCACCAGAGAACCCAAATTTCCTTACAGGCATCACCAACAGCTACACTGTCACAGAGAGCTGAAGATGCCCAAAGGATACCACATTTTTGCTCTATTTCCATATAAGAAACCAGAGACACCTGTAATCCCAGCACTTTGGGAGGCTGAGGCAGGAGGATCACACGAGGTCAGGAGTTTGAGACCAGCCTGGCCAACATGGCAAAACCCCGTCTCTACTTAAAATACAAAAATTAGCTGGGCGTGGTGGCGGGCACCTGTAATCCCAGCTACTCTGGAAACCGAGGCAGGAGAATTACTTGAACCCAGAAGGTTGAGGTTGCAGTGAGCTGAGATTGTGCCGTTGCACTCCAGCCTGGATGATAAGAGCAAAACACTGTCTCAAAAAAAAAAAAAAAAAAAAAAAAGAAAAAGAAAAAAAAGAAACCAGAGATATGTGAAGATCTAAGATGTGAACAAATAGAAGGCAAAGATCAAGAGAGATGGTGGCTAGGGTCCACCGGTCCCCACATTTCCTGGCAGCTCATAAAAGAACATAGTGGTTTTCACAAAAATGTATGGAAGAATGTTTTTACACACTAGTCCAACAGAAACATGAATCACAGTGTCCTCAAGAAATTGCTTGAATATCTAAAAAGCACCAAGGAAAAGTTTATGTGCCCAGTGTCCTTTACAAAATTATTGGAAGGAAGTTAGAAATGATCATTGACTGTTTTTTTTGTGTGTGTGGGTCTATTTTTTTCCCCTGATACAGGTAAAAAAAGACATATAACCATCACCGAAAAGAATCTGGTTTGCTAGATGTTCTATATTGGTTCTTCAAAATGTACATTGACTACTTTTAACCACACTCTTCCAATACCTAATAGAAATTCATCGGTTTGTTTATTCACCAGGCATTTATTGATGTTGCTCATGCCAGGCATTTTGGTGCCTGCTGTAGAGACATCTGAGCTATGGAAAACACTGCCCCATACTTGCATTGTTTGCAGCCTAATGAGTAGGTATGAAGAGGTAATGGGATGGTGGTTTAGCCCCTATACTTAAGAAATTTCTCTGAATAGCACATAGAAAAGTTAGAAGGGGTTTTGTTGTATGTTTTACATTTTTTTCTTTCTTCCCATGATGTTTGTTTTACGGGAAGGCTTTCTGCAAACGGAAGAAAGATCTCAGTGCCTCTAATACCTCCCCCTCCCCTGTCACCTTTCTGACTTCTGATGCCAAAAGTAATCGTTTTTAATGAGAATTCTCAACCATAGCAGTCTGACTTTTGAAAGCAGTGCTGGAAAGAGAGACCAATCTCTTGGCGGGTATGTCAAAACAATAAAAAAAAATGTTAAGAGCAGATATGCCCAGTTTCCCATGAATACCTAGAGTTTCAGGAAGGGTAGAATCAAATGAAAATGAAGTGTCAGAGTAAGGTGTCTGGCCTACCAAAGCAAACTGGCCAGATGAAAGTAATTTACCAAAAATCAATTAGAAAATAAAGATCATAGGGCAACTCCCTCCTATTCAGTGAGGTTAGCTGGACTAGAGACGGAAGGTCCAGGGCAGTTCGCCACTATTCAGCAGGTAGATGGGCTGCCAGGTCTTAGCTCAGGCAGCTTTGTATTCTAGACCCTTTGTGAATGGGCTGCCCGTACATCTCTGTGAATCAATGAGGGTACCGTGCACACCACACAGTCCAACATCTGTTCCCCAAGGCCTTGCTAATAGGACCTAAGACACTCAGGCCACTGAATGCCGAGTGCCTCGTAACAAAACACATTTCTATGTTCTCTTTGTCTTCTGGTCATTTGCTTCTGTTTTCATCTTCCATTTTACCACAAACTCCTTGAGGACAGAGACTCTGCTTCTTACTCACCCTGTTCTCTCCCCTGGGCCTGGCAGATGACTCTTACAAACCCGATTCTCCAGTGCCACACCTCAGCAGCTGCTTGCCACCCTCTTTGTACTCTGCGCACACGTTATTTATTTGAACATCTGCTGTAGCGCTTCCTATGCATAAAACTGGCATGCATTTTGGACTCTGCTTTTACTAAAGGGATTTGCAAATAGGGTGTTTCAGAACCTCAGGATTCTACAAGTATGGGGAATAAAATGTAAGTGAGTGGTCAGTCCATCTACCTCCACTCCCCGCTGAGCTCCTATCCATCTTGAGTAGCTCAATTTTAACCTATTTTCTCTTTTGCAATTTTTTAAAAATAAATGTTCTACTCTAAGTACATCCATACACATGCATGCGTATCTACATACATACCAGTGCGTGATTACTCCCAGGAACATTTTCCTAACGGTAGGACTTTGGAACCTCCATCAGGTTCATGGGTTCATACGTCAGAGTTTGGTGTAGAACACAGGACCCACTCTAGGTATTTGATGCACAAAGAGATTTAGTAAAATTATGCCTTACAGAACTATTAGAAGGGCTGGTGGAGCATGGGACAGGGAAAACTGTATCTGGCTTTCTGAAGATTAGGAGGCTACAGAAATCAAAGGAAAGAGCCACAGATGATCTCAGCCACTTATGACACCAAAGCAGGCGATTTTCACGGGAAAGTCTGGAAGCTGAGGCAAATTTCATGTCTGTTCTTTCACACGGTCCTGCCTGCTATTACCAGAGAGGAATTGTGGCTTCTTCTTCACTTCTGCTTTCCAATTTGTACACAGATGCCTCTCAGTGGTAGACCATAACCTGGAGCCCTGCAGTAAGGGACTTGGAGATATGGAGTATTCCTGGGCTTCTAAAGGGGAGAGGAATGCTAACTCTGGGCCAGTCTGAGGGCTTTGCCTGTAGGAAATAAATTAATATTTGCAACTGTCCTGTAAAGTGATTGATGTTATCATCTTCCCATATTGCAACTGAAAACGCTGAAGCACATCAGGTCGAATAACTTGGCCAAGGTTATATGTCTAGTAAGTGGCAGAGTTGGGATCAAGAGTCCAAGCCATCTGGGACCCAAGCCTGTGCTCTTGACCTCTATACCTGTGGCTCTCCATTGACAGCTATTCTATCTATCTTGTTACCCCTGCCCTCACCCCACCCCGGGGGAGATCCCTGGAGATATTTTTGATTGCCACAACTCGGAGGGTGCTATTAGAGTCTAGTGAGGAGAGGCCAGGGATACTGGCCCCCCGCCACAATGAAGAATTATTTAACCCAAAATGTCAACAGTGCTGACGTAGAGACCCCATGCTCCACACTCTGCTGAGCAGTTTGGCAGAGGAAAACTTGGGAGCAGAAGGGACTATTGAAAGCCCCTACTACTTGAGAGCCTCCTTTGTGTCCTATGACCGGGGCGGCCAGACCCCTCCTCAGACCCTGCCTCTATCTGCATAAGGGACCACTTCTGCATGTGCAGTGAATCCACGTGGACCTGCCCAGGTTGGAGGGCAGGAGGCTTTTCCTGTGCCTGAGGCTGTCAGATCCCTGAATGTTCAGCCCACCGCTCTGGTGGTGCCTGACATTTGTTTCAGATGCACCTTATTGCCTCTTGTTTCTCCTCTTTGCTCTTCTGGAACTGCCATTCTTCTGCCAAACGTAACACAGAGTCTTGGGGAGCATTAGAACAACCTTTGGCTCTAACCATGGCCCCAACCACCTGGCCAGCAGGAATGTGCTGCTGCCTCCTTCCCCCAGTCCCCAGCACGAAACTGGTCCCAGTTCTGCTCTCTGGTGGGAAGTTATGTGGAGGGCTGCAGGTCTCAGGGCCGGGGCCATGGCTGCACCTTGCTGGCCAGCAGGGATGCCGCCCATCTTCTTGAGTGGCAGCTGGCGCCTGTTACACGTGTCCTGGTGGTGTCTCTGTTGGAAATGAGGAGTGATCTGTGCCAGCTGGCTTGTCGGCTGTCACAATAAACAATAAGCATGAACCACCTTGTGTCTGCAGCACAGCTGAGGGGCTGTCTTTGCACACGGGCTGTGCGAGGGAGGTGGGCAGCCTCCTCATGCTCCGTGTGAGCAATTTTCATTCTGTTGTTTTCTCTTGCACATGGCGTTCAGGAACGGCTCTGGAAGGAGAGAGAAAGTGAGCAAGACTGACTCAGTGTTTGAACTTAGATTCTATGACATTAATCTATAAATGCATCATTTTCTTTTGAGTAAGAGAAGAGAAGGAATATCGGAGGGTCAAGTGGATGAGTTGCATGTGTGGCTCCGGTTCAGGAATGCATCTCTCTCATGCACTGCAGAAAGCCAACCTGTGAAGAACACATGCTGTAGTGGAAAGAGCCCTAGGCTGTGAGTTAGGGGACCTGAATTTTACTTCTGACTCTGCTGGGTCAAGTGCATAACCGTGTTATGCACCTCACTTCTCCTCATCTCCATTTCCTCACCTATAAAAGGTGGATGTTGGAACAGAGTCATCTCTAAAGTTTCTTTCAACTCTAAATGTCACTGGCTTTAGAGTTCAATTGGTGGCATTTAGACCAGGGTCAGAAGCCTCCAGATTCCCAGCCTGTGGCTCTTTTTATGTCACAGAATTCACATAAGCAAGCACATGGGGCATGTACTTTGTGAGTTGCTCACAGTCTAGGTGGGGAGATGAATACAGAGTCTTCTGAGAGTCACCAGCTGGCCACAGAAATCAACTTTTGCCCCTCTGTTAAAAGATGTCAAGCTAAGGATAAGGGAACACCTGGAGGTATGTCACCTACACAGAATTCTGCAAGCCCTGCTTTGTTTACCTAGGGGTCTTAGTAGGGGCTGGATTTTGAATGTACACTGGGAGCATTTTGAACAAACACATTCTGTCCTCCTCTTCACTTTGGTGCAGAATGAGGGCAGGGAAAATGGCACTGGCCACTCTGGGACCAGTGTTCTTACTGGGGGCTGATGGATATTTCTGAGCCTGCCTGAGATGCCAGACTTGTCATGGCCAAGCGGTTCAGGGCCACTAAACAAATATAATTTTAGGGCCTACTCTGAGCTAAGCAGGATGTATTGCTGGGACTGTGGAAATGAACCTCAGGGATCTTATAGCATCCCTCTGAGCTGTGTAAAAACTAGGCCAAGCCCACTCTCAGCCACTCTCAGGCCTTTTATGGTCAACAAATATTTCAGGTACTGGGAACATTTGTTAGATAAGTTTAGATAGAATCTAAGAAACTGTGGAATTAAGGCCTTTCTTCAGGCCAGGGGGAGCTTAGGTGCAGAGGGAGTGTGGATATGCAACCCTGGTGTACACAGAGAAGCACACTGACAGAAGACTGGCTTTTGGGCTCAAGGGCCCAAGCTATCTGGAGTGATAAGAGACTGGAGTAACCCCCCCCCCCCAACGCCCACCCACCCCCGCCCGACCTGCCATGGGTATTTGGAGGTAAGCAATAGTCTTACGAATGTCTGTGATTGCTACCCAAGTCCTGATCCTTCCAAAGCAAGAGAGCACATATGTACTTCTTGATTTATGTGCTCCAGATACACTTTCTTTTGTAATTACATTTGTGTGTGTGATCTTTCCTTTATGTATTTCTTATGTGTGTATGTGTGCCCATGTGTGCCTACAAAAATTGGTATATTTCATCAGTTTCTTTTTCAGAGTATCTGAAATTCTACCATCAGATGTGGATTATTTTGGTGTCTTTAGGCTTTTTTCTTAAATTGTTGATGAATCCCCATTGAAATTCCAGCTATCCCTGAGATGGTTAGTACCATATTTCTTTTTTAGCTGACATTTTAGCAAAGATTGATACATCTCTTCCCTGTGGCAGAAAATGGAGAGGAAGACATTCAGAAAGAGGGATGTATCTGGTACCAGGGTAAGGAAGGGGACCTTGAACCAGGAAGAGGGAGAGGGATAAAGAGAGCTTTGGACTTCATTTCCCTCTTCAGCCTGAGGTGTGGGGGCAGAGAAAGATGGGGTAAAAGCTCAGATCTCTACTGTCCAATCAGAAGGAAGGCAGCCAGGGCTTTTTGCTACTTTTCCTAATCCTGATGTCCCCCCTATTTTAGGGGCTTCTGAGGCTGGGCAGCACCAAGCAGGCTCAAGCACGGCTGAACCAAGCACTGTGACCCTGTTGGGTGTTTGGATGTGCAGTGGGTATCCTGGGCTTCTCTCCTATTAGTCTTTTCTTCTAGAAAGATGAGTTGAATTCTTGGTCTCCAGGCTTATTCCTTGTAAACAAGAATTTCCGTGTCAGTCTCAGTAATGCTTAGATCACCAATATATCATCACTTCATTTTGGCCAACAGCAAAATACCTCAATGACATTGTGCCTTGGCTGTAATCTTTGCTTCTTCCCTAGACAGCTTGCATCCAGGACTTTATGAAACATCTGTCACCTTGTAGCATTGCTGAGTACAGCAGCACCGTAGGAGTTTTTGATAGAACCGTTCCTTCATCCTTACATTTAGCTTTTACCATTACGGAAATCTAATAATAAACTCTTAGCTGTACATATTGGTCTTTAGAAGAAAGAGCAGGGTAGTTTTAGAACAAGCCAGCTTGGATTTTAAATCTAAGCTGTATCCATTTCCTGTTAAATAAACTTAGGCAAGTCTTTAAGACCCCTAAACCTCAGTGTTTTCATCTAGTGCATGGAGATGACAGTGCTCTGTTCATAAGATTGGTCTGAGTACTTAATGCATATAAAGGGCTAGGTGTTTGGTCGTCAAGGAACATACCTGCATTCCCTGTCCTTCCTGCACCCCTCACCAGCAAACCATCCTAGGTCCTCAAGTGTTCCTCAACTCAGTGATGTGCTCGGGGCACGACTTCAATTAAATAATGGCATGTTTTTATCATCTGGCCTGCAGCTAAATTATATTCTTGACTAGTTTACCCATTTACTCTATTTTTTAAAAATTTCATATGTATGGTTGTTTGCGATTTAGAAATACTCTAGTTTTTTTTTTTTTTTTTTTTTTTTTGAGACATATGAGTAACGTTAGTTAAAAGCAGTGCTCAGAATAATCTGTAAAAGGAGCTCTCATGCTGTTTACCTGTCAGGCAAGGCAAGGAGCGTGAAAAAGAGAGTTTACAGCAAAGGGCCTAACATTAGAGATCCAGGCAGGAAAACATGCATTCTCCCAAATTATTTTGGCAGCTTTTGTGGAAAGTCCATTGAAAGCAGAGGAGAGAGGAAGGTGGTTTGCGTGTTTCCTTCCCATAATAGCTATGAATTTCAGAGTGAAACAGCAGGTAAGGAAGGGCCTGTGTGGGTCTGTAAAGATGTTATGTCCACATGGCAAATACACTCACATTTCTGTCTATGCTGAACCACTTCAGACTACAGTAGTACTGTAGTAATTCAGCAAATGACTAACAGACAACTGAAGGGAAGGAAATCTCCAGAGAACCCCAGAATAGAATTATTTGCCTAACAAATGTTTTTTCATTCTCTTCTGGGCAAGCCACTCATGTAGATAATTTAAGTATCTTTGATGGCATTATCATTTTCTTTTATATGGATATACCATCATGAATTCATTCTGTTGGCAGATGTTTAGGTTATTTTCAGATTCTTTTGCTATTACAATGTTTGATATTCATGACAACAGCTAGCATGTGTATAATACTTAATAGCGGCTGGCCCAAGTCCTTTACACGTACAATTAATTTGGTCCTTTCAACAAACCTATGCAGTAGGTGCTATTCTTATCCCCACTTTATTGATGATCAAACTGAGACTAGAGGTCCAGTAGGCCAAAGGTCACAATTAGAAAGTGGTAGAATCAGAATTTGAACTCATGCAGTTTAGCTCCTAGGGCCATGTTCTTAGCTATGTGCTACTCTGCCTCCTATTAGCCCCCTGTGAGTATGAATATACATGTATCTATGGATGTGTGCATGATGTATGTATATAAACATATCTATGTATATGCATCCATGCACACATGAATGAATGAATGGCAGGACATACTCTTATTGTCTAACAACAGGTTAAGTTTATAACAGTGGGATTGTTAGACAAAGAGTATGCACATTTCAAATTTTGATAAGCATTGCCAAATTGCCTGCCCTATTCCACCTTCCAAAACAGAAAACACCAATTTACTCTCTTACAACAGTTATTTCAAGACATTTTGGGTGCCTCAAAGAATACCAAATGCAGAAATGACACAAATGTGGGAAAGTGGGAGCTGTAGTTTGAATGTTTTTGATGACAGTTCAGAACAGAATGGAGAATTCACCACTGGGGGCATCAGGATTCAGGGGCCTAGATTCCTGCCTGTGAATTGAGGAGCTGTAGAATTTAATCCTACTTTGGCTTCGCTATGCTTCATTGGGAAGGTTACTTCTTTATTCAATTACATTTTAAATGTATGCCATTGTTGAAACAATATATAATAGAGCCAAGACTCAAATATAAGTATATTTAAAAGTCCATATTCTAAAGTTTACTAAATTGAGATCACTATTAAGTATCTCACAGGGTCGTTGAAAGGATTAAATAGGTTAACTTCTGTAAGGACCACACAGTATATCTTCTCAGTAAATGTTAGTCTCCATCTGTTTCAGTGTTCTATGAAACTTTAGGGCTAATAAGCAGTACCCCCATTTCCATTGTATCCCCTAAACCAAGAGAGCTGCTCAGTGGCCTGGCCCTGGATATGCCATAGAGATGCTCAGTGATGCCAAACTTCTCCAAATTGCCCTTTTCTTTTTTCTTGTAGATCAACATTCCCAGTTGCTTGCCAACTGTTTGAGGTGATTTCACACAACAGTATCTGGCTGGATCCTCCTTTCATCCCATCACCTTTTGGATGACTTTGCTACTAGCTGTTAACTCGTTCCCCAGCCTCATCATCAAAAACATTTTTTTGGTATTTGTAGAGGGATTTAGGTGATTCATGTATTAAACTCCTTCCCTGGCCCCATCACTTCCATCCAATCTGTTATTTTCTTTACTGAGAACGGTCCTTCTCTATTGACCTACCAAATATCAAGGAGTCTTTTTCTTGTTTACCTCCCTTGGTCTGGTCATCAATCAGTCAACTG
The DNA here is from genome assembly GCF_000001405.40 of Homo sapiens. Taxonomy (NCBI): domain Eukaryota; kingdom Metazoa; phylum Chordata; class Mammalia; order Primates; family Hominidae; genus Homo; species Homo sapiens. Next base: position 4,004,233 of record NC_000009.12, on the reverse strand, counting down.
ATAAAAAGGAGTTGTTTTCCTCATATTTTTAATTCATTCCCTTGTTCCTCCAAAAGAACTTGCAATTCCCTTTTCGTAACCTTTAACATATCATATTTATTTGTTCATGTCTGTTACTTGAATAAGAATCTGAAATTCACAAGGACAAGAACTGTGGTTTCCCTTTGCCCCAGTTTCTAACACTTTACCTGACATGGAGTAAGTAGTTGATACAGGTTGTTTATTTCAGCTTCTGAATGTTTTGGTGCACTGGGGCATCATAATAATAGTCATCGTAAGTGGAATGTACTAATGAAAAAGCCCTTTTAAGATCTCTGCCTTAACCACGAAAGATTTACCAAATAAATTTAACAAATCTCAAATCTCATAGGGTAATCCATGATACAAGCACCAAAGAAAGAATTTTAGAAAGTTGCAAGAGTAAGCGTCTGTCTTCATTGACACTTATTTCCATGAGACAGCTCACCATCATCCAGATGACTGTCCTGGGAACTTTATTATGTGGATTCTCCAGCTCCCTGGAGCACCTTATTTGGAACCAGTGAATGAAGCTTCTTTTAGCAATTCTTTGAGCTACTTTGGTATTCAAATGTGCAGAATGGTGATGGAGAGACTTAGAGACACTCAAAACATTGAGCAAGATGTTAGAAGGAATCGTTGGAAGCTTGGAACTGTCAACCTGATTCTCATCACGGTTCTTCAGTGTGTATTTATAGCATGCAATTCTATAAGATTGAGACAATTAAGGGGGATGCCACTCTATTCTTAAGCATTTCTTTTTCAATTTGTCGTTTGGTAAGAGGGACTCAAGTTCAGGTTTAAATTCCTTCCTTCCTTCTCTCCCTATTCTGTCTCCTACCTCTATCTCTGTCCTCTTTCTCTTTTTAAAATATATATAGCAATGTTTATAACTGTGCTATGGAGAATTCTGTTATATACTTTCTTAAGCCTCAGTGGTCCAGTTTCTTGTGGTATAATGGGGGCTACCAGAGAAAGATAGTATGTTAAATTTTTAAAACAGAGATGGGATCTTGCTATGTTGCCCAGGCTGGTCTCAGACTCCTGGGCCCAAGTGATCCTCCTGCCTCAGCCTCCTAAAGTACTGGGATTACAGGCATGAGCCACTGTGCTCAGCCTATATATAAAACTTTTGAAAAGTAGTATATTAAATTAGAAATACTTGCAGCTTCAGGTAACACCAAACCATACTACAGTGGATTAAACAAATATTGTTCTCACAAAACCGGATGTTTCCAGAAGTATGCAACTATGGCTTTAGCTCAGTGACTTAGCAGTATCAGAGCCATGTCGTTGTGGATCTCTTGACCTTTGCCTCATGGTTGTGACAGCTATTGCAGTTCTAACCATCACGCTCATATTTAAAGCAGGAAGACAGAGAAATGGTAACATCGGTGATAACTTCCCTTTTCACCAGGGAAACAAAAGTTTTCCTCAGACATTTTCTTTCTCCCAGCAGACATCCATGTATGCCTCATGTTTCCAGAACTGGGTTATATTGCCATCCCCAGTTGCTAGGAGGGATTGGAAAGTGTTTGCCTTTCCAGCCACTGCAGAATGAGGCAGCAAGACAGAATGAGTGGGGAATGACTTTAGGTGACCAATCAATAGCCTCTGTCACAGGTGAAAAACAAGTATCAGGTTAATACAAATCAGAGTATAAAGGATTACCAATGAGGCATGAAGATAGTTTCAAATATGAGAGAACTGAGTATTATGTAGGGCCTAGAACAATGCTGGAGCAAGATAATGCAAGCAGGGGTAAAGCCTACTCAGTAGGTGAATTAGTTTTCTATTGCTGCTGTAACAAATTATCACACATTTAGTGGCTTCAAATAACACAAATTTATTGTCTTAACATATCTGGAGATCAGGAGTCGGAAATGAATTTTACTGGACTTACTGGATGAAAGTCAGAAGGTTCCTTCTGGAGGCTCTGAAGGAAGAATCTGTTTCCTTGACTTTTTCAGCTTCTAGAGGCCGCCTGCATTCCTTGGCTTGTGACCTCTTACTCATGTCACTCCAACCTCTTGCTTCCATTGTCACATCTCCTACTACTCAATGATCTTCCTATCTTTGTCTTATAAAGACCCTTGTGGTTGAATTGGGCTCACCCAAATAATCTGGGATAATGATAATCTGTCCATATCAGAAATCCTTAATTTAATCACAGCTGCCACGTACTTTTTACCATGTAATGCAACATATCCACAGAGTCTGGGCATAGGAAGTGGACGTTATTAGAGGGGCCACTGTTTATAGTATCACAGTGGGACTAGTGAGAACCACCCAGGCAGGCCAGAATAAGATGTATATGGGAGAATGCTAGTATTAATACATTTGTCCCACCAAAGGATAGAGACCAGTTTGGGAACAATGAAGATGTATCCAGATGGCATAACCACATTGTACAGATGATCATTACTTGCTGTCCTGTATTTGGTTTATTGAAAGCTGGTATCTGCAAAATGCATCATTGAAAGTATTCCTTGGCATGTCATATTCATAAATGGCAGATATGATGACTGACTGCTTACTTAGATGCCTGAAGCTACTTAGAAATTAAAAATTTTAAGAGAAGGCTTAATTTGAAATCTTCCTTGGGAATTTTTTTCCTTTTAAAGAAAATGAACAGTAAGTAAACACGTTTACAAACACAGCTTTACGTGGGAGAGACCAAAAAGGAATACTTTCATTAACATTTTCCATTAATACAACTTGTCTTGTGTTATTGTTTGATATTGTGTGGTATAATGAACCTGAATTTTAATTGGTTGCCTAAATTTATTTGTCTCTGGAAATTCTATGAGAATAATTAAAATACACCCATTAAGATAAACATTTGGTGCTTTTTCCTTAGGTAAACTTTAGTCTTTGACAGGCATATACAATTTATAGCCTTAAAAAATAATGGATAAAAGCCATTGAAAGCATGATTCATTGCCAAAAGATTTTTTTTGAATAAGAAACTGGTAATTATTCTTTCTCTCTTAATTTGTTCATTTATTCGTCAGATATAATTTAAGTATATGTAACATGCCAGGGATTGTAATAAGCATGAAGAACACTGACATGACTATGACTAGATTGCAAGCTGTTTGAGGGTAGGAAGTAGGGCTTACTCGTGGTAAATTTAGTGCCTGGCACAGTGCATGACATAAAATTAACACACGGGAAATGTTGGTTTAACTGAGCTGAAAACACAGCTCCTGGCTACAAAAATCTCACAGGCAAAGGAGGGGAGACAATATAAATAGAAAAATTGGCATATAGCTTTGTGAAAGTACAGAGGAGAGAGTGACCATCAGAATAATCAGGGAAGACTCCACTGAGGAGCTGGCATTTTGCTGATTTTGGAAGTGTAGGAACTGGCCAGATTGAGACAGGAGGAGCACATGCCTGGCAGAGGAAGCTGCAGGTACATAGCTCAGCTATGGGCTTGGGCATCTGATAATTCAGTGTGTCACTAGAATGCAGGTGAGCGGCAGGGAGGAAGCTGCAAAGGTAACTGGAGGGCTGATGGGGAAGATTCTAGTTTGCCTTGCTGGAAGTTAGATTTTGTCCTGTAAGCAGCAGGGGGCCACTAGAAGCTTTTAGGCAGAGGACTAAGAAAATAACCTTTTCTTTTTCTTTAAACGAGCTTTGGGTGTAGATATTTTCTACCCTCTGGTAGATAAATGTATTTTACCTACCAGAGTGAATATAACATATATTTTTTAAGTAAGAATAATAAATAAAATAACACTGATGAATCCAACATCCAATTTCAGAGACAGATGATTCTTGATCTGTTAGAATCTCTGTGTCTCTTTCCTCTCCCTCCTCTCCTTAGAAGACATTACTACTTTAATTTTCATTTTGTATTAAGAATTTTCTTGCTTTTCCTTAAAGTTTTACCACACATATAGGCATCCTTAAAAATACATTGTTTGGTTTTGCCTGCTTTTGAAGTGTATATAATAGGATCCTACTAAATATATTTCTTCTGTGATTTCCTTTCATCACTCAGCATTGTTTTCAAGAGTTATCCATGTTGATGTGTGAATCTACGTATGGATCATTGATTTTTTACAGCTTTGGAATATTTGTCAAGTAATTATACCAAATTTTATTATTCATTTAACCATCATGGATATTTGGATTTTTTCAAGCTTTTTCTTATTCTGAGTAACATTGTTCTGATCACTTCTATACTTGTTTACTGGAAGCATATGTACGAGAGTTTCCCTTGGAGAGAAATCACCCTTTTATACCTTTTTCGTATATTAATGGTTCTGTTTATGGGACCCCTATTCTTTTCCATTTCTCTATTTTTCTATCCCCACACTTAAATGTTGCATTGCGTAATTACTATGTTTTATTATTTGATGGGGCAAGTCCCCCAGCTCTGTTCTTCTTTAAACCTGACTTGGCTGTTCTTAGCTGTTAATTCTTCCATATTCATTTCAGGATAAGCTCATTAAGGTCCTTGAAAAATCCTGTTAAGATTTTGGTTAGAATTTATTAAATATGTAGATCAATTATAGAATCATTAACATGTTTACAATAGTGACTTTTCCTGTTGAATATGCTGTCCATGAATATGCTTTGTCTCTTAATTATTATCTTTGTTAATGTCTTTCAATGAACATTTATACATTTATTATTTAAAAATCTCATACAATTTTTGTTAGTATTTCCCCCCATGGTATATTATAAATTTTCATTATTGTTTTATACATGGTAACTTTTAAAAATTAAATATTAAACTCTTCATTGCTGGTGCATAGAAATGCAACCTTTCTTTTAAAAAAGCACTCTTGGAGAATCTGGAAAAACAAGCATTCAGACTCATTGCTGGTGAGAATGCAAAATGATTAAAACTTCCATGGAGGGAAATTGCATGCAAATCTGTATCTTTCCAGCTAACAATTTCACTTTTAAAGGTTTACCTTGATGAAACACCTCTACAAATATGAAACAACAGCACTATCAGTTATTTGTTGTAGTAGTCTTTGTAACAGCAACATATTGAAAACTCAAATCTGCGACTATAGAGATTGGTTCAATTACCATGGCATAGCCATACAGTTGAATACTATGAAGCTGTAAAATTATGAGGAATATTTCTATAAGCTGATGTGGTGCGATATCTAGGATAATTGTTAAATGGAAATAAGCAAGGTACAAAAGAGTATGTATTTTATACCACCTTTTTTTATAGAAAGAAAGGGAAGTAACTTTATGTATGCATGTGCTTATGTCTTGGTATTTATTTGCTTAATTTTGCAAAAAGAAGTACAGGATAGATAAGCCAGAAGGTAATAAAAAGGTTGACTAGATGGTGTCAGTGGTAATTGTATTGAAAGTGATAATGATTGGAGAATACCTACTTAAATAGTTTCGACTTTTGAACCAATATATTTTAATAAAATATTATTTTATTAAAATATTATTAATATTTAATATTATTTTTAATAAACATAAAATTAAAACCATAAAGGATAAAAAGTAGTAAACCTTAAAACTGAATGGAAACAGAAAGAAAAGAATTCTAACTGTATATCAAATAGATTACATAGCCACAGAGCAATTAATTAATTCACACTATTTTTAAGCATAGTGCTCTGAATATATATTTTTGTGGGACAAATTTTAAGGACAAAAAATCTGCAAAGAAATCTTAAACTCTACTTACTAGGTTTATTGTTAGTGTTAGTATTTATATTGTAATTATTAAAAATAAATACAGTAGTATATAGTAGGTAAGTACATTATTGTAATTCTAAACCACAATTTTTACTATAAAAGAGGTGTAAATATAAAGGTAAGAAAAACTCTGTGATATATTTGAATTGACTCTATTAAATGAATTGGTGATTTCAGATAATATATTTCCTAGCTCTGTGCATTGAAGGCGTCTGGAGAATGACACCTCATTAACAATATACACATTCAGCACTAATGTCTTGATTTCTAAGTACCGTTTTCTACCCAAAGGAAACAGTACTTTTTATACAAATGGCTACTTCCAGATCTGGATTAGGGAAAGACTAAGATGAGTCTAGATCATCTTTTTGGAGCAGAAAGCAAGGAGATGCTCAAAGAGTAATGGGAATCATGTCATAGAGATGCTTGAGCTGGCCTAAAGGGATTTCCACAGTCATGTAAGGCAATTTAAGCACCAAAAAGAACAGTGACAATAATGGATTATCACATAATGATAAAAAAGAAATGAATGAAGCTTCTTCAAACTCTTAATTCTGATAATTTGCATTTTCTGTAGGGGTTTTATGTATAAGATTATATAATCTATATGCATTTATTTTTATGGCTTTTTTTTCTAATCCTGATATATTTTATTTCTTTTCTTTATCTTATTGTATAAACTAGAACTTCCAAGGTGATGCTGAATAGAAATGCTCATAGCATAACTCTTTTTCTTATTCCTATTTCCTTTAAAGACATTTAGAGAAATATTTCCCCACTAAGTTTGATGTTTGCTACATATTTTTAACAGGTTAACAAGTTCCTTTATGCTTAGTTTGCTATTTTTTTTTATTCCTGCAGAGATAGTCATATGATTTTCTCCTTGATTTCTCAGTGGCATGATCAATGAATCTTACTTTCCTAGAAAAACGTTCAACTTGGTCATGATGTATATATTTTTAACATATATATTGAATGAGTTAATTTGCCCATATTTTTCTTAAGATTTTGGCAGTATAGTCATGAGTGAGGATCGCATAAAATGTTCATTTCTTGTCCCATTTCTATTTTCTGATAGATTTTATGTAAATTAGAGCTTTTCTGTTTATTGAATGTTACAACTCAACTTTTATTTTATTTTATTTTATTTTATTTTTATTTTTATTGTTTTCTTGAGACGGAATTTCGAGTTTCACTCTTCTTGCCCAGGCTGGGGTGCAATGCAGCGATCTCGGCTTACCTCAACCTCCGCCTCCTGAGTTCAAGCGATTCTCCGGCCTCAGCCTCCCGAGTAGCTGGGATTACAGGCATGCACCACCACGCCCAGCTAATTTTGTATTTTTAGTAGAGACGGGGTTTTTCCATGTTGGTCAGGCTGGTCTTGAACTCCAACCTCAGGTGATCTGCCTGCCTTGGCCTCCCAAAGTGCTGGGATTACAGGCGTGAGCCACCGCGCCCGGCCGCAACTCAATTTTTAAGGTGTCTAGGCCATGTAGGAAGATTTTAAATTTCGGATTCAATAGTTTTAGTGATTATGGTATTATTTAAGATGTATTTTTTCTCCTTAAGCGTTCTATGGTAATTTGTATTATTCTAGACACTTATCATTTGTCATCTCAGTTTACAAATTTATTGACATACATTTATTTACCTTTTTAATCTCTGCTGCATCTGAAATTATATCACCCTTTCATTCCTATTATTATTAACACATGTCATCTTTCTTTTTCTTTATTAGCCTAGGCAGCAATTTGTTAACTTTATTATTCTTCTAAAAAAACCAATGTTGGACTTCATTCATTCTCTATGTTGGGTCTTTGTTTTCAGTTTTGTTAATTTATTTTCTTATCTTTGTTATTTCTTCCTTCTACTATTTCAGGTTAGTTTTGCAGTTTTTTTCCTAACTCCTAAGTAAACAATTTTTTATTTGCTACCATAACCATATCAGGTTATGAATTTCCTTTGAAAAACTGCTTTAGCTGCATCCTACAAGTTTTGACATTTCAACATGCACTTTTAATGTAACAGAAAGTAAAGTTAATCAGTATCTTTACCTTTATCCCAAACAACACTTTAACTCAATTCACACCACACCAGAATGTCACCCCATCCTCCAGAATCTATCTATCTATTTTGATCTCACAAATTAAACCTTAGTGTTATTATTTTCATGGTGAATATTTGACTTGCCCATATTTTTCTGTTTTCTCTGGTCTCTGTTCTTTGTTTTATATCTGAACTTACTTCTGAGATATTTTTTCTTTTTTCTGAAGGACATCTTTTAGAAGTTCCTTTAGTGAGGATCTGTCAGTTTTTATTTTTCTGAAAGCATTTTTATTTCATTCTTGCTCTTGAAAGGTATGTGTAAATTGCATGCAATTTTGATAGACAGTTACTTCTCACAGCATTTTGAAGATATGATTCCTCCTGATGTTGCTGTTGAGTGTAATTGTCATTATTTTTTTAAGTAATCTGACTTTTCTTTTAGGCTGCATTTAAGGTCACCCTTTTATCTTTTTTTTTGCTACAGTGAACTTGTTTTTATTAGTCTTGCTTAGAATTTATTAAGATTCCTAAAACCTAAAATTATTGTGTCTTTTTGAATTCAGGAAAGTTCTTATTCATTCTTTTTCAAAATGTTGCCATTCCTCCATCACTGTATTATCACCTCCTGGAACTCTGATTTAGCAGGCTATTATGTGTTTTATATCTACCTTCTGTGCCTTTTAAACTGTCCTTCATATTTTTTTCTCACTTTGTCTCTTTGCTGCATTCCACTTAATTTATACACAACCATTTTCAAAGTCGCTAAGTCTCTCTTTAGCTGTGTCTTCTCCACTGTTTAATTCATAAGTGAAGCTTTTTTTAAATAATTACATTTTTAATTTTTAGAAGTAGATTTTATTTTTTAAAACTTCTTGGTCAATTTTCACAGCCTCTTGTTTCTTTGTTATGCATTCATTTTTCTTTTTTAAAAAAATTTATTTATACTTATATATCTGATATTTCCATACTTACACATAGCTGATCATCTTTTCAGTTATTTTCTACACTGTGTTTTCTACTGGCTGTTTCTGCTATTATTCACGGTAGTAGTTTTTAGTATAAGCTGCCATTCTTTAGAACCTTATCTTTGGAAATTCCTTGAGACCTAGGTTTAGATGCATTCTTCCATGGAGTAGTTGTCATTGTTGCTACCTGAAGCCTAGAGACTATATTAACTCTATATGAATTTAAACTAAAATATCAGTTTTTGAGTGTTTTGGACCACATGAGAAACATGAATTCAGGATTCAAACCCAGGTTTTCTGGTTAAAAATCCTTAAGAGACTCATTTTTCCCTTCCCCACCAAGAGCCAAGACGTCTTTGCCAACTGCCTCACTCTGTAGGTCAGGTTTGGTTTTGCTCCTCCCAGTTTATTTGCTGACTTTGTTGCCATGTAGAAGTTCTTGCTTTGTGAATGTGGATGTCTGTTTAAACTCAGATCCAAATCTAGACCCATACTTTGATTCTTCTCAACTGGCCCCTTAGAAGCCAAGCTCTAGGGTACCTGAAATTGTTAGAATAGCCCCAACTCTTGCTCTCTGCTCCTGATTGCTGGGCTTTTTGTTTGCTTGCTTGTTTTCTGGCCTCTGAGGCATTCCCTCACTTTATCTGTAGGGCAGCCATGCATTAAAAAAGAGATTCTTTTAAACACTTTAGCCGCCATTTTTAGATGTGCTGCATCAGAAGTGGTTTCTCGGAACATTTCATTTGCCATATTGCTGGGGAAAGAAGTAAATAAGGAATCAGTTTTGATTTTTAAAAAGACAGTGTTGGTGGCAGGGTTGAGCACAGGCTGACATCAGGGAGAGGCTAGAGGTCAGGAGGCAGGTTTTAGTTCTGTTAATTTATTCACACAGTAATGTAGAAATTCCATGTAAATACTTAGATCTCATTATACAGGCAAGTTATGCAAAAACTCAAAAACATATTTTAATAATTATTAGTTATGGAAATAGTTGTTTACTCTTTGTGGTGTTTTAAGCTAGGTTTGTGAGTCAGAGCTTATTTTCAGTCTCACTTTAAAGAAGACATACGCTTGCCAAATCCTGAGTGAGAAAAATGAATCCCAAATCAAGGTGTAGGTGTCAAAACTGCAGCCTCTCTTGCCAGCATTCCTTATTTGCCAAATATTTTCAACCTAAAGAGGGCAGCTGTGCCCGTTCCAGGCCATGGGCTGTACTGTGAAATGGCAATTGAAGTGGCTTTGTATTTTTCAATGTAAAGGGTAATGAGACCATAATGAGAAACTACCGGCTGCATCAGTTTCATAGATCCAACAGGTGCTTTTTTAAAAGGCAGATTTATATGATCCGAAGAGAAACCAGAGTATAAAGCAGGTGGTTCTTTGGAACAGCAGTTCTCAAAGTGTGGTCCTAGACCATGGAACTTTTAAAAAATGCAGATTCTTTGGTCCAACCCAGACCTTCTCAGTCAGCAAACTCTGAGGGTGGGACGCAGAAATCTGTGTTTTAACAAGCTCTCTGGATGACTCTGATGCGTAGTAGAGGTTAGAAATGACTGCTCCTGGGAAGCCTGGGTTAGAACAGAAAGGAAGTGAGTGTTCAGAAAAGATAAGGCAAAATTTTCTTTGTCAAAATACTTTTAAAATGTAGCACTGCAAATTATTTATAACAGAAAAAAAATGACAATTTTTGTGACACCAGCAGTAATACAACAGTAGGCCAATAGTAATCTAGCAGTAGGCCAATATTAAATGAATTATGGTATAGCCATTTGCTAAAATCATGCAATCATCAACATTATTTAATAATATTTAGTAATGAGGAAAATCTTATGATAGAATGTTTAAATGAATGTTGATATATACAAACAAATATGCTTATGATGGCATATGTAGGCATATGTGGACATTCATTAGGAACCTAGGGAATTCCTTACTTGTCCCTGGAAATACCTGAAAATGGTGTATGTTAGTTTTCCTCAGATAGTGGACTTATTGTGGATTTTTACATATACATGAAATGTACATATACATTCATACTTATACATATTTCTAAATTGTCTATATGATAAAAAGTTTATCATATTTGACTTGGTACTAATAGTATTTTATTAACAAATTTCATAAAATACTACTAATATTAACGAGAAAATAAGCTACTTTTAAAGTGGTAGTTGAATTCCACTGAATTTCAGGCTTCAGAAGATTAAAGATTACACCTGCCTCTCTGACTGCCCTCGGAACTGTCAGGGGAAGCAGCAGTACAAAGAGATCCTGATCTGACAAACAGTATGAGGCAATGGCAGAGTCAGGTATGTTGTCAGTGGGTTTTAATCTGGAATATTTTCAGGCCAGTTCATGACACTGTTGACTGGCCATGAATCTTGAAAGCTTGAGAGCTGGAGTGAGAACACAGGAAATGCAAAAACCTTTTTCCCCACCATCCTGTAGCTCAGAAAATCCCCAACATCTGGCTCACGTGTAAAGCCAGGAAAGATATGATTTACCCTGGCAGCCGGCCTTACTGAGAGCCTTAGCTGGTTGGCTCCATGTCACACAAGAAAAACACCCTATAAGGATTTGCTGAGGATTTTATTCACAAGTGGAAAATCTTCATACACCTCAAACGAAACTAAAGAAAATGTTGTATGATACCTCCTGAGGGATAAAAGTGTTTGACCTTATCAGAATTGGTCATGGTAGAGATTATTAGATGTCACACTGTCTGATCTTTTGTTTTCCACCAGCCAAATTAAAACTGGAAAAGTACTGAGAGAGGGATACCTTTACAAAGGTAGTGAAGACACTGTTAATTTTTTGTTTTTACTCTTACGATGAAAATTTTTAAAAAATTGTCAAAAGTTGAAAAAACAGTTATGTTGAATAAGTCCATCATCCAGCTTTAATACTGTTTACTCCTTAATAATGGAAATAAATACAGTTGTTCATATTGAGTTTCTGGGAATAACTGTACCAACTCTATCTCATAAACAACCATCTCCTCCTTTACGCTGAGGATTTGCTTTAGTACCTGTGTGCATTCACTGTTTATGCATGAGGAGGAAGGGAAATGCAGTTTTTTTGAACTCTTCTCAGCAGAACCTTTAACAAGGAAACACATTTCTTTATTGCCCTCATTCCCAAGAGAAGCAACTATCATTACACAGACAAGTCATTTTTATTATTTCCTTTTATTTGCTTTCTTTAGTTTTCTTTCACATTTCATATAACTGAAATGAATCACTTTTTCCCCAAAAAATTACTTCTGGAAAACATATTTTTTTACACTAAGCATTAGTCTAGGCACTGTATAAAGTGAAAATAAATGCCACTACTCCTTGTCCTCCAAATGTTACATTCTAACATCATTTGTTGTGACTGTGACAGGAACAGACAGAGCTGCCCTAAAGCAGAGTTTTAAATGGGGAATCTTATTTTCTTACTTACTCTATATTATAAAATCTGACTTCAGTTTGTCTAAAAGTAATTGGCCTTAAGATACAGTGTCTCATTTAAAAATTCAGCCTACTGGCCGGGCAGGGTGGCTCATGCCTGTAATCCCAGCACTTTGGGAGGCCGAGGCGGGCGGATCACGAAGTCAGGAGATCAAGACTGTCCTGGCCAATACGGTGAAACCCCGTCTCTACTAAAAATACAAAAAATTAGCCAGGCATGGTTGCAGGCGCCTGTAGTCCCAGCTACTCGGGAGGCTGAGGCAGGAGAATGGCATGAAGCCGGGAGGCGGAGCTTGCAGTGAGCCGAGATCCCACCACTGCACTCCAGCCTGGGCGACAGAGTGAGACTCCGTCTCAAAAAAAAAAAAAAAAAAAAAAAAATCAGCCTACTTAATGAAATTCTGAACTATATAATAATATGACAGTAACCCCAAGATAAGCAACAGTTAAAATATGAAAGTATAATTAAAACAAAAATGAAAGTATCAATAGTTCCATCGATTACCATGTGAAGTATGGCAAATTAAGATATAGGAAGTTAAGACTCCGAGACGTGTTTAATTTTTCTGAGTTTCCCAGCATATTAAGCCTCCAAATGAAATCACAACTTCAGCTGTTATGTCCAGGTTTTTTAATTGATTCATTTTGTTTTATTTATGCTGTCTCTTGTACTTAATGTCTCTTCAGACTTGTACCCAGTGACATCTGCTGTGAACCCTTTTTTTTTGTTTTTTTGTATCTTCATTAAAGAGGCTTTGAGGGGAAAGTAAAAGTAAAAGTCAAAATGGACATTTGTCTTAATGATGGCTACTATTGTACCCATTTGTACACTTATCTCCAAGGCATCTCAGTAAAGTGCCTTCCCATTTTAAATGCAAACACAGCTTCCTCCTACAATATGTCTGGCAGGTGACTCCTTTTTATCTAACATTCTCTCCCTACAAGTGGTTGCAGGAGCTGGGTGTTTCTGCTGCTATTCTCAGAGAAACCTTTTGCTTGAGAATTAGTTGTGATAAAGAGACTCTAAGGTGCTTGTCAAGTTCCTTAACCCTAATTTTTGTCATCAGAAACATCAATCTGATTCCTGGCTAAACAAAACTGCTTCACTTAGACATTCCGTATTTCAAAGAACCCCTTGGTTGGTTAGGCCTGTTTTTCAAAATTGAGGGCATGCTTGATGTCAGGGATGAACCTGTATATTTTGGAAGAGAGGGAGAAAATCAGTTCTGTCATTAAATTTGTATGAAATTTAATTTGTAGAAAATTTAACATTTTTAAATACTAAAATATACATACGTTTAGCTATTTGAAAACTAATTCCAATGTTATGACTGCACAATTTCAGGTTAGTTACACCCTTGGCTGTCTGAGTGTGAAATTTTCCTTCCCTCTTCTGTATAGTAGAAGGCAAGGGCTATTTTGGAGGGAAACTTTAAGAAGTAGGGATTCACACAATCCTCAGGGTGCCAGGAAATTTCTGTTCACCCTACAGAGCCAGAATATTGTAAACTCCTACTTAATGGGAACTTCTTTCGCATGCCACAGATTAAATTGCCAGAAAGGTTAGGGATGCATGAGGTGAGTTTGTTCCTCATTCACTGATCAATGCTACTGGTTTTCTTTCCATCATGAGCCAAGGACTGTGCCAGGTGCAGGTCGATCTTTGGTGAAGAAAACATGCGCCATTGCCGTGTGCAACTTAAGACCTGTTGGTATCAGTAATTGCCAGTTGATTGATAGGATGTTTGCTAGCATCTCCCTTCCTCCGGAATGATTCTAATATTATGTTAATGTAACATTCCCTCCCCTTGCTTTTATGAAATGGTGGCTTTTTGGTGATGATTAATGGAATGATGAAGAATGATGCAAAAAAGCAGTTTGCCCTCGGCTCTTTCCACATTGTACAGCAGGCCTTGGTTGTCACATGTCATCTTTGAAAATGAACTTCGTGGTAGTAATATTTCCTGGTTTCTTCATTCACATTGTGACAGCTTTCAAGTGTTTGTTGAGATAATTGTAAATTCACATGCACTTGTGAGAAGTAATACAGAGAGAGCCCTTGTACACTTTATCTAGTTTCCCCCAATGTTAGTATTTTGCAAAACTCTGCAGTATGATATCAACCCGAATATTGAACTTGATACAAATCATGACCTATTCAGGCTTCCTCAGTTTTGTACTCTTTGTGTGTGTGTGTGTGTGTAAGTTCTATACAATGTGTTGCTAGTGCAGTTTCTTGTGTTCACCATCACAGTTGAGATACTAAGCATTTCCAGCACCACTAATATCTATCCTATTTCCCTTTAATAAATACATCCACCTACTTCCTATACATGCCATCCCTAACCTTCCTGGCAACCACTCATCTTTCCTCTAGTAGTAATTTTTTTCATTTAAGAAATGTTGCATACATGGACTCATACAGTATGTAACTTCTTCGGAGTGGCTTTTTCACTCAGCTAAATTCACTGGAGATTCATCCAAGTTTCCATGTATTGTATTCCTTTTTATTGCTGAGTAATATTCCATGGTATGTTTATTCCACAGTAGTTGACATCTGCCTGGTGAGAGACATCTGGGCTGATTGTAGTTTAAGCTATTACAAGTAAAGCTGCTATGAATATTTGCAAACAGTTTTTGTTATAACATAATTTTCATTTCTCTGGATAATTATCCACCACTACAATTACTGGGTCATATGGTAATTTTATGATTAGTTTTATAAGAAAACTGTTTTCCAGAGTGCCTGTACCTTTTTACATTTCTGTCAGCAATGTATGAGTGATCCAGTTTCTTCACATCTTTGCCAGTATTTGGTATTGTCACTCTTTTTAATTTTTAGCTATTCTGATAGGCATGTAGTAATATTTCATTGTAGTTTTAATTTGCCTTCCCCTGATGATTAGTGATGTTGAACATCTTCTCATATGCTTATTTACCGTCTGTATATCCTCTTTAGTTAAATATCTTTTCCCATTTTCTATTTGGATTGCTTGTTTTATTACTATTGAGTTTTGAGATTTTTTATAATATACTTTATTTACTGGTCGTTAGTTGGATATGTGGTTTGCAAATGTTTTCCCCAGTCTCTCTGTATTTTCATCTTCTTCCCATGAGGTTTCACCAAACAAAAGTTTCTAATTTTGATGAGAACAAATTTATACATTTTATGGATCATGGTTTTGGTATCAAGTCTAAGAAGTCTTTGCCTAACTCTAAATCCTAACAATTTGTTTCTGGCTTTTTTTTTCCCTGAAAGTTGTATGGTGCTGTTTCTTACATTTAGGTCTATATTCCATTTAGAGTTCATCTTCGTATAACGTATGAGGTTTAGGTCAAGATTCTTTTTCTTTTTTTTTGTCTATGCGTGCTTGATGGCTCCAGCACCAATTGTTGTAAAGACTATTCTTCCTTCACTGAGTTGATTATGCATCTTTGTCAAATATCAGTTGAGGAATTTATGTGGGCCTGTCTGGGTTGTCTATTCTGTTCAATCGATCTATGTATTAATTCATCAATACCACATTGTCTTGATTACTGTAGCTATACATTAATATAGGGCTGTGCCTTTTCATATAAATTTTGGGAGAATTATGGGAACCTCACTTCCATTTAGGTTTCTTTACCTTTCCCATTTTTATCATCGTCTTGAGTATCAAGTGGTATTATAACTTTTATTTCAGTCATCAACATAACAGTAAATTTGCTTTTTTCATTGTATCTTCTTCCTTCTTGATGTGCCAGGATTCCTTCTTTTATCATTTCCTTTCTGTTGGAAGATCTTTCTTTAGTCAGTCATTAAAGGTGGGTCTGCTAGTGACAGAGTCTTTTTCTTCATTGAGAATGTTTTTTTATTTTTTTATTTTTTTCATTTATGAAGGATAGTTTCTCTGAATATAAACTTCACAGTTGACAAGTCTCTCCTTTCACCACTTGAAACCGCTTGATTCTGGACTCCATGGTTACAGATTAAAAAGCCCAGTCATTAGCTTGATTGTGGTGAATATTTCACAATGTATACATATACCAAATCATCAAGTTGTAGACCTTAAATATATTAAATTTTAATCATCACTATACCTCAGTGAAGCTGGAGGGAAAATGTGCTGTCATTGAATTGATGTTCATGTATCGTTTTTCTCTGGATTATTTCAAGATCTTCTTTCTCTTTAGATTTTAAATTTTTAATTATGATGTGTTTTAGTGTATATTTTCCTGAGTTTATCTGGTTTGGATTCACTGTTTTTTGAATCTGTAGGTTTATGTTTGTGTTTTGTTTTTTTTTTTTTTTTTTTTTTTTTTTGCCAAATCCAGGGAGTTTTCAGCCATTATTTCTTTTCTTTTCTTTTCTTTTTCTTTTTTTTTTTTAAACGTTGTTTCACTCTTGTCGCCCAGACTGGGGTGCAGTGGCGTGATCTTGGCTCACTGTAACCTCTGCCTCCTGGGTTCAAGTGCCTGCCTCAGCCTCCTGAGTAGCTGGGATTACAGGCGCCCACCACAACGCCCAGCTAATTTTTGCATTTTTAGTAGAGACAGGGTTTCACCATGTTGGCCAGGCTGGTCTCGAACTCCTGACCTCAGGTGATCCACCCGCCTTGGCCTCCCAAAGTGCTAGGATTAAAGGCGTGAATCACTGCACCCAGCCCATTATTTCTTTATATACTCTTTCGGTTCTACTCTCTTTCTTCTCTTCTGGAACTCTGATGATACAAATGTTGGGTCTTTTTCTAGTGTCCCACAAGTCCCTGAGGAGCTGTTAATTTTTTTTCTCATTATGTTTGCCTTTTTTGTTGAAATTGGGTAAATTTTATTGTCCTGCCCTCAAGTCCACTAATTTTGTCCTCTCTCACCTCTACTGTTGAGCCCTTCCAGCAAGTTTTAAAATCTGTATTACTATTATTTTATTATTATAATTTACGCTTTTCATTTTTTGTAGCTTCCATTTCTTTTCTGGAATTTTCTAATTTTTTCCATTTGTTTCAAAAGAATTTGTAATTCATTGTTGAAGCATTTTTATGACAGCTGCTTTAAAATCCTTTTCAGATCATTTCAAGATCTAATTCATCTGATCCATTTTGGTATTGGCATTAGTTGACTGTCTTTTTTTACTCAAGTTGTGATTTTTTGGTTCTTAGTTGATGGGTGATTTTAAATTATATCCTGCACATTTCATATGTTTGGAAACTCTGGGTTGCATTCCAAACTTTTACTTTAGCAGGCAGACACCCTGTTAAGTTTAGCACATGGGTCTTTGCCTACTTTAGTGGGCTGTGCTTCCAAGGGCAGTGGTTTTCAAAGCCTTTACTATTTTTGGTTGGCTCAGTTTATTGGATGCTGCTGGGGCTTCCACTGGTCCCTGCTGGTACTGCCCGAGGGGGCAAAAGGGCTTCACAGTCAGGCCGCCAGATGACTTTCAGTGGAGGAGGCCTGTGGTGAGATTTCCCTGCCAGTGCCCCTGCTCTCAAGACATTTAATAGTTAATTAGGAGCCCAGTCCTGTGCCTCTGGAGAATAGCTTATATGAATTGAGAACTCATTGGTACAAATGGAACTGGGGAAGAAAGGTCAGAGGGCAGAATTAATGCTGATAGAAAAGTATTCCTAATTGTACACAGTTTTCATAAATCTGCTTGAGAGATCACAGTGGGGGTGGTGAGAAGGGAGTGGAATTCTGTGAATTTTTATGACACAAGGAAGCTTCAGTCCATATTTAGAATTTAATTCATAGTGATCATCAGAGCCAAGCAAAATTATCTACAGTTGTATCCGTGCCTTTATTTTTCGGTCATGATGGACTCCTAAACTGCTGAGTGAACACATTTACATCTTCTCTGCTCACGAGAGGTATTAGCAGAAGACAGAGGGTATCTTGTTGGAGAAAGTGCATGCCTGCAATGTAGACATGCAAAACACCACTGTTCACCAAACCCAGTGGCTCTAAGATATTGAAAATGCATTTTGTAGTTTTAATTTTCCACAAATTATTCTGTAATTTAACTAAAGAAGACTTCCTTTTTCTTCAGGAAAGTCCTTCTTGACTGTTTCTTGCTTAATTTCTTTTTAATTAGCATGACTGATTTATTTCTCTTCTTTTTCTCCACAAATGAATTTTTAATTGATGTGGGTAGAACAAACTATGTAGTTTATAGATTAGCAATATTATACAGTTTTAATTTTAACTGGGAATGCCAGGAACTAGAGGGAAAGTAACTTTTACAAAAGTAGATTGTTCCATCACAAAATTGTTTGACTTTGTACAAAATGCTTCTAACGTGGATGACCTCTGCTTCCATTGAATGTTGCATATGAGAAAACTTCTTTCCCAATCTTAGATTTCTCACATGAGCTAAAATTTTGCTTCCTTTGCTAAAATTTTTTATTACTTGAAACATCTCTTCCTATTACTAATTGACATTGTTTCTTAGAAAATAGTGAATCTAATAGTAGCTGTTGTATATCTACACAATCTGTGGTAGAAGATGACATTCTAGAGAGGAGCAAACATCTGCTTTCTGGGCCCAAATATTCATGTACCAAGAAGCAATGCTTTGTAATTAATGATTCCTCAAACTGTAGAAGTTTCATTCTGACAGGACACTTGTATTTAATTTTGACTGGGGCTGGGTGCAGTGGCTTACACCTGTAATCCCAGCACCTTGGGAGGCTGAGGCAGGCACATTGCCTGAGCTCAGGAGTTTGAGACCAGCCTGGGCAACACGGTGAAACCCTGTTTCTACTAAGAAGTACAAAAAACAATTAGCCAGGTGTGGTAGCACACACCTGTGGTCCCAGCTACTCAGGAGGCTGAGGTGGGAGGATTGCTTGAGACTTGGAGATGGAGGTTGCAGTGAGCCAAGCTCTTTACTGCACTCCAGCCTGGACAACAGAGCAAGACCCTGTCTCAGTAATAATTAATAATAATAATAATTTTGACTGAAATGGTGAGGAAAAATGGGTTTTTTTTTTTTTGTGAATTGAGCTCTGTACTAGTCTGTTCTTACACTGCTGATGAAGACATACCTGAGACTGGGCAATTTACAAAAGAAAGAGGTTTAATGGATTTACAGTTCCACATGGCTGGGGAGGCCTCACAATCATGGCAGAAGGCAAGGACGAGCAAGTCACATCTTACATGGTTGGCAGCAGGCAAAGAAATCTTGTACAGAGAAACTCCCACTTTGAAAACCATCAGATCTCGCGAGACTCATTCACTATTACGAGAACAGTGCAGGGAAGACACGCCCCCACAATTCAATCACTTCCCACTGGGTTCCTCCTGAAACATGTGGGAATTATGGGAGTTACCATTCAAGATGAGATTTGGATGGGGACACAACCAAACCATATCATTCTGTCCCTGGCCCCTCCAAAATTTTATGTCCTCACATTTCAAAATCAATCATGCCTTCCCAAGAGTCCCCCAAAGTCTTAACTCATTTCAACATTAACTCAAAAGTCTACAGTCTAAAGTCTCATCTGAGACAAGGCAAGTCCTTTCCACCTGTAAAATCAAAAGCAAGTTACTTACTTCCTAGATATGATGGGGGTACAGGCATTGGGTAAATACAGCCATTCCAAATGGGAGAAATTGGCCGAAACAAAGGGGCTACAGGGCCCATGCAATTCCCAAATCCAGCGGGGCAGTCAAATCTTAGAGCTCCAAAATGATCCCCTTTCACTCCATGTCTCACATCCAGGTCATGCTGATGCAAGAGGTGTGTTCCCATGGTCTTGGGCAGCTCTGCCCGTGGCTTTGCGGGGTATAGCGTCCCTCCCAGCAGCCTTCATAGGCTGATGTTGAGTGTCTGCAACTTTTCTAGGTACAAAGTGCAAGCTGTCAGTGGATCTACCAGTCTGGGGTCTGGAGGACAATGACCATCTTCTCACAACTCTGCTAAGTGGTGCCCTAGGAGGGACTTTGTGTGGGGGCTCCAACATCACCTTTCCCTTCTGCACTGCCCTAGCAGTCCCTAGGCTGCACACAGCACACACAGTCCCTGGGCCCAACCCACAGAACCAGTTTTTCCTCCTAGGCCTCGGGGCCTGTGATAGGAGAAGCTGCCATGAAGACCTCTGACATGCCCTGGAGACATTTTCCCCATTGTCTTTGGGATTAACATTTGACTCTTCATTATTTATGCAAATTTCTGCAGCCAGCTTGAATTTCTCCTTAGAAAATGGGATTTTCTTTTCTATCGCATTTTCAGGCTGCAAATTTCCAAACTTTTGTGCTCTGCTTCCCTTAGAAAACTGAATGCCCTTAACAGCACCCAAGTCACCTCTTGAATGCTCTGCTGCTTAGAAATTTCTTTCGCCAGATACCCTAAATCATCTCCCTCAAGTTCAAAGTTCCACACATCTCTATGGCAGGGGAAAAATGCCACTACTCTCTTTGCTAAGACATAACAAGAGTCACCTTTGTTCCAGTTCCCAACAAGTTTCTCATTTCCATCTGAGACCACCTCAGCCTGGACTTTATTATCCACACCACTCTCAGCATTTTTGTCAAAGCCATTCAACAAGTCTTTAGGAAGTTTCAAAATTTCTCACATTTTTTTGTCTTCTTCTGAGCCCTCCAAACTGTTCCAATCCCTGCCTGTTACCCAGTCTCAGAGCCGCTTCCACATTTTTAAGTATCTACAGTAGTGCCCCCCTCTGCTGGTACCAATTTACTGTATGAGCCTGTTCTCATGCTGCTGATAAAGACATATCAGAGACTGGGCAATTTACAGAAGAGGTTTAATGGACTTACAGTTCCACATGGCTGGGGAGACCTCACAATCATGGCAGAAGGCAAGGAAGAGCAAGTCATGTCTTACATGGATGGCAGCAGTGAAGAGAGAGCTTTTGCAGGGAAACTCCCCTTTTTAAAACCATCAGATCTTGTGAGACTCATTCACTATCAAGAGAACAGCACAGGAAAGACCCACCCCATAATTCAGTCACCTCTCACCATGTTCCTCTCCTGACACATTGGAGTTATGGGAGTTATAATTCAAGATGAGATTTGGGTGGGGACACAGCCAACCACATCAAGCTCCATGTGCAGGAAATATAACAAGCGCAAGAGAATGTTGTTTCTTGGCCAAGAGACCCTCAATCAATGTCCTTCACTTTGATTTTCACTCTAGTTTCTTCTAATTCTAGGAATTATGGCTTCATTTGTGCTTATATTTAAGAGCCAGTGACCCTATGGTGACTTAGGCCTCAATTATCCTACCTTCTTTCTGGGTAGCTGCCTGAAGCCTTCCATATAGGATGGAGAAAATAAGAGAAGTTGAGATGCAAGCCAACTTTTTTTCTGTTTTGGCGAGAAAAGTTTTGATGAAGAAAAGAGTTTGAAACTATCTGTTGGCTAAAATCAAGGGAGCAGACATGTAGTATCTTTGCTAGGCTTGGCCTTTCTGACTGGCCAGAAACAGAAAGGATCTTATAAATGTATTAGTTTTCACTTATTTCGATATTAAATATATAGCAAATTTTTTCCTGCATTCATGAAGTGATCCAGCTTTTGTCAACAAGAAAAAGAAGAAGCTTCCCCTGTGTTTTCCGTCATGGGTTACTTGTAAAAGAGGAATGCAGCCATTCATAGAAACACTGTAGTAAGTAGCAAAACTTTGATCTTTACAATTCCAGATGACTAGAGTTGTAATGAGCTGTGCACAACCTGGTGAGAGCAAGTAGGACTGTACTGGGGTAGGGGAAATGTGGGAGAGATGGTGTCTTCCTGCCAAGATTGCCTTGGATAGGAGCTGCGTTTAATACAAAGGAGTGAAAAAAGAGACAATAAGAGGCAGTGTAGTCAGATGATCTCTTTTTAAAGTTTATGTAGCTATGTAGGAAAAAAAAAAACAGAGAGGTAAAGGTACCTCCTGCTGGTAGAGGAAGGGCAAATCATGGGAAAGAAAAACTTTGAGAATGTCATGTTCTTTTCTGTTCTATGCATTAGCAAGTAAATACAATAGCACTATGTGGAAACAGCAAAGGAATTAAAATGTGCCATTCTTTAAAGGTATAATGGAATTAGACAGGCCAATCCAGCATTTTTTTTTAAGTGTAAGCAATTACTTTGCAGGTGGAATAAGATTAAAACTGTTAACATGACTCCCTCTCTCCCTCTGTGGCAGATACACTGGAGCTTAGAGCCTGCCAAAGCTCTCCAGAAACTTTTGAAGTAGCTCTCAGGGTTTTGAATGTCCCATGAAAGCAATTTGCCAAAAAGTGGCTAGGCATCCACCTGGGGAGGTTCTAGTCTTCTGGATCTGCTTGGTAAGGTTATATGCTACAAGAGGTCTCATGAAAAGTATTAGTATGATGTCTTCCAAAGCCCCAGAAAACCAGCTACACTGGTTTTTAAAGGTTTTTAAAGGAATTTGAAAAGGCTTTATCATCTCACTGCAAAGCAGTTTAATTGGAACTATGTATCATACCCCTGATATGTTTCAGGTGCTGTGTTTGGCATGGGACATTCTCAGTAAGACAGGGTTCCTGTCCTCTAAGTTTATGGTCTAGGACTGGCTGCATCAGAGCCACCTAGGAGGGCACTTAACCCGGACTCATGGGGTCAGGGAGGGCTTCCAGAAGGAGGTGATGGCTGAGCTGCCGCCTGACCGCATGATCCTTATGGTGAAGAGGCACATTTTGAATTAGACAGTTCTCCCAAGGTCTAAATTACAGCCTTGGAAGCTAGAGTCAGGCTTTTGCATCCAATGTCGACTTCTCTCTGACAAATAGCTTTTGTATAAAATTGGGTGAGCTTATTAAGGTGAACTCACTTTCTGATTCATGTATAGTGCAATATTCTGGCAGTACCTGGTTGAAGTGAAAAGACCTAAAGTCCTGTCTCCTTTAATACAAAATTCATTTTAAAAATGTCCCAGTAGAGGGCTGAGCACAGAGGGCTAAGGTTTTAACAAAGGCTTGTTTAATTGAAATGAGGACATAAACTCCAAGAGGTAGCGGAGGAGAGAAGTTAGGGAATCTGCTGACCCCCTCCTCTCAGTTCTTGGCTGCTGCCCGAGTTCATCTTTCTTCAGTTCGTCCAGCCCTGCAACAAAAGAGCGCTTCAGTTCAGCAGAGCAGCGTAGAGCTTGCACGCATGCTGAGCAGGAGGGCTGTCGAGAGAAACCGTGTAGTAAATACAGAACGCTCATTGAAATGCCAAGTGTCACTACTTTGGCATTTAATTATCTGACTTGCTGGCAGCTGGAAGTAGGGAAGCAAGCAGAAAAAAAGAAGAAGAAGAAGAAGAAAAGTCAGTGAGAAGCAGAAGGCAGAACTGGACAGTGATCTGATGTAGAAATTGGGCCAAGAGCAATACTTTCTAGGCACATTCTTAAAAAACCTTTACCTTGTATTTAGTGTTTAGAACTACCTGCACTTTTTGAAAAGAAATTCCAAATAAAATGCCCTCTGATTAAAAAACATTATCACTCTGAACATACAGAGGCACAATCAATGAACTCTTACAGTGAAGACCATTTTAGGTATGTTCAATATGGGCTGTCAAAGGTGTCTAAACACACAGCAAGGTCATCTGGGAAGCAAACTCGAACAAAGCAATACCAGTGCTGTGGCAGCTCCATCAAATTTGAATTAAAATGACTTGGCAGCCTGCTGGTATGTCTGGCTTACATTTCAGGGTGAGGAGAGAGATATGGACTCTGGAGGTAGCAGACAAGGAGTTTAATCCCAGCTCTGCCACTTACGTCGAGTGTGAACCTGGGCCTCCTCTTGGTGTATCACTTCTCTCAACACTTACGTGCTTCTCACCAGAAGCTTTCATTGTTTGGGGAATTATGCCAGCTTTAAAGTCACGTTATATAGTGCCTAGCACAAAAAGCCATTTACACTAGAAGCTGTGTTGGAAAAAAATTTTTTTCTTTTTAAGCAGCAGACCTCTTACTTTAAACAAAATATGATATAGGGCCTGTGTTCTGAAACCAACAGGAAGAAGTCCACTGCTCAAAGAAACTGGTCTCTCCCAACTCCAGACACCAACAGTCCTTTCTCCTAAGGTCACTTTTTGGGGGAGACCTCCTCTGACCCCAGACTCCTAAACGGCAAGTCCACCCCACCCTCTCTTTTGCCTGCTTCCATGGTACTTACCGTTATCTGCCGTTCCTTACGTTGACCCATTCTGCTGTCGGTCTGCTCCTCCCCGCTGGAATATATGCCACATGAGAGTGGTGACTTTATCTGTTGTGTTCTCTGTTGTATCCCTAGTTCTTCCAGAAATACCATCTGGAACTTAATAATTATCTTTTTAAAGTAGGCACTCAATAATTATCTTTTTCAATGAATGGCACATAAGTAGAGACCAAGATTGATGCCTGTGGATCCTACTGTGATAGTCTAGTGTTGGGGAAAACAGGTACCAGACATCCATAAAACTGTGTGGTAAGTGTTGTGCTGGGTGAAGTATGGAGTGTCATGGGGACACAGGGAAAGGCCCTAACCTAGACATAAGAGGTCCAAGAAGGCTTCCTGAAGGAAGTACTCAGAACAATTAAGAAACTGAAGCACATAGAGGAGAAGTCACTGTCCCAAAGTCACATAGCCTGAAACGAGGCAGAGCTGGTGCAGAGCAATGAAATGGCATTGGCACACGGGCTGTGGTCTTCGCTCGAAGCGTGTGCTATTTAGATGCTGCAGAAGTCAGTGTTAAGACAACATGAAGGATGTTAGTCCTGTCTATGAGGAGTCAATACAACTTTGGCTACACCACTGAAGGTTGACCAGAACAGTGAGGGAGACTTGCAGGGATTGGGTCCAGAGAATGTTCAGGTTATTCTGGGGAGTGATGAATAGCATTGCAGAGGAAGTGGAGATAGAATTGAGGATTTGAATGATGCTGTGAAAGTGGTAGTAACAGGTTTAGAGTGTTTTGTCAGGATCTGATCCAGGAGAAGATGCTTCTAAGAAACATATTCTCTACCCATTAGAACAGTGATATAATATATGGTTTTCCCTAAGTATCCATGCAAAATTGGTTCCAGGACCCCATGAGGATACCAAAATCCATGGGTGCCCAAATGTGTGATATAAAATGGTATAGGATTTGCATACAACCTACACACATCCTGTATACATCAGATAATCTCTAGATTATTTATAATACCTAATGTAATGTAAATAGTTGTTATACTGTATTTTTTATTTGTATTATTTTTATCGTTGTATTTTTAAAAAATATTTCTAATCTGAGGGTTGGTTTTGTGCACATGTGGAACTCAAGGATGTAGAGTGCTGACTGCATATGAAATCTTTTTTAAAAATGCAGATACTTAGACTTGGGAGTGCCAGCTCTAATAATTTATCCTAAGATAATTTATTCGAATATAATAATCAAATTATATAGTGTGTGTGTATAATACATACTCATATATAGAAAGTACATGTTCATGTACTCTGTATTAGTATTTATATATATATATACACACATATACACATAACATTGCAAAATAATCTGAGATTATCTGAATGTCCAGCAAGAGGGGATTGATTCAGTAATGTATGGATTATTTATACAATGCAATAGTATATAATTGTTAAAATGATGACATTGGTATATATTTATTGATATGGAAAATAATACCCATATTATTAAGCAGAAATATTAAGCAGAAATCTTTACAGTATGTATAGAATGGTTTTATTTTTTAAAGAAAAGTGTACACACATATTCCCATCAAAGTGTGGAAGATATATACCAATATAGTAATAGTTTCTATATACTAATAGTGTTTATTTATGTAATATTTATTCAGCCAATGTTTTTCTTCATGTAACAAGAATCAATGGAAAGGAATACAATGACAACTCTTCATTATCCCCACCCAGTTTAAAAAAAAAAAAGGTTTAGACTTTGGCCAGTTTTTCACTCTGAGATTACCATCCGCTTTCCTGTACCATCTGTGCAGAGGAGTGTCCACAGTTAAATGGGAACTTCTACAGCGGGCTTCACCCTTCATCCCAAATTGAGTCCTCCCTTCATTCTCTGGGAGCTTTTCATGAGAAAGATCCATTTGCTTGTCAGTACTCAACCAAGACCTCCCATTTGTCTCTCAGGTTTGGAGCAGCGGAGGGTGCACCCAGCGGTGTCAACTGGCCTTTCGCTGTCATGAAATATTACCATTTCACACTCACAAATAAAAGTTAGCAGCATTTCATTGCTGCGTGGTGTGAAATTAGACCTCCTCACCAGCTGGATGCAACAGCCTGCTGTAGAAATGGTGATGACTGCTAGTGTTCCTGGTTCAATTCAATTAAGAATATTTTTTTCTCCTCTTTGGTGAAAGGGGTAGTCAAGATGAATGCCTTGCAAACTTCTGAAATATGTACTTGTATAAAAGAACTATTAAAGTAAAGTAACATCTCTATGATCTTTGAACTAAGCCGTCATTCTGCCATTATTGATGTGGCTGCTTTAAGCCGTCTAATTAAAATCGGAGTGACAGATTTGTTATTGAAAATCTGAAACCCAGCTCACATCCCATACAGCACATCTGAGCAGGGTATATATCTGCTGTTTTGATGGGCTCTCAAAATTGCTAAGCTGTGCCGGGTGCCAAAAGGAATTCAATAAATCTTTTCTTTTCTTACCGAGCAGCTCTCATTAGTCTTTTTAATAATAGCACTAGTGGATATCAACCTCAGTTCTCCAAAATAAATTAAATGTGTCCATTAGGGTTGTAATTATAGCATCAGATATGAGTTTATTCTGCTACAAAGAGATGGCAAGGCTGATAGAGCCAAGAGCTTTCCTCTCGGTCCTTACATTTTAAACATTGCTTGGTGTATAAAATGTGGATCTAATATCTGGGTGGAGGAGGGGTGGCCTAGCAAGGTCTTTTGTCATCTGAACTGACAATATTTCTCCCGGCTTGGGAGTTGTAAGCATTCGGTATCGAGTGGTGTGAATTCTGCAGATCCTAAGTGAAAACTGGTCATCAACTAGCAGTATGCAGTTCAGAGCCTGCTGAACAAACTGCATAAACCTCAGAGTAGGAGAACATGACAGAAGGCTGCGTTATCTGAAATTTTAGCTAATTTTTTTTTAACTAGCAGGAGCCATCTGTCATGATTATTCTGATTCAAGGGCTAAATTGAACGGAAGGCATTGCTGGGCGATTAAACAAGTTCTCTCAAAATATTTTCATACCTTTCTGTCTTGTCAGAAGCTTTTTTTTTTTTCCACCAAAGATGTCATCCGATTGTGGATTTTTTTTTTTTTTTTTTTTTTTTTTTTTTTTTTTTTTTTTTTTTTTTGCAGGGGGAGGATTTCTGTCTCCCATGCCATAGAGAAACCTTGTCACTGTGTTGGCACTAAGGAATGGGGTGAGATGCAAGTAAATGGGTGTGTCCTATTTGAAGCTTATTCTTCACTTCTGGCTCTTGCAGCCTTATGGTGATGTTACTCTTGGGCCTGATTGAGATGTTCTGAATTCATCCAGATGTTCTAAATTAATTCATTAGAGGTTTCTTCAGAGGGTGTCAGAGGGGAGCATTTCAAGAGTCCTTTTCCTACTCATACTTAGAAAGGGGAAGGAGTTACTGAGCCGGAAAAAAAAAATAGGCAATGGGACAGAAGACTGCATTTGGTGGCAAGAATCTGCCATCGCTTTCTTGTCATTCCAGTTATTTTTCCACTTCAGCCTCCAATTTGGAAGAAAAATTTCTGTGATTTCCTATGTCATGAGCAGTAACACAGATTTTGGAAGCTCTGTCCTCTTGGACAAGTGTGGAAATATAAAGTTTGGAAAGATATTTACATCTTTTAAAGATGTATGGAAGGTAACCTGCCTCCCCTCTCATCTTCTAACTTCATTATTAAAAGAAAAAAAAAATTCACATGTTGATGTGAAGGCAACTGGGTGTCATTTCCCTTTAAATAGTACAAAACATATGGGGGCAGGATTGCATTTGTCACAAATTGTCAAAATATTTTTTTAAAGAAACCAAAATCTTCTAGGGATGGTTCCAAATGTGCCTGATTTCCCTGAGCAGTGAGCAGTGCGACCTTTACATTAGCAGATATATTTATAAATACACATATGGCCCGCCAGGACCTGATTGGCTGCTGATCTGATGAGACAGCGACAGATTTAATGGTGTTTCACCTACCTGGGGTTTAGTTTTTTTAGTTACTGATTTACCTTAGCAGTTTTCACTTACAGTCACCTAATTTATCTGTGTTTTATTGACAGGTGCAATTTTTTAATGAGGGCTGTGGAAGCAGAGAGAGGTTTTGAATTTCTTGATGTTTTCTGTGGGGTCTTTATATGATGATAGCTTGATATTTTTCCTCCTAATGAATCTGTGAGACTTGTCACGATGGACAAAAACCAGTGACATAAAAAAGAACCAAATATGTTTATTTGGAAGAGTGCAAGTAAAACCTTAAGGCATGTTACTGGTTTCTAGTCTATTTTAGACTTTTTATTTTACTTAAAAGTAAGCACCTATAAGGTACTTTTTGCTTCTCAAAAAAAAAAAAAATGATGCAATGCAAATGCAGAAACACAATAAAGTACCCTATCCAGAGGTCAGCTAGGTTCCAGAAAAGTGCCAGAGGTTTGTATTCCAAAAAGTCAAATCGCCCAAGGTTACTTTGACAGATACAGCAGTAATGGCTCTTACTAAACAGGGTTCTGAAGGTGTTAGTAATACTTTTAGGATGACTTTGGACAGTGTTATTCAATTTTTAAAACACCATGCCCTCTTCCAATAAGCACAAAGCAAATCTCAGTCCTTTCCCTATTCCTGTGCCCCCCTGGGAGTGTACTTGTTTTGTACATTACTCTTCCAACTGCCCACTCCCTCTCCTGTTGAGAATCTTCTTGGCTGCTAGTTTAGAATGGGCTTGTCTCCATCAGCCAAGAAGATTTCATAGGGCTAGACTCACCAAGGTTTGTGTTACAAAAATGAAAGGTATGTTTCTATATTCACAATATAAGATTATATTGTTTAATGTCCTTTTTCAAACTACATTGCAACCCCAGAAATTCTAATCTTTTCCCATTCCAGCTGCAAATCCCTGATTTAGGAGGCTTCTCTCCCCTCTTCGCATGCCTCTTCCTCCAAATCCCACACATCCTCCATGTGCCTTATCACGTTTCTAGTCCTATCACCTTTCTTTTTCTTTTTAATGTTAACATTTCTGGTGCTTTTTGATTCCTGAATATTCACCTTTTCTTAGCTGATGACATTAAAGGACATTTTCTCCTACACTAAGACAATGAAATTGCCTGAGCGAACTGCATACTTTTACAACTGAGTTCATTTCTTTTTCAGCTTTGCAGGCACAGTGAAATGTGTAAATAGGGACTTTAATTCTCCCTCAGCTGCAATTCATAGTCTTTAACACTTCCTAGGTGGAAAAAAAAATATGAATGCTGTTCTTTTAAACTTGTAATAGTTTCATTGTATATTCCCCATGTACTCTCAGCCCTCTGCATTAGGGAGCGATTGGTTTTTCTGCGGGCACAAATGGTGCTGATTGACTTTTAGAAAATAGCAGAGTCCTCATATGTCTGTCATTGGGATAGTTTTCTGCTCCCAGTCAGTTCCCCAATTGCATTAAAAGCACTAAGCAATAGAGATTTCAAATGGGGACAGAGTTTCTTTATGGAACTTACTACCTTTTTATATCTGTGGACAAGGTGTAATCCAGCAGCTTCTGTTGATCAGAAACACAACCCCACTGTTAACTCTGCATTCGAGGGAGGCTCTGTATCTAGAATTTAATTAGAAAAGAAGGAAAAGGGTAAAACTAAACCATAGTCTCTTTGTATTCACTGAATTTGTTGATTGCAGTAGAAACCATTCATTAATTTATTCAAACTCAGTTCTTGACCTGCCACTGTATGTAATTCATAAAATTTCATGTTGGGAAAGAAAAAAAAAGGTGTAAATCCAGAACTCTTTCCTCTGTTTTCATGTATGGTTGGGAAGGTCTTGAAGAGCTTTACACATCTCACTTGCAAAATAAAGTATAAATGAGTGAGAATTTGTACCATATGTCCATTTATTTTTCGCACTTACAGGAATCATAAGTGATCTGAGCTCATAAATGTTTGATTTTTTTATAAGAATTTTCTTTTAAGAAATCTAACATAGATCTGTGAGGCTTGAGATTACAATAAAAAATTTGGTTAGCTTTCAGCAGCAACATTAAGTAAACATGTAAAAGTTTTACAAAAATAAGATGTCGAAAATTTTAATGGTTTCCCTTCTTAATTATGTGGTTTGAAATGGTGTGTATTTTTCAAGCTCTTTCTCTGTGATTCTCATTTTAACTACTATTGGGATGTTGCCTTCTGGTTTTGATAGTCTTAATTTTATGTTATTAGAGATATTTATTCTTAGATTTAATTTGCTGCTTATTTAAAAATTTCCCAACAGCTTTGTGTGAAAATGATTTTTATAGTAAAGTATCATAGTTAGGAATAGGCTAGGATTAGCACGATTAGTAATAACAGGTAAATTTTTTGTGTAATAAAGAACTTGACTTCGCCCAAAGAGAGTTCTCCTTGCCCTCAACTTCTGGGAGGTAATTCATATTAATATCTGATCGGAGTGTCTTTGTTTAATTTGGGAGCTGGCCACACCAGATATTAGGTTGGACCAGCCACACCCAACAGTGTTAAGGTGGGACAGGCCATGCCAGGAAGACCAACCATATAATTTAGAGTGGAGGCTTTGGGACACACAATATCAGTCAACTTGGAGACTGAGATCTACCACATAAACAATTAATCAATGATGCAATGGAGCCCTAATAAAAACTCTAGACACCAAAGCTCAGGTGACCTTCCCTGGATGGCAGTACTCCGTGTATATTGTCACACATTTGATCCCAGGAGGATATCACACTCTGAGAACAATGGCAGCATTTGCATTTGGAACCCTAGCAGACTTGCCCTATGCATCTCTTCCCTTTGTTGATCTTAATATGTATTTTTTCTCTGTAATAAACCATAACTATGAATATGATAGCTTCAGTGAGTTCTGTGGGTCCTTCTCATGAATTATTGCACCTGAAGGTGTTTTGAGGAACCCCCCACCACCATAGACTTACAGGTGGTGTCAGAAATGTGGAGGAATTTGCCCTCAAACTTTGCAGTTTGCTTAACTCTTGCAATCAGCGTCAGAAGAGAGATTCACTAGAACTACCGTGACTCATTCTAACGTGTTTTGGGAAGAAGTATTACAATGCAAAGATCAACATATGCTTTTCTATAAGCGAAGTCTCTCTTAAATCATTTTTTAAAACAACTTGAGGAATAAATTAAAACATATAAACTTACTAATACCAGGAAAGTAAATATATAAACTAAACACACAGATAGAAAGAGTTTTCACATAGTACTATAACCTCAAGTCCTAAAGCTTTTGTGCCCACCACATTTCATAGTATTTTACA
The DNA here is from genome assembly GCF_000001405.40 of Homo sapiens. Classification (NCBI taxonomy): domain Eukaryota; kingdom Metazoa; phylum Chordata; class Mammalia; order Primates; family Hominidae; genus Homo; species Homo sapiens. The sequence goes on along the minus strand of NC_000009.12, from coordinate 3,972,639 downwards.
AGGAGAAAAGTGCCTAAAGATGGCTTATGTGAAATGTAACCCTATGATAATCTATCAGAAAGCAAACAAACAAACAAAAAAAACCCTTTTTGAAACTACAGTCAAGAAACCAGAAATATGGAAGCTGGCAAGCCCAAATACTAAAAGAGAAGCTCATGCTTCCTTTGGGAAGCTCCCCATGAGGACCCCATTATCTGTAACACAGGGCCTTTGCAGGCTAACATGCCCTCCAAAACTGAGCAGTGACCATACTCTCCTCTCCCATTTATAGGATCCAGAGATAACCAATAATCAGAGTATAGAATGAGGGACGTTTGAAGTTACATTAGGTAGAGGAATAAAGAACTGGGATGATTTGTCATATGCACAGATTTCATCCTAAAAAGAGAAGAACCATCTTAAGCCTTACTGGAGGGGATAAGAGGACCTATATCTAGTTTCATCTTCCCCAAATCAAGCAGTACTTACCAAAGCAGAAGTTTTTTGTAAACAACATAGACATTTACTCTTCCATAGGAAAGTATACCTTTATATGGCATTCTGATCTAGACATGAAAACTAGTAGAGATACGAAATGCTAACACGCTAGTGTGTTACGTGAGCAGTAAGTGTCCCAAAACACCTTTCTGAACAAAAGCCCCTTCTTGGACCACAAATAGCGGGATCTTTCCTGTTACTCACTGTTTTCTCCAGAGCAAACACATGCCACTCAAAACAGCAATATCCTCAGTATCCCCAGCACTGCCTCCAGTGCCATTGCTGACCTGGAGTGAGATGGGTAAGATGTGAGTCAACTCCTTTCTTTCCAACTCTGGGAAGCAGCAGAATAGTCCAGCATTCTAAAGTGTGGTAGGATTTAATTGCTGGAGCCAATCATCAGTTAAATACAAGACAGTGCTTTTCAAAGAACTATTATTAGAGGCTTAAGTGTAAATGCACGAAATAGAGCAGTTACGGTGTGCCAATCAGATAACCATAGGCCTGTCATGCTACTGTGTGTACCGTGGGTTAGTTTGTTGTGCTTAGACCCAGCTTTGCATCCTGGCAGTCATGTGCCAACAGAGCCCTTGCATGTCAGTTGTGTCTGTGTCTTTGTTGTGCAATAGATCCCTTTTCATTTCCCTTTCTCTCTTCTTCTCACAAACCTGTTATTAGTTTCCCCCAATGGCTTATTTAGAATTTTCTCATTTCTGAAAAATACCATTTTTAGGTATAAGGGATGACTGCATAGGGATCAGATAATGACTTTTTCTTTTAAGGCTGGGTTACTTTTCCCTCAACCGAGTAAGGGCTGCTTTGTGCCAGTGACACCATTAAAGCATAAAATAGAATTCAGCCTCAAGCTCCTTCTGATGTGACATAGGCAGAAAGTGTGTAGTGTCTTCATGTGGACAGGAGGTCTAAAATGAGCTCCAAATGTTCTCCACTTTGAGAGGGGTGGGTGACATGGCTATCTTGCCATTGCTCCATTCTTTGATGGTGATGGAAAGCATAAGGCTCCCTTCCTTCCTTCCTTCCTTCGATCCTTCCTTCCTTCCTTCGATCTATCCTTCCTTCCTTCCTTCAATTAATCCTTCCTTCCTTCCTTCGATCCTTCCTTCTTTCCTTTGATCGATCCTCCCTTCCTTCCTTCTCTCCGTCCCTCCCTCCCTTTCTCCATTCCATCCCTTTCTCCCTCTTTTCCTTCCATTTCTTCTTCCCCATCCTTTTTTTATTTCCCCTCAGAATACTAAAGTCATATAGCAGGGCAAATACAGCCAATGTTGTGCCTCTGAACCTGCTTTGAACTCATTGTTTAACTTTGGGAATACTCATCTTCTCATCCTTCTCTCTTCAATTGCCAGCTTCACACTAGGATATTTACTTGGTAAATTGTTCTCCAAAGTTTAGAAGAAATTGAACTGTGCTGAGTGAGAGGTTTGTGTGTATGATCAACTTAATCTCAGTTTCTGCTCTGCTGAATAATCCTGCAACTCCATGCTATAGGATAGGGCTTCTCAACCTCTACATTACTAATATTTTCAGCCAGATAGTTCTTTGTTATGAGGGCTGTCCTGTGCATTAGCAGCATCCTGGGCCTTGTTCAGGGGCAAGGTAACACTGGTAGTCTCTTATTTCTGTATTTTTAAAGAAGATGTCTATGGCAAACTTTTAGGTTGACAAAATAAAAATTTCTTCTACAAATAATGCATTTGTTTGCCCAGATTGTCTAGGAAAGAAATTACATTTTGGACTTCCTGTTCCATGAATTATCAAGAGTCTTCTGTCAAAAAATAATCAACACGATTCATCTTCTCATAATATAAGGACTGTAATATTACATTGCTTTTGAGTTTTTCCACCATTAAAAAATCTTGTTTATGACTATTTTAATCCCTTTACTAGCATCAGTGAAACAGAGAGGGTCTTGTTTACTGTCCTCTTTAGGAAATCTCTGAGCTAAAGTAGAAGGATCTGTGCCAGATATTTGCTGGTTATATGTGTGTACCAGCTCTGAAAACCACCCTTAATAATTGTTTTCAAATTATCTTATGTGCCAGACTTTTGCATTTAGGCAGAGACGAAAGCTAACACTAAATTACTGACTTCCTGGTTGTGTGTGAATGCAGTGAACGTTACTCACTTGGAACATGAAATGACTGTACAATTCTAAATAAAATATTTTATCATAGGTAGCATTTGTCCACCAAGTTGCAAGATTTGCCCCTGAAACAGGAAATAACAGAATTGATCTAAAGCCCCTCACCTAGCTTCCTTCCCTGAAAGTATACTGTGAAAATGCCACTTTTTGAATTTTGCTCAGTTTCTGGACAGAGGTGCTGGATTGCCTAGCTTTCCTGTCATTAGGAGTGACTGAAAGCAACCATCTGGGGCTTCTGACAAGCTTGGTCATGGAACTCAGAAACAAGGGACCCAAGTTATTTTGGTAGCTTCATACACAGCAAGCTGAGTTCTTCACAGTGGCTGTATTTGGTTGGGAAAAGAAGATCTCCAGAAGAATCAAAGAGCTATCCTGGGCTTTTGGAATCTTGAGCCCAGCTGAAGGTGCTGATTACTATAAACAACAATCACTTCATGGTCCATATTCCTGAGATCTCTGCTTTCATGAAATTGATCTTGATTACTTCGTATCAGTTCTGATCAAGTCACCAAGTGGCTATGTATCTGATATGTGCAAGACCAAAAGAAGGTCTACTTTGAGTGGAAACATTGGGCCTTAGTAAATCCTTTCCGCAGACCTCTTCTTCTTTGGAGATATTTCCTGTGAGGTGTAGGGAACGTATAGCACAAGGTTTGCTCGCTTTTGAACTTCTGCATTTCTAACCTAATGTGAATTATAAGCAACCTTTTATTCAAAGAAAGAATAATAGACTGAAAAGGAGATTGATATTTCAGCCTTCTGAATCTTCACTTTGTGCTGACAAATTAATCGTCTGTTTTACCTTCTTCGAACAGTGAGGCTCATTGTTCAGTTTGCCAGGTCATATGCATTTCATCACACTACACCTTGGTGACAAAGCAGACAAGGGGAAAAATGAACCTAGAGGTGAGTCAAGGCTTTGGCTTTAGTTCTGTGACTCAAACACGGACAAGTCATTGGTCCTGACAATTGCTTCTGTGACACAATGGAAAAAAAGCCAAGCCGTTTTGATGGAGCCTAACACACTTTTGCAAAGGGTGTCTTGTCCCTAGACTCTGTGGAGTCATATTTAAATTTGCTCACTCACTTATAGTTAGATCTTTACCCAGACAGTCCAGTCTAAACCCCAGTGGATGAAGTAACTCCCTAAATGTACCAAATGTATTTGGTAATTCAGACTTTCTTTTCCAGAATTAAAGATTGAATTTCTTTTAGGAGTAATAATGAAATGTACTATTACTTGATCTATGGTGGTTACATGAGTTCTTCAATTTATAACAATTAACTGAATTGTACTATCATTTATGTAGTTTCCTGGATATAATACTTTAAATTAAAAGATTTACTGTTAAAAATGATGAAATTGGCAAGAATAACATTATAAAGGTGAAAAAAACCTTACCTATGGAGAACATAAAAATACAATACCTTAGCTTTCTTATATAATTTGTATAATTTAATCAAACATTTTTCCTTAATATATCACTGTTAAGCATTTTGTATAGACGGATTATCACACGTATATGTATTTTTCATATGCATATAGTCAGCATTTCATTTGGTGATACTGAAAATGCTACCTCCTTTAAAAAAATTTTGTTTGTTGCTTAACTGATATGCTTTCTGTATTATTTAATTAGGCTACCATGAGTATTGAGACAAGTGCTGTTAAGCTCCCTATCATCAGCACTGGGAATCTAAGCATTTACCGTATCTCCACTGTCCCATTCAGTTAGAAGAACTTTGAAAGCCATTAAAGGTGAGGCTTCCTGCTGACGATCATTCTGCTCCTGCTACATGATAAAATCATGCTGCCAAGGTCTTCACCCCCTTAGACTAGTGACAATAGATTTGAAATCCAATTTTGAAAACTCTAAAATTATAACCCAGAGATCTCAAGAATCCACATCGTATTTTAGCCCACACCTTCGGACAGATTGTATGAATTTAGATTTATGGCGAAAAGGAAGGGATGAGAAAGTTAACCTGAGTTAATGGAAAATGTAATTCCAGTTTTTGAAGATATGATTTATGGGGTCTTATTTTCAAACAACAAAGCATTATTTGCTCACAACAATGCACAAAGTATTTTCCTCACCTCCTGAGCCTCCATCACTCTCCCCCTTAAAATAATAAGTGTGAAGAGCTTGGTGCCTGTCCTTCTGCACATTCTTTACGGTTGTGGAAGCATACAAATATATACACATATATGATTTTCCTTACAGAAAATGGGATCATATTATCCATCTTTCTCATGACATTGCACTTGTCTCTTAGCATCATAATATGGATATCTCTCCAGGTCACTTCATGTAACTGTAACACATTCTTCTTGATAGCTGCATCACAGTCTGTAGTATTGATGTATTATAACCGAGGATTCAGGCATGTGTCCTGTGTTGCTGCCCCTGTAACACATTAAGCAGTAAATATGCTGGTATACTTATCCTCATATACTAATATCTTTCTTTTCTTTTCTTTCTTTTTCTTTTTTTTGTGGTGGAGTCTCGCTCTATTGCCCAGGCTGGAGTGCAATGGCCCGATCTTGGCTCACTACAACCTCTGCCTCCTGGGTTCAAGTGATTCTCCTGCCTTAGCCTCCTGAGTAGCTGGGACTACAGGCACGTGCAACCACGCCTGGCTAATTTTCTATTTTTAGTAGAGACAGGGTTTCACCATGTTAGTCAGGCTGGTCTTGAACTCCTGATCTTAGGTGATCTGCCCGCCTCGGTCTCCCAAAGTGCTGGGATTACAGGCATGGGCCACCACGCCCAGCAGGATAGAGAATTTTTAAAGAAAAATTGATTTCAAAATGATTTTCAGGTACACAGTAACTGAAAATGAATTGGCCAGGTGTATGGCAGATAGAGATCCTTACTGGACTTCTTTACTAAATGTCCAAGAAGAATTGCATGTACAGTATCAATCATGTACCTGATTGAGAAATCCTCAAAATGTTTTTTTGTTTTTTTTTTTTTTTTTTTTTTGCAGAAAGAAATTGTCTGGAGTTGAGGGTAGGAATAAGGATTAACTGTAAATGGATATGAGGAATCTCACTGGGGTGATGAGAATGTTCTAAAACTGGATTGTGGTGAGAGTTGCAGACCTCAGTTAATTTACTAAAAAATCATTGAATTTCACTTTTATATTGGGTGGATTTTGTGGTGTGTAATTTATACCTTAAAAAAGTTGTTTTAAGGGTTTTTTGTTTTTTGTTTTTTTTTTGTCTGTCACCCAGGCTGGAGTGCAGTGGCGCGATCTCAGCTCACACCACCTCCCGGGTTCTAAGTGATTCTCCTGCCTCAGCCTCCTGAGTAGCTGGGATTGCAGGCGTGCGCCACCATGCCTGGCTAATTTTGTAGTTTTAGTAGAGACAGGGTTTCACCATGTTGGCCAGGCTGGTCTTGACTCCTGACCTCAGGTGATTGGCCTGCCTCAGCCTCCCAAAGTGCTGGGATTACAGGTGTGAGTCACCGCGCCTGGCCTAAAGAGGTAAAATTTTAAAGCAGTTCATGTGACATCTTTTTTTATATCATCAATTAGCATTATCTGAAAAAAAAAAGGCTTTGCATCATTGAAGTCAAATTTAGCCTATCAACACCTGTTTGATTTATTACAGTGTCATAATTCTTGGAATTTGCTCAATAAATATTTCCTGCATTTAATAGAATACACTTTTTTGCTCCTGCTGATTACAATAGTCATGTCCCATAATGGCATCCAAGGAAGCCAGGATTTTGTTGCAACAGTCATAGATTTCATCAATCCCATTCAGTCATTCATTCAACAGTTATATAGTGAGCATTCAGTATGTGCCAGGCATGTGTTTTAGTCATTAGGAACATATCAGTTTCCAATAAGGTGAAGATATCTTCCCTCTTAGAGCTTATACTCTAGATTAAAGTTTAAGAATGAACAAAAGACCACAATTTCACATTTTTAACCTGAGTTTTCTGTTGAAATGAAAATTATCATTCATTAGGAATTGCATCTGGAATTCTGAAATTCTGCTAAGCTTCAGGTGACACTGATGCTGAAGCTGGTTTGAAGACCACACAGTGAAGAACGAGGTTTTAACAAACAATGACATGTGCCTACACAGTGGTTATAGTTATGTGAGGTTGTAGTGTATCTGTTACCTTTTGTTTTCTCCATTTCTCTTCGTTTCCTGGGGTCTAAATAAGCAGCACAGAGTGAGAGAGGAGGAGTTGGTGGCCAGTAAGTAGCTCTGGGTCATCACCTGGTACATCTGCAGCTTGTCTTTGCTGAATGAGAGATCACTGCCTGCTGCAAATACTAGGAACATAGCGGGGTTTGGAAGCAGCGCCTTCCACTCCTTCTGCTGCACTGGCCTTCCCCATGCACATGTTTCGTCAGGAGGTTAGAAGGTTTAAACCTTCCTACAAATCTTTTACAACTTTTCTTTAGACTGTTGATGATAAAGACATAGGATTTGACTCAAAGTTATGAACCAGTGGATTAGAGTGATAGAATTAGGAAAGAGGCGTTGGGCGTGGTGGCTCACGCCTGTAATCCCAGCGCTTTGGGAGGCTGAGGCGGGCAGATCACCTGAGGTCAAGAGTTCCAGACTAGCCTGACTAACATAGTGAAACCCCCTCTCTACTAAAAGTACAAAAATTAGCCAGGAGTGGTGGCTCGCGCCTGTAGTCCCAGCTATTCGGGAGGCTGAGGCAGGAGAATCGCTTGAACCTGGGAGGCAAAGGTTGCAGTGAGCCGAGATCACGCCACTGCACTCCAGCCTGGGCACTGAGCGAGACTCTGTCTCAAAAAAAAAAAAAAAAAAAGAAAAGAAAAGAAAGAAATAGAAAAGAAGTAGGGTAAAGGAAACTCCTATTGTTTGACAGCCTCCTGTGTGCATTTAAGCACCATAGAAACCTTAGGAGAGATTTCTTATTTTCATTTTCAAGCATGACAGTTGTGAAACTGTGGCCCTCAGAGTATTTTATTTCATATTGCTATTTTTTTTATGTCCAAGATCACACAATTGGTAGTTAACGGAACTAAGTTTAGAATAGAGTTATTTGTATCTGACTTCAAACAGGCAACAATACCCTTAGCTCCATGTCCTGCTGGAGATTTTCTTAGTTCAGGAACATTTCTTTTCTCTTTAAGATAACCTTCACTATTTACAATTTTTGAGCACCATAATTTCCTTAAAAAGCATTACCTCACACTCATGTCCTACTACTGCCCAGAAACACTGAAAATAAAAGGTATTGGCTTTTGCTATTATAAATCATTTCACCTGATACCAATTTTGAAGACAAAATATGAAAAAATTCTGTCCCTGTGTCTTACTCTTTTCCAGTATTCCAGCATGACAGGCAAGGTATGTTCTAGACACAGGCAAATTTAGAAATATAGAAATATCATCTGCTGGAGAATAATTGATCCTTGTTATATGTCTGATCATATTTCTGGCTAGTCATCTTCAGAACATCAGATTTAATTAAATGTAGTAACTAATTAAAGGACAGAGTGTGTGATTGAATTCCTGGAAAATTAGAAAAGAAAATTTCAGATAGGTAGAATTCTCTTCATTTGTTCCTTTTTGGGGGGGTAACGTCTTGACCTTTTGTTAAATACAGTGCAAAGAGAATGTAATTAATGCAAGTGTGTTTTGTACGCCCAGTAATAGATTTTTTTCATTGAAACATAACTTTTATAAGATGCTTCTGTTATTACTAGCTGTCAGGCGAAAATTAAATGAGCTTGCTCCGAGCTTCAGATTTATCTTTCTGTCTACAAAAGGCTATGTGAGAGACTGAGGAGATACATAGCATTTATGATGATTCTGTAAATTAGTCCCATCAATCTGTGGTAAACATAATACATCCTCTCCCTGAAGCTAATGGCTTGGGCCAGCAATGATACTTTGCAGCCCAGCACTCTCTCGGTGTCTGTTTGGAAAATACCTCTAGCTACCAGGAACTTCTACCAGTTAGTGTGCGGGGACGCAGTTGTTTACTCAGAACATGCATGGCAGCATGAAGCAGTGCGTGCACCATCACAGATTGGAAAAAGTGTCCAGTTTAACCGGTGGAATATAGTGTCTGGTTCACTGTAGTTTCATGGCAATCAGATTCAGAAATGAAACATGAAACTGACTCAAGTGATGTGGAAGGCCCTTGCCAGCACTGTCTCCGAAGGGCTTATTTACAGTTTCTGTACCAGGAACCATCATCCTTGGTGTCTCGGTGAGGCCTGACGCCACTTCAGCCTCACGATAAGATTATCAATCTGGATTGGCAATGAACCCAATCTGTGCTTTACCTGCATTTCTAAAGCTGAAGAACAAAGCAGAAGTTAACTTTTAAATGACCTCCCTGCTTTGAGAGTCAAAGAGGAAACTTCTATCATTCAGCACTTAATTTTCCTCTTATTTGGTCTCTGCATTAGAGGATGGTCCCCGTGCACAGAGCTGACTTTTACTCTGGCTGAGTCACTAACAGTTGGGAGATGGGAAGCCACTTGGCCAAGCACCAAAAGTTTTCAGTTTCCTGTGATAACTCAGACTTCGGAAGGATGCAGAGTTTGCCCTAATGTCTTATGAGAACAAGCGGCACATCTCCAGCAGGGCCAGTGATACTGGGGGAGCAGTCGTCACTTCAATATTCCAGCATACTCTCACTGCCAGTTTTGTTCAGAGCTCCAGAAGTGCAGGGGATGTGTGAACATGTCGAATTAATGAAAAACAAAGTTAAACATTTCAGAACCTGCAAAAGGGTTCAGTTCCAGAAATGAGCAAAGGTTTGGGAAGAGTCTTATTTTTTAAGTGAGGTTTATTCATCCTCCGTAGACACAAAAATAAGTCTTTCAAAGAACATGAATATTTGAGGCACTTGGCAACATGCAGTCTTTGGCAACCTCTCCCTTATTTATACCATGTAATTATACTTGCCTTTATATGTGTGTCCTTTTCGTTTTTGAGCCTAACATGGTCTTTTGTCAAATTCCAGTTATTGATTAGCACTGGCAACTCTGAAATGTGGCTTTTTATACCTCAATAAATCTCTCTCCCCCCCCCCCCCTTAAATCACAGCAGATCTTGTTGGACATTTGGGGAGAAAACAACTTAAAATTCACATCCAGATCTTGGCTGCCAATTCAGGACTTCGTTACTATGCCATTTGCCAAGTTTTTAGCTTACTCCTCCTGAAAGTGCAGGGTTTCGGGGTGGGGGATCCCTTTTGCTAGAGTGAAGACCAAATGACATCATTAGCACTCAGCTGAATCTGTGACTCCCATGAAATTCTGGACTTCACATTCCCCCCTTTCTCTTGTTTCTCCCTATTTACTCTCCTCAACCCATCCTGTAATCTCTTCTCAAACAAAAAGCAAACAAAAAACTGCTCAAAGGCATGACATCAGTGACAAACTATGAGCCTACAGATTTGTTTGAATAAATATAAGTAAACAACCAACGACTTGGCTTTTTGTCAAGAGATTTAATCCTTTTGCCAGATGTACACTTACAGTGTTAATTTTCATTAGGGAACTGGTACCCCCTTTAAAAAGAGAAAATTAAGATTGCTGGGGAAGAAACTAGTGAGGCATGAGTGTGGGCACCAGGTATTTCTAGCCTCTCTTTATTATTTAAAGAAAGTGTCATTGTGTCTAATCTATACTACCACCAAGAAAACTTAGTTGCAGCCAATTATTCTAAACTCAGTTCTATTTAGGGTTGCATCTTTTTAGGAAGAAAAGAACAAAAGTTCTTTGATACTGCTATTTTCTTCTTTCTTCTCCTTTTTTTTTGAAACAAGGCCTCACTCTGTTCCCCAAGATGAAGTGCAGTGACACCAGCATGGCTCACGGCAGCCCCAAACTCCTGGGCTCAAGCCATCCTCCTACCTCAGCCTCCCAGGTAGCTAGGACTACAGGTGTGCACCACCACACTTGACTAATTTTTTAAATTTTATTATTATTATTTTTTGTAGAGACAGGATCTCACTATTTTGCCCAGGGTGTTTTCAAACTCCTGACCCCAAGCAATCCGCCTGCCTCGGCCTCCCAAAGTGCTAGGATCACAGGTGTGAGCCACCATGCCGGGCCAGTAATGCTACTTTCATATTCCATGTTTATGTCAAGATACTTTGTGATCATAACTAATTTTCTTGAAGGTTTCATTGGTTTTTGTATTAAGTGGTACCCTTTAGCCTGAAAAGAGTTAATGCAACTTCTCATGATGCTTGATTGGTAGTCAGCGAAGATCCCCTCAACTTTTTGAAATTAATAGATATGTTCTTACCTTTGTCTAATTGTGCAGAGACTTGTGTGTAGACTCACTAAACCTGCCAACTCTAGCAAATGGTGTGTAACTATTCTCAATATGGGAGAGCCCACAAAGTACTGTTTCAAAACGGGATGCTATTTCCTCACAGCAAGTTTCCTTCTTCCTATTGAATGTTGGCAACCTTGATTTTGGAATAGTTTTGCATTTACAATCAAGAAACTTTCAACGAATGTTATTCTGACTGGCTTACTAGAGACCCATGATTTATGACATGTTTAATTCCACCTGACTTCCATGAGATGGTTGCATGGAGAGAACATGTAATATATTTGAATTTTGTCAAAGCTGGAGAATAGTATATTTTGGTCACATATCAGATTCAAGCCTGTATTCCAAGCATTTATTCATTCTACTTGTTTGTTTATTTTTAATAACACCAAAATGATTAGTACAAGGTTTTGTGACCTGTGTTACTTATGGGATACTGTTTCCACATCTTCTGGGGTCAGAAGACCATTCTAAGGCAACAGCAAGAGCACAGCGGGTTCTCATGAGCCATTTACTTTCTTATAATGCAAGGGCCTATTTAGGGTGATCCTTGTGCTGCTGTCAGAGCAATGAGGTTCAGCAGTTGTGGTGACAAATTAGTTTTGACAAGCTTAATGACCCCAAAGAAGAAAAGTCTGTGGCTCTGATAGCAACCGGGGAATAATTGGTGAGCTCAGCCAAATGGGGAATGTGTTAAAATTCCCCAATTCTTTATGGCAGGCCAATTACACCATTCAGCAAAGGGGTGGAAGGTTGCCATCCACTTCTTTAGCCTTACAAAAGCATCAGCAGGCTATATTTCAATCAATTGAATTTGGTTTGGCGAAACATCAGGACATTGAAAGAAACAACTGGATCTTTCAAACTATGTTCATATGAAAAACTTGGGCAAAGAGCAAAATTTTTGTAAGGCACCAGTGGGTAGTGCTGACCTCACTACTGGTGAATTCTGTTGATTCACCACGTGCTAGTTTTCTCTCATCTGCCCAGGGTTGGTAGGCCCTGTGACTAAGTGTAGGTTCATATGAGTACATGAAAAATAAATAATTACCAATTATCGGTCCACCAAAACACAATCTTTTCATTAATTTATTCAACATACTGTGGACCCACTATGTGCCAGGATCATCCTGAGTGTCAAAGAATGATGAACAAAGCAAGAGAAGACCCCTGCCTGCATGGAGACTGCATTCTAATGGATAGGTATAGTAAGAGACAAGTAATAAATAAACCAGACAATTCCAGATGGTGGCAAATGCTGTAGGAGAAATACATAGAAAATGTGGCAGATGAATTAGTTTGCTAGGGCTGCCATAACAAAGTACCACAAACTGGGTGCCTTAAGTAACAGAAATTTATTGTCTCACAGTTCTGGAGATTGGAAGTCAGCAGGGTGGGATCCTTCTGAGGGCTGTGAGAAGAGGATCTGCTCCCCAGGCTCTTCTCTCTTTAGCTTATAGATGGCCATCTTCATATTTACACAGTGTTCTCCCTGTAATTTCACGTCATCTTCCCTCTGTGTGTGTCTCTGTGTTCAAATTTCCTCTTTCTTTGTTTTAGATGGAGTCTTGCTCTGTTGCCCAGGCTAGAGTGCAGTGGCTCCATCTCGGCTCACTGCAACCTCCGCCTCCTCGGTTCAAGCAATTCTTCTGCAACTGAGATTACAGGTGCACACCACCATGCCTGGCTAATTTTTGTATTTTCAGTAGAGATGAGGTTTCACCATGTTGGCCAGGCTGGTCTTGAACTCCTGACCTCAGGTGGTCCGCCTGCCTCGGCCTCCCAAAGTGCTGGGATTACAGGCTTGAGCCAAGGCTCCCGGCCCAAATTTCCTCTTTCTATAAAGGGACCACACATATTGGATTAGGATCCACCCTAATGACCTCATTTTAATTTGGTTACCTCTGGAAAGACCCTGTCTCCAAATACAGTCACTATACTCTATTTGGGAGGGAGCGATAATAAAGTTGAGACTCTAGGGGAAGAAATGTTCCTGAGAAGAGTCAGAGGTGAAGTGTTGGGGCAGGGAATGGCATGTGAAAGGCCCTGAGGTGGGAAGGGCTTTATGCGTTTTAGGAAGAGTAGCTGCAGGGCTTGTGAGGATGAGGGAAGGGATTTTGTCACAGATGTGGCAGAGATTGGATCACATGGGCCTTGCTGGGCAACTGCAAAGAGGAATTTGGAGTTTCTTTTGGGTACTGTAGGAAGCCAGTGGAGCATTCTAGTCAGAGGAATTACATTTTCTGATTGTCATTTTAAAGCTGCCTTAGTCCTCTCAGGCTGCTATACCAAAAATATCACAGACTAGGGGGCTTATAAACAACAGAAATGTATTTCTTACAGTTTTGGAGGCTGGGAAATCGAATATCAAGGTGCCAGCAAATGCAGTGTCTGGTGAGAGCCTACTTCCTGGCTGATGGACAGCACCCACTCCGTGTGTCCTCACGTGGTGGAAGGAGCTAGCTAGCTTTCTGGAGTCTCTTTCTATATGGGCATTAATCCCATTCAAGAGGGCTCTGCCCATTAATCCTTGCAGAATGCCCTCGTGGCCTCCCAAAGGACCCACTTCCTGATACCATCACCTTAGAGGGTGGGGTTTCAACATAAGCATTTTGCAGGGATACAAACATTCAGACCACAGCAAAAGCCCATATTCATAGAGTGCCTACTGAAAACAAAGCAATATGGCAAGTAAAGCATAGAGCCCAAGGCTTTCCTATAGTCTTTACTGAAGATTAATCCAGACTTCTCACCTCATAGTTAACCAGCAAGAAGTTCTTGCTATTCTCTTATGGCTTCCTCCGACAGCACGTTGTCTGTTTTTCCACCTCTGGGCTTTAGCCAGTATTATTTCTGTTTCCCTAAGCAGCCACTCTGCACGTTGAACTCCTATTTATACTTTGACACCCACCTGTATAGTATCCCAGATTTACAGTCTCTGTCTTTACTTGTATCTTTTATTATATCTCATTCTATTGCATTTGTTTGTTTACATGGCCATCTGGCCAAATACTGGGCGAGTTTCCTGAGAGCGAGGACTCTATCCCAATCATCTTGGTGTGCTGAGATCCTACACAGCGTCCAGCCCAGAGTAGAAGCCCAACACGTGTTTATTAAATGAAGTATAAGACAGGACCCTGCACTTAAGAATGGAAGCCTTTTAAGACTGTTGGAATAGCAGAATAGAGTGGGGAGAATGCGGAGATTTGTAGGTACATCAGTCTGACTCCAACCCCAACTAGCATTACTTGTGGGCATTATTGCTTAACTTCTTTGAGTCTTACCTCTTTATTAGTAAAATAACTCTAATGATTCATGACTTTTTTTGAAAAAAGAATCGATGTAGGAAACTTTTATGTAAGCGTCTGGCCCATGGCATAGCACATGCATACTAGACGCTCAATAAAAATGGTGCATTTTTTTCTTCCTCTCATCTTCAAAAAGCCTTATTGTTATTATACATGTGGGAGGAAAAGCTCATGAAGATTCATGAAAACTCTGAATTGTGCAGTTGTTCACTAAGGGCTTGGTAGTTGTGTATGGCAGACATTTACCTCCAAAATACATTTCCAGGGAACTGAGAGAGTGGAAGGCAATGTTGAAACATTCTGGTGGAAAGTCAGTCATGGGTTAGGATTACCGAAGGAGCCACAGCTTTCCATTACCAGTTAGCTTTTCATAAAGAACTTTAGGAGTGTGACATTTTGCTGCCACGGAATTCCCTCACTGAAGATGTGATTCATTAACCATGATAATCTCTTTGTTTGGGGTCTTGGTTGCCAGTCCCACGAAGCTCCCTGATTTGCAACATGGGCATTTCAGGCAGAGCATTTTGCACAGCCTTGCAATATCTACGGTGTTTGTCTTTGTGTGAATCTGAGCAGATGATATAAATGCTTAATTTTTCAGACAAAAGGAAAAACATGAAAGAGCCCTTTCCTTTGTGCATCTGAGATGGACTGGGAATGACAATGAAAGAAACCTCACCAAGAAGTCTGTTGGTGCTAACATTTCTTTGTCTGTTTTCCAGAGTCATGCGATATGTATGTGCCTAATAACAAGGTTTTAAATGTGACTTCTATTTAAAATCACTGTTCTCTAGTGTTGCCTCTGGGCTGAGGATCTAATTTTCTATGTCAGTACTGCCCTGGTGGTATATCCTTAGGGCTGCTTGATAAGTCCCTTGGTTGACAAGTCTGCAATATGCAAATCCCATCTCGTGGTTCATCTTGCAACTCCCTGTAGTTTGAGTCTTTGTTCCTCCTGCACACGCAGGCTCAGTGCCTTCTCCTCACTGCCACATCAATAGCAACTTTTAAAATCTTCTTTTAAATGTGCCAATTATAAAGGTGAAAGCAAAGACATTAATCGGCTAGGCAGCCAAACTGGGGAAGTGTTATTCAATCCAAATACATTGATTACTGCATCAACAAGAACAGGTTTAATGCGTAGGCAGCGTAAAACACTCTCGGGAAAGGGCTCCACACCCACTGCTTGATGATTATTTTATCCTGCTTTTCCATTTGAGACCCCTAGGCCACACCTTCAAAGAAAGAACAGATATAGACTGTAGATAGGGAGCCACTTTGAGATTTTCTTCCCATTCCGCTGCACTGTGGGAGGCAGGTGGCTTAGAGGCCTAGTAAAGATTTTTCAGGTCTTAGTTCCAACTGCTGATGCCATGCTGCGAGTTCCAGGGCAAGTTCTCAAGGATGGAGCTCTTAGACGATTTGCCAGGGAAGATATGGGGGCTCAATCAGCTTGTGACTGTAAGTGTAGATTGTTCTTGTTATTGATGTGCCTGAGAGTTGAGGCAGAAGCCTGCCCTTTTTGGGGAGCTCTCATCATGTCAGTGAAGCTGCAAAAGAAAAAAGCCAGATAAAGATGAAACATCCAAAGTCATTACAGCCTGGTCAACTAAGATTGTTTCTGTAATGAAATTACTGTTTGAGGATTATTCAAAGTTGGCACATGGAAGGAGTTACTTCGGTAATGAAAGGAGGAAAAAAATACAACTGGTCTGTGAGATCAAAACAGGAAACAAAACAAAACAAAACAAAACAAAAAAACCCTCCATGCAACGTCTTTTGGTGTACTCTAAAGCTAGGGGTTAGATCCAGTGTGTTGAGTTACTTAAGAATGGGCTGAGAATCAGAGTGATGTCTCCAAGCCCTTTGGCTTCCTGGGAAAGGCCTTTATTTGATGGGCCAAAAATATTCTGCTTGAAGATTGGGTCTCCACAGAATTAGACAAAGGGCATCAAAGCCTGTTCCATGGTGATCTGAAGGCTTCTGTCCAGGACATTTCTGTTAATTTGGATACCATCTATAGTCTCAAACTCATGGCGGTTGGTTGTAACATTTTAATAGCCAGCCTGGGTTTTTGGCAGGCTTTTGTTCCCCTAGCTTATTTTTCTCTAAGCTTGAGACTTGAGAAACTGAAATTTGAGAGCATTGCTGTGTCTTGGAACTTAAAATATAAAAAGCTGTTGGAGGTGATTTTTTTTTTCTTTCAACTGGTACACTAAAGAATGGAAGTCAGCTTATAAATGACCATTAGGTAATGTAACCAGAAGAGTTTTTTTCATGGACAATGTAAGCAGGTAGTTTGACCACGGATGAAGAATTCTTTTCTTTTTTTCTTTCTTTTTTTTTTTTTTTTTTTTGCTGAATCTGGAGAAGGTCAATTGTGGTAGGAAATACTTATGGGAGCAGTCTATGGTATGGTCCTAGCCAATCACTTGTACGTATATACTACTTCATTCAGGTTCCCCATAGCTGTCATTAAAGGGAGACTTCTCATTGCTGATTATATTGACTCTTTCTTCTCCCAGATTTTTCCTCTTTATGGTCTCTTAGGCAAGTAAACTTATCATGAAAATTTCTGAAGAGCTTTGTGTATTATTCAGTCACTAGGTGAACAGTCTATCCTTAACTATAATTTATCGATTATTATTCTCTATGGCTTTTGAATCCCTAAATGCAGGGAGAGAAAATTAATCTGACATTTTGCTACTTTTCATGCTTAGTTCTTTACAACCCTATTTGGTAAGAATCTGTTCCAAGATCCTGGAAGCATCTTGGCTATTTCCTGTTCTTTAATCCAACGCCAACCATAACTACTGCTCATGACCCCTTTTTCATTGGTATGATGTTTTTAAGTTTGTAAAATACCATATATAATATCTCTTGTGGTGTCACAACAGCCTCTTGAAGCAGGCCATCCTCAGGGGCAGAAATTCCTTCTCAGGCACCATGACACCTCCATCCTGTCTGCCATGGAACTCAAGTTCAGGCATTTTTTATTTCTCTTTCTCTTTTTCAATAAATAAACAGATAGAAAAGATCTGAAGCTGAGTTGAGAAACTGTCTGACTTTTTTCTTTAAGCACAAATTGACCTTCAGCTTTCAATGTGAAACTTAACAGAGATAGGCAGAACACCACGTGTCTTCATGGGTGCAATGACTAAAGATAGGAAGGCCTGACTCATGCGGGCCATCTTCCCTGATTACTACCCTGGGAGGCCATGCATTTGCAACGTCTCTCTGATTTACGGCTCTGTTCCCCAGGTCGTCTTCATTTGGCACAGCCACTAACTCCAGCCTATGCTCTCTCTCCCCAGCCTGTCCCCTTGTCCCCTCTACGTCGTGAATTCCCTTGCTTTTGCAGAACTTCTGCGCACCAGGTGGGGCCTTTTGAGCTTTCGCATCTCTCTTTTATTTATTTATTTTTATCCACCGGCTTATTCCATGTGCACCATTGTCTGAATTGTCATGCATTTTGGATTTAATTCCAGATCGTCAAAGGCATGTTTTCAGCTGAACAAACCAAATGAAGTAAAAAGCTTCATCCTCTTTTACTTTATTCTCATTACCCATCCCAGCGGGGAGGATGAGTAAAGAATGCATCCTCTAGATCCTGAAAGAATTTCTAATATTCATTCTTTCTCCATAAGATACAGAGCTTAATCCTTCCTTTAGACATTTTCTTTTTTTCTAAATAAACAGGGCCTAATTGGAAAAAGCTGAGAGAGCTAAGCAGAAAAGAATAGAAAACATTTACTGAGCTTGGAAGTGCATATTGAATACTGTAGGAAATTTGCATATGGATTACTTGGTGAAAAAATAGAAACATTCTCAGCCCATTAGTTACTGTGATGGACTCCCACTGACTAAAATCCAAGTACTTTTGCCTTGTTTTCTCCAACTGTTCTTTTCTGTAATCATTTCTCTTTAACCACGGGGCAGCTATTCTGTTACTGCACTTTGTGCTAAGGAAAAGACAACACAGAGAATGTAGCTGTGCCTAGAATGTGAGCAGACTGGCTCTGATTTAATCCTCCAGTGAACATTGTACCATTATTTCTAAGCTTTGGCAGGAGGGTTGCCTCTTTATCGAGGAGCTTCTAGGTCACATTTGCAGCTCTACAGTTGTGTTAAGTGACAAACCATAGATTTCTCCCTGGTGCCTCAGTTTCTCCAAATGCAAAAAGAAAGGTAATTTTTAGCACCCTTAATAGAGATGGGAAAAATCAATGAATATTTATAAAAGTAAATTGAGACCCTGGAATATAAGATCCCACAGAAATTCAAAGCATAATTAAGGTAGGGAGAACAGATTAGTGTTAAATATATGTGTGAAACACATTTTACATTTCCTTCCAACAAAGGCTGAATTTAATTTACTCCAAGTGAGGGGGAGAAAAAAGGGAAAAAAACGTGGTATTGTGAATTAGGATTCTAAATTTGGATTTTGATATGTTGATTGGTGTACTACAGACATAAAGCCACATGTTTACTTTTTCAGCAAATGCATGTGTGTGCATGTGTTTGTGTGTGTGACTGTGTCTGTGTGTATGTGAGATGGAGAAGATATATATATATATATATATATATATAGAGAGAGAGAGAGAGAGAGAGAGAGAGAGAGAGAGCAAATCTAATTATCATTGGCAATATTCCTCCAGGAGAGCCAACAGCAAGTACTAACAAAAGAATTGTTATCAAAAATATGTTTTCAACAGCTTACTTTTAATCCATTGAAAAGTCATTAAACATGCATTACCAGCTCTTTGCATTGTGGTATGAGGCGAAACCATTTGTACAAAGAAATATTCAGATATTGCCTGCAGAAAACATCTATATTACTGTGTCATTGTTTGAAGAAACAACTCAAACCCTCACTTTACAAGGGAATCATTGAATATTAAGAGATGTGGAAGTCAGTGTAAAGATCAAAATATCAATATCCATCAGCCCATTTTAGTCTATCCACAGTGGCTTAGAAACTGTTGGAAGGAATGATCTGTACAATATTGATCACATAAATGGAAAGAAATCCTAAGAGATAAAGGGGACCTTCTGTATATTATAAATACTTAAGTGCTGCATATGTAACAATTTCTCAAAAAACCAACAAAACAAGACAAATATTCTCAAAAGATTCTATCATAAAAAGAATACCCTATGGAAAATCCAAGTTCATTTTTTTTCCCCTGCCTGATTCCCTTGATGCAAGTGAATCTTTCATTGGGGTACTAAAGATATGGCTAAATTTTCTAGTGAGAGGCAGAATTTATCAGACAATATATGTAGTGCAGATCCCTCAAATCCCAGAAAAAAACAAGAAGTGGTGACTTGACTCTTCACCAGCCCAAGAATACATCTTTATTAATATCTGAACCAGGAACTTACCTAGGTAGCAATCACAATATGATTTTTTTAAATTAAACATAAATAAGACTCGCATAAGGGAAAAGCTGGGCTGGGATTATCAGTTAGCTCCCCCAGGACCTTGCTAAACGAAGTGTGGCCTGAAGACCAGCTGCATCAGCATCGGTTGGGAGTTTTTTTTAGAAATGTAGCATCCAGACCCCATCCCAGATGTGCTAAATCAGAGTCTGCTTTATAAGGAGCTCCCAAGGAGATTAAAGTGCAAGAAGCACTGTGCTAGGATACCATTTGGTATATTCTTGTTTCAGATATTATGTGTTGTTTCCATACAAAAATTACCTGATAAATTCTCAGTTACTGAGAATTTGACATTTGGATAATCTGACCCATTATTATTCATCAATCCCAGAATTTGTAATTTTCACGCATGGAGCACCTGGCAAGTTCCAGGCACTGTGACAGGCTCTGGAAATAGATGAGCAAAATAGATGCAGAACCCAGGAGTGGGCTGTTAAGCAGATGGCTACTGAAATTTGTACTTAATGTCAGATAGGTAAAGAATTAGGAAGGAAAAATACAGTGTGCAAAGAAGGTGCAAATTGTGTGAGCCTGGCCGGGATCAGACATCAGAGAGTGCCAGGGATCCCCTGGGTGGTGGTGCCTCTGGGGGGGCTTCTGGTTCAAATCAGCCACAAGGAAGCGGAAGAGTAGAGAGGTGGATTACGATTTCCCAGTAGTAAGGTGACCAAGAAGTAAACCTGTGTCAGTGAACTAACCTTTTTCCCCCTAAACAAGTATTTTATTGGCCATATGATTTTATTTTTGAGATATCAAAAGCTTACATGGTTTGCTCAAATTAGAAAAATAATAAACACCAAAAGTCTAGGGAGTATGCAAACAGAAGCTGTAAATAGGCATTTTTTTTTCCAGATCTGCCTTGTGAATTGTCATTCTCCAAATTATCTTGGCCTGGGGGTACCTGTGGCTAGGCAGTTTCTGGTTTCCCCTCTCTCTCTCACCACGCTTGTCTAAAAGTTCAGTCATTGTGCCAGTGATCAGCCGGATCCCAGATCTGTCTTTACTGTGTCTTCAGCTAACCTCAAATCATCCAGAAAGGCCAGTGGGTGTGTGCGTGCGTGTGTGTGTGTGTGTGTGTGTGTGTGTGTGTGTGTGTGTGTGTTCATGCTTATTCCTCTCTTTCTCTCTCCTCTTTTCCCTGTTGAGGTTGCTTTTCCATCTCAGTCATTTCAAGTTTGAATTTGATTTGCATTTCTAAACTGCTAATTATACCAATTACTTGCAGTGCTTCTGCATTCTAAAAAGAAGTCTGAAACTGACCCCCTTTATTAAAATCAGTGTCCGTTCACCCTGAAGTTTAGAGCTAAGGAGGACCGGTCGGTCCCTTTTTTTATTTTTTATTTTTTCTTATAAATATATTTTTTAAAGGGCCAGCTGCCAGTGGTCTATTTTTCAGGTCTCAAATGCTCATGTTTCTGGTCATGTTTTTCTGTAGTCCAGCATACATTCTTTAACTAAATACTACTCTTGAAAGATCAAAAGGAGCACTCCCTGCTTTCATTTTGTTCTTGGCTGTAGCTCATGGATGCCTTGCTTTTTTTTTTTTCTTTCTTAATTTACAAAAAGCTTTCTTTTCTTCAGAAGAAAAAGAAGTGGCTCTGTGGATCATAAAGAGATCATTAGTGTTTACTAATACAGTATGTTCTTAAGTTGCTTTACTACCACGTCTTTTCAGTATTATTTACTGAGCAGCTGAAATAATTGGGCTTTGAATTTTTAGATTACTATAAAGCAAGACCTGTTGTCACTTATTGCTGGGTGTAATTGCACCATATGTATTTAGTGAAGCTATTTATTCATCTCCCTGGTGGATAACTTTGTCAAAATGAGTTGAGATATTTCTGTGTGTGCAGTTAGAATCTAGAAAACATGCATTTCATGTAGAACTTAGAAATTATAGAGGGCTTCACAAACATTTTTTTGGTCTCCAGACCTGAGGGTCTGTTCTGTAAGTTTGTCTCATCTTTTATTATTCCCCATTGTTAGAACAAATACTGTTCCTATGAATTTATGGTTATTCTGAGTGGATTTTAAGCCCTAGAAGCATAGTTTCAAAAAGAGAAAGAAAGCGAGGGAGGGAGGAGAAGAGAGGAAGAAAGCATTTTAATATGAATAACTTGCATTTTAATTTTTAACAAGTCACTTGTCCGTTATTCAACACATCTGCATTGGGTGCTTACTACACATGCTGCTGCATCATGAAAAGGGACAAGCCTGGTTCCTGTCCTAGCGGACTCACGTTCCATGAGGATGCTATAAGGGCATATATGTGAGAGACTAAACATAACCACTGGGACAGAGAATGCTTTTCTGAAAAAGAAATATTTCAACTAAGCTGTGAATAATGCATAGAATTTAACCAGGCAAATAAGAAGGAAACATTTTTCCAGGCAAAGGAAATAGCATGTGCAAATGCCCTGAGGTGGGAAGGGGCATGGTGCCCTTGAGAAACTGAGCTGAGGGAGCAAAGGGAAGGGGAGGAGAGGTGAAGATGAGGCTGGAGAAGTAGGCGGGAGCCACATCAAGCAAGATGTATGAGCCATGGCGAGGCTTTGGGCTTTATTTGAAAACCAGTGGGAAATCTTTGAAGAATTCTACACAGAAGAGGAACATTATTAGATTTCTAGTTTTCAAAAGTGACTCCAGCTGCAGTGTGACACTAGATGGTGGGTGAGGACAAGAGTGGATGGGGGAGACCTATTAGGAGATCACTGAAGTAGACCAGGTGGGAGGCCATAGTGGCTTAGCTTAGGGAAGGTCAGATATTGATGGAGAGAAGTATTTATGTTTGAGAGATAGTTGCAGACTTGGAGATTAGAGATGGATATGTGGGAGAGGGAAATGTCAAAAATGACTTGTAGGCTTTGGGGCTGCGCTGCTGGGTGAATAGAGAGCAGGCAGTGAAGGCTCTGGGGGAAAAGGTCATTGTTAAGTGTTGGAATATGTACTTTGAGATGCCTGTGAGCCCTCAGTGTAGAGATGTTGAATAGGCAGTAGGGCTTGGCATTCAGAGGAGAGGTCTAGGCCAAGTTTAACAACGGAACAATCCATAGCCATGTGTCTTCTGATATGACGCAGATTGGATTCTTATATCCACCAACGGAAAATAGCAAAATGAACTATTTTTCTCTTTCTCGAGGCATTTTGCCTCAAAGAGACTTGAAAGTGCTACAATAAATATTTAGGCAAATATTCCATTGATTTATTATTTTTCCAAAAAAGACAATTTGTTGAGCACCTAATATGTATTAGGCACCTGTTAGATTATGGGAACTTCGAAAACATCTTTCTTTTTCCCACCAGTAAAGTTACTTTGAAGAAAAGGTAAGCTAAGTACGCACCTAAGGAGGGCCAAGTTTTGTTACTGTTGGTAAATTTGTATTAATCCTCAGGATCCTATATTTGATAAAATGAAAAGGGATCTCGCTGTAAGATATTTCGTTGTTTGGCTGAATGTGCAATCTTGTAGGTTCTTCTAGAATTGTCATGTTGACTCTTTTATGCCAGGTATCACTTTGCATTTTTTTCTCAGCAGCCCAGGCTTCTGAGTGGCTCACAGATGCATACCGCATTTGTTTTTATTTGAGAAGTATAGTTAGTTAAAAAGGAAGATCATGCCAAGAACATAAGGCTCACAGTACTTTCTAGTCATTGCTAATGGTTTAACGCTGTGCTCAGATTTTGATGAGAATGATTAGTATAATTTAGGATAGTCAGTCTTTGTGAATTTAAATTATTAATATGTTTTACTTTGTAAGAGAAAAAAAGAAAGAGAGCAACTGGATTCCTTCTGAGACATGTTCTTTTTCTTATCTCCTTGACCTCTTGAAAAATAACATTCCTTTGGAATTACACGGAGGGAATACTTGGTTAAATAACTGAGCCAAAAGGCCATGATCCTAGTTGAGGCTCTTCACTTACTAGTTGTGTGTGACTTTGGCAAGTCACTTAACCTCTCTATGTCTCAATTTCCTTTACTTGTAAAATGAGAACCATAATATTAGATAATTTGAATACATGTGGATGGATGTTGATGATAATGGGTAACATTTATTGAGAATTTACTATGTGCTAGATACTTTCCAGCCAAAATTGTTGGCTCTGTAAGATGACAAAGAGATAAAATAAAGGAAGAAACATATCATGGAAACAACTCATTTTGCTCATTCTTTTACTTTTTATGGAAATAATAAACAACAGTAGTTTAAATTCAATGCAAAGGCCAACTACTCTAAATAATTAGACCCATATTCTCATCAAATTTAAACTAAGATGATGAAATAGTTTCATCTACCCTAGACTTTATACTTTTAGGCAGAATTTTTCATAGACTTATTATTCCTGGGATCACTTGAGTCAGGTTCCAGAGAGAGGGGGTGGAAGGTGTATTAAGTAGAACAGTCAGGGGGATTGAGGTTACAATTCTGAGCCAAGGTATTTTTCATAAGAATTATAGGGATCAAAGTACACTGCAGGCATGACAGTGATTGAATAACTATGAGTGTGGGTCTTAAGACCCAAAAGGTCATCGATGGAAAGAGTTAATGGATTTAATGACAGTTTCTTAGCCATGAGTGAACATATAGGAAGAAGGGGTAAAATGTGAGAGAGATTTCCTCATCAGCCAAAAGAGACATTCAGAAATGGGATAGAGTAGTTTAAAATCAGCACAAGAAAGGAGAAGAGCAAGCGGAAAGAATGAAGGGTTTTCTGAGTCCCTGCTGTGTGCCAGCTAGGCTTGTGATGGGAAAGCTATGCAGAAAAGTTCCACCTTGAAAGAAAAGAAACTGGAGATGATGCATTTTAGAAGCAAGTGAATGGTTTTGATGAACCAGTGTGGGTTGTCACAAAAGATTGTCAATCCTAGGACGATGGAGCTGCAGTGAAGGCATCACTCTGAGATCACCCCTTTGTAATGGCCGCCAGGGCTAATGCAAGGTTTTGAGTTCCATTATTTTCATATCTCTTTCTTTTTTAGGCAGCCAGTCACAGATGATTTTTAACAAGAAGTACAGGATTTATATTTAAGAAGTGCATAATGGAAATCGATGGCTTTTTGTTGAGAAAAGCACAGTGTCAGGAAAATATCTCTGCCACTCTCTTTCCCCCTGTCTTGTCGCAGTGGTGGAAATTTTACATTTGAAAGTGAAAAGGCTTAAGATATAATTTTTTAATCCCATCTTTCCTGCCCACTTGCATCTCTTCCAAAGCTTGTCAGGGCCAGATCTGGAATAGCAAGAGCCATTAAAAATTTGGCATCTTGCACTCCGTTTTTTGGAATAAACTCAGTGTGGGCCAATTTATGGTAAATTATTCTCTTCGTGTGTGAATTTCCTTTTCTCTCTTGGCAAATTCATGCTTGCTTCTACACCCCTGCACACAGATCTTAAACACACACATTTATTACAGAATCTGTGTGGGATATGTGTGCAAGTGTTAAAGTGTGTGCCCATGGCTGTACCCACAAATGCATATGCACATATTTGCACCTATGTGCCTATATGATAAGCAAATTGACTTAAACAGTTTGTCTTGGAGGTTTGTGTTGCTGTATGTATGTTAGCATACATTCTGTTGCAACCCGCAAACAGTTTCTCAGTCAAGAGATGACAGAATTCAGCAATCGTTTTGGGAAACACCATAGTAAATAAATATATTGCTTAGTTCTGTTAAACCAAGCAAGCCAATTCTTAATAAAACTGAAGGCAAGAAGTGGCAATTCTCATCTTTGCAGTCAAAGACAATTAATTACTGGGCAGCCAAGTCCATTGCCAACAGGGAAGACAGAGCCAAGGCTTTGCTTCAGCCCATGTGCGTTGAACACAGACCCTGTAGCCAAGCATAGTTATAACCTGGGACACTGGATTGGAGTCCCTGCCTCCCATTCTGAGAGGTTGGCTGTAGGATGGCCGACAGAGGCGTGGCGTCGTGAGGGGTTGGCTGTAGGATGGCCGACAGAGGCGTGGCGTCGTGGGAAACTGCTTGACCTGCTGTTTGGTGACACTCGACTCAGGGCAACTCAGGGCAAGGTCGAAAAGATCATTTTTCTTTGCATGAGAAACTCTGATGAGAGGCTCTTCCCTGGCATATTTGACAGCATATTAGCTCAGCTTTTAAAGGGCAATTTAAAACAGTTTCTTTTCCTTTATGTATGAGAAGGCACACATTTATGTGCCTTGAATTATTGCTACTAACACGTTCCCAATAGATCTGTGTATCTAGCTCAGATTTGGAAAAGGGAGTGGTAGGAAAACAGCTCACTTACTTCACAAGTTGTTGCTACAAATTTCTCAGAATATCAATAAAGAAGTAAATGCATCACATTCACAAAAATACAACCATATGTTGTTATTAGTATTTTTCCTACATGGTTAAATATTCAAATATTTAAAGATACATTTTACAGTAGTTCTATAGGACATGAAAATTCAGCATCTAAAACCTGTAAATGCATTTTATAAAAGCTTTTGCAGTGTTGACCATTTGATGTCATCATGAGCAGTAACCAACCCTACCTAATTAAAAAGCCTTAATGAGCTTACTACACAAGGAAGTCTAGGCAATCAATATGCATTCTTACAAGGAGTTCATTTTCTCCATTTTCCTTAGCATTTATTTAGCAAATAATCTACAATCACTTGCCAAGTATATGCCAAGCACTGTACCTAGAGCTGGCAACAAAAGTATTAATAAGACTCAGTACCTTGTTCTTATAAAGCTCACAGCCTAGTAGGGAAACAAACAATCCAATTACTATATTTCCAAGTGTTAGCAAGGCAGTAGGCAAAGCATGGTGGGCATGTGTGGGCACTGATCTGTTGTGCCTTGGCAGAAGCCTAAAGGAAGGCTTCCAAGAGGAGATGGCACCAAGCTAAAGGGTCAGTAGGATGTTACCAGGCACAGGAAGTAGTATATGCAAAGGTGAGAGGCAAAAAGCAACGTGCTGCTTAATTAGGGAATGCAGCTTGGCTGGCCTGGAGCCCAGGTGGGAAATGTGGGGGAACAGGTAAGAGGGGAGAGGCCTGATCCCATATGTGCTAAGACATAGGTCTCATACTTTCTTCCTCCCCCTTCCCTTCTTTGACCTGTAGTGTCTCTTTCTCTCTGTTTTTTTTGTTTTTCTACTTTTTATTTTGTTTTGCTTAATTAGTTGCCTTTTACTTCATCTTTCCCTATCTGACTTCTGAAAGTTGAAAATATATTTCCGAGGCAGATCATTTGGAGAAACTAAAGTCATAGAGAATGTTTCTGACTTTTTTATTTTAATACAAAAATATTGCCTAAAATCGAAAGAATGAATTCTTGGTTTCCTCACCTCCCCAGTAGCCATCTCATTTTTATATATAGAAAATAATATGGAGGTATTGGAGCAAGCAGGGTCAGATTCCAAATTTATTCTGCATGTATGTCTATCTCCTGGAACACATTATGAATGCAGGAAAGGTAAGATGAAAACCAAAGTTACTTTTGCATCATCTGCAGAGCCTAATGAAGTACTCATTGTGCAAGAAACTCAATATGTTCATGGTCCATTCATGGAGGAGGGAATTGGTCGCTTGGTATACTGCTTGTACTTAAGAGTCTGAAATAATTCTTTTCTTTAATATAGAGTAGTAAAACATCTGAGCACTGCTTTTATTTGTACGCTTTATATTTCATAGAAGTATTATGCTCATATATTATAGATACATGTATATGGATTATAGTTGGCTATGTGGTAATCAGAAACACAGGTACACAGAAAATCAAATACTTTGGTTGCTTTTAGCTTTTGCTATGGTTCGAGTATGATGCTTGGAGTTTATATGTTGAAAGTTTGGTCCCCCCATGTGTCAGTGCTGAGAGGTGGGGCCTTAAAAAGTGGTTAGATTTTTAAGAGGCATTAATGCTGCTCCTATGGGCCTGGGCTAATTGTCACAGGAGTGAGCGAGTTCTCACCCTAGTGGGACTGCATCAGTTGTCTCCAAAGCAGGCTGTTGTAAAGTGAGGCCACCTCTTGTGTTCTGCCCCCTTTTCTCACATGCCAACTTCCCTTTTGGCTTCTCTGCCATGATACGACACAGTATGAAAGCCCTCAGCAAATGCTGCTGCCATGCCCTTGAACTTCTCAGTCTTCTGAACTGTGAGTTAAATAAACGTCTATTTTTTATAAATTACCCAGTCTGTGGTATTCAGTTCTACCAACAGAAAATGGACTGAGACAGGTATGTTTATGCAGACCTAATTACATAGCCATAAAACATATTTGCTCTACTGGCGTGTTATCAAATGCATTTTTTGCTGTCTGTCAACCCCTGAAGTATACATGCTCTTATGGATATGTATTCACAGATTGCATGAAATCAGTGCTAATAAACAACAGCAGCAACAAAAACTTACTGTTGTGTTTACACAACCTCCAGGCAACCAGTTTTCATTATTTACCCACTCACAGAAATAATTATTCACTTGCAATTGTAGTCTTCTGGCATTGTATTGGTATAACATGAATAATATATGATACCTTGTATGTATAGAATAGCTAGAGAAGGGCCATGTGATATGTCTTAAATATCAATGTTGCACTGTGAATGTTCTTTTCCCAGTTATGATATAATGCCCATGATGAGGTTCCATTTGTCCCCAGAACCTTTCGATTGTTACAAACCAGACACTTGATAATTTCCATAAAAATTTAATATGGTTCAAATGTTGCCACAGAAATAACATATTTCTCTCTACATTGTCTTGTGGCTTCTTGAAAAATTTTTTTCATTTTCATTTTTTAAGCCGAACTCTCATGAAATTTGCTACCTCATTTCAAGGACCTTTTTAAGAATCAGCTGCTTCCTCATGACCCAAATGTTAAAAAGCAACATATTCCTTTAAACCAATAAGAAACGTGTATGTACTGTCCATTTCAGTAACCCTTGTTTTATACAGATTTCTTCATCAAAAATAAGCAGCGCAACAAGCCAGGAAGTTGTATTTATGAGCTAGTTAATAGGCCGATTTTGTACACCAGAATAATAAGGAAAAACACAGTAACTTGAATCTCTTTATTATAGTTTAGGAAAACATGACAGAAAGAGTCTGATATTAATTCTACAAAAATTTTAGTAGTTCCAGATAATCTGGATAAATGAGGACTGTAGGCCACTTCAGAATGCCAGATGACCGGCACGCACTCAGTGAGTGATTGACTCATTGAGACCAAAGTGTCATAGCCTTTTCTCCCCTCCTACTGCCCCAGCTAAACCCAGGGTCGGGGAAACTTTGAAGATTGTTGTAGGAAATGCAAGTGCAAATCTATTTAGATACTTGGAACCTTTGGAAACTCAGTTTGGGTTACACTGATTTCCCTGAAGTTAAGAGGACTCTCAAATTAACCAGGGACAACCCTAAATAATTTTCCAATGAGGCTGTTATTACTCTGGGTAGAACCTTTGAAATGTTATAAAATCAGATATTACCTTTTAGCAAACCAAAAGGAAACACAGTAACTCCTGAGTTCAGTGCCCTGTTAAGGACAAGCGGGTGATTTGACTGCAACATGAGTAAAATTGCAAAGCAAGAATATATAGAGACATGTTCTCTGTTCCCATTGTGGAGTTATTAGTCCCAACAAAACAAGGAGCAGAAGGAATTCCCTATTACTCCACATAATCGATTCATGAACTACTTTTTAAAAGCCTCAAAACATTTGAATGATTTTCTTTTTCTCCCTTATGTAGCACTTTCTACAAACTGATGTAAATGTTAAGATTTGCTAGAGCATGTAAATGCATCCAGTCTAAGAATGCACTGGAAACAGAAACCAGAGTGGCATGAGGTGACCCGTATGTCCAAATGCGAAGTCCATCGAAGGAGAAGCAAAATCAGATGACCCCAGTGTGCTTCTACAGTCTTTCTTGTGATTCTTGGTCCTTTTTTTCTGACCTTTCTTCTACTTTTTTTTTTTCCTATTATCTTCCCACCTAAATTTTAAAATTAGATTTAACTGTTTCACCACCTAAGGTGTGAGACTACCACAGTTTAGTTCTTTCCTTTCTTCTTTTGTTTTCTAGTTCTTTTGTTTATTTTATTTCGTCTTTTTAAAATCCCACCAAACTGTATCTTTTCAAGATTAAGGTGACCTAATGATCCCTAGAATGTTGCTGCTCAAAGTATAAGCTCCAAACATTCACCATTTAGAAGTGTCGCCTGGGAGATTGTTAGAAATGCAGGATCTCAGGTCCCACCCAGCCCTGCTGAGGCAGAGTCTGTGTTTTAACGAGTCTCCTAGGTGAAGCTGGGAAGCCTGCTCTAGAAAGAAGCTTCCAGAACTAAATCCCAGCTGAATTCATGCATCAAATTTCTCACCTCTCCTCAAGTGTGTAAGGTGGCCCTTTGACCATCCTTTTCTGAGTCACAGAAGTAATCTTTCACTTACAGCTTTTGAAGGTACGTGCTTGATTCAAGTGGACTTGAACTCTTGGACTTATTGTGGAAGTCACTTTGACAGTATCTGCAGGATTAGAAGTATTTGCTGATCCTCCCGCCCATGCCTTTCTTCTCTTTGGGTTGTATGTGGAGATGGGAACTGGCATATACTTCGTCAGTCAGTTCTTGCTGCATGTCTTAACATCAGCCATCACTAATGGGATTAATTGGTCTTAATTGATGGAATTGTGAAAGTGTGTACCTCCCAGGGTCACAAACACTAAGCCTTAATTCAAATCAAATGTATATTTTAAAAAGCATGTCTGGCATCATAGACTCCTTTCTGTTTGGGTTTAGTTGACATCAGCAATGGTATGGAAACCCGATCAGGAAAGGTTTGCTGTTACTACTGCTTTGAATATGAACTTATGCTTCTCAGCACTCTAAGTAACTAATTAGGGGAGGGAGTAATATTCTACTTAATTATTGGTTACACATATAGAATAAATCCTATTTTAATGGTGTCTAATGAGCCTTTCATTTTTAGAACCTTACACAAAGCCTCTAATGGAAAGGGAAAGTAACATTTCAAAGGTCATCTTAATGCCACTTAATGTCAACAATCGTAATCAAGTCAATATATGTAGATGGTGATTACAGTCCAGTTATGATTATTTAAATATAAAATAATCTAAATTAGCAAAGTGGAACAAGCTAAGATTCTTTAGGTTTGCAATAACTTAAACTTTCTAATTAAAGTTTGTTACTTGAAAACAACCTCAGAGTTAAAGAACTCTCTCTCAAAGTGAGGCTTCATGCAGTGCAGTATTTTCAAGACCCATGAGTGTAAGTTCTATCACTTACAGTTTCATGCCCTTTTCCCATATGTGTCCGCAAAGCCACTGAAATGTGCAAACAGAAAATGATGGCTCCCCTTCTGTGCTTTTTCTCAACAGGGGAATGTAATGGGCAGTAGAAGTATGGGATGTTTTATGGGTCAGGAGGCCACCGAGGGAACTTGTGGGCACACCTGTTTCAGAACCAGACATCTGCCTGGTGGCAGATTAAAGTGCAGCGCACCAGCATGGCACATGTATACATATGTAACTAACCTGCACAATGTGCACATGTACCCTAAAACTTAAAGTATAATTTTAAAAAAAATAAAATAAATAAATAAATAAATAAAATAAAAAGTTGGGAATTTAAAGAGTCTCCAGTAAGAGATGGAGAGTCTGAGATTTTGTCCTTTTTGCCCTGCTGTGGAATGGAGATGCCTCTTCCATCCTAGGATGGTTGCTAGTCCATGTGACCCTTGTCTGAATTAGAAATGGGTAGATTCTGCAAAATGCTTTACTTTTGTCACAAGATTTTCATCAATAAATGGACAGTGATCACAGTATGAATGGCATTCCCTAACTCACCTGCTCACACTGTAGTAGTGTTCATCAGAATATCAGAATCTTATGGGGGGCTTGTTAGCAGTCAGATGGCTGGGCCTCACTCCCAGCATTCTGATTCTGGGGTCAGAGAATGTGTATATCTGACAAGTTCCCAGGCGATGCCAGCGTTGCTCGTCTAGGGACCCCATCTTTGAGAACCACTCCTCAGGGGTGCGTCAGTATGTAACCTGCCCAGCCGTACACGTTGACCTTGCTTTCATGCACACAGAGCTTACTCAGTATTTTTTGGGAAAAAATAATGCTATGTAGATACAATTACTAACATAGGGGAAATTTTCTAGCAAGGAGCTTGGTATGGAATAAATGCTCATTGCACACCACGCCCCTTTTCCTCCATCGCTGCTCCCCACACTGTCACCCTGCGTTTGTCTCCCTTGTGTTCTATTCAGCCACCTTCTGTTTCCTCCTTGGATTCCGAGAGTTTGTTTGTTGGTTCACGTTTCTCTTGTTTTCCTGTATGTAGTCTGTTTTTGAACCTCGGGCAAACTCTGGCCTCATCATTCAGTCATGTGTCACTGAGTCCTGGGCTCATGGTTCCTACAGCTAGCCCAGGAAGCAGAAGACCTGAACATAGGATATTGTTCAATTTGGGTAGGAGTTGTCCAGTGGCAGTGACACAAGCATTAGTTGACAGTTTTGACCTTAGATCTCAGGATGGACTTGAACTTTAGGAACCTCGATGAGAAAGCATCTGGCCAAACCCAAGGAAACACTCTTAATGTTCCTTGCTTCCCTAAGCTTAGATGTCAGTTTACAAAGTGAGACATGCTTGCTCATTAAAGAATTGGAAAACGTGAAAAAAAATAAGAAGGATAAAAGGCATCCATTTGCCCCAAAAGTCAAAGAATCCAATTTTGGTATATTTTGTAACAATCTTTTATAAGCCTACCTAAATGTTGTTTTATTTGTAATGCATTTGCATTTAATTGAACTTATAAATCTAGCGGTAAAACTGCCTGAGGGAGGGGAAATTCTTGTGATGAATTACAGGGTTATTCCCATAATATATGATAATGATTCATGATAAAATTATTTGCTTTCAAGTTTCATCCAGACGCCATTAGAGAAATGAACAGCACCTCCTTTCTCTTTCGGCAGAATTGTCAATGTGACAAGTTCATTCAGGTGTAGTGCCCTGCACACTCCTGTGATGAGTTGGATATTTGGCACCTCACCAAGGCATTTATCAATCCTTTAGTGCCTGATTTTACTGGTCTTGGGTTCCATGGTTCCTGCAAGTGAATTCTTCAACAAGAGTGAGTTGGGGGTGTATGTTATGAGCCCCTGACTACATGAAACTGCCTTTCTTCTTCTGCCTTTATTCATACAACATAATGAGGTCAAACCCTTCATTCATAATCTTTTCCCCGAGAATACTGTAATGCTGTTCTATTGTCTTCTGCCCTTTCTTGTTACAGAGGAAACATCTGATATCAGCTGGATTTTGATTATTTTACGGATAATCTTTTTGTTGTCATTTTCAGTCTAGGTGCCTATATTTTCCTCTATCCTTGCTATTTGAAAATGGTCAGGATGTTCTGAGATATTGTTCATTTTGCACTGATTTGCTTGGAATGCAATAAGCCCTTTGGTCTTTGATTGTTGCTTCTGTTAAGAGTAATAATAGCAATTAGTTGGGTTTTAGCTGAATATTCAAGTGGACATTTAACTGGAAAGACTTGGAAATGGTATTCTTACATATAGTTTATGTCTTATCAAGTGAACAGTTTGAATTAATCAGAGACATGTCTTGGATCCTTCTAATCCCTCTATGGTAGAACTAGGGATGTTGTTTTATCCTGTACTCACAGAAACCTCATTAATCTTATTCTAAAGTAGTTCTCCGCTCTCATCCTGGTGCTGAAACAATGCAGCTTTCTCTCAGATCAAGATCTGAGGTGACTGTGGAACAGAGTGGATATGGGGCCTGCTCAGGTTTGGGTATGTGCCCCGGGAGCTGGCCCCAAAATGGAATCCACCCTACAAAAGAGCCTTGCTAAGAACCAGGCTACAGTCTTGGCGTGTCTAAAACCACAAGCTCACTTCAGACCTAAGTGTGGTCCACCAGGTGATTCCAAGTCAAATAAACTGAGCTCCAAGAGTTTTCTCTGAGTCGTCATTCAAAGAGAACCCTAAAAACAGAGGTTTGGTCAGCAGAGGCCTCTTAGCAATGAGTTGGGGTTTAATGTTGAGCCCCTTTATTCTTAAATTTGAGAGTCACTTGAAAAGCTGCAGAAATGAGCCCCTTAACTCCTCTCTCCCTCTAGTGACGTTTCCTTTCACTCTGCTGAAAAAGTAGTTGGCTTCGTCAGCATTCATCTTCTGCTCAGGCTAAATTTATTTTTATGTGAAATAGAAATCAGGAAAACACCAAAATTATTTTAAGCAAAATATCAAAATTGAAATAAACCAACATATGTCTGTGAAACATGTATAACTCTCAATCAAAAATAAGTGCAACTTTCATAAATTTCTTAAAATACTCCAGCATGCAAAATCTGGACAACTTAAATAGATGGAGTGATGACATGTTTAATTATTTTTTTTTACTTAGTTCGTCCCTTATTTAAAGATGAAAATTCCAATAACCAAAACCTGGCCAGCTCTAGATCATTCTGTTGTGAACAATGTCCTCTACCATCTATTATAGTAAGTAAGAGAACCAAAGAGTTTTATACAATTTCTTGCAGCAAGGTTAAGTTATACCTGCTAATTTTGAATGGGAACCATCTGGAACTTACCTTCCTTCCTTACCCACCCTCACCCCCCTGCATTCCTCTATAAGAAGTGAGGCTTCTTAATTGCTTTAAATGTATTATGCTTTTTTTCCAGTAGGTGTTCCGTATTTCTCAGTTTCCCTTCCAGTGAGAACTCAAATGGGATTAAAACTGTCTAAGTAACATAACTATTCTGGGGGTTAGCACCAAAGAGAGAGTTAAAAGATAAATCCCCATCTCACCTTTATGCTTCATTTCTAGGCTTTCTCTAACACATTTTCTTTATTAGATTGTTACTTCAAGGATTGGAATCACTTTGACCCTATTAATAGTAGCTGATATTTTGCCCTCAGAAGACATTGAGTAAATGTTACTGTCAATAAATATTATTGACAAACCAGTGACACATTTATTGAAATCTTAAGCCTTTTATCTTCTTTTCCTCATGAATTAGATAATGAAATGTCTAAAAAGTAAAAAAAGATTAAAGTATTACGGTACTTTTTTGGAAAATGATTTCACACTAAATGAATTGTCTTTTAGCTTCCTTTGTAAGAGCCTGTTAAAAACTTTATCTCATTAGCCTTGGCATTACCATATACATTAACATGGTCACTCTTTTGAGGGTTGGAAAAAACTTACAAATATAGTTAAGGAAATTTATGATCATATTGATCTAGTGGACACATGTCTTTTTCATCCTGGACTCTCAAATCTTCAATTCTCCTTTTTCTCATATATCACTCTGACTTTTTTTTTCTTATTAGTTTATTAGTTGTCAGAAAGTTTCTTCCTTTCCAGTTCCTTCAATTTAGACCAATTTGGAAATGGAAAAGTGTGTTAATTTTTAATAAATCTTTAAGACACACATTACTGTATTTTTATTAACAGAGCCAGATGGCTCACGGTGAATTTTCTCTGACATAAGTAAATCACAGAAATCAGTTTGGGACCCAAATCTGATACAGAAAGTGGCATGTATATTCAGTGGAAAAATGCAGTTCACATAAATATTCGGATATTTTTAGGAGCAATATTTATTACTGTTTGGATTTGATTTTATTTTATCATTTTCGGCAAAGTACCAACTAAGAACATTTTTTTTTTAGCTGTCCCCCAGACTCAAACATTCAAGGTCCTTCTCAACCACCAAAAATTGTTTTCTTTTTGCAGTTTGAAGGTTGCGAGAAGGCCTTTTCAAGGCTTGAAAATCTCAAGATCCACTTGCGGAGCCACACAGGCGAGAAGCCGTATTTGTGCCAGCATCCGGGTTGTCAGAAGGCCTTCAGTAACTCCAGTGACCGCGCCAAACACCAGCGGACGCATCTGGACACCGTAAGAATGGCAGGAGCTTTCCAGTTTCCAACCCAGCGCCTGGTGTGAGGAAGTGCCTGCTTGATAGTGGGCTGGTGAAGTGTTTGCTTTATGGTCTGCAGGTTACAGGGACAATGCCAAGGGCAGCAGTGGAGCCTGGTAAAAGGCCAGATGGGGCCCTATTTATTTGGCTGTTTCATTTTTCTGTAGCAGCAGTTTATTCTAAATATTACAACCTCCTGGGACAGAAGGGTTACTTGGTCACCGCTGTGTACAAAGCAAAAGCAGTTTAGGGGCTGTCATGTAGTAGATTTTAGTACAGAGAGTGATCAGGAGAGACTGGCATTAAAAACAGTATTGAGATATCAAGTCGGTACTGTGTGCTATTGCTAGGAATATGAAGCAGTTTTTGTTTGTTTTTCTTTGTTTTTTTTTTCTACCCTGGTTCTTTCCCTCTTGACATAGAACTTTGCAGCTAGAATGATTTTCAAGAGTGAATTTGGCCCTTTGCTTTAGAAACCACCTGGTATTTTCACCTTCAGCTGATCTAAGAAGAAACAGTAAATCTTTCCCAAGAGTTCACTTTCCTCATGCTTCCTATCTGTTAGCAGCCACATATTCTTTGACATCAACCCTATGAGAACAATTGATTTTCATTATTACACCCTTAAGTCCCTTAATGCTACAACATTTTGCTCATTCCCAAATGCCTTTTCTATGATTCTTGTCTTTTATTTTCTCAATTATGTTGATAGCCCTCCTTTGCATTTCCCAGGTTTTGATGCCATTTTCGTTACACTAGGCCAGGTAGACTCTATGTAATTTCACTGCGCTTAACAAAGCCATCAGGATAAGTGTATTATACACATCACAGATCTCTTATCCCACATTCTTGCAAATAATGTATTCATGACAGTACTTTTTCGGTGTTAACATTCTGATGTCTATTATTAAACTACACCAGAGTTTGAATTTTGAAAAGATACTGTTATTTCTACACACCTTCTCATACATATTTAAGATTCTTCTGATGTTATAGTTGACATATTTATTAAATTTTATATTAGTCTCTATTAGTCATATTCATAGAAGTCATTTTAGCTATATGTCACATAACCTTTCTAAACAGAATTATCCCCTAATATGCATAAATGCGATGGTTTGCCTAGTAAATATCTCAAATATAATTAGAGCAACATGGGTGTAGGATGGACCCAGTTTCTACTCTACCTGAATTCAGTGATTTTAGGACCAATAAAATGGAACACTAAATGAATACATGTGGTGAATAGTGGGATTTTTCTAAGTAGAAAAAGAAAAAAAAAGAATAAATTGTGTTAAAATGCCCTATTTTGTTGTGCCTAAAATGGTCTTGGTGAGATCCAATAAACTTTCCAATTCGTCATTAACCTTTATCATGGAAGAATGAACATTTATGAGACAAGATTGTCTTGAGAAATTGCTTCTACTCCAGCTAGTTATCTGTAGGTTGCAAGAACTGTTGCGAGGCTAAGTGTTATGGTTTCGCACTGCCCTCCTTTGCTTGGAGCTAATTTTAGCTAATCAAGCTAAGAGCATTTTCAGAAATCATTTTGGAATAAAAATATATATCTTTTTAAAAAACTTTTGAGGAAGGCTACCTAATATAGTGGTTTCCTGATTTTTGTTAATGCAATCGCTTTTAAAACTCAGCTATTTTTTTTGGAAAAATTATTTCTCTATTAAATATTTTTAAAGCATCATTTTTTCCTTTAAGCTCCAAACTAGCTCCTGTTTAAATTTTTTACTGCATTTAACAAATTAGTAAGCTCTTTTAAAATCATATAGAAATCACACACTTGATTTTAAAAACAAACTATACTTGCTTGAAGAATTTGTTATTTAAATTTAGGTCCTTGTTCCCTTTCATTAATCACTCCTTATACTATAATACTGTCAGAATTTTGGATAAAGTATCTTTCTTCAACTAAGTGGATTCCTTATTTGTAGAAAAATGGTTTTCCCATAAACATTACTGAGTTCCTAATTCTAACCCTTAAAAGTTGTATTAATTAATCTCTCTATTAGCATCTTAATATCTACACAGTAATTGTACAGTACAGGTGGAAAATAACAAAATATATAGTTGGATGAAGTGTAGCATGCTAGTTAAAGCTTAGGTAACCTGAGATAAAATGACAGTTGCAGCAGTACTACTTAGATCAGTCCCTGACATTACTTTTTTGGCATACCAGTCCTTCCCTAGTGGCTGACAACAAGAGAAGAAAGTGAAGGTCAGCTGAGAGGAACAGTGGGTGTGTAGTCAAACTTTCTCCAAGAACATCTCAAAATCAAACAGAAGGCTGGGCACGGTGGCTCACGCCTATAATCCCAGCACTTTGGGAAGCCAAGGTGGGTGGATCACCTGAGATCAGGAGTTCGAGACCAGCCTGGCCAACATGGCGAAACGCCATCTCTACTAAAAATACAAAATCAGCTGGGTGTGGTGGCACATGCCTGTAATTCCAGCTACCCGGGAGGCTGAGGCAGGAGAATCGCTTAAACTCGGGAGGCGGAGGTTGCAGTGAGCCGAGATTGTGCCATTGCACTCCAGCCTGGACAACAGATTGCGACTCCATCTCAAAAAAAAAAAAAAAAATCAAATAGAAAATGACATTACCAACCTAAATTGTAGTGACCATGGTAATAATAATGGCATCAATTTATATAATTTGTTAATAGTCATCAAGCTTTTTGTACATGTAACATCTCCTCTAATGCTCAAAGCATAAGCTTTTACAATGGGATCGCCAGTAAAGATCTTAGCTAGTTGCACTCCTGAAACCAGGGCAGGGTAGGGAAGGCTAGTGCAAGAAGGCTATGCAAATTCAGAAAAGATTCCCAGGTTAAAGAAAATCTTTGCTTACTCGGTAGAAACTAACTGGCAAGTGACTT
The DNA here is from genome assembly GCF_000001405.40 of Homo sapiens. NCBI lineage: Eukaryota > Metazoa > Chordata > Mammalia > Primates > Hominidae > Homo > Homo sapiens. Next base: position 3,934,114 of record NC_000009.12, on the reverse strand, counting down.
TAGCCAATAATAAACTCACTATTTTATAGAAACCATGAGGTATCGAGAACCTGGTTTATCCATTGTTCACTTTTAGATCCCTAGTCTGAAACACAGTGCCCAGCACATCCCGGAAGCATACTTTTGAGTGATTCAACCAACCAGTCAAACAGTCAGTCAATCAATGAACACAGCAGATAATCAAACATAGAATTCAAGTTTGGTATGTCAAATTAAATTATATGTTCATGATTTAATCTTGTTCTTGGAATCCAGTGACACAAAAAAAGGAGTGAACCATAAATATGGCTTCTAGCAGGTCAAATAATGTAATCCACTTATTTGTTTGCTCACAGAATGACATACATGCACATAAAAACAGAAGCAACATTAAAAAGGAATCAGATTAATCAGATTTTTTGTTTGTTTGTTTGTTTGTTTTTACTATAACAAGTTTCTAGAGCAAGAATCCCAAGACATGGTTTCAGGTCTCTTCCTTACATTTCACATCATACAAGCACAGCTCTATTACCTTACTTGATGAGACACTAAGCATATCAGCTACTATTAATATATGTTATAAACACAGTTAATCCTGTGATTTTTAAATTTTTCATTTCTTGAATAGGCTGAAGATTTTGATTTATCTCACAACTGAAGAGTCATAGCCTCAAACTTTTGATAAGTTTAAGGGTCATAACAGAAATAGGTGCTGAAATGTGAATGGATGTGAGCTGCTCTTAATTCATTCATTTCTATTATGTACTAAGCACGAAGGATACAAAAATTAAAAAGTGCTGGGCGTGGTGGCACACACCTTTAATCCCAGCTACTCAGGAAGCTGAGGCAGGGGAATCACTTGAACCCAGGAGGCAGAGGTTGCAGTGAGCCGAGATTGCGCCACTGCACTCCAGCCTGGGAGGCAAGAACAAAACAACATCTAAAAAAAAAAAAGAGGCTAGACTCAGCCTTAAGCACCACACCTCACATCTCCCAGGAGCATGGGGGAAATGGAATAGCCAAAATGTGTGTTCTGATTGCACTCAGCCAAGAGCTTATTCACTTAACTCAGGCTCAACACCAGGACACCTCTGCAACTAATATTATTAATGCTTCTTTGGAAGATTTTTCACGTGTCTGTTTGAAACCTACTGTCTCTTACTCACTTTACACTAATTTTCTCTTCTTAATTCTCTCCCTTTCTCTTTCTGAATCAGGTTTCTTCTGAAAAATACCCAGTTTTTTTCTGGACTTTCTACAGCTTCTTTACCTGAACCCTTAAAGAATATGTGTTTACTAGTTTCTGACAGTACCAAAGATTATTCTCAGGGAAACATAACTGTAAGTATGACTAGAGATGCTTACTAATAATTTCCACATTAAAAAATGCCCCAAGAGGTTTTGTGGTTAGAGCACACACTAAAGCAATCTCTTAGAAATCATCAAGGATAGGGCATCTCTTTGTTCCTTGAAAGTTTACCCTTCTCTTAACCATGATACAAAGTTACTAGACTTTGTAATTAAAATGCATGAGTATTAGCTAGCATTTCACATCAGTCAATTGGTAACAGTTCATGCTCTGAAGTCAATAGTCTTTGAGTAAAACATTCCCCAATTACCTTTATGATTTAACCACAGCTGTTTCTTTCTTTCTTTCTCATTTAGAAACCTTATGCTTGTCAAATTCCAGGATGTACCAAACGCTACACAGACCCAAGTTCCCTAAGAAAGCATGTGAAGGCACATTCTTCCAAAGAGCAACAAGCAAGGAAAAAGGTAATTTTAAAAGAGAATCTTCCAGTCGGGAAAAGCATGTTCAGATTATTCTTGTAGTACACGAAGCTTCTGCAGGGCACTTGAAATTCTTATACTTCTCATGGTATAACCTGCTTTAGACCGTTTGAGGAGGTAAGTCTCCCATGAAGTAATAGCAAGGCTATGGTTTGCATAGCTGATATGGCTATGGTTTGCATAGCTGATATGGCTATGGTTTGCATAGCTGCTATAGCTATGCAAATTTCTGGGAAAGGCTTGTATAATAGGAATCAGAGAAAAGTAAGGAAAGTCCCTCAAACTGGAAAGCAACAAAAAGCTTTTATAGAAGTTAAGTTCAGATAGCTAAAGATAATTAAATTGGGAAAAACAACACCACAGAAATCCTTCTGGAAAGAAATGCTTTTTCATAAAATATCAATTGGCCAATATCGTGAAGCTCTAATGAAGAAGGTAAGTACGTCTCTAGGACAAGTAGAGAGCATTCTTTAAGCTTAGAGAAAAAGCAGATTTCTGGATTTGTATGAAAATCTGAAAAAGGAATTGAACTTAAAACCACTTTGACATTAATGAGGGGTGAACGCATTTTCAAAGTTCATAAAAATCATAATATCTTAGATTTGGAAGAAATGTTAGAGACCAACCATCCTGTCCACCTGGCTTGCTCTCCTAACTCCATAAGATGTCTAGCAAGTGGTTGACTGCACTGTGCTTCAACCCCTCCAGAGACAGAGAGCTTACTACCTTTCAAGGCATTTCCTAGTAACTAAGTTTTTACATTTTTGGATCAGTGAGTATCTTCTATTCATGGCAGAAAACATGTTGAGCTGATCTTGGCTTTTTGAGTGTTTCATTGGTATTGAGATGGGTTCCTGATTCATTTGAGGGCCCTTTATAACAAATTTAAGGGCAGTTTGAGACTCAACGTATTTCAAGTGATTGAACCCCATGGCAAGGGTTTCAGGTCACCGTGGCTTCTACTTAGAAATCTTGCATTCTTTCATGGTTTATGGGGATTTAACACTTTTATGTTGGGAAATGCTCTATAGTCTTCTTGTTACTTGAGATTTTTTTTTTCTTCCTTGAGAAGTGTTAGCACAATGCCAGCCGAGGGTGTGTATATGGAAGGAATTTGACCCTTTCCCTGTGAGTTAGAAAAATGCTCAGTCAGGGGGATTTGATAGATAGTCTTAATTGCATACAAACCCACTCTTGTAAGTTAATTGTTAAAATCATTTTTTTCCTAGAAATGTAGTTAAATTTCTTTAATTGGAATCCCAGTAAATTGATATCTGTGATCATTAGACAGACACTAGATATGCTTTTGTGTTTCAGAAAAGCAAAGGAACTGCTAAGTTAATTAATAATGTAAATAAAGTTAGAAAGCAAGTGCTTAGTCTTCTTAAAATAACACACCCTTTTTGCATGCTATTAACTACTTTCAGCAGAACCACCGTCTATTATTTTTGTTATCATCTATATATACCTTATAAATTTGAAGTAATAAATGATAGTTGTAAAAAACAAACTTCTAGATGAGGGGGTTTTCTTCCCCCTAAATCTAATCATTTTTTGCCTCCAAGTTGTGCAAATGTGTAAGGTTTTATTGTAATAGTAAATCTATCATTAACATCGGAAAGTACCCTTGTAGAGATTAACAGTTGTCATGGACATGAAAGAGTATCGGTCCCCTATCTAGACAAATAAGCAACACTGTGATGTTCAAGTTAAGAAGGTAACCTAGGATGACAGATTTGGAAACATAACAGGGGATATTTTCAGGAATTATTAATGGTTTCTCCTGTTCAAATTTGTTGTGTTTCAACCTCTGTATAAAGAAAGAGTAGTTTTGATTGTGTGAAAGATTATTGAAGCACTAACTGAAAAAAGAAAACCATATCTTGAGACTGCAAAATATTATTTTATTGACAATTTGCAGACACCCTTTAACAAACAACCTAAATAAAGAAGAGTATACTTTCAAGGAGCAGTATTGTAATCTCATGTCAAATTGCAGTGTTCTCTTAATTTTGTCTTATGTAAATGGAGACACTGTCTCTCAAATGGCTTAGCTTTTGATGTTCACTGTTTTCTGCAAGTGGTTGAATTGGATTTCATTGACTTGTTGACTCGCATTGCACAGCCCTTAGTGATAAGTTTGCAGTGTTTACTTTCCGATTTTAGCCTGCCTTTTTATCCAAAGATTTTAAAAATTCTTTATGAATCCATGATGGATTAATTTGCGGAAGTTAAAATGATGCAAGTTGCTCCATCCAACAGAAAAAGGAAATGTCATTCCCGGAGAAGCAGTTGCTAATAAACCTGAAACTAGTCAATCCACATTTCCAAATCTTGTGCTGATATACCAGGGTGTAATATTTACATGGTACAATGTTGTTACTAGACCTTGGAGAGATTCTAATTGCTCACTCACATCAGGACTTGGTATTTGAAATATTTCCTGGCAGCAATTAAAAAAAAGAAACAATAAACCTTTTAAGGCAGAATTAAGATTATTTACGACTTTAATTAAAAATTGAAAACTGGCCTCATTTCAAAAAAGCCTTTACAAAAATGTGAATTAATCAAAAATAACCATAAAAATTCCAAGGTGATAAAGGCACAGTGGAGTAATGGTCCTAGTCCTAGGGAATTGTTTTGTTGAAAAGAATAAAACCCTTTTCTGTCACACCCTGTTAGTCATGGGCTTATTTAATATACCCTGCTTGCCTGCCTGCCTCTAATCCCCTTTGTAACCTCCCCCTAGACATTAAATGACATTATTTTGGTCTTAAGGTTGCCAGTTTTATGAGTCCTACTGTGGAATCGGGGCCAGTGACAAGGCACCCATAGCCATAGATAAATTCATGTGAGGAGGGGTCGGGATCTCATAAGTGATGCCCTGACCGTGGGCACGTGGCCCTTTCCCACACCTGTCGGATCCTACTGAAAACCAAGAAAAACCTGAAATCCCAGCTAAACATTATTCAAGCTGTGAAAAGAAAGAAAAAGAAGAAAAAAAAACTCTTCTGCAAAGGAATGGGGATAATTTGGTTCACTGCATGCAGAAGAGTAACTTTTCTCTTTGCATAATTCCTGCACACCCACACATCCCATCAGCCGATGTACAGACTTCTTTCATGGAATGTGCTTTGCAGATCTCGAGTCCATTAAATCAAGGGTTACACAGAAAAATGGGTAGCGAAATACTCAAGTCACCAACTGTGGTCTCCACAGAGAATAGAAGAAGTTCGCCTATAGAGCAAAGGGCAGAATCTGTCCTTCAATTCTGTCTGATAATGAGTAAGTGAAATAAGAGAAAACTAAGGCAATAAGCCACTTGAAATTTTCCTCAAGGCTATGAGCTTTATCAGAATTTTTCATTTTCACCTTGTAAGTGCCATAAGCAGGAGGGTTTCCTTTAATTCTAGACTGATATCGAAATGGACTTTTTAAAAGTGCATACAAAGGATGCCGGAAGTTAGAGGTGACATGAATCTTTCATCCATTTCACACTTCCACAAAGATTCAAACTTTATTTGTGATTTGTTAAATGTTTGTTAAACATTGACCTATGATCCACTGTGGCTGATGGCTTTCACTTTTGTGACCTCAAAACAGGCTGTTATAAACCAAGCATAGCATTTGAAATGGGCGCGAATGCAACACACATTTATATGTCCTACGTAGAGAACAGCTCTGTATTGCTTTCTGGCAAAATTAGGGCAGTCTATTTACTGTAATTCTTCATAGAGAACTGGTAACTTTTGGAAATCGGTTCAGAGCCACCACCACCTCTCCCCCACATATACTCAAAACCAGAAAATTTTCATTAAGTATCACATAAGCTTACCTTGCTTTGTACAGTTCTTTGAATCTTTAAGAGCTATGTGAAAATATGTATTTTCCTTTAAATTGAAGCATATATTAAGTGGACTAATAAGGCACACTTTTTCTGTCAGTTGCTTTCAGTCATGGTCTAGACGGCAGATGGTGTATGCACAAGTGGGGTGCATGATCAGGGCCACCCCAGATTTTGCAAACCCTTCTCATTTTTTTCCTTTCTTGTTTCTGCTCAGGAATAAATTAAAAATCAGTCATACTATTAATAGAATATTAGTAATAGGCACATATCACAGACATATCATCTCAAGATGAACTAGTCCACCTCTTCCTCTCACATTTTAGAAACTATATTAGAATGCACGTGACGGAGAGTGATGCTGTTACGGGGATGACATTGAAACGGCACTGATTTTTTAAAAGCGAGTCACAAACTTCTGTACTTTAATCATTGTTGATGATGCATTACTTACCTCACACCTCAAAATGATGGTGAGACATACCTGAATATCCTGATGCTCTCATTTGAAAAGTAACTTACTTCAATAAAGGCTCTGGGAGATGCTTTTGTAACACCAGTGTTTTTGGTTAGAAATTTTTATGCTAATTAATAATTAAACTCAAATGAAAAAATAAGCCATCTTAAATTTAACCCTGTGCCAATAGCAGTGATTTGGATTTGAAACCAGTTGCTTGGAGGCTTCCCTTTTAGGTAGACCCAATATGCTGCCAGCTATGCTTTCCAGAGCATTTTGATGCTACATAGTGATGGGAGCCATTTAAAAAGAGGTAAGAATCCATAATTTGCAGGATTTAGGAGAGGTTGTCAATGAAAGTGACCACTTAGTAAGAATAAGCTTCTCTTCCTTTCTTGAGTGATCAGAAAAGCTGTCTTTGGCCTTTCCGTAAATACAGAAAAATATCGAAAGATATCTACCACCATCTCTGGGGTAATGGTCCAGGATCTTATTTCGTGCTTAAAGCTGTTGCCCGAGGTGTGCGCTTTAGAATACGTTCCACAGAATGTTATTAGATATTTCTTTTAAAAAGTTTTTTTGGTCATATAAATTTAGGACACACTAAGTTAAGTACTACCCAAGGGTTTCTTTCTTGCAATAGTTCTCAGAGCCTTGGATATACCAGTATTCCAGAAGGAAGGTAACATTAGGCGTTGCTCAAAATTATTTGGCCAACTAAACCATCTTTGTTTTTCTCCAGAGATCTCAACAAACTACTCTTCTACTACATTGTTTGCAAAGTACAGTCTCAAGGAATATCATTTATTCTACTCAACAGATATTTATTGAGTACTTACTGCGTGTCAGGCACTAGGTTAGATCCAGAGATACAAATGTGTATAAGACAGACAAGTTCTGTGCCCTCATAGATTTACATTATCTTCATGAAAGTCCAACAACAGTAAAAAAAATAAACAGAAAATCAGCCACATAAATACAGATAAGGAAACAATAAGGGAACTGATACGGATGTTAACAGAGGGTGGCCTATTGAAGTGAGATGGGCAGGAAAGGCCTCTCTGAGGAGCTGATCATATTTGTAGTGGGAACACATTCAAATGACTAATTTAGAAATGAGGCCAGGCCCAATGGCTCACGCCTGTAATCCCAGCACTTTGGGAGGCCGAGGTGGGTGGATCACTTGAGGCCAGGAGCTCAAGACCAGCCTGGCCAACATGACGAATCCCCATTTCTACTAAAAATACAAAAAAATTAGCCAGGCATGGTGGCGTGCGCCTGTAATCCCAGCTACTTGGGAGGCTGAGGCAGGATAAATCCTTGAACGCGGGAGGCAGAGGTTGTGGTGAGCTGAACTGTAATCATGCCACTGCACTCCAGCCTGGGTGACAGAGTGAGAAGACAAAAGAAAGAAAGAAAAGAAGGAAGGAAGGAAGGAGAGAGAAAGAAAAGGAGGAAAGGAAGAAAGAAATGAAAAAATATAGATTGGCTGCAAATTTTTAAAAAGCATTGCAGGCCGCGTGCGGTGGCTCACGCCTGTAATCCCAGCACTTTGGGAGACCGAGACAGGCGGATCATGAGGTCAGGAGATCGAGACCATCCTGGCTAATATGGTGAAACCCCCGTCTCTACTAAAATACAAAAAATTAGCCAGGCGTGGTGGCTGGCGCCTTTAGTCCCAGCTACTCTGGAGGCTGAGGCAGGAGAATGGCATGACCCCAGGAGGTGGAGCTTGCAGTGAGCAGAGATTGCACCACTGCACTCTAGTGTGGGTGACAGAGCAAGACTCCGTCAAAGAAAAAAAAAAAAACAAAAGAAAAAGCATTGCTTTAGTCGCAATACTGTACCTTCCTGTATGAGCTTTTAAAAAAAGAACCTGATACTACTAAACTATAGCAATAGATGTTAGGATCATCTTAATTTGTTTTAATTGCACCTTTCTGCAGCCTGTCCTCCTTAACGGAGATGGCACTCAATTGAGGGACTGCATGCTAGACAGTGAAAAGCATAGCTTAGTGCTCCCATCTAAGAAAATGACCCAGATGGTTAGCATTTGTGATTCTCTGAGTACACTCTGCCCTCACTTAATGGCCTCAGTAGGTTCTTGGAAACTGCAACTCTAAGCAACATGATGTATAACAGAACCAATTTTACCAAAGGCTAATTGATAAAACGAGAATTAAGTTCCGAGGGCATATTTCTGGTCACAAAAACATCATCAAACTTCTAAATAAAGATCTCAAACACTTTTAACATTAAACATTGAAGTGAATGTGAGCTTATGTACTTTTAAGAAAGATAATTAAAAGCAAATACAAAAATTATTTTCCCAATTGTTTAAGTTCAAGGTTGAGGGTGGCTGGATCCTACCCCAACAGTTCAAGGCCTGGAGAGGATTCCGTCTCATCACAGTGATCGCGCGCACACACACACACACGCGCGCACACGCACACACACTGACCATGTAGACACACCCATTCACCTAATGGTAACATCTTTGGTACATGAGAGGAAACTAGAGTACCTGGAGAAAACCCATACAGACATGGGGAGAACACTTCACACAGACACCAGCTCTGGCCAGGAATCGATTTTTTTTCTCATCAGCATTATAAAGACACCACGTTATTCCAGGACCTGCTGTACTCAGTACAGGCGAGGCCCATGCCAGCTCTGAGGATTTAGAAGCAAGACCTGGCCCCACTCTCCTGAAGATTACATTCTAACAAGAGACACACCGGGAGATGCCAGCTTTCAGTATAGTGGGGGAAATGCTATGATAAAGTCACACAGAGAAAGCTTCTGGAACATGGAACTTGGGAGTTCCTTTGCAAATGATAGAGATTGTTAAGGAGTAGTCTTATATTTACTGTCTGAAAGCAATAAGGAGATCAGTATTATTCTTTATTACATTACAATATTTTGTCAAATGTAACAAAGTAGTTTTATTTCTATTCCCCCTGAAAATTGGTAATGGGGACCAAAAATGGGTTTTTGGGGCACAGTTCTGGCCAACTGTGTAAGGAATGACGACCCTCTGACAGGTGTTTTAATGAGCTATTCAGGCTGTACAGTGCCTAGCACAGCTACCTTATGGAAAGAGTTCCTAGATAATTGTTTTTCTGATTGACTGACTGACAGAAGCCTTCTAAGCTTCTTATTCCCTTTCTCTTATTAAATTTTGTGCATTCTTGATGAAAATCATTTTGGAATAAAAGTGTTTAGCTCAGGCTCTCTGCTACCTAAATATAGTGTCCTAAAATCTCATAACACAGCTCACTATTGCCCTTCTCAGGCACTCCCTCTCCATCCCCACCAAAGTATTCATGTCCTTTGTGCAATTACTGCTCCCTCTGGTAGTTCTCTCTTGTCTTTCCTTTTCAGCTTCAGTTGAGCTATGTCATTGATATCCATGGGCAGTATCTTCCCATTTGTTTGTATCTTGGCTCTCTGATCTGTGAAGATTTGTTTTCAGGGTGACTTCACACAAGGGCGTGGATAAGCCTAATACAAAAACTTTTCATGGTGGATACCAGGCAGGTGGCCATGTCTTAGAGTGGTGTTTGGATTGGACATCAGAAGGTATGGGCTTCTTTTAAGCACTGCCATGAATTGCTTCAGGACTTAGCTTAAGTTACATTCCCCTGGTTTTTCCATTTTCCCTTCTTGGCAACTAGCTTGAAAGGCAAACATGGGGCCCCAGAAGTGAAAGGGGAGCTAGTTCAGTAGAAAGCATTGTTATGCCACATACCTGCAATCCATAGCAGTCTACTGTGCCTGACAACAGACCAGTAATATCCTTGGAAATATTTTCCTTCCTAAGAACTGAATATTCTTTCAGTGATTACTAGAGCCAGTCTTTCTGGGTCATACAGATACTCAGACAATAGCACAACAGAAGATCCAGACAAAGGAAAGCAAGCTGGAATCGAAGCTAGAGGGAATTTAAATCAAATTTGAACCTGTGAAATCTAATTATATTCAGGGGTTATTGACTTGGGGCTCATAGACCATGGGCAAAGGCCCATGGATGGCTGTGTTTTAGGAAGCTCATGAACTCCCAGAAATTATATGCAAAATGTATTTTTCTGGGGAGAGGCTCCATAGATTTTTACTGACCTCAAGTGATCCACCTGCCTTGGCCTCCCAAAGTGGTGGGATTACAGGCTATTCTTTTAACTATAATAGAAAAGCATGGCTTTTAGGATGGTTGCTTGTCACACTGCCACTACATGAGGTCTAGGCTATAGCCCATCAGCATTATATGCATCCTTAAATGTCACCTCATCCATCCTGCAGCCTAGTATGGGAGACACATTTAGGAAGTCCCAAAAGATACTCATAAAGCTTCTTCATGTAATCTTAAACTTTCTGACTTTTATGATAGTCTTTTTGGGTATTCCTGTTATTTAGCAACCCTAATATATTCAAACATCCTTGTACTATAGAGAAAAAAAAAACACCTTTCTGAAACACTTGCACATGGGCTCTACTGTCTTCCAAATGTGCTGCTGCTTTTCCATGGTGACCTTGCTGATGTCTGTGAAATTCTCCTTTAATATCTCTAGTTTCCCACAATTTTTTCTTATTACCCGGATTCCAGATTTTTTGGCGTATGGACTATATTCGTCTCTATGCTCTATATTTCATTCATGGTGTAGAGTACAGTGTCAGCAAGGGTCACAGTGAGGCTTGCAGTGTCATTTATTGGCTATTGAGATAGGCATTGAGGTAAAAAGGTCGACAAAGGAACCAGTGCTAAAGGGCCTTATGTGCCCTGCTAAGGTGTTAAACATATACAGTGGTCAGATCTGTGATTTAGAGAGATAATTATAGTGGTAATGTGGGAAACGAATTAGGTATTTACAGTGAAAGGAGACAAGGCAATTAGTTTGGTTGGCATATTTCCATTAATCAACAGTCTTTAGATAAGTGGCTTATCCAACTATGACTACACCCAGCCATGCTATCATCAGTTCTAGGTTTCTCAGTCTTTTCCAAAATGCTATCATGAGAGACTTGGCTAATTATCTTGGAATTCTAGGAGTGGCTTTCCACTAATGGTATCTAAAAAGGAAATGAGGATTCTCTGGTTGTTCCCAATGACCCCATCCTAACTCCAACTGACTTCCTTCCTTCTTTACTGCTTGGCAACCCATTATTCTTCGTAGAATCTTTCCAACCATAAAGTTGAAGCTTTCTGGTCATTAGATACATTTCTAGGCTCTTTTTTACCTTACTGAAATTTGAGATATGCATCTCTTTCTCCATTTTTTTGGCTTTCTCTCTTTATATTTTTTCAAAGCATACTTTTATAATCACCTTTACAAGTGTTTTTGGTAGCAGAGTTTGTGAACACTTAGAACCTTGAATTCCCTGACTAGCTAGATGAGGTCTCTTGTTAACTTCTCTCCTATCCTTCCCCACCTTACCCCCAGCAATTATTTTTCCGCATTTCCCCTTCACCACTCCCTCCTGTAGAAAAAATATAAATAAGCCAGGTAGTAGCAGTGTTGTTATATCATGTTCAGAGTCCATTCTTCTTTTTAAAATTACATAAGCGATGCCTATCTGTGTAAAAAGAAAATGAGGACATATGCAAACTTTCATTGAAACCAAGACACCATTGATTGTAAGTCTTGTCTTGATTTCAGAGATGTTAGCATATATTTTACAATCAATGAATCACAGTGGCTTAACTTTGGTGCCTATCTTTCTATATATTTTTTCCTGTCATATGCAATCATATTATGGGTCCCTCTGTTTTGATTCTTCTAAGTGGTATATAGTGAATATATTGCCTTGACAGTAACTATATTTTTAATGACTGCATTTTAAAAGATACACTGCATTTCACTTAACCAACTTTCTATTTTCAGACAATTAGATGATTTTAAAGATTGTACTATCATGAACAATTCTATAGCGCATATGCTAGTATATAGATCTTAGTACATATCCTAAAGTGCTTCAAATAAATTCCTTACAACATATTGCCAAAATGACTTCCCCAAAATTTGTAACAGTTTGTTTGAATTTCTGTTAGGACTATATAAAACCAACTTTTTTCTTACACTTTACCAATGTGAAGTGTGAGTGTGTGTGTGTGTGTGTGTGTGTACACAGTATGATGGATGAATAATAGATGAACTATTGATATACAGTTCTTAGATTGCTGGTAGATTTGATTATTCAAAATTTATTAACCATTTATATTTCAATTTTATATTATCTGTTGTCTTTTCTTATTTTATGGATAATTTTTATATTGATTTGAAGTAACTATATATAACAGATATTAACTAGTTAATTGTCATAAATATTGCATATATTTTAGTAGTTTGCCATTTGTGAAACTTGATTTGCTGTGTGGATTTTTTAATCATAGAAAATTTACTATAGATATATTTTTACATATTTTTAGATTTTTCTCCCCCATCTAAAGGTTTCTGTTTTGATGTCACTTTTACAAAGGCCAACTCATTATTCCACTATTTTGTTTAAACTCCAGCTTTCTCCCATTTTAGTGAAACTACTCTTCTGATGGTGGTAGTTCTTGTTTTTTGTAAAGGACAAGTAAGGCTTTGGAACTGTGCCTGACTGAGTTTGAATCTTAGCTCTGACTCTGGGAGAAATTACTTAGCTTCTCTGAGCTTCCGGTTCCCATGCTAAAACAACCTACCTCCACAGGGCGATTGTGTGATTCAAGTGAGACCATGCCTGTGAATGGACTTAGTGAAAAATCCAAACTGCAGAATGTAGGAGGTGCTCAGAACATAATTTTTTCTTTTCTCCTGGACACAACTTAGTTAAATGAGAAGGGCACTTTCTTGTGGGTGATCTGAATACAATTTCAACTGTCCTCATTTCGAGATACACATCGCAGGCAGCTGTTGTACTACACACCTTATCTTGAAGGAATAATGCATGACACCACTGTGCATAATCAAAACTTGAGCTCCAATTTGCTTTCAGATTCAGTGACAACCATACTGCGAAGTCCCGTAGGGTTGTGATGCAAGATCTTTAAGTTTGGTGGTAAAAAGGATAAATTACTGTAATGAGAAGTTTTCCTCATTTCAAATCTCTAAGGACATCACTGAGCTTTGAAAAAGGAGACTCAAAAGGAAAAATATAGGTAGAGAGCTGGCAAGGCACGAAGACAAGAAGCTCTGTTTCACAATACTGCTTTGGGCTAGTCTAGCACACAAGCACCAGCTAGGCTATAGGAATTTAGATAATGTTTACCCATCGTAGACTTTGAATAGAAACTGTATTTTGAGATAATAGTGCAAAGGACATCCTTGACATTTCATTTCCTCATGTGTACATAAGCAAATATAGAAATCGGATTTCATTTCTGTGTACTCAAAATAGCAACCAAGGATCCAAAGATGATCCCCCACCTCTTCTTTAAAAAAAAAAAAAAAAAAACCTGTTCTTTTATATTCAAAAATATGTCAAGAGTAAGTTCCTGAATTTCTGAGTCACAAAGACTCAGACACATAGGGAGCCCTAAATCATAGCATAAATGAACTGAGGAACCTAATGCTTCATAATATTTTCCCCATCTCCCGTCTCTATCCTCATTAATATTTCCCTTCCCCATAGAATATTAAGCATGAAATTGATTAGACACTTTAACATAGCAAAAACACTCACAAACTCAGTACCACTTTTATCTCTTCAACCATCACCAAAAGCAAGAAAGGGTGATTTGATATTTAAAACAGTCAGTAATGGCCGGGCACAGTGGCTCATGCCTGTAATCCCAGCATTTTGGGAGGCCGAGGCGGGTGGATCACGAGGTCAGGAGATTGAGACCATCCTGGCTAACACGGAGAAACCCCGTCTCTACTAAAAATACAAAAAATTAGCCGGGTGTGGTGGCGGGCGCCTGTAGTCCCAGCTACTCAGGAGGCTGAGGCGGGAGAATGGTGTGAACCCAGGAGGCGGAGCTTGCAGTGAGCCGAGACCGTGCCACTGCACTCCAGCCTGGGCAACAGAGTGAGACTCTGTCTCAAAAAAAAAAAAAAAAAAAAACTGTAATAGCATAATGGATGCCATTAGCTATTTTTATTCTCCTTAGTTATGAAATAACAGTTTAAAAGAAATGGGAGGGCCAACAATAATAATCACCAAATACCCGTTTGCTGGGTATTTTCATGGGTGTTTACTTTTTCAGTCTTCAAAACAATTCTACGAGGCTAGTATTACAATTAATATTGTGGCCTTCTATTAGAGATGGTAGAGCCTCCATGCTTTGAAGTATCTTTTCCAAAATTCTTCAAGCCCCTTTCTTGGTAACTGAGCCAATAGTACCATCCAGTTGGGGTATCCTGATCCCATTTCATTTCATTTTATTATTTTTTTTTATTTTTAATTTTTTTTTTTTATTTTTTAACTTCTACTTTAAGTTCAGGGGTACATGTGCAGGTTTGTTATATAGGTAAACTTGTGTCATGAGGGTTTGTTGTACAGATTATTTTGTTGCCCGGGTATTAAGCATACTACCTATTAGTTATTTTTTCTGATTCTCCTCCTCCCATCTTCCACCCTCCCAACAGGCCCCAGTGTGTGTTGTTCCCCTATATGTCTCCATGTGTTCTCATGTTCTCACTTATAAGTGGGAGCTAAATGATGAGAACACATTTCATTTTAGAGATGAAAGACCTCAGGTTCAGAGACGTTAAATGACTAACAAAGCACATTCAGTAAGCAGTAGAACTGTACTCAAGCTGCATTTTTCTAACTCAACATGCAGTGCTCTTTTGGCTTTACCATTCTGACTATGGCGGTCTGATTTCCCAACACTGAAAATTTTATAACTTATCAACAAGTTCTTGGCATGAATTCTATAGTGGCCTCTGTTAGAGATGGTGGTAGATTTTCCCCATGCTTTGGAGTACCTAATTGAAAATTGTGTAAGCTCTCCTCTTGGTGGCTAGGTCAGCAGTACCATCCAGTTGGGGCAATCTGATCCTACACTGAGACCCACATGGTCACTGTCCCCCATTCCATCCTTCAGGGCACTTTCCCACCCTCTTCCATATATGTAGGGTCAACTAAGTACCCCAAGGAGCTCTAGAACTCACACCTATGGGATCTTCCCGGGGTCTTATAAGCAGATCCTAATTCCAAAAGGTTGGTTGGTGAACATTGGTCATTGTGGCATTTCTTTAGCTGAATTGGTTGAAATTGGACCTCTACAGTGGTTCTGGCATTCTGATTGAGGGTGACTCAAATTGATTATATAGACAAGAACCCCACAGTTTTTGTTTTTTTGTGTTTTGTTTTCAATGCCATGTGTATCCTAGGGATGGCCCTGTAGAGGGCAAGAATTACAAAGAGTCTGAGATTTTACCCTAGGTTACACACTAGCAAGTTAGCCTGCCACAGTTTCATGGATACTGGCAGGAGACATGAGACTCCTGGGTCAGAGTCTCAAAGGACAGTGTATTATTTATAGTAATAGTGATAGCCAGAGTATCATCATTTTCTTATGCCAGTTGTTTAAGTCCTAGTTCCCATAAGGTACCATGAAGACGGCCAGGCACTAGGTTGTATTACAAGAGGGAAATTCTGAGCTTAGGGAACTTGAATCTTTTATAATAGACATAAGCATGCTTGCCTTTTGATCAGGAGGGAGACACTGTCATGGTTTTTCAAAGCATCTTTGAAAAGATAGTTCAGAAAGATTGCCAGTCTCCCTCCCTGCTCACAAGACACATCATAGAGAATTGCCTCTCAAGGTGGAGTTCTTGTTGGTCCTTCTTAATTGCAAATGTGCAAGGACAGCCAAACACTAATCCCAGCCTGCCCTCAAATGACCCTAAATATTCAGGATAGTCCTGAAATAAAAGTAGTTTCCAAAAGAAAAGACTGAAACCAGGAAAGAGGGAACATGGATATTTGAAAGACATGACTCTATCTTGCCAGTCTGCATTTAGCCCTAAACATTTTCATCCACATTTGTTTGAGAGTCTACAGTCCTGCCCATGAGTGCCATCAGTTATCTCATGATTTGATAGACGTTCCTTACCACCCCCACCTGAAATTATTCTTAGCACTAGCCTTCTAGAAAGCATAAAATTGCCGCCAATACAATCATTCTTTTCAGTTATAGGATTATCTCCAGAAGATCCCTATTAGTTATTTTTTCATTGTATAGCAAAGGCAGTGCAACACTTCACTCCCATTATATGTCAATGTGGGTTCAATTACCAATTTTCAAGGAGCAACTATGTCCGTTTTCTGTGGCTACTATACAGGAACGGTGGTTTCAATAGGAATATGGGGTTGAAAGAAGTCAGAAATAGAGTATACTTGGACCTGGGTGAGGTCGTTTCAGTGGGGCCCTGGGGAATAAAGGAATAACTTGAAACCAATAGATGACAAGGCAGAGAAAAACTTGGAAGTAGAGAGCATTGAAAAAAAAAAAATAATGGATGGAGTAGTGTTTTAGAAGTCACTTCACAATTTATACTGGAGCTCATCCTGCTATTGGGCTTTAAGAATAGAAGTTAAAAAGGAGTTTTATTATGTTCCATCTCATCAGTTTTCCTTGGCTTTTTAAAGGAATGTAGGCAGTATATTCTAAAATGAATTTCAATGGAGGGTTTTTAGAGGAACAATTCAAATGGAGTTGTGTTTGCTCACTTGTCAATGTCACCCTTTCTTCTGGGTGCCTAACTTGGCCTCAGCTGAGTGCACTGTTCATGCAAACATCTTCAGCTCTGACAGCACATGCTGTCGTGGTATTGCCCCTTTGGCCACACTCCTATGACATGCTGGTACCAGGAACACCAGCAACTTGGGTACAAAGCAATGATATTTACATTGTTATGGTTAAGTTAACTTTGTGGTAGTGAAAACCTCAGTTTTTCATTTCCTGGCTAGTATTTCCAATTTGGAATTGCAACACTGCATTTACGTGCATTTTTGCCTTTTAAATGTTCTGTGGTATTGCAACATTTGAGAAATTCCCAGGGACCCTTAATCTTCCTACAAACACTGGTTTGTAAGCTAAGGACCAACTCACTATCTCAGAGTTACCTCTTTGTGCCCTTGCTGAATAATTCTGATTTTGCATTGTACATCTTTAGACTCCCTGTGCTGTCTTTTAGTTCAAGTTTCCCTCTTGAATATACTAATAAAAGGACAAAGAAAAAGGATTTTTAAAAATTTGTACCTGCTTTTTCAAGAGCAATTGAACTTAAAGCTACTTTTCCTATTGTTTTCCATGAAGTCTCATTTAAAATATTTTATTAATGCAAAGAGATGTGCATTCAGGGCTAAGGACCAGTGAACAGTAGCCATGGCAACCAGGAAGCCATTCAGGAGGAGAAAAAAAAATGCAGTAAAGAGTAAGTGTTTTAATCCTTAACTTTAATCCTTTTACTTCCTGTTCTCAAAATGAAATATAAATCAGGCACCATGCAGCGCTGCAATTTTTCTCTGAAAGGGATGTTGGCAAAAGAGGATTAGTAATGGACAGACGTGTTTAAGGAATTTAATCACACAATTTGTTGTAAAACTTTTGAGACCACGAGTGACCAGTTCCTTTGAGTGGCGTCAATGAGAACCAACAAAACATACTTTGAACCTGATTAGAGAGTTGGCGCAGGGGGACACCCCGGTTTGCTGTTATTGTTACATCATTTCAGGCTGTGGTAATGACATGAGAAATCAAGGAATTTGCTTGGTCCCCCAGTGGGGAGGTAGAAGACTTGGGGTGTCTCCTTGGTAGAATAGAGATATTCTTTTGATCTTCGTGATGCTAGGGAAAAATTAAGTCGCCCGTATTTCACATACTACCTTTCCTTGATGTTCGATTACTATGGGAGTTTCACAAAGGCATGTGCTTTCTATTGTCAACAGACTCTTGGGTTTCTGCTAAAAAGCACAGGCTTTAGTTTCTATGGACAGTAAAACAGCATTCTCAGAAGGATTGATTATTATTCCTTAATGTTTCTACTCTTTGTTTCTAAGATTTTCTTCTACATGGACTAGAAGACTTGTTCTACTTGTTAATTTCTGATTTTTTAAAAAATCTGATTTTCTTTCTTTTAAGTCAGATAAAAAATATGGCCCCCACACTGACTTGTCTTCCCTAGTTCTTTGGAGGATGGTTGGGGAAGAAAGAGAGATATGCCTTTTTATGGCATTTTTCCTTCCCTCAGCATATATATGCGAGAGTATTTCTTTGATAAATTTATTTCTAGTGAACTAAAAATTACCAGCATACATGACTCTTTGCAGAGATCTGAGGTACCTACAACTTGTACTAGCTTCCTGCCATGTCAGAATGTGAAATTACTTCCAGTAATAGCATCTTTCCAGGGGGCTGCTGATAATTATGACAGACAGGCAACATCATGAAGGCTGGAGCATTTGCAAATGGAGTTAGACACAGCAGACCGCTGAGCCTGGAGTTTCTTGTAGACCTTGAGAACAAAAGTATACAAGCTAAAACCTGCAGATAACAGGGCATCTGGAAAAGAAAAATATTATCCAGTCCTCTAACTTAGAGGACAACATGCAAGGCTGATAATACCTGTTCCTGATGCCTCCTCTTGACCCGGTCTTGTTTCTCCCCATTCTGTCAGAACCACCAAGACTAATGCAATCCTGGACAGTGCTTGTGAGATGGAATCTGTATACCGTGAGCAGCCACTGACAGTCCTCATCATTCTTGCAACACTTTCCTTAGATTTTTGACTTTCTAGTCTGAACTTCTGGGATGGAATTTTGTTTTTTTGAGAGGGGATTGGGATAATTGGAGGGGGTGGATGATAAGAAGAAAGACAGAATGGTGTCAGTACCTAAAGGAGGAATGGTAGATGATAAACATGAAGATGACTTTGGCAGAGTCTATACAGGCTATAGGAAGGCTCTAGGAGAGTCTAGTCCCTGTCTTGGGCTTCACCCTGAGGCACTTCTCCAAGCCAGGCCTCCTTTCTGATGACCAAGGAGAGGAGCTTTATTTCACCAAAGCATCAAAAGGTCATGTGATTCATGCATTGCTCTAAGACATGCATTGCTCTAAGACATACAGTGCTCAGACAAGAAGAGGGAAATTACTGACAGTAATTCTGTGCATTGACGAAAATAACACCACGGGCAAGCTCTTTACTTTGGTGGCATCACATCAGGGGAAGAAGACTTTGGGGCAGTGCTAAAGACTGGATGTGGAGCAGGGCCAGTGCGATCAGGTTTACCAGCTGGTCACTTACTCAATCCGTGGTCAGAAGATGAAGGTTCTCATCTTGGCTGTGTAGTCTGTCAAACAGGGGGCTGGAATGTATAATTTGGGACCTAATCAGCTTGAAATTTCTGTTTTCTACTTACCAAATTTACACTTGACATTGACTCTTTAGAAGCAAGGTGGAAAATTGGATTTGTTCCCAGCCCTTCCAGATGAATGAGAGATATGAAGTATAATGTAGTGAATTAGCATTTCCTATTGGAAGGATTGCTCATTTACATATCCCAAGAGGCAACATATAAATGTGAATAGTGTTATCTAGTGAAATTTGGCATGAATGTGGGTTGAATATTATAAAGAAATAAACTTTGGCTGGGCGCAGAGGCTCATGCCTATAATCCCAGCAATTTGGGAGGCCGAGGCCAGAGGATCACTTGAGCCCAGGAGTTCAAGAGCAGCCTCAGCAACATAGTGAGATCTTGCCTCTGCAAAAAAAAAAAAAAAATCCAAAAATCTGAAAAAACTTAGCCAGATTTGGTGGTGTACAGCTGTAGTCCCAGCTACTCAGGAGGCTGAGATGGGAGGATAGCTTGAGCCCAGGAATTCAAGGATACAGTGAGCTATGATCACGCCATTGCACTCCAGCCTGGGTGACAAAGCAAACACACTATCTCTAAAAAAAGAGAAAGAAAGAAAGAAACTACCCAAGTGTCTTTTTAAAAAAAATTTCGGTTCAATTTCACTTGGCTATTTACCATTTTATTCTTAATTGATAATTTAGGCATACTTAAACTGCCCCATTCTTTTCTTCCCCTGATGTTGCATGTGACGTGATTTCATTTGTCTTTGGGGCCTACCCCAAAGGTTAAGCATGGATTAATAAATACTCAGCAGCCATTGGCTCATTTGTCATTCATTCATTTACTTGTTCACACATTCCCTAAACATTTATAGAGTACCTTTCATGTGAAAAGAAGGACTGTTTTAGGTTGCATGATCAAACACTCAAGGGTTGTTTATAAAGCCCTTTTTGTCTTTTATGATGTGCACACATATTGATATAATTTCTAAATAGCTATTACAAAATGTAGAAAATCACGAGTGCTAACAGCAAGATGAAGAGAAATTGCTTTTCAATATGAAAAAGAATAAAATTACTTTGGAATGGAAAGGCTGGGAAAACTTCAAGGGACAAGTGACATTGAATTGGACCTTGGAGAATATGCAGAATTTATTGTAGATACGTAGAGTCCAGAGAAAAGGGGACTCCAGATGAGGGAGGTTTGTGGCCAGAAGTACAGCATGAGACATGAATGAGAATAAACAAAGATTACAGGAATGTCTTGGCTCTGTGTGACCTCCATCATGGGACATGAAGCCACACGAAGCTAGGTGAGAGCCAGCATGTTAAAGCCCATGAATTTGAGCTGTAGGTAATGTTTAGGGGAGAGTCACTAAAGGGCTTTGAACGAGGAGAAAAACTATACTGACTGTTGAGTATAGAATGGATGGGAGAGCAAAAAGCAAGTGCTCTCCATTGAAACGACAGTCTTCAACTTTTAGAAGTAGGTATTTTTAAAATTGTCCAAATACTCCTGCACATGAAAATCAGCCTTAAATCTTCTTCACTCAATCTGTTTTAATTAAATGAAAGGCAGAAGAAAATGAGATCCACTGACTTTTACAGTGAGTCCCTCCCCACACTTCCTAAGCTGTAACATAGGCAGGGGCTGTAGCGAGAAACCAATTCAAGGGAAGACAATACGGAGCTGGTAAGATGGATGGGGGAAGTAATTACTAGATAGCTGGCTGCTTTAATTAAACCCTGAGAATACTTGAATAGAAAGAAAAATGCTACACTTGAATGGATGGGATGGAATGTGTGTGGTCACATTAGTGCAATGAACCAGTGTCAGAGGAATTTATGAAGCTGTGATAAAAGTAAACCCTTCATCTTGCTTTGAGTCTTCACAACTCCATAACCAGGCCCCAAAGGGTGAAGGGGGATGTTTTTCATGGCAAAGTGAAATTCCGTATTAACATTTCTCTGTTTTTCTAAAAAAAGAAGAATGCATTCTTCAGTTTAGTCTTCTGCTTTTAAGACGTACCTCTGAATGAAGCTTGAATTCACCTTTGAGTGTGTCATTTGTGTATCATTTTCTAGCTAGAAAAAAATGTAAGATTCTCAATGTCAGTTTTAGAAAAATATTGACTTAGGAAGAAAATTATGTTTTTACAAATGTAACAATACAAAAATTACAAGTTGCATGCCTTTCTGATTTCAACATCCTTTTGAACCTCAGCTCCCCAACTCTGTCCAGCATAGCTAGATAGTGGGACAGATTTTGGTAAAAGGACATCTAAATGAAGTATTAACATTCCCGGAGTGTTCTAAAAAGTTTTGTTGTGGGTTCTGGTTTCTAATATGTTTTAGTCTCTTCCAAGAGGGTGAACACTGGCTACATTCTCCTGAGATAGAATAATTCCAGGGCGCTATGCATCCTGGAAAACTGTGCTCATATCTTGATTAGGAGACTGCCCCGGGACGCTAGTTCTGAGGCTAATAAGCAAGAGCCCAGTGAGTTACTAAGAAAGGTCTCACTCTTAACGTACGCAATAGCCTCTTCTTGAGTAAAAAAGAAAATTAATTTTATGCAACAAGAGCCATTGTCCTTAGGTCACCTCATGTAATTCTGTTACAAGCCTACGGAGTTAATGTTATCACTCCATTTTACAGAGGAAGGTTCTGAAGTCTTGAGAGGTTATCTTACCAAAGGCCACATAGCAGTAGGGGCAGAGCTGAGATATGAACCTGTATCTATTTGACCCCGAAGTCTCCATCCTTTTCCTCTTGCCATGTCGCCACACTATGGTACACAAAAGGAAAAAGTTGATAAAGAGAAAATATATCCCAAAAAGTGGGTTGGAGAAAAAGGAAAACAGGAGTGCATGTTACGGAGTGATAACAGTGCTTCTACACTGAATGTTAATAAAAATAATAATAGAAATGGCAGCATGTGTTTAACATTGATTATATATCAGGTATTGGTGAAATGCTTTCTTATCTCATGTTATCCCTAACAACAGCCTTATAAATTAGGTGCCATTATTATCCACATCTTACAAAGAAAACTAAGGTAAAGAAATGTTAAACAACTTTCTCACAGTTGTCTAATATTTCATCAGTAAGGATACAAAAATTCAACTCCACGTAGTCTGGGTCTTATATTTTATGATCCATATTGTGGATAGGCTATTATAAGTGGTTACTAATGTTGTAGTGTAATTCATAGGGTAGAGACAATTTTTTTAGATAACTTAGTTTGGGGCAGACATTTACCATCATCCTTAATGCCAGATGATGTTTTAATCAAGTTTTCACAAGGCACTGAAGAAGGGTACATGGTAGCCAGCCGAGTGCTTGAGTTGAATGTAGCCAAGAAGAGGTTCTGTACCACTCAACAGCAATGCAGCTTTAGAAAGGTAGCCTCCCAGGATAAAGAGCCATCAGAAACAAAGAGCGTAACATATGGAAAAAGATCTAAGGATTTTACTTGATGATGATTTTTATTCATGCCACACTGTAAACTCTGTGAGAGCAGGGAACTTCAATTGTCTTATGTACTACTTTATCTCCTGGGCCTAGCGTAGTTTGGGGTACATGGTACAGAATCAAGAAATAGTGCGGAAGGAAGGGAGGAAGGAAGAAAGGAAAGGAAGGAAGGAAGGAAGGAAGAAAGGAAGGAAGATGGATTTTAAAAAGCTATTAACTATTTAGGTTGTATGAGTAGAGACAGAAAGTCTAGAATAAGGGATATGTTTGTTCTGTTGTATTTATTCTGTCCTGGTCAGACAGCTGGTTAACTCTGTTAATATTTGGATGTCATTTACATGTAGGCCATTGAGCTTCTGTATTGAGAGTAATTAAGGTGCTGAATGGAATAACATGTTATATGAGAGAGCAGGGACTGATGTTTTAGTAAGTGACTTCTGTGTGTCAAGCAGTGTTAGATGCTTTCTCTGTCTTATCTGATTTAGTTCTCAAAGTAGCCAAGATCACTAAATGGTATTATCCTTATTTTACAGAAAGGAAACTCTACTCAGGAAAGTGAATATACTTGCCCAGTATCACATGGTAGTTGAACTAAAAGCCTCAAGCTCTTTCCACCTAAGTGTCCTCTTACCTGTATAAAAAACTTGGCCTGCCTCTGTAATCTCAGCACCTTGGGAAGCCAAAGTGGGAAGATTGCTTGAGTCCAGGAATTTGAGACTAGCCTGAGCAACATGGTGAGACCCTGTCTCTGAAAAAATTATTGAAAATTAGCTGGATGTGGTGGCCCATGCCTGTGGTCTCAGCTACTTAGGAGGCTGAAGCAAGAGGATTGCTCAAACCCAGGAAATTGAGGCTGCAGTGAGTCATGTTTGTGCCACAGCACTCCATCCTGGGTGACAGAACAAGACTGTCTCAAAATAAATAAATAAATAAATAACAAAACAAAATTTTTTCAGCCTAGAGAAAAACCCACTAAGAGGGGAGGTTCAACAAAGAAGCTAAACCATGCCCCTTCCATGGCTGAAATTCTATGATACTACAGCATTTTGAAGCTTCTCAAATACTAAAAAACAGTAAGAGACTGTGAGCAGTTATTCTGTGTGGTCTAGGAGAGGAGGTGAGGAGTAAACCACAGGGGGGTGGATCTGTAGTTGGCAGATTATAGTTCAACTTGAAGCAAAACTTTTTAAATGATGAGCTCTGAAGCACTCTTTCTAAATGGAGGGTGCTTAATGGTAAGGAAGGATGTTCCCTGTCATCAAAAGGATTTAGACAAAGGCTGGACTGCTACCATGGTATGCAGTAGTGCTGTGCACTTCATTACTATAAGTTTAAATTTAATTAAAATTAAATAAAATTAAAAGTTCCTCAGTTGCATTAGCCACACTTCAAATGCTCATTAGTCACACATGGCTAGTGGCTATCAATTAGTGCAGTGCAGAACCTTTCCATCGTCACAGAAATTTCAACTGGATAGTGTTGCTACAGAGTTGACAGGAAAGGCTTTTGGACCCTAGTTCCTTTTTGCTCTGAAATTCTATGTTTCTTTGAACAATTTCCATAAATCATCATTTCTTACTAAATAATCATTAGTTTTGTTGTGTCCATACTGACACTGATTTTTCATGATCTTATTGAGCTATACCCCAGCATGTGTACCCATTCACGTATTTTGGAGTGCTCATTAATCAGCTATGGATACAATTTTGGGCCTTTGGAGTCACTGCTAACTAAATAGGTATCCCCTATACAGATGTTCAGAACACCCAACTGGACACTTCTGTTCCCAAAGAGATTCCTTCCAATGCCGTTTCTCTAAGTCTTTACTCTCATTTCTCTTTGCAAATTGGTCCTCTTTGCAAATTGGTCATTCCTAAAGGAAATGAATTTGATAGCAGATTGTTAGAGATTAATTACCTATCATATGCCAAAGCCACTTCCTACATGTCAGTGCTAAGGAATCCCCTAGAGATGGAATTCCTAGGTTCAACTGAAAATTAATTGTAATTAATATAATAGGTTAATTCATTGTAATTATTTTTAAGCCTTTTGGCAATGAGTTAATTCCACAAGATCCACATTGCTTGAAGTGTCACAGAGAACACTTGATGAGAATGTTCTAGTAATAAACCTTAACCCTCTGGGGAAAAAATCCTACTGTCTTTCCTTCTGGCTTCGTTTCTTCTGGAACATATTTTGGTGGCATTTGATTTCTGGAGAACAAAGGGATCCCTACAAGGTGATGCATAAACATGCGTGGCCCAGATGGACTGTGCTCATTGGAGACAGGGAAAACAAAAGGCCTTTGATTGTGCCTCGTTTTCTTTGGAAGTGTGTCTTGCTTCAGACTAACAGAATGCCTTTGCTCCTAGAATAAAATGTAATGGAACTGAAAATTGAAGAATCTGGGCCTTTTTCCCTTTCCTAATTATTTCCACTTGACTCACTTAATCTTGGACGATTATTCAGTCATATCTGAAATGAGAAAATGACGGGAGTAAAATTTCCATCTCTTGTTACAAGGGCTTATAAACATTAACAGAATAATCCTGTACAAAAAAAAAAAAAAAAAAAAAACAAATACAAATCACAATTGATGGTGCCTTGTTTTTATAGATTAGAAAAAAATCCCCGCATTGTTAGGGAAGCAGCTCAAATTTCGGCATGCAGTAACCTTGTCAAACCTTGATAGGTGATTTCACTAGTAAGGTTGAAAAACTATCATTTTAAACAAATATTTCATAATGGGAGATTGTATAAAAATGAAGGAGCCAACTTGTTTACTTGCAACTGGATAGGTTGGGAAATTAAGCCCTAAAATAGTTCCTTGAAGATCAGAATCACTAACACTCAGAGGCTCACAAATTGGTTTCCGAGCCTTGGAGTTGTCACAAGTCTATGTCCATGAGCCTTCCTGCAGGTGTAAGAATAAAAGGATTCAAGCAATTCTAATAGTTTCTGAGGGTTAGATTAGGACTCAATGTACAAAAAGTCTTTTTGACAACTGGAGCTGTCTAAAATTGCAGCTAACAACCAAGATGAGGACGTTGCCCCTTACTATACAGTAACAAGCAGCAAAGACTGACAAGCCACTTACAGGTTGCTGTCAGGGAAGTTGGGCATAAGATGGAGGTTTGGACACAGTGACATCTGAAGCCCCTTTCAGTCCTTATTGTTCTGGCAAATTAAGGTCTTAGTTTTAATTTAGTCTCCACACTTAGGCTTTTGGTATTATCCGGGATGGTTCAGAACACCCCACTTTCATTAAACATCTACTTTCCATACTCCTGCTGTACAAAGTTGGCAAAGCAGGTACAGGAGAGAAATGAATGAATCTCATCAGAGCATCTTTTTAAGTGCTGCTGATTGCCTCTCGACATTCTTGAACCAAATCAGAGTAAGTTTAGAATGCCTTCCCCACAAGCCCACTGTGAGCCAAGGATTCAGGTGCATGTGATTTATGAAGGACGCACTTGCAAGAGAACTCAGGAGAGGATGGGGAAAGGGGAAAAAGCAAGGCATGGGTGCCAATTCAGGTAGTCTCAGCCTAGCCCAATCCCACAGGGAGCTCTGGAACATAACGTCTCAGCATTTGTCTCACTTTGAGGCAAAGGAGCACTGTTTAGTAGTGTGTGTGTGTGTGTGTGTGTGTGTGTGTCTGTGTGTGTGTGTGTGTGTTTGGGGGGTGGAGGATGCTAGCCATTGGCTCTAAAGTACACAGAAACTGGGGCACGGACACACCAAAGCTGAGGGGCGGCAGCACATTGCTAATCGAAGGGATCAGAGGGGCGCTGGGTGGGGCATCAGTAGTTTCTGCCACATTTATATCACCTGTAATCTTTGAAAATTCTCCATTAGGAAAGTAAATTACGAAAGGATCACGTTGTCTATTTTAGACATATTCACTAACTAGGAGATTGTAGCTTCCTTTACATAAAGAATTGTGGCTCCTTCTTAGAAATCCAATCGGCAGTTAGTGATTAAATGATTTACCATGATGCTGGTCCCACACTGCTGGCTGCTGTGGAGTTTTAAAAGATTAAGAGGCAGTCAGCCTAGCCCTCGTGGACTGACCAACACAATTGTACAGATTAAATTTATAACAAGAAACAAAGCCCCAGTGCACATGTCCAATCACAGGAGTGTTGAAAGTGGATTCTGCAGTTCTTCTTGTACCCTGAGAGGCGCAGTGTGGACTGGTCTGGTCAGGGGAGTGTTGAAAGTGGATTCTGCAGTTCTTCTTGTACCCTGAGAGGCCCAGTGTGGACTGGTCTGGTCAGGGGAGGTTTCATTCAGGAGGTGAGTCATAAACAGGATCTTGGAGGAGTTACATTAGGAGGAGGGAGTCCGTTCCGGGCAGGAAGAATGAATAGTATGCTACGTGGGAAGTTTGCAGACAGTGAGATAGGCTCTTTTCAGGACCCAGGGAAATATGCATTTATGGTACGTGGTACAGTCACAGTATGGAGGTGCTTAATGTCTTAGCCTTTTGAGACTTGCGTGTTAAGCAGTACATGAAGATATTTGTACCTTGAGTATAGCACGATAAACTCAATTTTAGGAGAGTCCATTTGATATCACAGGATGGATTGGTGAGAGACGAGAGCCTGAGGCAGAAATGCAGCAAGGAGTTGGTATTCGTGGTCCGGCCCCATCGTGCTCTGTGAACCCACCCTCTGTGTGCAGGTACCTGCAGGTTCTCTCCGCCTGGATGTCCAGGAGTCATCTCAGTGTTAACACATTCAAAACCAAATTGCTGATTTACCTCCAACCTGCTCCTTCTGTGATCTCCTTTGCTGTTCCTCGGGCCAAAACTTAAGGCCATGCTTGGCTCCTGTGTTTCTCTCATATTACACAGTGAATTCAGCTCGACCTTCGAAAGAGCACTTTTGAAGGTCGAGCAATTCAGCTGGACCACTTCTCACCCCCTCTGGTTCCCTCAAGCCGTTGGCATCTTTCATCCAGATTGTTGTAATAGCCCCTAACCAGACACACTTGTCCTCTTCCGGTATTCTGCACAGTAATCAGAGTGAATCTTTTATAAGATAAACCACTTTGTTTCCTGCTTACACACTTCCAGTGGTTCACCATTACAAGGAAAGCAAATACGGAATCTTCATGTGCTTGAAGGCCTCACATGATCTGACCTCTGGCAATTTGTCCAGCCCTGCATCCTGCACCCTTCCTCTTGCTCCCTTGCTCACTCCTCTCCAATGACTGTTTTCAGAACCCATCAGTTTGTTTCCTCGGTAGATTTCATGCCTTTCTCCATATCTTGCTCCATCGCTTCATTCAGGTTTCAGCCCAGAATGTCCAGTCTACAGAGGCCTTCCCTGACCTCCACATCTAGAATAGCATGTGGGGAGCATGTAGATAGAGGTGTGCATCATCCCTACAGAGTATGACTGAGCTCTCTGGAAGGAGTGAGGACCAAAAAAATGACAGTGGAAGAATGGGGAAGAGGAAGAGAAAGGGAAGGAAGTCAGAATCAGGAGAAAGAGTAAAGGGAGGTATCCTGTCTTAGCAAGGGATACTGAGTTCAGTGACTCCCTGGGTCAAGATCATCTCATTCAGGATCAGAAAGTTACCATGACAGTGCCCCATCCTGAGAACCAGGGGTGATCGTCAAGGGAAAGGAGACGGGGCCCTGGGACCACTGTGTGTGTGCTTAGGATGCAAATGGTGAGGAATGATGAGCACCATGCTTTATTTTTGTCAATTGCAGGCATTCATGTTACTAGGCCAGGATGCAACCAAGTGACAAACCTGCAGGGGAGGGGACAGTGAAAACCAAACAGAAGTGGTCCATTCTGTTTTATTGCTTCAATCTCTACTCCAACAAAGACCGCTTTCCCTAAAGGGCATGGTGTCAGAATATACACAGTGGTGATAAGGTATGCTAGAGACTTTTCCAGAGAACTTGGCTACCCAGGTTCTTTCCCTCCTAGAACAAGCTCTGAATGACAGGCTTCCGGCTAGAATATCAAAGAGTCAGGCGGGGCTCAGTGGCTCATGCCTGTAATCCCAGCACTTTGGGAGGCCGAGGCGGACGGATCACAAGGTCAGGAGATCAAGACTATCCTAGCTAACATGGTGAAACCCCATCTCTACTAAAAATAGCAAAAAAAAAAAAAAGAAAAAAATTTAACCGGGCGTGGCGGCAGGCGCCTATAGTCCCAGCTACTCGGGAGGCTGAGGCAGGAGAATGGCATGAACCTGGGAGGCAGAGCTTGCAGTGAGCCGAGATCGCGCCACTGCACTCCGGCCTGGGAGACAGAGCAAGACTCCGTCTCAAAAAAAAAAAAAAGAGTCATAAGAGGAAGAGAAACTGTGTTAGCCTGTGCAGTGTAGTGTGGTGTGGACACAAGGAGAAAGTTGGGGGTGGGCTGTTTTATGAGCCAGTATAATGTAATGTCTGAGAGCATAATTTGGGATTCCCTCTAACACACCGAAATCCAAGCCTGACATTTAGTAGCTGTGTAATTTATTTTAGATTTCTCATCTCTACAGTGGAAGTCACAATAGTATGTACTCCATAGAGTTGTGAGGCACACAGTATCCAACACACTGTAGAGATTGGTGTATATTTATTTAATTGAAATGCAGTGTTTAAAAGTGCTTCCTGTTGACTATGCACATCCAGCCCTTTTCTGTGGGATTCAACCGCACGATGCTTTCTCCTTCCTGACCTGAAACAAACGGTCATATGGTAGTGGTTTTAAAGCACATTGTAATAGTATCTGTATCAGTCAGGGTTCTCCAGAAAAAGAGACTCACCAAGATAAATATCTATATATTATGTGTGTAGGAGTGTGGAGAGAGATAATAATTTCAAGAAATTGGCTTCTGAGATTATGGGGGCTGACAAGTCAGAAATTTGTAGGGCAGGCCGAAAACTCTTGGGCAAGAACTGATGCTGCATTCCAGAGGCAGAATTTATTCTTTTTTTAGTGAAACTTTAGTTTCTTTTGCTCTTCAGGCTTTTCACTGATTGGATGAGTCTTGCCCAGATTGTAGGGGATAATCTTCTGTTTTTAAAGTCAACTGACTGTAGATGTTAAGCCCATCAAGAGAATTCCACAGTACAGCAGTCACACACCTAGATGAGTGATTGAATAACTGGATACTAAAGTCTAGCACGTTAACACCTAAAACTAACCAGCACAGTAGTCACACCTCACAGCTCATATGGGCTCTCAAAGAAGGGGAGACAAAGTGCCTATGAGACTGTGGATATTTATGGTGGAGCCCCTGTAAGAGTTTCCTATTGTACCAAGACTAAGAGACTTATTGGGGAATGCAGGGTGACCTCAGACCTCATTTCTTCCTTCTCTCTCAGTGTTACACCCCACCCCAGCCATGCTGACCTCCTTGAAATTCCCTCCTTCTGGAACTCTCTTGCTCTTCATCCTTAGCTAATTTCTCCAACTCCTCAAGTCTTTCCTCAAATATCTCTTCTCAAAAAGGTCAAAATTCCCCCTATCACTCCCAATCTCATCTACCTTTATCTTCTTTTTCTTTTTTCCATAGCACTTGGCACCTTCTCTACAATTTATTTAGTTAGTTTACTGTTTATTATCTGACTTCTCTAGAATGTAAACTTCTCTGAAGGAGTCTTTGTTTTGATTGCTGTTGTATTTCTGGCCCCTAGAACAGTGCCTGGCATATGGTTGAGGCCCAATAAATATTTGTTCGACAAATGAATGAGAAGGATACATCAGGGCAGAGCCACTCTGGAACCAATGGAGTGTGGTTAGGGCAGCTGAGCTGAATGATTCCAGGAACGCCGTTCACATAGATTACAATGTGAACAAAGGTCCTTGGTGTCATGCAACACGGCAGTCCTTTGAAATAGGTGAATTGACAATCAGTGGTTTCAAATTCCACTTTTCTCCGCAAAGAGCAGTCAAGGCTTTGTAAAGGGCAAGTTCTTTGCTCTCTGCTAACAGCAGGTAATAAACTAGACTGAAATTTTTTAACCTTTTTTATCCCTGTGAAAGAAAATACAATCCAAGTTGTTTTTAAGAAATGAGCCTCATTTAACCATGTATTATTATGAGGTCTGAAGAAAGTCAGATGTGTTATATAGGAAATTTAAGAATTTCTTCGCGTTTATGGCCCTGGGCTTAATGGTTACTTCTCACAGGAGATAACATAAACTTTTAAGGTCCAGATGTCCCAAGGAGGCTTCTTAGAAAATTGCCAAGATATTTTATGATGACAACAAGCTACAAAACATGACATATTCATCCCTGCATAAGTTGGAACTTACCTTCCCAGTATCTCCAAGTCCAATGACTTGCAGACATTCCTAGCATTTGTAGGTATCCTCTCCTCCTGTGACTTTTCCTAGTATCTGCTAACTAGATGCCCAAAGTCACTACTTCAGAAAGATCTTTATTCGTCACAGTTGATCAAGGAAGATGAGATAGTAAGGTTTCTGTTCCTATATTTAAAAATGCTAGGTTTTTATAATTCGCTGTTTCCACAGTTCATTTCCTCTTTCCATAAACAGAAAACTATTAGTTTCTCCTCATAAAAATTCTTAGAGACTAGTGGTTCCAAGAGTGAAATCCCAAGACCAGTAGAAGCATCATCACCTGGGAACTTAGAAACGCATCGCAGACCTACTGAATGAGCAGCTCTGGGGTGGGGCGCTGCAGGTGATTCTGATACATCCCCAAGATTGGGAACCACAAGTAAAGACCCTCCCTCCTGTCACTGAAAAATTTCCCTCTATCTTCTTTAACTATTCCTGACAGCTAAGAAGATGTTGGTAAAATATACATTATGCAGTTTTTTAAATAAATAGTTGGGCTTCTTATTCCAAATATAAAACTATGTTACATTGAAAGACACCCCTCCCAAGAGATTCTGCTATGTGCCTCCTGCCTCACCCTTTAGATCATTCCTGTACTAGAGAATGTTTAAAAACCTTAAGGGATCTGAAAGCCCCTTTCCTGGTCTGAAGATCTGTGAGGGACACTACACTTCCATATCATGACTGCGTTTCTATGCATACGGCTCTCCTTTGGAAATTTTACTTAAGGTTCCTAAGCTTGTTCAATTTAAGAAGCCCTTTCTAGAACCATGCCTAATCCCAGAGAAAACCAAATTAACTCTCACCACAAAGTTGTATGGACTCACACTGTTGGAAAACATGAATATTTAGTGAAGCTAAGAAAGAATTGCCCGTCTTTGATGCCAGAAGTAACCCTAGCCGTGAAATTCCTTGCAAAGACCTCGTTGGTACGGGTAACTATAAAACCCTAGAGTAGTTGGTAATAGAAAGCAGAAAAGCATCCATGTCTGCCCTTGGTAAAACATGTGGACCCCAGATCATATTTTAATGATAGAAGATAAATTAAAAGTGATCACCAGAACTCATTCCAAGCCTTGAATTTTTTTTTCCAGTTTTTCTTACACGGCATGTATTAGGTTAGTACAAAAATAACAAACATACCTTCCAAAGGTCCTGAAAGAGTTAGTTAGGCACTAATACAGAGAGTCCTGGTCAGAGACTGGAATGTGCCACAGCTGAGGAAATTACAACAAAGTGATGTCTCAGTCACTACCTGTGTTAAATGTCCCTTCCCTGTATTTAGGGTCACTGTGCCACTTTCATATCCTTGGGCTAAGACCTGGACATGCATTTGTCTCTTTATGAAGCTTTCTGAGACCCAAGAAATACTTCTCTCTAAACAGTAACTTACTGTTGTATGTGTGTGTTTGTCTTTCTTTCTGATCAGAATTTGGTCATCGTCATTGCCAGTGGTGTGCTGGTAATGTATAGCAACCAGCTCTTTAGATGGAAAAAGCCTGTTTGTAGAATTGCCAATTTCCATGGTGTAAATACTTCACTATGACCGATTTCAAGCTATCAGTCTATCATCATTGCATGGAAAGTTTGGAAAAGACGCACAAAATTGACACCTCAGATTGGTGCGAGCCAGCTTTGGCACATCATTTGAATGTAGAAAATTTGGAAAGTGTTAAGCGCGTGCCTAATTGAAGAGACTACCCAGACAGGCTAAGTGTGAGCAACAAGGCTGTTTATTCACTCCGGTGCGAGCGGGCTGAGTCTGAAAAGGGAGTCAGCGAAGGGCGGTGGGAGTGGAACTGGTTTTATAGGTTTGGGATAGGTAGTGGAAGGTTACAGTTGGGGCAGTCTTTTCGGGCAGGGGAAGAATGTCACAAGGTGCGTAGTCACGAGGTGGAGGGAGTTCACATGGCAGGATATCACAAGGCCGATTGATTATTTAGGGTAGGGCAGGAACATATCACAATGGTGGAATGTTGCAAGTTCGGTTAATCAGTTAAGGCAGGAGCTAGCTGTTTCTTCTTCTTTAGTGGTTCTCCTGTTGCTCAAAGCTTTGTGACTCCAGGAGGCCTGGACCTGTGTGTCGCAGGGGTCACAATGGCTCAACCGTGGTGTGGCCCGTTCAGAGGACCTTACAGAAAGCAGAAGAAAGGACTTTAAAAAAGGGAAGGAAATAAATTCATAATAGTACTACTGAAAGCAAAAATCAGTTGTAATGTTCAATTATATTACTTTCTGATATTTTGTCTGTGTATTTTTATGTAATTATCATTTTGTATATATATAAAACTTTGAGTTTTGCTTTTATGTTCATGAATACCATTTTAATGGTTGCATAATAGTCCATCAAATTGAGGTAAAATCATTGATTAGCCCTATTTGTGGACATTTAAGACATTTTAAGTTACATTTTCTGATTAGGTATTGCTATAAATAATGCTATTTGTTTTATATATATATGTGTATATTTTGGGGGGGGTACAAATCTTCTTTAACACCTCTGGCTATTTCCTTAAGACAAGTTCTAGAATCAAATTATTTCAATTATGGACCTTGAAAAAATATTCCCACATACCATCTAGACTGTTTGTACCAATATTCACTCCTATGAACATTGTTGAACAATGCCTCTCTCACTGTACCTTCATTACTGTTTTTTTTTAAGTTTTTGATAATTCAGCAAGTAAAAAGACGTTTTAACATTGCACTTCTTTGCAAGTGTGCAAACATTTTTCACGCTTATTATCATTTCTGTTTCTCCTTTTTTTTTTTTTTTTAACAGTTTCTGTTCAAGTCAAGGCTTTATCCAACGTCTCCTTCCCATTTCCACCTCCCCACCTTTTATCTCTGGTTTCATCTTCTATTTCTCTTCCCCAGGCCCCAGGCTCACCCTGCTTGACTCTTACTTCTCCGCACAACCACAGGGTAGGCAGGTTCTTCCCCCATAGGTCTGTACGGCTTATTCCTCACTTCTTTCAAAGCTTTTTATAAATGCCATCTTCAAGAGGCTTTCCTTGATCTCCTATCTAAAGCTGCCACCCCTTATTCCTACTCACTGTCTCGCTTCTCCGCATCACTTTTCTCCATAGCATTTATCACCATCTGAGGTTGTATATGTTTTATTTGTTCATCATCTGCTTCCCCATCTAGAGTCTAACTTTGACAAAAGCAGTCAGTATTCCTAGGGTCTAGAGAAGTATGTAACAAACACTTAATAAATATTTGTTGACTGCATAAGCATACTCTAGCTCTATATCTAAAGGTTTAGTCTTGTCTTTATAAAATCCATTTATACACACACTCTTTAAATACCAAAGATGATTACCATTTGCAATATTTGTAACAAATACATTTCTAGATTGCTTTTAAGGTATTATGTTTTTGTACAAGCAGAACGTTAATATTTTTATGTCACTAAATCTTACATTGTTTTTTTTTTCCATTTCAATTACACTTAAAAAATTCTTATTCATTAAAAGATCAGATAACTTTTCACCTAGTTTATTTTAGCATTTTTTATTGTTTGATTTTTTTTTTACATGTAACTCTTTAATGTATAAGATCTAAATTGTTCTGTTTTTATGTAACTGACTGTTGGAGTTTTGTTACTGTTAATCACATTGTTTTATCTTTGAATCATGCCATAATATATTAAAATTTAACTTGAGTATTTTCCTTTCATGGAAAATCTATAGGAGTTAAATCTCAATGGGCATTTCTTAATCATCTCTGGGATGTTTTCATGACAGTGTTTCTATTTTAAAAGCACTTTCCAAGATGGACTAAATCTACTTGAGTTTGTTGTTGTTATCGTTACAAGTTCTGATAAGATACGGAGCAAATAAAAGGAAGTATAATAGGAAGTTGAGTTGCCAGAAGTGGAAATATCAAGGACTGAAGTCAAATCCGCCTCTAGCCACATTTTTCCAGAAGCTCTTGCCAGGTGTTATTAGGATTGGAGAACTGATCCTTTTATTGACACTCTGTTAAGCTCTGTGCCTTACCCGTAGTTGCTGCTTGATAAATTTTTGTGGGCTGAGTTGCACTGATAGAGCATGATGCCTTCCCAGGAAAATATTCCAAGGACCGGCTCTCCTTATCGATGTCTCTTCCGTTTTGTCCTCTTAGTTGCGGTCCAGCACAGAGCTCCATCCAGACCTGCTCACAGATTGCCTCACCGTGCAGTCCCTGCAGCCGGCCACTTCCCCTAGAGATGCTGCTGCTGAAGGGACCGTGGGACGCTCCCCTGGACCCGGGCCTGACCTCTATTCAGGTAAAGACAGCAAAGGCAGAGCCAACCACAACTACCCTTTTTTAGGCCTTTTACTCTGGTTAAAAGGAATGCTCACGTGAGAAAAATTTTCCTAAGATCGTCTGTGTTGTTCTTTATCAATGGGCTGCAAATTGCTCTCCACCCCTTCTGATTCCTGAGCTGGGTGTGGCAGCAGATTGTTTTTTCTCATAAAGAAATAAAATAAAATAATGCATTACCTCTTTTAGTTATGGACTTCTGCCAGAAATTCAGTGTACCCAACCCTCGCAGTTATGTTACATTTACTCACTTGATTTAGACTCGAAGGAAATGTTTCCTCCTTAAGCAGGTAGCAGGCTGCGTGTGGATTTCTTAATGAAACAGTTGTTGTCATCTTTATGTTTTAAAAGGAAGCCCCAGGTCTCTAAGGAAATTTTCACATCAGCAAACCAACTTATAAGAATGTTCATTCATGTTTGCCAACCATTGTGGGAAAGGAGATGGGATGACACTCCCAGACCACCTTCCATCTGCCTAGGTTTGAATAATAGGTGACTATATTTGGAAAATTACATGTATGTAGTAAAAAACAAAAAAAATAAGAAAAGATTAATATACCATAAGGAAGTTATTTTTCTTTTACTCAGCCTGGATTTTTATGCATTTTCTACTCTCTGTAATGGTGATATACTTATGCAAACATAATTAGTGATTGTCCTTACATATGGAACACTCTTACAGTCATGCTATGAAGATGAGAAAAAAGATTTACCAGCTCCACATTCCAGACAATGAGAATTTTCTATTTTCTGTGGGTTGCAGATACTACCCCCACCCCCATCTGATTCCAGAGCCAGGTTTGGCAGCAGACTGTTTTTTTCTTTCGAAAAGTATGAATAAGCCATTAGAATTTAAAATTTACAGATGCATTGCAGTGGAATGGGAGAAAGACATCCTTGTACAACGTTTTAAATTTGACAGTTCTCAGTTGATTCAGATGCAGAGAGAAAGGGCAGTAAGCAAGTATTGCAAGAGCATCAGTCATCAAAACTGGGCCTTAATCATGGCCCATTGGACCTTTATCAGTTGCTTTAAGCACTTACTGTTGGGGACAACATAGCCTCTGCTTTTTGAGACACAGGGAGATGAGACGAAGAAGGGTTGACCAAACTTACAGAGGTTTCAGGTACAGGTTCATATACAGACATCAAATATATCAATGTGCAGTGTTACCAACACATACATAAATATTTTGTATTAAATATATATATATATATGAAAAACCATGACTAGCTTTTGTTTTTGTGTGTCTGATTTGTTCAGTATTTGATATATGAACATTTATTTCAGCACATTAAATTAGCAAACAATTTTAAACAGCCTATAAAGCATTCCCCTACTACTTCAGTTCATTAATCTATGATCTTACTAAGACCTGGAACCCAATAGTCAACAGTCAACACTAACCAGAAGTGATTGAAAAATGGCCTAACATACAATATAAATGGTTTCTAGTGATGGGCTAGTCTGGCTGTATTTAATCCTCTCAGAAATGGGTTTGGGAAGCAATGCTATCCATATCTATGGAAAACATTAGCACCTTTGTTGTATGTAGCATACAGCATATGGCTCATTTTCGAAACTGTCACATTTGTCTTGGTGTCTGTTTTTATATGTCTGGTAGTGTTTTTAAAGCTTTAGAGTTTTAAATATTTTAAGGTTCAGCTTGAAATGTTTTTGTCATTCCA
Source organism: Homo sapiens (assembly GCF_000001405.40). Taxonomy (NCBI): domain Eukaryota; kingdom Metazoa; phylum Chordata; class Mammalia; order Primates; family Hominidae; genus Homo; species Homo sapiens. Next base: position 3,896,963 of record NC_000009.12, on the reverse strand, counting down.
AGCAAATGTCCACTTTTTGTCCATGACTCTATTCTATATTCGGTCCTCAAAAAGATTTTGAGCTCTGGAATTAGAGCCTCCGGCTGTGGTAGGTTTGCCTCCTAAGGGGCAAGGATACCTAAGTTGCTCCAGCCATCAGTGGAGTGTCTTCAGGTTGACCCACATTTTCCGTAACTCTTGAGAACACTTGAAACATGCAGATGATCATGTTGCTCAACTTTGTTCCCAGAATTTTACTTCTCCAGGTACCTTATGACTGTGAAAGTTTACCCTCTCTACTTCTTTTTTTTTTTAATTGAGATGGGAGTCTCACTCTGTCAACCAGGCTGGACTGCAGTGGCACCATCTCAGCTCACTGCAACCTCTACCTCCCAGGTTCAAGCAATTCTCCTGCCTCAGCCTCCCTAGCAGCTGGGACTACAGGTGTGCACCACCACACCTGGGTAGTTTTTTGTATTTTTAGTAGAGACTGGATTTCACCATGTTGGCCAGGCTGGTCTCAAACTCCTGACCTCAGGTGATCCACCCACCTCGGCCTCCAAAAGTGCTGGGATTACAGGCATGAGCCACTGTGCTCGGGCCCTACTTCTTTCCTTATTCCTCCTTCCCTCAGGTATGATTTTGCTTTCTAACTTTCTTCCTTTTAAAAAAATGTTACGCCTTTTGTTTTGCAGAGTAGGCAACAAACCAAGAGGCAGAACCAGGCAGGGGAAAAAATTACAAAACAAAAATTTAAGCCTTTCTTTTAAAGTTCTAGAAATGTGCTTGTGTGGAGTGCATATTAACATCCACTGCAAACCTTCGCCCTAGATCTATGGAAAGAAGCCAAACCATGAAAAATGCCAAAGGTGCAAAAGGAAACTTCATCAATTAGTTAAATGTAAAATCTGAAGTGTTAAGACAATTTGATGAAGATTAAGACTTGGCTAAATAGCAAAAGTACTTGGAGTTATTCCCTTTTATGTTCTATTATACAAAATCAAGAAAATATTTGTTTAATGATTGTCAGGCACTTCTACCTTTAAGTGCTAGTAAATTAATTTATCACAAAAATATTTTGATGGAAACCCGTTGAGTATGTATGAGCATAGAATAGGAGGCAGTTAAATTTGGCATTGAGCACCATAATCTTTCAGAAGCCACAACGATTGAGGACTTGTGGTGTGAAGAAGTCATAGTTTTGCAATGGAAATTCTGGTCAAGTATATGATGCTTTATAACATTCTAAGAGAAGGATACTTTGCACAGCATGAAGATGAACAGGGAAGATGGCAGTTCTGGAACATACAAGTCTTGCACTTCTCCTGAAGTGTTGCCTTCCCTCATTGAAACAAACTTTTCAGGTTGAAAAGAAAGACAGAGCTTGATTGGAAAGGATTGCCTGAAAATACTTTTATTTCTGTGAAAGATAATAGCGTCCCAGGTTAAAGCAGCCAAATATCACTTGAGGCCATGCTGAGGATGACTTTCATAAAATTAAGGTGTTTACTTGTCTACTATTCTGAAAATCCCAGGCCTCCCCAAGCCTGCTCCTGAGCTCACCTGAGAGCAGTGTTGTAACCTAACAAACAGGAAGGCCAAGGCAGCAATAAGCAGGCCTCAAGGATGGCTCATTTATATTTTTTGCCCTTTTGTTCAAAGGTTCTGTGTTCCATATAATAATGCCCCAGGCCAGGCCTGTAAATTTAGATGATTTATCTGATAGTCTAAGAGGGACTATTTCATAGCCTGTTGATCGAAGTGTGAATGCCACTTTCAAGGCTTAGTGCTTGTATATCTTCTGGTGAACACCTGTGATGAACTAATGATATATAGAAGCCCATATTTGGTGAGTCTGAGATATCATGGACAGTGTGGAACAGTGCCTGGTCTTGGCAGGGAGTCCATTTATTAACAGTGAATGCTGTATGGAAGATGATCTGTCCCATGAATGACCACAAAAATTATGGCTCCTTTCAAACCGAAGCTGTACTACAGATTCAGTAAAACATGACCTTAGCAAATGACCTAAGCCATGAAGACATCATAGAGGCCAGTGTGGTTGAGATGTTTGAGTCCCACAGAAACTACTCATCAAGGATGAGCTAACACAGCTGGAACAAGAGAAATCTACGAGAAGAAGGGAATTTTATTGATTCCAATTGTACTGGGTTATAAAATAATTGTTATGTTTAGAGCTTACAATTCCTGTTGAATTATCCAAATTTTGAATGTAACCTTAGATTTTTAAGAAAAAAAAAAAAATAGATGTTTTGTTCAGATAATATAGGGAAATGTAGAAGGAAAAATACTTTTTTTGGAGCAGGATTATTTGAAGTCACGTGTTATTCTCTTCACTTTACCCTCCTTACTGGGAGGTGACGGCTTCTCTCTTACAATATCATTACTTTTTGTAAGAAATAGCACCATATAAAAATCTATACAGGATTTAACAGAAATTTGTGAAATAGTTACTATTTCATTTTAATGTAATTTTATGGTACATGTTTTAATATGTTTTCTACATTCTTAAATTGAGTATATTTGCTGTCGTGGGACAGCTTGCAGAGTTGTGTTAGAAATAATTTTCTGTAAAAGTGCTTCATATAGTCTGTTCTCAGAAAATGGTTATTAAGTTAGAGATTTATTAGAGGGTTCTAAACTACCACACACATTTCCCAGTAGGTTAAACTTAATAGGAGAGTTGTGAAGATTAAACAACGTAACTATATGAAAGTCTTTAAAAAGACATAGAGCATTATAAAAATGCATAGTTATTACTTGCATTAACTTCAAAAGCACTGCTTTGTTTGGAATTCACAAAGGTGAAAAAGCAGCAGAACAATTTTGGAATTGGTCAGAAGGAGGTGGAAACTTGGGGGCACAAAAGGGATTTAAAGGTAAACATTTGGCAAAGTCTGTGTGAAGCATTCCTTTGAACTGCTATCAAAACCTTGCAGTTTTTGTAACCTCTCTTGCATCTGTGATGGTCCACCGAGTTAGATTGGAGAATGCAGTGAGGTCAGGAGCAAGCTTCATACTTCTCTGTTGTAGGCACTGGTCATTTTAAGCTGTTAATTGAGCCCCCACCTCTAGTCCTGAGCCAGTCCTTCAGTATGCATCAAATCACCTGGAAATCTTGTGAAAATACAGTTTGCTGGGCCCTACCCCCAGCGTTTCTGATTCAGAAGGTCTGAGTGAGTCCCAAGAATCTGAATTTGTGCCAGACAGTTCTAACAAGTTCCCAGGTGACACCACCAGGTGCTGCTGGTCCAGGTGCTGCTGCTGGTCAAATGTTTTTCAGCCTTTGAAAACCATTGCTCTGGATCATAAAATGTAGGCATATGACTTCTGGGAAAACATGACCTGAATTTTGACTGGGAGGAGTTAGAATTAGAATTGCACTGTAGTATCTAGTTCTGTTTCTCACTACATAAAACCTATAGGTGGATATTTTGCTTGTCACCCCACAGCAGCGTTATAATGACACTGCTCATATTTTGATTAAGAATGAGATCTTATAACCACTCAGCTGAAGAAAATGAAGACTCTGATTCCCAGCCAGCACAGGGCTCATCTGCATGTTTGCAGTTAATGTTAATGCCTTTAGATGTTTGCAGGCTGCTTAATTTGGTGCTTCAGTTTTTCATATCCACTTAGTCCCTTGTATTCATGTTAGTTTTTCATGCAAGATTAAGCTGAATTACCCAGTTTTACAATATGTGCAAGTTTTGCCGTAAAAATATTTTTGTAGGTGAGCAAAAACAATTCCGTACCTCATTGAGGAGGAGAGGCAAGTAGCGAGGCTGGGCAATTGCGGCTTTATCCTTATTGGGAAAAGTATTGGTTATTTTTGTATTATTATTTCTCCTATCGGAAGGTAGAGGGTGGGAGGAGGGAGAGGATCAGGAAAAACAAGTAGACTTAATACCTGGGCAGTGAAACAATGTGTACAACAAACCCCCATGACACAAGCTTATCTATATAACAAACCTGTACATGTGACCCTGAACTTAAAATAAAAGTTAGATGTGTATAATTTCACCAGTGATCAACTGGCACATGAGAAGAGAAGGCTGAGTCTATTATACTCTGAGGTGTACCTGAAGCAGGTCTTAAGAAGGTGGCAAAACAGAGAATTCAGGATAAAATTTCTGAAATGAGAAGCTAATACTTTTTATGGTTAAGAGGTTATAGACCAGACTGCTGAGTCTAAAGTTCTGACTTTCTGCTTCAACTGAATTTGCCTTCCAAGGAAAGAAAAACATAGGTGGTTATGTCTCTTTCCTGTGAAGAGTAAAGAAAAAAAAAACTGTTCCTATTCAGGGTGTTTGTAGCCACAGTGAAATTTCATCTTTTTTATACTTGTATGGGTACTGAAAATCTTAAGAATAGCAAAGACTCTAAATTAAGGGACATTAATGAATTATAACTTGGATATTACTTGCCATATTTTACAGTAATAAGAGAGCATATTGCAGGCACTGAATAGAGGGTATTGTGGAATTTATTCATTCCACGCAGCTATCAGCACTGTCCCAGAATACTGGCTTTTATGCTGTCTTCCTCAATATTGTCATGGGCTGATCTGCCCTGCTCAGGTGCCCCGGCCGTGACTCAAACCATTAACACTGCCTTTACAGCAGGCATTGATTCATCAGAAGTTGCAGCTGCCTTCTTGGAGTCTTATTGGAGTCTTAGTTTTTCTACCTAAATTTCCAGGCTGCTTTTTTTTTGCCTTGCTTCTAGAACTCCCTATTTCTAGCTGTGACCTGGGTTTGCTCCTGAGACTCCAGTCCCGTTCTCTCTAGTGAACTTAGCTGCTCATGTCCTGCTTCTACTCTCACTACCCATCAGCCCTGGATTTCAGAGTTGAGTCTTACCCTGGCGTTTCTACTAACACCTAGTCCTACCTTAAGAAGTGAGGGGTCTGTAAGCTTCACTGGAACCTTTTCCTTGGGGACGTAGAGAAAGTCCTTTTTTCTACCTTCTAGGAGTGAGTGGCTGCAGAAAGGGGAACTCTTCACGATTAAAAAGAAAATGTGATAAAGTCTCATCAACGTGCATAGGAATTTGCTCCTCAGGCTGGTTCACAGGGATGCCTATGAAGCATTTCTGAGAAGTGGATGTACTTCATGAAAGATGCGATGCATCAGCTACCCTACAAGATTTTGCAGTTGGGAAAGTAATGATCTAGGATTCATAGTTCTGGAGGACTAAGGCAGTTCGGAGTCATAGCTATACAAAAAGCAAGAATGGACAATATTTTGTGTCTTTTCTTTTGAGACAGGATCTTGCTTTGCCACTCACGCTAGAGTGCAGTGGCATGATCATAGCTCACTGTAACCTTGAACCCCTGGGCTCAAGTCATCCTCCTGCCTCAGCCTTCTGAGTAGCTGAGACTTCAGGTATGTGCCACCACACCTGGCTAATTTATTTTTAAAATTATTTTGTGTAGAGACAAGGTCTTGCCCAGGCTTACGTCAAACTCCTGGACTCAAGTGATCCTCCTGCCTTGGTCTCCCAAAGTTCTGAGATTACAAGCATGAACCATGGCAGCGGCTCTTTTTTCTTAAATTACGTTACTGACCACGTTTTGTACAATCCCTGTGATCATCGCTTTAGCCAATCTATGCTCAAATGTAACATTTATAAATGGAAATGACACTTCTTCCTGTAACCCGAATTTTCCTCTTAGTGCGATCAACTGCTGGATTAAATGACATAAAGAGTTCTTTAAACATAGTAAGTGTTCAGCACCTAATAGTTGTAACTATTGTTGCTTTTATCTAAATACTATAAAAATACATGCTATAGTTCTGAAAATTAGAGAACAGATGCCACAGATTACCAATTACCTACCTTTTCCTCCTCCTCCTCTTCCTCCTACTTTCTTCTTCTTCTTTTTTTTTTTTTTTGAGGAAGGAAGGAAAAGTGGAAGCCTAAAAGTTTGGGAATACAATCAACATCACTCAGTAGAATAAAAGAAAACTGAAATATGTTTCTTTACATTTTGTATTCCACTACTTTGCCAGTAGTTCACATGGCATTTTTTAATTAAGGAAATCTACTGTAGCTCTCTAAAGAAAAGCAAATTGGAATTACAAAGCCATCACTGGGGTGGCAATGCCCCCAAACTCACAATGTCAAAATTGTGTTTTGATGGTTACTAGGGTTTGGTCATTCAAAAGTAGTGTTGTTGGTGGGTTTGTTGTTGTTGTGTTGTTGTTGTTGTTTGGTTTGTTTTGTTTTTTAGAGACAGCGTGCTATGCCAGAAAGAACGTGGAGCTAAATCTAAACTCCAGTTCTGGATCTCCAGTCCCTAGATGTTCAGTTTGGGGAGGTTACTTTTCCTTTTCTATAATAATAATAATACTGACTCCATAGGACTGCTATGAGAACTAAATGAGATAACATAAAAGAGTTTAGTACACTCCCCGGCAATTGGCAGATGCTCATGTTCTTTTCTCTTTTTTTCTTTCCTTCTTGCTTAAAATGTTGGATTATTAATTGTGAACAAAGTCAATGTCTGTGGCAGTGAATAGAACCCCTTCTATCCATGTCTTTTATGCTGGGTGCTACTACTTGGTAGTCAGTAATGGATGTGCTGACATAAAGCGTTCCTTCCAAGAAGAATTTAAGTCAAGCGGAGGGCTGGAGCTTCTGTATTCTAAGGCCCATTTTCTGATCTGCAAATTAGACTTTTGTTGTTGTTGTTGTTTCCATGAAGAGTAGAAGTATCCTTATACTGGTTGTACAGAGTGCCATTGCCTGCTTGTAAACTGAATTTAATGAACAGTGAATTTGTGAGAGTGAGGCAGGTGGAAGAAAGGAGAAATGGGATTGATGGCCTCGGCCAATGCAATTTTACATATTCCTTGTTTTGGTATTGCTGGGATGTAGCCCTGGTCCTGATGTCATTTTGTAAATAGGCTCTTCCAGGCCATGTCATTTATCTCAAAATATACTCTCAGGTGTCTAAAAAAACTGTTCTTGACTGTTGCTTACCTCAAATTTAGTTTTCATATTTCAAAAACAGTTCCCTAGTCTTTTCATGATGGTTCTTAGTAGTTAGCATGCAACAGTTATTACACTGAGAATCAGCAAACTATGGCCCATAGGCCAAATCTGGCCTGCCCCGTGATTTTGCATGGCCTGAGAACTAAGGATGGTTTTAAGATTTTTTAATGTAAAAAATTTTTTAAAAGTTATTAGCCTTTAGGTGAGAACAGTTGCCTGAAGAATGTGAACATTGCCTCTTTGCCTGCAAAGCCTAAAATATTTTCTGTCTGCTCCTTTGCAACAAAGGTTTGCCAAGCCCTGTTTTATACTTACATCTGAGACATTCATCAAAATGACTGAGTGAAATCAAGGCATCCATAAAGTGGATTAATTGAAATGAATTAAAGAGGAGAATGTATTATAAGACAGTTTAGGATCATGTAATACATGCAGATTTTATCATTTTATTGATCCCCATAATATTTTAGATTTAGCAAATACTTTAGTAGTCTTCTAGTCCATGGGTTTTTGGAGACTTTTTAAGGCCCAATATTTAAAACAGATAATGGCAAAGCTGTTTCCATTGAAGGCATCCAGAACTCATGTACTATCCAATACTCATAGGTCTCCCAGGGCACTCTATGGAACCCCAAAAGTAGTGGCCCTCAAATGGAACTATTACTGGTTAAAGGCAACAAATTGCAAGAAGACACCTGCAGAAGCAGCCTGGGCCATTGTGGGAGCACTGACTAACGTGGCTCTCACTTAGGAAGAAACTGCCTCAGGACAGGTGGGGCTCCATTCTAGTTATGAGGTGCTAAAGGCTGGCAAAGAGATCAGAGGCAGGGGCAGTCCTGGTTTTATTCTGCCCAAGATTTTTTTTCCTAGAAAGGAAAGTATCTCAAATTCTTGAATATCAAGGGTTATGTTTTCGAAAATCTAAGCCTCTCCTAGACACATAAATTAAAGCCTAAAGTAAAGCAAATAATTGAAATATTGAACTTTAGGGACCCATCTAGTCACATTCTAACAGGGATGTCACATGCTTCCTCAAAATATATTTTCTAGCAGCAACAAGGATGTTTGAAATGGATATAACTGAAGGCTGAACCCTCCATTCCAGATACAGATAAAAGCCTTTACATAAAAATTATTTGAAAAAATGTTGTATATGGGCATAAACTCATGACAGCACGTGAGTACCTTCTAGCATCTATCTTGAGAGTAAAGTAAGCTAGGAGGTAACCTGAAGCGCCTGATGGCCAAATGGAAGATTGTGGTCAGAGTGTGAATAAAGGAGGAAAGGGGGTTCTCTGGAGTCATAACAAAACCAGCTTCATTGTCGATGCAGTTTCGCCCAGGGCTCATGATAATCGAAGAAGCTGTGAGCTCCTCGCTATAGCGTAATTCTCCAGAAGGGCTGTTGTTACTTCATTTTACACATCTAGGAAAGGGAGAGGCTCTTTGAGAGAGTTCAGAGTTGATTGATAGGTCATCCCTTGACTTTGGCTAGAATAATAGTGCATTAAAAATCAGATTGGCTGTCTATGCTAAAAATCTGTTTCCAAGAAGCCTTCACTGTGAAGTGATTTTAGAAGTCACGTGAAAGTAGAGTGGGTGGGATTGTCTCAGCATGCTCTGAAAGGGAGGAAATATCTTTTGTGGTCAACATGGTACAGGTAGGAGATAGTTGAGGCATGAGTAATGAGGAGATTGGGAACCCAGTATTTTTTACTGCAGCTTTGTTTTTTGTGGCCAAGTAAAACTTTTATTTCCAAAAAAAGGTGAGGGATCTTTCTGTAAGAACTTCCAGGAGTGATTGGCCACGTCTACCCCGTCTTTCTCCTTTTTTTCTGCCTTCCCACTCTGCCCCAATGAGGGTTAACATAACACACAGACCAGGAGGAAATGACAGATTTCCCACAGGGTAGTCTGAATAGTTTGCTTGTTCCAGCTATTTTACTGACTTTCTGTGTCATGAATCCTTCGAAGGTGAGTAGCAGGTAGGTTGGGAGGTGGAGAAAAGACAGAAAAGGTAGGAGATTTGAGGTTAGCTGTGTCATGCATTGCTTGGAAAGATCTAAGAGGGCTGTGTGAAAGGTTCATCCCAGAGAAGTTGATAGAGCTGCCAGATGATGCCATTCTACTGGTAACAAAATGTCTTTGTTCTGAAATGCAGATGTTTCCAGAGCTTTTCCTAACATGAAGTTAATTAGACCTGGTATTTAGGAATGCTTGATGGTACCTTTTGACATTTATGTGGATGGCATCAGCCATTATCTTCTAGTTGTATTGCAGGGTACTCCAGAGAAGCATATAAACCTGTATCCTCTTCCACACACTAACACCTCTTCCCTGGCTATAAATCCAGCTGCATGATGTGGAAATGTAATTGAGCAGCCTACGCAGAAGTTTGGAGCTCATGGGGGAATATCTGTTTGTAAGAGAACCTGAATATTCATGTAGCTGTCCAGACATCAATAAATTCTCATTTTGCTTTATTTATTTCTGTTCCCTAGAGAATAGCAGCACGCTTAAGCTCAAAGTTAATAGGCATGTTCTACAGAGCCGTGCCCTCACTTACCTTAATAGAACATCTCCCTAACACATTTGTTTATCCGTTGCCAGGTAGCTCTCCCATCAGGTGACATGAATATGTTTCCTTTGTCTTGGTGCATGGGAGACAGTTGCCAATGTTTGCTGTCAATTAGCTTGTGGTAGCATGTCAAGGATGTACGGGTGGTGTCATTTTAGTCTGACAGCCACCCGATCCAGTTGAGAAGGGATTGTTTCATTATCCTCTTATCAGGGCTGCTGGATAATGATAGTCTACACTGCAAAGTGGGAAGGAAAAAAAAGACAGGCAGAAATAATAGATTTTTAGGGATTGGCAATATTAAAAGTTTTCATGCCACAAGGAGAAGGGAAAGATTAGAGAGATGACTGTGCCAACCCTTAAGAAGCTACTTTTTCCTAATACAGGTAGGATGTGGAATGATGCCCTTCCTGATGCAGAGGCAGGGGAAGGGGGGAAATGATCAGACATTAAGAAGAAGGAAAAAAGAAAACCAGCTCCTTCTACTCATTGGCAGCAAGGCTAAGATTAGCTGAGGCCTCTCTCTCGTTCTCCAATTAACCTCAATACCAAACGCAGCCTTCCAAGTGACCCTGACAGGGCATTTTCCTTGCTAGAAATCTCTTTCTGGTTTGTGAATTTAGGTTCAGAGAGCATTTTTCATTGAAGGACAACACAATTAAATTGCTCCAAGGTGAAATGCAAAAAGACCGCAGAAGGTACCAGACCTTGTATTTTCACTATTGGGGGCCAAAACTTGAGTCACCCCCAATATTGGTAATTTTCTTCAGAATGCCTGAAGGGAAAGTCTTTCTTGACTCCTGAAAATTCTGGATCTTTATGCTCTTGGAGAAACAAACAAAAAGAAGTGCTGAAAGTGTAAAAATACTTCAAGATAAACTAAGCTTCAAGAGGGACAATTGTGTTGACATTTTAGTAACAGCCCATTTTCGCTCCTTAACGAAGTGCAGTCATGCATGAAAATGACTTGTTATCTTTTAAACTGAAATGCATTATGGGTTGTAACTCAAAAGGTGTGTATTACTCTACTCGTGCAAAATAAAGTACATTTTAACCCTTGAGGATTCTTTCACAGGCCCCACTTCATAGCAACTCATATAAAAAAAATAGAACAACAAAAAGCTTATTTGAGAATGGTATGTAAACTCTTCTGCATTTGTAAAGTAACACCACAGTTTATATTTGTATGAATTCTTCCATCTGTAGTTTAGATAGGAGGTCATACTTTATTCGAGATTTACCATTTGGGAGCAACATGTACCCTTATCTTTCCCTAGTTCTATTAATAATGGTAATAATTACAATAATATAAGTAGCCAAATAATAGCAACAGTGGTTTCTTGAGCACTTGACTGGCGTTCAGGCATATGCTCAGTGTTTTCTGCTCATTCTATAATCCTCGTCACAGTCCAGTGAGGTATTATCCTTATTTAAGATGAAGAAACTTAGGTTAAGTGATTTGCCTAGACACATTGCTATTAATAGCTAAGGCTAAGATTCTAATTCAGGTCTATCTGTCTCACATTGTGTATGCTTTGCTTTGTTCTGTTAATAACCACACTGACAATGTCTCTATAAAGTGCCCGATTTCTGATGAGGCTGAGGGAATCAGAATTTCTGTTGTCCAGCTGTTCCCGAACTTTTCCCAGCTCTAAAATTCTCCAGGGAGAGAGACAAAGAGACAAGATTGAACTCACCATTCACATGGGGCTTCTCATTCTTTTCAGTGTCCCTGTGAAAGCTCATTTACCCTGATTTCATTGATTAGCTTATCCTCCGTGCCTTGACCCTGGAAATACTGCCCAAGAGATGAATGGTGAGCCAACACCTCTTCCCATGTTCCAGCCACCAAGCAATAATGTCATTTGTCAGGATCTCAACATTACTCTAGCACTACTTATACGTGAATTCACAGTGTGTGGGTAATACCGGTTCCCCCTTTTCTATGAGAGCAAGCCTGCATGAGGAGCAGCACCATGGCCATAATGCAACCATGAATGACTCCAACGCAGATTTACAAAGCAGCTCAGTGGTTGCAGATCTGCCCGGTAAACCTCCCCTTGGTGCATTATTGACAACTGGTGGCCTTTCAGCCCAGAACATCATTCTTGCTTGTGGTAAAGGATGCATATAACTAATTGCTCACGAATAACCCTTCCTTGCCTTCCTTCTTTTCCTAGCAGTGGATCAATATGCCTCTAGCAAGTATCTGAAATCTTTATTTGGGAAAAAGCACATTTCCTACCAGCTGTTTGCTTTCTAAACCAAATAATTCAGTTAATTTCTTGCCTGAAGTAATTTTCAGAGCTGGAAAACTTCTCTCTTCAATGCTGAATTGCTTTCAGGATGGGCAGAAACAGAAATGGGAATATCCTTTTTGCACTCTAACCCACAGTTTGATGGCTACAGCTGCTTGTGTGTTGTTTGTGGTGGGGGATTAGTGGCTATTGGCAACAAGCAGCCTTTGCAAACAGAGTGTTCAGGGGCCCTGACACAACACTTTTATGTGTTTTCTTGAATCTGTCTTGCCTTTGGGAGGCAATATAGGGTGGTGTTCTGGGTCATGTGATCTATTAATAAAATCAGGCTTCCCGGATTTGAATTCCAGCCCCGCTATTTGCCTGCCACGTGACCTAAGCCAGGTAACTTAACCAGGAACCAGAAGAGGCCTCAAGTTCCTCATCAGCAAACTGGGGAAATGTTTATAAAGAACTTTGCACATTATAAATGCTCAATAAGTCTTAACTATTGATTCCAAGGTATCAAGGGGCAGCAAGAAGATGAAATGAAGCTGAGACAGGATCCCCAGCACCTACTACTCAAAGTGTAGTTTCCATACCAGCAGCCTCAGCACCCCCAAGACCTAGTGAGTCAGAATCTGTATTTTACCTTGATGATTTATTTGCACATTAAAGCTTGAGAAGCAGGACTCTTGCTGCTCACATAGTTTTAAACAAGAATGCATATTGGCTGTTTTTAATATACCTTAGCCTGACAAGGGAGGTCTTCATCCTTTCCCTCTGAAGTGATGAAAACACAGTTACCAAGCAATGCCTATAGTAGCCTTCCTCCGCTCTGGTGATGGCCTGAGACAAGTAATCTTTATTTGGGGATGCTACTAACACTCTTGGCCTCCCTCCATCCACACAATAAATATGTTACAGCTGAAGTAACCCCAAGGGTGCCCTGTTTATACCCATTAGAAATATAGATTAATGGTTTTCATTTGGACAAAGAGAACTGCATACTAACCAAATTAACCTGAGCTAAAGGTGCCAGCCTAGAATGCTCTGGTAGCCTATGAGATGGCATCTGAGAACCACATAGATCAACAGATGCTGCTTTGTTAAAATTATAAAGCTCAACTGAGTTACCTCCACCTACCTCTACTGTAGATGGATGAGAGACTGCAGTGAGCCAGGCCACTAAGAAAGAGAAAGCCCATGGCAGCAGGGAGGCCAGTAGCTGGCCTCTGCTGAAGACAAGGCTCACGTATTCATCTCAAGAACAGGATTTTATTTCCTCAGGGAGACTACCATCTCTTAATCACAAAAGCAATAAGAATTTCCAATATGTTCCTCTGCTGTGCTTAATCAGTTGTTCCAGCTGCCAGTCATCAGGTATGTCTGGAAGTTCACTTAGAAGCCCTCTTGCAGCCTTGAAAGCAGTAATGACCCCGGAGTTGACACAGACAATGAAGGCTGCTCCTGTGGGCAGCCTGTGTGTGTCGGCTGATTTGATGACAACAGTTTTGTTAATATTGCCCTGTATCCTGGAGGGATCAGCTCTCTTCCTTATGTTTTGATCGATAGGCCACAATTGTGTGCCCTATTCGTTGAGTTTGGAAAATTATTTTGAATGTGTATGAAAGGAAGTTTTTCCTTTTGCGAATGACATTACAGTTTTACTCTAAGGTGGAGATTTTCTTCCTGAGGTTAAAAATCACTTGGCAAAACCTGAACATTTGTCTGGAACCATATGTTGTGGTGGGAAAGTCTGTATGAAGTCGGCAGATATTCAGACTTAAAACATTAATGGAGATTAGCACCTGCCTGGTGCAGAGTAGGTGCTGGAAAATTGTGTTTGGAAGAATGAATGCATAAAAGAATATTCCTAGACTGTAGTAATTAATAAAGATTGAATTCTGGATGCATGACTGTGATATGGTCAGAAATTCCTAGAAATCAGGATAAGTAAAAGAGCATTTCCTATGCCACAGTGGATCATTGGCAGAGACCAAGGACAATTCTGTTGAAGCCACAGCTCTCTGACTCCAGAGTGTTGTCCATTTTTTTTGAAGGGTATGTGAGATGGGGATTGGATAAATGTTGGAAAGCATGCTTGTGTCTGTTGTTACTTCCTCCAAATTTCTGGTCATCATCTTGGTCACAAGCAACGTCTACAATGAGCAGTCATGGCCTGGACTTGGCATGCAAAGTGCTGTCATGTAGACACTGACTTACAGGCTTCTACTAGGTTGTAATCTCACCTTCTCACCAGAAGTAAGATTTTCCTATACTATAGAAAGTAAAGGCAAGTCATAGACCTTGTTTTCCAGAGAAGTGATTTCCTCCACCCTAGATAAGAAGTACATTTTCCAAATCCAGTTTTTAAATTGAACCCTAAAGCCCTCCCTTTCTTGTTCTCATGGGGCCGTAAAAGAGGACCACTGCCCATTTCTGTCCCCTTCACCAGCCATAGCATTCAAGGGAAGGGCTATGGATGTGGGCTTGACTGGTGGTCAGTCAACACCAGTTGACGTGGGCTTGACTGGCAGTCAGTCAAACCAGCACAGCTGGAGGGCATATTCTGGAGCCCTCAGCCCTATACCTGACACCTCGTGTGCCCCACCTAGCATCCCCTTCACCACCTGTTTCTAGTGGCCTTTGCTAATGCAGCCAGCTAATGCACCAGCCGTAGCATGGTAGCACCTCTCCTCAACTGCACCATGTCCCTCTGGCTTTCTTCCCTGAGGCTTCTCTGATACCCTGATGTTGGGTATCTGTGAGAACATTTAGCCACTCTGGTACACGTGCCCCTCAAAGTGTGAGCAAATTAATCTTGACCAATGGCGCAACCGTCAACAAATGAAAAATAGGAGTTGGTGGATAAATGTTCCTTTCTGTCCCTGTCCTAGTCACTGAGCCCCGAGATTCCATGGGCATTTATATCTTGTTCATCTTTGTTTACTCAATGAACATGAACTGATGCTGTTTGGAGATACCAGGCACCGAGGATGTCTTGTTTCCTGTCCCAGGACCTAGCTTCATGTCTGCCAAATGATAGGTACCCTATACATATTTGTGGAATAATTGCCCGCTAAGAGAAGAATAAAAAGAACACAGTTAACTCTGCATATAGAGCAAATGTAATGAAGTAAGTAGAAAAAGGTAGAGGACATCACAGAAAAAAGCTCAGTAGTATAAATTGTCATAATACATTTGAGTGTGGTCAGTTGTCTGGTTTGGCCAGAGCTTAGGATGCATTGTGGGGCCACAAATGAGTGCATTAAAGTGCTTTTAACACTGTCCAATGATTTATACTAATAGGTCTTGGTATTTTGGTAAAATCGATATATAGAGGTCTGCTCCCTTCATTAAATTACAGTTTCCCCAAGGGCAGGAACACACATAGAGTATCAAGTACGTAATAGACACTTATCAATATGGAATATAAAAATAACGGCTGAATGATAGATGGGTGAACAGATGGATGATGGGGCAGGTGGATGATGGATGGTTTTTCCTGGCTGTTAAATGGGATGAAAGAGAGGTCCTAAACCAGGCTTAACTCTGAGCGAGTGGCAGGCTACAAACAATCCCCAATTTCCCAGCCTATGTCATTGTAGCTAATGCCAAGTATAGCTAATACAGACCTCTGAGAAGCAGCACACTTTCTGTTGGACCATAGAGTAGAGCACAGAGTGTGCACACCAAGTTTCCTTGTTGCCCATTGGGTTGTAAACAGCAGGGGCAATGCTTCCCTTGTGATGAACACATGCACATACATACAAAAAAACCTCTGGGGAAAAATAAATACTGGGTGCATTCAGCAACTACAACAAAATAAATAGGAGAACTCACATTTCTACACTGAAGCAGGAAAAAAAAAAGTTAGCTGTGTTTTCATAGTATCTCTATGACCTTTATTATTCCATTAGATTTTGGAATAGTATATAAAACACCAAGCTCCATGCTGACAAACACCAGTTTTGAAACTATTGCCACAGTCAATCCAAACAGCCTTCTCCCCTGAGTAAAATTATTATTTGGAATACAAGCAGAATTGTGGTTCCCTGAGCTAGCTGAGCATAAATGAGGTTAGTGATTCATAAGGTGACTCTAGTGAGTTTGCAAATATGCAACTTGTATGGAAGCTGACGCACACAACAGAAGCTCAGCCTTGCCTTTCTGAACTGGTAAGCATTTTCAGGCCTCACCACCTCTTTGGAGGACTGTGGTAGGTACAGGCTTCTGAGGACAAGAGTTAACCTGACAGAATGCTGATTTACCAGAAATAAACCCTTCAAATCAGATCACACCCTTGTCAGTAGCTTTTTGAGCGGGAAGATGGTAATTCTGCCTCTTCACATGTTCCTTGAAATACTTGAACTCTTGTTCCATTGGATTAAGCTTTTGGGGGCTAGGTCATCTGGGGTACTTATTCTATCCTGGAGAGGTTGGGGAAAAGTGGTACTGGTATAAAAATACAACTCCCTGAACTTTTAAACCCTCAAATCTTTTCGATAATGTGGCTTCTCTTTCTTAATCCTGAACCTGATTTATTTTTTTAAAAAATCCATTTATTCTTTGATATTAGTAGAGTAAGTTCAAAAAGAACAGAAATGGGTATGGAGCTCAGCATAACTTTGTACAAAGAAGGAAGTTAAAGAGAATCAGCCTAATGCTGCTGCTATGATTGCAGCATAATGAGATGTCTACGGAGTAGGTCCCAGACACTGAGGGAACCTTTCTGATAGACTGTGAAAGTGACAAGCCCCAGTTTCTTCTGTGACATCGTACCAATTAGCTGATCTAAATGGGCACGTATTCACGTTTGAGGTCACATACCGTTCTCGAAGGCTAGGCTGCCCATACGAATGGGACTGTAACTCACTCTCTGTGTCATAACGGGCAACAGTGGGGGGAGATCCCGAAGCTGTGTTTTCGTAGTTTGAGAGACTCCTTTGATGAAGGCCAAGTATATTCATCACACCATCAGGAAAATTCCCTGGGTTAGTTAGACTCTAAAGTTAAAAGGGTGCAGGATCCTACGTTCATGCTAGGATCAGGGAAGCTCCAGTTCTCATTACATTGATTTAGCAGTGACAGAGAGGGGCCCCAGCTGACCTACCGTGGCTCACTGCAGCAGTGAGAAGAGGAAGAAGGCCTGTGCTGTGCCCTTCTCAGTCAGCTGACCAAATATTCTGTTACCTGACTCTCATCCCCTGTGACTGAAAAGTGCTAATA
This sequence comes from Homo sapiens, assembly GCF_000001405.40. NCBI lineage: Eukaryota > Metazoa > Chordata > Mammalia > Primates > Hominidae > Homo > Homo sapiens. The sequence goes on along the minus strand of NC_000009.12, from coordinate 3,879,917 downwards.
CAGAGACCTTGGCACAGATGCAAACAGTACAAGACTGACTAATTATACAGTGTCCAGACAGGGAACTGGCAGGGCATGGCAGCACTTAGGAGACAGACCGTGAACATCAGCCTGAAGCGAGCCAGACGTGAGCTCCGGAGGAACCTGTTCCACCATGAAAATAAAAGCTGTGTGTACCCAAGAAGGGGAGAACTGTTCCCTGAAAACCACTGAGAGAAAAACAAGCAAGCCCCTCAAATATGCTTGCTGTCAGGCTTCGGTATTTAAAAAACGTGGGCTTCCTTTGGGGCACGGTCTCATGTTTGTTCTCCCTTGATTTCAGCTCCCATTTTCTCCAGCAATTATTCAAGCCGAAGTGGAACAGCTGCTGGGGCCGTACCACCCCCACATCCTGTCAGTCACCCTTCTCCAGGACATAATGTACAGGGGAGCCCTCACAACCCCTCCTCCCAGTTACCTCCACTCACAGCTGTGGACGCAGGAGCTGAGAGGTAAGGCCATCTGTCTCTCTCTCCTAATAGGTGTCGCCGCCAAACCTCCCTTCACAGACAAGTGCCTTGACAGTTGCTGAATTTTATTAATAATCCGTTGGTGGGTTGAGTTACCCAAAGGTGACATTTTAAAAGTACATACACAAAGCACGTGGACCAAATATCTCATTATCTGTTTCATTTTTCCACGGGAAAACAAATGAAATGATACTGGCAATAGCCAGCCAAAGTTTCAGATGCTGGAAACACACCAGAATTTCCCTGTCTTTCTACCTTTCATCGGTCTGTTTCAGAGACCCAATTTTAAGGTAATGTATATGCAGGTCGAAGCACTTCCCGATGTCAGATGGTGCCCTCGCCACATAAATCAGTATTGTTAAGGCACAGGATTTTATGTAGGCTGCTCATTGAATACTTTATATTAATATCTGTCTCACAAAGGACTTCTGGGAGAAATTTTTTAAACAACCATGATCTTCATGATATTTTTACTCCTGAATTCTTTATTGGCCCCAGAGGCCTTTCGAGGCCCTTCATACTTCTGTTTCCCAATCTCGTGTGCTTCTGTGTACCACAAACCAAAATAAGAGTCTGCATCTCTTGCTTCTCCATCTCCTTCCCCTTTTTGTGGAGCAGGCTGTAATGAACTTCTCTTGCCCAAGGGCAAGTGTATGGCTGCATCAGTACAGGTAGCTTTGGAAGGAGGTTGGATGCTTCAGTCCTCTCCGAGCTGTCCAACACACCTCTTGTCACCTCTCTCCACTTGTCATCTGGCTTGAGTTGACCTACCTGGTTACTCCCAGACATCCAGAGGAGAAAGAAGTTCTGGCAATTGTTGAACAAAATAATGGGTTGAATAGGCAGCAGGAATAAAAGTTTTGTAACTTAGAGATTACTGGTGAAATCAGGTTCCATCATTGTTGGCCTGACCTATGAGTTTGGTAATATGTGGTTTTAATTCTGATAAACCATATATATTTTACTGTTTATGACTTTCTTCCTTTATCAATATTATTTTGTTTAATGAATGTCCGTTGAATACCTTCTATGTGTCAGACACTGTGTTGGATGCTGGAGTCCAAAAAGTTATTAAAATATGCTCCTGCCCTTACAGGTTTGAATGGTGAGGACAGGCATTCAAATGAAGTATAATAAGGCTGTTTGGTTAAATGATGTAATAGAGATCCCACAGGAGCCTAAAGAGGATGTCTCTAAATCTGTCTCGGGGGTGAGGGAAAGAAAGACACAGTGATGTAGGCATTGAAGGAAGACTAAGGCTCTTCTGGATGCCTCAGTGGGGGCACAGCATCCCAGGCAGCAAGAAGAACATATCCAAGATGTGAGGAACAGAAAGGACACCGTCAGGGACGGTCTCAGTAGCTTGGGATGACAGCATCCAGGCATACATGGCTGATGAAGTCAGATAATATTAGGTTGGCTTATGTGGGAATTGTGTATTTGATGCTAAGGAATTTGCCCCTTATCCTGCTAGGAGTGAAGAACCATTATAGGCTCTTTGTTAAGAGAGAAACACAATCAGATTGACATTACAGCAAAAGAATTCAGGTGGCAAGATAGTTGAGTAACTGAACCTGGAAGGAGAGACGGGAAAAACAAGGAGAAGAATATTGCAGGAGGCCTTGTGAGCAATATGGTTACTTGAAGCAAGGCAAAGCAGTGAGGATGGAGAATTTATTCAAGAGCAATTATTTAGGAGGCAGAATTACTAATCATTAATATATATGTGGAGCAAAGAGGAGGGACCAAAATTCATTTATAAGTTTTACCCCTAGATACCAAGATTGTGTCATTAATAGAAACTGAAAAATACAAAAAGAGTGTGGTAGTGTGGAGGAAAAAACAATGTTGAGTGGAGGAGAAGGGGAAGAAGACAGAATAATAAACTGACTTTAGGAGTTTGAACTTTAGGTGATTATAAAAGATCCATGTGGATATGTCTGATTGGCAATTAGCAATATGAATCAGAAGATGCTGGACTTTTTAAAAACAGTTCTATGCACAAGGTAAAGTGTAAACAAATCATTAGCCTCCTCCCACAAGATCTGTCAGCAAAGCAGCGCAAATGATAACCATCCATTAAGTTCACAGACGTTGCAGACAGAAAATCTTTTCTTCCACTTGTCTGATATATTCCTATAAATTAAGATTTTTTTAAAAAAATGCATTTTATATAGTTTTCTGTTTGGTTCTAAATGATATTAGCCACGGACTTTTCATCATCACATTTCATTCTGCCTGGCTGAGAATCTTACTCCATCCACAATGTCGTGAAGCTCAGGAATGATCAATCGGAACCTCCCTTCACTGCACCTCCTTATCTATAGTCATAACAACTCTTAACAAGAATATAAGACAAAAACGATCATTGAGTCTCCTTTTTGTACGCAGCCTTTAAAAGAATACATGTAGAAAAAGATTTTAATTATTATCAGAGTCAAAGACAACAATATCACACCCCAAATGCCTGAAATTTGCATCTCAGTTCTGACGGTTGCTAACTGTTTGGCTGTGGGCAAGTTCCTTAGCTGCTCCTGCTGCTTGAGGTTTGTGTGTTTGTCTTTTTTTAACATTTTGTATTTTTTATTCCTCCTCTTGAAAGTTTGTAACATATAAAGAATGGCAAGAATAGTACAATGAATACCCATGCATGTACCTGGCACTCATATTCACCCATTGTCAATATTTTGCCTTTCTTTCCTTCCCCTCCCTCCCCTCCCTCCCTTCCTTCTCTTTCTTTCTCTCTCTCTTTCTCTCTCTCTCTCTCTCTCTCTGACTTTGGTGATTCTTTGTTTTCCTGCCTATTGTTGCAGAACCATTTGACAGATGGTTGCAGATATCACTGAGCTTTACTGCTAATTACTTCAGTAGGGATCTCCTAAGAAGGACATTCTCCTACATAAACCCAATATAATAATCATACTCAGGAAATTTAACATTGATATAATACTATTCTCTAATGGTTACTTGCTATTCAGATTTCCCAAATTTTGTGAATAATGTTTTCTATAGCTGGAGATTTTTGTTTGTTTTCCTTTTTGTGATTCAGGGATCTAATAGGGATCTCACAGTGCATTTAATTTTTATTTCTTTTTCATCTTCTTGACTCTAATGAAGTTCTCCAGCTTTTTATTGTTATTATTATTGTCTTTCAGAACATTGACAGTTTTGAAGAACTCGGGACATTTATTTTACACAGTGTTCCAGGGTTCCATGGTTTGGATTTGTGTAATTGTTTTATCCTAAACAGATTCATTGTAAATATTTTTGGTGGGAATACCACATAGATGATGTGGTGTTTCTTAGCTTTTTTGAGATTTAGATTGCACCTTATGGGGAATTAGGATTAAATAAACTAAGTAGATAAAGTGCCTAGTAAGTTACATGGCATGAAACAGGCCTTTCATAGCTGTGGATACTAAAATAAAGACAGGCAGCTTTGGCATAGCTGAGTGATTCAGTTTGGAAGTCAGAGGATGTTGTTAAATGATCATAGGGGTTGATAATGTAAATAATCATGGAAGGGGAAATGGAGAGGAAGGAGGTACTTTATATGATGGGAGAATGAAATGGACATTTGCACTTTGTGGTTTTGCCTTGCTGCTATATTCTCCCCTACTGGACGTGTGCCCCATCCCTTGCCTTCCCAGCTGGAGTGGGCAAGTGTGAGTATGGCAGGTTCTCTCTTCCAATCAGGTTTGGAAAGGAAGATGACTTGAAACAGCCCTGACTTATTCACCAGGTTTGCGTTAGTGTCCAGCATAAAAACACTAAGAGGAAATGTGCTTACCTTCCGCTTTTGGTTTGTATATCTTTGCCTCTGTTTGCCTGGGAAATCCCCCAGTAAAAACTCCGGCAGTTTTCTTAACGGAAATAGGTTTATCACACTCTGCGATTTTTAGTGGGAAACTGGCATCTTTTCCTGCTTGCGGGCATTGATTCATCATTTACTTAGCTTTCACATGCTAAAAAAAATGGGCTGAGTCACTGTCAGAAGTCAGGAAAGGTCCACCACATCTACCCAGTTAGCGTCAAGTTCTTTGATCCTTACCATCATAAAATAAAATAAATGCAAGTTCTCTCAATCTAACAAGGTTCCATTTTTATTTTGAAATATTATCTGAATGACACATTATTTCAGTGATTTAAGCAGCACACTACATCACCTAATGTTGATCTAACTTATTACGGGAAGTGGTGTTTTACTATGGCATGTTGAATGAGCCAGTGGTACTTTATGACAGTGGCTTCCCATGAGAGGAACTCAGCGTCTTTGGAAATGTTAATTCAATGAGTTTCATAGTATGTCTGTTAGACCAGAGAAAACAAAAATATTGATGGGAGTCTCTTTTTGAAATGCAGAAATTTTACAATTCCAAGAATAAATCCTCTGAGTTTGTGTTTGCTCATCTTTTACAAGAGAATGTCAGCTGCCTCTCTTCATTCTGAAGAAGGCCACAAACAGTGCGCTTTGTCGTTCAGGTAATAGAGCTGAAGGAGGCCTGTGGATTGACCACAGTGGAGAGGCTTATGAAGGGCTTCCTATGAGCCCATGGCTGAGCCAGAAAAGACTGAAAAGAAAGTGTAAATATAAGGAAAAAAAACAAAGTGTTTTTTCTGTTCTCTCACTCAACAATAATCAACACAAAACGTTTCTGTGACCAACTGTGTGGGGGTTTTCCCCCAGCCCACTAAGCATGCAGTCAATTGTGCAGTAGACACCAGCTGGGTGTCCTCTAATTGCAACCTATCCTGACACTCTCTACTTGGAGAGAGTGTCAGATTCCACAGGTTGAGGACACAGTTCCACAGGACTGCCCCCCACTTCTGATGCCAGTTGCAAGACCTGGGTGATTTTGCCTGTACATCTGACAAACTGACTACAAATCAGGATTTCCACAGCCCCCTCCTCCGGTTCTATTAATTTGCTGGAGCAGTTCACAGAACTCAGGGAAACACATTTACTAGTTTATTATAAAGGACATTATAAAGGATACCAATGAAAAGATGTATAGGTCAAGGCATACGGGAAGGGACACAGAACCTCCATGCCCTCTCCAGGCCTACCGCCCTCCAGGAACCTCCATGTGTTCAGCTATCCAGAAGCTCTCTGAACCCAGTCCTTTTGGATTTTTATGGAGACTTCATTACATAGGCGTGATTGATTACATCATTGGCCATCGGTAATCAGTTTACTCTTTGGCCCCTCTTCCCTCAGAGTTTGGGGGTTGAGGCTGAAAGTTGACCCCTCTAATCCTGCCTTGGTCTCTCCAGTTGCCAGTCTCAGTCTCATTCTTTCAGGCAGCCAGAGGCTGCCAGCCATCAGTCAACTAATTAGCATACAAAAAGACACTATCACTTTGAAGATTCCAAGGATTTCAGAAGTTGTATGCCAGGAATGGGGAGGAAGACCAAATATATATTTCATAATATCACAGAAAGAAGGGATGTGTGGTCTCTTTGGAGAGTATTCAATCTAGTGTATGAATCAGCAGCAGAAAATATGAGGAACAATTATTTTTGAGCAGTAGTCAAATCACCTTTACCAAATAAGGAATGCCAGTTTTTTTTAGTCTCTATGGAGTATTGGGAAGGCTTCCTCTTTTCACCCATAATGTATTATTTCAGATATAGCATTGCTAGAATTCTAGGTACTTTTATACATGTATGATCTTTCTAGGCCTTTCAGTAATTTGCATAAGTAACTTTGACTTTTTCTTTGACTTTATTTTCTTTATTTTTTATCTTTATTTTATTTTTGTGCAAATTTATGGGGCATATGATGTGAAATTTTGTTACATGTATAGAATGCATAGTGATCAAGTTAAGGTATTTAGGATGTCCCACAACCAAGCACAATATGTTTTTTATTTAACTATAGTCACCTTATTCTGTTACCAGACATTGAATTTATTCCTTCTATTTAACTGATGATCATATGGTTTTTTGCGCCCATTCTCTTGATGTTATATATCCCATTTATTGATTTGCATATGTTGAATCATCCTTGCTTCCCTCGTATAAATCGCACTTGTCCTGTTGGGTTTGGTTTGCTGGTATTTTATTGAGGATTTTTTGTCTCTGTTTATCAGGGATATTGGCCTGCAGTTTTATTTTTGTTGTTTGTTATTGTTGTTGTGACTTTGTCTGGTTTGGGTATCAGGGTGATGCTGGCCTCATGGAATGACTGTGGGAGAATTCCCTCTTCAATTTTTTGGAATAGTTTCCAGAGGATTGGAATTAGTTTTCTGTACATTTGGTAGAATTTTGCTGTGAATCTATCTGGTCCTGGGCTTTTCCTTTGGGAAGACTTTTTAATACTGATTCCATCTCATTATGCATTATTGGTCTGTTCAGGTTTTTTATTTCTTCCTTATTCAGTCTTGGTAGATTGTCTATCAATTTCATTTATATGTTCCAATAACCAGCTTTTTGTTTGGTTGCTTCTTTGTATATTTTTTAGTTTCTATTTCATTTTATTCTGCTCATATCTTTATTTTTCCTGCAAATCTGGGGTTTGGTTTGTTCCTCCTTTTCTAGTTCTTTGAGGTATGTTTTTAGATTGTTTATTTGTAATCTTTCTACTTTTTTGATATAAGCATTTATTGCTACAAACTTCCCTTTTAGCACTGCTTTTGCTGTATTCCACAGGTGTGGGGACTGATATAGTTTGGCTGTGTGTCCGCACCCAAATCTCATCTTGAATTGTATTCCCATAATTCCTACGTGTTGTGGGAGGGATCTGTTGGGAGATAATTGAATCATCGGGATGGTTTCCCCCATACTGTTGTCTTGGTAGTGCATAAGTCTCATGAGATCTGAGGGTTTTTATCAGGGGTTTTCACCTTTGTGTCTTCCTCATTCTCTTTGCCTGCTGCCATCCATGTAAAATGGGAGTTGCTCCTCCTTACAATCTGCCATGATTGTAAGGCTTCCCCAACCACATGTAAGTCCAATTAAACCTCTTTCTTTTGTAAATTGCCCAGTCTTGGGTATGTCTTTAACAGTAGCATGAAAACAGACTAATAAAGTAAATTGCTACCAGTAGAGTGGGGTGCTACAGTAGATACCTGAAAATGTGGAAGCAACTTTGGGACTGGGTAACAGACAGGGGTTGGAACAGTTTGGAGAGCTCAGAAGAAGATAGGAAAATGTGGAAACATTTGGAATTTCCTAGAGACTTGTTGAATGGCTTTGCCCAAAATGCTGATAGAGATACGGACAATAAAGTCAAGGCTGAGGTGGTCTCAGATGGAAATGAGGAACTTGTTGGGAACTGGAGCAAAGGTGACTCTTGTTACGTTTTAGCAAAGGTAGTGGTGGCATTTTGCCTCTGCCCTGGAGATTTGTGGAACTTTGAACTTGAGAGAGCTGATTTAGGGTATCTAGCAGAAGAAATTTCAGAGCAGCAAAGCATTCAGGAAGTGACTTGGGTGCTGTTAAAAGCATTCAGTTTTAAAAAGGAAACAGAGCATAGAAGTTTGAAAAATTTGCAGCCTGGCAATGCATTAGAAGAGAAAATCTCATTTTCTGGGGAGAAATTCAAGCTGGCTGCATAAATTTGCATAAGTAACGAGGAGCCAAATGTTAATTCCCAAGACAATGGGGAAAATGTCTCCAGTGCATCTCAGAGGTCTTCACAGCAGTCCCTCCAGTCACAGGCCCCAAGGCCTAGGAGGAAAAAGTGGTCTCCAGGGCCTGGCCCAGGGTCCCTGTGCTGTGTGCAGCCTAGGGACTTGGTGCCCTGCGTCCCAGCCACTCAAGCAATGGCTGAAAGGGGCCTGAAGCTCTGGCCATGGCTTCAGATGGTGCAAGCCCTAAGCCTTGGCAGCTTCCATGTGGTGTTGAGCCTGCGGGTACACAGAAGTCAAGAACTGAGGTTTGGGAACGTCTGTCTAGATTTCAGAAGATGTGTGGAAATGCCTGGATACCCAGGCAGAAGTTTGCTGCAGGGGCACAGCTCTCATGAAGAACCTCTACTAGAGCAATGCAAAAGGGAAATGTGGGGTTGGAGAGCCCACACAGAGTCTCTACTGGGACACTGTCTAGTGGAGCTGTGAGAAGAGGGTCACTGTCCTCCAGACCCCAGAATGGTAGATCCACCAATAGCTTGCACTGTGCGCCTGCAAAAGCCAATGCCAGCCCATGCTCAATGCCAGCCCATGAAAGCAACCAGGAGGCAGGCTGTACCCTGCAAAGCCACAGGAGTGGAGCTGCCCAAGACCATGGGAACCCACCTCTTGCATCAGTGTGACCTGGGTATGAGACATGGAGTCAAAGGAGATCATTTTGGAGCTTAAAGATTTGACTGCCCAACTGGATTTTGAAATTGCATGTGCCGTGTAGCCCCTCTGTTTTGGCCAATTCCTCCCATTTGGAATGGTTATATTTACCCAGTGTCTGTATCCCCATTGTATCTGGGAAATAAGTAGCTTGCTTTTGATTTTACAGGCTCATATGTGGAAGAGACCTGCCTTGTCTCAGACAAGACTTTGGACGGTGGACTTTTGAGTTAATGCTGAAATGAGTTAAGACTTTGGGGAACTGTTAGGAAGGCATGATTGGTTTTGAAATGTGAGGACATGAGATTTGGCATGGGCCAGGGGTGGAATTATATGGTTTGGCTCTGTGTCCTCACCCAAATCTCATCTTGAATTGTATTCCCATAATTCCCATGTGTTGTGGGAGGGACCTGTTGGGGATAACTGAATCACTGGGGTTTGTTTCCCTCATACTGTTCTCATGGTAGTGAATAAGTCTCACGAGACCTGATGGTTTTATCAGGGGGTTCTGCTTTTGCGTCCTCCTCATTCTCTTTGCCTTCTGCCATCCATGTAAGATGGGACTTGCTCCTCCTTACCTTCTGCCATGATTGTGAGGCTTCCTCAGCCACATGGAACTGTAAGTCCAATTAAACCTCTTTCTTTTGTAAATTGCCCAGTCTCAGGTACGTCTTTAACAGCAGCATGAAAACAGACTAATATAGGGATGTTGTATTTTCATTTTCATTTGTTTCAAGAAAATTTTTAATTTTCATCTTAATTTTCTCTTTGGCCCAGTGGTCATCCAGGAGCATGTTAATTTCCATGTATTTGTATGGTTTCCAAAGTTCTTTCTGGTATTGAATTCTTGTTTTATTCCATCATAGCCTGAGAATATACTTGATATGATTACAATTTGAAAAATTTGTTGAGACTAATTTTGTAGTCTCACAGGTATCATTTTCTAATTGATCATTGGGAATGTAATGTTGCTTGCCTGGATGCTAAAGGGTCAAAGACAGCAACGATTTTCAACTCAATGGCTTTGCAATTCTGTAAAGTTCTTTAGCTCTACCCAAACCAGTCTGACTTATGACTTAGTTTCCTTTTTTCCGTGTCTTAATTCAGGCTTTGTTTCTATATAAAAACTTCCTTTTTCTTCCTATCCTTAACCAAGTGTTACCCAGCCTTTGGAGCTCAGTTTAGTTCTCGATGCAGGAAGCCTCTCCTCTGCCTCTCACAGTTCACAAAATCAAGTTCCCTTGATGAATCCCTTGGATCTTATCATCTGTTTCATGTATATGCTATTTACCAGATGTCTCCATGCTAACTGAATTGTTAGCTTTTGGTGAGCAGGAACCTTAAGTTTCCTGGTGACCTCCATACTGCCATGTACTGAGTAATGCAGTGATAGGTCCTAAGGAAGGTTTGAGAAAGGTAAAAGACCAATGAGGGGAATGCCTAAGAAGCAAGAGGTCATTGGCAGGTCCCAGTGTCTTTCCAGAAAGCAACAATTCCCTTGATTTATTGATCAGAAGGGCAGTAGCCGTAATTCTGGAAGTTCTTCCCATCTTGTATAACCTGCGTACTTTGATACAATGCATAGTTGCTCTAATATATACATTCAGGCACACAAACACATTGCTAGGAGTACCTTGCCACCATCCATTTGTGGTTTCTCTACATTGCTTTCTTGAAATCTTGAATACTAGTGCCTGACACTCACCATTCTCACTTATTTGTATATGTAGCGTCTGAACAACTAAAAACTAAGCCTGTTGCTTTGCTGTTCTTTCCTCTCCAGGACTTTCTGAGTAATCAGCGATGTTGGTATCTTAAACCACTCAGCTTTTACACACACACACACACACACACACACACCCTAGATAATTTTTTCTCACTCTCTTTAATGTAGTATATGTGTAATAGTCATATACATCATATCAAATATTAAGCATATCAAAATCTACCCCGGCACTAGAGGTTTATTTGTTTACTGTTGTTTTGTTTATTGTCTTTCGCTGGTGTTTATATACCAGGCAGTATGCTGGACACTGAGGCTATAGTGGTAAATAAGACCAACAGAAGCCTTGCCCTCTCAGAGTATCCAGTCTAACGGAAGACACCAAGCCAATAGGCAATCATAGTTTAGAGTATTATGAAGGGATGATATAGGGGCCTGTGGATGCATACAGAAAGAGCACATAACCCAAAATTGGGGAGAAAGGACTAGAGGAGGAAATTTTTTCCTGAAAACTGATAGCCTACAGGCAAGAAGACTATGTACAACAAGTGTTGTATACAACACTATGTACAACAAGTGTTGTATACAAAAGCTAAGAAGGAAGAGAGCCAGGCAAGGGTGGAGCTTAGTGTAGAAATTAGGGAGTAACCTTATCAGCCACATTTAGGGGTTTGGGCTTTAACTTGAGGACAAGAAGTTGTGTGTTGGGCCAATAAGGGGGATGTAGTGACTCTTGCACACATTCCAAATTCCTCCCTAGTCTGTTATCCACCCACAAAGAGTTCAGAATGTATTCTCTGCCTGATAGAAGAAAAAAGACAAAGAATTGAAAAATGGTTCATCTTGTTCTCAAATAGCCAAAGACACTGTTTTGTACCTCCTGGATTAGTGAAGCAGCACAATAGGGATTATGTTATTTTCCTTTTTAATACCATTTGTAAAGACAGTTTTGTCCCTAAGCAATTTGAAGCTTGTATTTTATGTAGTCATGAACTACCAGGGTTTTGAAGAGTCGCTGAGTGTCAAAAAAAAAATTACTTCCATTTTGAAGACAAAGTGATGAACATCTGAAAATTAGAGAGCTAATCCAGCAATAACTTGGTCTCACTTGTCTCCATTATATCTGAGAAAACTTGGATATGACTAAGAGTTCACTGCACGACTGCGTGTCATCTTATGGTTGCAATTTGTCTAGTGAGCACTGCTCTGTGGTCACTGATGCAAATTAAGAGAGTTTCTGACACATACAGAAACATATCTAACTTAGAGGGTAACAAATAAACACAGGCAATTAAGTTTGTCAATCTTGATCATTGGAATAGTTGAGAAAAGCCATAGTTAAAAGACAAATATAAGCCTCAAATAACCATTTTTATCAGCCTGCATGTTGACATCCATGTCATCCTCTGGTAGTGTCCCCTCTGGGGGCTCACCTTGTGCCATGTCATCATGAACATCATTCTTTCTCTTTGGGCCACAGCATTTTTATGCAGAAGTCAAGCCATTATCCTCATTTAGCATCCCATGAGAGGACCAGTTTCTCTCTAGAAAGGTTAACTTCCACAGATATTCAAGATTAAGAGAGGTGGGGTCCAAAATCCACTCCTTACCCAACACATGTGCATGCACACGCATACACACATGCACTCACACACACACACACACACACGCACGCACACACACACACAAGAATTGTTGAATGTAATAAAAGTTGTTCCTGATCTCAATGTTGTGAGCAGTACAGAGGCAGAAAATTCTGATATCCTATTTTTGAAAATGGAGATGAAAGCTTTGGGTTTTAGATTAGAAAAGGTTGGTGGCCTCTTCCTATTTTGTTTTCTTTAAATCTATGGAAAATTTCTGGTACTTCTCAATGTTTATTCCAGGGTAGAATGGCCAGCCAGTCTTTAAGCTTCTTAACTATTGAGGATCCATGGCCAAAGCCACGCTTCATCCTCTGGCAAATATCAGTTAGGTCATTGGCCTTTGGAATGAACTTTCTTCTCTCACTAATAACTTCTTAAATACACTCCCCTGATATGCTCCTGGAAGTCACATGTACACTTATAAGGAAATAGATGACATTGGTTGCTTTCTTTTTACCAGTCTAGTGATTGTGAATGGCTCCGGAAGAAAAGAAAAAGATAAAATAACAACAGCAACAACAACAACAAAACAACATTGCTAAACTGGCTTCCCCGACCTATCTACTTTTATGAACATAATTTTCAGTCTAATGTGTTTCTTGATAATGGAGAAAAATCAAGAGTTAAGTCTATATAGTTATCTTCAACTTACTGTTAAAAACCTAAAAAGCCTAGGAGTCAACTCAGATTCTTCCCTTTTCCCAAACACTCTCACATCTAATTCATCTGTAGGTCCTGTTGGCTCTATCTTCAAAATACATTTCAAGCCTAATCAACTCCAATCCTCCTCCCTAGTTCAAGCCACTGTCCCCTCCCATCTTAAGCAAATAGCCTCTAACTGGTCTCTCTACATCAAGTCTTGCCTACCTGTGATCATCTACCCTCATCCCACCAGCTCACACATGGCACTGCTCTACACCACAAGAGCTACCCTTTAAGATGTAAATGGAATATATGTTCACACCTCTCCCTGGTTAATACTTGAAATAAAATTCAAACTCCATTTTGTAGTGTACATGACCCTGTATGGTACGGCCTCTGCTAAATTCACCTATCGTCAATTCCCTTGTTTAATCTGTTCCAGCCACACTGGCCTGTTGGAGTTTCTAGAAAACACTCACTAGTCTTGCCTTGGGGACTCTGCACTTGCTGTTCCTGAAACCTGAAAGCCACTCTCATCAGAACCTCACATGACCTGTGCCTTCCTTTGTGATGTCTGCTCAAATTGTACCTCTTCAGAAAGGCCCTTCTTGACTATCTAAAACTTTTCTTTCCCGCCTCCCTTTACTTTTTGTTTCTGAGACAGTCTCGCTCTGTTGCCCAGGCTGGAGTGCAGTGGCGTGATCTCGGCTCACTGCAAGCGCCACCTCCTGGATTCATGCCATTCTCCTGCCTCAGCCTCCCGAGTAGCTGGCTCCCTTTACTCTTTAACTCTGCTTTAATTTTCCTTCATTGACTTCTCGCTCCCTGAAATTGCACTGTTTGTTTACTAATTGCTTCTATTACACTACAGGGGCCCCAGTCTCCCTGAGCACAGAGACTATGTCAGGTTGATGGCTACCTTGTGCAGAATGCTTACCTCTCAGTGCTGATAGGAGAAGCCTAAGGAATTTTGTGAAATGAATGAATGTGGATGGAAGCAAGAATACTACTCTCATTCATTTGTTATTTCTGAGAGTGGTTACAGTATCCCAGAGCAGGCAATTGTTCTTCTTCCACCTCCACAATCTGCTTCGGACCACTTCATGGGAAGACAGGAGACACTGACGTCAGTTTCTGTGGGGCACTCTCCCAAGCAGACAGCTCCACTTGTGGTTTCAGTGTTTGTTATATCAGATTTTTATCCACCTGTGTTTTATTTTTGAAATGCACTGGTTCTTCATTTTAGATTAATTACAATCACATATCAAAAACCAACTATTAGGATGCCTATAAAGGAAACCATGTTTTAAGTGCCAAGGAAGTCATTTGGCCTCCAAAAGCCAAATCAACCATCTTTATTTTGTTTCCATATTCCAAACAAATCCACCTCATGTTAAGCCCAAGATGATGTCTTCTTAGTCCCCTTGGATTTTCAGTCAGGAAAGTGAGTCATGACAGTAACAAGAAAGGCTTAAGTGAAATAGCATTTCTCTTCTTGCAACCTCTACTTTATTACAATAGCATGAAGCAACAATGGAAGTCACACTAACTCATGGTATTATTCCAACTTGTTAGTATGTTCTTGTCATATGCTGTTTCTGAAACAGCGAGTCATATATAGTCAGAATTCTCAAAGCAAAAGCCCACAAGCCATTCTAGCCTGAGTCAAGACATCCACATATTCCAAAGTGCTTCCTCTCTGACATAGAATAGGCTGGTCAAAGGATTGCCTCTACTTAGTCTTTTAAAGGCGCGATCTAGAAATCTTCATGGTCTTTTCCTTTCCCACGTAGCGACAGTCAGGAGACTTAGCTGCTAAGAGATTATCTTTCTGCACGTGAAGAACTGTGTTGATTGCTGGTAAGGAGAGTATGGAGGTGAGCAGAAACCCAGAGGCAAAGTTCATTGGATGAACCTTTTGTGTTTGTGTCCTTTTCTGAGAAATAGTCTTTGGTTGCTTTTCTGTTTAGTTAGAAGGAGAAAAAATTTCTGTTTTACTCATCCTTCCCCTCAGAGAACATCATTAGGCTCATTCTCTTGAATACATATTCTCCCCTCGGAGCCAGAAGCTGTGCAAATATAATATCCAGCTGGACATTTGCACCAAGTGGGCAAATGTATCATCTACCTGGGCACAGGAATTGGCACCAAGTTGAGAACCAGGTCTGTGGAACCATGTTCAGCAGAGTAATTCTTCAGCAGCAATGACCTACATTTGTTCAATACTTACCTTCTCGTAGAACTAGATAAGGTGCTGGAGATACGCAACAGTAGCAAGTATCTGAGGGTTTTTGCCCTTTCCATCTATAAGAGCCAAACGCCCTTCACTAATTGTGTATTTTTAAAATATATGCTGTTTCCTTCCATTCATTTCTCTAGTCAAATGTTGAGTCTTATCTTTAAGAGAAGGTGCAGAAAATTCCTGCACCTGACATTCAATATGAGGGAAGAAAAAAAGCACTATAAACAGCACATGTTATTAATGACTGAAGCGTCACCCGGCCAGTTTCTTTTCAAATGTATGGATTATGTTGACTTTTGACATCTTCTCTGGTTGTGGCTTCCAAAGGTACCTGACCACACTTGGCAGGAGTACTGCGTTTAAAGTTGGTTCTCAAAGTTCTGCTGGTGTGTTCAAGAGACTAGTGTTTGCATTTTGAAACCATGAGAAGGATACTGGGATACTGGATAGTCCATTTTTTGTATGTCCATGCCTCCATTTCTCATGCTTAGACAAAAATAACACTGATTTTTTGCCTTGTTTCTCATCTGACATTCTCATTACACTCTCTTCTGAACGTTTTTCTTTCATCTAATGCATTCTATTGTAAAGTAGATTGAACGCTATGTCTGACACCATGCTGAACAAGAGAAAGATTCTTGCCTTTGCTACAGGACTATGAGTTAATCCCCTTGCTCTGACCCACTCAGAGAAACCCAAGAGATGATATCATTGCAGATTTTTTTTTCATAGTAGAATTTTTTACATCAAATGTCTAGGACCACTCTGGATAAATTTTCTTCAGTTTGGTGCTTTTTTAAAGAGAGGATTTGGCAGAATCAGCCTTTCTTCCCTCTCTCCCCATGTCAGATTCTGAAATAGACAAACAACTGAGTCACAGCCAATTCTGCAGTCAGGATATTCCAGAAAACTCCTCTCTTGGTCCTGCATAATTCATTTCTCTGACATACCCGAGACGTTCTCCCCTCCTCCCTTTTTCTTTCCACAGGGGAGAAACACTGCAATGCTGTGGGTCCTATTTCAGCATTTCGAAGAAAAAAAAATAACACTTCTCTGCCTTGGGCATTGATTAGTTTGTTTTTTTGACTTACAACTCGCTCCCTACACCCAAGAGGAGAAACTTTCCTCCAGAACACTCTGTCCTTTCTGTTTCTCACACTCACTCACTCATGATGTATATGAGCATCTCCTTCAAAAAGTATTTGTGATCGTTTCACCTACAGCCAACTTCACAGACTTCATTTTGTCATGCTCAGTGTAGGTTCAGGCCATCATTTTTGAGTCCTGGTCTTTTCCAACCTTATGAATTATTTGCAGTTAATACTGACCCAGCCTCTCATAGGGAGCACAAGCTCTTCCAGGGGACAGATTAGGCTCTTGGACTATTTGGGGACAGAGTCCTCAGACGGACACACAGCTCTTGCCCTGCCCCAGTCCTGCCCCAGTGGACAGTGTTGCAATTACCCACACTTCCCAGCGGCTGTTTCTTCTTTACTGAAAGCTGGTCTTGATTGTCTCAGAAGCCGAATTCAATTTGCAGTTCCCCCAGTAACGTGCTGTGATTCATTTGGGGACAAATCTGGATTGAACTGAGTCCAAGTGTCTCTTTTGTGAGACAGAAGGGAAGTATAAGTAGATACTATAGTCACCCAGATGAGTCAGCCAGGAATTCATGAAGTGATTCATAAATCGTTATAAAGACCACTAAAGTCTGCTAAAATGGAGTGCTGTCTGGCTATACAAAGTGGGGTATTATCATTGCGGGGTTTTTTTAGATGTTAAATCAGATGTGAAATCCTTAAAACTGGGCTTTTCTTTTTAAGTTTTGAAAAGGATTCCTTTCTTCCCCCTCTGCAGTTGGCCAACTGCTATAGCCATTTTTCATTGATTAGTTTGCACAGATGAATTTTAAAACCGCCACAGATGATACCCCACAATTCTTTGGGGAAATAAAAAATACCTCCCCAAATCCATCGTAGACTAGTTTATATCCATTATTTCTACTCCCTGGCAGCAAATCAATAATATTTTTCGTGTGAATACAATGAAACAAGCTGTTCTAATGAATCCTTCCTTCTTTGGGAGGTCTGTAGCCGCCGTGGAAGAGACGGGGGGCGGAGGGAAAGAAAAACTATCCAGAACACATACCGCCTTTTAATCTAGTTGATCGTGTAAAAACACAAATTCCTTCTTTTCAAAGTGTTAACCCCCAAAGCAGTGCTAAAACACACAGTCCTGCACTGCTGGCTGGAACTGCTTGTGCGTACAGTACAAATGAAGAAAAGTAAGAAATATTTATGACATGCTTGACTGGTAACACAATCTATTAGTAAATTTTGTTAAAGAAATAAATGTGTACATTGACAAAGAAATACTTTGGACTTATACACACGGGAAAGAGCCCTACCCGAAAGAAGTTATCTAGTTAGAAAGACTAAAGGTATATACTATGTTGTGCATGAAGAACTCCAGTTCAGGGCTGAGCAAGTTCACCAAAGCACACTGAGCAACACTTGCCATTGCTAGATTTCTTAAAGGTAGTATGTTGCTGACACGCTCTCCCACTAGCCCATGATAAAGATGAACATTTCAGATGCCCTCAGGAATCTTCTTCATTCCCCCCTCACCCCACCACTCATGATTGCTTTCCATCTCCGCTAGAGAAGTCCTTCTTACCTTTGTGACTTTAAGCAAATTATTTTACCTCGTTGGGCATTTGTTTTTTTCATCCAAATAAGATGGTGCTCCAGTGCCCTTTCCAACTAAAACATTCTATAATTGTATGAATTTGTGGACTCAGGATACTCCACTGGAAAACCCAGCACCAAGATATGAGACCTATACACAAGACCAACATTAACTACTTCTAGAACTAGAAAATCAGCCACATGAGTAAATGCTTCACTTTCTTTTTTAAATTTAATTTAAGTTAAGTTTAAGTTCTGGGATACATTTGCAGGATGTGCCGGTTTGTTACAGAAGTAAACATGTGCCATGGCGGTTTGCTGTGCCTATCAACCCATCACCTAAGTATTAAGCCCCGCATGCATTAGCTATTTTTCCTGATGCTCTCCCTCCCCTGCACCCACTAACAGGCCCCAGTGTGTGCTGTTCCCCTCCCTGTGTCCATGTGTTCTCATTGTTCAGCTCCCACTTATAAGTGAGAACATTCAGTGTTTGGTTTTATGTTCCTGCATTAGTTTGCTGAGGATAATGGCTTCCAGCTCCATCCATGTCCCTGCAAATTACATGATCTCATTCCTTTTTATGGGTGCATAGTATTTCATGGTGTATATGTACCACATTTTCTTTATCCGGTCTATCTTGATGGGCATTTGGATTGATTCCCTGTTTTTGCTATTGTGAATAGTGCTGCAATGAACGTACACATGCATGTATCTTTATATGATTTATATTCATTTGGGTATATAATGGAATTATATACCCAAAGTAATGGGATTTGGGTACATAATGGGATTTCTGGGTCAAATGGTATTTCTGGTTCTAGGTCTTTGAGGAATCACCACACGGCTTCTACAATTGTGTAACTAATTTACATTCCCTCCAATAATATAAAAAATGCCTCACTTTCTGTTGAGCCTTAGTGTTTATATCTGAATAGTCAAAGAAGGAAGGAGTCTTAAGATTTTCTAAGAACTCTATAGACGTTCTAATACATTGCTGGGACCACAGTCTTACACAGCTCTCGAACACAGGGATACATGTTAATGTCAGGGATGCCTTAAATGTACATTCAATCGATCATTCCATAAACATGTGTTGATCACCCGGAAGGCATCAGACTTTCATTGTATTAAGTACTTTGATATTCCTGACTTCTCAATTTAAAATTATTCCTAATCCACCCCGCCCTTTGCTGTCTCCATGTTTTTCTCCATAGCATTCATTTCCTCTAGCCCAGTAGATACATTGCTTACTAAATTTCTTCACTGCCTGTCTCCCCTTACTAAAATATACGTTCCACAAAGACAGAGATATGTGTCTTTTGTTGCTCTATCCCTAGTGCTTAGAACAATGCCACACATTTAGTGCTCAACAAAGACCCCTTGAATGAATAAATGTCACCATGGACTTTAGAACCTTCAGTGAAAGTTGAGATAACCTTTATTTTATGCTTGAAATTGATCCTGGGAAAAGGTGGGGAATTTACTTGTTTACCCAGCTAGTAACAGACAGACCCAGCATCCAAGCCCAGGTGGGTGTGACTTCTGGCCTGTCTGTCTTCTCCTTTGCCCATCTGCTTCTCCTGCCATTCCCACTTTTTCTGCACATGAACCTAA
The DNA here is from genome assembly GCF_000001405.40 of Homo sapiens. Taxonomy (NCBI): domain Eukaryota; kingdom Metazoa; phylum Chordata; class Mammalia; order Primates; family Hominidae; genus Homo; species Homo sapiens. Next base: position 3,860,572 of record NC_000009.12, on the reverse strand, counting down.
GCAGTTCTCAGTGTCTCAGGGTCTACGTGTCTCAGTTGGGAGCTACTGATATGAGAAACAATCTAAGTTTGAATGCTGTTGGGCCACCCCACTGCATGGCTGGGGAGTTCAATGATAACAGGGGGTTGGGGCTGAGCAAGCAATGGAGAAGGGCATAGAAGGGAAGGAGAGTGGCCAAGTAAATACCCCCAAATAATCAGACATTCTTTAAGATAGGTGGAGATACATATTTGCAGAAATGTTTTAAATGTTTCCTCATCCCCCAGAGGTTTTTTTTTTTTTTTTTTTTTTTTTTTTTTTGACAGAGTCTTGCTCTGTCACCCAGGCTGGAGTGCAGTGTCACTATCTCAGCTCATTGCAAGCTCCGCCTCCCGGATTCACGCCATTCTCCTGCCTCAGCCTCCTGAGTAGCTGTGACTACAGGCACCCACCACTACACCCGGCTAATATTTTGTATCTTTAGTAGAGACAGACTTTCACCGTGTTAGCCAGGATGGTCTCAATCTCCTGACGTCGTGATCCACCCGCCTCGGCCTCCCAAAGTGCTGGGATTACAGGCGTGAGCCACCACGCTTGGCCCCCCAGAGGATTTTTTATGAGGTTTTAAAATCTGTTCCCCTTCCCTTTCTTTTTTTCTTTTGCATGCCATTGCTCATGGTAGGGTTATACAAACTCCTCTACCAAATGAGTGGAAGTGTTTGACTCAGTTATCTGGTTAGCTTTTGTGCGATCTGTTTCTGGTAAGCAGTAATTTTTTTTTCTAGTCTGTTATGTGCCTATTTAACAGAGCAATCATCTATTGTTTCAAAGAAGTATAAAAGGCTAAAGAAGAGACTAATAAGCCATGTCCAGTGAAATCTCTGAAGTGTCAACTGCAGATCAGCAGCTAGAGAACAGGGTTGGACCTAGAAAAGATGTCAGAAGGTGTCTCTTCTGGCTCTTGGACACGCTGTAACTGAAGATGAATGGGAGTGATGTCATCTTGATCTGACATAATTGGGGAATAAGATACTCCATAAGAGGGAAAATGGCAAATAACTATAATTTATCCTCGGCATTACAATGTTTTGTTTATTTTAGCATCAAAAAAATTTAATTTACCTTCATTTGATTTAAAATAAAGTCTCAGTTAACTTTTGGGGACAGAATATTCAGAACATATTCATTTTGATGTGTGTGTGTGTGTGTGTGTGTGTGTGTGTGTGTGTGTGTGTGTGTGTGTTTCGAAGAAACAGGGTTGGAAAGTAGGTGCAGACACTTAGAAAATGGGGTTCTGAGTTCCCCATCCTGCCTCCAACAATAGTGAAAACAGTTTATTTTTGCTTAGTGAGCATCTAAGTATGTGTGTTTTCTGTTTGTTTGTTTGCTTTTGCACCAAATAAATAACCTCAGACTACTTGTTAGCTTGTTGAGTCACTCTCCTGGCATCTCTCTTGCTGAGAGAAGAGTTGTCCATTACTGTGTTTTGACATTCCCAGGGACCTTACCTCAAACAGGAAGACTCTCTCTTCATCTTCTCCATGCCTCTCCTGTCCTCTCACCCCTGATTTTAGTTTACTATTTCTACTCTACTATGAGCTGGTTAACAAGTAACTAACTTTATAAATATTAAATTTCAATTAATACATTTTGAAAGATTTTAAGTATGGTACTATGTGGTGTTTTTACACAGTAACAAAATGGATTCTATCTGCCGTACTTGAAAATCAATCCTATATATACACTTACTTCTTATGCTGGACTTTTTAGTGGTGGCTTCCTATCTACTTCCTTGTTCCTAGCAATTGTCTGGATAATTGTGATCACTTCTTGTCATATTTTATTTCTCTACATGTATAAAAGTTAACATTTTTGTACTATTTCTTTCCTTTTCAAATCAAAGCCTACTTTAAATGTGTATTTTACTTAGAATAGTTTATATTTAAATTTCTATTAATACTTTATATGGGGTGTCATACTATGTTTTGAAATTATATTAACTTTATATTGTATAAATTCATTTATTTGACTAACATAGAGGAAAATTCAGCCTGAATTAGGAAAAAGCAAAATCTTGAGTCAGTTGAAGCCATGATATTTTATTCCTTCATGTCCTTGAGATAGCAGTGCTAAAACCATGGTTTGTACCTATCATATTTTTTTCTTTATTCAATGATATTATTATACTGGGTAATATTTGGTAGTCAAGAGAGCATGGCCCTGGTTTGGAACTTCCATGGATGAGTACATAAGAATGATTTTAATCAGCATATAATTATATAGAATCATATATATATAGGATCTAGATATAGATCTACTTGCTGACTTGCCCATTCACACATCTCTGTGTCCCATCAGTCCTCAACAGAAAGAGGATAGCAGATATTCCAGAAGAAGGGACTGGAAAACCATCTAGAGCAAGTTGCATCTTTGATTTACAACCTAGGAAACAGAATTGGGGAGCCGATCAAAGGATCTTGCTCCTTTGCCCCAGAAAACAAAACTGGGACACCAGCAATGACTGTTAAATAGTACCATAGGTTGCCTTGCAATTCAGATCCTTCCCGCCTCCATCTCTGGGGATCTTTAAGGACCAGGGGATTTGGGATTAGGTGTTAACCTGGATTCCTTCTGCCCCTAAAGTCTATGATCTCACAATTGCTCATCGCTCTCCCACAACCTCAGAGCAACTTGTAAGACACGTTAAAAACACGTTCCCCCAGAAAATAGCCTTCATATGAGGAATCCTGGCAAATGAGTTTTACTAGATGTTCTCAGGGCAGTGCCAGGATTTGTTTGCTGTGTTTTCTCTCAAGCTATTCAGCAGATCTTTTCAGGGTAATACCAGTTAAGATGATATGCTCAGAAAATGTGTATTTACTCAGCACGGTGCAGTCACTTACTATTCTCTTTCAGCAGAATGAAGATGTAAATGATCAATTAAACAGGCATCCCAACCCAGCTGGTTTGTTTAAGCTCCTCGCCTTGACTTCTTTTCCCTAGAGGTTAGCGAGTCCTACTCCTACTTTCTTGGTTCTTACATTCACTTTCTTCTATAGTCTCATCACACCTCACATGGGAAAAGCAAAAAGAACATGAGATTTTTGTCCCATGCTTTCTTACTGCTACAGTACAAACATAGAAACTCTGCCTTATTAAATATTCTGGTTCAGAATGTTTCCAATCACTTTATAAGCTTGACTAGTTCATCTTCCCTTTTTATCATCTATGGCCCTCCACAAAAGCCCAGCAAAGTTAAAGCAATTTGTTCCTGTGAAATAAGCAATGTAAGCAGATGGTGACCTATACGTGTTACTGCAAAACAAAGCCTGTCTTTCTACACAGTGTAAGGAACAGCTGATTAAAAGTTTTCAGCTTACTGGGACTTTTTGAGGAAACTAAACAATTCATTTGCTGCTTCATTTTACTGCATTGACAGACTTCCTGCTCCTTTCTCCCCTATATTCTGTCAGTCCCCTACTGAACTGGCACCTGGAGGATCATTTTGATATTTGATAGACATTGCCAAACTGTAACATTGTTCTAACAATTACATCTTGCCTTCAATGTTAGAAAGCATAAACTGTCATTTTAAACATAGTGAGTCAGGTCTTTCCAATTTTCCTTCACAATTGGAAGATCAATGTACAATCATCCATTTCATATCCCAGGTTTCTTGACAACATCTCCTTATTTAAACATCAACATGTCCCCCACCCCAGAAACCACCAATAGTCTTACTGTGATTGGCGCATGTGACTCCTACATCATCTTCCTATCATACCCTCAGGAACACTCTTTGCCAAGCACGGAGCCCACGCAGATTTCGTGGGTTGTGGGTTTCAAGCCATACTTGACCTTCGAGGTTTAAGTTAATTCATTCTTGGCAAAAGCAAATGCATTGTTCAAAGAGAATAGGATTAGAGAGGCTCATAATAAAGACTTGTAACAACACTTCTTGGACCTCAGATATATCTTACAAAACAAACAAAATGTTTGTGAGCTAAGTGTAAATGATTCAGAAACATACGGATCAAATTTCCCCTTAAATGCAAATAGATTTTAAAAATTAGCAGAAAAAGGGCTTGGCAAAAGATGTACTTTGAATTTCACCAAACATAGTGTATTTGAAATGCAGCTTAGAAATCTTGAGAAACCCAAACTGTGAGTAGGTTTTCCCTTTATTGTACTTGTTTATTCCCTCTGTATCTCAGTTGAGAACTCAGTGGTTAAATGGCAGTGGGGAGGGAGAGAGGGTAGAGAAAAATCCTGAAAGATTTTTTTTTAAAAGGCTTGTTGTCACGCTCTTGTATAGCCAGAATGGGAGGTGAGAATTTGGCTTTGGAGAGTTTGTCTTTGTTCCTGCTGTTTTATGTCCCTCATGTTTCCTTTTATAATTGTTTTCTCAGGTTTGCACCTTCTGCTCCATCTCCTCACCACATCAGCCCCCGGAGAGTTCCAGCTCCTTCTTCAATACTGCAAAGAACACAGCCTCCCTATACCCAGCAGCCATCAGGTTCACACCTGAAGTCCTATCAGCCAGAAACAAACTCTTCTTTTCAACCAAATGGTATCCATGTCCATGGTAAGCAAGAAGCTGGCAGTCCCTTGAGTTTTGAAAAGTGACATTGTGCTGTTGCTTTTCATCTTAGTTACCTGTCGTGGATTTCAGATGCTCTGTTCTACACCAGGCTTAGGCTTTCATGACTTGCCTCTAAAATTTCACACTTGATAGGCATGAAATCCTATGGTATTTTCCTGACTTTGGCCTGATGATGGTATGATTTATGACACATCGCACTGGTCAGCTCAAGTTGCTGGTTTTTTCATTGGCCAGGGCTCTAACACCAGCAATAGCATCCTGTTTCTAAACAATAGACAGCCCATGGAGAAAGAAATGACAGGAGTTCTTGTGCCCAAGCATGCCTCTGCTCTGCTAGGTTTTTGCTCTCATTCTCATAGGTCCACATCCTCTCCGTCCTTCAAGGCGCAGGTGGAATGACACCTCCTCTCTGAAGCCCTTCCTGATCCCCCAGCTGATGTCATCTCTCCAGGCTCTAAACTCTGATTTTATATCGCCTGTCTTTCTCTGGTAGTATTTATGCTTCCTCTACCTTGTGTTTTACTTATCTGTGAATAAAACATACTTTCACTATTAATGTGCAGACTTCTTTGTGAGCATTTTCTGACCCATCAGAAAATTATATCTTTTAGGGAACTTAACACAGCTCTTCACAAGTGGCAAAGAGACAGATACTTGTTAGGTGAATGGAGGATGAAAAGGAGAAAAGGAAAGCAAGAGAAATGGTAATGATTGTCTAAATGTGCAGATCTTGTGTTTAATGGGGAATATGCATAGAGAACTAAGTCTTAGTTTCTTTTCTTTATTTAGACTCATTTTGCCATTTCAGGCACGTATCTTAGTGAGCATCCATAGAAAGTTGAATTGCCAAGTCATATAGATTTGAACTGTCACAGGCTTTTACTTCCTAGGGCAATCAGATCTGTATAAGCAGAAGAGATACTGTCCTTTTAGGCTGAATGTTTCAACTTCTGAAAAATACTACTGTCCTCTACCTGCCTCTTGCTGATGCCTGAATTTTCTCTGTATGAGTTATACTTGAAATTAATGGGTGATGTTCCCAAACAAACAAATCTAAATCAATATGCAAATTGAGTGTGAATAATTTTCTAAGATGGCAGAATCAACTAGTACTATGGAGCTAGGCTTGGATAAGAACATCAAAGTAGGCTGGGCATGGTGGCTCACGCCTGTAATCCCAGCACTTTGGGAGGCCGAGGCGGGTGGATCATGAGGTTAGGAGGTCGAGACCATCCTGGCTAACATGGTAAAACCCCATCTCTACTAAAAATACAAAAAAAAAAAAAATTAGCCAGGCGTGACGGCGGGCGCTTGTAGTCCCAGCTACTTGGGAGGCTGAGGCAGGAGAATAGCATGAACCCGGGAGGCGGAACTGGCAGTGAGCCAAGATCGCGTCACTGTACTCCAGCCAGGGTGACAGAGCGAGACTCTGTCTCAAAAAAAAAAAGAACATCAACGTAAAGGCCTGAACAGCAAAGACGAGGTGATATTAAAACAGCAGCCAGCTGTAGGAAGGAAGAGACCTTGAAAAACCAGAGCTATTGGTTCTGGCTCAAAGTTCCGTCCATCTCATCTCCCCACTTCCCCAGTGTAGCCACACAAACCCTCATCAGAATTTGTACTTGTACCATTCTGCAGGCCCATGGTCATTTTTACCTTCTGCTGGCTATACATTGTTTCTCAAGCTTTAGTTATGTATTTATTCAACCAAGAAATACTTCTTGAGTACCTACTGTGCACAAGACAAGGCATCAAGGCATGCAAAAGACAGTCAAATTGAGCCCTCTTCCCTCTGAGGAGGGCCTGCCAGTCCAGTCGAGGAGTTTATCTACTCTGAAAGAGAACCAGGTCCCCTGTGCCATGAAGCCATCCTCACCACTCCAGGCAGTAGATGCACAGCCTGAGTGTGGGCTATGTGAAGTGTAGAGTAGGCCATTGATTCTAAGACACAAATTCTTCACCTTCACATTTTAACATCGCTGAAATCTGGACATAGCTCACAGTGGCATCATATAATTGGCAGTGATTTTTCTTTCTGGTGCTATCTAGAGTAATGGAGCATTTCACAGTTGATGGTGTCAAAGTTCCAAGAAAATGCAGTATAACACATTTTGATTACAACTGTGAAACACATTTTTAAAAATTTGAAAATTGACCTATGTGTAGAAGAAAAATTGGAAGGAAGTTCTCCAAAATATTGACGGTTTTATATCAGGATGGTAGGATAATGGGTGATTTCTTCTTTTTTCTCTAAAGAAATCTTTAAAAAGTGTTTTGAAATTAGACCAATTTGAATGCAAACACTAGTCTACCCTGAACTGTGTGACTCTGGGCAAATCATGGAGTCTTAGTTCACATTTGTTAAGTGGGGGGCATTTCATCTATCTTCTCTCTTCAGTTGTTAGGAAGATTTGACAAAAAAAGCACCTGGCACAGAGTAGGAGCTTAATTAATTTAATGCTTTTCCTTCTATTCCCTTCTTTTTTAAAAAATTAGACTCTTTGAGAATAGGGATAATGTTTGTAGCCCTAGGGCAGGTATAATACTTGGTGCAAAGTAGGCATTTAATAAATATTTACTGACTAAGTGATTGACACTCCCTCATTCAACAAATGAATAATGAACAAGAGGATACAGAAAATGGGATCTACCCATTATTTTCCCCTACCTCTTGGCAAAATACTCTTCTTCCACATTTCTTTTTTTTAGTTAAATAATGAATGTATTGTCAACTTGAAATTGTTGGGATTTTTTTAACTCTCACATTAAAAACAATTTACTTTTTAGAGACAGGGTCTTGCTCTGTCCTCAAGGCTAGAGTGCAGTGGCACAGTCATAGCTCACTGCAGCCTCAAATTCCTGGGTTCAGTCTTATTTTAGCCTCCCAAGCAGCCGAGACTGCAGGCACACACCACCACACCTGGCTAATTTCATTTATTGTTTTTGTAGAAATGGAGTCTCACTATGTTGCCCAGGCTGGTCTTGAACTCTTGGGCTCAAGTGATCCTCCTGCCTCAGCCTTTCAAAGTGTTGGGATTACAGGTGTGAGTCACCTGTGCTGGGCCCTAACTTTCACATTCTAATTGTTAAAAAATTCCCCATGGCCAATGAGAAACTGCTAATATCAGCCCTAAAAATAAGTTTAAAATATAGTTAGGCAAATTGAGAAATTATGACTTTCTCCAGGAAGATGGGCCAGTGACTGTTGCAATGAGGTTGCAAAGGGCGTGCCCCTGTATTAGCCATTGGTCCACTGCTAGTAGTTAATTGGTAGGTATCCAGATGTAGCCTTACTTCCTTCTCCAAGCATTTTCTGAAATTGTTTTTCTGGAACTTTGTAGGCAACATTTCTAGCGGTTCTTATCTACTACTCTTCAGGGTAAGGACAAAATTTATCTACTATTTTTCAAGTGGGCAATACAATGCTGAGGGTAAAATGAGACCTTCTTAATGAGTTGCATTTATTGATCATGCCTTTCAGCTTTTGTTGGACGAGTTTGCTGGAGTTGTACAGCATCTTGGTAACAGGGAACACCGTCACCTAATAAAACTTGATTTTTAAAGCCCAAAGCAGTGTCAGGGTTGCTAATGCAATAGCTCAAGTGAGTGTTTGTTCTCTCTTTCAAAAACTTCGTGGTTTTAATGAGTGTAGTCACCCCCATTTCTTCTATACTCCCTGCCGTAGGTAGAGGTCAGGGAGAAATACCATCACTGTATTTTTAGAGACAAGAACTGAGACAAATAAGAATATAAAATGTCTGGGCATTGCTACCTTAGCAAACTATGCAGGTGCCTTTATCAAAACGTCTAAATTTCCAAGCCATATTCTTTTTTTTTTTTTCTTTTGGAACGTAGTCTCACTATGTCACCCAGGCGGGAGTACCGTGACACGTTCTTGGCTCACTGCAACCTCCACCTCCCTGGTTCAAGCAATTCCCCTGCCTCAGCCTCCTGAGTAGCTGGGATTACAGGCGCATGCCCCCACATCCAGCTAATTTTTTTGTATTTCTAGTAGAGATGGGGTTTCACCATGTTGGCTAGACTGATCTCAAACTCCTGACCTCAGGCAATCTGCCCACCTTGGCCTCCCAAAGTGCTGGGATTACAGGCATGAGCCACCACTCCCAGCCCCAAGCCATATTCTTAATCAAAAACATGTTTCTAAGGCAAAGGCACACTAAAATAAATATACATTTATATTTTTCCATGGGGAAATGTAGATTGCTCTGTGTGTAGATGCTGTTGCATTACAGAGAGCTATGAAGGGTTACAAGTCAGAGGGGCTTTGGTCTTCCAAATGAAGAAGATGAGATCCATCAAGTTTTGTTAATCGTGCTGTAATACTAAATGATACTGAGCCTAGACATTGTGTGCTCTCCCTATATTTTTGTTGCGGCATTTTGTAAAAGGCACACTTTGAAAGATTACTAGCACTGCTTTTTCAAGTTTCCTTACCTAGTGAATGACCCAGGACCAGAGCTCAGGTTTGTTGACTCTGCATCCATCTCATTCATTCATTTTGCCTTCATTAGTACAGGGAATGAGGTATAATTTCCTTTAATGTTTGAATCTTGGTAGTATTTACGGGTCTCCATTCGGGTGAGATCTCCAAGGCAACTTCTTAGTGCACTTTAGTCCTTTATTTTAGATGTAAACATAGGGACACTCTGCAATCATGTAAGCTTGTTTTTCGGTCTTTTCTTTCTCCTTAGGACACTTCTCTTGCCCAGACAAGCTTCAGAATGTTGCCTGGATTAGTTGCCCAAGAGTTGATATGTGTACATTTTGTTACTGGACTAATGGATCATTTCTTTCTAAATACCCTATTCACTCCAGGATTATCAGCATGCCACGAGAATTCCTACAACAGCATTTTCACAACTTTCCTGCTTCTGGGCCCATCAAGGAGACACCAAGTTCAGTTCAGCAAGTGTTCACTGGTTACCCACTATGTGCAATGCAAACATGAATGTCATTTAATCAACGCACTGTGACATATGCAATAAGAGAAGGTGCAAAAGGCACCTGATTTATTCAGAAGAAGGTGTCAAAGAAGGGTCTGTAGAAGTGATACTTGAAGAGGGTTTTGAAGATAAATACCTTATTGGGCAGGCCAAGTGAGTAAAGGCATTCCAGGCAGAGGGGAAGCAAAGAGCACAGGTGAGAACGGAAATGACACCGTGGCGTGTGTGTGCACAGAGGGAAGAGTCAAAGGGATGGCTGGAGTACACAGGTTAAGGTGTGGAGTAGAGGAGGAAGAGAATGGAGAACTCACAAGGCCAGCTCACGAAGGGTTTTGTGCCATGCTAACTGTAACCTATCGAATGAAGAAGTCAGCCCAGTATTTTAGGAAAGTCAAGTAGAGTGCTGTGTAGAGACTGGAATGGGAGAGGTAGGAACATTAAGCTCTAACTGTTGGGATTATGTTGGGCCACATGTACAGAACACCACAACAGTGACTTATTAAAGAGTTCAGTTCACTCAGGTGCAACTGGTTAATAGGGGAATGATGTCAGGATAATGTGCAATTGTGTTTGTTCACATACAGTCTTTCCTAGACAAAAGCTGGAATAGCAAGAGAAGAGAACAAAAACGTCCTCAGCCTAGCTGCTGTCCAGACAGGAGCCCTTTCAGCTCTATTTTAATAACATTTGAAATGAGCACAGTCCCAGGGGGCTCCCTCCCAGAGGTGCACATCCAGCCTTGCGTGGCCTTCAGCTCATGGCAGATCACACGCCTTCCTGTGCACTGGGCCCTGCTATCACTTGTTGTTTCAGTACCTGTAAGCCAGCCTTTCCAGTCTATTTTGTGTGATTTTTAATAACCACCCAGGAGCCTATAGCCACACTGAACTGCCTGCCTAAATTTCCTCTTGATATTTTATTACTGCTGTAATTAGAAGGTATCAAAGATTTTCAGTGGTCTGACCCAATTTTAGATTTCTCAAAGACCTTATTTTTAATACACATTTGTGCAGAGGACAAGATTTTTCGGGGTTCATTTATCACGTTACAGCAACCGCACCAACAACCCCAGTGTGCAGTTTACTCTTCTCTCATGACAAGATGTCTTTTTTTTTTTTGAGATGGAGTCTCACTCTGTCACCCAGGCTGGGGTGCAGTGGCGCAATCTATGTTCACTGCAACCTCTGCCTCCTGGGTTCCAGCTATTCTCCTGCCTCAGCCTCCTGAGTAGCTGGGACTATAGACACATACCACCATGCCTGGCTAATTTTTTGTATTTTTAGTAGAGACGGGGTTTCACCATGTGGGCCAGACTGGTCTTGAACTTCTGACCTCAAGTGATCCACCCGCCCCAGCCTCCCAAAGTGCTGGGATTACAGGCATGAGCCACCGCCCTTAGCCTTCTCTCATGACAAGACGTCTAACAGGAAACAGTGCAAGGTGGAGAAGGAGCCTCACAGAGTCAGCAGTGCCCATGCCTCCTCCCAACTTTGTGCTTTGTCATTGTTAACAGGTGGCTTCCATCCTCCTGGTCACAGCATGAATGCTGATATTCTACACATCTTGTCCCAGTTTCAGGCAGAGACGAGGGTGAAGAGTAAAGGACAAGCGTACTCTTAGTCACAAGGCAAAGGGGTCAGGGAAGATGGATATTTTAGCGCATTGCCATACTTAACAAAACGGAGATTCCGTTCACAGTTTTTACTGGATAGGCACACCGGAGGGGCTGCCAAACACTCTAGGATGGTTTTCTAATCTGTAAAATGGGACTAATCACAGACAGATTCATTCATATCCTTCCTTGGAAGTCGGGGTAGACTACCCCATGTTTTCCCATCTCTTCCATTCTCTTAGGTTTCCGTACTTTCCACTGTGTGCTCTTATTTTGCATCCCTCTGGAGTTTCCAGTTGCCAACACAGAGATTTCTGTCATCCATGTACCACTTACTAGATTTCGTTAGGAAAACACCATGAAGCTACCTCCTCAGCCTGGGCTGTTTGAAATCAGTGCAGCAGCAGTGGGAAGGGGGCGCCCTCCCTCTGTTGTTCACGGCTCCTGTGGTTCCTGAGCTGTCTTTCCCATGATTTAAAGCATGCCCTGCCTGCAGGCTTCCTAAAGCAGGCCAGTCAGCTCCCAGACAATGGTGGCATTTTCTTACCTCAGTCTGGAGCTGTAAGCTTGTCAGTCCAGTTCAAATTGACTGCAACAAGAAACAAAGGGTTTCCAGCCACCAACAGGACTCCAAGAACAAAACACATTGTAAATGGCTTGTCCCACCAAAGAGCCAAAGCATCTTTCAAACTGTAGAAATATCAGAGCATTGATATTTAAATGGCAGCGAGGTGGCAAGTACAAGTTTAGCTAACTTCTTCCTCAGTTGGCTGTTTACTCACAGTGATTGTGCAATGGTACTTTCCAGCAAGATGCCTATGGGCTGTAGCCATGACTGATTTCGCTGCTGCCAATTTATAGTGTTAAATATTTAAAGGTTATTTTTATTTTTATTTTATTTATTTATTTTTTGAGACAGAGTTTCGCTCTTGTCGTCCAGGCTGGAGTGCAGTGGGGCGATCTCGGCTCACGGCAACCTCCGCCTCCTGGATTCAAGCGATTCTCCTGCCTCAGCCTCCAGAGTAGCTGGGATTACAGGCATGCGCCACCACGCCCAGCTAATTTTTTGTATTTTTAGTAGAGACGGGGTTTCACCATGTTGGCCAGGCTGCTCTTGAACTCCCGAGCCCAGGTGATCCACTTGCCTTGGCCTCCCAAAGTGCTGGGATTACAGGCATGAGCCACCATGCCCGGCCTAGAGGTTGTTTTTAAAGGCTGATTTTAAAGACAGTAAACACTCCCACAGAAAATTTCATCATAACTGCATATATGAGGTTATGAAATAATAAAGCAGTAAGTCAAGAAATTGTATTGCTTAGAACTTAAGCATTGTGTCACATCTTGAAATCCCAGAAAGATAAATATAATTGATTATAAATCAACATTGTAATAGATTTCATGGAGAAAGTTGTGACATATTCACAAAAGAAATGAGCCGATGAGTGAACTTCATGTTATTCTGATGTTATCATCAGCAGTCATAATCAGGAATAATTTTCCATATCAGCCATGATGTTATTAACGCTTACACAGTACCAGGGATTGATGATTAGATTTGGAGAAGTCCTTAATTACTCTCATATACTTAATTACTACAAAATTACCCCAAGAACAGTTTTACATAAGTAGTACTTGAGAAATTCAGACTGTGTTCTAATTCTAAAAAACAAAAGTTAATTTTAGGTGTATATGCAGAGTGCAGTAAGCATTTCAACATGCTGAGTTTTGTGGAAGGGGTGTGAGATGGTCATGTGAACCAGAAAAGGTGTTGGAATGATTGATTATGGAAATGACTGAACTGTGAATAATCTACATATATAACTAAGCATCTGCACACACAAGCATGAGTGCATGTGCACCCACACAGATTAAACTCACCATATTAATGTGCTATGTTTGATGAATATGAGTATTAAATGATTGAATCAACTATTGCTAAATTGTAAGTCTCAGGACAGGGACTACATTGTCCCACAATATTCTGCACACTGTAAGTGCTTAATAACTGCTCATTAAATAAATACGAATGAACAGAAAGAAAAGACAAGAATAAAGGGATTTTTGCTTATGGCTTCTTAGACTGATTGGCAGAGCCAGTCCTTGGCAAAATTGTGACTTACAGACAAGTTTATCTGGGCCCCTCTTTTCTCTGGGCACTTCCTGCCTGTTTCTCTGCCCCCTCTTTATTTTATTTTTTTTTATTTATGTATTTATTTAATTTTATTTTTTCTGAAACAGAGTCTCATTCTGTCGCCCAGGCTGGAGTACAGAGGCGCGATCTCGGCTCACTGCAACCTCTGCCTCCCGGGCTCAAGTGATTCTCCTGCTTCAGCCTCCCGAGTACCTGAGATTACAGGCGCTTGCCACTGCACCTGGCTAATTTTTATATTTTTAGTAGAGACACCGTTTTGCCATGTTGGCCAGACTGGTCTTGAACTCCTGACTTCAGGTGACCCCCCTGCCTTAGCCTCCCAAAGTGCTGGGATTACAGCCATGAGCCACCTCGCCAGGCCCTGCCCCCATCTTTAAATACCCAGTGCTTACCATCTGCCTGAGACCTCTTCCCAGAGGAAATAGGATGAACTAACAATTCACTTACACATTGAGGTAAACTTAATATATTACTGCTTCTTGTCAGTATCTGCATAATAAAAGAGGATACTGAGACACAGCTGGTACTGAGTGTGTGGTAGTAAAGTTCTGGGCCATGGCAGCCCTGTGGAAGAGGGATTGTGAGGAATTCACAGTGCCCATAGATACCAGTCCTTTGCTTAAGAAAACATTTTCAGTTTGGAGGCAAGAAGATGGCAGTTACTAACTGGAATCCTATGAGCAGGTCATGCAATGCCCTGATTCTGAGGTTCTCAAGTTTAATAGATGATACTGACACCCCTGTTTCAGACTTGGCACAAGAATGAGAGAATGCCTGGACTACAGTAGATGCTCACGTCATTGCAGCTGTTATTGTTATTTTTCTACTGTGTATCAGATACCTGGTGCTCTGAGCAAGTCCAGAGCAACCTCCCAGGTGAGACAATGGAAGAGCTTAAGTACCATGCCCTAACTCATATACCTAGTGAGTATCAGAGGTGGTTTTATAAACCCAGTCTGACCCCAAAGCCCACAATCATACTTTGTGGTGGTGCCTACTGATACAGTATTATGGAAATTTTTAGTTACTTGGGAATTGCTTTTGCTTGAAAGTTAAGTACGGAACCATAAATATGCGGTTCCTTATAGGGTTAACATTCTGCTGTCAGTAGAGGTGCTGTGATTTGCAAGATGAAGTCATTTCCCACCAACTGCTTGACTGCATGTCTTTGGACACTGATAGCTGAAAAATCACTTTTTTCTGTGTCAGGCAGTGTAGTGAATGCCTGTCATGCCCTTGCTCACTAATCCTCCATAACAACACTATAAAGAAGGCATTGTTTACTCCCATTTTACAGGTGGGGAATCTAAATCACTGTGGTGCCCAGAAGTTTTAAATCTTGAAACAGTGGAGCTGGAAATTGCACCCAGGACCATCTGACTCCAGAGTTGTGCTTTTAGCCATTCTGCAATGCTGCTATTAAGCCTTTGATTGGGGGCTGTCCCCATGGGGAGGGGAGAGCTCTCTATCTAACGGCTCCCAATGGGATTACCCCACTGTGTGTGTGTGTGGGTGTGTGTGTGCGTGCGTGGGCATGCACGTGTGTATGTGTACATGCCATTATGCACTGTGCTTGCTCAAGTACGGGTATGCTGGGGGAAACTTTGGAAGCCTAATTACTATTATAAATCAACAAACCTGGGTTCCTGGGCTTTTAGCACAGTCCTTACATACAATTTACAAATTCTTACTGACTTTTTATATTATAAAAGAAAAATTTTCCTTGTTCAGTTTTTTAAAGTCCTTACAGTACTGAAACTTATAGTTTAAGTCCCCTCCCAGCCTTATGTTTGCCCCAATTCCACTGCTCAAAGGTAATGACTATTAAAAGATTGGCAAGTATTCTTTTAGACCTTTTTAAATGCTCATAGAAGGAGACATAACTGTGTCTATGTATATGCCCATATGCCCTGTTATAAAAATGGCCTCACGTTCTGCACCTCACATTCTATATTTTGTTTTATGACTTGATTTTTTTAAACTTAGTCAAATATATGCTTTTGCTTTCCAGGTCATTGCATATAGAGTCTTCTTAATTGTACAGCTCTCATAAGAATAGGTCATCATTTTTTAAATCATTCCCTTATTGATGAACATTTTTTTCATTTTTTACTTTTTCTAGCAATTCTGTTAAATCTCTTCATATATATATGCATGTTTATATAAACACTCCTGTACACACACACACACATATATATATATCTTTGCACAGTTTCTTAGGAAATATTTCTAAAAGAGAAAATGCTGGATTACTGAGTTGCACATTTTAAAGTTGGATAGGTATTGACACATACTCTTTTAGGAAGGCTATACTAATTTAGACTCTCATCAGCAGCACATCACAGGGCCCATTTCCTCACACTGAATGTTAGTATTTTGCCGATTTGTAAAGCAAAGATTGGTGACTTGCTTTAATTTTTCCTTTAGCTAGTAATGTAATTGAGCATCTTTTTATATTTTCATTGAACACTTAAAGACAGTATTAATAGTAACAGGGATTAAATAACAAGAGCTAGGACCTGGGTTTTTACATTATTTAAGTATCTTTCACCCTGTCAGTCAAGCTGTGTCATTTGCAGCAAGACAGTTTGTTTTCCTGATTGGAACTCAGAAATTTATTGATGAGAAAGAAATATCCAGAAAAATCCCTTATATCATTGACCATCATGACTTCGTCAGTCAACTTAAAAATGCCTATAGAAAGTGTTTAATTAATATTATTATAGACTTAGCACTTTTTCTTTCTTTGGGGGAAGTAATGACATCTTTCTAGAAGCAAATGTTCTTATACCTGAAACTCATGAAGTTGGCCTCTAATGAAGGGAACTCTTAAAATGAATTAATTGTTTTTCTGATAACACTATTCTAGGCGTTCCTCTGTTGGACTCTTCAGGGCTAAACATGTTAATGACAATCTATGTCTTATATTTCTTATATTTTAAACTGGAATTACCCTTATAAATATGGTAAACAATTGATGGTTTAGAAGAAGAAAAAAATGTAACAGCTATAGATGGAGCTTCCTTAAAATACATCAGTGAACATCTGGGTTGCTGGTAGCGAGGCCACTCTCTTCATAAAACAGAACAACAAAAACAATAGAATGCTAGAACTGGCTTGATCTGTCCCCATTCACAGCCTCTGAGCTCAGCAACATGTTACAAAACAATCCCAATTCCCTTAAAATTTCTCGTTGGTTTACGTAGAATTGTGAGTGCTCTTTCTGATTACAGGAATTTCCCCTCTCTAACCAGATTGTTCAGACTAAACTCTTTATGTCATTCTTTCGTGAGGTCTTTGAGAACTAGGCCTTACAAGATGTAAGTCTATTGAAATAAAAACATTTCGGTATTTTTTCTAGTTCACTTAAGTATGACTACTGAACCCTCCCTTCTTACGTTCATCACCAAACCCAACCTCATCTCACACATCCCAAAATAAGTTCTTAAATTTCCTTGCCATTGTGACAAAATCATTCAGGGAATCTGAATTGGCCAAATAATTACCCAAGGTTCTTTGCATCTGTGGATCTGGGCTGATGTGGTATTTTTGTCAATACCCATGAGGTCAGTGGCAGTACCTACATTCATATATCAATATATGTTTTATAAATCACTCTTACATACATAATTTTTATCAGTGCCTAGTAACTATGGGTATACAGAAATTGCCCAATAAATACTTGTTGGATGAATGCCTGACAAGATACAAAGGCAGGCTTCCTGGTAGCCAGATGGAGATAACAGAGATCCCGGGATCCAGTGATGTATGTCAGGTTTCCCAAATACAACATCCACTTTCCTATCTCAAAGCCACTTATATAGGTTTCCATACTCTTACTTCAAGCCCAAATGTAATCTTAACATAATGTTCCAGAGAGTAGGTTTTGGGGAAGCCTAACCATATATAATAGAGACTCAGCTATGAAGCAGAGGTTCGGAGGGAAAAATAATTGAGTCATTGGATCACTGGCAAGGATGAGGTAGGGGCCCACTTTTAGATTAGAGTGCTGGAAATTTGTGTAATAACAGACTCGGATTCGAAGAAGCAAAAAATCACCTAGTTAGTAAAGCGGATGTAATGTGGGAGTTTGGTTACAGCTGGACAACAGAAGTCTAAGCCACAAGATCAGTATGGGACCAACAGTGAGAACAAGACTTCTGAGTCACTCAAATTAGGTCCCATGATTTCACCTTGACCAAGAACTGACATGTGAGAGACAGGCATTGGGAGAGAGAGCCAGGCAAGTCATCTGGATCCATATCTACTGAGAGTGTAATTCAAGGCCCTTTTGGAACAATCATCACCACCTTATCCCCAAGAGCCCCATCTACCAGCAGAAAGGGCTGGGAGCCTGCCCAAGGGGAAGAGATGCCCATGGGAAGAACTCCCTCTCTCCATTTCAAATGAAATTAGAGCCGTTCTGTTGTTGTTTTAAATTGGTATTTCACTTGGAAAACTTTCAGATGTTTGTAAATCATCTAAAGATGTTCTCTTAGAGCCTCTCAAACTTTTAAGAAATACCTTATTAAATATACAGAATTCCAGGCACTTCTTCCAGAGTCGGCCGTAGAGCTCAGGAATGTGCATGTTCAACACACATGCCAAGGTGGAGCTGATGCCCCCCAACCCTGGTAAGAATCATTGGCCTAGACACCAAGTGTAGGGCTCAATGCCCTCTCACCGTGGCTCCCCAGTCGGAGATAACCCAAAGGAAGCAATTTGCCTGTGACTCAAGAGGTTAAGACTCTCTAGCTTCCTCCTCCCTTTATCTCTTGGGGAGGTCTTTTTGAGACAGAGTCTTGCTTTGACCCCCAGGCTAGACTGCAGTGGTGTGATCTAGGCTCACTGCAACCTCCACCTCCCAGGTTCAAGCAATTCTTCTGCGTCAGCCTGCCGAGTAGCTGGGATTACAGGCACCCACCACCATACCAGACTAATTTTTGTAGTTTTAGTAGAGACAGGGTTTCACCATCTTGGCCAGGCTGGTCTCAAACTCATGACCTCGTGATCCACCCATCTCGGCCTCCCAACATGCTGGGATTACAGATGTGAGCCACCGCACCCAGCTGGGGAAGTCTTTTAAAAAGCTATAGAACCAGGCTGGCTCACACAGATTTCAGGGGAGGCTGAAGGGAATTGAGATGCAGCAGCACTTCCTTTTAGTAATCCATGAAATCTCTGTCTGGAATCTTCTCTGCCGGATCTTTCTTACAGCAAAGCTTAGTTGGAAAGACAAGGGCATTTAAAATTAAATCTTCATTCTTTACCATGCTTCCCTTGTTCTGTTTTAGGTCCAAGTAGCCCTGGTCAAAAGATTGCTTGTGAGTTTATGGGAAAATGACTGATAGAACCATGGGCAGATTTACCTTTCTACTCAGAGAAGGGAGGATGACAGGTAACACCAGGCTTATAATGAGACAGCAGGAGCTAGAATTTTTAGTGGGTTTTACTGTTGGCAAAATACTTTCGTGTTTATTATTTCAGTTGATCCTTGCAGCCACCCAGTAGGGATACATATATACTAGCAACCAGTGTTCCCCCTCATAGAAAAATTCCCAACTCTTTCTTGTCAACCTTGGCAAAGTGTTTGCTCCACACTGCATCAGATACAGAATATCCAAATCCTCCACCCTTCATTCTGATCCTTACTTGTATCCAGGAATTTTGAGTTATAGGGAGTAGTTGGCAGGTGATGGAATGTGGGTGGCTACTAATGGGTAGCTGGGCACTGAATCCTTTGTTCCCTGTGCTGCTTCTCCTTCCCACGTTGAGGATTCTGATGCCATGTGAGTGTTACTGTCTCTTTTTATAAATAGGGATCATAGGCTCAGAGAGGCTAGAGTTCCCTCAAAGCCACACAGCTAGTACATGGCAGAGCTGGCTTTCAGATCCATCTCGGACCCTCAGGAGTTCTTGGTTTTGAGAATCTCTATTTTATGTATTTTCCAAATGTGCATTATCACCATCAGGACTCACTGAACCATTTTACTATAACTGTATATATCCACACATGGCAATTACTGAGACACACTGCAATTAGTTTACTTTGGCAGCTTATCATTTTGAGAATTTGGAAGCCATAGGCCACCACGCACTAGGGTTTTGGGTGGTTTGGGGATATTCAAATGAAAACTGATTACATCTTTTAATCAAGAGTGCTTTAAGCATGCTGCCTTCTCACTCGGTTTTTTCCCCCCTATTTCCCTATTGTCGCTTTTAGCCACCTGCTCTGCCCGTTCCCATCCCCTTGTTTGAACCTTTTGCAGATGTGAGTAGCAGAACCTCCTCCTTCTCTGCTACCTCGTCCCTGGAAATGAGTATATAAGTCTAAGGGCCAAAATGTGGTTCACAGTGATAAATGCTGTTTCCAGCTTGCTACAGACCAGATGAGGTGCTGTGAGGGGCACAAGTGGAGAAAGTACCCAGCATGTTCAGAGTGCAGCTCGCTGTGGCCTGCAAGTTGGCAGCAAGAGCTGTAGATGAAAATGGCCTTGCTTCTTGGAACCACGTGGACTTTTCTAATTAGAAGCCTTCATGCTACGACCCATCTCTCCAAGGACAAAGGGACCAGGCGGTTGCTCCAGTGGTCAACTTTTGAACCACTGTCATGGGTTCCTTCAAAAGAAATGTGCCTCAATGGAATTTTCAGGGTTATTATTTCCATTATCTTCCTCTTTCTTAGTAGAGTAGTTGCTTAAATGTCAGTCGTAAATAGCTCGAGTGCTTTGCAAGCTGGTTCAGTTCTCAGCCCGCAGAAAAATCTGTCTTCCTAACACAGTCTGTGAGCTGTTCCTGCAGCTTCCCCATTTATAGACTCTGTATTAAAATGAAGAGTCAGTTTTTATACCTCTTCCAGGAGGATGCTTAGTAGACTCCTACCTCAGATGAAGAGCTGGATGGTACTGATGGCCAAGACAAGCAGCCAAGGCAAAAATGATAACCAAATTGTGGCAATTTCACTTTTAAGAGCAGTATGATTTTATACTTAATGGTAGTAGGTTGTGTAATAAAAATTACTTAAGAACTGCTTATGTGTTACACAGAACCTCTACATATTTCTAAGCTTATTTCATGGTTACATAGTTGAACTTAAGGCCTACTATGTGCCAGAGAATGCACCAAATGCTTTTATAAACACTGTTATACATAATATTTTCCACAACCCTATAAAATTTCAAAGAAAATGACGCTCAAGAAAAAATCATTCATCCAAAGACACACAATTCGTTAATGGGTCATCTGGGATTCAGACACAAATCCAAGTCGTTAATGCAATGGATGGAAATAAAAGAGGGGCTAAATCAGAAAATTGGCCATGAGAAATTTCTGAAGTGTCTCTGTTTCTACACTTCAGGGTTTGTAGAATTTTTCAGTGATTAGGTGATTTGATCAATTTTACTAATTAATTAAATACTTTTCTCCCTAATGAGAATATCTGCACTTTCCAAAATGTTGATGCAGTCTGGGTAACTTTGCCTGCAACCTGGCAGTGAGAAACCTCAACAAAAGTGGCAAGATTGTATTTAAATTGATTTGGTCATGAGCCTGAGCCCCAGTAATCTGACATGAACTATGTCCTTGAATAGATAAAAATTTGAGTCCTGGTTCTGAAACATGGTAGCCATGAGGATTTGGATAAATTCAGTTATTTTAACTTCTCCCCCCTTTTTTTTTTTGGCTGTAAACTTGGGACAATATTACTTAACCAAAAAGTTGTTTTAATGATGAAGATTTTCTATGTAAAACACCTGGGGCAATGCCTGTCTCTGAGTAAATAACTATTAGTTCCTTTCCTTCCTTATGACAGAATTCTGAGTGGTTGGTATAACACTAACCAAAATATTTTTCCAAAATGCCAAAGCAAGGAACCCGCCAGTAAGAAAGCTCTGGACTTAGTAGGAGATTGTGTGATTGCTGTTTTCATTCTGCTGCCCATTTGTTTTAATACAAAGGCTCCATCCACAAATAATTCCAAATATCTAGATATTTAGAAATATTAGAATGGTTGGATGAATTTTGCACTTTTATTGACATGATATCATATAAACAAAGTATTGGTTATAAAGGCAAGGCACTCAACATTTCCTCTGCTTCCATCTCATTGTCTAAAATGGGAACATTTGTTTGAAGTACCTGCTTACAGGACAAAAATGTCAGAAGGCTACTTAAGAAGAAATTTTTATGGTATTCTAATATTAAGGTACCATGTAGGTAGTGAGTGTATGATTCCCTGGGCCTTTCTCTGATTTCAAAGTTTGAATGTATAGAATTAGGCTGAGTAGATGCGACCCCAAAGACTATATTCTTATGCCCTCTAGGAGCTTTTTCAGCAACGTTATCTGTGTGTTCTTTTTTTCTCATTGGGTCTGTCGTGGATTACAGAAGGTTTTCCAAGGCAGCAGGTCAAGGGTCCCCAGAGAGCAAGGGCTCCACAAATATCCCGAGTGTTGGAGAAGAAATGAAGGGAGCCAAGGGGAGTGAGGACATTTATCTTCTTTCTCCTCTGTCCCTTTTCCTTTCCCATCAAAATTTGTATTTTCAAAGACTGTTTAGTGTAGTTGGTTGGGGGAATTCATAACTACCATTAGTGATTGAGAGCTTTAACCTAGACAGGGAGTGTTTGAATCCCTGGGAAGCACCTAACTGACCCAAGTAAACCTCCCACTCCTAGGCTGTGTGGAAGCGTATTTTTAGCAGGGATTCTTCTTATACTTGCTGTTGTCTTTGTCATCTGCTTTCCCATGCCCATTCCATTCACCAGGAAGCAGAATCCCTGGATTCAGCAAACCTTCCTTTATTCTACCCTCTGACTTTGCACTCCAAGGCTAAGTGAAACCAAAGAATCTTCTCAGCAGGAAGAAAGTGTGGGTTGGCCAGGGATGAGCCAGTCCCACAGAGAGCTGAGGACTGTAGGTCTCTCTTAAGTACTGGGGTGTATGGAAATAAGAAAGATATCACCTCAGTAAAAGGGCTGTATTTTAATTCTTATTAAAGTAACTAAGATTTCCTTACATTTATTCAGTCAACAAATACATATTGAATGCTTACTACATGCCAGGTACTAGTCTTAGTGCTATGGATACAATAATTAACAAACTGGACAAGGTGTCTGCCTTCATGGAATACATATTTTGGTGGGGAAGGCATATAATACAGAGATACATGCCCACCCATTTAATAGACTATTTCAGAGCAGTTTTGGGTTCACAGAAAAATGTAGTGGAAAGTGCAGGGAGTTCCCACACACCCTCCTCCCCCCACCCCCTCCACACACAATCTCTCCCACTACCAACATACCACACCAGAGTGGTGCCTTTGTTACAATCAATAAACCTACAATGACACATCAGTTTCACTCAAAGTCCACAGCTGATATTAGGGGTCACTCTTGTACAGCCTATGAGTTTTAACGAATGTATAATGGCATCTATCCACCATGGTAGCATCATACGGAATAGCTTCGCTACCTCTGTGCTCGTCCTTCCCTCCCCCCAACCTGTGGAAACCACGGACTTATACTGTCTCTATAATTTTGCCTTTTCCAGAATGTTGTATAGTTGGAGTCATGCAGCATGTAGCCTTTTCGGATTGGCTTCTTTCACTCAGCAATATGCATTTAAATTGAAATTCCCTCCGTGTCTTTTCATGGCTTAATAGGTCATTTCTTTTTAGTGCTGAATAATATTCCATTGCCTGCATGTACTGCAGTTTATTTATTCGTTTGCCTACTGAAGGAAATCTCGGTTGCTTCCAAATTTTGGCAGTGATGAATAATGCTACTATAAACATACATGTACAGGGATTTGTATGGACATAAGTTTTCCAACCCTTTGGGTAAATATAAGAGGACACAATTGCTGAATCCTATGGTAAGCATATGTTTAGTTTTGCAAGATACTGCCAACCTGTCTTCTAAAGTGGCTGTACCATTTTGCAGTGAAAGAGAGTTCCCATTGCTCCACATCCTTGCCAGCATTTGGTGTTATCACTGGTTTCAGTTTTCACCATTATAATAGGTGTGTAACCAAAGATGCTCCAATTCGTCTTAGTTAGTAGTATGAAGGGCCTTATGTGGTGCAGGTCAGTGCTTCTTGAAAATAGCCACCTTTTCAGACCTGTCGTAGGTCAGTGCCTTTGGTTACAATGGATGTGACATATGAGACTTGGTGACCCTGAAGTGGATTGAGCAACAATATCCTTATTCTGTGGGAATATTCCAACTTGTAAAGCAGCCCAGAGGCATAGGGTGAATTCTTTTCCAGGTGACCAGAACTTCTAGACTTGCACATTAGGCTGGGGTCCTCCAGATCCAGGATTGTTGTCCTTCATTTGCTCTGGCTTAACTAACAAGCAGAATGCTGAGATTGTCCTTTAACATAGGGTCACAGAGAGGAAGAAGAAGACGAACAGCAGAAGTATGGAAGGGGATGGTGGTGAGCGGTGGTGAGATGTTGGCAGTTGGCTGTGGAAGTGTGGAGCCACTAGTATTTGGGGGAAACAGCAACCCTGGTGTGGCTGTCAGCATATGGCTCTCGTCTTGCTGGGTCTTAGGGGATACCACCACTGTCCCTAAACCAAGGAGCGAGTTGCCCTAGGGGCTTCACTGGTTTTGTACCATCTTTTCCTCTTTTCTTTCCCTGGACTTGGTTTATGAGAAGTATTCAAAGGTGGTAGGCCAAGGGCCCCAAAAGAGTAGGGGAATCCACAAAGAGCCATAGAGTGCTGGAAAAGAAGAAATCTGAAGGCAAAGGAGAGTGGGGTCATGCATCTTCTGTGTCCCTGTCCTTGGGGTCCTGGTTTGAGTCCACCCATTCATCACTTATGCTTCTACATGTCCCTGCATATGCAGCCACCATATGACTGGGGCCAAAATCGCTACACTTCCTAAAGTAGTAACCCACAAAATTATAGTCTCTGCGGAAAAATAATTAGAGCTGTAAAGCTCATAAATATACATCCTTCCTTCCACTTGGCTAGCAAACAGCCATACGACCAAGAAACTGAGGGGCTGCCAATTCTGCCTCTGCCGCTGATATCTGCTTATTCTTCTACCCAGGCACAAACTGCTTAGCACCAACGGCAGGAAATCTGCTCTGCCAGGGCTGGTTCTCAGCAGAGCTGTGGGGTGGCCTCCTGACTATACCTGCCATCAGCAGACAGGGCCAAACAAAGGGAACCACAGTCAAAACTTCCTTATTTGTTCCTTTTCATTCTTCCTATCTTGAATGCATTCCAGAAAAGAGAATTACATCTCTATGTATCCCGTAAAGAAAATTTTCTATTGTCATATGTAGTATGAAATTATGTTACTTGATTTCTCATTTATATGTTTGTCTTTCTTTCTCACTAAAATGCAGGCTCCAAAAAGGCATGGAGTGTGATTTATTTACCACTATATCCCCAACACTTGAATAAGTGCTTAGTGAATAGTTGTCAAGTAAATGAAAGCATAGAAATTGAAATGCTTATGTTATTAGAAGAATAGAAAAAGAAAAAAGTAAAAGTAACAGTTATAGGGTGTGAACTGTGTGTCAGGCACATGCCCAGCACTTTACATTGGATGGTCTCTGTTAATCCTCTTTAGTCTTTGTGATTACAAGTAGATACTGTTAACACCCTCATTTTGCTAAATTACAATGATTGCAGCAAAGGCAAGCACACACATTAGTCACTGTTTCTTCTGAAAAGTCAAACAATAGATGACTCCTGAGATTTGGGTAGTGGCTGAAAAACTATAGCACTTAGCCTGGATCCCTGAATTGATACAGTCTGCATCACATGGAGTTAAAGGGTTTTCCCATCTGACATATCAAGGGGTCTTGGAACACCCAGCATTATTTCCAAGGAGTCTCCTAGAGGATCCTGCCAAGCCTGACTAGGTCACACTCTGGAGGGGGAAATTCTGGGGAACCTTCCTGATGTTTTTGAGGGGTTCCTATTGTCATATGTGGACCTTCTGGACCTATGAGTTGTCATCATGGTCCAGTCTGAGCCTACTGCAGGGAAGGGGCTGTCTCGATTCTGAGTGTTGTCCATGTAGCACTTTTCCTAGTGCCCACAGTTTGGTGGTGGTTCCCCAGCCTCACTGTAAAGGAAAACAAGCATTTTGTTTTGCAAGGCCATCTGCTGCATAAACAAACCTACTAAGTACACAGATCATGACTTATCCCTTTGACGAAGTGTAGGCTGATGGTATTAATCACCATCCATGTTCCTCAACAGTTGGGTAGAGCCTTCTGTGTTGACACTCCACCATCATATGGTAGGATAAATGGAGACCCACAAGGGCACATCGCCACCCTGGTGCACATGGAGAGCTAGGCCTGCAATCTGAAGTGAAGAAAGTGGGTGACACATTTCTTTCTTCTGCTGCTGCTTCAGAAGGGAACATAGTACCTCTAGGAGGGTTGGAGTGCCCTGGCAGTTTAGCCTAAAACATTCCTCAGCTTCTTGAGGGGTTGGGAGTTGAGGGACCATTCTTTACTTATTAATGTATTTATATTCTGGTTCCTTCCACAAAGATTGAAGTGGCAAATTTGCAAGGAAAAGATAGATGTATTAAAAAATCTAATATACTTTCTATCTTGAAGGCCAGGAGCCTAAGATTATTCATGTTGCTTTATTTAAACTTGGGGTGGGTCATGTGTTTTTCTTTCTAGAATTTAATTTGAAATACTCTTGAAACAAAGTTGGCTAGACCTGGGAATTCAGATTGCCCTAGAGCTGTGCTGTCAGGTACAATAGCCATGAGTGGCTATTTAAATTTGAATTAATTAAAATTCAATAAAATTTAAAAGTCAGTTCTTCAGTCACACTAGCCGCATTTCAAAGATGTAATAACCACATGTAGCTACTGTATTGGACAGCACAGATAAAGAGCATTTTCATCATCATGGAAAGTTCTCTTGGACAGCATGGCCCTAGAGGGT
Organism: Homo sapiens; assembly: GCF_000001405.40. Lineage (NCBI taxonomy): Eukaryota > Metazoa > Chordata > Mammalia > Primates > Hominidae > Homo > Homo sapiens. The sequence continues at coordinate 3,834,330 of NC_000009.12, read as the reverse complement.
ATCCTTCTATTATCATATTTACTCATGTAATTCCTTTCTCCTCTAACCTTCCCCACTCCCTTTCTAGTTTGGAAACGAAATCCAAAGCTTTATGGGGCTGCTTTATCATCATTAGCAAAAGGGACCGTGAACTCTTTAACCTGTCATCACAGAGACACTAGTGACTCCGTGACTAAAAGAAAAAGAAAAAGCCTTCTAAGAATGAATGAATGTGAAGAAACTCATGCATGATATTAGAGGCAAAAACAGAAGATAAATGTATAAAACGTTTCAGTTTTGTGGGTATATAGCTGGCCATTTCTGAATCATGGAAATAAAAAATAATTTTTGCCTTCTTTGTTTATACTAGTCTGCATTTTCTAGTTTATAATTAGCCTCAAATATTCTTATAATTAGAACAAGTTTGTTTTTAGGAGGGGGAAAAAAAACTTCCCAAAACTGAGAGAAGGAGGAATGATTCTCCTTGACCTTTGGGAACTGCAGTTTAGGTGGAATACATTTATCTGCAAGTTCCTCCACTCCTCCATTCTTGAAGGCAAAATAACTTTTAAAGTAGAGGGGTGATTCTGAAATTAAATGTATAATAACAACTAACATTTATTGCCAACTTACATTTATATGTATGTTCTTATGCTACTATAAATGCATGTGTTCTCACTCCAGCTGTGTTATCAATCCTCAAAGACAAGGATGATGTCTTACATTTCTTTGGTTTCAGCAATAGCACCCTAACCAGCACTTGATAGCCACTATTGACTGACGGACAGATTGGCTGACCTTGCCACCACTCTCAGGTTTTACGCCCACAAAATGTGTTAACATCTTGCCTCATTTTGCTTTGGGTCCGAGAAGTAGTGTTATTTCCAAATTTGCTATGTGAAATCCAACCGCTGGAATGCAGGAGCCATTCATCAGAAAATGAGTTAGGCCTTCTCTGGATTTGTGTGTGTGGCAAGACCCTAACGGAATTTTTTAAAAAGTGTTGGTTTGTGAAAATAGTGCTGGGAAGAGAATATATGAAAACCATCCACACCAGTGTATTTGGCATCTCTAGTAACTGGCTACTTGGAGAGATTTAATAAAGAGGATTTTCTTTTCTTGAGTTGGCTGTTAGAGTGATAAAACATGCTTGTGGGGCCATTCTGGTTTTGACAGTTTCCTGTGTCAGCCAAGACACCCACAGGCAGGAATTAGAGTCTACTCTGTCCTCCTCGCTCAGATCCAGACTAGGAGATGAAGCCCAGAATGTTGGATTTGATATTTAACTTTTCTAGGTGTATTTTGCCACATCACAAACCTTTTATACTCTCATATATCACAACACTTGAATATAGACTAAAGCATTTGACACTTCTGTTCCCTCTTAGTAAAATGAGAGAAGATAGGAAAGGGTGAATAAATTGGTTTTCATGAAAGGCCAGTGAAAGTCTCTATCATTGTCCCCGAATGATTAATGTCCCTATTTGTGAAGTTGTGGGAGTTTAGTGAAAAAATCTTTTCTTGGAAGGTTGATATTACGCTGAGGAGTGCTATCAGGAAATTTATGGGTGACAAATATGAGGAGAGTTTGCATAAAGATATAGATAGCAAATATTGTCTATTTTGCTCAGGAGAGATTACATTCTAGTAGACCAACCATGGCGGTTTATGCTAACGTTTTCCTCCTGATGATACTGCCATATTTGCCTGTGCCTGGCCTCCAGGTATCAAAGTCAAGATCAGTCCAAGGAACTACTGAAACTATACATCTCCACATTCCAGGTTCCCTCAAACCACTCAGACATGTTGCTGTTTGGAGCCCCCAATAGGGTAAATGAAGAAATTAGTCTGTGTGTCAATTAGTGCAGGATTGAGGAGCCATGAGCAAGAAGAGGTATACAGCTCAGGTCTTCAAAAGGCCAAAACTGTTGAAGATTCCACCTAGGAACAGCGGGTATGCCACATACCTGCTGCTTTGTCCTTTCTTACATTGGTTATTGTTAAATAACTTACTTGTTCTTTTTGGAAATTTTATTTTCCTCAATAAACTTTTATTTTTAAGAAATACAGTCATTATAAAATAATTTTATTTTTTATTTAGCAAACATATATACTATGTAATTTATATTATTAAATTATATATTATATAAATGCTAATTATAAAATTGTATAATATGTAAGTATTAACTCATTTAATCTTTATAACGCAGTATGATGTAATTACTATTATTAACCTGATTTTACAAATTGGAAAACTGAGGCACCAAGAAGCTAAGTAATTTGCCAAGACTACACAGTTGGTAAGTAGTTGAGCTAGGATTTGAACCCCAGGATCCAGAGTACTTGCTCTTCACTATTGCTAAAATTTAGAAAAAATATACAGGCAAAAAAAAAATACCCAAAGACAACTATAGATATGGTAACTTGCCATCTTTATTCTGTAACATAGGCATCCATACAACTGATCCTAGGCTTTGTATTCAATTTTGTATCATGCTTTTTGAAACATGAACCTTATAATGGTCTTTCCATGTTGTTAAAAGCTTATTATAAATATTGTTTTAATACCTATTTAAAATTCCCATCACATAAATGTACCACTGTTTGCTTAGACATTCTCTTATGGTTGGCCATTTTGGCTCTTCAGTTTTCTGTTTTGATCACTAGCGCTGCAATCTCTGTCCCTGTGCAGAATTTCTTAATGTTCTTCAGAATATATTTTCAGGATACTTTATCAGAAGTGTATTTCCTTAATCCAATAGTCTGAACACTTTTAGGGTTCTAGATACAGGTTGTCAAACTGTTTTCCAAAAGGCTTGTACTCTCTTGCAATGTCTACAACATTACATAGAAATGCCTTCTTCATTCACACTTCAGTGTTGAGAATGATTTTTAGGAATCTTTGCCAATGTGATAGGTAGAATGTGACATTTTATCATTGTTTTGATTTGTATTTCTTTGTGGGCTTGAGAGTTTACAGTTTGCTCATATTGGATGATCAATTATATGAGTATTTATGAGTGGTCTGTTTGGGTTCTTTGCCTGCCTGTCTATTGAAACCATGCCTTTGGGCATCAAAAGGGAAAAAGACAATAGCTTTCCATTCTTTCTTCTTCTGGCTTGACGTGGAATTTCCTTAGGTATTTTCCTAGTCTATACTAATAACAAGCATTTAATCTTCTTCCAAACCGTATGTGGATTTTTCTTTTGATTCTATATAAAGTGCACTCTAGTCTGCTTATAAAGGATATTATTTTGTTTTCTACTATGAATATGCCCTGTCCATAAATCTGCATTTGATCTATCTTGGATGATAGACTCCTAGAGGGCCAGTATGTATCTTTATGGACGGTTAAGACATTCTTTGGCAATATTCATAACAACCATAGAATAGGCCTCCCAGTGTCCCAGCAAGGGTGATCTGAGCAGTTACACAGGCTACATTGTGGGTCCTAATGGGAAATGAGAAGGGTTGAGAGCATAGTAGGTTGGATGTATCAGTTCACCCTGGTTTTACTTAAAGAGAGCTAAGAAGAAACTTAAATAGCACCTTCCCTCTCTTTTGATAGGTGGTTCATTTCTTTAATAAGGGATGAAGCCTTCCAATCTCAAGAAGAGGCAGTTCTAGTAGAGGAAGGCACACAGGAATAAGGGTCCAAAGTCCATGGGTTTGTTCTGCATTCTCCATTATTTAGTGTTTGTGGAAGAAATCCTGGGGTACTTCCTCTATTAATCCCTTTTTTTCCATCAAAACCAGAATAGTGATATCAATAATAACTGACACTTATAAAGTGCTTTAAAACGTTAGAGATGGACTTCCTTATCCAATGACTCACTTAATCTTCACAATAGCCCAGTGAAGTACACAATGACATTCACATTTTACGGTTGAGGAGACAGACACAAGGAAATGTAGAGAGTTAACAGCAGAGCCACAATGCTCCCTCCAATAATGTACGGAACTAAGATTTCATTATTATATTTTCAGAAGCATATTATACTCCAAGAAAATAATCTGTTGACTTAAATGTATTATGAGGCAAGGAGAAAGAAGAAAAAAGTAAGCCATCATGAAAGGAGTGGAGGATCATAGAGAAGAACCACATGGGACCCCAAGGAAAACTACATTGAATGGAAAAAAAATTGAAAGGAATAGATGAAATAAGATTATCAAAAGGTTGATGATTATTTTCAAATATTACTCTTTTCTCATATTTTTTCTTTTTTGGAGTTTTGTGTTGTATTTTCTAACATTTTCATAACATTATTCACTTCCAGTTTTTCCATTTACTGCAAAGATCAACAATAGAAATAGTTAAGTATATCCAACTATGGAACACTGTCTACCTAGCCAGGATAATAAGATCTAAATGTGCATGTATTTCTCTATTGGAAAGACAGATAGATGGATGCATTTTTAAGCGGGCCTTTTTAAGAGCATTCTGCAAGATTTTAACCAGTGTGAAAACAGAAGAAAATATAGGATAAAGGAAGTTAAAGAAGATGCATTTAAATGCCGACGGGAGAGTCTAGGGTAGGAACCTCCCCTGAAGGTCAGGCCTTGAATGTCCAGGACTCTTCAGAGAGTCTAGGGAAGGTAAGAAGCCTTCCCACTTCAGATACTAAAGCACATAATAAAAACATTACACACTAACAAGCTTGGAAATTCCTCTAAGGTAGAAGAGCTTCAGCCCAACAGTGCATTCCAAATGTTTGCTTGGAAGATTCTACAGGTGGCCTTAAGAGTTAAAGGCATTTGTCTTAGGAAGCCAGGCTGAGTGAGGTTCTAGCTGGGTTGGAATGATCTGTGGAACTTGTGCCCAAAGGAACTTGTGCTCAATGCCATGCTTGCGTTTCAGGATTTTATGGGCAGCTGCAGAAGTTCTGTCCCCCACACTACCCCGATTCCCAGAGAATTGTGCCGCCTGTCAGCTCCTGCAGTGTGGTGCCTTCGTTTGAGGACTGCCTAGTCCCTACATCCATGGGCCAGGCCAGTTTTGATGTTTTCCACAGAGCCTTCTCGACTCACTCGGGCATTACAGGTGTGTTGGTTGTCTGTGACTTAGAAAATCCTGTCAACTGACAGGAGAGACCAGGTGGGCTGCCCGTGACCGACCTGGGCTGGACGTGACCAAGCACATGACCGCATCAAATCCTGTTGAACGACCCCTGAAATGGCTCTCATCTCCACCTTCCCCTCCAGCCCTCCTTCAGCCCCTCTTCTTCCACCACCCTGGTGCAGGAGCCATCATGTCTCTCCCAGACTATGGCCATAACCTTCCAGTAAGTCTCCCTGACCTGATTCCTCATCTTTACCATTCTGCCCTCCATACTACCATGAACATTGCCTCCCCAAAATGAAGGATAAAATATGCCTCTTTTCTGCTCAAATATATTAAATAGTTTCCAATTGCCTAGAGAATAAATTCGACTCTCCAGCATGGCATTCAAAGCCCCCATAAGTTAGGCCTGATCCAGCTCTGCACACCTGCCCACACATATTTTTCCCTACATGCTCTTCACCTGAGCTTTGCCAGCACCCTTGACCCCACATGCCTCTCCCTCTCTGTCTTTGCTCTTTGTTTCCTCCTTCTGGAATGTTCTTTCCCTATTTCTTCATCTGTGAGAATTCCATTCTCTTTCATGACTCAACCTTAACACCAGCTCCTTTTTGAGGCCACCCCCAGCCTTCCCTAGAACACTTTTCTTTTACTTCTTCTCAGCCTGTCTTTTGTGTGGTCATATTTTAGCCAGCTGCCTGCAAGTCAGCCTCTTCCCTCACTAAGGTCGCTGGAAACAGAGACTCACTATAGGGCCCAGGCTGGCATGGTTGCCTCCTTAGCCCCCAGTCCTCACTTGGTGAGCTGCATTACTGTAGTGCATTTCCAGTGGGCGTGGCATGGGGCAGGAGTTACTGACTTAACTGCGTTCTTTCTCTTCCAGTGTATGATTTACCTTCAAGTTCCTCGAGCCTCTTTGGGGAGTCTCTCCGCAGCGGGGCTGAAGATGCTACCTTCTTGCAGATCAGCACCGTGGACCGCTGTCCTAGCCAGCTCTCCTCTGTCTACACCGAAGGCTAAAAGCTCTCTTGGCCACTCCTGCACACCCAGGACCTTGATGTTGCTTGCCACCTTTTGTTTTCGTACTCTCACAGACTGCTTGAGGAAGGATGTCAGCCCAATCAGCGGGCCCTGCAGAGTTACTGATGTTCTTTCAGAAGGCAGGACTGAATGGCAGAGCTAGCTTTGCAGGAATCATTACAGTTGCTCCTTTTTCTCTCTGGTTTTCCTGGACTATGTGACCAGGAGGACTGTCTTTTCAAAGGGAATTTAGAGCCTCACTCTCCTGGATACCTGTTACTTCCTGGCTGTCAACCCTTAAAGGACCCCAGTGAAATGATGTGCATATGAAAATGTAGTTTGGGGATGACTCTACCTGAAAACTCCAAACAGGGAAAAAGACCTCAATTACGAGAGGCATAGTGACCTGCCTCACCTAATCCTCACCCTTGCTGCTCCTGATGCAAAGCCAGGCACAACAAGGGAAATCCATGTCCAAAGCATAGTGTGGTCTCAACTCTTAGAAACTCCCTGGGTTTCCCTTTTCTCTTAGCCACATGCTAACCAGTTGCTTCTCAGTGTTTCTCTTCAATAGAAAAATAAGGTTTTATATGCCAGCAGCCTATCCTTGTTTTTGCATTTTAAAGACTTAGTTATTTATACGTATTTTAAAATGAAAAAAAAATGTAAAGGTCTGTGCTTTGGATGGAAATCATTATTATTGTAATCACCCCAGCTATAGACATTTTGCACAGCTGTGGTTCTGCCTGGCCCCACCTCTAGCATGTTAGTTTTGCAGTTAGCAAAGGTTACCTGAGGGAAATGGAGTGGGCACCTCCCGCACCAACAGTCCTGTAGCTGGAACCTTCCTGAGTTGACTGTTTAGTAACTCCACCTCAAAGACTGTGTTCAAAGAAAAATGTTGTTTGACTGGTTTACCCATTGCCTCCACTCTGGTGCTGCACCCAGAGAAGTGCCAGATGTGAGAACTGGGACAGACTGAGTCATGTGCCAGCTTCCCTTGGAAAACCAAACCTAGTGATACTTGACTTCCAGTGCTCAGATTTTACTAACGTTTTTCAGGATATCCACTCATCTGTCTGTCTCTTCCCTACACTTCTCTCCACCCTCTTTTTGCATCCCTCTTACCCTCTTCCTGACTGTGGTTCATATATCCCCACCAGCCGCCATTGTCTGATCATCTTGGGAAGGTAGAGGTGACAGTTCTCGAAAAGTCTACAGAAAGAGGCAATTCTTTTTCTGAGTTCCAGTTTGAAGGCCTGGAATTTTCACATAGCACTTGGTCGAAAATATCAAGCCTAAATAGGAAGTCATTTTCTGTGACACCTCTACATAGCTATTACAGATCCTAAGTCCTAGGGCATCAGCTATAAAAATTGGCCAGTCCCAAAGACACAGTAAGTTCTAACATTCTGGTACTATCATATTTCAAGTATTTTTTCTCACTTTTTAAAAATGTTTTTCTGAACAAAAGTGAAACAATGCCATTTATCAAACTGAGATCATTACAATCTTCAACAAGACAACTAAAACAGCTTGATGTTAGATGGGATTCTGTGACAGTTTGTATACTGACAGGTCCTTCCAGTCTCCCTCCACAGTCCCACAAGCGGAAGTATTCTACCTGATTCCAGAGTTCATTCCAACATGCAGTAGAATGAGGTGAATGAAGAACCAAGTGTGGGTTTTGTTTTCACAGTGCACTTGGTCAATCTAGTTTCTCTGAGTAGTGGGCTGTATTCTAAGAAAAGCTTTCACGTAGACGTCAAAGTCTGCAAAAGAGATGAGTTAGCCACTTTAAAAAACCTGCTCTGCTTTACAAAAGATGCACACCAGGCTTCCTTTACAAGTGAACTCCAAGGCTGCTTGTAAAGTACCACCCTTCCTGCAGACTTTGTGGGTCGTGTCACTTGGCCTAAACAAGTGGCCTAACATATGCATGCTCACAGCTAGTAGCATCCCTCATGCGTCCTTTGTCATACTCTGGAAAGAAAAAAACTCTGCTATCTTCAGAGAAACCATCTATTCATACTTAAATATGGAAGCCTTTACAAGGAACTCAAAATACATTTCATTTCATTTGTACAATGAGAAAAAAGATGAAAAGGCAAGGTTGTTATTGCAGTTGACATTGTCAGCCCTGCCTTTTGGCTTTATGTAATTTAAAATAGAAAGGGGGAAGGAGGACAAGACAGAAGCTCAACTTTAGAAACCATGGACATCACCTCCCTCTTTGAGAGGAGCTGCTTGTGAACCAGGCTCCAGTCTTCCTGTGGCCTCTCACAGTAACCCTGCCCCTTTCTTACCTCACAGGGGCAAGAGGGACTCTAAAGAGGGCGTAAGCAATAGAGGCACCTGCAGCCCTCCTTCCTCAGCAGGAAATCAATGTGGAGCCCCAGAGGGACATTTTATCTCAGAGAGAGCATGCTGGCCACAGGACCCAGTGCAGCCCTGCTTCCCGCACCGTGGGTCTTTCCTGATAGCTGCAGGCTTGAGATTGCAGCCTCAGGATAGGACACGTTCAGATGCCTTCCAGACTACACACACTATGCTTAGATTCGAGAGTCTTTCCTGACCTTAAAATTTGTCCCTTGCTTACTTTCACACTGCAGAAGATTTATATATATATTCATCATTATTTTTGCAGCAGTACAAGTGGAAACTTCAAAAAAATCATTCCCTTTCATGTCCTGGTCTTTTTAAGTCTTGATATGTAACCATTTTCATAAATGTCCAAACAGAGATTGTCATTCCCCTTAAAAACAGAAACAAAACACAAAACTAGTGCTTGTGAAAACACACAGCGCAAAGACAATTATCCTATTGCATTAAAAAAAAAATCAGTCTGCCTAGAGACATTTCATTGGCTGCATTGTCTTAATTCCCTAACGAAACTGCATCAAAATGTCAGTTGTAATTTAGCCTCTGATCAGCTGTTAAATATTATTTAAATATTTACAGGTCCTGTGGGGTATCTCCCATTACCCATGTCGCCCTCAAATTACATAAGCGATCATAAAATAAGAAGAAAAAAAAAGGTCTTTAGTAGATCACAGCAGAGTTACCACTGATAAGAGTGTTGGCTTTGTTCAGTTGTTTCTAAATTACCAGCCGTCAAGCACAGTAGCCCCTAAAACCAATTTTGAGCAAGGATAAATTCAACTCCCTCATCTGAGAACCTTGACTTTCCAGTTGCCTTGAAGTATTGGGAATAGTAACTGTACATTTTCAATTTAATTATTTGGTATTTTATTTGACTGTCTTGGCCATGTCATTTTATGGAAGCATTTTTAAATAGCACTTTTTGTTAGTGGTGTGGAATTTCTGCGGTTATTATTTTTTTTTTTTTTTGCAACAGATGAAGCAAAAAAAAAAAAGCACTCATTGGAGAAATAGTGAGTGTAAAAAGAGATTTATTTTGTACAGACAGCAAAGTATCCTGTGTAATGTTGCTGACATAAAGCACTTTGGGGGAAAAAAGTGGAAATCTGTTTTCCATAAATCACACAGACTCTTGTACATAGTTATATACACTCACGTAGAGAAATGAACTGCATATATCATACTGGATATGGGGCCGATTTTACTCTAGAGGCACATCTGGTGCTTATTGTCATAAATCTTTTAAAGAATTAGGTACACTTTTTTCTATTAATATGTATAGTTTTGTGATTTGTCACAGTTATGTTTCATATAATCATAAGTTATTTTGTCTTGTTCATGAAGTCCTTTTTTTATGTCAAAAGTAAAATGAAGGGATTGTGCACTTGGTACAGAATAAAACTGGAAATAGAGAAGACGCCCTCCTGCCTAAAATCCTCCTTCAGCCTGTCGGTTTAAAACACAATGGCAACCATCATTGTTTGTTTGTTTGTTTTTTTGTTTTGTTTTACCATCAGCCTCTTACATACTGGGAATGGTAATTATAATTAAAGGCAGATGATGCGGGAGGGAATGTTCAAGTCCAGCTTTAAAATGCTGCATTGCTTTGGGCCAGAGCTGTAGCCTGGATTTAATTATAGATATGAGGAGGAAATGGCAGTAAAAATGAATGTCTCCCTGAGTCCTTTACATGTTGGGAGTGTCCATAAATAAAACATGAAGTTTTATTTCATCAGATTTAATTAAAGCTTTTATACATGTTTTATTGGTTATTCTATTAATCTGCTTCACAAACCGGATAAATGTGTGCTAGGATTTGGGGTTTATTTGTGCCTTTTCAAAGTAGCGCTACATCATGCTTCAGAAATGCCTCTAGTGCTTGGTACTCCCAGTGCTGGGGTTTCAGCAAGCTGACAGTTGGAGGAGGGGGTCTTTTCAGCCCTGTTTTCCCAAACCCTTCAGAGAAAGACACAAGCATCAGCTTCCCATGATCTGATGCCCTGATCATATAATCTGATTCCCTGGAGAAAGGGGCAGGTACCATTTCCCTGGTTTCCTCATCCTGTCCACTGTGCACGCTTTAGAATACCACCTGTCCCATTGGCTGTGATGAGCTTTCTTCCTCAGCTCCCATCTATGGGGGGATGTGTCAAAATATTCTCACATCTGGTTTACCTGCTAGCCAAGCATGTGAATCCAAAAGAGATCACATCTCAAGGACCAATCTTAGAAAGTTGACTGTTTTCTTGCTGCTTTTTTTTTTTTTTTTTTTTTTTTTTAAGACTTGAGAATTGTTTTAAGAGAAGATACAAACTGGAAGGGACGATGGTCCCATGAACCTTGTCTGGTCCCTCAAGGTCAGAGAGCAGGCACCATTAGGTCCAGGGTTGTGGAGGTAGGAATAGTGCTGATAACATACAAAGAGCTCCTCAGCTTCCTAAAAGGAGGTGGCTGGTGGGAATGTGATTTTGTCCAGCCTCTTCAAAGAAAAAATTGGCATCAGGTGGTAGAGTTGAAAGTCCGCATACCCTACAGCCCAGCAATTCCACTACTTTCTAAAGACTCTTAAATCAATGATGGCTCAAGTACGAGATGTTTATGGCAGTGTTATTTACCACAGCCCCAAACGAGAAATGATCCAACTGTCCACTAACAGTAAAACGAACAAATGAAGCTTGCCTAAGTAACAGTGAAATGCCATGGAAGTGACAACAGAGGAAATGACAGGACGACAGCCACACACAACTCAGAGCTGAGTCTCACAAATTTGAGAGAAAGAAACAGACGCAAAGGCAAATATACAGTGTTATTCTGTTTATATACAGTTTGAAAACAGGCAAAACAGAGTTTAGGTGGTAGAAGTACAAAGAACAGCAAGGAAAATGTCACAAAGGCTCATAGCTCTGGTGGAGGAGAAAGAACACATGGAAGACTTCTGGGTGCTGATTGATGGACAATGTTTTATTTCTTGACTCAAGTGTTAGCTTATACAAGTGTTTGATTTATGATTAGTTAACTGCATATATATCTTATAGTTTTTAGTTCAAATAATAGTGAGAGGCAACTCTTACATTTCTTATTTGAGGGCTCTGCAAACTTTTTCTGCAAAGGGCCAGATAGTACACATTTTAGGCTTTGGGGGCTATGTGGTCTTGTGTCTCAGCTACTCAACTCTGCCACTGTAGTTCAAGAACAGCCGTAGATATTATGCAAACAAATGGATGTGGCTGTGTTCCAATAAAACCTTATTTACAAACAGATTTGAATTTCATCTAATTTTCAGATATTTGTGAAATATTCTTTTGATTTTTTTCAACTCTACATGAAAGTTTAAAAATTTCTCAACAGGCTGTACCAAAACAAAACTCAACTAAAAAAGCAGCAGGCAGGATTTGGCCCATGGGCCATAGTTTGCCGACACTCGTCAATTGAAAGGGTATTCTCCAAAGTCCTTCCCAGAAATATCCACTAATAGAAAACCATGGATAGGAGCCCCTCTGCTTATTCTTCTGCTACGTTGGGTCCTATTCCTAGAGGAAATTCATGAATTCTATTGATTAAACTTTTCTTTGTTTAGATCCTGGATTCTGCTCCCTGGGATACAGATGAATGCTTAGAGCCTGCAGTGCCATTCGACTGTAACTCTGGATTTAAAGTTTTTAATAAAAAGAACTGGGCATAGAGAAATCTGTGAGAATTGAAAAATGAGCACCCATTCTTTCCAAGCTAACCAAATATTTGCTGGATCTTGGCAGCCACCGCCAACCTTTTTCCTCTGAAATGCTGAAAGGTTATAAGTAATGGGAGACTTCATTTTTCTCGGGCCACAGCTCTTGTGAGAAGCTGAAGCTGCCTCTCAAAACCTGCAGGGTTCTCATAGAAAAGAGAGTCAAGGGTTTTATATTCAATGACGCCACTGACAAGTGACCACAGAAGAGTCAGGGCGCCCTGACGGTGCTAACAGTCTGCCCCCTCCATGCCGCAGGAAGGCAGCTAAACACCCTAAGCCCCTCCCTGGACCCTGGTTTCCCATAATGCCTAGCTCCCTAATTGGCAAACCTAGGGATTTTTCACCCCTGATGGCGCGCCCGTTGGCTACTCACACTTACGGGAGAGAATGAGACTGAATTCACATGGCATGGGTGTATGGCCCTCTTTGCGTCTCCAGCCTGCGATAACATTACTAGTTTCGAAAATAATGGTTATTCATGAGTCCTGGGTCATTGACTGGATATTAGCTTGGACTAAATCCTCTTCGGCAGATCTCCCTGGTTGTTTCATGTGCTTGAGTTTGTGTATTGTATATGATTCTGTTATTAAAGCTGCCAAGAGTGTAGAATTTTTGGTAAAAATAACCTCAATTACATGAAGTTTAAGCCAAGAAAAAGAGGACATCTGGTCCAAGCTCATCAATTTTCAGAGGAGGCAACAGATTATTTCATTCATTCACTCATCATTCATTTGTTCCTTTGCTCACTCATTCACCATTGTTTCATGCCTACTATGTGTTAAATAAACAGGGGTAGAATTGGCTCTTATCCTCACAGAGCTAAAGGGGATCACCAGAATCATCTGCCTGAGAATATTGCCTGAGGCTTGTTAAAAATGCACATTCTGGAGCTGCTACTGAATGCACACCACAAAGTTACTGAGTTGGAATTTCAGTGAGATGGAGTCATCTGCATCTTTAATAAACTCTCCAGGTGATTATTTATATGAACTAAAATTGCAAACTAAGGCTGACCACCTTTGATATAGCGGAGGAAGCAGGCAATTTAACAGGGCCACACTGTATAATAAGGGCTCAGCAGAAGAGGAGCTCCCAATTCCTGCCTAGGGAGTTAGGAGAGCAGGGTCAGAGTTCCCTGAAGGAAGGGGAATGAGGATGCCTGAGCTTGTCCTGAAACGTAAGTAGAACTTCAAGAAGCAAAGAAGCAGAGGAAAGGTATAACAGGCAGAGAACACAACATGGGCAGAGCTGCCTAGAGAAGGAAAGCCACCCAACAGGCTAGCTGGAGGGTTGGAGGTAATCCCATCTCTGTCTCCTCTGAGTAATACTTCCATGACCCACTGGCCCTAGGTCACAGCCCTTCCTATGTAGGCACTGAGCTTACAGCATTGTTTCCCAAACCAACAGGGACTCGTATATTACCAGTTACTCTGCACAAAGGGTTTTACAATCACATTAATTTGAGAAATGGCCAGTTAAAGTTACATAGGTGTTTTTGCTTCAGGACCTCTCACATCCTTTACTGTGCCAATGTGCATTGTAACTCTCCAAGAGGGAATCAGGGGATTCTGTGTGTTGACCAGGGAGCCCTATTTCCAAAAGGCTCCTTGTTAGTAACATGGAAAGAGTTAAGCAATTCCTAAAAATAGTTAATCACCATATGATTCAGCAATTCTACTCTTAATTCTAAAGACTTGAAAGGAAGGATTCTGATACAAGTATACCAGTGTTCAAAGCATTGTTCACAATATCCAAAAAGTGGAAATAACCTAAATGCCCAAGAACTGATGAGTGCATAACAAAATATGATATATACAGATATATACATACAATGGAATAGAATTCAGGCTTTAAAAAGAGGGAAATTGATACATGCTAACACATGGATAAACCTCAAAGATATTGTGCTGAAATAAGTCAGACACAAAAGAGATATTCAAAAGGACAGAGCATGATTCCTCTTATATGAGGTAACTAGGATAGTCAAGTACATAGAGACAGAAAGAACAGTGATTAGCAGGGCTGTGGGGAAAGAAGAATGGGAAGTTTTTACTGAAAATAAACAGTTTCTGTGTGAGATGAAAAAGTTCTGGAGATGGATAGTAGTGATGTTTGCATAAAATTATGAATATACTTAGAAGCACTGAATTGTACTACTCAAAATGGTTAAAAAGGTAAATTTTATTTTATGTTTATTTTACCACAATTTTTTAAAAAGATAATGTGGGCAGAGTACCTAATAGGATGCCTGATACCTGGAAGACAATTTTAAAGGTTTCAAAAGCTCCTTGTTAGGCCAGCAGTGCTCTTTGGAATTACTTAGGATGCAATTTGGGAACATTCCCTACTCTCAGGAGTATGAGAGTAGAGCCCATCTCCTACTCTGGAAAGGATGGGAGTAGAGGATGAGTCAGTATTTGCTCCCGATTGGTGGATATGGTGGCTGTAAATGGCCCCTAGCTTCCTGAGAAAAAGAAAGAAGAAAAGCCGAAAAGGAGATGAGATGGTGGTTTGGAAGAACTGCAGAAGGTGTTCTGAGCACAGAGCACTGTGCCTGATATAAGTTCTCAGGAATTGAGGAAGGGAAAGAAAGGAAAGATGAAAGGGGACTGGATGTTGGTGTGGCAGGAGAAGGAGGTAATGAAATAGGGGGTGATGGAAGAAGAATTACTTTAGACCCAGCTGATCCCAACATGAGCAAATGCCAAGATCTGTTTGGATTTCATTCATTCATTTAACAATTGTTTACTGAGCTCCATATCCAATACTATGTGTCAGTGATCATTCTAGGTGCTGGAGACTATTCAGAAAGAAACCCATACCTATTGTATTCTAGTGGATTGGCATTAGTGTTTTATTTTGGTTATCTGTGAAGTATGAGACTCTGCAGAAGGTTGGGTTAGCCAGGAAGCAGACACTGAGACAGAGTTGGGAGTGTAAACAGCTCACTGGAGAGTTACACCTGTGAAAGGAACAGAGCAGAAGCTGGATTAGACAGAGGGTGCCATCAGACTGTGATGCCATCCAAACAGAGGCCAGCCCACTGGGATGCTGTAGAGCAAAGATTTCTGTCATGTAATAGAAGAGTTCCATGTTGGGTAGAAACAGCTAGGCTGTCATACCACTCCCTGCAGAAGCCCACCCTGAAAAGAGTGTGTCTTTGCTACCACTGTCTTGTTCATTCATTGAGTAGGGTCCTTCCCAAGAGCTGGAAAGCTGAGGTGGACCCTGAAAGAATTAACACCATCAATGAACCACAATCCATGTAGCTGGAGATCTGAGCGGCAGAGCTCTGTGTCTGCACAAGACATTGGGGGAAACCATAGGTCCCCAATCATTATAGTTCCCAGTTTGTAATAAAGCATGAATTGGGCACACACATGCACACACACTTTTGAATATGGATTTCTGCCTCAGCTCTTCTCCTGTTGGCTTTCACACACACACACACACACACACACACACACACACACACAGTCACTGGGATTACAAAACCTCTCAATACTGCTCTTTCTCAAATCTAGAGTACTATTCCTCCGTGGAGAATAGTGTGTGTGTGTGTGTGTATGTGTGTTTTGTTGAAGGGTGGTGACCTGTTGCTTTTTCTTTTCTAGCGGGAGGCACCAAGAAAGGGCACAAGCTTTGGCATCAGGCAGACCTTGTTCTCTACTTTGTGCTTTGGAGTCCCCAAAGCAATCCCTAAACTCCACTGCTCTGAGCCCATTTCTTCATCTTGCAGCAGGCATCATATGGCTCATCTCATAGGCAATGAGATAAAGGCACAGATGATGTGACACAGTTCCAGGTGTATGTTAAGTACTCTCTAAAGGGTCACTGGCATCTTTTAAAAAGCACTGATACTGCACCCTGTGTGGAATAATTATGAGAAGATCATAGCAAGGGCCATAGTTCTGAGATTAGTGTACAGAGGCATGAAGGAAATGCACTAGCTCAGAGTGCACCCAAGTTGTAAAATCCTCCAATGATATTGCCTCAAGAGTGTCTTTATCTTAAGCTCAGTGCAACCTATGGTTCACACAGATATCTCTTTGGTACCTTCCTGGGGCCATCAAAAAGGTGGTACCACTTTTAGAAGCAACAAGAGGACCTCCTATACTGGGCCCTGTGTTTCAAAGGGCTCCACTCTGACCATTCTCCAGCCATGCCCGACCCCACGCAGTGGGGAGTCCATGTGGCCAAAGTGATGTCACCACCAAAAACCCACTCTTCTTCTCCTTATGGATTCATCCAAGTATCTGGAACCCCGGAACTCCCTGTCCAAATGGCCTGTGCTACTTCTGGGGCCAGCATGGACTTCTTTCTCAAATGGATTTGGGATGGTCCCCCCAAGAGTGGATCAGGTCTCCAGTGTGTGCATCCTGAGGCTTGAGGAGTGGCCATGGAGTGGCTGTTTGTGGGACTGTGGATGAAGCTAGACATGGAGATGCTCATGGTTGAAGGTGGAACAGGGGTTTGAAGAGAAGGGGTTTGGGTCACAGGCAGGAGGCCAAGGACTGCTCTCCTTGTGCCACCACATTCTAGCTGAGATATTCAAGGAGTCTCTGATCATTCTAAATCAAACCTGGCCTTCCAGGTTGCTGTGAAAATGTATTTGTTAAAACAAGAGATGAAAACACATTTTTATTTAACAGGTTTTGTTAGCTAGCTTTGGAATTTTTAAATATTTAGATCTATGCGTTTATTGGTCTCCATTTGCAATCTTGCCCCAGGCTCTGTAAATATTAGAGGCAGGCCTGGGAGAATTCTCACAGCCTTAGAGTCAGTAGACCTCAAATACCAGGAGAGAAGATGTGCAGTGCCGATTCTAAAATCCATGAAAAGTCATTAAGGAGTATCAGAGAGCATCGGGACTCAATGAATACCTTGACAGTTGCCAGACAGCAAATAGTGTACCATGCAAACATCTGTTGTAGTCTAATACATTTTAAAACAAAATAAAGCATTTTTATTTCTAATCCAAGTGCTTCCTGACTTGGCTGTGCTCTATGGCCAACAGTGAACATCTGTAGACCATGTCCCTGTATATGGACCATCTCTACAACACAGTCCTGAGTTGCCCAACAATATACCATGACCCATTATATTGAAGAGTGGCTTTATGGAATGACCCCCTTTCCCCTACTGGAAATCTTTAAGGCACACTGAGCTAACAGTCTCCCTGGGGTACTGTGGGGGGCATAGCTGTATTGCCCAACCACACAGCTAGGTCTTTCATCATCAACTCCAAATCATCTCTCTTCCCCCTGCATGTACCCGGTACTCTCTTCAGCCTAGATTTTTTAAAGGCCAAATGCCTGTCCACATAAAGGGTTTATGTGTGAGGCCAAGGGCCCATGGTGGAAGAGGCCCATCTGTGTCCCAGCCTCCCATGACTGTCAGGCCTCTGAGCCCAAGCTAAGCCATCATATCCCCTGTGACCTGCACGTACACATCCAGATGGCTGGTTCCTGCCTTAACTGATGACATTCCACCACAAAAGAAGTGAAAATGGCCTGTTCCTGCCTTAACTGATGACATTATCTTGTGAAATTCCTTCTCCTGGCTCATCCTGGCTCAAAAGCTCCCCTACTGAGCACCTTGTGACCCCCACTCCTGCCCACCAGAAAATCCCCCTTTTTCCTTTACCTACCCAAATCCTATAAAACAGCCCCACCCCTATCTCCCTTCACTGACTCTCTTTTTGGACTCAGCCTGCCTGCACCCAGGTGAAATAAACAGCTTTATTGCTCACACAAAGCCTGTTTGATGGTCTCTTCACACGGAAGCAAGTGAAATTTGGTGCCGTGACTCCGATCAGGGGACCTCCCTTGGGAGATCAATCCCCTGTCCTCCTGCTCTTTGCTCCGTGAGAAAGATCCACCTACGACCTCAGGTCCTCAGACCGACCAGCCCAAGAAACATCTCACCAATTTCAAATCCGGTAAGCGGCCTCTTTTTACTCTCCTCTCCAAACTCCCTCACTATCCCTCGACCTCCTTCTCCTGTCAATCTTGGCGCCACACTTCAATCTCTCCCTTCTCTTAATTTCAATTCCTTTCATTTTCTGGCAGAGACAAAGGAGACACGTTTTATCCGTGGACCCAAAACTCCAGCGCCGGTCATGGACTAGGGAAGTCAGCCTTCCCTTGGTGTTTAATCATTGCAAGGACACCTGATTATTCCCCCAGGTTTCAGAGGTGTCAGATCACGCAGGGACGCCTGCTTTGGTCCTTCACCCTTAGCGGCAAGTCCCACCT
The DNA here is from genome assembly GCF_000001405.40 of Homo sapiens. Taxonomy (NCBI): domain Eukaryota; kingdom Metazoa; phylum Chordata; class Mammalia; order Primates; family Hominidae; genus Homo; species Homo sapiens. The sequence goes on along the minus strand of NC_000009.12, from coordinate 3,815,902 downwards.
TTCTGGGGGAGGGGCAGGAACCCCAATCTCTTATCTCTACACCCCAATCCCTTATTTCCACGCCCCGACCTCTTATCTTTGTGCCCTGATCCCTTATTTCCACACCGCGACCTCTTATCTCTGTGCCCCAACCCCTTATTTCTGAGCCCCGACCCCTTCTCTGCTTTTCTGGAGGGCAAGAAGCCCCCACCCCTTCTCCGTGTCTCTACTCATTTTTCTCTGGGCTTGCCTCATTCACTATGGGCAAGCTTCCACCTTCCATTCCTCCTTCTTCTCCCTTAGCCTGTGTTCTTAAGAACTTCAAACCTCTTCAACTCTCACCTGACCTAAAATCTAAGCGTCTTATTTTCTCTGCAATGCCACTTGACCCCAATACAAACTCGACAGTAGTTCCAAATAGCCGGAAAATGGCACTTTCAATTTTTCCATCCTACAAGATCTAAATAATTCTTGTTGTAAAATAGGCAAACGGTCTGAGATGCCTGATGTCCAGGCATTCTTTTACACATTGGTCCCTCCCTAGTCTGTGTTCCCAATGTGACTCGTCCCAAATGTTCCTTCTTTCCCTCCCACCTGTCCCCTCAGTCCCAACCCCAAGCGTCACTGAGTCTTTCTACTCTTCCTTTTCTACAGACCCATCTGACCTCTCCCCTCCTCGCCAGGCCGAGCTAGGTCCCAATTCTTCCTCAGCCTCCGCTCCTCCACCCTATAATCCTTTTATCACCTCCCTCCTCACACCTGGTCTGGCTTACAGTTTCATTCCGTGACTAGCCCTCCCCCACCTGCCCAGCAATTTACTTTTAATAAGGTGGCTGGAGCTAAAGGCATAGTCAAGGTTAATGCTCCTTTTTCTTTATCCCAAATCAGATAGCGTTTAGGCTCTTTTTCATCAAATATAAAAATCCAGCCCAGTTCATGACTTGTTCGGCAGCAACCCTGAGACGCTTTACAGCCCTAGACCCTAGGTCTAGGCCGTCAATCATTGCAGGTCAAAAGGCCGTCTTATTCTCAATATACATTTTATTACCCAATCTGCTCCCGACATTAAATAAAACTCCAAAAATTAAATTCCGGCCCTCAAACCCCACAACAGGACTTAATTAATCTCCCCTTCAAGGTGTACAATAAGAGAATAGAGACAGCCAAGTAGCAAAGTATTTCTGAGTTGCAATTCCTTGCCTCCACTGTGAGACAAACCCCAGCCACATCTCCAGCACACAAGAACTTCCAAATGCCTAAACCGCAGTGGCCAGGCGTTCCTCCAGAACTGCCTCCCCCAGAAGCTTGCTACAAGTGCCAGAAATCTGGCCACCAGGCCAAGGAATGCCCGCAGCCCGGGATTCCTCCTAAGCCATGTCCCATCTTTGTGGGACCCCACTGGAAATCGGAGTGTTCAACTCACCTGGCAGCCACTCCCAGAGCCCCTGGAACTCTGGCCCAAGGCTCTCTGACCGACTCCTTCCCAGATCTTCTCGGCTTAGCGGCTGAAGACTGACGCTGCTCGTAGACCATCACGGACGCCGAGCTTTAGGTAACTCTCACAGTGGAGGGTAAGTCCGTCCCCTTCTTAATCAATGCGGAGGCTACCCACGCCACATTACCTTCTTTTCAAGGGCCTGTTTCCCTTGCCTCCATAACTGTTGTGGGTATTGACGGCCAGGCTTCTAAACCTCTTAAAACTCCCCAACTCTGGTGCCAACTTAGACAATACTCTTTTAAGCATTCCCTTTTAGTTATCCCCACCTGCCCAGTTCCCTTATTAGGCCGAGACACTTTAACTAAATTATCTGCTTCCCTGACTATTCCTGGACTACAGCTGCATCTCATTGCCACCCTTCTTCCCAATCCAAAGCCTCCTTTGCATCCTCCTCTTGTATCCCCTCACCTTAACCCACAAGTATAAGATACCTCTACTCCCTCCTTGGTGACTGATCTTGCACCCCTAACCATCTCATTAAAACCTAATCACCCTTACCCCGTTCAGTGCCAATATCCCATCCCACAGCATGCTTTGAAAGGATTAAAGCCTGTTATCACTCGCCTGCTACAGCATGGCCTCTTAAAGACTATAAACTCTCCTTACAATGCCCCCATTTTACCTGTCCTAAAACCAGACAAGCCTTACAAGTTAGTTCAGGATCTATGCCTTATCAGCCAAATTGTTTTGCCTATCCACCCCATGGTGCCAAACCCATATACTCTCCTATCCTCAATACCTCCCTCCACAACCCATTATCCTGTTCTGGATCTCAAACATGCTTTCTTTACTATTCCTTTGCACCCTTCATCCCAGCCTCTCTTCACTTTCACTTGGACTGACCCTGACACCCATCAGGCTTAGCAAATTACCTGGGCCATACTGCCGCAAAGCTTCACAGACAGCCCCCATTACTTCAGTCAAGCCCAAATTTCTTCCTTATCCGTTACCTATTTCAGCATAATTCTCATAAAAACACAAGAGCCCTCCCTGCCGATCGTGCCCGACTAATCTCTCAAACCCCAACCCCTTCTACAAAACAACAACTCCTTTCCTTCCTGGGCATGGTTGGATACTTTCGCCTTTGGATACCTGGTTTTGCCATCCTAACAAAACCATTATATAAACTCACAAAAGGAAACCTAGCTGACCCCATAGATCCTAAATCCTGTCCCCACTCCTCTTTCCATTCCTTGAAGACAGCTTTAGAGACTGCCCCCACCCTAGCTCTCCCTGACTCACCCACCCCTTTTCATTACACACAGCTGAAGTGCAGGGCTGTGCAGTCAGAATTCTTACACAAGGACCGGGATCGCGTCCTGTAGCCTTTTTGTCCAAACAACTTGACCTTACTGTTTTAGGCTGGCCATCATGTCTCTGTGCAGCGGCTGCTGCCGCCCTAATACTTTTAGAGGCCCTTAAAATCACAAACTATGCTCAACTCACTCTCTACAGCTCTCATAATTTCCAAAATCTGTTTTCTTCCTCACACCTGACACATATACTTTCTGCTCCCCGGCTCCTTCAGCTGTACTCACTCTTTGTTGAGTCTCCCACAATTACCATTGTTCCTGGCCCGGACTTCAATCCGGCCTCCCACATTATTCCTGATACCACACCTGACCCTCATGACTGCATCTCTCTGATCCACCTGACATTCACCCTATTTCCCCACATTTCCTTCTTCCCTGCTTCTCACCCTGATCACACTTGGTTTATAGACGGCAGTTCCACCAGGCGTAATCGCCACACACCAGCAAAGGCAGGCTGTGCTATAGTACAAGCCACTAGCCCGCCTCTTAGAACCTCTCATTTCCTTTCCATCGTGGAAATATATCCTCAAGGAAATAACTTCTCAGTGTTCCAACTGCTATTCTACTGCTCCTCAGGGATTATTCAGGCTCCCTCCCTTCCCTACACATCAAGCTCAGGGATTTGCCCCCACCCAGGACTGGCAAATTTGCTATTCTACTACTTCTCAGGGATTATTCAGGCCCCCTCCCTTCCCTACACATCAAGCTCAGGGATTTGCCCCTGCCCAGGACTGGCAAATTAGCTTTACTCAACATGCCCCGAGTCAGGAAACTAAAATACCTCTTGGTCTAGGTAGACACTTTCACTAGGTAGGTAGAGGCCTTTCCCACAGGGTCTAAGAAGGCCATCATGGTCATTTCTTCCCTTCTGTCAGACATAATTCCTTTGTTTGGCCTTCCCACATCTATACAGTCCAATAGCAGACCGGCCTTTATTAGTCAAATCAGCCAAGCATTTTTTCAGGCTCTTATATTCAGTGAAACCTTTATATCCCTTACAGTCCTCAGTCTTCAGGAAAGGTAGAACAGACTAATGGCCTTGTAAAAACACACCTCACCAAGCTCAGCCACCAACTTAAAAAGGACTGGACAATACTTCTACCACTTTCCCTTCTCAGAATTCAGGCCTGTCCTCAGAATGCTACAAGGTACAGCCCATTTGAGCTCCTGTATAGACGCTCCTTTTCATTAGGCCCCAGTCTCATTCCAGACACCAGACTAACTTGGACTGTGCCCCCAAAAACTTGTCATCCCTACTATCTTCTGTCTAGTCATGCTCCTATTCACCGTTCTCAACTACTCACACATGCCCTGCTCTTGTTTACACTGCCAGTTTACACTGTTTCTCCAAGCCATCACAGCTGATATCTCCTGGTGCTATCCCCAAACCGCCACGCTTAACTCTTAAAGTAAATAAATAATCTTTGCTGGCAAGGCTATGCTGAACCTCCTTAGGCACTCTCTAATTAGATGTCCTAGGTCCTCCCAATTCTTAGACCTTTAATACCTGTTTTTCTCCTTATTCTGTTTAATTTTTCAATTCACACAAAACTGTATCCAGACCATCACCAACAATTCTAAATGACAAATGTTTCTTCTAACAACCCCACAATATCACCCCTTACCACAAAATCTTCCTTCAGCTTAATCTCTCCCACTCTAGGTTCCGACGCTGCCCCAATCCCGCTCGAAGCAGCCCTGAGAAACATCGCCCATTATCTCTCCATACCATACCCCAAAAAATTTTCACCATCCGAACACTTTACCACTATTTCATTTTATTTTTCTTATTAATGTAAGAAGACAGGAATGTCAGGCCTCTGAGCCCAAGCTAAGCCATCATATCCCCTGTGACCTGCACGTACACATCCAGATGGCTGGTTCCTGCCTTAACTGATGATATTCCACCACAAAAGAAGTGAAAATGGCCTGTTCCTGCCTTAACTGATGACATTATCTTGTGAAATTCCTTCTCCTGGCTCATCCTGGCTCAAAAGCTCCCCTACTGAGCACCTTGTGACTGCTACTCCTGCCCGCCAGAAACCAACCCCCCTTTTTCCTTTACCTACCCAAATCCTATAAAACAGCCCCACCCCTATCTCCCTTCACTGACTCTCTTTTTGGACTCAGCCCGCCTGCACCCAGGTGAAATAAACAGCTTTATTGCTCACACAAAGCCTGTTTGGTGGTCTCTTCACACGGACGTGAGTGAAAATGACTACCATGGAAATTCAGAGCTCAGTCACCAAATGCTATCCAGTCCAGGTGCCTCCTTTGATACTGCACAGTAACTGAGATGCTAAGGTAGTGGCTTATTCAGGGGAAGAGCTAACAAATGAGACAACCAGGAAAAGAAGCCTGGGCTCTTGTTTTTCCTCTGTGATTACTTCCTTTGCCCCTGCCTGTTCTAGGACCTTAGCCCTTATTAAAACTTGACCTGGCTGTGCTGAACTATTATTGGGCACACCTACTTACAGCCCTCAGTGGAGGCAAAGCTACTATGGGAAATCCTGGGCTCTTGATCCATTTTACCCTTTGCAGTAGATACCAAGATGCCTGGCTGAGTTCTGGCCAACTGGCCTAGGATCAGTGCTGCTCCAGGCATACAAGCTGTATCATGACAGGGGCAGTATGGCAAGATGTAAAGAGTACTGATCTGGGAATCTAGAAACCAGGCTCTAATTTGGTGACTAAGCCAAGTCAATTCTGACTAGAGCTTGTGCTCTGAAGTGAGGAGCCTTCAGAATCCACTCCATCTCTACCACATAAGCAAATTACTTGACCACTCTGAACCTCAGTTTCTTCATCTTTTCAACAGGAATCATACCTGCGTTACAAACTTCTTGGGGGATTCATGTGTCTATCACAAAGCTGGCCATTAATAAATATTGATTCCCCTCCACCACTTTTAAAATCAAGGAGTTGAATCGGTTGATCTATACAGTTCTGACATGCATGTGTGATGTCCCTTGGCTTCATATTCCAGAATTTTCTCCAGGATCCATGATATGTTTTCCTCTTGGGCCATTTTCCTCCTCAACCCAGCTGTGTTCATTGAAAAGTTTGCAGCCTGGGCTAGTCCACCTGGCAGTTGGCACTATTAATGATTCACCAAGAAGATGGATCCAGGAAGTGACTTATGACAAGAATACTTTCTTTGTGGTTTGAGAGAGGTTCCAGTAGGCTCTAAAGTCAATGGGGATGCCATCCTGAGGCATGAGAACCACAATGGTCACATGGGCAGGGGAAGCTTCACTCAAGAAGGCTGCAGCTGCACAGAGCAATGCCAAGGCTTCATCTCTTAGTATTGCTTCCCCTGGGCTTCAACCTCAGGACTGGTGCATAGAGCAGGGTACTGAGGGATAATGCCAAGATATCAGAGAGTGGAAGAGAAATTCTATACCACCAGACTGGAAGCCAAAAACTGTTTTGTTTACAAATAACAAAAATAAATCTGCATTTGCTTCAGTTGAGAAGGGAAAGATCTTGAAAAACACAGGGTACAAATGCAATGAGACATCAGAATGGAACTGAAATGTTAATCCAGCTCCCTCTCTCTTCATCTTTCGTCTCTACTCATTTTGACCTGATTGTTCTTTTCTCCTACCTTTGCAGACCTGCCTCCTTTTATTTTCTGATTCATGTAACTACAAGTGATGCCTGTCTCACATTCCCGGGTTTATACTTCACCATCTTGAGGAGGGAAAAGAGAGTAAGTCAGCCAGTCTCTCTATATGTATGGATAAATAGGCAGATGTAGATGTAGATACAGACATAGACATAAATATGGATACATATCCTATCAATCTGGATGTCAAATCGACAAACAGGAGGTTCTGAGGCATCCATCTTGGTTCAGGTACTCATCCCTGTTCTGATCAATAACCTCCAACATTTGGTATATTTGTTAACAAGAATCCCCACAATGAATGAGGGGGCAAGAAGTAGGTGAACCTGGCATATGATTCAAAAGGTGTTCACAGCAGCCTAATGAGCTGGGCCACTATGAGAGCTAGAATCATGACTCTAACAGTCAAAGGGAGCCCAATAGTTACAGGATTGTCACATACCAATAGTGAATAAATAGTGAACCTTAGCCAACAGGACTCTTAGCAAAACCTGCCTTGATTGAGCTATCATCATGGACACCCACTTCTGGGCCCTTATTATCATGAATTTTTGCTGCAGCATTTACTCTGAGTTCAGACTGTCAGTAATTCAGACTTGGGTCTTTATCTTTTGTGGTTTCCACAAAAGACTGTCTGCACAGTGCCACAGCTCACCCTCTCTCCCTAACCTGAGCACCTTGTGTGACTTGTATTCTGTCTAGAAGCTGCCTTCTTTCTGAAGAATCATTATTCTGCGGAGCACTGAAAGAAGGAGCTTAAAATACTTTGGGTGTCAAAAGTAGGAGCAACAGATTGCCATTTGTGTGTACTTTCCGCTATCTAAAACTTCCAATTAAAAAATCCTTTATGGGGAGGGAGAGCATTAAGACAAATACCTAATGCATGCAGGGCTTAAAACCTAGATGATGGGTTGATGGGTGCAGCAAACCACCATGGCACATATGTAACAAACCTGCACGTTCTGCACATGTACCCCAGAACTTAAAGTAGAAAAACTTTACTAAACACTTCTTAACCATATAACTACCTCAGCACCACCTTAAACAAAGAAGTACTTATTAACATATCAAGAATTTAACAAACATTCTTCACTGACCTTTCTAATTTTCATCCATTGTGCCTACTGTGTCCAACAGCATTCCGCTGAACTTCCGCACTTGATTTCTGGGAAGATCTGATGCCCTTCAGAAGTTTATCTCTGTGATCTCCCAAGTTCTTGAGTTAAATCAGAGACAACATTGTCCCTCTAATCCTTAATAGTTCTTTCTGAAAATCCAAAATAACTTTAGAAAACGTTTTCATAATGAACTGGAGCAATGTCTTAGCATCCTCTATCACAGTGGGAACAAGAAGAGTACCCACTATCAATGCAGTTGATATTGTGCTGGAGATTCTGTTCAGCACAGTAAGGTCAGGAAAAAGAACTAAAGGCTTCTATTCCTGTGATGATGGTGAATGACTACAGGCTGCTGCTTCCCTCTTCAAAATCAAATCCATGGGAACCATAAAAGTGAAAGGAAAATTTGGGTTACAGAAGCAGCAACAAAATCTGGAATAATATTGAGAAACTCCTGAGGATGTTGAAGTCAGTGTTAAACTAGAGTGAGAGGTGGAGTGTGGAACGATGTGGGAGGAAGGTGACTAAAGCCCTGAGAAAGGATGACCAGAGATAGTAAGAAGACAATTAAGATTTCCGGTTGCATTCTTGCCTCTCCCTTGAATTGCCTTAGAGCCTACATTGGCTGCCTTTTCACTTAGAAATCAGCTGACACAACCCAGTACACCAATGCTAGGGAGTATGAGAGTAATAGAAAAGTCCTTTTAAGATGAGGTATTGATGAAAACTGGTATGAAGAGACCAGCCTCCCTAAACTTTCATTTCTCTGTTCACTTTCACCTCAATATCCCCAAAACTTTTTAGTACAGACTTAGGAGATAACTACTTTCTCCAAATACTGTTTCGGCCTAATGGTCTAAAGTCAAAACCCTGTGGATAGTTTCCTGGTAGAGTGGCAAAGAAATATTAATAGTCAGCAGTGGTGCTATGGTTGTTTCTGTGACAATGTACCTTGGAACTAAGCCTACTCTCTTTCTTAAAGTTTCCAGCACTGACAAAAGACAAGGACTGTGAATAGACCTTTTTAAGTACATACTACCTGACAGAGTTCATGACCACTGAATGGGTCATGAGCTCGCAAACTAAAATAACCAGACTCCTGTATAATACCACAGACTGCAACATATATAATTCAAAGCAGACATATTAGAATAGAGGACAAAGCTTTCAGTAAAGCCTGCTAAGATATTTAAGGAAATGAGAAAAAATATTACCAATATGAAACAATAACCAAAATAATAATGAAAATAATCAAGTGGAAATATTAGCTATAACAAATAGAATGGTTGGAAAAAAGAATACAGTAGGATAGATGCAGCTAAAAATGAATTAATAAAATATAAGACCATATTGAGGTTTCATAAAAGATGATAAAAAGAATAAAAGAAAGAAAATATGAAAGAAAAGCTAAAAGAAATGGATAGTATAAGTAAAGATGCCAACACCCAGAAGCTAGAAACTCTAGAAGGAGAGGAAAATAAAAATGAAGAAAAATATTTGAAGAAAAAAATGAAGTTATATTTCTCAGAATTGAATACAAATGACACAGATGAAAATAACCCATACACTGCCAAATGTAAGAGATTAGGAAAAATTGACACCTAAATATAGTAAAATTTAAAGACATGAAAAGCAAGAACAATTACTAATACTTTTAGAAAAAACAGCTCAACCACAGGAGAATAAACATCAGAATAACATCAGACTTCTCAACAGCAACACTGAATGCAAGAAGATAATGGGATAATGGCATAGCACTTCTAAAGTAATAAAGGAAAGGAGGAAGAATTAAAGAGAAAAAGCCAAAGTAAGTATAATGGCTGGAAAATATTAAGAAAGATGACAAAAATATGTTCTAATATAACAATAATAATAATAAATATAAATGTATTAAACTCACCATTTAAAAGACAGATTCTCAAGTTGGATTCATAAAAGAGGCTTCAAATATATGTTACTAGAAGAGCTCACTGAAAACAAAAATACAAAAAGACTTAAAGAGATGTAAATATATAACAAGAAAATATTAGCCACAGAAAGGCTGCAGTAACAATCCTAATATTTGATCAGATTTAAGAAAAATATGTCTTAAAAAAACTAAAAAGATCTCATATACAATAAAAGGAAGTAATAAAAAGATATATTGATTATAAACATATACACACCTAATTATACAGACTCAAAACATACCAAGTAACAACTAACAAAACCAAAGAGAGATAAGTAATGTAAGTTACCAATTTTAACACACCACTTTCAGAAACTGAAATTTATAGATCAAGTAAAGAAACATATGTAGATTTATCAAAGATATGTAAAGAATTATACAACACACAAACATAAAATCCATAGAATTCTTTTTGAGTTTATACGGAAGAATTTTACAAAAATAAACCTTTATGATGCCAAATTGGCTTGGCATTTCAAGGCCGCTTTAGTATTATGAAACCTTTACATTAACACTTTTTTTTCACAACTGCCATGACTGAGGAAAGAGTGTGGAAATTGCACCCGGGCTTTTACATGCTTTCATCTGGAAATGACACCCGTACTTTCACTTACTTATATTGGCTAAGGAAATTAACAAGGTTATGCTTAACTTCAAGAGGCAGGAAAATAGAATTCTCCCATATCCTGGAAGAAATGGAAAACTAGATGAGTGACAACAGCAATGTCTACTAGGGGCAATTTAATGAAGGTGAAAATCTGCAAGATTTAAATATGCATGTAGCAATATTGATAAACCTTAAAAAACGGCTCTGACTAAAAAAATTAGAAAAGAAAGAAAGAATAAGCTGCAAAACACAATAACATTTACATACATATAAAACTCATGCACATATTGAAAATATATATACATTTTAAAAATATTTTAAGGGCTGGGCGCTGTGGCTCACGCCTGTAATCCCAGCACTTTGGGAGGTTGAGGCGGGCGGATCACGAGGTCAGGAGATCGAGACCATCCTGGCTAACACGGTGAAACCCCGTCTCTACTGAAAATACAAAAAATTAGCCGGGCGTGGTGGCGGGCGCCTGTAGTCCCAGGTACTCGGGAGGCTGAGGCAGGAGAATGGCGTGAACCCGGGAGGCGGAGCTTGCAGTGAGCCGAGATGGCGCCACCGCACTCCAGCCTGGGCGACAGAGCGAGACTTTGCCTCAAAAAAAAATTTTTTTTTTTAAATGGTATCTATAGGGAAAAGGCAAGTAGCAGTAGAGTATGGGATAAAGATAAAGGGAATAAATAAGTCAATAAATAAGAGAAGGGCTTTGTGAGACCAATGATAGTAGCATGCTATGAACAGAAGAGCATGATTAACTCTACCCTCTGATGCTGAATTGTTGTGGTGGTTGTTTTTTTAAGGCATAGGGTTCAGCTTAGAAAAGCATAAATCGACTTCATTATTTTCAGATGACATTAGAATATTCCTAGAAAACCTAAAAGAACATACTTAGAAAATTTTAAAATTAGTAAGTTTATCAGTGTTCTTGGATTCAAAATCAATGTAAATAAATTTGTTGCATTTGTACTAACTGGCATGATTAGTTAGAAAATGTAATTTTATAAAAGATTGTTTGCAATGATATGTTTAAAAAACTTTAAGTGCCTAAAAATAAATCTAACTGAATATGGAAAAGATTTTAATGAAGAAAAATACTAATTTTATTAATTGATTTAATATGATCTAAATGAATGGAAATAAATACTACATTTATGGATTGGAGCACTCAAAATCATAAAGCTGCCTGTTATTACTAAATTGATCTATATATTTAATACAATCTGAATTTTAAAATACCAACAAGTCTTTATACGTGTAGGTAAGGGAAGAGGGCTTAACTTGGCAAAAGAAAAAAATAGAACTTTGAAGCAGAAGGGAAAGAAAAAGTAGAAGGAATAGGAAGATGAGAAGAAGACAGAGAGAAAGAAGAGAGAAAGGAGAAGTTGTTTGGAAAAGTGATTACTGACCCTCACAAATATGAAGAATATTACAACATAATGTGACATCATCACAGGCGAGTAACCAATGGAATTGAACAAAAAGCCAAAAAACAGACCCACACATATGTGAAAACGTTTGTAACAAATCAGATCAGTGGAGGAAAAAATGGAATTCAATAAAATATGCTGAGACAATTGGTTATACACATGGAAATAATTAAAATTGGATCCCTATCTCACTCCACACATTAAAAATAAATAAATCTCAGCCAGATTTAAATGTGAAGGGCAAATCCTTAGATAAAGGGGAGTGTCTTTGTGACACTAAGATATTTAAGAGTTTCTTAAAATGAAATAGTGCAAACCATAAAGAAGATAAATCTGACTTCATTCAATTTAATATTACGTATATTTCCAGGCTCCTAAAGAGAGCAAAAAGACAAACTACAAACAAGAAGAAATTATTTGCAGCATTAAAACTAACAAAATGATAGTATTCAGAATTTATGAAAAACCATAAATCACTAAGAAAGGAAATAACTCGTTTGCCCAAAAATGGGCAAAAGTCTTGAATAAGCACTTATGAGAAAAGAAAACTTGAATGGGCAATACATTTATGAAAAGATGCTCAGCCTCATTGTATTTTAAGGAAATGCAAATTTAAATCAAAATGAGATAACATTTCACAGATGTTAGATTGATTTAAAAAAATGTATGTGTACTACAGTTATCCCTTAGTATCTGCAAGAAACTGGTTCCAGGACCCACCACAGATACCAAAATATGAGGATGCTCAAGTTCCTTCTATAAACTGGCATAGTATTTGTGTATAAACTATGCACATCCTCTTGTATACGTTTGTATTTTATTTTATTTTATTTTTTGAGATGGAATCCTGCTCTGTCACCGGGCTGGAGTGCAGTGGCGCTACCTCAGCTCACTGCAACCTCTGCCTCCCAGGTTCAAGCAATTCTCCTGCCTCAGCCTCCTGAGTAGCTGGGACCACAGGTGTGTACTACCACAATGGAGATGGGGTTTCGCCATGTTGGCCAGGCTGCTCTCGAACTCCTGACCTCAGGTGATTCACCCACCTCAGCCTCCCAAAGTGCTAGGATTACAGACGTGAGTCACTGCACCCATCCTTTCCTGTATACTTTAAATCATCTGTAGATTATTTATAATATCTAATACAATGTAAATGCTATGTAAATAGTTGTTATATTGTTTTTACTTTGTATTATTTTTATTACTATATTGTTATTTTTTCTGAATCCATGGTTGGTTGAATCCACAAATGCAGAACCCATGCATACAGAGGATCAAGTGTAATATCATGTTGGTGCAAATATGAAGCAACCAGAACACTTATACTTTTCTGGTAGCAGTGTAAATAGGTACAACTGGCAGTGCCTAGTAAAATTAAATATGCACACACAACATTACCCAGCAATTCTACTCATTTTATATCCTAGAGAAACTCTTTCACATATGACCAAGAGACAAAGAATACTCAGAGCAATATTTTTGTAATAATAAAAAACTCAGAAACAAACCATCTGATCATCACCATCAAAACTGATACAGGTTGAGTATTCTTTATCTGAAATGTTTGGAACCAGAAGTGTTTTAGATTTCAGATTCTTTTCAGATTTTGGAATATTTGCATATACATAACGAGATAGCTTGGAAATTAGATCCAAATTTGAACACAAAATTCATTTATGTTTCACATACTCCTTATATACATAACCTGAAGGAAGTTTTATACAATATCTTAAATAATTTTGTGCATATAACAAAGCTTGTGTATATTGGACCAGCGGAAATCATAGTGTCACTATCTCACATCACCATCATGGCTGACTCTCAATTGATATGCTACCAATAAGCGATCATTTTTCATACTTTTTCACACATAAGTACTTAACAGCAAAAAGTAAGACATGCCATTAATACAGTGAAAAAATAATGTGTTCAGGGTAACTAAGCAGCCTAGTAGCATCACCAAAATACCTGTATGAGCTGTTAAACAATGCTAACAACAATGACAGGCTTTCAGTCTCCACCTATGATGGTGTGTTTTGAATAAAAGGTTATTGTACATTGTATTTTATTTTTTCAGGTGAGAAAAAAACATCAGAAACAGTTGAGGGATCAGGAAATAAATACCTAGGGATGAGAAGGCATTCCAGTGAATGGTTTTTTTAAACTATTTCCTCCAAAGTCATCTGCCTCATTAACAAGGCTTTATCTTAGAAGTCTTTTCTTAGATTTTATACACTGACACGATTTCTTGTTTTGTTATGAATGCATTCTGCCCTAGTCCTTCAAAAGCCCCATCACACATTTTCACCATGTCATCTACAGGCACTTTTTCTGATGACAATGTAGACTTTATCATCACTATTTACCACGATCTCCTTGATTCAGAATCATTTCAGCTCTTTCACCATTGGTCAATGAACAACTGTAGCTTCATTGTTGATATGAAACACTTCCTCAATATTTGCTTCTCCCAGTTTACCGATGAAATCTGAAGGTATATTTTTTTGCGTATGCAAGGAAGTCATACATCATTTTTTTTCTCACTTGACATATGAAATCCTTCAAAGTTACCATCTTGGTCATCATCACTGAATATGGTTCCAGGCCAGAATTTGTGCCAGGCATGTCCAACTGTGTCTTTAATCACTGTGTTCCAGGCATTGACAACAGCATATAAAGCATCCTTCACGTCAAACTCCTTTTGAAAACCTTTCACACTCATGTTTCTCTGTTCACTGCTGTTAGCCTACCGTTGAGGAAAGTGTTTTTATATTTACTTCATTGATCTAAGAGAACTTGGTCACATGGCTGAATTAATGAAATCACATTTGAGTGAAAGTACATGGCATTAACATTATTTTGATGAGAATTTCAGCTGAAGGATGAACAGAATGGTTGTCCAGTAATAATAAAAGCTTGCAGTTGTCATCTAGTCTGGCTTCCCTGCAGTGAACATGAGCCACTGGTACAAAATGTCTGTGAAACCAAACAGAAAAGATGTTCTTGGAAGTATATGCCTTTTTGTTAGCATAATACAATAATGAACTGGTATGAAATTCACTCTTTGAAAACAGGGAGGATCTAAGTTTTCGCCCGACACAGCAAGTTTACACTTCGGTGTGCCTGTTGCATTAGCACACTCCAGCACAGTCATTCTATCTTTGGTATCATTAGTTCACGTCGGGGCTGTCTCATCAGATATAGTCTATGTCTTTTTGGGGCAGTTACAACAACAGAGTGATGTTTCATTCACATCATATACTTGTTCTGGCATCATTTACATCAGTGATAATCTTGGCAAACCCATCAATGAATTTGTCCACTTTGTGATCAGCAGTTGCTTTATCACAAGTCTTTACAGATTTAATGCTACGTCTTTTCTTAAATTTCTGCAACCAGCCTGTTGAATAGTCACCGTTCCCTTCAATTTTCAGTTCATTGTGATAGATCTATGCTTATTTCATAATCAACATACTATTAAATGGTATACGTTCATTGTGACACTGATCCATTATTTTAATATAGGACCAAGATCTTCAGTTTCAGCTTTATGCAGTATTTATCTGTTTTTCACTAACCTCCATACATCACTTTCAGCACAGAACTTCAACAGTTTATTCTTCTGTTCTTCAGGTCATATATAGTGGTCATTCCAAAACTATACTCTTCTGTAAGATGTTTCAGGCTTACACTGCTGCATATTTTCTCCAGCAACTTGGCTTTCTGTGCTGTAGGTAAACATAAACACTTCCTCTTTTTCTTATCATTGTTACCCATAGGGATATCTGCAGACATTTTTGACATTTTCCACATCTTTATACCAGAAAGCAGAAAATAAGCAAAAACAATAATAACAACAACAACAACAAAAAGTGAGTAATGCACATAGGTCTTGGCCCCACGTAGGGCATCATGTGGAACCTAGCATTGGCATGTCCCGCCTGCATATGTGTATGTGCCATTTTATTAGCCTTTGTGAGTGTGCTGACATAGGGGAGTCTGGGCATGTGCAGAAAAGATATATTGCAGCTGAAGTAGGAAGGGAGAGCCTTTATTCTCTTAGGAATGTGGAATAAATTGTGTTTTGTGCACCTGGCTTAAGGATGTGGCCGATCACATGAGGTCATGTGTGGAATTTTCCACTTGTGTCATTGTGTTGTGCTCAAAATGTTTTGGAATTTGGTGCATTTTGAACTTTGGATTTCATATTAGAAGTGTTCAACCTGTATATTAGTTGGAAAATATTCATATAAAGGAATATTATGTAGCATCAAGCGATGAGTTATGGTTACACACAACAGAAATTGGTCTCAGGAATACACTTTATTGAAAAACCAAGTCAATCACAATGAATATAGAGATGCTCCTCAGCTTATGATAGGATTACACTCTGATAAATCCATTGTAAGCTGAAAATATACATCAAAAATTCATTTAGTACACCTAACCTACCAAACATCTTAGCTTAGCCTAGCCTGCTTTAAACATGCTCAGAACACTTACATTAGCCTGTAGTTGTGCAAAGTCAACTAACACTAGGCCTATTTTATGATAAAGTGTTAAATATTCATGTAACTTATTAAATGCTGTGCTGAAAGTGAAAAACAGAATGATTGTATGGGTACTCACCATTAACATACACGGCAGAAAGCATCATCGTGAAGTCGAAAATCCCCAAGTTGAACTATTGTAAGTTGGGGACTGTTTTTTTTAATACAATCCCATTTAAGGATACAAATGTGGTAAAGGGATAGGGAAAGCAAAGGGATAATACTCATGAAATTCAGGCTTGTAGGTACCTTGGGAGGAATGGGAAGAATATAGGGGCTTCAAGGGACACAGAAGAGGCTGCAAAAATACAAGTAAGATTTTCTTTTCTGTAAGTTGAATAATAGGCAAAGTCCTGTTATATCATTATAAAATATGTACCTGCGTTTTAGCCTTTGTGGTTTACTTTCCATTTTCTATATCTTTTACCCCTACAATTGTCAATGGGTTATTCTCAAATTTGCCTATGACAGAATTCTTTCTGTTCTCTTCAATATATTTTCCCTTAGCTCATTTTAATCAAAAATGGAATTTTGCATCTTGGAAAAGTTCAATTCAAAGACTGTCTGTATTTGGTTAACAGGTAGCATGGCCAAAAATAAATAGGTTTCTTCAGGACAGATACTTACAGGTGGTGAGAGGCTGGATGCCTCCTTGACACATTGTGGGTCTCAGAAGTATAACTCACACAGGGCCCACACAGACTGAATTTCTCTACACAGTACCTGACAGGGTTTTTTAACTCGAGACTTTATGACAAATGAGAAAGCAAATGTTTTAAGAAAGAGTGAGCCTACAACCTATGATAATAATTCTATGCAATTTGTTGTATATTTGTATGCACAGGTGGCAACCAATAGAAAGGGAGATATAGTTAAGTCTTTCCCCTTACTGAGAAGCAACTGATGACCATAAGCAGGGAGGTAAGGAAACAGCCTTGCTGTTGGTGCAGTCAATATCTTTGTCATCATGCCGTTTGGTTTGTACTGTGGTGTCTGCTTCTTGATTCAGGTGTTGACTGTTGTCTCTGCATTTTTTAAAATAAAGTTTTAAAGATCTCAGTCTTCATCTGAAGATCTTTATGGAAGCTTCTAGTTCCCTCAAATAGCTCTACAAATTTTGGCTTTGTTCAAGTAGTACTGCAGTAATCTAACTCTCTATCCTGAACACTGCAGGTCTGTGTTCTTTTGGTGGTCAACCAAAATCCCTTTGTGAGGTCAACATTCCTTGAAGGAAGGACAATCTGATCTGAGGACTGTCATTGATTGGGGTAGTCAGTACTGCTTAGGCAACCTTCCAGGGTATTGCTGTTTAATTATTTCATTCAAAATTTAACAAACACTTATTGAGTATCTATAGAACAGGCACTTTTCATTTTTCTAAGCACAGCTTATAGTCTTCCTTCTCCCAATAGTTCCTCAGTATTTAGTTCTCCCCTTCAAAAGGAATGAATGTATGAATGAATAAATAAATAAAGTGCTTTAAGAATTAAAGACAGGAAGAGAGATTTTGAGACAGGGAAGGAATAACATTTGCTGCTAATGGGTTAGGCTCTTTACATTCTATATATACTGTATTACCTTTTCTATCTAAATAGAGTTTAGAAGCCAAGTACCATTGGGCTTAAGGAAGAAGTATTTGGTGGCTGCTGCTCCTTTCCTGGTCACTGCTTACTTTGATCAGTGTAGTAAGCAGTAGCTTGGCAATTTCATCCTTTTGGTCAGGTAACATTTAAAAGAAAAAAGAAGTAACAATAAAAGAGTGAGGGCTAACTTGGCTTCTTTACTCAGAATAACTCGTGTACAGTAATTTAACTTTTCTTTATTTTTCCAAGACAAATCATGGATCCCTTTGACAGATGTCCCTTTCTCTGCCCACTGGCTTAATAATTGTCATTTAAAAGTTGGCAATAAGTTGTGTGTGCGTGTGTGCATGCGCTCACACGCGTGTGCTTGTGTGCATGTTGGGGAAGGATCAGAAAAGAAGGGAAGAAGTTTTAATGGGGAAAATGTTTTTTATTGATTTACTTCTCGAAGTGTGTGCGTTACACATATGTGATGGGGAGAGAATGCCAGTGAATACAATCTGGGGCACCTCTTTTAACTATCATGCTTTACACACATGAATGTGTACACTGCAAGAGATTTTATCAGGCATTTCTTGTGTACTTCAAACCTGAGGTTAAGAGCTGAGAACCCCGTAGGGATGTTGTGAAGTTTGAATGCGGTTAACACAGTGATTATCAAACTTTAATGTGCACTGAATTAGAGAAGGATCCTAATAAAATACACATTCCAATTCAGTAGGTCTGAGGTGGGGCCTGAGGTTCTGCATTTCTAACAAGCTCCCAGGCCATGCTGACACTGCTGATCTGGAACCACACTTTGGGGATGAAATGTAGAGAAAAAGACCAGCACCTGAGTCAATAAGTGGACATCACAGTAGTAACCAACCTGCCTACACTACAGAGATACTGACCACACCACAGAGAGGCGATTCCCTTGGACACTGTGGTTAAGGTCATCACTTGCTTCTGAGTAAGAAGGAAGTGGAGACTTAAATGTACCCCCCTTTAGACTTGCTGTCCCCTACCTATTCCATCATTCACAAATTACTTAGAAGTCCAAAATTTTCTGAAATTTTGGCTAAAATTCTTTCAGCAATAGGTTTCAAATCTCTACACTTTTGCTTACACACACAACAGGGCATGTTGAACAATTTACTATAGCTATTGCTGTGTGTATGTACAAAAAAACCCCCACATTTCCCCCTCAGAGAGGAAGACAAGTGCTATTTAAAGTAAAGTTGGCCAATTTTTGACATAATATGGAGATTATTTTTTCATATCTTTCAATATCCATGATACTTAATATCCTCTGCATTCAGGGTCCATCCCATGTGACTTGGTTTATCCAGCTCTTTGTTGTTTTCCTTCTGTTTTAGGCAGAGCTGCCTACCAGACACCAGGAAGCATGAAGCCAAAGCAAATAGAGCAGTAGACTCACGCCAGTGTCCATCTCCCCTCTGAAACCTTTCCCTGGCACCTTTGCCTTCCCCAACCCCAGCCACCATTCCTAAAGAATAAGTTATTTTTTGCTGCCACAGGCCTTCAAGCATGTCCTCGGGGAGACTCTGCTGAAATTTATTGTAGTCATTTACTGATGTCTCCCCTACTCCACTATGTTGTGAACTCCTCAGAGAGAGACTTTATGACTTATTTATCATCATATCTCCTGAGCATAGCAGTGTTTGGCACAGAAAAGGTACTCAGTAGGCTTTGTTGAATTGAATTAAATGAATTGAATTGCAGGTTAAAGAAAAAAAAATTTCAAGTTCTTTGTAGAAAGTAAGAATTGTAGCTTCTAAAGTGAGATGGGGAAGGGTCAGATCTAGAATGTAGAGGCGTGAAAGATCACCTGTGCGGGGAATGACAAGTTATTCAGTCTTGCTGGTATGAACGATGTGCATGGGTGGGAGGAGAGAAAGGTAGGGAGGAAACAGAGCCTCAGGGGCTATGGACCCCCACTAAATTATTTTGAATATATCCTATGAGATCTGGAGAAGCATAAAACAATTTTAAACTGTAAGCAGCTTGATGCTATTTTGTTTATAGACAGAACACTGGCAGTAAAAATTAGGATAGTTGGAGCAGATTGAGACTAGAGGCAGGGATTTAATAATCAAGACCCTGGTCCTTGGAGGGTTGGAAGGATAATGTTTAACAGACCCGATGTAAACATGCAAATGTGCCTGCATCTCTAGTACCATCCTAGTGCTACCCAAAGATGTTTAATGATTTTCCCAGAGTTTTGAGAGCCCATTGGGTTATGTCTGAAAAAACAAAAATGGGCCTCTCCTCCAAAGACATGAGAAATTTATTTTGTGTTAAAATAACATAAATATATGTAAGAATATGGGGGTGGCCATTTTGGCAAAATGCATTTCCCATCAGCCTACTTGATTTCACTTCCTGCCTTTCATGAAATATACGTATATAGAAAGCATGAGACTCCCCACTGGGCTCTACATTTATGCGCATCTGCCGTCCAATTTACAGCTTGCAAAGGAGGTGTTAATTAGTTGGCAGAAGCACCTGAACAGGGAGTACTGGGTTGACTGAGGGGGTGGGAAGGTCTCTGGCATTTCCTTATTCACATAGGCGGAAAAAAAGAAGAAAGGAAACTCACATTGCTGTCCAAAATGGCAACCTCCAAGCCAAGGCAAGTGGTGCAATTATGGCAGGTCCACTTTTCTCTAAAAAGAGAGTCTATTTCTGGAGTCATGTGATTAATATCAGAGGCTCATAATAATTTACTTTAAGTTTTATCTTTATATCCTACTCTCTGCATTGTAAAGATCTTTCAGAGAAACATAGGTAAGATTTTTGCTATTGAATAGAGTAAAATGAACACTGCAGAAGGAATAAGACTAATTTCCACAGGAGGAAAAGCAGAGGATATGTCTTACAAGAGAAAGGGCAGTGATCCAGAGCCAGGAGAGTCTAGGAGGTGGAGGGTGGAGAGGGGAAGTCACAAATCCAGGTGGAGCTCAAAGAACTTTTCATTCGTGGTCAATAAAAATGTTGGCTGAGTTAAAGGAGGTGGTTCCAAGCAACCATTTGTTGGGGGTGGTGGGAGGAAAGCAAGGCTAAATGAAGATCAAATCCAGCTTTCTTCAATTTGTATATCAACAAAATTCATCTCATCTCTGTAGCTCCAAACCAACAAACAGTTGATGAGACAAAATGAAGAAAGAATTACAGGATGTGATCTGGTAAAATATTTTCATTTTAGAGCTGGCACAACTGAGAGGCAGAGAAGGGAAGTAACCTCCCCAAGGATACTGATGGGGGAATCATGCATATACACCTTGGGTTCCTGACTTTCTGCTCATTATTACTCTTGCCAACACATGTTTTTCCAAAGGTCTTTGAAACATTCCTGGGGACGGTACTCTCCCCTTAAATGTGATCCAACCTAGCAACTCTTAACAGCACTGAACTGTACGGTATTGTTGTGGAAAGAGCAGCAGGGCCAAAGCAAAAAGACATGTCTAGAAAAAAGATATGGGCAAACAAAAAGCTTGAATCACATAGTTATTTATGTCTCTAGTGACCATCAAGAGGAAATCAATCAAAAAGTTGGTGAAATAGAAACTTGCAGTTGGTTAATAAATATTGCATGCACCAATGGGGCAGAAGACATTGTGTTAAAAATTCAGAGGTGCTCAGATTATATATATAAAGAATACAGGGAGAGTGCTTACTTTCTACTTTGGAAAATGCCACCGAACCTTCATAAAATACAGCTTGCACTGAAGCAATGCAAAAAGGAAAAAGCAACATAAATTGAGCTTTTAGCACACTCAGCAAGCACTCTTTCAGGCTGCCAAAGTACAAGGTACCTGAACAAAGAGAAAAGAAATACTTTTTATCCAATCCCAGGATGGCTGCCCCTAGCTCCTGATGAAGTTGAGGTGTCCAAACAGAGAAAGCAAACAGAGTAGAGGAAATTCAGTGAGGCAAACAAACGAGCGTCCGGCCTTTCTAGGAGATCAGAGGGCTCCAAGCTCTGCTGCTTCCTTTAGCAAATGCTAATGAGCCCACGAGAAGACAAAACACAATGTGTTTTCTGAACACACATCCCAGACAGAAAGGAATTCTTGAAGTATGTAATGAGGAGCAATTAGCGAGGACTAGAGAGGAGCAGGGATAGGATGTATAACTGGATGATCGAGTTACACTTCCCCTAAGAATTGTGGGAGGTGGCCTGCTTAGGGCTTTTCTGAACTGAGCCTGTGCTCACAAGCTTGAGGATAGACACTGGAAAATCAAAGGAGATTTTCTTACTCAAGTTTACCAAATATTTTCTCTGCTCATTGTTTTAAGCCCCCAGTTCTCAGGCCAGTCTGATGGTAGATTTTCAGTAATATTTACCAATGAGGACACGTAATGAAATGAAGTGATAAAGGAGATACACACATTTCCTGTCCCTAAACTCACCCTCTGTACAAGTTGTGAAGGTTTTGGCAGAGGTAGGGCAGGCAGCCTTTAGTTAAAAATAAAGCCTTTCTAGTTGTTTTGTACTAGTTCCACATAGCCTGTAAAACCCAGAAAAGGGAAACCAGAGTGGCGTTTTCACTGCTTGAGGATTCATGAGGTGCAATAGAAGATAAAGGAGAGAGGCCCTCCTATAGCCTATGGGAACATGTTTTGGGGAGGGTTGGTTCAAATCCAAGATCCTCTCCTCACTAGCTATGCAACTTTAAGAAAGCCATTTGATCTTCTGAGTCTTGGTTTGCTCATCTGCAAAATGGGCCCGAATCATCCTGGATTATTGTAGGGATTAATAAGATAATGGCCCCAACTGGCTTTTCTGAACAACATGAGGCAACAGGCTAATACATTCATTTACCCAAATGTGTGCTTTAGAGTCAGTTTACTTTGGAGGGTTCACCAGGAAACTGCATTGCTCAAAATCAGACGTTCTAAACATGGGAGATTTATTGGGATTTTTTTTTTATGGCCAAGGTGGGTGTTTGGCAATGCCTACTTTTAAAGCTTTTCAAATTAAAATTATTGTGGCTAGGCATTAATGGTATCAAACTTTGGAGCCATTCATCCTTTTTTGGAGTGTTCCTAATGTACTTTTTTCATTTTGTAAATTGTGATAAAACATACATAGCATAAAATGTACCATTTTAGTCATTTTTAAGTGTACAGCCAGTGGCATTAAGTCCACTGACATTGTTGTGCAACCATCACCACCATCCACCTCCAGAAGCATTTTATCTTCCCCACCTGAAACTCTGTATCCATTAAGCATGAATTTTCTACTCCCCACTCCCACCAGCCTATGGTGACCACCATTCTACCTTCTGTCTCTGTGAATTTGACTACTGTAGGAACCTCATCTAAGAGGAATCACACAATATTTGTTTTTTTTTTTTGGTGGGGGGAGTAGGGGGCAGGGGGGAAGACTGGCTAATTTCACTTAATGTCTTCAAGGTTTATCTGTGCTGAGGCATGTGTCAAAATTTCCTTCCTTTTTAAGGCTGAATAATATTTCTGTGTGTGTGTGTGTATATATACCACAGTGTTTTTATCCATTTATCTTTCAATAGACACTTGGGTTGCTTCTACATTTTGGCTATTGTGATAATGTCATTATGAACATGGTAGTAACCAGAATTTTATCTTTTAAGAAAAAGTATTTGTTCCAGTTCATAGGTACTCTCTTGATTCATCTCTGATAATTGCTGGGTTGGTTTTCTCTTCAAGCAGATTGCCTCCTCAGGTTCTTAACATCTTACAAAAATGTCAGCCCTAACCCTAGCTCAGTCAGCTGTTAAAGCATATGAATTTGCAATTAAGAAGAAAAAAACTTAACAGCTGCACACTAGATACTTGTCAGAGAGTATAATCTGCAATTTAATGCACCTCAGTACCCTTCAAAAGATTTGCTGGGAAACACATACCTTATTAAATGAGAGCTGCCTGAAGGTTTACTCTTTCCAATTTAGTCCTAAATTAAGCCAGGCAACCATGGAGCTCAGTAACTGGCAGCTATTGATTAAGTCTTCATACAAGTGATCTGCATCATGCCTTGGTAAAAGTGTTGCACTTAGCTTTAGTCTTATTCATCTGTGGACTTATGAAACCGTATTGTATTTGCCGTGTAGATATTTTTCAGGATGTTGTTCATTTTCTCATATTGTGCCCTCTTTAGAAGGACCCATGGAAGAAATAGTTCTTTGGTGCCAGCATCAGCTATGCCTTCCTGGAACTACTGGTTTATTTTTCTTCTTTAGGTACAGAATTGTGTAACAAATTGTGTTCTGATCATCACTTTAGCTACTAGAAAGCTTCAATACAGATTAGTTACACACCTGTAACAAAAGCCATGGAAATGTATTTTATTTATTAAATATGTATGAATTTTACATAATAAACCCACCTCTGGTTTTATCCTACACTTCTTACCATAAGTCTACCCTTTGTGACGATTTTCTCACTTATTCCTTATTGAGGTTGTGTGTTTGTGTAAATAACTCTGAAAGACAGGCAGAGAGAAAGAGAGCAGATTTCTTTTAAGTTGCAGAGAAAATGAGAATGTATCATTCAATGTACTTGGCTGCAAACAGAAACCAATTCTAATTAACTTCCATACTAATTAATTAATTAATTAAAAAAGGAATTTATGGGAAAGCTATTAGTTTAGCTCACAAAAATTATTGGGAAAGGTGGGAACAAGGATAAAAAAATATAGGCAGTATTCCAGAGAAGCTAGGCAATTGGCGCTGCAGGCATGCCCAGTCACAGGAACAGTCAGAAAAGACACTGCAGCTTAGCCCTGTCTTGTCTGCAGCTTTGCATAATTCTCTTCCTGCTAAGGGCCCAGGAAGAGTGCTACTTGTTGGGGTCTTTTTACTGGGGCTTGTGGGGCTCTGCTGGGATTTCTCTGAAATAGGATGGGTATTTAGATCATTTGTTGCCCATAAACAATAAATATCCACTGTAGATACTGAGAGAGAGAGGGAGAGAAATTGAGATTATAGAAAATCAGAAAGAATTGAAGTAGCATGGTGGCCTTATTCCTGTTGAAGAAGGATGGTTGGCAGAGAAATGATCTAGAAATTAAAGGTGTACGTAACTATCTGATATCATTTGGCTATGTGCCCACCCAAATCTCATCTTGAGTTGTAGTTCCCATAATCCCTATGTATGGTGGGAGGGACCTGGTGAGAGGTAATTGAATCATGGGGGTGGCTGCCCCCATGCTATTCTCATGATAGTGAGTAAGTTCTCACAAGATCTGATGGTTTTATAAAGGGTTTCCCCCTTCACTCAGCTCTCAATCATCTTCTTCCTGCCACCATGTAAAGAAGGATGTGTTTGCTTCTCCTTCTGCCATGATTGTAAGTTTCCTGAGACCTCCCCAGTCATGCTGAACTGTGAGTCAATTAAACCTCTTTCCTTTATAAATTACCCAGTCTTGGGTATGTCTTTATTAACAGTGTGAGAACAGACTAATAGAGTAAATTGGTACCAGGTAGTGGGGTGCTGCTGTAAAGATATCTGAAAATGTGGAAGCAACTTTGGAACTGGGTAACAAGACGAAGTTGGAACAGTTTGGAGGGCTCAGAAGAAGACAGAAAAATGTGGGAAAGTTTGGAACTTCCTAGAGGCTTGGAGGGCTCAGAAGACAAGAAGATGTGAGAGAAACTTTGGAACTTCCTAGAGACTTGTTCAATGGCTTTGACCAAAATGCTGATAGTGATATGGACAATAAAGTCCAGGCTGAGGTGGTCTCAAATAGACATGAGGAACTTCTTGGGAACTGGAGTGTATTAATTCGTTTTCATAATGCTTATAAAGATATACCTGAGACTGGGTAATTTACAGAAGAGGAGGTTTAATAGACTTACAGTTCCACGTGGCTGGGGAGGCCTTGCAATGATGGTGGAAGGCAAGGAAGACAAGTTGCATCTTACATGGATGACAGCAGGCAAAGAGAGAGCTTGTGCAGGAAAACTCCCCCTTCTATAACCATCAGATCTTGTGAGACTTATTCATGATCATGAGAGCAGCATGGGAAAGACATGCTCCCATGATTCAGTTATGTCCCACTGGGTCTCTCCCACAACATGCGGGAATTCAAGATGAGGTTTGGGTGGGGACACAGCCAAACCATATCATTCTGCCCATGGTCCCTCCCAAATCTCATGTCCTTACATTTCAAAACCAATCATGCCTTCCCAACAGTCCCCCAGAATCTTAACTCATTTCAGCATTAACTCAAAAGTCCACAGTCCAAAGTCTCATCTGAGATAAGGCAAGTCCCTTCTGCCTATGAGCCTGTAAAATCAAAAACAAGTTAGTTACTTCCTAGATACAATGGGGATACAGGCATTGGGTAAATACAACTGTTTCAAACGGGACAAAATGGCCAAAATAAAGGGGCTAGAGGCCCCATGGAAGTCCAATATCTAGTGGGGCAGTCAAATTGTCAAGCTCCAAAATGATATCCTTTGATTCCATGTCTCACATCCAGGTAACTCTGATTTAAGAGGTAAGTTCCCATGGTCTTGTGCAGCTCCACCCCTGTGCTTTTGTAGGGTACAGCCTCCCTCCTGACTGCTTTCATGGGCTGGCATTGAGTGTCTTTGGCTTTTCCAGGCACATGGTGTAAGCTATCGGTGGATCTACCATTCTGGAGTCTGCAGGATGGTGGCCCTCTTCTCGCAGCTCCACTAGGCAGTGCCCCAGTAGGGACTCTGTGTCGGGGCTCCCACCCCAGATTTCCCTTCTGCACTGCCCTACCAGAGGTTCTACATGAGGACCCTGCCCCTACAGCAACTTCTGCGTGGGTATCCAGACATTTCCATACATCCTTTGAAATCTAGGCAGAGGTTCCCAAACCCCAATTCTTGACTTCTGTGTACATGCAGGCTCAACACCACATGGAAGCTGCCAAGGCCTGGGGCTTGCACCCTCTGAAGCCACAGCCCAAGCTCTATGTTGGCCCCTTTCAGCCATGGCTGGAGCAGCTGGGTCACAGGGCACAAAGTCCTGAGGCTGCACACAGCATGGGGGCCCTGGGCCCAGCCTATGTAACCATATTTTCCTCCTAGCCCTCTGGGCCTGTGATGGGAGGGCCTGCAATGAAGACCTCTGACATGCCCTGGAGACATTTTCCCCATTGTCTTGGTGATTAGCATTCAGTTCTTCATTACTTATGCAAATTTCTGCAGCCGGCTTGAATTTCTCCTCAGAAAATGAGATTTTCTTTTCTATCACATTGTCAAGCTGCAAATTTTCTGAACTTCTATGCTCTGCTACCCTTTTAAAACTCAATGCCTTTAACAGCGCCCGAGTCACCTCTTGAAGGTTTTGCTGCTTAAAATTTCTTCTGCCAGATACTCTAAATCATCTCTCTCAAGTTTGAAGTTCCACAAATCTCTAGGGCAGGGGTAAAATTCCACCAGTCTCTTTGCTAAAACATAACAAGACTCACCCTTGCTTCAGTTCCCAACAAGTTTCATCTCCATCTGAGACCACCTCAGCCTGGATTTAATTGTCTGTATCATTATCAGCATTTTGGCCAAACCCATTCAACAAGTTTCTAGGGAGTTCCAAACTTTCCCACATTTTCCTTTCTTCTTCTGAGCCCGCCAAACTGTTCCAACTTCTGCCTGTTACCCAGTTCCAAAGTTGCTTCCACATTTTCAGGTATCTTTTCAGCAGTGCCCCACTTCTGGTTCCAGTTGACTGTATTAGTCTGTGCTCACACTGCTGATGAAGACATACCCAAGGCTGAATAATTTATACAGGAAAGAAGTTTAATGGACTTACAGTTCCATGAGAGTGGGGAGGCTTCACAATCATGGTAGAAGGTAAGGAGGAGCAAGTCATGTCTTACATGGATGGCAACAGGCAAAGAGAGACCTTGTGCAGGGAAACTTTTCCTTATATAGCCATCAGATCTCATGAGAATTATTCACTATCAGGAGAACAACATGGGAAAGACCTGCCCCTATGATTCAATTACCTCCCACTGAGTCCCTCCCACAACACTTGGGAATTCAAGATGATATTTGGGTGGGGACACAGCCAAACCACATCATGGAGCAAAGGGGACTCTTGCTGTGCTTTAGCAAAAAGACTGGTGGCCTTTTGCCCCTACTCTAGAAATCTGTGGATCTCTGACCTTGAAAGAGATGATTTAGGGTATCTGCAGGAAGAAATTTCTAAGCGGCAAAGGGTTCAAGAGGAAGCAGAGCATAAAAATTTGGAAAATTTGTAGCCTGAAGATGTGATATGAAAGAAAAACCCATTTTCTGGGGAGGAATTCAAACTTTCAAGCTGGCTGCAGAAATTTGCATAAGTAATGAGGAGCCAAACGTTATTCACAAAGACAATGGGGAAAATGTCTCCAGGGCATGTCAGAGACCTTCACAGAGTCTCCCATCACAGGCCCAGAGGCCTAGGAGGGAAAAATGGTTTCCTGGGCTGGGTCCTCTGCCGGAACTGTGTCCCAGTCGCTCCAGCCATGGCTAAAAGGGGCCAAGGTACATTTCAGGACGTTGCTTCAGAGGGTGCAAGCACCCAGCCTTGGCAGCTTTCATGTGGTGTTGGTCCTGTGGATGCACAGAAGACAAGAATTGAAGTTTGGGAACCTCCACCTAGATTTCAGAGGACGTATGGAAATGCCTGGATGTCAAGGCAGAAGTCTGCTGCAGGGGTGGGTCCCTCCTGGAGAACCTCTGTTAGGGCACTGCAGGAGGAAAATGTGGGGTCAGAGCCCCCATGCAGAGTCCCCACTGGGGCACTGCATAGTGGAGCTGTGAGAAGAGGTTCACCATCCTCCAGTCCCCACAATGGTAGATCCACAGATGGCTTGCACTGCACACCTGGAAAAGTCACAGACACTCAATGCCAGCCCATGAAAGCAGCCAGGAGGAGAGCTGTACCTTGCAAAGCCACAGGGGTGGAGCTGGCCAAGGTCATGGGAGCCCACCTCTTGCATCAGCATTACCTGGATGTGAGACATGGAGTCAAAGGAGATCATTTTAGAACTTTAAGGTTTAATGACTTACCTTTTGGATTTCAGACTTGCATGGGGCCTGTAGCCCCTTTGTTTTGGCCAAATTCTCCCATTTGGAATGGGTGTATTTACCCAATGCCTGTAATACCATTGTATCTAGGACATAACGAACTTGCTTCTGACTTTACAGGATCATATGTGGAAGGGACTTGCCTTGTCTCAGATGAGACTCTGGACTTGGACTTTTGAGTTAATGCTGAAATGAGTTAAGACTTTGGGGGACTGTTGGGAAGGCATGATTGGTTTTGAAATGTGAGGACATGATATTTGAGAAGGGCCAGGGGCAGAATTGTATGGTTTGGCTGTGTCCCCACCAAAATCTCATCTTGTAGTTCCCATAATCTCCACGTGTGGTAGGAGGGACCTGGTGGGCGGTAAATGAGACATGGGGGCAGTTTCCCCATGCTAGCCTTGTGATAGTAAGTTCTCATGAGATCTGATGGTTTTATAAGGGGCTTCCCCCTTCATTTGGCTCTCATTCTTCTCCTTCCTGCCACCATGTGAAAAGGACATGTTTTCTTCCCCTTCCACCATAAGAAGTTTCCTGAGGCCTCCCCAGCCATGCTGAACTGTGAGCCAATTAAACCTCTTTCCTTTATAAATTACCCAGTCTCAGGTATGTCTTTATTAGCAGTGTGAGAACAGACTAATACACTACCATATGTAACTTCCCACAGAAAAGTGTCATTTTTGGAGAAACTGTAGCTCCAGAGAAGTTTGTGTTCACAGAGCTATTAAGGATAGAAAAGGAAAGTGTGCTAAAATTCTAAACCATTGAATCTCCAAACAATTTTTATTTCATCATTTTTACCTAGCTCCCAGGGAAATATATAACATCAGAAAGCCTGACAGGTAAATGAATCCTCTATAATGTTTTCCCTTAGAAAATAAAACACATGGGAACTCAAGGACTCTTTCTGTCCCTCTAGCTGAATTTGTAGACCAGAAGCAGGCATAAACAGTGAGCTCCATGACTTTTCTCTTGGAGTCCATTTTAGTTTCATCTGTTCTTCCAAGAAAGGGATAAGGAGAGGCTCCTGCCCAGATTAGAGGAGACATTCAGTCCACCTATTGCACCAGCCAAATAGGAAAGAAGGGAAGGGAAAGAAAGGGGAGGGGAAGGAAAGGGAGGGGAGGGGAGAGGAGGGGAGAGGAGGGGAGAGGAGGGGAGGGGAGGGGAAGTGATGGAGGGGAGGGGAGCAAAGGGAAAGTAGAAATGGAGAAGGGAAACTAGAAAGGGAAGAGAAAGGGAAATTTCTTAAAAAAGGGATAGGAATAGAAGAAAAAGAAAGGGAAGGAGACAGGAGGGGAGGGAAGGAAGGAGGAAAGATAAAGGGAAGGATGGGAGGTGCTATGATTTAAGTGTCCCTTCCAAAAGTCTTGTTGAAATTTAATGCCATTGTGATGGTATTAAGAGGTGGGATCTTTAAGAGGTGATTAGGTTATGAAGTCTCTGTCCTGATAATGGATTAAGGTGGTTATGAGGTGAATGGACTCATTATCTCAGGAGTTGGACCTCCTTTTTCTCTGTCTCATATGCACTCACCTGCTCTCACCCTCCTCACCACATAAGGTGTCCTTCATGTTATGATGCAGCAGTAAGTCTGACACCAGATGAGGCCCCTTGGTCCTGGACTACCAAGCCTATAGAAATGTGAGCCAAATAAATCTCTTTTCTTTATGCATTTCCCACTCTATGGTATTCTGCTATGGCATCAGAAAATGAACCAGGGCAGGAGGGAGGGAAAAGCAAAACAAAACCAAAAGAGAGGACTTCTGAGGAACCTTCAAGGTAAGGAGAACTTTAAACCCCATTGCTTCTTCCATGTAGAGCCCAGATTGATGGCAGTCCTCTCATCTGTGGAGGCTTTGGCATGTTTTAGCAGACATCAAGTTCTTTGTCCCTTTCCAGGGTCATCTGACACATTTTATGGTTGGAGGTCAGGCTTCATTAAAGATTGCACATTCTAAACAGATATTTTGACTTCATATCCCCACTGCCCACCATAACAAATAATCTCAGACATCTGCATCCAACAAGTTTATTTTTCCTGGTTACCTCTCTCGTATGTGGTAACCAGGTAACATGAGGATACCAGCTCTACAACTATGCTCACCAAATAATTTTCAAATGGAAACTTGACATCCCATGTAGGTTTGCATACTAGGGAAGGATACACTGACATGCTGACATGAATATCTGGTGCCCCCTTGCCTGTTCTAATCTTACTGTAAATTAAAAAATTGGTATAGGGACAATTAACTCTTCTGTCAATTTCTGAGCTTGGTCTGTATGGAATAGTCTCTTGAACTCACTTAGCTATTCGTGCACTGAGTACATCACATTTTTAAACCTACAAAGCTGTATATCCTACCAGGATGCTCAAGGGTCATGATGACTTCATGCACTTCCACCTTCCAAAGTCCTACAGGAGTGGCTGACAGGATTCTAGAATAGTAACAACACTAAGCATTTATCACTTATATACCAGGCACTATTCTACATACCCCTTTATAAAAAAAGCAAATTAATTTATTCCCACAACACCAGTGTGAGATAGGTACTATAATTATTACCATCCTACAGGTGACAAAACTGAGGTGCAAAGAAGTTAAATAGCTTGCCCCAGTGGTGGAGACAAGATTCACTCCCAGGTAATCTGGCTCCTAAGCTTGTATTCTAGAGTGTTACACTATAATGCCTCCAGGGATTGATGATATTTATATTTTGGCTCTACAATTAATTAATATTTTGAATGACTACAAATAGCACATCTGGAAATCATTGATCTGAAGTCTTTGGAGAAGCTATGTCTAGTGGCTTAGGGTTGCTTTGATATTGAAAAGCAAAGCAAAACAAAATGGTAAAGAAACAAAACAAAATACATGTGGCATGTGCTAGGTTGTTCTGCAAGCTGTGCACCAAAGTAATGTCTTCAGCATGGGAACTAACCAAAAAGACTTAGTCAAATATCCACATGGATGTTGGAAGTTTGTTCCAGAAGAAACACTCCTCCTTAATTGGCTCAAATGATCTTTCTAGACCTCCGTGTGTGTAATTCCAGTGCCTCTCCAGTTATTTGTGATACCTGCATTGACAGGCATCACATATGTAGGAGTGCGAAGAATGAGCTGCCAACATCAAACCTCATCACAGCAAAGGGAAAGATGACAATTTGGTGGGGACCCTTCCGCTAGGGTCTTCCTTAATTGTCCTCCCACGTTCAGTATGAGTCAGTGTTGACTAATGATCCATGTTGCTCACTTTTATTTTCTCCATTCAGGCACATCAACAGGACTTTCAGCACCAACTAGAGTCTGGCTCATTGTAGCCATTCTTTCTTTGTTATTTTATAGCAAAAGGCTGAGAATTTCAAAGTTAGAGCATGTGGATTCCCACCACCACAAATCTCACAACTGAAGCCCAGGTCATCCACAAATCAGAGTAAAGCCTGGGTTGGGATGTCCCCATCAATACTAAAGTCATTTCTCCTATGGGGACTGGCCAAAACTCAAACTATTGGATTAGTGAGTCTTCTCTGGTGGCATCCACAGTCATCTCTTTGTCTATACCACCTGAGTCACCAAGTCGAAGTCCATGCTCTTCTAAGCTATACTGCCTCTCTTTCAGCATTTGTATATTTAATTGTACTCTCTGTGGTACTGGAATATAGGATTCCTATACCTAGAAACAGTTTTCATCAATAAGTTGTGTCAGAAAAATTTACTATTAAAAAAAAAACACACCAAAGCATTCCACAATGTAACTTACAGATTCCTATCCTAGCAGTTAGGCCTGAGAACAAAGCCTGGCACTGCCTTAGTCCTGGCCTGTTTCAGCCTCCCAGGCAAGAATTTTCTTGCTCAATTTCCCACCAGGGTTTAATCTCTTTGACCCATTTCACTGGTCTTGCTTTCTCCACCCATCCATATATCAGGCTACCGGATCCTTTCCTAATCTGGGATGAAGCATTTGTTCTTGACTCTCCTACTGCCTGGAACTCTCTTATTATTTTATCCTCCCTCAACTTCAACAGAAAGTGACCCTTGTAAACCCAGTTGCCGCTAGCCCTGCCTCTGAAGGGGAGCCAAGCTCCTTGCCTTTTTTCTCTCCCATTGATCCCATATTTTTGAGTGACTCAATAATTTTTATTTCAATATCTAAGTCCCAGACGCAAAAATGCCCTTAAGTTACATGGACAGGCCCGCCTCCCCATTTCCATTCTCTAAACAACAGGAACTTTACTTTTATGGATGATTAGTTTGGTTCAATTAAAATTGGATTTATTGAGTGTTTTGCTGCTTATAAAATACTACATACTTGTAGAAAATTCAAAATTTGCAAGTATATATAACAGAAAAAAGTGAGAATTCTTATTAACATCCCCATGAAACAACTACTGTTAACAGTTTGGTATACATGGCTCTATGCGTGCGTGTGTGTGTGTGTGTGTGTGTGTGTGTGTGTATAAAATACAGAAATGTTCTCAACTTACAATGGAGTTACATTCAGATAAGCCCATCATAAGTTGAAAATATCATAAGTTGAAAATACATTCAATACAACTAAACTATCAAACATTACAGCTTAGCCTAGTCTACCTTAAATGTGCCCAGAACATTTGCATTATCCCACAGTTGGGCAAAATCATCTAATACAAAGCCTATTGTATATTAAAGTGTTGAATAGCTCAACACTTTTTGTATTTATTGAATCCTGTACTGAAAGTGAAAGTCAGAATGGTTGTATAGGAACCATCGTAATATTGAAAAATCCTAAGTTAAATCTTACTAATCCTAGGACTACCTGTATATACAATATATATAATATATCTATATGTATATAAAATTGGAGTCTCTTGAAACTCTTTTGAAGTTGTACTATCTATATCATTTTGGAACTTGTGTTTTTCTCACTCAATATATTCTAAACTCATTTTCCTATCAGAACTTATAAATCTAGCTCATTTTGTAAAAGGTTATGCAGTGTTCCATTGTATAAATATATCATAATTTATTTAACAAATACCTAACGATGAATATCTGGTATGTTTTCAATTAATTTGCTATAATAATGCACCATATACATCCCTGTACATCTAGTTTTGCTTGTCTGAGTTTTTCTGTAGAGCTTAGATTTTTGGACATGGTAAAGTATCTCTGAGCCTCAGTTTCCTTTTCCATAAAATGAGGACAACTTACAAAAGGTTGCGAGAATTGAGATAATTAACATTGTAGTGAATGCGTCGTTCACCCTAGTTTAAATTTTAGTATCTAAACCTCTACCTAAGTTGAAAATTCTTCTCTTTATGGGTCTTCAGAAGTACCAAAAATACCAGCTACTCACCTTCGCAGATTCCCTTGCAGCTTGGAAAACTCACATGACCAAGGCTGCACCAATCAGATGCGCTCACAGCACACTTAGATTTGGGAGCTAGCTGTGCAACAACAAAGGGTTAAGGAGCACACTCACCCTCTCTCTTTGGAAGCCTTAGCAGTAATGGTGAAAGCAAGATCAAGTTCTCATCAGGAGAATAGCAATGGTGCAAACTGTCCATTGAGTGGGTGGTGACTGACAGAAGTAGGGGCTTCTTCATTAGAACAGTTTTCAAGCATGGTTTTGGGCATTGTTTCTGGCAGCTTAACCTCAAGTTTCACTCTTCAGAAATCCTGACAGCTCTGAAGTACTCAAAATCTGTGAATAAAGTCATTTTCTGGTTAAATTAGACAGGGACATTTTCTGTTGCCTGTAATGAATAACACTGTCTGCTGCATATGCATAGCTGCAAAACACTGTATGAAAATAAGCAACGTGGCAGATGCTCTTGGATGCTTCCCTGACGACCATTCCTTCTCCCTCCTTGCTAGCAGGGTGAGTATTTGACCAAATTCATCTAAGGTGATAAAGGGAAAAGTCTTCTTGGGGCTTCTGGGAAAAAGTTTTCATTCCTTCCTAATAACAAAGAGGCATGTGAAGAAAAAGACTTTCTCTGTAGCTGCCTCCAGCTTTCTACTTGGGATGCTGTCATATGAGATTGAGTTTCTTGAAGATCTGGCAGATGTTTTCTGATCATAAGGAGAGATACTGCCCTTGACAAAGCTCAAGATTCTAAAGAGTCTGGATATTTTATAATACCATGGAATTTCCAAAGCAAACTTGGAATGCCTACTTCCAGATTATCCATTAAAATTTAAAATAATTGCAACTTAAGACATTAAAAATCAGGTACTCTGCTACTTGCAGCTGAACACAATCTAATTGGTACAAGACATTTTTTATATCTTTTTTTTTTTTTTTTTTTTTTTTTTTTTTGAGACGGAGTCTCGCTCTGTCGCCCAGGCTGGAGTGCAGTGGCGCGATCTCGGCTCACTGCAAGCTCCGCCTCCCGGGTTCACGCCATTCTCCTGCCTCAGCCTCCCGAGTAGCTGGGACTACAGGCGCCCGCTACCACGCCCGGCTAATTTTTTGTATTTTTAGTAGAGACGGGGTTTCACCGTGTTAGCCAGAATGGTCTCGATCTCCTGACCTCGTGATCCGCCCGCCTCGGCCTCCCAAAGTGCTGGGATTACAGGCGTGAGCCACCGCGCCCGGCCATCATTTTTTATATCTTTATAGTAGCTGAAAGAGGCTGGGTTTAGAGGTTTTAAAACCTCGGCCAGGCGCGGTGGCTCACGTCTGTAATCCCAGCACTTTGGGAGGCCGAGGCGGGCGGATCACAAGGTCAGGAGATCGAGACCATCCTGGCTAACCCGGTGAAGCCCCGTCTCTACTAAAAATACAAAAATTAGCTGGGCATGGTGGCGGGTGCCTGTAGTCCCAGCTACCCGGGAGGCTGAGGCAGGAGAATGGCATGAACCTGGGAGGTGGAGCTTGCAGTGAGCCGAGATCGCGCCACTGCACTCCAGCCTGGGTGACCGAGAGAGACTCCATCTCAAAAGAGAGAAAGAAAGAACGAAAGAAACCCTCAACTATCTGACCCTAACTCCAATTGCAAAACAACCCCAAATTACTAATGATATAAAAATATTTGTATTTAATTAATTACTTTATTTATTTTGAAATGGGGTCTTGCTGTGTCACACAGGCTGGAGTGCAGTGGCAGGATCTTGGCTCACTGCAACCCTGACCTTCTGGGTTCGAGTGATTCTTTCACCTCAGCCTCCCGAGTAGCTGGGATTACAGGCACCCTCCACCATGCCTGGCCAATTTCTGTATTTTTAGTAGAGACAGGGGTTTGACATGTTGGCCAGGCTGGTCTCAAACTCCTGGCCTCAAGTGATCTGCCTGCCTGGCCTCCCAAAGCACTGTCACCATACCTGGCTGACAACAAGATATTTTTAATCCAAAGAAAGATTTTGGATAGTTCAGTCTGTTGTTGTTGGAAGCCTGGTCTCATTGAAGTGCTCTTTGGGAGATTATTAAATTGTCCCAAACTGACAAAGATCAAAGTAATCTTACATACTCTGGAATTTAGCTTGATAGGGCTCTCTGATATAAGAATGTCTTGTGCTCAGGGTCTCTTGACAAAACTGTTGCTGACTTTCAGGTCTTCAGCACACATTATGACTGTTTATTCTAGTTTCTAGACAATTGTTCAGCTTGACATTATTCAGCATTCTTCTACATTCATCTTTTTTTAGCCTCAAAACAAGTTGATGAGGTAGGTATTATTTTTTCTTATGGACATGGAAAACAATGTTCAGAGAGATTAAATAATACTCTGTAAGTAACACAGCTGGTGAGTTGTGGAGATGCAATTCAAATCCACAGGTTTTACTCTCCCTTGGTTCTCATGGGCTGCCCATTAGAATATCTGGAGAAGCTTTACAGGATGCTGATGCCCGGGTCCCAGCCCCAAAGATTCCAATGTTGTGGGTCTGGAGGGAAGCCTGGACAATAGGATTTCTTAAATAGCGTTACCGAGGTCAAGTACTTGAACTTGAGTCTTGAGTGAGCTTGGTCTAAGAGGCTGGAGGAAAGCCTACAAGGAAACGTGTAGGCTTTGTGTTTATTTTCTATTGTGTTGACAATTTAGAAATTTTATCCCACTGTGGGGAGTGGTAATTCATTTCATGCTTAACATGGCTGGCTTAGAGTCCTTTTGGCAGTTTTTCCCCCATTTTTGATAATTGTTGACATTGATCTTTTCTCTGGAGTGACGGATATTATACTGAGACTTGAGGGATGATGTGTTCTCTTCCGCCAGCCATCCACAAATGCATAATGCTTGTCTGTATTTCTCTAATAGCCTCTTCATTTTGGAAGATGATGCCTATGCAATTCCTGACTCTCCTGCTCAGACTACATTCCCACACACAAGGCCATACCTTTGCTCCTCTCAAAAATAGGGTTCTCTGACAGTTTCTTGCCAATCATTAAATTCATAGCTGTGGAGCCAGGGCTGCCTGTACCAAGAAAGCAGTGAACAATGGGACAGTGACTTCCACAACTGTTCTACTCTGAACAGCTTGTGCTGCTGACCTCTCCAGCTCCCACTGCCTTTTAGACCATGCCTCTTGCCCACCTAGTCCACCAGACCAACCCAGACTAGCCCTTCCTGTGCTGGCTTTGCACAGGGGCTTCCGTGCCTCTGCTGAGGAATTTGAAAGAGTCTTTAGCTCAGACATCCATAGGAAAAAACTAACCGTTCCAGCTGTCTCAGCCCAGTGACTTCCAAGCAATTACTTTTCTAGCTCTTGGGCATCTGTCAGCTCTGCACATCTGTCTTACCAGTCTGTGTGAGTAAAACAGAAGGCTTCTCCCCTTAGCTTTTTTATTTTCTGATTAAAAACTGGGGGGCTGTCCCCTCCCTATGAGTCACAGCTCCAGTAAGAAAATAACCTGTCTTAAAATTCAGTCCTCATCAATTTATTAAAATATAATTCAAGGTCCATTAATTATCGGATGTAACATGTGGGGGCTATCTATGGTGGCCAGTTGTGTTTTTCTGAAACAGATATTTTCCAATAATTTGTACATGAATGTAAAATTCACTGTGAACACTTGCTACTCACCATTCTTGAAGGCTAATGAGTTGGTAATGTCCTGGTCACATAATAGCTATAGTTAGATTCATGACTCTAGATAGTACCTACTAAAAACCAGGACAAAGCTCACTGTTTCTCTGTGACCCTTGAGCCTCAGGATTTTATGTGGGGAAATTAAAAGAGCACTATTCTGGTGATGAAGAAGTCTGACTTCTGATGCTAGCCCTGCCACTCTCTAGCTATATTACTTTGATCAAATCACCTAACTTCTGTAAATTTTAATTTCTGTGTTTAAAATTAGCCGTAGATCTGTATTTCCTTAGTGCTGCCCTATGTAATACAAACCTATAATATTCTCTAGTAAAACTGAGTTAAGTGAGTATTTAAATTGGGAAATCTCTGGAAATCTATCTTGTCTACTTGGAAACCTCCTATTCCTCCTTTAAAGCCCTCCTCTGAACCTTGATTCCTATGAATCTTATTCTCATCCCTCCTTCCCAACAGAATGCATCCTTTTCCCTCTCCTTCTCCCATACTACTTTTCAAATTCTTCTACTACAATTCTCATTCCATAACACCCAGTTTATTTTTGCATGTCTATTTAGCAATAACTCAGATTCTGAAAGGTTGGAATCTTATCCCATTTGTCTTTATGTACCCAAGATCTAACACAGATATGACATGTAGTAGGTACAAAATAAATGTTGATAGGAATAACTAATAATTGGTGCTATTGGAGGACTGGGGATACTTTTACACTTGGCTGGACTCCTGTAACCATTTTGTTGGCTGTACACAGAAAAGTATATACCTTTCTCCCTTCTCCTCTTTGGGAAATAGCTTCTCCCCGACTCCAGTTGTGTAATCTTGGTGGGGCTGTCAGTCATAGCACTTGGTCCCTCCCCACAGGAATAGCCATGATGTGACTCAACCTGGTCAACTGTTGTACCTTGTCCTCCTTCCCCAGTGACAAAGCAAGTGGGGAAGGTGAGCACGATACCAAGGCTAGGCCCACTACTGCCCTTCTGGGTTTATTTCATTGTTGTTCATGAGTCTTTTATCAAAACTTGTTTTTATGTTAATTAATACTTTTTAACTAGGTAAAAGCGTCTTTACAAGGAGCCATAATTACAGGCAGTTAGCCAAATTGATGTGTCCAGTGACAGCATTAGGAAACTAATATTCAAGAAAAGCACTGTGATATGCTTGTTTATATATCCACATACTATGTGAGCAGATAAATGTAACATTAACTTTTCGTGTGTTGCAAACCTTTCAGGAATATTTCCATCACACTCTACCTCATCCCTCTGTAGTGTCTGATTCTTTGACCACTGCCTTTTCCTTGAAATTCCATCCTGCTCTGGTTTCTGTGGCCATAGCCCTCCCTCTCCTACTTCCAGGTCACTCTTCTCTCATCTCTTTTATGGAGTCCTCTTTCCTCGGGGTTTTTCCCCAACTGGAGAAGAACAGAGTGTGTTGCCTTTTGAGTCACAGAAATTGAAGGGCATGAATTGGGAGCTGCTGGTGGCCATCTTCTACCATATTTAAAGATCTGTGTGTAGCAGAAGAGAATGAAGACTGGAGATATGGTGAGATGAAGGGAGAGAATGAATGCGAGTGAGTGAGCCTTGCCCTAAAGCCCTAAAGCCCAGAAATTTTCCTTCCTTTAATTCCATTAACCTCCACTGTGTTTCTCACATACCCCTTTAATACGTGACTTCCTGTTAATTACAATCTAACTTAACTTAAATAAAACCCCAACACATCCTTTAGTTGATATCATTCTAGGAACAAAATTGCTGTGATGGTTTAGCACAATGAAATAAAGACTCATTCCAGGGTCTCAAACAGGGAGGTGAGTGTCCCAGGCCCAAAAATGGCTTTTCCAGACCACAACTCAGGAAACACACACATTTTGCAATAATTATTTCTTTCTGTATGGACTTTAAAAAATCAATCTACTCCTTGCCTCTAGCATAGCCCTCTGAGAAAACTGCAATCCTTCAGAAGGATTCCTATATTTGGATGCTGACTCAGCCAAAAAAAAATTTTTTTACTTATCCCAGCTAGTTTAATTCTGCAAGCCCCACCAGTGACTGACAGTGTTCCAGATTGGGAGCACTGTAACCGAAGGCAGTGAGTTGCCTGCTGTTATTTTCTGCTTTGTTCTAGCTTAATTGTTTTTGTACATGTGCCTATTACATGAAAAACTAAATGAAAACTCTATAAGACTGAAAATATCACTTAAAATAGCATCTTGTCCCTTCAGAGTCTCCTATTTGACTCTGTAGCCAGGCAGCTGTTTTTCAGCAGAAAGAAAGACTTAAAAAAAGTTACTGTGGATCTGGGGAAACGGGAAGCTACAATTTCCCTTTGCCTACGCCACTCTCTAGCAAATTCTCTCACTACAATGACAGGTTCTGCCATGAAGCTCACCAGTAAAAACATCACATTTAATGGTGACAAAAGAGAAAAAAAGTTGTGTGACAATCCCCAAGGTGAATTCTCTTAGTGGCATTTTCTTAGTTGAATGAAGTTGGATTTGGGTAAAGGGAAGCTATGATCATAAAAATAGTTCCATGTTATTTTTATACTGTCACAAACTTGCCTCAGTGTCCAAGGAGCAATGGCCATTACGGTTAATATACTATCGATTGGTCCTCTTCTTGCTCTTTTTCTTCTCTATTCTGGATCA
The DNA here is from genome assembly GCF_000001405.40 of Homo sapiens. Lineage (NCBI taxonomy): Eukaryota > Metazoa > Chordata > Mammalia > Primates > Hominidae > Homo > Homo sapiens. The sequence goes on along the minus strand of NC_000009.12, from coordinate 3,775,542 downwards.
CAGGTGACCCCCGCAGACTGTGTTCTTAGAGCAACTATAACAGCATGCTTTCTAAAGACTTTGGCCAGTGAGAGAAAGTGGTTCTTGTTTATCTTGCCACCAGGATCTAAGAATCTATTTCAGAATGTTGCAAATAGAGAGGATACAGAGGCCAGAGTTATAGAAAGAAATTCTTTTGAGCTTCTGGTTCATGCCATGCCTGAAGTTAGACCATCCTTCTACTTTTCATTGATATGAGCCAATAAATATCCTCTCTGACTTGGCCTGTTTGGGTTGATATTTATTTTTATTATTATTTTTGTCACTTGCAACTGAAAGAATTTTGATACTGATAACTTCCCTCTTTGGGATCTTTCTTGATGAAGAAAGATCTTTTAAGGAACCCCAAGGAGCATGAACTATAGCACATTCACCTCCACACCCAGACCTCACTTGATACCAAAGTCATCCTTCTGCTGCTGTTTAATTTCATAGCTGTTGACTTTGCTAATTCCACCCGATTCAGTTCTAAATCAACTGGTTTTGGTTTTTGTTTTCTTCAAGGAGCTATCAAAATAGAAAGCAAAGAACAGACATTCTCAAAGTAAGATCCCAGAGCCAGCTGTATCAGCTTTACCTGGGAACCTGTCAGGAATGCAAACTTTACAGCCCTACCCCAGTCCTCTTGAATTAGAAACTCTGGGGGTGGCACAGTGATCTGTACTTTTACCAGCCCTTTAGGAGATTCAGACACTAGCTGAAGCTTAAGGACTGGTAGCATAGAGGGTGTCCAAAATCATTGTATACTATGGGGCAGGCATGATTGGCATTTATAATGAAGAAATTGGAAAAAGCCATAGTAAGACCAGGGAGGTATCTTGTTAGAAATGTTTTATGATGGAGGATGGGAATTTTAAGTGGTGAAGTAGGTCAAATATGACACTTGGCAAGTCTGGAGACCAAAACAGGGTTAGGATTTAATAGAACCTTGTGCTATTCTAAACACCAGTACAGGTGAACTGGGGGTAAAAAAGGTGTGTGTGTGGTAATGAGGGTTGGAGGAGGGGCACTTAAATGTTTCTTCCGTGGAAGATACCATTGTAGCATTGTATGTTATATGAAAATAAATTTCCCAGACAACCACATTTTGGCATCATCTTTGGTGGCTGTCAATCTAACAACTTTGAAAGCTTGGGGTTTAATAATTTGATTTCTTTGCAAAATAAATTTAGTTTCTTGTGGATAAGCAGTAGCTTATCCAGTAGCCTCCTACCTTATAGTGATGCCTGTGATTTGAAGAAAACCAGGAGGAAACTTTTTATCCCTTTTCGTCATTAAGAGTGCTTGGTGGCCTTACTCATTTAACACATCAGCACAACTAGAAGGAGTGATTCCTTTCTAAATACAGCATTCAGTAGAGCCCATGCATTTTAGCAAAGCATTCTTTCCCTAGTATTCTTGGGAGCCTTAACATGTAGAGTAAGCCTAAATTTAAGCAAAAAATCTAACCACCGGCCAGGCTGAGGCCAGATCTTGACTTTTCTGTGTTTGTCCCCCGTCTCCTCACAACCCAGCCTTCTTTCTACACAGTGTTTCTGTGGTAGTGACATTCTCTCAATACTAGCTGACAGTCCTCAGCACTAACCAGTGGAAGCCTGGAGCATGAAGAAACAGCTAAGCGGATCCCTGTGCCAAATCCCAATGGCAGGTGGTAGCAGCGGGTGCAGGTCCTGAGCAGCAATTCTAGAGAAGTCCAGGCAGAACTGCCTAATCTTGAGGCTCTTGTCTGCAATATCAGCCTTGTTTCTCAAGGTCAGAAACCTTACAGGAAATAAAGAGTTTCTACGAGGCAAACATAATGTAGCACTTGTTGGTGACTCCTTCTGAAAGACATCTGTGAATAACCAGCATTTCATCCTATGAGGTGCGCTCCATACCCATGCATCTCTTGGTCTCTCCCTCTGTTGCCAGATAATTCACTGGTATTCAATAATGCTGCCTTTGTTAAATGCCTGCCAAATTAGGTAAGGCTCTAGGATGGAGGCCAATGCCTCTACATACACATGCACATACACACACATACAGGATGTCTTTTCAGTCATGAATTTTATTATTTAAAAGAAAAAAAGAGCCTGCAGCAACAAATTGAGCAAGGATAGCTTGCTGTCTCCTTCACTGCAGCATTGTCTATGCTGTCCAGCATCAGCATGACTGGTGTAAAATCCCACCGCCGGTGCCACCAGCATCAACACTTCAACTGGTTTTCCTTTCCCACTCAGGAGTGATGGCACGAACCACTGGGCAAACTTGAGTCCAATTGCTGGCTTTACCACGTATTTGGATAATCTACCAAATCCTCACTCCCTACCACTTGATAAGTATTTATCAAGCACCTCCTCTGTGCCCAGCACTGATCTGACCACTTGGGATTTTTTTCAAAGCAACAGACAAGGATAGCCGCCCTCATGAAACTTATATTCTAGCAAGAAAAGACAAACAATAAACATAATTAATAAGAAAATATATACCACATTAGAAAGTGAAAAATGCTAAGAAAAAAAAACAGAATAGGTTGAAGACGGTAGATTCACAGGCTGATGGGTCATCAGGTTGCAAAATGAAATAAGGCAGTCAGCACAACCTTCAAGAGCAAAGATCTGTAGATGAGAAACTTAGATGAAGGATACTTGGAAGAAGAGTGGAAGCTCCAGGTACAGGGAACAGCTAGAGCGAAGGTCCTGAGGGAGGAGTGTGTCTGCCAAGTTTGAGGATGAAGTAGGAGGCCAGTGTGGCCAGATCGAAGTGAGTAGTATGGAGAGGAGTAAAAGAGGAGGTCATGAAATACTGTAGATGTGGAATTAGCTTGCTCACTTAAGTCAAATGTAAGAACGTCAGCTTTAGTGATGTGGGGAGTCATTGCGCTATTTTGAGCAGAGACATTAGGAGATTCCACCTGGTTTCTAAAGGGATCTTCCGGTCTTCTGTATGGAGAATAGTCTGTATGGAGCAGGAGAGAAGCAGATGCCTCTTCCAAGGCTGTGGCTGGAATTCAGGGGAGAGAAGAGAATGGGCCAGGCCAGGCTGGCAGTAGTGAAGGGAAAGAAGTGGTTGAATTCTGGATATATTTTGAAGATAGTGAGCTCGCACTTCTTGATGACCTTCCTAACAACTTATGCTCAGTTCACACCAAACAATGTGTTTGTCTTCCCAGCCTCTGCATACATATTCAGACTGCAGAATATGATCCCACTCCCTCTGTCCTCTAGAATGCCCCCTTCCCACCTCCTCTTCCACCTCCGAATGATGTCCTACTCTTCCTTTAGGACACAGACAAAATGCTACCACCTCTATAAACACTCTTTAACCCCACCAGTTGTTTTTCCTTCTCTGTACTAGTACTGTGGAGTGTACACATCTATCTGGTTGTACTTCTTACACATCACAGAGCAGGGATGATATTAAAATATTTAACACTTGGTATAGCCCAGACACCAGCCAGTCAGAACAGACACCAGCCGTCACCAGGCTGTGTGCACCAGCGGAACATCAGCCTTCCCACACAGCATTTTGCATTGATCTGCCTGCCTCCCCTATTTCATTCCAAGGTCCCACAGGCTAGAGAACACGACTTACTTATCTCTGCACCCCCAAAGAGTGTCTGCCAACTATTAGCCTCTCTTTATTCACATATCTGAATAAACAATTACATGAAAAAGAGAAGCAAAGGTCCTGGCCTCATTTGAAGTCACCTCAGCACAAATTTCTCACTCTTGGCACTTTCTGGGTCAAAGTAACCCTCCTTTCACCTTGTCTTCTGGCTATCGGAAGACTAAATCCCCCAGCGCTTTCCCTTCTCTTCCCTGATGCTCGATTTCAATCAAACACTCGTATTGGAGCTGAAGGTGTCTTCCCAAGAGCAAGTTCTCACAAGTGGTGAAGCCAAAACCCACAACATCCTCCTCTGCCATCCGTTCCAGAGCGTACACTTGGCCCCAGATGCCAACGGAGCGCAGCAATGGGGAGAAGGAGGTTTCCTGAATTCACAGCTTCCAGCTCAGCTCAGCGTTGGCAACTTCCGTTGTCTACTTTTCCTCACTTGTACACTCACCTTTTCTAGCCCCAACTTGAAAGTGTGTTTTATAAATTTATTCCCTCCCCGTCAGGAAAAATAAGCTACAAATAGGCCAAAGTAAATTGGCTGAGCATTTGAATAAATGATTATTTTTCCTAAGTGGCCTCTCACACATAGCCAAAGTTCATGATGTTAGCCAAAAAATAAATAGAGGGAAAGTGAGAAAAATTAGATTAAAGAGGGTTGGACAATCTACATAGCATTCCCCAAAGTTCAAGCTGGAAGAGGCCCTCGAGATCAGCTACTTCAAGGTTTCTCAAATTGTGTTCCAAGGAACTATAGGAGTTTCAAGTAGCCCCATCAAGGAGATAAGGCTGCAGTACCCTCATCACCCCTCTAAGCAAATTTGGCAAGGTTTTATCTGTTTTGCATAAGAGTTTACTTGAATAGAGAGTTTTGTGGTTACAAATGCTTACAAATTACTGTTCCAAGCCCAATCCACATGTTTTACAAATCAGGAAACCAAGTCTGAGAGAGGTGAAATACTTTGCCTGGACTTTCACAGCAAACTGATAATAGAGTTAGAATTCAATTTCAACTCTTCTAATTCAAAGCCAATACTTTTCCTTTGGTACCTGGCTGCCTCGTGGTATTTTATATCTGTTGTCACTTGCTCAGAATTCCTTTTTTCTTCAGTCAAGAACTCTGTTTCCCCTCCCACAGGGGGCTGAGGAGTCATGAACTTCACTCAAGCTGAACTCCCAGAGCCTGTGATCCCAATCACCAAAGATACAGTGATTGGTCCAGGGAGAGAGAAGATGTCCTTCTGAGACTGAGGGTAACCTGGAGCTGCTGCAGGCGCTGTTGCAATCACGGGTACCCATTTGTCTGAGATTGACACCAACATAAAAGAGAGCAAATTAGAGTGGTGGAGAGAGATGTGGCAGATTTCTGAAGGCATTGTTTAAACTCTCAGACCCACCCATGTGGAAAGTTTGTGCTATCTCTGGGCTTTTCAATAATGTAAGTCAATACATTTTTTTTGTTTAAATTAATTTGATTCAGTTTCTAACATTTGTTGCAACATTGCCCTGATTAACGTGTGTTCTAAAGTTACTTTTATATATAAAGTATCATACACTTTACCAAACTTTTCCATTGCTCCAGGTCATAGAGGTGGGTGGAGCCACCTTCCCTCATCCCTGGATGGTATCACCTCCTTCCTGGATAAAAGCTGGCTACAAGGACACATGAAACCTAGGATGTCACAACATGCCAGAGAAACTAATGTGTCCAAAAGATATGCTTTGAGAGCCCTCTAAGTGTCATTGCCGTTTCTCGTCCACTTGATGCAAATCCGTAGTCCAGTCAGTAGCAAGATAGAGCAGGAAAAGTATGGACTTTTCAATTAGATGAATTGTGATTGTGTTTGATGTCTTGCCTTCCTGAGTAGCAAGATTACAATAAAGGGAAGAATACATATGTATCAGTCAAGGTCTAATCGGGAAACAGAAACCACTTCAAGGGTTGAACCAGAGTAGATTTAGAGAATTGTTTACACAAACGATAAATAGAGGAGCTGAGAAACCAAACGAGATGGTGAGACAACTCTGAGATTAGCAACAACGGGAAGCACCTACCTACCACTCCTAGGACTGCAAGGACAAAAGGAGGGGGTGGTGATACTGGAGCTCAGCAGCCAGATTACCAGATGAAAGCCATAGTGGGCCTGTCTGGAGGGAATCAGAGATAAGAAGAACACTCAGCCATCACTGGAGACCATGTAGATGCAGACAGAAGGCAGGTAAGGGAAGTGTCTTGGGTGGCTTCTCTTCCCCTGCTATCTTTAGGCCAACAAGAACCAAGACATGTTCACCATGATGTGTCACTGGTAGAAATTCACAGGTGGGATCTTTTGATAGTCCTTGACCTATCTGCTGCATTTCAGAGTTGAAGTGGAAATGATGTTTCAACCAGGTCAGAAAAGTACAAGGTCCTTCTCCATGATTTGGAGGCTTCTTCAGTCTTCGCTAGTTTTTGTTTGGGAAAACTGTTTTCTCTTTTCTCTTCTATCACTTTCACACTAAGCAAACTCTTGCTACTGAGTTACATCAGCCATGTCCTGGAAACATGCAGGGGAGTTGGAAGCAGCCTCATCTCCCGAAGCAGCTGACCTAGGCCTTTTGTTCCTCGCCCGTTGTGGGCAAAGTCCTGGTAATTTTCATTAAGCCAGCTGAGGGGATCAGCATTTGGCTATAGGCCCACCCACCCCTATAACTTCATAGTTGTGAGCCTGCCAAAGTATAATTAAAAGACAGGCCATCCATGGGAAATAACCCCATTGAGAAATTCCAAGAAAGGAGACAGAACTTCCTGAAACTCTTTGGTCATCTTCTCTGCCTTGTTTTATTTCTCCATGGGATGTGCCAAGCCAAGAAAGCTAGAAGGTCATTGAGCAAAGTTACTCATTTATGGGTTCTTTATTTGGTCCAGCCCCAATTTGTTATAGTTTGCTTCTCAACAGCAAGCAAGGAACAGTCTCAGCCTGGCAAGGAAATACTGCCTAATCTTTGTTGATATTGGGAGGGCCTGCAGTTCATCAAGTGCAAAATTGGGATTTAATGGGAAATGACTCTCGGGGAAGAATTGAGACATCTTCTTGTGTTTTACATGTTATAAAGGGTTGCGTGACTTTTAACTGCTTAATTATGGAGCCATTCATTCACCAAACATTTGTTGAGTAATCTGTTAGTGTGTCTTCCCAGTTTTTCCTCAGAAAACAAAACTGATGCGGGCAAAACCATGATAAGCCTTTGGTAAAGATGAGAGATCCCCTTCGATATTTTTTCTTTTCAAGAAAGAGAAAATCAATTTCACGAAAATCTAAGCAATTTTTAAGAACAGCTAAATTTCAGGTGAAGAAGATGTTTTACTAACTTAATCCCACAGAAAGACGATGTTTCCAAGAGGAAGGAATTCATACTCTGAAGGCAGAATTGGACCTGATTCCTGAATCTGGAATCATCAGCTGCTTGGACATGAGTGAATCACATCCTTTCTGAACCTCAGTTTTCTCATCAAAAGAATGAGCATCACAATATTGGCCATGTAAGGGAAGACATCGAGATAAAAAAATCTCTAATATATTAACAGTCTATTAGGCACATATTAAGTGATCGCATAATTATGAATATTATTACTTACTCAATATCCTTAGACATGTCTCTTTGCCCAACTAAAGTGAGCTCACATTATTTCTCTCTGCCCCAAACCCATAGCTTTCTCCCTTCACTCCCTCATTAGGTTAACCAGGAACACAATGCTGTGTCCTCTCTGATCAGGCTCCTAGTGCTGCATTTTATGAGCAGTCTTCACCCTTCCCCCACCTCCAAGTAGCCGATGCCATTGCACCGTTCTTGGTTTGTATAAATGCAACGAGCATAGTGCCTGGCACGGAGTAGGTTCTCAGTAAACATCTGTTGAGTGAATGAACAAGTAATCTGACCTAATAAGTGAAATGATGGAACGGCATGCAAACTTCTTATTAACCCTAAGTACCTTGGGTATATTTTAGGATGAGACTACTGATACTATGGCAAATAATCCAAAAGAGGATCACTAATGTGAGAATTGTAGGAATTCTCACATTAGAATTGTGAGGAAATGAGTAGGGCACATCCTTTTGGGAGGGGTACTCCTCAGATGGGTGTTCCTCAAATCATAGCCTGACAATGTACTCCCACGCCCTCTGTGAAGCATTGTTTATTCTAGGAAGTATAGAAATTGGTGGTTGGATAATTATTGAATAATTACTAGAAATGGCTTATAAGCCTTTAAAACAACTTGCAGAAAGATATATTCGAATGCCTGAGTATCTCACCTCTAACATATACCTAGTACACACACCGCAAAATTATTTGTGGGGGCAGTGGCAAAGGATGTGCTCAGGCCTCCTTGTGATAATGGCAGAACACCAAAGCCTGGACTGTGTAGTCTGTGCCCATATAATTCTGGTGCCCATGTGCCTGAACCTCTGAATTTGTCCTCATCAACTCCAGGCTCTAACCAAAAGAGCTACCCACCCACAGACTGGAGACAAATAATCAGAGTTCCATATTTGTCACAGTATCCCTTCTCGAAAGAAGAAAAAAAAAAGCCAAATATTGACTATTTGGTGTTTTCTCTTGATGTTGAATATGGGAATTTTTTGGCATAAAATTTATAACATATATTTTATATTACTCTTCTATGCATTTTATACCCCACAAAAATAAACAAGGTGGATTGCTGGTTGTTTTTTGCTTTCAGTCTCCCATCTGCTCTCTGCCCCTCTGCATCCTACTCTGTGCTTAGAGAAGGATGAGGAGTGGACTCTCCAGACTGTATCTCCCAGGCTCCCTAGGCCCTAGCTTCCGGTTGTTCTCAGCCAAAGGAAAGCACCAACAAGAGCTTATAGGGCAGGAGAGAAGGGTCAGGGTATTTTTCCTTTACTGCCTTGCTGCTCTGCTCTTTGTTCTGGCAGTAATTGCATCTCTAAGTCTATACCTCCTCTAAGGAACCCTCTCTTTACAGCCTCAATTCTCATCAGGCTCCAGAAACACTGTTTTCTCACTTGCTCCTTTAGGGCTAGGCAGTAGTGGCTTCTTTCTATTGAAAGCTACTAAATTCCCTGACATTTTTTGTTGGTTTCTTAAATCTTTCCCATACCTGTATAAAGACTCCCCAGTAATTAATTTTTTTCAATATCCAAGCTGAGTACAGCTTCTGTTTTTTGTTGGGATCCTAAATCCTATAGATAATTATAACATTATATCTGTTTTGTAGTTAAAGTATCATGCTCAGAATGTCTTGCACAAGAACATCCAACCTAGAATGTAGAAAATACAGGAACTGACCTCAAGACTTCACAGTCAATACTCTCAACATGTCACTTTATGAACAACAGAAATTGTCTCCAGATTACAATGCTCTCTGTGTCCTGTAGATCACACCCATTTCTTAGATCATTGAAAGGGTCTCACCCTTATGTGATTGCACCAAGACCAAATACATTTGTAAAAATGCATCCATTCATCTAACATCCAACATACATTTATTTACTGCCCACCTTGAGGCAGAATTTGGAGATGTAAGACAAGACATGGCTCCTGTCTTTGAGGAACTTTTCCATTCTAAAATACGGAGGTAGATCTAAAAAAGGAGGAGGTATCCTTGAATTGAGTCTTGAGGATTGAGGAGGTAATCACCAGATAGACAGGATCAGAGACGGAAGTCTATGAAATTCCCAAGGGAGGGAGCGGTTTAACAATGACTGAATAAGGAGAGTGAAATGACCCAATTTGTTCAAGGTACTTCAGAATATCTACTACTGTGCCTAAAGTGCAAATAAAAGAGAGAGGAAGGGGACAAAATAAGAGATTTGATTGGAGAATTAAGAAAGGACCAGAGCATAAAGGGTCTTACATTTCATGCTTAGGAGTTTAGACTTCTTATTTAGGTTAGTGTATCAACTGAGGGCATTTCCATTGGAAAGTGGTGTGATGGTATTGATTGGATTTGAGATAGGGTAATCTGAGGTTATTATGAAGGCTATATTAAAGGAGAACTGTAACTGGACACTTGGAGATCAACAAGATGTTACAAGATTATAGCAATCCAAATCCAATATGATGGATATGATGTCGGCTGGAGGAAGGTGGTAGCTAAGCAGGTGGAAAGAAGCGAACAAATCCAAGAGATGTCAAATGCAACAACAAATGCAAGTGACAGCCAGGGTCTCATCAGGAGATGGAAGCCACATAGTAATTTGAATGGAAAAGTTTAATATAATTATCTATAAAAAGAGATTGTGGTAATGAAAAATTGGCTAGTAAAGAGAATTCTAAAGAATATAAGGATAGCATGTACAAGGATCATACCCCCTAGGACTCAGAAAGAGTGCCCAAAGAAAAGGAAAATGACAGATCTAATTAGCAAAGAAAAATTATAATTTAAAAAATTAACAAAATAGACAAACTACTAGTTAGCTTGATCAAGAAAACAAGGAGTAGGCACAAACATATCAACTAAGAAGTGGCAAGGGAGATAAAACTGTCAGAGCAGAATAAATATAAAATATAATAAAAAGCCACTTCACAGGTTTCTAAGGCAAAAAATTTGAAAGCCTAGATAGGGTGGATAATTTCTTAGGTAAATGAAAATTACCAAATTTGACACCGTTAGGGTAAAAGCTTAAACAGACTAATTTCTACAAAAAATATAAAATTAATAAGGAAGTAGCCTACACCAAAAAAGTTACCATGTCCTGTTGGTTTCATGAGTGATTTCTACCAAATCTTCAAAGACCAGATTATTCTAGTAATTGTTTTAAAACATTGAAAAGAAAGAAAAAATTCATAATCCTTTATGGGCAAGCATAAAACTGATACATTTATTAGATAAAAACTATTAAGAAAGATAATTACAGACAAATATCATTTGTGAACATTCTTGTAAAAATTCTGAATGAAAAATTCCCAACCCAGCTGGGATTTTGAAAAAAAAAAAAAAAAATTGGGATGGGGTCTTTTTAAAGGTGTGGCAAAAGTTAAGGGAATCAGCAAACAAAATATTAGCAAATAGAATCCACTACCACATTAAAAAGAATGATACAGGCCCAATGTGGTGGCTCACGCCTGTAATCCCAGCACTTTGGGAGGCCAAGGTGGGTGGATCATGAGGTCAGGAAATCGAGACCATCCTGGCCAACAGGGTGAAACCCCGTTCTCTATTAAAATACAAATAAAATTAGCTGAATGTGGTGGCGTGCCCCTGTAGTCCCAGCTACTCGGGAGGCTGAGGCTAGGGAATCACTTGAACCCAGGAAGAGGAGATTGCAGTGACCTGAGATGGCACCACTACACTCCAGCCTGGCAACAGAGAGAGACTCTGTCTCAAAAAATATATACATAATAATAATAATAATAATAATAATAATACAATATGACGAAATAGCATATATTTAAAGGATACAAGTTGGCTCAACATTAGGAAATCTATTTATACAATACGCTATATTGATAAATCTAAGGAAAATTTATATGTCTATTTCTATAGATCCTGAGAATGCCTTTGACAAAATTCATTACCCATTCATAATAAAAACCCTCAAGGAAATAGGAATTGAGGGCTACTTCCTTAACATTATAAAGTATGTATATCTCAGTCCTAAAGTTAGTATTTTGTTTCATGAGGAAACACTAGAGGTATTTTCATTGTAATCAGCAACATGCAGGATTTAAACATTGTACTGAATGTGTTGGCCAATGCACTTAGATGAGAGATCAATTAGAGGGATAAGAATGGGGGAAGAAGTAGTAAAACTGCTTGTATTTGTAGGTGATATAACAGTATACTTTGAAAAACCCAGAGAATCAATAATAAAACCAACTCAATAAAGTAATTCAGTGAAGTAGCAGGTTATAAAATTAACATACCAAATCAGTAGACTTCATATAAAAAACAACACTTAGAAGACATAAAAGTAAGGAATGCCCATTTGTATTAGTAGCAAAGGAGATTAAGTGCTTAGGAATACATTTAACCAGAAATGGGCAAAACCTATATCTGGACAATTTGTAAGCACTCATGAAAGACACAAAAGCAGACTTTAACAACTGGGAATTCATTTCTTGTTCTTGGCTAGGATAACAAGATTAAGAGATATCAGTTCTCCCTAAGTTAATTTCTAAATGCAATGCAATTCCAATAAAAATACCAAGCTATTTTATAGACAAGTTGATACTAAAGGTCATATGGCAAAACAAACATGCAAGAATCACTAGGAAAGACTGAAAAAGAACACCTACAAGGGGGGAATAGCACTGACAGACATGAAAACATAATATAAAGCTTCTGTAATTAAAACAGTGTGGTACTGGCACATGAACAGACAAATACTATAGTCAGTAGGATAGAATAGAAAGTTCGACATTTGACCCAAATACATATGGATCTCTCTGTACTTCTCTCTTTCTGCCACATGAGTATATAAGGAGAAGTCAGCAGTTTGCAGTCTGGGAGAGGGCCCTCACCAGAACTCCACCATGTTGGCACTCTGACCTTGGGCTTCCAGCCTCCAGAACTGCTATAAATATTTATTATTTAAGCCACTCAGTTTATGGTAATTTGTTATAACTGGACAAACTGACTAAAACATGAGCCCTCATACATTGCTGGTGGGAATATGAAAAGGTGTAACTGCTTATAGAACACAGTTTGACAGTTTCTCAAAAAGTTAAACATAGAATTACTGTATGACCCAGAAATTCCACACTCCAGGTTATATACCCAAGACAACCGAAAACAAACATTCACACCAAAACATGTGCATGAACCTTCACAGCATTATTATCTATAATAGCCAAAAAGTAGAAACAGCCCAAATGTCCATCAACTGAATAAATAAAAATATAGATAGACAAAATATGGCACATCCTTACAATGGAATATTATTTAGCCAAGAAAAGGAATGAAGTACTAATACTTGCTACAGCATGGATAAACCTTGAAAATATTTTGCAAAGTGAAAGAAGCCAGATAAAACAAAAAGTGACATACTGTATGAAGAGTCAAATCTACACAGACAGAAAGTAGACTAGTGGTTGCCAAGGGATAGGTGAAGGAGGGAGCAATTGGGAGTAATTGTGAACAGTTACAGGGTTTCTATTTGGTAATGGAAATGTTATGGAATTAGATAGTGATAATGGTTACACAACTTTGCGAATATACTAAAAAAGTCACAGAATTTCATATTTTAAAATAGTAAACTTTAGGTTAAGTTTCACCCAATAATTAAAACAAAAAAAAAAAAAAACCCACACAAACAAAAAACATTTTGCCATCTAGCAAAGGAAAAAATATTTAGAAAGGGTAAGCTCCAGTTTCACAGAGGCCTAGATTTGGAGAAGAGAAGTGATACTAAATTGATCAATGGAAAAGTCTGCCCCTTTGGTAACTCACTTTCCATATGCACTCTTTACACATTTGAACTCTCGTGCACTCTGAAAACAGACAGTTCAATATAAATGTGAATAATTTCACAGGATCTGCTTACATTCTGATATCCTTTTCTCTGCCTCTTCTCTCTCTGAAAACAACTCCATTTGAATTCCAAATTCTTTTGGATCCCATAGGGTGATTTTACATCACTGCACCACACAAAAGGAAGAGATAAGGGTTATATGCGGCTTTTCTATCTTTAGTGAATCTAGAACCAAACATAGATAAAACCAAATGAGATAGATAGTGTGGGTGAAATAGCCTGGGAAAGCCCTGAATTTTTTCTATCCTCAGAATAAAAACGGACCTTGCATTCAACCATCCTGGGTTCTTAGTAAAAGGGAAAAGTAGGGATAAGAGGGCTGCTTATCCACCCCCGCCCACCCTTTTTCTAGAGCAGCTCCACAGATTCTCAGTCTTCCTAAGCAAGGTCAGACTATGCAGGAGTGTCAGGGAACTCAGAGCGGTGGCTTTAAATGGAAATTTCTAGAATAAAGTGTTACATACATTTTTCCTACATACCGACGAGCTTGACGAGAATTACGTTAGAAACATTGGTCTTTCACATCTTCCTCTGCATGTTTGATGGTTTTTTGTTGTTGTTGTTTGCCCTGATTTATGCATAGGCCAGAGTGAATTCACTCTGAAAGTGAGTAATTCTTGACTGCCAGGTAACACAGTGAGGTATATTGTCTAATTCTGCATGAAGCCCTTAAAATATCTGTATTCATGTTAAGGTATATCAAGCAGTGAGTATTCCTCATAAGAGTGTGTCCCTTCTCCTTGTGGTGAGGTAACAAAACAGATGGCTTTGGTGTGCATTTCTCTCACCTAAACTGTCAGTGAGCCAGCCATCTTGTCTCGATTATACCAACATTCCAGTCCTTGCAAAATGTAGAACAGACGCTCTTCATTCAGCATTGGCTTCAGTTGTGAAAAAAACATAAAGCATTTACCCACTTAACATAATAGTGATCACCTAGGAGGTGCTGTATATTTTCCTTTAAGTTGATATGAGTGATTATGTTTTCAAGTCACCTTTTTTTTGAGAGGGAGTCTAGCTCTGTCGCCCAGGCTGGAGTGCAGTGGTGCGACCTCGGCTCACTGCAACCTCTGCCTCCTGGGTTCAAGTGATTCTGTTCCCTCAGCCTCCTGAGTAGCTGGGATTACAGGTGCCCACCACCACGCCAGGCTAATTTTTCTTTTTTTTTTGTATTTTTAGTAGAGACAGGGGTTTCACCCTGTTGGCTAGGCTGGTCTTTTTTGACCTCGAGTAATCTGCCTGCCTTGGCCTCCCAAAGTACTGGGATTACAGCCATGCACTACCGGGCCCAGCCACATTTTCATGATTATGGGAATTCAGTCTATTCTAATTTCCTGAAGTAAAATTTTCTACTATAGTTTTGGGTGGATAAGAATTAGGTGAGTGGAAGAGAGTGGAATTTTAAGCATTCAACATCAGTTTTAACTTCAACTAACAGGAATTTCCCTCCTTTAGGAGAGGGAGCAAAATTTTAAGAACTCATATCGAGGAACTTTAAACAATTTCCCTAGTATTTCTTGGGATCAGTTTACCTTCTAGATCTCTCTCTTAGAAATAGATCTTTTGAACCTGATGTTCAAAAAGATAAACCTAACTAACTAGAGGATTCCCAGTGATCAAAAGAAAGAATTCAAGTGTGGTCGTTCTACTACTATGCTGAGTAAGACATGACAGATGGTTAATGCATTTATAAAAACTATTCAGTGATAGTGGTTTAAATGAGAAAATTTGGGGTTAATGTTTAATTAATTATCCAATTCAGTTGATTTGGGCCACAAACTTTCTGAGTAATTGAGATTTTATGAGGATTTATATATAAAGCTGTGTACATACATGCCCTCTTTAAGAATTCCTAGAAACATTTATTTGGCTATAAAGACCTTGCCTTAAAAATGTGATATATAATTAAGTTACTTTTATTTTTTTTTCAGTGAAAACATTCATTCAAAGATAGTGCTGTGTTTTAATCTGGAAACATTATTTAGCCCTTGCTTTGTTTGAGAGAATCCTGCCCTGGCAACCCTCTATAAGCCCTCATTTGACTTCACTGGCCAAAATCCATTGATTAGAGGCCCCTCTGGGAGTTAATGGGGCAAATGTCGGGGCAAGAGGAAAATAAAGGATGCAATATCCAGTTCCCACCACCAATTCACCAGCCCAGGCTTGTCTCACAAGCTTTGCGATTAATCATGCTCCTTCACCTACCCTTTGTTTACATTTGACAGAGTCCCGCGGAACAGAAAATAGCTAAAGTAGCAAGGAGAAGCAAATTTGGCAGAGCTCTTCAATTAGAAGCTAATGATTAAATTCATTTGGTATCCTTTGTGCCATAATGACATTATTTATAAGAAATTCTTTTGGTGAGAATGTAACTGCCTTTTACACTTCCAGCAACATTTCTCATCCATTATCACTAAATAATCTTTAGTTCTTGTAAATCCCTTAGCAAAGTCTTCTTATAAAAGAATTTAAAAAGGAATAAAACCTCTGAGATATTACAGGGTTCTTGCTGTGTACCTCCCATAGACTTGGATGAGAACTGCTCAGCTTAAACCCTGTACATTGCTTTGAAGATCCAATTCATGTACCCGTAATTCAGGAGGGGAGAAAAAAAAAGACAGCCATAAATATTTGCATCAGAGCTAACATCTGCACTGGTTTGTGATATTTTTTGGGGTGGAAAAAAGAGGAGAGTAAAACTCTGATGTTTATTTGCAGCCGCCTTTTTTGGGAGAATTTCAGTCTATCTCCTGGGTGCGAGGAATTAGAATTTACTTTGGAGAGCATGGATTGGGCAGAACTGGAAGACTAGGGTGGGGATGGAAATGAGAAGGAGAGAAAGTAAAGAATTTTTGACATCTAACTTTTATTATTAAGAAGCCACTTATATGTTTGTTCATATATGCCCCTGAAATGTAGCCTTTTTCCCCCAAAAGGGCATGGATGAACACCTGTCACATGCCGCTTTCTGCAGCTGCCAGTGATTTCAGCTTCCCAAGGTATGGACTTGCAGCTGCCAGATGAGCGACTTTCATGATTGCAGAGTTTCCTATTTTTAGTCAGACTTGCAGGAAATTGCGGGCATCTCTGTTTTATTTACTTGGTTTCAAAATGTTTCCTGCATGAGTTTCTTTTTTCAGCAGAGAAAATAAATTGTAGACGATATTATCTGTGGACTTCAAAAACATTCTCCATTGGGCAGTGGGCTCCTCTTTTTACAGTCTGTAATGTAGGTCTTGAATATTTAACAAAGTCCTGAGTTTCTCGCCATCAGTTTCTATAAGTGATTTTTCTTCCTTTATTTCAGAAGTGAAAGAAATAATCTAATAAATGGAATTTTACTGAGTGTATGTTGAGTAGTACTGCTTTCTGCTACAGGACCAGCATGGTCAGGAAAGAGCAAGATAACTTCCTCCCCACTCCACTATGCTGAATAAACTCTCATAACACCAAGTCACCAAATGAAGGTTCAGGATCAAGATTGTTAATTACTATATTTTATCTAATCTATGAGGCTGCTAAAAAAGAAAAAAAAAAACCTGCCAATTAATTCTGATGCACCATCAATTGAATGACTGATTTCAGAGTGTTAAATGTAAAAAAGAGTGTATCTTTGAATTGAAGAAAAGTCATAATTAGTCCACAATTATTTCCCGAGCAGTTTGTGTGCCTGCCCCTTGGATGCTAGTGGAAATATGAGACATGGCCCTAGTGTTAGGGAAAGTATGGGGTGATAAGACTATCACACATGGACCTAAAAGACAAACAGCCGCCTAAATATAATGAACAAAACTGAATGCCATGAGGCTGCAGAGAAAGCAGAGGTGGGAGTCAGGAGAAAATCTCAAGAGAGTAATTTAGAGGAACAACACAAACTGCATCTTAAGGATAGTCCTATGGGTAGAGGAGAACATGCTAGGGAAAGACAAAAGCTCGGATAACAGTGGAAATGACAGGCAAAGATGTAGTGTGGACAGGCTCTAGAAGCAAGCTACCTAAATTCAAATCTCAGCTCAGCCTTGCTTTAACCTCTTCCTGCTTCAGTTCACCCATTTGTTGAAGGGAATTAAATTTGTTGCTGTGGTTATAATGTAACTTTATAAACAACAGGTAATTAATAGTAAATAACTCAAAAAGTAATAACAATGGCATGTGTAGAGGAGAAAAATGCTTTTCTGTTACTCTCTTAGGTTCAGTTCCTAGGGTCTGTGAATTAAACTGACAAAAGACAGAATAATAGAAGAAAAGGCCTACACTCTTTATCGATGTTAATATGTTTGCATAAACAGGGGCTTCACAAAACAGAAGTAAAAATCCAAAGAAGTGGTTAGACTTAGGGGCTTGTATACCATTTTTACAAAGGGTGATAAATTGTGGAAAAGTAACTAGACAAAGGAAAAGGGGGTTGGGTTTCTAGGGCCAATAAATTGTGGGAAAGTGACTAGGAAATATATTGCGAGAACTAATGAAAGGTAAGGGTTATTTTAGGAAGATCTGTTTATGGACACTCTACTCAGTGCTGACTCTCCACCTCTGGGGATGAGGGTCGCTCTCCTCATTGTGGTACAGAAAAAGCAGGAGTATTCATGCTACCTTCAAAAAGGGAAACTTAGGCCTTGCTTCCAGGCAGAAAACTTTTCCTTTATGTGTTTATTCTAACTGTCTTGAGTAAAAATAATCAATATGCCAAAGTTGCATATTTGGGGGTATGATATCCTGGTCCCTTTCACATATAAATGACTTAAGTGACTGGAACATGAAGGGAGAGGAAGAGAACCTGGAAGAAAGAATTGTTGTTGGATATTTGGAAGGGTGAAGCTACGTTGACTTCTATACTATTCCTTAAACACAGGAACACATTGAAGCACCAGGGCCTTTGCATAAGCTAATTCCCTGGCCTAGAATACTCCTTCTTTAGCCGGCCATCTGACTTGCTCCTTTGTCCTTCTGGCCTTTGTTGAAATGCAGTGCAATCTTTTTTTTTTTTTTTTTTTCTGAGACATATTCTCACTCTGTTGCCCAGGCTGGAGTGCAGTGGCATGATCTTGGCTCACTGCAACTTCCGCCTACTGGGTTCAAGTGATTCTCATGCCTCAACCTCCCAAGTAGCTGGGATTACAGGCACCCACCACCATGTCTGGATAATTTTTGTATTTTTAGTAGAGATGGGGTTTCAACATGTTGGCCAGGCTGGTCTCAAACTCCTGACCTGAAGTGATCTGCCCACCTTGGCCTCCCAAAGTGCTGGAATTACAGATGTGTGCCACTGCACCTGGCCTGGCCTGTTGAAATGCAATCTGATCAGTGAGGCCTTCTCTGACCACCCTATATGAAATAGTACCAATATCTCTGCTCTGCCACTTTCCATTTCCTTTACCATACTTAAAAAATAGCCCTTGTTAATAAATATTTTATGTGCGTATTTATTTGGTTAAGGGTGTGTGTGTGTATATATGTATGTTTGTGTGTTATTATTCTCCAACAACTAGAATGGATTAAGAAAGCAGGGCTTAGATGGATAAGAATAATAGGAAAGAAAAAGTCTTCAAGGCTGAAAGACTTGGAATATCTGTATAAATAACACACCAACGGATTCCACTGCCTCTGATATATAGTTTACTTTTAAATAACAAGAGCAAAAACTGTGGAGCCACTTGAAGGCAGAGAGTATATCAATTTTTGTAACCTCAGCACCTGCTCATACCCTATTCTATGAGTGAATGAAGAAGCAACATCTCCCTAGATGGAGATGCCTCCATGGGAGAGAAACACATTCTCCTGGCTCATTAATTGAAACCATGGCTCCGAGGGTTTGGGATTATTCACTGTGGTAGGCTGAATAATGGCCCCTCAAGGTATCCAGGTTCCAAACTCTGGAAAACATGAATGTTACCTTATAGGCAAAAAGGACTTTGCAGATGTAAATTAAAGATTGTTGAGATAAGGAGATTATGCTAGATTATCTGAGGTGGGCTCTTAATGAAATCACAAGTGTTTTTACAAGAGGGAAGCAGAAGGAGATTTGACTATAAAAGAAGAAGCCAATGTGATGATGGAAGCAAGATACTACACCGCTGGCTTTGAGGATGGACGAAGAGGCCAGGTGCTAAGAAATGCAAAGAATGTGGCTCTAGAGAACGGAAGGAAGAGAAGGAAATGGATTAGAGCTTCAGCAGTGTGCATGGCCCTGGGCTTCTGATCTCCAGAGCTGTAAGAGAATAAGTATGTGTTGTTTTAAGCCACAATTGGTGGTCATCACTAATTTGTTACAGTGGCTATAGGAAGCTAATACACTCACCACATTACTTTGGTGTTACTTCATAGACAACATACTCAGTGTGCATTTGTTCAGGCAGTCATAGTCCAAGATAATAGACCTAGCTGTCTTAATTAGGAAGTTTCAAATTTTATGAAGGCTTAAAGTGGAACTTTATTTTACACTTCCCTTCATCAAAATGTTCAATCACTGGCTATAAATAGTGGTTCTCATTGTTTTTCAGCTTGTCCTACTTTAGGACAAAAGGCAATGTGAACCAACCAATGAGAATTCTCTGAGGACCTACTATGTATTGGTATTTGAGGCATAAAGGAGCTTTTCACCAGTTAGTCTAACCTGTATTACACTGGTAATGGAATTGGGATGTGAAGAACTCATTTAAAAAAGTACATAAAGAAAGCTTTAGGGCTGGGCGCAATGGCTCACGCCTGTAATCCCAGCACTTTGGGAGGCCGAGGCAGGCAGATCACTAGGTCAGGAGATCGAGACCATCCTGGTTAACACGGTGAAACCCTGTCTCTACTAAAAAAAAAAAAAAAAAAAAAAAAAAAATTAGCCGGGCGTGGTGGCGGGAGCCTGTAGTCCCAGCTACTCGGGAGGCTGAGGCAGGAGAACGGCGTGAACCCAGGAGTGGAGGTTGCAGTGAGCCGAGACTGTGCCACTGCACTCCAGCCTGGGGGGACAGAGTGAGACTCCATCTCAAAAAACAAAAAAAAAAAGAAAAAAAGAAAAACCAAAAAAAGAAAGCTTTGAAAACCAAAATGCTACACATATAAACGTATTTTTATTGGCTAATATTGTGTCAGGCGCATGTACAGCTCAATAAATATAATATTTAAATGACACAGTTTCTGTTGTTAAGATGCTTACAACTAGGGAAAAATATTTACATGGGAAATACTAGAGTTTCTAGATAAGAAAATATTTTTCAAAACCCTAACAGTTGAAGCAATATGATCCTGGTGCAGGAATCAACAGATAACTGGAATGTCACAAATCTCTAAGAATAGAATAAGAATTTAATTTATAATGTAAGAAGCATTTCAAATAATGGAGAAAAAACAGATTAGTATGACAAAACCATCTAACATTTTGGGGGGGAATGTTTGGTTCCCTATCACATACCTTACATCACAATATCTTAGCAGGGCTATGGATTTTTAAAAACACATGATACAATAAATTAATAAAAGAGCACAGGTTAATATTTATTTTGGAGCTCAAAAAGTATTTTTTAAAACAGTGCACAAAATAAAATGCCATAAATTAAAAATTTTTTAAGTTTTATCACAAAAAAATTAATGTGTTGGTTTGTCCAAAGAGATCATACATATTACAAATACAAAGAATCTGAAAACTAATTCAGAAGTGTGAAAGTATTTAGCTACAAGAGGTTCATTGCAATATATACAATGTGTGTGTGTATTTCTAGGTGTAGACATAGATATGTGCATGTATGTTTAAAAATGTAGAAGAGAAACATCAGTATATTAACAGTGGTTATATTCTGTTAGTAGAATTACAGTAGACTATATCTATCTATCTATTGAGACATATATATTTTGTTTACTTGTTTATTTGATAATTTAACTCCCGGTAAATGACCACTCCACTATCGCATTTAATTTTTGGAGCAACAAACACATCTCTTAACATGGACTGAGGTTTTGGTTTAGTATGAAAATAGAGAAGAATGAACTCTGAAGGGAAGCAGAAAACACTGTAGAATTTTCTACCCCTTCCTCAATTTACTGCTAGAGATTTCATTGTTATTTTAAAGGCAGAATAGTTGGAACGACTAGACAACTGCATATGGGTTATTCTTAAATTCCTTCGTTTATTCTGCAAAATGAATTTCAAATTCTGGTGTGTTCAATGTTTAATAGATTTAAAATATTTTGTGAGTTGACTTTAGAAACAAATCCTACATATATGCAGCTCCACTGTATAGGTGAGTTTTCTTTCTTTTTTAAAAAAAAAAAATTATTTTAGGCTGGACACAGTCTCTCACGCCTGTAATCCCAGCACCTTGGGAGGTTGAGGCAGGTGGATCATCTGAGGTCAGGAGTTTGAGACCAGCCTGGACAACATGGTGAAACCCCATCTCTACTAAAAATACAAAAGTTAGCTGATCATCGTGGTGCATGTCTGTAATCCCAGCTACTCTGGAAGCTGAGGCAGAAGAATCGCTTAAACCCGGGAGGCAGAAGTTGCAGTGAGCCGAGATCGCGTCACTGCACTCCAGCCTGGGCAAAGAGCAAGGCTCCGTCTCGAAACAAAAACAAAAAACAAAACAACAAAAAAATTAAAACGTATTTTAATGTGAAAAAGAAAACCCTACTTTGTTTTTCTTCTTTTTTCTTATTTGTAACATTCAAAGGCAAAAATTGAGAGGCAGGAACAGCACAGCCCAGAGGCTGGCTTACAAATGCCTTCCCGCAAAGGAGGATAAAGATGAAGCCCTAGGGTTTTCTTGTTGCAGGTGATTCTGCTTCAATCATAGTGAAATAATCGGCATATGAGCATAGTGAATAATGAGCATAGTGAATAATGCTCCGAATGTGAGATGAGAATTGGGAAATGAGGGACCCGGTAAGAAGGAGCAAGCAGGAAAGTCCTTGACAGATTCCCATGACTCTGGGAGTAGGCAGCCCCAAAAATGGGGGAAGCCAAGTGGACCTGGAGAACGGCCACTCGCAGGGACACTATTCAAATGCCTAGGAGAGCCCACTATTTCCCAAACAAGTGCCCAGACCCATAGAGTGGCATCCCCTGTTACCTAAACATGGAGCCTCATGCCAGCAGATTCTCTGGGTGGGAAGCTGGCCGCTCTGATCCTCCCCAGTTATCTGACCATCGGGAGTTTTGCCTGTTCCTGACCCACTACTTGATATGACACCCCCTGTCTACAATATCCAAGATATTTTTCAGCTCAGAAATTGTGTGTGAGGGCTTGGGAAGACTGGATTCCTACATTGGTGGTGATGAGCATGCCAGATTGAGTAGTTGGAAAGAACTGGGCTGGGTTATGGCTAGCAACACCTCTGACATGCATTTTCTAACTTGTGCAAACATTAAATAAGAAAAACCTTAAGCAATGAATAAATTACAGAGGAAAATATCTATAGATTTACTTATATATACCTTAAAAACAAACAAACAAAAACTCTCTGCTTCCACCAATAATATTAACCAGATTAAAAGGCACACAGTATAATGGGGGGAAATAATTGCAACTGCTCTACCTTCGTTTCCCCAGATGGCATGAAGTGTCTGCTAGAATCCAGACTGACAACAGGGATGCTGGTGTGGGAGGCTGTTTGTTTTGGTTAATTGCTGGAATGACTGGGGACTGGCCTTCATTTTCTGAACACATGAATCCAGAGGGCTTGAAAATTGGGAGGTATTGGAGAGCTTTGCCTTTTCCAGCGAAAGACAGAGACATACCAGGATAGTGTCTGACGAAGATCTGATCCTACTGGGCCAAAAAGGAGAACTCACTAGCTGAGACTGAGTACAATGAGAAATTGAGGAGGAGGAGGAGTATAGTCTCATTGATTTGTTATTGAAATAAACTAGACTGGAGACTTTATTTTTAGAACTATGAGTTTTATAATGGAATGAGTTAATGTGTCCAAATTTAACATGCTTTATTTAGGCATATTTTGAAACTTTTAATAAAATATGTTAAGACAAATGACCATAATTCAAAATAGAAAATAATAAATATTATGGAGGCAAAGTATACGATAATATTAAGTGGTTATCTGGGTACTAGGATTAGGAGTGATTTTTTATTCTCATATGTACTTTTCTCTTTTACTGTGTTGTTTTTTTTTTTTTTCAGATTCCTCAATGTGCATATATTTTATAATACTAGCAAACAATTGTTTTAAAAAATTTAAAAGCTAACTAACCCACAGCACTGCAACACATCTATATTTTTCCTATAATATTAGGTCAGTGCAAAAGTAATTGTGGTTTTTGCCATTGAAAGGAAGACAAAAACCACAATTACTTTTGTGCCAACCTAATACTTGTCATCATTTAAAGGTTGTTATATTATTCCATGCTTATACTGCATCTGTTTGCACAATGGGAAATAATATTTGTTGGAAAATTGTAACATGTGTGCTGTGATACAATCTGAAAAACATAAGCCTCATAAACTGCCAACTTTTTATATTTTTCCTCATTGCATTTATTCTAAATGGAGTAGTGACCTTGTCTTGGTGCTAATTCTTTCATACTGCCAGGTTGAGTAATTTACCCAAGACAAGAGAACAAAAAGAGTGAAGTGGAAATAAAGAAAATTTGAAGCAAGTAAGAACTTCTTAAATGTTACAAACAAATCTTGATCTCATTTGAGGGCTACCGAATCAATGTTATCCTTTGCCTTTTAATAGAACACATGGAAAGAGAAGCTTACACTCTCCCCCCATCTACAGGAACATGCCTATAACAAAGTTGTGACTACAGGAATTCAATTTCTTTCTCTTTTGCTTCTAGGAAGTGCATTTGTACTAGATGATTGTAGCATAAGAAAGGTTAATTTATATTTACCAGCATAAGAAGCTGGTAAATAATTTATATGAAAGAATTTGTGGAATTTTGTTGTTCTCTGATTTTCTTGTTGAAAGAAAGAGCAAAACAAGCAAAAGCCCTAAAATCTCTTTGAAATGAATATTAGAACTGGTTCCAACTTTCAAAACAACCACCACCATAAGGCAATGTGCTCCTGTGGTTTGGCCTGTGGCAAAGTTGCCAAAACTCACCAGCCTGTGGCTTCATTGTTCTGTGCTAAGGAGGGACTGAAAGAATGAAGTGAGCTTTTTGAAATTCCTTGCTTGTTTTCACAGTTATTTTCCAGTCAGTGTGTTCTTCCAACTTGGCCACAACATGCCCTTGTTTCTAGAAATGGGGTTAGCTCTCTCATGGGCTTACCATAAAATATAACGTAGCACATCTTTGGCTGGCCTCTCTGGGTTACTATTATGAATGAAGCCTTCCATGTTTTATGCAGAGTTTTCTGATTTTCAGAGAAATTTTAGGTCTTCTGTCTCACTAAGATGAGACAATGAGGACATGAATGTTACCCTTCATTTAACAGGTGAAAAAACCCTGAAGGTTCTAGAACTTCTATAGGATATTGTTGCTTGGGCCCTTCTGGCATCCAGATCCCCCTTCCTTTTACTTGACCTGCCTCGGGAGGCCCCAAACTATGGCTAATATGCTCCCTCTCTCTGCACTGGTACAATTATAGGCACATGGAGTAGTCTCACCCAGTAGGATGCTGTCTCCTGGGATGTTGTATCTTGAGTGTGACCCAAAGACAAGAGGACAGAATATACTTAATGTTGCCCCCAATTCCTCTCTTTTCATTCTCTCTCTCTTTCCCTCTCTCTTTTTCTCTCTCTCTGGGTCTTTTAAAAAAAATCATTATTCATAGTGAACATTCACTGACATGCAGAGAAGTGCTATATTTAAAGTTTAACCTGGCTAGGCACAGTGGCTCATGCCTATAATCCCAACACTTTGGTAGGCCAAGGTGGGTGGAGCACTTGAGCCCAGGAGTTTGAGACCGGCCTGGGCAACATGATGAAACTCCATGTCTACAAAAAAATGCAAAAATTAGCCAAGCGTGATGGCGTACTCCTGTGGTCCCAGCCACTGGGGAGGGTGAGGTGGGAGGATCACCTGAGTCTGGGGAGGTCAAGGCTGCCATGATCACGCCACTGCACTCAACCTGAGCGACAGTGAGACTGTGTCTCAAAAAAAAATTTTTTTTAAGTTTAACCAAATATTTTAAAGCAAACACACATATAACCACTATCCCAGTCAAGAAATAATCCTTTGCCAGCCCCCAGAGGTTCATGTTATACCCTTTCCAGTCTGCAATTTCCTCCTTCCCCAGGGTAACCATTAGTCTGACGTGTAGTAATCACTCTCTTGCTAACTTTTAACTTTATCATCCAAATATGAATCCACAAACAGTATGATTTAATTTTACCAGTTTTGGAATGAAATCAGACACTATGTTTCATGCGTGTCCATGTGAAGCGACAACCAAACAGGCTTTGTGTGAGCAATAAAGCTTTTAATCACCTGGGTGCAGGCGGGCTGAGTCCGAAAAGAGAGTCAGCGAAGGGAGTGGGGTCATTTTATAGGATTTGGGTAGGTACAGGAAAATTACAGTCAAAGCGGGGGGTTGTTCTCTGTCGAGCAGGAGTGGGGGTCACAAGGTGCTCAGTGGGGGAGCTGTTGAGCCAGGATGAGCCAGGAGAAGGAATTTCACAAGATAATGTCATCAGTTAAGGCAGGAACAGGCCATTTTAATTTCTTTTGTGGTGGAATGCCATCGGGCTTAGCTTGGGCTCAGAGGCCTGGCACTATGTATTCGTGTCTGGCTTCTTTCACTCAGCCTTTTATTTGTGAATTTTATCTGTGTGGTTGGGTAAACCCATAGTTCATTAATTTTCATTGCTAAGTAGTATTCTATTGAATGGGTCTAACACAATCTGTTCATCTATTCTACTACTGAATGTTACCTGGGGTATTTAGGCTGTTATAAACAATGCTGGTGTGAACAGTCTTGTACATTTTATCTTGATGCCCATCTAGGGCATCTATGGCCGAGAATGGAATCAATGGATCATAAGTTTTGTATATATTTAACCTTACCATGTGATGCCAGTGTTTTCCAAAGCAGGTGTTCCAATTAACACTACCACCAGCAGCAAATGTATATTCCCATCATTGTATAACCTCACCAATACTTGAGGTTGTACAATGTACAACCTCATTAATTTGTTAATTAATTAACAAATATTGAACAACTATGGAGTATGAAGTTGATAAGAGATGTAGTTTGCCCCTCAGGAGACTCATAATTTAGGGGGAGAGGAAGGCATTCAAACAAGTACCAACAAACTCAACGTAGTGCTATAATGATTTTATATACATGGAAGAGGAAATTATTAGTCAAGCTTGGGAACATGGAGTTGGAACAAAGAAGACTTTATATTAGTAATAGCAATTGAGATGGTCTTCACAGTTTGAATAGGAATTCAGCAAATAGAAATATGGGGGAAAGAACATTCTAAAAAGCAGTAAAAGCCTGAGGAAAAAATTACAGAGGCATGATAGTAAAGAGCCTATCTTTTTTAAAAGTTAGAAGCGAGGCACCATAGCACATGCTTATAGTCCCAGCTACTTCACAGGCAGAGGCAGGAGGATCCCTTGAGCCCAGGAGTTCAAGTCCATCCTGGGCAACATAGCAAGACACTGTCTTAAAAGAAAAAAATAAATAAAAAATTAGAAGGTGGAAGAAAATTAGACTAAGGTTAGATTGTAAAGGGAGTCTGTGTAATGTTAGTTTGTAAGTTATTCTTTACCTGATAGGGAGTTGCTAGAGGTGATTTTGTTGTTGTTATTTTTGTTGTTTTTTGTTTGTTTTTGAAGGAGTCTCACTCTGTTCCCCAGGCTGGAGTGCAGTGGCACCATCTCAGCTCACTGCAACCTCTGCCTCCCGGGTTCAAGACATTCTCATGCCTCAGTTCCCCGAGGAGCTGGGACTACAGGGGTGCGCTACCACGCCCAGTTAATTTTTTTATTTTTAGTAGAGATGGGGTTTCACCAATTTGGCTGGGCTGATCTCGAACTCCTGACCTCAGGTGATCCACTCACCTTGGCCTCCCAAAGTGCTGGGATTACAGGCGCAAGCTATTGCGCCCAGCCTCGCTAGAGGTTTTAATCAGAGGTGTAGCCTAGAACTTTATGACAGAGTAGTAAGCCATCATATATATAGTAGCTTGGAAGGGGAAAAGAAAAAAGGTGTCCTACTATATGTGAGTTTGTACTAGGGGATTAGGATCAAGTGTACTTTGTCTGTGCTGGCACCATATTCAGACATGGCTCTCCAGTTGTAAGACTCCTGTATTAACTCTAGATCTTCCATCCTCTCATCTTTGAATCCTTGAGAAAAGAAAGAGTTTCTCTTCCAAACAGCTAAACTGCTACTGGTTTACCAGAGTGTAAATACTTAGAAGATGGGCTGCCAAACAAGAGTTGCCCCTTTACAATGGGGAGATCATTTAAGAGCTGATTAAACAGATGGCACAATAAGTTACTAGAAAAATTAAATGAAAAGAAGGGGATGAGTAGCCAATATGATCAGATTTGACAATTGATGTGATACGTGGGGAGCCATGAGAAAGGACAAGAAGGCTTAAGATGATTTCAAGGGTGAAGGCCAGAATATTAGGGAGGATGATGATGTAATTTTCTGAGATAAGAAACACAGGCGGAGGAACAGGTTTGGGGGCCAAATGAGTTTCGTTTGCTGAATTTGCAGCCCTGGCAATCTATCTCTGCGGAAAGGTTGACCAGGCAGATGGATGAGCAGGTCTGTAGGAGGCACAATACCCTGCACACAGCTTCCCCATAAATGTTTATTAAATACAAAATAAACAAAGATGAAACCAGTTTCCATGTTAGCGTTCCCACAGTGATATTTACTGGTTGGGTCCTTGCCGAAGTGAGGTTTGAATAGATCCAACTTAAAAATAATTGCTTACCACTTCTGTGCCCTCCCATATGTTCTCCTTCTAGTTCCTAATACAATTTTTTGAAAAAATAATTGAGATTTTGAAAAAGAAAAGCACCATTCAAATACATTGTCATTCTTGCCCTAATGTTATTAATTATCAGAGAGGTAGGACTTATCAAAAGCATTTTCAACCATGTGCAGTGGCACACAGATTGGCAAGGGTCCTTAACTTAGCCTTGTAGTGCACATGCTTTCCAGCCTCATTGTGCTGGGGCTACTGCAACCCTCTGTCAGTCTCATACTTCAAAGATTTTCTCTTCTAGTCATAATATGTTAGATAATGGGTTCCCATTTTTGATTCTGGAAATATGCTTGGTATAGATGTAGGTGTCCAAATATAAGGTAGCTTCCATTCTTTTTTCTGGCCCTCAAGTTACATTCTAAAGGCATCTCCAACAAAACATGTCTCATTCCAATTTGAAAGTATTTTGAGGCTGGCAAATTCAATCCTCAGACTGCATTCCATGAATTCATGCCACCTCCCACCCCACCCTCATTCCCATTATTGTATTATCTGTATGTTTGTCTCCTACAGTGACCTATCAATCCCTTAGATGGAAAGCTGAGCTCTGCTCATTTTGGGGTCTCTTACTCCAGTTAAGTGCTTTGCACAGGAGTTTCTCAGACAAAGCATGTGGGGAATAAACTGGAAAAAACAATTGTTTATCTGGTCTGGTCTGCTGTGAGAGCTTCATGCTGAATGCTTCTTGCTTCTGTTTGCCTGGTATAGTGGGGCAGTAGCTTTGCCCAGACCCATTAGAAGTTGAGATAATTTACTGGGTAGGGTAAAACAATGTCATACATTTTCCCCTAGCAATAAAGCCAGTCTGGCCATAATTTGTTTTTTTCTCAATTGGACTCTGTTTGAAAGATTCTCTGCTAGTGTTTCCTTTTTTAAGTTTTCAAGAAAGAGGTTCTCTTTCACCCCAACCCTACTCATCTTAGCCAGGTGCCAGAACACCACAACATGGGAATGTCTGACTCATCCTTGCAAAAGTGGAACTGTATAATAGGATACATTCTTCTCTGACTAATTTCTTCTTCTCAGCACACGTTGACTCATTAGAAATTGTGAGAAGAAATTTAGCAAAAGTCATTGGCTTTTATTGCTGCCTTTGCAGAAAAAAAAATTTTTTTCTTTGTAACACATTAATTTGCATGCTGGGTGCCATATAATTCCACACCCATTTTAAGAGTACCTACTAGGAAAAAGGCAAAGGGAAGTGCTTCCTTTAGAAGTCATAAAAATTAAGAAACTAGAGGGAAAATCTTAGCAGATTTTTATGGCTACAAATACAGGAATTTGGTAAGATTGAGGGAGAACTTTGAAGAAAAATAGGGGACAGACTTCAATGTAGAGGAAATCCCGCAAATGAACATTGAGCTGGGGAGTGAAGAATGGCAGGCACTTCTTAGAATATGGAGATGGAGGGCCGGGTGTGATGGCTCATGCCTGGCCTGTAATCCCAGCACTTTGGGAGGCTGAGGCAAGCGGATCACCCGAGGTCAGGAGTTCAAGACCAGCCTGGTCAACATGGTAAACCCCATCTCTACTAAAAAGATACAAAAATTAGCTGGGTGTGGTGGTGTGCACCTGTAGTCCCAGCTACTTGGGAGGCTGGGAAACTGCACACTGCACACAGTTGAAAATGCTTTTGATAAGTCCTATCTTTCTGATAATTAATAATATTAGGACAACATTAGAGGTGGGAGAATCACTGGAACCTGGGAGGCAGAGGTTGCAGTGAGCCGAGATGGTGCCATTGCACTCCAGCCTGGTCAACAAAGTGAGACTCCATCTCAAATAAATACATTAATTAATTAATTAATTAAAAAAGAACATGGAGATGGAATAAAGATGTTTGCTCCTCAGCGGTCTCTTTCAGAGTGCTGCAGAATGAAGGCATTCTACCTCATCTCAAAGGCAACAATTCTGGTCATTGAGCCTTTTTCTCATATTTTGGTAACTTATCATCTGTTGTGTTTTGCTTCTAAGATAGGACAGGTGCTCTCAGTAGGGGTAGAGGCGGCATTATGGAAACTTTTTGCTCAGGGCCCACTCATGTCTTTAAGGTTCAACTCAAATTCTAATTATTTTTTTAATATCTCTCAGATTACTCCAAAAAGTCTCTCTTTCCTACAGGTATTCCCATGGTGTTTTTAAAAATCTCTGATGTTTATTATCATACAATAGCCATCCCCAAGTTGATGGCTTAAAGGAAAAACATTTTCTTGCTCATTAGTCTGTGTGACAGGAATTTAAGCAGGGCTCAGCAGGGTTGGCTTATCTCTGCTCTGCGAGGTAATAGGTGGGGGTGACTCCACTGGGGTTGGAGGATCCAAGATATCTTGATCCCATGTCTGGTGCCTCAGCTGGAGAGGCTGGGATCTTTGGAGGATGGCAAAGTCTCACTTTCTAGAAGGGTAGTTCAACTTCTTTTCAGAGTAGCTCAAGGCTCCAACAGAGTAAAACTGGAAGTTCTTAGGTCTCTTAAGAACTAGGTACTGAACTGACATGATGGCACTTCCATGCCATCCTATGGGCCAAAACAAGTCACATGGGCAGCCTAGATTCAAAGAGAGGGGAAATGGATATGACATCTTGATGGAAGGTGTGCCATGCCCAGATAGGGAAGAATAAATTGATAGTGACCATCTTTGCTGACAGCCCACTACAAATTCCTTTGTGGCTCTGTGGTACTCTTGTTCCTAATATTCTCTTATTATTTGTCAGCCTACACTATCATTCTGTGAGCTTCTCAAAAGGCAAAGTCAAAGTCATATCCTTTGCAGTGTCCTGCCAACAACAGGGTCTCAAAGACTATTTGGATAAACAAACAGATTTGTATAGACTGGGGACAGAAAGTGGGGGAATATATTGCAGAGAGCATTGACTTTGGAATCAGATGATGTGGGTTCAATTCCCAAATTTTGCATATATCTGTGAGCTCTAAAAGTGCTTTTACTTTTTATTTCTGTTTCCTCAAGTGTAAATAGAGGTGATGCTACACAGCTCATAAAGTGACTGTTAACAGTGAACAAGTTATTGTTTGTAGAAGTGCCTCATCCATGGGGTAAGGTTGGGGAAATGAGTCTTGTTCTCAACTTTTGCTTAAATCCTCTCTGCTCTCCTCAAATGTTCAGACACATTTCAACATAGTTTTTGACACATTTGAGGGAAAAAGCTTTCTCAGTAAGTGGTTAAAAGTAGAATAATATTTTAAACACAACCCAGGATATAACCACATTAGAAATAAATGCTGTAATTGGCACTTAGCAGAGATGCTGAGGAAAGACACTGCGGCATTGTCATTAAGCCCTCAGGCACAAATGCACATGTGGATATCAAATTAAGTGTCCAGTTGTACCAATGGTCATTGTTTTTAGGAGTAGCTCTCATGTCCATTGCTGACGTATCTTTCAGAAAACTGTCTATGATCTGTCCATAGATTACCCTAGCAAACCATAACTAATGGACACACACTAGAGGACAAAAGAAGGAAGTAGGGAGATGCTTAATATAATGGCCTTGACATCATAAAGAGCAAAGAGCCATCTCTCCCTGACTAATTTTCAGTCAATCTCCTGTGCAAAACCAAGGACAAATAGCAGTTACTCACATTTCTTTAGTGTAGTAGTTCTCAACATTCTCAGTCCCAGCTCTCCCTCTAGAGAGTATATATTTTGTGTTGGCCCTTTCACTATTCTGAAATTTCCTTCATAGATAAAATAGTTTATCTACAAGCATAATTTCGAAAACACCCATATAATGCTTTAAGTGTACTACAAAGACAGTGAAGAGTAAGGTGATCTATAATCAAATAATATGTGTTTCAATATGTATATATGTAGGTACAACTACACTAAAGAGAATAATAAAGTAGTCAAATGCTTATATATACTTAAAATTTGTAAAGTTTGAAATTAAGATAATATTCAACTAGTATCACTCTAAATTTTTTACATGCTTAAAATAAGGGTAATATACATATATGTGTGTATTTATGCATGTATGTAGATGCATAGATATGTGTAGATATGAATATTTGTGTTTATATATAAACAAGTTCATAAATCACTGTGAATACTAGTTACAAACAAAAATTGAAACAGATGTGTTACATTTGTGACTCAGATACCACAAGAAGCATCAATGATGTAAATTACAAAATGACAAATAATCTTTGGAAAAGTTCTGAACAAAACTAAATTCTGTATTCTTTCAATTTACGTGGGAATTTTCATCTGGAAAATTCAGTGCATGTTACAATCATGCAAAACGACTTGCTGTTTATATGTTAAACCAAGTAAGGATCTACGCTTGGATTATCAAAAACAAGTTCTTCACTTACCAGAATGCCTAGCTTCTCAAATTGAAATAGTCTTGACTTTAGAAAATTCACTTGAGGCAGGACAATTCTTCATCATACAGGATTGTCTGCCCATTGCAAGGTATATAGCACCTCTGATCCCCACCAACGGAATGCTCCCTAAACCATGGGTGTCCAAAAGCATTTGTATTAGTCTGTTCTCACTATGCTAATAAGGACATACCTAAGACTGGGTAATTTACAAAGGAAAGAGGTTTTATGGACTTACAATTCCACATGGCTGGGGAGGCCTCAAAATCGTGGTGGAAGGCAAAGAAGCAACAGCAAATCTTACATGGCAGCAGGCAAGACAGGGAATGTACAGGGGAACTCCCCTTTATAAAATCATTGGCTCTCATGAGATGTATTCACCATCACAAGAACAGCATGATCATTTCAAACGGTGTTGAGGGACTATATTAAGGGCTGCAGAGCCAGCACTGCAGAGGTTAGGGTTTTCTGACTCACAGAGCAGGGATGTAGTTCTCTGTCCGGCTATGACTTCTGTCTTTTCCTCATCTGGTCTCTTCATTTTTGCCTACCTGCTGGAAATGGTTGGGGCTGCTCTGAGCTTACAGCAGTTGTTTAAGGGGGAAAAATGACTTGATTGCAAGATGCCTTGAGCTAATTACATGAATTACACCAGTTGATATAGGTTAAGTGCTTGGAATAGTGCCTCGCATGCAGAAAGTCCATAAAGTTAGCTTAATAAGTGTTAGCTATTACTACCAAAACATTTGAGAAAAGACATAGGTCTATGACAGTGATGGTGGAGATGGTGATAACTGGCTTTCTTGTGTGATCAAATTTAGTTTCAACATCTTTGTTTTGATCACCTACTATTTACAAGTCTCTGTACTAGGGCATTCTTTGAATAGAATCCAGTCTTTGCCCTGAAGGACCTTATTAGTGGTGTTGGGGAGAAGAGCTGAGGTGAGGGGGAATGAACAACACAAATAAAAGATATAGAAAGATAAATGTCTTGAGAGGCAGAAACACAGTATTATAAGGCATTAGGACTTCCAGCTTCTGCTAATAGCAGGGATCAAAAACAGGAAGAAATCACATTAATCTAGAAAGAAAGAAAAGTTGAGGTGACTCTGAATGATGGTATTTGAAAATGGAATTGAAGGAGAGACCCAGAAGGATTAAGAATTACAAGAGGAAATTGCTGCATCAACAAAACCACCAGGAGGTTTTGGGAACACATTCACCACTGGAATTAGAAATAGAGTCGCTGTTCCCAAACCTGCTAAACGTGAGGATCACCTGGGGAGCTTTAAAAATAGAGATTCCTAGGAGCCAGCCAGCCTTACTGAATCATAACCTCCAAGAGTAGGTCTAGAAACTTGTATTCTTTTATAAACTTCTCAAAGAAATTCTACTCATCAACCTAATGTGGTCCTCAGACCACCAGCGGCAGCTCCCGTAGGTATGTAGGAGATCCAGGCTCTCAGACCTACTGCAGCAGAAGCTCCGGGACTGGGGACCAGCAATCTGTGTTTTAAGAAGCCCTGCAGAGGATTCTGAAGCACGTTAAGTTTGTGCAGAGTAGAAAAATGTCTGTCGTCAACTGTCATCTTGGCAGTAAGGGAGTCAATGAATAAACGGGTGACAGAAAAGTGGAGACATGAGATATTGACACAACCTTTTACCACTTTTTTTCCTTCCCCTTGTCCCAGAAACTTTAGTAGTGAAGAGTATGGAAAAAAAAATAAGGTGGAGTTCTTCCTCTCCATTTAAATTATTGTAGTAACAACGCTAACATTAACAATGCTAGCTACTTCCAGTATATTTTTCTCCAAGTCTCATAACAACCTGAGAGGGAGGTTGATATTATCTCTATTCTACCCATGAGAAAACAGTCTCAGATATTTTAAATAATTTGCCCAAGGTCACACAGTTAATAATTAGCTGACCTGAGATGTGAATCTAAGGATTTTTCACACTATGCTGAGCCGCCTCTCCTCTGATCTTTCTGTGATCAGGACAGTAGATTTGGCAGGGAATTTAGAGACAAATACCAATCTCCTAATTTTGGACACCGAAATCTAAGGCCTAGACATGTAAAGTGAATTACCCCAAATTATTGGGCAGATGGGTGGCAGAGATAGGGTTGGAAGCCAGAGAGAGTGTCTATATTCCAGCCTAGGGCACTTCCCGATTGCCACGTTCAAGTTCATTCTCAAACTGCTGGGACACTTGTTACATAATGTTTAAATTTATGTAGGAATGTGACTAATCCACATTCTTTGGTATTTGATCAGATGTACAATATAAATGAGGCAAGCACGTAATTGAAAGACTCAAGAAGTGGGAAGGCTGAGGAGTCCTGTGATACAGAACAACAATGAAATGCAGGCTGCATGAATATTTTTCAAGCAGTTATGGCTATGAACTACGGTTTACTACCTCTGCCGAGATCAGTTCATATTACAGCTAAACAATTGCGGAGTTATGTGGCATCTATGTCTGACTAGTAGAGGATTTGGTAATTACTAATCTTCCTAATACCTTCATGTGTGAATCAAGCAAAAATTAAATATTTGCTGTATTCCTACCTGTCTCCAGACAACTGTCTGAGTTGTTCAGCAAAGCAGTGATCAAAGCAATCTGTTCATCATTTCAGATTTTCTCTTTTAAAAAGTCATTAAAGTTTATTTTTTTGCTAGAGAAAAGATAGCAAAGATAGCAATGAATAGAATTTCCTTTCTTAAGAAGCACCTGTCATTTGAAGAAGCACAAAGACCGTAAAAGGAAAATACATATTTTTAGTCATAGTTTTGTGTCCTTTTAATTATAATTATCTTAGAGCTCTGGTATGAAAAGATAGAACGTTTCACTAAAATAGATGAAACAGATCTTCTAAATGATGCTACTAAAAACTGTTTAATATATTATTATGTCTAGCTGGCTTTAAATGTCAGACAATAATCGCCAAAACTTTAAAATGTGGTGATCTTTAGGCTGCCTTTGACCTGAAATTTTAAAAGGCTAACAAGTGAGAATGATAAGATTATCGAAACAAATTTACAGACTTCAAGTTGAAGTCCTTGTGGGTCAAAGAATTTGCTGCAGCATGGATCCGCCATGTTCATGTTTACAGCTGGCACTGCTAGTAGCCTTTGCAATACCTATACCCCAATACCACCTCCTTTCTCTGCTTTCTTCTTCCAACAAGAATACTGTTTTTATTCAGGTGTGCTTCCTCCTGGGTATCGCCATATGGCAGAGGGTAGGTCTCGACTGGTGTCAGCTAATCACATCAGTCTTATCTAACTTGCCAGTAACTGGCTGAAGACCTGGTCAGGTAACAGGATTCTGGCCTTTGAAACATGAGGGCAAGGCTGTTGGGAGGATTTCTGGGAAAGGTATCTCCAATCTTTGAAAAAGATAAAGAGATGGCTCATTTTCTGCTTCTGGGTGTGGGACTACAAGCAGAGTCAGTCCAAGGAAAAGTGAACGTGTGGAGAAGAACAGAAGTAAGAGAGATATGGGGAACAGAACTTGGCCCTGATCCTGCTGTACCCAGAAATACCCTTTGTACTTCCTGCTTAGTGAGAAAGTGAATTAGTGAATTTCCTTATTGTCTGAAACACTGGTTTTCAAAGTTTAGCATTCATCAGAATCACCTGGAGGGCTGTTAAACCACAGATCACTGGGCTACACCACCAGAGTTTCTGATTCAGTAGATCCAGGGTAGAAGTGGAGAATTTGCATTTCTAACAGGGTCTCAGGTGATGCTGATGTTGCTGGTCCAGGGTTCATACTTTGATAATCACTGGCCCACAAGTCAATTGAGTTGAGTTTCAATTACTTGCAGCTGAAAGCATCCTAATTTATATGCCTAGGTGCTGAGAAACACATAAAGATGTAAAAGCCTTCTGCCTTCCCGGAAGTTTCAAGCCTGATTTATGTTAAGCTAACTGGGAAGAAGCATTCTATCCTGCCTTTCCTTTCCATTAATGATGACACTCTGTATACACACATTGATCAAAACCTTGAAACATAACATATTTCTAGAGTAAAGAACACAGGAGTTGGAGTCAGTCTTGGACTTAAATGAGAGCTCTACAATGCTGACTTTACTTGTAAATTACTTGGATCGTCCAGGTTTTCTGTTTATAAATGAAAACTAAGACCTTATTCTATAGACCTGATGGGGGGATTAAAAGAAATAGCATGCGAAATGCTTCTAACATAGCACCTGATATAGGGTAGGTGCTCGGTACACATATCCCATTTTTATTTATTTTTCTAACTTCCTAACTGAAATATAACATATAGGGTAAAAATGAATAAATTAGAAAGTCCTCATTATCTGAAACTTTGTTATCTAAAATCCTGTACTTAAAAGGTTTTATATGGAAACAAGCGTCTTCCTAATGCAAAAATATTTACTAATGAATTGCCCACTTATTAGTACCCATTCAAACATCCTTCCCTCTTAAAAAGTAGTAGCTATTTCTATACATCTGTCATAATATTTCTAGATGAGTCTCTACTAGATAGTAAAGTGTAAATATCTGGTAGTGAACTTGATTGCAAATTGAGGTTGCAAATCTTGCACATGGTACAAGATTTCATGAAGTTAATTAAAGTGCTATCAGAAAATTAATCATATCACACTGAATGTCCCTGACAAATGAGGGTCTGGCAGAAGTAGACCAGTGAAAATTTTGAAGTGAAACATCTGGAATTTTGATGCTAGGATCAGGTATTTAAGAGAATGATGTGGATACCAAAGGCCTAAGAGAAGCTCTTAGTAAAAGTGATGCACATTTTCAAATATCCTCCCCATGATCACGTAGCCAAAGACAAAAAGAAACAAAGAATGTCCTATTATTAAATCATATTATATTCTCATTTCAATGTCATTAAATTAAATAATCAGCACTTAACTCATTCTTGGCAAAAAAACCCTAATAAATAATGGATATTATAACCTAAATTACATTAAATATAAAATAAAATATGCTTTCACAATTTTAGTATCATTTTTCATGGTAAAATTCCACTCAAAACTTCCCCCTTACCATTCACTATAAAAACTTGGTCTCTGCTTTAAGTAGATTTGCTTTAAAATATTGAGGGAAACAGATATCAAGAGAGTAACGTGTTGTTTTGTATAATACCTAAATCCTGCTCAGGAGAAACTTCCAGTTACCTCCCAATATCTAGTCTTTTCTTCTCCAGTAGGAACAGAAATCTGAGTTTTAGCTGGGCCAGTGTTGTCCAGATAATAGCTACATTTCCTGGTCTTCTTTGAATTTATAGTCTGATGAGATGTAATACAAGTGTTTTGTGAGAGTTCTAGCAAAGCTACTTAAAAGTGGAGAGGTGTGCCTTTTTCTTTCCTTCCTTCTTCCTGCCATCCTGGAGTAGGCAGGAGCTCCAGCAGTCATCTTGGACCAAGAGGGGAAAACCACATACTGAGGATGGTGAAAAGGAAAAGTAGACATCTGTACCCTTGAAATCACCATGGAGTTTTCATACCAGTCCCCAAATACGTACCTTTGGATTTTGTTATATGACAAATAATTATTCTATCAAAACTCCTGTTATTTGGGGGTTTTCTGGTGTTTACAGCACAATTCTATCTCACATACCCTTTACCTTTTGCTGAAAATATATTACTAATTTTTGAAGTGCATGTTCACGCATTACTTTGGACTATTAGGGTAGGGGAAGTGGAGTAGTGACGTGTGGGGGTGGGGAAGGAAAAGTCTCAGGTTTGCTTCTAAGTAGACTTGCAAAAAGGAAGATAGTCATATTTAGTCATCTGATTTAGCTTTGAGTATAAATGTACTCAATAGGTTGCTTTTGTAGATTATTTGCATCTTATTTTGTTATCTTTAGTCCACCATGTTTGATTAAGTAAGAAGAGCCTTTGTGATTATCCAATGCAATATCTGTCTACTTCAGGAATCTTCTCTACAACACCCCTGTTGCGCCATCCACCCTCTGCTAAAAGACATTGGTAAGAAAATATTTAAGGTCTAAGACACCCAATCAATTGATAAGAAGGACTTCCTTGTGCTGATGCTGCACCTGCCTATTCAAAACTTCTGTCCACCAGGTCATGGTTCTACAGAGCTGAACTTCCTCTCAATAGCTCCTGTGGCTATTTAAGAAAACTATAATAGTATGTTGCCTAAACGTCTTCTCAGCTTTAGGCTAACCAACCCAGTTCTTTCAATTATTCTTCTTTTCAGGTAGTTCCTGGATCTCTCTATTGCTCACTGACACATTTTAGATTGTCAACAGTCTTCTTTGCTAAAACTCATTTTGTTATTCTGTGTCTCACAGAAAGCAGAGGCACATCATCTGCTATCATGACACTTTCATAATCGATGGCTATGATCTCTGCCCTCTGCAACCTTCTGTTCTCCTCACAAAACAGAAACTTACTCATTTTCCTCATAGTTCCTTAAAGCCCCTTAAAAAACACTTAATCTCTTTCAAATAGGAGGCACAGAAACACCCTCCAAAACAAAAACAAACAAGCAAACACACAATAACTTGATAGAGAGAAAAGAATTTTGAAATACATTCCAAAGTATTTAAGCCCCCCAAATTAAAATGAATTAAGACATATGCAAATAGATCATGTTCCCAATAGTTTCTCCTGAACACACACACACACACACGCACACGCGCACACACTAGCAGCAACTAGTAAAGCCTTTTGCAACTTGCGGTGTTTCCCAATCATCTAAATATAAGAAGCTATGAGCAGCTCCAGGCTGCCTTATCTCTCTCACAGATATCTGCCTCCTCTTGGTCCTGGGATTAAATCTTCTCTAGATCACTATCTCACCCTTCAGCTATTCAGTTCCCCATTGACAATGTAAATGTCACTTTGAAATAACTGTCCCTGTGACTTACTTTGAGGATGCTTGAAAAAGTAGTGCTTTTGCAGAAGTTGACGTTGGGTTATATTATTTCACATAAAACAGAATGTGGTCAGTGGGCAAATTCTGCTTCTTAAGGGTGTTCTAGTTCCTTTTAAGAAAGATTTTATGCCAAGAGAAAATAAAAAGTAACTGACCTTACCTTGGGCCACCCCTCCTTTTTTCATGATTGTAACATCCATATTATGTCAGGAGGCTAACAGGTCATAGGTAGTGGTGTTTTTTTTAACTAAAAATTAGTGTCCTCCACTGTTGTACATTTTGGCCAAATGTTTGTTCCACACTGGTGTGGAGTGGAGATTTCTGATTCTCAGAAGGCCTTGCCTAACTGTTCACCATCTTCTATCAGCTCTCACAACCCTCTCTTAATAACAAACCTTGGCCGGGCATGGTGGCTCATGCCTGTAATCCCAGCACTTTGGGAGGCCAAGGCGGGTAGATCACCTGAGGTCAGGAGTTCGAGACCAGCCTGACCAACATGGTGAAACCCCGTCTCTACTAAAAATACAAAATTAGCTGGGTGTGGTGGTGCATGCCTGTAATCCCAGCTACTCTGGAGGCTGAGGCAGGAGAATCACTTGAACCCAGGAGGTGGAGGTTGCAGTGAGCCGAGATTGCACACTCTGGCCTGGGCAACAAGAGCAAAACTCGATCTCAGGAAAAAAAAAAAAAAAAAAAAAGCCTTGGTAAACCTCTTCTTTTGTTGACACAACCATGGTCCCCATGTGTCCCATGGTATTTTTATAGCATTCCTGACAAGTCTATAAGAAAACGACCAGTAACCTTTGGAGAGAGGAGTCCTAACTGCTACCATGTGCCCTGGGTTATCTCAAGAATGTTCAGAGCTAAATTTACCACCTGTGCCATCTGTCATAGTTGACTCCCTCCTCATTCCATAGTCTCGTTTGCCTTTTTCTGTGGTATTACCTTATGTATTTTGTATTGTTAAGATTTCTCCACATCTTATTTGGAAACAGGCACCATGCAATAGAAATAGACTAGATCCATTTTGTCAGCAATTGACTTGAAGCAGTACTTACCTTTTCTAGTGCTCAGTTTCCAAACATATGAAATAAGAGGGTTCAACTGGATTTTGAGGCCACTTCCAGCTCTCACATTCTTTCACCAGGTGACTTTGGGGCTCTAATAATGCGTTTTGAAATACAGTCTAAAAGGAATACAGAGCTAAGGCTTCCACCGGAACAACAGGGCTGTTTTTCTGCCTACTTTGGGAAAGGAGTTAGGGTATGGGGAGATACTGGGTCCAGAATTGGTGTGTTCTTGATCTCACTGACTTCAAGAATGAAGCCATGGACCCTCGCGGTGAGTGTTACAGTTCTTAAAGGTGGCGTGTCCGGAGTTTGTTCCTTCTGATGTTTGAACGTCTTTGGAGTTTCTTCCTTCTGGTGGGTTCGTGGTCTCGCCGGCTCAGGAGTGAAGCTGCGGACCTTCACGGTGAGTGTTACAGCTCTTAAGGCGGCGCGTCTGGAGTTGTTCTTTCCTCCCGGTGGGCTCGTGGTCTCGCTGGCTCAGGAGTGAAGCTGCGGACCTTCGCCGTGAGTGTTACAGCTCCTAAAGGCAGCGTGGACCCAAAGAGCGAGCAGCAGCAAGAGTTCCTGCAAAGAGCGAAAGAACAAAGCTTCCACACAGCGAAGGAAGACCTGAGGGGATTGCCACTGCTGGCTCGGGCAGCCTGCTTTTATTCTCTTATCTGGCCCCGCCCACCCCCCCCCACATCCTGCTGATTGGTCCATTTTACAGAGAGCTGATTGGTCCGTTTTGACAGGGTGCTGACTGGTGCATTTACAATCCCCGAGCTAGACACAAAGTTTGCCACCTCCCCACCAGAGTAGCTAGATACAGTGTCCACTGGTGCATTCACAACCCCTGAGCTAGACACGGGGTGCCGATTGGTGTGTTTGCAAACCTTGAGCTAGATACAGAGTGCCGATTGGTGTATTTACAATCCTTTAGCTAGACATAAAGGTTCTCCAAGTCCCCACCAGACTCAGGAGCCCAGCTGGCTTCACCCAGTGGATCCCGCACTCAGCCGCAGGTGGAGCTGCCTGCCAGTCCCGCGCCGTGTGCCCGCGCTCCTCAGCCCTTGGGCGGTCGATGGGACTGGGCGCCGTGGAGTAGGGGGCGGCGCTCGTCGGGGAGACTCCGGCCGCACAGGAGCCCACGGAGTGGGGGGAGGCTCAGGCATGGCGGGCTGCAGGTCCCGAGCCCTGCCCCGCAGGGAAGCAGCTAAGGCCGGGCGAGAAATTGAGCACAGCAGCTGCTGGCCCAGGTGCTAAGCCCCTCACTGCCCGGGGATTGCCGGCTGGTCGGCTGCTCCGAGTGCGGGCCCGCTGAGCCCACGCCCACCCGGAACTCGCGCTGGCCCGCAAGCGCCGCGCGCAGCCCCGGTTCCGGCCTGCGCGTCTCCCTCCACACCTCCCTGCAAGCTGAGGGAGCAGGCTCCGGCCTTGGCCAGCCCAGAAAGGGGCTCCGTCAGTGCAGCGGCGGGCTGGAGGGCTCCTCGAGCGGGGCCAGAGTGGGCGCCAAGGCCGAGGAGGCGCCGAAAGCGAGCGAGGGCTGCGAGGGCTGTCAGCAGGTTGTCACCTCTCAATACCACTGATTCATAAATAGAAGCTATGTTCCCCTGGGAAGAAGCTATAAGCTGAATCCACTCCTCGTTGTGGCTGAAATATGTCTCACTTTTGAGCTTTCAAAGGATGCAATCTGGTTTATTCAGAGGATAGAGGTAAGAAAGTATCAAACTACTTGCAATAGCTATGTACTAAAGGTATTTAAGGGTGCTTCACAGAAAACTGAGATAGGAACTGCGGGCTGCACAAAAGGTGGTATTCAATCCAGACATCAGGTTCACCAAGACCCATGAGATCCTACCCGTGCCAGAAACAAAATCTTCATTGAAAACTTTCATTATTTACTTGCTCAACAGGGACTAAAAAGTCCCAGCCTAGTGTTAACTGGTTCATCTGGTGACCTGATCTGGCCCTCTGTGACCCGTTACTAAGTGAAATCTAACAGAAGTGAACCGTGACCCATTTGTTTTCCAAGCATGCAATTTGGTTCATGAATCTAGAAAACAATAGTGTGAAAAGCCTTTCACTTTCTAACTTTGGAAAATGATTATTTTTTAAAAACCTAATTAGATACCATGTTTCCTCTCTCTCTTTTTTTTTAAATAAGTTAGTTTAGTTAGAAAAGGCATTTCTGTGATGCATCTAATGGACTTGCTTGCTGCAGTGTGCTGGTAGAAATCTATAAAGAGTAAGTGCTGGGGGTGGGCCTGGAGTGGTGGGGAGAAGGAAAGCAAGCCACATCTCCTGATGCACAATTCTAAAGAATCCAGTGGTTCTTGAGTGTATATAGAGAGTACATATGAGTCAACAAGTAGACAAAGAAAATCCAGACCTTTGATGACCCCTGGTGAATAAACTAAGCACTGCATTGAAATGCAGCTAGAGCCACAGACTTCCGTGCAGGCAAGCCTCTGGAATGGCTCCTCTCTCGAGTAAGGCAAAAGGTTTTTTCTCCCCCAAATGCCTGTTTCATTTGTATTACAGACATACCTTACATACTTGAGGCATCGTTATCCTTCTGAACAATTCTCATGTTGGTGATCTCTGTTGGTAGAGACTAAGAAATGTGTATCCAACACTACTTTCTATTTGTGCTGTGACCTCTTAGACCCGAACAGTGTTATTCATGGAACACTGAAGAATTCAGTGACCTCCATAAAGCAAGATCTGTAACTATCTTTCAGATTAGGTATCTATTTATTATTTTTATGGAATAATTATAAAGAATAAATCAACCATCTTACATCACTCAAATTTAAGATCAGAGTTTAAAGATAATCACTTGTCTATAACTGCTGAGTACCGGGTAAAATACTCTTCTAGGCAGCAAAAGTCTGCATTTTTGTAAACAGCTGTGTGTGACCAGCATGTGGTACATGCGAGCCAGAAAGCAGGCTGTATTTTGTCAGCTTGTAGAAGAGAAGGGAAATTTGCCATTGTAAAAGAAGGAAGCAGAGAGGGGAGGTGCAGAGACTGAAATATTTTTATTGTACACCCCAGGCGTCCAATTATAAAAGAAATGTCAAATCCCTATTTGTAATAATCCAGAATGGAACCTACCTGGTAAAGTTATATAGAGTGGAATACAAAACAGTTTATACTGTTAATACAGTTTAGCTTATCAGTTATTTGCGTACCATAACTATTGGCTTTTAAGTTTTTGTTGCCTGAACAGGAAATATTTTTTATATCTCTCAGATTGGTGTACGCAGGGTGCTGAATTGCTGAGTTTATTCCTGCTCCCTTCACCCTTTTTAATCACCACAGACTAAGGAGTGCCTTTTTTCTCTGCTATGGTTTGAATGTTCCCTCCAAAACCCATGCTGACATTTAATTTCCAATAAAATGGTATTGGGGAGTGGGGCCTTTGAGAAGTGATGAGGTCATGAGGGCTCTGCCTGGTGAATGGATTAATGCTGTTACAGGAGTGGATTAGTTATCTCAGAAGTGGGGTCCTGATCAAAGGGTAAGTTTGGCCCCCATTTTCTCTCCACCTCATGCACTTGCTCACCACATAATGCCTTCTGCCACGGATGATGCATGGGAAGGCCCTCACCAGATGCTGGGGCCATGCTATTGGACTTCCTAGCCTCCAGAGCTGTGAGCCAAATCAACTTCTTTTTTAAAATGAATTACCCAGCCTGTGATATT
Organism: Homo sapiens; assembly: GCF_000001405.40. Classification (NCBI taxonomy): domain Eukaryota; kingdom Metazoa; phylum Chordata; class Mammalia; order Primates; family Hominidae; genus Homo; species Homo sapiens. Next base: position 3,731,498 of record NC_000009.12, on the reverse strand, counting down.
CTGTTAAAACAGCAGAAAATGGACTAATAAAATCTCTTTAAAAATGAACTAAATTAAATTTTTAAAGAAATACAAAGCATTACGTATTCCAAATATGTGCTTCAGCTTCATGGGTAGGCATCTCAGTCTCTCCACTGGGATTACAGGGGCTCAAGTAAACATAAGTCATCACTTTCTTATGTGGCCTTCAGCATAGTCCTTCTGGATGAGGAGGTTGGCATTCAGGAAATTTAATCAAAAGCCAGAGGTCTAAAATTTCAAAGGTGGAAAGTATCTTAGAAGTTGTTTAGTTTAATTCCTCCACTTAGTTTGAACATGAGAAAACTGAAACCTAGAATTGGGTGATGTTTCTAATACAGCACAACTAAACACAGATCTGTTTCTTCCCAGTCTAGCTGTCTGTCCTTTCCATCACTCTGCCTTCTTTGGGGCATGTTGAACATTCTGTGCCTTTATAGAGGACAGCCATGTCACCCTTGGGAGTATCGAGTAAATTGTTAAATTAGGAAATGAAGTGAAGAGGGGATATAATGAAACGTTAATAAGAATTTAAGAAACAACTCAATTTGGAGGAACATTTATACAATTTTCAGTTTCTTTTTCAAATTAGAAAAAGTAGTTTTGATTCTAACCACAAAGTCCATTTGTGTTTATTACTTCATTGCATGTTTTAATGACAAGTTATAGCATTATATATAGCACATTATAATGTGAAAGGTATGTCATGATACTATTATTGGTGTGATTAGGTATGTGTCCCACCATGTGGCTGAAGGACAAACAAATTACTAAGAATTTATGCACTGTGTGTCTCATTGTTACAAGTATTTTCTGAGACTTTTAACCCGGATATGACACATTTTGAAATCTTTATCTCATGTTTGAAGTTCGCTCATCTTTCATTTCTATATGAAGTACATATCCCAATTGAGTAAATGTAGCATTAAAAAGTCTCTTGGGGCTGGGTGTGTTGGTCATGCCTGTCATCCCAGTGCTTTTGGAGTCTGAGGCAGGAAGATCACTTGAAGCCAGGTGTTGAAGACCACCCTGTGTAACAGAGCAAGACCCCATCTCTACAAAAACATTTTAAATTAGCCAGATATGGTGGCATGCACCTGTAGTCCTAGATACTCAGGAGGCTGAGACAGAGAATTTCTTGAGCCCAGGAGTTCGAGGTTAGTGAGCCATAATTACACCACAGCATTCTGGCCTGAGCAACAGTGAGACTCTGTCTCTAAAAGAAAAGAAAAGGCTCTCCAGTATGCCACTGAGGCAGAAAAGTATCTGTGTATAAAGTGTTGGAAGATATGTCCAAATGCCTTCAAACTAAAAGTCATGGGCTCTAAGCCACCAAATACAACATAGGACTATTCACCCCAGATTCAATGAATCCTTCCTTTCAAAAGATCAGCTGGACATGATATGAGGTTCTTAGTAACCTGATCAAGGTTTGTTTCCCAGTTTTGAATCCATAGAAACCAACAAATTTAATGGAAAGGTAGCAAGATTTAATGGAAAAAGCATTGGGAATCTGAAGACTTAATTTTGCAACCCATCTCTGCCCTCTATAGCTGTGTAACTTTGGGCAAATTCTTTAGCCTTTCTTGTTGAATGAACTCAGTAATGGGGGTTAAGGAAAACTAACTCTGGCATATGTGGCTACAACCTGAAATTCTTCTGGGCCTGGTTATAGGGTAGTAATTTTGGCAGCCATAGCACAGGAGTATGAGCTAGACTGATTGTAGAGCCTCCTATAACATCCACACAAGAACATCTCCACAGGAGTAACCAAGCATCCCCTGGACTGGGCAAGACCAGTGTTCAGTGGCCACAGTGTATAGCTCTGGCTGAAGTTTGGCACCTATAAACTGAAGAACTATCAAGCCTCTTCTTCATCTAAATATAGGTGGTTTGACTTTTTATGCATGGGTGTGTGGCAGAGTAGGGAAGTGGGTATGTATCAAATGATGTATCCTAGATTTTCTTCTTTAAATGGCAGGCTTAGACTCAAGCAATTAATTGCAAAAAATAATGCAAGCATGACTAGTTTCACTTGAAGTTTAGATTTCTTGCCCATCATGCTGCTAAGAAAATTAATAATTTTACTGGCAATTCAATCAATTTTGAAGAACAAGCTCTTCCTGCATTGAAAACAAAAGCAAAACAAATAAAAAAACCTTAAATGTAGAAAAGTGATACAATTTACATTGTTCTCTATAGTACAGTCTTTCCTAGAGGATGGCGTTACAGTGTCCCAGGTTGATAGCCAGGTGTGGTGGCTCATTCCTGTAATCCAAGCACTGTGGGAGGCCGAGGCAGGTGGATTACTTGATGTCAGGAGTTTGAGACCAGACTGGCCAACACGGCGAAACCCCGTCTCTGCTAAAAATACAGAAATTAGCAGCATGTGGTGGCCTGTACCTGTAATCACAGATACTCAGGAGGCTGAGGTGGGAGAATTGCTTGAACCCAGGAGGCGAAGATTGCGAGTGGAGATCCTGCCACTGCACTCCAGCCTGGTTGAGAGGAAGTCACTTTTTCTTTTTCTTTTTTTTTTCCTTATTTTGAGACAGGGTCTTGCTCTGTCACCCAGACTGGAGTGCAGTGGCCTGATCTCAGCTCACTGCAACCTCCACCTCCCGGACTCAAGCCATTCTCCCACTTCAGCCTCCCGAGTAGCTCGACCACCATCACGCACCACCATGCCTGGCTAATTTTTGTATTTTTGGTAGAGACAGGGTTTCACCATGCTGCTCAGGCTGGTCTTGAACTCCTGAACTCAGGTGATCCACCCACTTGGCCTCCCGAAGTGCTTAGATTACCGGCGTAAGCCACCACTCCCGGCCAGGAAGACACTTTTTCTGATTTCATACATGTCACATGTCCCTTTCCATCTTAGAATGACTGCTTAATTTCATGACAGTATTTACTAATGGATGTGAGTTGTACATGTAAACAAGTATAGAGCCAGAAAAGCAGTTGCAAAATTTGGATTTAACCACAAGTGCAAGTAGATAAAAAGGAATCAATGTATGATGTGGCATAAGGTTCCAGAACCGCACAAATGAAAGAAAATATTCTTCAGCTATCTAGAAATGTGTTATTCAATCCAACAATTATTTATTCTATGTTACCTTAAATTTCCTACAATGATGCCTTATGGCGTCTAAGGCCTTTAATGATTTGTGATCTATCTGTCTGCTTGATCTTCTTCCACTGGCTTCTTGAGTTGCAGTAATTCAGAATTTTTAACCTTTGTTTGAAAACATTATTCTGTTCCATGCCACTACTCCTTGATATACTGTTTCTTTTTTTTTGGATTTTCTTCCTCCCCTAGTGAATTCCTACTCATTCTTAAAGACCTGGCTCAAATGCCTTTTGTCACCTGCCTTTGCCATGCGTAGGCACAATTAATTGCTGTTTTCCCTGCATATGTCACATTGTATTCTAATTATTTGTAAGCAAGTATTTTAACCATCCAGACTATAAACTTCAAAGGGCAATGACTGTGTTGTCGTCCTTCCCCAGTTCCTGGAACATGGTCTTTAAGCACCATTTTTGAATGAATGAATGGTATGAATGGTAGATTGAGCTACAAAAATGAAGACGTGGCCTTTAACCTAAAGAAGATTATAATCACAGATAGGAAATGAACATCTTAATCCAATCTTCACTCAAAGACAGATTTCCAAGGCTTGTCCTGAAGATACAAAGTGCTGTAGGAGCATGTGAGCCTAACAGTAAAACTTTTGTTGAAAGAATAATGAATAAAATAAACATTTATTGAATAAGTAACAAAGGACAATGATGAGAAAGTTATTGTAAGGGATAAACAGTAAACACTTGGTGGAGGAGACAATATTTGAGCTGAGGTTTAAAATCTTTACCACTGAGCAATGGTAAAGATTGCAAAGATTGAGCAGTAGTGCTGGTACAAGCAGAATCATAAAAACATGGTGTGTTGGGGAAATGAAAAGCAATCCAGTTGGTTAGAACTTAGTGAATATAGGAAGGGCTATTAAGGGATTTGTCTGAAGATCTGTATTGCAAGTACTATGAAAGCCTTGGATTTTAGGGGAAAAGCAGTGGGGAGCTGTTGAAGGTTTTAGAGCAGAGGAGTGAACTGAGCTATAAATACCTGTGTTGAATGAGGATTAAATGAGCTAATGTATAGAAACTGCTTGGAATAGTGGTTTGTACATAGTGAGTAACTCATGCATTTTTGTTATTATAGTCAGATATGTTTGGAAGAAGAAATAATGTGGGAAGAGATTGAAGTCAAGAAAAAAAATAAACTATAGCAATAGTCCAGATAAAAGGTAACAAATTTCTAAATCTAGACAGAGGTTGTAGGCATGAAAAGGAAAAGATTATATTCAAATGACATTTTAAAGGTAGAATGGAAGTACCTTGACCACCAATTGGTGATCCAAGAGCAATTTAGCCTTGCCATATAGAAGAGTGGTGGTATAAAAATAATGAAACCAGAGGAGTTGGTGGTCTGGAAGGCAGGTAATGTGTGCGTTGGATATGTTGAGTTGGATGGATCTTGGGACTCAAAAATGTCTACCAACCTAGTAGTTGTGTGGGTCTGAGGTCCAAGGAAGAGGAATAGATGAGAGATATAAATTTTGTGAATCATCAGCATAGAGGTGATCACTGACACCATGCAAGTGTAGAGGAAGAAGAGTATTGAGGGCAGAAAATTGGTGACTGCTAATTTTTAGCAGCAATCTGATCTTGTGTCTGATAATCCTTGAGACTTGCAGAGTGTCTTCCTTTCTTGCCAGTCATGCTATTTTGGGTACCAGTGGATGTTGTGTGCAGGAAAATCAGAACACAGAGCAAGGCAGCATAAATATGTATAAGCTGAGACAACTTAATCAATAATAACCTTCTTATTTCAACAAAATACAGGTGCTTTAAAAGGGCAAAGTAAGCATGCTAAGATTCCACCATAGTGCCCCTTAGTGTATTTCTAACCTGATCATTGACATACTTCAAATTAGGGAAATGCTTCTTCATTAGGAGCAAGCTTTCTTTTTTGTTGTCTCTCGATTCTGATATTGCATGGAAACTGACTTTTAATGATGTGCCTCACAGCTTTCACTTCACAACAATTATTTTTAAATGGTTATACCTTACAATACTTTATAATTATATAGCTCTTTGCAGCTTATAAAACTCTTAATGAGATTTTCTCAGTAACTTCATAAGATAGGCTGTATTTATTCCCATTTTACAGACATAAAAATTGAGTTTGAGGCCTCATGGCTTGATAATGACATTGAGAGGAAACTTCCGTGTAGCTGTACTTTAAAAACTGAAATATAACTAGATGCTTTAGAATGATCATCTCCCTTAATTTGTTGCATGTGGTCATTATTGATCCATGCAAGTTACTCTTTTATTTTTCTGTTCTTCATATCTCATTCTCCATTTCTAATTCTTTTTATTACCACAATAGGCACATACTCTCGTATATATTGTATATAACGTAGAGTGAAAAAAAGGAGCAGAATGAGATGTGTGGAATAAGATCTCTTATTTTCATTTATAATATATTTGTAGAAAAATCTATGTGTTATTTATGGATACGTTTATATGTGTGTAGGGTAGAGGAACAAGAATATTAAAACCTCTCTTCTGTCTCCTAGGAGGCTTTTGGAAATTCTGCTTTCCAGTGAAGAAATCTTCAGGTGTAGAGAACTGGTTGTCAAACTTGAGCATGAATCAGAAGCTCCTGAGGGTTTCTGAAAACACAGATTACTGGGTCCCCTGCCAGAGTTTCCTATTCAGTAAGTCTGGGATTTGCCTGAGAATTTACATTTCTAACAAGTTCCTGGGCAATGCTGATTCTGCTTATCTGGGACCACACTTTGGGAGACGCAGGCATAGGGGGAAAGGAAAGCCTAAGGGATGGGCATGTAATCCACAGGACTTTTTCAAATTCGCCAACTATCACCAAACGTTTTTTTCCTATGAAACAAACCCAAAATTTATTTTATTTCATTTTTAAATGTTTTTTTCTTCCAATTTGTATTTTAGGTTCACTGGTACATGTGCAGGTTTGTTACATGGGTAAATTGTGTACTTTGAGGGTTTGGTGTACAGATTATTTTGTCACCAGGTTATAAACATACTACCCTGATAGGTAGTTTTTCGATTCTCACTCTCCTCCCATCCTCACCCTCAAGTTGGCTCCAGTGTCTATTGTTCCCTCCTTAGTGTCCAGGTGTACTCAGTGTTTAGCTTCCACTTATGTGAGAACATGCAGCATTTGGTTTTCTGTTTCTGCATTAATTCACTTAGGGTAAGGCCTCCAGCTACATCCATATTGCAGCAAAGGACTTGATTTTGTTCTTTTATGGCTGCATAGTATTCCATGGTGTATATGCACCACATTTTCTTTATGCAATCCACCATTGATAGGCATCTAGGTTGATTCTATGTCTTTGATTTGAATAGTGCTGCAATAAACCTACACATGTATCTTTATGGTGGAACTATTTATATTCCTTTGGGTATGTACCCAATAATGGGATTGCTAGGACAAATGGTAGTTCTGTTTTAAGCTCTTTGAGATATCTCCAAATGGCTTTCCAGTGACTGAACTAATTTACATTCCCACCAGCAGTGTATAAGCATTGCCTTTTCTATACAACCTTGCCAGCATCTGTTATTTTTTGACTTTTCAATAATAGCCATTCTGACTGGTGTGACATGTCATCTCAGTGTGGTTTCGATTTGCATTTCTCTAATGATAGTGATGTTGAACATCTTTTTCATATGCTTTTTGGCCACATGTATGTCTGCTTTTGAGAAGAATCTGTTCATGTCCTTTGCCCATTTTGTAATGGGGTTTGTTTTTTTGCTTGTTAATTTGTCAATTTTTGTTTTTGTTGCAATTGTTTTTGGAATCTTCACCATTAAATCTTTGCCGGGGCCTGTATCCAGAATGGTATTTCCTAGGTTTTCTTCTAAGGTTTTTATAGTTTTAGATTTTACATCTAAGTCTTTAATCCAAAAGTGTCTTTCACCTTTTTTGTATATGGTGAAATGAAGGGGTCCAGTTTAAATCTTTTGCATATGGCTAGCCAGTTATCCCAGCAGCGTTTATTGAATAGGGAGTCCTTTCTCCATTGCTTGTTATCGTTGACTTTGTCAAAGATCAGATGGTTGTAGGTATGTAGTTTTATTTCTGGGTTCTTTAACCTGTTCCATTGGTCAGTATGTCTGTTTTTTTATCAGTACCATGCTGTTTTGGTTAATGTGGCCGTGTAGTGTAGTTTGAAGTTGGGTAACGTAATGCCTCTGGCTTTGCTCTTTTTGCTTAGTATTGCTTTGGTTGTTTGGGCTCTCTTTTGGTTCCATATGAATTTTAGAATAGTTTTTTCCAATTCCTTGAAAAATGGTATTGATAGTTTGGTAGGAATAGCTTTGAATCTGTAAATTGCTTTGGGGAGTATGGCCATTTTAACAATACTGAGTCTTCTTATCCATGAACATTGACTGTTTTTCCCTTAGTTTGTGTCATTTCTGATTTCTTTGAGCAGTGCTCTGCAATTCTCATTGTAGAAATCTTTCACCTCCCTGGTTAACTTTATTCCTAGGTATTTTATTCTTTTGGTGCTATTGCAAATGAGATTGTGTTCTTAATTTGGTTCTCAGCTTGGATATTATTGATGTATAGAAATGCTACTGATTTTTGTACATTCCAAGTCCCTTTCTGGCTTTTTTTGTTAGCTCCAGTTGTCATTCTATTTCTCTCCAGCTCTGCCTATAGTTTGGTAGAGTGGACAGAGAGGAAAGAGTTCTAGCCAAATAAATCAGCTCTGCCACTTTGATTAATGTCCGAGCAAATTACTTAATTTCTTGCTATGCTAGTATTCTCATTTCTACAGATCACAAAAATACTGCTAGTAAATCTTCAACTTTATTCATTAATTTCATTGTTCATAGTAATATTGGCATTGCTATTTTGAAACCATGTTATGAATATTATAAAATATGGCAAGTCAGTTATTAGAAATCAAGATATTCTAGATACAAGAAAACAGATATAAAACCAAATAAGTTCAGCAAAAACTCTAGATTGTCAAATGAGAATTGAAAATATTATTAATTTCTACTACTAAAAAATACATTTCCTACATCTGTCCATTGAGAAAAACTAGAACAATGACATCACAGTAGTAATAAGCATTCCCGGTTCCTTGATTTTGGTTTCTAAATACTATTTCCTACTAAAAGGACTCAGAGCTCCTTTAAGAAATATGTGATTTGGCTGGGCGTGGTGGCTCATGCCTGTAATCCCAGCACTTTGGGAGGCCAAGGTGGGTGGATCACTTGAGGTAAGGGGTTTGAGACCAGTCTGGACAACATGGTGAAACCCCATCTCTACTAAAAATACAAAAATTAGCTGGGCATGGTGGCACACACTTGTAATCCCAGCTACTTGGGAGGCCGAGGCAGGAGAATTGCTTGAACCCAGGAGGCGGAGGCTGCAGTGAGCTGATATCATGCCATTGCACTCCAGCTTGGGGGACAGAATGAGACCATCTCAAAAAAAAAGGTGGGGGGAATGATATGTGAATATGTGATTTTTGGTCTGAGGCAGCAGTTGTACAAAGTGAGCTGGGACATTTTCGAGGTCAGAAAGCTAACAAGTATTTAAAGATTAATGTGATAATGATAAAAGAAGACAGACTTAAGGGTCTCCCACAGGCCAAATTTGGGACAACCTGAACATCAAAAAAGAATAATTACTATAACCAAGTGAAGCACAGTGAATATGTAAAACTTTATGAGTCTATGTGAGATTCAAAAAGAGAAAAAAAAGAGTAATGAACTTCATTTGACACCCTTGGGATGACTATTATACCACTCCTTAATTTGAAAATTGGTTATTAAAGAGAGAGAATTAACCATTTATCCTGCTCTTGATGAGAGTAATTGCTTCTTTACACACACACACACACACACACACACACACACAGACACACACGCAAGCTGATAAATGTAGAAAGAATGATAGCATTAGACAAAATATCATTTTTGAAACCCTAATAAAATAATTGGTTTACATAAGAGTCATCAATTATTACAAAACTATTAGCTAAAAGGTTTATAGAAAAGTGGATATTTGCTAGCCAGTTGCAAAGGGAGGACCATATCTTTCCGATGGAGAGATTTGGCTGTTACCACCTTAATCCACTGATCAAACACAGCATCACTGAAAACGGGACAACTAGATATTATGTGCTTCCTGGTGGGATATAATATAGAGTAACTTTCAGGAAATCTTGCCAGGATGTTCAATCTGACTCCAATAAAGCCTTTAGATCCAAATTCTAATATACAGAGAATACAAGAGTTGCAGGAAAATGTTTAACAACTTTACATGGGAACAATTCTACAAGAGAGCTGGCCTGAATTCTTTAAAGAGCTAATGTCATAAGGAAAAGAATTGAAGGAAGTATTCTGATATTATAAGAGATATAAGACATACAGTAATTAAATAAATGTATAATTCCTGGTGAGATCTTGGTTTGATAAATTTTGGGGTCTTTTAGGGAAATTTAAATATAGAATGGATATTAGGGAATTACATTTAAGTGTGATAATAGTATTGTGGTTTTGTGGGGATATATCTTTAATTTTTAAAAATGGATGCTAAGTTATTTATGAATGATGTGTCATGATGTCAATAACTTATTTTAAATAGCTCAACAAAAAGCTATCTAGATAGATAAAATAAATATGGCCAATTGTTAAAAATTGCAACTATGGGTTTTCATTTTACTATTTCTTCTACTTCTCTGTACATTTGAGATTTTTAATAATGTAAAAATTTTGAGTTTAAAAATATTTTTAAATTTATATTCTATATGTGACATATATTTTAATCTGTATGTGTCCAAAACATCTATCACAAATAGTAGGGGTTTAAAAATGTTAGTTCCCTTCCTTACACTGAAATAAGAAGAAAAAAACAAACCTTATCTTTGGCTCAGCTTAAATTCTTTTTTTAGAATGAAGTGAAGTTTAAACAAACATACACATAAGTAAACAAGCAAACAAACTTCTCACCCCATTCTCCCTTCCACCCCATTCCTCTAATTGATTTACTTGGCTTGCCTTTGTTGTACCAACAGAGAGAGCCTTCAGCTTTTAATTCACTCTGGATAGTGCCAAAGACATTTTGCACTTATTCAAATCATAAGGTCTAAGAGAGAGAAAGTGGGAGAGAAAGCATGCAATGAGAAGACAGATGGAGTGGGGAAGAGATATGAGACAGATGGGCCTCTCTCAGAACAAGCAATATTGCCATAATAATAAAACTGTAAAAACAATTCAAGGAGAATGGTTTAAATACTAAGAGCTGGACTGCCCCAACTTGCTAGAAATATGGCCAGAGGGGACCTAAACTCACCCTAACCTTCCTGAAGTCAGAATTCAGATTCTTTCATTCTAGTGAAAGATCACCTTGGCTTATTTGCATATAGGCAGGCCAAGGTTATCCAAGTTTCAATTCACGTCTAAAACAAGGAATACATAAGTAGTCACTCTTTCAACAGATATTTATCAAGCTTCTACTATATGCCAGGCACTTTTCACGGAGCTTGAGATATATTAGAGAACAAAACACACTAAAATTCCTGCCCTTATGGACAGATAATAAATAAAGAAATAAATAAGCTAAATGGAGCATGGTTTGCAATTTAAAATAGGACGGTAAAGATGGACTTCGCTGAGACAGCCATTTAAGCAAACACTTAAAGAGAGCAATGGAGTCAGCTGTGCTACTGGTTGCAGGAAGAGCTTTACAGGCAGAAAGAATGGAAAGTGCAGAGACCCTATGGCAGCTATGTGCCTGGTAAGTCCCAGGAACGGAGCACAGGCTGGGAGGACTAAGAGTGAGATTGAGGAAAATGGTAAGACATAAGGTCAGAAGTAATGATGACCAGGTCATGAAGGGCCTTGAATACACTGAAGAATTTGGATTTTACCCTAAAGTTAAATAGGATCCAAGGAGCATGAGTAGAGAGGAATGACATGCTCTGGCTTATATTTTTAAAAGAGGGCTCTGACAACTGTGTTGTGAATAGACTGAAGGGGAGCAAGGTAGAAGCAGGGAGACTAATTAAGTAGCTACTGCAGTAATCAGGTGAATGGTGATGGTTGCTTGGATCAAGGTGAAAATGGTGGAATATAAAAATAAATGTAACTGGATCAGATGCTTGCAGTGAGAAGAAGCAAACAAAAAATTTTAGCTCCTTATTTCTCAATGTCATATATGAAGATGTTTACTTTTTCATCTAAAGGTAAGCTTTATCCAACATGTACATGACCTTGTGAATTACTATGGAGTGAATTATCTTGTATGGCTTTCTGTGGAGTTCAGGGAACAAGATAATGGGAAGTATCTTTAGGGCTGATGGGAGCATGAGTGGAATGAGTACTTACAACAAGGACCCAAGAGTCCAGAAGAAATTCCAGGGCCTGGCTATATTGCCTGGCTATATTGCATATCAATACAAATTTTGTTGAAAACCATTTAGACCGTCTGGCCTTGCTGGCATGCCAGAATTTTTTTTTTTTTTTTTTTTTTTTTTTTTTTTACCAGAACCAGGTCCACTTTCAGGGCTCCATGGGGGCTCTTCAATGATAGTTACTTTAAAAATGCTAGACTTCCTTCTTGTTAAAGGCAAAGACATAAAGTGAAATTGTAATTCTAAAGTTACTTTCAAGTGATAAAGTCAAAGGTTTGACTCAAGAATAGAACTTAGCGAATAGGGGGAAGCAATGACTCATGTCCAGGCTGTGTGGTCATCCCACCTCTGAATGATCTTGGCAGCATCCTAGAACTACAAGAAAAGCAATTAGAAGAAACTGGGATTGCAGTTTAGGACAGTAGAGCCTACAACTCTCCTCCATACTGGTTGTACTAATTTACATTCCTGCCAACAGTGTACAAAGGTTCCTTCTTCTCCACATCCTCTCCAGCATTTGTTATTGTCTGACTTTTGGATAGAAGCCATTGTAACTGGGGTGAGATAATATCTCATTGTAGTTTTGATTTGCATTTCTCTGAAGATCAATGATGTGGAGTACTTTTTCATATGCCTCTTTGCCATATGTATGTCTTCTTTTGAGAAATGTTCAAATCTTTTGCCCATTTCTTGATCAGATTACTAGATTTTTACCTATAGTTATGAATCCATTGTCAGATAGATAGCTTGCAAATATTTTTTCTCATTCTGTGGGTTGTCCCTTCACTTCGTTGACAGTATCCTTTGTTGTGCAGAAGCTTTTTAACTTGATGTGATCCCATATGTCCATTTTTGCTTTGGTTGCCTATGCCTGTGGGGTATTACTCAAGAAATTTTTTGCTCAAACCAATGTCCTGGAGAGTTTCCCCCATGTTTTCTTGTGGTAGTTTCATAGTTTGAGGTCTTAGATTTAAGTCTTTAATCCATTTTGATTTTACTTTTGTATATGGTGAGACATAGGGGTCTATTTTTATTCTTCTGCATATGGATATCCAGTTTTCCTAGCTCCATTTATTGAAGATACTGTCCTTTCCCCAAGATAAGTTCTTGGTAACTTTGTTGAAAATGAGTTCAATGTAGGTGTGTGAATTTCTTCCTGTGTTCTCTATACTGTTCCATCAATCTGTGTATCCGCTTTTATGGCAAAAACCATGCTGTTTTGGTTACCACAGCTCTGTAGTTATTATCTGTGGTATTATCTGAAGTCAGGTAATGTGATTTCTCAAGTTTTGTTCTTTTGGCTTAGGATAACTTTGACTATTCTGGGTCTTTTTTGATTCCATATAAATTTTATGATTAGTTATCCTGTTTCCATGAAGAATGCCATTGGTATGTTGATAGGGATTGCATTAAATCTGTAGGTTGCTTTGGGTAGTATGGGCATTTTTAAAATATTGATTCTTCTAATCCATGAACATAGAATATCTTTTCATTTTTTTTGGTGTCCTCCTCAATTTATTTCATTAGCTTTTTAAAGTTTTCATTGCAGACATCTTTCATTTCTTTGGTTAAGTTTATTCCTAGGTATCTTAATTTTAGCTATTGTACATGGGATTACTTTCTTGATTTCTTTTTCTGATTCCTTTCTTTTTTTGCTGTTGGCATATAGACATGCTACTGATTTCTGTGTGTTGATTTTACATCCTGAAACTTTCCTGAATTTTCTTATCAGTTCTAATAATTTTTAGATGGAATCTTCAGGTTTTTCCAAATATAAGAGCGTATCATCTGCAAACCAGGATAATGTGACTTCTTCCTTTCCAGTTTCGATGCACTTTCTTTCTTTCCCTTGTCTAATTTCTTTAGTTAGGACTTTCAGTACTACGTTGAATAACAGTGATGAAAGTGAACATCCTTGTCTTTTTTTAGATCTTAGAGGAAAGGCTGTCGGTTTTTCCCATTGAGTGCAATACTAGCTGTGGGTCTGTTGTATATGGCTTTTATTATGTTCAAGTATGTTCCCTCTCTACCCAGGTTTTTGAGGAAGGGATGTTGAACTTTATGAAATGCTTTTTTAGCATCAATTAAAATGATCATATGTTTTTTGTTCCTCATTCTGTTGATATGATATATCAATCTGATGATTGATTTGCATATCTTGAACCATCCTGCCATCCCTGGGATAAATACCCCTTGGTCATGATGAATTTGGTTTGCTAGTATTTTTTTGAGGATTTTTACATCAATATTCTTCAGTGATATTAGCCTGTAGTTTTCTTTTTTTAATGTATCTTTGTCTGGTTTTGGTATCAGGGTAGTACTGGCCTCATATAATGAGTTTGGAAGTATTCTCTCTTCCTTTATTTTTTGAAACAGTTTTAGTAGGACTGTATTAGTTCTTTAAATGTTTGGCAGAATTCAGCCATGAAGCTATCAGATGATGGACTTGACTTTACTGGGAGACTTTTTATTAGGGCTTCAATCTTGTTATTTGTTATTGATGTGTTCAGGTTTTGTATTTCTTCATGGTTCAGTCTTGGTAGGTTTTATGTGCCTAGGAATTTATCCATTTCTTCTAGATTTTCCAATTCATATAGTGGCTCATAGTAGCCTCTAATGAGCCTCTGAATTTCTGCAGTATCAGTTGTAATGTCTCCTTTTTCATCTCTGGTTTTATTTATTTGAGCTTTCTCTCTTTTTTTCTTAGTTAATCTGGCTAAAGCTTTGTCAAATTTGTTCATCTTTTCAAAAAAAAACCACTTTTTGTTTCCATTAATATTTTTTATTTTTTCTTTTCAAATTCATTTATTTCTGCTCTGATCTTTATAATTTTTTTCTTCTACTAATTTGGGGTTCAGTTTTCTCTTGCTTTTCTAGTTCTTTAAGATGCATCATTATGCTATTTATTTAAAGTTTTTCTTCTTTTTGAACTAGGCACATAGGTATAAATTTCCCTCTTAGTACTGCTTTCACTGTGCCCATAGATTTTAGTATGTTGTGTTTCCATTATCTTTTATTTCAAGAAAGGTTTCAATTTCCTTCTTAATTTCTTCCTCGAGCCACTGGTAATTCAGGAGCACATTGTTTAATTTCCATGTGTTTGTATGGTTTCCAAAATTCCTTTCGTTGTTGACATACTAGTTTTATTCCATTCTGGTCAGGGAACATGCTTGGTGTTATTTCAATTTTTTCGAATCTTTTAAGACTTGTTCTGTGACCTAACATATGTTCTATCCTAGAGAATAATCCATGTGCTGAAGAGAAAAATGTATATTCTGTAGCTGTTGGGTGAAATGTTCTGTAAATATCTATTAGATCCTGTAAATATCTATTTGTTCTATAGTGCAGATTATGTCCAATATTTGTTGATTTTCTGTCTGGGAGATCTGTCCAGTGCTGAAAGCGAGATGTTGAAGTCTCCAGCTATTATTGTATTGAGGTCTATTTCTCTTTTTAGCTCTAATAATATTTGTTTTATATATCTGAATGTTCCAGTGTTGGGTGTATCTATATTTACAATCATTATATCCTCTTGCTGAATTGACCCCTGTATCATTACATAATGACCTTCTTTGTCTGTTCTTACCATTTTTGTCTTGAACTCTACTTTGTCTGATATAAGTATAGCTATTCCTGCTCTTTTTTGGGTTTTCCATTGGCATGGAATATCTTTTGCCATCCTTTTATTTTTAGTCTACATGTACCTTTAAAGATGAAGTGTGTTTCTTGTAGGAAACAGATGATTGGATCTTGTTTTTTCAACCATTCAGCCACTCTGTGTCTTTTGATTGGAGAGTATGGTCAATTTACAATCACTGTTGTTGATAAGTAGGGACTCACTCCTGCCGTTTGGTTACTTGTTTTCTGGTTGCTTTGTAGTCTTATTATCCTTCTTTCCTTCTTTCCTGTATTCTTTTAATGAAGGTAATTTTCTCTGGTGGTATGCTTTAACTTCTTGCTGTTTATTTTTTGTGTATCTGTTTTATGTTTTTTGATTTGACGTTACCATGAGACTTGCCAGTAGTACTTTATAACTCATTATTTTAAACTGATGACAACACTGACTGCATAAATAAACAAACATGCAAAAATAAAACTGATTAAAAACTGCACTTTCACTTCATCCCCCTGCTTTTTAACTTTTTGCTGTTTCTCCTTATGCCTTATTGTACTATGTCTTGAAAATTTGTTTTGGTTATTTTTTATTGGTTCATAATTTAGTCTTTCTACTTAAGTCGAGATGTTTATACACTGCAATTACAGTGTTATAGTAATCTGTGCTTTTCTGTGTGCTGTTACCAGTGAGGTTTGTACCTTTAGATGATTTCTTCTTGCTCATTAACATCCTTTTCTTTCAGATTGAAGAACTCCCTTTAGCATTTCTGTAGGACAGGTTTGGTGGTGATGAAATCTCTCAGCTTTTGTTTATCTGGGAAGGTCTTTATTTCTCTTTCATGCTGAAAGGATATTTTTGCCAGATATACTATTTTAGACTAAAAGATTTTTCCCCTTCAGCACTCTAAATATGTCATACCACTCTCTCCTGGCCTGTAATGTTTCCCCTGAAAAGTCTGCCAGATGTATTGGAGCTCCATTTTATGTTATTTATTTTTTTCTCTTGCTGCTTTTAGGATCCTTTTATTTATCCTTGACCTTTGGGAGTTTGAAGATTGAATGCTTTGAAGTAGTCTTATTTGGGTTAAATCTGCTTGGTGTTCTATTTCCTTCTTGTACTTCAGTGTTGATATTTTTCTCTAGGTTTGGGAATTCTCTGATATTATCCCTTTAAATAAATGTTTTACCCCTGTATCTATCTCTATCTCTGTCTCTATCTCTATCTTTATCTCTGTCTCTATCATCTACCTTTATCTCCTCTTTAAGGTCAAAAACTCTTAGATTTGTGCTTTCGAGGCTGTCATCTAGATCCGTAGGCATGCTTCATTGTTTTTTATTCTTTTTTCTTTTGTCTCCTCTGACTGCATATTTTTAAATATCCTGTCTTCAAGCTCACTAATTCCGATTAATTCTACTATGAAGATAATCTGATGCATTATTCAGCATGTCAATTGCATTTTTCAACTCTAGAATTTCTGCTTGATTCTTTTTAATTATTTCAATCTCTTTGTTAAATTTATCTGATAGAATTCTGAATTCCTTCTCTGTGTTATCCTGAATTTCTTTGAGTTTCTTCTTTGAGTTTCTCAAAACAGCTATTTTGAATTCTGTGTCTGAAAGGTCATATATCTCTGTTTCTCCCTGATTGGTCCCTGGTGCCTTACTAAGTTCATTTGGTGAGGTCATGTTTTTCTGGATGGTGTTAATGCTTATAGATATTCTTTGGTGTCTGGGCATTGAAGAGTTTGGCATTGATTTTAATCTTCACAGTCTGGGCATGTTTGTGTCTGTTCTTGGGAAGGCTTTCCAGGTATTCAAAGGGACTTGGGCCCCAAGCCCAATAATAGTGTGGTTTTTGCAGACTCATGGAAGTACCACCTTGGTGGTCTTGGATAAGATCCTGAAAAATTCTCTGAATTACTAGGCAAAGACTCTTGTTCTTTTTCCTTACTTACTCCCAAATATACAGAGTCTCTATCGCTCAGGGCTGAACCACCTGGAACTGGGGGTGTGGTGATGCAAGCACTTCTCTTGCCACCACCACTGGGACCGTGCTGGGTCAGACCTGAAGCCGGCCTAGTACTAGGTCTTGCCGAAGGCCCTTCCTTTCAGTGTGGTGAGTTCCCCCAGGCCCCAGGTGTGTCCAGAGATGCAGCCTGGGAACAAGGGATTGGAGTCAAAAACCTTTGCAATTTACCTGATGTTCTATTCTACTGTGGCTAAGCTGACACTCAGACCACCATACAAAGTCATTTTCACTCTCCTTTCCTCTTACCACAGACAGAGAAGCCTTTCCCTGTGGCCACCACCAGCAGTAATCTAAGGTGAGTTCTGCCAGGCCACCACTGATATTTGCTTAAAGCCCAAGGACTCTTATGTCAGCTTTTGGTGAATGCTGCCAGGCCTGGGACTCACCCTTCAGGGCAGTGGGCTCCCCTCTGGCCCAGGGCAGGTCCAGAAATGCTGTTCAAGAGCCTAGGCCTGGACTTGGGGACCTCAAGATCCTTCTTACTGCTCTATCTTACTGTGGCCAAGCTGGTACATAGGGTGCAAGACAAAGTCTTCTTTACTTTTACCTCTGCTTTTCTCAAACAGGAGTCTTTCACTATAGCCACTGTAGCTAGGAATGTGCTGGGTCTCCCCTGAAGCCAGCATGTTTCAGAGCCCAAGGTCCAAGGTGTACTTCATGGTTATTACTGGTGGTTATTCAGGGCCCAAGGCTCTTTAGTCAGCAGATGATGAATTCTGCCAATACTTGGTCCTTCCCTTCAAGGCAGTGGGTTCCCTTTTGGCCCAAGGTGTGTCTAGAAATATCACCCAGGAGCTAAGGCCTGAAATGGGAGCCTTGTGACTCTGCCCGGTGTCCTGTCTTACTGTGGCTGAGCTGGTATCCAAGATAAAAGACAAAGTCCTCTTTATTCTTCATGCTCCTCTCCTTAAGCAGAAGGAAGACATCCCGTCTTCCTTCTGTGACGTCTTCCTTCTACGACTATGACTTTCTCCCTTGCTATGAGCTGTGCTGCCTGGGGTTGGGGGAGGGATGGCTTAGCCATCAGCTGGTATCTCCCTAGGTCATGTACCACCCTCGTTCACTGGCTCTAAGCCCAGCCTACCACTAGGAGTTGCCCAGGAATTGTAGTCCTTGTGTCCTAGACTACCTTTAAAGTTTACCTAGGACCCCAGAGCACTTTGGCTTGCAGTGGTGAGGCTTGCCAAGAAACTCAAGTTTTGATTGAAAGGATGGGTGACCCACATCTGGCTAGGGCTGGTCCAAATGCTCCCTCTATGTGCTGGAGCTGGCTGAGCCCAGCACGGCTTTATTTTCCACTGTGACAGAACAGCACTGTGTTCCATGTAAAGTCCCCCAGTCACTGCACTCTTCCACCCCAAAGTGCACAGATTCTCTCTCCTTGCAGCATGGTCACTGCCAGGGGATGGGGAAGGGATGGTGTTGGTGACTCAAGACTGCCTCTCCTGCCCTCCTCAGTGCCCCTTTCCACAATATGAAGTTAAAACCAGGTGCTGTGATTGCTCACGTGATTGTTTGTTCTTGAGACGGTGCTTTGCTGTGTGCAGAGAGTTGCTAAAATTTGGTGTTCCAGTTGGGGAGCTAAGGGGGTGTACAATGTAGGCTTCTATTCTACCATCTTGCTCTGCCTGCTCAAGAATTGCATTTAAGTTACAAAACAATTTGTAGAGGATTGATATCTTAATATTAAATTTAACCAATAAATAATTATTTAGGTCTTTAATATCTTTTAGCAATGTTTTATAGTTTCAGTGTACAGAACTTGCCCATTATTTTTTAGATTTATCTCCAAGTATTTTGTATTTGTTGATGCTTTTACAAATTGTTTTGTTTCTAAATTTCCATTTCTGATTACCTATTGCTAACATATAATCAATTATATTTTTCAGATACCTACAGCTGTGTGAAATTCAGTAGTTCTAGTAATTTTTTTTGTAGAATCCTTATAATTTTATGGACTGTCATTTCCTCTGTGAATAAAGACAGTTTTACTGCTTTCTTTTTTATTATTTTATTTTTTAAGTTCTGGGGCACATGTGCAGGATGTGCAGGTTTGTTACATAGGTAAATGTATGCTATGGTGGTTTGCTGCACCTGTCAACCCATCACCTAGGTACTAAGCCCAGCACGCATTAGCTCTTTTTCCTAATGTTCTCTCTACCACCCTCCCCTGACAGTCCCCTGTGTGTTTTACTCGCCTCCCTGTGTCCATGTGTTCTCACTGTTCAGTTCCCACTTATAAGTGAGAGTTTTGCTTCTTTATTACCACTCTAGATGCCTTGTATTTATTTTCATTGCCTGATTGCTTTGATTAGAACCTCCAGTACATTGTTGAAAAAAAAAGGTGAGAGAAGATATCTATGTCATGGTCCTAAAAGTTAGAGGGAAAGTGTGCAGGCTTTCCCATTAAGTATGGTGTTAGTAGGTTTTTCATAGATGCTCTTTAACTGGTTGAGAACGTTCACTTCTGTTTCAATTTTGCTGGGAGTTTTCTTTTTCTAATCAGGATTGAATGTTCAATTCATGTTCAGGAATGTTCAAGAATACTTTTCTATGTTTATTGAGATGATTATATAGTTTTTCATTTTTAGTTTGCTAATATAGTGAGTCACATTTCTTGATTTTAAAATGTTAAACCATTTGAAATTCTACATTCATAAGCTAAATCTCATTTGGTCATGATATATTGTTCCTTTTATACATTATTGAATTTTATTTGGTAAACTATTGATTTTTCGCATCTATATTCATGAGAAATATTAATCTGTAGTTTTCTTCTTTTATAATGTCTTACTTTGATTTTGGTATCAAGGTAATGCTGAACTCATAAAATGAGTTGTGAATTGTTCCCTGTCATGTTATCTTCTGGGTATTTGTGTAGAATTGGTATTATTTCTTCCTTAAATTTTTGATAGAATTTACTTAACCCATCTAGAGTTTTTTCTGTGAGAAGATCTTTAACTATGAATTCAATTTTTTATAATAAACACAGGGCAATTCTGATTACCTACTTTTCTTGAATGAGCTTTGGTAGTGTGTCTTTTAAAAAATGTGTCCATTTTACCCATGTTGTCAAATTTCTTTGCGTAAAGTTGTTCATCATATTCCCTTCTTACTTTCTAGGTATCTTTCAATAATTTTAATATGAGTTTAGTAGCTTAGTAGTAATGTACCCTGTTTTATTCTTAGTAATAGTAATTCGTGTCCCTGACTTAATCTTGTCATTCTCTCTCTGCTTGTCTCTCTGTTTGTCTCTCTCTCGTCAACCTGACAAGGTTTATTGATTTTATAGATCTTTTCAAATAATTAGTGTTTTTTTATGGATTTTCTTCATTACTTTTCTGCTTTCTATTTCATTGATTACCATATTGGTACTTATTATTTTCTTTTTTCTAATTTATTTGGGTTTAATTTGTTCTGCTTTTTCTAGGCTTAAGGGAGAAGATTTGAGACCCTTCTTCTTTCCTATTATAGGTGTGAAATTCTATAATATTTATTCTAACTTCTGATTTAGTGGCAGTTGTGTATTTTGTAAGGCTGCATTTTTATTTTCACTCAGTTAAAAATAGTTTCTAATTTCCCTTTGATTTCTTGTTGAGTCCTGCTTCTTATCCAATTTGATAATCTCTACATTTTATTTGCAGGGTTTAGCCCATTTACATTTGTGGAATTTTCAATATGTTTAGACTTAAGTCTATCATCTTGCTATTTGTCTTCTATTTGTCCTGTTATTTATTCTTCTTTTTCTGGCTTCTTTTGGAGTAACTAAATATTTTTCATCATTTCATTTAATCTCCTTTGTGGCTTGTTAGCTATAACACTGATTATTTTAGTGATTGCTTTAGGGCTTACAATATATGTTTTTAACTTGTTATAGTCTATGTTCCAGTTATGTTATATCATTTACATATAAAAATCTTATAATAGGCTGGGCATGGTGGCTCATGCCAGTAATCCCAGTACTTTGGGAGGCCAAGGCAGACAGATCTCTTCAGTTCAGGAGTTCGAGTCCACCTTGAGTGACATTGCAAAACGCTGTCTCTACAAAAAATACAAAAATTAGCCAGGCATGATGATGCACACTTGTAGACCCAGCTACCCAGGAAGCTGAGGCAGGAGGATCACTTGAGCCTAGGAGTTAGAAGTTGCAGTGAGCCAAGATTGTGCCATTGCACTCCACCCTGGGTGACAGAGTGAGATTCTGTTTCAAAAACAAACAAACCAACAAAAAATAAAAAAAACCCTTACAATATATTTTCATTTCTGCCTTCCAGACTTAAATTGCGGTCATGTTTTATTTCTACACATTATGAACTCCACAACATATTATTATTATTTTGCTTGTATAGTCAATTATCTTTTAAAAAGATTTAAATAGTAAGAAAGTATCTTGGCTGTGTGTGGTGGCACACACGTATAATCCTAGCACCTTGGGAGACCAAGGCAAGTGGATCACTTGAGCCTAGGTGTTCAAGATGAGCCTGGGAAACATGGCACAACCTCGTCTCTACAAAAAATTAAAAAAAATTGCCTGGGCATGGTGGCACATGCCTGTAGTCCCAGCTACGCGGGAGGCTGAGGTGGGAGAATCATATGAGCCCTGAAAGTCTAGGCTGTGTGAGTTGTGATCATGCCATTGCTCTCCAGCCTGGGCGACAGAGTGAGACCCTGTCTCAGAAAAAAAAAAAAAAAAAAAAAGAAAGAAAGAAAAGAAAAGAAAGTATTTTCGATAATTACCTATATTGTTTCCATATCTGGTGTTCTTTATTCATTTGTGTGGTCTAAACTCCAATTATACATTTATTCGGCCACTTGAAATTGTCTTACAAATTACTTATGCTATATTCATTTTTTAAAATTCTTTTTTTCTTTGTGTTTAATGTGAACAGTTTCTATTGATAGGCTAGGTTTTCTTATCTCTTCTTTTGTAAAGTCTAATTTGCTCTTAATTCTATTCAGTATAGTTTTCATCTGAGATATTTATAGTTTTCATCTCTAGAAGTTCAATTTGGGTCTTTTTATATCTCCTATGTAGTAAAATTTTAGAACATCTAGTATACAGTTATAATAACTGTTCTTCTCTTAATTCTAATATTTATGTCAGTTTTAAATAGGTTTTGATTGGTTAATTTTTCCCTATTACAGGTCATATTTTCTTGCTTCTTTGCATGCTTCATATTTTCTGATTCTATGCCAGATGTAATTTCTACCTTATTGGATACTGGATATTTTTGACCTGTATTACAGTCAAGTTACTTGGAAACAGTTTGATCTTCTGGAAACTTGCTTTTTAAGATGTGTTAGTGAGACCAAAGTAGTATTTAGTTCAGGGACCATTGTTCTCCACTACTGAAGCAAGACCTTCTGGGCATTCTGCCCAATGCCTCATTAGTTGTCAGGCTTGTGAGAATAGTCACTATTCCTGATCCTGTAACAGTACCAGCCTTGTGCCCTCCAACTCTTGTTTTGTTTTTTGAGACAAGGTCTCAGTCTGTCACCCAGGCTGAAGTGCAGTGACATAATCGTAGTTCACTGCAGCCTTGAATTATTAGGATCAAGAGATTCTTCCACTTCAGCCTGCCAAGTAGCTGGAGCTACAGGTGTATGCCACCATGCATAGCTCAATCCTCTTATTTGGTTCTTTTCCAAGTATTGGGTAGTTTCCTTATGAACAGCATGCACCAATCAGTACTCCACTGAATTCACTGAATTCTCCAGAGGTACTTCCAGAGGTACTTTTTTTTTTTTTTTTTTTTAAGACTGAGTCTTGCTCTGCTGCCCAGGCTGGAGTTGCAATGGCGCGATCTCGGCTCACTGCAAACTCTGCCCCCACGGGTTCAAGCATTTCTCCTGCGTCAGCCTCCCAAGTAGCTGGGATTACAGGCGCCCACCACCACTCCCGACTAATACTTTGTATTTTTAGTAGAGATGGGGTTTCACCTTGTTGGCCAGGCTGGTCTCAAACTCCTGACCTCAGGTGATCCACCTGCCACAGCCTCCCAAAGTGCTGGGATTACAGGCGGAGCCACTGTGCCCCGCCTCCAGAGGGACTTTTTACAGATTTCCAGAGAACTTTTTTGCGCAGCTCTCTCCTCTATGGTCCTCTGTTCTGAAACCTCTAGCCACTAAGGTCTCCCCCGATCCTTAGCTCTGTCTTCTCAACTTAAAGAGGAAGTTTCCTGGGCTCCAACTGGATTTTTGCTTCTTGCTCTGTGGCCTTGAAATTCTCTCAAGGCAATCAGTAAGTTCAGCAATCATAGGTCTCACCTTTGTTTCCCTTCTCTCAAGAATCACTGTCTTTCGTTGCCTGAGCCTAGTGTCTTATTGTTTTATATATTTTGTCTTTTTGTTTGTTTGAATGTTTCAGTTGGAAAATAACTGTCTGGATTACTTCATTTTGGCCAGAAGCAGCAATCACTGGTGAAGTTTTAAAGTGGAAGAATTCTGTGTTGCCGGCTGAAAGGAGATTCAAAGCTTATAGATTCTATGCTACTGGTAGCAGAGCTGAAATTTTGTTTAGAAATCACAGAGCTTGCTTTGAACATTTTTGCCTTTGGCCTGGAAGGTGCTTGAAGTAACACCAGCGGCCAGGGGTACCTTATAGTTTCTTTATTTGATATTACAACTATAAATTATAGCAGTTAAACTCAGCTGGTACAAGTCACTTATTTATTTATTTATTTATTTATTTATTTATTTATTTATTTATTTATTTATTTATTTATTTGAGATGGAGTCTCATTCTGTCACCCAGGCTTGAGTGCACTGGCGTGATCTCGGATCCCTGCAACCACCGTCTCCCGGGTTCAAGCGATTCTCCTGCCTCAGCCTCCCAAGTAGCAGGTGCCAGCCACCATGCTTGGCTACTTTTTTTGTATTTTTAGAAGAGATGGGGTTTCACCATGTTGGCCATGCTGGACTCGAACTCCTGACCTCAAGTGATCCACCTGCCCTGGCCTCCCAAAATGCAGGGATTACAGGCATAAGCCACCACTCCTGGCCCAAGTCACCTCTTTTAAAATGCAAAATCCCTTGGGAATTAATGAGTAGTAACCTTCTAACAAGTTAAGAGCTACTGATTATTGGAAATTTCCTGGTATATGTCAGCCACTTTAGTGAACATTTTATATCCATTCATTCATTGAATCTTCACATTAATCCACTCAGGTACCTTTGTAGCTTAAATAGACTGGAAGAAGTTGAGGAACTTGTCCAAAGTCTGAGAGCTCTTGAGTGCATTAGAACCTAGACTTAGAAGATGCCAACCTCTTGCTTTTCAAAGTGTAGTCCACAGACCAGCAACAATAGCACAACCTCAGGCTCTATTCTAGACCTACTGAATCCAGACTTGCATTTTAATAAGGATTCCGCTTGATTTACCTGAACAGTCAAATTTCAGAAGTCCTGCTCTGATCCGTGCTCAACCTGTTCTCCCTGTCAACTGGTTGAGAGAAAAACATTAAAGGAAGTTGAGCTTTAAGACAAGGTAGGCAGGATAATGTGAAGGCTTGGAGTACCCTTCTCATGGTTCAGGCAGGCAAGGTTGGGGTGCCATGGTGTATGTATTGCATAATCAGAGGTCATAATGAAAAACATCTTACACACTGAGTACTTCCTAAATGGTGATACTGTTCTAAAGAGCTTTGCAATATTAACGGACTTAACCTTCACAACAAATCTATAAAGGTTTGTGCTCATTTTATAGATGAAGAAACTGGAATTCAGAAAGCTTAAGTACCTTGCTCAACCCAATTTATTAGTGGCAGAGCTACAGTGTGACCTCAAGGCAGTGTAGTTCTAGAGTCTAAGCTTCTAGATCACATACATCATACATCATCAGAAAGCATGGAGAACTTGGGCAGAAAGTGGAAAACGCAGAGGACATGGAAGAAGAGGAGAGGTACAAAAGATGACTTCTATCTTGCTTGCTCTTTTTTTTTTTTTTTGCCAAAAATAAAGCTATGCATAGTAATATAACATGAAAGTGTGCTAGGAACTTTAAAATATCTACAAAAGTCTATTTCTTTGCATATCTGAAATCCAATGTGTCATGGCTCTGCAGGTGAGCATAATTAAATAGCAATGAAGATTTCTCATCTACTGAAAGAAAAGATGAAGAGATAGAGAGTAATAGTTTTGGCTATACAATTTTCTGCTAATCCTGAGCAGAGAGAAAACAACATACTCAGAGGGTATTTCTGTGTACTGTAAAGCAAAGAGAGATAAAAATATGAGAGCTGCTGGCCCTCATTGAAAGGATAAAGGGTTGCGGATTGGTATTTCCTTTTAGGCTTTATAGAATTTTTGTTTGTTTGTTTTTTGAGACAGAGTCTTGCTCTATCGCCCAGGCTGGAGTGCAGTGGTGTGATCTCGGTTCACTGTAAGCTCCACCTCCCGGGTTCTTGTCATTCTCCTGCCTCAGCCTCCCAAGTAGCTGAGACTACAGGTGTACGCCACCACGCTCGGCTAATTTTTTGTATTTTTAGTAGAGACGGCGTTTCACCGTGTTAGCCAGGTTGGTCTCAATCTCCTGACCTCGTGATCTGTCCGCCTCAGCCTCCCAAAGTGCTGGGATTACAGGCGTGAGCCACTGCGCCCAGCCTGAAGTTTTAAATTTAAGAGGACACTGCTGCTTGCTGACGTTGGTGAGGATTTTTGCTTTATGTAGAGTGGATTAATTGTGCTCATGCTTATTTGTAGCTTTACTGAGATATTTTAGATATAATCTGTAGTTCCTCCTCCTAGAAGGAAGCAATACAAAAGCACGAGTCAGCTGGCTTCTGGGGCACAATTCAGAGCCTCTGTGTTTTATTGTGCATTGCCTCAGTTAATTAGCTTTCTAATTATGATTTTATTCTAAGTTGTTATTTTAAATCAATGCCCAGAGATTGTGTTGAGGTAACATATTACTTGAGAAATAATAGGGATTTGGTTCTCTGCCTTTAGCTCTGAAAGTTACACTGTTCAGAAAAACATTGTTTATGTGTTTTCTTTTCCCGCACCAACCCTGCCTTCTTTTGATGTTTCAAGCCACCAACAAGACTTGTGCATTAATCAGGAAAGGTGTTCATTCAGCTCTGTTCTCAGAAATCACCCATCTCACTTTACTTTCCACCTTATTTTATTCTGCTCCATTTTCACCTAGTCTTTTACTTGGTTTTTGCCTCTCTTGTTTTTATCTGAATTTCTACTCTTTGGACTTGCACTTCTTTAGCATTTTTTGTCCAAGGACCTTTGGAGTCCTGTAGCAATTCAGTATTGACCCAGTGGCTCCTCCTGATCTTGCCATGGATTGCATAACTTGATCACTCGATTTCAGCCCCTTGAGAGCCAAACCTTGGAACTAACCTGCTGGGCAAGTGCCTTGGCTGGGTATATTTGGAACCCCTCGATATCTATCCCTTGATCCTACCAAGCCTGGAAAAACATGCAATTGGAACAGGGTTGACTTCTACTATCATCTCCTTTTGGGTTTATTCTTTCTTTGCCCCTTACCTTCCCACATGTATCCAGAAATTTTGTTGATGTTGTCCACCTTTATTTCTTTCAGAAAAGCTCTGATCTATATCCCATTGTCACAGTAGCTTACTTTTTACTGGATGTCAGGTGTCTGATCTGTTAAACCTAAGCATGGATTTCTTTAAAAGATGGTAGTAGATTATACTTCTCCCACTCGAGGTAACATGTGCATCTTAATAAGCCACTTGACTGAGATCTTCTGACTCATATACTGAAGGTGCCTTAATACCTTGCTTGAACAAGGTGTGATGTAAATAAATATAATACAAAGCAAATCAAAAAATAACAACAGCAATAACTCTTCTCACATTAGGAAAATCTGATATTGTGGTACATGCTACGACTATTTGTTGGTTGTCTTCTAGAGACTTTTTTCCTGGGCACAAAGTTGCCAAGACGATATTTCTCAGCCTTCCTTGCAGTTACATGTGGTCATGTGATTAAGTTTGGAACAATAGACTATTAGAGTATATGATGTGCTCAAATACCGTGTCACTTGCAAATTCAGATAAGATTCTGGCTTTGGACTTTGCCTCTATCCCTCACATCCCATGGTCAGCATTTTGATATGACAGCACCCTAGTTTTGGCTATGCAGGTGAAGACACCACTCAGGAGAAGGCAGAAGCCCAACATGAAAAAAACCTGGGTCCCTGAATGATTTTTGTAGAGCAGAGTTGTTCCCACCAGCCTATATTGGCTAAACTGTTACTTGAGTGAGAAATAAATTTCTCTCATTCAAGTGACTATCTTTTGGGTTCTTTTTGTCACAGCAGCTTAGCATTTGCCCAAACCTATTGGGGGAAAATGTCTGAATCATTGCCTTGGGGAATTAGGGTTTGGAGACCTGGGTTCTATATGTCTGACATTGGATAAGTTCTATCTCAGTCTTCCCTAGGAAGATAAATTGATTTGTGGTTGGGGCCCTTTCTATCTTTAAAACTTTGTTGGTTGCAGAGTTTTCATCTGTATCACAATCATCTTGAGGGCTTTTTAAAACACAGATTTTTGGGCAACACTCTCTGGGTTTCTGATTCAGGAATTCTGGGGAGGGCCTGAGAATATGCATTTCTAACAAACTCCCAAGTGGTGCTGATGCTGCTGGTCCAGGGATCACTCTTTGAAATCCCCTGACTTTCCTCTAACAACACATTAGAGAAATATTTTGCCAACGTTGATTTGAAGGGCCACTGTAGGAGATGTTGAGGCTCCACCCCATAACTTTTGGATCACCTGTGAGTTCTCTTGTAGCTCCAGTGGACAGTTTCTACACTGCTGACAGATTCCCAACCAAGTCCATGGGCTTCTCTATTTCTCTGCCTGAGGGCTTTCTCTAGCACCAGTGCATCTTGCTCAGCCTGCCTATACGGCAGCCTGGAAGGGCTAGGGATTGGTGGCTTCCAAGGAAAACCCTCCACTAACAAGGGATGGCTGTTGGTAGATAAATACCCAAGCCTCCCTAGCCCTGAGTAGAACAGTTCTGGCTGTTTTCTTTGTTCAGATAATCAAGTTGCAATTGCCCACAACAAACTTATACTCCTTTTATTGCTTTTTCTCCCTTCTTGACTCACTTTCCCCTCTCCCTCACTCCTGCTTTGCAAGATCACCTCCAAATAAACTACCTACACCAAAGTCCTCCAACCAGGATCTCCTTTGGGAAAGAGGGGTGGATTTAAATAGAGCCACCTTTCTACTTATTCCATTGCCTAGGCACCCACATATCTTGGTACAACTCTAAGTAGGACAGAGTCTCAAGGGGAATTGGCTATCACTGAAGGTGGGCCATTTATTATTATTAGAGTCATTTAAACAGCAACTGGACCACATTTCAGCAAGAACAAATGAGAGGCAGTAAGGAGCAACCTTTATGGGAGCAAGCTCTGGAGCCATAGTGCCTGATTCAAACCTCAGGTTTGCTGCTTACTGGATGAGATGCTGGGCAAATTATTATGTCTTTGCACCTCAGTTTCCTTATCTGTAAAATGGGGGTAGTAATACTTACCACCATATAGGGTTTGGGGAGGATTAAATGAGTTAACATATAAAAAGTTCTTAGAACAGTGCATACACGTAGCAAGCTCAATAAGTGTTAGCATTTTATTGCATTTCTGGGGCAGGGACTCCAGAATAATGGGGGAGGAGGCTTCTAAGTCCTTTCCAACCCTAATGTACCTTCTCTTCATGTCAGGAACAGAACTGCCATCTCTCCACCACTTGCTAGAGCAGACAGCTGGCAGAGAGCTATGTGTTCTCAAATTGTTTGAAAAGTGGAATGACTCTCTTGTCCTTCTGTTAGCCTGTGTTCCTTGTTGATTTTGGTAAACTACCAGTTAAAATTTAAAAAAAATGGAGACAATAAAGGATTGTCGTAATCTTTCAAAGTCATTAGCAATGGAAGCTTCCTAATATCTTTCTGCTAGACACATCCACAGCAAGTGATTAAGGAGCATAAACATATTATGTACTTTAAAAATACTTTTAATACCAACAGTACATCCTCTCTGTAAACAATTTAGAAAAAAAAATGATCAGCCATAATAATCCTACTTCTTACTAAGATATTGGTGTATTGCCTTACATAGCTTTCTCTATAGATAGATGGATAGATAGACAGATAGACAGATGATAGAGAGACAGATTGAAAAATGAGATTGTTCCATACAAGTTGCTTTAAAACATTTTTCACTGAATATAGTATGAATAGCAAACTGTGCCTTGAAATATTATTTCACATTATTTGACTCTAATTTTACTCTTAGAAGGTGACTTACTTTGATATAAAAAGGGTATCTTGCTATCTAACTAATGTCTCTGAAAATACAGATAAACAAGAGATTTAAGAAAATCTATAGATAAATGTCCATACAAAGCTTAAAGGGATTAGCTGAAAACAGCCAATAGGGAAATGCTTTGCACATAGATAATTTTTTTGAGTGGAACTGGGATCACCAAACCTTTTCCTAAAGCTGCTAAAAAATCACATTCAGAAGTATTTTTTAAATCCCTTCTCTTGGTCTCTACCCTCCCACAGGAAAAATTACTGAAGATAGGTTAAGAAAGACATTTTATCAGCATTAGCAAGGAGAGTTATCAAGTTGATTAGATAGAATATAAACTGAATTGGAAACTTTGAAATAATTCTGATTTCAATTGTGGGGATCAGGAAGGAAGCAAAAAGTAGGACACTGGACCAATATTTTGTTCTCTAAAGGTCATGGATGTGAGCTAATTACACAGGGTACATTCCTCTGTGGAACTAGAGAGAGCCCTGCTTTTGTGTATGTGCCTCTTTCAGGTACATAATGTAGAGGACACAAAAAAATTAGACTCTTCCTTCTTTCTGGGAGTCAAGGACATATTGTCCCCCTATGGTTACGTACCACCAGACATAAGCAGCATAACCCAAAATTGACTTCTGACTTTTATAATTAGTTCCTAAATCAAGAGAATGTAATAAGTATACTAATACATTATACAACGGTTTGAATGGGAAAGAATTAGGGATAAAAATAAGGTAAAGGATTTTAAGTCTGTTTTGGGGTAGCGACTACCACTAAATGAATTCGAAAATTATTTAACTTTAAGTAGTGCTTTGAAGAACATGGAAAGAATGAGAGACCCCATTCATGTTAAATCCTTCTCATATCGTTCCAATTGGCAAGAAAGCAAGAATGCATACCAGGAGAGGTCAAGGTGATTTTGAGGCAGTGATGCCCCCCTCTCCCTGTGCAGCAAAACAGTGTGGTTATGGAATTCAAAAAGGAATGAAGGCAGGCAGAGGGACTTGGAATGGTGCACGGGGGGAAAGAAGTAATATTGAGAACTTTGAAGTGGTGAGTTTGACTTTCATGTGGAAACAATTGATGACATCATCAATATCTTAAAAAAATGATGACACAATCCAAGTGGCAGGAAAGATGGGAAATCTTGTTTGAACATACTTCGAGTGTACAGGACATAGAAGCAGAATGTGAGCAGAGGAGATGAAAAGACTGGAAACTGCCTGTTGATAAGTAGAAAATGAGTCTGTGGGCAGAGCAAAGAGGAAAAGGGCATCTTAGTTGGATCCAAAAATAAGACCCATACTTTCTAAGGATCTAAATATGTGATACATCAACAGAAAGGTAAAAGAAAGTGGTAAGCATCTCTGTTTTGGACCTGGAAGGAGAATTATGTATTCTTTGAACTGGGATGAGAAGAAATAGGAAAGGCTTTAAAATTATACCAAGCAAAATAATGGGAAGTTAAGAAAAGATGCTGTTCAGTCAGAGCTGGAGATTTCAAGTCCAAGTCATTGTGATAGTAAAATTCAAACTCACCACTAAAGTGATAGACAAAATATATATTATATCCTCAGGATAAAATATATTGTCCTGAGGAAAACAGAGAAATAGAGAAAAGCATTGATGCAAACCTTTTTGCATTAATTTCTTTCTTTTCACAAAAAAGGAGATGATAGAAAACTGACCTACTTACTGGTAATGGTAAATCAGCATTGAAGCTCAAACATTAGATAATGTGCATCCTGGGAAACGGAAGAGTCAGATTGTGAATGGGCTAGGATCACATTTCTGCCCAGGGAACTGTTGGGTAAAAGAGAGTGAACCTAGATTAGACCTGGAATGGACTTTAGTAAAAGCAAAAATCTACATTTTACAAGTGTTTGAATGTCTCGCTTTTCAAGTTTTGCCTCAGAGAGACAAGTTTGCCAAACCAGTTCATGCGCTAAGGTCTCAAAGCAAAGTAAACCTTAAGAAGGCAAACAAAAGCTTTGCTCAGGCAAAATAGCTTGAACAGGCTTGAAAACAGACACATTAAACAGAACCTAGAGTATGAACTTGACTAATTGTTTTCTTTCCCGTTATTTGATTTGGATGTAAACAGTGATACACAACTCATCCAGTCCTGTCTCCACCCTATAAAGGTATTTCCTTTTGATATTTCTGTTTATTTTTTTTCAAGAGGAAGAGAACTATTATTGGTTTCTGCAAGGTGTAAATGGGAACTAAAGTCAAGTCTATACATCACCAGGCAAATGAGATGGGACGATACGATTGGCTAACTCACACCTATAATGGAGAATTTTAAAGCCAGTGATCAACAGGGGGCTTTTGGCTCTCTTGGCATTAAGAACTACACCAGGGAACTGGACACAGACACCTCTTAAAAATTATGATTGTCTGCTTCTCTCTTATATAGAGGGATATGACCATAAATCATTTTACCATATTTTTACCACTAAGGTCACAGCTAATTTTCATGGAAGGACCATTAGGTGAATGGCATTGATTATTTATTTTGACCAGCTATTGAAAAGCTCAGATTGGATCCACTAAGTGTTTTGAATTGACTACCTAATTGAGATATATAACAATTTAATTAAATTCAAAATGCAGACAATTGACAAAACCATTACAAAGAAAAATTCTTAAATGGAATTGAACAAACAGATGGTTAGGCTGAATTATTAAGAATGGGTCATGTGAAATAATATAGCTACAGAGAAGAGCGCGTCATGGCTCAGAGAATGTCCAACTTAGCTGATCTGAAGCTAGTCTTTCTCTCTGCTTTATCAAGGAGTCTTCCAGGATGAGGAGCTATGTATAGAGGGAGAGACTGCTAGGATTTGAATGTAAGGAGGAAAATGACTGAGTGGTTATGGAAGGGAGTGATGGTTCTAGGTATCCAGAACAATACGAATTTGTGCGGATGTGTTGAGCAAAAGGGTGAACTCAGTAAAGTTACTTCATTTTTTGAGACTTAGTCAAAAATCTGGGTGAATAATATGTATATTGTGGTAGTTTGTGGGGAATAAATGAAATGATTTAATGTTAGTAAATTACCTACAGTGGGGCTTACAGCAAATGTTCAACAAATGTAGCTGCTATTATTGTTGTTGTTAACGTTATTGTGATGTCAGGGTCAAGCTTGTTTCCCAGATAGAGAGGTTGATTTTTTTTGTGTATGTTTGCCTCAAGGCCAGCCATTTCACAATGCTTATTAATGAGCACAGTAATTGAGGGACATAGAAACTGTAAAGGCCAGAGACAGCAAATAAAGGGCACATGTGTCTCATGCTCACTACTTCTACACCCAAAGCAGACATAAGTAATCAATTGTAGTACTCTCCACTGACCCTGAGCTCACCCTCGAAATCCTTCCCACATTCTTTTTCAGGCAGCTCCCAGCCCAGTGATTCAAAGGGAGCACTTGAGATGAAATCTACTTGGTAAAATAGAGTTAGCTCCGATGAAATTGCACTCAGGGGAATAGTACTCATGGGGAAAATGAGCCGAAGTTTTACCATTTTTAGAGGATAAAACAGCTTTGAAGAAAAACGTGAGTTGATTAGTGCAATGAGCAAAGTTTGTTCTGATACGAGATTCAAAGATTAATAAACTGTCCTTTTTCTCAGGATATTGTTTTGTCATAGTAAAGGAAAACATTGAGCTTAGGTTGGGGAAAAAACATATGCCGAACACAGTGTTTTCAGTAACAGCTGCTGAACAATCGAGGAGACATCATGTCCTGCCTCTGAGTCCTTTACCTTGCTCCTCTAAATGGAAACACAAGTGCCTGGGGATATTTGAAGCATGACAAACACTGGAGGAGTGCTGATGGAAAGCCCTGTAAAGAATTTCCATGCCTGATCATATAACAGATGGCTCCCTACAAAAATCATTTTAATATTAAACAGACAATTCAGGCCTATGAAAAATTCTGCCATAAATCTGTAATTGAAAATATTAAAAAACATCCATTCAAAAAGACTGTAAATTTTTACAAGGAATTTCTTATGCATTTCAGAGCTTATATCAAAAGAGGGAATGTCCCCTCTTATTTAAAGAGGGGATGTCAAATCAATTCAAAGTTCTATAGACTTAAAAAAAAATCTTAGAAAGAAAGGTGTGTGTCTCTGTATGGCTCTGTGTGTGCGTGTGTCTGTTACTTTGTCTGTTTGATCTTCTCACACACCTATACTCACTGAACACCTTCCTCAGCCCATACTGACCCATAGGCCCTCCTGCTTCTCCCGTCCTTCAGCTCCTTGTGGATTCCGTAGTCCTTTAGCCCAGCATCGATCCCATGCTCAGATGCTTTTGATGACACTCTTTTTAGGACACTCTGGAATGTCTGACTTTCTTGATTTCCCACCACTCCTATTGCTACTCCGGCAAGAGCTCTGAAAGTCAAGGCTTTTGAGGACTTGGCAGTTTCCTGGGTCCTCAAGTTATTGCTGCTGAGATTTCAGTTCGATAGTATACATGATTTTGTCCAGCCTTCTTTGTTGCTGTTACTTGTTTTTCGTTGCTACCCAAAACACCTCCCAGCAATTCGTAGCCCTAAGTGAATTCTCACCCCATCATTTCCCCATCTGCTTTATGCATGGAGAAAGGAGAGACCTGCCCAGCATCTCACTTCTAGAGCATGGCCTTCACCTGCTGCCTGGCCCACCTGCCCCTTCACACCCTATGAAGCTTCTTGCTTCAGGCCTCCATGGAGTTGTGTTAACATCTGTAGATTCTAGCTTCTCTTAGATCAGAACCCTGGTAGTTCAAGAGATTGTAGGAGAGATGTGGACAAACTTTTAAAAAATTAAATAGTTATATATTTGTTTTAGTATGATTTTTAGAAAAAAGTTATCAAAACCATAATTTCATGGACTTTTTAATTATTATGATTAAGGGGAAGGCTAAGGAAAAACAGTCCATTTAAAGTTGGCTTTGAAGACTCAAGGCAAGGTGAAGAGAGGATGCAAAACAAGGACACCAGATGCTAATCTGAGGAAGACTGTGGAATGAAAGGATGTTTGATGGTCCAAGTTAGAAAACATAAAGACAATCATCTGCACTGGACATGTGTCTGTAATTGGCAAATGGAAATATATTCTCTGTCCCCCTCTCTTTCAGGTCATAGACTCTTGTCTTCCCTATCCAGACATTACAAGACAGCGTTTCCAATTTCCACGCTGTTGAGCTAGGTGATATGGCTCTTTAGCACTTCTTCTGCACCATAATAGCAATAAAATCTCTTAAGAGTTTAGGAGTCAACTGATTTTGCTTCCAGACAATTCTCCAGTCCTTTAAGGAGCCATAGCAACTAAAAGGATATACTGATGTTTGGTAGTTGTTGTTATTGGCTTTCTTTTTGTTTATTTTGATTTATTTACTTTATATTTAACAAAAGCAGGAAACATCAGTGAAGAGTGAGGGTGGTCAGCCCCAGGTGTCCTTTGCTTCCTGAATAGGAAGTCTTTTGTTAGCATCCATTAACACGTTAGGGGACTTTCAAATCAACATGCCCTTCCTGACCCAGAAAGGGCTGTGGTCGTAAATGGTTCCCTTAGGGGGAAGCTTAATAGTTCCCTGGTCCTTACTTAACATGGGAGGAGGTTTAAGTTTAAGTTCTCACATAATAAAGGCTTCAAAATTTTTACTTTAACAGCTGCTTACATAGAGCTATGGGAAGGCTTACTCCAGGCACTTCACTAATATTAACGGATTTATTTTAATCTCCTTAATAACTCCATGACTAAGTGTACCTTATGTCCCCATTTTCGAGTTGAAAAGATGAGGCACAGAAAAAATACATAATGGGCTCACAACCCTACAAAGAGTGAGAGGAAATTTGAACTAGGATTCACATGTTTTCCACCACTATCCGAGGCTGAAAAGTACTAAAAAGGGGCCAGGCCCTCATATGCAGATTTATCTAGTCTCTAAAATTGAGGTGGAAGAATAAAAGACAATGGTATCTTTATGCATTCCTCCAAGAAGAAGCACACATGTCCTCGACAACACACACATACACACTTACATATGCATATATAGGGCTGACTTCACAGGTGTGTGATCTGTGCAGTCTCACAGGGCCCTGCATTTAGAAGGACCCCGACACATAGTTTAAAGCTCTACTGTAGCCGTCTTGAAATTCTTTATAATTTTTGAATAAGGAATCCTGCATTTTCTTTTTTTTTAAATTTTATTATTATTACACTTTAAGTTTTAGGGTACATGTGCACAATGTGCAGGTTTGTTACATATGTCTACATGTGCCATGTTGGTGTGCTGCACCCATTAACTCGTCATTTAACATTAGGTATATCTCCTAATGCTATCCCTCCCCCCTCCCCCCACCCCACAACAGTCCCCAGAGTGTGATGTTCCCCTTCCTGTGTCCATGTGTTCTCATTGTTCAATTCCCACCTATGAGTGAGAACATGCGGTGTTTGGTTTTTTGTCCTTGGGATAGTTTGCTGAGAATGATGGTTTCCAGTTTCATCCATGTCCCTACAAAGGACATGAACTCATCATTTTTTATGGCTGCATAGTATTCCATGGTGTATATGTGCCACATTTTCTTAATCCAGTCTATCGTTCTTGGACATTTGGGTTGGTTCCAAGTCTTTGCTATTGTGAATAGTGCCACAATAAACAGACATGTGCATGTGTCTTTATAGCAGCATGATTTATAATCCTTTGGGTATATACCCAGTAATGGGATGGCTGGGTCAAATGGTATTTCTAGTTCTAGATCCCTGAGGAATCGCCACACTGACTTCCACAATGGTTGCACTAGTTTACAGTCCCACCAACAGTGTAAAAGTGTTCCTATTTCTCCACATCCTCTCCAGCCCCTGTTGTTTCCTGACTTTTTAACGATAGCCATTCTAACTGGTGTGAGATGGTATCTCATTGTGGTTTTGATTTGCATTTCTCTGATGGCCAGTGATGATGAGCATTTTTTCATGTGTTTTTTGGCTGCATAAATGTCTTCTTTTGAGAGGTGTCTGTTCATATCCTTTGCCCACTTTTTGATGGGGTTGTTTGTTTATTTCTTGTAAATTTGTTGGAGTTCATTTTAGATTCTGGATATTAGCCCTTTGTCAGATGAGTAGGTTGCGAAAATGTTCTCCCATTTTGTAGGTTGCCTGTTCACTCTGATGGTAGTTTCTTTTGCTGTGCAGAAGCTCTTTAGTTTAATTAGATCCCATTTGTCAATTTTGGCTTTTGTTGCCATTGCTTTTGGTGTTTTAGACATGAAGTCCTTGCCCATGCCTATGTCCTGAATGGTATTGCCTAGGTTTTCTTCTAGGATTTTTATGGTTTTAGGTCTAACATTGAAGTCTTCAATCCATCTTGAATTAATTTTTGTATAAGTGTAAGGAAGTGATCCAGTTTCAGCTTTCTACATATGGCTAGCCAGTTTTCCCAGCACCATTTATTAAACAGGGAATCCTTTCCCCATTGCTTGTTTTTGTCAGGTTTGTCAAAAATCAGATGGTTGTAGATAAGCGGCATTATTTCTGAGGGCTCTGTTCTGTTCCATTGATCTGTATCTCTGTTTTGGTACCGGTAACATGCTGTTTTGGTTAGGCCCTGAGAATGATGCAGCCAGTCCTACACATATGTGCACACATGCACGTGCACGCACACACACAAACACACAGAGACACTGAACACAGGTGTGTTCGGAGTAGGAGGAGTCCCTATACTATTTACTACTTGAAGGCAAAACTGTACCTGTTTACTGGTGTATCCCGGATAATTCACCAGATAGTTAGAGTGAATGAATGGAGAGATGGTACTGAATCTATGTATGAGGAACAATGTAACAAATCTGTCAGTGAGTTACCAGTACCTACACTGGGGGCAAATCTGCTTATTTGATACCTTCACGGCATCAGCAGCATACCTTGCAAAATACGTTTATTTCGAGAGGCTGACAGCAGAAATACTCTGTGGTAAGGTCACAAAATTTAATGAACACCACTGCTGAAAATAGCTAGTTCTTTTAATTTGCCTATACTTATGTAGTTACAGTTCACACTTTTCCTGAAGATCATTATAAATTTGCTGGTTAGTAGGAAGATAAATTAACCAAATAATTTGATCTAGATTAAATTTAGTTCAACCCCAAAATTTAAATTGTCCCTTGAGGCAAAGCTTAGTTTCTGCAGGGGAAAAACGTTTATGCCCTTAATAATCTATTGTTTCTCCTGCTCCTTTCTTTAAAATGTCATGTGGGCCGGGCGCAGTGGCTCACGCCTGTAATCCCAGCACTTTGGGAGGCCAGGCGGGCGAATCACTTGAGGTCAGGAGTTTGAGACCAGCCTGGCCAACATGGTAAACCCCATCTCTACTAAAAATACAAAACTTAGCCAGGCATGGTGGCATGTGCCTGTAATCCCAGCTACTTGGGAGGCCAAGACAGGAGAATTGCTTGAACCCGGGAGGCAGAGGTTGCGGTGAGCCGAGATCGCACCATTGCACTCCAGCCTGGGTAACAAGAGCAAAACTCCATCTCAAAAAAAAACAAAAAAAAAACCTCATGTGTTTAGGGGCAAGGAATGGGAGGTTGGGTAGGGAGAGACACATGCTACTCCTCGGGTGTGTGTTGGCTAGATATTGGTCTCCTGGTCTCTGGGATATTCTTTGCCCACTGGTGTCATCCTTGCCCTGCTGCCTTTGGATGCCATCTTCTAAGGCTGATTTAACTTAGGATTCATCCTTTTTTAAATTTTTTTTTTAAGACAGGGTCTCGCTCTGTCACCCAGGATGGAGTGCAGTGGTTCAATGCAGCCTCGAATTCCTTTGGCTCATGTGATTCTCCCACCTCAGCGTCCCGAGAAGCCAGGACTATAGATGCACAGCACCACACCTGGCTTTTTTTTTTTTTTTTTTGTATTTTTTGTAGAGGCAAGGTTTTTCCATATTGCCCAAGCTGGTGTCAAACCCCCAGGCTCAAGTGATCTGCCTGCCTCAGCCTCCCAAAGTGCTGGGATTACAGGTGTGAGCCACTATGCCCGGCCAAGGTTCCATTTTTGTGACTCAGTTTCTCTAGCTGGGCCATCTGTCTAGTCCTTTTATGTGGCAGTTCACCCCCAGCATCTCCCCTAGCAGACCCATTGGCTTCAATTCAAAATCTGCACCACCTAAGAAGGAAGAATAGCATGGGCATACCAAACTGCAGGAGCTCCTCTCTCTAAGCCTGTTTGTTTCTGTGACTATGCCCCAGGGTAGTGGGAACAATGCCTCTTCTTTACCTTGAGGAGTATCATCACTGATGTAATAACACATCTCCCTCTGTCTTGTAGTCTAAACCCAGAAAGGGCAAAGCCAAGACATTTATGTCTGGTTGCAACACTTCCTTTCGCTGTCTCCTTTCCTTCTCTCTCATCCTATTTTCAAGGACAAGATATGTAGGTTTTTCTATTAACTCTATATCATATCTTTTTTTTTTTGTGACTGAAGATTAGCCTTAAGGACAGACTTGGCCTTGATATGCTAAATGGAGCATGAAGAAATTTGGAAAAATTCTTTCTCAAGAAAATAATCTGGTTTGCGAGATATTCTTATTGCACAAACCAAGCTCATGTCAAGAGCTGAATATTACCTCCTCTTTCTCTTTGCATACCTTCTGCTTTAATTACTAAGCTTCCCTCAGACAAATAGATACTGAGGACAGATTTAGAGTAAAAGTCTTATACTCAGAAAGGTAAAAAAGAAAACATTAATGTTTAAAATTATTTCTCCTATAAAAACTGTACCTTCATGATCACTCTGCTTTAGGGATACACAACAATACAACAACAGTGATATCTTTTTCTTTTTCTTTTCCTTTTTTTTGAGACTGGTTCTCACTCTGTTGTCCAGACTGGAGTGCAGTAGCACAGTCATGGCTCACTGCAGCCTCAAACTCCTAGGCTCAAGCAATCCTCCCGCTTCAGCCTTCCAAGTAACTAGAACCAGAGGCAGGTGCCATCACACCCATCTAATATATTTTATTTTTTGTAGAGCTAGGTTCTCACTATGTTGTCCAGGCTGATGTGCTGTCTTCTTAGAATGTGTGTCTTTCGCTTGGACAAAGGAAGGCTATGTGTTGGTTGTGTACCCTTCTTTGTGGTTTCACTTGTTGGTCTTGTACAAGTGTATCTCATTTTATTGCACTTTGCTTTGTTGTATTTTGTAGATATTGTTTTTTACCAGTTGTAGGTTTGTGGCAATCCTGCATCTACCAAGTCTATGGGTGCCATTTTTCCAACACCATGTGCTCATTTCGAGCCTCTATGTCACATTTGGATAATTCTCACGATTATGTTTTATTTTTTCCTACATAATGAAGGTACACTCCCGGCCCATCCTGTAGTGAGACATATGAATAATTCTGGCCAATGGGCTATATGAAGAAATAAAGTGCTTAGCTTTTGGGCTGAACATAGGAGAGTAGTCATGACAACTGGCAGCCCATGTATTCCAGATAGTACGGCTACAAGATGTTGAAGCAGCTGCATCCTGGGTCCCTAAGTCGTATGTGGATCAGAGCTGCCCCAGCAACCTGCAATGGAAGTGAAGTGAGAAACTTTTGTTGTGTTAAGTCGCTGACATTTGGGAATTAAATTTTCACTGCAGCATTAGCAGTAGCTAATTAGCATTAGCCTAATATGACCGACAGAAATGGAATGGGAAAAGAACAAAAAGCACATGTCTGTTTCCTCCTGCCCATTTTTAAGGAGATTTTAAGGAAGTCTCACTCAACATCAATAATTTATTTTATTAGGCAGAGATGTGTTATAAGGCCGCCCCTATCTGCATGGAAGGCTAAGAAATATCATTTTTTAACCTGACATATACTTCATCCACTATTATTAGTCAAGAAAAATAGAAGGATAACTATTGGGCAGGCAACTAGCATGGTTTGCCACAATCTACCCCCTTGGTTACCTGTCATTCAGATGTACCCTTATTTCTAGTGGTATGGAAATAAGGCTTGTACCAGCTCACAAATGCCAGCTGTTACAATTTCAGACATTTTGTGAGTTGATTGTTAGAGATAGCCATTATTAAGAATTAATATATAAGGTAGGCATGATGGTGCACACCTGTAATTCCAGCTACTCAAGAGGCTGAGGCAAGAAGATCATTTGAGCCCAGAATTTCAAGGCTGCGTGAGCCATGATCACACCACTGCATTCCAGCCTGGGCAACAGAGCAAAGCCTTCTCTCTGAAAAAGTATAAATAAACAAAATTATATACATTTACAGTTAAATAAATGGCATCTAAAACAAAGGTGATATATACTCAAAATTCATGACTTCTTAATTATTTTACCACATTTTTCTATTATCTATGATCTTGAAGTTGCATGTGTCATATCTGTATAATGGAGATACTTCAAAGTGATGTGATAAAATGCATTTGATCCAATTCCACCTTCATTGACATCATGTTGGTATCTTGAAATCAGCCATGGTGGGAGTATTTACACCACAGGATTCAGCAAATACTCTAAATCAGGGCTTGATCTTTCTGTTTATTAATTGTCTAGACTTAATCATAAAGAAAATATTACTAATGTAAATTAAACTAAAGGTATATTATGACAATAGCCTCTATATGGTAAGTAGCACCAAAAATCGAGGAAACATTATTTCAGTATTTGACAACTAGGATCTGAAAAAAGTTGCTTTCATCATTGAATAAATAAATTCTGACATACTCTTCATTACATCTTCATTGCTTCATTTTCATCTTACTCATAAAAACAAACATATCAACCATCATTCATGTGGGAATTACACTTATTTGCAATTTTTTTTTGTCAAAAAACACATTCTGTAAGAATCAATTGGTCATAAGGAGTTTACAATAAAGAGTACTGTATATATTACTATTATTATTTGTAAGTTATGAGATACACATCCTTTATATCAGCAACATTTATAATAAATATATAGCGTGTGCGTGTGTGTGTGTGTGTGTGTGTGTGTTCTACACAACCCTATCTCAGCTGGTTGTTAAGCATTTATCAGAGCCCAAGTTTCTTTCCAAAGAACATTCCAAGTGAGATAACCTCAAAGGCTCTTGCATTTCTTGCATCCAGCTTAAAATGTAGGTACTGTGGGAGATATGCAGTCTTTCCATCAGATACAAATGGAAAATTGTTTGTTTGTTTGGTTTGTTATGGGTCTGCTAGCCTATAAACCAAAGGAAAATTGGTCTGCCCTCCATGTACAATAGTGGAGAAGAAGCAGGACTACCATAATAAGCGCCCATTTGGAAAAGAGGCTGGAAAGTGCACAGTCATCAGTTATTAAAGCACACAGTCATCATAGAAATTAGGCCATTCTGCTTGACAAGAGTAGCAAAGGCTTCCTATCTTGTCATGGGTAAGTTCCTTGGTTGGCCGATCTGGCTGAATTTGTTTATTCTCTCTGGAAGGATCTACCGGAGTCCCTCTTCCCCTCCCCTTCTGGCTCTCCCCTCCGATGTTGCTTGGTAAAGATGCTCTTCCTAGGGCTACACAGCATTCAAAACCAACTTGCTATTGGTGTGCTTTTAGTAACCAGGGACTATTTTAGGGGTTTACTAATCATAGAGAATCTGGGGACAGTCTTAGGGAGAAGAAACTTCCTTGGAAATATATTTCCCTTTAAACTTAGAACAGTTTTGCTTTATTTGCTCCTGGTAAAGTCCGCATTTAAAAATAACAGTCAGCTGGGCGCAGTGGCTCATGCCTGTAATCCCAGCACTTTGGCAGGCCAAGGCGGGTGGATCATTTGAGGTCAGGAGTTCAAGATCACCCTTGTCAACATGGTGAAACCCCGTCTCTACTAAAAATACCAAAATTAGCCAGGCGTGGTGGCGGGCGTCTGTGATAATCCCAGCTACTTGGGAGGTTGAGGCAGGAGAATCACTTGAACCCAGGAGGCGGAGGTTGCAATTAGCAGAGACCGCACCATTGCACTCCAGCCTGGGCAACAAAAGCGAAACTCCATCTGGAAAAAAAAAAAAAAAAAGTAAATAATAATAATAATAGTCAAAGATGTTATCCAGATGTGGATTTCAAGTCTCAGGAACCTCCTCTTTCATGTTCACGACTCCATGCTCTGCCCTTCTTTCTTGCCCTGGATTCAATGGCTGTTGTCCAGAAGCAGTTAGAAACAATCAGTTCCCAGGGGGAAGCAACATCCCGGATCCCATCACTACTGGCAGGCTCTGTGCCTTCTTCCAGTGGAGCACCAGTATGTAGGCTACTATTTGTCAATCACCATTCATAATTGCTTCAAGTTTGAAGGACAGAACCAATTGCCTTCAGGACTCTTTTCACCATAACTTGTAGACAAAAGTCAGGGAAAGATTCTTTAGAAAATAAAGGTGTTTCGGCTGGGCATGGTGGCTCACGCCTGTAATCCCAGCACTTTGGGAGGCCGAGGCGGGTGGATCACTTGAGGTCGGGAGTTCGAGACTAGCCTGGACAATATGACGAAACCCTGTCTCTACTAAAAATACAAAAATTAGGCCAGGCATGGTGGCAGGCGCCTGTAATCCCAGCTACTTGGGAGGCTGAAGCAAGAGAATTGCTGGAACCTGGGAGGCAGAGGTTGCAGTGAGCCGAGATCATGCCACTGCACTCCAGTCTGGTAGACAGAGTGAGGCTCCATCTCAAAAATAAATAAATAAATAAAAATAAAGATGGGGCGTTTCTTCCCTTCTCTGCTTGTAGCTCAAGTAGTTCTAGTCTGGTGTCATCTCTTCAGTCAGATTTGTCTGAAGGTAGTAGAGCTAGT
This sequence comes from Homo sapiens, assembly GCF_000001405.40. Classification (NCBI taxonomy): domain Eukaryota; kingdom Metazoa; phylum Chordata; class Mammalia; order Primates; family Hominidae; genus Homo; species Homo sapiens. The sequence goes on along the minus strand of NC_000009.12, from coordinate 3,688,270 downwards.
ACATACCCATATATAAAATCTTTGCCATCATTTCTCCTTATCGTATAACCTCATTTAGCCGATTACCTGCATTACCAGTAAAGCAGGCAGCAATTAAATCAAATGTTCTGCCACTACTTAACAAATATCACCAGCTTTCTGACTTAAAGTCTCTAGGTGCTTGTTACCCAAAGCCCCATTTCTATTTCTCCCACAATTTCAGTTTCACATTTTAGGATTACTGAAAGCATCCCCCTTCGAGATACCAAATTTTGTTATCAGTTTGATATTATATTTAGCTCTGAAAGGTAGAAAATGGAACAATAGTAGTTTGAACATATTAATGATTTTGTTTTTTCCACAAAATCAGAAGCCTAGATTCAGATCATCCAAGCTGGTGCAGCACTTCACCCCTGCGTCAAGTTCTTGCTCCACTTCCAGCATTATGTCTGTCATTCAGAAGGTGAAAGGCAGAATACGAGGGGTATACACAGAACTGATCTAGTCCCTGTAGAGCATTACTGAAACCCCCTCATTCAAAATAATAGTGATAATAATGAATAATAAAAATTGTAATTTCTGGTAAAATGTATCAAGATATCACCATAAGAGGAAATCTGATAAAGCTACACTCAGATACATTAAATTCAGATTTTTCTGTAACTAAGTGTTAATTATCTTTTTACTATAACTGGAATAATTTCCAGAGAAATCTCTGCATTCAGTTGCCAAGGGCAACACTAATGTCAAATTTTTGACTTTGGTAACCACAGTAGAACTTTTATAAGATGGGTTATAAAAACCAAAATTATCTATTGATGATTGGATAAGAGACCTGATTCAACTTTATGGTCTTATAGCAATTTCTGCATTTTATAAATTCAAAAAGAACTGCCCAGCTGGGATGCAGTAATTTCATTTTCTCTAAAATATCAGTGTAATCACATAAAAGGGAAAATGGCCCCAGGAGAAGTTCTCTTGCTATTAGCAGTAACATATATAAAACTCTTCTCAGAAAAGGGCTGTTAATCATGTCTTGCAAAGGGCCCTAAAAAGTCATTTATGCCATCTTGGGTGGATAAATGAGTATTCTAACCTTAAAAATATATCCAAGGAAGAAGTTTCAAACTCTTCTTCTGTTGGCTTAATTATTACGGGCACTGCCTTGGAGCGATGTTAAAAAACATTGATGATGCAGTTCTTTCAACAGGTATTTATTGAGCATCTACTGTGTTTATAACATAGTAAGAGAAACAGCGAAATATGAGATATGGTCTTTCACGGCAAAGAGATTATAATGTAGTTGAAGAAATAAAACATGAAGAAGGAAGAGTTTGCCACAGAGAAAGGTATGAAATGAGCTAAAAAGAATTCCTGAAGGAAGGTGACTCTGTTGGGCTTTCATAATCAGAATTTGGAGCATGAATCTCAGGAGAGAGAACATTCCCATGCATCCAATTTTTATCAAGTTCTCCCTAACTCTCACCCCTGGCACCTCTCTTACCCCTACTTACTTTTTTGTCTCCTTTCTTGCCTTGGTTCAAGCCTCTGTGGTTTTCCACCTAAACTATTATGATAGATACTGAATTTCCCTCAATTTCTCGGTTTTTAACCACCAAAGTCTTTAGCAACCCGTACTCATCACTATAAGAAAGTGATCTTTAAAACATTGATATGATGGCTTTTTCCAGGCCTGGGATTAGGGGAAGACAAAGGAAGCACTCGCCTTGAGTATGAAATTTAGGTGGCCTTAGAAAACTCAGTAACTAAGATGACTAACTTTTTAATGAAACATTTTTTAAAAATCAGAATTAATGCAAAAGATCCATGATGAACAAAATGTCAAAATTTTAAATAAAAATAAGATCTGACAGTGCTGTGCCAAGCCATATTGGAGCTTGAGACAAAAGTAAAAATGTATGTTCCTAGAGCCATGTTTTTATGTGTTTTTAAAATGGTTGTTTTCCAGAATATTAAAGTAACTGAAAAAATATTGAAAAGTTGAAAAATAAGTATATTAGAACTCAACATTATTTTATCCAAATATTTTATTTTTAATAAAAAACATTATAATTTTAATGCTTTGGTTTTAATAAAAACAAAGTCATCAATTCAACAATTTTTTTTTTTTTTTGAGACAGAGTCTCACTCTGTCACCCAGGCTGGAGTGCAGTGGTGCGATCTCGGCTCACTGCAACCTCTGCCTCCCGGGTTCAAGCAATTATCCTGCCTCAGCCTCCTGAGTAGCTGGGATTACAGGTGGGCGCCACCATGCCAGACTAATTTTTGTATTTTTAGTAGAGATGGGGTTTCACCATGTTGGTCAGGTTGGTCTCAAAATCCTGACCTCATGATCTGCCTGCCTTGGCCTCCTAAAGTGCAGGGATTACAGATGTGAGCCACTGTGCCCAGCCAACAATATTTTTTAAATGTCTTTCTTGCCTTGATGCCTTTGCTCATAGTACTACTTCTGCCTGGAGTGCCCTTGCCCAAATGTATATCAGGCAGATGATTATACATTTTCCAGAAATAAGCTTTTCCTGAACCACCCTCCCCTCCCCTTTATTCCCCAAATCAGGCAGAATAGACCATTTTTCCTTTGTGGTTTTCACTGTAGTCTGTACTTACCTCTATCAAAGAACCAGTGGCATTTCAGACATATGTATTTTATTATTTGCCCTTTCTAAAATAGGACTACCTTATATACACCATGGAATACTATGCAGCCATAAAAAGGAACGAGATCATGTCCTTTGCAGGGACATGGATGGAGCTGGAAGCCATTATCCTCAGCAAACTGACAAAGGAACAGAAAACACTGCATGTTCTCACTTATAAGCGGTAGCTAAACAATGAGAACACATGGACACAGGGAGGGGAACAACACACACTGCGGCCTGTCACAGGGGTTGGGGATGGCAGAGGGAGAGCATCAGGATAAAGAGCTAATGCATGTGGGGCTTAATACCTAGGTGATAGGTTGATAGGTGCAGCAAATCACCATGGCACACGTTTACCTCTGTAACAAACCTACACGTCCTGCACATGTATCCTGGAACTTAAAATAAGATAAAATAAAATTTAAAATAAATAAATAAAAAAGGCAGGTATTGCTCTTATTCATCACGGAATCCTTGGTGACTAGTGTGATGTCTGAGACTCTGTAGGTACTTAATAATATTTGTTGAATGCCTGGATTAATGGACAAACAAGGGTGAGAAAGTGATAAATATAGTCAAAGAAAAGTAAGTAGAAAAGATTTCTTGGAAACGTAGAAGCTATTTTAGATAAAGCCAAACATTTATGTTTAAACTGCAAAAATTCATAGTAAATTACTACAAAATAGACAAGTCAATTTAATTAGTTGGTTAATTAAATATACTTAACTATTTAGCAAGGCTAATCTGTTCACCCTCTATTGAAGGACAAAAGAACTTCAGGCAGGGAGACAAAATAAAAGTCTATTGTAATAGTTTGTGTCTGACATGATAACGGTCTATAAAAATGTTGCGGAAGAAGAAAGGAAAAGCAAAATCTGGATGAAAAGTTTTGAAGAATTATTTCATTGGATTTGGTAAAGAGAAGGTGGAATGCCATGAGAAATATTTACATTGCAGTGCAATTTGTTCTTAAATTTGACACAGCTAAAGCTTCAGGCATTGTTCAAGGCCAAGGTCCTTGTCAACATCTAGGGCCATTTTATCTTTTAAGCCCTAAGGCACCATGCCATACATAGTTCCATAAGTTTTTCATGCACCCATAGAAGTGTTTATGACATTACAAACAAAAAAAAAATCATTGACTCCAAAAAAACAGGAAAAGAAAATTGCAGTGTTGAAATGAACAAGTGTTTGAGTCAACCTCCACAGAAATGTTTGAAAGATTAAAAATATTTTATTGGCCGCACAATATTGCAAGGAAGACAGCAACATTGAAATTACAAGTGTTTAATTAAATGTCTCTGGATTGTGACATTAGGTCAACTAGTTGAGGGCAACTCCATTCAACTCATGTATATATTACATTTAATGTGGAATGAGAGCATTTTAATATGTGTAATAAAAGATAAGAGTCTCCAAAAGTAAGAGTGCATAGAGCCTATGAACTATCAAAATAACCTTGTCTACACTCCGTGATGGTTCTTATCACAATGATCATTATCTCTGTACCTCACAGGTGGATTCTGAATGGTGGGTCAATGTCCATAGGAAATGGCTCCAGTTGTCTATACTGTTTTCTAAGCATCTGGACCTGAACCCTAAATAAGAATGTAAAATGAAATACTGTATTCCTCATTCTATTTCTTCAAAGTTTATATTGTGTTAATTTTAAAAAAGCAAAGTTTAAAGTATGTTTCAGGCTGGCCATAGTGGCTCATGCCTGTAATCCCAGCACTTTAAGAGGCTGAGGTGGGTAGAACACTTGAGGTCAGGAGTTCAAGACCAGCCTGGCCAACATGGCGAAACCCTGTCTCTACTGAAAATACAAAAATGAGCTGGGAGTGGTGGCACGTGCTTGTAGTCCCAGCTACTCGAGAGGCTGCGGCAGGAGAATTGATTGAACCTGGGAAGTGGAGGTTGCAGTGAGCCGAGCTCACGCCACTGCACTCCAGCCTGGGCGACAGAGGGAGACTCTGTCTCAAAAAAAAAAAAAAAAAGTATATGTTTCAATGAAAACAAGAAAACAAATGCTATTGATGGTAAATAATCACATAGTAAATGTTTCTCAGTAATTGGCATTTTCAACACAAGAGGATGAGCTGAATTTATCTGTAAGTGCTTATGCAATGCATCCTTTGCTTTTACCCTGTCAAGAATGGGGAAGCTGGATTTGGATACAATGGATGGGAGGTACACCTAGTTTGAGCTTAGTCATTATCAGAATGGTCCTTTAGATCAATAACTAAGAACATTAACCAGTTCTTTAAACTGTCTTGAGTGTAGCATCCACAAATTGCTGCTCCTGTGCCATTTTAAAAAGCCTGTTCCTAGGGACTTTGTCTTCAACAATGTAAACAATCAATTTACAGAGCACTGATCTTCTTCAAGTCCAGGTGAATTCTCACTGTGACAGTGGCATGTAGAGGTGGCATGAAGTGCCAGGAGCAGCAGTGTCTCATTGGCGAAAGCCTGGGTCCTACCTACGGAACCTCAGCAGGTGTGATTGTTACACTGGAGAACACCAAAGGTGAGCTGCACTGTAATTCCACTGCAGTGAGCCCTTGTCTGTAGTAACTAAAGTCACCTCTGGTAATAGCTATTTATACACCATTTTTCAGATGAGTAAATTTTCTTTAAGCAACTGTACTGGCTGACTAGGGAAATGGAAGTTTAATTCAAAAAGAGAGAAAAAATAGGCTTTGCTTTCAAGGGGATTTGACTCTGTAAAAAATGCAATTTGTATTTTGAACCATTTAATTCTGGTTTTCTTTTCTAAGTTATCTGAACTAAGTTAATCTTAGGCATCAAATTGTTGGAAATACTCATTTGCTTGGTTTGTTTTATGCTGTCCCCACAAAAAGCTTACATTTTCCTAAAATTCCTACTAATAGTTTGTAGAAAGTCCATATATCCACAAACACCTGCCTTTGCTTGATATTCACTCTTTTTCTCCCTCTTACAGATCAAACAATTAAGACACAGTGATTTCCCCAAGGTCACACAGTTCTTGGGTGTTAAAGCTTTTACTAGACATTCTATTTTGTGGCTCCGGTCAAAGGATTTTTCCCACCTGGGTCTCAATGTACCCTTAGCTGTTTCTTTTATTTCTTAATTCCAGTTCTGAAAAGGCCAAATAGAACTGTTCATGTTAACATTCAACAAAAACATCTGTTACAGGCAGTTACTGACTGACTAGTAATATTCATCTTCTCTGCCAGATCTAAATTGGACCTGGGAGAATTTCCACATTTGCTGGTAAACTATTAAAGGCTCCATGATGGGGCATTTTCCTGAGAGAAGAAATAGCTCACATACCTCTTCTTAACGCCTATGAAGAAAATTGCCCCCAGATGGGTAGACTGTGACTTCTTATGGGAAGGAAAGGAGGATTTCACAAAAAGTGGAATCTCTCTTGCTTTGGCTAAAGCGTCAACTCATTTCCCACTGCCAAATTTAGCAACGATGTACACCTGTGTCCACATAGTCTGCCTCCCCTCGTTAAAATGGACAGGCTGAATCCACTCACATCTAATGTCAGCCGTTCCACTTGTGTGCAGAATCCCTTTCTTATTCCCCAGCTCTCCTTCTGTAGCTATTCCTTTTCCCCTGCACTATTAAATTTTTCATCTCTCCTGGATCCTTCATATTAGCATACATAGAGGTTATCTCTCCCATTTAAAAACAAACTTTTATTTCATATCCTCTCTAGCCATGTCCTATTTTTCTGCTCCCTTCATCGTGAAATTCCTTCCAAAAGGTCATCTGTGCTTTCCGTTTTTCTTCACCTTTTATTCTCTTCTCAGCCCACACAAATTAGATTGCCATCACGACAGCTCTGCTGAAACCAGTCTTAACAGGGTCACCAAAGCCTAGGGTGACCATATGTTCTTGTTTGCCCAGGACAGTCCCAGCTTACACCTATTGTCTTGGCAAAATTATTAATAACTTTTCTGTCACTCTTAAAAAACCATGGGTTGGAGTATAAATTACATGGATAAAAAACCATCCAACCAATGACCTCCATCTTGCAAATCTGACTGTCACTTCTCTGGACTTCTCTTTCTTAATCTCCCTGAAGTGCTTCTTGTGGACCTTTAAATGTTGACATACTGCCAGGCTTCCAACTCAGCTCTCTTCTCTCCTCTCCTCTCCTCTCTTGACTACCCACACTCTCTCTGTAAGTTATCGCATCCAGTCCTATGGCTTTGGGCACCATCTGTATTCTAAGAACTCATGAATTTGTGCCTTCTCTATGACCTCTTCTCTAAACTCCAGACGTACCTTTTCTGCCTATTGGAGAGTTCCACTTGTATGTCTAACAGGGATCTAAACTTTAACATGTCCAAAACAGAACTTTTATTTTCCCTCCATCCTTTACCTTTTCTTCCCTAGTGCTCCCATTCTCAGCCGCCAGGTCAAATACTGTGTCATCCTGTTAGTTCTCACTTTTCTTCACAACCCATATCCAATCTTAAGTCAATTAATCTTTAATTGACTGCCTCAAAACCTATCATCCACCTGAGTATTCTCCATCTCTCCTCGCATCCCCACAGTCCCGGTCACTCTCCATCCTTACTAGGACTACCAATAGTCTTCCTGTGTCTATTCCTGCTCCTCTACAGAGCAGCCAGAGTAATACTTGCCAATTGTGTATCAGGTTATGTTGCTCTTCAGATCATGCCCTCCAGAGACATCCCATAGAGCAATGAGAATAAAATCTAGACTTCCTCCCATTGCTTAGAAGGCCCTGGTTTCCTCTGTGTCTTTCATCTCATTTTTAATCATTCTCTCCTTGCTCTCTCTGCTCTGTCCATGCAAATGGCCTTTGTGCTGCAACTCAAACACACCAAGCTTCTTCCTGTCTCGGAACCTCTGACATTGAGGTCCCCTCCACCTGAAAAACTCTTCTCTGGGCCCCCTAATGGCTTTGCTCTCTCACTTCCTTCAGTTCTGACTCCCCAGCTATTATAGCACCCCCATCACTCTCAACTCACTCACAAGGCTTCATTTTTCCTTCTAGCACTGATGATTCCTCCAAATTGTACTGCCTTTTTATATGCCTATTTTCTATCCTCCCCATCATAATGTAAGAACAAGGAATAGAACAAGGGGTCCTATCTGTGTTATTAATCCCAATATTCAGAGTATCTAATTTACTATGACTATATATTAGATGCTTAACCAACATTTTCTGAAGGAATGAGTCACCCAGTTTTCAACTGAGTGAATTTTGAACAGTCCTCACTTCATCAAGTATCTGCTCCCTTCGGAATTTGTGGACTATTTTGTTTCATTGTCTTCATTTTTTAGATCTGTCTAGTTGAGTGATACTCCCACAGCCTGTAAACTCCCAGAAGGCAATGATTGAGGGAGCCAATTAATCTAATTTAGCCTCCAAAGAGCTGCACATCAGGGTGCCTGACTTTCTTGTGTCCGTTTTAGACAGGCAAACATATCCATGTGACTGTAAAGACAATAGTGAAGGTCTCATATCTCAACAGCTCTAGACTCTCTTCCCTGCTAGTTTCTTGTTCAATCTCCATATAAATCTGAATTGGGTTTCACATCTGATTCTAAATCTACCTTTAGGTGAGGGTTGGAGTCGGAGATAGAGTGAGAAATACACATCTACTCCCCCAACTCCCAAGAGAGATGAAAACATACTGAAACTGTCATAAGAAGAATAGTCAAGAGCATATATTAAATCATTTATGTATGTCACATGTGGAAAAATAAAAATAACTATCTTAAACCAATAGAAATAGCTATCATAACTACATCTAAGCAATCAATATCTCCTTCTCATCTTCAATTTTTGATATGGGAACCTGTTTCCCTGAGGGCTAGATGCTGAGTTCTCCCAAATGAACACTTAATTCTCCCGTGTGCCTTGCTCTAGACCATCTCTCTTAGTGGTTTACAGGAGTGTGCTCTCTTCCTGAAAGCCCAGGGCCAAGCAGTGACCCTTTTGCTGTCACTGAAGCTGGGACAAATGAAGGTCTTTGCGGATTGTGCAGAGTCATCTGGGCACATCCAGAGCTTTGAAGTGCTTCATAATATGGTAAATATTGCAAGTCAACAGCTATCTAGATTGCAATATAAATAAGGTTGATGATGACAAAATATTTTAGTACAAAGACATCAGTTTAACTGAAGAAGTCATAGCTATCAGGCCTCACCATGACTAGGATGAAAGATCCTTCAAGACTGCCTGCCACCTCCGCCCTGATTCTACATTCCCCTCAGGAACCTTCTGGCTATTAATTTGGCTTCCCAATTATTCTGAAACCAGAAAGGAAGTGTCTTTGTGTGACTGTCCCCCAAAGTAAGTTAATAATTGGTCATGTGATCTTTGCTTTTAAAATATTTATTCCTTTTAACACAGTAATTTTATTTCCTATGACACTAATAAGCAATATGGTAAAAAAAAAACACTTTGCATAAAAATGTTTATAACAGTATCATTTATAATGGCAAAATTTTTGGAATAACAAACGTTATATATCTAAGAGTGGTTTAGTAAAACACTTGACTCATTCTTATATATGCTGTCATTAAAAACATATTTTAATGTCTACATAATGACATAGAAAAATGCTCACAATATAACGTTGAGAAAAAAAGAATATAAAACTGTTTAGTATGACTCAAAATTTATAAATGTTGTATGTGTGTGGAGGGTGTAAAATACTAGAAAGATACCAAAATATTAATAACGCTTGGATCAAATGATAATTTTAAAAACTATTCTTATTCTACTATATTTTTTTGTTCTCTTATATTTTTTGTAATTTCTAAATTTTGCATGAGCATATAATACTTTTTAAATCAGAAAACTACGCATAAATTTACATCTACTTAAGTAATATTTTAGCCAAAAAGGATTTCCTTTCAGAGACATACCACATTTTTTCTATACGTTTTCCCCCATCAGAAAAGTACATTTACTTTGCAGAGGTCACTAAACTCTAAGTTAGTTATAAAAATCATTAAGAATGGAGTCCCTGAAAATATGCAGTTTTAAAATGTTATTTAAGTGAAGGCATAAATACCATAGTTCAGGAAACTGTAAGAATTTTCATTGTTAAGTGTGATCACAGCGATGAAATAATAAAATTAAAATTCTTATTCAAAATCTAATGCCCAGATGCCTATAACTCATCAGGTGCTTGAGGAGTTAATTTCCAGAAAAATGAGTAAGTAGCATGAATTGTGACATATCTATTCTCCTACCCCTCCCCCCATCTCTGAAAATATCCAGAATTTGCTTTAAAAGCTATGCAAAAATGGCAACCCCCCATACAGATAAAAAAGATCAAGGGAGGGAATGAAAGATGAAGCAGCAGATGAGATAATAGACAAGATAATTACAGAGTTTTAAAAGCCTTGGATTTATTTTTAAGATGTAAGAGCTCTATTTAGAAAAGCCCATAGCTAACTTTATGTGAATCTTGAATGAATTGTTCTGAAACATGTGAATAGTAATAAAATGAAGGAAAGAAGAGTTCACTTTGTTTTCTGTGCAATGACTATCCTGACTGTCCCCATGGCTAAGGTGGCCTGGTGACGTTCTGTCCTTTACATGAAAGGTTAATGCCACTGACTTCCCCATGGGCAGATCAGGGCTTGGGGTTTTGTAGCACAAGCTATTTGCCTCTCTCTGACTTTTCACCATGGCCCACAAAATAAAATTGCTGTGGTTTTAAAAGAATTAAGAAGCATCGTTCTGTCTCTCTCTCTCGCTTCCCAATAAAGGAATACTAACATCTCAGTTGTGAGGTCAAGAACAAACGAAACCTCTTCTGTGCTTTTGTTTTTAAGCCGGTCTGTTCTCAGATGGTACTTGCCCTTTTCTCTGGAATTTGCCCATTGGCCACATACAGCATTCTCTCCATGCATAAACCATTCTCTGCCATGCTCTGGCCTAGAGCTCTAGGCCAGAGGTCTTCTGTTTGCACTACTTTGGGTTGGATGGGCAAATAGTTACCCATGGCCTAGATGCAAGGTCTAGTGAATATGTAAAAGCTGATCTTTTGGCCTCTATCTGACTCAGTTGTCTGTTTTTAGGTGGTTCCTAATTAGGAGAGAGAAAAGAGTTTGGCTACTACTTACTTCAGAGAACCCAAAAAGGCTGCATTTCCTTGAGTGGTCTTCAACTTATACTGACATGTCCACATTAGTTCAGAATGGATCTCTCACTTAGGTGACAAGATAAGGCTATATATTGCCAGTATTGCCAATCAAATGAAAGGTTGAGGTTTAGGCCACAAAATGTATTCTAATTGGTACAATTTATAGGTATAATTTATCTGAGTGCAGGGTTCTAGAAAACAAAATCTCAGCATTATTGGGAAGGATGGATTGTCTACTGATGACTTTAGGATTAGAGGAAGCACTGTGGCTTCTTGGAGAAGAGAATGAATTAGGAATTTATTTTGAAAAAAAGTCATTTATAAGGAATTTTAATCTGTCACAATCTAGAGTCCAAATCTGAGTGGCAATGTTAGGCATTTTCAGCAGGAGACTAATTTAGAGCCACATTCTTTGAGTGTGTGGAGATGTACTTCCTTAAGTGTAGGTAAACAATTTACCTTTAAAACTAAACAGAGTGTATTATGTCAGTCTTGGTCCTTCAGGACATAGCTGCTAGGACAGAGGTAAACAAGCAACGGTTTTATTGGCAGAACCGTCTGTGTGAGAGAAAATGGGAGACCGTATGCAAGTCTGGCACTGAGTATAGGGGAAAGAAAAAGGACAGGTTGAGTAGAAGCATCTGAGGTAGCAAGGCTGCCAGGGAGTCCTGTGTCTCCAGGAATGAGCCTGCCTCAGTATGCCTGCCCCATGAAGCCAATGGCTGGAATCATCCTGGGAAGCATGGCCAGGCACAACTCACAGGTGTGGGGTTGAATTTTAGAAGGTCCCACCTGGGGCCCTGGGTCAAATTGCTCCCCGTCATTGCGGCCTGCAAAGCACCTTACCAAGGCCACCTGACCCAGGATTTAGTAACCAAGAGAAACAAAACTAGACTGTTTTCGAAGCTGTATTTCCACTGTAATTTGCTAACAGTACTCCACCAGTGGAATGTTTACTTACCTAGGAAGCAACTGATTGAGAAAATCACTATTTTTGGTATGTCATGTACATAACTGAGAAACAGTTACAGGAAAACAATTTGCTAATGAACAAGACAAGCTCAAGGGGTATTCAGAATTTGCCAAGAATCGTTCCATACTGTTTTTTTCATCAGGGACAGTGTTTGCTCTGAATACTAGGTCTATTACCTGCTAAATTTCTGAATTCCCAATATGTGGTGTGTGTGTATGCATGTGTGTGTGTGTGTGAGAGAGAGAGAGAGTGCGTGTGTGTATGTGTGAGAGAGTGCGTGTGTGTGAGAGAGAAAGAGAGAGAGAGATGTGTGGTGTAAGAGAACTGAGGAGAGAAGCAGAGAGAGATTTGAGATCCCTAGAGCTCAAACACATGTCAGTGTTCAGTCAATAGCTAGCTGGCACATGTGGAGCTAAATTTAAACATATGTTTTTGGTTTAAAAAACCTTGTCCTGACTGCCAGAGGAAGAGAGAGGTCTTAAAGTTTGCTTTTAACCATCCTGAATTTATAATAGGGTGTTCATATGAAGCAAAACATAATAAAATACATTTATCAGAAACACATTTATGTTTGTACCAGAAGAATAGGGTCATAATAATCTATCTAAAAGTTTTATGGGGGATTATTCTAGGCACTTATTTTTCAAAGCTTTTGCATATTTCACATAAGCCTGTGCAATGTAATTTTTATAATGGTTCCTCAGATATATCATTTTTACTATCACCAAGATCTTTTTTCATCTGAGTGAATGAGGATGAGGTGATGTTTCTTTGTCATAAAGTTGAGGATCTGAAATGGTTATAGGGTACAGCCTCATCAAATCTCTTGATTTTGCCATGCAATGGGATGGGGCACAAGTGTTCTCTAAAACAGGTATGCTAGCTACATAGTCCTGTCCACATAGAGTCACTTTCTGATCACCAAGGTAATCCAAGAGCAGAATATTTGGTCTTCAGAACTTTTCCCCCTCATTTAATAGCTGTTTCTCAGTTGTGTGCCAGCATTATGCCCTTCACTTCACTTGATGAAAAATATTTAAAAGTGGCTATGTGAAACCTACTGTTTCATATTGCAGGGATATTGTTGAGGCCATTGTCTATTATATTAAAATATCCTCTCCTTGGAGAAATTTCTTCCATCTCAATTCTTGGAAATATTGTTTTTTTCCAGCGTACCTGACAAATGCTTCCTTCTAGGCACTTTGAGTCTTGATTCTGATCATGCTTTTCTCTTCACTTTGGCCAATGGGAATCTCAAAGGCAAATTCACAACTAAACTTTAATCATTGTGCAGACATCTTAGTGCACATGTCTGTGTCTAAAATTTACCCATTTTCTACTCTAGAAGAGTTATTTGTTATTTTAACTTAACATGTTTGTCTGCAGTCCATAGAGATTAACTTTTGGAAAAAATATATGGTGTAAGTAAAACAAATGTAAATTTTCTGGAGTTTTACAGTAACTGTAAAATCAAATCTAATTCATTTCAGATCCCCAAGAGCCTTTCTTCTTTTTCTTATGATCTCTAGGACTGAAAATGACACTGTAGCTCATCTCCTAGAAGAAGGCAGTTAATCAGCAACACAACATCTTGTGAGGGATCACATTTCTGTTTTACTGAAATGAGACTGTGAGCTGATTTTGACAATAGATATACTGACGCATTCCATGAGTGCATGCTCGTGTGTGTATGTGAATAACAGAAGATTTTGAGATCCACCAGAAGATAAACAAAGAAAATGGTGACATTTCACCTGGTTTCCCTCTCCTGCCTCTCCCTCCATAATTTTTTGGTCTTCCAGAGCTGAGTCACATTGACAAGTTCAATTCTCTCTAAAAGCACATCTCTTGCCCTTGCATTGCCGCTGACTCACGTACCTGAAATCTTTCCTTTGTGTGGAACGTACTTTTACTTTTGAACTCTAACCTGTTCCTTCATTGCCCTTCCCAGCTTGGTTTTCTTCCTAGTTTTCTTCTGTTCTTCACCGCCTTCAACAGTGAGCAAAGTAACATCTGATGCTCTTGTTACACAGCTTTCTTTTTTAGAGGCCATTACAAACTTACAGAGATAAAAATAACAATATGAAGGATGTATTGTGCAAATCTTTTTAAAAGCCTGCAAAACAGCAGAAAGAAATCAATTAGAATTGCCATGGCAACTACCAACAATTTTATATGCAAGAACGAAATAAAATAAGAAAAGTAACAAAATAGAAAATGCATAAACCGATTCAAATACCATGAAGTGTTTATGAAGTAAACACTGTAGAGTGAAGCTACATGAAAATAGATTTCATTAAGGTAAATGAAACATAGTTTAACTCTTCATTACAAATGAGCGAGGTATAGATCATGAAATAAACTATTATTGATAAACTCTTAATGATATAGTTTTTTAGTTAAAACAATTTTTGGAAAACAAGTTTAGACAGATCAGAAGAGTAAATTAAAATGTATAAAGTGCAATTAAGAATAACATTTTTTCTAAGCATATATTTCTTCTAATAATACTTAAAGCTCATATATTAAATTTGATAGCTAGAGGTAAATTAAAGAAGTGGGACAGGATATGTAACTAAAATACCTGATGGAAATTAGAAAAGAACAGAATTCTAGGACATGAGTGCTCTGGATTTCTGTCCTCACCTTCTAGAGTTAAGGTATCGACTTCCTCATCCTAAATCAGTGATTCTCAATCCTGCCTGCACATAAAAATCACCTGGGTTATCCAGATCTATGTATCCCAATATTACAATGTCTGGAACCCATACCAAATCTATTACATTAGAATGTCTGAGGGTGTAATCTGGTCATTTGCATTTTTAAGGCTTTCACAGGATTATATATGCAGCTAGTGTTGGGAACCAGGGCTGAATCTATACCTTAGCCTGCCTGCACTCTTACCTACTACCTACGGTATTACCAGGAAATTCAGTATCTCTCTGTTTGGATTCCTTTGTGTGGTAGGCAGAATAGAGGCCCTCCCAGTAGATGTGTTTCCTATACCCTGGAACCTGTGAATATTAGGTTTCATGGCAAAGGAGAATTAAGGTTGCACATGGCATTAAGATTGGCAACCAGCTGACCTAAAAATGGGAGAAATATCCAAGTGAGCTCAATATAATCAAAAGGGTTCTTATGAGTGGAAGAGAGAGGCAGAAGAAAAAGAACCAGAGGCAGCAGTGTAAGAAGGACTCAGCCTCACTGCTGAAGGAAGGGGTCACCAGCCAAAATATGTGGGCAGTCCTCAATTGCTGCAAAGGGAAAGAAACAGATTCGCCTCTAGAGTCTCCAGAGGGATGTGGCCCTGACTACACCCCTATTTGAGCCCTGTGAGACCCAGTTCAATCTTCAAACCTACAGAACTGTAAGATAATAAATTTGTATCGTTTTAAGCCACTAAGTTTGTGGTAATTGGTTATAGCAGCAACAGAAAACAGATACATCTTGTCTCCATAAATTATCCCCAAAATCCTGGGTCTTACGTAGTCCAAAAATGTCAGTACAACTTAAACATCGTGTTGCTACTGCGAATCTGCCCTTTGCGGGCCCATGGAAGATTCTTGGTCACTCTAAAATACTGCCTCACTATGCAGATTCCCATTCAGGCCTCTGCAGTCCTTTCAGAGATGTAGCTCCCTCCATTTTAATCACAGCCAAAAGTTCCCTATAGTTTTTCTTCTTCAGCTTTTCCAATGGCCTCTCTTCCTTTCAGGAATCTATAGTCAGGATTTATATAACTTTCACTTTTCCAACCTAAAGCGTAAGTTGCCTGATGATACCTCCTTTTCAGGGTGAAAGACAACTTGTTTCAAGAGGCAGCTTCTATGTTGCCTGTCCCCCGTAATTGCTGGGTACACTGGCCTTCTTACCATTACCGCAGGGCCACGTGTCCTGCACCTACCTCCGGAAGTAGAGTTCACTTCAGTGGTGCCAGGACTTCCTCTTAACCCTTCCTCCCAAATGTGAGTTCCAAAGTTGGTTATCTGGCATGTCCCTTCTCATATGGAGTCAAAAACACAAATCAATTCATCTCCAGGAGAGCATTCTATCATATGGGATCTCCCACTCTAACTTGAGAATCACATAGGCTCACAATTAATGTGAGGAAACCACAGTTAAACTGTTCTATTTTTCACAGGATCTTTTGGATCCTAAACAATGTTTATATGTCTGCCAGCCTGGGATGAGCTAGAGAGGTAGTGGAAGGACTATCAAAACTTAAGAAAGACATCACCACCATTGAAGACATTACTCAGAAAATAACACTGATGATTCCAATGTGCCACTGTGGCATCCTGTGTACGATGGTAATCTCAACTTTCGCCTAGTCACTACACTGGCGTTCATCTCCATCCATACCACCATTCAAAACTCTGTGAAGAAACACTTGATATTCACTGTTAATGGCAATGTGCAAGACTATACCTGAAATTTCATTGTTCTTACCACTTTGCTTTCCTCTAGAGAGAAAGCACCAGGTGTACCTCTAATTCTGTCCTAACACAGGGATAGCTGTGTGTTCAAGTATAATGATGCTATTTTATAGTTGCCCCTACCCTGAAATAAAACATAATCAGTAAGGAATTCTTGAAAGCCTGTAAGTGGAAATAGCAGAGTGGACGTGTCGATATAGTATATGAGGAGCACCTGGTAGAAGGGCAGTGGGGTGGGAGGGGGGAGTGGGAAAGAGGGAGACAGCAAAATTATAAGCGAGACTGATTGAGTGCAAGCTAGTGAAAGCATGAAATTTATGTTTATTATTCCTTTCATTTTAAGTTCCAGAATCAGGGATTTTGTTGTGGGTAGAAACTGTACTGGGTTATGGTATGTAGATTACATTTCAATAGAGCAGTTAATTTTTCAAATGGCACTGGGTACCTGTTTCAGCTTTAGATCCAGTGTTTCCTGTAGGTTGAGAGGTGTCCTGGAATCCCAATCCAATTTCAGGAGAAAGAGGCAGCTTAATGAGACTGGAGGAGTGGATGCATTCTGTTCTTTATTCCTGTCACTTCAGCCAAGTGATATGCACTACTGTTTAATCCACTGCCTCCTAGAACAGGCAAAGCTTATTTAATGTCATGCAAAGTGTCTACCAATGCAGGAATCAGCTTCAAAAGTGAATATTTTAAAATCCCTAATGGGCCCTGCTTAGAACTAAAGGTTATGAAGGAAAGCATTTTATTTTGATTTTCTCTTCAATATTGAGGGGGCTAATAAAGGTAAATGTTGTGATGCAGATAAATTAGAATCCTGAGTGTCTTTGTAAAGCCAACAGAAAACATGGAGTCCTTGTGGGGAAAATTACGCAAGTAGGTTATGAGCTCTGGACTACTCTAAATGAATAAATAGTGTGCTGGGGAGACTGTATACACATAATACATGTTGGGAAGTTCAACATATGTTCTGTATAATGATTGGTAAATATATGAGACTCTAACAACAACAACAGCAACAACAATTCAAAGAGAAACATATACACATGCTTTCCTACAGTTAGCAGATTAGAAACATAAGTCTAATTGTTCTTTTTTTTTTTTTTCTTTTTTGTGGTTTTTATGTTGACAACACGAAAATACATTGCAGTGATTTTGGTCCTACTCAGGCCTCAGTTTGGGGGCCAGCTCTACCACAAACCAGCTTTTTGAACTTTTTGACCCTGAGTAAGTTATTTTATCTCTCTAAATCCCTGTTTTCTTATAAGCTTAAAAGTCTGAAATAAAAAATACCATAAGTAGTTATTGGGAATAAATAATATATGCAATAACAGTATGAATAAAAAAATACCATGAGTAGTTATTGGGAAGAAATAATGTATGCAAGGTACCTTGTACATAATTGGTGCTTATTAAATGTTAGTCTCCGCTCTTCCGTTTAATAAGCCTGTTATGCCTAATAACAACTGGAAGTCAGTCTTTGGTAAAAATATGAAAGGAACAGAGAGGAATGAAAGAATTTGAATGGGCCAGGAATGTAAAAGATGGTAAAGTTTCCTTAAATTGTGGGGCAATCATATATTGATTTTTCTCAATATCCTTCCATTGTAGCTAATAAACTCCTTTTCATATTTGTATTTAGAGATACGGAATATCCCAGAAAAGAAAACAGGACTAAATTAAGTGCATTTAAAACCATCTTGTCTCAAGATGGTTGCCATTCAGAAAAGCAAAATAAGTAAAACCCTAAGCAGTGATGTTTGAAGTGTGGAACATAAAATCAATATAATGGTCTCAAACAGCATTTTAAAAAGTTAAATAGAGTAGAATAGAATATTTCAGAGTACACCAAATTGAATAAGGGTAAGCTTTATTCCATGAAGCTATTATTTCAGATACACACATACACCATGCATGGGTGTGTATCAGGTCACAATGTAAAAGGTATTTCTTACTGTGGGTTGTGGTAAGGAAAAAAAATATTTAAAAGCCACTGTCCAAAAGGGAAAGAAATAGCTATGTTCCTTTTCAATAAATTAGATTCTGTCTTGGCCTTGTTCAAAGAAATGGTGTCATTGCTTTTAGGGGATGTAGACTTCTATCTCAAGATTCTTGTCCTTGAGTCATCTCCAAATGATTCACATTATTTCAGATCATGATGTAGTTTTATCAATATTTCCATACATTTCATCAGGAAAATAGATAAGAAACATTGTCAAGTTGAAGTAAGAAAAAATTTAAAAGGATATTTTTATTTTCTTCAGATTCCTGATAGCTCCTCCGAAAGATAGTAACAAAAAAATATGAGACAGAAAATACCAGATAAACTCACTCTGCTTTTTTCTAAAGAATGTTTTCCGCTGGGCACGGTGGCTCAACCTGTAATTCCAGCATTTGGTGAGGGTGAGCCAGGTGGATCACGAGGTCAGGAGTTCAAGACCAGCCTGGCCAAGATGGTGAAACCCCATCTGTACTAAAAATAAAATAAAGGCCGGGCGCGGTGGCTCACGCCTGTGATCCCAGCACTTTGGGAGGCCGAGGCGGGTGGATCACGAGGTCAGGAGATCGAGACCATCCTGGCTAAAACGGTGAAACCCCGTCTCTACTAAAAATACAAAAAATTAGCCGGGCGTGGTGGCGGGCGCCTGTAGTCCCAGCTACTCGGGAGGCTGAGGCAGGAGAATGGCGTGAACCCGGGAGGCGGAGCTTGCAGGGAGCCGAGATCGCGCCACTGCAGTCCGCAGTCCGACCTGGGCGACAGAGCGAGACTCCGTCTCAAAAAAAAAAAAAAAATAATAATAATAATAATAATAAATAAATAAATAAATAAATAAAATAAATTAGCCGGGCGTGGTCCACCTGTAATCCCAGCTACTCTGGAGGCTGAGGCAGAGAATTGCTTGAACCCGGGAGGCAGAGGTTGCAGTGAGCCGAGATTGCGCCACTGCATTCCAGCATGGGCGACAGAGCAAGACTCTGTCTCAAAAATAAAAATAAAAAAGAATGTTTTCCTAAGTCATCCAATAGCCATACATCAATGAAAGCATTTAAGTGCATAGATAGATGTAAGATATTGCAAAGGAATTGACTCAGAAAGAGACTGGTCTTGGTTAAAAAAGAAAACAAAACAATTGGGCTATATAGGAGCTAATGCTTAATTAACTCCTACTCTGGGCCTAACATTCCATCAAGTGCTGTAACATAATTATTTTATTTAGTCCTTAAGCAAAGGCAGGTAGTATATATTCCCACTTTACAGGTGAGAAAAATGAGCCTCTGATTGGTTACTACCCCAAGACACCCCACAATCCTGAACCACATCTGTCTGCCTAATTCCAAGCCGAGATGTATCTGCTCCACTTTTTCTCGAAGCACCTGTCCTTCAAGTCCTGCTCCTTGTTTTCCTGCCTTTTTGCCCCGTGGAAACCATCCCTTCACTCCTGTTAGTGCTTCATGCTTTCTTCCCATCAGAACTTATTTTCCATATTAAGTTATTTATATCAAAATGCAGGTAATGACATTGCTTTGCCTTGCATTTGTAATAGGAATCAAATCTTCGGCTAAAGAGACTCCTCCAAGGTGGAATTTCAAACATCAGAGAAAAGGTCGAGGAAATTTTAGGGATGGGAGGTGGGGGAAGAAGAAAGGGAAAGGAGTATTTTATGATGCTTTTATATCTTACCAATGCAGTGTTGTTCATTGCATAAAAAGTTGTCCAACTTCTAATCCCCCTTCAGGATCCCCATGACTCTCCTGTGTGCTTTGCATTCCATATCTGTTCAAGTCCAGTCTGCTTTGCTTACATGCTGAGGTTTTTCTTGTTTAAAACTAAAACAAATTACAGTTAAGTAGGCCACTAAAATGTTTTTTAAACTATCAATTTGGCAGAGACCTCATTTTTTTCTGCCTCTGTAATTCCATTCTGTACACCCTCAATGAATGCACACACAAAAAGTGACTGGCAGATAGAATTTAGAATCCATGAAAAGAAGTAACCATTGTCTCCCTTCTATCAGAGTTCAGGTTCTTTATTGTAAAGTTGGTGTTTGGTCCTTAGATTTTCAGGCCACAGAAGCCCAGTTCTACCCACAAATAAAGGTACTAGGGCCCTCCTCCTTCACCTCACCAGACGTCAGGATTCTCTTTTGGTCTTAGTGGTTCTAGTTGCTCCTTAAAGGGTAGCCACATGGTGATGACTTATTAAAGATGGTTGGATGAGACAGGCATTGAGTGCAGACTGGGCAAATTCCCACACTATTAAAGTCATGTCAGTATCAGCACAGGCATCTGGGTGTAGGTTTATAACATTTCCACTAATGCAAAGTCATGAGGACATCTCCTATATTATCATCTGGAAACGATGTTGTCTTGCCTTTCACATTTAGGTCTATAATTCGTCTGTAATAATTAACTTACTTATGTTGTGAGGAAGAGGTAAAATTTCGTTCTTTTTTTCCATTGAATATCTCTTTGATCCAGTTCCTTCTATTGAAAAGACTATCTTTTCCCTTCCTTCCTACATTGCCTCTTTTATCCACATTCAAGTGTCCAAATATATGTGTGTCTGTTCATTCACTCCCTCTGTCCTGCCCTGTTTGTCTATACTCATTGGATGCCATACTCATTGGATATCATATAGAATGAATCCCGACTTTGTTATGCATCTTTAAGAAAATCTTGGCTATTTTTAGCCTTTTATATTTAAAAATAAAATTTTAGAATCAGCTTATCTAGTTCCATTAACCAATCTGTTGAGATTTTCATTGAGATTCCATTGAATCTATATATAAATTTTGAAAGAATTATAATTTGAATAATTACATTTTCAGTTTCCAATATATATGTTCATAGGATACTTCTCCAGTTACCCAATATGTAGTTTTTTTAATCCTTCACCCCTTTCCCAACCTTCCCCTCCAAGGCCTCAAAGTCCATTGCATCATTCTTATGTCTTTGTGTTCTCTTAACTTAGCTCCCATTTATAAGTGAGAACATGCGATCTTTGTTACTGAGTTACTTCACTTAGAATAATAGCCTCCAACTCTACCCAAGTTGCTGCAAAAGACATTTCATTTCTTTTTATTGCTGAATAGTATTCCATGGTGTATATATACCACATTTTCTTTACCCACTCGTTAGTTGATGGGCACTTATCCAATCCTTTATTTTCTTTCTTGCTTTGCTACACCAGCAAGTTATGTTAAAAAGCATAATGTTGAAAAGAGAGTACATTTGCCCTCTTACTGATCATAGAGGAAACACTTTCAACTGTTTATTCTAAGAATGTTATAAGGATTTCTTTTCTTTCTGCATCATTTTTTAACAAATTTTTATTATGAATCAATGTTAAATTTGATGATATTGTATCTTATATTCCCGGGAAGATATAACCTGGTCATAATGCTTTCTTATATTTTATTTAAAACTTTTGCATCTATATTCATGAATGAAAATGGCTGGTAGCTTTTCCTTCTGTTATTGCATTTGTTAGCATTTCTTATCAAGATTATGCTAGCATTACAAAGTGATTTTAGGACTGCACCCATTTTTTAAAGTTTTTAAACCTGTAATAATTTCTTCCTTAAAGTTGATAGAACTTACCATTAAAATCATCTGGGTGGGTTTAGAGTTCTATTTGTGGAGAGGATTTTAATCATTGTGTCAGTTTTATGGGCCTATTAACAGTCTCCATTTCTTAAATAATTTGCCTAAGAATTTCTCCATTTCATCTAAATGTTTAAATTTGTTGACATAAACTTGCTCATAGCATCCTCTTTTCATCTTAATATCTGTAGAATCTGTAGCAATATCCTTTTTTCATTCTTCTTATTGATTAATGGGCCTTCTTTCTCCTTTTCTGGATCAATTCTGCCAAGGCTTTATTTGTTCTATCAACTTTTCCAAGGAACTAACTTTTGGCTTTGCTGATCCTCTCTATTGTATGTTTATTTTATTTTTTTAACGTCTGCCCAAATCATTATTCATTTTTATTTCTTATTTATCTGGGGTTGGTTTGCTGTTCTTTAATAATATCTTTACAAGGATGCTTAGATCATTGATTTTTTTGCCTTTCTTCTTCTCTAACATAATTAAGTACAGTACTGCATTAGCTGCTGTCCACAAGCTTTGATTTGGTGTATTTTTATCACTATTTAGTTCAAATTATTTCTAATCTCCATTGTGATTTCTTCTTTTACCCATTAGTTATTTAGAAGTATATTTCTTCATTTCCAAATTAATTTTTATTAATATCTAGTATAACTTCATTGGATTAGAAAACATATTCTACTGAGAATTTTGTGACTGTGCATGCTTGAAAAGAATAAGTTTTCTGCAGCTGTGTCTATTAGGTCAATTTTGTTAATCACGTTATTTAAATCTTGTATGTTCCTTCTTTTTTGTTTTATTTTTCTGTAAGTTACTGAGTCATAATAAAAATGTCTCACTATGATTGTGGATTTATTTTTCATTTAATTATGTCAATGTTTCCCTCACATATTTTGAGGCCTTGTTATTAGTTGTGTGCAAATTTTAAATCCTCATGGTAAATAGGACATTTTATCATTATGTAGAGATGTATTTATCTATAGAGTTTATTATACTGTATTTATTATATAAAAACGGTATATTAGTATAGCTATAGCTGATTTCTTTGGGTTGGTGTCTAAAGGATTCTTTTTTCTTTTTACTCTCAAATTTTCTATATCCTTATATTTTAGATAAGTTTTTATAAACAGTACATAATTGCATTTTCTTTTGTTTTCAATCGAATTTGCACATTTTGCTTTCAAATTGAGTTTTTGATCCTTTTATATTCAATGTAATTACTGATATATTTGAGTTAAATTTATCATCTTATTTTGTGCTACTTATCCCAACTGTTCTATTTGGATTTTTTTATCATTCCAATTTTTGTCTGTACTATCTTCACAGTTGTAATTTTTCAATTTTTTAAAGTAATTTAACTACAAGTAACAACATGTTTTTTTGTTTTTGTTTTTGTTTTTTGCCTTATCAAACTTCAGTGTTAATTGAAAACCCTTCCATTGCTCGCTGGCTTCCTTTGTTACTATTGAGAAGTCAGTTCTCAGTCTAACTGTTCTTCCTTTGAAAGTAACTGCTTCTTTTCTGATGCTTTAAGATTTTTGTCTCTGTCTATTGTTGTCTGAAGTTTTGCTGCAATGTCTGGGTGTGAGTTTCTTATAATTTATTTTGCTTAGGATATATGGAGATTCTTAAAGTTGTAGATTGATATCGTTTTTACTTTTGAAAAATTCAGAGCTGTTATTTCTTCCAATTTTATATCTGTCCCATTCCCTTCACACTTTCTGGGCTACAACTTGTCACTGACCACTTATGCCTCTTATCCACTCTTTTCCAATTCTTCCCTTTTATTTCTGTGTGCTGCATTCTGGAGGATGTTTTCTTCTTGTCTTCCATTTAAAAATGTTAGCTACATTTCATTTGCTCTTAAGCCCATCTTAATTTTGAGTATTATATTTTTGGATTTTTTTCTTAATATGTCACATTAAATTTTAGAGTTTCCTTTTCACGGATGTTTTTAAGCTTGGAATTTATTTCATAAATGTAAAAAGCATCGTTATTTTGTGAACCATATCTGATCATTTCAATAATTCATGTTTTGGAGGCTTTTTTTGTAGCTTCTCTGTCTTCTGTTACTCATTCAGTGATCTTGTTGCCTTGTAAACCCTTATTTTTCATTGTATGATGGAAATTATATTTTATAAGTCATATGGAGGAAGTGCTGAGGCCTGTTATGATGATGTCTTTCTCTTGAGAGGATATTCATTTGCTGCTGCAAATAGCAGTGTGTGTTATCATTCCAGAAATATCTTAATATAATGTCAGAGTTGAAGTTTACTTGTACTGTTAAATGATGCAAAACTGACTACAATTCTGTGCCAGGGCTGGTTTCCTAGCAGCTACTCCTCATATTGAGAGTGTGGCCTTTCAGATTCTCAGCTCGAAGGGGGCTTGAGTTATTAAATCCCTACTCCTGAATCCCTATTCCTGGCAGGTTTTAGTTTCTGACTTCTGTTTGTCCGGCTCTGAGGAATCATCAAAAAATATAGTTTAGCTTTGCAGCTGCTTCCCCAGACTTGGCAGAAGCCCGCAGGGGGGAAAAAAAGTGATTTTACGGCTGGGTTTCTTTCTCTAGTTTCTTGTCTTTTCCTAGATCTTGACTTTAAACTTCCTCACTATCTTGGACGTCTTTGATGCTTTCAAGTAAGTGCTTTTTATACTTCATCCAATCTTTTTGGTTGTCCTCAGCAAGGGGATTGGTCCAAAATACCATGTTAGCCTTATAGAAGGTAGAAAGCAATAAGATATTAAGTCAAGATACATAATTTAAATAGGCTATTTAGAGTCTCTACGATATTATTTAAAATAATATATGTATTATTATATAAATAGGTAACCATCAAAATAGCTAAAAAGAAAGAGATGGCCACATGCGGTGGCTCACGCCTATAATCCCAGCACTTTGGGAGGCTGAGGCTCGTGCTGATCACGAGATCAGGAGATCAAGACTATCCTGGCCAACATGGTGAAACCCCATCTCTACTAAAAATAGAAAAATTAGCCAGGTGTGGTGGCGCACCTGTAATCCCAGCTGTTCGGGAAGCTGAGGCAGGAGAATCACTTGAACCTGGGAGGCAGAGATTGCAGTGAGCCGAGATCACACCACTGCACTCCAGCCTGGCGACAGAGCGAGATTCCATCTCAAAAAAGAGAAAAAAAAGAAAGAAAGAGATTTGGATTCTACTAGTGGTTTCCTATAGGGATCAGTATCGAGTGTGAGAAAGGTTACAGCAGATGACTGTCATTTCCATGATACACCCCACGTCCTAGTTGAACTTTCAATCATGCTGTATGTGTGGCCGAGGTCACTGAATATCCCCAGTACGTATTCTCCCCTTTTCCTTTTAGTCATAGAGGGCAATGCAGCTACAGACTCTATTTTCTAGCCTTTTGGAAAGATGTGGCCAGCTAGGTAGCGGCTCAGTTTGGCCAAAGGGTATGATTATTAATGAAACTTCCTTAAGGTCTCTTCTTTAAGAATAAAGCCATGTAACCCAGACTTTCCCTTTTCCCACCTTCTGGAATTGAGACATCAAGAAGAAACAGCTTCAGTCATGCAGATAAACACCCTAGGCGATGACAGAATAACAAGACAGAAAGAACTCGGGGTCATGAATGACTTGTGGTTTGTATGCTCTGGACTACACACATTCCTCTAGCTGTTACATGAGAGAAAAATATGCTTCTGTTATATTTAAGCCACTGTATTTAGATCTCTTTGTTATAGCAGCTTAGCTAGCTAAAATAACATAGACGTAGTTGGGTAAAAATTTAAAAGTAAAGTATTTTATAAAAAGAATAATGGTGCCAGAAAATGTGAGTTTGATCTCTATGAGATGATGATATTAGGGAAAGAGGGAAAGAGGGAGTATATGACAGTATTTTTCATGGAGACTGGGTCAGTGTACAGCTATATGTATTAACCAAAATAAAGAAAAGTGATAGCCCTGGGAACCATAGAAAGAAAACAGGGTAAAGAGAGTGAAAAGTCAACAAGCCATATTGGGAGTAGAAGCAAAGTGTGGAACTATGATGTGAAACTCCTGGTTAGTGACGAAACTTCTCTTAGTTAATTGACATCAGTCTTGTATGAGTGATGAGACTCTGCATACCTGTGGTCTTCTTAATTGATAAGTCATTTATACAGATCATAATCCGTAGACAAATAATTTAGAGGGCACAGTCTAATAATAATAACAATTGGTATTGTTGAGCAATTACTATGTGCCAAATACTGTGCTATGTACTTTATTATCCAAGTAACACTCACAATATTACAATATAGGTACCATTATTATCCCTATTGACAGAAAGTTCTATGATTTGCCAAAGTAAAGCATCTGATGTGTGACACAGCTAGCATTCAAATGCAGGGTGTTTGATGCCAAAATCTTTAGAGTTAACAATAATGAAATATGGTAACAGATAGTTTTGGGGACTCTAAAGAGCTAAGAACGTCAGATGTGGAAGAAGACACTGTGAGGAAGGGAATTAAAAGGAAGACAAGGGTCAGAGTGCCAGGGTGTAGTCTTGGGAACAGAACCCCTAGGGCTGGTGGAAGCAGGCGCACCCTTGGCAGAGGACAAGAGTGATTCCACCCCGTGTGTGTTCTGAACCCATTTGAGCAGAGATCCACCAAACATCATCAGGGATGGAAGACCGGTGTTCAGACTCTCACAATCAGGGCAGCTAGAATTTCTGCTGGAAGTGGGGGTGCTGAAAGTCACAAAGCTAGCTGACAGCAGCAGCAGCAGCAGCAGCAGTGATAACAGCAGTGGCAGAACGTGCATGATGTGATAGTTAAGACCTCAGGGAGAATGAGGAATCCTGCAAAAGCCAGAGAAAGAAATGGGCTAGAGGCTGGGTGGAGGGGCCTTTATAGAACTGTCAGACGAGAGAGTCTGAGGAGGGCAGAGCAGGTTGGCAGCATTCTCTACCTTCAGAGAAACAGAAATAATGATAGCAATGAAAACAGTGGCAGGCAGAGGACTGGAGAGGCAGCCCAGAGAGAGGAAAGCAGGCTTGGCAGGAACTTGGCTTTTTACCTACCTGGGGAAAAAGTTTTGTGTCATTTTTTTTTCTTTTTCTTGTGGGGCATAAGGAAATAATCAG
Organism: Homo sapiens; assembly: GCF_000001405.40. NCBI lineage: Eukaryota > Metazoa > Chordata > Mammalia > Primates > Hominidae > Homo > Homo sapiens. The sequence continues at coordinate 3,661,374 of NC_000009.12, read as the reverse complement.
CCCCTCTGGAGATCTTTTACTTGAGTGTCTATCTCTTGGACTGTCATTTTACTTGGTGTGCAGTGTATGGAACAAAGGCAGAATAGAAGTCCTTCATAGGCTGATGCCTCATTATAAATATGAGTTAGCCAAGGCATTTAATTTTCCACTTTATGCAGTTAAACACTGCATCCTGTGCAGGGGTTAGATTTAACATTAAGCTATTTGTACAAGATTTGAAAGAATGAAGTCCATGGCTGAGCTCCAACTGTGACTTTAAAGTAGCTTCCTTATCTCTGAGACAAAGGGGTTGGGCTAGATCACTTCTAAAATCCTCTTGGTTTTCTGATTTTGTTTGTTTTGACTTACTTAGGGAGATCTGCAAAAGACTGCCTAGAGCACTTGCCTAAGATTGTAGGTCAGATTTTTCACCACTGCCCCTCTATAGAGACACGTGTGTGCATGCATGTGCGCATGTGTGTGCGCGCACACATGCACACACACACACAGGCACATATACACACACCCATAAGCTGTAATGTATGCCTGTAATGTAATGTAATGTAATGTAAGCTGTAATGTAATGTAATGTATGCCACATCAAAATTAGCAAAATGATCTATTTTGCTAAAATACTAAGTATTTGTCAGTGTTTCATAACCTTTTGTATATCACAGTAGACATCAAAATTGATAATATTTGTATAGTCATGGCAAAGGCTAAGGGGCACATAAGCCCAGTGTACCTCTAAAATTCATTCCCATCCTATCATTGGGAACCGATCTCACCCGTTAGGCAGGTTAATATTTCTGACTACATTAGAATCACCTGGAGAGTTTTTTTTTTTTTTTAAATAAATAATACTTAGGCTTTGCCCCAGAACAAGTGAATCCAAACAACTTTGCTGGTGGCGGTGGGGGTCGGGGAAAGGTGCCCTGGCATTAGAACTTTTAAGTTTTTAGAATATTCTAATCATAATAGTTTGAGAATCACTGCATAAGCACCAAAAAAGCAGGGAATATATCTTATGACCCACATATAGTGCTTAATGCTTAACAAGCACTCAATAAGTAGGTGCTGAATTGATTAATTACTACATGTCCTGGACAGTATAGCCAGGGATAGTCCTAGACCAACTTGAAAAGCTAATAACATTTAACTAGTTCCATATTCCCAAGAGGGTCATCTCTAGTCATTGTTAAGTACTCCCTCAACTTTCTCTCCTTCCCTTATCCCAGATTTGTGCTATTTCCCAACTGTCCGGTAATTATCACTAAATCCATCACAAGATGTTAACCACCAAGAATTGTCTTCACTTCCAAGTCTCATTAAATTTCCCCAAATAGGAATAGAGGTTCAAGAAGGCTCTCTAGAGACATTGGACACAGGCCCTTTCAGAAGAAGAACCAAAATTGTGACTAGATAATCACACCTCAAATAGAACATCAAAAGAGAATACTGGCGTTTGACAGAGAAGTCACAGGAAACGCCTAAGACACAGAAGGAGTAGGAAGCAAGCAGTCAGGCCTGCTGAGATCACCTGGGAGATGGGAGGAGCTCCCTATTGTGGGGAAAGGGTAAATGAGAAATCCTCCCTGTTGTGGGGAAAGGGTATATGAGAGATCCTCCACCATGGATTGCTGCACTTCTAACCCATGGGAGAGCTCCTCCACCCACATGAACTTGGAGACTAGTGTGGGCAATGATCTGCACCCTTTTGCAAGGGCACTGCACCAGACTCATGCTGGGTCACTCACAACCCCGAGACCTAAGTAGCTACACCATGGCACCATTGTGAAAGCACTGTGTTACCGAACTGCATCCTGCCTTGAGGACCACAGCCCCCACATTTCCACATTTTGGGACCCCCAACTGACATCTCCCAGTATCCACCTGGAGGATTGCTGTGGCACAGTGCTTGCTGACCCAAAGGTGTTGCCGGGTTTCCAGTATGCTAGCCCACATGGAATACTACTCCCCAGGAAAAGGACGATATAGCAAACCAAGGAGATGGACTGTGGAACAAAGGAAACCAGAGTATGCACTTTCCAGACCCTGAGAGCTTCCTGCACGGGGCTGTGAGGACAAAATTTGGAGAGTGTAATCCCTTCTCTGACTCTGCATGCTGCCCCAGCAGTTGCTGCAACCAAACCCAGGTGGGCAAGCCTGAGAGCTGACTGTCTGGGATTGGGGGCCGCAACTCTCCCACAACTGGCAGAGTGGCCTCTGTACTCAGGCTTGTACACAGAGTGGGACCCCTTCTCTGTACACCACTGCAGCCACAGGCACTGTTGCTGCCACTGGGAATTGGGACAGGCAAGCCAGTGGGTTGCTTGTCTGAGGCTGTGAGTGACTACTGCACCCCTCACTGGTGGTGTGGCCCCAACTCTCAGGCTCACATATGGAAGGAGGAATCCGTTCCCCTCTCTGCATGGCTCTATGGTCACTGCTGCTGCCAAGAGCAGGCAAGCCTGAGAGCTGCATGTCTGGGGCTATGAGTGGCAACCCCAACCCTGCTGGCCGCAAGGTCTCTGTGCTAAGGCCCACACACAGAGGTTGCGGTCCCTCCCCAACTCTACACAACACTGCAGTCACTGCTGTAGCCAGGAGCCAAAGCAAATGCTACCCAGAAACTGAGAGCTCCCTATTTAGGGGTGTGGGTGCCAATCCTGCCCACACCAGGAGCAAGGCCTCTGTGCTATAGTGCATTTTCTGAATACAGGCTCCCCCCACACACCAATGCAGCCACTGCTGCTACCAGAGATGAAGTGTACACTCCCTAGAGCCTTAGAGCTGCCTGTAGGAGATTGCTAATAGTGACCTCACCCATACTAACAGCAGGACCACTGTGCTCTAGCATGAGCTCTGAGGTCAGTTTACCCAGACCCACCACAGCAGATCTCCCTACCCTGCCTACTATAGCCTACACCCCTACACACCATCTGAAGCCTGAGCTCAGACCCATCTAGCCTGGCACTTCCTCCTACCCCAGTCCCCAGAGCCCAAGCATGCTGCCTTAGGACCTGGGGATCACTACACCCATTCCACCACCTCTGGCATCTGTGCAGTCCCTTCAGGAACCTGAAGATGGGCCCACCCAACCTGACACCAACACCACTGCCAGCACCCACCCACATGCACTACCTAGGAGCCTGGGGACTGTCCTGCCCAGCCCATCGAGCCATCACCAATACAAATATACACTTCTCAGGACCCAGAGGGTCATCTGCCACTACTAACTGCCATCACACACACCATACTTTCTTCCCAGGGACTGAAGAACCTGCCCACATGCCCAACCCACTGCCGCCAATACTAGCATCTGAACAAGCCACCCTGGAGGCCCAAGAATCAGCCTGCCTGGACCTGCTGACACTGGTGACAGTGGACACCATCCTGGGGTCCAAGAACAGGGATGCTTGGCCCTCCACTGCCACCACTGGAGGCTGAAGACTGGCCCATCTGGCATCTCTGTTTCCAGCCAAAGCTCACCAGAGCCTCCACTAATAACCATACCCTAAGCCACCAAGGAAATCACGAATACCACTGATATTGTTTACAGCCAAAGAAATTGTACAGAGAGACTACACTACAGTATGCACCCAAAATAAAAGCCAAAGGGCCATACCTGACCAACACCATTAATGCATCGTCAGAAAAATTTCTCTCCTGTGAAAGCAAATACAAAAAATTGGAAGAAGTGACAATAATAGCAAATATGAAGGTATCAATGTAAGAACACAGGAAACTTATAAAAGCAAGGAAATATGACACCTCTAAAGGAACCCAGTAATTCTCCAGTAACAGATCTCAATAAAAAAAATTTCACAAAATCACAGAAAAAGAATTCAAAATTTTGACAGTAAAGAAGCTCAGTGAGATACAAGAGAATTCCAAAGAACAATACAAAGAAATTAGAAAACAATTCAGGATATGAATAAGAAATTTAGCAAAGAAATAGATGTCATTAAAAAGAACTAAATAGAAATTCTAAAACTGAAGAATTCATTAAATTAAATACAAATCATATTTGAAAGCTTCCACAACAGACTAGATCAAGCAAAAGAAAGAATCTCAGAACTTGAAGACAGGTCTTTTGAAATAACTCAGTCAGACAAAAATAAAGAAAAGGGAATAAACAAAGCTTTCATGATATATGGAAAGTGGAACACCGTAAAGCTACCAAATATATGAATTACCAATATCCCAGAAGATGAAAAGAGAACAAAAGGGTTCAAAAACCTATTTAACAAAATAACAGATGAAAACTTCCCAAGTCTAGCAAGAGATATGGATTTTTAGATACAGGACACCAAGCAATCCCCAAACAGATAGAATACAAAAGGTCTTCTCCAGAGCACATTATAGTCAAATTGTCTAAAGTCAAAGCAATTAGCTGGGCATGGTGGTGCATGCCTGTAATCCTAGCTAGTCGGGAGGCTGAGGCAAGAGAATCGCTTGAACCTGGGAGGCGGAGGTTGCGGTGAGCCGATATTGCGCCGTTGCACTCCAGCCTGGGCAACAAGAGTGAGACTCTGTCAAAAAAAAAAAGAAAAAGAAAGAAAAAGAGAATTCTACAAACAGCAAATGAAAGCATTTACAAAGATTACAAAGATCACCTATAAAAGAACCCCCATCAGACTAACAGTAGACTTTTCTGTAAAAACTTTACAGGCCAAAAGAATGGGATGATAGATTCAAAGTGCTAAAAGAAGAAAACTGCCACCCAAGGATATTATAGACAGAAAAATTATGCATAAATTAATGAGAAATAAAGTCTTTCCCAGACAAGTAAATGCTGAGGGAATTCATTACCACTAAAGTAGCCCTATGAGAAATGCTGAAAAGAGTCCTAAATCTGGAATTGAAAGGATGAAGGTTACCATCACAAAAACACACGAAAGTCTAAAATGCACTGGTAAAGCAAACATACATATGAGGAAGAGAAAAGACTCAAATGATACCACTTCAGAAACCGCCAAACCACAAGGACAAACAATAAGAGAAAAAGAAAAGAACAAACAACATACTAATAACCAGAAAACAATTGACAATATAACAGGAACAAAACTTTACATATTAATAATAACTTTGAATGTACATGGATTAAATTTGCCACTTAAAAGATGTAGGCTAACTGGATGGATAAAAAACATGATTCAACTATATACTGCCTTCAAGAAATATGCTTTACCTGTAAAGACACATATACACTGAAAATAAAGGGATGGAAAAAGATATTCCACACAGAAACCAAAAGCAAGCAGGGGTAGCTACACTTACATCACATAAAGATACTTTAAGTCAAAAACAGTTAAAAAAAAAGACAAAGAACATCATTATATAATGATAAAGGGATCAATCCAGCAAAAGGATATAATATTCTAAATATGTATGCCCCCAACACACTGGAGTACCCAGATTTATATATCAAATATCACTGGATCTAAAGAGAGAGAGAGAGACTCCAATACAATGATAGTTGGGGATCTTAACACCCCACTCTCAGCATTAGACGGATTATCTAGACAGAAAATCAACAAAAAAAATATTGGATTGAAATTGAACCTTAGACCACATGGACTTAAAGACATTTTATTCAACAGCAGCAGAATACAATTCTTCTCATCAATGCATAAAACATTCTTCAAAATAAACCCAATGTTGGTGACAAAACAAGATTCAACAAATTTTACTAAATTTAAATCATATCAAGTACCTTCTTAGACCACAGAGGAATAAAATTAGAAATCAATACCAAGAGAAACTTTGGAAACTATACAAATACATAAAAATTAAAGAACATGCTTCTAAATGGCCATTGGCTCAATAAAGAAATTAAAATAATTTAAAAATTTCTTGAAACAAATGACAATGGAAACACAACATACCATACTAAAACCTGTGTGATACAGCAAAAGCAGCACTAAGAGAAAATTTTCCACAACAAATACCTACATCCAAAAAAAGGGAAATATTTCAAATCATCTAACAATGCACCTCAAGGAATGAGAAAAACCAGAATAAACCTAACTCAAAATTAGCAAAAGAATGGAAATAATAAAGATCAGAGCAGAACTAAACCAAATAGAGGCTAAAAAGAATGATGAATTAAATGAAAAATTGGTTATTTGAAAAGGTAAGCAAAATTGATAAACCGCTAGGTAGACTAACCAAGAAGACAGAAGACCCAAATAAACAAAATCAGAAATGAGAAAAGAGACATTAAAGCTGATACCAGAGAAATGAAAAAGATAATCAGAGACTATTGTGAATACTAACAAACTGGAAAACCTAGAGAAAATGGATAAATTCCTAGAAACTAGGAAATCTGAACAGACTAATAATGAGTGGTGAGATTGCAGCAGTAATAAAAAGTCTCCCAAAAAAGAAAAGCCCAAGACCGGATGGATTCACTGCATAATTCCACCAAATACATAAAGAAGAATTCATACCAATCCTCCTGAAACTATTCTAAAAAATTGAAGAGGGGGGAATTCGCCCTAAGTCATTTGACAATGCCAGCATCACCCTGATACCAAAACTAGACAAGAGCACAACAAAAAAGAAAACTACAGGCCAATATTCCTGATGAGTATAGATGCAAAAATCCTCAAGAAAATACTAGCAAACTGAACCCAACAACACATCAAAATGATTATATACCATAATCAAGTGCATACCAAGGATGCAAGGATGGTTCCACATATACAAATCAATAAACATGATATATCACATCAATAGAATGAAGGACAAAAACCATATGATCATCTCAATACACCCAGAAAAAGCATTTGATAAAATTCAAAACCCCTTCATGATAAAAACTGTCAACAAACTAGGCATAGAATGACAAACACGCAGCTAACAACATACTGAATGAGGAAAAGTTGAAAGCCTCTGCTCTAAGAATTAGAACAAGTCAAAGATGCAGACTTTCACCACTTCTATTCAACATACTACTGGAAGTTCTAGCCAGAGTAATCAGTCAAGAAAAAGAAACAAAAGGCATCCAAATTGGAAAAGAAAAAGGCAAATTGTTCTTCTTTGCAGATGATGTGACCTTATATTTAGAAAAAAAACAAAAGTTTCCATCAAAAGCCTCTTAGAACTGAGAAATTTGCTAAAGTTGCAGGATACAAAATCAACACATAACAATCAGTAGTGTATCTATGCACCAATAATGAAACCCAAAAAAGAAATCAAAAAGGCAATCATATTTACAATAACTACACAAATAAAATAAAATAAAATACCTAGGAATAAATTTAACCAAAGAGGTAAAATATATCTACAAGGAAAACTACAAAACACTGATTAAAAAAACCGAAGACACAAGCAAATGGAAACATTCCATATTTATGAATCAGAAGAATAATTATCATTAATATGATAAACACTGCCAAAAAACAGTCTACAGATTCTATGCAATCCCTATCAAAGTACCAACATCATTTTTCATAGAAATAGAAAAAAAAATTCTAAAATTTACATGGAACCAAAAAAAGAGCCCAAATAAAAAAGCAATCCTGAGTAAAAAAAAAAAAAAAATACCTGGAAGCATCATATTACCTGAAAACATATCACAAGGCTATAGTAACCAAAACAAAATAGTATTGGTGTAAAAATAGACACATAAACCAATGAAACAGAATAGAGAACTCAAATAAATCCACAAATTTATAGCCAACTGATCTTCGACAAAGCCATTAAGAATATACATTAAGGAAAATACATCCTCTTCAATAAATGGTGCTGGGAAAACTGGATAATCTCATGCAGAAAGATGAAACTGGACACCTATCTCTCACCATATACAAAAGTCAACTCAAGATTCATTAAAGATTTAACTGTAAGACCTGAAACTATAAAACTACTAGAAGAAAACATAGGGCTGTTCAGTACATGGGTCTAAGCAGTGATTTTATGGCTAGAACTCAAAAGCATAGACAGCAAAAACAATAAGAGACAAATGGGACTATATCAAACTAAAAAGCTTCTGCACAGCAAAAGAAACAGTCAATAGAGTGAGGAGAGAATATCTTGAAAGGGAGAAAATGTTTGTAAACTCCTTTATGTGACTAATATTCAGAACATACAAGAAACTCAACAGTAAAAAAAACCGACAATAAATAATCCCACTAAAAATGGGAAAAGGACAAAAATAGACATTTCTCAAAATAAGACATACATATGGCCACCAGGTATATGACAAAATGCTCAGCATCACTAATTATCAGGGAAATGCAAATCAAAACCACAATGAGACATCATTACACTGCAGTTAGAGTGGCTATTATTAAAAAGACAAAAAACAACAGATGATGACAAATAAAAGACAAAAAACAACAATGGTGAGGATGTGGAATAAAAGGAACTCTTATACACTGTTGGTGGGAATGTAAATTAGTACAACTTCTATGGAAAGAAGTATGGAAATTAAAAAATAACTGGAAATAGAACTACCATATGACCCACCAATCCCATTACTATTTATCCACAGGAAAAGAAGTCAGCATATCAAAATGATACCTACATTCGCACATTTATCACAGCACTATTCACAGCAGTAAAGACATGGAATCAACCTAAGTGTCCAACAATGGACAAATGAATTTTAAAAATGTGTGTATACATAATGGAATACTATTTGGCCATTAAAAAGAATAAAATCATGTCATTTGCACCAACATGAATAGAACTGGAGGTCATTATGTTAAGTGAAATAGCTAAGGCACAGGAAGACAAATGCCTCACATTCTCACTCATATGTGAAAGTTAAAAATTTTTATTTCATGGACACAGAGAATAGAATGACAGATACCAGAGACTGGGAAGAGTGGGTGGATGAGAGGGGGAATAAAGAGAGGTTGATTAATGGGTACAAACATATAGTTAGCTAGAAGAAAAAAGTTCTAGTGTCTGATAGCCAACTAGGGTGACTGTACTTAGCAACACTATTTTGTGTGTTTCAAAGTAACTAAGAAGAGAGGACTTGAAATGATACCAACACATAGAAATGATAAATACTCAAGGTGGTGGATACTCCAAATACCCTGACTTGATCATTACACAATTTATGCATGTAAGAAATACTCACATGTGCCCCACAAATATGTAAAATATTATGTATCAATAAAAGAAAAAAATTCCCCCATACATAAAAGCAACATGGTACAGTAGAAACATCAGTTGCTCTGGAATCTGAGAGAGCTGGTTCTAAATCCAAGCTCGTTCATTAATTAATTGTGTGCGAGCCCCTACCCTTAAAATTTCTTATCTATCAGATTGTGATAACACCTATTTCTTGGCACTATAGAGATGATTAGAAGTTAGTAAGAAATATATATATATTCCATCTTAGGCACAGATAAAGGAGAAAACTTTGGAGAATCAAAGGCATTACTTAAACTCCCTCACCAGTACACAACTTTCACATACTTTCTTTCTTCATGTTCTTTTCCTATAATCTTATATTTCTTTTTCTATTTTTCTCCCCAAAAATGACTCAATATGTAGAAATCCTACCTTATAAAATCCACTTTGCAGATAGGGTTTACAGACAAAAAGTTCTGTCACTGGGTTAGGGGGCTTTCTTCTCAACTTCTGTGTAAAGCTGGGTCTTGGCCCTACAGTCAGAAAGGTAGTGTATCAGTCCATTTTCACAGTGCTATAAAGAACTGCCTGAGACCGGGTAATTTAGAAAGGAAAGAGGTTTAACTGACTTACAGTTCTGCATGGCTGGGAGGCTTCAGGAAACTTACAATCATTGTGGAAGGCAAAGCCTTTATCACAAGGTGGCAGAAGACGAGTGGGCAGGGGAAACTGCCACTTTAAAACCATCAGGTCTCATGAGAATTCCCTCACTATCATGAGAACAGCATGGGGGAAACTGCCCCCACGATCCAGTCACCTCCCACCTGTTCCCTCCCTTGACAGGAAATGAGAATTGGGTGGGTTCACAGAGCCAAACCATTTCAGGTAGGGGGCATGAAGTACATGTTGGGGAGAGCACAGGCCTCATCCCTCCCTCACCCTGATCGTCCGTCAGTACTATCATCAGAAGTGTGAAGCTGATATGAACATTCTCCAGGGTAGCAATCACTTCATTTATTTCTTTGCAGAACAACTGTATTTGGGGCCCCTGCTGCACCCCTGCCCTTTAAGTAATAAGTTTCAGATTTCGGATGTCATTCTCTTAAAATGGTTTGTCACTACCACACATGTGCACCTTAGCTTCTCACACCCCAAACCTACTCTGTCATCAACACTGACCAGAAGTTATCAGTTTTAGATTTTATAGTAAACTAAACTTAATAAAATATTTTAATGAAAAATAATATACATACCCAAATACATCAATCTTAGTTCTTTGTAGGAATATTACTTTGTTAAGAGAGCATAAGCAAGCTATCATTTATTGAGAATTCACACCTTCTGGTATCTCTTTATTGTATAGAGAAAATTTCTGAATTTATTTCACTGTTCCATTCTTTGGCATATGTGAAGGTGATATTTTACAGGAGTTATGCAACATCCAAGGCTGGACAAGGCAATTCTTACAGATATTGTTGGTTTGCCTACATTATAAGCCCAATAACTCTGCTCATGGATCCATGCCAAAATTACAGTTTTCAGAAACTTCTGCAAAAGGATTTAAACAGTTTTGTGCCTTGCCACCAAAATGTGTGTTCATTTTCCTACACCTCCACGCCTGGCAGTATTTCAGCCCAACATTTGTTACAGTATTTTCAGTTCATCTTGTTTATTTTCTGCTTTATTTTTTCCCTTCAGGTACATTTTATGTGCAAAAGCAAAGTTATCATTCCCCATGTGTACTGCTACTGTTTAGCCCTGCTCCTAAGCCATATTATTCTTAACTAAAATACACTTTAAAATAACGTGGTCAGCAGGGTTTAACATTTTTACTTCCAGCCTCAACTGTTGTAGCCCATGTCCAGAATAGTATTTGTTAGATCTCAGATCCATAGGGCAAAATTGCAGAAATATTACTAAAAGTGAGTATTTGATATAAAATATTGTTTCTGAAAACGCATGTTTTAAAATATTGATGAGATGTCAGTATTGCAATAGGATAGGGAATGCATTGTTAAAAGGATGCAGTGTGACAGTGTACAAGAAGCTCAGAATGTGAAGTGAAATGGTCTAGATTAGTCGTTCTCTCCCACTAAGTTCCTGGACCAGAAGTATCAGCACCACTTGGAAACTTGTGAAAAATTCAGTCTTGCGCCTTACCCCAAACTAACTGAATCAGAGAGTCTAGGGGTGGGATCCAGCAATCTGTCTGTTACCAAGTCTCTGGCCGACTCCTACCCCATGGATCTGACACATGCTGTGTGAGCATCAGTGGTTATTTTCAAACCTCAGATCAGCTGCTAACTCTATTTGTGGCCTTGAAAAAGTAACCTCTCTGAGCATTAGTTTCCCACTCCATGTTCTCTCTCTCCATCTTCCTTTCCTGTACTCTGACTGTTTAGAGTCAAGAAGGCAGGTCTGCTGGTGAAACTGATGTCTAGCTGGGGAACGATATGCCAGCTTCCACTTCTTGTAGATGCCCCAATATTCACATGAGATTTTCTTGACTCCCTTTGGGTTTGGAGTTTATTTTGTGGATTCTCTGAACTGGCCCTTCCCAGTAAAACTGTAGAGAAAGTGGCTAGGCCCCCAAATTGGGGGTCCCTTGGACTCAAAATATAAAACACAAAATGCAGAATCCTTTGTCTTCATCCATGAGCCTTCACTATAATTCCAGAACCACAGGAAACACTTCCATTCACCATTCTGCTATGTTGGCAACATGTGGATAATTATACACTGTATTCTCCATTTTGCAGAATTATTGTGAGGGTCAAATGAAAGAAATGATTATGGAAGTACTTTAAAAACTGTAGAGCACTACACAAATGCTAGTTATTGTTGTAATCTAATACTCTAGAGAATTTTTTTCTGTTTCTGTTTCTCTATCCTTTATAATTCTAGTCTCAATAAAGAAAATGAGGCCTCTTCCCTTACCTGTAAGTATTTAATTGTTGATTGCATCACTCTCATTTCTGTTTTACGAGGCAATGATAGTAAGGCCTCTTTTGGTTGTGAATAGCAGAAATCCATCACAGACTTGTGTAATCCAGAAATGGGGAGACAATGAGGGTAACCCACAGAAACAAAGGAGGGGCTGTAAGAAGCAAGGCCTTGGGCTCTGGAATAAGACAGTCAACACTGCCGTGGCTTTTTCTCTCCTGCTGCAGCTCTCATCTCTGTCAGCCTTTCACTTTGCTTTTAGCACTAGCCTGTTTCTCCTACTCCAGCCAGGTTATCACCACGTGGCAGAGAACATGACCACAAGCAGCCGAGGTTCAACAACATTTGAGGAAGGAGATGGCATCTGTTTCTCACTGTGCATATATGGATCCCAGGGAGAAACTCTGATTGGACCAAGAGTATGGGTACAGTTCTGGGTCATGTGACCTCTCCTGAAGAATGAGTAGGCGGCAGCTCCTGGAGTACATAGTGTATCACCAGAAGAAAGATCTGGGGGAAGCTTATTAGGACTACCAAAAAAGCTAGCTGGCTAACTAGCTAACAAATCCCTCCACAAGAATTATCTGGGTACAGTCAATTCTGTTACAGGGCCTGAGAGGAGATTTCTGTATCCACTTCCAGTGGTTTACATTAATACAGAAAAGGACTTACAATGCTAATATACAAAATAATGCGAAAGTGTCTTTCTAAGCCTAAAACCCAAGCCATAAATAAAGGTTCCTTTTTTTTTTTTCAGTAGAATCCAGCCAGTCATGTAGCTTATTATTTGTCAGTAAACAAAATCTAGATAAGAAATGAAACCCACAATACTGAGGTTGTAAGGAGCGAGGAGGTGTACCTGCCCTCATGATCCCATTGGCCCAGGAGTTAATCAATCAAGCATGTTGATAATGCATTCCACGCTTCCTCGTGGCAATTTCCATCAAGGAAAAGACAAATGACAAGTTTATGGTTTTATGTGGCTTTTATACAAAACTGCATAGCTTCTTTCTGAAACGCAGACGACATATACTCAAATAATGTCTATGCCCTTTAAAATACTAAAGTTTGACTAGGACTTGATCTTTCTTCTTTAGATCAAAAACATCTAGCATTTCTTCCAAACTACATGTAACAAGAGACTACAGCTTCTTAAAACAAAACACACATGGGCGAGTGGCGCAGTGTAAATTTATGGCTGAGAGAGGCAATGTTTGAAAAGTCGAGGATTCCCTAAGAGTCGTGGTGGCAACAATTTATGAATTTATATGTTGTTCCAGATTAAAGTAATTATTTAGACTGGCCCAGGGAAGCCAACATAATCCCCACTCTTAAAACAAGCTATAGATTGCATTTTCTTCTTGAAAGCCCTGGTTAGACTGGTACATCTTATCAATAATTTTGAAAACAATATTTCCACTGAGAAATTACAAAAGAAATAACACCATTCAATTTCTTCATGTTTTGCATTCTTTCAGAGTCAGCAAACATAAAAAAGTCAGCAGGTGGAGCTCCTATTCCCTCAGCAGACCTGATAGAAGTCCTTCTCTTGAAAGAACTTTCAATTACAGACTGTCTCTCTGGCAGCCCCGTTCTAGGCTCCCTGCAGACAGTATCAGAATAATATATGAAAATGCAAGACTTGGAGACATTACAGTATGCTGTCATAGGCCATGAAGGAGAAGAAAGAAAGAAGAGCCAGAAATATATATATATATATATATATATATATATATATATATTTTTTTTTTTTTTTTGCTATTTCTCCCATTTTACATTTCTTTTCAATTAACAAAGAAGGTGCCATCCTTCAAGAGTGAGACGTGACAGGTGTACTAATTCATTTGTTCCCTGGTACGCTTTGTACCAGTTCTCTTACCCTTTCACAATGTGGCACTTCATTACCACTGAGCTCAGCATTGGATCAGACAGGAGAAATGGTATCCAACAGGAGAATGAAAAAAGTATGGAACCAGAAAATGCCTTGGACTCCTCTTCAAATTTTGTTTTGTAGTTATTCTGTTGGGAAGTAAATTCACGAAAAATTTAAGTATCTTTCCTGTTAACCACTAACTCTGATATCTTCTCCAAATTTTTCATGAGGGTGTGTGATTGCCATTTTGCAGCCAGCAATGACAATAAAAATACCCTTTTAATTCACTACATTTGATATGCACATAATTCCTTTAGTGTGAAACCTACTAGTAAGTAGTTCAATTTGCCATTTCTAAAGGAGTAGTGAGAAACTGGGTGATCGAATACATTTCTTATAAGGACCTGGCACGTGGGATCATGTGACAGCAGATGGCATGTGAAAGCCGTTGTGGGAAATACGGCCCCTGCTAAATAGGCTGTGAATGTACAAGGTTGTGCGTGTCTCCTCAGAGTGCCATCCAGTCACCCTGGCATCTGCAGGAGAGTAAACAGCATCTCGTTCACTTTCATAACAAAAGCTAATGTGAACGACCTCAGGACAGTCATGGAGCTGCAGGTACATGCGGCCTGCTGCCCTGTGGTCAAATGCACAGAGCAAAGCTAATAGCATTCACTCCACAGGGGCCCTGAGCTTGGACAGGCCATGGACATTTGGAATGTATCAGAGTGTTCAATAAGGCACAGACAATTGAAATCTCAGGGGCTGCATGTGGAGAAGCAGAAAGAACGCAAAGTTCTCCATTTGGTATTAAAATTCCTCTCTGTCTATCCTACCCTGGTTGGAGAGAAAAAAGAGATTCCTAAGCACATCCGAAGGTGTTCCCTATACTAAGATCTTCAAACCTTTTGCACATTCTGAGAATTTCATGATCTTCTCTTGATTCACACCAAGGAGAAGCTAAATTTTGCTCTGCAGTACACATCCAAGGCAGCATGCTAATGAGAATTATTATTAAGCAATGTAGAGTTGGCACCAGTCTCTTGCAATCTGCTCAGCAGCAGAAGCAGGAAGGGCAGAGGCAGAGAGTCAGAAAAGCAGCTTTACTGAATGCTCTTCTGGACCTGATTAGTTTTGGTCACTTTCAACACCAGGCAAAGCCAAGTATAATTGCAAGCTTCACAGGCATGGCACACTGTTTCCCACTCTAATATATTTGGCCTTTCCTTAAAGAGACTTCTAGATTTTACTGTTGCTTTAAAAACCTTCCACTCTTTAAAACTGCAAAATCAAGTGTTTTTGTAAATGCAATAACTAGGGTACAGGAAAAATGGATTTGCTGTGCATTTGGGATTTCTTTCATTTTAGCACCCCATCCAAACAGGCCCATCTCAATCTCAGAATAGGAATTATGTCTCAGAACACTCCCTGGCATAGTTTTTGGAGTAGGCTGTAACATCTTGGTCAGATGGAAGGAACTGGACCACCAACCAGTGCCAAACAGAGGAGCCTGAAACTAGAGCTGTTACGAATAATTCTCCAAGTATTTAGACTAAACCCTTTTGTGAAGATGGAGCATGAAGCAAATTATTTGGAATTAAGCCACAAGACCAAAATAAAAGATCATTTTCACATTTGTATTGATTCATTATTAGACACACTTTATCAGAAAGGTTTTTACTGGAACATCCTGATGTGAGATGGTCCTAAGATTAACAGGCAGCAGCCATCCATACTCTCTCTCTCTGTGTGTTGAGTATTAGAACCATAGGCCCACATAGCTGATTGCCACTCAGATATTCCTTAGGCACTTCAAATGGAATAAGTTCCCAATTGTATTCACCGAGGTATGTTCCTTTTCCTTTTCCTATAGTCTCTAACAGTCAAGAGACTTGGAAGTCAGCCTTGGTTGGCTTCTCAGTTTCCCTCAACTCTCTCTGTCTCTCAGATTCCTGAGCCCAACCCTAGACTTTCTGAATTCAAATCTTTGTGGATATAATTTAGAAATCAGTCTTCTAAAAAGCACCTCAAAAGATTATGTACACTCAAGTGTGTCTATCATTTTAAGAGAGAATATACTTTAAGCACATCATCTGACATTAGAAAATAAATTTAGTTTCTAAGACAGATAGCATAGACTGTGATTATTTTAAAAAATATTTTGGGCTGGTGCAGTGGCTCACGCCTGTAATCCCAGCACTTTGGGATGCCAAGGCAGGCGAATTGCCTGAGCTCAGGAGTTCAAGACCAGCCTGGGCAACACGGTGAAACCCCGTCTCTACTAAAATACAAAAAATTAGTCGGGCGTGGCAGCGTGCGCTTGTAGTCCCAGCTACTCAGGAGGCTGAGGCAGGAAAATTGATAGAACCTGGGAGGCAGAGGTTGCAGTGAGCCAAGATTGCCCCACTGCACTCCAGCCTGGCCGACAGAGCAAGACTCCATCTCTAAAAAATAAATAAATAAATAAAATTTAAAAATCACATATTAATTATATTTTGTTATCTGCTCCTGGGTTACCAATCAAAATTAGTACATATTAGAAGAATTAGGAAATTGAATAAATGTAAATGATCGCAATTGATGAACCAATTGAGCAACTTTCATTGGTTAACTACTATATTATGTTTCAGGCACGTTGCTAGTGGAATTTCCTGAGGTGAGAGGTCATTGCAGGAAGGTAGGGTTATAGATGACTTGAAAATACAACATGGTTTCCCACGACTCCCATGCTCCTGATTTTCCTCTATACCAGAACCCTACATTTTAAGCTGGGAACATAAGATTATATTTACTAGTCTCTTTTGCACCTAGTCTGGCTATGTGTCTGAACTCCAGCTAATGCCATGTAAGTTGAAGTGTTGTGTGCAATTTCTCAAAGTTTCTTAAAAGAAGGGAGCATGCCTTTTCGTCTCATTTTATTCCTGCTTTTCTGCAGACAGGCTGGATAGCCAAGGACATCTTGGATCTCAAGGCAACCTTGGGGATAGAGGTTATACGTAGCAGAACAACAAAATAGAAGACACCTAGGTCACTCACACTGTTGAGAACATAGCCCTGAATCACTTACTCCCAGACTTATAAATCAGAAAGAAAAGAGCATCTAATTTGCTGAAGCCACTATTTCATAGGTGGGGATGAGGGAAATTCTGTCACTTGCCATTGAACTAATGTTAAATTAATAGAGATAGTATTTCTCAAATTTGGAGGCAAGATGTTAGGAGTATGAATTCATTACAGACAGGTCTTTGATTGCTTTTAGTGAAATCTAGAGATAAATATGTAGGCCCCTGTATAATGGTGACAGTTAATCACAAGTGTAAAGAATAGTGGGTTGGGCCTTCTCTTTTGTTTTTCTAAAAAAAAATTGTCACATATTAATTATATTTTGTTATCTGCTCCTGGTTTGCCAATCAAAATTAGTACATATTAGAAGAATTAGGAAATCGTATACATGTAGATGATCACAATTTATGAACCAGTTGAGCAACTTTCATTGATTACCTACTATATTGTTTCAGGCACGGTGCTAGACTTATTTACAGAGGCCATAAAGAAATTCAATTTCTTGTCTCTCAAGTCAAATGGACTTCCTGTAGTTTTATTAATGTGAGAGGAAGCTTAACTTAATAATGTCTATAAATTGGGGTTGAAGTGCAATGTTCTGCCTGCCCTATTTCTTTTGTTGTTATTTTATTTTATTTTATTTTGTTTTCAGGGGATATATGAGCAGATTTGGTACAAGGATATATTGTGTAATGGTGAGGTTTGGGCTTCTAGTGGACTCATCACCCAAATAGTTAACACTGTACCCAATAGGTAATTTTTCAACCCTCATCTTCTTCTTACCCTATCTCCTTTTAGAGTCCCCAATGCCTATTATTTCCATCTTTCTGTCCATGTGTACTCATTGTTTAGATCCCACTTGTAAGTGAGAACATGCAGTATTTCATCTTTCTGTTTCAGAGTTACTCAGAATAATGGCCTCCAGTTCTATCCATGTAGCTGTGAAGAACATGATTTTATTCTTATTTATTCCCTGGCCTATTTCTGATGATTGGGATGGGTGAGGTGAGCCAAGCTGGAAAGAAAGACCCCACTATACCAAACATGTTCTGTTAAGACATAAAGATAAGACAATTACTATTGAACATTCAGGTAGGTTTCAAGAGGTAGGGCATATTTTGGGAGGGCTACATAATTTGCGGAGTCCAATGCAAAATGAAAATATGGGGCCCCTTGCATTAGGAGAAATACCCAATGTAGATGACGGGTCGATGGGTGCAGCAAACCACCATGGCACGTGTATACTTATGTAACAAACCAGCACGTTCTGCACATGTACCCCAGAACTTAAAGTATAATCTAAAAAAGTAATAATAATAATATTAGTTAACCCATTAAAGTATAATCTAAAAAAGTAATAATAATAATATTAGTTAACCCATAAAAAAAGAAAATATGGGGCCCCTTGCTCAAAAAGCAGGAAAAGGGTGACATTAATGCTATTAAAACATAAAGCTTCTTTTCTTTCTTTGGTAGTGACTCTCTCAAATTGTCATGGTGCGCTTTCATTTGCTATTTAATGTTGTTCTAAGTAAAAAAAAATTAGAGTTTAAAATTTTTAGCATGAATTTTACCATTCATCTTTATATTGTGCAATGGCAGTTTTAAATGCAAATATAAGATCATTCACCTTGCATGTGGAATCATTGAAATTCCATAATTCATATTTCATAGCTCATACCTACATATGTATATTGTTCTTGCCAGAATGGCAGAATAACTACATAAAACTAACTCAACTGTTTTTATTTTACTTCTTGATCTGCACACATTCTATCAACACTCCCTACCTTAAAGTTGCTGATGAGTAAGGAAGGACTTATTATCATTGTTTTAGTGTAAGCTGTTAGCTAGTATAGGGAAATAACATGAGTAAGAAAGGGTATGAAAGTGTACCTGAGTTCATGTTTCTTAACACCATTGCCATCTTTTAAAAAAATTATTTTTTTCTGATTATCATTTTTCTTTTATTCATTTATTTTATTTTATTGACAAATTGTATATATTTGTAGTGTGCAACATCATGTTTTGAAATGTGTATACATTGTGGAATGACTAAATCAAGTTAATTAACAAATGTATTACCTAAAATAGTTACTATTTATTTATTTTCTTTTTATTTAATTTAGTTTAATTTTTTATTTTTTATTTTTATTTATTTATTTGTTTATTTTTTTGAGATGGAGTCTCGCTCTGTCGCCAGGCTGGAGTGCAGTGGCACGATTTTTGCTCACTACAACTTCTGCTTCCCAGTTTCAAGTGATTCTCCTGCCTCAGCCTCTCGAGTAGCTGGGACTACAGGCGTGTGCCACCACGCCCAGCTAATTTTTGTATTTTTTAGTACAGACAGGGTTTCACCATGTTGGCCAGGATGGTCTTGATCTCCTGACCTCGTGATCCGCCCACCTTGGCCTCCCAAAGTCCTGGGATTACAAGTGTGAGCCACTGTGCCCAGCCTATTTTTATTTATTTATTTTTTTAATTTTACTTTAAGTTCTGGGGTACGTGTGCAGAACATGCAGGTTTGTTACATAGGTATACATATGCTATGGTGGTTTACTGCACCCATCAACCCATCATCTAGGTTTTAAGCCCCACATGCATTAGGTATTTGTCCTAATGCTCTCCCTCCCCTTGTCCCACACCCCCTGACAGGCCCTGGTGAGTGATGTTCCCCTCCCTGTGTCCATGTGTACTCATTATTCAACTCCCACTTATAAGTGAGAACATGCAGTGTTTGGTTTTCTGTTCCTGTGTTAGTTTGCAGTTTGCTGAGAATGATGGCTTCCAGCTTCATCCATGTCCCTGCAAAGGACATGAACTCATTCTTTTTTATGGCTGCATAGAATTCCATGGTGTATATGTGCCACATTTTCTTTATCCAGTCTATCACTGATGGGCATTTGGGTTGGTTCCAAGTCTTGGCTATTGTAAATAGTACTGCAATAAACATAAGTGTGCATGTGTCTTTATAGTAGAATAATTTATAATCCTTTGAGTATAGATCCAGTAATGGGATTGCTGGGTCAAATGGCATTTCTGGTTCTAATCCTTGAAGAATCACCACACTGTCTTCCATAATGGTTGAACTAATTTACACTACCACCAAAAGTGTAAAAGCATTCCTATTTCTTGGTAGCCTCACCAGCATCTCTTGTTTCCAGACTTTTTAATAGTCACCATTCTAACTGGCATGAGATGGTGTCTCACTCTGGTTTTGATTTGCATTTCTCTAATGACCAGTGATGAGGACTTCTTCAAGGAGAACTACAAACCACTGCTCAAGGAAATAAGAAAGGACACAAACAAATGGAAAAACATTCCATCCTCATGGATAGGAAAAATCAATGTTGTGAAAATGGCCATACCGCCCAAAGTAACGTCTATATTAAATGCTATGCCCATGAAGCTCCCACTGACTTTCTTTGCAGAATTAGAAAAACTACTTTAAATTTCATATGGAACCAAAAAAGAGCCCAGATAGCCTAGACAATCATAAGCAAAAACAACGAAACTGGAGTCATTATGCTACCTGACTTCAAACTATACCACAAGGCTACAGTAACCAAAACAGCATGGTACTGGTACCAAAACAGATATATACACCAATGGAACAGAATGGAGACCTCAGAAATAACACCACACATCTACAACTATCTGATCTTTGATAAACCTGACAAAAACAAGCAATGTGGAAAGGATTCCCTATTTAATAAATGGTGCTGGGAAACTGGGTAGCCATATGCAGGAAACTAAAACTGGACCCCTTCCTTATACCTTATACAAAAATTAACTCAAGATGGATTAACGACTTCAATGTAAAACCTAAAACCATAAAAACACTAGAAGAAAACATAGGCAATACCATTCAGGACATAGGCAAGGGCAACGACTTCATGACTAAAACACAAATAGCAATTGCAAAAAAAGCCAAAATTGACAAATGGGATCTAATTAAACTAAAGAACTTCTGCAAAGCAAAAGAAAGGTTCATCAGAGTGAACAGGCAACCTACAGAATGTGAGAGAATTTTTGCAATCTATCCATCTGACAAAGGGCTAATATCCAGAATCTATGAGGAACTTCAACAAATTTACAAGAAAAAAACAGCCCCATCAAAAAGTGGGCAAAGGATATGAACAGACACTTCTCAAAAGAAGACATTTATGCAGCCAACAAACATATAAAATAGTTACTATTAGTGGTGAGAACACTTAAAATCTGCTCTATTAGCAATTTTGAAATATACAATACGTCGTTATTAACTATAGTCACCATGTTGTACAATAGATCTATTGAACGTATTCCTCCTGTCTAACTGAAATGCGAATATTCTTTAACCAACATCTCGCACCATCCCTCACACTTCCAGCACCTGGTAACCACCTTTCTACTCCGTGCTTCGATGAGTTTGACTTTTTTGTATTCCACATGTAAGTGAGATCATGCAGTATTGG
The DNA here is from genome assembly GCF_000001405.40 of Homo sapiens. Lineage (NCBI taxonomy): Eukaryota > Metazoa > Chordata > Mammalia > Primates > Hominidae > Homo > Homo sapiens. Next base: position 3,639,963 of record NC_000009.12, on the reverse strand, counting down.
TCTTTCTGTGCCTGGCTTATTTTACTTAACATAATGTCCTTCAGATTCATCCATATTGTCACAAATGGCAGGATTTCCTTCTTTTTAAAGGCTGAATAGTATTCCATTGTGTATATATACCAGGTTTTCTTTATCCATTTATCTGTTGATGGACACTTAGGTTGATTCCACATATTGGCTATTGTGAATAAAGGTGCAATGCACATGGGCATGCAGACATCTCTTTAATGTACTGATTTCAATTTTTTGGATATATATCCAGTAGTGGGTTTAGGTAATTCTATTTATAATTTTTTGAGAGACTTCCAAACTGTTTTCCATAATGGCTGCACTAATTTACATTCCCCCGAACAGTGTACAAAGGTTCCCTATTCTGCACATCCTTATCAACACTTGTCTTTCATCTTTCTGATAGTAGCTGTTCTGATAGGTGTGAGGGGATATCTCTGCGATTTTAATTTGCATTTCTCTGATGATTAATGACATTGAGCTTTTTTGCATATACCTGTTTGCCATATGTATGGTTTTTTTAAATGTTTATTCAGATCCTTTGCCCATTTTTAAATTGGGTTATTTGTTTTCTTGCTATTGAATTGTTTGCATTCTTGAGTCCCTTATATATTTTTGATATTAATCCCTTATCAATTGTATGGTTTGCAAATACTTTTTCCTATTACATAGGTTGTCTCTTCACCATTGCCTTATTTCTGCATTCAAAGCACGTTCTAGTTCAAACACTGGCCTCTTGCAGCTGTCAGTTTCTGCTTAGTCAGACATAGATGTAACAAACTCACCTTGTACTTGCTTTGAGTCTCACTGCATTCCCACCCATCATGGGTCCAGAGAAATTCTGTGCTTATGGGGCATACTGAACATTATGTGGGAGTGGGGTGGCAAAAATGGCAGCACACATGCTTATTGCCATATCCTGTGTTCAGGCTCCATCATCTTATTGCACTTCATTTAAAAAATATAAATTCAAAGAAAAAAGTAACAATTTCAAGACAGTAAGAGTAGAATATTAAACCAAGTGCAGGACCTTTCTGATAATGTGTTCTGTGCAACTATGTAGGTTGCACATCCACAAAGACAGCCTTGTAGGGTATGAGGAGGAATAGAAGTTACAGTAATTCTCTTTGACTTCACCATTCATTTATACAGCACCTGGGAAAGCACTTCCGGACTTAAGCCTCATGAGAAAGATGCTCCTAACTTATGCTTTCTCCCTCACTACCTTATAAACAGCCCTCACCCTTCTCTCTCTTTGTTCAAACCTCCATAATCAAACCTTCAAGTTCCTCAGTGACTCCACCTTCCCTCCTGGGAAGTTCTGAGAGAGATGTGTTCCCCTCTTTGCCAGGACTTACGGAATCTCTTATCTGTCCATTCAAGAAAAAGAGAAAGAGTTGGGATGTGGACACTCATCCCATAATCAAGGATGAAGATGACTATGAATGCTCCAATTTCAGGTCAGTTTCCCCATCACAGAGAGATGCAAAATACTTCTCCTATTCACTTAAGAAAGGTAACCATATCACCAAGACAAACATTTCATTATTTTCTAAGAGAATATTGCCTACAGTCATATTGAGGAAATGTTCTTCTATTTAGTGACTTTAGTCTTTCCCCTTTTGAATAATAGACCCTTCAATTATTTTGTTAAGCATTATGTAGTTCTTAACATTGGCTTGCTTTACCAGAAAAAAACCATGTTGGTTGAAAGTGGCTCTCTCCAGTGAAGAGGCAGAGTGTATATTTGGCCCTTTCTTCTCAGACATACAGGCCCTTCGCCACCTCTGGTCACTTGACCTTGGACTGTAAGCATATTTCCCTTTTCAATGGGCATCTAATGGTCAGAAAACTTATGCTCCCATTATCTGATAATAGCTTAATGAATCTCATTTCTAGAATTTTTATCTTAAGAGGAGACTTTTATAAGTGAAAGAAGGAGGAGGGGGAGGAAGGGAAGGAGGAGAAGGAAATGATGGAGGAGAAAAATCATTTTTAATATCAAAAGTTTTATATGTAACAGAGGATGCAAAGGCAAAGGATCACCCTGCTAGTTATTAAGCTTGTTTTATATGGAGAAACAGTTAACCTTATGAAAATAGAAAGAAAACTATACTGAGAGTTACATACTCCAGGGTAATAGTGGGGCTTTGCTGAACTCCTTCGACAAACACTCTACTAATTCAAAACAATTGTGTTTCCTGGAAACAAAAAAAGCTTCACAGCTCTTTTTCATTCAGTTAAGTAAAGGGAAAAAAAAGCTCATATTCAATAAATATCCTAGCACCATACTAAAAATGATTTCATGGTAGTGAGGTTGGGAAGCTAGAATATTATAGGATAAACCTTATAGACCACTTCCTTCATACTGTTTTAAATGTTAAAGATAAATTAAATCAAATTAAAGAAGGCTAGAATGAGATATCAGGAAAACTTGATGTGTTTCCCTCTGACCCTTAAATAACATCTTTTATTGAATTATCACCTACCGGGAAAAAAGTCTCACAAAGCCTTCTGGTTCCTGCACACCTCTCCAACATTCTTCTTTCCTACTCTCTGCTTCACAATTTTTTCTCCAATAACATGAATTGTTTACAATATCCCTTTATACCAGGCTGTGTCTTCATACCTTTGTTCATACTATCTTCCCTTTGTGAATTTTTTCAACTCCTCCCCAACCAGCCTTTAGCTAGCTAATGCCTATTCATCCTCAGCTCAAATATCATGATCTCCAGGGAAACTTTCCCTTCATTCATCTCCAACCTGAAGTTGACTTAAGTATCCCTTCTAGATATTTCCAAAAGACCCCATTCACATCTCCATCGCTGTACTTAACTCAGAAAAGTTCCTTGTGCTATGTACCACCTGTGTCACTTTACTATGAACTCCTTGAAAGCAAGGACAAAGTGTTATTATTATTATTTTTTAATTCTCCAAACCGCAATAGGCAGTCAGTAGATGTTCATTAAATGAATGAATAAATGATTCATTGAGTCTAACAAGCTGAAAAGAAAACTATAATTTGGAGAGGCAAAATGGCTTTCCTAAGACCTCATCACTAGTTTAAGACTTGTATCCAGGTCTCCTGAGCTCAAGTCATTTCTCCATAAACAATAACTTAGAAATCCCTAATAATAGAAAAAAAATGGTGGTTAATTTGGTTTAAAAAAAAAAGAAAGTCAAAGAAAAAGGACTGAGACTGAAATCACTAAGGCGTGTGGATATGTTTTCACTTTAAGAAAATTAAGTGGTTTTCTGAATTTAGATGCCATTCCACCCCTTTAAAGATAAAATGCCGAACTTACCATACTTATTGCTCAGATTTGTACTTGGTAAATTTATTTATAAGATTAAAGATGTAAACTGGCTCATTAAAGAGTGTCAAAAACTTGTCAAACATCAAATACCTGTTACATAACAACATTTTGAAGTCTACGTTATTATATACAGATTGCATTTCCACTTTAAAAAAATTTCACATCCTAAAATTTCAGGGAAAATCACCACTTAGGTTTTTCCAAACTCCAAACAACCTGAAAGTGTTCAGAGCCGTTTGAGAATTCTACAAACTGGCTGGAGATAGTCTATACACAAAATATTGTTATTCTCACTCAAAATTATTACTGTAGGCAGGGTGCAGTGGCTCACGCCTGTAATCCCAGCATTTTGGGAGGCCAAGGTGGGCGGATCACCTGAGGTCAGGAGTTTGAGACCAACCTGGCCAATATGGTGAAACCCCATCTGTACTAAAAATACAAAAATTAGCCAGGCGTGATGGCGGGTGCTTGTAATCCCAGCTACTGGGGAGGCTGAGGCAGGAGAATCGCTTGAACCCAGGAGGCAGAGGTTGCAGTGAGCTGAGATTGTGCCACTGAACTCCAGCCTGGGTGACAGAGACTCCATCTCAAAAAAAAAAAAATTATTGTAATTTCAGCAAGGGGGAAATCAAATGAGAAAAGATGTGGATTCTTTTATTTCTCAACTGTTTAAAAGCCAAGTATTGTATGAAAAACTATTCTGAAAAAAAAATTTTCCTGCTTCATTCAACCCCCAGAAAGTTTTTTGATGACGCCTTGTTGATTACCCACCCAATATTTATTTCCCTCTTCCCAAGAGCACCCCATTTTCATTTATACATCCACGGCTCCCTTACCAGAAGCTATGTGTCTTAGGAGTAATCTTATTCCTTTGCTAATGATTGGTTCAGGAATGAGGAATAAGACACAGTACTGGCTAGTGACGTCAAGGAAAACTTGTTGAGAGTTTCTGGAAAATGTTTCTTTACCTTTAAGTGAGAGCTGTTGGAAGAAGTTACGCACCAGTGAAGCTGGGACTGCCATTTTGTGAAGCCAACAGAGGAGAACAGAGCCTAAGAACCAGCTTTGGGAAAGAAAGCTAGTGCTTGCCAGACTAAGCCAACTCTGAAGTCTGTTCTACTTCTAGACTCAGTGTTGAGTCAATACACTTCATTATTGTTTAAATTTCTTGAGTTTCTGTACTTGCAGTGGAAGGAATCTTGTTTAATATGCAACAAAAATAGTGATTTCATTAATATATCCAGTGTAAAACTCCAAGAAATTTTTTGCTTTAAAGTTCTGCTGCAGAGTGGCACAGCAGAAGCAGGCAGGTCCATAAAGTTATTCAGCTTCTATTTTTCAGTTCTTGGGCTACTGGGGGGTTTGGAGGGACATCAAATATTTTAAACTTACTCTCCATCACTTTACCTCTCAGATAGATAACTGTCTATGTGTTCAGTTTAATGGATGTTCTCATAAAATTCTGATATTATCACCTCCTGCATTTGAGGACCATGATTCCACTAGCTAGTAGTGAATATATTCACCCTACACAGAGTAGATTGTGTGGTTCTGATTAGCTCCTCGGGGCCTTCAGTTATTCAGGTACCTCAATAAATGTTGTGTATTCTCAAGGAATGTCAATGTACTATGAAAATCCCAGAAACTTTATCCTATGTTCTTGGGGTTATTCCACTTAAGTGGGTGCTTTTTGGGACCGCACAGGTCCTAAACACTCGAAAGATTTAATGTTAATGAGTTACTTAAAGAATTTGTTATGGAATTAAAAAACAGATACAGTGCTATCTATAGTTACCAGATTAAGAAAATTACTTATTTAGTCCTATTCTTTTGATTAAAAGATATTTCACCAAGAAGCTGGCTAAATATAACACTTTTAGTCAAATTAATTTTGAGGTATTGGAGGGAGTATAAATGATACAATGTTTATTCTGATATTTTATATGAACACGATAATAATTATTATAATTGCTCAAATTTATTTTATATACTGTGAGCTAAGCATTATACTCAAGTATTTTGCTGTGTTATCTCATTTAACCTTTACAACAACCCTTTGAAATAGGTTCTGGTATTTTCTTCACTTTGCAGATAAGAAAATTAAGGTTTAAATAAGTTTCAGCAATATTCCTGAGATCTCCAGAGCCTATGTTCTTAACATCGATTCTAAATAGTCAACAGACTATATTCTAAACAGCTAACCATGTTATTGAACTTCCAAAAAGGCAGTGTAGTCTTCAATTGCCTTTATAATTGAACATTATTAAGAATCTTTAAAATGGCCAGGTCAGAAATTTTACCTCAGGTAAGTAAGATTGTATCTGAGGCATACTGCCAAATAGCAGGCTTCACAATTCAGGGAGGACAATAGCGAACAAGAGTTCAACCATGGGAACACATCAAATATGGTGGGAGTCTGAAAAACATCTCATACAGATTGGGCAAACTATTTTGCCAGGTTGACTATTAATTTTCTTAATGATACTTAGAGAAACAATACATGTGCATTGTAGAAAAATAAAAAATATAGACAAAAGAAAAAAAGAATGTCACATACCACCATCCAGAGATTGCCATTGTTAACACCTTAGTGCATATCTTTCGAATTGTGTGTGTGTGTGCCTGTTGTTTAATCTTTTAACAGTCTTTTTTTAAAAATGAATTTTGAAAACCAAAGGCCAGTTGGTCCCTGGAATATTCTATCTTTTAAGAATTTGTTCAATTGTGTCCTGTTACTTCATCTCCTGTGGAAGTGATTTTAAAGGCTTGATGAATTCAGGTGAAACACTGTGAAAAGAATATCATAGATGATATTGTGTACTTCATGTTTTATCACATCAGAAGACACAGAATTTCTAGTACATTTACCATTAATTTGATAAGATTGACATTCTCTGGAGTAACGACAATCTGAACCTGCTATTGTGTAATTTTATTTTATCTCTTGTGATTAGAAATTATTCTGTGTAATATCAGCTGGGCACAAAATGAAGGTCCAGTGTCCCAACATCCATTTACCTAAGGATTTTAACCTTGATAAATCTTGTCTGAATCAATAAGTTAAATAGAATTTGTGAAATGCTATTGTCCTAATTCTGTCATTTCTCCCACATTAATTAATTGGCATTTAAAGTAGAGCTTTCCCTCATCAACTGTTTTGAGCCTCACTTACCTCCTTGTGTGATTATGAAGTTATCTAGATGATGTCTATAAACTTTTAAATCCTAGAAGTATTCAAAGGAACACATAAAGTTACTAGATATGTTCATAATGCCCAGAAAGAAGAATACATAACTCTTTATACATTTAAATCTAGTCCTCTGGAAAATGAAGTAGATTTATTATGCATTGTTCCAGAGGGAAGTTTTGGGAAGGCAACTATTAACGCAATACAGGGAATAAGTTTCTTGTAATTAAAGACACCCATTAACGAAAGGTTTTTCTCACAAAGTAATAAGGAAATATTTGCCTCTAGAAATATCAGAGGCTGAAACTGTCATGGTTATTAGTCTTTAAGTCTATCCTCCTCAATTGAAATGTTAGAATAATAAGAAAATATAAAGATCTTCGGTAGAATGGCAAAGTCAACAGAAATAGTGCCTGATCTTATAACATCTCAGAAAGCATACTAGTAAGTAAAAAAAAAAAAAAAATCCTAATAAATCTCAGTAATATAGCCAAATTCCAAGAGATGCAAACTGAGTGGGGGTCCTTACCTTTGCAATCTTCATATTGGGATCGATAGAAATACCTTCTGGGGGAAAGGGAGAAGTAAATATGGGTCTGATTCTCTGTGAGGGAAGTAAAGGTTTTAGGACTAGTCACTGAATTGTGGACTTCAGCTTTTTTCCTCCACCCAGGAACAGTTTACATCACCCAGTTAGGTGGATTGAATCCTGGTATAGCATATTTAACAAAATATTAGAATAGTTCTGATAAAGAAGTATACCATTGGAACATCTCTTACTGCTCATCCCTGCTTCCTATTTCTTTTATTTCTATCCCTGTGCTCAGTCCCATTCCTTTAGGTAGAAAATAACCAATCCTAAAACTGAAGACTAAAACAGTGTTGGATATGGTACAAAGATAAGCCATGTGTCTTTTGAAGTATATCAGAACAAAAAGAATACCTGCCTTGAGAATCATGCAGCCATCCTCCACACCCACAGCCACTAACTTCGTTAGTAAAAAAGCAAAGCGCTAAAACAGAACACATGTTCCAAGTTCAAATATTGATAAGAATGACAACTTGGATTTAGTCCAAAGTGACTTTCACTTTGTAAATTACCAAACCAGCAAAATTATATGAGATGAAGCATGCAAGTTAGTAGATGCCTCTCTGGTACCTCCTAATATTTTTTATGGCAGTACACCTGAAGTTTATTGATGAGTGTGGCTCCAAATGAAATAAAATCTTCCAGGCTGGTAGACGTGGACCCACCAGTTGGTATCTTTTATGCTACTGGGGCTGGTTAGGAGGCACATTATTTTCATATGGGAAAATCTGTGCTTTGGGAGGCCAAGGTGGGTGGATCACCTGAGGTCAGGAGTTTGAGACCAGCCTAGCCAACATGGCGAAACCCCGTCTTTACTAAAAATACAAAAAAAATTGCTGGGCATGGTGGCAGGCACCTGTAATCCCAGCTACTTGGGAGGCTGAGGCAGGAGAATTGCTTGATCCTGGGAGGTGGAAGTTGCAGTGAGCTGAGATCACGCCACTGCACTCCAGCCTGGGCAACAGGTGAGACTCTGTCTCAAAAAAAAAAAATAAATAAATAAAAATAAAAATAAAAAAAAGAAAAGAAAAAAGAAAAAGAAAATCTGTACTGTGCCAGAGCATATATGCTTCCATATCCTAGCTCTTATTATATCATTGAGTCTGCTTGAGTTTTTAGTACAGTAGGTCTGGCTGTGACCTGCCACCTTGCCAAAGAGGGAAAAGAGAACTCTATTTAGAGGAAAACATAACTCAGTGGACCAAGAAAAAGACTGGCTATGATTACTAATGAATGGGTTGACAATAACTTAAAATTCATGGGTACAGGATATGTATTCCTTGACTTTGATTCCAAACAATAAAAACGTTTCTTAATTCACATAACAAGAAGTCCAGAGATGAATGGGCTTCATAACTGGTTGAGTCAGCAACTCAATCATGTCACCAAGGATTCAGGTTCTTTCCATGTCTCAGCTTTGCTTCACTGCTTGTCATAAAATTGTTATCTGCTAGATAACTGCCAGCAGAAAGGGGAGAATTTTTTTCCTTTGTTCAGTTTAATAGGAAAGAGAAAAATAATCCCCCCACATCAGTGATGAAATGTAAACCCTTCTCTTGAATCTAATTGTATCCCTTTACTTTTTTTAAGAGACGGGGTCTCACTATGTTGACCAGGCTGGACCCCAATTCCTGGGCTCAAGCAATCCACCCACCTCAACCTCCCAAGTAGCTGGGACTATAGGCACACATCAGTTTGCCCAGGCTCTCCTTTTACTATTGTACTTTCTTCTTTCTTTTTTCCACATGCTAAACAGAGTAAACAAGACCTGCCTCCTCCCCTCTCATCCTATTTCTAGGCAGCTATTTAGTTGCTGACCTAATGACCCTCTTATTTACCTCAGATCTGCATTACGGTAGCAGTTGATTATTATTTGATTCCCCATTTTCTACTGCTCCTTATTGTTAGAGATACATCATGAACCCTGTGGGGATAAGTGGCAGGGAAGAATTTGAACAGTCTATTGTCATAGCACCAATGTTATCAAACTAGCAATAAATCCTACCTCAATTCCTATGTGGTTTTAATTCTCTCTCATTCTTGCATATTTCTACTTCCAATAATACCATACCATTTTAGTGTGCACTTTCTTAATTAATTGTGTTGCTCTGTAATAAATCTGTGCTTATTTATGTAGTATATTGATACCGAACCATTTCATGAAATGCCATGATTCCTCCTGCCTGGGAGAGTTGGGCCAAACTTCATAGGTAAAGGGCACAGTCCTCCACAAGCATGCCTTCACTTTATACACCAGCCACAAGTCTGGGGTCCCCAGTTGTTGCAGTCCATTTTGTGCTGCTCTAACAAAATATCTGAGACTAGGTAATTTATAAAAAATAGATATTTATTTTCACTGGGCTCCAGGAATTTCAACTTCAAGGCTTGGGCTGTTTGGTTGTCTGGTATGGGCTACTCTTCTGCTTTCAAGATGGCATCTTGTTGCTACATCCTCTGGAGGGGAGGAACACTGTCCTCACATGGCAGAGGTGAATGGGCAAACCAACTGAACAATGAGTGAAGTTGCTTTTACAGGGGCCTTAATCGCATTCACAAGGGAGGAACCCTCGTGGCCTAATCACCTCTTAAAGACTCTACCTATTAATACTATCACATCACATTGCCAACACCTGAGTTTTGGAGGGGACACATTCAAACCATAGCACCAAGCCTCCTTTACTTCTGATCAGTTGGCTACAAAGTCAGGGGTTCCCACTACCCCCTCAGTTTTGATAATTCACTAGAAAAACTCACAGAACCCCAGAAGGCGCTATACTTGTGAGGACAATTGTGTTATAGCAAAAAGATACACATCAGAACCAACGAAAGGGAGAGTCATATAGAGTCACATAGAGCAAGGTATGAAAAGGTCCAAACACACAACTTCCATCATCTTCAGGGATGCATTACCCTCGCAGCCAGTTTATACCTGACAATACACAGAGTACTGTCATCAGGAAATCTCATTTGAGCCTTTGGTGTCCAGAGTTTTACTGGAGCTTGAGCATGTACTGCTCATGAGGCTGATCTTTAGGCTCCAGCCCATCCTGGAGGCTTAGGCTAATGCCTTTAGCCTCTAGTTCCTCTGGATGTTAGAGCTGAGGTAGTATGTTCCAAAATCTTCATCATAAATCACACTGTCGGACTGTTCACTGGTAAAAGCTCCCAGGCAAACAAAAACATTCACATCAAGCAGGACATTCCTGGGGCCTAGAGATCTCCTCCCAGTAGCCAAAAGCAAAAGCCAGAGCTCTCTTTGGGTAAAGTTAATTCTTCACTATACAAATCCAAGCCCTTTTACAGAATGTGCATTTATAATTTTTAGTCAGCACTCTAAGTAAACAATTTTTATCCCTAATCCTGTGTAGAATTTTTAAATCAATTAATGCTACATTAGTGATTTTTAAAGTTTAAGAAATGCATGAATTGAAGTACGTCTTCCTCTTCATGACAAAGATGACATAATGTTTAGTAAGAAATAAAGGAATATTTTAGGCTGGCAGTATTGGCAGTGAATCTCCCTGAATCATTAATAAAACAGAAAGAACAAGTAGGATAATGAAAGCAAAAACTCAAGCACAATATCTACAACTAAACTAGGCAATAAAATATTCTCAAGAACCTAAAATATAAACAAGTGGTGACAAATAGCCCATTTTATAAGATCCATCAGTGTCTGTGCAAGAGAAAGCTGAGGAAAGGCAACAAGATGGCCCTGAGAATAGAAGAACCTCAAAATCACCAACAGGTACTCACTGGAAATTGCCAGGGGACAATCTGAGAACAGAATCTAAAATGTACACTTTTAGAGTCCAGTTCACAGGGACAGGATAAGACAGTTATCGTAAGTTCTGAACTGTTAGGATTGTATGGCCCTAAGGACTTTAAAAACTATGACATCTGAGGCTCCTATTGGGACAAGGTCACACTTAGCAGAAACTGCTTGGAATATAACCCACATTGGGCAAGACAGGGACAGTAGTGGGTGGGGAAAAGAGAAGATCTGGATAAAATGGGAAGGAGGACAGGAGGCAGCAGACTTTGAAAAGTAAGAGAATATATATTTTATCACTTCCAGAAAAAATAGCAAAGACAGTCCTAGATCACACCAGCAAAAATGTTAACCTAATCCATTCCTACATTCAGAATGTATAGAAAAACTATTTTTACTTAAATTAAGCAATGGAGAAGGATCGTAATTGAATCCACACAATTTTATTATAAGACAAAATAAAATAAAGAGAAAAATAATAGCTGCAGAAGTGGCTGAAATATGAAGCATGGGGAAAAGGAGAGAACTGTAAAAAGAAGAAAATCTAGAAATCTGAATTTGGTTCCCTTGAGTCTTTGGCCAAAGATTAAGCAATGCAAGTACAAAATAAGGCAGTGGAAGGCCAAGAAAAACTATGAGTTGAAAGGGGATTCCAGAGCTTGCACAGGGCTTGGAAATGTTGGGTTTCTGCCTAGCTCAAGTGAGACACTTAAATAAACCTGCAGACATGCAATTGACACACAAGAAAGGCCAAATCTAATAAGTAGGCTATTCCAGCCCCAGACTAGACCTGCCATATTAAAGCTTATAAATAGTCCTCTAAAGGATCAAGTGGATGCACAAGTAAATTAACTACCTGCCATAACAAAGTTCAATCCTCTTTACAAAAGAGAACAAAATTGATGGCATTCAATACAAAATTACTACATATATAAATAAGCAGGAAAAGGTGGCCTACAATACAGAGGAAAATCTATCCATAATAATGAGACTTACAAATCACAGAAATTATGTATTAGAATGTAGCATTAAGGCATGTATGTTTAAGAATACAAAGTAAAACATAAACATAATGAAAGGAACCACTAGGAAATCTCAATAGAGAAATGGAAACTATCTAGAACAAACAAATGAAGACTTCGGAATGGAAAAATACAATATCTGAAATTAAAAATTCACTGGATGGGCTTGAAAGCAGACTAGACACCAAAGAAGAAAATATCATGGGACTTTAAGACAGATTAATAAAAAAAGTCCAATCTGAAGACAAGACAGAAAGACAATTGATGAAAAATAAATAGAAGCTCAGAAACCTGTAGAACAGTAGCAAATGGTTTAATGCGTAAGAGAAGAGAGCTCAGATATAGATCCACACTTAAAGAGTTAACTGATTTTCTCCAAGGGTAGCAAAGCAATTCAATAGGAGAAAGAATAGTCTTTTCAACAAACAGTGCTAAAGCAATTGAATACCTCTATGGAAAAAAAAAATCAATCTTCATCCATATTTTTCCTTTTTACAAGAAAAAGATCAAAATAGATAATAATCTGAAATGTAAGTTATAAGACTAGAAGAAGACAGGAAAAAAATAAGTTTAACCTCGAGATAGGCCAAGATTTTTTCACAGGACAGAAAAAGGACTAGCCAAGAAACAAACAAACAAAAACATAAAACCTGATAAGTTTGGACTTCATCAAAATAAAAATCTCTGTTCAACAAAAAACACACTAAGAAAATTAGTGGGTCAGGGCCAAGACGGCCGATTAGATGCAACTGCGGTCCAAGGCACTTACAGAGAGGAATGAAAGGAGCAAGTGAATTCAGTCAGCACCTTCAACTGAAATATCCAGGTTCTTGCACTGGGACTGACTAGGCAAACAACCCACGAAGAACGAAGAAAAGCAGGGTGGGGCAACAGATAGCCTACTTGGGAGCAGCACAGAGGCAAAGGAACCCCCACCCCAGCCAGGTAGTGACTGTATGAAGCAGTAAGTGATTGTATGACCCTGCCCAGGAAATCATGCTTCTCCCGTGGATCCTTGCAACCTGTGGATCAGGAAATCCCCTCACGAGCCCATGCCCTCAGGGCCTTGGGTCTGATAAACAGAGCTGTGTGGAGTCTAGGCAGAGCAGCTGCTCAGGCACACAGAGAGACCCAGGAATTTTACATATTTCAGCCCCAGGATCCCCAGCAAGGTGGGAGATCTGTCTGTTCATATCCCTAGGAAGAGGGCTGAATCTAGGGAGCCAATCAGCATTGTTCTGTGGGTCCCACTTTCACAGCACCTCACAAATTAAGACCCACTGGCTTGGAATTCCAGCCAGCCAGTGGCACAGGCTGGAGTCTGACTGACGCAGGACCAAGTTCCCAGGGGAGGGGTGACTGCCATCTCTGTAGGTCAGTAGACTCAGCCATTTCAGCCTGCCAGCACTGGAGAATCCTAGCTGTCCAGACGAGGAAGGGTCCCCCACAACACAGCACAATTGCCTTGTCAGCTGTTAGCCAGACTGTTTCTTTAAGCAGGGCCCTGATCCATTCCTCCTTACTTGGAGGGACCTCCCTGCAAGGGCTTCAGCCACTTCAGCCAGGGTTATACAGACAGCTCTGATTTCTCCTTGGGATGGAGCTCATGGGGTAAGGGGTGGCTGCCATCTCTGTAGTTTGGTAGACTCAGCAGTTCCAGCCTGCTAGCTGTGGAGAACCCAAATGGTCTGGATGAGTAAGGGTCCCCCTCAGTGCAGCACACCTGCTCTACCAAAAAGCAGCCAGACTGATTCTTTAAGCATGTTCCTGATCCTGTTCCTCCTGACTGGGTGAGACCTCCCAATAGGTGTCTCCAGCCACCTACTACGGGCATGCTCAAACCAGCAATAGGTCAGCACCCTCCCAGGATGGAGCTTCCAGAGGAAGGAGCAGGCTGCCATCTTTGCTGTTTCATAGCCTTCACTGGTGATACCTCCAGGTATGGGGAAAACCAAGGCAACTAGGGTCTGGAGCAGACCGCCAGCAAACCACAGCAGCCCTGCGGAAGAGTGGCCTGACTATTAAAAGAAAAACAAACAAAATCCCAGCAATATCCACAAAGAAAGATCCCACAAAATCCCATTCAAAGGTCAGCAACCTCAAATATCAAAAGTAGATAAGCCCACAAACATGAGAAAGAATCAACCAAAAAAATGCTGAAAACTCAAAAAACCAGAGCTCCTCTTCTCCTCTAAATGACCACAACACCTTTCCAACAAGGGCGCAGAACTGGGCTGAGGCCGAGATGACTTATTGACAGAAGTAAGCCTCAGAAGGTGAGTAATAATGAACTTCGCTGAGAGCTAAAGGAGCATGTTCTAACCCAATGCAAAGAAGCCAAAAATCACAGAAAACAATACATGAACAAATAGCCAGAACAGCCAGTTTAGAGAGGAATGTAACCAACTTGATGGAGCTGAAAAACACAACATGAGTACAATGCAATCACAAGTATCAATAGCAGAATAGACTAAGCATAGGAAAGAATATCAGAGCTGGAAGACTACCTTTCTGAAATAAGACAGGCAGACAAGAATAGGGAAAAATGAATGAAAAGGAATGAACAAAACCTGCAAGAAATATGGGATTATGTGAAGAGAATGAACCTACAATTGACTGGGGTACCTGAAAGAGATGAGGAGAATGGAACCAAGTTGGAAAACATACCTCAGGATATTAACCAGGAGAACTTCCCCAACCTAGCAAGACAGGCCAACATTCAGATACAGGAAATGCAGATAACCCCAATAAGATACTCCACAAGAAAATCAACTCAAGACACATAATCATCAGATTCTCCAAGGTCGAAATAAAAGAAAAAATGTTAAGGGCAGCCAGAGAGAAAGGCCAGATCACCTACCAAGGGAAGTCCATCAGACTAGCAGCAGACATCTCAGTGGAAACCCTACAAGTCAGAAGAGATTAGGAGCCAATATTCAACATTCTTAAAGAAAATAATTTTCAACTCAGAATTTTATATCTAGCCAAACTAAGCCTCCTAAGCAAAGAAATAAGATCCTTTTCAGACAAGCAAATGCTGAGGGAATTTGTCACCAACAGCCCTGCCTTGCAAAAGCTCCTGGAGGAAGCACAAAATATGAAAAGGAAAACCTGTTACCAGCCACTATAAAAACACACTGAAGTACACAGATCAGTGACACTATGAAGCAACTACATTAGCAAGTGTGCAAAATAACCAGCTAACACCATGATGACAGATCAAATTCACACATAACAATACTAACCTTGGTTTCCTGGGCAAGATGGCCTAATAGCAACAGCTCCTGTCTGCAGCTCCCAGCAAGACCAACACAGAAGGCAAGTGATTTCTGCATTTCCAACTGAGGTACCCGGTTCATCTCATTGGGGCTGGTTAGACAGGTGGTACAGCCCACAGAGGGCGAGCAGAAGCAGGGTGAGGTGTCGCCTCACCCGGGAAGTGCAAGAGGTCGAGGAAATCCTATCCCTAGCCAAGGGAAGCTGTGAGGAACTGTGCAGTGAGGAATGGTGCTATCCGGCCCAGATACTACACTTTTCCCACAGTCTTCACAACCTGCAGACCAGGAGATTCCCTCAGGTGCCTACACCACAAAGGCCCTGGGTTTCAAGCATAAAACTAGGTGGCTGTTTGGGCAGACACCAAGTTAACCACAGGAGTTTTTTTGTTTGTTTGTTTGTTTGTTTTTTCATATTCCAGTGGCTCCTGGAACACCAGCAAGATAGACCCTTACCAGTGGAAAGGAGGCTGAAGGCAGGGAGCCAAGTGGTCTTGCTCAGCAGATCCCACTCTGACAGAGCCCAGCAAGCTAAAATCCACTGGCTTGAAATTCTCGCTGCCAGCACAGCAGTCTGAAGTGGACCTGGGATGCTCGAGCTCGGTGGGAGTAGGGGCATCTACCATTACTGAGGCTTGAGTAGGCGGTCTTCCCCTCATAGTGTAAACAAAACCACCTGGAAGTTTGGACTGGGCAGAGCCCACCACAGCTCAGCAAAGCCACTATAGCCAGACTGCCTCTCTAGATTCCTCCTCTCTGGGCAGGGCATCTCTGAAAGAAAGGCAGCAGCTCCAGTCAGAGCATATAGTCGAAACTCTCATCTCCCTGAGACAGAGCACCTGGGGGAAGGGGCAGCTGTGGGTGCAGCTTCAGCAGATTTAAACATTCCTGCCTGCCAGCTCTGAAGAGAGCAATGGATATCCCAGCACAGCGCTTGAGCTCTGCTAAGGAACAGACTGCCTCCTCAAGTGAGTCCCTGACCCCAGTGCCTCCTGACAAGGAGACACCTCCCAGCAGGGGTCAACAGACACCCCATACAGGAGAGATCCAGCTGGCATCTGGCAGGCGTCCCTCTGGAACGAAGCTTCCAGAGGAAGGAGCAGGCAGGAATCTTTGCTGTTCTGCAGCCTCTGCTGGTGATACCCAGGTAAACAAGATCTGGAGTGGACCCCCAGAAAACTCCAGCAGACCTGCAGAAGAGGGGCCTGACTGTTAGAAGAAAAACTAACAAACAGAAAGAAATAGCATCAACATCAACAAAAAGGATGACCACGCAAAAACTCCATCTGAAGGTCACCAAAAGCAAAGACCAAAGGTAGATAAATCCAAGAAGATGAGGAAAAACCAGCACAAACAGGCTGAAAATTCCAAAAAACAGAATGCCTCTTCTCCTCCAAAGGATCACAACTCCTTGCCAGCAAGGGTACGAAATTGGATGGAGAATGAGTTTGATCAATTGTCAGAAGTAGGCTTCAGAAGGTGGGCAATAACAAACTCCTCCAAGCTAAAGGAGCATGTTCTAACCCAATGCAAGGAAGCTAAGAACTTTGATGAAAGGTTAGAGGAATTGCTAACTAGAATAACCAGTTTAGAGAAGAAAATAAATGACCAGATGGAGTTGAAAAACACAGCATGAGAACTTCGTGAAGCATACATGATTATCAATAGCTGAATTATCAAGTGGAAGAAATGACACCAGAGATTGAAGATCAACTTAATGAAATACAGTGTGGAGACAAGATTAGAGAAAAAAGAACAAAAAGGAATGAACATAGCCTCCAAGAAATATGGGACTATCTGAAAAGACCAAACCTACATTTGATTGGTTTAACTGAAAGTGACAGGGAGAATGGAACCATGTTGGAAAACACACTTCAGGTATTATCCAGGAGAAATTCCCCAACCTAGCAAGACAGGCCAACATTCAAGTTCAGGAAATACAGAGAACACCACAGAGATATTCTTCGAGAAGAGCAACCCCAAGACACATAATCATCAGATTCACCAAGGTTGAAATGAAGGAAAAAATGTTAAGGGCAGACAGAGAGAATGGTTGGGTTACCCACAAAAGGAAGCACATCAGACTAAGAGCGGATCTCTCTGCAGAAATGCTAAGCTAGAAGAGAGTGGGAGACAATATTCAACATTCTTAAAGAAAGGAATTTTCAACCCAGAATTTCATATGTAGCCAAACTTAGCTTCATAAGTGTAGGAGAAATAAAATCCTTTCCAGACAAACAAATGCTGAGGAATTTTGTCACCACCAGGCCTGGCTTACAAGAGCTCCTGAAGGAGGCATTAAATATGGAAAGGAAAAACTGGTACTAGCACTGAAAAAACAAACCAAAATGTAAAGAATATCAACACTATGAAGAAACTGCAACAACTAATGGGCAAAATAATGAGCTAGCATTATAATGACAGGATCAGATTCACACATAACAATATTACCCTTAAATGTAAACGGGCTAAATCCCCCAATTAAAAGACACACACTGGAAAATTGGATAAAGAGTCAAGACCCATCAGTGTGCTGTATTCGGGAGACCCACCCATCTCACGTGCAAAGACACACATAGGCTCAAAATAAAGGGATGGAGGAATATTTGCCAAGCAAATGGAAAGCAAAAAGAAACAGGGATTGCAATCCTAGCCTCTGATAAAACAGACTTTAAACCAACAAAGATCAAAAAAGACAAAGAAGGGCATTACATAATGGTAAAGGGATCAATGCAACAAGAAGCAGTAACTATCCTAAATATATATGCACCCAATACAGGAGCACCCAGATTCATAAACCAAGTTCTTAGAGACCTACAAAGAGACTTAGACTCCTACACAATAATAGTGGGAGACTTTAACACCCCACTGTCAATATTAGACAGATCATCAAGACAGAAAATTAATAAGGATATTCAGGACTTGAACTCAGCCCTGGGCCAAGTGGACCTAATAGACATCTACAGAACTCCCCACCCCAAATCAACAGAATATACATTCTTCTCAGCAGCAAATACCACTTATTCTAAAATCAGCCACATAATTGGAAGTAAAACACTCCTCACCAAACGCAAAGGAACAGAAATCATAACAGTCTCTCAGACCACAGTGCAATCAAATTAGAACTCAGGATTAAGAAACTCATTCTAAACTGCACAACTACATGGAAACTGAACAACCTGCTCCTGAATGACTACTGGGTAAATAACGAAATTAAGGCAGAAATAAATAAGTTCTTTGAAACCAATGACAACAAAGACACAATGTACCAGAATCTCTGGGACACAGCTAAAGCAGTGTTTAGAGGGAATTTTATAGCGCTAAATGCCCATAGGAGAAAGTAGGAAAGATCTAAAATAGACACCCTAACATCACAATTTAAAGAACAAGAGAAGCAAGAGCAAACAAATTCAAAAGGTAGCAGAAGACAAGAAATAACTAAGATCAGAGCAGAACTGAAGTAGGTAGAAACACAAAAAACACTTCAAAAAAATCAATGAATCCAGAAACTGTTTTTTTTTTGAAAAGGTTAACAAAATTGATAGACCACTAGCCAGACTAATAAAGAAGAAAAGAGAGAAGAATAAAATAGATGCAATAAAAAATGGTAAAGGGGAGATCACCACTGATCCCACAGAAAAACAAACTACCATCAGAGAATACCATAAACACCTCTATGCAAATAAACTAGGAAATCTTGAAGAAATGGATAAACTCCTGGACAAATACACCCTCTCAAGACTAAACCAGGAAGAAGTAAAATCCCTGAATAGACCAATAACAAGATCTGAAATTGAGGCAGGATAGCTTACCAACCAAAAAAAGCCCATGACCAGACAGATTCACAGCCAAATTCTACCAGAGATACAAAGAGGAGCTGGTACCATTCCTTCTGAAACTATTCCAAACATTAGAAATAGAGGGACTCTTCCATAACTCCTTTTATGAGGCCAGCATCATCCTGATACCAAAACCTGGCAGAGACACAACAAAAAAGAAAATTTCAGGCCAATATCCCTGATGAACATTGATGTGAAAATCCTCAAAAAAAATACTGGCAAACCGAATCCAGCCGTACATCAAAAAGCTCATCCACCACAATCAACTCAGCTTCATCTCTGGGATGCAAGGCTGGTTCAACATATGCAAATCAACAAATGTAATCCATCACATAAACAGAACCAATGACAAAAACCATGTGATTATCTCAATAGATGCAGAAAAGGCTTTAGATAAAATTCAACAGCACTTCATGCTAAAAACTCTCAATAAACTAGGTATTGATGGAACATATCTCAAAATAATAAAGAGCTGTTTATGACAAACCCACAGCCAATATCATACAGAATGGGCAAAAACTGGAAGCATTTCCTTTGAAAACCGGCACAAGACAAGGATGCCTCTCTCACCACTCCTATTCAACACAGTATTGGAAGTTCTGGCCAGGGCAGTCAGGCAAGAGGAAGAAATAAAGCATATTCAGATAAAAAGCTAGGAAGTCAAATTATCTCTGTTTGTAGATGATATGATTGTATATTTAGAAAACCCCATTGTCTCAGCCTGAAAATCTCTTAAGCTGACAAGGAACTTCAAAAAAGTCTCAGGATACAAAATCAATGTGCAAAAATCACAAGTATTCCTCTACATCAATAATAGACAGAGAGCCGAATCATGAGCAAAATCGCATTCACAATTGCTACAAAGAGAATAAAATACCTATGAACACAACTTACAAGGGATGTGAAAAACCTCTTCAAGGAGAACTACAAACCACTGCTCAAGGAAATAAGAGAGGACACAAACAAACGGAAAAACATTCCATGCTCATGGATAGGAAGAATCAATATCACGAAAATGGCCATACTGACCAAAGTAATTTATAGATTCAATGCTATTCCTATCAAGCTACCATTGACTTTCTTTACAGAATTAGAAAAATCTACTTTAAATTTCATATGGAAACAAAAAAGAGCCTGTATAGCCAAGACAATCTTAAGCAAAAAGAACAAAGCTGAAGGCATCATGCTACCTGACTTCAAACTATACTACAAGGCTACAGTAACCAAAACAGCAAGGTACTTGTACCAAAACAGATATATAGACCAATGCAACAGAACAGAGGCCTCAGAAATAACACCACACATCTACAACAATCTGATCTTTGATAAACCTGACAGAAACAAGCCATGGTAATATGATTCCCTATTTAATAAGTGGTGTTGGGAAAAGTAGCTAGCCATATGCAGAAAACTGAAACTGGGCCCCTTCCTTACACCTTATACAAAAATTAACTCAAAGTGGATTAAAGATTTAAACATAAGACCTAAAACCATAGAAATCCTAGAAGAAAACCTAGGCAATACCAATCAGGACATAGGCATGGGCAAATGCTTCATGACCAAAACATCAAAACCAATGGTAACAAAAGCCAAAATTTACAAATGGTATGTAAGTAAAGTAAAGAACTTCTGCACAGCAAAAGAAACTATCACCAGAGTGAATAGGCAACCTGCAGAATGGGAGAAAATTTTTGCAATCTATCCATCTGACAAAGGCCTAATATATAGAATCTACAAGGAACTTCAACAGATTTACAAGAAAAAAAAAAACCCATCAAAAATTGGGCAAAGGATATGAACAGACACTTCTCAAAAGGCATTTATGCTGCCATACGCCGGCAACATACATATGAAAAAAAGCTCATCATCACTGGTCATTAGAGAAATGCAAATCAAAACCACAATCAGATATTATCTCACGTCTGTTAGAATGGCAATCATTAACAAGTCAGGAAACAAGAGATGCTGGTGAGGATGTGGAGAAATAGGAATGCTTTTACACTGTTGGTGAGAATGTAAATTAGTTCAACCATTGTGGAAGACAATGTGGCAATTCCTCAAGGACCTAGAACTAGAAATACCATTTGACCCAGCAATCCCATTACTGGGTATATACCCAAAGGATTATAAATCATTTTACTATAAAAACACATGCACACGTATGTTTATTGCAGCATTATATGCAATAGCAAAGACTTGGAACCAACCCAAATGCCCATTAATGTTAGACTGGATAAAGAAAATGTGGCACATATACACGATGGAATACTATGCAGCCATAAAAAAGAATGAGTTCATCTCCTTTACAGGGACATGGATGAAGCTGGAAACCGTCATTCTCAACAAACTAACACAGGAAGAGAAAACCAAACACTGCATGTTCTCACTCATCAGTGGGAGTTGAACAATGAGAACATATGGGCATAGGGAGGGCAACATCACTCACTGGGGCCTTTCAGGGGATGGGGGCAAGAGGAGGGATAGCATTAGGAGAAATACCTAATGTAGATGACAGATTGATGGGTGCAGCAAACCATCATGGCACATGTATACCTATGTAACAAACCTTCATGTTCAGTCCATGTATCCCAGAACTTAAAGTATATATATATATGTGCTAACCTTTAATGTAAATGGGCTAAATGCCCCAAATAAAAGACACAGAATGGAACATTGGATAAAGAGTGAAGACCCTTTGGTATGCTGCCTTCAAGAGATCCATCTAACATGCAAAGACAAACATTAGGATCAAAATAAAGGAATGGAGGAAAATTTACCAAGCAAATGAAAAACAGAAAAAAGCAGATGTTGCAATCCTGATTTCTGACAAAACAGACTTTAAACCAACACAGATTTAAAAAAAAAAAAAAAGACAAAGAAGGATATTACATAATGATTAAGGGCTCAATTCAACAGGTAGAGCTAACTATCCTAAATATATATGCACCCAATACAAGAGCACCCATATTCATAAAGCAAGTTGTTAGAGACCTATAAAGAGACTTAGACTCTCACACAATAATAGTGGGAGACTTTAACACCCCATTAACAATATTAGACTATCAAGACAGAAAATTAACAAAGATATACAGGGCCTGAATTCAGCTCTGGATCAAGTGCACCTAGTAGATATCTACAGAACTGTGTACCTCAAAACAACAGAGAATATACATTCTTCTCATTGCCATGCAGCACTTATTCTAAAATTGATTACATAATTTGAAGTAAAACTCTTTTCAGCAAATGTAAAAGAAAAAACTGAAATCATAACAGTCTGTCAGACCACAGCACAAACAAATTAGAACTCAAGATTAAGAAATTCACTCAAAACTGGCTGGGCGCGGTGGCTCATGCCTGTAATCCCAGCACTTTGGGAGGCCGAGGCAGGCAGATCACGAGGTCAGGAGTTCAAGACCAGCTGGCCAATATGGTGAAACCCCATCTCTACTAATAAAATACAAAAAATTACCCGGGTGCGGTGGCACACGCCTGTAGTCCCAGCTACTCAGGAAGCTGAGGCAGGAGAATTGCTTGAACCTGGGAGGCGGAGGTTACAGTGAGCTATGATCATGACACTGCACTCCAGCCTGGGTGACAGAGTGAGAGTTTGTCTCAAAAAAAAAAAAAGAAAAAAAAGGAATTCATTCAAAACCACACAACTACATGGAAATTGAACAGCCTGCTCTAGAATGGTTCTTGGGTAAATAATGAAATTAAGGCAGAAATCAAAAAGTTCTTTGAAACTAATGAGAACAAAGAGATAACATATTAGAATTCCTGGGATGCAGCTAAAGCAGCATTAAGAGGGAAATTTATAGCACTAAATGCCCACATCGAAAAGATAGAAAGATCTCAAGTTGACAACTTAACATCACAACTAACAGAACCAGAGAACCAAGAGGAAACAACTCCCACAGCTAACAGTAGACAAGAAATTACCAAGATCAGAGCTGAACTGAAGGAGATGACATGAAAAACCCTTCAAAAAACCAACAAACCCAGGAGCTTGTTTTTTCAAAAAATTAATAAAATAGATAGACCACTAGCTATACTAATTAAAAGAAACACTATCAGAAATAAGAAGGATATCACCACTGATATCATGGAAATACAAACAACCATCAGAGAATATTATAAACACCTCTATGCACATAAACTAGAAAATTGAGAAGAAATGGATAAATTCCTGGACCCATACACCCTCCCAAGGCTGAACCAGGAAGAAACTGAATCCCTGAATAGACCAATAATGAGTTCTGAAATAGAGGCAGTAATAAATAGCCTATCAACCAAAAAAAGCCCAGGACCAGAGGTCCTGGCTGAATTCTACCAGAGGTACAAAGAAGAACCGATAACATTTCTACTGAAACTATTTCAAACAATTGAAAAGGAGGAACTCCTCCTTAACTCATTCTATGAGGCCAGCATCGTCCTTATACCAAAACCTGGCAGAAATACAACAAAAAAAGAAAACTTCAAGCCAATAACTTTGATGAACATCAATGTAATAATCCTCAATAAAATACTGTCAAACTGAATCCAGCAGCACATCAAAAGCTTATCAAACGTGATCAAATTGGTTTCATCTTGGGATGCAATGTTGGTTCAACATATGCAAACCAATAAATGTGATTCATCACATAAACAGAACTAAAGACAAAAACCACATGATTATCTCAAAAGATGCAGAAAAGGCCTTTGATAACATTCAACATCCCTTCATGTGAAAAACTTTCAATAAACTAGGTATTGAAAGAACATACCTCAAAATAGTAAGAGTCATACGTGACAAACTCACAGCCAATATCATAGTCAGTGGGCAAAAGCTGGAAGCATTCCCCTTGAAAACTGGCACAAGACAAGAATGCCCTGTCTCACCAGTCCTATTCAACACAGTATTGGAAGTTCTGGCCAGGGCAATAAGGCAAGAGAAAGAAATAAGGTGTATTCAAATAGGCAGAGAGGAAGTCAAATTTTCTTTGTTTGCAGATGACTTGATTCTATATCTAGAAAACCTCATCATCTGAGCCCAAAAGCTTCTTAAGTTAATAAGCAACTTCAGCAGTCTCAGGATCCAAAATCAATGTGCAAAATTTGCTAGCATTCCTATACACCAACAACAGGCCATCAGAGAGCCAAATCTTGAATGAACTCCCATTCACAATTGCTACAAAGGAATAAAATACCTCTGAATACAGGTAATAAGGGAAGTGAAGGGCCTCTTCCAGGAGAACTACCAACGACTACACAAAGAAATTAGAGAGGACACAAACAAACGGGAAAACATTCCATGCTCATGGGTAGAAAGAACCAATATTGTGAAAATGGCCATATTGCCCAAAGTAATTTATATATTCAATGCTATTCCCATTTAGCTACCATTGAAATTCTTCACAGAATTAGAAAAAGAAAACTATTTTAGAATTCATATGGAACCAAAAAAGAGCCCAAATAGCCAAGACAATCCTAAGCAAAAAGAACAAAGCTGGAGACATCACACTGCCCAATTTCAAACTATACTACAAGGCTACAGAAAGCAAAACAACATCGTACTTGTACACATAGACCAATGGAACAGAATAGAGAACTCAGAAATAAGACCACATACCTCCAATCATCTGATATTCAACAAACCTGACAAAAACAAACAATGGGGAAAGGATTCCCTATATAATAAATGGTGCTGTGAGAACTGGCTAGCCATATGCAAAATATTAAAACTGGACCCGTTCCTTACACCATATAAAAAAATAACTCAAGATGAATTAAAGATTTAAATGTAAAACCCAAAACTATAAAAACCTTAGAAGGAAATCTAGGCAATACCATTCAGGCCATAGGCACGTGCAAAAATTTCATGATGAAAATGCTAAAAGCAATTGTAACAAAAGCAAAAATTGACAAATAGGTTCTAATTAAACTAAAGAGGTTCTGCACAGCAAAAGAAACTATCATCAGAGTGAACAGACAACCTACAAAATGGGAGAAAATTTATGCAATCTATTCATCTGGCAAAGATCTAATATCCAGAATATACAAGGAGCTTAAACAAATTTACAAGAAAAAAGACAAACAACCCCATTAAAAAGTAAGCAAAGTACATAAGCAGACACTCCTCAAAATAAAACATATATGCTGCCAATAAACATATATAAGACTGTTTATTAGAGAAATGTAAACCAAAACCGCAATGAGATACCATCTCATGCCAGTCAGAATGGCTAGTATTAAAAGGTCAAAAAACAACAGATGCTGGTGAGGTTGCAGAGAAAGGGATCGCTTTTACACTGTTGGTGGAAGTGTAAATTAGTTCAACGATTGTGGAAGTCAGTGTGGCAATTCCTCAAAGACCTAAAGGCATAAATTACATTTGACCCAGCAACCCCACTACTGGGTATATACCCAAAGGAATATGAATCATTCTGTTATGAAGATACATGCACATGTGTGTTCATTAAAGCACTATTCACAATAACAAAGTCACAGCATCAACCTAAATGCCAATCAGTGGTAGACTGGATAAAGAAAATGTGATATATATACACCATGGAATACTATGCATCCATAAAAAGGAATGAGATCATGTCCTTTAACAGGGACATGGATGGAATGGGAAGCCATTATCCTCAGTAAACCAAAGCAGGAACAGAAAACCAAAAACCACATGTTCTCACAAGCAGGAGCTGAATGATGAGAACACATGGCACACTGGGGGAACAACACACACTAGGGCCTGTCGGAGGGGAATGGTTGGGGGAGGGAGACCATCAGGAAGTATAGTTAATGGTTGCTGGGCTTAATACCTAAGTGATGGGTTGATCTGTGCAGCAAACCACTATGGCACAGGTTTACCTATGTAACAAACCTGCACATCCTGCACATGTACCCCTGAACTTAAAATAAAAGTTGAAGAAAAAAATAACTGGCAAGACATAACTTCTAACAAGGAACATGTATGTAGAATATAAAAAAAATTCCTCTAACTCAACAAAAAATACAGCCCAGGAGAGGTTTATAGAGGAGGCAGAGCAATATGGCCAAATAAAAGCCTCCAGCAACCCCCACCCATACACACACACACACAGGAACACCAAATTGAACAACTATCCACACAAAAGAATACCTTCATAAGAATGAAAAATCAGGTGAGTGACAACAGTACCTGGTTTTAGCAAAATATTAAAGAAAAAGGCACTAAAAAGGGTAGAAACTACAGTCTTGAATTACCTACACCATCCTTCACCCATCTTGTGGCAGTGGCTACAAGGCATGGAGAGAGAATCAGTGCACTTGAGGGAGGGAAAGTGCAGGGATTGTGGAACTTTGCATTGGAACTCAGTGCTGCCCTGTGACAGAAGAAAGCAACACAAGGCAGATCTCACCCAGTACCCATGGAGGGAGCATTTAGACCAGCCCTAGCCAGAGCTGAATCATCTATCCCAGCAATCAGGGCAGAAGTTCCAACAAGTGCTATCACCATGGACTAAAGCACTCTGGGGTCCTAAATAAACTTGAAAGGCAGTCTAGGCCACAAGAACTGCAATTCCTGGGCAAGTCTTATTGCTGTGCTGGGCTCGGAGACCGTGGACTTGGGGTGAATGTGACCTAGTGAGACACTAGCTGGGGAAGCCAAAGGAGCGCTTATATCACCCCTTCCCCAACCCCAGGAAGCATAGTTTGCAGCTCCAGGAGAAGCCCCTTCCTTCTGCTTGAGGAAAGGAGAGAGGGGAGAGTATAAAGGATTGTCTCTTGCAACTTGGATACCAGCACAGTCACAGTAGAATAGAACAAAAAGAAGACTCCTGTGGCTCACATTCTGAGTCCTAGCTCCTGAACATTTCTAAACACACCCTAGGCCAAAATGAAACCTGCTGGCTTGAAGGGAAAGACCCATTCCTGGAAGAATTCATCACCTGCTAATTAAAGAGCTCTTAAGCCCTCAATAATTAGTACTAGTAGCCAGGCAATACTCACTCTGGGCCTCAGAGCCATGCTGGCTTCAAGTGTAACCCAGCACATTCCCAGCTGTGGTGGCTGCAGAGCAAGAATCCTTCTGGTTGAGGAAAGGAGAAGGAAGAGTAAAAGAGACTTTCTCTTGCCACTTAGGTACCAGGTCAGCCACAATGGAGTAGAACATTAAGTGGGTTACTCGGGTCCCTGATTCCAGGCCTTGGCTTTTGGATGGTATTTCTGGGGCTGCCCTGGGCCAGAGGGGAGCCCACTTCCCTGAAGGGAGAGCTAGGCACTGATAGCATTCACTATAAGGTGATGGAAGAGTCTTTGGGCCTTCAGTGAACATCAGTGACAGCCAGACAGTACTGCCACAGGCTTATGGTGGTGGTGGTCATGGAGAGAGACTCCTCTGCTTGAGGAAAGGGAAGGGAAGAATGAGAAGGACTTTGATTTGTGGCTTTGGAACCAGCTGAGTCACACTAGAATATAACTCCAAATATATTCCTGAGGTTCCTGACTCCAGGCCCTGGCTCCTGGATGGCATCTTCAGAGCCATCTGGGGCTGAGGGGATCCCATTTCCCTGAAGGGAAGGACACAAGTTTGGCTAGATTTGCCACCTACTGATTACAGAGCCTTTGGGAGAGAGAGAGGGAGAGGGAGAGATCCCATTTGTTTGGGGGAAAGTAAGGGAAGAGAACAAGAGTCTCTGTTCTGATCTAGAGAATTCTCTAAGATCTTACACAAGACCAAGAAGGGGGTACCTCTATGAGTCTGCAAGAGCCACAGCATTACTGGGCTTGGGGTGCCCCTAAGAGCAGATGCAGCTTCAGTGACCAAAGAATTAAATCACAACACCCAAGTCCCTTCAAATACCTGGAAAACCTTTCCAAGAAGAATGAGTACAAACAAGCCTAGACTGTGAAGACTACAATAAATACCTAACTCTTCAATGCCCAGGCACTGATGAATGTTCACAAGCATCAAGCCCATACAGGAAAACATGACCTCACCAAATGCATAAAATAAGGGACCAGGGACCAATCCCAGGGAGACAGAGATACGTGACCTTTCAGACAAATCATTCAAAATAGCTGTTTTGAGGAAGCTCAATTAAATTCAAGATAACACAGAGATGGAATTCAGAATCCTATCAGATAAATTTGACAAAGAGATTGAAATAATGCAAATGAATCAAGCAGAAATTCAGGACTTTAACATGCAATTCATATAATGAAGAATGCATCAGTGTCTTCTGACAGCAGAATTGATCAAGCAGAAGAAAGAATTAGTGAACTTGAAGACAGGCTATTTGAAAATATATGGTCAGAGGAGAAAAAATAAACAAGAATAAGAAACAATGAAGCACACTGACAAGATCTAGAAAATAGCCCCAAAAGGGGAAATCTAAAAGCTATTGCCCCTAAACCAAAGGTAGAGAGGGAGGTCAGGGCAGAAAGTTTATTCAAAGGGATATAAACAGAGAATTTCCTAAATGTAGAGAAAGATATCAATATTCAAGTACAAGAAGGTTATAGAGCACCAAGCAGATTTAACAAGACTACCTCAAGACATTTCATAATCAAACTCTCAAACATCAAGGATAAAGGAAGGATTCTAAAAGCAGCAAGAGAAAAGAAACAAATAACATACAATACATCTCCAGTGCATCTAGCAGCAGACTTCTTATTGGAAACCTTACAGTCTAGGAGAGAGTGGCATGACATATTTAAAGTGCTGCAGGAAAAAAACTTTTAACCTAGAACAGTACAGCCAGTGAAAATATCCATCAAATATGAAGGAGAAAAAAAGACTTTCCCAGACAAACAAAAGCTGAGGGATTTCACCAACACCAGACCTGTCCTACAAGAAATGCTAAAGGGAGTTTTTCAATCTGAAAGAAAGGGGTATTAATGAGCAATAAGAAATCATCTGAAGGTAGAAAACTCAGTGGTAATAGTGAACACACAGAAAACCACAGAATATTATAACACCGTAATTGTGGGGTATAATTACACATATCTTGAATAGAAAGACAAAAAGATGAACTTAACCAAAAGACTAACTACAAGCTAGGAGTGGTGGCTCATGCCTGTAATCCCAGCCAGCACTTTGGGAAGCTGAGGCTGGTGGATCACTTGAGCTCAGGAGTTCAAAACCAGTAGGGGCAATATGGTGAAACCCTGTCTCTACAGAAAATACAAAAATTAGCCAGGCAAGATGGTGGACACCTGTGGTCCTAGCTAACTAATACTCATTTATGAAATATTGGGAATTTTTTCTATGAAGTTGGAAAAAAGACAAGGATACCTATTATCACAATTTCTGTTCAACACTATACTGGAGTCCTAGACAGTAAAACTGGGGGGAGTAGGGCAAATATAAATAAATTGGAGAGAAAGAAAAAAATCTGTTATTATTTGCAGATACTATAATTGTGTACCTAAAAAATCTAGAAAAATCTAAGTGATTAGTAAATTTAGCAAGATTGCTTCATTCAAGGTCAATATACAAATTTCAATTGTACTTCTGTATGCCAGCAACATAAAGAGAGAAAATAAATATTTTTAAATTATATAATTTATAATAGTATGAAAAATGTCAAATCTAGGAATAAGTCTAATCAAGAAGTGTACAACATTGACCAAAAAAAACTGCAAAAATATTTCTAAAAAAGCTAAATGAAACAAATGTTAATTAGCTCAATTTAGCCATTCCATAATGTATACATATTTCAAAACAACATATTGCATATGATAAATATATATAATTTGTATTTGTCAATTAAATATTTTTTTTAAAAAAAGGACTATTGTAAATAGCTTCAGAAGCTTAAGAAAAGATACAACATAAATAAAACAAGAATAGGAGGCTATAAAGAAAGAAACATTTGGGAACCAAAAAAAGAACTTTTGGAGTTAAAGATGTGGTAGTGAATTTTTAAAATTTAGTAGAAGGATTGGAAGACAAAGTTGATATATATCCCATAAAGTAAACAAAAACACAAAGAAAACTCAAGCCAATATCCTTGATGAACATAGATGCAAAAATCTTCAACAAAATACAAGAAAACTGAATCCAGCAGCACATCAGAAAACTAATCCACCATATGAAGTAGGCTTTATCCCTGGGATGCAAGGTTGATCCAAAATACGTGAATCAATAAATGTGATTCACCACATAAACAGAACTAAAAACAAAAACCATACGATCATCTCAATAGATGCAGAAACAGTTTTTGATAAAATTCAACATTCTTTCATGTTAAAACCTTCAGCAAACTAATCATTGAAGGAACACACTTCAAAATAATAAGAGCCATCTATGACAAACCAACAGCCAACTTCATACTGAATAGGCAAAAGCTGGAAGCATTCCCCTTGAAAACCAGAATAAGGCATGGATGTTCACTCTCACTACTCTTTTTCAACATACTACTGGGAGTGCTAGCCAGAGCAATCAGGCAAGAGAAAGAAAGAAAAGGAATCCAAATAGGAAGACAGAAAGCCAATTTATCTATTTGTAGATAATACCATTCTATACCTAGAAAACCCCATAGTCTTTGCCCAAAAGCTCCCAGATCTGATAAACAACTTCAGCAAAGCTTCAAGGATACAAAATCAATATACAAAAATCAGTAACCTTTTTATACACCAACAATGTCCAAGCTGAGAGCCAAATCAAGAATGTAATCTCATTCACAATAGCCACAAATAAAAGAAAAAAAAAAACCTGGAAGTATAGCTAATGAGGAAGGTGAAAGATTTCTGTGAGAAGTATAAAATACTGCTTAAAGAAATCAGAGATGACACAAACAAATGAAAAAGCATTCCACTTTCATGAATACGAATAAGCAATATTATTAAAATGGCCATACTGTCCAAAGCAATCTACAGATTAAATGCTATTCCTATTAAACTACCAATGATATTCTTCACAGAATTATAAAAATCTATTTAATGGAAACAAAAAGGAGCTCTAATAGCCAAGGTAATGCTAAGAAAAAGAACAAAACTGAGTGGAACAGAATAGAGAGCCCATAAATAGTGCCACCTACAACCATTTGATCTTTGACAAAGTCAACAAAAACAAGCAATGGGGAAAGGACTCCCTACTTAGTAAATGGTCCTGGGATAATTGGCTTATCATATACAGACGATTGAAGCTGGACCCTTTCCTTCTGCTGTATACAAAAATCAACTCAAGATGGATTAAAGACTTAAATGTAAAACCTACAACTATAGAAACCCTGGAAGATAACGTAGGGAATATACCATTCTGGACATAGGCCCTGGAAAATATTTCATGATGAAGATGCCAAAAGCAATTGCAACAAAAACAAAGGTTGACAAATGGGTCCTAATTAAACTAAAGAACTTCTATACAGCAAAAGAAACTGTCAACGGAGTAAACAGACAACCTGCAGAATGGGAGAAAATATTTGCAAACTATGTATTTGACAAAGAGCTAATACCCAGAATCTACAAGGAACTTAAATAAATTAACAAGCAAACAACAAACAACTACATTAAAAAGTGGGCAAGGGACATGAACAGACACTTTCCAAAAGAAGGCATACGTGTTGCCAACAAGCATATGAAAAAATGCACATCACTAATCATAAGAGAAATGCAAATTGAAACCACAATGAGATTACCATGTCACACCGGTCAGAATGGCTATTATTAAAAAGTCAAAAAATAATATATGCAGGTGAGTTTGCAGAAAAAAGGAACACTTACACCCTGCTGGTGGAAATGTAAATTAGTTAAGCCATTGCGGAAAGCGGTGTGGTGGTTTCTCAAAGAAGTAAAAACAGAAGTACCATTTGACCCAGCAATCCTATTATTGGGTATATATTCAAAGGAACATAAATCATTCTACTATAAAAACACATGCACGTGTATGTTCCTCTCAGCACTATTCACAATAGCAACGTCATGGAATCAACCTAAATGCCCATCAATGGTAGACTGGATGAAGAAAATGTGGTACATATACACCATGGGACATTACATAACCATAAAAAGAACAAGACTGTGTCTTTTGCAGTAACACGGATGGAGCTGGAGGTCATTATCCTACAAGAGATAACTCGGGAACAGAAAACCAAATACCACATGTTCTCACTTATAAGCAGGAGCTAAACAGTGAGTACACATGGACTCAAAGAAGGGAACAACAGACACTGGAGCCTACTTGAGGGTGGAGTTTGGGAGGAGGGAGAGGAACAGAAAACTACCTGTAGAGTATTATGCTTATTACCTGGGTGACAAAATATTCTTCACACCAAACCCTGGTTACACACAATTTACCTGTATAACAAACCTTCACAAGTGCCCGTGAACCTAAAATAAAAGTTAAAATATATATATATATATATATATATATACAAAGTTAGAAAAAAGAAAAAATATACAAAATAAAGAGAATCCAAAAAAACACAAAGATAGAGAATATTAAAAGGAATAAGCGAATTAGTGGATTAGTTTAGGAGACCCAACATTCAATTAATAGGAGTTCCAGTAGCGAAGGAAACAAGGGGAAATACGTGATAAAAGAAACACTATAAAAGCATATCCCACATTTGAGTGTCCAACAAAATTAATGAAAAAACCCATAGCACCAAATCTCACACTGTTCACAAAAGTCAATTTCAGGTGTTCTCTAAAACAAAATATGAGAAGCAAACTAGTTAAGCTTTAAGAAAAATATATCTTCATGATTTAAAGGTAGGGAAAGAATTCTAAAACAGGGCTGAAAAAGCTCCTGCCATAAACGGTAAGAACACTGTCACATTTTAGTATGTTAAAAAATGACTTAAACAGTGATATAGATGTTCATAGATCAGAAGACTCAATCTTGTAAAGAGGTCTTTTCTTTCCAAATTATATACTCAATTCAATCCTAAACAAAATTTCAATAGGTGATTTTTATTATTTTTAGACAACTGAAAGCTAATTATAAAGTTAATATGAAAATGCTTTGAACCAAAAAAGCCAAGGCAATCTTTAAAAAGGAGAAAGCTGGAGGGCTTACAATTCTATATACCTATATAAAGCCATAGTGACTAAGACAGTGGTATTTGAATAAGAATGAACCAACAGAAAAGAGACAATTTCGGAAAGAAACACATATACATATAGTCAGCTGGCTTATGACAAAGGTGATTCTTAATAATAGAGTGGAGAAATAAATTTTTTTCAATAAATAATGCTGGGCCCCTTTGGCATATATATGAAAAAAGTGAATCTTCACACCTACCTGGCACACACCATAAACAAAACTCAGTTCTGGATAGATTGAAGTTCTAAATGTGAAAGGTAAAACAATAAAGAGTTTAGAATAAAACATAGGGGATTACATGGATGACATTAAAGTAGGCAAAGATTTCTTAAACAGCATATGGAAAACACTGGACAATTTTTAAAAAATGAATAATGGTACTGTTTTAAAATTTAAAACTTCTGTTCATCAAAAGCTATCATTATGGTGATAAAAAGGCAACCTACACTGTGGGGGTAGATATTTGCAATACATATATCTCAAAATGAACTCATATTCACAGTAATTAAAGAACATCTAGAAGACAATGGAATCTTGACAAAAGACTTTACCAGAAATTTAACAAAAAAAGTAAGTATTCAAATGGCCCATACACAATATGAAAAGGTGTCCAACTTCATTAGTTTACAGATTTCAAATTAAAACCGTAATAAGATAAACTGCAATCCCATCAGAGTAGCTAAAATGGAAGGCATAAAATACCAGAATGTTGAACTTCTATATACCACTGGTGGAAATATGTATTTAGTCAACCAACTTTAGAAAACTTTTTGGAAGTACGTACTGTAGCTGAACGTATACATACCCTATGACCCAGCAATTTCCCTTATAGGTATATACCCATTAGACATGTAAACATATGATCACCAAAATGTTTTACCTTGTTCATAGTCATGCAATTTGAAATAGCTACAAAGTGGACCTTATTGAAATGCCCAATAGTAGAATGAGTAAATAAATTGTGGTGTGTTTACATAGTACAATACTAAACAGTAATGAGAAAGAACAACTTCCAGCAGACAACCAAAAGACTGAATATCTATAGAAAATTGACATTCAATATAGATATCAAGAAATAGAGGCCGGGCAAGGTGACTCGCACCTGTAATCCCAGCACTTTGGGAGGCCAAGGGAGGTGGATCACCTGAAGTCGGGAGTTCAAGATCAGCCTGACCAACATGGAGAAACCCCATCTCTACTAAAAATACAGAATTAGCTGGGCACGGTGGCGTGTGCCTGTAATCCCAGCTACTCGGGATGCTGAGGCAGGAGAATCGCTTGAACCCGGGAGGCAGAGGTTGTGGTGAGCTGAGATCGTGCTATTGCACTCCAGCCTGGGCAGCAAGAGTGAAACTCCGTCTCAAAAAAAAAAAAAAAAAAAAAAAAAAAAAAGAAATACAGAATGAAAGAATTTGGACCAAAAAAGTACTAACTGTATAATTCCATTTATATAACATACACAACCAGAGGGAATGCATCTATGCTATTAGAAGTCAGGAAAGTGGTTCCTTTTGGAGGGAAAGTGACTGGAATGGGTCATGAGTGAGGACTCAGCAGCCCCTAATGTTCCAGTTCTTGATCTAGGGACTGATTTCACAGTTGTGTTCACTCTATGAAAGTTCAGTGAGCAGTACACTTTGATATGTGCACATTTCCTTATGTATATTCTACTTTAATGACTTTTTTTTAAAGTGGAAAAATAAGCCTGAAGAGGAGAAAATGGGTGAGGATTTCAATGCGACAAAATTGGCCAAGTGTTAGTAATTGTGAAATTTTGGTGACAAGTGCATGAGGGTTAATTTTATGATTTCTGTTACTGTTATAAATGTTTAAAACTTTCTGAAATATAAGATAAAAATAAGTGTTGAAGAAAAGAAGGGAAAAAGATAATGATACACGCCAGTGGCGGGGCTCAGAAAACAATACGCCAAAATGAAGGCTTCAAAAGCAGCCTCAGAAGCAAAAGTTTTTCTCTAACCTTCTCCTGCTCTCCTGTCTCTCAGCCCCACTCTCCCCTGAGGCTAGCTATAGAAACTAGAATCCCTCTTCCCCAAGGTGGGTCATAGAAACCAGAACCCCTCTTCACCAAAGCCAGCCATAAAATCTAAAAATATTTCTTCAACTTTCCCTCTGCCTTTCTGTGTAAAAACTGGCCATAAAGAAATTATCTAACCTGTCTTGTTTGACTGTAAGTCATAAGATCCCTATTCCAGAGAGGGTCTTGCCCTGTACCCAGAAAAGGAACACATGCTCAGAGAGGCGGAGAAGAACCTAGATGAACAGGCCTTGCTGGGTTTCTCCACTTAGCTTATTTGCATTAGATCATACCCTTTTTGTCCAATCATATTTCTAAACACTGTCCATACTTTGTTGAACCTAAGTATAAAATGGACAATTTCCTCCTTTATCTTTGGGTCTTCATTCTGAAGGTTCTCATGTATATACATTAAATAAATTTTATGCCGTTTCTCTAATTAATCTGCCTTTCTCTAATTAATCTGCCTCTAATTAAGCTGATTTTTCAGCAAACCTTTAAAGGGTGATTGGGAAGTTTTCAGTTGGCCCCTACCCCTATCATTGATCAATACAGAAATGAACAAATATGAGAATAGTGCTCCTGGAGGTGGGGGATAATGTTTGATAATGAGAGCCACAGAGCTACTGGTTTTGTTGTAAACATTTTAGGACTATTTGATTTCATAAACTAAGTGCATGTATTACTTTGATAAATTAAAAATAAAATTTAAATGTCAAAAATAAATAAAAAATAACTGAAAGAAAAGATGAAACAGTCCTATAATTTTAATCTCAAAAAATAAAATCATGTTTTATATTACTTGAAGGAATTGGAATAAAAGGACAGAAATTGGAGTTAAGAGGCCTGAATACTATAATTTCATATAAAATTTAATTTAACATTCATGAACTGAAAAAAACAAAAAAAAATCAATAAGGAGCCATAACTGTCTGCCAGGGAATACACTGGAAGCCGGAATTTTGAGACAGACAGAATTTACATATAACTTAATATTGCATAATTATATTTTAACAATGTGGTAAGTCAACTCTAATTTTTCAAGCTTATTTGGCCATATTATGCTGTGGTCAAATAAAAACATCCCACTGAATCCTTATTCTAAGCAGAACACTTTGGGGAAATCTGAGCTAAAGAAGGTGTTTAAAAGCAAAGCAGGTACATTGCATTTTATGTGATTTACCTAAGGTAGCTCTGCTAAAACCCAATTGATATTTCCAATCCCTCCTCCCAGCCAAACAGGATGTTCAGGCCTTGCAGCAAACCCACCTGTTTGGCTAATCAACATATAGGAACAACCCCTGTCTCCCTTGCTTACTCTGCTTTGAAGGTGGAAAGGCAAAATACTTGCTATCCTACTACTCTTGCAGCTTGTGGTGGTCATATGGCTGAGTTTTTGCCAATAACACAAAGGCAAAAGTCAGCTGGAAATTTGAGAAAGTTTTTGCATTCTTGATTAAAGGGATATTTTAGCCTCCTTTTTCCTATCTTGATAGAATATTAACCTCCCCGCCACATACTCCCCCTTCAAGTGAGCACAAAGCACGAATTGTTTTGTTTCTGTGTGATTATGCCCATATAGCATTTTAAATCAGGGTTCAGAAGAGGTTGAAAATAAGTGCATGTGTTCAACCTGACATGTTTATCTGGAGCCCTATATATTGTCTATAAATACAAACAGTTTAAGCAAATTAAAACATGTTTGATAATGAGAGACGCCAAATTCAGGATCGTGGCTGTCATATGCAGGAAGAGGAAGGAGAATGGGATTGATTGGGGGTTAAGGGAGCTGAAACATCAAATATATCTGTAACGTGTAATTTTAAAATGAAAGAAAATGAAGCAAAATATTAAATTTGAGGACGCCAGAAGTTAGATACATGCATGTTTATATTAGATGCTATAAATTTAAGTATATTAAAATATTCCAAAATTTAAAACACTGTACTTGGAGGGAACTTTTTGTAAATGCATTAATAGGTAATAAAAATAAGGACCCTGAAATCTCATCCAGTTAAGGCAAGAAGGTGAGATATTAAAAAAAAGGGTAGGCAAAATATAGAAGAATAATCCAGAGCAGACCACAGCATGGATGTTTCATTGGCCTAAGAGCTGGAAGATGATATCAATACCTATAGTGTAATACGTGTATATATACATATATATGCATGCATATGTACATATAAGTGATATTTGAGACTAAATTAGGTAAAATATAGATTGCTCTCATTAAATACTGTGGGTTCAATACTTCAAAAACAATTTCCTTTCTTGTTTTTATGAAAGTCTAATGTTTGGTTTGGTATAGACACCTAACCTGAGTAAACCCTCCATCGACTTTCCAGAACTTGGAGAGGTACAATACAGGTGAGTCGTCTCCTGAAAAAAAAAAAAAAGGAATTTTATTGAAGCTGATTTCTTTCTGTACAGTGTTGTTACAGAAGCACCATAGCACCGTATGGTATGTTAGTGACCTATATTTTAAGCTAAGATTTAAATTTATACACTTATAAATGTTTGATTAAAGGTACTATAGGACTAACTACATATTAATAACAACAAAAGTATAAATCACTTTTTCATTTTGAATCTCCTTCAAGAAGCTGTAATACTCAGTTATAACTCAAACTATTCAAAAATTAAACTCAATGATGCACAATTTATGTGTAGTACTATACTAGAATAGCCCCTCTCCTCAATTACACGTGACCTGAATGATCTGATAGCACAATTGGTTTTATAAATATCCATTCAGCCATGGAAATACTTCCCTAGGAAATTGAATCGCCTCAATTACCCAGTTTGGGGATTCATAATAAAATATTGAAAAGTTTTTATTTAAATATGTTGACTATTTTCTCTTGTAAATGTGCCTCTGAATTATATAATTTGTCTAGATGGTGAACATGACTTAGTGGAAGAAGCACCATATTTAGAATTAGAACTAGTTTCCAGCCCTAGCTATGCCATTCACCAGATGTGAGATTTGGATAAGTTAATTTCACCTTACAGTTATTTTGCCTCAATCCCTTCATCTGTAAAATGGAGACATATGATTACATCTTATATAACTGTCTAAGTAATTTATGTAGATTGTAATCAGTACATGTTAGTTCCTTTCCTGCTTCCATAAGATCCATCTGAAAGGACACTATCATTGGCTGAGATGCTGAGAATCTGGGGCCATTAGCATCCAAAGCAACGAGGAACACCACATCTTTTATTGCAGTTGTTTTAAGCAGTTGATTTATTTTTTCAAATCGCTCAAACAAAAACAATGCATCAATTAGAGCAGAGCTCTAAATCTTTTTGCAAGGTTTTCAGGAAAATTCAGCTTATGAACCATTTTACTTTAGCCTTTTCATTGATAATTTGCCTGATAAAATCAGAAAGGAAGCAAGTTAAAGAATAAATGTTTCAGTTTAGGGTTAGATAGGAAGAAGAGGGGGTTATGTAATCAGAATCGCATTTTAAACTTACCCCAAATCAAAATGGCCATACATATATATTTTTGTTTTAACTATTTTTACATTTTCTTAGGCAACGTGGGTAGTCCCAAATCCGCATCTACCCAAAATACTGACCAAAAATACACAGTCATTATTACTAAATTCAATGGTTAGGGCCTTTAAGGAAGACTGCAAGGGATAATTTCTGTCCTATACCACAAGCTTCTAGGAGGGGGAAAAATGTTACATACTGATAACAGCAAAAGTGAGAGAAGATACAGCTGTATCATCATTTGACTTTTGATTCTTCCATTTGATAAAAATAAGTCATTTTTCTCTTGACTGAATGAATATACTGATGACCTAGGAGATTTTCACAGCCTTCTTGGAGAATCAAAATCAGTTTTTCTCCAAAGGTTGTGTGGGTGCACTTCCAATGAGGATCTGATCAGAATCTCCATGGTGGCCTTTCCATATTACAGAAAGTTCAGCCATTATTATTCCCGTGCTCGGGTACCTCTTTGAGAACTGCCAAGTGTCAGGGGAGATGAGACTGCTGCGGGGAGTTCTGTAAGGCAGAGGTTGAGGCTTGCTGAGAATCATTTCAGCTGAGTGTGATTCAGGGTAAATCAATACATTGCTTAACTACACTGGCAGCAATCTACAGGAAGAATTATCATTTTTCTCTTTAAAATGTTCTATAAATCAAACAATAAAGATTATGTCCTTCTCAGTCAGAAGTATGTACTAACAATAAGTCAGGTTCCTCCCAGCAAATGTAACCTGTGTGCTTTCTAGCCTCTGAACCACTCAGCTGAAAATAGTGATATTCAGAATAGATAAGCTAGAAAGGTGAGTCCCCAAAACCAATCTGCTGAAAGATGCAGAACTGGCTGGATAACAGTCACCTGGGAGCTTGTTAAAAATACACATGCCCAGACTGTGACCCATAGATTTTGATTCTGTAGGTCTGTGAGAGGTCCCAGGGACATGTATTTTTAAAAACTTTTCAGGTAAACTAAACAATGTAGGATGCATCCATATAATAAAAACATCCATACATACATATGCAGAAAAGAATGAGGAACTTCTCTTTGGATATGTATGGATAGAGGCCAATCTTCAAGACATTTTATTAAGCGAAAACTGCAAGAGGTATTATACTTTACAAGTGCTGTTAAAAAAGAAGGATGAACATACATAGTTGCTTATATATGCATGAAATATTTCTGGAAGATTACACAAGTGGTTGATAATATTGGTTTTGCCTCTGAAGGGAATAACTAGGTGTTGGCAGATAGGAGTGGGAGACAGATTTTTCCACAGCATAAACTTTGTACCTTTTCAAATTTGAGCCAAGTAAAAATTTATATATTAAAAAATTACTGAATAAAATACACTTTCTATTATGACAAAATATGGCTTTTAACTAACTCTCCAGGTGACTCTAATGTTCAGCCAGGAATTTAAATACTATTGGACAAGACATATGAAAATGCAACATATTAATGTGATAATATGTGCACATTTATGTATTATGTTACTGTGTTATTATTATGTAGTATACAACATATCCATGTGTCAGAGTTTAAGAATTTTTTTCTCCTATGAAGATAGAGCAACAGAAAGCTAGATACAGGGCAGTTGCATTATTGTGAATGATACATTCCTGAAAACCTCACTTACTTCTAAACTGTATAGTTCAAAACTCAGTTACAATAGCTCTGACAAAAGATGATGCATCTATTTGCCATTAACATTGCCACCTCCTAATAGAAATAGCAAAAACACAGCTTATAATTTATTCAGATAGTCAGCTTTATATTATATAATCCTTGAACATTTTTGTAAAGGGGAAATCAATTATTTTAAGATATATAGATAGTTTAATAATGTTTTCTACCACACCACTTAAAATTAGTGAAGTTCAAAATCACATGAAATGTAGCCACATCCCTCTTGAACTGCATTTGAACCTCCTCGTAAAAGAGCTTCACAGAAAAATATATTTTGATGTTATTCATTTGGCTTTATTTAGAATTGATCAAGAAAACTCACTGGAAGAACGCTTCTGCATTTTCTGTGAAACTGTTAAAGACGTCGTGATTATTGGGCTCTTTACTATACATGCTACTTGTATAAGATATAATTTCTCCATTAAAATTTTTGTACCAGAAAATGTTTTTAAGAAATGTATGCTTCCTTTTGGCAGATGAGAATTACTGCTGAGAAACTTGGGATTGAATATTATGTTCAACCACAGTATATGGCAAATTTTCTTTTAAATGTTGGGATGATCTGGCCTTAGAGAGGAATCAAGAAAGGCGTGTATCACCTGTTTATAAAATTTAGGATGCATGATTTTCTAAAAAAAAAAAAAAAAAAAAAAAGCAAACAAAACAATCTTTTACCGTATGGCAATTTGTATAATTTCTGGTTTTAATTAAAATTTGGCTCCCTACACAATATAAAACAATTAAGCAGATAAGAATTAGGCTCTCATCCTGTGAGAAGGTCTCGGAGAGAAATATCAATCAGAAAAGTTCCTACCTTTGATGTAGTGATTCCTGAGGGGGTTGGGCCAATGAATACATGCCTTAAGTGGGTGGACAGGAATAGTGATGGAAATGCTCTAAGAGCTAAGCCTCAGGCTCTAAGAAGAACTAATATGCTTGATTCATTCTTACCATTTGTATAAAGTCTTGGGAACCAACGAAATTATTTTGACTCTCCCTAGTCTTTCCCTTGGTTAGGACTCTGCACAGAACCATCTAAGAGAGATGACTAATCTGTATCTGGAAGAATATGTAGGCCATAGGAAAAACCTTCTGGGACTAAAGTGGAAAATAATTTGGCTTATAATAATTGATAAATATAAAATGGCACATCATGTTGGAAAACAGTCTGGCAGTTCCTCAAATGGTTAAACGAAGTTAGCACATGACCTAGCAATTCGACTCCTAGATATTCATTTCCTTTTTGTCTACTTTAACTAATAACTTTAATTAGTCCAGTGGATGAATTAGGAAACAGATAAACTTTTTTCCATTCTTAAACTGAAGGTCATCTGGGATGTACTATATTGAACTCTGTGTTTTTTGTCTCTCCTTCCTTCTGTGTTATACTTATCTCTAATTTTATAAGTATATTATTATACAGTTAACATTTTTACCAAAATAACAGATATGATTAAAAATAATAACATATCTGATGTTGATTTTTAGAAATATTTAAAAATATAAAAAAGCATCATGAGCTTGGTGATGCAGGATTTTTCTTGGCCCCTTCACCGGACTCGTGGAAGGGGTATCCCATCTACTCAACCTGCCATGCTTAGCCCCTTGTGAGAGGAAGCACGTGAGTGAGTGAGTGCAGAATCCTGTTGGCCTTTCCAGGTGCCAACACGGGAGAAAGCTCCATGTGGGGTCCATGGCCAGACCAGGTGCCTCACCTCAAGGGGAACGTGGTAGTGCCCAGGTGAGGGTGCCCAAGACCGCGAAGCCCCAGAGGGGGTGTTACAATGGTCCTTTAGTTCCACCGTCCATGGACAGCAGCATGCTAGCAGATCAGTTGACCCCTTGCCTTACCACATGGGGTGGCTTCCCTCTGCTGGTGAGGGGAAAGGGCCAGTGTGACAGCCTTTCTGGGTACCCACAATCAGTGGGTCCTGAGCTCTTGTCTGGTGTCCAAGAAGAATGAGGTCATATGGACAATTGAAGGACAGTGAAGAACGAGAATTTTATTGAGTCATGAGAATGGTTTTCAGTGGAGAGGAGACCTGGAGAGGGGATGGGAAAGTCAGGTCAGCTTCCCCGAAATCAGGTTGTCTCTTCCCTGAAGTCAGGACATCACCCCCTCTACTGACTGAGTCTGGGTTCTTTGTAGGCACAGGATGGGGAGTGTGTGCTGATTGGTTTTTGAGTATGCAAAAAAGGTTAAAGTGAAGACACCACTCAAAGGTGGGCATGACAGTGTAGAAAACCAATTGGGAAGGGGTAGGTATATGTAAAATATGTGAAGGATGGGGATCAATCAGAGGAAAGTGCTCCAAACAGGAAGGCAAGTTCTCAATCTGGTCCAAGGATTTAACTTGTAGCTTGGCTTTCAGGCTTTAAACTGTCTTTGACTTGGTGATGGGGTTTTACCAGGTATCAGTGCCTATCTGCTGAGGCATTTGGCTGTCTCCTGTTGCTATCACTGGGACACAAAGATAACCACTTAATATTTTGCAACTTCATGCTTTTTCTCAGGGTGTATTTACACGTCTGTATACATTTTTTAATAAAATTGGGAGCAAATATTTCACAATTTTCCTCACTCGATTTTCCTGATTTCATGAAATTTTCTACTACCATATCATTCTCATGACTACAAGCTATTATCTCACATAGATGTGCCATATAATTTTTGAACTATTCTCTGAGAAACAGATTTTAAGAAAGAGATTTGTACTGTGTGTAGTCATTTTATTGGCAAGAGTTCTCAAGATCAATATTTACGGACAATTGAAGAAAGTGGGATTAAGTAGAGGGAGGAATGGAACTGCAGTGAAAAACCTCAGGGCAGCCAGGCATGGTGGCTTACATCTGTCATCGCAGCACTTTTGGAGGCCAAGGTGGGAGGATTGCTTGAGGCCAGGAGTTTGAGACCAGCCTGGGCAAACTAGTGAGACCCTATCTTTAGGGAAATAAGAAAGAAAGAAAGAAAATCCTTGGGAAACTCTGGGGCTGGGATGACCCTTCAGAGTTGTCCCTCCTTGAGACAAAAAGGCTAGAGGGCTTTGAATAGGGACTGTGCCCAAGGAGTAAGCATGAACTTGGGCAAGGCAGCTATTTTCAGCCAAAGGCAACTCCCAGATAGGAATTCAGCTGAGAGCCATCAGTCACCAATGCTACCAGCAACTGAGGTAATGAATTCCTCAGTTCTGAGAGGGAATCTGGGTGACATAAAACAATATTTGCTAGTCCATCTCCTGTGCCATTTGAATTCACTTAACTCATATTTTATTAAGTTTCATTGTATCCATCCTCTTCTAGTAATAGCTGTATGATTCCACTCACCCTCAGCTAACACATCTATTGATCTCAGTGGTTTACACAATGTTGTAACCCAGATCCTCATCCCTACAGTCACAACCCTTAGTCACCATGACTTTCTCGGGCCGCAACTGTTGCATTTATCCAGTGATTGTCAAAACTGGGCAATGTAGCATACCAATATGTACCCCTGTGGATTACATCAGTACTGAACATATTCTCCCCTATACTTATAGTGAAGCAGCAGCCCTACCTCCTTTGATGATCAGACCCAAACATCCTTGCCTGGATGTGACTTCTTTCATTGTGTATTACTTTCCTTGCCTTCTTCATGTCATGAGGACCCCAAAATGACAGTAGTAGTTTTAAAATTTAATAGGACTCTTGTTATGTCCTTTGATGGAACACTTCACTCTCTAGGGAGCAGAACATCTACATCTACATTTTCCAGAGTTGTAGTGATGGGAAGCACAAATTCTACAAGTTGATCACTTGGATGGATGGTAAAAGGGCTAATTTTACTTCCTTCTCTTAGGTCCGAGTCCCATACATTCAACCTACTGGGGACAGAGCATCATCATACAGTGGTCATTGGTTAGAGTGTATGCTAGATCTTGGAATATAGCACTCAATTCCTGCAGAGTATCATATCCAAGCTGGTGCCTCAGTTACACTTTCAAAATGCTATTCTATCACTCCATCAGATTAGTAATTTCTATGTAGTGCAGAGTGTGATAGATCCGGTGGATCGTGTGGTCATGTGTTCACTTCCATCTGTCCTTTGTTGTCAAATGGGTCCTTAGTCTGATATAGTATCGTATAAGATCTA
Source organism: Homo sapiens (assembly GCF_000001405.40). NCBI lineage: Eukaryota > Metazoa > Chordata > Mammalia > Primates > Hominidae > Homo > Homo sapiens. The sequence goes on along the minus strand of NC_000009.12, from coordinate 3,595,587 downwards.
ATGTAAGTGAATCAAACACTCTATAAGCCCTTAGATAGTGGTGCTGGCTGAGGCTGTGAACAGGAAAGGCAAACCCATACCTGCTATATGTGTTAATTCCAGCCAAGGTGAATTGCTGTCCCCGGCAAGGTGGAAGGAATTCAGGGTAGTCAATTTGGCACCAAGTAGTTGCTTGATGTCCTTGTGGATTATGCTTAACATTGGTCTCTGTTGCTGGGAGTTGGGCTATTTGGCAGTGGAAATAGCTAGATTAGCCTTGGTGAGTGGGACCTATGATCTTTGGCCCATGTATAGTCCCCATCCCTGCCACTGTGACCACTCTGTTTATTGACCATTGTGCCAGCAGTGAGGTTGCTGATGATAGAGGCTGGCTGTTACTAACTGGCAAAGTCACTCTGTCTTTTTGGTTAATGACTTTTCTTTGAAGGATGCCCTCTAACAGGTATTGGCATGTGATACAAAGATCTTCATACTTGGGCTCATTCCCATAGACTACCCACATATGTAATATGCAACATATTAATGTGGTAATACATGCACATTTACATATTATGTTACTGTTGTGTAACATTATTATTATGTTATGTAGTATATAACATATCCATGTGTCAGAGTTTAAGAATTTTTTTCTTCTATGAAGATAGAGTAACAGAAATCTAGATACAGGGTAGTTGCATTATTGTGCTTCAGATGTGCTTCTTACCAATTGATGTGGTTTGGCTCTGTGTCCCCACTTAAAATCTTATCTGGAATTGTAATCCCCATAATCCCCATGTGTTGAGGGAGGAACCTGGTGGGAGGTGATTGGATCATGGGGGTGGTTTTCTCATGCTGCTCTCATGATAGTGAATGAGTTCTCATGAAATCTCATGGTTTTAAACGTGTTTAAAAGTTCCTCCTTCACAGGCCCTTCTCTCTCCTGCCACCCTGCGTAGAAGGTGCTGGCTGCTTCTTCTGCCATGATTCTAAGTTTCCTGAGGCCTCCCTAGCCATGTGGAACTGTGAGTCAATTAAGCCTCTTTCCTTTATAAATTACCCAGTCTCAGGTGGTATTCTTTATAGGAGTGTGAAAATGGACTAATACACCAATTTTCCAATTTTTGTTTTTCCTGGTCCCTGAATAAACAACTAAATCATTTCCCTCTTCTCATGAATTGGTGTAGATTGCAAATTTGGTCCACTGTTCTTTTTGCACAAGGTGGAAGAGCAAGTGCACTGCCAAAAAACATGTGAAGATTTCCTTTCTCAGCTTTCTTTCAGAGACATTCTTGAGTGAGATCACAGTGCAACAGCAGTTCATTTTTAGCTTGCTCCTCATATTGGGATGACCCACCTGTGAACTGAGTCTGAACTTTTTCACCCCTAGTGAACTAATCATAACGGGCCCCTCACGTGGCCGTAGATTTGTACTGATTGGGAGGTGTCAATGCAGTTTAATTGTGCCCTTCAGCCCTGCTTATGCTTGACACTGGGTTCAGCATTTCTGTCTTACGACGGATTGCTGCTGAGTCCACCTGACTCTATGGCATGTCAATACCGAGAGAAGGACTTTGCTAACAGCCATCAGCTGCCAGTGTTCCAGTAGCTGGAGGAATGAATGGAAGAGGAACTTAACGAATTCTCTAATGCTGAGTATTTCTAGTTTTTGTTTTTTTTTGTTGTTGTTTTACTTTTTTTTTTTTTTTTTTAGACAGAGTCTCCCTGTCGCCCAGGCTGGAGTGCAGTGGCACGATCTCGGCTCACTGCAAGCTGCGCCTCCCAGGTTCACGCCATTCTCCTGCCTCAGCCTCCTGAGTAGCTGAGACTACAGGCGCCCACTACCACACCCGGCTAATTTTTTGTATTTTTTAGTAGAGACGGGGTTTCGCCGTGTTAGCCAGGATGGTCTCGATCTCCTGACCTTGTGATCCACCTGCCTCGGCCTCCCAAAGTGCTGGGATTACAGGCGTGAGCCACCACGCCCAGCCTGTTTTACTATTTTTAGCAATACAACTTTGAAAGTTCTTATTCTAAGCAGATAGTCTAAAAAAAGATATAAACCAAAAATAGAGGAGTAATAAGATGATGAAAAATGAAACTAGGAGATGGGTTCTAGTCCTAGATTTGCTATTATCTTTGAATTTTCTACTTGACTAATCATTTCACTTCCTGGAGTCTTAATTGTCTTATCTACATTGTAAGATAGTTGAATAACATCAGTTTCTCCCAATCTATAGTCTACTGAGAAAGTAATAAAAATTCATTCTATTTAATAAAGACTAATGAAATAATTTATCTATCTTTCATAAGGTTGTAGAGGGATCAGGTAGGGGACACAACACTGATAATTTAGGCAAAAAGAGAACAATATCAAATACTGCAGAATAAAAGTATCCTAGAATATACCTGTGTGACAGATATTTCCAAGGTTATCTGGTCAAACTCACCAACATGTGCACCAATCCCCTCATTTTAAGCCATAGTAAACCTTTCATTAAGATCCTTCAATATTGTGAGTAGACCTGCCCAGCTTCCGAAGGCACTCACACCTACAATATCCAGAGGCTTTTTCTCCTGTTAGTAGTTGCTGCTTCTTTACTCACCTCACATTCTTTCCTCAATTTATTCCAGTTGAGCTCCAGTGCTCCCCGTACCATTGAGCTGCCAAATTCAATAGCCTCTGTTTTGTTCTTTTCTTACCTCACTTCTCAGCAACATTTGACATAGTTGGCCACTCCTGCCTTGAAGTGATTTGTTTTCTCCTAATTATTGCCTTAATGAGCTCACTTATTTGAGTAGCCTTAATGAACTCACTTGAGTATTTTATCTGTGGATTATTTTTGGAATTTGTTTCTAATCAATTATCTATGGATAATGAGAGTTGTATATCTTCCTTTAAAATCTGTAGATTGTAGACTTTAAAGGAATATATAAAATTCTCATTATCCATAGATAATTGGATAATGGACCAAACTACTGGCTGGTCCCTCTGAGTCTTCTATTCTGGATTATCCTCTTTCTCTACCCAATCTCCAAATGGTGGCATATTCATGGGCTCAGTAACTTGGCCCTGTTCTCTTAAGTGTTCCCATTCATTTTCATGGCTTCAGATGGTCTAGGCTTTCAAACCAATATCTTCCATTTGTCATCTCTCTTCTGAAACTTAGATTCAATTATTCAACTTCATACTTCATAAGCTGATAGGTATCTAAAACTTCATTTGTCCTTAAAAGAATGTTTCATTTTTGTGCTTGCCTCAACAGCACATATACTAAAAAGAATCTTTCATTTTTCTGACCAAATTTATTTCTTCCCCATGTTCACAAATATCAGAAAACTGTACCTCTTCTTTTTTTTTTATTTTGAGACGGGGTCTTGCACTGTCACCCAGGCTGGAGTGCAGTGGCACGATCTCGGCTCACTGCAAGCTCTGCCTCCTGGGTTCACGCCATTCTCCTGCCTCAGCCTCCTGAGTAGCTGGGACTACAGGCGCCCACCAACACACCCAGCTAATTTTTTGTATTTTTAGTAGAGATGGGGTTTCACCATGTTAGCCAGGATGGTCTCGATCTCCTGACCTCGTGCTCTGCCTGCCTCGGCCTCCCAAAGTGCTGGGATTACAGGCGTGAGCCACCGCGCCCGGCCAACTGTACCTCTTCTATTAGGTTGCTCAGGTCAAAAACTTAGAATACATTCATAATTTAGCTCTTTGTCTTTCCAATCTATCCCCAAAGTTCCATCATCTTTAACTCTAAAAGCTACACCAAATTTGATCATTTCTCTTTATCTCCATTATTTCTACCTCCCTCTAAGTCACCTCTATTTCTCACCTGGACTTTTGCTACAAACTTCTTATTGGTTTCCCTGCTTGCACTCTTGCTTTCTATATTTTTTATGTAATAGCAAGAATTATTTACTTAAAATAAATCAGATCATGTCACTCTTATGATTAAAACCTAAATGGCTAGCTTCTGATCATAGATAAAATCTAAATTTATTTTTTTTTCTCTGAGTCAGGGTCTTTCTCTGTCACTCAGGCTGGAGTGCAGTGGCATGATCATGGCCCACTGCAGCCTCGATATGCCAGGCTCAAGTGATCCTCCCAACTCCACTTCTTAAGTAGCTCAGACTGCAGGTGTACCACCACGCCCGGCTAATTTTTTTACTTTTTGTAGAGATGAGTTCTCACTATGTTGCCTAGGCTGATCTTGAACTTCTGGGCTCAAGTGATCCTCCCCCAGAGTGCTGGGATTACAGGTGTCAGCCACCAAACCAAGCCAAATCTGAATTTCTTACCTTGTCCTACAATGTCATAAATGATCTCGACTTGGCACCTCTGAAGTTTCTGTAAACATTATCTACCCTGTCTACGATCTTTCCGCAAAACTCATCTTCTCTCTCACCTTAAGAATTTTGTACCAGCTCTTCTCTTTTTTTGGAATAGTTTTTTTTTTTTCTCTTGATCCTCACAGTTCCAGCTCCTCATTATGACAGATATCTCAGTTGAGATGTCAGTGCTTTAGAGAGGTCTTCCTGGCCACTCTATTCAAAGTAGTCATCTAGTTTTTTACTCTTTATGTCCCATTTAATTCTCTACTAACACTTACTCTCTGGAGTTTTCTTCTTTATTTATTTATTGGGTCTCCTCACTAGAATGTAAATTCTTTGAGAGCAGAGATGTTGTCTGTCTTGTTGCTACTGTTTCTTCAGGGCTTAGAAAAGAGGTTAGCACTAGTAAGTGTTCAATAAAATTTGTTAAAGGAGGAAAAGAAACAGAACATTCTGGGACCCCTACTCTCCTAACCCAATAGACCAAAATGCCCAGGAGACAATTGAAACCCACCATCATTCACACTAGTGTCTTTATTTTGACTTCTAAAACCTTATTAAAAGTCCAGTTACTCTGCTATACCATAAATTTAACTTATTTAAAGATAGCAGTTAATGATCTCCAACTCTTACCTTTGTCAAATAAAATGCTCCTATTTCCAAACGTGACATTTGGGGGAAGAAGATTTCAAACAAAGTACACAGTGGACATGAAAAATCAATTGCCAAGAGGTATGACAAAATTTACTTCATAATAAATGCATTTTATTTGTATACACACATTTTCTTATTATACATAATCCAGAGACAACCATATTATTCTAATGGGCCACCTCTGCTCATAGTAAAAGGGAGAGATAACTTTCATAGTAATTTTGGTAGGATATTCTCAACAAGTTTTATTATTGTGGCTTTTTATACAAAGCGCAAGTTTGTGCAGGCTTGCAAGATTACTGTATTAGTCCATTTTCACACTGCTGATAAAGGTGTACCCAAGACTGGGTGATTTATAAACAAAAAGAGGTTTAAGGGACTCACAATTCCACGTGGCTGGGGAGGCCTCAGAATAATGGCATAAGGCGAAAGGCACATCTTACATGGCAGCAGGCAAGACAGAATGAAAGCCAAGCAAAAGGGAGTTCCCCTTATAAAACCATCAGATTTCGTGAGAGTTACTCACTACCACGAGAACAGTATGGGGAAAACTGCCCCCATGATTCAGTTGTCTCCCACCAGGTCACTCCTACAATATGTGGGAATAATGAGAGCTATAATTCAAGATGAGATTTGGGTGGGGACACAGCCAAGCCATATTGATTACTTATCTTCTTGACAATCCAATTTCTTAAAATCCAATAGCAATGAGTTTGTTTGATCTTGCTAGGTTATACAGCCTCACTAGATATTTTAAGGTATCCTAACTCTTGTAATTATAATGCATTTTAATTCAGCTAAATTTATTCCATGATAAGCACAGAAAATTAAATTCTCAAAACCAATCATTACTACTCTTACCTTCTTGATCACTTTCTTTCTTAGTTAAGCCATCCTCAAGTCTAATCATTAGTTTACTCTTATCCAGCAAGAGGAAAATTTCCATTGCACTTTACTAATAAATGTATCTGCTGCCTAACCATTGGTGTCATCCAATGTTATCTGTGTTTTACATAGCTTAATTTACTTAATCCTAATGACATGTACTACTACCTTGACAGTTTTACAGATGGAGAAACTACAGCACAGAGCAGTTAATTAACTTGTGTAAGGTTAAATGGCTAGCAAGTAGTAAACCTGGGCTATAACCTCAGGCAGTCGAAATCCAGAACCTGTGCTTTCAGCCACTACACTACATTCCCATTGGTAAAACTCACAATTTTCTACCTGATATTTTAAGTTATTATTGTTTCAGTTGCTTTTACAGTTTGATAAACACTAATATCTTCTCCAGAAAAAAAAATCCAATTTCTTCAAGAATTTCTCATATTACATGATTCCAAATTGCTTCATGACCCAGGTTACCTCTGGAAATACAGATGTGCCTATTCATCCTTTTAAAGTGTCAGAACCTAGCATTAGTCCATGTGTGGGCTCCAGTATAAATGCAAAGAGATAATTAGTTCCTTCTTTCTGTATAATTTTGCTAATGTAGTATTAAAACTCAGTTTATTTGGTAGCCACATCATACTGTTTACTCATATTTTTATCAAAAATATTTTTCACATGATTCAAAGCTCCTTTGAGCTGCAATGCATACTTCCCAAAACACCTATAGGAACCAAAAAGACAGTTTCAGTGCAGTGCGGCTATCAGACACTGAAAGTTGGCTTCGCTTAACCTCAAGAGACGCATGCATATTCAAACCTAAAATTCTTCAAAATACTACACTTGTGAGATATTTTATTATAAAGCTAAAATATTTTATTAAAAAAATTAAAATAACAAAATAAATCAAGAAATATTGTGTGCTACAGAACCCACTTGAAGGCCTGACTATAGTATGTGTAAGAAAAATAATGAAAGCCCTTGGTAATAGAAGGCCTTCCACTACACATGTAAGATGGGAGAGAAAAGAGAGTGCATATATGAGGAAAAAAAGAGAATGAAAGAGTTTGGTTTTACTGAATCTTTTTCTCCCTCTTCCGCTTTAAAAATTCTCACAAGTTCTAAGCTTCTTGGTTGCTTGTTTTCTAGTACTTCTCCCTGCTTTACTCTCTGGACTTAATCGTTAGCATTGTTTTCTCCGCCTGTGATCTTGGAGCCCTTCAGTAAGGTGTCAGTTCAAGGATCTGGTATTAAGCTTCTTCAACATTTTGGGCTTGGTGAAAGTTTCACCATTGGCCTGAGTTTGCCCTGACAACATGAGAAACAGCAACTAATGTACTGTTATTAGCTCTCATTTTTCTCCCCATGTGATATTGGGTAGATTTCTTTTTTTTTTTAATTTTATTATTATTATACTTTAAGTTTTAGGGCACATGTGCACAACGTGCAGATTTGTTACATTTGTATACATGTGCCATGTTGGTGTGCTGCACCCATTAACTCGTCATTTAGCATTAGGTATATCTCCTAATGCTATCCCTTCCCCCCATCCCACAACAGGCCCCGGTGTGTGACGTTCCCCTTCCTGTGTCCATGTGTTCTCATTGTTCGATTCCCACCTATGAGTCAGAACATGCGGTGTTTGGTTTATTGTCCTTGCGATAGTTTGCTGAGAATGATGGTTTCCAGCTTCATCCATGTCCCTACAAAGGACATGAACTCATCATTTTTTATGGCTGCATAGTATTCCATGGTGTATATGTGCCACATTTTCTTAATCCAGTCTATCATTGTTGGACATTTGGGTTGGTTCCAAGTCTTTGCTATTGTGAATAGTGCCACAATAAACATACGTGTGCATATGTCTTTATAGCAGCATGATTTATAATCCTTTGGGTATATGCCCAGTAATGAGATGGCTGGGTCAAATGGTATTTCTAGTTCTAGATCCCTGAGGAACTGCCACACTGATATTGGGTAGATTTCTAAAAATCTAAGTGATCGTTTTTTGCATTTATCCTAATAAGCTGCATCTTGTTTTAATTCCACACATGCTAAGATCTTTTGGGAATCCTATTCTGTCATCAATATTAGTGTATTAGTCCTTTCTCACATTGCTAAAAAAAAAAAAAAAGAAAGTACTTGAGTGTGTTAGTCCATTCTCACACTGCTATCAAGAACTACCTGAGAATGTGTAATTTATGAAGAAAAGAGGTTTAATTGACTCTCTGTTCTGCAGGCTTAACAGGAATCATGACTGGGAGGCCCCAGAGAACTTACAATCATAGCAAAAGATGAAGGAGAAGCAAGCATGTCTTACCATGGTAGAACAGGAGAGAAAGCGAGATAAGGGGAAAGTGCCACACAATTTTAAGTCATCAGATCTCATTGGAATCACTATCATAAGAACAGAAAGGGAGATATCCACCCCCATGATCCAATTACCTTCCACCAGCTCCCTCCCCTGGCATGTGGAGATTACAATTAGATATGAGATTTGGGTGGGGACACAGAGGCAAACCATATCACTGCAACTGAGTAATTTATAAAGAAAAGAGGTTTAATTGGCTCACAGTTTTGCAGGCTGTACAGGAAGTATAGCTACTTCTAGGGAGACCTGAAGAAACTTTCAATCATGGCAGAAGGCAAAGGGGAAGCAGGCACACCTTTTATGGCCACAGCAGGAGGAAGAGAGAGCAGGGAGGTGCCATACACTTTTAAACAACCAAATCTCATGAGAACTCTATCATGAGAACAGCACCAAAGGGATGGTGCTAAGCCATTCATGAAGGACTCACTCCCATGAGCCCATCACCACCCAGTAGACCCCACCTCCAACACTGAGGATTACAACTGAACATGAAATTTGGGTGGGGACACACATCCAAACCATATCATTTAGCCAACCAGATTTTAGGTCACTCACAAATTTGATAATATGCCATTGATGTATTTAGACGAATTGTGAAAATGTTAACAAACAATAGGAATGTGGTTCTGATATAAGATCAGTAGAGACTTTTTTAGGAATAGAAAATGACATATTAATCAGTACTCTGAAAATGGTCATTCCATTGTTTATGGACCATCCTAAGTGTACCATTATCTAGTTTAGCTTTTTCTATCTTACTGCCATAGTCATCATTCAGGTGTACAGTTTCAATAGCATTCTTTGGTTGTATCCATTATGTACTCTTTAGTGGCATCATAGCATAAAGATTAAGACCGTGGGTTCTGAAATGTGGCTACCTATGCTTAAAACATAGTCTCCAATTTTTAGTTGTGTTGTCTTCAGCTAGTTACTAAATAGTTCCTCATGTATAAAATGGGGAGAAATAATACTTCAGATTAAATGAGAAAATGCATGTAAAGCACTTAACCTACAGCCTAACATCAAATAAATGCTTAAACATTAGCTCTTCTTAACAGTAGCAGTTAACCCACCCCAAAGAAAATGAGGTTAGTCTGGTACAGCTTAATCTTAAGGAGCACATGCTGGGTCCTGGTGAATAAATACCACTTCCCTTTGTAAGAATTTACATGCTGTCTTTTTATACTGTTTGAAAAACCATCCATTTTAATAATCCAGTGTATAATTTTGCACAGGGATTAATGTCAGGCTCACTGATCTATACTTACAGAATTTACCTTTTTCCTTTATTAAAAATTTGCACTGCAGTTGTTTCTCTCCAGTCTGGCAACACCTCTCCCTCTCACCACCATTCTTCACTGGTAACAGTTTACTGGTGCAAAAGTCTCATTCCCTGGTTCACTCCAGCCCTGGAGTGCAGTTTATTTCAGCCAGGGCACTTGATGTTCTCTATCTTCCCATATCTTTGACATCAGTTCCCCCTTTAAACATGTTTGATCTAGGCTCTTGAGTCAGTCTGAAGACCATTGTCTTTGACGCAGAAGACAGACCGAAGAGGAACGAAGTAGTCCTGCTTTGTTTTTAGCGTCTGTTATCCCCATCTGTCTCAAGCACAGGGCCTACCACTTCCTGTTCGTTCTTCTTGCTCATGAGTACCACTTTTTTAAATCCCCCTCTTTTTGCCGTATTATATTACACAAACTTTAACTCCATGACAGTTTATGCCTTAAATGATTCCTAAAGACCCATGCAGGTATTTTAAATTCACCATTGGCTATCTATTCCTCATTCTGCTATTTGTTTGTCTTTTTGAAATGTGAGCTCAGACATTTTCAGTCTAAAATGACATTTGAAGTTGCTTCTCCAAATTTCTTCCTAAAATATCTTTTAAGACCCAAATTAAAAACAAAAACATATGCACAATATGTGACCCTGGAGAAGGTTAAGGTATGACTGTTTTAAAATAACTTGCCAGCCATGTCTCAGTTTTAAATGAATTGAGAAGGTCAGTTGTTCAGTAAATGTGAGGTGAGTAGGTGATGTGGACTAAGGTTATAGCTGTGGAGATGGTAGTAACTGGGCAAATTCAGGACATAATGAAATTTGAACCAACAGCACTTACTGGTGGATTGGATATAGGTTTTGAGGGAAAGAAGTTTCAAGGATCCCCAAACCTGTAATTTATTTTGTGCAAATAGATAGATGATCTCTCTTTAGTGCGAGGCAGAAGACTGCTCTTCACTAAAAATTTGCACTGTAGTTGCTTCCAAAGAGCAGCAAATTGAGAAAGGGTATGAATACATCACTTTGGCCATATTCTTTTTTTTTTGTTTCTGTTTTTCTTTTTGTTTTTGAGACTGGGTCTCACTCTGACACACAGGCTGGAATACAGTGGCACTATCATGGCAGCCTCAACTTCCCAGGCTCAAGTGATCTTCCCACCTCAGCCTCCTAAGTAGCTGGGATCACAGGTGTGTGCCACCACGCCGGGTTAATTTTTAGTTTTTTGTAGAGATTAGATCTCCCTGTGTTGGTCTCAAACTCCTGACCTAAAGTGATCCTCCCACCTTGGTCTTCCAAAGTGCTGGAATTATAGGCGTGAACCACTGTGTCCAGCCACCATGTTTGTTTTAAGTTTCAGTTTTCTATTATACACCTGTATTGAAATATCAAGAAGCATGTAAGAGCTTGGTGCTCAAAAAAGGCTAGGCTGGAGATATAAATGTGGGCTATCTTCTAACAATGCTATTTAAGTCCCTGGATTAGTTGAAATTACCCACATAAGATCATAGAGGTGAGAAGAGAGCAAGGGTCAGGGCCTTGGGTCACCAAAACACTTAGAGGTCTAAGAGAGGAGGTGAAGAAGTTTGAGGTGAAGCAGCCAGAGATAAGACAAAAGCCAGAAAACATGATATCCTCGAAACCAAGTGAAGGATATGTGTCAAGAAGGAAGCAATAATGCACGATGCCAAATATTAAGAGTTCAAGTAAGATGATCATTAGCATTAGCAAAATGAGGTCACTGGTGAGATAGGGTCCATTTTATGGTTAGGAGAAACGACCGATTAGAATGATTTTGAGGATAAAATGAGAGGTGAAAAAGTAGAGACAATGAGGATACAAAATGTCCCATTTTTCTGTGAAGGCAAGCAGATAAACGAGCAGTAGCTGGAACATGAAGTCAAAAGAAGGTTTTTGTTCGTTTTTTTTGTTTATGTTGTTTGTTTTGATGGGTAATCTCAAAGCATGCTTGAGTTTGTGTAGGAAGGATCCAGCAGAGAGAGAGAGAGAGAAAAAATAATGTAATAAAGAAATAAAAGACAGAAGCAAAAAGTTCTTAATAAGTGGCGATGTTGGGCTAAGATAGAAGGGAGTAGCCACCTTTCTATTATAATTAGAAGGGAGGCCAACATGTGTGTGCAGATACAAGTGGGCTGATGGAATATCTGGTTGGACAATGAGGTAGTTCTTATTGGAGTGGAACTATTTTTTGTATAAAACACGAGAGAAGTCATTAACTTAGAGCAAGGGGGAATGGGATGTTGAAGATTTGAAATCATCCAGTTAGAAAATGGAAAAGTAAATTTACTAGAGAATTGGGGTAGGTTTGTTTGGCCGTGTTAATTGACCATTTGAGGTGTATGATCATGGACTTTGAAATGACTCTGGACAGTACTGTTGTGATATTCTCCAGTAATATCAAGGTGTTGTAAACAAATATGGAGTAATTAATTTGTTTAAAGAGGTTAGAGGTTTTTTCTGGCTATATACAAAATAAGAGATATGGGAAAGTAATCAATGAGAATTGTAAGAAAATATAGTGCTGGGCAACAGAACCTAAGCCTAGTAACAACAGAAGTAAAGTAACTAAGGGGAGTCAATGTTTTTTGTTTGTTGGTTTTACCTTCTATTTGCTTGGAGTTTATTTTGCTCATAGTTTTAGAATTTCCTGAGGTGGGAACTTCTATAATTGGTTCGGGAACTTGTCTTTTTTCTACTGTATCCATCTAGTACTATAAATTACCCTCTTGGCACTGCTTTGGCAGCACTCCACATATTTTAATACGGTATGGTTTACTTTTCATTCAGCTTTATGTATTTTATAATTTATTTCAGGACTTACTCTTTGATACATTATTTAGAAGTGTGTTGTTTGATTTTCAAGTGTTTGGAAATGTTCCTCTTGTCTTTCTGTTATTTATTTTTAGTTTGATTCCACTATGGTCAGAGAACACGCTTTATATGATTTCAAATGATTTTAAATTATTGAAGTTTGTTTTATGGCCCAGGAAATGGTCTATTTTGGTAAACGTTCCATGGGCACTTGAAAAAGATGTCCATCCTGCCCTTGCTGGGTAGAGTCTTCTATAGATGTCAATTTTTTGTTAGTTTATTACATTGTTCAAGTCTTCTATTTCCTTGCTGATTTTCTATTAGTTTTATGCTTGCCAAGATGGGTGTTAGAGACCTAACTGTAACTGTGAATTTGTCTTTCTCTTTCAGCTCTTTTGATTTCTATTTCATGTATTTTTGAGATTCTGCTGTTTGGTATATGCACATTAGGATGGTTATGACTTCCTGGAGAATTGATTATTTTATCATTATGTAATGTGTCTCTTTGCCTGTAATAATATTCTTTGCTATAATGTCTGCTTTATCTGATATTAATATAGATACTCCTGCTTTTTAAAAATTAATATCTGCATGGTATATTTTTTCAACCTTTTATTTTCAACCTACGTTGTTGAATTTTGAGTGAGTTTATTATAAACAGAAAATAACTGGGTTATATTTTTTATTTATTTTTAATTGGCATATTTAGACCATCTGCATTTAAGGCAATTTGCCATTTTATTATTTGTTTTCTATTTGTTTCTTGTGGTTCTTATTCCTCTGGTTTTCTTTTATGACTTCCTACAGATTACTTAAACATTTTTTGGTACTCTATCTTGATTTATTTATAGTGCTTTTAAGTGTTATCTCTTTGTATAGTTCTCATAGCAATTGATCTGGGTATTAAAAATATATATGTGACTTATTACAGTCTACTGGTGTCAACATTTCATTATTACTTTGAGTCAAGTGTAGAAACCTTTCTTCTGTTTAGTTCCCTTTACCCTCCCCACTTCAGAACAGCATTGTCTTGGGTATATGATGGTGTTATTTGTTTCAATCACTGAATATGATTTACAAAATTCATGAGGATAGTCTAGTGTATGTACCCACATTTGTTTTTTTTTTGTTGTTGTTGTTGTTGTTTTTTTTTTTTTTTTTTTTGAGATGGTGACTCACTTTGTTACCTGGGTTGGAGTGCGGTGGTGTGAACATAGCTCACTGATGCTTCAAACTTCTGGGCTCAAGTGATGCTCTTGCCTCAGCCTCTCAAGTAGCTGGGATTACAGGTGTGAGCTTGTACTCATATTTCTGTTCATTACAATGCTTTTTCTTTTTCTTTATGCTCAAAATTGATTATTTTATCATTTCCTTTCTGTTTGAAGAAAATCTTTAGCTATTCTTGAAGAGCAGGTGTGCTAGCCACAAATTCTTTCCATTTTCTTTTATCTGAGAATGTTTTTATTTTCACTTCATTCCTGAAGGATAGTTTTGCTGAATATAAAATTTAATATTGACAACTATTTTGTTTCAGCACTTGAAAAATGTGTCAAGCCTTCTGGCCAGCATGGTTGCAGATAAGAAGTAAACTGTCGTTCAGATTGGTACTCCCCAGTTGGTAACATACTGTTGTTCTCTGGTTTCTTTTGAGATTTTTTGGTGTGTTTCTCAGAAATTTAATATACCTTGGCATGGATTTCTTTCAGTTTGTCCTATTTTTGGTTTCTCAGTGTATTAGTCTGTCCTTGCATTGCTATAAAGGAACACTTGAGACTGGGTAATTTATAAAGAAGAGAGGTTTAATTGGCTCAAGGTTCTGCAGGCTTTAAAGGAAGCATGGTGCTGGCATTGGCTTGGCTTCTGGTGAAACCTCAGGGAGCTTTCAATCATGGCAGAAGGCAAAAGGGGAATAAGCACTTCACATGATGAGAGCAGGAACAAGCAAGAGAGATGGGGAGGGTGCTACATGCTTTTTCTGAGCTTTCCAAACTCTTCCAACCTCTGTTTGTTGCCCAGTTCCAAAGCTTCTTCCACATTTTCAGAAATCATTATAGCGATGACCCAGTCCTGGTACCAATTTTCTGTATGAGGCCACTCTTGCATTACTATAATGGAATATCTAAGACTGAGTAATTTGTAAAGAAAAGAGATTTAATTGGCTCAAGGTTCTGCAGGCTTTACAGGAAACATAGTGCTGGCATCTGCTCAGCTTCTGGCCAAACCTCATGGAGCTTTCAACGAATGCAGAAAGCAAGGGGGCAACAGGCACGTCACATGATGAAAGGAGGCGCAAGTGAGAGAGACTGTGGGGAGAGGTGCCACACACTTTTTAACAACCAGATCTTGCGAGAACTCACTCACTATTGTGAAGACAGCATCAAGTCATGAGGGATCCACCCCCATGATCCAAACACCACCCACCAGGCCCCACCTCCAGCACTGGGGATTACAATTCAACATGAGATTTGGGTGGGAACAAATATCCAAACTACATCACTCAGGCTCTTAAATATATAGGAGTTTTTTTTTTTTAATTTTTATTTTGTTTTTATTTATTTTTATCAAATTTGGGAGACAAATCACTATTTCTTTTCTTACTTTTGTTTTTTTCTCTGTCACCCAAGCTGGAGTACAATGGCACAGTCTCCAGTCACTGCAGCCTTGACCTTCGAGGATCAAGCAATCCTCCCGCCTCAGCCTCCCAAGTAGCTGGGACTGCAGGCATGCACCACCATGGCTGGCTAATTTTTATACTTTGTTTGTAGAGATGGGGTTTCACCATGTTGCCCAGGCTGGTCTCAAACTCCTGGGTAAAAGTGATCCACCTTCCTTGGCCTCCCAAAGTGCTGGGATTACAGGTGTGAGCCACCATGCCCAGCCAAACCACTCTTTCTTAAAATACTCTTTTAGTCCACTCTTTTTTCTGTTAACCCAATAATATAATAAATGCCCCTAATAACCCAATATTGGGTTTTATATTATTCTTCCAAATTTCCCTGAGCTTATGTTTAGTTTTTATTTTGGGGGGGGGTCTATTTTCTCTGTGTTATTCATATTGGGTAGATAATATTAATCTGTCCTTAAGTTTATTGATTGTATCTCTGTCACCTCCATCTCTCCATCCTACTATTGAGACTTTCAGCAAGTTTTTACTTCTATATTTTCTATGTCATTCTCTTTTTATATCTTCTGTTTCTTTTCTGTGACTTTACATTGTTTCGTTTGTTTCAACAGAATTTGTTATTGCTTTTTGAAACATTGTTAGGATGGCAGCTTAAAATCTTTGTGGGTTAATTCCAATGTCTGATTCATCTTGAATGGTGTTAGTATATTGTCTTTTTTCATTCTAGCTGTGATTTTCCTGGTTATTAGTGTTGGATGATTTTTTTTTTTGAATTGTAGCCTAAAATTTTGGCTATTATTTTGGGAGACTCTGGATTCTATGTAAACACTTTATTTTAGCAGCCAGTCACCTAGTTTAGGTTTAGCGCGCAGATCCTTGCCTACTTTTGTAGGTTGTGGTTCCAATTACAATTTAATTTTCAAGGCTCTCATTGTACTATTTTCATCTGCTTGATTTATCTCATGCCAGTGATGGTGCTACATGAAGGGGCAGAAAAAGTTTCCCTGCATCAGACTGTCTGGTGCCTCTACATAGAAGAAAGAAGTATCTGGCCCACAGAGGAGAAGCTTCCTGGGTCAGGCAGCATGCTGTGGCAGGATTCTCTTTCCTGGCGCCAACCAGAAAACTTGGTTTTCTAAGTAAATGGCATAAACCTCAAATAAAGTGTTTTACACAAGAGTCTGACTTGAGTTACTCAAGCCAGAAACCTAGGAATGATGTACGATTCTTCCCTCTGTCAACCAGAAGTGAATTTACCAAGAATTAATGAAGCTTTGGTTTCAATGCCCATCACTTGCAGGACCCTGGAACCTGAATGAATTCACATAGTCACATGTTTTTGTAAAATCTGCAAAAGTAGCATATTTTAAGTGTAATTAGTTAAGACTATGCCTCTTTTTTTCTATGATTTACCCTCCATTACATTCTCCTCTGGTCATTGCCCCAGGCACTTTCAAGATCTAGCTAAGAGGCAGTTGTGCCAGGGATAATGTTAGTTCAGATTTAGTGGGATAAACTTATGTTGTCCACAGACACTCCTGTATGAAATTATTGCCACTGTTTCTTCTATAGAGTAGCTTCTGGGAAAGTTCCTAGCCACCCACTATGCTGACTCATCTAGATTTGTGACACAGAGTTTCAGGGCCTTTGGTTGTCTTGCAATATGAGCATGAGCAATCTTACTCAGTATGATACAGAGAGGAAAAATAAAACTTGAAATTTAAGGAGCCAGAAGTTAGTCTGTGGAAAAGTCTTCCCATCATCAGACGTGTAATACGTAGCATTTATTTAGATAAATAGCAGAGCATTTATTTAGCTCAATATTGGAGCATTAGAAACATAATGGTACCAAGGCAAAATAAAAGTTCTCTTGCCAAAAATATACTCAATCATGTAACATATATATCATTATAAATAATCCATGCTTTCTTAGATTAAAATTGTATGGAATAGAATTGATCAAAATTTTGAGATGGAGACCACAAGCTTAAAGCTATACTACAAATAGTATATCTATTTGCGATGTCACGTGTTTTGTTTCCCAATTCTCAATAATAAAAAAATAAATTTTGATTGACCATGCTAAACCAAAGACTGAATTATCTTTCTATTCTTTATTTAGAAGATAATCTTATAAAATCATTGTCATATAAAAGGCGATATCAAGAGTTTACTGCCAAAATATTTAAAGCAGTTGATTGATTAAAAATAGTATGTCATTTTTTAAAATGTGGTAATGTTTATAGTATTTGGCAGCTCTTTAAAATTTGTCATTTGTTGTGGTTTGTTTCCTCATTCTAAAGAAATACTTTTGTATCTAATTTGAAGTGTGTAATTTTGTATTTTTTCCTTAAAAATTATCTCACAAAACCTGGATCCAATCCTACTTTCTTCCCACTTTTAAAGCCACATCCAATCTATCTGCAAATCCTGTTAATTGTCACCTTAAAATATATATCAAGTCTTTCTACCTCTCTTTATTTCTATTGCCACTGTTATAGTAACTAATCTTACCTCTTACCTGAACAAGACAGCAAAACAAAAATGTCTTAACTTAGTATAACCAAAACTACTGCTTTTTATATGTGTTTTCAATACTTTACTGTCTCACTTTAAAAGATTAAAGACTTCTTTAGGCCTGGCGTGGTGGCTTACGCCTGTAATCCCAGCACTTTGGGAGGCCGAGGCGGGTGGATCACGAGGTCAGGAGACGGAGACCATCCTGGCTAACACGGTGAAACCCCATCTCTACTAAAAAATACAAAAAATTAGCCGGGCGTGGTGGTGGGCCCCTGTAGTCCCAGCTACTCGGGAGGCTGAGGCAGGAGAATGGCGTGAACCCAGGAGCTGGAGCTTGCAGTGAGCTGAGATTGCGCCACTGCACACCAGCCTGGGTGACAGAGCAAGACTCTGCCTCAAAAAAAGAAAAAAAAAAGACTTTTTAAAATCCTCTTATTTTTTTCTGATATGTTTGTCTTATAACTTTTTACATTATATTTTGGGCCAACATAGTATCCTTCTGTTTCTTCAGATAAATAACCAGTTATGCTAACATCTTGTAAGAGAAAAAAAATTTTTTTTCTGCTAAATTAAAGTGGCAGCTTTATTACTTACTAAATGCATTTTAGCTTTTATTGTATACAAACTGTCTATTTTCGTGCTAGTACAAAGTGTTTTGATCACAGTAGATTCCTGGTGATTTTAATATCTGACAAGGTAAGTCCACCGTTAATTTTTTTTAAATGGAATGTTACTGCACATTCTTTTTCCATATGAATTTAAAATTATTTACCAGTTGGAAAAAAAAAAACATGTTGGGATTCTGATTGGAACTGCAATAAATTTATGTATTAATATGGGAAAAATTATCCTTCCACTTTTCTAGTCTTATTTTACACCTTTCAATAAAATGTCATTTTCATCATTTAGATCCAACTTCTGTATTCTTAGATTTATTTTAAGTGATTTATCTTTTTTATTCTAATTATAAATGGGATATTTCCCCATTTCAATTTCTAATTGCATAATATTAATAGAGAGGGAAGCTATTAATTTTGTATTTGGGCAGCCACATTTCCCAATTATCTTATTAATTTGAATGGATTTTTAGCAGAACATCTTGAATTTCTTAAGTACATAATCATACCAACTACAAATAAAGATAGTACTGTATTTTCATTTCTCATATTTAAACTGCTCCTTTAATTTTCTAGCTTTATCAGTCTCCAAAATGTGTTGAAAAATAGCGATAATAGCAGAAATCCGTCTCTTGTTACTGATAAAATTTAAAGCAGCTGCTGAATATAATATAGTTGTTGGGTTTAGGTAGAGGACTTTTTAAAATCTTGTTGGCATTGCTATGAACTGAATTTTGTCCTCCCAAACTGCATTATGTTGAAGCTCTAATGCCTACGCGATCGAAGAAAGATTTTTTAAGGAAATGATTAAGGTTAAATGAGGTCATAAGGATGGAACCTTGTCTGATAGAGCTGGTATCCTTATAAGAAGAGGAAGAGATACCAGAAGAGGAACTGTTGTAAGAAGAGGAGAAAATACCAGCTTTCTCTGTCTCCTCTATGTGAGGACATAGTAAGAAGGTGGCCATCTGCCAGCCAGAAAGAGCGCCCTCACCAGAATGTGACCATGCTAGCCTCCTGATCTCAGACGTCCAACTTCCAGGATTACGAGAAAATAAACGTCTGTGGTTTAAGCCACCAAATCTATGGTATTTTTTATGGCAGCTTGAGCTGACTGATACAGGCAGTTTCCCTTTCCAGGCTGCCCCAGCTGAGAATTTACTGGTAAATGCAATAATATAAAAGCATAAATTATGACACAGTTATGACATTGTTTTCTAGCCTAGCAGTTCTTAACTGAGGTGATTTTGTTCCTCAGGGACAGTTAGCAATGTCTAGAGAAATTTTTGGTTGTCACAACTGAATGGCAGTGGTCGGGGGAGCCTATTGAGAGCGGTGAAGGTGTGTGCATCTAGTGGATAAAGGCCAGGGATGCTACTAAATATCCTACAATGGATAAACACTCCTCACAACAAAGTATCAGGCCCAAAATGTCAATAGTGCCCAGATTGAGAAACTCTGGCTAGTCAAGCCCCTGAAAACCCCCTTCTGCTAGAGGAAGGAAAAGGGAAGAGGCTGTTCCTAAACTACCTGGGAAATGCCCCCAGTCCCTGGGCTAAGGAGCTGTGCATGGCCAAGCCAGGAAGAGTAAAGCACTGGCTCTCAGAGCATCAGCTTTGGGTGAGTATAGCCAGCTCTGTCGGGTCTTGAAGTAAAAGTCAAGAGTAGATTTTAGCATTGGACTGCATTCAAATTGTACACGTCAGGTACAACACAGCCTGGACAGTTAGAGAACCCAATTTTTTGTAGCAGCGGGTCAACTTGTTCACATTACCTCCTTGTATGGCTTTCAAGATCCACCAGGGAGTTTTCTTGTATTCCTAATTTACTTAGGTTTTTTTTTTTTTTTTTTTTGAATGGCTAGTGAATTTTATCAAATACATCTATGGCAATCATTAAAATAATTATATTTTTTCCCTATAATGTTTGGTACTTTGGATTATCTTGATAGATACCTTCCTTTCAAAAAGTACAAAGATTGTTTTTGTTATCTTTGAGAGTTTTTAAAATTAAGGCTATTCTAACTTTATTCAGGTTTTCACGTTTCTCTACAGACTAGAATTGGTACATTGAAAATAATTATATATTCACTAATGGTTATAAAGAATTCATCTCTAACACCATCTGTGCCTGGTGCTTTTTGAAAAACGATCAATCTTTAAACTTTGTGATTTGTTCTACAATTATCTTCTTGAATCCATTTTGGTCATTTCTGTTTTTTAATAGCTTTTTGATTGGTCGTGCCTCTTCTGATTTATAATCTAGTGGTAGTCAGAGAAATCTTTTTAAAACTCAAGTTAAATCATGCCACTGCTCTGCTTAAAACTGAATAAATGAAATTTGACCTGTTTACTATTTTTACAAAGCCCCTAATGTTGTGTCTTGCCCATTACACACTTGCTTGTACCACCCCTTCCTTTACCATTTCATTGTAGACACACTGATATACTGCCCATTCCTCAAATATAGGACCCTCTTTCCCCAGGGTCCTTTCTATTTGCTTTCCCTTTTGCCTGGAAAATTCTCCACCACCACCCCACACCACATTTCTCATTGGTTGCTCATTTTCTTGCTTCAGAACTCAGTTTTTAAATTTGCTACCTCAGAGGCATTCTCTGCCCATCCTATCTAAACAGGTTTCTCCCCACCCCAACACCCATCCTGTTACCTAAACTAGGCAAAGATGTTCTCTCTTCTGGCAGTCACAAAGGTGGAGTGTAGTTGTTAGCAACCACTGAAGTATGGCTTTTCCTCAAGGGAAAAGTCAGAAAGATACTGGATTTTTCACTAAGAAAATTATCCACCCCCTTCACCTTACTTTGGTAAAAGCACCTAGTTTTAGAGCCCAGTGGTCATAACAGAACTCTAAATTAATTTTCTAAACATAATTTATGTCACTAAGAACTTCTCAATTCCTTTTGATTCTCTAAAGACATTTATATGCAACTGCATACAAATGCCAGGAATATTTTAGAATTGTAGCCATATAGAAATTAGCATGGATACAAGAACACTAATGTTAACAAAAGGAGGGGGGGAGAAATTATATTTTTCATCAAGGTATCAACTATTTTTTTTAATTTAGCCTCTCCAAATGGCTTGCTGAGAAATACTATTTGGCAAGGTATTTTTCAATCTGGCTTATGTTGCCTTTGTAATTTTACTACGCCCAGCATTTTAACATTTTTGAACATATTCCCAAAGATCTTTAATGATAGATGCATCTTTTAAAAACTCAGTCAATAAAGTACACATGTAGCAACAATGGACCACTAAAGGAATGCTGCAGATTGGATTAAGAAAATTCACAGAATGAACAATAAAGAAATAAACCTAGGCATCATTACTAAGTGGGTAACGACAATCCCTTTGAAAAGATTTTACCAATTTTAATATGAAAGCATTTTTAAATGCAGCAAAAGTGTATGTCTCTCTTCCCGCTACTTAATATTTTCAAAAACAGAACCCGTCCTGAGTGTCAGTTATAAAAGACAATGTCAAGACCGAATAAGTAAGTGAATACAAGGTAGGCCAGTTCAGGAGTGATGTTTACGGACGTGCATTATTATTATGGATAACATTTGTTAGCATCTACCAACTAAATATTAATGATTTAAGGTTTCTGGTTGTGAGTGGTCAAGACTTTGACTCTAGATTCCTTTTACTGTCACCTCAGATCTGGTAATACTTTTTTGCTTTTAAAATAATGAAATTAGCTTCTCAGTGAACTTCAAAAGAGGAAGAGCTATTCTGCAGCAGATGCTCTCCTGCTAACTCAGAATCATTCATGGGAATTGTCAATTTGTTCTTCCAAAAATATCAAGTCAGATGAGAAGAAAGCAAATGTTTTTGCTATCAAGATATAGACATTTGGTCAGAGGAATAAAATAGGCTCAAATGCCAAAAAATAATAAAGAAAATGTGGAATGAGTAACTTCCAAAGTTATGGAAATAATTTGACTGTGTCTTACTACATGATAAAAATTGACAGGATTCCTAAGTACCCACAGATGGAGGTACTATACTAACAACTCGTTAGATCAGAGTCATGATTAGAGTCCTTATTATAATCATGGTGTAGCCAGAAATTTTGTCTGTTTCAAAACAATTATATATGTATGTAAAATGTGTATACATGTGCAGTTAATTTTCTGATGATGATGATTAGTTTGCTTTAAGCCAATGCAGAGTCTCTTATAGCAAATATTACATATCTAAAGAAGGGCTGAATAGGGCTTTAGGTGTAATCCATGAATAAAACTGCTTCTAATTTGTTCATAGTCAACGAGCCTACAGGTAAAGGGATAAAACCCATATTTTAAGTTCAATTAACATAATATATCAAATAGACATT
Source organism: Homo sapiens (assembly GCF_000001405.40). NCBI lineage: Eukaryota > Metazoa > Chordata > Mammalia > Primates > Hominidae > Homo > Homo sapiens. Next base: position 3,573,139 of record NC_000009.12, on the reverse strand, counting down.
CACAATTTTATTCTACCACAAATATCAATCCTCATTTTCTTTGGCTAAAAATGTGAATTAGTAAAATTTCAGAATGTAGGAATAAAAACCACACAAAATACGACTTAATTTTTCTTTAGATGCAACTTAATCAGCTGGAAAAGCATTATGATAAAATGGCTTAGATAGGATTGAAGAAGCTAGAAAGAAAAAATTAAAAAGTAATATTTCTGTAGTCTAATGCAGTGTGGTAAAATGGTGTGGACTTTTTGATCTGGTAGACTGGGGTTTGAATCATGCTTCCTTACCTGTGTGACATTGAGTAAATTTCTTAATCAATCTAAGATTCAATTCTCTACTTTGTAAAAATAGAATAATGAAACCTCATAGGGATGTGGTGAGAGTTAAATGAAGTAATGAATACAGAATGCTAGTGCAGTGTGGGAACATAGCAGACATTCAGGAAATGACATGTATTATTGAGTGACTTCTGCATGCCAGGTTTTTATGTTATCTCATTTTAAACCTTAGAAATTTGGTTCCCTTACTTTGCTGTATATTGGAATCACCTAAAGAGACAAAAGTCATTCATGTCTAGTTCTTATGCCCAGACTCTGAATTGTGACCTGAACTTTGGGGTTCTTAAATAGCTCTCCAGGTGATTCTAATATGCAGCAAAGTTTAGGAACCACTGCCTTATAGCAATGCAGTGAGTTATGTATTAGCATACCCATTCCAGAGTTAAGAACACTGGAGATGGGTTTACTTAAGATCATAGGGTTAATGACAGAGATGGGGAGAATGGTCTTGATGTATCATTTGACAATAATAGTAGGTCACAACATTTTTTTTTTAAGTTACAAAATAGCATGAAGAATTCAATGCTAATTTTTATTTTCGAAGTTAATTATATGTATAAAAGACTTTAAATATGTTTACCAAATATATTTATCAAATAAATACACATACACACACATATATATATGTTTTGGGGGTAGAATTAATATTAAGTTTTGTTTTAGTTTCTGCACTGTGATGATGTTTCTAAATGTTCAGCAAAAAAATGTTACTTTTTTAATAACAGAAAAGAGCGTATGTGTTATTTCTTTTAAAAATCAGAAAGCTGGAAAATAAAAAGATTTATAAGTTCAAGAATGAACATCTTTAATTTAAGAGACCTGGAGAACATTCAGTTGACAATATCCAAAAGGCAGAAGGATGCATGATTCTGAAGCCTGGAATAGAAGTGTGGGCTGGATATGTAAGCTACTTTTTGGAAGCACCTGTTAGAGAGATTTAAAATTACTACAGGCCTTCCATCAACTGTAAGGTATCAAAGAGTTCTAAGACTTTCTTACTGATTTGGCATTAGGACTTGTATCCTTTTCTTTTTATTTCTTCTGCCAGCATCTTAGTGTAGTCCTGATTAGCTCATGACTAGAACATTTCCGGAGCCTTTTAATTAGTTTCCTTTGTTTCAGTCTATCTGTATTTCAATCTATTCTGTATACCTCTTCAGTAATACTTATAAAGCTCCACTAAACCTTCTGCTTAAAAAACAATGGCTTCTCATTATCCACTAAATCAAAGTTCAAATTTCTTAGGCAACCATTCAAGACTTTTCATGATCTGGCCCCTTCCTGTTGGTCTACCTTTTTCACCTGATCCTCCGGTCGAACATGATTATTTGCTCAAATACACCATTTATTTGTCTGCTTCAGTCCCTTTACACACATGCCTCTCCGTGTGCTTTAAATATCCCCCTGTATCTGCACATTTCAAATTCTGACCATTCTCTGAAGCTCAGCCCAAATGCTAGGTTCTTCATAAAAGCCTCCCTTATGATGCTCACTGGAAGTCATCACAGCTCCAGGCAAATTTTTCACTCACGTGTGGCACTCACATGACATTTATTCCCTACCTGGAATGTGGCTTACCATTTACAGGTCACTAAACTATAGAAACTCATTTAATTCTCACTAAAAAAAATTACCATATAGGTAGATAAATGCATTTTTTTAATTGAGAGAATGTGTGGTCTGAGATCATACAGTTAGTAAGTGGGATAGTCCAGATGTAACTCCATTCTTTTCAAGAAAGGAACAGAAATCCTAAGGAGGTGATCTTTTGTATTCTTTGAAATTGTGCTAAAATACACATAACATAAAATTTAACATCTTCACCATTTTAAGTGTACAGTACAGTGGCATTAATACACTCAAATTGTTGTGCAACCATCACCACCATCCATTTTCAGAACTTTTTTCATCTTGCAAAATTGAAAGTCTGTACCAATTAAACAATAATTCCCTATTTCCACCTTCTTCTAGCTACTGACAACCACCATTCTACCTTCTGTTTCTATGAATTTGACTACTCTAGTTATCTCATACAAGTGGAATCAAACAATATTTATCCTTTCATGACTGGCTTATTTCACTTAGCATAGTATCTTCAAGGTTTATCCATGTTGTAGCATGTGTCAGAATTCTAATATATATATATATTCTAATATAATAATATATTAATTCTAATATAGAATTATAATATAATATATATATACCACATTTTGTTTATCCATTCATCTGTCAATGGACCCTTGGGTTGCTCTCACATTTTAGCTACTGTAAATAATGCTGTTATAAACATGGGTGTACAGATATCTGCTCAAGTTCTTGCTTTTAATTCTTTTGCATATATAGCCAGAAGTGGAATTGCTGGATCATAGGGTAATTCTATTTTTAATTTTTTGAGGAACTGCCAAACTGTTTCCATAGTGGCTAGGCTGCACCATTTTACATTCCCACTAGCAGTGCACAAGGGTGGCAATTTCTCCATCCTTGCCAACACATCTTCTGTGTTTTTTGTTTGTTTGTTTGACAGTAGCCAACCTAAGGGGTGTAAAGTGGATCTTTTGCATTTTAAGGATTTAAAACAGGAGTTACAAACTCAAATATTCATAGAGGCCAAGGAGGTAACTGTAAACAAGTGAGACAAGCCCCTTTAAGATGATCTGTGGCACTGGACACTCAGTCTCAGGGTCTAGGAGGTAATAGGAATTGGCTGATACAATGGCCATTTGTAGAGCCCATGGAGTTATTACTCGGCTGTACCAGATTAGGGCTCTGGCAGATCTTCATGCAGATCTTTCATGCATTACATGACATCTTCTGATTTTTAAGGATTAAGTAATGGATTTGAATTTAGAGCCCACTGCAAGCCAATATTCTTTAGTCAACTAGATTTAGATGAAAGGATGTGAATATAGGACTGTGGGTATAAATAGAAGCCTTCCCACATTTGCAGTGAGAATCTCACTCTTGGGCAAGACAGCAGAAATTCTGTGGTGGAACAGGTGCTGAAACCTAGCACCTGGAATATGGCTGATATGGCAAATGAGAGCTGACGACTAAGAGCTCCAATCATTTGGGCTCCTGCTTAGCAGGATGTAGAGGAGAGGCATCATGCTGGGGGTTTCCCCTTTCTCAAACACTGACAACCATAACTTCATCCAGCTTCTATGCTTTAGACACTACTACTGGTTAAGGGTGCTAGGACCATTCTGCTGCAATTGTCCCTCTGCACAAGTCAGCACTGGGAGACATCACCAAGGCAAATTCTCTCTCAAGATACAGAGAAGCATATGGGACCACTAGAAATACATCAAGAAGAAGGGTGGGCTATGTGTGTTTATATGGGGCCCATAAGAATGTTCTCCAGTATTTGCTTTTGGGGATGAACTACATCCTGTTAGTTACATCCAGAACTGTGTTGAGCAGAGATAGGCAACCTTTTTCTGTAAAGGGCCAGATGGTAAATATCTCAGTCTCTGTGTTTCACTTATAGTCTATGTCACATATTCTTTGTTTTATTTTGTTTTTTATAACCCTTTAAAAATATAAAAACCTTTTTTAGCTCTTGAGCCATGTAAAAGCAGGTCATGGGCCAACTCATGGCCTGTAGTTTGCCAGCCCGATACAGAGAAAAATCCCAGTAACATTGTGTATACCTTGCCTTTCCAATAGATTGTTAAGAGCCATTCAGGAAATTAATGACTTTTTGCATCCACTGTGGTTTCTAGCATGTTGCCTTATGAATACATGGGAATGACAAATACTGATAAGTAAACGGATTCACAACTAAGAAGGGAGTTTTCAAATATTTTAAGCCAGGAGGTGATATCCTGGATCAGTTCTAGGATATAACCTTCTTACAGTTTTCTTTAAACAGAAACTCAGTGTCAGCAACTCCTCAGAGATAGAAGGACTCACCATTTGTGGCCTGACAGGATGAAGAGATATTAGAAAGGCAAATGGATACCTTTCTGGATGAGAGGCAAAAGGCAACAGGAGCTGTTTTCTTTTTTTCTGTGTAAAGAAGCCAGAGTAGTTTTGTAAAGAATAGGTGAGAAGAAATGGTAATAACACTTACATTTCATGGAAAGAACGAAGATTATAAACATTAAAACCCTGTAATAACACCACAGATTTGAGATTTAATTTATTTATTTGAGACAGGATCTCACTTTGTCGCCCAGGTGGGAGTGCAGTGGCATGATCTCAGCTCACTGCAACCTTTACCTCCTGGGTTTCAGTGATTTTCATGCCTCAGCCTCCTGAGTAGAGACTGTATTTTAATATCCCAAATTCAGGTGCAACCACTGGGCAATGTTGACTTAAATAAGAATAGAGTATATTGCCAGCGAACACAAAATATTGTCCTTACTTCCTTTGTGAAATGTCTACTTTAAAGAGGAATTTTATAATATTCTTAGGTTTCCAATATTAAACGTAGAGCTCCAGTAAGAATTTGAGGGCAGAATTTTATCTATGGGTTGGAAAAATTATGTTCATTTAATGAACTTTGTTTGTTTGGCCTTATGCTTGCAAGCGCTCACGCCACTCCCTGGGCACAATGTAACGGAGATAAGTTAACATTTCCAAGTCTCTAGGATACCAGTGTTTATACGGTGTCCTGATCAGGGTTTACTAAGTGTTAGTAGAGTAGACAGCTCTGAGTGTGATATGAGGGGCCTCAAGTGATCGTCTAATCTAAAAATATTTCATTATTAGCACTCAAGAATGGTAATGGGACTATAAAAGAAATTATTCCTATGGGTTAAAGCACACAAGCTACCAGAGTATCCTGTTAAATTGTAACACCTGGAATGAAATAATGACATGTGAATTAACCCATTATCGGCCATTAAGAACCCAAGAGGGATCCATTTTTCAGGTTACTAACCATCCATTGGTCAGCAGAGGAGAATGCCCTCAAAGCAAAAGATTTGACAGTAGAAGAGTTATGGTGACCCAGCACATACAGGGTATGTAGGCCTGGGTGGGGCTGAAATGGGAACTCTGAAAAGTGAAGGGAGGTGTGAGTGAGGGAGGATGAAAAAATATGCTGAAAGAAATAAAGGCATACAAAATACACATGTACTTCCTTCCTAAAGCTGACAAGACTCAACCCTGGTGTCATTAATTGAGTCTCCTCAGGTATAGAATTCAATAAAGAGACCAGCAACTACAGAAATAGAAGTAAGTAGTTTCTCAATAGATCCTTAAGAGTTATAAGTAGTATTATAAGCACTGCACTATTCTAGATGTTATTAAGAGATGAGACGGGAAAGTTAATATGACCTCAGTATGTACTATGCACTCACCCATTATTTAGTTATCTCATTCAATCCTTACAACTACCCTGTAAAAGAAGCAGTAATTCTTCTTATTGCATATGTGAAAATTTAGAGTCAAATAGCCCATGTGACTTATACAAAGTTACTTGGCATAAAGTTTAGAGCTTAATAATTCTTGTTATTAAGCGCTGTGCTGGAAGATTTACATGCATCTCTTATTTAATATCAAAGCAGTCCATTAAGTAGATATTAGTAGTATCTTTGTTTTATAGCTAAGAAATCAAATGCTCAGTCAGGTTAATTACTTTGTTTAAAATAAGTGAGGATGCTGCGATTCAAACACACACTGACCGTTCCCAACCCTTAATTGCAGGAGTACGTTGCTTTCCAGGTGAGAAGTCCCTGGCTTCTGTCCTTCAAGCAGTGCTTCCCATCTTACTATTCCACAGGACATTTTTATATAAAATATGTTGTATAATATAACCCATATTGTGGAGCAAAAATATAACAAATTCTCTTAGATTGGCAAAAAAAAAAAAAAGAAAAAAATTCCTCATCCTTTTCCTCTCTCCCCCCACTCCTCTTCCTTCTTCAATGATCTAAACTTCCTTTCCGGTATGGGTCCCCATTTCCAACTATAGGCAGATACAAAGGGCTGGAAGGGAGGTACCTAAGCATGCCGTTTAAAAGTATCTTAGACCATTTCAGGTGTGTATCCATTTAAGCTAAATTTCAAATTCCTGTCATCAGGTCTGTTTCCCTCCTCTTTTCCTATTTCCAGAGATAAAGTCTACATTGAAAAAGGAAGGAATTGTGTCCTTGTGAGGGCGAGACAGGGCTTCAGGAGCCCACGTGGATATTTTGCCTGCCTTGTCTTTCAAGATGTCTGATTGATTTCTGTGAGGACGTTTGTCTGATTTGACAACAAGGTCCCAGACTGGCATCTCCTTTTTTTTTTTTTTTGAGATGGAGTCTTGCTCTGTTGCCCAGGTTGGAGTGCAGTGGTGCGATCGTGGCTCACTGCAACCTCTGCCTCCCAGGTTCAAGCGATTCTCCTGCCTCAGCCTCCCGAGTAGCTGGGACTACAGTTGTGTGCCACCACGCCCAGTTAATTTTTGTAGTTTTAGTAGAGACGAGGTTTTGCCATGTTGGCCTGGCTGGTCTCGAACTCCTGACCTCAGGTGATCCCCCCCCACCTCGGCCTCCCAAAGTGCTAGGATTACAGGTGTGAGCGACTACGCCTGGGCTGTCATCTCCTCTTAAAGTCTGGGATCTGCTCTTCATTGGCTCTGACTGCTTTTGTCTTCACTCAATCTGGTTCCTGTCAATGATGGTGTTCAGCAACTGGCTGCATCATGAGCACATTTCATGGTCATCAGATAACTGCTGGGCTCATACTACCAGAGCCTCCTGGTGTCAGAGACCTTTAGAGGTGCTACCTTTGCATTCCCTTATCCCTAATGGGTGACTCTCTCTGAAGTTTCTGCATGGAAACTACATCCCCTTTGTCCCACTGGAAACTTCTTGGATAAGGAGGGATGAGAGCTACAGGTACCAGTGAGCTGGTCCTTGAGCCCACTACTTATGTGGGTTCTTTTTTTGTTTTTGTTTTTTGAGACAGGGTCTCACTCTGCCACCCAGGCTGGAATGCAGTGGTGCGATCTTGGCTCACTGCAACCTTTGTCGCCTGGGTTCAAACGATTCTCCTGCCTCAGCCTCCCAAGTAGCTGGGATTATAGGCACCCGCCACTGCACCTGGCTAATTTTTGTATTTTTAGTAGGGATGGGTTTCACCATCTTGGCCAGGCTGGTCTTGAACTCCTGACCTCGTAATCCACCTGCCTCAGCCTCCCAAAGTGCTGGGATTACAGGCGTGAGCCACCGTGCCCGGCCCTTATGTGGGTTCTTAAGTACTACTGTACATTTAGAAAACCCTGCAAATCTAACATCGGCTCCAGTGCAAATGTGAAGCAAACTTATGATGCTACTGCGCCATTTCTAACTGCCAGGAAGGCTTAGGGAAAGCACTTCATGTCACATGCTGTGTCTCTTGAAAAAGGCATATTTACCCTAACCAGTTGAAAACTGCTGTCAACATAAAATTCGAACACAAAAGTTATAGCAATTACCAAAATCTGGAAGCAATCAAGATGTCTTTTAATAGGTAAATAAACAAACTGTAGTACATCCATACAATGAAATATTATTCATCATTAAAAAGAAATGAGCTATTGAGCCATGAAAAAAACATAAAGAAAGCTTAAATGCATATTGCTAAGTGAACGAAGACAACCCGAGAAGGTTACATGCTACAACTATATGACAACTATATGACATTCTGGAAAAGGAAAAAACTATGGAGACAGTGAAAAGATCAGTGGTTGGCAGGTTTTGGGAAAACGAACGCAGGGGTTTGTTTATAACAGTGGAACAATCATACACTGCATAATGTTTTCATCAATGACAGACCACATATAGCACCAAAGTGGTCCCATAATATTATAACAGAGCTGAAAAATTTCTATTGCCTAGTGACATCACAGCCATCCGAATGTCGTGGCACAACACATGACTCACATGTTTGTAGTGATGTGTTTGCAGTGATGCTGGTGTAAACACACCTACTACACTGCCAGTTGTGTAATGGTATAGCACATACAATTATGTATAGTACAAAATACACAATAATGATAATAAATTATTATATTACTGATTTATGTATTTATGATACTCTACTTTTTATGGCTTTTTTAGAGTGTACTCCTATTTACATATTTTTTAAAAGTTAACTGTAAAATGGCCTCAGGCAGGTTCTTTAGGCGATATCCCAGAAAAAGGCATTGTTATTATAGAAGATGATAGGTTCATGTGTGTTATTTCCTCCAAAGATCTTCCAGTGGGACAAGCTATGGAGGTGGAGGACAGTGATATTAGTGATCCTGACCCTGTGTAGGCCTAGAGTAATGTTTGTGTTTGTGTTTTATTTTTATTTTTTACAAAAATGTTTAAAAAGTTAAAATAATTAAAAATTACAAAAGTAGAAAAAAGCTTATAGAATAAGAATATAAAGATTTTTGTATGGCTGTACAATGTATGTGTGTTTTAAGCTAAGTGTTATTACAAAAGAGCCAAAAAGTTTTTTAAAAATTAAAAGGGTTTTGTTTTGTAAGGGTTTTGTTTTGTGTGGTTTTGTGAGACAGGGTCTCACTCTGTAACCCAGGCTGGAGTGCAGTGGCGTGATCATGGCTCTCTGCACCCTCGACCTTCCCAGGCTCAAGTGATCTTCCTGCCTCAGCCTCCCGAGTAGGTGGGATTACAGGTGCCTGCCACCACACGTGGCTAATTTTTGTATTTTTTGTAGAGACTAGGTGAGACCAGGTCTCACCATGTTGCCCAGGCTGGTCTCAAACTCCTGGGCTCAAGTGATCCTCTTGGTTCAGCCTCCCAAAGTGCTGGAATTATAGGTACGAGTTACTGCACCCAACCAAAAGGTTTATAAAGTAAAAGAATCACAGTAAGCTAAGATTAATTTATTATTGAAGAAAAAATTAAATAAATTTAATGTAGCCTAAGTGTACAGGGTTGATAAAGTATACAGTAGTGTACAGTAATATCCTAGACTTCCATATTCACTTATACTCTCTCACTGACTCACCCAGAGCAACTTCCAGTTCTGCACATTCTATTCATGGTGTGTGCCTTATTCAGGTGCACCATTTTTACCTTTTATGCCATATTTTTGCTGTACCTTTTCTATGTTTAGATATGTTTAGAAACAGAAATACTTACCCTGTGTTGTAATTGCCTATGGTATTCAGTACAGTAACCTGCTGTACAGGTTTATAGCCTAGGAGCAATAGACTATATCATATACCAGCTGTGTAGTAGGTTATATCAACTGGGTTTGTGTAAAGTACTCTCTATGATGTTCACACAACTTGGAAATCTCCAAACGATGCATTTCTCAGAAAGTATTGACACTTGACTGTACTCTGTATGATAATGTAATTATGGATACATGTTACAAAACACTTGTCAAAATCCATAGAATGTACAAAACAAAGAATGACCCTTAATGTAACCTATGGCTTTAGTTAATAATACTGTATCAATATTGGCACATCAATTATAACAAATGTGCCACACTAATGCACAATATTAATAATAGGGAAAGCTGGATTCCTGGGCAACACAGCCAATTAGGAACAGCTCCGGTCTTCACCTCCCAGCGAGATCAATGCAGAAGGCAGGTGATTTCTGCATTTCTGGCTGAGGTACCCGGCTCATCCCATTGGGGCTGGTTAGACAGTGGGTACAGCCCACGGAGGGCGAGCTGAAGCAGGGTGGGGTGTCGCCTCACCCAGGAAGCACAAGGGGTTGCAGAACTCCCTCCCCTAGCTAAGGGAACCTGTGAAAGACTGTGCCATGAGGAACAGTGTCTTCTGGCCCAGATACTATGCTTTTCCCATGGTCTTCACAACCAACAGACCAGGAGATTCCTTCGGTGGCTACACCACCAGGGCCCTGGGTTTCAAGCACAGAACCGGGCGGCCATTTGGGCAGACACTGAGCAAGCTGCAGGAGTTTTTCTTCATACCACAGTGGTGCCTAGAATGCCAGCAAGACAGACCCATTCACTCCCCTGGAAAGGGGGCTGAAGCCAGGGAGCCAAGTGATCCGATCCCACCCCCATGGAGCTCTTCAAGGTAAGATCCACTGGCTTGAAATTCTCGCTGCCAGCACAGCAGTCTGAAGTCAACCGGGGACACTCGAGCTTGGTGTGGGGATGGGAGTCCGCCAGTACTGAGGCTTGAGTAGGCGGTCTTCCCCTCATAGGGTAAACAAAACCATTTGGAAGTTTGGACTGGGCAGAGCCCACCACAGCTCCGCAAAGCTGCTGTAGCCAGACTGCCTCTCTAGATTCCTCCTCTCTGGGCAGGGCATCTCTGAAAGAATTGCAGTAGCCCCAGTCAGGGGCTTATAGTTCAAACTCCCATCTCCCTGGGACAGAGCATGTGGGGGAAGGGGCGGCTGTGGGAGTACCTTCAGCAGACTTAAACATTCCTGCCTGCTGGCTCTGAAGACAGCAGCAGATTTCCCAGCACAGCGCTCAAGCTCTACTAAGGGACAGACTGCCTCCTGAAGTGGTTCCCTGACCCCCATGCCTCCTGACTGGGAGACACCTCCCAGCAGGGGTCTACAGACACCTCATACAGGAGAGCCCTGGCTGGCATCTGGCGGGTGCATCTCTGAAACAAAACTTCCAGAGGAAGGAACAGGCAGCAATCTTTTCTATTCGGCAGCCTCTGCTGGTGATACCCAGGCAAACAGGGCCGGGAGTGGACCTACAGCAAACTCCAGCAGACATGCAGAAGAGGGGCCTGACTATTGGAAGGAAAACTAACAGAAAGAAATAGCATCGATATCAACAAAAAGGACATCCACACAAAAACCCCATTGGAAGGTCACTAGCATCAAAGACCAAAGGTAGATAAACTTACAAAGATGAGGAAAAACCAGCACAAAAAGCCTGAAAATTCCAAAAACCAAAACACCTCTTCTCCTAGAAAGGGTCACAACTCCTCGCCAGCAAGGGAACAGAACAGTATGGAGAATGAGTCTGATGAATTGACAGAAGTAGGCTTCAGAAGGTGGGTAATAACAAACTGCTCCAAGCTAAAGGAGCATGTTCTAACCCAATGCAAGGAAGCTAAGAACTTTGAAAAAAGGTTAGAGGAATTGCTAACTAGAATAACCAGTTTAGAAAAGAATATAAATGACCTGATGGAGCTGAAAAACAGCACAAGAACTTTGTGAAGCATAGACAAGTATCAATAGCCGAATCGACCAAGGGGAAGAAAGGATATCAGAGACCGAAGGTCAGCTTAATGAAATAAAGCATGAAGACAAGATTTGAGAAAAAAGAGTGAAAAGGAATGAACAAAGCCTCCAAGAAATATGGGACTATGTGAAAAGACCAAACCTGCGTTTGATTGGTGTACCTGAAAGTGACAGGGAAAATGAAACCCAGTTGGGAAACACTCTTCAAGATATTATCCAGGAGAAATTCCCCAACCTAGCAAGACAGGACAACATTCCCCAACCTAGCAAGACAGGCCAACATTCAAATTCAGGAAAAAAAGAGAATAGCACAAAGATACTCGTCAAGAAGAGCAACCCCAAGACACATAATCGTCAGATTCACCAAGGTTGAAATGAAGGAAAAATTGTTAAGGGCAGCCAGAGACAAAGGGCAGGTTACCTACAAAGGGAAGCCAATCAGACTAACAGCAGATCTCTCTACAGAAACCCTACAAGCCAGAAGAGAGTGGGGGACAATATTCAACATTCTTAAAGAAAAGAATTTTCAACCCGGAATTTCATATCCAGCCAAACTAAGCTTTGTAAGCAAAAGATAAATAAAATCCTTTACAGACGAGCAAATGCTAAGGAATTTTGTCACCACCAGGCCTGCCTTACAAGAGATCCAGAAGGAAGCACTAAATATGGAACGGAAAAACCAGTACTAGCCACTGAAAAAACAAACCAAAATGTAAAGAACATCAACACTATGAAGACACTGCATCAACTAATGGGCAAAATAACCAGCTAGCATCCTAATGACAGGATCAGATTCACACATAACAATATTACCCTTAAATGTAAATGGGCTAAATCTCACAATTAAAAGACACAGACTGGAAAATTGGATAAAGAGTCAACACCCATAGGTGTGTTGTATTCAGGAGACACATCTCATGTGCAAAGGCACACATAGGCTCAAAATAAAGGGATGGAAGAATATTTACCAAGCAAATGGAAAGGAAAAAAAGAGCAGGGTTGCAATCCTAGTCTCTGATAAAAGAGACTTTAAACCAACAAAGATTAAAAAAGACAAAGAAGGGTATTACATAATGGTAAAGGGATCAATGCAAAAAGAAGAGCTAACTCTCCTAAATATATATGCACCAATACAGGAGCATCCAGATTCATAAACCACATTCTTAGGGACCTACAAAGAGACTTAGACACCCACAAAATAATAGTGGGAGACTTCAATACCCCACTGTCAATATTAGACAGATCAACAAGACAGAAAATTAACAAGGATATGCAGGATTTGAACTCAGCTCTGGACCAAGTGGCCCTAATAGACAGCTACAGAACTCTCCACTCCAAATCAACAGAATGTACATTCTTCTCAGCACTACATTGCACTTAGTCTAAAATCGGCCACATAATTGGAAGTAAAACACTCCTCAGGAAAGGCAAAAGAATGGAAATCATAACAAACAGTTTCTCAGACCACAGTGCAATCAAATTAGAACTCAGGATTAAGAAACTCACTCAAAACTGCACAACTACATGGAAACCGAACAACCTGCTCATGAATGACTACTGGGTACATAACGAAATTAAGTCAGAAATAAATAAGTTCTTTGAAACCAATGAGAACAAAGACACAATATACCAGAATCTCTGCGACACAGCTAAAGCAGTGTTTAGAGGGAAATTTATGGCACTAAATGCCCACATGAGAAAGTGGGAAAGATCTAAAATAGACACTCTAACATCACAATTAAAAGAACTAGAGAAGCAAGATCAAACAAATTCAAAAGCTAGCAGAAGACAAGAAATAACTAAGATCAGAGCAGAACTGAAGGAAGTAGAGACACCAAAAACCCTTCAAAAAATCAATGAATCCAGGAGCTGGTTTTTTGAAAAGATTAGCAAAATAGACCACTAGCCAGACTAATAAAGAAGAAAAGAGAGAAGAATCAAATAGATGCAATAAAAAATGATAAAGGGGAGATCACCACTGATCCCACAGAAATACAAACTACCACCAGAGAATACTATAAACACCTCTACACAAATAAACTAGAAAATCTTGAAGAAATGGATAAATTGCTGGACACATACACCCTCCCAAGACTAAACCAGGAAGAAGTCGAATCCCTGAATAGATCAATAACAAGTTCTGAAATTTAGGCAGTAATTAATAGCCTACCAACCAAAAAAAGCCCAAAACCAGATGGCTTCACAACTGAATTCTACCAGAGGTACAGAGAGGAGAAGGAATGGTACCATTCCTTCTGAAACTATTCCAAACATTAGAAATAGAGGGAATCCTCCCTAACTCATTTTATGAGGCCGGCATCATCCTGATACCAAAACCTGGCAGAGACACAACAAAAAAGAAAATTTCGGGCCAATATCCCTGATAAACACTGAAGCAAAAATCCTCAATAAAATGCTGGCAAACAAAATCCAGCAGCACATCAAAAAGCTTATCCATCATGATCAAGTCGGCTTCATTCCTGGGTTGCAAGGCTGGCTCAACATACACAAATCAATAAACATAATCCATCACAGAAACAGAACCAACGATAAAAACCACATGATTATCTCAATAGATGCAGAAAAGGCCTTCAATAAAATTCAACAGCTCTTTATGCTAAAAACTCTCAATAAACTAGGCATTGATGGAACATATCTCAAAATAATAAGAGCTATTCATGACAGACCCACAGCCAATATCATACTGTGTAGGCAAAAGCTAGAAGCATTCTCTTTGAAAACTGGCACAAGAAAAAGATGCCCTCTCTCACCACTCCTATTCAACATAGTATTGGAAGTTCTGGCTGGAACAATCAGTCAAGAGAAAATAAATAAAGGGTATTCAGATAGGAAGAGAGGAAGTCAAATTGTCTCTGTTTGCAGACGACATAATTGTGTATTTAGAAAACCCCATCATTTCAACCCAAAATCTCCTTAAGCTGATAAGCAACTTCAGCGAAGTCTCAGGATATAAAATCAATGTGCAAAAATCACAAGCGTTCCTATTATACACCAATAATAGACAAACAGAGAGCCAAATCATGAGTGAACTCTCATTCATAATTGCTACAAAGAGAATAAAATACCTAGGAATACAACTTACAAGGGATGTGAAGGACCACTTCAAGGAGAACTACAAACCACTGCTCAAGGAAATAAGAGAGGACACAAACTAATGGAAAAACACTCCATGCTCATGGATAGGAAGAATCAATATCGTGAAAATGGCCATACTGGTAGATTCAATGCCATCTCCATCAAGCTACCATTGACTTTCTTCACAGAATTCAAAAAAACTACTTTAAATTTCATATGGAACCAAAAAAGAGTCCATATAGCCAATACAATCCTAAGCAAAAAGAACAAAGCTGGAGGCATCACACTACCTGACTTCAAACTATACTGCAAGCCTACAGTAACCAAAACAGCATGGTACTTGTACCAAAACAGATATATAGACTAATGCAACAGAACAGAGGCCTCAGAAATAATGCCACACATCTACAGCCATCTGATCTTTGACAAACCCGACAAAAACAAGCAATGGGGAAATGATTCCTTATTTAATAAATGGTGTTGGGAAAACTGGCTAGCCATATGCAGAAAACTGAAACTGGACCCCTTCCTTACACCTTATACAAAAATTAACTCAAGATGGATTAAAGATTTAAATGTAAGACCTAAAATCATAAAAACCCTAGAAGAAAACCTAGGCAATACCATTTGGGATGCAGGCATAGGAAAAGACCTCATGACTAAAACACCAAAAGTAATGGCAACAGAAGCCAAAATTGACAAATGAGATCTAATTAAACTAAAGAGCTTCTGCACAGCAAAATCAACTATCATCAGAGTGAACAGGCAACCTACAGAATGGGAGAAAATTTTTGCAATCTATTCATCTGAAAAAGGGCTAATATCCAGAAGCTACAAGGAACTTAAACAAATTTACAATAAAAAAACAACCCCATCAAAAAGTGGGCAAAGGATATGAACAGACACTTCTCAAAAGAAGATATTTATGCAGCCAAAAAACATATGGAAAAAAAGCTCATCATCACTGGCATTAGAGAAATGCAAATCAAAACCACAATGGGATACCATCTCACTCCAGTTAGAATGGGGATCATTAAAAAGTCAGGAAACAACAGATGCTGGAGAGGATGTGGAGAAATAGGAACATTTTTACACTGTTGGTGGGAGTCTAAATTAGTTCAACCATTGTGGAAGTCAGTGTGGCGACTCCTCAAGGATCTAGAACCAGAACTACCATTTGACCCAGCAATCCCATTACTGGCTGTATACCCAAAGGATTATAAATCATTCTACTATAAAGACACATGCACATGTATGTTTATTGCAGCACTATGCACAATAGCAAAGACTTGGAACCACCCCAAATGCCCATCAATGTTAGACTGGATGAAGAAAATGTGGCAAATATATACCATGGAATACTATGCAGCCATAAAAAAGAATGAGTTCATCTCCTTTACAGGGACATGGATGAAGCTGGAAACCATTATTCTCAGCAAACTAACACAGGAACAGAAAACCAAACACCGCATGTTCTCACTCATAAGCGGGAGTTGAACAATGAGTACACATGGACACAGGGAGGGCAACATCACACACAGGGGCCTTTCGGGGGGTGAGGGGCTAGGGGAGGGATAGCATTAGGAGAAATACCTAGTGAAGATGATGGGTTGATGGGTGCAGCAAACCACCATGGCACATGTTTATCTATGTAACAAACCTGCACCTTCTGCACATGTATCCCAGAACTTAAAGTATATATATATGAATATTCCCACCAAACTCTTTACACCTCTGGGTTTGATACTGGCTCTCAACTAGGGGATTCTGCTAAGGGACAGAGTGCTTGGTAACAGGGTGGCTGTGTCACAGCAGCCAGCATAAATCCAATGACTGAAAGAAAGAACCATCATTTACTAAAAAATAAAAATAATAACAAAATAACAGGGAAAACTGGTGGGAGGAATGAGGGAGAATGTGGGAACTCTCTGTACCTTCCACTCAATATTTCTATAGCAAACTGCTAAAAAAACACTATTAGTTCTTTTTAAAAAGCATGAAACAGATTTTCATTGGGATTCCATTACTGTATTTTTCTCCCCACACTATCTTTCCAGGGTTTCAGGTTTAAAAGTGAGTCAAGACTTTGATCTCCTACCTTCCCCAAACCCCTCTCCAAAAGACTGAAGGGCTATCTTTTACTTCCCCTTACTGGCTTTTAGGAGCTTTACTTATGTCACATCCTCCTCCTTCCTCAGGAGATATTTGCCCCACCTCCAACCTCTTCTACTAAGAGATAAAGATGTAAGACAACAGTGAAAGGAGCTATGCTGTCAATAAGGAGGATTAGTGAATTATATTATTATTATACACATCTTATTCCTAATTGTACAAGTGGAAAAATCTTTTTTTTTTTTTTTTTTTTTTTTTGAGACGGAGTCTCGCTCTGTCGCCCAGGCTGGAGTGCAGTGGCGCAATCTTGGCTCACTGCAACCTTGCCTCCCGGGTTCAAGTGATTCTCCTGCCTCAGCCTCCTGAGTGGCTGGGGTTACAGGTCAGCACCACCAGGCCCAGCTAATTTTTGTATTTTTAGTAGAGACGGGGTTTCACCATGTTGATCAGGCTTGTCTTCAACTCCTGACCTTGTGATCCGCCGGCCTTGGCCTCCCAAAGTGTTGGGATTACAGGCGTGAGCCAGCGCACCTGGCCGAAAAATCTTTATAACATAATGTAGAGCAAGTTAGTATGCCTGTAAACATAATTATAAACTTTGGAGGATTTTCTGAAATGTAAGATACATATAAGCAGCACACAAAATATATGGGTACATGTGATGGTTAATATTAGGTGTCAACTTGATTGAAGGATGCCTAGATAGCTGGTAAAGCATTGTTTCTGGGTGTGTCTATGAGGGTGTTGCCAGAGGAGACTGACATTTGAGTCAGAGGACTGGGAGAGGAAGACCCATCCTCCATGTGGGTGGCCACCATGCAATTGGCTGCCAGCGCATCTGGAACAAAGCAGGAGGAAGAAGGTGGGATAAGCTGGCTTGCTGAGTCTCCTGGCTTTCATCTTTCTCCCGTGCTAGATGCTTCCTTCCATTCCTCCCGCCCTAGGACATGAGACTCGAGGTTCTTCCGCCTTCGGACTCTCGGAGTTACACCAGTTGTTTGCTGGGGGCTCTCAGCCTTTGGCCACAGCCTGAAGGCTGCACTGTTACCTTTCCTGCTTTGGACTGAGCCACTACTGGCTTCTTTCTTCCTCAGCTTACAGACGGCCTATTGTGGGATTTCACCTTGTGATCCTGTGAGCCTATTCTCCCTAATGAACTCCCTTTCATATATACATATATCCTACTAGTTCTGTCCCTCCGGAGAACCCTAATACAGTACAGTTTAATGAATAATCATAAAGCAAATAACTGTGTAACCACCAACCAAGTAAATAAATGGAACATTTCCACCATCCTCATCCCTACCCCATATGCCTCTCTCTGATCATAACTCTCTTCCTATCCTCTCTGGAAAACCACTATTTTAAAGGTTTGATAATCATTTCCTTGTTTTTTTAATATTCACAGAATTTTAAAACTGAAAAAGATCTGAAGATTTTGTCCCACACGTTTCAGATGAGGACTTTTAAGTCAAGAGACCTAATACCTTTCCCAAAGTCACAGAAACTGGTAACGAAGGATCAGAAACCAACCATTCTGACCTCCAGAGATACTTGATGTATATAACATTCTCTACTTACATAATGCTCTGTATATAGTGCATTAGGAACACAGAGAAGTGTGTGTGTGTGTGTGTGTGTGTGTGTTGGAAAGTTGGTAGTAATAATAATAGCTATACTTTATTAAGGGCTCATTATGTACCTTATAACAATCCTCTGTATTGTATGTTAAATATCATTACTTATTTGTTTATTCCTGTTTTACAGATGAGGAAGTTGAGACTTGGAGATATTAAGTTGCCAAAAGTCAGATAATTAGTATGCAGGAAGATCTGGATTCCAATTTAGTCTTGTCTGACTCCAAAGCTTGGGCTCTTGTGCATGTTGTTTTCACTTAAAACACTTAATTATTTTATTACTATAAAAGTGATGCATTCTTATGGTCAAAAAAGTTCTAAAAGTGGCATCAGTTAGGAATGGGCTTGTCCACATGAGCAGAAAAACCCTGTAAATAACGTAGAGTGAGAGAAGTTTATTTGGTTCACAGAGTAAGAAGACTAGGCAGGGGTAGAGGTGGGGTGGGGAGGTAGGTAGAATAGGGCCATTTATGGCAGCTCAATGATAACATTAGGGACCCATTTTCTATTTTCTCACTCCATTGTCCTTAGTGTGTACACCTTTGCCCTCAGGATTTTCATATCAAGGTGGCAAAAAGCCACTCTGTCTCCAGGTATTGCATCAGCATTCCAGGTGGGAAGTGGAAGGGAGAAGGAAGCAGGAAGGTGCCCTTACAAGGAAAACAATAGCTTTTCAATAAACCCGTAACTTATGCCTCATTGTCCACAGTCGTGACACATGGCCACCCTCAAACAGCAAGGGAGCCTGGAGAAGTATTTTTAGAAAAGCACACACTGCTACTCCAACAAAATTGGAATCCTGCTATTAGGGATGAAAGAATAGATTTGGAGTAGGCAATTAGCACTGTCTTCCACAAACACCATAAAAGTTTATTAATTGAAACTTACAGGTCTTTCTACTACTTCTGACTATCATCCTCCTCTCATGTGATAATCACAGTTGATTTTTTGAGTCACGTTTAAGCGACAGAATGGACACGTATGGAAGAGACTGGAACAACTTCAGTGGGGCAAAGGGGATATGTGCAAAGAAAAAAAATAGAGTTGAGTCTGAGCAAGAAAATTGAGATGAATTAGGCATGAATTGACAATGGCTCTTACAGATTAGGCAGACGAGTTTGGCTACTATACAAAGACTAAGAAAGCCACTGTAAATGTTGCACAGAAGAGTGAAATGTTTCTATAACAAGAGAATACATATCTGTTGTCATACTGAGATTCTTAATCCCTTTCCGAGCTAAGTCAATATAGTTATCAACACTTTGCTGCTTACCACCTCCAGAGCAACATGCCAGAGAATATGAATAGATCACTGGAGCATGATTCACCATTAATTAACAGCATTATTCTTTTTGGTGATTTATAAAAGACAAAGGAACAATTACTGTTTAACTAGAAATCTGTGTAGACATGAATGTCTCTTCTTTTCTAAGTTGATTCTGCTACTAGTGTCTTTTTAAAAGCCATATGGATATGGTTTAAGCTTTAAAATGATCAGCTAATTCTATTCAAGCTCAGTGTATAATTCATTAGAAAATACTTCCTTTCCTACCACCAAAATGCCTCAGGGAATATATATATTTTCACTCATTTGAATTGTGTCAGCAGTGTTACAAAAGAACTTCTTTCAGATGACATGAAAAAGAGTTTACATGACTTTCCCGAAATATTTTTAGATAGTGTTTAGTGTTACTGGGAGCTTTCAGTACCAAAAATTATTTGGAAAGTCAATAACTTGTTCTAATTCTTAAGCAACTTGAGTTTTTTAAGGAAGCTCCTGTTCTGATATTTCAGGAGGTAATTTTTCTATGATTCTGCTTGTACATGCTTTCTTCTGTAATCACAAAGTTTTGATCTTACTGCATTTTGGGACCACCCTAACATTTGAAACTTCTTAATTTGAAGACATTTTTTCTTTACAGTTTTTTATTTTGCTTTTTTCCTGTAGGAAATCATGAAAACAAACAATAACAACAAAAAATGGCTGGGCACGGTGGCTCACACCTGTAATCCCAGCACGTTGGGAGCCTGAGGTGGTGGATTACTTTAGGTCAGGAGTTCAAGACCAGCCTGGCCAACATGGTGAAACCCTGTCTCTACTAAAAAATGTACAAAAATTGGCTGGGCATGGTGGCATGCACCTGTAATCCTGGAGGCTGAAGCAGGAGAATCACTTGAACCCGGAAGGCAGAGATTGAAAGATGGTCTCACTGTACTCCAGCCTGGGCAACAGAGACTCTGTCTAAATAATAATAATAATAATTATTATTATTATAGAAGCATTTCCTCTTCTGGCTTTCTTAATAACTTTGAATATAAAAGTTAACTTTTGTTTACACATTTCACTTATTTTTTACCAACTAACTTTAATATTATTTACTGTACAAGGGTCCACTAGTTTCTCAAATTTATCTACCTTGTTGATTTTATATTAATAAATTTGGATAACAACTGGTCATATTGATAGCAGTAAGATTAATTTATATCCTACCAGCCTATAGTGCAGGATAATTTGGCCCAAGGGTAGATTGGATTTTACCTTTGAACTAAATATGTAAAACTGTAAATATTATTTCAATACAGATACCATCTACTTAAGAAAACATATTTTCTGTCACTATAAAATTACTTCAGTAATAGCCATTTAAGGTCTTTTTTAAAACAAATTTTTGAGACAGGTTCTCACTTTGTTGCCCAGGCTGGGGTGCAGTGATATGACCTTGGCTCACTGCAGCCTTGACCTCCTGGGCTCAAGTAATCCTTCCACCTCAGCCCCCCAGGTAGTTGGGACTACAGGCACATGCCACCACACCTGGCTTATTTTTGTATGTTTTGTAGAGACAGGGATTTGCCATGTTGCCCAGACTGGTCTTGAACTCCTGTGATGGTAAGATCTTAGTAAAAACATGCCATCTTTCTTAATAAGAATAAAAGCTAAACGAAACAAATAACTCTAAAATAAAAAAGGTTAGAGTCTCTGGAGTTGAAACTCAAAGTAAAATTTCCTTTGGGACAGAGAACTGGACCACATAGTCCTGATTCTATCCTTTAGACTTGACTTTCTTTAATGTCTAACACTAATTAATGCTGCCATCACCAAAAATCTAGCCTCAGACATGAGCTGCTCGTTCCTTAACAGTCTGCCCTAAGGATGACCTGTAATCCTTTGTTTAATATAAGAAAACAGAGCTAAGACTGATTTAAAAAAAATTGTTTTTAAAAATTGAAGAACCAAAAGAAAACTAGGTGATCTGACTCCGAAAATTTAGCTTTTTCTCTAGGTTTGCAGGTACATTCCAATTCTGTGGAAGCCCAATATTATAGGGTTAAAGCTAGTTGCTGTATCAGATAAACCCTAACATCTCAGAAGACTAACGCAACAGAGGAGTATTTCTTGTTGTCCCCTGGCTCTTTTTACCCTGTACTGAGCCATCTTGCACATATCTTCTATGATGTCTACCTATATTATGTCAGATGGAGAAAAGCCCTGGAGACTTGCCCCTGTTGTTGGAGGCTGGGTAGCAGTTATGGGACGTGTAGCAGTTGCAGCGATGGAAAGCACTGAAGACAAAGGCAGGAGCTACAGAGCCGCCCTTTGCTCTTCAAGGTAAGGGAAGCCCTTGATTAGAGGTGGGATCTATACCACCCTACATTGGGCTACTCCACGCTACATTCTCATCGAACCTTAAAACCTAGCAAGTCATCCACTTGAAATCAGTGGTCTTGACACAACATCTAATATCTTTCAATCCCTTCTTCTAATATAAATGCTGTATTTAGCTCACAAAAATGTTGACCTATTTCTTTGTTCTTGCACTGTGAAGTTTGAGTGAGTATTCAAACTTTGTCACAGTCTGTCGTGTTCTATTTGAAAGAAAAAAAAGTTTGACTGATGTTGCGCAGGATTACATCTGGAATGAGTGAGATAAAATTTCCTCGTGCTCCTTCTGACCATTTGGTAGGCAAGTTAAAATTGCTTTGCAGTCCCCAGAGTTGTGGGTGGGAGAACACGCAGTTCTTAAAAGAGCTTACAAGCTTCTCTCCTTGCATGTAGATCTGCCTCTCTTTTCACTTGTCAGGGTCTAGAGGCACTTGTCTTAGTAAGACTAATGACTACTTTTCTTGGGCCTATTTGGAACAAGAGAACACACACCCTTGCCAGTAGTTATTTTAGTGTTTTTCCTCGCCATTTTTCCTTCTCTTTGAAACTTGAGGGGTCCTTATTCGTGAGCTGGAATAAGGCCCTAAAACTAATTTGAAATAATTAGCTGAATACAACTTTTATCAAGCCATGGTTATTCGATGTCTAGTGTAGTCATATAGCATTGAAGTCACAGGAAACAATCATTATCTAGGATTATGCTAAAATCTCCAAACACAAAAATTAGAAAAAGGATAAGACATAATACCTTGTGAAAGTCAAACCTGGATGCAAAATAAGAATGAATTAGGAAAAACATTTTCTTTAAATATGCCATGCATGAGTAACTATCTTGAAAACTGTCACATGATAATGATTATCAGAAGCAAAGAGGCAGTTAACTGCATAAAGTATTGAGAAAGACAAAAATAATGTTTTATCTATATATGTAATACTGTCTAGACAAGAGAATAGCCTGATTCTAGTTGACTGACCCCAGATTTTACTAAAGAACTATCCTGAAAGGACAAAAGCATAACAAAACAGGCCACATTTAATTGACATGAATTTCCTGGGTACGACACTCAAGTGTCCTCACTTACTACTCCCTAAGCAACTTGTTGGAAAATAATTATTGTATTTTTGTTTATTTATTTATTTTGAGAGGGAGTCTCACTCTGTTGCCCAGGCTGGAGTGCAGTGGTGCGATCTTGGCTAACTGCAACCTCTGCCTCCCGGGTTCAAGTGATTCTCCTGCCTCAGTCTCCTGCGTAGCTGGGACTACAGACATGCACCTCCACATCCAGCTAGTTTTTGTATTTTCAGTAGAGACGGGGTTTCATTATGTTGGCCAGGCTGGCCTGGAACTCCTGACCTCGTGATCTGCCCATCTCAGCCTTTCAAAGTGCTGGGATTACAGGTGTGAGCCACCATGCCCAGCCGGAAAATGCTAATTTATTAATTAAACAAATGTTTATTGAAATTTTACTTTTGTGGTAGATACTTGTCTCTTGATTTTTAGGAGCTTTTTAACCACTGGGAGAAACAGATAAAGAAAAGATCATATCAGAGATGGATGTGGCTATGATGATATAAGCACAAATGCACATGGAAAGGCATCTCAAATCAGCCTAGGGAATTGGTGAAGGCCAATGGTGGTAACAAGCTCAAACTCTGGAGTCAGACCCTCTGGGCTTAATTCTCCATTCCATAACTTAATTGTTGCATGACCTCATGCAAATCAATTCATCTCTCTAAACATGAATTTATTAATCTGTAAAACAAGGAAAAGAGAGGCAGCTTTCCTAATGAGGTTTAAATGAGATTATGTATTAGAGCATTTGGCATAGTGCCTGGAGACTGTAAATGCTCAATTTATGTTGGTGATTGCTATTTACAGAAGAGATGGTGCTTGAACTGGGCTATGGAATAAGTAGGAGTTAGAGAATAGGGAGGCAGCAGAGGGCATTTCAGGGAGAGGCAATGACATCTGATAGGCACAGAGACATGAAACAGTATAACATCTCTCGGTGACAAGTGGTTTATACCTATTCAAATTTAGTTTATTTTCCTAAAACCAAATATGCCTTCATAGTTTGCATGTAAATAACTTTTAAAAAAAGTTTCCTACAAACACGTGTAAATCTCTCAGGAATTCCTTCAGACATAACTTTCTCCCAACCCTCCTCATTCATTGGTTCACCAATGGGTTCAATTTGGCTTCCTACCTTGGTTTCTGCTCTTATTCTAACTCTCAAATTTGCGTTGTTTACTGCAGACCTGACTCTGCACTTCCAGGGGACACACATCCTGGTGTTTGCCTACTGATAGTATAGTAGAGATATGCCTTACCATAGAACCTCAGCCATCCTCCTGCATACTCCCTAGCCTGCCCTGCCACTGATCTTGCACCACCAGACAGGGAGGATGACTGGACCATTTTTTAGAAAAGTAGGCTGGTACCAAATTACAATGAGCTTTCTATGTTCAGCTTAGGAATCTGGACATTTTCCTAAAAGTTATGAAAAATTGCTAAAAATTGTCTAGAGGAAAGACATGATCAGATTTCTATTTTAAGATCATTCTAGTAGGAGTTTCCAGATTACAGATAGAAAAAATCACGGGAAATGTCTCCTCAGCTAATCCCAGTGAGATGGGACCTGTTCAAAAACAGTGGCAGCAGGGAAGAAGGAAAAGCAGTGAGAACGAGTGAGACTAAGAAAGCAGAATGTCCTGAACTTGGAGACTGGATTGGCTAAGAAAGTTAAGTTATAGAGAGGTGTCTAGGATTACTACCAGATTTCCAACTCAGGCGACCAGAGGGGTAGTGATTCCAATTATCAAGAAAAGGAATACAGGAAACAAACATTAAATTGGAGCATAAAAGTAATAAGGCCAAATTTTGGATATTTTAAATCGAAGTTGATTATGGGACATCCAAATGGAGATGCCCATTAGCAGGGAAGTCTGGGATTCTTGAACAGTCAGATTTTTTTATTTTTATTTTTTGAGACAGAGTCTTGCCCTGTCACCCAGGCTGGAGTGCAGTGGCATGATCTCGGCTCACTGCAACCTCTGTCTTCCCTGGTTCAAGCGATGCTCCTGTCTCAGCCTCCCAAGTAACTGGGATTACAGGTGTGTGCCACCATGCCCATCTAATTTTTGTAGTTTTGGTAGATATAGGGTTTCATCATGTTGGCCAGACAGATTTTTGATTTAACATGTGGAAGGAATGTGCTTTATGAAGATGAGGATTCTTGTTTTCAGACAAATATATGTATCTTCCATTAGAAATGAGTAATTCTTCTGTTCTAGAAATCACTGTCTGGTGATTTTGGATGCATGCTTAAATCCTAGAGGGCCTGATTATCATTGGATTAACTGACTGAATCATTCTAAAAGGTATAGCTATCATACACTTCACCTTCTACTATATTAGTTTGCTCTATTATTTATTTATTTAGAGATGGAGTCTCACTCTGTCTTCCAGGCTGGAGAGCAATGGCACAATCTCAGCTCATTGCAACCTCCGCCTCGTGGGTTCAAACAATTCTCTTGCCTCAGCCTCCCAAGTAGCTGGGACTACAGGTGTGTGCCACCACACCTGGCTAATTTTTTGTATTTTTAGTAGAGACGGGGTTTCACCGTGTTAATCAGGATGGTCTTGATCTCCTGACTTCATGATCTACCTGCCTTGGCCTCCCAAAGCGCTGGGATTACAGGCATGAGCCACCGCACCCAGCCAGTTTGCTCAGTTTATATAACCACTGGTACCCTAGAGAGGTAGCTTGGCAAATACAGGCCCTTGTCTGAGTGTGTATCCTGACAATTAGTTACTAACTTACGGCCTTGGCAAAATTATTTAAGTTTCTGGTCCTCATTTTCTCACTATGTAAAAATGAGAACTGTAATAGTACCTGTTTTATCGTGTTGTGACGACTGAGTTAACTCACAGAGCAATGACTGGCACAAAGAAAACCCTCAATAAATGTTAGTTATAATTATTGTCCAAGATAATACAGTCAAACTCCATTGTAAAGCATCTCACTTAATTATTGCATAATTTTAGTTTCACATCAGCAAAATCGTACCCATCATGAGCACAGGCATAAATCACTGTAAATTTATAAGCTGCACTGATTTTTTGAAAATATTTTTAACAGTGAAGATTTTATATATATGCCACATTAATAACAGTATACATATTGAGAGATATAAACACAAGAGGAATACAGCCACAAGTGTGATTAAAATGAACACGTGTTAAAAGTATTTAAATCATACCTTGGATTTACATAGTTTTTTTTTTTTTGAGACAGGGTCTCACTCTGTGGCACAGGGTCCCACTCTGTCATCCCAGGTAGAATGCAGTGGCACGATCACAGCTTATTGTAACCTTGAACCACTGGATGCCCCTGCCTTTTTAAAAAAAGACCAAAATATTTTGTAAGTTTACATTTTTTTTAACATTTGAAAAATTCAATAGCGTTTCAAAAAATTTTTCAGCAGCCTTCTAAAGGTAGTTTATCATGCTTAACTTCACACACACATACACACACGAGCCATACAAACACACCTTGCCATGGTGAAACACAATTACATTAATTAGATCATAAAAGCCCATTTATATGGAGAAATTTTGCTTTAATGAATAATTATTTCATCAGAAATTTATTGTATTAAAATTTTTAAATAAGGTCCAGAATGTATACAAATTCAAGTTCTAGCTTGTGTCAGAGTACGATCTTTCTATATTCACTTTTACTAATAGAAAGTAGAATGTAGAATTGGGAGGTCGAGGCAGGCAGATAATTTGAGGTCAGGGGTTTGAGACCAGCTTGATCCACATAATGAAACTCCATCTCTACTAAAATACAAAAATTAGCCAGGCGTGGTGGCGGGCACCTGTAGTCCCAGCTACTCGGGAGGCTGAGGCAGGAGACTCGCTTGAACCCAGGAGGCAGAGGTTGCAGTGAGCCGAGATTGCACCACTGCACTCCAGCCTGTGCAACAGACCAAGACTCCCTCTCAAAAAAAAAAAAAAAAAAAAGAAAAGAAAAAGAAAGTAGAATGTAGAAATTTAGATGTCGTAAAACTTCAAAAACTAAACTGCATTAAAATATACTGGTATCTTCAGGAGCTTTAACACTGCTATATTTTCAGGTTATTTTGCCAATAACCAAATAACCCATCAGAGATTACAAACTCATGGTGAAACAGGTGCACTGTTCACATTTCTTAGATTCATCAACATCAAAGAGGACTCTTCCTTAAACTTTAAAAAATGCCAATCCATTTATAGACCAAACACTGAAGCCCGGTGAGGTAAAGTGATTTCCAAAAGTAACACAGTAATGAAGCTAGTTCTGAGACCCAAGTTCACAGAAAGTTGGGTAAACTCTTGTGATGCACAATAAAACACAATTTTAAACCTGCACAAATAAAATGTAATTGTCTTAATAGGAAGTGCCAAAAATTCCAAATCATTTTGGAGGTCATTAGTGAAAGTTAAATTTAGGATGGTCTAACATGAGAATAAAGGTATGTTTGGATGAAAATAACTACATTTCTTTTAAAAGCACTTATTCGCAAACTTCAAAACTGGATAAGGAAAATGCCTAATTACATAGCTTCCAAACTTACCTAAAAACCCATTTAGAATTTACAAAATATACACACCCATGATGGAGAAAAACTATAGCACAATGAAAAATTAGAAATCAAGAAGTTTTTATATTTTCTACGGAGAAAATCTGTGAAACCAATGAATCAATTTGTAGGGAGTTATAACAGTAAAAGGGTTACAAACTATGCACATTTAAGAACCACATTTTAAAGGAGCAAAAGATTAAGTCTGGATATTTTTTAAAATCATGGTTTTAAACCTTTGTCAAGTTTTAATTTTTATATTCCTACTTTCTAGTTCTTGACACTAACTCAACATTGCTAATATAGTTATCAAGTGGTTAACTTATTCTTCCTTTTATTCAATTCAGAGAAAAGTATAAAAAGTAAGGCTTTAAAAATTTTAAAGGAAACAGATAAGCTTTATAATATTTTTGTGTGTTTTATAATCTCAGATTAACAAAATTCAAGCAACAGCATACTAATTCCTTTAGCACAAAAACATTTTTTATTTTTTAGAGACAAGGTCTTGCTCTGTAGCCCAGGCTGGAGTGCAGTCTGAAACTCTACAATGAATGATGAAAAAATTATACTATTTTCCCTTCCTTCACCTTGAAGTGCATAGCTCACTGCAAACCGAATCCCTGGTTTCAAATGATCCTCCCACCTCAGCCTCTCAAAATGCTGGGATTACAGGCATAAGCCACCATGCCAAAGCAAAAAACATTTTAAAACTGAAATGAAAATTCATAAGCTTCAGATACCCAGTGATATTTATTATACATTGTGGATTAGGCTGAAAGTTAGTATTATAGGTTAGGATAACTAATATTTCTTCTTCTGTTCACAAATGCACTGGTATCCAACAACCACTGGAAAAAAGTATTCAGAGATCAAGATGAAATGGCAAAGTAAAAGAAATAATAAAATGAAACCCTACTCATCAATAGTCATTGAAAATGATGATTAAATAAATGAAAGTGAAATAGGTTTTAATTGACCCTGAAAAGGATTTTGTACAGGACCATTTTTGACCCAAGACTCCCAGTCCTCCATGTCTTCTTCTGTACCTTCTTGCTTACATGACTGCTTGTTTTCTTTACTTTTAATGAAAATTCACTTTCATTGAAGGTGTAGCCCTTCTGGTCCTGGCTCTGTGGAGGGGTTTCAGATTATAACTTCTCAGTTCATGAGGTCCGAGGTTTTGTCTCCAGTCTCCAAGAGGCCATTAAAATAGTAATTCTAGCTTATGAAAGAAGGGTAGATTTCCTTCCTCAGTACTGGTTTAGTTTTTTGATTTGGACTTTTGATCCTTTGTACGTCTTTGAGAATTTCCCTTTCTTGCCAGCTCACCAGTGCATTTAGTAAGCTGTTTTAAAATACTTTAGAATTTTTAGGTATTTGCTGAAGGAGGATCATTCAGTTTACCTAGCCCACCTTATGGTCAGAAATGGAAACAATTGTTATAAACCTAGACAATGGAAAAGTATAATGTAATTTTAAAAATTGGAGTCAGAGTGAGAAAAACAAGGTGAAGGAGGGGAAAATAGTATAATTTTTTCATCATTCATTGTAGAGTTTCAAGAGATACTATCTAAATTTGAAAGAGAATCACAGATATCATGAAAAATAATACTGTGATTGCCAGAGGAACTAAAACCAAAATTTGTTAATAGTGTTTATCTCTGAGTCCTGAGTAGGGTGAGGGATTTTGGAGGAAGTGTTTTACTTTTTGAAAAGGTGGAAATAAAATTGTTTTTATTCCCAGCTGACATGTTCATCTACATAGAAAATCTGGTGGTATCAACAAAGAAACTACTAGAAGTTACTTTAACAAGGTATCAGGATATAAAAGATCATAATAAAAATCAGTTATATCTCTCTATACTAGTAATGAACAAAAGAAATTTAAAAACAGTATTATTTGCAATAGCATCAAAATTACGATTACTCAGGGATAAAACTGATAAAAATAGTGAAAGATCTGTATACCAAAAACTAAAAAACATTACCAAGAGAAATTAAAGAAGACCAGAATAAAAGAAGATATGTACCTTTTTCATGGGTCAGAAGACTTAATATTATTAACATGTCAGTTCTTACCAGATTATTCTGTAGATTCAACACAATGTTAACCCAAATCATTGATTCTAAAATTCATATGGAAACACAAAAGACTTATAATATAGAAAACAACCTTTAAAAAGAAAAACAAAAATACTCCCTGATTTCAAAATTATAAATTTACAGTATACAAGATAGTGTGGTATTGGGGTAAAGATAGACAAACATATCAATAGAACAGAATAGAGAATCCCAAAATAGAACCGCATACATAGGGACAACTTATTTTTGATAAAGATAGAAAGGGAATTCAGTGGAGACCAGTAGTCTTTTTAATGAATGGTGCTGAAACAATAGGATATGAAACAATCTGTATGGAAAGTTGTGAACCTTAATCCTTATCTCATATCTTACACACCACTTAATTCAAAACCTCTCATAGACCTAAACTTAGCAAAAATAATA
Source organism: Homo sapiens (assembly GCF_000001405.40). Lineage (NCBI taxonomy): Eukaryota > Metazoa > Chordata > Mammalia > Primates > Hominidae > Homo > Homo sapiens. Next base: position 3,543,042 of record NC_000009.12, on the reverse strand, counting down.
AAACTGTGTTAAGGAAACAGATGAGATAAATTTTGGATTAGGCAAAGACTTTTTAGGTAAAACAAAAAAGGCACAATAAAAAAAGATATTAACAGATTAGACCATCAAAATTAAAGTCTTTGTTCTTTGAAAGATACCTTCAAGGAAGTAAAAAGGCAAGCCGTACACTGGGAGAAATATTTGCAAAATATGTATGTCTGATGAAGGATTTGTGTCCAAAATATATGAACTTTTATAATCCAAGAAGAAGATGACAAACAAAAAAAAAAAAAAAGGAGGGGGTAAAACATGAACAGATATCTCACAAAAGAAGAAATGGGACAAGTCAATAACACAGGAAATGCAGCTTAACATTACTAGTCATTAGGGAAATACAAATTAAAACCACAATGAAAGTTGGCAAGGATGTGGAGCAATTAGGACTCTCACACATTTCTGGGAGGAATACAAAATGATAAAGGCACTAGGAAAGCATTTTGGCAATTTCTTAAACATACACTTGGTATATGACCCAGTAATTTCACTCCTAGGCGTCTGTAAAAGTGAAATGAAAACATCTATCTCCAGGCACACTTATACATGAATTGTGGCAGCATTATTGTGGCAAGAACACTTATATATAATGATGGTAGCAATATTCATAATAACAAATATCTGAAACAAACTCTGGTATATCCATACAATGGAATACTAATCAGCAATAAAAGCAAATGAATTATTGATATACACAACAATATGGGTGAATGTCAGAAACATTCTGCCACAGCACCCACCCCCCAGCAAAATTTAAATATTGTATGTTCCATTTATGTAGCATTCTAGTTAAAGGAATAATATAGTGGCAGCTTATCAAAGTTTTCCTGGGGATGGGGTGAGGTAATTGGTAAGAGAGAGTTGACTACAAAAGCACAAGGAAGATTTTGATGTTGATAGAAATGTCCAATATCTGATTGCGGTGGTGGTCAAATGACTGCATACTTTGCTAACATTTATCTAATTGTATACTTAATAGGAGTGAATTTATTATATGTGAATTATATTTTAATAAAGGATTAAGAACTCTTTTATATCCCCAGGATGGCACAACAATACTGATTATCATAAATGTACTATTCCAATACCTTTGTTAGCTGAAAAAATTGGTTAGAAGCAGAAATTAAAAACCACAGTATGTATTGGAATAGATTTCAAAATCTCTTCCTAATAAAGCTGTTCTTGATTATCAGTATTACTTATAGCCTGAAAGTAAATTGGGTGAGAGATATCATAGGTCTGTAGTTTTCTGTGTTCTTCCTTCTGAACTTACTTCAAGTGGATAAATGGATTCCTTATTTAATGCCTCATTTCTTTAGAGAATTTTAATGCATTAATATCCTCCAAGTAGATCCGATGGCCTTTCTGAAACCTTTTATGTGGCCAGATGGGAAGGGAATAGAACAATATCCCAGGTCCAGTTTTTCCTCTTACTAAACACTAAAAAAAAAAAAAAAATCAAGACACCCTTAAAATCCCTTTTTCTCCAGTTTCTATAAGAGAGGGGTTAACAAAGCCCTGTAACACTCTTAAAGCTCTCCTGCTGCTAAGGGGAGTGCAACAGAGACTGTCACCATAAGGACTGATTCCTGACTGAGAGCTGAGTCTTTCTCAAGAGAAATCTGACAATTAAGTGCAGAAGTTGTCCTTGGATTGCACCAAAGATTATCCCAGCTGGGGTTCTGAGAAGGACTCTGGCAGAATATGGCCAAGGGAAGGCCCTTTGTGGCACAGATCGAAAACACCTTGCCCTATGGGGCTGATCACAGTCAGATAACTAGGAAGAGACTGCCTTTTAGATTTACAGAGAGCCTCCACAAGAGGGTCTCCAGAGTAAAGTCTTCTTTAAAAATTAATTTTAGAAAGAAACACATTATCAGTATTTCAAAAGACAAAGCAACTTAGGCAAAATTTAGACTAAAATAAGAAAGAAAATAAGATTACAGTTATATAGAAATCTTTACCAAATTTTTTCATGTAAGCTATTTTCCCTGGTACACTGTGTGGAACTGTCCCAAATTCAAGATTCTCTTGTTTAGACTACAGCTTTAAAAAATATGTTTGTCACCACCAGGCCTGCCCTAAAAGAGCTCCTGAAGGAAGCACTAAACATGGAAAGGAACAACCGGTACCAGCCACTGCAAAAACATGCCAAATTGTAAAGACCATCGAAGCTAGAAAGAAACTGCATCAACTAATGGGCAAAATAACCAGCTAACATCATAATGACAGGATCAAATTCACAAATAACAATATTAACCTTAAATGTAAATGGGCTAAATGCTCCAATTAAAAGACACAGACTGGCAAATTGGATAAAGAGTCAAGACCCATCAGTGTGCTATATTCAGGAAACCCATCTCATGTGCAGAGACACACATAGGCTCAAAATAAAGGGATGGAGGAAGATCTACCAAGCAAATGGAACACAAAAAAAGCAGGGGTTGCAATCCTAGTCTCTGATAAAACAGACTTTAAAGAAACAAAGATCAAAAGAGACAAGGCCATTACAAAATGGTAAAGGGAACAATTCAACAAGAGCTAACTATCCTAAATATATATGCACCCAATACAGGAGCACCCAGATTCATAAAGCAAGTCTGTAGAGACCTACAAAGAGACTTAGACTCCCACACAATAATAATGGGAGACTTTAACACCCCACTGTCAACATTAGACAGATCAACGAGACAGAAAGTTAACAAGGATATCCAAGAATTGAACTCAGCTCTCTGCACCAAGCAGACCTAATAGACATCTACAGAACTCTCCACCCCAAATCAACAGAATATACATTCTTCTCAGCACCACACATCAAACTTATTCCAAAACTGACCACATAGTTGGAAGTAAAGCACTCCTTAGCAAATGTAAAAGAACAGAAATTATAACAAACTGTCTCTCAGACCACAGTGCAATCAAACTAGAACTCAGGATTGAGAAACTCACTCAAAATCGCTCAACTACATGGAAACTGAACAACCTGCTCCTGAATGACTACTGGATACATAACGAAATGAAGGCAGAAATAAAGATGTTCTTTGAAACCAACGAGAACAAAGACACAACATACCAGAATCTCTGGGACACATTCAAAGCAGTGTAGAGAGGGAAATGTATAGCACTAAATGCCCACAAGAGAAAGCAGGAAAGATCTAAAATTGATACCCTAACATCACAATTAAAAGAACTAGAGAAGCAAGAGCAAACACATTCAAAAGCTAGCAGAAGGCAAGAAATAACTAAGATCAGAGCAGAACTGAAGGAAATAGAGACACAAAAAAAACCCTTCAAAAAATCAATGAATCCAGGAGCTGGTGTTTTGAAAAGATCAACAAAATTGATAGAGCACTAGCAAGACTAATAAAGAAGAAAAGAGAGAAGAATCAAATAGATGCAATAAAAAATGATAAACGGGACATCACCACCAATCCCACAGAAATACAAACTACCATCAGAGAATATTATAAACACCTCTATGCAAATAAACTAGAAAATCTAGAAGAAATGGATAAATTCCTGGAAACATACACCCTCCCAAGACTAAACCAGGAAGAAGTTGAATCTCTGAATAGACCAAAAACAGGTTCTGAAATTGAGGCAATAATTAATAGCTTACCAACCAAAAAAAGTCCAGGATCAGATGGATTCACACCTGAATTCTACCAGAGGTACAAGAAGGAGCTGGTACCATTCCTTCTGAAACTATTCCAATCAATAGAAAAAGAGGGAATCCTCCCTAACTCATTTTATGAGGCCAGCATCATCCTGATTCCAAAGCCTGGCAGAGACACAACAAAAAAAGAGAATTTTAGACCAATATCCCTGATGAACACTGATGCAAAAATCCTCAATAAAATACTGGCAAACCAAATACAGCAGCACATCAAAAAGCTTATCCACCATGATCAAGTGGGCTTCATCCCTGGGATGCAAGGCTGGTTCAACATAAACAAATCAATAAACGTAATCCAGCATATAAACAGAACCAAAGACAAAAATGACATGATTGTCTCAATAGATGCAAAAAAGGCCTTTGACAAAATTCAACAGCACTTCATGCTAAAAACTCTCAATAAATTAGGTATTGATGGGACGTATCTCAAAATAATAAGAGCTATCTATGACAAACCCACAGCCAGTATCATACTGAATGGGCAAAAACTGGAAGCATTCCCTTTGAAAACTGGCACAAGACAGGGATGCCCTCTCTCACCACTCCTATTCAACATAGTGTTGGAAGTTCTGGCCAGGGCAATCGGCCAGGAGAAAGAAATAAAGGGTATTCAATTAGGAAAAGAGGAAGTCAAATTGTCCCTGTTTGCAGATGATATGATTGTATATCTAGAAAACCCCATAGTCTCAGCCCAAAATCTCCTTAAGCTGATAGGCAACTTCAGCAAAGTCTCAGGATACAAAACCAATGTGCAAAAATCACAAGCATTCTTATACACCAATAACAGACAAACAGAGAGCCAAATCATGAGTGAACTCCCATTCACAATTGCTTCAAAGAGAATAAAATACCTAGGAATCCAACTTACAGGGGACGTGAAGGACCTCTTCAAGGAGAACTACAAACCACTGCTCAATGAAATAAAAGAGGATACAAACAAATGGAAGAACATTCCATGCTCATGGGTAGGAAGAATCAATATCGTGAAAATGGCCATACTGCCCAAGGTAATTTATAGATTCAATGCCATCCCCATCAAGCTACCAATGGCTTTCTTCAAAGAATTCGATAAAACTACTTTAAAGTTCATATGGAACCAAAAAAGAGCCCACATTGCCAAGTCAATCCTAAGCCAAAAGAACAAAGCTGGAGGCATCACGCTGACTTCAAACTATACTACAAGGCTACAGTAACCAAAACAGCATGGTACTGGTACCAAAACAGAGATATAGACCAATGGAACAGAACAGAGCCCTCAGAAATAATGCCGCATATCTACAACCATCTGATCTTTGACAAACCTGACAAAAACAAGCAATGGGGAAAGGATTCCCTATTTAATAAATGGTGCTGGGAAAACTGGCTAGCCATATGTAGAAAGCTGAAACTGGATCCCTTCCTTATATCTTGTACAAAAATTAATTCAAGATGGATTAAAGACTTAAATGTTAGACCTAAAACCATAAAAACCCTAGAAGAAAACCTAGGCAATACCATTCAGGACATAGGCATGGGCAAGGACTTCATGTCTAAAACACCAAAAGCAATGGCAACAAAAGCCAAAATTGACAAATGGGATCTAATTAAACTAAAAGGCTTCTGCACAGCAAAAGAAACTACCATCAGAGTGAACAGGCAACCTACAAAATGGGAGAAAATTTTTGCAATCTATCCATCTGACAAAGGGCTAATATCCAGAAGCTACAATGAACTCCAACAAATTTACAAGAAAAAAACCAACCATCCCATCAAAAAGTGGGCAAAGGATATGAACAGACATTTCTCAAAAGAAGACATTTACACAGCCAAAAGACACATGAAAAAATGCTCATCATCACTGGTCATCAGAGAAATGCAAATCAAAACCACAATGAGATACCATCTCACACCAGTTAGAATGGCAATCATTAAAAAGTCAGGAAACAACAGGTGCTGGAGAGGATGTGGAGAAATAGGAACACTTTTACACTGCTGGTGGGACTGTAAACTAGTGCAACCATTGTGGAAGTCAGTGTGGCGATTCCTCAGGGATCTAGAACTAGAAATACCATTTGACCCAGCCATCCCATTACTGGGTATATACCCAAAGGATTATAAATCATGCTGCTATAAAGACACATGCACAAGTATGTTTATTGCGGCACTATTCACAATAGCAAAGACTTGGAACCAACCCAAATGTCCAACAATGATAGACTGGATTAAGAAAATGTGGCACATATACACCATGGAATACTATGCAGCCATAAAAAAGGATGAGTTCATGTCCTTTGTAGGGACATGGATGAAGCTGGAAACCATCATTCTCAGCAAACTATCACAGGGACAAAAAACCAAACACTGCATGTTCTCACTCATAGGTGGGAATTGAACAATGAGAACACATGGACACAGGAAGGGGAACATCACACACTGGGGACTGTTGTGGGGTGGGGGGAGGGGAAGGGATAGCATTAGGAGATATACCTAATGTTAAATGACGAGTTAATGGGTGCAGCACACCAACATGGCACATGTATACATATGTAACAAACCTGCACATTGTTCACATGTACCCTAAAACTTAAAGTATAATTTAAAAAAAGTAAAAAAAAAAAAAACAAAAAAATTATGTTTCTTAGATGCAAAAGGGTTGGGTGTAGGATTAGAGACAAGAGGCAGGTAGTTCAACATAGCAGTTAAGAAGGCAGACTCCGTAGTCATAGTCTGTTAGTCTGGTTCAAGACCTAACTTCAGCAAAAATGAGGTGTGCTGTCTAGGGAAAATTACTTAATCTCTCTGTTTCCTTATAGGGGATAATAATGGTAATCTACATATAGAATTGCTACAGGATTAAGCAAAATAATACATACAAACTGAGAACAGTACCTAGTACATAGAAAATGTTTGTGTTAATTAGGATTAACTGTGAGACAGAAAACAAGATTGATGTTTCTTTTTCATGTAAACATAATGCAGACCAGTGTAGTAGCCTCACACTCATTATGGTCTTAGTCTCCTACTCTGTTGCTCCATGTGTGTGGCTTGGTGGCATCCTTCTTCTAAACAATGGGATAGAGAAGGGGATGAAAATTAGAGGGGGAAAGGGTGAAGGACTTAAGCAATCTGCCTTAAATTTTTTTTGAAGTGGCCCTGTGAACACTTAGTTGACAAGAGCTTAGTCATAAGACTCCATCTAACTTTAAGGGAAACCAGGAAAGGAAGTCTTCCGGCTCAGCCCAAAACATGAATAATTCTGTTTTCATAAAAGAAGGGGAGCAGGTAACTAATAATCTGTCAGAATGCTTCATAAATGTTGGTAATTATTGTTATTCTGTTACTTACATGGCTCCTAGATCAGTCTCCTGGTCTGATAGTTCTTAGCTCATGGGACTTCTTTTGTATGTGCCTCTCTACTTGAATCTGTCACTGAAATTTGCATATTTATAAAACTGCTTATTAAAAAAAAGTCTTATCTTTTCCCCTTCCTAATGTTCTGCTCAGAGTAAGTCCAATATTGTCCTTTTCTTATATTCATACCTATACTCATAATCTTGATATATTATTTTCTCATTTATCTTATGCCTTTCTTCCTCAACTAGTCTGTTATGCACTGAATTGTGTCCCATCCAAATTCATATGTTGAAGTCCTAACCAGTAGTGCCTCATATTGTATTTGGAGGTAGCATATTTAAAGAAATAATTTAGTTAAAATGAGGTCATTAGGGTGAGCCCTAATCCAATATGACTGATGTTCTTATAAGAAGATAAGATAGAACACAGACACACGGAGGAAAGACCATGTGGAGATACAAGGGGAAGATGGACATCTACAAGCCAGTGAGAAAGGCCTCAGAAGAGACCATCTCTTGGTGTCAAGCAGTGACACCTTGATCTCAGATTTCTAGTCTCTTGAAGTGTGAGAAAAATTTCTGTTGTTTAAGCTACTCAGTCTGTAGTGTTTTGTTATGGCAACTCAAGCAAAATTTTTCAGTCTGTGAGTTTATTTAGTGTTATCAAAGTCCCAACAAGAAACAGATGATACACTAGAAAGAGGGCAATTTGATGCGAATTTAAGTACAAAGGACCTATTTACCAAGATGTGGGTGTAGAGAAACTGAAAGAATGGTGCAGTAACCTAGAGAGCAGTGGAACTGTTACTACCCATAAGCCTAAAGAGGGGAAAGAGCCTTTATCAGAATTCTTAAGTCAATGGATATGGCTATCTTGAAGCAACTTTGCAAGGTAGGAGACAGGGTAATAAAAAACCTGACTTTACTCTCCTCTCTCCACGTCTCCAATCTCCTGCCAGTGCTGCCCACTGATGGAAACCAACTGGCAGCCAGAAAGCAATGATGTAGTCAGAATGCATGAAGGTCAGCTTTCTAGAAAGGTGGGTAAAAAAGAGTCAAGAGTGAATATGGAGACACAAATAGAAGATAATCTGGCACAACAAGGAAGTTCTTTTGTATCTTTCACTCTTCCTTGTTCCTTATCTCCACGTGTCCATAATAACTAGTATAGCAGAGATAGCCGGTCCTCAGTAAGTATTAGAAAATTGACCATGCTTGACATTTTCAAGTACTGTAAACATTTCCTCCACTGTATTTTTTAGAATATATCCTCTCTCACTATTCCTAGTTATAGCCTTAACCCAAGTCTTAACCATATCTTACCTCTAGGACTAGTGCTTCCCTGTTCCTTTTGGCTCATTCTACGCAAACGAAAAAACAAACAAAAACCAATCAACCCATGAGACCACAATACTTTAAAAAAAAAAGATCATAGTAATCATCTCGGTAGATTATGATAATGTTTCTTCCTTTTCTCACCTTTACATGGCTTCATTATAGTTGACATGAGATTAAGATTGTGGATATTCGAGGAACGTTCCTGTCAACTTCCTTTCCAAAAGTTATTACAACTTCCAGCCTGTCTTACCTGTTTCTGGCAGGTAAGCGTTATATCTTTTGAAGTCTACAATAAACTTTCAGAATTTTGTTTCTTTTCCAAAGATGATTGTCAAATACAGAGGTATGGCTTTTTCAAGAGATGCTAACAAGTTATGTTTTAATTGTACAACTAAGTTAACTTAAAAATAGTCTTATAGAAATTACTCTTATAATAGATACTTCCTTAATGTGCTCTCAGCAGTGAGAAGAACTTCCACCTAGATTAAGCTCCAGTGTAGATCCACTTATTATATACATCATTCAATTCTGCCACCTCTGCAGCTGGTTCCTTAGACGCTGATGGTTTCTGGCTTTTCCAGAAAGTCAGTTCTTTGTATTTCATTGTAGGGTCATTGAGACAGTACTGCCTCAAAAGAAAATGATATGGATATTTTATGCAATTTTACTTATTTCATTTAAGGAGGAATTTAATCTTAAACTTATCCACTTTCAAAATAGGCATGTTTAACCCTATAAAAAATCTTTGTCATACAGTTTTCTATAATCTTATTATTCACTTAACATTTCTTGTCTATTATCAATCTTCAAACAAATTAGTGTTTTTCCTCTAAAGGTTGTTACTTCTGGGTGAAAAATGATGTAACATTTAACAAGTAGTCTATAATTACTGTGTCACACATTTGAAGTTACAAGTAAGATAACCCTATAAAGCAAATCCAACTGTCTTTATTTTTTCATAATGAAGTATATCAATTTTTAATGAAGGTTGTAGTGCCAAATTAGGGTAATGAGTTCAAGTACACTTAAGTAATCACCCTTTTATTAGTTTTTTCTGATCTTTGTGAAACTAGCACAAAGTTCACTATAATGATCTCAGTGGATCTATTAACTAATCCCTCCCTTTATAGGAAGAAGGAAAAAAAAGCCTAAGAAACAAATTGTTTTAAATTCACTTTTGCCACTATTATTTCAGGGCCATTTTATCCATCAATCACTATGCTTAGGATTTATGCAGTTCTCAAGGTCTTTTGAAAATGTTGGGGATCTAAAAAAAAAAAGTTGACTTCAAAATATGAAAAGTGGCAAATAATAACTATGTAATTAATGTCTACAAAACATACCATTATTGTCATTTTTAAACTCAATTTTTAGTCATGTATATTTTATGTGATGTGGATGTATTTTAATGTGTTTAATATTATATGGGGTTGGAAGTCTTCAAACCAAGTCTTTAAAATGGCCTTAATCTTTAAATTTTTTTTGAGACAGGGTCTTACTCTTTTACCGGGACTGGAGTGCAGTGGTGTGACCATGGCTCTGCATCCTTGAACTCCTGAGCTCAAGTAATCCTCCTGCCTCAGCCTTCCAAGTAGCTGGGACTACAGGCACGCACCACCATGCCTAGCTAATTTATTTTTTCATTTTTTTGTAGAGACAGGGTGTCTTTCTTGCCCAGGCTTGGCCTCCCAAAGTGCTGAGACTAAAGGTGTAAGGCATGGCACCTGGCCCTTAATCTCTTTTATGACAGTAGTACCACATAACATTTCAAACAGTACTTGCGGGCAAGTGTTTTAAACACCCCACTGTAAAATGTGTATTTTTCTGTTCCCTGCCCTCAAAACAAAAATGTTAGTAAGCTAAAAAAAAATTTTTGGAAAAATATTGCACGCACGTAAATTCTCTCTTTCAAAACAAACAAGGCATCAAGAGGCAAATACATGTAATGTCAATCAGTAATCTTTATTTTTCTTCATTAGTGGTTGTGTCATATTGCTTAAAAAAATTTTTAAGGATGAAAAAAGTTCAGTCATATGCTGTAACAATTGATATACACATTCAAAAACAATTTAAATGAAGGTTTTACATATTATTGTGATATCAGTATGTGGGGCAGGTGACATATATGGCATGTTCCAGTGAGCAGATACTATTAGTATACTTCCAATAGGGAGAATGGCCCAACAGAACTTGGGAGATGTTTTCTCCAGACTACATATTACATTATAAGAAAAAAAAAAGGTAGAGGAAGGGAGGAAGGGAAGGGGAGGGAGGAAGTGGAGAGGGAGAGGGAGAGGAAGAGAGAGAGGCAGAGGGAGAGGGAAAGGTGGGGAGAGAGGGAGGGGGCAGAGAGAGAGGGAGAGAGAGGGAGAGGGAGAGAGAGGGAGGGGGAGAGAGAGAGAGAGAAAGAAAACAAGAATTTGGCAGTTAAAGAATTTGGATCAAATAAAATCATTTTTTATATATAATTGACAATAATTGAGAAAATACTTTCCAGCACATATTATTGACATGAACTGCTGATTCATTTATAATAATTAATCTTTAACAGTTAAAGTTCATTGTCTTGTAAAAATCTACTTGGGGTTCACAAAGGTCTTAAAAAACACTGGTAGAAATATTTATTAACATTATTAAGGTACTTACTCCACCAAAAATTTTTCTTAATTTCACTGAAGTACTATATAAACACATATATTTAATATTTTGAATCAATTCACCTGGTATTCCATCTCTTAAAATCCATTAAAATCAGAATTTTAGAATTGAGATCATTCAGGTCTTTTTATCCTTCACTTACAAACTTAGTTTTCTTCTACTTCCAAAAGGCTTGAGTCTGAAGTGTTACCTACCGAGCTTATTTGACTTTCTAAACCTAGTCATAGAGCTAGCACCAAAATCTCCCAAAACGCTCTTAAGTGTTACCTTAGAAGAAGGTTGTATGATCGCCACGTTTAAGATACTTGATTCCAATAGAAAAAATTTTTTCTGTATTCATCTAGAGTTCACTTTAAGCCCTCAAAAGAAATTTCTTGTTTCTAGATGCATTCAAAATTATAAAGCAGCAGAACTCATTTTTTGGAGCGGAAAATCAATGCTATCTATTGTATGTCACAATTACATATTTGAAAATTTGCCAAGAATTTTACTATTTATCCTTTCTCCCCAGGGTTGAACAAAAATATTATGGAAAACATGGGCTAATTAGTAGATTAAAATAGAGTAATAAAAATTCTATTAATGATTTATAGGGTTTGGGGGCAGGTATTACTGGCATACAATGCATATTAATTACAATTTTGAAAAATGTAAACATGTGCATAAAACAAGGTCTAGACTAGAACTCTCTAGTAGAACTTCTGAGATAACAGAAGTCTGTATTTGCACTGTCCAACTTAGTAGGCAGTAGCCACATGTGGCTATTGAACATTTAAAATGTAGCTAATGTGACAGTGGAAATGAATTTTGTTTTAATTAATAGATTTTAATAGCTATATGTCATTAGTGCAGCTGAGACAGTGCAGAACATTTTCACCATCCTACCATGTTCCCTCATAATCCTTTCCACTAAAATCCCAACCTACTGCCTCTGCCATAAGAAGATACTAAACACAGATTACTTTTTCCTGTTCTTAAATTTTATATAAATGGATTCATATGCTATGTACTCTGTGTCTGGCTTCTTTTGCCAAATGCAATGTTTTTGAGATTTGTCCGTGTTGTATCAGCAGTCCTTTCCTTTGACTTGCTCAATAATACTCCATCGTATGACTGTATCACAATTTGTTTTACTCTTTTACTTTTTAAAGACAAGGTCTTGCTCTCACCCAGGCTGAAGTACAGTGGTGTGATCACGGCTCACTGCAACCTTGAACTCCTGGATTCATGCAATTCTCTTGCCTCAGCCTCCCAAGTAGCTGGGACTCCAGGCATGTGCCAACATGCTCAGCTAAGTTTTAATTTTTTTTTGTAAAGACAGAGTCTCGCTATGTTGCTCAGGCTAGTCTCAAACTCCTGGCCTCCAGTGATCCTCATGGCTTGGCCTCCCAGAGTGTTGGGATTACAGGTGTTAAGTCATTGTGCTGGGCCCACAATTTGTCTTCCCATCCTCCTATTGATATACATTTGAATTGTTTCCAGACTATTTTTTTTTTTTTGAGACCGAGTTTTGCTCTTGTTGCCCAGGGTGGAGTGCAATGGTGCGATCTCGGCCCACCGCAACCTCTGCCTCCCAGGTTCAAGCGATTCTCCTGCCTCAGCTTCCCAAGTAGCTGGGATTACAGGTATGTGCCACCACACCCAGCTAATTTTGTATTTTTAGTAGAGATGGGGTAACTCCATGTTGGTCAGGCTGGTCTCGAACTCCCGATGTCAGGTGATCCACCCGCTCGGCCTCCCAAAGTGTTGAGATTAAAGGCGTGAGCCACCACGCCCGGCCCCAGACTTTTTTTTTTAAAGCTGCATGTGTACATCAAAAGGTAATTTGGTGTTAAGCAAAGGTAGTCAACTTATGATTCTATAATCATCTTTCTGTGCTGGAGTAAAAATGTAATTCCAAGACATACACATGCACACAAACGTGTGTACACATAGCCACACACACTCTTCAGAACTGCCGAGTAATCAGCTGGTTTGTATTACTTAAAGAAAACACAGAAAGACAAATCTACCAGAAAAAATTATTGCACTGTTTTCAAAACCAAATCATACTTTAGGTGGGGATAGGGAGGCTTGAGGGTGCTCCAGAGAATAGTGGCAAATTATGTTCAGTTTTGAATTACCTTGGCCCCTATCACTCTCTTATCATTTTTAAATAATTATCACATATCCACAGAATTTCAGATCTAGTAAAGGGAATTAGCAATCGAGTAATAAAATTATCCAGTATTCCACATAAGTGCTCAATAAATATTGGTACAAATGAAACCATTCATTTTATATAAGAGAACCCAAGACTCTACATCTCTCTCTCAATTGAAGAAAATAGGATATAATCAAATGAAAAAATTTAAAACAGGTGTGATTTCTCTCATAAAAAGATTCACCACAAATTCAACAATAAGGTGCCACAGCATACATTACTTTTCAAACTCTCATACTATTTTTCAGAAGCAAGCCTATCACATAGCACTATTTTATCTTTTCATATGCATCCTTTCTTTTTTAAAGTATAATAATGAAATAACTTATTAGTCCTTGAATATGGAGTAGATATGAATAGGCAAAAACACTCTAATAGATAATACAGAAATCTACCACTACGAATGTGTTAAAGTAACTTATGAAATACACAATCTATATATATCATCAGGGCTTCAGATTTTTCTTCAAGTAGTTCAGATACAAATGTGTTATTCCATGTCTCTTCCAATCATTCTGATCGGAGAGAAAAAAACAATCCAAGTTAAAACACAACATTCTAAATTAATAGATAATGTTGAACATTTTACATTCAGGAACTATGTCTGCCCAATTTTAGCTTGGTTATGTACCTTTTTTTATTGATCACACAGTGTGTTTTGCACTATAATAGGTGATAACTGTTAGAGTGGTCCAATACTGGGTCTTTTCTGTGACTTCTTAGCAAATAATTTATTTCTGAAACATACATGCAACATATGTGAAGATGCATCTATGCAGCTTTAAAAAATGGCTAAAAAAAATCCTACAAGCAATAACTATGGGTTAAAAGGTTTCTGGGTTCTTTTGTAACTAATTACAGTATTAAACAATACATGCATATAAAATCCGTATTTTCGATTCTATAGCTTGAACTGGTATCTTGGTCATCTGATTCAGTGTGGTGGTGTATTTGTACCTTTTCACACTGCTATAAAGAACTGCCGGAGACTGGGTAATTTATGAAGAAAAGAGGTTTAACTGACTCACAGTTCTGCAGGCTTAACAGGAAGCATGACTGGGAGGTCTCACGGAAACTTACCATTATGGCGGAAGGCGAAGGGTACAAGGACTTTCTTCACATTGTGGCAGGTGAGAGAGGGGTAGTGGTAAATATTTTTAAACAAGCAGATCTCGTGAGAAGTCACTCTTGAAACAGCACTAGTGGGATGGTGCTAAACCATCAGAAACTGCCCCCAGGATCCAATCATCTCCCACAGGGCCCCTCCTTCAACACTTTCGGATTACGATTTCACATGAGAGTTGGGTGGGGACACAAAGCCAAACCCTATCAGGCAGTAACACTAACATTTCAAATATTAACCTCAATATGGTTAGAATTGTATCATCATCAAGTATCCTAAAACATGGGAAAATATTCTAAATTCTAAATTTTCAAGAATTAACTTCAGGAAATTTATCTATTCCTAACTCTGGAAAAGACCAAATCTGTAAGGCAAAAAAAAAAAAAAAAAAAAAAAAAAAAAATTTAAGCAGCTTAAAACTGATTCTATAATGTCCTAGCACAAGGGTTGCACTTATTTTTTAATAGTCCCTCGAAGTACCTATTTATACTCTTGAGATACAGTTTTGCACAAGGTTCACTATGTGGTTTTCTTGCCTGCAGATTAAGAGCAATAAATTAAAAGGGCGGTAAGGATAATAGAACTATGTTCACTGACAAAAATAAAAAGCAACAGCTGACAATGAAAGACGGGACAGGCAAACTATAACAGACAATGGAATTTAAAAAAACAAAGCTATTCAGAGAGCCATGTAGTGTGAACATACAGCCCTACACACCATTATAGGAATGAGGACTTTATCAGTAAATATAATAAAGAGAATATTCATAACGACTACCAGTTTTCATAAAGCTGGAACGTATACCTCATTTCCCATCTGTATGTCAAATGGGACCCACACTGGTCACCACACAATCATTTGTCTGACTAGAAGCCCTTACTACCACAGTGGGTCAGGAAACCTTTTAGCTTTAGCACTAGGCTCACCACTGTTCACTACTGCAACACATTATTATTGTAAGAACATCTCTAACTCATGAGATTATCAAAGGCAACAATATTACTTTTAAAAACGTACCCAAAGTAGCTGGTTCCTAAAACAAGGTAACCTTGTATTCTATGGCACGCAGCCATAAACTAAAACCACCGACTTTTAGGACTCTCGGCCTGTTTTTCCTCAAATGCGAATATTACCTAACACTGGTGTTGTTGGGATTACATGAGATAATGTATGTAAAACACTTAGCACCAGTTCTGGGACACAGAATGAGCTCAGTATTATTTTAGCGCTGGTGAACGCATGCCGGCCCAAATCCCTTACTTGCAGGTGCAAAAATTAAGCCTCAAGAGGAGAACTGACTTCCTAAGGCTCTACTTCTACTATGTCATTGTCCTGGTTAAGCAGCTTAGCGGCAAATGTTGGGAGATTTTGGGTATTGGCAGGGCCTGGGGGCATGTGCCTGCTGGACTCGAGTCTGCAGAGAATTGGAGGAGTCTGTTTGAACCATGAGGCATTACAGGCTGTGCCTTATCAACGGGTGTTTGAGATGGCAGGTTGTGTTAACAACATTCAACACAGACGGAAGCCATTCGTCTATCTCAATACAGCCACAAACAGCAAGACCCTCAGCTACAGTAGGCTGAGTAACGGGGGATGAGAGCACGGCAGGTAACAGGATCCGGGCTTGAGCTCAACTCCCAGTTCGGTCTTTAAAGAGGGGTGAGCACTTAAGGGCTGAAACTAACAGAACTAGAAACTAACAGGATGGTATCGCAGGCAGGTGTAAGCTACCCCGCCCCTCTACGCCTTCCGTCGAGGGGAACCGCCAAATGCGCTTTCTCAGCCTCCGGGCAGGGCAATTTCTTGCTCTCTACAGGCACTTACTCCCATCCCTTGTAGATAGGGAGTGATGACCTCGCTTTTTCGTTATGGAGTGAGGGCCGGACACGCTTGGACCTCACCTCTCCGCGCCACGCTGCGGCGGCACCGCGGGAGGCCGACTCGCGCCCACGCACACCCCACGCTCGCCTTCTCTAAGATGGCGGCAGAGGCAGCTCGCTCACGCCCCGCCGCCCGCGCTCCTCCACAAGTCGTGCCCTCAGGAGGCGGGAGCGGGTGAGAGCGCGGAAAGCAGGAGGGCGAGAGTGACGCGGACCCTCCAGTCTAGCGCAGGCCGCGGAGCCCTGAAGCGTCCAGGAAAAGGAAAAGCCAGGAGGCTGACGCTACCAGGAACACCGCCGGCGCCTCAGAAACTAAAAAGCGGCGGCACATCCGGGCCCCTCTGCCCGCCCCGCCCCGGAAGTAACGTATCGGGCAGGGCGGGGGCCGCTCTTCAAAGTGGATTCTTCCCTCGCCATAGCTCGTTTCTTCACAAAGTGCCTGGAATCACCCTCGCCACCCCCTCCCCCGGGTTAGCCGTTACTCTCTCGTGGCTCCGGGACGTCTCTGTACAAAGCTGGCTGCTGGGACAGGCAGCCCTCGTTTCACAGATAGTACCCCTCGCACCACGACTCCTGGGCCTCGCCAGCGCGTGTAGTAACGTCCCTCCGAGAGGACTCTTGGTGACCTCAGCCCCAGCCAAGCATAGGCGCACCTCTTCGGAGTCCTGCGGTGGAATCCCGGCCTCGTGCCCCGTCACCCCGCCGCCCCGCCACCCCACCCGGGTTTGGGGGCCGTCAGTCACAGCGCTGCGCCCTCCCCTTCCGGCGGCTTGGCCGGGCCCGCCTCCTCCCCTCTTCCCTCCCCCACCCCTCCCCGTGCGAGTGTCTCCCTCTCCCTCTCGCTCTCTCTCTCTCTCCCTCTCTCTCTCTCTTTTGTGAGTTATAGCAACCGTTGCCTTGTGAATCAAGCGCCATAGTCACCGTAGTCCTGGCGACTGTTACCCATCAACAACAACTACTCCTCTCCTCCTCCTCCTCCTCTTCCTCCTCCTCCTCCCCACCACCACCATCTCCATCACCCACCAACAACACCACAATAATCCACAGCCAAGGTGAATATTCTTCGGTCTCTACATGTGTGTGGGAGCGTGTGGCTGCGTGTGAACGCGTGTGTCCGTGCGTGTGTGTGTTCGTGTGTGCGAGCCGAGTGTGGCTGTGCTGGGGTCTCACTCCTGACACGGGGGCTGCCGCTGCGGCGCCGCCGCCGAGGGGCTCTGTTCCCCGGGCTTGTTTACAATGGACCCTGCGCGCCGCGGCTGGGTCGGGGGTGTGGGCGCCGCGCCGCCCGCCGGCCCCGGCCCTGCGCCGGCCGCACTTCAGGGATGGAGCGGGAGCTTGGGGGGCTGCGAGCCGAGCGGGAGAGGGAGCCACAGTTTTCCGATGCGGATGCTGGATCTTTCCCTTAGGTCTGGTCTGAGGAGGAGGGTCAGGTGAAGAGATAAGAATTTGTTCTTTCTTTAATTTTCTTCTTTTCCAACGCTGCTGTTTCCTGCTTCTTTCAAAGCCGAAATAGACAACAGTGTGCAAGGGGGGGACCCAAGAGGTGGTGTTTTGTTGTTGTTGTTGTTCACTTGTGGGGCCTTGTTATGGGTTTTGTTATTTTTAATCCTCATACGTTGGTGAACTTTTCCCACCGCCCATTCCCTTCATTTTTGCCCCTCTTTGCCTGGTGCTGAATGGGCTGCTCTTCTTTCACCATCATCAGCTTCATGGTTTTCTTTTTTCTTTTTAAAACTGTATTTTCTTTGTGCGGCAAACAGTCTTAACATCCATTCAGCACTCTTCCCTCCCCCTCTTTCTCCCCCCCCCCACACACCCCTTGCACACATATTGAAACCTGGGGCCTGTTCGTTGGGCCCTCTTTGCTGTACTGGGAAAGATGTTTTTCTTTTTTAAAGTCTGTCTCCTCTCTCTTCTTTGGTGTGTGTGTGTGTGTGTGTGTGTGTGTGTGTGTGTGTGTGTGTGTGTGTGCTTGTGATTTAAACCGGATGCAGGGCATCTGTGATACTTGGGTTAGTAGTTATTGACAGTGCTTTATCCTTCATGTGGAGGTGGGAGGGGGAGTAGTGAGGTTCCGTTTCACTTTGATGATCCTCCTTCCCCGCAGTAGAGTGTTAACAATTTTCATTGTGATTATGAGACTTTGTGATGAACAGGGAAGGGACACAAGGAAGCTTTGTGAGAACTCAGTTCACAGTGTTATTTGTGACAGTTATGGTACTTTAAGAGTTTTTTTTTTTTTAATCTCCTCATTTTCCTTTGAGAGTTGAAATTCAAGTCAAGTTCATAAAGAATGTATGAAGGTTCTCAACTTGAAACGTGTGTATATTTCACTTTCTTTCTGGTTAAGATCTAGGCATGTGTGTACTTAACATATTCTTTTTATTTACTTTTTGATTTTCTTTGGACAGTGACTTGAACCTGCTCAGGAGAGAGAACTTTTTCCTTTTTAAGTATTTCTTTTAAAAATTATTTTTCTCTGTAGATTTGAATACTTATTAGTCCTTATATAGTAGGTTCTTGGTTAACGTTAACCCAGTTTTACAGATCCCCTAAATTTGTTCATTTTTTTCAGCTTAACTTTTAGTTAATAGATTTATCAGTAGAGTTTTGATAATGAATGTGTGCTAAAACAAATATAATGTACTATTGTAGTTGCACATATTGAAGTTTTAAATTTACAGTTTTAAAATGCTTATTCAAATAGTCTTCTTTCTAACAGCAAACATATATTGATTTAACTGACACAGCAGCTTGTGAATAATGTGACAGTACTAATTATTCTTGAGATTGTCAACGAGCAGGGTGGGTAATTATAATGCTATTAAGGCTAATATTTTGTAAAATAAGAGTTGGGATTTTAAAAAAACTTTTTCAATTCATTTCCTTGTGATTGCTATTTTAAATGAAGACGATATTTTGTTCTGAAAGAAGTCTTTCTCAGAGCACTCAGATTTGTTTATAATTATTCCTCCTCTCCCCAAACTGGGTTCCATGCAAATCTCTAATACTAACTTGTATTTTTTTTTCTGTTCAGATGAGTGTCAAATGCCTGAACACTTTTGGATGGTGAAGCTCCTGGGTCCTATAAACTCTCTCTGAAGTTAATAGGAGTTTTGCTGTCTTGGGACAGTTTCAGACCTTATGCCATTTACATAATAGGTTTTCAGTTAAGTAAATTATATACTATAATGTTATGGTTTAATATTTTATTTACAGTGTCTGAGAACTTTTTTTGAGGCATTTCACTCATGTATAGCTCAGGTTTTCTGTGATTTAGATTTTCATTCACAAGTTGATTTGAGAGCAGAACTTAAATTGAATTTCATTACTTTTCCATTTTTTGAAGCATATATGTGGGATAAAATTGCTATTAGAGCTGCTGTGGAATTGATTAAATAATCAGAAACACTGAGAAATGGTAAATTTAAAAATTAAACACAAGGATAGATACTTAGCATTTACTTTATTCTTTCTTAATATTTTTCCTAGAAGGGACTATGTTATGTATTGATACTCTCTTGTGTTTTCAGTTTTTATACTAATAGAAATTTGTAAAAGTGATCATGCTTTGAAACTAAAACTATTAAATAGAAGTCACTTGTAACTTGTTTTGAATAGTCAAATGTCTGTGATTCAATGTATGTCATAATGCCTAACTCAGTCGTTTTGGTGTGTTTTGCCTATGAATTGTATTAAATGGTGTAGGCATCATACATATACACATATATGGCAAACTAATGAATTTCTAGAAGTTTTGCATCGTTTCACAATGTTTTCATTAAAGGTTGTAGTGATGGTTAGTTTTTTTTGTATTATTCCTCCAGTACTCAAATAGTCTTGTACTCTGCTTTGGTACTCAAATAAAAGGTTATAGTTTATAAGCTTACTGTGCTTTAACCTGGAACAGTTTATTTTACCCTAAACAATTTATTATGGTTAATTTTTTTACCATTAACAATAGCAATTAAAAAATGAATGAATCTTAAAGGCAAGTTGGATTTTATGCGTCGTTTAAATGATAATGTATGTTACTTTTTGGTAACATTTTTCATTTCTTGAGAAAGTTGATATTGTGTTGGTATTCTCCAGCTGAAGAAATTAGCAGGCAGAATATAATGATTTTTGGTTTTCAGATTTTAAAGTCTGTGTGTGTGTGTGTGTTTGTGTTTAAATGGGTGGGCATAGCAGCAGATGTGTGGCAAAAGTTACACACACACACACACACACACACACACACACGCACACACACTTTTCCAGAACAGTAATAGGAATATTACTTTGTTCTTAGTATCCATAGTGAGAATGTGTTACAAGAAATGAGAATAGGGAAGAAGTAAACTTTAACATTTTTGAGAGGCTCCTGGTTATTTTGTTTTAATGCTGAACCTTTGGCTAAAAATCCTCTATTTGAGCTCAGTTACCTTAAAAACAGTTTTCATAACTGAGTAATTTGCCTTTAACTCTTTGGTATATATTCCCAGTGGCCATGACAAAGTATGTTTTAAATTCCTCTCTATTCACAGATACATAGTGTTCCCATATTTTGGAAATCCAAGATTAAGTGGATTTGACTAAATCTGGCTTGTTAGGGACAGATGGCTGCTTTAAACAGGTGTCACTTTCATTTTTTACTGCATTGTGTTGGGACTTCCAGTGGTTGACAAAAGGGCTGTCTAAAGCAGGTGGCATCCTTTGCTTTTGTTGTTAGTAAAATCTACTTTTAGAGTTTTCTAGGAAAAGTTTTTTTTTTTTAAAGTAAAAGTTTTGAACTACTCAAGATTCGTAATTTAACATAACTTTTATTTCTGAATATTCTATTTTTAAGTGGTAGAACCTGCAGATTCTTTCACAAAACACTTATCAATTCTTATAAATAATGGTAAATTCCCTTTGAATCCAGAAAAAGTACACAGGAACATTTTACACACCCAAGTCAAACCCCAAGGCCAATTTGAATAAAGTGAAATTTGGTTAACATGACAAGTTAACTTTTGTCATCCTTTACTGAAATAATTTTTTGACAGCATTTTTTATATGTTGGAAATAGGTGTTGTTTTTGTTGGTTAAGTATTTTCAAACTAAGACATTTCCTGACTTCATTTACTGCTATAAAGTTTATAGTGATCTTTTAAAATGATAATATTTTTAAGTATTAATGTTCAAAAATATGTACTGCAGTAAATAAAAAAACTATCAACCTATTGATTTCTAAGGTTCACTTTTACTCTACAATTCTGTCCTTTTCTGTGGGAATTTTATATTTCTTATAACAGATGCACCAGAGGGTGCTGTGCTGTTTGCAACATGAGATTATTATCACTAAGAATGTGAACTCACTAGAACTTTTATTTAAAGAAAAAAATTTTTAATTATATATGCATTGAAGCATATAATAGGCTTATTTTTATGGAGTTTAACATACTATCTTAATTGGCAGTTTTACATCAGAACCTAACTTCGTGTACTAATACATATTACCGCAACATATAACAATATAAAGATTGATATCTTTGGCACTGTCTGGCATTAGTCCTATAGGCATATATGTTGATTATCTTATGTAGATATTTTAATCTTTATTTCAAAACTTAGGTTACCCTGAGAATCATACTATTTGGCGATATGTGGCTTTATACTTCTTAAATTTCATATGATTAGCACATATCAATAATTGTCCATTCTTATAACACTTTTACATGGCATAGTGATATGCTTTTTATTGTATAATCTTTAAAAAAACCACTGGAAAAATAAATGGCAATAGTGGTTATCAGGCTAATTCATAATAAAATAGTATTGACATTATCTAGATAATTCTGGCTGGTTGTATTGGTTCACATTTATAATCCCAACACTTTGGGACTGAGGCAGAAGGATCACCTGAGGCTATGAGTTCAAGAGCAGCCTGGGCAACATAGCAAGATTTCATTTCTGTAAAAAAAAGTAAAAGAAAATTAGCCAGCCTTGCCGGTGCGTGCCTGTAGTTCAAGCTACTCAGGAGACTGAGGTGAGAGAATTTTTTAGCCCAGGAGTTTCAGGTTACAGTGGGCTATGATCATGCCACTGCACTTTAGCCTGGGTGACAGAGCAAGACCCTGTCTCAAAACACCAAAAACAGAAACGAATGCAATCCGTACTTCATGCTGTTGGAATAGGCTAGTTTGATTGTTTAATTTGGCTTATTATCTGAAAACTTTTAGGTTCCCAGCCCTACTGTGTGCCATATACTTTTAAACTGGGAGTGATCTTATATTGCTTTTTGTATTTTATTTGTTCAGTGAGAGATTTTTAGGAGAATACTGAATCCAATCTTGGGCTACTTCTTGTATCATCGACTCTTTTCACAGCAATATATACTCTAAAAGACATACTGAAACAGTGATACCTTCCTTAAGTAAGCTTAGAAAGATACAGTTACAGCATATAAACTTTTTAATCTTGATAATGGATTTATCTGTACTAGTCCATATTTTACTATAATTAGTTAATTGTGATATTTTTATAAAGTAAGCTTACAAGGCATAGTAGTTCATGTGTGTTAGACTGCCTCAAAGAATCCAAAACATTTATTAAAGTAACACTATGTTTAAATACTGGTCTTGCTAAAATAGGTTAGGCATTTTTCTTTAAAAATATAGTCCTACAGTTTACCAGTTAGTTTTTGCCACTAAGATTTTTCCTTTTTTGAAACAGGGTTTTGCTCTGTCACTCAGGCTGGAGTGCAGTGGCATAGTCATAGCTCACTGCAGCCTCAATCTCCTGGGCTCACGTGGTCCTCCTGCCACAGCCTCCTGAGTAGCTAGGACTACAGGCTGTTGCCATCATTTTAAAATTTAAAACATTTCAATTTTTTTTTTTTTTGTAGAGACAGGGTCTTGCTACATTGCCCAGGCTAGATTTTTGAAAGTATACTTTATAGCAAGTTGTATTGCTTCAAAATCTTTATATTTGTAGTTTTTATTTCGTATCAAATGCAGAGTGTTCTTAGTGAAAACAAATCAGTTAAAAATGGAAACGTGTTTAGAGTATCAATAAATAGGTATAAATAGGTTTTGTTCTTTAAATAGATGGATAGAATAAGTATACTGGTGAATAACAGGCTTTGGAGTCAGATTTCAGATAATCTCATTAGTTGTGTGACTTTGGACAAGTTATTACCTTCACTTAACCTCAGTTTTCTCATTTGAAAAATAGGATCAATCTTCCCTGCCTTATGGGGTTTTGTGAGGATTAAAGGAGATAATTTATGTAACGTACTTTGCTCAGTATTTGACACAATATGTGTTCAATACGCGTTGGCTTTATTTTTAGGGAAGGCTGAGAAAATACCTATTCTAATCTTTTTGCTACCTAAGAATCCTTTGACCATCCCTTTTTTAATGAGCCCAAAAAGTTTTGAAAGACTTTGCTTACCAATTTATACTCATTAAATAATAATTATTCTTTTTCCTCCACTTTAAAAAATAAGGCACAGACAAGCTGCCAATCACAGGCTTGGATTATCATTTGATAACCAGTCTTATCACACTGAATTAATAGAATGCTAGCCCAAAGTTATGTTTTAGTTTTACTCTGCAGCCTTATAATGGGCTCCTTTTACTAGGTTTGCATAACTCTCCTGGTCAAAGGATTTTAGATTAAGAACTAATGATGTAATATGTCATTATCTGTTATACTCCCATTGTCCAGTTCATTGTCCCACTTATATTTTTATTTTCACGTTATACATGAATTATTTGAAAACAGTCTGAGCCCTATTTATAAACTTTATACTGAATGTAGTCAGTAAAGTTTAATAATAATAAATAGTCTAGTCAGTTGTGTAAAGATGAGTTTATCAAAGAATTATTCTACATTTTTATAATGCGTTGCTTAGAATTGTTACTTTACTAAGGGTAGAAAAATGTGTGAGGTTACTACTTGTGTACCTACAGCAATAAATAATTTTGGGATGATTTGTCAATCCCAATCTTGAGTTGTAAAGTAACCTTGGAACATTATTTAGTGTAATATATAATATGAAATCATAGAGGAAATATATCACCTGTGGCTTCCTTTCATTAGATATTAAAGATGTTTAAGTAACATTTTCAAGTTGGCTGCTTAATTATTAAAGTTGCTATTCAGTAATTTCCTTTATTTCTATATTTTTCCTGAACATTTTCATCAGAATGAAATACTTTTCTCATTTTAGAGTGATCTATAAACAGTCCTAATCTTTCTCAAACTGGAAATTTGACTTATATATTTCAGTTGAGAATTTACCTGATACTATATGTCTTTTCTTTTTTGCCAAAGCATTGTATATTGTACAGATGTTTGTCTGTGTCACTCATTTCACCATTCTCCCCACTCCCGTTAAGTGTTTAGTTATATGACCCCCTTTGCGTTATTTTTGTAGATAATTAGCCCCAACATATCAATTAGACTGACTCTCAGCTTAGCCACCTCCTCTGCTTCCTTTCGCCAGTGAATTTGACACAGATTTAAAAGGAACTTTTGGGAAAAGTTTAGGAAATGTGATTTGGATGGTCAGGTTATGCAGTCATACATTACTTAATGATATGGATATGTTCTGAGAATTACGTAGTTAGGTGATTTCATCATTGTGTGAACATCATAGAGTGTACCCAACACACACCTAGATGGTATAGCCTGCTACACGCCTATGCTATATAGTATAGCATATTGTTCTCGTCTATAAACCTGCGTAGCATGTTATTGGACTGAATACTGTAGGCACTTGTAACTCAGAGATAAGTATTTGTGTATCTGAACATATCTAAACGTAGAAAAGGTAATGCATTGTGTCAAGATGTTTAGTTGGTTATGATGTCACTGGGCTATAGGAATTTTTGAGCTCCATTTTGTTATGGGATGTGGTTTGTTGTTGACAGAAATGTTATGTGGTGCGTGACTGTATGGTTATTCTTACCATTTCCGATAGTCTATTATTATCTTACAATTTCTACTCATCTGACTGTCCTCTTGGACAAATTTATAACCTTGTTCCACTAACTATGTAATTTGAGTGTGGTTTTGATTCAGAAGGCTCCCTTCTTAGTCCTGGCTATGTACTGGCCTCTGGCTAAGTACCTTAGGGTTAAATCTGTAGTCCATAAACACTGTGTTTGCACAATCACAGATGCCTGCTGTTGTTGACTTTTAATTCCTGGATTCTCCTTTCTCACTTTTATTAGAAGCAGTAATACCCAGCTAGTACTGCTTGCCTTTGCTTTAGAGTGCTTGGTCAAGATTTCTGAAGGTTCTTGGTAATTCCTGTTTAGGCAAAAATGAGGTATTGGGTAATAGGAGTTGAGCTTAGGAAAACTAATAGAGTGAGACAGCTGTCCTCAAAATAATAGTGTGTTAGTTGGTAAGAGGAGACAGATACAGTGAAAGATGATAAAAGGAGAAAGGACAGCGAGTGACCAGGCCAAGATATAAAGGACTTCAAAAATGCTAGCCAAAGGAGGTTAAAGAGAAAATAAAGGTTCTCACTCTATTTCTAACTGTAAAACCTTAGCCTGGTCACTTATACCCTATAGGTCTCAGTTTCTCCATCTGTAACATGAAACAATAGGGCTATGGGATTTCTAAAGCCCTTTCCAATCTATGATTCTGTAGCAAGATTGACACTGGGAAAGGGAAGGAAACATGCCAATAACATGGAGCCAGGAATTGGCATTTCCCTTACTCATGTTCTCAAAGGCTAGCAAGTTGTTTGCTTATTGTTTCTTCTGGTAAGAACAAGAAAGAAAGAAAACCCACAGCCTGGTGCTAGCATAATGGCCATACCTATAGCAAAGTCTCAGAAGGTTCCACCATTTCAATGGCTTCTGTAGAGAGTGGTGGCCAAGTGCCCTCATTTTCTCACCCACATAGGAATTAGCTGAGTCTCACAGCTTGAGCTCCTGCCGGAGCCAGCTTCTCTATGTGTGTGTGCCAGACAAGTGTCTGACATTTGGGGCTCCTCCTGTCTGTTGCTCACCAATGAGATATTTAAAACAGGACATAATTTCCCGAGTATGTGGATAGGCAATTTAACAGAGAGAGAGAGAGAGAGAGAGTGCGAAAGCGAGCTAGTGCATGTGTGCTCTCTGATCAGAATAAAAATTAATTTAGGTTTCTGTTGATCTCATTTTTAAGACATTTCTTCCCCAATTATTGAAGCTATTCAACTGGTTTTTAAGAAGAGCTAAAAATCCCGTCAAGGTCTAGACAAGCTCCGAGAGCCTTTGGACTACTTTGGGGTCCCTGGTCTGGAAAGCATTGCTATCCTCCACACTAGTCTCATATTTTTCCATCGGTAATAGTTACTGCTTTTCTTTTTCTTAATATTGTTTATACTTGGATAAGCATTCTTTTAATTCAGCTTTGGTAGCAGAAAAATAGTCTTTTGTTTAAGAAGTATACATTTTCTTAAATTTTAAAAAATTTTTAGTTTAGGCTGGGTGCGGTGGCTCATGCCTGTAATCCCAGCACTTTGGGAGGCTGAGGCGGGTGGATCACGAGGTCAGGAGATCTAGACCATCCTGGCTAACACGATGAAACCCCGTCTCTACTAAAAATACAAAAAATTAGCTGGGCGTGGTGGCGGGCGCCTGTAGTCCTAGCTACTCGGGAGGCTGAGGTGAGAGAATGGTGTGAATACAGGAGGTGGAGCTTGCAGTGAGCCGAGATCACGCCAGTGCGCTCCAGTCTGGGCAACAGAGCAAGACTCCATCTCAAAAAAAAAAATTTTTTTTTTTACTTTAATACTACTTTGGTTAGTAGACTTCTCAAGATTTTAGAACATAGCAGGCTAAAAGAGGAAGCATTTTTGCATTTATTCAGGATAAGTCATATATTCTGCTGTAACTCAACTCTTTTACCAGCCTAATAGGGGAGTATATTAAAGCTTAGATTGTAATTATTGATTTAAAAAATTTATTTTTGAATGCTTTGTTTTTTACTGATTAACTTAGACATTTTCAAGTTTCTGGACTACATTCAGATTTGCATGCCTAATAGCATTTGTGTATTTCAGTATAACTTTCATCTTTAAAATATATCTCATCCCCTTCAGTCTCAGTCAGCATAGTTTACTTTAATGTTCAAAACCATTTTAGAGATTCTTTGCTTGTCAGTTAAGTTTCCTCCATGTTTTAGTTGTGGAGGAATGGGGGAGGTTGCTGTAGAAGGGCAGGAAAAGCAGATACATTTAGGAATCATATCCTGTTTCTATTGTTAGACATCAGTGCATTACATATTTTCCCCAGTTAATTTTCCTGGACCATTAAGTTTAGGCGGGTGTGGGGGCTTGAGGTGGGACTTACGGGGCGTAGGGAGGTGGGAGACAGAAGACTCAGGTGATCCAGTATTTCTTCCAGATTTCTTTCCTTACCTACTGTAATATTGTGCAGAATACATCTATTTTTGTGAAGACGGGCATTCTGTTTAATTTTGTTAGTGATTCCTTTTTTCCAAAGAATCAATATATCTGTATATATCTATCCATTAGTATATTAGTAGATGGAAAATAATATCTTTCTTTTTTAAGGAACCTGAATTTTGATTTAGTCATGCACAAATTTTAGAAAGGAATTAAAAAGACTGGTGAGAAAATCTAGTTCATAAGCAAGGTAACAGTAGTGATGCCTTAAATCTACCTCTTTATGTTTTGCTTTGGATAAATGGTTTTGTGGATATATGTTTTTGCATTAGAATTTAGGTTTTCCCCTGATACTATTTATGCTATTTTAAATAACCAAAGAGTAAAATCTGTCACATCAGGCATTTGCTGATTGGCATCTGATTATATCTAATGACAGTCTCAGAGATGAATTTTGATGACGTGTCAGTTTAAGGGTCATTAATAAAAAACATGAAAAGCTATTATATGAGTAATCTGAAAATCACCTTTACAACTTTAAAAGCACAATATGTATTTTACGTGCCATGGTGAAAACCCAACTTGAAAAATCAGTACATAACACGGAAACCCATAAATTTAGATTCTTTGTTTCATAAAATGATTATATTGCATGTGTCTTAGGAGCATTTTAAAATACTTTGTTTAGCTCACACTTGTAATCCCAGCACATTGGGAGGCTGAGATGGGAGAATCCCTTGAGCCCAGGAGTTCAAGACTAGTGTGGGCAACATAGTGAGACCCTGTTTCTACAAAAAATTAAAAAATTAGCCGGGTGCAGTGGTGCCTGCCTGTAGTACCACCCCCTCAGGACTGAGGTGGGTGTATTGCTTCAGCCCTCGAGGTGGAGGCTGGAGGCTGTAGACAACCCGGAGCCTGGGCAACAGAGGGAAACCCTGTCTCAAAAAAACAAAGCAAAACAAAACAAAACAAAACAAAACACAACTTGGTTAAAAAAATTACTTTTCAATTAGAGTGTAGTAGATATATTAAGAAAAATGGAGTTTAACTTAATGTGTTTTGTGTATGTGTATGTAGATATTTAGAAAGTCATTTTAATTTACATTTTGCTTGGTGTTGTAGAACAATCAATACTGTTTTTGTGCACTGATTTTTGCATTATCCATCTCTTGGAGGATCATTAGGAACATTTAGTATTTCCACCTTAGTGCTATTTTCTTGAGGCAAAGAAAGATTAGGGGAACTGTCTGATGAAGTTCTTTGAATGACCTTCGTGTAGTTTTGTGAGCAATTTTTAATAGTGTCTCACATTGTATGATGATTTTTAGAGGCTACTTTCAGTTAATAAAGGCCATGAATGCTGAAATTGAATTAAATTGTAGTTAAAGACAAAAATTGTAATTCATTCCAATTATAGGAGGTTAAAATATTGTGCTGTTGGATCAACATTTGATCTCCTTATTTTTAGAAGTCTGCCAAGTTTTGAATTGTAAAACCTTTTAAATAATATTGAATGAGTAGAGCTGTATAGTAGTTGTGGGTTTATATTTCAGCAAAGATTTGAGTGCCATATGTCTTGGAAGTAAGGTGGGATTCTTTTATCTTGGAACTTGGAAAGAGATTTATTTTAATATTTTGATTGGGTTAGGTTTGCTTGAGCATTTTTGGGGGTTGATAGAAATGCAAATGACTATGGACTGGAGATACAGATCAGAGTAATTTGTGAGAGGAGGTAATTGTAGCGATCCTGATGCAACACTCACTTCCAGTCCTACTGCCCGTGATAAACTTTGAAGTAAAGACTTCCTTCTTTAATGATGTAAGCCTCTCTATTAAAATGTGTTTTGTTAATTTTCATTGCTGCCTGGAATTTCCCAAATGTACATTATCTGGGAGCTTTGGAAGTTCCAGTTTACCTTCTGGATTATAAACCTTAGAAAGAATGCCAATAGATGGCACCCCATGCCCAGAACAACACCTTAATCTGAAGGAATGGGGTAAAAAATGAAGTGCAGGATCATATAATTTGAAAAACTAGAGTATGAACAGTGACTAGTACAATGTAGAGAAAAAGAAATATCATTTCAGGGACTAAATATGAATCCCAGTTCACCATATTCTGCATATTCTGCATATCTAGTAATAATATCACTGCTATGACTGATGACATTTCTAATATTTGATTCAAAAACATTCTAGCAGAGACCTAAGATAATTGGATAAATTAGTCTCTAAGCTTTTGGTTTTTTATTTTGTCTTTTAGCTTTAATTTTGAATGAGGAATTAAAGGATTTATATCAATGTATATTTAGTGCAGTACTATTTTGGTTAATGTAGGAATCCCGAAATGACTTAGATTTCCATTGAGTTTTAAGGAGCATAAAGAAATGAGAGAAATGGGTTATTAGATACAAAATTGCATATTCTCAGCTATGTGGACATATTTTTTAAGGTTTCCAATTGTAGAGGGTTACAAAAAGGACATAACGATATTTGGGAATCAAGAAGGATAAAAAAGTGTTGGAAGAGATACTGAAAAGTGGAGTTGAATGAAATTAGTAGAGAATTTGGAAATAAAGATAAAAATAAGATGGAAAAATTACATTATGAATGGTGAAATAATTTATTGAATGAACAATTTCTTTTTAAAATCTTTACTGTGATTTTTACCTAATGGGAGGACCCAAGGAAAAAGATTGTACTTAGCCTCTTTTTGAGCACCACATTTGTTTTTTTGTTTGTTGGAAATTTTTATAACAAGGTGCTGGGATCTTTGACTAGTATTGTATGAGGTTTGACTATTTCTAGACATTGTATATAGAAAAGATTAAATTGAGGTGTTGCCTCAGAGTTTTCTTGTAATTATTTTATTATTACAAGGTAATATATTAATATATAAAAAACACAAAATTAGCATATCCAGTTGGGATATCTGATTAGTTTATCTGATATCTAAAGCAGCCTACAGTTGTAAAGTCAGTATATAGTAAAAAACTGTGTACCATAAATGTATATATTCCTAAAACATTTTATATTTTGGAACATTTAAAACTTACACTGGAGTAGTATAATAAACTCCCATATGCCCATTATATGGATTTAACAAAGTAGTACCTTCTATTGCTCTAAAGCTATATAATTTGAAATATTTGCATATTGAAATAACCTTGAATCATTCTTTACTTTGTGTTGCTTTGAAAATATTTAAATCTTATGCTAACAACAGATTCAATGTATACTTGAAAAAATGCTTATGTTTAAAACAAAATATTTAAAAATGATCTTGTTTTTTCTCTCAGCACAGCATTTCTCTTATTATTTATTATTTTTGTTTTTATGGGTACATGTTAAGGGTATATATTTAAGGGATATTTCGATACATGCATACAAAGCATAGTAGTCACGTAAGAGTAAATGGGGTGTCTGTCACCTTAAGCATTTACCATTTCCTTGTGTTACACACATTCTAATTATACTTTTAGTTATTTTAAAGTGTACAATAAATTACTGTTGACTGTAGTTACCCTACAAGCACAGCATTTCTAAATCAGGAAGTTTGTTCTTGGTTTCCGGTCATATCTTTTGTTTAGTAATTGAATTCAAGTCTCCTTTACTTGAATCCTGACCCATTGTTAAGAAAGGGAGAAAGTCCAGGGACAGTAGCCCATATTTGAAGAAACCTGTGTTGAAGACTAACTCTCCCAAGGGTGAAATGGGGTTATCTTTTGTCTGCCATTCTTTTAACTTTGTTTGTGGGTATATTTGAGTAAACAGTTGAGTCATTTTGTAAGTTGATGAGGGAAGAGAACCAACTATCTTCTGCTTCTTCTGGAATATTTCCTTCAAAGTTTGCTACTCATTTTGTTTCTAATAGAACATAAAGGAAGAGACATCTAAGAGCTAATGTACTGATAGTTTATGATATCACTCAAAGCAGTTTAATATTTTGTGGTTTAGTATCTTCAGGGAATGAGGAGGTTCCTTCTCTTAGTTTTTTTATTTGACTGAGGCCAGACTGGTATGAAAGAAGTTTATTTTACAATTCTAAAATCTATAGCCAAAAAAAAATCGTTATTCATGTAATAATGGTCTTACTACATGAAACTATTCTATAATGAGCAGACTAGTATTATAACAAATAGTGATTAATGGCATTTTAATAAACAACACAAAATTTATACCTAAATCTTTTTAAAAGCTGATGTTTCCTTGTTTGAACCTAATTAAATGATTAAGATATGAAGAGGTAAATACAGTGCATTAAATAAGCTTGCATTTTTTGTTTGTATAATAACTTTAATTGCCAAACTTCATTATGATCCAAAGGGTTCAGTGGAATTGTGTATGACTTAATATATTTTGTGGCGGTCTTTAAAAATATTTCTGTACAGAGTCACTAGACAAACTGAGTAGTAAAGTGATACAAAATAACCAAAGTGATACACTAATTAAATGATCTTATTTTAGAACTAAACTGTTTCTTTTCTCAAAGGGTTATATATAATTCTAACTGACATTAGGAAACATCTTCATTATGTAATTCTGCCTATTAGATTTTTATACTTTTCAAAAGTAAATAGAAGATACAGTGTATGAAGAAAACACCAGTATAAAGTTTAATGAGCCAAACAATATGTGAATAAAACGTAAATGTAACCCTGCAAAACAGAAGATTATAGAATGTACATGTTATTTTCAGAAATATTTATAGATTTCCTTATGAATTTAATGCAAGATGAGTTTCAACATTTACAGTAGTAACTTTTTCTGTGCTTTTAGATACCTTGTACTTAAAATCAAAGTATAATTTTATTTGGCTTTTTATTATTTTACATTCTGTTTAGTATCAATGAAAGCACAGGCAGTTTTATTCTAGTGTTTCAAAGTTGTTTAGTTTTAAATTTGACCAGTACTACATTTGCGTTATAGGATATAATTTAAAAATCAGCCATTTTCAGTGTGGGAATAATAATATTGATCCACTTATTCTATGTTTGAGTAACTCCTCAATAACTTAATGCTGTAATTTGGAAGAACACTGTCTCTTCACATTTAAAGGAGAGTTTTGTTTGTTTGTTTGTTGCTTTTTTTGGGGGGGGCAAGAAATGATCTGTATCTTATAACCTGGCCCTGTTTGCATAGCAGCTAAACTTTTGGGTCTGGAACTTCAAATCCCCTGTGATGAGTATCTTTCTTTCTCAGTGGCCAACTTCAGCCTTTCTTCCTATCTCTACTAATTTTACTGCCATATTCCACTTTCCGTTTACTATGTCTGGCCCTGCACAGCAGACCAAAAGAGACAGCCATGGGACTACAGCAGATTAGAGAGGTGAAAAGGTCTCTCACTAGAGTCACACATGTTTCCAAATGGCCCAAATATACAGGATTTCAGTAGAAACATAATTAGAATGTTTTATTTTAGAGTCAGATTCTTTTAGTTGGAATGGACTTGGGAAGTTATCAAGTTGAACCCCTCCTTCCTCCTCCCCACTTCTTATAGGTAAGAAAACTGAGGGTAAGTGACTTGTACAATGACATAGAACATCAGAATTAGGACTGTCGAACTCCAGCCTCCACACTCCTCCGCAAATGTTCTTAGGGCTAATACAAAACTTTTTTTAAAGGCAAAGAACTCAAATGTACTGCCTTTAGTGTTTTAAGTAACTGTTTATCTATAATTTTGAACTCCATATTTTTTTCTAGAAAAAGCAAGTTTTATAAATCTGCATTCAAAGTTTGCATAAATACCTTAATGTTCTAATTATTTCCAAATGTAATTTTTGGTATATGGATTATTTTTAGAATGACGTAGAAATAAAATTTAAAAATGTTTTCCAAACCATCAGTAGGCTTTATTTTAAGGAGAAATGCCATACTTACTAGGTTTTTTAAAAAGAAAAATATTGTATATTTAATTCCTATTATTTGTATTTCCTCTTATTGGGAATTAATGATGTATGTCATAATCAATGTATTAGTGTAAATAATTTTCAGTCCTGGTATGCACGTCTTTACTTTTTTGATGAGGGTAAAGGTGCTTTTAATTGTTTTAAGAATTTTTGTAAACATTCATTTAATTATGAATTTTAAAAATGGAAATCTTTGTTCTTGTAGGTCACTCTTTTGTGGAACAAAAGTAAAATACTGGCAGCTGATATAGGTGGTACAAGCTGAGACTTGCCCAGCTGGGCTTTAAAAGTGTAGCAGCGCTCTTAAGTAGCAGTGAATGAACAGAATGAATATATGAACGGACTGCCCTTTATTCCATAGCAACCAGACGCAATACTGGCAACTATGCTATTATCTGATTTTTTATTTTCTTAATCTGAGTTTTTGGAAGGTTATGTTGTTTACTTTTTAATAGTATGGGACTGTGGCAGGAATTGTAATTACCAAGATTTTGTCTAATTATTTCTCTCTCTCTCCTCTCTGTGTCTCTCTTTCTGTGTGTGTGTGTGTGTGTGTCTGTGTTTTACAATTAGAAGTAAATCAGTGAGCTCAGACTTGAATTAGTTTCGGTATTGTGCTAAAGATGAGCAGTTTGAGCCCTAACCCTGTTAATTATTTGAAACAGTCAATTTAAGAGAAACCAAGAATATGGCAATTGAACTTCCCAATGTAACCTGATGCTCTCTGCAGCCTCATTTGTGGTAACAAATATGAAAGGATACATTTATATAAAACAGGAGTATGTTTCCTGTGGGGGAAAACCGCTTGTCATTTGCTTTTAACAAGGTGTAAATCCCCACAGATAAACCTTCTTGTAAAACTGTTCCCTTTGGATTTAGCCTCACCTTCAACAAAAAGGGAGATGTAATAAACGAAAGTATGATGAAATATTAGTTAGCTCTTGCATTTTTTGCCTAGAAGTTCCTCTTTTTTATTCTTTATCATTTTTTAAAATTTAATGCCGCTGTTTCAGATGAATTGAGAGAGTCAGAATATAATGCATTACATTCATTTTACTTTCTGTTAATGTTTTTAGGGGGAGAGATCTAAATAATATACTTTTAGATTGAACTATATTTCTGATATATCAACATATATACTGACTCATAAATTAGAATGGAAAATACAAATATTGAAAGTGTAATTCAAATGAATAGAAAGTGCTAAATACTTGCAAGCCTTAAATTGGGATTTGAATATAGAGATTGAGTTACCAGAGTAACTAAATACTAGACTGCTGTATTTGTTGGATGTGCAGAGAAGGAAACTCAAATATGGAACGTGGTCTTAATGTCTTATGAATCATTTTTACTTAACTTTTAAAATTCAGATTAATAGAGTCCTCTAAAAAGAAGGTTTTTTTGAATTTTTAGAAATAGCTCAGAGTTTTACGTTTCCCTCTGTCAGAATCTTTTCAGGATTCCTCATTGCCTCTTCGTCAGAGTCGTTTAAGAAATATTTATTAGTTATCACAGTGTCCCACAGAACAACCACAGTCTTTGCTGTTAGGAAGCTTATAGTCTCATGTCCATTTTCAAACTTGTATTTCACCACTTTTCTCTGTACTTCCCCTTTTTTGACCAGTCTACATTTCGTATCTGTGGGATCTGCATTTGTGAATTCAACCAGCTGAGGATGGGAAACACTTGAAAAAAGAAAACAATATATAACAACACAACAATAAAAAAAGTAAATACAGTATAACAACTTTATATAGCACTTACATTGTATTAGGAATTATAATTAATCTAGAGATGATTTAAAGTATACACGGGAGGATGTGTACAGGCTATACACAAATACTATGCTATTTTATATAAGAGAGTTGGGCACCCTTTTTTAAGATGGAGGTCCTGGAACCAATTCCCCATGGTTACGGAGGGACAACTGTATTATGTATTGGTTAAGAGCATGAACTTCAAAATGAACAGCCCTGGGTGTGAATTCGAGCTCTGCCACTGACTAGCAGTTTAATGTTAGGCAGATTACTTAAATTCTGTGAAATAGGATTAATAAAATCAACCTGAAAAGATTGTTTCAAAGACAGTATATGACATAGTCAAAATAGCACTGTGCCTGACATGTGAGTGTTTAATAAATGGCAATTGCTATTATTATCCTATATGGTCTGAATTCTGCCTTGTCATTTCTTTTCTCTAAAACTTAGTTCTCATCCTTTATTCTATTAGAATGTGTTTTCTACCCTACTTCAATTAATCTCTTCTAAAATTTGAGTGGTCCCTAACTTGATGGGTTCATTTCTAGTAATTTCTTATTATCTCTGCTAATTGGAAATTGTGATTTAGATTTTTGTTTGTTCAGTTGTAAATGCTTAATCTTTTTAAATTGTTTATAAGCTTACTGAGGGCAGAAGACTCCATAATCAAGGTTTTTGAACTCAGCATGAGACCCAGTGTCTTTTTCTAGTAGAAACAATGAATAGTTGTTTAAGCTTCAGATTGTCAATTTGGAATCTCTAATCAAATTTTAGAAAACACATTTCACTATTTAAAAATTTTGTCTAGTTCTGATTTTACAATGACCTTTCAAGCAATGCAGTCTTACTTTTATTATTTCCATTGGATTTATTTACTTCTTTTTTTTCCAAAATGAATTTAATGGCATGAATTCATGAATTTCTGGATATTTCTTCAAATAGAGTATCATGTAGCTGGCAGTGGATTGGGCTGACCTTAATCCAGGTCTTTTTCTTCTTACCTTTTCAAATGACATTCTGTCACCTCATTCTATATTTATATATATACATTTCTCTATATGTGAAATTCTAGACTCATATATCTATATATAGATATAATTCCAGACTTGTTTGGATTTTCTTAGTATCCAACAAGGCTAATATCTTACTTTCAGAAGTTGGGGAATGCCTTTAAGGATTCTATACCTTATTTCTATTTTCTAGTTGTGACAGGGTGCAAGAATTCCTTAATATAGGAGAGACATGCGGGGCATTATGG
Source organism: Homo sapiens (assembly GCF_000001405.40). Classification (NCBI taxonomy): domain Eukaryota; kingdom Metazoa; phylum Chordata; class Mammalia; order Primates; family Hominidae; genus Homo; species Homo sapiens. The sequence continues at coordinate 3,506,497 of NC_000009.12, read as the reverse complement.
GAACCTTGCTTTGGGGGACTACTTTGAATATCCCAAACTTTGGGTTTTTCCTTCTACTGCCTAACTTTACTGTGCCTGCTGGGATGTCAAAAGTAGAGGATCAGGACTTCAGTTCCAGGGTTACACCAAGGCAACCAGTAGTATCAGAATGGAATTACTACAGTAGTGAGATCCATGTTTGCATTTGTGATATTTTAATTAGGGTTGCACTATGCGAAGGTATGATTATCTGCCTTTATGTCTGCTACAGAGACTTTACCCTGAAAAACCTTTTTTTTTAAAAAAAAAAAAACAGTTGTCCTTCATAAATCTATCCAGCCCTCATTTTAATTAGTGTATATTCATTGTATACCATCTCTCGAGATGATGAGTTGCTGAATTTAGTGCCGTTTGTGAAGTCATCTTAACCTCTTTCCAGACTTAAGGAGTGCTCTTCAATTTCTGTAAGTTTTAATATACATGCTCATTTCACTTTTTAAAAATTATTTCATTCATTTCTTGAGCAAATATTGGCACATAAAGTAGGGGCCAAGAAGTGAACTGCTGTGAAGGATACAAGAATGAATAAAACTGATCATTCTTCAAGGGCCTCTGCCCTTGAAGGAACTCACATTCAAACAATTGGGGGTGAGGGAGAGAGAAGATAAATGAGTATGTATTATAATAGATGGTTGTCAATGCTATGGAAAAAACAAATGTGAGAAGCAGGGGGGTAGAGAGTGTAAATGATATGTAAATGATGGGGGTGGAGAAGGTTGTAATTTTAAATAGGATGATTAAGAACACCTTGCAGATAAGGTAACATTTGAACAAAGACCTGAAGGAAGTTTTGAATATGTCTTCAAATGTGGCTTTGTATATTTATAATATAATATTGATACTTTGGTAGCTGCTGGCCTTCCTGTTAAAGAGTCCTAATTTTTACATCTGTCCTCACACAGCACTTTCTGCCTTTCTCTTTACCCCCTTTTATCATTTTTATATGCCTTTCCCTGAATATTTTATTTTATATTTTATATAAATATAAAATATTTTATTTTATATTTTATATAAATATAAAATATTTTATTTTATATTTTATATAAATATAAAGTATTTTATTTTATATTATATAAATATAAAATATTTTATATTTATATAAATATAAAATATTTTATTTATATAAAATATAAATATACATTAATATATATTTATATATATATAAATATAAAAATGTATATATTCATATATATATAAATATATATTCATATATATATAAATATATATTCATATATAAATATATATTCATATATATATAAATATATATTCATATATATATTTATATGAATATAAAATATATTTCATATATTCATATAATATATAAATATAAATATATAAAAATAAAATATAAAATAAATCTAAATATATAAAATATTTTATTTTTATATTTTATTATATATTTTATATATAATATAAAATATATTATATTATTTAAAATATTTTATTATACATTTTATATAATATATATAACATATATATTATATAATATATATTATATATAATATATATTATATTATATATATTATATATAATATATGTTATATTATATATATATATAATATATGTTATATTATATATAATATATATAATATATATTATATCATATATAATATATATATTTTATACATATTTTATATATAATATATATTTTATATATAATATAATATATATTTTATATACAATATATACATATAGCATATATTTTATATACAATATATACCATATAGCATATAATATATATTTTATATACAATATATACCATATAGCATATAATATATATTTTATATGCAATATATACCATATGGCATATACTATATATTTTATATGCAATATATACCATATGGCATATACTATATATTTTATATGCAATATATACCATATGGCATATACTATATATTTTATATGCAATATATACCATATGGCATATAATATATATTTTATATGCAATATATACCATATGGCATATAATATATATTTTATATACAATATATACCATATGGCATATAATATATATTTTATATACAATATATACTATGTGGTATATAATATATATTTTATATACAATATATGCTATGTGGTATATAATATATATTTTATATACAATATATGCTATGTGGCATATAATATATATTTTATATATAATATATGCTATGTGGTATATAATATATATTTTATATGTTATATACAATATAGTATATATTATATATAAAATATATATATAATATATAGTATATAATATAGTATATAATATATATAATATATATAATATATAATATGTATAATATATAATATATATAATATATAATATGTATAATATATAATATATATAAAGAGAGAGGGAGAGAGAGAGAGAGAGAAAGATGTATTGATCAAAACTAAGGAATCGAGCCGATTGAGCCATTTTCAAAATTAAATTCTTGAAGTCCACCCTACCTGCTTCCAAGTTGGAGGCTCTTTGGAAACACTTAAAAAATTGAACAGCGTGTGCACATGAAGTGTTAAAAGTAAAAATTACAATAATAGGCAAATAGAAATTAGAGTTAGCCAGACTGCTAATTTGGTTGGTTATACCCTTAGTTTACTTATGGCTAATTTAAATTTGACAGAATCTTTGCATATGATGGCTTCTGTGATAAAAATGCTCTTCAGTGTTTTATATGAAACAATGTCATTGTTTATATAGCATAGCTATCATCTAGTCATCTTTGATAGTAATTTATGAATTGTATTTATTTGTAAAACTTTGTACATGTAAAAAGACATAAAAGGCAAATGAGAGATTATTTAAATAAAAGTTACTAATGGAGGCAAATTGTCTTGAATTCTATTATTTTGACAAATAGATTGTCATACTGATATTTTTAGAATGGGGTTTTCTGTGTACTAGTGTCACAACCATATTTTCCATTTCAGTTTGGTGTCAGATACTCAGTTTGGTGTCAAATATTCAGCATTATGTGCCTGTCATCCATTATGAAATGTACAGTTTCACAGTATTCGAGGCTATTCTACTGTATTGGACTACTTAAAAAATGGTACAAAATAAAATATAATAAATATAACATAAATGTGTATACATTTAAGTTATTTAAGGAAATAGACATTTTTATGGAACCTTAAGCAAAGCAAAAAACCATCTTTCTCTCTTTGAACTTATACAATTATATATACAATATTTATTTTTAATCTAGGTTTCTATCCTGAAAGGCCGGTTCAATGATTATACTTGCAAATATGCCCAGGCATTTATGTCTGAAGTGAGTCAGCTGTGCACACATTTTCTCAAGCTGTGGGCCAGAGTCTGTTGAAGACGAGTACCTGGTTATTTCTGACATTAAAAAAGTAAAAAATTAAGCAAAATTTAGTATCTCCACTTGTTTGTACCACCGTTGTGTTTATGAAAAGATATGTGAGGTATAAGAGACTTTGGTGACCAATGAGTCTTCTCTCATGTTTTTCCTCGTAACTCTTTTGATTAGGAAACATCTAAGCATATTACAGCATAGAGCAGTTTGATGAAATGATGAAGTGAATTTCCATGTATCCATCACTCTCCTTTAAAGTTAACAACTTATGGTTAATCTGGTTCCAGCTATAATCATTTATTCCCCACCTATCTTATTATTCCCATTGCTTTTTACCTTTGGAAAGAGAACCGACATAGATGACTCAGGGCTAACATTCACATTGCCAGTCCATTGCTCTGCCTTGTATGTTGTGTTATCTACCCTGTGGATGGAAGGGTGAGGAAAAAAAAATCGTGAAAATAATGAAAGTTTCTAAACAAGTGTTAAATTTAATATTTTGAATTGTGAAGTGTCATATGTCTGATGTTAGATTTAGAGTTGGAATTGAATACTGTATAATTTTTCAAATTTAGTGTTGACTGCACAAAGACTGAAAGTTCTGTGAGATGGTATTATTTACCTCTTTATTAAGATGGCTTTTATGTTTTTGAAAGATTTTCTGTGTATTTTTCTTTCACTAAAAATTGTGAAATATATAAGTGAGTTTTTGGCATTCATAATATGATGTGGCTGAAATTATCCTTTGGATTTATAGAATGTACTTCAAGGTACCTTTTCATTATCCTCAATTATTGATTTCAAAAATCAGCTCATTTCAGTATCTCAAGTTTTTAGATATATAAAGGTGAATGGTAGTAGTTAAAAAGTGAAAGTGATTTTTTTTTTTTTCTTTTGAGACAGAGTCTTGCTGTGTCTCCCAGGCTGGAGTGCAGTGCGTGATGTGGGCTCACTGCAAGCTCCGCCTCCCGGGTTCACACCATTCTCCTGCCTCAGCTTCTCGAGTAGCTGGGACTACAGGCGCCCGCCACTACGCCCGGCTAATTTTTTGTATTTTTTTTTTTTTAGTGGAGACGGGGTTTCACTGTGTTAGCAAGAATGGTCTCGATCTCCTGACCTCGTGATCCGCCCGCCTCGGCCTCCCAGAGTGCTGGGATTACAGGCGTGAGCCACCGCGCCTGGCCGAAAGTGATTTTTGATAGAAGTTAGAAAACGTGTTTAACTGAGGTTACTCTTATAGTCAGTTCTAATCAGTATCACATTCCTGTAATAAATTTTAATATTAAAAATTTCTTTGGGCAGGGCACGGTGGCTCACATCTGTAATTCCAGCACTTTGGGAGGCTGAGATGGGTGGATCACTTGAAGCCAGGAGTTCGAGACCAGCCTGGCTAACGTGGTGAAGCCCTGTCTCTACTAAAAATACAAAATTAGCTGGGTATGGTGATACATGCCTTGTAATCCCAGCTACTCTGGAGGCTGAGGCACGAGAATCGCTTGAACCTCGGAGATAGAGGTTGCAGTGAGCTGACATTGCACCACTGCACTCCAGCCTGGGTGAAAGAGTGAGACTCTATCTCAAAAAAAAAAAAAAAAAAAAGAAGGAAAAAAATATGTATCTTTTTGTATATCAACATCCTTATTGATCTTGGCTAAACAAATTGTTGAAATAATTTGAAGAAACAAAATAAGGAAATAGTCTGTCAGGAGAAATAATATTTTTATGGCCCTCGGAGTAATTTTATTTTTCTTTTTATACTTGGTAATACATGTGTACAGAAAAGTATTCTAACCTGTAAGTCAAGTTCTTGTTTACCAACTCTATTTATATATCAAAGAATTTACAATTCTTGATAAAAATTATGAAATTAAGAAAAATCTGTTCTATTTGGCAACATTTACTGAGGATCTTTGATTTTTAAAAATTTTCTTTTAGGAAGGTGGGTAAATGGAGATGAAGCAAATGTAATAGGGTGTTACTAGTCCAAGAAAACTGGAATTTGCCAAAAAGAGGCTAATTGCATGGTGGAATATGTTATTTTATATAGCTACATAGTATATAGTTTCTTTTACGAATGCCACACTTAATTATATTGAAGCTTTGTAGCCTTGAGGAGACAAGGACCCAATGAATACCAGAAGGCACATTCCAATGACACTGCCAATATAGATATCCATACCTGTTGGTTTTATTTTTGCCATTTAGTTAATAGTATTGACAGGGTCCTAAGTATTCATGTAACCAGTTTAGAACTTTGATTCTTTAAGATCAGATCCTTAACAGAATTATTGAATATACTCAACTAATAATTGACTAAGTATTAAATAACTGTTTTGGAAGTTAACACATTTGCCTAACACGTGCCTTGTGACTAGTATACTCCTCAGTAGAATCTGACTTTAATAACTTTATTGACTAGTGTGTGTGTATGTGTAGTGCGTGTGTTTGAATGATTTGTTCTTATTTGGGAAATATCAATTTTAATTACTTTTAAAAGGTTTTCATACATTAGGCCCTATGGAATCAAGTTAAATTTTTCTTGTCATACAGGAGAACTAGAAAGTATTCAAATTAATTCTTTGTAAAATTAAGTGGAGCCTTTAAGTTACTAATCTTGGTTTTTACATTGTGTCTGCTGACATCACTGAATCTTTTAAGAACTTTTTTTTCTGAGTTGCATTTGTTTTAAGAAGGATGAAGCAAGGAATATATAATTATTGAATATAAACTTTCATATTTGTTTTCTCTTTTTTCCTTTTCTTTTCATCCGGAAAATGAATCCACATTTCTTTTAACAAATCCTCTTTCAGTTCTCTTTCTAACACGTTCTTGTCCGTCATTTTCTTCTACCTCTTTTCTCCCATTTGCTCTGCTGTGCTGTGCTTTGCTTTGCTATGCGCTGTTTCAGTTCTAAACCACCTTAGTGAACCCATTCTCTTCTTGCTTCATCCTCAGTTCTTTGGTCAGATGTTGCCTTTACACCTCTCAGTGTACTTCAGCTCTCCTTTATTGTTGATTTCTTGGCCTTTCTTTTTTGGATAGTTGTTCCACATTCCTCTGTTTGTTGCTCTGGGGTACTTTTAGAGAAATAGTTAATTTCTTTTACTCTGCTTCCTGTAGTGTGTAATGAGAAGAAATGAAAGCAACCATTGAAGGACAGATAACTGGCTCTTTAAAAAGGAATAAGGTAGTGCAGTTGACAGGTTATTTAAAGGGTTCCCAGCTCAGAATAGTTAAGTTGAAGGGCTAAATGGTTCCAAGAATGTAGAGAAAATGTCTCACTTAAAAAAAATTAACTTTCCAAAGTTGCAGGTAATATTAATATAGCAAAAATATCCGTGGAAAGTCCTGGATAGATTTTCATAGTTAAGATGATTATTATTTTTGTGTGTGTGGTCTTTGGTATTTTATGATAGAACACCTTTATCTTGGTCTCCAAATATCTTATGAAAAAGGCTTATTTAAAAATAAGTAATACAAATTAGTACAGTTTCTAAAGGAATCAGAAGCTGTCCCTTAATGTCTACCCACTTTTCAAAATCCATTTCCCACAATTTGACTTAACAGTATTTCATTTATAAACTCTGCTGTGCTTTTCTTCTCATTTACATTCAAATAATGCTATCTAATTTTAGTAAATTTATGTGAATAATTTATTAAGTGTTAATCTTTAAAGTTATAGAATGTGCATATGATAGGCTGGTATAGATTTTATAATTAATATAAAATTATTACTGTCCAAAAGTGATGAAAAAAATCTGTTTTTATAATGAAATGTTGAACTTCTTGATTTTTAAAATAATTTTTTTGGGGGAATGGTTTTTATTTTTACCAACTTCATGATTTCTGGGATTCCTAGTTTTAACTTATTTTTCTATTATTGAAGTTTATAAAAGTTGAAGGTACTTAGTGCTGCTTTTTTCCCTAAAACTTGCTCAGTTCATTTATATCCATTATGACCTTTTAGGAGACTGTATGAAAATAAAAACTTGGGATTGGTAGGTGGTATAATTGAAATGTAGATGATAATCTGTTCATTGTTTGTTTTACCAAATTAGTTAGGGATTCTGAGGATACATTTTGAATATTTGTGTATGTTTAGCATTTTGTCCCTTTGTTAGAAATCTCTCAGTGTGACTTGTTTTTAATAGGATGTGTCTTGAATTGTAGGCCAATCACTCCTGAAAAGTATTAAGCCCTTTAAACACACTGGTTGGACCCATAGAGGGAAGCCTACAGGTTTATTAGTACTCCTTATCCTGAAAGCACAGCATACCCTTTTAGGTTGCACAGCAACAGACTCCTAGCAACCGTAATAGATTGAATTTCTAAGAGTGACCAGGCCGGATGTAATAATAAAGCAAGAGGTACAAACAGTTGTCATGGTTTTCTTTTCACGGTAAGCTAGTTTGATTTGGGAAAGCTTAGCTTTTCAAAAATGGGCAACCTTCTTATAAAACTACTGCTGTTTGTGCACAGGACTTGTGGTATTAAAATAGCAATAATAGTACCAAATTTAAACAGCTACTGCTTAAAAATAATATACCCAAAATAACAACAACAAAAAAAGGATATCACGTAAAGAAGTTTTCAGGGAAGTATTTTTAAACAGTTTATCAACAACTTAAAAGTGTACTGTAGCAAAATAATGCTTTTTAGAAATAAAACTGATATTTGTGTTTTCTCACTCTTGCTGTGGCCCTCTGTTTCACTTTGCAGCAGCTCCTTGTAGTTTTATGTGATTCAAGGGATGTTCATATAAAACTGATGATTATGATAAACTTAAAATTTATCTAAGAAAACAGGCTATTTGAACTGTACATGAACAACATTTTTTGAAATTAAGAACTAATAAGTAGTGGAGCACAGAATTTATTAAAGAAGAGTAAAGTGTTAAAATATATAATCCTTTACAGCGACAGTAAAAGTATCGGTGATATTCCTAAGAGTGTAACATTGTGCTGTAAGTTAACATTTCTCCTTTGTGTCCTTTAGTATGTGATTGCTAATGTAGACGTGAAAAGGAGATTAATTCAGATACATTCACAACCTGAAACAAGATGCTTCCATCAAAAGAATCAGATCCTCATATAGCTGCTAGAGTTGGAACTACAGTCTTTGACAGCAATAAGCTGTAAATATACACACATGCTAATACCCTTGATTTGTTCATCTTTTGTGTCAGCATTTGGAAAAGATTGTTAAAGTGGCAGTTATAGTAAAGACGGGCAATTACAGTAAAGAGCAGAAATTAGGTATTTGTGACCTATTATATTTCATTAAAAGACTTCCTTATTAAAATGGCACTGCTTACTCTGATTACTTGACAGCTGCCCTAAACAGATTAGAAAATACACAGCTTCAGCTAAAGGTAAAATCAGCCTCTTTAAGCAAGCTTATGGCATAGAACAAGTAAATGGTATAGTGTAAGCAATTTTTTTGTAACACTTTTGCTTGAGGTAGAGATGTTTGTCAGTGATTAAGTGGTGTATTCTTTCACATTCCTGTAATAATAGTTTGTCCACAGTGGCATTTCCCATTGAGATATTTTTATACACCCATCTGATATCATACTAGTTCCTACTAGTATGAGGCATCCTAGTTCGAGAGATCAGCATGACTTCACCAAAAAATCTTTTTCCTGCTAAGTGATGAGTTACAGCTCCAGTTCAATGTAAATACTGCCTTTACCAGGCAAAAACTCTAATTTTTGGAAGTTTCACCACGAGGTTATCAGTTTTTTTCTTTATCCTTTAATAATCCACTGGAGCCACTGTGAATTTAATATTTAAATTTGGGCATCACTTTCAGAACATTTAATTGTTTGCTTATTTAGAGAAGAATTCCTTGTGGCACTTGTTACCTTCAAGATATTTCTATTTACTTTGTTATATAGTATAGTGACTGTAGCACTTTATAGAATAGTACTGCCTATCAATTGTTCAGATTGTAGTTTAGCAGTTAAGTAGCCTGAATTGGTACATATTGTAACATTTCAAGACTTTGTCACTATATTTCACATCACGAGGTATGGCATAAACACTGTAGATCAGCCTGTGAGTATCAAATCACAGCTCACTCTTGAAGACACAAACACAGGTTCAGTATGAAGCAGATTTGTGGGAAGATTACCTCCTGCAACTAATCTTGAATGTAGATTTTTGTCAGGACTGTCACAACATTAATAGAAGGCTTGTTGTAGTACTTGCATGGATCTGTGAAATTTCCACAAAGATGCAAACTGTGCTGTATGAGACAGTTGTATGCCAGTTCCACATACACAAGTATCTTTAACTTACATATTTAGTGTAATTTTTTTAATCTGATGCATCTTGCATGAAGTGTGTTAGCTTGCAAAATTGTTAGGGAAAAATGTGGGTTCTTTTGAATAAGGGAAACCAGAGTTCAAATCCTGGTTTTGTCATTTGATAGCTAATTATCCTTAAATAAGTTCCTTAACTGCCTTGATCCCAGATTTTTAATGTAAAAATGGGAATATTACCTGAAAGATAAAGTGAAAGGGAAAATGAGATAAGCGTATAGAGAGAGCTTAACGTGATAGTACAGAATTAGTAGTTGAACTGTGGAAGCTAGTATTCTTATTTTCATCTTTCTGGCTTAGTCTTTGTGGTATAGGATATGAGGAGAGTTTTGCAGGAGAGGGTAGCAGCTGAAAATAGTAACATGGCAGTAGACAATCAGAAACAAAATTGTTTTCAAAGAGGAATGTTATGTACTGTATGTTAAGTCATTTTCAGTATTGGTAAGTGATTAAGAATTCTTTAAACTTTTATAAAATGACCTCTCATTCAGATTTCAATCTTGGGGCAGGATCATTAAAGATTACAGGAGCAGTAATAGAAAAAAATATGCACTAAGAGATGAAATACTTACTACTTTGCACAAGGAGTAAAATTTCATTAACAGAACAAGTTTAGTTATTTTAGTAAATATATACAACGAGGCTCGTATTAAATAGCCTGTCTTTAAAATTTTCTTCCGTGTAAAAATCTGTATGAGCAGAAGTGACTAAACTGCCCAGGCTTGTGTAAGCACCTTACAATGTTGATATAAGAGAACTGAAAATGAATATAGCTTCTGCTTAGAAGCAGTAAAGTAACAGTGGAGTCACATAAAAGTTTGATTACCTTTGGCACTTTTTGGCCCACCCCTTAAAGCTATTTAATGTGCTCATCATTGATTTACAAAATATGGTTTATGTTTGAATATATTCTGTTGTTGCTTAAGTGACCATAAAGGCATTTAATTTAATTAGAAGGTAATATGTTTAAAAGAATAGAAGTGGTTTGAAATATAATAATGGTTTGAAGTAGCTAGTGTGATTAAACTGGTTTAGGCAGTGGCTATCCTATTTCAATTCTTTGAGGAGAGTAAATCCAGCCTAAGATTAATGAAAGGAAGAGGCACAGAACATGCTTAACATTGCCTTGATATTTTAAGAGTGGGAAGAAAACCAGGCTAAAGTGATACTTTTAGAGCCAGGGGAAACAGTACTTACACAGATATAGTTACGCAGATACAGTCTTTCAACTAAAACCACTAGCTGATTCTATTGTTCTGCACATTTTAAGTTAATCATTTTTTTCTTGAGTACAATTTATGTGTGCATATTATTAAGCCATTTAATGACATTTTAAAGAATTAAATACTGCCAAAAATAAATCCAGAAATGTTAAATTTCAGAGTTAAAATATATTCTATTGATAGCTGCCATTTTTTTACATCAATGAATATGTAATTCTGATGTATTTTGTGTGGTGCAATGTCTGACTTATGGATGGTACAGTACAGTTGACCACTTGTAGAAATGTAGAACATAATTTTACCTTTTATGCTTAATTGCATATTATGTCTAGCTCAGTGACGATTCATACATTAGCTTCATAAATTTTCTTGCTACATAGAATTTTTTTTTCCTAAAAATGGAGAAGTTCTTGCTTTATGGTTATCTTTTTTTCCTTGATATTCTGAGCACTTTGAATGGTTGAATAGGGGAAAGTATAATATATATATATACATATACATTAATATACATACATATGTAAATACATACACATATGAAATAGTGTGGACTTTCTTTTCAGGGCAATTTAAAGTTAGAATTCTTCATATTGATAGAATTACTAGGTGAGAAAAACTAATTAAACTACCAAACTTGTCCAGACTCTCACTATTGGTAAGGCCTTTTAACACCAAAATCTTTTATGCAAACTGTACACTATATATAAATGCTTCTCAAAGTGTGAATGGAAGACCCCTGGAGGCCCTTTTTCAATTCCCTGTGTGAGGCTGCATTTTCTTCATAACTTCAGACAAAACAGCAGATTGAGTGCAGAACTAGATGTGAGAATCTGTCTTCTATTAAGCAAGACATTAATGGATTTTATAAAAATGTACACCAGTTCCATAGTTATCAAATTTTATTTTGGAAAATTTAGATTATTTTATAATTTAAAAACATTAACATAGAATGATTACTATTATTTTAAATTAATGAATGTTTATTATATTTCTCTGTTTTATTTTCTAATCAGATGGGTATAGATAGATACAACTATGATTTACTGAAGCCTTACCAGCTGGAGAGAGCCACTGTTGCTCATCTCTTCTTAATTCTGCATTCAGAATGTCACATTTCTAGCTTGAAAAGTAGCCATTCCAGAAGTATACACACCATGGAAATTAGTAGAAATCACAAATCTGACTTTTTTTGGTGGGGAGGGAAAGAGTGGAATGTTGGTTTTAAACATTTATCAGTACATGACTGGATATAACACATCCCAACAAAAGTTCTTTGGGATTCTCAAAAAATTTAAGATCTGAAGGGGTTCCAGGTCAACAACTCTGCTTATCACAAAAGAACTGCTGCTTGTTACTATACTATGCAAATTTAACACCAGAGTCTATGCAAATATATGATTGAGGCAGAATTTTCAGCCAGGTACTCTGTCTCTAGAGCCACTTTACCAGTCTTTTTTTCTATAGTGTCTTCTAACAAGATTAATTCCACAAAGTGATTTGAAGTTAAAAGATACGTGATATCTTCTGTGGCTCTCATCATACTAAGTACATAGATTAATTACTTGTTGACTGCTTTGAGACTATCAGTATTATGGGGGTATAGAAAAATGGAAAGAAAAAGGGTTATGGGCTTGAGTGGTTAGGGAAACCTTCAGAGATGAGGTAAAGCAGGACATGGATCTTAAAAGGTTGTTTTGGAGGTTTATTGGCTGTGAGGAAGAGGTTAAGCATACAATGGCATAGAGGCAAGTATGATTTTGGTATAAAGAGTTGGAAGAGCTTGTTGGGAAATTGTGAAGCAGATGGACTGGAAAGGAAATGGCTTAGGATTTGGACCTTAACTAAGTTTATAGGATAACCAGCCAGTGTGTGTGTGTATGTATGTATATATATATATATATATATATATATTTTTTTTTTTTTTTTTTTGAGATGAGTCTCGCTTTGTCGCCCAGGCTGGAGTGCAGTGGCGCCATCTTGGCTCACTGCAAGCTCTGCCTCCTGGGTTCACACCATTCTCCTGCCACAGCCTCCTGAGTAGCTGGGAATACAGGCGCGTGCCACCACGCCCGGAAAATTTTTTGTATTTTTAGTAGAGATGGGGTTTCACCATGTTAGCCAGAATGGTCTCGATCTCCTGACCTCGTGATCTGCCTGCCTCGGCCTCCCAAAGTGCTGGGATTACAGGTGTGAGCCACCGCGCCTGGCCCAGTGTATATTTTTTAAAAATGGATCACGTGTTTAGATGAAAGTGGCCCTTTAGGGAGATTAATCTGGCACATCTGTGTAGGATAGATAGCAGAGTGGATCAGAAGTCAGGGGAACCTCTCTCAATCATCTGAAAGGAAGCATATGGTACAGAACTTGGGCTTTTAATTGAGAAAGACTTTGGTTGAAATCCTTTTTCTGCTAGTCTTTTACTTTCAGTTCATGGATAAGATGTAGATAACAACTAGCCAGTGGGGTTGTAAATATTACTGAGGGTGTGAAAGAGCCTACAACAGGTTAGATGCCTGGCACCATGCTAGGACCCTCAGTAAATTATTATCAATACAACATTTATGACTACTACTACTATAATAATAATATTGTTATTATTTGATGAGTTATAATGAAGATTCAGGCTGGGCAACCATCCTTGTAAATAGGATGTGGGGAATCAGGCCCACCCCGACACCAATAAGAGCAAGAATACAAATGAAAGCTCACTCACTATATTTCTCCATACTTAAATGTTGCATATCAGTAAAGAAGTGGTTAAATCAAACATCCTCTGACCTCCTAACTTGACCAGAAACAGCTTTATAATGAGATAAATGACCACTTAGAATTCTCAGATTTTTTTAGCAGTTCTGTTCTAGAGCATAGTGGCAAAGGGAGAGCTGACCCTTTGTCACCTCATCTGTGTCCTGCAGTCTACCTCCATTTTTCATATCCTGGGCTCTTTGCCATAGCATGCCCACAAGATCATCCTGCAGGCAATGTTGCCCCACCCCTTGCAAGCTATCTGTTGACTACCCTGTAGGCGTAGAGTTGAGTATGCCTGAATCTCCATCTGTCATGAGGAGTATAGTCAAGAACTTTGCATGGGAATTTGGGGTCCTGGGAATGTGCTGAAGTAGAGTCTGAAGGACTCGGGGAGCATGGCCCTGGGCTGTGCAGACTTCTTGCCTCCCAAGGAGGTACCTGGCCAGAGGGCCAAAGCAAGCTCTCTAAAGTGAGTGGCCCAAGGGCAATGGGCCCTCTCGCCTGAGTCTCACGGTTGTGCTGGAAGGGACATCTGACATGAGTGTCAAATGAGCAGGGCTTATTTACTCTTAGTTATGGGGTATGAGAAAATGTGAGTGAAAAAAGATGAAAGATCACTGGGTTTCAGGAGAATTATGGAGCCACTGAGAAAGTAGGACAGTATTTGGGAGTTGGTAGAATGGGACCTGAATGTAGAATAGCCATGTTTTGCTCACCGTTATATCCTCCAGCACCTAATTACCTTCTAGCACATTGCCAAGCATCTAGTACTGATTCAATAAATTTTGAAGGGCAGAGTAGATATTTTGAATAGTTGTGCCAGAGATGAAAATAAAGTCATTGTAGAATATAGAAAGAAACAAGGAAAATAAGGTCTTGTGGGTGAGGCCAATGTAGCACTTTGGATTGTAGGTAGATAGCATCGATTAGCATGGTCATCTGTAAACTATTAGTATGGGGAGACTGTATTATATATTTAATTTTTGTATGTGTGATACCAAACAACTAGTCTTTCTTAAATGAATAATTGAATAATATACAAGAAGGAACTTTTAAGAAATGAATTGGATTTTAAAGTTAAGATGAGTGACAGAAATTTGTATCATCAGTAAACTGGTATACCTGAGGAAGTTGTAATCATAAAAAACAAAGAGATCCTAAGCAACTGTGGTTTTTGCTCACAATGAGATATGAAACAGTGAAAGATATGTTCAAAGAATAGGTTTTATTTGTAACCTATTTGGAAAGAAGAACACAGATGACTGTAGACTGGCCTAAAATTTTCACTTGATATTTGCAAGGTGTATATAGGGAAAGGTAGTAGGAGAAAAGGATTAGAAGTAATGGAGTAGGGTGAATTATAAACATTTATAACTGCAGATATGTTTGACTCATGTTGCTCAAAATTGTTAAGAAGTATTGTGTAGTCGTTTAGTTAATAACATATAAGGCCTCATGTCAGAAAATATACTGAGAGTAAAGTAAGAAAATGTAATAATATGGTTAAAATTGCCAAATTCTTTTCGAGAATCCAAGTGTGTTGATTATTGTAGATTATTACATTTTTGATGTATCTGGTTTGTTATCACCTAAATACACAGCAAACACCTGTGATTGTTTTAGTGATCCTTGTCCTGTCTTCTTCAAGTAATCTCAAATATGTGTATTTAGACTGTTGCCTATTCATATATACTCAGCTGTGCCTGTTTGCTTTGTTACTTTTCTATGTCTAATGGAGCAATATAAAAATTTATGGCAACTGTCACTTAATGTCACCTTTACCTTTAAAGAAAAAAGGTAAAGCCAAATCATGCCGGGTAACTACGATGCTCTTTATAGTTAACTAAATTATCAGATATACGTTGTAATAAGTTGATCTCTGATATCATGGGCCAAATTTAGGGAACATACATAAACACATACATGTAAGTATGTTTGTATATCATTGCTACTCCACATTTACTTTATTAGCCAATAAAGATCATTAGTTTAAAAATAACTTGTGTATTCTCCTTCCTTGAACAAAAGATCTTTCTTTTAAAAATTTCTATAAAACTAAATTATTTTTAAGGAATGAGCAAATGCATGTCAGCTGCTAAATCATTCTCACTTTTGCTTCTCTACAAGAAATTAGCAGGGTGATTTTCAGAATTGTTTGCTCTCTCATCTTCACAGTTTAAAAGCACATATTCTTTTAAAGAATGCTTTTTCTGAGATTTCCCCTAATTTATATTTCTTATTATTACAATACTATGATTATTCTTTGAATTATAGTTCTTTGAAAACTAAAAATTCTCTCATGTAAAATCAAAAACAGTATCTTTTTTGGCTAAATCAGAAACATCTAAAAATATCAGTGCATTCATGTGAAGAAATACTTCTAAAATAATTCAGTTATGTAATTAATATAATTAATACTTATCTATAAACTTAATAATTTTAAATAGTCACATGGCTTCTACATATCAAAAAATTCATTTTTAATGTGAACTAATTGTTCTTGCTTTTAATATTTTAGGCCACTTGGTCATTCTGGCATTTTATGGTAGAGAATACGTTGAGTTTGGCTCTGGAAGGAATATGAGGTAATTTGAACACATGTTCTTTATAAATAATGAACTGTGTGTACATAATACAGAGTATTTTCAGATGTCATATATGGAGTCTCATGTCTGAATTTTTTCAATAGTAATTTTCTTTTTTCATATTTTGATGTTTTTCCTTTCTTGATGGTTGGCAATAGTTAATATGGTGAAGAACTTTATTTTCTATCACTACTATATATGTTTTCAAGAAAACAGTATTATTTACATAGTTATGTGTTTTCAGTTTATATTTTTAAATGCTTCAGTTAACCTAGCTTTCGGTGGTGCTGTAAAAACCAGAAGAGAATTCCTTCCTTTCCACCTACCAACTTCCCATCCCAACCAATCCTGCCCCAGGTAGGATTAAGGTCATGCTGCATTTAAAAGTCATAACTGCCACACAGAGTTTTATAGAGGAACAATAAAGAAAGAGCACTGGAACTCCAATAATGTAAAATTTTCAGGCACTACTCAGAGTGCTTTGAGAGCACAAATATGAGACTCATAGGTTAGTCTTTTCCTGTCCTTTGATACCCATATGTGACCCTGTGTGATGTATGGGTTTGTCATTCTAAAATGGCAGTCAAATAAGTGTATATGCCACATATATTTTCATAGTGGTTTCATAGACTAAACATTAAGCCTATATCAAAGGAAGTTTCAATTAAAGGTAGAAAAATAATAGTTGACTTTATGAAATTAAGCCAATGATACAGTAGCAGGCTTATCAGTAGATATTAAGTATTTGGTAGAGTAATTGGTTAATATACTGCTGATGTCATAATTCCCCTACTCTACTACTCAATAATAGTTTTGTTATGTAGGAAGATGCAGCAGCTTGTTTGTGTGAACTTCTGCTTCCACTACAAACAGTACTTTAAAGACAGGCCTTCCACTGCCATTCAGAAAGGTGAAAAAAGCAGGAGTCAGGGTGGGGTGGATAGGTGGGAAGGGTGTCAGAGGGATAGGCATAGTGTCTGTGAGTACTTGTAAGCTGTCATCATTGGTCTTTGAGGTTATGTTTGCATCCAAATTACTTCCTTACCTTTCCAAAGAGTTGAAATGCAATTGCCAGCCCATTGAGGATGATCAAACATTGCTATTTTAATGTTTCTTAATTTTTAATAAATGAAGCTTATATTATTAAAATTGGTATTATTTAAAAATAATCATGTGATTTACTTTTTTTTAAGCATGTATAATCTGGTAAATTTTTGAAAAGTATTAATAATTTATCTTTAAATACTACACTTTAATTTCTAAGTTCTAAAAATTGTGTTCATGTTGTTTCAATCAAAGATGTGATGATGAAATAGAATCCATCAGTCTTCACAGGGAACAAGGTACTCCTTATTTCAATTTGATATATGGTCTTTGTTTTAGCAGCCATGGAGGATACTCTAGTTTCTTTGGGAAGATAAACACTCAATCTGCTAGTTAAGAGACAAAGCTCAAGAGAAATAAGCTGAAGCTGTAACCTCCATTTCAAACTTGTGGTTCTGCGTAAGTCCTCTGTAAAGTACATCAAAAATTCCCCTATGCATTTTCTACAATTTTATGGATATAAGGTTGAAAGAGAAATTGAGTAGTTTTGTGTCTAAGGCCTTGACAACATTATTTATAGTTAGTAATTGCATTTATGTATAGAAGTTACAATTTCAGAGTTACAATAATCTTTATCATAGGTAGTATATTTAAAGGGACTTAGTACTAACTCTTTTAAGTAGTTTTCCTAGGAAATAATTACAGTTTTATTATATTTCTCAAACCATTTGAGTTGTCTGTGTCAAACAAACCAGTTGGACGTTCTTTTCCCTTATCACTGAGTTTTCATGATTGAAGATATCTGACTATGGACATTGATATTATACCTAATAATTGTGAATCTTTTTATGGATTTGCAGAAAAGCGTTTCCATAGTATACTTTTATTAAAAGTACTTACAAACTTATTTATCAAAAATAGTTTAGAGGAAATTAATCAATAGATGTGTTGGTGAAGTCCTTCTCTTGGTAAAGTAATAGGAAATGAGCTTATCTTAAATTATCTGAGAGAAGCAGTAGAGAACAATTCTATATGTGTTTCTCCTTCCCTCTTTTTCTCTTTCAATTTGATTTTTGGACCTCTTTTCATTTTGATAACATTAAACTCCTTTGTAGTATGTGAAGTAAGGAAGTATCTTGGGAACGGGAGTGGTAGGAAAAGAAGCACGTTTATTTTAAAATATTGCCTAGCCTATAGAACAGTAATTATAATACGCCTCATATTTTCAATAGGTCATGCTACACAAAGGTCATGCTTTACAAAGCTCTTTTGTGTGTAGCATCTTATTTAGCTTTTCCCAACAGTAAGTTATATGGGGAAGGAATTGTTTCCAAATTTAGGATGAGGAAACTTGAGATAGAAAGGTCAAGAAACACTTTTCCAGATCTTTTGACTCTTACTCTAGAATTTGTATCTACTCTATTAATAATTTTTAAATCATATTTTTAATAACTTGAATTTTCAGGGGACACCTTTGGAGGGATAATTGGAAGCAGAGCAGGTCCATTTTTGTCTTTTCTTAAATTAGGACTCTGAGTAGTACTTTACTGGGAGACAGGGTTTCGAAGCTGCTCTCTATATTGCTTTTCTAGGTGGAAGGACTGTAAATTAGAGTAGTAATCTATACCTCTCTTTTTGTTATTGCAGTTGCTAGAAGTGATGATCAAAGTTATATGCTGCTTTTTCTAATGGCATCGTGGATATAGAAATAAGAATTACACTCTTGGCAGTTTACTTTACTTTTATTGCTTTCCAACTAATAGTTTCTGACTTAATACTGTACACAGGATATACAAGTTACTAACCTTTTACCAGGGCCAATAACAATTGGTCTTTAAAGAGTAGTATAGTTTTAAAAATGTAAATGTGAAAAATTATAAAAATCAAAATAGAAACTGTCCATATTAAACATAGCATGTCTTGGGCTTAAAATGACATTAGTAAATATCCTCATTCTTTGTACAGCTTAAAATATTGCTTGAATTTCATAACCCCAAGCCTGGTATTTAATTAAGTACATTGGTTGTTAAAAGTAATTTCCATAAGCTATTGTCTGTTTATAGAACTTTGAAAATTCTAGGCCGGGCATGGTGGCTTGTGCCTGTAATCTCAGCACTTTGGGATGTCAAGGTAGAAGGATCCCTTGAGCCCAGGAATTGGAGACCAGCCTGGGCAACACAGGGAGAGGCTGTCTCTATTAAAAAAAAAGAGAAAATTCTAGGTTATGATAGCATTTATGAGTAATGGTAATAGTTTCTAGAAATGGCTCCCTTTTCATATTGTAGAATTCTAGAGTCTTTGATAATAATGAGTTCCAAAATATGTTTTCACTTTACCCAAATGTGCATTTAAATCTTATTGTAACAGTCTATGAAATTACTTATGTGCACATAGAAAATAAATCGTATCTGGGGCCCATCAAAAACATGATAACGTTTAATAAGGGTTAGAAGTTAATCACACAAATTCGAAGTAACTGTTTAGACTCAAATCATAGCATTCTACAAATTGAATATGTATTAGCAATTTTGTACTTTTAGATATGAGCATGAATCCGGAGTTTAATATTCAAAAGCTGGTGATTATTATTTTTCTTTAACTTGGTCTTTGAGCATTTAGTTGAGAGTACTAAACTAAACACTCTGAACTAATAAAGTTTCATTATTTTGTCCATAGCTTATTCTGGACATAAAGCAGTTGGAGAGACACTGAAAAGGGCAGAAAAAATGGGTATTGACAGCAGTGAGAAAAGATTGGAGCCATGGAAACTATTTTGTATAGGAAAGGAGGGGAAAGAACTTAAAATTAGTTTTCAAATTTATTTGTATTTCTGTTTACTCTTTGTTCCAAACTCCCAGCTAAAATCGATAAAAGCAGCATAATATGTTAAAGAGAGCCGTAACTTGTTGCCTTGAAAGCTTTTAGAAAGGGTGATTTTTATTTGTCATAAAAAAGACAGTCCCTAAAAGTTCACTGGGCTCTGGAGTAGGGTAGAGAGGGATATTTGGTAGGTCATACCCCACAAAAATCTTTTAAGACCAGAATAGTTAGTAATTCATCTAAATAATATCTGTATTATTCTTTTTTTTTTTTTTTTTTTTTTTTTGGTTTGAGACAGTTTCACTTTTGTTGCCCAGGCTGGAGTGCAATGGGATGATCTCGGCTCACTGCAACCTCCGCCTCCTGGGTTCAAGCGATTCCCCTGCCTCAGCCTCCTGAGTAGCTGGGATTACAGGCAATGCGCCACCATGCCTGGCTAATTTTGTATTTTTAGTGGAGACAGGGTTTCTCCACGTTGGTCAGGCTGGTCTCGAACTCCCGACTTCAGGTGATCCGCCCACCTCGGCCTCCCAAAGTGTTGGGATTACAGGTGTGAGCCACTGCACTCAGCCAATATCTATTATTCTTAAAGTCTTTACCAGGTTTAAAGTTCTTGGATTATAATTCTGATGCTAATTGCTTGGAAATGTATTGCTATGTATTTATGAATATTCTCTTATAACTAAAGATGATGCATGTAATTTTTGCAGATTTTAAATTGTTTTTCAGAGATAAACTAAGATAAAAATTACAAGTTCATTTCAAATTTGGGATTATAGACAGAACTAAAATTCTTTTATTCTGAGAGAGATTACAAATTCCGTATTATGTACACTTTAAAAATAATTGATAACAAATACAGAGGGAAGCAAAAAATTAGTCAACAATGTTAGAATGAAGCAGTATCCTTTGGCAAAGTGGTCTAGCGTAAGCAGCTCATGGCTTTTTGAGTGAGTCAAACCTGAGTTTGACTATTGGTTCACTCACTTACTAATTCAATATTCTTATGTAACATGAGGACATTAATTGTTACCTTGAAGACTTGTGAAAATTAAGTAAAGGACTTATGCAAAGTGTGTAATCCAGTGCCTGGCACAGAATAGTGCTTCAGAAGTAATAGTTTCATTCATTTCTTATATAAATGTAAAAGTTTCTTCAGTAGATTGGGTTAGGAAAAACCAATAGAACAGGGAGGTGGTATAGGGGCAGATTTAACTCCAGTCATTTCCAAGGGGAAATGGTTTTCAGTATGTTTTTTATTTTTATTTTTTGTATTTACTATTAATTTAATTAATTTTGTTTTGAGATAGGCTCTTGCTCTGTTTCCCAGACTGGAGTGCGGTGATACCGTCATAGTTCACTGAAGCCTTGAACTCCCTGGCTCCAGCAGTCTTCCCGCTTCAGCCTCCTGCCTGAGCCTCCCAAGTAGCTAGGACTAGAGGTGTGTCATCATGCCCAGCTTTTTTTTTTCCTTTTCTTTCTGTAGAGATGGGGTGGGGGGGGGTGTCTCCCTATGTTGCTCAGGCTGGTCTTGAACTCCTGTCCTCAAGTGAGCCTTCCTTTTTGGCCTCCCAAAGGGTTAGGATTACAGGTTGAGCCACTGCACCCAGCCTTTGTTTACTATTTAACTGCCCAAATTTTACTATATTCTGTGGTAGGCAACAAAAACTTAATTGCTTTATTACCTTAGGGAGAAACCAGTTTTGGTCCTACCTTGATTAAAAATCTTCAAAAACTTGATCCGCTTTTAGTAAGAAAGCTACACAGAGTTGTAAGTAGAAAACCACATGTGAAGTAGAAAATACTAAATGTTTTCAGATACTAACTTCTGGAGAAACTCCCATCTATCAAAAGGAAGTAAATGTGTACTTAAGAGTTAAATGTGGCAGATACATTATTTTCTTGCAATTTATGGTTAATCAGCTCTCATTTTGTTTTATTTTGATTAGCGTAGTTATCTTAGGTCCCTCTGACCACTCCTCATCCCTACCCACCCCTTTCTCTGTAAGTCTACTGACTCCTTTAGCTACCTTGCATTGTCTTGTATTTCATACACTAGCTAGCTAACATTCATAACAATAACTAGTATTTATTAAGTGCTAGTTGTGTGCCAGGCACTGAGGTAAGCACCTTATATGAACTCATTTAATTTTTATGTGCTGTCTCCGAGGGCAGTAGGTTCTATATATCCATGATCTTTTATATTCATTTCTGAAATTCAAAGGGTTTGAAAATGGTTTCCTATATTTATAGCAAACTAATTTGGCTGAAAAACCTGAACTAAGTGAGATGAAGCTATGTAAAGGTCTTTATATATCCTACATCTGCAACATTGTTTTTATTTTTTGCTACAGAAACATTAGTGTGTATGATTATGAGTTGCTGCCCTATATTCACCTGGGATGTTATATATATATTTGGTATTCACAAAATTCAAAAAATTTTGAGTTGTGTAATATATCTGGCCCATAGATTTAGAGTAGGGGGTGGTGAACTTGTTTCGTTACTCCATTTTTGTAGATGAGAAGGTTTATACTAGAAGACATGAGGTAAATTCCCAAGTTTATAAATACTATGTTAAGATATCAAGTAATTTACTCAGGTAATGCATGTATAAAATCAGACTCAAACCCAGCAGTTTACCCCAGAAACCGTATTCTTAAACTAGTGTTGCCACGGCAAGATTGGCACTGGTATGTATGTCTTCAACTGATACAGTTGCTGATCTTTACTAATAGAGGAAAGCATATACCTGGATATCTATAATCTGGATTTCAATGTGAATTATTGTGCTTTTATAAGTATCTTAGGTATCAATGTGTCTGATTATAGAGTTCCCCTAAGTATAACAGAGCCCGGCCACTATGGCCTGTCTTAGGTAGAGGTAGAATCTGGTTTCTCTGTTGTCACTTCTTTTCCCTCCTTTGTATTATCTGTGTCTCATTCAGTGCCATAAATTGCATATATTGGTTTTATTCAACAAATATTTATTTAATACCTGTTATGCAGTAGTCTGGAAATACAACATTGAGCAAGAAAATGGTACCTGTCTCAACAGGGACACTATTGTTATTATAGATTGGACATATCTTGGTGGGGTACCCCATGTTGCAGCATATTTGGCATCTCTGGGCCAAAATGGCATTAGAATCACTCCCCTCCCTGCATCATTGTGACAACTAAAATGACCCTAAACATTTCCCAAAGTCTTCTGTTTGGGGGTCGGGTAGTGGTGTATCTGGGTGATACTCAGGCTCAGCCCTGAGAGTAGTAGCTGCCCACTTGCCTGCCCATCCACTATCCAAGTGGAATAATTGATTTTAAGTATTTATTTTTGCTGAATCCTGGCATAATGCAAAATAAACAGCTGAGAGATCTATGAAGCAAATAGCTAAACTGCTTATACTCTTGGTACAATGGCTAAACTCAAAAGCAAGATTGGTTGTGGATAGTCTACCCATAGCTAATTGAGAATTCCCATTATACTGTGTAAATAATAAGCATAAGTTAATAAGCTCCCAAGTGGACATACCAAGTGATGCTGGATTTTTTTTTTCAGTTACAGAATCAAGGTCTCTAGGCCCTTACATATGCAAGTTATTCAAAGACATATAATATAGCACACTTAGCATATCTTGTAACACTTATACATATCTGTTTCATTTTCATTTTTAAGTGACATTTTACAGTAAATTCCCAGTTCTAATATATGTGAATAGAAACAACTATGAGGGTTTTATGATTTTGAATCCATCGTTTGAAAAAGGAATAAAATGTAAATCTTCATTCAGTATCCATATCAGCTGCTTTTTGGGCAATATTTTATATTAAACGTAATTAACATTCAAAGTTCACAGAACCTGTTCATGCTTATGACAGTTGACATTATTTTAAGTGAAAACAATTTTATTAAATTGCAATTATAAAAGTTTATATATGCTTAATGGGAAGCATTCAGAAAATACAGAAACGTACAAAGAAAGTAAAAATATGTATGTTCTTGTGCTCACAGATGACTACATATCTGCTTGAGCATTATTGTCATGTCTTCTCGGGATTTCTCCGTGAGTGCATATGTGCTCACTCTGGCACTCTTGGGTGTGCTTCTGCTTGTGTGTGTATGTGCTCTTTTCTCCTACAAATCAAAGTTTATTATGAAAATTGGGTCATACCATTTTTTTTTTACTTTCACACTCATATTTTGAACATCTTTTAATGGTAATGAATAAAATTTTGTATCTTTATTAGCATTGTATGTATGTATCATGTATTTAAACAATTCTCTACGTAGACATTTGGGTGGTATCCTATACAGTATTTTGGCATGTATGTGCATCTTTGTGTAGCTGTCCAATTATTTTCTTTATATGAATTCCTAGGTGTGGAATTGCTGAGTAAATGCTGGGTACATTTAGAATATTTTTATCAATTATCAGAGTGTTCTCTAGAAAGGTTGTACCATTTCATATGCCCAGCAATAATGCTTTAATGTTTTGTTTCTTTGTTTACTCTGACACTGGATATAATCAGTCTTTTTATTTATTTTTTTTATTTTGGCAATCGAATAGTTGAATAAATCTATTTGAATTTGCATTTCTTCAATAACTAATGACAAAAATACAAAGAATTCATTAGCTGTTCATATTTCTTTTGTTGAGTTTCCATTTATATCTTCCATCTGTTTTTCTGCTGGGCAGTTTCTTTTCCTCTTCTTAAATTTCAAGATCTCTTCATATTATAGGATATGGAAATTTGTGATCCATAATGCACCTTTTTTTTAGTTTAAAAATATGATTCTTTTTGTTTTAGTGATTTTTGTATGTAATTTTTTTTTGCTTTTTATTCCAGTTGATGTCCCCACATTATAACATGATCATTATAATTCAAAATAATTCATTAGATAGGTTAAATATTAGATTTTTTTTTTTAAAAAATGTACTTTTCAGATGGGAAACTATTTTCTTGATGTGGAAGGTTAAATTGTTCATGTTAGTTAGATGTGTTTGCTATGATTACAGTTTTAATAGCTGTATATAAAAATAAGGATTGTGAGAGAGAAATCCTTTGATATATTTGAACAACGTTGCATTAAAGCCAGATAGCCTTGGCTTTATTTGTTCTTTAATTTATCCAACAAATATTTATCAAGTGCCTATTAGGCATTAGATGCTAAGAATGGATTTTTCATTTGCTGGCTGTGTAACTATGGGCAGGTTACTTAAAGTAGCCAAGTGTCAGTTTCTTTATTTGTAAATGAGGGATAATACCTACCGTATTGAGTTATTGTAAGGGTTATAGATTATCCAAAGTAACCAACAGCACCTGACATATAATTGGACAATAATAAATTGTAGTTAGTGTTATTATTCTTCATAGTAACAAAACATAATGTAATTTTAGCTTGCTATTATATATAATATTGCTGTGGTAGTCATTTAGCATATAGGGTAATTGATGATGGTTATAATTTTATTAATAGGGAGGAGAATGGAGCCTAGCTAGGTTGATTATACTTACCATCCTGTCAGCTAAATAATATTTCCTTATATTTGTATAGCAGTTTACAGCTTTCAAAGCTCTTATTTATTCTACAGCGTTCCTCTAAGACAGGCAGGGCATGTATAATTTTTCCTGTTTTACAATACAGCAGCTGAAGCTTAGAGAGATTAATTGACTTGTCTAAGGTCATATGGCTTTTAAGTGATTAACAGGTTCCACTTATAATTAAGATTCCTGGTGAACGTAGATTGACTCTCATTGTGGGAAAGAACAGAGAATAGAATCTGACTATAATTGCTCAGTCTTCAAGCTTTAGCCATTTTATAGTTTCTTGTGGTTGTGTCCATTCCAGTCATCTGAACATTGGCCTGAATGTTTTAGTTGTCTATTACATTGATGGCATTCATGCTCGTGTGAAGTCACTTTCCTTTCAGTTTGGGTTGGGCCTGTAGCTTGTTTTAACAAAGAGAATGCAAAGGGATTAAAGCTCTTCCAGGTCTGGGTGCAAAAAGGCCCGACAACTTATGCTTTTGTGTTTTCGAGAGAGAGGATCATCATGTAAGAATCTGACCGTTCTCCTAGAGAGACCCAGTGGAAAAGAGGCCACATGGAGAGGGAGAATTTCTGAGATTACATGGAGAGAGATGCTTAGCCATGCTAGTATCCTAGCTGATCTCATTTCTCACCTGCTGGCTGAAAGCAGTAGTATGAATGACCACCAGCAAGATGACTGTAAGAACTGCCTAGTTGAGCCCTGCTCAGATTGCAGAATTATGACCAAATAAAATGGTGGTTGTTGTGCCAGTAAGTTTTGGGGTGGTTTGTTACACAACAAAAGAAAAGCAAAAGAAACATGCGACAATATTCTTGAAAATAAAAGCCTTGCTAAAAGATGTTTACTTTTCTCGGCCTACCTTGACAGTTTTGGTCTTTCCTTGGCTTGCCAATACCAGCTAACAAAAGAGAAATAGTAATGAACAACTCTTTTCTCTTCCAGAAGCCCGCGATTTTGGCCTATACTTGGGTGAATCTGAGGTAAACTCAATCTCTGTTCTGAGTCTCTTCAGAGAAATCTCAAGAGATAGGGTTGCCTCCTAAGTCAAGTATCTGATTCTTCTTTTCTGTCGATTTCCCACTTCCAGTTTTCTGTGGTTTTAAAAAAATTTCTTACTATCAGAGTATAGTTGGTTTTGGCCTCAGTCAGCCAAGTAAGACAAGATGGACTAGGCTTTCCTCCTCACTTTTACTTGTTTCTGTTGTCCCCAAAAGATTTGAGAGGCCGTTTAGGACTGAGAGTGGCTCTGAGACCAGTAATCACCTTTGTTTTTGATGATTCACATATTAGTTAACAGGAAAGATGTGATAAATTGTTTATGCAGTTTATTTTTTCCTGTCTCACAGATCTGTTTCACTCTCATTTAAGTACTGAAATACAGATTTTTTTCATAAGTTTCTATTAGAGATAAGAATCAGTGATCTAAAAATTTTAAGTATATTTTTAAAAAATCAAACTAAGTGAGGGTTTGTTTTTTTTGGTTAAGATCTTTTTGTCCTGAAAATTATAAATTCAGAATATTACAGAACTTGATCAACTTCCAGAATGGTGGAGTGAGGGCCTCAGTGAATTTGTGCTGCCTATACAACAACAAAAATATGGGTAAAATAATGAAAATCAGCCATTTTAGAATTCTGGCAATTAAGCAGGAGTATGAATTGAAAATCATCTGTCCAAGAGAAAACTAGTGAATCTTGGGAAGACCAGTGGGGTCTGCGATATTTTAACTTGGGGTTATTCTCATCTCTCTCTCCAGCTTAGTGGTGTAGCTAAAAGCTGGCAGTATTGCAGACAATGGAGAGAGCTGACCACTTCTGGAGCCCCATTGAAGGCACTATCCCCAGAGCACAGTTAATATTTTGTCCCAACTTGCAGCTCCCTGGGAAAACTCTTTTCAGAGAGAGTGGCTGGATATTTGATTTGACTCTGAACTCAGCTCAGTTGGGGGAAGAAAAAGCTTACCCCCAGGGCATTACTGAAACAATAGCAAACTGTTGGCAAAATGTCAATTGCCTAAGGCTGTGATTTCAGTTGAGGCAAAGGAAGAATCTGGCCAGGAATTTAAAAGGAAAGTCTGGAGAACTAGCCAACTATAGGGAACTTTGGAAAGCTCTGGCATATTCCTGGGTATTTAAAAGGCTGTACAATGTGCAAGTCTGTACACATGCCCGGAAATGACCTGGGAAAGGAGAATGTCACCTCTGACTGATCTTGAGGCACTGTGTAAGCAGGAAGTGAAAATCAGTGCTATTTGTAAGCTTCCTGAAGTTTGAAGGTATGACTTCTCATGAAGATTTCTTTGGCAAAAGGTAGAAGACATATAGGCAAAGCATTTAAGGAAATCTTTTAAATGATCATTGGTTGACTACTACATTTTACTGGTCCAGGTATGACTTCTTGGAAGCCAGGCTTACAAATAAAAACAAGATCCTAAAAAAAAAAAAAAAAAAAGTTCTAGCAGAGAACTCGGTGGCCACACACTACGGGGAATACAGGATCTGTAAAATTCGTTCATGAAAGTACTAAAGAATCAGCATCAAGAAAAACAACACACTGATGATTAAAAAATTTAGGGGAATAATGTGGAGCAATCTGATATGAGATTTGTTAAAATATATTACCTAAAATGTTCAGTTTTAACAAAAATTGAGAAATGCAAAGAAACAGGAAATAAAACACACAGAGACAAATAATAAAAAACGAACAAAAAAAGTCCCTGTGGGAGCCTAGATTTTAGACTTTGTAGTCTTTAAGTTAGCTATTACAAATACATTCAAAGAACTAAATGAAACCATGTCTAAAGAATTAAAGGGAAGCATCAGAATGGTGTTTCACCAGAGAAAGAGTATCAATAAAGATAGAAATTATTAAAAAACAAGGAAGTTCTGGAGCTTAAAAGTATAATAACTGAAATGAAAAATTCACTAGAGGAGCTCAACAACAGATATAAATTGGCAAATGAAGGAATCTTTTAACTCGAAGTTAGGTCAATAGAGATTGTTCAATGTGAGGATCAGAAAGAAAAATGAACAGAGTCTCAAAAGACTTATGTGACTCCATTAAATGTTGTGCCAACATGGACATTATAGGATTCCCAGAAGATGAGAATGAGGCAGAAAGAATATTTAAAAAAAAATGGCAGAAAACTTTCCAAACTTGCTGAAAAATATTACTCTGTGCTACACATCCAAGAAGCTCACTGTAATCCAAGTTGAATAAGCCCAAAGTGATCCATACCTAGACCCATCATAGTTGAATTTAAAGAAAAATCTTGAAAGTAGCAGGAGAAAAATGACTTGTTACAAGGAATCCTCAATAGGCTTAATAGCTGACTTACGAGAAACCCTGGAGGCTAGAAGACATTTTCAACATTGAAAGTAAAAGACTGTCAACCAGTAATTCTCTATTTAGCTAAACTTTTCTTCAAAACTGAAAGTGAAATTAAGACGTTTCCAAATAGATAAAAACTGAAAGGATTCTCACGAACTCTAAGAAATGTTAAAGGGAGTCTTTCAGGTTGAAATGAAAGGACACTTAATGGTAAATTTTAATCCGTGTGAAGAAATAAAGAGGAATGGTTAAAGGTAACTACAGGCATTATGAAAGACATGTACAAATAGATTGAATAATAGATTGAAGTTTTTGTTAGGGATAGGCTCTAAATCCATGTCTTTTGTATAGTATAAATTGTGATTCTGTATTGGAATTATACTTTGCTGTCTGGAGAAGTGTTTATAAAAGTAATGAAAATTTTGGTTTCAGGTAAAACAAAAATTAGAACAAAAATTATACTGAAAATAATTATTACATAAATTTTGAATGATAACTATGAGCTAGTGACATATATGTATTACATCATTTTCTCATTACAATATCTCACTAGGGTGTGTTATCTAGATTTTATAGATGGGGAAAATTGAATTAAGAAAGAAAGTGACTTGCCCAAGGTCATTTAAGTAGTAAGTGGTGGAGCTAGGATTTGAGCTGTGGTCTGTTTAACACTAAAGCCCAAGCTTTTAAATACTGCTTTACACCTTAATATCCGGTGCTTTAATATTCTTGGCCTTCTTTCAAAAACTTCCCTCTTCCTGTCAATTCCAATAAATGCGTTTTTGTTTGTAACATTTTTTTCTCCAGTTATTTAAAACACAACTGAATAAAGCAATTCTTATAAAGTTGTATTGATGGGCTTATGATACATAAAAGATGGATTCCTTCATAGTTTTACAGATATGGTTCTCTTCTGGAATTTATAATACAACATGAATGCATCACTACCTTATAAGGCAGAGATAAGGTGCTGTTTGTCTGTGCCTCTAGTTTCTAAAATTGACTTGGTTTAATGGCATCATCTTAATGGTGATTGCTGTCACTGAGCTACTTCATCTCTTCCCCTGTTTTCAAGCAGTCCATAAATACTAAACTTTGCATCAATGCTGATAAACTAGCTACCTTCCAGTGCCCTATATTTGATGATCCTCTCTTGGCACTTAATAAGTTCAGCTTATAGATGATGTTTATGATTATATTCTGTGGGCAGCAAGCCATCCAGATGCCGAGGCAAGAGACCAGGGGCACGAGTTGTTCCAGTGTAATAAAGAACATAAAACAACAAGAGTTATACTAGATCTACATAGACATGATTATATATGAATATCATATGAATTATATGTATATATTATATATATTATATATGAGTATCATTAATCATTTGTAGCAATTACTCTTTATGCCAATATTATAATAATACTCGCTCTATAATCATAACCTAGGAAAAACTAGGCCATACAGAGATAGGAGCTGAGGGGACATAGTGAGAAGTGACCAGAAGACAAGAGTGTGAGCCGTCTGTCATGCCTGGACAGGGCCACCAGAGAGCTCCTTGGTCTAGCGGTAACGCCAGCGTCTGGGAAGATGCCTGTTGCCAAGCAGACTGTGGTCTAGTGGTAGCGTCAGTGCGAAGGGAAAACACCTACTACTTAGCAGACTGGGAAGGGGAGTCTCCCTTTCCCCAGGGGAGTTTAGAGAAGACACTCTACTCCACCTCTTGTGGAGGGCCTGACATCAGTCAAGCCTGCCCACAGTTATCTGGAGGCCTGACTGTCTCCCTGTGATGCTGTGCTTCAGTGGTCACCCTCCTAGTCCACTTTCATGTTCCATCCTGTACACCTGGCTCTGCCTTTTAGGCAGCAGTAGCAAAATTAGTGAAAGTACTAAAAGTCTCTGATATGCAGAAACAATATTGTAATATTATGCAGAAATAATAGCGTATGCTATTGCATACGCTGTATATGCGATATGCAGAAATAGTAGCATAAGCTGTCCTCTCTCTCTCCCTCTCTCTCTGTCTGCCTTGGCTGCCAGGCAGGGAAGGGCCCCCTGTCTAGTGGACATGTGACTCATGTGACCTTGTCAATCATTGGAGATGACTCACACTCCTTACCCTTCCCCTTTTGCCTTGTTTCCAATAAATAACAGCACAGCCTGGCATTCGGGGCCACTACCGGTCTCTGCGTCTTGGTGGTTGCGGTCCCCCGGGCCCAGCTGTCTTTTCTTTTATCTCTTTGTCTTGTGTCTTTATTTCTACAATCTCTCGTCTCTGCACACGGGGAGAAAAACCCACTGACCCTGTGGGGCTGGACCCTACAGTGTTCAAGATGAAGATATAATGCTTATAAGCATCCATTTATAACTGTTTATAGTTGGCAACCTACCTTCCTTCCTTCCTTCCTTTTTCTTTTTCTTTCTTTTTTTTTTTTTGGAGACAGGGTCTTGCTCTGTTGCCCAGGCTGTTAGTGCAGTGGCACAATTATAGCTCACTGCAGCCTAGATCACCTGGGCTCAAGCAATCTTCCTGCCTCAGCCTCCCGAGTAGCTAGGACTATAGGCATGTGTCACCACACCCAGCTAATTTTTTACTTTTTGTGGAGATGGGATCTTCCTGTGTTGCCCAGGCTGGTCTTCAACTCTTGGTTGCCTCAAGTGATTCTCCTTCCTTGGCCTCCCAAAGTGCGGAGATTACAGGCATGAGCCACCATACCTGGCTGCTAGTTTGGTCATTTTCTGTTTCACAGACATTTAGATTGATTAGGGTTCTAATGGTGTATTGTTGCAAACCTGTCTTTGATTCTTTTAAAGATTATACTGCAATATTTTGTGGTTTGGGCAAATAAGCACTGTTTCTGGAGACAAATCTGTATTCAGAGTCTTGGCTGCCACTTGTTGGCTGACTTACTTTTAGATATGTTTCTTCTGAGTCAGTAATCTCATCTATAAATTGGAGACAGTGATACTAAACCTTTTAACTTTAATTTTAAAAGCGTCATTGATATTATGAGCTTCTATGAGTTTGTGTTTCGGGGAAGTCTTATAACCAATGAGACAATCACGGAATTTCCTTCTTGCAAATGGTGTAGGTAAAGGAACTTTGAAACTTCAGTGGTACTTTCATAGTCTGTATTTGACAAGGGATCTTTTCTGATGAGATTGGTTCTTGTAGTTTGACTGTTAATAGAAAAAGTTAAAACAGTAGGTCATAAAAAGTGCTGCATACTTCTCACTAACATTTTAACTTGAAATGTGCAAAATGTATAAATAGACTGTTTTTGTGACTAGGACCAAGGGCCTTTTTTTCAATATAGGCTTGCTGATTGGAACTGCAAGTCTTATATAAATCTACATCTATAACAAGTCATATCCAGTTTATGCTTTATTTCTTTAATATAGATTAAAAAATTGAGACACTTGCAGAGCAGTGGTTCTCAAAGTGTGGTTCCCAGCCCAGCAGCCTCAGCATCATGGGAATTTCATAGCATGCAAATTCTTTGGTTTTACTCCAGACCTACTGAATCAGAAACTATGGAAGGTGGGGCTCAGTATTCTATGCTTGGCTTCCATGCTACATTTTCAGAAACATTATATTCTATATTTTATTATTTTTCCCAGGTTTAAAAATATTTCTCTTATCTTTGCCTATTTCAACAGCAGTATTTTGCAGTGACTTGCCTTTATCAAGTCTTTTCAATGCGTTTGACTTAGTTTTTAAAGATACAAGACCTTTTATTTTTGCTTTTATGGTTTATGTGATATTTAATTAAATTAGCTAATTACAATAACAATAAAACTCCCCTGTTGAGGTTTTGGAACAAATATTGTTCTGAGTGAATATACAGCTCAGCAGTTGGGAGCAGAAGTGTTGAGGGGCATGCTAGAGAGACTCCTGCAGGCTGTGAGTTTTCAGTATTCTGTGGGCATCTGTCAGTATGGTTAAAGAGGAAATGAACAATGTGGGTTTACATAGCAAGCTGGGTAAGTGAAGCTTGATCAAGAGAGCTTCTCATGTGTATTATTCTATGTAGGCTTATATATTTCTTGGATCCATTTATCTTTATAACCCCTAATTCAGTACGCATGTTTTAGACTTTTGTTAGTCTGTAGGTAGTCTTCTTGGCTAGACCCCAGAGTTAGAAATATGTTTTTAGTGATTTTCAGATCTCTCAGTTCAGTATTGTGGAGAAATAAGAGAACCCAGTAGTTCATATGAAAAATATGTGCCTGTTATTATGACACCAAAGGGGAAACTCTGTAGCAGCTAATACTTGAAGTAGAAAACAGATGGAAATCTTCTTCTCTAGCCTAAGACTGCAGCTTTTGCCCTGGCTTATAGTGCCTACTTTGATTTGGGAAATCCAATTATGTGTGGAGATAATTCCACAGGTGAAGTGTTTGCCTACCATTGAGATTCTTAAGGGATATATAAGTCGATCCAGACTCTGGCATGCTGAATCGAAACTGTTGCTCCTCAGCAACATTCTAGATGGAGTTTTGATTGAGCTATTTTTTAATGAGTGTTTTAATTATTACTATATTTTTAACCACATTGCTAATCTCACAAAAGGAAAGGGCCTGAATAGCCTGTCTAAGTCAACTCTGGATCATCTCGTTACTGCAGTAGTTGGATCATAATACTGCTGTGCAACATTAATAGAAAACTACATAATGTACAGAAAATAACTATTGCATAGGAACATCAGGATACTATAGCAGTTGTCCAATAAAACAGCAGTATTGGTCCCCCTGAAGTTGTTCAGATAGGGATTTGATAAGCCTAGTATTCATTCTTCACTGACACAGTAACTCAATCATTTCACTGACAAAATAATGGTTGCTACATATCTGATTTAACAAAGAAATGAATGTTGCTTAAATCCTTACGATAGATTGAAGTTTTTGTTAGGGATAGGCTCTAAATCCGTATCTTTTGTATAGTATAAATTGTGATTCTGTATTGGAATTATACTTTGCTGTCTGGAGAAGTGTTTATAAAAGTAATGAAAATTTTGGTTTCAGGTAAAACAAAAATTAGAACAAAAATTATACTGAAAATAATTATTACATAAATTTTGAATGATAACTATGAGCTAGTGACATATATGTATTACATCATTTTCTCATTACAGTATCTCACTAGGGTGTGTTATCTAGATTTTATAGATGGGGAAAATTGAATTAAGAAAGAAAGTGACTTGCCCAAGGTCATTTAAGTAGTAAGTGGTGGAGCTAGGATTTGAGCTGTGGTCTGTTTAACACTAAAGCCCAAGCTTTTAAATACTGCTTTACACCTTAATATCCGGTGCTTTAATATTCTTGGCCTTCTTTCAAAAACTTCCCTCTTCCTGTCAATTCCAGAGATAACATTCAATAACTTGACAACAGTGACCTTTCTAAACAAATACAGTGCGTTACAGAACCAGATGGCCTAAGATTATATTTTATTTTTCTGGCTCAAAATAAATTGCCTGCCCTAAGACTGATAAAGTCCAAAAAAAGACCCTTCTGTGTCCCAGGACCTCATCAGGCCACATGGCCAGCCAGTGCTGTTTATCATAAGTCAGCCACGAGTAGAAAACCTATGTCTTTATACTATAATTTAGATTAGGACCTAATGAAGGGGCAAGAAGCTGGTTTACTAAATAAGATCATTCAGTAATCGCAGTGCATTTGGTAGAAAGATTCTGAAGAAGTGAAGACAGAATTCTAGGCAGTACTGCTGTCTGTTCTATAAATTGGATGTAAGGAGAAGGCTGATTTATAATTCAACAAACTCCCAAATTAGGCATCCCTTTTTCCCCCTTGCTGGGATTTAAGGAGGATTTTTTCTAATAACTAGCCACCTTATTCTTGATCATTCAAAATCTGGGTGAGAATTTTCTTAAAAGTCTTAGACAGATATATTTTAAACGTAATTCTATATTGGGAACATAAGTGATTATGCCACACATAGGCATAAACAATGCTTTCATGAGTTCAATTATACTTAATGAATTTCACACTTAGAGAGACAAGTTTAAGCAGGGTAGGCATAGAAATGTTTCAAAGATATGTTGAAGCCAAACTTGTAATTGACAGTCAGATATAGTGACAAAAGAAACACTAGACTTGGAATTAGGAGACCTCTGTTTGAGACTTGGCTTTACCATTACTCTGTAAGGATCCTTGAGCAAGTGATTTAAATTCTCCAAGACTCAGTTATTTGTAAAATGATGCCAGAATGATATTACTTGCCTTATTTTATTGCAGGGTTGTTCTGAGGACAAAGTTAGGGAACAGGTGACAAAGGTACAGTGATGTACAAATGGATGCTGTTATTATGGCAGCATCTAATATATATAAGGGTAAATGTCCTGAGCTGTGAGTGGGACAGATTTGCCTTTAGAATTGCTCTGCTGTTTAGTAATTTGGTGCTTTGGGCCAAAGCACCACAATCTTTTTGAATTTCAGTACTCTCATCTGTATAAAATAATCAACATCACAGATTTGTGAGAATTACATTAATGTAGATACTATATTTAAATTTTTGTAAAATAGTGATGGGGTAGGAGTTATTATCTTGAACAGATTTCAGAAAGTTAGAAAAGAAATAGCCAGAGATTTTTTATCTGTTCCCAAACATCTTAATAAGATAAATTACTCATAGAATGTTAGAATGCTAGAAGAGCCCTGTGAAGGTCATCTATCTTATCCTGCTCATTTAAAGACAAGGATCACCTCCTAATACTTTTGTCAGTTGTACTCTGTTTATATGCATAGATGATAACATCTCACCAGCATCATCAATTGTAAAGGATAGCAACTGTCTCTCAATCACAATAGATACAGATTTCTGAAAATGTAAAGCCATGTCAGAGAAGAACTCTGGAGCTAGTATCGGGCTGTGAAAAGAATTTGGGCTTTGGCCCGGTGCGGTGGCTCACTGCCTGTAATCCCAGCACTCTGGGAGGCCGAGGCGGGCGGATCACGAGGTCAGGAGATCGAGACCATCCTTGCTAACATGGTGAAACCCCGTCTCTACTAAAAAAAAAAAAGAAAAAAAGAAAAAATTAGCCGGGTGTGGTGGTGGGCACCTGTAGTCCCAGCTACTCGGGAGGCTAAGGCAGGAGAATGGCGTGAACCCGGTAGGCGGAGCTTGTAGTGAGTCAAGATCGCACCACTGCACTCCAGCCTGGGCGACAGAGTGAGACTCCGTCTCAAAAAAAAAAAAAAGGAAAAAGAAAAAAAGAAAAGAATCTGGGCTTTGTTGTGAAAAGTTGAGATGGAATCTTGCCCTGTCAGTTACTAGTTTGTGACAGTGAAATATTTACTTAGTATTTTGTGGCCACATAGCTATGCTGTTTTTTTGTTGTTGTTTTAACCTACCATTGTTGTTTTAACTTACCACATAGGCTATGTCTGTGTCTATACTTAAACCTGACTGGCTCTTCATTTTTACATATCATTCTTTGGATCTGAGATGTGTTTGATTTTTATGCTATTTATACTAATGGTTCTTGACCTTCTCTTTCTTGTCTCTAACACATTTGAGACTTGGGATTACAATAGTGATCCTTGAATATTGCAGGGGTGCTTGTGGCAAATCAGCATCTTGGAGTTGTCGGTTAGGTGTACTTCGAAAAGGCTTCCTTTTTAAGGCTGGTTTAGGGACTTACACATGAGCTATAATTTTTTTTTTTTTTTTTGAGACGGAGTCACGCTCTGTCACCCAGGCTGGAGTGCAGTGGCGCGATCTCAGCTCACTGCAACATGATCTATAATTTTTAAAACTATAATTATTTTGGGTCATATGTCCTGTTTTTCTTTCATTGTTGATTTTGTACGGTTGAATTTATATTGGTGTCTAAAAAATTATTTGAAAGCTAACTGGACAGTATTTTAATGTGAAATTGTAAAATAGTTTTAAGTGTATTCCCATGAGAAGAGCTGTTCCAAAGAAAATAATAGGAAAATAATATTTTATCATTGACCCAGTAAAAACAAGTGCAAAACAAATTTATGTTCACAATCAAGAATAATGACCTTTCTGCACTTTTTAGAACCCAGTATTGAGAGATTTCGTAGTTTATATATTGACTTTATCTTTGACTTATTGAAAATATTGTTTTCATCCTTATTGGGTGTCCTGGAAAAATACCCAAGTTGATCCTTAAATTTGAAAAAAGAAAATTCAGAACGAAGTATTTCTAGATTCTAATGGTACTAGACTAGAAAATAGAAGATTGGTAGGTAAAGAAAATAATGTATATGAAATAGTATATGAACACAGAAGCATAACGTATTTGTGTTCCTACATTGAACACAAATTCAGTATGCATTTTCTGTCTTTTTGCAGCAGTTCAACTTTGGACATGTATTTCTTTCTTTCTCTTTTTGTTAAATAAATGAACAGAATTTATCCCTTGATCATCTGTAACATAGTTTCATTGTAACCAATAGTCTGGGCTTTCACTTGAATGTTTTTTTAATGAATTTATCTGGAGATGCTTTGCATTTTTCTAAATTTTGGCTACACTAATTAGAGAGTGGGTATTACGAAAAACTGACAGGCAGTTTTAAAAAATATTAAATGAATTGGTTTTGAAAAGGGATACAACTATGTAGTTTTACATTTTTCAACTTGTTTTTACATTGCCCTTTAGAATGTTTAATATTTTGTAATGAAAGTATGCGGTTTTTCTTCTTTTTTTTCTTTTTTCTTTTTTTTTTTTTTTTCAAAAGGAAAACAATCGGGTAAAAATCTGAGAAATATTTTCAGTTGTCCAAGGCTAATGTTGACTTAAATAGGTCTAGGTCTTCATGGTTGACAGCTGCAGATAATTAGCTTTTTCTTTCTTAACAAAGAAAGCAAATGGAGCTGCAAGACATTCATTGCCTTTTCTGTCATCAAAATAATAATGTATGTATTTAACTCCTGCAGTTCCTTAAATTGATTTAGTGCTAAGCTGCCTACATTACATATAATAGGAATGACAAGTGAAAGCTGCAGCACATATTTGCGTGGCAAAAGGGAGCAGTGATTGACAGCAAAGTTTCTCTCTACAAGAAATAGCAGTGTTGTGGAGCTCAAAAAGGGCCAGATACATAATTCTTAAAATTGTAGAGCAGATTCATGAAATGAATTTTAAAAAGTGATTGCCACTTGGTGTACTTGAGTGTCTTTGTGTTTTTGGCTCTGGGTGAGGGGCACAGATGGACAGAATCTCACCTGACTGCCAAATATCAATAAATTCCTTTTAAGTATGTTAGTATTTGTTATTTAAGAATGATACTTACAAATTTTAGATCAAATTGTGTCTCTGTACTCAGTAACTGAGTCCTTTAGCTGTAACAATTCACTGTATTTGAAGAAGCCGAGTAATACATCTATTCAAATAAAGATTTTGAAGGCCCTAAATTGAGTTATCTTTCATGGAAAATACCCATTTTCACATGTCTGTAAAACTTGAGGCATCGTTTCTGGAAAGGTAATCACATAGGATTGGTAGTTTCTTTTGGTCAGACAGTGGTTAAATGCGATCATCTTTCAGAAGTACTCAAAAAATATTCTGGCTTTCTTTTGTTCCCATGACACATACCCAGAAGCCATGGTTGCAAGGACACTTGGTGATTGCTGCTGCATGATGCTCTGTGATGAGCCTAGAGTGCTGGGCTTCATATTATACCATGGAAATGTTTCTTATTTTGTTGACAACTCTGTGTCTGTGGGAGGCGGGGAGGGGAAGCCCTATGTGTGCTTGTACACTGGCAGCCTCTACTGGCCATTGCAAAGAGCAGCATTGTCCTCTGTTCTTTCCATTCCAGGTTGCATATGCTTTTACTTGGGTTTAGCTCTTTCTTCTTTGGTCCTCACCCTCTTTGTTGTCCTCTTTTGAAGACTAGTTATTCTGTTGGATGTCTTGATTTATAATTAATAAAGAGCTACTAGTCCAGTATTTTCATTAATAAATTAATATCATAAGTGAATGGAATTCTTCAGGACCTTAGAAGAAGTTATGAATATAACCTTTCCTTGAGAAATAATTTTCATGTAAGAGGGAAGATAGATTTATCTTTATGTAGGTTTTAAAATACTTTCTCAGTTGCAAGCCTTAATGTATGATATAGAGATTAGTCTTTTACTTATGACTGACAAAAAACCCTGATGCCTTGAAAGAAAGCCTTGGCTCAGTGATAGACTTAATTACACACACACACACGTACATACACACACACATATATATATTTGTGTGTGTGTATATATATGTATATATATGTATGTATGTACATATATATGTATATATAATATATATTGTATATACATATATACATTATATATGTATATACACATACATTATATATGTATATACATATATACATTATATACGTATATACATATATATTATGTATATACATATATACTTACATATATGTATGTATATACATATATACTTACATATATGTATGTATATACATATATACTTATATATATGTATGTATATACATATATATATATATATATAATTCTTTAGATTTAGGTATATCAGCTTTCTCTTAGAGGTTTCCAGGAAGTAGGCATAAACTCTTATTGGGCTTTATGCATATGAATACCTCCGGGGGTTGGATAGAGGGTGGTGTCTAAGCTTTAAGTCTAGACAGAAAATGATAAGTATTTGTAAATAAAAGATCCAAGGATGGTAGTAAACTGGATTATTCTGTTTCAGGGATAGAAACTTATAAAATGTTTGATCTAATATCTTTGACTTCGGGCAATAATTTGACCACAGTAGATGATTTCTCCAATAAAATAGACTCATTTCTTGACATTTACATTTTATCAGTGGCTCTACTTACTAATCACCTAGTTATCTTTGAATCTCTTGGTATTTTCAAATAAGACATCTAATTGAATCTTTTTATACAAAGTCTCCTATCCAATGGCTTCCATTCCTACTGCTACCACCAATTCCTAGATTATTACAGTAACTTTAGGTTAGTGCAAAAGTAATTGGCAAAAGCCACAATTACTTTTGTGCCAACCTATACTAATAGATTTCATTTTTTCCATGTTCTTCATCTTTTAATTCAGCCCGTACAACCTAGCCATATGCATTTGACTAAAACATTGCTTTTATTGCATCACATTTTTTTCTTTTAATAATTTATTATTTGCTTGAGAAAATGAAAAGTACTAAAGGATATAGCCAGTAGAGCAAGACAAGGAGCATGGAGCTAGGAATAGGAAGATGTGGGATTTTTGCTTTGATTTTGGCTATATGACCTTAAGCATATATGTATACCTTCCTGAGTCTCTGTTTTTCTATTATTTAAAATTATTTGTTGCCAAGATTGGTTAAAATAATGTTATATGAAATTGCCATGAGTTCTTTAGAACTCTATTTTCCTGCTACAGAGTAAAAAGACAAAATTTCTTAGTCTGGAATTTCTTTTCAAACTGCTCATTTCTGTACTATGCATGGCATAAATAGGTACTTAATGAATGCTGTTTGAATAAATTCTGTACTTCCAATCTTGTATTTCTCTCTTATTTTCCAACTCAAATATGTTGTCTCTACTCTGACCACTGAAAATGTTGTTCATATGGTCACAGCTACATCATTCTCCTGTTCTTTGCCCTGCTAAGAATGCTGTCCTTCACTTTTTTTTCAAATCCTGATTTTTAGGAATAGTCAAGTTCCCCTATCTCCTTTGAGTCCACTTTTGCTTTTTCTTTTTTTCACCATAGCAATACTTACTATCTTTACCACTCACTGCTCTATTTTGAGATATATAGTATCTTGTATTATTAATAAAAATGCCCTGTTTGCATACCTTCTCTTCTTTGTATACTGTAAACTCCTGTATAATAGGAATAATAGCTTTGATTTTTGTAGTTACTCTTTAAGGATATTTTCATTGAACTTGTAATATATCCAGATTAACATATGGGCCAAGTGCAGCGGCTCACGCTTGTAATCTCAGTACTTTGGGAGGCTGAGGCAGGTGGATCACCTAAGGTCGGGAGTTCAAGACCAGGCTGGCTAAAATGGTGAGACCCTGTCTCTACTAAAAATACAAAAAAAAAAAAAAAAAGTTACCTGGGCATGGTGGTGCATGCCTGTAATCCCAGCTACTAAGGAGGCTGAGGTAGGAGAATCACTTGAACTCAGGAGGTGGAGGTTGTGGTGAGCTGAGATCATGCTACTGCATTCCAGCCTGGGAAACAGAGTGAGACTCTGTTTCAAAAAAAGAAAAAAAGCAAAACAGGTTAACATATAAGAAATGGTTTATATTTGCCACGAGATATTAGAACAAGGATTGGCAGGTTGTTAGAAGTGAGATACTAAGATGCTGTCAGACTACTGATACTCTTGATTTATAGGGGTAAAGAGTTCAGATTGCAAGGGTTTGGGGAAGGTTCCCCTCTGGAAAAGAATGACCTGCATATTGTTATGAGTTAGTGATTCTTCTATTTTAATAAAGCACCCCTTTAACATATAGATACCTTAATTAGGAACAGGTCCTTATATATCAATATTGTTTGCTTGTGAATATAAATTAAGTGGTAAAAGGCATAGAAGTCATAGGGGTGAGAGAGACACTTACCTTTCCACCGATAACTTTTGAATTTTTTTTTTTTAAGTATTTACATGTTTATGTGTTCAAATCTAACAAATTGGAACTGTTTCTTGGATGGGTAAGTTATCAAACATTCCCACCAGTATAAAAGTCTTCAACATATATTTCATTGCTTTTATTTGTTAAATCAGCTTTATTGGGATATAATTTACTTACTGTGTAATTCACCAATTTTAAGTGTACAATTTGATGAGTTTTGGCAGATGTATACAATTGTGTTCCACCATTACAACCAAATATGGATCATTTCCATCACCCCCACAAGTTTGTTCCTGCCCTTTTGTAGTCAATCCTTTACCCCATCTCATTGCTCCTGGCAACCGCAGATCTACTTTATAGTACTACAATTTTGCTGTTTCTAGAATTTTATATAAATGGAATCACGCAGTATGTAGTTTTTGCACCTGGCCTCTTTTAGATTTTAGCTGTATATGTATCAGCAGTTTGTTCCTTTTTATTGCTGAGTGGTAGTTTACTGTGTGGCTATACCGCAATTTGGTTGTTCTGATAACTATTTGATGGAATTTTTCTTTTTCAGGGTTTAGCTATTATGAATAAAACAGTTATACAAACACAGTGTTATGCAATATAAGTGTTTTTATGGACATATGTTTTTATTTTACTCGGATAAATGTGTACAAAGCGATTGCTGAGTCATATGATAAGGGTATGTTTTAACTTTTCGAAGTAACTGCCAAACTGTTTTCCAAAGTGGCTGTACCATTTTGCATTCCTGGCAGTTGCTCTACATCCTTGTCAACACTTGGTATTAACAGTTCTTTTTATTTTAGCTATCATTCTAATGAAGGTGTAATGGTAACTCATTACAGTTACATTACTTTGTATTTCCCTAAAATGATTAATTTTTTGAACATTTTTTCATGTAGTTTTTGGTCATTTGCATATATTCTTGTGTAAAGTGTCCAAACCATTTCCCTATTTTTTATTTTCATTTTTATTTATGAAGGCAGGAGTGCAGTGGCATGATCACAGCTCCCTGCAGCCTTGACTTCCCAGGCCCAAACAATCCTCCCACCTCACCCTCTGAGGAGCTGGGACCGTAGGCGTGTACCTCCATGCCTGGCTAATTTTTTTTAACTTTTTGTAGATACTGGGGTCTCCCTATGTCGCCCAGGCTGGTCTTGAACTCCTAGGCTCAAACGATCCTCCTGCCATGGCCTCCCAAAGTGTTGGGATTATAAGCATGAGCCCCAGTGCCCAGCCCCTAGTTTTAAAAAAAACAGTTCTTTGTTTCCTTCTTATTGAGTTCTGTATATATATTTACATATTCTGGATAGAAGTCCTTTATCAGAGATATGTTTTCCAATTTTTTTTTTTCCAAGTCTGTGGGCTTGTGCTTTCATTTTCTTAAGTGTGCCTTTTCAAAGAATAAGTCTTTAATTTTGATGAAGCCCAATTTATTGATTTTTTTCCTTTGTGCTTTTTGTGGAGTGCTAAAGATTTTTATCTAAACGAATATCATTTAGATTGCCTTGTATGTTCTTCTAGTAGCTTATAATCTCATTTTTAGGCTTATGATACCCTTTGAGTTAATTATTGTATATGATATGAGGTGTTGTATCTTTCCAGATGGGTATGTGATTGTTCCAGTTCCATTTGTTGAAAAAGACAATAATTTTTCCATTTAATTACCTTAGCGTTTTCATTGAAAAATCAGTTGACCATATATATGTGTGGGTTTATTCCCATTCCATTTTTTAATTACTGTCTTTATGACAATACCCTATTTTCTTGATTATTGTAGCTCAAAGTCTTACAGTTAAGTAATATATAATCCCTCCCACTTTCTCTTGTGTTTCAAAAGTGTTTTGGTTACCTTATGTCCTCTACATTTTCATATACATTTTTAAAAGCCTACTGGGATTTTGATTGGAATTGCATTGACTCTGTAGATCTGTTTCAAGAAAATTAATATATTAAACAATATTGGGTGTTATGATCCACGAACATGATATGTCTCTTTCTTTACTTAAGTCTTTAATTTCCCTTACCAGTGTCTTGCAGTTTTTAGTGGATAATTCTTGCATATATTTTTTGTTAACTTTATTCCCATTATATATTTAATACTATTATAAGTGACATCACATGCTATTGTAATGCTAGCAATGCAATATTAGCAATGCTAGTATTTAAATACAATATGACTAGTATTGAAGTATGGTACACTTTTTCTATTTTGACCTTGTAACACTGTAATGTTACTAAATGCACTGTTTCTAATAGCTTTATTTAATTTTTGGTAAACTCTTAAAAATGTTCTGCATAGACAATCATGTTGTTTGCAAATAAAGGCAGTTTTTACTACTTCTTTTCTAATTTGTGTGCCTTTCATTAATCTTTCTTACCTTATTGCATTGGTTAGGACCTACAGCGTTGAGTAAAAATGGGGAGGGAGGATATCCTTGCCCTCTTATATTAGAAAGAAAATATTCAGTCCTTCCCTATTAAGTATAATGTTAGCTATAGTTTCTTTCTGGATGCCTTTTATTAGGCTGAGGAAATTCTCTTCAATTGCCAGTTTGCTGAGGGTTATTTATGAGTGAATGTTAAATTGAGATGACCTTATACTTTTTCTTTTAGTCTGTTAATCTGGTGAAATATCCTGATTGATATTCTAATGATAAAGCAACCTTGAATTCTGGAATAAATCCCATTTTGTCATTATCTGTTTATATGTATGTTGCTGGGTTTGATAGGATTTTGTTACAGATATTTTGTTATTTGTCTTCCTAAGGGATATTGGCCTGTAGTTAAATTTTCTTGTAGTATGCTTG
The DNA here is from genome assembly GCF_000001405.40 of Homo sapiens. NCBI lineage: Eukaryota > Metazoa > Chordata > Mammalia > Primates > Hominidae > Homo > Homo sapiens. The sequence continues at coordinate 3,462,117 of NC_000009.12, read as the reverse complement.
TCACTTTTTTCTTTTTTAAACAGGGTAACACTGGTCTCATAAAATGAGTTGGGGAATGTTCCGTCTTTTATTTTCAGGAGGAGTAAACCCCAACTTAATTATGAATCGGAAAACACAAAAGTTCACTTGTGGCACTCAAACAACTTATTTCTTGTGACTGAAATAAGAAATATCTTAATATGTATTAAAGGGTGTGTTCTCCCTTTCAGATGTTCTCCAAATGATTATTTGTATGTAAAAACAAAAAGTAAAACAGAAAATAAAATAGCTTATTTAGGTATGCTTATATAGGCCTTTGTAAAAATTGATATGCAAATTAAAATTTAACAGCTTTGGATATTAATTTAATATCAATAAGCCATAGATATGACATATGAAAATATATTCACAGAGATGTTAATACTTATATTATTTTGTTTTCGTTCATGTAAACATTTTGTGAAGTCTCTTGTACATTCTCATTAAGTCATACTTTGTTTATATTTCAGCTTAACAACTTGTCAGTGGTAATTGTTATGTTACATTAAATTAAAAAAATTCTTTTTCTAGCATAATATTGTTCTACTAACAGTTCTTTGTGGCAGGAAACTATTCCTTGAACATGCAGTAGTTCTTAAATTGTATCCCATTTAGATGAGAAAACTGATAGATGTATTTAGATTGCTTAGTCACTGATTTGACCTCGTTGGATGACTTTTTACATGTTGCTGTTAAAACTGTTCTATTTTCATCCAAAGCACATTCTGTGAACTTTAGGATCAGGATTTCAAATGCTGTCTACCATCTAACACGGTATCTGTTAAAATTGTTTTGGATGATTGGGAAGTTGGATTAAATGAATAAAAATGGTGAACTTTATTGGGTGGCAAACATGAAACCCAATTTATATTTTTTTGTGATGAAAATAGTTTGTTGCTCTCATATATTTAAAAATATTAGAATTTTAACCTTGTGAAGAGCTTTATAAACATTTGCTACATGTATTTTGTCTATCTAGTTTAGATAAATATTATTTATATTAAATAAATATTTTAAATAAATATTAATGAGAAAGAAAATAAGAAATAGTAAATCTCAGCGATGAATGTTAAAATGTACCAAAACTACCAGATTTTATAAATTGTGATAACCTGTCATCTTATAAGAAAAATAATTGGTGAGAACATTAAATACATTAGAGTAAGACTACAGGAGAAGTATTGAGAGGCGTTTGTAGTTCTCTGTTACATATGTAATAAAAATAATATGTTGTTAGGAAATTGGTTAAGTGATTAGGGAAGCATTGTCTTTTCTCACTGTAGAAATAGAAGCATGTATACTTAGAAATGGCAAGAAAATAGTACAGTGTTTTGAAGCTTTCTTTTGATAGTGGGCATGTGTAGCCTATAACTACCTAAGCCTGGGGTGGGGTTGGGTTGGGATTAAGGGAGGTAAGGTATTAGCTCTGAGAGTCTATGAAATCCTGCTTCATTTAAAGTAGATCAAAATGAACTAAGTGACATGAATAAGGTTTTACAATGACTGAGTTTATCAGTTTCAAGTTTAGAGCTAAGGAAAGTAAAATTGAACATTGAAAATTATATTTTTTAAAATGTTGGTTTATCTTATTTGATGAGTATAAGGTAGAGGAAAACTGGGAAAATAGGGTGATGATTGTTTTATGGAACAAGGACTTTTAAAAAATAATATTAAATCTATTATGTGATGTTGTTAAAATATTAGATTATTTAGTTTCATCCATGCATAGATTGAGGTGTAAGAGGATTTGTGTTCTTAAATTGGTGTTGATTTAATTTGCATCTCATAAGAAAATTGAGCATTTTAGTAACATATAATTTAATTTGTAGAGCCCAGAATAGATTTAGTATCTTTTCTAAGTACCTGTTATGTAACTTTTGGGTTTTATTGGCCCCTGCCTTCCATCATCCAATTTGTCACATTCCCTACAATAAAGCTGATGAATTTGTGTATTCATATCTAAGCTGGGTTGTAAGCCAGAGTAATGGTAGAAGGCAAGAGAAAGATACCAGACTGGGGTCCTTTGATATGTAACCAACCATCTTTTGAAGTTGAACATTTGTTATAATAAAGTTTTTTTTTCTCCATCATGTCACTATATCATTATTTAAAACCCCTTTCCTCGATTACAAAAGCAATACGTACATTACGAAGTAGAAAGGAACTACACCCATACTCTCACCATCCATGGATAACATAGATAACCTTCTTTAGGTAAAATACTTTCAAAATGAAATTGTATTAGAGTTATTAGTGGAAGATGTCCTCTTTTAAATTCTACCTTCTATCAAACTATAACTTATTCTGAGTAAAATGGATAAGAATGTAGTAGGATGAGATAACTAGGGGCTGAAGTGATAATTCACGAGAAGATTGAGAAGGAAAAGAATCCCCATGAAATTACTGAAGCACAGAACAAAAAGGGAAGAGCAAAACAAAAAATTCTGACTCTCATGAGTATGTCTATGGAAATGTAAAGTTATATAAATAAGTATTGTTATGTATTATGTATACTTTCACTTATTATTCATAAAATTTATTTTGATTCGGGTCGCTTTTTAGTTAGCTCACTGCATCCAAATGTAAAACAGTGTCTTCATAATAGAGGAGTGCCCAGTAACTGCGCCAATTTTATGTTTTCCAGTCCTTTATTCTCAGAATTTAATCAGTAGGATCTTGTCCTGAAACTTACCATGTGTCTTCCACTTTTCACAGATGTGATTGGGGTAGAAATTCTTCCTGTTTATCTGAATGAGAACCCTTTGGTAAAATTCCTTTGATTCTGAGATAACTAGATGAAATGTGTTGCATAAATCATGTCACAGCAAACAGTTGTCACCTGGCACTAGAGCTTGATGAAATTTAAAAGTGTTGGCTCATTGCCTGTAGTGTTCAGTTACAGTTCTATAGAAAGTCTGTTTGTACAGATGAAGCAGTTCTTGGTGTAATGCAAGATTCATCTCTCAAGTGATAGGGTGCGTATGAGTTTATTCCAGAGATCTTTACTCTGAGCTCCCAAGACATACTCAGAGGGGCATTGTTTTAATTTCTCATTGCCGTCCCTTTGGCACACTTACAAGAAAATGAACAGATCTTCAATTTGGTGAAATTCTTAGCATTTATTTAATTCAGTGTCTACGGCAATGCAGGAATGTTTTCAATACTATTCTTGGCAGATAATCAAATTTGAGTTTGAAGATGCTGCTTTTGTCTGTAACTACTTATTCCCTGTCAGCTCTTGTCTTCACTTTCTTCTACTACCAAAGTTTCTATATCCATCTTTACTTATTGGTAGCTTAGTCTTATACTTAGCCTTTTCTTACAGAATAATAAATATCTATTAAGCATGTGTAGAAAAAGGGTAATGAACACATGTTCATTGACTCCAGAAGAAACTACAACTACAGGACTGTATTCTTTACACTGTGCCAAACTTTATTCCTAAAAGCTACATTAGATTTTGCCATTCCCAGACTTTAAAACCTTTGTCACCTATAGGAAAACATACAGACTTCGGGGGTCATAAAACAGGTGTATTATCTGCTTTAAAAAAATCACTTTGTTTCTATTTCCCACCTCCATTACTCTTCTACTCCATAGGTAAATTCTGATGTTTCTGATCTGAATCCTTTTATTTGTATGTGTGCTTGTAAGACATGTAGATTTATTTTGTGTGCAGACAAATACTGGATGTGCCTGTATTTTAAATTTGTAATACTTGTGTTATGCTCTAGACATTATTTATTTTGACCTCAGCACTCTTTTAAAGATCTGTCTATATCAATGGCATACATCTGGATTGCTACTCCTAACTGCTGCATAGTATTCTGTAGACAGCACTTGCTTCATTTTATTTATTCTATGTATTGGTGACTTTACATTACAAGGCCTTTTTTAATAACTGACCCCATATTTTTAAGTTATCTCTTGGAATTACACTTCATGCACCTTAAATCCTAGCTGCATGAAGCCCATCATTCCTGCATGAAAACAGTGTCCTTTTTTATATTGCCATGGCTTTGCACATGCTGTTCCCTAGGATACTTCCAGTCTTCTAATGACTGCTTCCTCACGACTCAACTCAGATGTCATTTCCTTGATGAAGACTTAAGCAGCTATTTCATGCTTGAGCTAGTTGCTCTGTACTCTGCTCACACAGCACTTATTTTTATCTTGGGAATATAGAAGCCTACAATTCCACCTAGCAGTCTATATTTCTGTCTAGATTCCTTGAAGACAGCGACTAGATAGATCTCAGGCATCTTTGTATTCTTTACTCTAGTTTGGTGAATTGCATATAGATGGCAATCGGTAAAACATTCATTGAATGAATGAAGTGTGTGGAGTTCCTTAAAGTGAAATACCATATAAGCAAAAATGATTCTCGTAAGTAAGAAAAGGTTGGGACACAAATACAAATGTCTTATAAAACTGAGAGAATGGCATACAGGAAGCTGAATCCTAAAATGAATTGAGGCTTGTAAAGATACTAAGTACTGGAACATGTTCAGATCATGAAAAAAAATAATAATAAAAGAACAAACTACTGGTTGGGACAGATGTAATACTGGATAGTGCAGTGAAAGCAGAGTTATGGAACTCCTGGGTTTTTAATTTCTCTATCAAAATAAAATGATACTCAAATTGAGTAAAGAAGACTAATGACAGTAAGGGAATTGAAGTTAAGAAAGGCAAAGCAATGATGAGAAAGCACTTTTTTGCTCTCAACTAGTTAATGTCCTAGGATTAAATGACTTGCAAATATGAATGGTTAGGTAATCTTTGAACCATTATGGCCAGTAACAGAGATGCCAGAAAACTAAAGATCATGCAGATACTGTTTTTATTTTCAAAAAAGAGAGGAAAAGGTAGAATTCTCCTATTTTAAGATCAGTAGGTTTTATGTTTATCCTTGGGACAATTCTTTTCTTTTTTTTTTTTTTTTTTTTTTTTTTTTTTTGAGATGGAGTCTCGCCCTGTTGCCAGGCTGGAGCGCAGTGGTGCGATCTCGGTTCACAGCAACTGCTGCCTCCCGGGTTCAAGCTATTCTCCTGCCTTAGCCTCCCAAGTAGCTGGGATTACAGGTGCATACCACCACACCCAGCTAATTTCTGTAGTAGAGACGGGGTTTCACCATGTTGGCCAGGATGGTCTCGATCTCTTGACCTCATGATCCACCCGCCTCAGCCTCCCAGAGTGCTGGGATTACAGGCATGAGCCACTGCGCCTGGCCCTTGGGACAATTCTTTAACTGATGATTAGACAGATGACTTGTGAGGACTTGAGTAGTCCTCTAGGGACCACATGGGCTTCCTAGGAGTGTCTCATGTGAAACATGTGACTTTTTTTTCCCCATGTAGGTGGAGTAAGTTGATTTAGCACGGTTTCAGACAGTGTCTCATGAAATGTTTATGACATATTTAATAGATGGCCAAATTAGGAGTTAGGTTATTGGGCCAAGTAAATTAATGGATGGTTGAAATAATTTGATGAATGAATTGATGTCAGCTTGGAGAAAGGTATTTCTAGTGACATGATGTGGCCGTTTTTTTCACTTTGTTCTATTAATCATTTTTATCATGGACTTGAATTAAACAGGCACATCACATTTGCATATCACATAAAGCTGGGAGCAAAAGCTAATAGTTTGGATGAGGGAATTAGGATTGAAAAAAGCTTAGCCATCTGAAATGATTAGCTGAAATTAAGATGGTCTGTAATACTGATTAACATAAAATTTTGCATATAGGTTTGTCAAATTATCACACTAGCCACGGATCAAGTGGATATGTTTTAAAAGAAATTCATATGAAGAGACCTGGAAAGTTGTGGTTTAACTGTCACTGCCATGTCCCACAGTGCCATGGTTTGAATGTGTCTCCTCCAAAAGTGAGATGTAGAAACTTAAGGGCCAATGTGATACTATTCGAGCATGGGATTGGTCATAAGGTCATGAGGGCTCCTTCCCTTGTGAATGGGAGTAAAACCCCTATAAAAACAGCTTTACACAGCCTTCAGGAGCGTGCTCTTCTGCCTTCTGCCATGTGAGGACACAGTTTCCTCCATTCTGGAAGATGCAGCCCTCACCAGACAACCAAATCTGCCGACACCTTGACTTCCAGCCAAGGATTGTCAGATATAAGTTTTTGTTCTTTGTAAATTACCCAGTCTCAAGTATTGCTCTGTCAGCACAAACTAAAACACAAGTGTAGACTGTTTTAATAGAAGCGAAGTACTTGGAATGGGGAAGTGCAGTCTCTGTACTGATGAGAAGATACCATTGTATTCATTTATGGTTTCCAGGTTTTAAGAAGTATCTGGGAACTTTATTATAAAAAATATTTTGAAGAATCAGAATGGTTTCCTAACATAACTTTTGTGTGTGTAGTGTAGAGAAATTATTAGAATAATAACTTTTCAGATACTTAAGGCTGAAAGAATTAACCTAGTTCTATATTTGCTCAGCTTTTAAATCATGTATTTACTAGCAGGCTGAAAATTGTGCCAAGCATTGGGGATATAATAGTGACTAAAAACAGAAAAACTGACCTCCTTTTTACTCTTTATGGCACTGACAGTCTGATGGAAAAGGTAGACATTAACCAAGTAATTACATGAGTAAATGTAAATTGCAGCTATGATAACTTCAATGAAGTAGAAGTATACAGTGTCATGAGAAAGAGTATATAGTAGGAGCATTTGATTTGCTTAGTAAGGGAAGGGAAGGGAAGGGAAGGCTTGCCTGAATTAAGAAAGAATATGCATTGACTAGGTGAAAAGGGGTGGAGAGGGATCTAGGGTGAGTAAGCATGGTGCTTAAGAAAAACAGCCTGTCTGATGCATACAGAATCTGCTCTAAACCTGAAACGGTAGAAAGGAATGAGGCCACTCAGCCTTTAAAGACCTTGGTAAGAAGTCTGTTCCTTACCTAGAAACAGTGAAAAACATTTGCTGGTCTTACATAGAAGAGTACCTGATTTAAATTTGGAAGATATTTCTGGCTACGGTGTGGGGAATTGACTAGAGAGGATTTGGTAAAACACCTAAGGAAGAGTTCCAGTTGGGTGGATGAGGGGGCATTGTGCTGCAAGAAATGGGACTTGTCAGGGAAAGTGGAATTCAGTTCTGAAGACGAGGTGGGAGACAATGAAGATACATTTAGGGGCGGGAGACTTGGGTATGAGTCTCAGTTTTACCATTCGTAGCTTAGTGGCCTTGTGTAAATCACGTTATTTCTGTGTCCCTGATTTAATTGTACCACGTTTTTCTCATAGGTTTTGTTGAGATTAGATGATTTGATACACATGTGAATGGCTTATAAACTGTAAAGCATTATATAAAATGAAAGATTTGTGGGGAAAAAAATAGTCAATAATAGCCATTATTGGACAGGGTAGCCTAGTCATAGAATGGGATTTTTTCAGTGGTTCCTAGTCTTAACTAGTTGGAATAGATGATTCTTTAAGATTTTTATCATTGTAGTTTCAGATTTCCCTATCTCTTCTCAGTTGCTTTGGAGCATTTACTAACAAGGACAGCCTAAACATTTATAGCGGGTCCATGCTTTTTGGCTTTCTAGTGGCAACCAAGTAGCTTGATGTGATTTTAAGTGAGTTTTACACATGCTCTTTCTCTTATATATGATCTCAGACATAAGAGGCAATTTAAGGAATCTTGTAGCAAAATCTAAAGCAAAGAATTAGAAAGTATAAAAAAATTCTCAATATATCTTTTGGTAAGGTAGAACATACATATCTGAAGTTGCATTCAAGTACATGGAGATATACATGTATTTCTTCTCTCGAGTGTTGCCTGTGTATATGTATGTGTTTGTGGGAAGCTATGCAAATACAGATCCTGTGAGTAGAAATATACCTTTATTTTTTGAAATGGTTTATTTTACAACCCAAGATAAAGTAGAAATCAGGGTAAAATATACTGTTTAGCTACTTTTTTGAGACAGGAAAGGAATGACATTCCTAATTCATAGCAAAGAGTGCGTGTAGGTAACATTATTTATTCACATATTTGTGCACACAAAATCCACTCAAATATCCATTTAAACAGCTAATATATTTATATGTACTACTCTAACTTGTATTTTTACTAAAATTATTTATGTATGTTATCACTAGTCTCAAAAACTGATGCCCAAGTTAAATGTGGACATATCTTTTTTTACAGTGAACTAAAGCAAAAAGACCGGGGTATATTTAAAAATATATTTAAAATATTTAAAAAATCTAAATTTATGCCATCTTCTGGGATAATGCCAAAGACAATTTCAACTGTAGCACTCTGTATAATTAAACATGTTTTATGTCATTGTTCTTGAATTTTTTGTTGCTTTATTGTTCATTAGAATTACTCTTTTTTTTTTTTTTTTTTTGAAAAAAGAGTCTTGCTTTGTTGCCCAGGCTGGAGTACAGTGGCACCATCTTGGCTCACTGCAACCTCTGCCTTCTGGGTTCAAGTAATTCTCATGCCTCAGCCTCCCAAGTAGCTGGGATTACGGGCATGTGCCACCATGTCTGGCTAATTTTTGTATTTTTAGTAGAGACAGGGTTTCACCATGTGGGCCATGCTGGTCTCGAACTCCTGGCCTCAAGTGATCCACCCGCCTTGGCCTCCCAAAGTGCTGACATTGCCAGCATTACAGGCATGAGCCACTGTGCCGAGACAGAATTATTCAATTCTAAGTAGGTATGACTTCTGCTTGTGTCTTAGGATTTGGGGCATTTCTATGCAGAAGAAATACTGTTCATTTTAGTTAGTTAGTGATAAGTATTTAGTTCCCTAATGAACTGCGAATAATAATTGCTGAAAACCAGTTACACTTGGGGGGTGTTTACACTTGGGAGTTGCTTCTGGATCCATAGCTGAGTAGAAGACATGACAGAGTGATTAATCAGATCTCGTCTACAGACTTCCATTTATACTGATAATGACCATAATAGATGGGCCTGTCACTAGGCTAAGAAATTTACATGTGTTTTTATTTAATCTTTCCAACAGTCTTACGGGATGTGCGTACTGTTATTCCAGTTTTGCAGATGAAGAAGCTGGGATTTAGTGAAGTTAAATAACTAGTAAATAGAGAGGGCTATGTTCCATCCTAAGTTGCTTTTGATTCCAAGACTGCTATGGTATTTTGAGACGGCTGATTTGGTACAAAAGAACTTGATTGAAATCATTTTAGTCTAATCTCCTGGAGCCATGCTACTTTCTATGGTACTATATTAAAAAGAGATAATACACAGATAGCAGATACAAAGGTTGAAATCAGAAACCTATAGTATTCCCTGTGTAATAATGGATTTCTTGTTGCTTTTATAATAAGTTTTTAAATAGCTAATGCATACACATAGTAAAAAATAATTCAGATAGCCAGAGTGTCTATAGAGTGCAAAGTATGTCTTTTTCCCACACCAGCCTCCTATTCCCCCACACAGAAGCAACCATTGTATCTAAATTGTGGTTATTCTTCCAAATATGGTGTTAACATGAATTTATTTTTATTTTTATTTTGCCCAGGCTGGAGTGCAGTGGCACAATCATAGTTCACTGCAGTGCCAAACTCTTGAGCTCAAGCAATCTTCCTGCCTCAGCTTCCGTAGTAGTTGGGACTAGCAAGCATGTGTCACCAGGCCCAGCTATTATTTTTATTATTTTATAGACCTGGTGTCTCCGTATGTTGCCCAAGCTGGACTTGAACTCCTAGTGTCAAGCAGTTCTCCTGCCTTGGCCTCCCAAAGCACTGAGATTACAGGCATGAGCCAATGTGCCTGGCCATTAGTTGTTTTTTTAAAAAATGACATTTGAGCATCAATTCTTAAGAAAACTAGAAGAGCCAGATCTTGTACCAGATTGACATCTGAATGGGCCAAGCTAGAGAAGGCTGGAGAAGGATGCAGATGACACACCTTCAGTGATGAGAGTGTCAGATAGGGCGTCAGCATTACCCACCATCCCCATAGGGGTAACAGAAAGCCCTTGCAGCAGGTTTGTCTTGTTTCATAGATGAGAAAATTGGTTACTTAGGTCATGTAGGGAGTTGCAGGTAGAGCAGAACTCAGATGCAGAAATATGCTTCTCATTTTTCCAATTCTACTTCAGCACAAATGACTTGTGGATTTGAGAGTGTAACGAAGAATTGTACAATTGAAATTGTACAATTCCAAAATTGACTAAGGGTTTCTACTGGTAAGCCAGATAGCAAACTTCAGAAAGCCAAAGTCAGTAGCAGATATTAAAAAAAAAAAAAAACTTTTAAAATACATCTTTTTATTTTAGAATAAATTTAGATTTACAGAAAGCATGTGAAGATATTAAACAGAGTTCCCATGTATGCTACACCCAGTTTCCCCTATTATTAATAGGTTTATCCACTATCAGGTTACTCTGGAAGGAAGTCACTATATGCAGCCTACACATAAGAAGTGGAAGATTATGTTCCACCTTCCTGAGGGCTAAGTAAATTATTTGGAATGCTTCTGCACAAGAAATTTGTCTGTCATTCTGTTTATTTATTTTTTCAGTCAAAACTTATTTATTATCTTTTTGAGACTCTCTCTGTTGCCCAGGCTGGAGTGCAGTGGCGTAATCGTAGCTCACTGCCGCCTCGACCTCCTGGGCTTGAGCCATCCTCCTACCTCAGCTTCCTAAGTAGCTGGGACTACAGACACGCCACCATGCCCTGCTAATATTTGTAATTTTTTGAGAGATGGGGTTTCACCATGTTGCCTAGGCTGATCTTGAACTCCTGGGCTCAAGTGAACTTCCTACTTCAGCCTCCCAAAGTTCTGAGATTGCAGGTGTGAGTCCCTGTGCCCAGCCTCAGTCATTTACATATATAAATATGGCTCATGGATTATATGATTTTTGGGTTATAATCCAGTACTACAGTTTTATTGCTCAAATTGTTCCAACTTTGGCCATTGAGAGCTCTTTTAGTTGACTTCTATATCTCTTTAACACACTTTCATCATTGTGTTTTATTTTTGTTTTCTATTTTGAGCGCTTCGCTTTCCTACACTGCAGGATGCTCCAGATTCGCCTTTTATATTTCCTGCTTCACTCCTAGAATCAGCTTTTTCTCCATGGAAGTCCGATTCTTTTTATTGGAAAATAGTATTGGAAACCAAGATCTGGGTGCCAGTTGTAATTGCAGCTCTTTTAAAACCAAATATTGAATAGAAAAGGAAGTTTTAGCCATTTTCCCAGGTAGTACTAAATTAAGTCATTGCAATAATTTATATAAGTTCACTGGATTGAATGGAATGATCCTAAGGATTTTTAAGGGAAAATTCTAAGAATTCTTATTACTGTTTTCTGTTACTTTTTTAAAAAAATTCTGTAATGATATCACTTGATTTGATTTTTTTTGTGTGTCCTTGACCAAAAAACTTGAGGCAAAACTTCAAAACATGGTAATTTGAAGCAGGTTGGGATTAACTCTGGGATATTGGAAAGACTTTAAACTCCATTAGGAAAATTAACAAGCATGTAGTCTATAAAAGACATGTAATTCATATTTATATAAAGAATAATACTTTCTTCCACCTTCAGACATCTAAGATTTAAAAAAATGTTCTTTTTAAAAGAAAGAATAGTACTTTCTTTTGTATCACTAAACATTTCAAATTTGTGTATTGAACAGAGGATTGGGGAGAATGTTTTGTTAAGGAAAGAGAAAAACAAAAAAATAGCAAAAAAAAGAGAGAAAAACATGACCTCTGAGGATAGTTAAAATACATTTTAACTGTGTTTTATGTTGTTTTAAAGAGACGTTCCCTGTTATATATCTCGTCTTTCTGACACCAGAATTGAGATTTTCTTAATCTGAGGTATTTTCACATAGATCAAACAACTCATTTTTAGAGGTTTTAAAGGGATTTATTTGTATGTGTGTGATTGCAACCTTAGTAGTACTGATGAACCTTTTTGAAAGCTTATATTTTAATTTTATTTTTTCTCTGCCTTGCCAGGCAAATACTCTCTTTAGCATCTACCATTTCAATAAACAAGTTGAATTTTACAGCCCATCAAGCAACCAGATTGGTAGAACCACAGGATCTGATAGGTGAATGCATAAACTATAAAAACCAAAATCATTTTCAAAGAATTAACCAAATGTTTTTATCCTGGGCTACGATGATCACTATTTGTCCTAAACTATTTTAATTTTCTGTGTCTTAGGTTTTTTTTTTTTTTCTTTTCTTTTTTTTTTATTGAGACAGGGTGTCGCTCAGTTGCCCAGGCTGGAGTGCAGTGGTGTGATAATAGCTCACTGCAGCCTCAGTAATTGTAGCTTCAATCTCTTGGGCTCAAACGATCCTCCTGCCTCAGCCTCTGGAGTGGCTGGGACTACAGATATGCACTTCCACACCTGGCTAATTTTTTTCCTTTTTAGTAGAGACAAGGTCTTGCCATGTTGCCCAGGCTGGTCTTGAACTCCTGAGCTCAGGAGCTCCTTGGCCTCCCCAGTTCCTGGGATTAAGGCATGGGGCACTGTGCCTGGCCAATTTTCCGTATGTTAGTTTAACTGTAAAGAATAGTCTTTTAAATCAATGTGAATAGAAAAGTGTCAAATAAACTGATAGTGTACAGTTGTAATTAGAAAGAAGCACAGCACCAATGAGGAAAAGAACCAGGCAGGTAAAAACTGAGGGAAGGGTAAATGAAACCATCTCTAATAAATAAGCAAACATGACTAGTGCATAGAAAAACTGTGTGAGGCAGAGAAGCTCCAAGAGCTCTGGGATGAAAATAGCTGGAAATCCTCAAGAGGGATGGAGCTTAGTGTAGAGATGGGGAAGTAATTTTGAAATGTTGAGACCTATGCTTGAAGAGCCTAGAAACAATGATCTTGGACACGACAGAAGGAAATTAAGTGTCTACAGTATGCTAGGTGTTGCTCTCCTATGTATTAATATGATATCATTTAATTCTTACCTCTATTCTTTGAGGGAGGGTATTATTAGCAACAATTTGACAGATGGAAAAAATGAGGTACAGAGGGGGTTGAAAACATGCTGCAAGTCACATAGCAACTAATTGGGGGTAAACTCAAAGGGCCTGATTTTTAATTTTAAAGTAGTTTGGGGATAAAGATAATAGACAAAACCAACAAGGTGTAGCATAGGTGCAAATTCTTAGGGCCTAGGTCACCCATCAGTACTTCTTTGGAGTTTTCTGGGTTGAATTGGTTAAAAGAAAAGAGTTGAAAATTGTTACATTTAGATTTAGGTAGTTTATTGCAGTTTAAAAATGTGGGTTATGGCTGGGTGCAGTGGCTCACACTTGCAAACCCAGTGCTTTGGGAGGTCAAGGTGGAAAGATCACTTGAGGCCAGGCGTTTGAGACCAGCCTGGGCAACATAGTGAGATTCCTTCCTTACAAAAAATTTGAAGAATTGGCCAGATGTGGTAGAATGCATCTGTAGTCCTAGCTACTTGGGAGGCTGAGGCGGGAGGATTACTTGAGACTAGGAAGGAGTTTGAGGCTGCAATTCACGCTATGATGGCGCCACCGCAGTCTAGCCTGGGCGACAGAATGAGACCCTTCTCTATTTTTTTTTAAAGAAGAAAAAGAAATATGTGGGTTGTAATAAGCTGCTGTATTGTGGGAGGGCCTCAGAATGGACAGAGGACTCATGGTGATACAGCTGATGTAGCAAATGGATTTGGGGATGTAAAGGTCGAAATGGAATTATTTGGTCCTTTTAATTACCGCTTAACACTTTGAACAGGATCCTTTGTCAAAATCCCTACCAACTGCACAGAATGGTTTTTGACTCTCCTTTTTTGGAAAGGATCATTTTTAAGAGATTACTCTTAGACTCTGGCAAAAGGATTGTTAGTATATTAGTCCATTTGTGAGTGGGAAAAAAATATCTAAAACCACTGTGAATTGTAAGAATGTAATTTTTTTTTTTAAATCATGTGTTTATGTTTACAGAGTAAATCTCAAGAGCAAATTAATTATATGTCTGTAGTTCTTGAAGTTAAGTAGGTGAAGTGAGGGAAAAGCATGATTTATTCTTGCTTTATTGCTGGCCAAATCTCTAGGCTGGCCATTTTTCCCTTTTAATGAAAATGCTTGTGATTCCTTGTCTTCCCATTGGCTCATAGTTGAGAGCTCTGTTAAGTTGTCTGTGAGACGGAGTATATTAGGCTTGCCTGATTAAAATTGTTCATGAGAGATCAAGCAGACAAGGGACTTTTAGCATAATTAAAAAAGCACTGCTAGCCTTTAAATAGGAGATTTCAGAGACTTTTGAATTCATATCCACCTGTAGGGAAGTGTGTTTATCTAATTAGATTCTGATTCTCTTATGAATGCTTCTTACTTAATTCATGCATGGTGTCCTTTCATTTTATAGACTATTATCCCTTCATGCAGGAGACACAAAAAATGCTTAATGGAACCAAATCTTGAATGAACTGAAATGTTTTCCTTGAAAGATCACAATGTGATAAGTTAAGAAGTCGGTTACCTCCTTTTGTTAACCTGTGTATTTATAAAATGAGCAAGAACAAAGTTGAAAATAGTAAAAGAAAAAAATCGAAACAAATTGTATATCCTGTGTTCTCTGGTTAACCTGAGAAAATTATACCAGCATTTGAGAAATAGTCTTCTTTTGTTTAATGGATGTCTTAGCCCAAAGTTTTTGTCTTTTCATTTTTCATTTCTCAACTTTTGCATTGCTGGGCTCTGAAATCATTCAGTTATTATCTCCATGTTACTATCATGTTTCAGAAAAAAATGATTATACTTAATGGAGTTTAAAATTGCTTCTTTTGTCCTTCTGAGGTAAAGTCCACTGTTATTGACTGAGTACTTTATAGAGCACTTCAGTTTTTTTTTCTTGTGTGTTTTTTAAAAGACATTTTAATTCTTCAGAAAGGAATGCTTTTTAGCATAAATCAAAATGTTATTGCTATAATGAGGCAGCATGTTAGAAGAAAATTATCAAGGTGTGAATTTTTTTTAACCTACATGTATAAGGCATTAATTTCATAGACTAAGGGATTCTGACATGTGAACACTTCTCTAGAGAAGGCATTTTCCTCAACGAATAAGTAATGCTTTGTTGTCACCCAGAAGATTGCTTTAGAACATTTCTCATGTATTTAAAATAATTTTTCCATTAGCTGAGAATTGTTCTCAAAGCTTCTTGATTTTTTTTAAGTTCCATCTTATTTTGGATTTTTTAAAAAGAATTAGTTCTAGCCTGATTTTAACATAAAACAGCAGTGTCCAGCAAGAACCCAAATTATTTCCATTTTAAGTCTGTGTGAGAGAATAGATGATAAAAGAAGCCCCTCAAACCAAAATGTACCATACGTTACTCCAATTTATTAAGATTGATTTTAGGAAACTAATCAAACATATTGATCAGGCATAAAAATATTTTAATTGAAAATCATAAAGAATTGAGAAGGAAAGGAGTCTGAAATTTTAAATGGTGAGAGTTGTATGTATGTTTTTTTTTTTGAAGTCTCATTATCTGCAGAAGGAGTGCACTAAACAAGGTTACATCTTGAAATGGTAAAATCTCTGAATAGTTTTGTTTGTGGGAGGAGGTCACAGAAAGGTTATTCCTCTGGCTTTCTTCTTCTTGACAAGTCATCAGAGTAGTTCACAGATCTCCTGGTTTCCAACCATTTTACATTCTTGAGAATTAATTCTTGCATCAAATTATATATTACCTTTACTTTTGATTAAATAAACTATTTTAATAGGATCACACAAGTAGGACAGATAGTAATAGTTGCTTCAATGAAGACTTCATTTAGGATGAAATAATATAAATTAATACGGTATAGTTACATGTTATAGTTATGGCAACTTGTATACCTCTGCCCTATGCAAGTACTGTTTCTTTTATATACTCCCCCAGTAACCCACTCGTTTGTGTATCAATTTGTTTGTTTACTCATTCACCTGCCCATCATCTATCCATTCAGTCAATCAATATTTATTGAACTGTTCTCATATATCAGGCATCGGGCTTGGGCAGTGGAGATACAGGGATGAGTAACTGTCTTTGAGGAGATGTTTTTGCAGGAAACAAACCTACAAATAAATAATACCAGTATGAATAGAGTGGTGTACATGTAAAAGGAGGTACATCTAAATGTGACTGGAATGTCAAAGAAGATTTCACCAAAGGAAACAATATTTAAACTGATCCTGGAAAGATAAAACTTCATTCACCAGGCCAGAAATCAGGGCATGCAGAGAAGTGAGAACAGCAAGTACAAATGCATTGCATTTTTAAAGGACTTTGAAAGATCTTAGTATGTCTAGAATACAGGAGAAATAACAGGAAATTATGCTGGAAAAGTAGGCGGGAAGATCTCCTATCGATCGCGTTGACAAGTTTACACTTTGCCTCTAAGGAATTATAAGGCACGAAAGCCATCAAAACTGGATGCATAACATGAGAAAATTTGTATTTTTAAAAAATAAATTGGGTGGGAATACAGGAAATATTTGGAGAAGAAAGAAAGAGTCTGTACGCAGTGATCATCAGATGGCCCTTATTTTTTCAGTGAACTCGGAGTGATTTTGTAAGATTGGATTATGAAGCCAGATGGGCTTGACTTCAGATCCTCAACCTGCAGATCCCCTTAACTTCACTCACCCTGAGATATTTCATCTGTAAAATGGGAAAAATAGCTATCTTGAAGTATTGATAAGTTGATGTGTTCAAGATGTTTTGCTTAAATTTCTAGGCCTATGATAAATATTCACTAAGTAGTGGCTATTACTATTATGCATTGAACTCTTAACTGCTTAGAATTGCATAGTAAACATTATAAATGCTCCCTTCTCTCAATAAATTTATAATAACTTACTTTATGAAAAATACAAACAGACAAATACACATTTGAAAACTATGTTTATCTTTGAAGATTTCTTTATTGCTTTCCCTACGTGAAAGATAACTCAGTTGAAGATTGACAAGTGCATTCATTAACCTACAGGCTCCCAAATACTTTAAACCATTCAAAATGTTGGGTATTGATGGCTTTAAGTTTCATGAATGTGATTAAATGTATTTCTCCCCAAGTACAAACTATCTGTTCTGTTTTCCTAATAAGTGGCATTAAAGATCAGGAAGTACTGTCTGTCTCCTATCCCACATAGGAATTTCTCCTAGACCCTCACCTAACAAAGTGATCATTTGAGTTTCTGCTTCAACTCTTTCTGTGACTGAGAAAAAGCTTTATGTTACAAAGCAGTCCATTCCATGTTCAGACAGCTTCAATTGTCAGTATATTCCATTGGTGTAGCTGATACAGCTTCCTTTTAATTTCTCCTCTGTGGGTACTGATTCTCTCCTGAAGCCACACAGACCAAATCTAATCAGCATTTTACTTGCTGTGCCATCAGCTGTTTGGCAAATGCCAGGATTCCTTTTTTGAGGCTTCTCATTTCTAGGTTTAGTGTATTCCCAGTTTTGCCAGTCGTTGATTTTGTGAAAAACAGCTTTGTTGTGGTATATTTGGCATACAATAAACTGCATATAGTTAACTTTTAATTTGATAAGTTCTGATGTAGTATATAGCTGTGAAACTAACAGTACAATCAAGATAGTGTATATACTATCGCCCCAGAAGTTTCCCTGTGTCCCTATTCTCTTTCTCTTGCCTCTCCCTGCCCCACCAAGATCTATCCCTCCCTACCCTTGCAATTTTTCTTCTGTTTTCTGTCACTATGTATTAGTTTACATTTTCCAGAACTTTATAATAATAAAATAATACAGTGTGCATTCTTTCTGTGTGGCTTCTTTCACTTAGCAGAATTATTTTGAAATTCATCTATATTGTTGCCTGTAATGGTAGTTCATTCCTTTTTATTGATGAGTAGTATTTCATCACATGGATATACCACAATGAGTTTATATATTCACCTGTTGGTAGATAATTGAATTATGTCTATTTATTGATTATCATGATTAAAGCTCTTATGACTATCGATGTACATGATTTTGGACAAATGCTTTCTTTGGATAAATCCCTAGGAGTAGAATTGGTTAGGTGATATGGTAGGTATGTATTTCAATTTTTAAGAAACTCCCAAACTGTTACACAGACTGTTTGCACTGTTTTAAATTCCAACCAGCATTGTATGAGAATTCCAGTTTCTCTACATCCTTACCAACAGTTGATGTGGTCAGTTTTTAAAATTTTAGCCATTCTATTATTAAAAAGTCAAAAAACAGCTGCTGGCAAGGTTGCGGAGAAAAAGGAATACTTTTACATCGTTGGTGGGAGTGTAAATTAGTTCAACCATTGTGGAAGACCATGTGGCAATTCCTCAAAGACTTAGAGGCAGAAATACCATTTGACTCAGCAACCCCACTACTGGGTATATAGCCAAGGGAATATAAATCATTCTATTATAAAGATACACGCATGTGTATATTTATTGCAGCACTATTCACAATAGCAAAGCCATGGAATCAACCCAAATGCCCATCAATGATAGACTGGATAAAGAAAATGTGGTGCATATACACCATGTAATATTATGCAGCCATAAAAAGGAATGAGATCATGTCCTTTACAGGGACATGAATGGAGTTGGAAGCCGTTATCCTCAGCAAACTAACACAGGAACAGAAAACCAAACACCACATCTTTTCCCTTGTAAGTGGGAGCTGAATGATGAGAACGCATGGACACATGGAGGGGAACAACATTCACTGGGGCCTGTTGGAGAGGGTTGGTGGTAGGAGGCAGGGCATCAGGAAGAATAGCTAATGGATGCTGGGCTTAATATCTAGGTGATGGGATGATCTGTGCACCAAACCATCATGACACACATTTACCTATGTAACAAACCTGCACATCCTGCACATATACCGCTGAACTTAAAAGTTGAAGAAAATAAAATGTTAGCCATTCTAATGGATGTGTAGTGGTTTCTTTCTGTGGTATTAATTTGTACCTTCTTAATGATTAATGATGTTGAGTATCTTTTTTTGTGCTTATTTGTCACTTTATATCTTCTTGAGTGACTGTCCAAATCTTTTGCTCACTTTTAATCAGGTTGTTTATTATTGAGTTTTGAGAGTTCTTTACATTTATGGATGTAAGACGTTTATTGGATATATGTTTGCAGAGCCTAGCCTGCTTTTTTTCTTCATTCCTGTACAGTGTCTTTCAAAGAGCAGAAAATTTTAATTTTGATTAAGTCTAATTTATTAATTTTATCTTTTATGGATTGTGCTATTAGCATTATAACTAATAAATTTTGCCAAAATAAATGCCAAAAATATGTTTATGTCTTCTTCCAGAAGCTTTATGTTTTACACTTAGGTCTATAATCCATTTTTATAATAAACTTTTTACTTTGGAATAATTTTAGATTGGCAGAGAAGTTGCAGAGGTAGTACAGAGGTTCCCATATACCCCCATTCCTTTTCTCCTTTTGTGAACGTTTTAAATAAGCATGATATATTTGTTACAACTAGGCAACCAGGGGGTATATTACTATTGGCTATACTTCAGACTTTATTTGGATTTCATCAGTTTTTCCACTAATATCTGTTTCTGTTCCAGGATTCTACATTTTGTTTAGTTTTTGTGTCTCCTTAGCTCTGATCCTTGATGGCTTTTCTGTCTTCCCTTATTTTTTTATGACCTTGACAGTTTTGAGCAGTACTGGCCAGATACTTTTTGGAGTATCCTTCAATTTTGTTTTTTTGATGTCCTTTTCTTGATTACACAGGGGTTCTGATTTTTTTTTGGGAGAGGTGCCTTTCTCATCACATCATATGGTATCAATATACGCTTATCATTGATGTTGCTTAACCTTGATTACCTAAGGTAATATTAGCCAGGTTACTCTATGGTAAAGTCATTTATTTATTTATTTATTTTTGAGATTGAGTCTTGCTCTTGTTGCCCAGGCTGGAGTGCAATGGTGTGATCTCAGCTCATTGCAACCTCTGTCTCCCGGGTTCAAGCGTTTCTCCTGCCTCAGCCTCCCAAGTAGCTGGGATTACAGGTGCGTGCCACCACGCCTGGCTAATTTTTGTATTTTTAATAGAGACAGGGTTTCACCATGTTGACCAGGCTGGTCTCGAACTCCTGACCTCAGGTGATCTGCCCGCCTGGACCACCCAAAGTGCTGGGATTACAGGTGTGAGCCACCATGCCCGGCTGGTAAAGTTCATTCTTTTCACTCTTTCTATATTCTGTTTTTTGGAAGCAAGTCACTAATTATAGCCTATGCCCAAGGAGGGGAGGGTTTTATAGAGTTTTATAGAGGGTTTTATGTCCTATCTCCTAGAGGTGTGGGTATTTACATAAGTTCTTTGAAATTCTTCTATAAAAATATTTATCTCTTCTCTCCCATTTATTTCTCCAATCATTTATCAGTATGGCCTCATTTTATACTTCACATTACATTCAAATACTACGTTATTTTGTTACTCGTTCCAGCTTTGGCCATTGAGAGCTCTTTTAGGTTGGCTCCTGTGTCTCCTTAACTTGTTACCCTCCACCTTTTTTGTTGAGCACATTTTATTTTTTGATACTACAAGATGCCCGAGTCTTTTATTTTCTATGCCCCAGCGCCAGAATCATCCGTTTCTCAAAGGAGTCTTGGTTCTTGTTTTTAGAGCTTATTATATAGAAATTAAGACCTGGACACTGGATATGCTGGTTGTTGCCACAGGGTGTCACTGTGTCTAGGTTTGCTTGGCAGACAGAACCAGGAAACATATGTAAATGTGCTAACCCATGGATCTCTCTCTCTCTCTCTCTCTCTCAATTCTGTAGCTGTCCATTTGTATATATATTAAACTAAATATGCGTTCATACTGGTGTCTCTGACTCTAATCTCATACCATGTAATTCATTTTAGTGCGGTTTATTATCATTAATGTCTCTATCCAACAATGAGAAACATGGCTTCCATCATCCATTTACTTGGTTGTACAAACCCAGTATACATATAAAGCAGCTTCAGAGTTGTTAGCCTATACCCTGCAATTCATTTTTAGTTAATTTTGTGTATGGTGTTAGCTGTGGACCAAAGTTCATTTTTGAAAATATGGATATCCATTTGTTCCAACAATACTTGTTAAACTTCTTTCTTTACTTGGATGCCTTTGCATCTTTCTTGACAATTGGTTATCATTTATATATGGGTCAGTTTTGAAATTCTGTATTCCATTTCATTGGTGTGTTTGTTTGTTTTTACCCCAGTAACATACTGTCTTAGTTATTGCACACTTACAGTAAGTCTTCAAATCAGGTAGTGTTAGCTCTCCTTTTTACTTTTTCTTTATCAAAGGTGTTTTTGCTATTCTAAGTCCTTTGGATTTCCATATGAATTTTAGAGTTAACTTGTCAATTTCTGTGAAAAAGCCTATTGGGATTTGGGATTTGGATTGCATTAGATCTTTAAATGAATTTAGCAAGACTTGACATGTTAACAATATTGGGTCATGTAACCCATGAACAAGTTATACCTCTTTACTTAGCCCTCTAATTTCTTTTAGAAGTATTTTTGTAGTTTTCAGTGTATAGATCTTGCACATCTTTTGTCAGATTTATTCCTAAGTATTTTGTGTTTGTGGATGCTATTATAAATTTATTTTTTTAATTGCAGCTTTTAGGTTTTAATAACTAGTAAGTAGATGATATACAATGGATTTAAATATTGATTTTGTATCTTGCAACCTTGCTAAACTCACTAGTTCTTGTAGTGATTTTATAGATGCTAACTTTCTGTCTAGATGATCATATTGTCTGAATAGAATTTTATTTCTTTCTTTAAAATCTAGATACTTTTTGTTTGTTTTATTTTGCTGATAGCACTAGCTAGAACGTCCAGCACAGTATTGAATAGAAGTGATGAAAGCAGACATCTCTGTCTTGTTCCCGATCATAGAGAAGAAATACTTAATTTTTCATCTTTAAATATGATGTTAACTACAAGTTGTTAATAGATTTCTTTAATAGATGGAAAAAATTCTTTTATTGCTACTTTTCTGAGAGTTTTTATCAGCAATGGATGTTAGAATTTGTTAAATACTTTTAGGTGCCTATTTAGATGATTGTTAAGTTTTTCTTTTTCAGTTTCTTAGTATGGTAGATTACATTTAAGGTGGTCCGAAACCCTAAACAAACTTTCAGATCCTGAGACTGACTCTACGTAGTTCTGATGTATTATCCTTTATGAATATTAGATTTAACGGTTTAAGATTTTTACATTTATGTACATGAGAAGTATTGGTGTGTGGTTTCCTTTTCTTGTAATATCTCCATGTGTATTAAAGTAATGCTGGTCTCATAGCCTAGGTTGGGAAGTATTCTCTCCTCTGCAGTGTATGGGAAACATGTTAGTATTGTTAGTATTGTTTATTCTTTAAATGTTTGGTAGAAGTCATTTGAGCCGGAGTTTTCCTTGTGGGAAGGTTTTTGAATTACAAATTCAATTTCTTTAATACATATATCACATTATTTGTTTCTTCTTGAGTGAGCTTAGGTAATTTGAGTCTTTCAAGGAATTGATTACTTCTGCTATTAAATTCTCAAACTTATTGGCATAAAGTTGTTAAAATATTCCCATATTATCTATAGATTCTGTAACGATGCCACCTCTCCTTCCTGGAATTGCTAATTTATATCTTTTAATTTCAGATCAGTCTGTCTAGAGGTTTATCAGTTTTGTTGACCATTTCAAAGAATGAGATTTTGTTTTCACTGATTTTTTTCTATTATTCTGTTTTCTATTTCAATGAATTTGACCATGATCCTTACTTTCTCTCTTCTCATTACTTGAGGCTTGATTTACTCTTGTACTGATTTCTCAGGGTGGAAGCAGAGGCTATTAAGTTAAGACCTTTCTTATTTTCTAATATAGATATTTAGTAGTATAAATTTCCCTATAAGTACTGTTTTAGTGGCTTACTACAAATTTTTATTTTTATTTTTTTTAATTTCGTTCAGTTTAAAATACTTTCTAATCCCCGTTTTTGTTTCTTCTTTGACCCTTTGGTTTATTTAGAAGTTTCATACTTATCTCCAAAATATTTGGGGATATTCTAGAGACCTTTCTGTTACTGTTTTCTAATTCAGTTCAATTGTGAGCAGATAACATACTGTTATAGCTTGAATCATTTTAAATTTCAGACTTGTTTTATGGCCAGAATATTATAAATCTTGGTTTCTGTCAGTTTTTGATTCATATATTTTGAGCTCTGTTATTTGGTGCATAATCATTTAAAATTATTATGTCGTCTTGATGAATTGATCACTTTATCATTATGAAATTATTCTCTGTATTCCTAATAATAGTTCTGTTCTGAAATCAACTTTCTTTCTGATACAGTATAGCCACTCTAGATTTCTTTTGACTGGTATTAGTGTGGTATATCTTTTTCTGTCCTTTTGCTTTTAACTTATATGTGTCTATATTTAATGTATATTTCTCACAGGCAGCATGTTGTTGTGTCTTGCTTTTTTAGGAGTCTATTAACCTCTGCCTTTTAATTTTTAATTGGAGTATTTAGATCATTGGCATTTACTACTATTATTTTTGATATGGTTCCTTTTGTCATCTTGCCATTTGTTCTTTCTTTGTCCCATCTGTTCTTTCTTTTTCTTTTTCTACCTTCTTTCTGTTTTTACACCATATTTTTCATGGTTTCTAGACCCTTTAAGCATCTCTGTTGTCCTCTTGACCTAGCTCCAATTTATTTAAAGATAGATATAGACTTACTGTATCAAGTTCTTCAAGACTGAAGTCTAATGTCGTGTAAGTATTTTTGACTGAGGATTTGTACAGGTCATTTCGTCAGTTCTAAAAAACACTGCTTGCTAATTTTGCATTTGCCATAATACTTAAATGTGAAAGTATATGAACATTGTAGTTGGTTTTGAATGACCTTTTTTAGGATCAACTGTCGGCTTCTGTGTTATTCCCATTCCCTGATGCAAGACTCTGAGGAGGTGACACACTGGAGCCTGAGGTGCTTATTTACGATCATATGGAGAACATCTTGGAGATGGCCAGCTTGTATTCTTAGGTTTATCAGTATGTTTCTGTCTTTATTCAAGGTCTTCTTTTTTTCCATTTTATTTAGGGAGAGGAAAAAGAAAATATATACGTCATTAGTTTTTTTCATCTCTGTCTCTCTACCCATTCTTTCCCATATAGAAGGCCTGGTAGAATATATTTTTCAAAAAATTGAGAAGCATTTCCCTATCCAATTTTAAGGAAATATATTTAATATGCCATCTGACATGGAGAGAGGGCATTCAGGTCTTGTGGTTTCTGCAGGTAAGCGCATCACATGAAGAAGGGTGAAAGGAGAGATAGGGTTGGGCTTGAATACTGCAGTGGTTACTTAATGAGGTTTTGAAACCGGCAAATCAGCACCTTTTAACTTCAAATCCTAGGAAGTAGGGTGGAACGAAGTCTATGTATGAACTCCTGAGAGGCCTAAACCTGAAATAGCTTTATGAACCCTGGCCTAGTACTGAAGAAAAATAACTTCTCCAAGTTCCCCCTTGCTTGAAGTTGCCTTCTTCTACGAGGATTTCCTTGGACTAGCTTTATTACCAGAGGATTTTTGTTAAAGCACCTCTAGTTTCTAGAAGCTATATAAATCAGGGTATTCTTGTTCATTCTGTGTTCTAAGTCTAGCTCTTAAAATTTCAAAGAAGCAGAATGTGGTACCTCCCCATTAAATGCAGGTGCTTTCTGCCCTGTTTATTTCAAACAGTTGAATGTCTATAGTAGTTAGGACTGATGATTTGTAAGCTGACGAATGATGCCAAAAACTAAATGTCTCTTGAGTACAGTGGAGCCTATAGTCTAGTCTCCATGAATATTAGGGCAGTGTGCCAACTAAAGCTGGCTTAATTCTGCAAGCAGGAGCCCTTTGCAGAAGGATTCATGGTAATTAACCAATTCAAAGTGCAATATTTTCCTTTCATTAATGTGGCAGAAAACAACTAAATATCTACAGCAAGAATGTTTTTGACATTTTCATTTGCTGCTTGGAAAATAATGGATACTATGAATTGTGCTATAAAAGAAAACTGCTAGGATTTTGTCATTTCCATTTCAACTTCCTAACAAAAACGTGGATTACTCAATGAGCAATTTTTTTTAAAAAAATTAATAGGAAGAGTTGGCTGCAGGAGTTACCAGAATTGATTGACATTTTGAGGTGCTTGGCTTGTAGGAGATTCTTAGGGAGTTTATTGGCTCAGGCTTCTTGCTTGTCACATCTCCTTCCCTGTATGTCTGAGTAATAGAATTCCAGTTGGGTGTGATCGTTTCCTATCCTTTCTGTCTTCTCAAGTTCATTTTTATCCCAAATATTGCACAGCATTTTGCTCTCTTCTCCTGTTTCTTTTGGGTTAAAGAAGTATTTATTTCAATTAGTTCATGCGAAGGATTGTTAACTTTTTACTTTTAAAAATGTACTTAGGGCCAGCCAACTGGCATGTAGTATTTTGAATAATTTTGGAACTAAGTGTCCATTGATGACAAATGTTTTGCTGGAGGAATTACTGAAGTATTTATTCATTTTAAGGTATATTAGTTTTGACATAAATACTCTTATCTGTTGATAGTGTTTATCTTTTTACTAAAAATATAATGCTTTTATAATCATACCTTTGATTGCTAGACTCTAGTTATTAAAAACTTGAAGATCACTCAAAATTTTTCCCTCCTGCAATTTTGACACACTTTCTGGGCTATATTCTTGCTTCTGTATGTTCTTTTATAAACTGGATATGTTTAGTTAGAAAAATACTGGTTGTAATTACCAGAAACCCATTTCAGCCTATCTGAAAATGGAAATCTAGAAGGATATTGGGATAACTTCTGAAATCACAAAGAACAACTTGGCTTCATGAAGAATTGTAATTTGCCATAGGTAAAGCTGTTAGGAACATAGGTAATACTCTTCCCATCTTTTATGCTTGCTTCTATCTAGATGTCTCTTACTTCTTTACACTTTTTAGTGTAAAGATGTACTTTTTAGTACTTTCAAGGATGTACATGACCAAATATAGTTACCTATCACTACTACTTAATCAGTTAAAGTGACCAGCATAGAGACACCAGAGTGTCAGTCCCAGTCCTGAAAATAGCACGAGAGAAAATGTAGACCAACTGGGAGCAGATGATTCACTCTTGATCTAATTAGTTATTGTTGAGAGAGCAGCATCATGAAGTACAAATTTGGCTGCTGTGGCCCCACTCAGATAAAAGGCAGTGTTATCCTTTTTTTTTTTTTTTTTTTTTTTACAATGCAGATGCTTCTTAAGTATAAGGATATCAAAAGAAATTCTCTGTGAATGTGAATAATTATCCATTCAATCAATAAATATAATTTTGTGTTTACATGTGTCAGGAACTGTGCTAATTGGTAGGGATTCAGTGGTGAATAAGGTAAATACAATATTGAGGTAACATTCTAGCAGAGTAAATGGAATTTGTAAAAATCACCGTATAAATAAATAAAATGCAGTCATGAACTGCATAATGAGGTTTCAGTCAATGATGGACTGCATATATGACAGTGGTCCCCTAAGGTTATAATAGAGCTGAAATATTATTATAGCCAAGTGATGTCTTGATGATCCTGAGCCTATGTAGGCCTAGGTTAATGTGTATGTTTGTGTCTTAATTTTTAACAAAAAAAAGTTTTAAAAGGAAAAAACTAAATATACAAAAAGATTACGGAATAAGGATATAAAGAAAATATTTTAGTACAGCTGTACAGTGTATTTGTGTTTAAGCTGTGTTATCACAAGAGTCAGAGTTAAAAAATTAAAAAGTTTATAAAGTAGAAAGGTTACAGTAAGCCAATGTTAATTTATTACTAAAGAATGAAAATTTATTTTTATAAATTTAATGTAGGCTAATTATACAGTGTTTATAAAGTCTATAGTAGTGTACAGTAATGTCTTAGGCCTTCACTCACTCGTTGACTCACCCAGACCTGACTTCTAGTCCTATAGGTTCCATTTCTGTTAAGTGCCTAATACAAATATACCATTTTTTATCTCTTATGCCATATTTTTACTGTACCTTTTCTATGTTTAGATATGTAAGTACTTAACACTGTGTTTCAATTGCCTATAATATTCAGCACAGTAACATACTGAACAGGTTTGTAGCCTAGGAGCAATAGGCTATAGCATATAGCCTAGGTGTATAATAGGCTGTACCATCTAGGTTTGTGTAAGAACACTCTGTGATGTTTACAACATGATGAAATTGCCTAATGATGCATTTCTTAAAACATATCCCTGTTGTTAAGCAATGCATGACTGTAATTGTGAAATGTGGTAAGTGCATTAAAGAAGACACCCATGGCTGAGCTAGAGAACTGGCATTTGGAGTGCAGAAGGAGGGTGGGGAGAAGGTAAGGACACTTACTGCACTGCTTTCTAAAGAGGTGACGTTTATCTTTAGACTTGAAAGATTAGGGAAGGATGTTCCTATTAAGGAAAGTGGAATGTACAAAGACCTTGAAGTACAAGGACTGTAGAAAGTTTAAGGAAATACAAGATGATCATTGTGGAGGAACATAGTAGAAGAATTTAGGATGAATTTGTCAACAACTAGCTTTTGTAGTGTATACATAGACCAAGGCTCTGATTTAATTCCTTAGCATTTATTAGAAAATCTACCATGTTACAGAGATTGCTAGATTTGGTAAGCTTACATGCGAATAAGGTGAACATAAGGATGAGCCTTATAAAGGATGACACACTTAATAATGATATAAGGCAGAGTGGTATATTCTGTTAGAAGCGTATTTGTTCATTTCTTAAATATTTATTGAGTGCTTTATTACGTGTCAGACACTGATCTAGGCACTCAGGCCAGATAGTAAATAATTACTAATTATGTAGGACCTCTCTTCTCATGGGGCTTATCAGAGCCTTGTTACTCAAAAATACGATTCTCTGAATAGTATCGTCAGTCAACTATGAGATTGTTAGAAATGCAGAATCTCAGGCCCCACCCAGATGTACAGAATCAGAATCTCCATTGAGATTTCACATGATTAGTACAAATAGTATAGATTGAGAAACACTGTTCTAGAGCAGGGTTTGGCAGACTATGGCCTTGGTGCCAAATCCGCCTGGCTGCCTATTTTTGTAAATAATGTTTTATTGGGACAGCCATGCCCATTTGTTTACATATTATCTATGACTGCTTTCACAGGCAATGGGGCATTTGAGTAGCTGTGACAGGGACTCTAGCCCACAAAGCCTAAAATATTTACTACTTGGCCCTTTACAGACTTAGTGTCCCACCCTTTGTTCTAGTCCGTAAACAAGTAGCGTGACAGATATTTTTACTTATTTGATTGTGAAAATCTTTATGGAATAGGCAATGTTTGAACAGTTCTGAAAAACATTGGTTTAACACATTTTTAGCCTGTAATCTACAATACAAATGAAATACAGTTGACCCTTGAACAGTGTAGTGGTTTGGGGTGGCAACACCCCCACCCAAGCACAGTCAGAAGCTAGCTATAACTTTTGACTCCCTCAGAACTTAACTATTAATAGGCTTGCCAATAACATAAACAGTTGATTAACACATATTTTCTATGTTATCTGTATTATGTACTGTATTCTTACAGTAAATTAAGCTAGAGAGAAGAAAATGCTACCAAGAAAATCGTAAGGAAGAAAAAATATATTTACTATTCATTCAATGGGAGTAGATAATCATAAAAGTCTTCATCCTAGTTATCTTCACATTGAGTAGGATGAGAAGGAGGAAGAGTAGGGGTTGGTCATGCTGTCTTGGGGAAGTGGAAGAGGCGGAGGAGGTAGAAGGGGAGGCAGGCACACTTTGTGTGACTTTATGGAAATACAGTTGACTCTTGAACAACATGGGCTTGAGCTACATGGATTCACTTATATTTGGATTTTTTTCAACCAAATGCAGATAAAAATACAGTATTATGGGATACACAACCCACATGTATGGGGCCGCCTTTTTGTATACTCGGCTTCTGCAGGGCTGACTTCAGGACTTGAGTATTCAGTGATTTTGTATATATTGATTTAGGTATACATGGGTTTGGTAAACTTACACGCTAACCTGGAACTAATCCCCTATATATACTAAGGGACAACTGTACATTGTAATTTGTATCTGACTTTTTTGCTTTATCTTTTCTCTAAAAATGTTTCTTTACAGTACCAACCCTTCTTCCACTGTTTACTTTAGTTTTAGCGCCCATGTCATAGAAGCATCCAAGTCATAAAAGAAACCAAAAGCTATCTTGAGTAATTGGAACCCTTCTGCCATATTGTCTAATTTAACTTCGTTTTCTGGCATTGCTTCTACATCTTCTTCCTCATAATCTGGCATTGGTTTGGATGCACTCAAGGAATTCAAGTCATATTCTGTTAATTCCTCTGGTGTGGTGTCTGTTCTTGGATTTCTCCAAGATCCATGTCTTCAAACCTTTCATCCATTACCTTTTTTTTGGCCACATCTACAAGCTCTTTCATGACTTCCTTGCTTGGCACTGTTCTAAATCTTGTGAAGTCATGTACAAAGTCTGGGCAGAGTTATGTCCAACAGGAATTTATGGTTTGGGCTTTGATAGCTTTCACAGGTTTTTCTGTAACAACCATGGTCTCTTCAATGGTGTAATCTCTTCAGACTTTCATGACGTTCTCTCTACTGGGGTTCTCTTCCATAGTATCGACAGTCCTTTCCATTGAGTACTATGTGCCTTAAAAATCCTTATGACCCTTTATCTAGAGGCTGAATTAGAGATAATGTGTTTGGGGGCAAGTAGATCAGTTTGATGCCTTTGGTACTGAACTCATGGGGTTCTGGGTGACTGGGGCATTGTTCAATATCAAAAGAACTTTGAAACACAGGCCGTTTATTTACAAGGTACTTCTTGACTTCAGGAACAAAGAATCAGTGGAACCAATCCAGAAAGCTGTTCTCATCTTCTTAGGCAGTGTGGCAAAAGAGCTTCTCATTGTACAACCAAAAGCTTAGCTGGTGTTTATCTTTCTTCTTCATGGCTTGGGGAACAGATTTATAGATAAGACCAGTCCTGATCATAAACCCGACGGCATTTGCACAAATAGTGGAGTTGGTCTGCTGCTTCCTCCCTTAAATCCTAGTGCTTCTCTTCCTTACTCATATGTGTTCTTTGTGGCATTTTTCCCCAGAATAGAGCACTTTCTTCTGCATTAGAAACCTGTTCATAAGAGATATGCTTTCTCCTCGATGATTTTCTTAAATTTGTCTGGGAACTCGTCTGCTGCTACTTGGTTGGCAGAAACTGCTTCTCTTGTCTTGACATTTTTAAGTCAAGCCTCTTTCTAAAATTACCAAACCATCCTTTGCTGGCATTAAATTCTCCAGCTTTAGATCATTCACCTTCCTTTTGCTTTAAATTGTCATATAATGACAACTTTTTCTTGAATTATATTAGAATCTATAGGTATGCTTTTCTTATAGCAATCCTGCACCCATATAAAAGCTGCATTTTCAATATGACAGAAAAGGGTAATTTGCAAAAAGTGCGGGGTTTTCATACCTGTTGGCGTAACTGTAGTGACAACTTCATAAATTTTCTTTTCTTTTTTTTAAATCATTCTTATGCTGTGTTCATGCCTTTGGTACTGAACTCATGAAAAAGTGGGCAACCTCAGCCGCAGACCTTAATCTATGGTACATATGAAACAATTCAACTTTTTGTTGTAATGTAACTTTTCTCAGCTTCTTGGGAGCACTTGCAGCATCACTAGTGCTGCTTCATATGGGACCCATGGTGTTATTCCAGGTTTATAGCATTGCACTAAATATGATGAAAAATACGTGAGAACTGTAAGAGATCACTTTTTACTGTGATACACAATTTACTGGAAAGATGAACTGCTCACTCAGAGATGATTAGCATCACAGGGTAGATAGTCCCAGCACTTGAGCTCACTCACAATAGCAACACAAGGTGGCTACAAAATTATTACAGTTGCACAGTAGGTATTATAGTTAATTTTATGCAGTTATTATTTAATACGGCATCTTTACATTTGTTTACACTTCTCTTGACTGCAAATGGTACCGTGTGCATTCTAAGTTCTTTTGTAAGGTTTGATACATTTTAACTTTTTATAATGGATTTATATATATTTTATGGTAGTAAATGATAAAACAGACTAGTACCTACATATATTTTATGCATCATGACATACCTTCATCTTAATTTTTTGATATTTCTGGGGGACTCATTCTTTATGTGATTTTTTTTTTCAAATTGTTACACATCTCTAAAAAATGTTCCAATATATTTTTTGGAAAAAAATGCACATATAAGTGGACCTGCACAGTTTAAAGCTGTGTTCTTCAAGGGTCAACATTACATTGAAGTCTGATATATAAAACATATTTAAAAATTCAAAAGAATGAATCAGATTTTGTGATGGACACAATTATGGCAAGTGGAGGGCAGACCTAGGAAATTAAAAATATTGGTGTCATTGTGATGAAATAAAAGGATAACAATAGTATACATTTATTTCTCTAAAAAAATTTTACCAAGTGCCTTTGAGGCACAAATGTTCATTTGATGGTAATGGTATTTTGAAGATTGCTAAGACTTATGTTTATATCTCTATCTTATTTCTGAGGAAACTGATACTAAAATTAAAGCAAAAGTGTTTTGCCAGTGAGTACAACAGTAGTAGAGCTGGAACTAACTGGGATCTATGCTTTCTAATTAAGCTGATTAAAATTTACTCAATCAAAGAGATTTAAGGAGATTGATGGTTACAGCCTAGCATGCTATCCATCTTTCATTCCAGGCTTTAACCTAGAACACTCTGCTATTAATTATCCTGAGTATTAGATTTACATGTAAGATTTCTTTTGAAAGTCTTTCAAAACATCATTTTATTCTCTTACATACCCTTTTCTCGTTGAAAATTATATTGGTCACTCTGAATACAAAGAGTATTTCTGTTATGACACTGATGATTTGAATACAGAAATCACTTGCTTGAACAGCTATGACTGATAAGTAACTAAGAAAACTTGGGAACCTCAGTGAACCTGGTAACCTAAGTCAACTAAGGTTTGAGACTTTAAGAGTTGTCAATGGGATTATTATCTTGGCTCTGCAAGTGGGCCGTGGGTTGGAAGCCACTGCTTAGACAGAAACCTGTTACTTTGTGGGCTGCTTCAAAGAGATTGAGGGCTTTGAAATAGGGAGATATCAAGTCCATCTCTCTATTGTTTAAAGCAAATGTAAAGCAG
Organism: Homo sapiens; assembly: GCF_000001405.40. NCBI lineage: Eukaryota > Metazoa > Chordata > Mammalia > Primates > Hominidae > Homo > Homo sapiens. The sequence continues at coordinate 3,429,792 of NC_000009.12, read as the reverse complement.
ATGTATAGCAGCCGCTAAGATACATCTGCTATATAGTAAATTAAAAGAGGGCATGGAGATGTGTAGCTACCCAGAGTACCACTGAGTCACTATCTTTTAATTATCGGCCTGCCCAAATACTTTGCAAGTGAATGTAGTTCAGGCAAGCCAGAATATAAGACGGAAATGGGTTAGGATGAGATTAGCACCTCCAGGAGCCTAGAGGGAAAAATGCCTTATCTAGTCCAGTGGAAAAATACCTGGGGCTTCACATCCTACAATCAGACAGTGTTCAGGTTTTATGAGAAACTGAGGTTTCTAGAAAATCCGAAAATAGTTGTCAATTTATGTCTATCTCCACAGACACACACAATTATATTATATTATATATATTTGTATATTATATATATAGTATTGGTATATATTAAGATTACATATTAAACATTTTCTTTAACCTAAATTTTTAGTTAATCATAAGAATAACTAAAAATTGGCCGGGCGCGGTGGCTCACGCCTGTAATCCCAGCACTTTGGGAGGCCGAGACGGGCGGATCACGAGGTCAGGAGATCGAGACCATCTTGGCTAACACGGTGAAACCCCGTTTCTACTAAAAATACAAAAAATTAGCCGGACGTGTTGGCGGGCGCCTGTAGTCCCAGCTACTTGGGAGGCTGAGGCAGGAGAATGGCATGAACCCGGGAGGCGGAGCTTGCAGTGAGCCGAGATCGCGCCACCGCACTCCAGCCTGGGAGACACAGCGAGACTCCGTCTCAAAAAAAAAAAAAAAGAGTAACTAAAAATTAAAAAGAAATGTTTTAAAGAAATTAAAACGTTTTTGGGGCCCTAGAGAGTATTAGAGAGTATTATGGGCCCTTGGCACTGTGCCTAATGGGTAATTTAGCCCTGTCTATCTCTAAGCATTTGTTTGAATGAGAATATCTAGTATCTAGAACAATTGAGAAACTCATCCTTGGCAAAAATACGCTTTATTTGTGGAACTATTCATTTCATGTAAATGTTTTAAATTTTTAAAAAACTTTCTTTTATTTACTTTGTCATTTAAATCTGTTGTAGTTTGGGGACAGATAGGTTTCCACAGTCTTTAAATATAGCTAGAAAGACCTTTATATTCTGTTGGTTGTGTGGCAGTGAGATCAGACTAACTTCAAAAATTGGGAAATGAGAATTCAGATCATTTGAGATTTTCTGAATTTTCTATTCTTTTTATTTTGACTTGAATAAAAATAAGCAAAGTAAGGGTTATGAAGGACAGCATGGTAGCAGAGTATTGCTGATATTTTGCTTGTTCATGAAAAAGGAAAAGTATGGGAAGAAAGACTTTATAAAATAAATTTTAAACGTTTTTACTTAACTTCAGAAACTCTACAAAACTTGTGATATTGTGAATACTTTCAAAGTGTTCCATCATCATTATAAGATCTTAAAGTTCTGAGATATTCTATCAAAATTATTTAGCGCTACCTATTCATTCAACTCAAGCTGATAAATTATACAAGTTGGGGATGGGGAGAAAAGAGGAGAAATAGAAATTGAAAGAGTGAGAGAGAATAAGAACAGTTTAAAGTAATGTGTGCAAGAGCTTTTGCTACTTGCCTTGATGTAATGCCTTGATGTAATACCTTGATGCTGGATTGATTCTTCTGCCATAAACAGTGATAAAACTGAACAAAATATATGAGGCAACTTTTCACATGTTGGACAACAGACAGTGCAAGACTGTGATTATTGAGAGAAGGCAGATACATAAAAAGAGCCCCACATTTGCTCTGCATTTCTGCCTAGGGACATTTTCCTGACTATGTAACAAGGACTTGGAGTCCAAGCAGAAACAGTGGCACCTCTGAGCTGAGAAGGCAGAGACCAGAATCTAGGCCTGTTGAAGCAGCTGGAATCTGGAGCGGGGCACCAGAAGGGTGAAGGCTGCACAGAAATGGGGATCCAGAATTCTGAATATGGGTTCCCTTCAAGTCATGGCTGAGTGATGAACTGCACATATGGCAAGTCAAACTGTGGGCTTACCAGAGAGTTCCTGCTATGGATCTGAGAATGAAAAGATATGGTACAGGTTTCTGGTAGATGTTGGAGCTGTGTCCCAAGTTTAATTCTGCCAAAAGAGAGGAGCTTGAGAAACACCTTGGGATTTTCTCAAATTCATCCTAACAAAACATAAACAAATTCAGGGTGTTTAGACAGTAATTATACTGCCTGAGAACAAAGATTACCATTCTTCAGAGGATCATAGCAGAATCCATGTTCTCTGCATTGTATTATTTATATAGTAACAATATATATTTATATATTGTATTATTATATAACAATATATATTTATATATTGTATTATTATATAACAATATATATTTATATATTGTATTATTATATAACAATATATATTTATATATATTGTATTATTATATAATAACAATATATATTTATATATAGTATTATGTAATACAATATATATTTATATATTGTATTATTATGTAATACAATATATATTTATATATAGTATTATATAATAAAATATATATATAGTATTATATATATATTTTATTTATATATTATATTGTATTATATATTTATTATATAGTATAGTATATAATAAGTTACTGCACGTGCAAAAGAAAAAGGAAAAGTATGACCAATAGTCAAAATAAAGTCAATAGCAGTAGACCTTGAGATGGCCTAGTTGTTGAGTTTAGCTGAAAAAGGCTCATGTATGCATACCAATAAAAGGACTTAAACAAACAAATTGTGGTCTTAATGAGTAAACGGGTTAGAAATCTTGGCAGAGAAATGGAAACTACTAGTGTTCTATACCAGTGGTCCCCAACCTTTTTGGCACCAGGGACCGGTTTTATGGAAGACAATTTTAACATGGACTAGGGGGTGGAGGAATGATTCAAATACATTACATTTATTGTGTGCTTTATTTCTATGATTATTACATTGTAATATATAATGAAATAATTATCTACTCATCATAATGTAGAATCAGTGGGAGCCCTGAGTTTGTTTCCCTCCAGCTAGACAGTCCCATCTGGGGGTGACAGGAGACAGTGACAGATCATCAGGCATTAGATTCTCATAAGAAACATGCAACCTAGATCCCTCGCATGGGCAGTTCACAACAGGGTTTGCATTCCTATGAGAATCGAATGCTGCCGCTGCTCTGACAGGAGGCAGAGCTCAGGCAGTAATGTGGGCAATGGGGAGTGGCTGTAAATAGAGATGAAGCTTCACTGGCTCACCTGCTGCTCACCTCCTGCTCACCTCTTGCTCACCTCCTGCTGTGTGGTCTGTTTCCTAACAGTCCATGGACTGGTACCTGGGTGGGTTCCACAGACAGTTGAGGGGTTGGGGACCCTTGTTCTATACCACTGTAGGATGACTATAGTTATCAATTATTTATAGTTTCAGATAGCCAGAAGAAGGGTATTGGATGTTTGTAATACAAAAAAAAAAAAAAGATAGGTATTTGAGATGATGGATATGCTAATTACACTGACCCGATCATCATACATTATATGTATTGAAACATCACTGTGTACCTCATGAATACGTCAGTTAAAAAAATCACTCATTTATAAACATAGATGGAATTATGACTGAATTTTTCAGTTAAATGAGCCAATAAACTGTCTTTTGTGCTTAAAAGTAAAAACAGAAACGTTGTTCATAAACATGGTATAAAAGTTGTAAATAAAATATAAGTAAATCCAATCGTATAGTATATTTAAAAAAGATCATTATTCCAAAATAATTGAATGATGGGTTTTTTTGGTTTGTTTTAATAAATTCTACTGTGTATGAAAAGCTAAGTGAAAATTCAAGAACTGAAAAGAACAATAACTAATTAAAAATTTGTTTTACGATCTCCAACATGCTATTAAGAAATATCATTCAACTTGATGCATATCAGTGAAATTTATTCAATCTGATTAACTTAGAAGAAAATTAAAGAAAAATGAACAGAGATTCAGGGACCTAAGGTACAATACCTCATGGTCTAGTATATGTATAATTGCAATTACAGAGGTGAAGAGCATGAAAATGGGGAATGAAAAGTATTTAAGAAATAATTGTTGAAAATTTTCCATTTTTGATTAAGAATACATTGACTTATACATCCAGTAAGTTCAGTAAACCCCAAGCAGTATGAATATACTATAATGTGCCACATTAAACAGCTGAAATATCTAATCGTTATTTCAGGGGGTTCTATGTGTTCCACATTATTCAGGAAGAAGCAGCTAACTTTGTTTCACATGGGGAACGATATGGTACAGAGAAGATAGGGCTATTTTATACATTTTAAAATGTTGAATCATAAGGTTTTGCTGAATCTGTGGGTCTATTTAAAACTAAAGAACAATGTTTTTCAAATCATAAAAGTAATGCAGGCTCATTGGAGAAAATACATGACCATACAGATATATAAAATTTACCTCTGATCACAAGGCCTTTGACACTTTTATCCTACCACATTTCTAGTTTGTTTGTTTTTGCCACGTAGTAGGGAATCATTAAACAAAAACAAATTTTCTTTTCTTTTCTGAGACACGGTCTCATTGTGTTGCCAGGCTGGCGGGCAGTGGTGTGTGATCATGGCTCACTCAACCTCTGCCTCCTGGACTTAACGCATCTTCCCACTTTAGCCTCCCAAGTAGCTGGGACCACAGATGTGGGCCACCATGCCTGGCTAAGTTTTAAAATTTTTAGATTTTTTGTAGAGACAGGGTTTTGCCTGTTGCCCAGGCTGGTCTTGAACTCCTGAGCTCAAGTGATCTACCTGCCTTGCTCTCCCAAAGTGCTGGGATTACAGGTATGAACCACTGTGCCTGGCCAACAAAAAATCATTTCTTATTAAGGCATCCTACTCTCTAAAACAAGCCCTAAACTCTCATCGCCACTTGAAGTTTTTATCTTGAGACTAGTATTATTCTTTTTGTGAGAAAATCTCAGGATGTGAATTCGATCTATATGTATTATATATGTATAATTTTAGAGATATACCAATTATAGATGAAAAATTATGGAATTGCAGAGCATGAAAATAGCTTGTATTTGCCATTTCTGTATTATAAAAACTGAATACATAGTTTCTTTTTTAATTATTAAGACAGTCAATTATGGGCCGGGCGCGGTGGCTCACGCCTGTAATCCCAGCACTTTGGGAGGCCGAGGCGGGCGGAGCACGAGGTCAGGAGATCGAGACCATCCCGGCTAACACGGTGAAGCCCCGTCTCTACTAAAAATACAAAAATTATCCGGGCGCGGTGGCGGGCGCCTGTAGTCCCAGCTACTCGGGAGGCTGAGGCAGGAGAATGGCGTGAACCCGGGAGGCGGAGCTTGCAGTGAGTCGAGATCGCGCCACTGCACTCCAGCCTGGGCGACAGAGCGAGACTCCGTCTCAAAAAAAAAAAAAAAAAAAAAAAAAAAAAAAGTCAATTATGTAATTACAGTGACTCTACTGTTGCTATTCCCAAATGTGGGAAGATGATGCCCTACTGAACATTTTTCACAGACATCTCTGGGTATTTAAATTTTTTTCTCATTGAGGTGATATTTGGACAAAATGAAATTGAAGTGATTTTGTACCTGAAGTTCACCAGGGACAGCCTCCTAGTTCTTCTTCTTTTTTTTTTGAGAAGGAGTCTCCCTCTGTCGCCCAGGCTGGAGTGTAGTGGCGCGATCTCAGCTCACTGCAAGCTCCACCTCCCGGGTTCACGTCATTCTCCTGCCTCAGCCTCCCGAGTAGCTGGGACTACAGGCACCTGCCACCACGCCCGGCTAATTTTTTGTATTTTTAGTACAGACGGGGTTTCACCATGTTAGCCGGGATGGTCTCGATCTCCTGACCTTGTGGTCCCCCCGCCTCGGCCTCCCAGAGTGCTGGGATTACAGGCGTGAGCCACCGCGCCTGGCCTTCTTGTTTTAAATATATTCTAAGATTTTGTTCTTTTTAAAAATTACCTTAAGATATATATATATATATATATATATATATATATATGAAAATATATAATACATAAAATGAAATATACCCTTTTAAAAAATGTTGAGTTGAGTTTTTAAAATTTATATCTATGTAACCACCACCATAATCAAGTTGTAGAACATTTTTATACTTCCCGAAGCTCCCTTGTACCCATCCCCAGCCCCAGGCAAACACTGATCTGCTGATCTACTTTCTGTCTCTCTAGATGAGATTTCTGTTTTCTAGAATTTCACATAAATGGATTAATAAAGCATTATGTACTCTTGTGTCTGGTTTCTTTTGCTCAGCCCAATGTTGAGACTCACTCATGTGCTATGTGTATGAATAGCATATGAATAGTTCTTTTTATTCCAGAGTAGTATTTCATTTTAGGAGTATACTACAGTTTGTCCATTCACCTCTTGATGTATATTTGGTTTTCAGTTTTAGCTATTATGAACAAAGTTTCTATGAATCTTTGTAAGTCTTTGTTTAGACAAATGTCTTCATTTTTGTTAGATCAATACTTAGGAGTGGAATATTGGGTCATATGGTTACTATATGTTTGACTTCAGAAGCACCTTTCAAAGTGCTTCCTGAAGTGGTTGTACCGTTTGAAAACATTCCTTCCTTCACAGAGAGCTCCAGTTGCTCTGTATCTACTCATTGTTTTAAAGTTGAATAGAATTCTCAGCATATGTTTGGATAGTGTTAAATTGATATTAAGGAAGAAGCCTGTAGTCATCAGGAATCTGCATTTAGTCGGACTAAACAGTAGGATAGTTCTACAATAAGGAAATAACTTATTTTTTGTCTTTTATCTTCCCAAGGTTGTCAGTTTTCACATAGATCTTTATTTTCTTGACAAAAGTACTATTTTTATAGAGGTTTTTAATTATTTTTTTAAATATAGCTCCATTGTCACAGTCCAGATAGGCAATCCTACTGTAATTATATAGAAATTACATTTCTGAAATACATTTCTCCTTCTGAATCCATTTATTTTTATAAAACCTCCTGAACCCCAGTGTCTTATATATAGCAGATATCTTACATAGTACAGGTGTTCAGTCAGTGCACATTTTTTGAATACCATATTTTCTCTTGATTATATATATTATTTACCATTCAAGCTAGTAGCTAAATTGGACAAAACTGTAAAATAATAAGCCTGACTTATTTTGGAGTCTTCTTAACTGGCATATTGAATGATTCAAGTTGTTGAATTTGATCTGTAAATCACTTAAAAGATCTTTGATTCCCAGTAGCATCAAAGGTAGAAAAGAGTTGCTTCTAATAAGGCAGAAGGGTTTCTCCTTTGCTTTGTCTAACAATTCAAAATAATCTTGTAAGGTTGGGCAGATCTACCCCATGCCAGGGTGGAATAGCCACAGTGTTTCTGTGTTTGACTTTAGGTCATCTCTTCTCTTTTAAAATACACACACATGTGAACTTCCACCATTACCACCACCATTACCAACAACAGCAACACAAAGCCCAAGTTTGTTTCAGGGTCAGTTTGGGAATGTAGAACATAGCCATTGTTGACTCTGGAGTCAGCCCTGCTGGGCTGAAACAAGACTAGTTTTCATTTTGGGTGAGTGGGATAATGTTCATTGCTATTTGTGCCAGGAAGATTTAGCTGAAGAGTTTTCACGTGAGGTAAATCCCATGGGTTCAGTTTTGTTCTCCAGCCTCTTGTCATACTAGTAATTTTTAGGGCTGCTCCTGCCTTCCCTTAGGTACCTTTTCTACTCTGAAGAACAAATCAGGTCTCCTTATCCAAATGCCTCCTTAGATTTTTTTTTTTTTTAGAAGAGTCACTTACAACACTATCATGATCCCCAGGAAAATATAGAAGAGCACAGTCTCTGGCTTCAGAGTTCCTATCAATTCCTGTCAGCAGAACTGTATATCCTGTTGTTGGAATGAAATTGCCTGCTAGAGTAATTTTGTGATAGGCTCTCTTAGGTGCCATTGCATTAGGAATAGAAGACCAGAGGGGCAGAGAGAAAGAAAATATATTAGAGGTGATGTGAGTGGAAGCCAGCATTCGTCTATGAGGGCTTACTTTCCATATGTGATCTGTGTCACACAGCAACTCTACCTACAAAGACAATAAACGAGCTCCATGCTTTGATTTGTCCATCTGTAAACAGAGTAATACTACCTGTGTCATCAGGTTAATGGGATAACCAAATGAATTCATATAGGTCAAGGACTTGCAATGCTGAGAGTTTTCATCTTCTGCTATTCTGTACAACAATAAGGACTAGATAGAGTATTTGCTTTAAAAATGCACGCACCTTCTGTCATATATTTTTACAAAATAGACTAGAAGATGTTAACCAGGGTTATTTCTATGGAGTTGGATGTTTGGTAATTTAAATGTTCCTTTTTTCTTTAATAAAGTTTATTTTACTGTAAATTTTAGATGAAAGGAGGATATTCAGCTCTTTACAAGTAATGCTGCCTAACAGTTGCATTTAATCAATAGGGGTTTCTTCTCCATTGCTTTTGTTAGCTTTCTCCACTTGGTTTTGACCGGCTCCTCAAGACTTTGTAAGCTTTGAGTTCAGAACGTACTGTAAACCTTTAACAAGATGATCTGAGTAGTTCTTTAGAGGTTCATTAATATCTTATTTTGCTGTTGATTGTGGCTTAGATAGTTATTCTCAGTGTTTGTTCTGGCTCAGTCACTGAATGTGGCCATCCTGCAGGGGACAAGTCACTCCAGAGCCTCAGGAGATACTGTATTGATTATTTGTTGCCTTCTTGTTTTTTTTTTTTTTTTTGGCACATAGTAGAAATATTTATCTCTGAGAGTCCACAGATTTCATTACTCCTTAGGCTAGTTTCTGTTGTAGCCACAGAACTTTACAGATGAGAAAGATCCATATTTGCTGGTTTCAGATTTGACCCAAGGATATCTTTGGTTGTGCAGATCAGGATCTAAGGGATTTAAATGGACAGAATGCTTTCTGACATCTTGGATCATCTGAAGAAAAGAACCAGGAATGAATGGAGGTAAGGAAGTAAAGGAAAGAACAGTAGTGATGAATGAAGGCAGTTATGGAAGGATACAGGGGTTTATAGAAATAATTCCTGACTTTGCTGTGGAACCTGCCTCTTAAAATTTACTCCTCTTCTTTTATCTATGTGGGATACGGTGATGCAGCTGAAAGACTCTAAAATCTACAGTTAGTTTGGGGGAAGATAGAAGTCAAGTTACTGCTTACTTAAAATGACCTTAGACAAGTCTCTTAACCTTTTTCAGTTTCTTCATGTGCAAAATACAGTTATTAATAAAAAATATCTATACTACCTCTTAAAAGGGCTGTTGTGGGGTTCAAATAAAATAATGTATGTAAAAATATTTTGTAAATAGTAAAGCTGTAGCTAAGTATTTGATGGTGATATTTATGACTGCAATTGGTCTTCACAACTACTGTAGCTTTCTTATGTTGCTCTGGGCTTCTGTGTTCACATTTCAGCTGTCCTCTGTGTAGGGGCATTTGGTTTCATGAACCGTAGAATGTCCTGTTAGTACTCAGCCTGTGTATGAGTGCTTTCCTGGCCTTGATCATTCTCCCAAGTGGTGAAAGCTGCTGACTGGTGTGCTTCAGTGCAAAAATCTGGAAGAAGGCAGCACACATGGTGAGAGCTTTAATGTACGCTGGCTCACTGAAGGATGGTCGGAGGCTGGGAGGCAGTTCTGAGGAACAAGTGGTGCTGCGGGCCCCGACGTTCTTTCTGCCACATTTAGCTAGTCTCCCTCCTGTGCCTTCACGTGCGACGATGACAAACTGCCTTACAATTTTGAGTGCGGTAGGAGGAGGAGAAAAAGCTGATTGATTTCTCACATGCAGAGGTTGTGTTGGAATTTTACGGTTTGCCTTCCATGTGAGCCAGTTCTGCATCTGCAGATTCAACCAATTATGGATTGAAAATATTTGAGTGTGAAAAACAATAAAAAATTATTAAACATTCTACATATAACAAAGTTTCATATGTACCCCATGCATATGTACAAATATAATTAATAAAAAATGAAAAATACAGTGTAACAACTATTTACATAGAATTTACAGAATTTTATATGAGGGACTAGAGCATCCATGGATCTTTGTATCCTCAGGGGATCCTGGAAGCAATACCCTGCAGATACCAACGGAGAACTGCAGGTTGTTAAAGGTACAGTAAATTTAATCATGCACTTAGTTCTCAGAAGAGTACAGCAGGATAAGTTGATACTTTACAGACTTATTTGGTATTTTATTACCATATTGATTCAGGTTCATGCTCATTTGGCCCAGGTAAGAAGGGTTTGCCTCAGTGTCAAAAAGACAGAGCATGGATTACAAATAGCAGTTTTTATTAAAATATGGTATTTTTAAGATACTTAGTAAAAAATATACTTGTTTTATCTTATTCTGTCAAACATATAAGAGACCCATGAGATTATTTTAATTAAAGAAAAAATAAAAACTTGTCCTTTTGATACTTGGAAGATATTATAAAGTATAATTATATCAATTTGGTATTCTTTACAATTTGATAGTACAGCATCTATTTTTGTGCTTTTGGTAATGTATGCAGTGTTGAAAGCATCGAAGTTGCGCAAAATAAAAAAAATGTGAACTGTGTTCCACATATATGTTGTTGTTTTTTTAAACCAAATGGAAATTGTTCCAGTGCTATACTGCTGAATGTTACCCTTTAGCCATTTAAAACAAATTCATAAATACATGTTTTATCCTTCAAAATTAAAATTAAGATATTCAAATCTATAAATTCTGGTTGAATGGAGCATATAATAAGAAATAGGTGAAGGCAGCAGGACAACATTAATACGTAACTTTTCTATCATCTCATGTGATATTATTAAATGTATTGGTTAATCCAAAAACACTCCATGTAATACATAAGTTTCCACTGGATCATGTCTCTTGCTTTGAAAAGAGATTGCCCCAGCTTTGTTTTAACATTGGCATTCAAATAACTTGAATAATTTGTCTTTTTAAAAATATGAATTCTAAGCAACTTATTTTTCTATGATGATATCCTATTTTAATTGATGTTACCTAATTTAAAACGTTTAAATTAGTGATTTGATTAATAAGCTTCAAGTATTTGGCCGGGCACAGAGGCTCACACCTGTAATCCCAGCACTTTGGGAGGCCAAGGCAGACGGATCGCCTGAAGTCAGGAGTTCGAGACCAGCCTGGCCAACTTGGTGAAACCCCGTCTCTACTAAAAACGCAAAAATTAGCTGGGCATGGTGGTGGGTGCCTGTAATCCTAGCTACTTGGGAGGCTGAGGTAGGAGAATTGCTTGAACCCAGGAGCTGGAGGTTGCAGTGATCTGAGATGGTGCCACTGTACTCCAGCCTGGGTGACAGAGCAAGACTCCATCTCCAAAAAAAAACAAAAACAAAAAAGCTTCAAGTATTTATAAATCAATGCTATGTAATAATGTTTACCATTTATTGAGCTCTTACCATGCATCAGGCACTGTTGTAAGCCCACAGAAAGCAGTAACTTGTTGAATCTTTATAATCACTCTAAGGCGGTAAGAACTATTTATACCATTTTATAGTCTATTCTTATTTTACAGTTGAGAAACTAAGGCATTGCTACTTAAGTAACTTGCCCAATATCATGGCTACTCAACTGTGGTAAAGCTAGATTATGAATTTAAGCAATGTGGATAGAGAATTCAGCACTCCTATTCATTGTGCTATGTGAAATATAGAAAATTTACAAATAAAGCACAGAATGCTCACATTAATCAGATAAAGGCCAACAAATATGCATATCTATTTTGTAGAATCTATATCTGCTTTTATTAGGTGAAAATAGGCATTTAAAGAACTCAGATATTTATATAGTGTCACTACTGGCCAAGACTGCTCATTTAAAAACACTTGCTATTATAAACCTTATTAAGCAAATCATATGTTCTTCCCGGAACTGTTTTTTATGTGAATTTTGTGAGTTTACAAATTTTAGAAGGATTTCTAGAATTCTTCCTGTTCTAGTATTTTATGAATTTATGATCCCCTTTCCTTTAATCCTAATTCTGAAATTGTTCACTTGTAAAACTGTTGATTTGTTTAGTCATTTAATTCTTTTTCTTTTGTTCTTCACCCAAATTTATTGAGGGGGTTCTGCATCTCACAGATGATAGTATGTGTTCATTTTCTTCAGTTCAAAATACTTCTGTTTTAATTCTTTGACCCATGGGTTAGTTAGAAATGTATTATTCAGTTTCCAAATATTTGATTTGCTTTTTATTTTTGTTACTGATTTTTAACTTAATTCTTTTGTGATCATACAAATTACTTTGTAAGATTTGAGTCCTTTAAAATTCATTGAGATTTGTTTGTGATCAGGTATGGTCTGTCTTCTTAAATGTTTTGTGTGTACTTGAGAAGGGTATATATTCTGTTTTTGGGTAGAATGTTCTATAAATGTCAGTTTGCACAAATTGATAGATGCTGTTCAAATTTTTTTATATCTTTACTACTTGTTATATCATTAAAAGGGGTATAAAATATCCATCAATAATACTGCATTTTATTATTTCTTTTTCAGATCAACTAGGTTTCGTTTTATGTATATTGGAGTTCTGACAATAGGTACATAAACATTTAGGATTGTTATATTCTCTTGATGAATAGGCAGGCTCCTTTATCATTATGAAATGACTCCTCTTATTCCTGGTAATATTTCTTGCTTTGAAATTTCCTTTGATATTAATATAGCATTATATATATTTTATATCATTTTAATTTTAATCTATCTGTGTCATATTTAAAGTGCATTTCTTGTAGAAAGCATTTTGTTTGTCTTTGTTTTTTATAAGGTTTGACAATCTCTGTCTCTTCATTGGTGTGTTTAAATTTTATTTAATGTGATTATTAATACGGTTGGATTTAAATCTACTGTGTTGCCATTTATTTTTTGTTTCTTCTGTCTATTCTTTGGTTCCTTTTTCCTGTTTTCTTGCCTTGTCTTGGATTAATTGAATAATTTTTATGATTCCATTTTATGTTGTTAATTGACTTATTGCTCTACTTCTTTATGTTTTACTCTTTCAGTGGTTACTAAATGGTTTAACGTATGCTGCTTCAACTTATCACAGTGTACCTTCAAATAATGTGCCACTTCATGTATAGGGTAAGAAAAGCCAGTGATTCTCAACAGCACCAGGGACAATGGGATAGAGGACCATACTGGAATCATATTGGGTGTACATATGGGAACTTTGAGAATTTCTCACTTCAGATGCCCTTCTATTGGCTTTTTTTCCCCCTAATAAGAATACTGATAACATCCTTTCTTTTTCTGGATGAGAACACTGAGGATCAGTTTAAAGTGGCTTTAGTAAATGGCAGAAACAGGCCCAACATAGCATAATGTAATGAATACCCGTCTTTAGGTCAGTTACACCTGGATTTGAACTCTAGTAATCTTGTTTGCTAGATATGTGATCTTGGACAAGTTATTTAACCAGTATAATGTTCATGCTAAAATATGGAGAATAATCACCTTACAGGGCTGTTGTCCCATGTGCTCATACAACACTTTATTTCTATCTTGATTGTCAAAATTAACTGGGATAGTATTTATAAAGCACCTAGTTAAATTGCTTGGCAGGACTTCAAATATACTTGTCATGTAAAGATTCTGGAAGTAATTGGCTGACTCCCAAGTAAGTGCTCTTATTTTACTTACACAGTAAATTATCTCTGCAGACTTTAATCAGTCATTTACACCTTGAAACATGTTGTGCACATGTTAGAGAAGCAATGATTAATATAACTGAAGTTACTATGAGCAGGTATGATAATTAAACCAAATAGGTTCAGAGTTTGAAGAGATCTAGGTAGTGAATAAAACTTCAGGAAGGCTAGTGGCTGGGACATTCAGGAACATTGCCGCCACCTTCTAGGAATTGATAGAGAGATTGAGGGGTCAGCACTGATGTGGTGTGAGAGGGAATATAATCTTGGGTCTCATTGTGTTGCAAAGAGGCAGTTCATATTATAGAATTAGAATTTAGGTAAATGAGAAGGATTTGGAGCAAGAGACTAGAAAGTCATGATATACAAGTGAAAGTTGAAGTTGCAAAATATTTCAGGGAGACTGTGTACAGAGAAGAACAGAGAAGGCAAAGGGTGTATCTTAGGGGATTAGTCCTTGTTGAGGAGAGAAGAAAGAAGAGATAGCCAAGGAAGTTAATGCTTTCCTCTTCTTGGGATCTTTCCCAGCATCTAACAGCAGCAACCTGCCTTCAGTAATGGAATACTTTATTGAATTTATAGTGGATGTGGGTCTTGTTAGTTTTATTCTTAAATAGATCTGGAACTATTATTGTGTATATTAAAAATGCTAATCATTGGCCAGGTGTGGTGGAAAATGGTACTGGTTGGCTAGCCAGGGTGGCTCACGCCTCTAATCTCTGCACTTTGGGAGACTGAGGCAAGAGGATTGCTTGAGCCCAAGAGTTAGAGGCTGCAGTGAATCATGATTGCACCACTGCACCCTAGCCTGGGCAACAGAGCAAGATCCCAACTCTTATATATATATATATGAGTATGTATATATATATATATATGAGTATGTGTATATATATATAAGTATATATATATAAGAATATATATAGTATATAGATAAGAGTATATATATAAGTATATATATATACTTATATATGAGTATATATATAAGAATATATATATACTTATATATGAGTATATATATAAGTATATATATAAAAGTAAATATATAAGTATATATATGAGTATATATAAGTATATATATGAGTATATATAAGTGTATATATGAATATATACACACACATATATGTGTATATATATACACACATATGAGTATATATGTGTGTATATATACTCATATATATACTTATATATACTCATATATATACATATATACTCATATATACTTATATATACTCATATATACATATATACTCATATATACATATATACTCATATATACTCATATATACATATATACTCATATATACATATATACTCATATATACTCATATATACATATATACTCATATATACATATATACTCATATATACTCATATATACATATATACTCATATATACATATATACTCATATATACATATATATACTCATATATATATACACTCGTATATTGCAGTAGATACTACTAGCATATATATATATACCACATTGCAGTAGATACCACTAGCATATATATATACACACTCATATATATACACACACACACATATATATATACTCTTATATATGTATATACACATATATATATGTTAGTGGTATTTACTGCAGTGTGCCCTTTTGGTAGGACAGCAAATATGTCTTTGGATCTTTCAACTAGTATGAATAATGAAAGCTAACTCTATTGTGTTTTTAATTTCTCACTGATTTTGCAAGATAATGACTTTACTCTTAAGATTGACATTCTCATAACTGTTGAATATTTCAAATATGGAACACAAATTTTGTTTCTTTTAACTTGGAAATACAGAAAACATTAAAAGTATTGTAAGCAGACTGGAATATGGCAGGAGCATAGCCTTTACAGTCAGATGTAGTTCCATGTGTGTCCTAGTTTTGTCTTTTGCCAATGTTGAGCTCTTAGGAAAAGTATTTGATCTTTCTGGAACTCAGTGTCCCATTTCAATAAAGTACTCAACCAACACACACATAATTTTCACACAAGGTTGTTGTGAAAATTAAAGTATTAAGTTTATTAGCAGATATGTGGTAGGTGTTCAATAAATAGCAGCTTTTAAAATTTTTAATTGGATGTAACAGAGGAGGTAAAGATGAAAGAAGACAATCTTGATTTATTGGGAGAATTTCTAAGTACCAAACACTAGCCTTACCATTCTTCATGTTATCTAGGTGGAGAGTATAATTTTTTTCTTTTCCTGATTTATTACTTAGTATTCATCCTCCCACACTGGGATATTATTCAAAAAAGCATAAAGGGTTTTTCACTTGCAGCCTTACTAAGAGTTGTCAAGAGAACTGCTACACTGCAGAACTTAGCTTATATTTGCTCCAACTGTCTCTACTCAAAAGGTGTTAAAGCAATGAACTGTTAGGGTGAATTTCACATTCAGGAAGCATTTGTTCCTTGTCTTCAGAGCAAGGAGAAAGAAACAGGGATGAATTCTTTAAAGAAACTGTGTCTAGGATCTGCAGTAGTTTTAGATATTTTTCTTTATTGAGGTTTTTGTATTGTCTTGTTAAGTTAAACTGAAACATGAAAAGAGCATAATCTAAATACTAAAGGTGGGCCATTTAAAAATAAAATAAAAGTGTTCACTTCTTAGCAACTTAAACAAATCATAAGCTATAGTATGATGTTCCTAAAATATTAAACTCCCATATGAAAATAGTTTGATTGTATATCCTTGAGAAGGAACATAAATTACCTAAATTATGAATTGTTTATTAAGTCTTATAGTATTTCATAAAACAATTTATCAAGTAAATTGAATGCACTGAAAGAGTTCTACTTGGTATACATTACAGTATGCTTTAACAAGTATTTTAATATTTTCTTAGGAAGATGCTGATGTTTCTATTTGGGAAATTTGGATTAAAAGCTGGGACTAGTATCCTTAGGAGAATAGGTTGTAACTGAAAAAAAAAAATCGATCTTGCTATAAAATGACAATTTTGTAAAAATTTCTGTTTATTTCTCAAGGAGAGAGGTTTTTTGGTTTTTCCTGTTAAATTGAGAAAATTTTCTATATTAAAGGCTGTGCTTTAACCAATTAAAGAAGTGTGATTTTTAGACTCAATATAAAACATATTAGAATCTTATTTTCTGAAGTAACCCTGTTCTCTATAGTTATTGATTTTTATTCAGCTCACATTAAATAATAAACAGGTTTTCAACATTGGTGGTAGCTTTATTAATATTCAATTTGGAAGAAACATGAATTTACCAGTAGAATTGCCAGCATCAATAATTTTTAAAAGTAAGAAATTTGCAGTTTTTTTCTGGTCATTCAAAGCTAGTTATAAGTTTCCCTTTCTTTCTAAGAATAACTGTAACAGAATTGGTATGCTTAAAAAGTGGACAGAATCCTATTATTTTAAGCCAGGTGATAGCTTTTACTGCAACCATGTTGCATCTCCTGAAACTACCCTAAGCTTCAGGAAATGCCAGCTTCACCCTTTGCACCTTTCTTTTATAAACTTTTACTAACATATTTACCTTAGGAAGATGATATTTTTGTTTAGAGCCCTCTCAAGAAGAAAAAAATAACTAAATGAATTAATATATCTTTATTAAATGGTTTGAAGCCTTTCTTTTACTTCTCTATAGATAATTACTATTTATTTACTTGAAACGAAAATAGCATTATCTTTGAGTCAACTTAAGAGCTCAATTCTATAATTCATAACATTCCTTATAAAATGGTGTGGTAGAGCTTCATTATGGATATTCAAACAGATCATGGCACTAACCATGACTCAAGGTCACCTTGATGGCCTGTCCAACCTTAGAGTCTGTGAGCTTACATTTCTCTGAACATAGATAAAGTAAAGTAATACAACATGATTAGTGTTGACCTTTAGTGGTCTTATTATGAAGTAGTTCTACTGTACTTTGGAAAGTACAAGCCAGGAATACTCAAATCAGATACTGATCTGATTTCACAGTAAGCTTTGTTTTGAGACACTGAATATTTTGGCCATGTGGCTTACGTCTAAGTACTGAAAATAGCTTAGCTGTTATTTTTGATGCCCATAATGTTTAAAATGGTGTGAATATAAGATCCTATGGATAATGTTACGAGTAGTTGTCCAGATGTGTGAAAATAATTTCAAAGAAGAAAATGATACAATTAAGCTGCACTCCTGACTCAGCTTATATATGTAGAGTATTTTGGAGGGGCTGTTGTGTAGCCAGTGTTTGACTATGGGGCTGACTAGGTCCGTATAATTGGAGGTGGAGGAAAGGTAGAGAAGGGAACAAGAGGCCTGCGCAGTGGCTCACACCTGTAATCCCAGCACTTTGGGAGGCCGAGGCAGGAGGATCACTTTAGGTCCAGAGTTCTAGACCAGCCTGGCCAACATGGTGAAATCCCCTCTCTACTAAAAAAAAAAAACACACACACACAAAAATTAGCTGGATGTGGTGTCACACACCTATAATCCCAGCTACTCGGGAGGCTGGGGTGGGAGGATCACTTGAACCCAGGAGGCGGAGGCTTCCCGGGCTGAAACCCTGTCTCTACTAAAAATACAAAAATTAGCCAGTCTGGTGGCGGGTGCCTGTAATCCCAGCTACTTGGGAGAATTCCTTGAACCTGGGAGGTGGAGGTTGCAGTGAGCCGAGATCATGCCACTGCACTTCAGCCTTGGCAACAGAATGAGACCCTGTCTCAAAAAATAAATAAATAAATAAAAAAGAGGAGAGAAAGGAGCAAGGGAGAAAGGGGGAAAGAAAGACACAGAGCGAGGAAGATGGACTGGGTTGCTCTCCTACATTTAAAAAAATTCCATTGCTGTCTTAATTGAAAAAGAATTTATGTATTCATTGTTGAGTAAACCTTATAAGGAAAGGGAATATAATTTTCATATGCAAATAACCTTTCCGTTTTATTTAGAAAACACCGTCCTTATAAATTTGGTTTGTGAGAAAAGTGGCTCCATGGATCATGAGAAGTAATCAGCTCATATTTGTGTGTAATTTTGAATATAATATGTAAATATTAGCTAACTCTTATGGTACAACAAGAATATCATTTCCTTCATAAGCAAGATTACATAGAAAATACCATTTTTGAGTCAGTTATACTGGGAGGTGTTTGCTTCTACCTTGCTTTAATATATTACAGAAATACTGCTTTTATGTAAATTAGGCATGGGTAACTTATGAGCTAGTAAAAACCAATAGTATGCATCAGATGATTAAAGAAATCAAGCGGCGTGGTTGGTTTCAGAGTTACATTTGTACAAAGCAGTTTTTAAATCTTTTTAAAAGAATGCATGAACATAATATGTAAAGAGGTAATTGGAAAACATTTTAGCGTAGATAAATAGTACATGTTGTGGAAAGCTTGTAAACCTGCCATCTAAAACTGATTACCCTTACGAGCATTTCATGCTGTTTGACAGTGAAAAGTGCACCTTGTAAAAGCTGTTACACAAACCATTACATTGAAAAGGTTTCCATCTCACACCCCAAAATTACACTTATTTGCTGCAAGTGAAAATTCAGAATTTGTTCCCTGTTTATTTTGGTTGCATTTACTGTTGTGTTGAATTTTGCTTTTTCCCTCTTCCAGGAAAACTAGAAATTAGTCTTTTTGGTTTATTTATTTCAGTATAAATAGAGTCAGTTTGTATATTATAAGTGGCATCCAGAGATGATGTAATAATAAAATTCTGAGCCTGAGACACTCAGAAACTCTGTATAATAATAAAATACTGAGCATGGAACACCAAGATACTCTATGTAAAGTATTTTGGTAGATAGAGAAAAACAAGTTGGCAAGATGGTTCAGAATTCCTATAGAATATAAAGTGCTGTGAACCATTTTAGTTGATAGCGCCACACACACACACACACACACACACACACACACACACACACACACACAGTTTATCTCACTTGAAATCGTGTTAAACACCCTGAAACAGAGCCTTACTCATGTGAGAAAGAGACTTGGAAACGTCTAAGAGAAGCTCTTATTTTAAGATTGCATTCTCCATGTTATATGAGTATTTCTTTCCTTGTGTAGTAAGCACTTTGCGCGTCTGTCAGGCCTTGCTACCTCTGAGTGCCTTCCTCCTTTCTTCTCCTATTAACCATAGCCTATTAGAAAGAGCTTTTGACTGGGAATTGGGAGTCTTGAGTTCTAATACTAGATCTTATACTAATGGATCCATTTGGTTGATTTTTCTCAGTTTCTCTGTGAAATGGGAGCCTGCACTGGATGATCTGAATACTTTTAAGCTTTAAAGGGCTGTGATTTTGGGAAGCAGGCCAATTATCTGAAAACCGATTACTCCTTCACCAAAAGAAAATTTACTGGGTGATCAATTCACTGAATAGATAGTTTTTTTAAAATCAGTTTGCTGAAACATAAATTTGCTGAATGGCCATTTTGTTAAATTTACCAAATACTCTGATTTATCATTTTGTCTAATGACCAGTTTTCTAAATTGTCAACTGCCTGAACTGTGTTTGTATTAACTACATACAAAGTTTATCACAAATGATGCTGCATAGAATAGCTGCAAAAGTTTTTGAAATTTTTAGTGGGAAGTAATTATTAAGTTTTAATTTGATTTTAATTTTTCCATTGCAATTTCAACCCTGATATTTCGCAGTAGAATTATTTAACAGTCTAACGCAGCTGAATGCCAATTTTATCATTGATATTTCAAATACTGAATGCTTTTTAGTTACTTAAAACGGAAGCAACATGTTCATCCAATTCAATTGGTTAACAAGTGTGTGAATTAAGGGAAGTATACAATGTACTTAAGTGGATAGAAAATGTGTTAAAAGAAAGAAATCTTCTATACCATCATTTATACACTTTTTGGCATTCAAAACATTTATAACACTTTGATTTAAAGTAAATAGATTCTGATCCCCAAAAGTTGTTGGCCTAGAAGATAGCAAAATGACAGAATATTACATGGGTAGGCCACAGTGCTGGATTACAACAGTATTTACTTTCACGTAAATTAAAAGCTTGAACCATCAACTTAAATATCGGAGAATTCTTAAAAGATTCTTTGAAACTATTTTATTCAGTACAAGTAGCTGTTAACAATATAAATGGTTAAAAGAAACAAGTTTTGACTGAATGGGTAATTTGTCAAATTGGCCATTTGGCAAAATAAGTTTATTTTTGGCAAAGTAGACCTAGTTTTATCGTACCCGATCACCATCTCTGCCAGGGACGGGGAAAAAGAGGCAGTAGTGGAAGACTACTACTGTATTTGGAGTTAGAACACTTTTTCCTCGGTCACACCCTATAAGCCAAGTTGGAGCCATTTGGAAGGTCTTCTCCCTCTGTGTTTATTTGCGTGTGCATGTGTGATGTACTGTGTGTTCAACTTAAGTTTCGATACCAAAGACCTGTTGTCTGTGTGTGTGGCCATGTGTGCGTGCGTGTGTGTGTGTGTGTGTGTGTGAGAGAGAGAGAGAGAGAGACAGAGACAGAGATAACTCTTACAGCACAGACTTTTTGAAATAGTGAAGTAGTACAATAAAAAGGCCTGGGTGAGACTTGAAAAATTTCTTTTTGCTTTCCTCTGCTTGACCGATCCTTGTAACAAAGTATGTTCTATATAAGCATTTGACTGAAACAACAAAATGAAAAGATCAAGGTATATGCTGAATTACTTGGCATGCACCAAGGAAGGATGGCCCTGTGCTCAAGCAGGAATAGAGATGTTGGTTGTACTGCAGGGTTACCTATGGGATTGCTATGGGGCTTTATTACCCTGAACAGTGTCTTTGGCCTATACAGCCTTCCTTAAAGCTCTACTTCTCAGTTATTGCCCTTGATTGCAGTGCCATTAGGAAGGAGAGTTAAATACCATTTTCTTGCCATTGCTGAATGCAATTTGTGATCAAATGTAAAGGTCAGGGAGCAACAACCCCTGGCACCTGTGCCAGAGGCTCACTGAAACAAGCTCATTGGTGAATGAACGAATTGAGATTGCCCCTTCTTTTGGCGTCTTGAGAAGCTGCAGGCAGTCATTCCTACTCCTTTAGAAGTGGGCGTTATGGTGTGTACCTGAGAGCTCAACTCTGAGATTTCAGAAAGAAAAGATTCTGAAATCACTGTGGCACATTGATTTTTAACATTTTCTGAGCCCTAATTCAAATTCCAACAAGCCTATCTGTATTGATGCTTCAGCAGAGGTAGTGTAGAAACTCTGAATATTCCATGATTCAATCATTTTTATTAGTCTTAGCTGAGATCTACAGAATAGACAGTCAGCTTGTCAGGTACTCTGCATTGCTGGAAATGAAATTAAGATATTTTTTAGAGGATGATCTATCACGGAAAACTATTAACTGGATTAAAAAATTATAGCATATCTAATTCCCATAATATAGAAGAATGAAAACAGAAAAGACTCTAGACAGGACTACATAATAGTTGGTGTGTTAAACATCTAAATTGTTGTCATATTATTAGCCTAATACTGCATATGGCTAGGTTAAAAAAACAATGAAACAACATGTTGCTCCTTGACTTAGTAGGTGATATAGCATATTCAAGTTCTCACTCTGCCTATTTCTAGTTATATGAAGTTATATGACCTTGGTGCTGATGGAATTATTTAAGTTCTATCAATTATTAAATAATTAAATATTTAATTATTTAAGTTATGCCTCAGTTTTCTCATCCATAATAAATGGGATAATAATAGTACCTACATCAGGATTTCTGTACAGATGAAATAATGTATGTGAAGTCCTTACATAAATGTGTTAACTAATTAGTAACTAGAGGCTTCTTAGAATACCTTTTTTTGGTAGAAAGTTTCAATGATTATTAAGAGAACATAGAAGAATATCAGTTGAATGTTACCAAGCTCAAATAAATTTCAAGTGGTTAATTAACGATGAAGTCAGAACAATTACTATTAGGCTAATTACTTATTCTTAGCATTTCAGCTATGAAAATTAACGATATCTGAGTGCTTCTGTCTCATAAAAACAAAGGAAGCATACCAGGCCACTTATTCTAAGATGACATGATTAGAGCATTGGATCTGAATCCACAATTCAGCGAATCAGATGTACTTATTAAAACACAGTAAATGATATGTCAGAAGGTTCAGAGCAATAGCTGAAGACTTGATTCGTTCATTTGAGTTTACTTAATCCTTATCTTGTTTCTTTATTTTAAAAAACTATACACAAAATCTTTTGAGTCTTTTAATTCTTTGAATATGGGAGTTGTTATAAAATTCCATTGTAATAGAAATTGAACATGAAGTCACATTAGAAAATTAAGAAAAAACACAATAATTTGATTAAAAATGTCTGTAATATACAATTATATTTATGTAGAATTTTAAAAAATTGTGTAGAATATGCCTCTGGTGCAGCATATTCTAATAGTAATGTTTCAATAGGGTCTTAAACTCATCTTCTTTGGAGATTGTTCTTTCAACAAATCAAAGATTCTGTGTATATATTGGGCACTGTGGCTACATATGTAAGTGAAAAAGATAAGGATAGTCCATGCATTCATGGAGTTTATAGTCTTGTTGGAGAGACAGTTACACTATAGATGTGATAATTGCTGTGTACTGAGTAAAGATAGTATGCTATAGGAATACCAGGAGGACACTAGATTCGGACTTGTTAAGAGCAAGATGGAAAAGCAGTGGTTGTTTGGGAAGCTATCACGGGAAAGTAGGATTTCTCCTGAGACCTGAAAGACAAAGTGAAGATTAGAGGAGGTAAGAAGGAAAAATTGTTTCAAGCAGAAGAAACTGCCTGTTCAAATGTCCCCAGGGTTGGCCGAGTCAGTGGCTCATGTCTGTAATCCCAGGATTTTGGGAGGCTGAGGCAGGTGGATCACTTGAGTCCAGGACTTTGAGACTAGGGTGGGCAACATGGTGAAACCCTGTCTCTACAAAAAAAATCCAAAAAATTAGCTGTCAGGCGTGGTGGCATGTGCACATGGTCCCAGCTACTAAGGAGGCTGAGATGGGAGGATCACCAGGGACTGGGAGGTTGAGGCTGCAGAGTGAGCCAAGTTTGTGCCACTGCACTGCAGCCTGGGCAACAGAGTGAGACCTTGTCTCAAAAAAAAACAAAACAAGACAAAAAACCAAATGCCCCAGGTTTGGGGAACTGTGGGTAGTTCCATAAGGCTGGATTGTATATAAACTTGGGGAGACAGTAGGCAGGAGCTATATTCTAAAGAGCCTCCTAAGCCTTGTTAAGTAAGGGTTTGCAGTTTATCCTGAGGGCACTGAGAACCTATTATAGGTAGTGGCCTGAACTCTAGGGATCTGTGTGGCGAGATATAGATATGTGGGTGTATTTTTGAGATATAATTAGGAAGCAGACTCAGTAATTTATTAAATTTGGAAGATGAGAGAAAAAAAGAAATCTGGCTCTTACTTTTAGCTTCTTTGAGAAAAAAGGATGCCAAGATGACTGGATCCCAAGATTACCACTTTTATCTTATGCCGTCAGTAGAATTTGAATTCATTGAGGGCAGACTGTGTATTCCCCAAGGCATGTAACAGCAGTTATTGGCAGAAAGTTTAATAGAAAAGATGAAAATCTAAATTGAATTTTGATGATTTCATGTGAACAGGTGGACTTGTAATGATGATAGTCTATTTAAAGAGATTCAATGGGTAGTTAAAAATCTAGAACTGTAGCTCAATAGAAGGAAGGATTATTGACTAGAGTTACAGATTTGGGAATTATTCACATATGGATAATAGTTATTAGTGGCTAAACTCTTTAAAACAGAGTTTTAAAAACAGAGTGTTGTTGAGAGAGCAGAAAAACACCCCAGCTCAACTCTTTTTTGTTTGTTTGTTTGTTTTGGTTTTTTTTTCTGTTCAAAGGGACGCAATTAAACTTCTGAGGCAAACAGAAAGATTGGCCAGACAGGTAGGAAGAAAACCGGAAAAAATGAATGTCTTGGAAGGCAAGGAGGAAGCTTTTTGATAAAAGAGATTGTCATTAATTTCAAGTGTAATTTGATAGTACAATGAGTGTGAAAAATAAGAAAAGGTCATAGAATTTGCAGATTAAAAGATTGTTCCTTAGTGACTTTGGAAAAGTTGATCTTCTCTTGGAGGGATGTGGCAGAAACTAAATAACAAAGTGTCAGCAGTTGAGTAGAATGGGCAGAAATGAAGACAGTGACTGTAGATAACTCTTCTGAACAAGTTTGGTGGTGAAAGAAGTGATTGGGATGTTACACTTAATGTATTATCAAGGAAAAAGAAGAGTTTTTTTCCCCATTTTAGTCTCCATCGAAGACCACCAAAGTTTGAGAGAGATGACAATGAAACTTATTACATGAAATTTCACACTTATCTAAAATATTATATAATGACAACTATATTTTTGTAAGGAATTTACAGTTGATTTTGAGCATTATAATAAACCTAGTTAAGGATATTAACTAAAGATTTATGAGATAGCCTAGGATAACCAACTTTAGATAATATAGCTATATAGTAAGGAGATTTTAAAGGAATTATTGTTTCTGGAGGCAAGAAAATGCTTCATACCAAATTGGAAGGACAGCCATCCATGGAGTGCATCACCAGTTCCCATAGATAAGTACCAGTGGAACTGTTTGTAATTCAGTATAGATGACTTATTTGAAATTTTACTGATTTTTACAGAGAAATAATTTTTCTGTTAAGTATCCGAATTTACAGTATTGGCTATAGTCTTTAATCTGTTTACATTTTTCTCCTTTGGCCAAGTCTTTATTCCAAGTGTATATACATATACATATAATGAAAATCAATGTAAAAATTTAATAGCATTATGTTTTACAGCAAGTGTTTTCAGAATTTATGTGTATATGAATATATAGAGGTTTTTTTGAGGTCCACCTACACCCATGTTCACTACATTTGCCAGAATGGCAGTAATGAGAATTCAGTTCTTTAAGATATTGTACATTTAAAATGGGGTATATTGTTTCTATTATTAGCAATGTTATTATACAGTATTATTTTCCTCTTTTAGATGTGTTGATCTCTTTGAGTCTGTCATTAGAATAGTTAGGAACTGCAAAAGACTCTATTCTGCACTTTTATTAAAAGAAAAAGAGATGAGAGAAAAAAATTCTTGTGTAGGCAAGATAATCTAGAGGAACACTGTCATTGGAGTCTTTTCTGATGTGAAGAAAATTAAGAATTTCTGTTCTGGCTGTCACTCCCTGTAAAATCTAAAGGAAACTCTGTTTGGTGCAGTACTACCTGCTCGTTTCTTTTGTGGCTCTGTAAATAATGCTGCCTTTTAAGCCAATCTTTGCCTCCCTTTGCTCCTGTCCTGTATGTCTTTCCAGCAGTTTGGCTTCAGTGTTAAGGGATTGTTTTATTTTAGTTTTTGGTAATTAGTCCTTTAAGATAAAAATTACAGTAATTTCATTTCTTTCTTTAAGTAATAGTTTTTCATAATCTATTCTGAGTCAAGGAAAGAATTAGTTAAGAGAACACCTTTGAAAAGTGAAAAAAGTTACTCAGCCAACCTGTATATGTTACCAGTGTGCTGATTAATCATCTTCAGCATTAATCACTGTCATCAGTTATCACAGGAAGATGACTGCTGAACAGTCTACACTATTATCATTCCTTCATTTTTCTACAGATCAATTTAGTACAAAGATTTATTGTACACAGTCATGAGGATTACAACATCAAACCTAAATAAAGAGGCAGCGTTTTTATAATACAGAAAATCATGACTTTTTTTACATTCCTCATTTACTTGATTTATTGATTTGATAAAGCCCTGTGTTTTACAATGAATAAATTTTTCACAAAGATGTGTTTTAAATAAAGAAAGGTTGGTGTTTGACAACAGTTTATAGCTTAACTAGTTTTTTCATTTGTACTGGGTGAAGGCGGAAGAAAGCCAAGTGTTTTATATTCGTAGGTGAAGCAATCAGCTCAATATATTTTTTGTCAGAGTTTTAAGAAATTAAATTTAGTACCTGACTATTTAAACATATATTTAAATGTAGTACGTGACTAAACATATGTTTAAAATACATATATATGTGTAACATATATATGCATTAATAATTTCTACTATGCCCCATCATTGTACATCGTCTTTCTAGAAGATGCCTAATGTCCTTAGGTGTTTTTTTGTTGTTGTTAGAGTTATCTTAATATTGTTCATTATCTACTCCAGAATAGCTGGAATTGTGTACATTTTGTACTAAATTTATGTTAAATGTCAGTAATTTCCTCCCCAAAAGCACTGCTCATTTTAGTTGTCTTAATTTTAATAGAAATCTTAATTGCTATAGACACTATATATGCTACTATTATTTTCCAGCATTTATTTAGGAATGCTGATGCTGAATGAGAGCATTAGTAATAAAAGTATTAAATATAAATATATATAAATATAAATGCTGCAGAACTTCAATTACAATAATTTTGGTTCTATGTTTTAAAAATAGTAATTTTCACCTGCAAAACATTTATTTTTTTCTGTAAATGGCATTTCTGTGATCTTATGTTGAATCAGGTTTCTAATGCTCTTGTAAATAAGTTATTCTTGAATATGGTCACATTTTAGATGTCGTTTATTTTTACTATACCCATTAAGTAACTATCATAATAATTTTGGTTAATTCGGTTCAAGTAGGAATTGGAACTAGCACCTTTTGTCTTTCTATGCTAAGGATAAAGGAAGGAAATTCTCTGTTGAGCTTGAAAATTAAATTACAGGTCTTTGTTTTCTGTACTGAATTTAAACCTGTTACATTCCTCAGTGTTAAAAATAATACAGTAAGTGTAGTGGAACCAAACTTTGCAGACTTTGGTCTTTAGGAGAGCAAATTATTTCAGGATGAAAGACCCCAATAAAAATTAGGTGGATACTACCTATTTTTAAGCTAGCCCAGTAACATAGTTCTGTTTGATAAGTAATTGATTAGGTCAGACTATTAATCCATTTAATCTGGCATGTACATTGTGAGTGATAAAAGGAATCCAACTGTGAATTTGAGTGTATTAAATAATCTTCAGGAAGTTCCACAAAAAACATTTGAATGCCTTAAAACTTGCAATAATGCATGTTTGTTCCAAACACATTTGCTTTGCCTAGGTTTTACCCATCAGGTTGAAGAAATGCTAATCTTGTTCCATTCAGCATCTGGGTTTTTGCAATATCTTTTCCTTCTCGTAGGGGTTAATTAGCCTTCTTTCAAAATGTGGCCTATTTAGCTGTAGATTCGCATGATTCAGCCAGAGCTGGCTGTACAAAGAAGAACCGTTAACAGGCGGGTGTGTCCAACTGCTTAATTAGCCAGAATAAAAAGGTCCTTTGTCAAACAAGCATCTGTTGCTCATGACACACCTGACAGACACATTAGGCGAGGATGACTAGACTGAAATTGTGCATGTCTCTCCTGTAAGAATATACAACTCATTTACATATGGGCTGCATCATTGACAAACTGCAGGGGTTTATTTAGCTTATCAAAATGGATTAATGTGACGGCATTTGTGACTGATAAACAAATATCACTTGAAAGAAGGCTGTGAAGGAACTAAACTAACCAAATTACTCCCAAACATAAACAAAACACCAGAAACCACTGCTGGATGAATGGGAACACCTCAAATATACTCATAAGCTATTATGCTGGGAGTAAAACAAAACCTAAAATGGAGCATGCTAGGGCACTGCTCTCATGTGATGATCCTTACTTTGCAGAAATGTTGGAAGCCTACCAGAATACTATGAATGTGTCAGTGGGCTTAAATGATCTGTTTAGCAAAATTTGGCGGGAGGGTTATATTCCTCAAACATGCTTTAACATTCTAATTAATCTGCTGTTTTTATCAGGTCTTCAGAATTAATCACTAAAAATGCCTCTGGAAAAATACGTATTAGTTGGGTTTTATGGTCTCTGTTGAAAGAGAAGAAATACTTCCTAACTTTGGTGTCAGAGAGAGGGGATGTCTTTCTGTTGTTGTTGGAAGTGTAAATCATGTAATATCGATTGAGAACCCCAAAGATTGCTGTCTAGACCAACAGTCTCTAGCTTTTCTTTGGAAGCCCTATCATCATGATATTGCAAAGCAGTGTATGTACTGGTTGACATCATGTGCTTTAGAGTCAGACAGACATCAAGTGAATTCAGGCTTTTTCTCTTACTAGTTGTGTGGCTTTTGGCAAGTTATTTAATCCATTTGTGCCTCAGTTTCTTTATTTGTTAAATGGGGATAACACCTCCATCAGGGGGTTCTTCTGAAGATTGAACTAGAAAATGTATTTAAAGCACTTAGTGTAGTGCCTGGCACCAGGAAAAAACTATTACATGAGAGGCCAAATTATGAACTTTTCAGTTAATCTGTGGAAGGGATATGATTGATACCCTCTAATGTCATAAAGCTTGGCAAAGAGAGCCTCTCTGTCAAGGCTGAAGATAGTAAAATCAGAGGAAAATGAAATTGTGTCTATGAAGGAAAATGGAGACACAAAAGAGAGACTAAGTTTTTATCAACTGGCATGACCCTATATTCCAAGAGCCAAGTAGATCAGACCTATGAGCAGTAATTTGGGAATAAACAGAACATATACTAGGACTTGGTTGATACTTGATGGGATACTTGGTTGTGCAGGACTAGGCTTTATGTAACAGTTTGGATGTGGTTTATAGGTACAGCTGGAGGCTTGATGGAAAGTTCTCCGTGACTCTCTAGCTTTATGTTTTACAACCATTGTTTTTTACCTATCTTATTTCCCCTACTCTATTCTATAAGATTCCTCCTATTAAGTAGTTGACAACTTTTTCTTTTCTTCCTGTCTCATTCTAAAAATTCATCAGTTTGCCTTTCTTACTTGTCTTTGTGCAGCGTCTGTATGGCCTTCGGTAAGTGATGTAACATCTCTGGGCCTCAGTTAACTCATCTTTAAAATAAGGAAAATCATAGTTTTAATCTAGTGATACATCTATTGATAAAATCACTAGTTTTAATCTAGTGATACATTTCTAGCAGTAAAATGGTCTAAACTTGGGTATTACTTTTCTGTGTAAAATTAATATAAATGTCATCAATATTGTTTCAAACCCAAAAAGCAATTTTCTTTTTTTTTTTTTTGAGACGGAGTCTTGCTCTGTCATCCAGGCTGGAGTGCAGTGGAATGATCTTGGCTCACCGCAACCTCTGCCTCCCAGGTTCAAGTGACTCTCCTGCTGCAGCCTCCTGAGTAGCTGGGATTACAGGCATGCACCACCATGCCTGGCTAATTTTTGTATTTTAGTAGAGGCGGGGTTTCACCATGTTGTTCAGGCTGGTCTCAAACTCCTGACCTCGAGATCTGCCCCACTTGGCCTCCCAAAGTGCTGGGATTACAAGCGTGAGCCACTGCCCCCGGCCCCCTCAAAAAGCAATTTTCTACTTCAATCTTTATATGTAGAAATAGATTTCTGATTACCCTCAAAAGAGTCACAAACTCAAATGCCTATAGAGGCCATTCAATTGAAAAGAGTATAACCATTTAAATAATTTGCCTATAGAACACATAATATGTGCTCACCTCTTTAAAATTTTCAGATGTTTCAAGAAATTCTGGAAATTTGTTTCTTTTTTGTTTTTTGTTTTGAGACGGAGTTTTGGTCTTGTCGCCCAGGCTGGAGTGCAATGATGAGATCTCAGCTCACTGCAACCTCTGCCTCCCAAGTTCAAGGGATTCTCCTGTCTCAGCCTCCATAGTAGCTGGGATTACAGGTGCCCACCACCATGACCAGCTGATTTTTTTTTTTTTTTTTTTTTAAGCAGAGACAGGGTTTCACCGTATTGTCCAGGGTGGTCTTGAACTCCTGACCTCAGGTGATTCACCCACCTTGGCCTCCCAAAGTGTTGGGATTACAGGCATGAACCACTGTGCCCGGCCTGGAAATTTGTTTTTTAGTTCAAAGTTTTCTGATTTTTAAATGTTAGCAATTAAGAATTTTGTAATCACTCTGAGTCAAACAAAACCCGAGTGGGGAGTCAAATGTAGTCCATAGAAGGCCAATTTCCAAATCTATGCCTTTTATCTTCTGATATGCTCTCCCAGGTGGCTTATTGGGAGTTGTTAAGAATTACTTTAAAGGTAGTTTTAATTTTTTTTTTTTTTTTTTTTTTTTTTTATTATACTCTAAGTTTTAGGGTACATGTGCACATTGTGCAGGTTAGTTACATATGTATACATGGTAGTTTTAATTTTTAAAGAGAACTTTTTTCTTTACATTCTTGCATGTGTTTGATCTAAAACAGTTGATGTCAAAGTGTGGGTCATAGACCAAAAAAAGTATGTAGAGTAGTCTGTAATACAATGTATGTGCAAACAAGTTAGACTCTGGAACATTCCCATCCAGCTCTGGGGGAAATAGGAGGCAGATTTAGTGCGAGTGACATCATTGTAAGAAACTCATCTACTCTTAGTTGAACAGCTTAAAGGAGAAGCTATAACTGGCAACGCTGTCTTCCTCATCTGTACACTAAACTGACAGAGGCCACCAGCCATCTTGGAGTTGACAAGAGAGGCTGAAAAAGACCTCACAGAAGATGATATCTAATGTCTGGTTCATTCCTTATTCTTTGCAGAAAAGCATTGCCTCACTCTTACTAATAGTTCCTCTGCTATAGCACAAATGGCATATAAATGTGTAATAAATCAAAGGACCCTGGCTTTTGCTTTCTTTTTTAGGGATTTTTTTTTTTTGTTTCCTGTCTGTGGTAGAAGAAAGAGGAAGAGGCACAGACTGGGTTCTTAATTTGTGTATTCTCTCCCCAAATTTTGAGAACTATTGGTCCTCTAGTAATACTCGTTAGGCAAGAATTTTGTGTAGTAAAAAATAGTGTCATTCTCAAACATTTTTGGTCATTTCTGTGGTCTTAATGCTGGTTCAAAGATTGTGTGTGTGTGTGTGTTTGGAGATCAGTACTACATTTAAATAAACCACCATTTGTGAGATTTCACATAAAAATCTGGACTTTCAGTTTCTTTCGGAAAATGGAAGGAAGTTTCCCACATACTCACAATATGCTGGAGCTGAGCATTAGCTAACCCATCTAGGAGTATTAGCCACTGAATTGATCACTTTCCATTTATTTTGTAAACCCCTAGCCACTTCTGCTCTCTGTGCCTGAGGTTCCTCATTTGTAAATGCAGATTATAGTCATACCAACTGCATTGAGTTGTTACATGGATTCATTTTTAAATTAATAAATATATCAAGCACTTAAAAGAATTCTTAGCGTGTGTTGAACAATCAGTGCTAGTTGTTACTGCTATACCTTTTGCATGTACAAGGTTTATTGTGCTGCTTTAGGGGTTTCACTAACAAAAGAATGAGAAAATAATCCCCTAAAAAGATGCCAATGTCAAAGTGTAGAAAGAAAATTAAGCACAGAGTCAAAGTGAAAAAGCCCAGTCCCAAGTCTACTCCTGTCACCTTGAACAAGTCTCTTAATCTCTCTGGGTTTTAGGTTCCTCGTTTACAAAATAAGAAGAATAGATGCATTGTCTTCAGAGGTCCGTTTCTGAAATTGAATATGATTGAAGGTTTTGGGGGAAAATTAGAAGAAGTCATGCTGTGACAACAGATGCCAAGAGGGGTTAATTTTCTCCTTGAAAAACTGAATACTCTTTCAAAAATTTCTTAGTTAAAAATTAATGTTCACTGTATTTCATATAGATTTAAACTATGATGCAGTGCTTTTCTTATGCTACCAATTAAACACTGTTTCTCTTGCTCCATTCCTCCAGGAAAGAAAACTAGAAATCTGGTCTTTGCTCAATAGCAAGGAAATTCATATTTCTTTTATTGAATGCATAAGTAGTAAAAGGGGATGTCAAGGCCAGGAAGCCGGAGAAAGCATACCTGTTAGAGTAAACAATGGCAGGTCAGGCAAAACTGAGAAACGTGGCATGTTTAATTGTGAATGAGAGAAAGTACATGTCTTTGTTTACAAATCTCATTTACATGATAGTAGTCTCCCTCATCTTTCAACTGTATTAAATGTTATGGATTTGGGGCTATCTTTGTATAAGACTATAATCGAATTTTGATTTTAGTACCATATTATACCATACACAAAATTAGTTAACTTGATTCTTTGGCTAAGTTTAGGGCATATCAGTTGGCTTTTGGATATACGTTAATTGTTTTAGATCACCAAATAGTAAGTTTTAAAGTTGGAAAGGACCTTAGAAATGATTTACTCTATTTATGCAGCCAAAAGACACATGAAAAAATGCTCATCATCACTGGCGATCAGAGAAATGCAAATCAAAACCACAATGAGATACCATCTCACACCAGTTAGAATGGCAATCATTAAAAAGTCAGGAAACAGCAGGTGCTGGAGAGGATGTGGAGAAATAGGAACACTTTTACACTGTTGATGGGACCATAAACTAGTTCAACCATTGTGGAAGTCAGTGTGGCGATTCCTCAGGGATCTAGAACTAGAAATACCATTTGACCCAGCCATCCCGTTACTGGGTATATACCCAAAGGATTATAAGTCATGCTGCTATAAAGACACACGAACACATATGTTTACTGCGGCACTATTCACAACAGCAAAGACTCGGAACCAAGCCAAATGTCCAACAATGATAGACTGGATTAAGAAAATGTGGCACATATACACCATGGAATACTATGCAGCCATAAAAAATGATGAGTTAATGTCCTTTGTAGGGACACGGATGAAGCTGGAAACCATCATTCTCAGCAAACTATTGCAAGGACAAAAAACCAAACACCGCATGTTCTCACTCATAGGTGGGAATTGAACAATGAGAACACATGGACACAGGAAGGAGAACATCACACATCGGGGCCTGTTGTGGGGTGGAGGGGAGGGGGGAGGCATAGCATTAGGAGATATACCTAATGTTAAATGACGAGTTAATGGGTATAGCACACCAACATGGCACACGTATACATATGTAACTAACCTGCACATTGTGCACATGTACCCTAAAACAAAGTATAAAAAAAAAAAAGAAATGATTTACTCTAAATTATATTCTGGTGACATCCTGACAGCCTATAAAAGTGTCAAGAAAGTAGAATTCATGACACTTACATCCAGGTAGGGTTTGTGTTCTGAGAATTAAGAACATTTTGATATAATTTTGGATGATAGTTTATAAAGGGATTTAAACAATTTATAACAAATGAGATAGAAGGTAGCTTTCAATGAAATTTAACCTGGATAGTCTCAGGATAAGAGGTGCTAATGGGAATTTTTTTAAAGAATGTGGATTAGTAATTATTTATAAAGTGGTCAGAATGACCATACACATGCACGGACTGTCATGGTAGTATGTTGGGATAAGAGGTATGAGAGTTGAAAGTTAGTTTCAGTATAGGATTTTAAGAACAATTGTAAGGAAGCTAGTCATGCAGGAGTGACATTTTAAACTTTAATTTCATTTTAATCTATTTCAGAGACCATCATGCAGACATCAGAGACTGGGTCGGACACAGGCTCGACAGTGACCTTACAAACATCTGTGGCTAGTCAAGCAGCAGTGCCTACGCAGGTGGTACAGCAAGTACCAGTACAACAACAGGTAAGGAGCTGCTGCTCTTAGAAAAGATGCTGTTACTTTCATTATGTTGGCTGTCCAACATACCTGTATCCAAAAATTATTTGAACTTTACTGTCTTGCTATGATAGGCATACTTCAGTTTTTAGGTTCATTCAGCAAATGTTTCTTGAGCATTTCTTGGATGTGCCAGGTTCTTTCTGTGCTAGGCTATAGGGATACAAAAATGAATACTCAAGTTATAATCTGTATTCTCAAACAGCCTGTCTTGACTCCTAAAGCAAGTTATTTTTTCTGATATGACCACTCAAAGTTTTCTCCTTCTCTTCTCTCCTCATTGTTTATCACAACTTTCTATTTCTTTCATATTGAAATGTCAGCAATATTATACTTTATTTAGTTGGCTCACAGTAGTACTTAATAGGATGCATGCACCTTCCAGGCAGGGATTTTGCCTTTGTGGTATTTTAGAAAGTGCCTTTGCATTAGGTGGTTGATAAATACTGTTGAATGAAAATAGAATAATCTTCAAGGTCTGGAGATCTGACTCAAGCTATTTAAAAAGTTGGGAGTGAATTCATCATCAGATATTTACTACAGGTCTTATTCATACGCAGGGCAGTTGGCTTGTTTGGAAAGATACTGACAAAGTAATGCTGTTCATGTATGTGGATTGTGAACACACTGGCCTGTGATTTCTTCTAAAGAGTGGTGAGAACATAAGTGAGAAAGATCATATGTCATATAACATTATCTTGAGATTCAAGATTTGCCTATAATTTCTTAGTATTAAAGAGACTCTTTAGCAAACGTTGCTCTTACAATTATAAATAAGTGGTTAGGGAGAAGGATATAGATGGGTTATAGATGATGAAGGACATTTTTATAATTGATAGATGCAAGGTTATATTCTTTACAGGATATAGAATTGGGTTGGGCAGGGGGTGTGCTGCAATCGTACAGAAGTCATTGGCTTTTAGGATAAGTAAAGACATCTGAGATAATCGTCTTGTGTTTGTTTTGTTTTGTTTTTTGAGACGGGAGTCTCGCTGTCTCCCAGGCTGCAGTGCAGTGGCATCATCTCGGCTCACCGCAAGCTCTGCCTCCCGGGTTCACACCATTCTCCTGCCTCAGCCTCCAGAATAGCTGGGACTACAGGTGCCTGCCACCACGCCTGGCTAATTTTTTGTATTTTTAGTAGAGACGGGGTTTCACCATGTTAGCCAGGATGGTCTCGATCTCCTGACCTCGTGATCCGCCCACCTCGACCTCCCAAAGTGCTGGGATTACAGGCATGAGCTACTGTGCCCGGCCATTTTGTGTTTATTTTTTAAACATTTTTAAAAAAATCTTAGCATACTCTGCCATATACACATATACAACTTTCCCATCCCTCAAGCTACCAGTTTATTAGATTGAACTATATATAGTTTTGATCTACAAAAAGTGTTACATGTTTCAATCTATTGCTTATGTTCCTTTTATTTCTTTTAAGCATATTCTCTCTTTTTTAGAATTGTAGATCCAGAGCATACATATGCAGGTTTGCTTTATGGCTAAATTACATAATGGTGGGGTTTGGGCTTCTAGGGTACCCATTACCCAAATAGTGAACATTGTACCCAATAGGTAATTTTTCAACACTTATCCCCTTCCCACCCTCTCTCCTTTTAGAGTCCCCAGTATCTCTTATTGTCATCTTTATGTTCATGTGTACCAATTGTTTAGCGCCCACTTTATTGGTTATGTTTTTATCTTTTTATATATATTTTTTAACCATTAAAAATGAATCTTCACAATGGTGATTTAAAAGGCTCTGTTATTATTAATGCCATCACCAATTTTAAGACTCTGAACCTTATTGAGAAAGGGATAGCTTTTGTCATGTCATCTGAAGAGCAAGTAAAGAACAATTCAGACATTGTTATAACTAACTTTAAAAAGATAACAGTTATCTTTTTAAAGGCAATGTTGAACATTTAACTCACTCTGGTTTTCATCTCTGTAGAAGAATGGTTTTGAGAGAGTGCCTATCACTAACAAGAGTGTGATGGAAATAGTGTTCCTATCTCTGGAAGGTGCCTTCTGTAAACATGAAAAAAAAGTTTTCTTTTTATTGAATTTACATATTATCAAATATTTACACCAGGTCTTAATAGGGTATATAATAGTATAAAGACTCAAAAAACTTAGCAAGGTCTGTTATTTTAAAAAAATGGCCTTTAACCTCCCCCATTCTCCCACAAACCACTCCTCATAGGCAACTACATTGACCTCTTTAAACCTGTTATTCTGATATTTACCTCCATTTATTTAAATATAGTATACTTATTTTACTGCACCTTGATTTTTTAGTTTTAAGCATTTTAAACATTACCTTAGCATGCCCTTCTTTTGGTCCCTAACACAACACACACACACCCTGGCCCACCCACCCGCCCACCCACCCTTCCTGTCCCTTATGTTCTTGACAGATTGAACCATATGTGTTTTTTTAGGTACAAAAACAATAATTTCATGTCTCAACCTATAAGTTATATTTTAATTTCAGTAAATTCAGTAAATTCAGTGCTTATATTACCATGATATATAAATGCTTTTCAAATCCAGCCTTGTAGTAAACAGTGATTACCTTCCTTTCCTGTAAAACTCATTTATTTTTCTTAGATTTAATGACTGTGTTTCTTCTAGTTTGCAGGATTGCCATGGACAAGCCAAACACCAATCTGATTTCTGATCTTTTTTATGTGGTTTATGTGATTTTTTTTTCTCTGAAACTTTGTAGAATATTTGAAATTCCAGTTTTATGAACTTTATGATGATGTGCATTGATGCAGGCCTATTTTCAAATACTGTACTAGAAACTTCATGGGCCATTTCAGTCTGGACATTCATGCTTTTTCATTTCTGGGAAACTTTATTCAGTTTTTTCATTTATGATTACCTCCCCCTCTGTTTTCTTGTTTTTTTCACTTTCCGGACTTTTTTTGTTCTATTTTCAATTTCATTGTTCAGGCCTTATATTATTTTTAATTTCTATCACTTTTTTTTTAATTTTCAGGAATTTTTAAAAAATTCCTATGTGTTCCTTTTCGTAATATCATGTTTTAATTCATGGTTTTCTTTTACCTTTCTGAAGATATTAATTTTTTTTTAACTTGTTGAAATTTTTTTTCTCTTTACATAGTCTGTTTCTTTTAAGGTACTCTGTTCTGTTTTGTTTTGTTTTTTACTATGTCTCTGTCTTTCATGTTAAAAGCTTTTCTCTGATGTCTGACAATCTGTGGGTGTTTATCCATATTTTAAAATGTGGATATAAGACGCTGATTTGAATGCATGAGTGAGTCTTGTTGACTTCAAAATGGGGTCATCTGACTGACAAGGCTTTTTAATTAAGAACCCTCTGATGTTCAGTATCTTTGTTTGCCCTCTTTGGCTGGTCAATTTTTTTAAGAAGACTTGTCCAACTTCCTGCCTAGTGGGGGAATGCTTGGCTGCCTGGGAGCTGAGTTGGGGAAAGAGTTGGGTATTTATTGCACGAATTTAATTAATCTTTCTCTTTTTTCATGTGGTATTACCCATGCTTGGTATTCCTCAATGAAGAGATTAAGCCAAAGAACAAACCTCCAAACATTTTACTAAAGTTAGGGAAAGCCAGTTACCTTACTGCGTAGGGGTTGGTAGAGGGAACCTGATTGCTTCTTAAGTAGAATCACATTTTATATTAAATACATATATTAAAAACAAAAATTGGATTGCTGTCAGAAGTGGAAAATCAGTGTCACTAGCCATAAATAGAAGATTATACATACACACCCTCACCACCCCCAACACTTCATTCTTGACCTCATAAAAAATAATCTTGTGTACACCTGGACCACACTTTGGAAAAAACATTGTACTGTGCCATATGGCTCACTCCCAACAGGCATATTTTTCATTTCCTCAAGTTAGCTTTTTCTTCTGGGACATTCAAGGCAGGTGATACCTTATATTCCTTTACACCGAGCAAAGAAGGTGAGAACACTCATTTTCTTTTTGTCAACAAAGTGTTTTATTTCACGCAGTTTTTTGTTGTGATATTTGCCTGGAGACCCTTGTTATGTTGTCCTCCCAGACTTATTTAGAAGCATGTTTTTCTTCTTTGTCGTTATTTTTCTTTTTTTTTCTTAAGTAGAATAGTGTCATGTTTGAAGCTCCCCAGTATATTCCAGTGGTGTCCCCGTGGATATAAATTGTCTATAACTGATAAGATTCATGCTATAATTCCTATTCCTCTGACATGCCTATAATGTTTGAATTGTTAATGTGCTGCTATTATCTTGGGTTTGCAAACTATAGTAAAATGCCTTTAAAAGTTTCCAGCTTTTGTTACTGACCCATAATGGATATAGAAATCATGATATTGATGTCAAAGGTAGTTACTTCTGTTGATTCAACTTTTCATTGTAACTTTGCTTTGTTGATTTTGACATAAAGAGAAAGTTTATAGCTAATTTTTAAAATTTTGAGGCATTCAATATTATATATAGGTTGGTGCAAAAGTAATTGCGGTTTTTGCCATTAATTTAATTTTTGCACCAACCTAATATACTAGAATGATGAGTGTATTAGTCCATTTTCATGCTAGTAATAAAGACATACATGAGACTGGGTAATTTATACAGGAAAAAGCATTTAAGGGACTTACAGTTCATGTGGCTGGGGAGGCCTCACAATCATGGCAGAAGGCAAGGGGGAACAAGTCATGTCTTACACGGGTGGCAGCAGGTAAAGAGAGAGAGCTTGTGCAGGGAAACTCCCATTTTTAAAACCATCAGATCTCATAAGAATTACTGACTAT
This sequence comes from Homo sapiens, assembly GCF_000001405.40. Lineage (NCBI taxonomy): Eukaryota > Metazoa > Chordata > Mammalia > Primates > Hominidae > Homo > Homo sapiens. Next base: position 3,390,652 of record NC_000009.12, on the reverse strand, counting down.
CACGAGACCAGCACAGAAAAGACCTGCCCTCATGAGTCAGTTGCCTCCCACCGGGTTCCTCCCACAACAATGTGGGAATTGTGGGAATTACAATTCAAGATGAGGCTTGGGTGGGGACATAGCAATTCCCCACAAGTTTGCTCCAGTTCCCAACAAGTTTCTCATCTCCATCTGAGACCACTTCAGCCTGGATTTCATAGTCCGTATCATTATCACCATTTTGGTCAAAGCCATTCAACAAGTCTCTAGGGAGTTCCAAACTTTCTCACAATTTTCTGACTTCTTCTGAGTTCTCCGAACTGTTCCAACCTCTGCCTGTTATCCAGTTCACTTCTACATTTTTGGGTATCTTTTACACTTTGACATTTTGGGGTATCTTTTCAACAGTGCCCCACTTTACTGGTACCAATTTACTGTACCACCCCAACATGATTCAATCACCTACCACAGGGTTGCTCCCAAGACATGTGGGAATTGTGGGAGTTATAATTCAAGATGAAATTTGGGTGAGGACACAGGCAAACCATATCAATGAGAAACCAGAAAATTTCAGGATTGCAGTATTATACACTTCTTCTGTTTCTTCAAAGCCATAAGGCTTCTAATTTCACCGTGTAGTAAGTACCGAATAAAACAATTCTAAAATTGTTTTTATGATTTTTTGTTTATTTTATATGACCTCAAGTATCCATTTGTCACACTTTCTTAGACAATATGGTTCAGGGATAGAGAATTCTGAACAAAGAATAGCAAGATCTTACTATGTACAGGGCGAATATTACTTACCTGAAATGCCTGGGAACAGAAGTACTTTTGCTTTGGAACTTTTTTCAGTTTGTGGTATATTTGCATATACATAATGAGAGATCTTGGGGGTGGGACCCAGCATTAAACATGAAATATATGTTTTTTTATATATACCTTATACACATAGCCTGAAGGTGAGTTTATACAATATTTTAAGTAATTTTGTGCAGGCTATTACTTGAGGTCGGGTGTGGAATTTTCTTCTTGTGGTGTCATACTGGCACTCAAAAAGTTTAGAATTTTGGAGCATTTCAGCATTTGGATTTTCAGATTAGGGATACTCAATCTGAAATGCTATATGAAATTTCCTGTCTTTTCATGATCTCACAAAACATCATAGAGTCTTATTTCCAAATATAGACATTGTTGCCCAATTCAATAAAATTGATAAAAATATCTAAGTATCTTGATTAGAAACTCAAATTTTGATATTACCCATCCTATCATCTTTATAAAGACTTTTTGGACCAATGGGTCTCTATAGAATATGACTAGAAATGGATTGCTCCTTCTCCTCATCCTTCATCCTTGAATGATTTGGTAAAGAGTTTCTTGTAGATTATTCTTTGTTTTTCATTTTATGCCTCAACCTAGGAGGTCGTCTAACCCCTGCTTGTCCTAGAACTGAGTTAAACATCCAGGAGAAAGACAAAGGAAAATGTCTTCCTACTATTCCATGGCCAGCCAGATTAGTTTTCTTTTCAAGGTAGAACTTTGACAGAAGTCAGAACTTTCATTCTTTATTATAATCTTGGGCTCCAGGTATTCCACAAATACTGCTAACATTGAGGATAATTTCTAAGCCATCTTGACCATGGCTCTAAGATTTTTTTCCTCCCTTTTAAGTTTTTCAGTTTTAACTGCCTTTGCAACTGTAGTCCTCCTCTCTACTATCTCTGTCTGTCTTACCTCTTTCTTGGAGAAGAGCACAAATCTTTTTCTCTCAAAATGAGTAAATGTATTGTCTCTATATTGTTTCTTCTAAATGTAACACATGAGGTATAGTGGAGCCCTGGGGTTCAGGGACTTCTATTGAGTTCAAAGCAAGATTTTCTTTTTTTCAAAGAAGCTTTCAATTTTGCTGAAATTTTTTTATGATTAGAAATTGTAGTCTTTACCTTTTCCTGCTAAGGGACTCAGAGAGTTTGTTTCTGGTAGATTTTTGGTTTGTAATTGGGATATTTGAAACCCCTTTGTATGCCATAAAAGCTCCTTTCAAGACTATATTCAGGAAAGAACATTTGTTTTTTTCTATAAATTGCCTAGATAGACTAGAGAAGGACACTTTGTTCATAATCTGAGTCATTAAAAGGAATAGAATAGCTAGTTGGCTATATTGGTTTCTTTTTGGTTAGTATCAGCCTATCACACATTTAGCCTTTCCACATAAAATATGGTATATCCTGCAAACTGAGCATATTATCCTTGTGGTCAAAAAGATAAAAGACATTTTCTTTGGGGAACAAATCTAACCAGAGTTGTAAATTAGGTTGCAGGAGAAGGGCAATCTTCAAGTAAGGTAAGATTTAAATGAATAGTCTCCATTAGATCTCTTTATTTTGGGTATCTACAAAATGATCTGTTAATCTTTAGGAAATAGATTTTAGTAATTTAAGTGTAATATGAATACTTCTTAGATCCTCACATTTCTTAGACCGTAGTTTCAATACTGGGTCATTTCCATCTTCACTTCTGTTTGCCATATTCTGAGTAGTATGTCGTTACAACCAGTAAGAAACCCTGATAATTAGAATTATACCGATGATAAAGTTTATTGTCATTAAAGCAATCAGTAGTGATTTTTAAAAATTGCCTATAGTTTGTTAAATTCATAATAGAGTATTCTGTTGGATCAAATTTTGATCAAAAGTATCTTAAATGAATTTGTTAGTTTGGGGAGCTATGCCCAAGATAGTGCACTCCATCATTCTTGTCTTTATCTTTCTTTTCTGTTCAGGGTCAAGAGGTTTGCTTTCTGTGAATCCTAGCATTGATGGACATGAATAGAATTCTTTTCATTTGAGACCATTATTTCATATAATCAGCTGAAACAAAGGCATTTTTCTCCGGTTTGCTCTTACTTGGGACTTGATTCCCATTGGCTTGGTTCCCTGAGGGGGGACAGTGTTCTCATAATTAAGACTGTGGCAGACATCCTGAAAGATTGAGTTATATTTTAAAATGAATTCCAAATGAATGTCTTTTTGAAAAAAAAAAAGACAATGATTTTAGCTCTTGGAGAGATTTATTTTTAGAACCAGAACTGCAAAATATTGGTATCCAGTATAAAGAAGTAAGGTGTTTTGGAGGACCATGCTGATTTACAATGGAAATAAGTCTTGCTGTGCCAATCCAATATTAAGGCCCTTTTGTTGACCATCTCTACTGAATAGTTAAAAAATGAGAGCTCTACTATTTAAGTAGTTGAGTAATAGTATGCTTTGATTCTCTATTAAGTAATTAAAAAAATTTTTTTTTATCCAGAGTTAGATCATTGTGATCAGTTCTAGATACCATGTTCTAAGAGGAATGTGCCAGGCACTATGTTAAATGCTGGGGTTTCTAAGAAAATTTGACATGGTATTTGATGGGTAGGAAGCCAGCTTTTGAAGAAAATACAAGTTTGATGGAATTTGATACAAAGTGCTTAGGAGCAAAGATGGAAGATTGTCTTTGGGAGTGAGGGTCAATAATGTGACACCAAAGATGTGACCCTTGAGCTGCATGCTGAAGGAAAAGTTGGAATTCACAAGAAAAACAAACTGGAAGAGGGTATCTCTGGTAAAGGAAAGCATGAAAGATTTCAAGTGAAATAAGGCAATCTGTGAAGGTGACTGGGGAGAGGAACCTGGGAAGTGAGGGATATGGAACAGTGTTGCACAAGAGCCTCTTTGCAGAAGGTTGAATCAGATGACTCATTTGTGATACCTTCATATGTGTCCCCTCCCTAGCATTTTCATTTTCTTCCTACTCAGTTGACTTATTTCATTAGGTATTCCCCGACTGCCAATTTTCCTGATAAGAGACATATGTACTTGTCTACTACATTTCCTTTTTGTATGTTCAGTTCTTAATCCTATGAAATTTGGATTCTCCCCATCCAACTTGAAACTGTGCACTTCTGGACAAGCTAAATCCAACATTATTTTCTAGGATCTTTCTGGATTTTTCTTTGACACTTGATACTATTGACTATTATCTCTTTTTTCTTCCGTGGCTTCTGGGCTTCCTCTTGTATTTCTTTGAGGACTACTTCATAAAGGGAAGCAGATTTTGTGGAAATTGAGTGGGCTTTATTGTTGGAAGGCATAAATTCAAATCCTGGCTCTAGTCCTTTCTACTTATATGACTGGGCAACTTATTGGCTTTTTCTGAAACTCAGTTTTCTCTTCTATAAAATAATTGTAACAATGTCTTGCTCATTTATAGCTAAAAATATTAAATAATACTTCTGCTAAAATATTTAGGTTAGTACCTGATTATAATAAGCCTTTAATATGTTTATTATTTTTTACTATTATTATTTTCATTGTTATTATTAATAGTAGTAATAGTAGTAGAATTCATGATCTTCTAAAAAAAAATTTGGAGTTTTTAAACTCCTTTTCTTGTAACATTGGCTTTTGGCCACTTTCTCTTTGTTCTCACTTTCAAGTAACTTATCCTCTGTAGCTATTTTAGAAACCAGTGCTGCTTTCATTTTCTTTACTAGTCAAGAACTTTTGTTCCTCCTTCCTTGTATTGGACTGGATTATGAGTCAGGGAGGCTCAGACTCTAGATCAGAACCAACACCAACTTCCTCTGATCTGCAGAGGTGGTGGTGGTGTCTTTCACTTTGAATAGGCACCCAGTGTAGTCATCAGTCGTTTGAAAAAATGCCAGACAATTTCTCAATAAAGATACCTCCATCATTTTATCTACCTCATAAAATATAATAGTTTTGGATCAAGTGTGGCATTGTGATAGGATATAAGACTTTAGGAAATTAGGGTGGAAATAATATATTATTATCTTAGATGACCTTATTGGAATTTGAGTTTCTAGTTAGAAAAGGCTTAAACTATTCCTTTAGTGCAACTATTCCCAAGGACGTCCCAGAGTTGAATTGCAAGGAGTTTTCTTTTCTTTTCTTTTCTTTTCTTTTTTTTTTTTTTTTTAAGACAGGCTGGAGTGCAATGGTGCAATCTTGGCTCACTGCAACCTCTGCCTCCTGGGTTCAAGTGATTCTCCTGCCTCAGCCTCTTGAGTAGCTGGGATTACAGGCGCACACTGCCATGCCAAGCTAAATTTTGTACTTTTAGTAGAGACGGGGTTTCACCATGTTGGCCAGGCTAGTCTTGAACTCACCTTAGGTGATCTACCCGTCTCAGCCTCCGAAAGTTCTCAGATTATAGGTGTGAGCCACTGCACCCGGCCAAGAGTTTTCTTCTTCAACAGATCACTTACTGTATAAGACTATGTATAGACTTACTTTAGTTGATTCCATAGTTTTGTTCTTAGAGACATACAATTTCTTTCCTATTAATATCTAATTTGCCTATCAAACTATCAATTTTAGCATTAGTTCTTTTTTTGCTGGGAAAATTCAATGTGTCCTATAAAATGTTTTACATGAGTAGAAAATAGAAAACTTTAGGATAACTGGCACCTGTACTTACATATAATTTGAACAGTTTGCAACATAATTTAAACAGAGCACCTACCCTTTTGCCATAGCAAATTAGAAGAATTATTTATGTGTGCTAAAAATACACCCTCATTCTAATAGATCTCAATGTATAGCTGAGTCTGTTTGTCATCAGTGTGTCAAAGAAAGGTAAACTTTAAGGTCCAAATCAAAATTGTCATTTATAGTATGAGCTGGTCAAGGAAGTTTCCCCAGAGGGACTGACTTTTAAGCTAAGATTTGAGGAATAGAGGTAACAGTGAGGGAATAAAAGGAAGTGTTTATTCAGGGAAGTGAGTGTATGAAGACCTGGCACGAGAGAGGAGCTGGTGGGTTTGTGGAGTTGAAACAGAGTCTATATGGCTGGGGGAGAGCGTGGGAAGGGTGTGGTAAGAGTTGAAGTAGGGTGTTAGGTGGCACCTGGACAGGTGTCTTGGTATCTTGAGCTTATGAATAATATTTCAGTCTGCACTATAAGCTATTTAAGTTTTCAATAATAGCTATCATTTTGAATTTACCTACCATTTTACTTCTGTCAGAAGTCCAGTTCAAACAATGGATCATAGTAATAGAAGCTACAATCTACTGAGCATCTTATTATGTGTCCCTATGCTTAATGCATGGCTCATTATTTCTCAAGCTTAAAACAACCCTGCAAGGTAGTTGGTATTATCTGCCTTTTATGGGCGAGGAAACTGGGCCTAAAGGAATTTAAATAACTTGTTTTTGATAATAGCCACTTGGTCTTGACAGCCTGTGCTTGTATTTGAGAAGTATACGCCAGGACAGTAATTATAAAATGAATGTATGTGAGCTTGATGTTACATTGCTTTCAGGAGTGGGGCACATATTATCTGTTTAGCAAATGATTCTTTTTTTCAAAGGCTCTTTCATGAAACCAGTAAATACTGGCCAGTAGTAAATGCTCAATATGTATTGGAGGAATACACTAAATAATGCAAACATGAGGTATTCTGTAGTGTCATTGTGTATGTGGAGAGGAAAGGACTTGGGCCTTGCTCACTTAGTTTCCTGCTGCCCCTGATAGCAGCTCTTTACATGCCTTTGTGGAACCTCTAGGGATTTATGGAACACAGTTTGAGAATCATCTTTTCTCCTGGATACTTCTGTAGCCAAATGAATCGGTCATCAAAAAATTTCAAGCTCTGTATCAAACTGAACCACTATATCAGAGGGTTAATTTAATGGAACACTTACTTTTCTGTCCCTGAAAAATAATTATTGTACCTTTTTTTAAATCCAGGGCTGATTTTAGAAATAGATACACAAGTTATGCCTTTTTATTTTCTTTGAAAATGTGTGTTGAAAGTTTTACATATCTTCTAGAATTTATCAGGTTTTCCGCTTACCAGAAACCCCCATCCCCATGCAGAACACTCTGTCCCTGCCTGAAACAAAATAAAACAAAACAAAACTTGTGTTGACATCAGTCAAACCATTTCTGAAAAGACTCTGATGGTTCATTTTCCTTACAGCCCTTGTGAACTGATAGGCTTTCTATTTAAAGCAAACTGGAGCCACTCTCTTTGTCCTGGCTGCGTAGTAACTCAGTGCTAAGTCTTAAGTCTAATATTTTAACTAATATACCTTGCTTTAGCCATTTTTTTTTTTTGGCCAAGAGTCATTCTCAAGTCATCTGACTTCATGAGCTCTTAAGCTCTACTTCCAGAGATAAAGCAGTCAGATGAATTAAACAAGATAAACTGTGAAGTGCTATAAGCCCTCTGACAGCTGTACTAAACATGGCAACCCCATGGTAAAGAACATAATTTACTTTATGTCAAGAAGGATTAATTTTAGCTCTACCAATCACTATGCATTATCAAGAAATGTCACAAGCAAAAGTAGTAAAGCAAAGAAGAGCACCCAGGATATAAAGGACTATTTGAGCAAAATAACTAGCAAATTTAAAAAAGTGATCCTTGAACCTCCTATGCCCTACCTAAACTCAGACTCTAAGTATGAACATCAATAAATATAGAACCTTAAAAAAAGAGGGAAAAATGATAAAATCCATGTAGTAAAATATTAGCATCTGGGTAATCTGCGGAAAGGAATATTTTGTATAATTCTTGCAATTTTTCTAGGAATCTGAAGTTGTATTAAAAGAAGAACATTTTAAAATAAATAACTTTGCCAATCTGAAATAAGTTCAAAAAGTGATAATATGAGCTACTAATAAATTATAGTCAATAGCCATAGGTATTTATTTAGTGTTTTATCTTTAAACAAATAAGAACTGAAACTTTGCCATATATATTCTAAGCAATAAGAGCTCTTCAAAAAAATATCCAGTTTAAACCACTTTATAGTCACCTAGAGAAATATATAGCGAAAAATAAATTTTGAGGTTTTGCCTAATTTTCTCTACATTTCCTATCAACTCTTGTCCTGAAAATTACTATCAAGAAAATAAATTTGTTTGAAAAACACATAAAACAGATGTTAATTAAGAATTACAGGTACTCTAAAGGACTATTTTTAAAACAGGTGTGTATAAGGAATTGGTGGTACAATTGGACTACTTTACAAACCTCATTGCTAGAAAATACAAACTAAATGATTCTCAAGAAAAAGACAAAAGCATTAAAAATTAGAAATCAGGTACTAAACTAAAAAATTATAGTTAGCCAGTTTCTGGCTTTGCTTTTTGTTTTAATTAGTAGGATATATATCCTAGTAGACTGAAGGCCCTCAGTTTCCACCCCAATCTCTAAGAAAAGCTAGAATAATTAAATCAATTGATCAGTATTTTTTTAAAAAAGTTAAACTCACCCAAATTCATATTATAGTTGACATATTAATTATTGAATGTGGGACAGAATACAGATTTTTAAATTAAATACAAAGGTACAACTTTTCATCTTTTTATAATTTAAACTCTTAAATGTTGCTTTAAAAGATTATATTTTATTTCTTTAAAGTACAGTTTTAACAAGTGACTTTTAAAAGTAAGCCTCAGGCCAAGTGTGGTGGCATGTGCCTGTAGTCCCAACTACTTGGGAGGCTTAGCAGGAAGATCACTGAAGCCCAGGAGTTTAAAACTGCTGTGAGCTGTGATCACCACTACATCTCTAGCCTGAGTGACAGATCTAAGGGGGACAAAGGAGATAGAGTGGAGTCTGTTTTTCACCTAACATATAATAAATTTATATATTAACCTCAAGGTGTCAAATGGAGAAAAGTGGAACGAGCTCCAGTTGAAACAACAAGCAAACAAACAAACAAACAAAAAAGTAAGGCTCAAAACTGAAAGTAGTAATATATATAACTTTTTATTTCTGGTTTACAGATTGGCCAAGCTGTTTCTTGTAAATCCGCTTAGCTAACCAAGGGCATGATTTTTCATGATTCTTTTTTCTCTGTCTCCCTTTATTATTTGGTGTTTCTGGGTTATTAAGTATTGATAGCTTTGGATCCTGTTAGATCTGTGCTTTTTATTAGTAGTAATTTCAGCTATTTATAAATAGTATGATTAAAGAAGAGAAATCAAGGAAAAGATATATATAAGAAAATATGATGAATGGAATTATATTCTTAAATAAAAATGCTTATGAATATAATTAGGTTTAAAGAAGCATTGTCCCATTTGTGAATCTCAAGTTAACTTTCTATCTCATCATTAGCAGAATTAAACCATAATACAGATTTACATGTTTCTTTTTGTTTGTAAACAAATCTAAAAAATCTGTATGTTGAAATGATTGTTGAAATGATAGAGCAAAATTATTTCTGAAGTTTTTTGGAAAGTGATACTAAATAAATTAATTTTACTTTGAACAAACCTAAGCTTCAGATCCCAGTAATAATCTTTTTATTGATTTTTTTCTTATGGGACTGATAAGATCATCGATTACAGTCCTGTTTACGACCATTAATAACATAATTATTCTACAAAAAGCCTTTTTACCAATAATTTTGGGAATTTTTTTTGGTCTTTGTTTTGGGCTTATTTTCAAGGTTTTTCCTTGAATTTGAGGTTCCCTTGACTTTGAGGGTTTGTTGCCTATGGGTTCATTGATTTGGTAGGCAGTTATAATATTTAAAACTCATGATTATGCTTAATTTTCCCAAGCACTTTTAGAAATACATTTTGAAAAATGGAGTGTTTCTTTAATTATTTTAATTAGGTATTAAAAATATCTAATTTTAAAGATATCTAGATTAGATATAAAAATAACAAAGCAACAGCGCATCAGAGAAGTTGAGAAACTTTATCATGGGAAAAAAGTGATCTAGAGAAGCTAGTGTAATAAAACAAATTCATACTCTTTAAAGCTCAGTATAAAAATGTTCAGTATAAAAATAGCACTACTAAGAATGCTAATTAATTAGATGGTTCTTAACTAATTGTGTTAAATCTAAGTAGACAATTTATTTCACGTGGAAAATATTGTTAATGTTTGAGCTTAAATTATATTTCTATCTTCATTTTGGTTGGTAATACTTCAAGTTAGCATTCATTTAATGTGGTTTTTGTCCTGTTTCTTATGAAGCAGTAATAATATTGCTGTAAAATATTAGAGATATGAACTAAAGGGATAGTGACTTGAATTTGATCTAATGAGATGTAGGTGAATCAAAATGCCAGGTCTGCCACTTACAAGCTATATGGTGTTAAGCAAATCACTTCAGCCTTACTGAGCTTCACTTTTTATAATACTGATTGAGCATCTGTTATGAGCCATGAACCCTGTTTGGTGCTGTGATATGAAGAATGTTGATGTTAGGTCAAAGAGACTGGTAGGTAAACAGAAGATGACATAAAGAATGGTAATGTCTGAGGTATACATAGGGGATGTGGGAGCAAAGAGGTGAGTCAGTTGGTGGGAGGAGGAAGCTGTGGGAAACTTTCTAGAGAGGGTGGTACTTCTTCAGGGTACCACCAGTCTTAGTTTTCTTATCTTTGAAATATAATTTGCCCATAATGAGGCTGGGTGCAGTGGCTCATGCCTGTAATCCCAGCACTTTGGGAGGCTGAGGCTGGTGGATCACCTGAGGTCAGGAGCTCAAGACCAGCCTGACCAACATGGTGAAACCCTCATCTCTACTAAATACAAAAACTTCACCAGGCATGGTGGTGCATGCCTGTAATCCCAGCTACTTGGGACGCGGAGGCAGGAGAATCGCTTGAACCTGGGAGGCAGAGGTTGCAGTGAGCTGAGATCACACCATTGTACTCCAGCCTGGCAACAAGAGCAAAACTCTGTCTCAAAAATAAAAAAAATTAAAGTAAATAAATAAATAAATAAATAAATAAATAAATAAATAAATAAATTGCCCATAAGTTATAAAGGTCAAATGAAAAAATAATTGATGTAGTGGTGCTCTGCAAACTGCAAAGCGTTTTACAGATATAAGTACAAATTATTGATCTGTATGTCACATACTCTGCTGAGAACTGGAGACATGCAAATGGTTGCAAAGAGTAGTGTTTCTCAAAGTGTGGTATATGGATGTATTCTCAGTTATCTCTGTGTGTGTGTGCAGGTGTATGTGCTTATTTAGATAAAATTTTTAATGAAACTACAAATTGAATCTATTAATAGATGAGCTGAATAACCACATTATAACTGAGATTTCCACTCAATTTCAGTGTGTTTCATATTTGCCTATGATCTTTTTCATTCTAGGTTAAACTACTTTAATTGTCTTGCACTAATGAGGAGAAAGAGAACCAGTCTTAATATGAAAATGTTAAAGCTAAGTGATATCACAGGCAAATTGAATAAAAAAAAAACCCAACTTCATTGTACTAGTTGGTCCCACACTGTCATTGTTTATACCTTGCTTTATGTTTGCTTATGTTTTAATAATATTTTGTGGAGGTCAGCAGTCATGACCCCAGGGAAGCCTTCTTGATTGTCCTATCTAGATTAACTTTCCTTTATGCACTCTCCTAGCCCATGTACCTTTCCTTCACAGACTTTTTCATTAGTATGGTCTTAATTGATTCAGGTAATTAGTGTCTCTCCCCAAAACTGTAATGTACATTGATGATCCAGGGACCATGTCTCCCTTTGCTCCCACTGTAGTCCAACCTTGCATGCACTATGTCTGGCACATAATGGGTCCTCAGTAAATGTTTGTTGAAATAATGAGTGAACTAGGTTATGACTGAGTTGCCTTCTAAATTGACAGTAATTTATTTACATGTTTAGTGTTGAATATGTACAGGCACACACTCCAATTTTTAAACTATAATTTCTGAATAGCGTAAGCAGTCACTATCTGATGTATCCAAAATGGAGCATCTCTATTCTAGGTTAGTGCAACAAGACTTACTAGAATATGAGAAAGAAGGCCGGGCATGGTAGTTCACGCCTGTAATCCCAGCACTTTGGGAGGCTGAGGAAGACGGACCACCTGAGGTCAGGAGTTTGAAACCAGCCTGGCCAACATGATGAAACCCCATCTCTACTCAAAACACAAAATTAGATGGGCATGGTGGAGCATGCCTGTAACCCTAGCTACTTGGGAAGGTGAAGCAGGAGAATCGCTTGAACCCGGGAGGCAGAGGTTGCAGTGAGCCAAGATTGCACCATTGCACTCTAACCTGGGTGACAAGAGTGAAACTCCATCTCAAAAAAAAAAAAAAAAAAGAAAGAAAAAAAATATGAGAAAGAAGTGTTAGAATTTTTATTTCTATTTATTTTTACTTAAAAATAGGAGATATAGCCAAGATATAGAAACTTATACATATCATATATATGAATGAGGCATCCTGAGGGGCGAAAAATGCAACTTGTTTGTTACACTTTCCATTTTCAGCAAGGTGGATTAATGGATTATGTAGTCTGATTTTAAACTAACTTCATAATATTGACAAGTGGCTTAAAAATTTTTCCACATATAGCTTACAGATTGAAGATTGCATTAATATTGCAGGCAGAAACAAGAAAAGGGCAGAATGAGTACCTGTCCAATTCTTCGACAGTCATGTAACAATTTGAAGATATTACCTAAATAAGAAGTTGGCTCTAAAATTCCAAATACTAAGATTTTTGACACATGGATTTATGTCTATTGTATGTATTATTTTCAGTGATGAATTCTTATCCAAGTGTATATTGTGCTGTAAAATTAACTAATGAAGTTGCCTCAATGAACAGGATACTTAAATATTTGATCTTTAGTTTTTATTTTGTAATTCCTATTTTTGTATGTTTTGTAAAGTGTATACTTATATTTATACACTAGAACATGTATATAATTTATAAGTAAATATTTTTAACTAAGAAGCAAACATAATAAAAAAATTCAGAAACTACCGAACTGAAAATTTCTAAGTATAATTTACACGCAATAAAATCCACCTATTTAAGTGTACTGTTTGATGAGTTTTGGCAAACATATATACCTGTATAAACATCACCAAAGTCAAAATACAGAACATTTTCATTACCCCAAATACTTCCCTCTTCTTTGTTATTAGTACCTTTCCTCTCCCATCCAAATTCTAGGAAAATACTGGTCTGCTTTCTGTTATTTAGATCGCTTTATATTTTCCACGACTTTTATTTGAATTTCCAATAAATGATGTCATACAACATATATTCTTTTTTTTATTATTATACTTTAAGTTCTAGGGTACATGTGCACGGCGTGCAGTTTTGTTACATATGTATACATGTCCCATGTTGGTGTGCTGCACCCATTAACTTGTCATTTATGTTAGGTATATATCCTAATGTTATCCCTTCCCCTCACCCCATGACAGGCCCCGGTGTGTGATGTTCCCCTTCCTGTGTCCAAGTGTTCTCATTGTTCAATTCCCACCTATGAGTGAGAACATGCGGTGTTTGGTTTTTTGTCCCTGCGATAGTTTGCTGAGAATGATGGTTTCCAGCTTCATCCATGTCCCTACAAAGGACATGAACTCATCCTTTTTTATGGCTGCATGGTATTCCATGGTGTATATGTGCCACATTTTCTTAATCCAGTCTATCACTGATGGACATTTGGGTTGGTTCCAACTCTTTGCTATTGTGAATAGTGCTGCAATAAACATACGTGTGCATGTGTCTTTATAGCAGCATGATTTATAATCCTTTGGGTATGTACCCAGTAATGGGATGGCTGGGTCAAATGGTATTTCTAGTTCTAGATCCCTGAGGAATCGCCACACTGTCTTTCACAATGGTTGAACTAGCTTACAGTCCCACCAACAGTGTAAAAGTGTTCCTATTTCTCCACATCCTCTCCAGCACCTGTTGTTTCCTGACTTTTTAATGATCGCCATTCTAACTGGTGTGAGATGGTATCTCATAGTGGTTTTGATTTGCATTTCTCTGATGGCCAGTGATGATGAGCATTTTTTCATGTGTCTGTTGGCTGCATAAATGTCTTCTTTTGAGAAGTGTCTGTTCATGTCCTTTGCCCACTTTTTGATGGGGTTGTTTGTTTTTTTCTTGTAAATTTGTTTGAGTTCATTGTAGATTCTGGATATTAGCCCTTTGTCAGATGAGTAGATTGCAAAAATTTTCTCCCATTCTGTAGGTTGCGTGTTCACTCTGATGGTAGTTTCTTTTGCTGTGCAGAAGCTCTTTAGTTCAGTTAGATCCCATTTGTCAATTTTGGCTTTTGTACAACATATGTTCTTTTGTGCAAGCTGGCTTCTTGCACTCATCATAATGTTTTGGGAGTTCATCCATGTTATTGTGTGTATGAGAGGTTTTTTTATTGATGAGTAATGTTTCATTATACCAATATTTATTATAGTTGGTTTATCCATTCACCTATTGTTGAACATTTAGGTTGTTTCTGGTCTCAAACATTCGTATATTCTCAGGGCATAGGTTTTTATTTCTCATGGGTAAATACCTAGGAGTGGACCTGTTGAGTCCCATGGTTAATTGTTTGTTGAACCGTATAAGAAACTGCCAAAATATTTTTCAAACTGGTTATACTATTTTATATTCCCACCAGCAGTATATGAGAGTTCTACTTGCTTGACATCTTTGTCAAACTTGGTATTGCCAATATTTTTAATTTTAGCCATGCAAATGAGTTATATAGTGGTATCTCATTGTGGTTTTAATCCGTATTTCTCTGATGACTAATAATACTATCTTCTTATGTGCTTATTGACCAACTGTATATCTTAATATCTTTGCCTACTGAGAGCTTACTATTCTTCCCTTTCTACTTTTATTTAAAGTAGTAAGTACCTAATTTGTGTATAATTTTTTTTTTTTGGAGATGGAGTCTCGCTCTGTCACCCAGGCTGGAGTGCAGTGGCGCTATCTCAGCTCACTGCAACCTCTGCTTCATGGGTTCAAGCGATTCACCTGCCTCAGCCTCCTGAGTAACTGGGACTACAGGCGTGTGCCACCATGCCTAGCTAATTTTTTATATTTTTAGTAGAGGCGGGGTTTCACCGTGTTAGCCAGGATGGTCTCGATCTCCTGACCTTGTGATCCACCCGCCTTGGCCTCCCAAGGTGCTGGGATTACAGGTGTGAGCCACCATGCCTGGCTAATTTGTGTCTAATTAAATGGATTTCTATAATACACTCACATAGGTGTAAGTAACCTTTTAAAATTGTAACTTAAAACCAAGGAAAGCAAGAATAAAATAACTTTAATAATGAAAAAGTAACATAAGTGAGGTCATGTTTTTGGTAAGAAATAAATGGAATACTAAAAATGATGTGAAATTTGTTTAATTTTAGAAATCTTATCAGCTTGTATTGAGAAACCTGGTAATATATGGTTAGATGGTATGCTAGTTTGAATAAATTTAAATGTGGCCGCAGCATGCCATGGACAGAGTTAGATAAGACAAATAAGCTACATCATGGTGTGGTCTTGCTCACTGGGATCAGAATCAAAGTAAAATGGCAGACATGTGCACAGCTCATCCTGATAGCTGTCTGACCAGAGTGTATTATCAGGCGCACTCCTATAATTCTGACTGGGAGTTAATGGTCTTCATAGTGGAGATGACAGCTTTGGAAAGAGATCAGTAGTAATCTTCAATCTGAAGAATTTTGTATTTGACCATAAGATTTTCAACATTTAGGTAATACTTTAGTGAATCTCTGTAGAGAGCTTGAGTAAATATTAGTCACTGAGGCTCATTTGTTGGATCATAGAGATTAATGTTTATAATGTACATACTGCAAATAGTATGGATAATATTTATGGGATAAATAATTTTTTGTTCTAATTTTGTTCATGAACCTTGTATCATGACAATGATAAATTACGTAACTGTTGTTAATGCTAATTTGAAGACTGTGGAGCTGGAAGAAGTCTTAAATGTTATCTACTCCAGTTTTTTTTTTTAACCTGTATTTTTAAAAATTATGGTAAAATACAAAATTTACCATCTTAACCATTTTTAAGTGTACAGTTCAGTGTGTTAATTACATTCACATTGTTGTGCAACCAGTCTCCAGGATTCTTTTCATCTTGCAAAGCTGAAACTCTCTACCCATTACAATTTCCCATTTCCCCCTGGTAACTGCTGTTGTAATTTTGTTTCTATGAATTTGGCTTCCCTAGTTGCCATATAAGTAGAATCATACTGTATTTGTCTTTTTGTGATCTGTTTATTTCAGTTAGCGAAATGTCCTCAAAGTTCATCCGTGTTGTAGCATGTATCAGAATTTCCTTTTTAATGCTGAATAATATTCCATTATATGGATATATACCACATTTTGTTTATTCATTCATCTTCCCTTGGATACTTGGGTTGCTTCCACCTTTTGGCCCTGCCCTTGTGAATTATGATGCTATGAACAAGCTGTACTATTGGGAATTATGATGCTATGAATGGGCTGTACAAATATCTCTTTTAGGCTCTGCTTTCAATTATTTTGAGTATATACTGAGAAGCGGAATTGCTGGATCATATGATAATTCTATTTTTAAAATTTTGAGGAGCTGCTATACTGTTTTCCATAACAGCTATACCATTTCACATCCCCACCAACAGAGCGCAAGGGTTCCAATTTCTCCACACCCTCACCAACACTTATTTTCTCTTTTCTTGACAGTAACCATCCTAATGGATGTAAAGTGGTAGTTGTGGGGTTTGTGTGTGTGTGTGTGTGTGTGTGCGCGCGTGTGTGTGTGAGACAGAGTCTCACTCTGTCGCCCAGGCTGGAGTGTAGTGGTGCCATCTCGACTCACTGCAACCTCTGCCTCTCGGGTTCAAGCGATTCTTCTGCTTCAGCCTCCCGAGTAGCTGGGACTACAGGCGCATGCCACCACTCCTGGCTAAGTTTTTGTATTTTTATTAGAGACGGGATTTCACCGTGTGAGCCAAGATGGTCTTGATCTCCTGACTTCGTGATCTGCCTGCCTCTGCCTCCCAAAGTGCTGGGATTACAGGCGTGAGCCACTGTGCTTGGCTGGTACTTGTATTTTTAAAAGTCTGTTTTTCTTTTTCTTTCTCTCTTCCTAATCTTTCGCCTTCTCCTCCTCCTATACTTTTTGTCCTCCTGCTTTTGGCAAACAGGTCTGTATATAAAATTGATCTTCCCAGAACTTCACAGAACTGGGAAACCTAGAGCTTCACCTTTCCTTATACCTTTTATTCCTGAAGGGGCCAGGAGGAGAACAGAAGAGAAAACACAGATCTCTTTGACTTTCTTATTTTAAGGCTGAGGAAACTGAGGCCCAGGGAAATGAAGTGCAGCCACACAGGCAATTAGGACTAAAATTTTTAATTCTCTATTTAACAGTTTTCTTAAACTACATAGGTGTCAAAGAAATCTTTAAAGATCTCTAATAATTTTTTCTGGGTGGGAGTGTGAATTAGCTTTCTCAGGTTACCTAGAAAGATATTGTCTGAAGTGTGGAATGTTTATTCTTTTGGGATGTGATGTGATTTTAAGTGGTCTTAGCTGCCAAAAGATGGACTTCCGTTGATTTTGGAAAAGAGCTTTAAGAAAATGTTGAATTGCAGAGTGAGGAGTTTATTCCCTCATCCATTCTCTCTCACTGTCTCGGAGTAGTCAGTGAGGTCAGTTTGGTGCAGAGTATCTATAAAGCCTCATGAATATTTGCTAGTCTTCCCCCATACCTACTGACACACCTAAAAATAGGGAGTAGTATTCAAGCTTAGAGATACAAACATAGAGATATGGCAACGAATAGTTGGCTAGTACTAAATACCTGTTTTGATATTATTTTTAGTTTTGTATTATAACAATGAAAGATGGAAGATAGTAGTTTACCATTTTTTCTTGTGTTTGCAACCTTTTTTCCAAGAGATTTAAGTAGAAAATGGAAGAACTGTTAAGTACATAAGATACGAGGTGAGGCCAGGCACAGTGGCTCATGCATGTAATCCCAGCACTTTGGGATGCCAAGTTGGGCGGATCACTTGAGGTCAGGAGTTCAAGACCAGCCTGGCCAACATGGTAAAACCCTATCTCTACTAAAAACACAAAAATTAGCTAGGTGTGGTGGCGGGCACCTGTACTCCCAGCTGCTCGGGAGGCTGAGGCAGGAGAATCACTCGAACCCTGGAGGCAGAGGTTGAGGCAGGAGAATCTCTCAAACCTGGGGGGCAGAGGTTGCAGTGAGCCAAGATCACACCACCGCACTCCAGCCTGTGTGACAGAGCGAGACTCCATCTCAAAAAAAAAAAAAAAGAAAGAAAGAAAGAAAGAAAAAAAAGATGGCAGGTGCTACATGGAGATGGCATATATACTGCGTTAGTTTGGGTACTAAAGAAGCAGACTCTGGTACAAAGATTTAAGTACAAGTAGTTTATTTGGGAGGTGATCCCTGGAAATAGTGGTAGGATATTGGGAAAATCAGACAGAAAGGGGCTTTATCCAATACAGTTTTTCTTATTATATAAGATACAGCTGTGGATAATTATCACAATGGAGAAATCTGGGGAGCCAGTATTATCCCACATCTCAGAGTTATCCCACTTGAGGGATGAGGAAGCCTCTGGTGTTTATACACGTATTTCTGTTGGTCATAGGCAGAGAGATACAGGGGTGGTTAATTTCCTGGTATTGCTAGCTAATGTGATGGTAGGCAAAGAAGGTATTAGGGTACCAAGAAATCTCTCAGGCAAAGAAATACAGTTGCTGTAGTGAGAAGCTTGGCCGGTGTACACTGAAGAGGTAAGGGTGAATGTATACAGATTTGGGGCATGTAATATTTACCACTTAGGTATTAGAATAATGACTACCTTAGGTAATCTCTATTGTGGCTAAACATTTTCAAAGATATGAATTTATAGCCACCTCTGTTATTAGGCTGTAAAGTGTTGAAACTGTAAAGGGAATTTTTCTTGGTACCTAAACATAGTCCTTCCAGTTGCTACTTGAGTTTGTTTTCAGATCCTTTTCTCAATGGGCAAAGTACTGAAAGTGTCTGTTCCCATAGTATTCCTTCCTCTATTTGAATAAAGACTATTATTACTAGCCTTCTGTTCTCTACTAACCCAAATTATTTTAGGTTTTCTTTGTTATGCCATTTCTCAATCATTTAGTAATTTATGTTACTCTTTCTTGGACTTCCTGTAGCGTCTTTTCATCTTACTTAAGTTGATGAGTCTATTTTCTATAGCTGCTTTTTCAGGATAATACAATTAATGAAAAGAAGTCTTATATAATTTAAATTTCTGGCCACATGTAAAACTTCATAATTTATTAATTATCATCATTTGAATAGTAATTTAAATGATTTTAGTTATACAGATCACTGAAATTATCCCCAAAGTCATAGCATATCTATATCAATTATTTGATAGTTATTGTAATATATTTTAGAGCTGCGTAAGCGGAAACACTTATTTAATCCTAAGTACTTTGCTCTAATATAAAGTATTAAAATTAAAGAGTAAGAATTAATTGTGCTGCTAAAGAAATGGAATTGGTTGCATGATTTTAAAGTATCTAAATTCATTTTGCTTTATCTTAACTCCACTGGCAAATAAAAAAGGGCTATTGCTAGCACTATGAACAGAGACATCTGAATTTTTGAAAATGGAAGCCGCTGTAAATGATAAACAGGCAACCCTGGTGTTTAGAGAACTTACCCTTGATAGCAACTAATAATATTCCCTTGCAGTTATACACATACAATAGTGAATAAATTGAATGACTTTACTCCTAATTAGTCTTTCCTGCAAATATTAAATAATTTAATAATATTTTGCTTTTTTTAAAAAAGGATTCATCTTATGTTACAACAGTAATTTCAAGAGTCTTTGCTTTTAATTACATTCTTGGTCATTACTCCCACAGATATTTTGTCATTCTATTGTGGCCATATGTCATTATGAGAAACTTAATACATTACTGTTCAGTTTTCTGAGAGGAAACACCCCACATCATAGACACATGCACCAATTTGAATTACTTATCTGGACATTGTAAAGTAAAATACTTAATCTCAATTTGCAGTTGTATAAGCATGTATTTTATATAGTGGAGAAAGGAGAAATATTTTGTATACTTTTTTGCTTTTAATCTTTAGTGAGCTATAATTTATTTACAGTAAAGTGCACAGATATCAATTTATGCAGTTTATTATGTTTTGAGAAGTGATTGTGTAACCCACACTTAAATTAAGGCATTTTTATCACTCTAGAAAACTTTCCTCTGGCTCGTCCCAATCTCTACCCTCCCCATCCCTCGATCCCAGAAACAAACACTGTTCTGATTCACAGATTATATATATATATAATTAATAGTTTTTAAAAAATAATTTTTAAAAATCATGTACTTCATAGAAGATTTGAAAGGATAGAGTTGTAAATTTATTGAAGACTGTTTTGAACCACAGAGTAGGCAAGGGACTGAATATTGATACTATGGTTGGAAAAAGGAATCATAAAAATATATTATAATTTCCAAAACTACTTACTTTTGAATAAGTATTTTGTTCAGTTTTCTGAGGATAAATAATTAATATTGAATTGAACCCTATATATTACCTATGTGTACTCATTGGATAACTTGCTCTAGGGATCATTTAATTTTTTTTTTTTTTTTAATAATTTGAAACATCCTAACCAGCAGTCTTAAAAAAACTGCTCTGGGCTGGGCGTGGTGGCTCAAGCCTGTAATCCCAGCACTCTGGGAGGCCGAGGCGGGCGGATCACGAGGTCAGGAGATCGAGACCATCCTGGCTAACACGGGGAAACCCCGTCTCTACTAAAAATACAAAAAAAAAAAAAAAAAAATTAGCCGGGCGTAGTGGCGGGCGCCTGTAGTCCCAGCTACTCGGGAGGCTGAGGCAGGAGAATGGCGGGAACCCGAGGGCGGAGCTTGCAGTGAGCGGAGATGGCGCCACCGCACTCCAGCCTGGGCGACAGATCAAGACTCCGTGTCAAACAAACAAACAAACAAAACAAAAACAAAAAAACAACTGCTCTGTAAATCTAATTCGTCATTAATTGAGCCCCAAATTAGTCATCAGCAATTTGTGATCCATTTCTTTAGTCATTTGTTCTTGGCTTCAAAATATCATTTGCTTTCGCTAGTGTAAAAGTATTCTTTAAGTAATTATCTGATTTGTTGTCAGTGCTTACAAAGCTTTCTTACATCTTCAGAAGCAGTCCTTTTATGGTAGAATTTTAATTTCTACCATTTCAATTACTTTTATTCTTGTAAAATAGCATATGGGTGGAGGTATGAAGTAAGAAAGTCATGAAATAAGGAAAAATAGAACTCCTTTATTTGGAAATTTCTATGGTCTGAATGTTTGTGTTTGTGGACAAAATTTATATACTGAAATCCTTACCCCCAAAGTGATGGTATTAGAAGGTGGGGATTTTAGGAAATGATTAGGTTATGAGGATGGAGTCCTTATGAATAGGATTAGTGTACTTACAAAAGACAACCTAGAGAGACCCCTGTCTCCATCCACGTGAGGACATAGGAAGAAGGTCAGTCTATGAGCCAGAAAGCAGGCTGTCATCAAACGTTGAATCTGCCTTGATCTTGAAATTCCCAGCATCCAGACTGTGAGAAATAAATTTCTGTTGTTCGTAAGTTACCCAGTTTTTGCTGTAGCAGACTGAACGGACTAAAACGAATAGTTCCAGCACTCTTCACTGTCTTCCTATCTTTTTCTCCTGGTGTGCTATTTGCCTTTGTGATTTTTTCCTTGGAAGCTCAAAGCTACTTGTCATATTTCAGTTTGTATCTGCCTCCTTTCCTTCACCAAATCCTTATTAAGGATTCCCTCTGTACTATTAATAGCAATTGTGATAAGTAGTAAAGAAGAAATAGACATTGTTCCTGACTTTATGGAGCTTACTTACAAAATAAAATTATCTTTCTCTCGTCTACATCAGAATTACCACTGTTTTTGCAAGGAAGCTAGTTATACTAAGATGTAAGTGGATGACAGAACATTGAAATTAACTCTGTCATCCAGTTCACATTATAAACTACAGTACTTAGGAGTCATTCTTTGTTGAAGGGTTCCAGGCAGGTGGGTGATAGATTTTAGGTGGCTAGGCATTCCCAGTGACTGTCAGTTGACTGAAACTTGTTACAGCAATGTGCAGGGACACTTTGGTAATTAGGTCAATAATATCTTTTGTTTACTAAGCCAAAAACCACGGAGATGTCAAAGAAAATCAGTTAAGGAAATGATATCCCTGTCTATCTTATTGGTAAGACCATTTTCTTATCTTTAAATTATTTCAATGCCCTTTTACTTTTCTCTATATTTTTTAAGATTCTAAAACTTAACTATGTTGTTCTCAGTCCTCTTGAAATTGAAACCATTATCTTTAATATTCACTAATTTTTTATTGCTTTACCTTATTTATTCTTTTGTTTTAAAAATGTCATACAAGTGCCAAAGGGAACACATTTTACTAAAAAGGATTCAGATAGAATAGAAACACACAAACAAAGTGAAGCTTATTTTATTTTGTCTTGTCATCCTGGTATCATTAAAATTTTCTTTCAATATATCTTTTTTTAAATTATATAAATCAGCTATATATCAGTTTGGATTTCTCTAAACTGCTTTCAGAGTAATATTTCTTAGAGTATGATAAGTTTTAGAAAGGTAATATATTATGCAATAAATTGCATTTTCACTTAGAGGCAGAAGATCAACAGTGGAACAATTTATGCTAGTGGAACTGAGATTGTGGATTAATTCCTATTTTACCAAAATATTGAATTCTCTTGTAAACATTGTAGTCACTGCATGTATGTAGCTAAAATACTGAAATAGCTCTGGTTATCTTATATATCCTAACCTCTTGTGAAATAGATTTTCAATTCTAGGGATTGATGATAGCATTCTCCTAAATTTTCATGTGATACTTTACTCATTGACTTTGAGATTTCGTCTTGTCCTTTGATATTTTTAGTTTTCAATTTGCTTGTAACTTAACTATTCGAACTTTTTGAGGAAGAATTATCCTTGTATTTCACCAAAGCCTTAACATTTAGCAGGAAATTAAGGATTTAGGTTGTTATGTGTGTTACTCTTAATTAGGGAATGTCAATGAAAGTAAAAGCAAAGAAAGGGGAAGTGGTTCCGAGTGTATTTCCTTTTCCCTGGGGAATTCTGAAAACCCATGGAGGTGTAAAATGTTGGTAACAATTCCTTTGGACTCTGTCTGGATTAGTTTCTTCTTGCTGTGTATCAAATTACAAGGATGTAGTAGCTCAAAACAACACCCACTTATTATCTCACAATTTTTGGAGGTCATAAGTCTGGGGGTGCTTGATTGAGTTCTCTGTTCCATGTCTCACAAGACTGAAAGTAATGTGTCTGTCACATGGGGCTTTTGTTTAGAGATCCTGGGGAAGGATCCATTCCAAGCTCATTGAGTTACTGGCAGAATAGCAGAACTAAGGCCTCTGTGTTATCTTGTTGGCTGTCTGATGGGATCTGTTCCCCACTCCTAGAGGCTGCCTGCTTGACTTCTCTTGTAGCCCCTCCATTTTCAAAGCAACAATACGGCCTTATGTATTGACTCTGACTGCTGCCACCAGCCAGAGAAGCACTCCGCTTTTAAGGACTCATGGGCTAGAGCAGGCCTACTCAATTTTAACGTCAGCTGTACCATATAACGTAAGATAATCATGGGAGGTATTTTTCATTGTATTCACAAGTTATAGGAATTAGAGTTTCTAATCTTGGTTGAGGGGGAGGCATTTTTAGAATTCTCCTTACCCTACCACTTTGAAATCTATTATCAATCTTCATAATACTTTACTCATAGCCAGTGAGGTAGAGTGAAGCATATAACTCACATATGAAAGGGCATTAAGAAGGCCTAAATTTTAAAATGAGAGTTTTGCTACAAAGGATATGGGGAAACTACTACTTTTTTGAGTGGGAATGCTCCTTATTATAAATAATTCATTTATCTCCCAAATGCATGCATGATTTCAATGCAATCCAACTGAAACACCCAGATGACTTTTGAATGTACATAAGAATAGCCAAAAAGAAAGAAAGAAAGAAAGAAAGAAAGAAAGAAAGAAAGAAAGAAAGAAAGAAAGAAAGGAAAGAAAGAAGAAAGAAAGAGAAAGAGAAAGAAAAGGAAAGGAAAGAAAGAAAAAAAAAAGAAAAGAAAATTTGCCAAAAACAGACTAGTGGTAGAGAAAGAACTTGTTTTATTTAATCTCAGAAGATACTATACAGTTATGGTAATCAAAACTGAGTGATATCAGACCAGGAATAAATAAGCACATCACTGTATAAATGAAAACTTAGTTCATTATGTTCTTTAATAGTAAAATAGTTAAATAAGTTAAGCTTCGTCTATACTATGGAGTACTCTAAAACCAAAGTAGTTGGTGCGTGTATGTATGTGCAGACACACACGTATACACGCACTTGGAAACAGCTCCAAAGATGTATTGTTAAGTGCAAAAAAACAAACAAGAAGTAGGAAAACACACATATCTCACCTAGGTTCCTATACTATATGTACTCTCCTATAAAAAGACACTGCATCCGGGGCATAAAATGCTCACCTATGGTGTTTCCCTTGTATTTGTGTTGGGTCCTGTAGCATATTCTCAATAGTGAGCTATGAGCAACAGTACCATGTATTATTTGTGAGCCAAGACATTTAGGAGCTAGTATGCTTCTACAATCTCTCAGCTGCTGCGAGCCTACATCACAGTGACACAACTAAAAGGTGGTGGAACCTCTGTTAACCAGGGTCCCCAAGTGAGCGTGTGGAGCAGGGCCCGCTGCACCACTGACTGCCACACAGACAGCCTCCCAGTGGTAACTCCTAAGTTAGAGAGTTAACTTAGAAACATTTTCTAAGTTAGAGAGGTAACTTTGGAGTTACCACTGGGAGGCTGTGTGTGTGGCAGTTAGTGTTAACTCTCCTAGTTAGTGTAGACACAGTTAAACACATGAGGATGAAATTATTGGTAGGGGGTTGGAGGATTGTATACCATTATCTCTGTGAAGTGGAATAGCAGGAAGTGTGAGCATAAAGGATGCAGTTGCATTTTACTTGGATTATTTCTTTGTTGTCTGAATACTTTATGAAACTGTGTTTATATATAAGTTTTGTTATCAGAATACTGGGATCAGTAAAATGCAGTTCTCCTAAAAAGTAGGTAATATATTAGCAGTTTGCTTCAAAATTAACTTTACCCTTGCTAGAGGAGTATTATGGTTGCTACTCTTTTTCTTTTCTTCAGGGATTTAGATGAATAGTAAGTTGATACAATGAAACAGCTATTTTTGTTTTAATTCATGCATGAAATGTAAATCTCTAAAGTAAAAGTCTTTTGTTGGTGTCTTTATGAAGAGTATAATTTATAGTGTATGATGTGCAGTGCATTATTTTCTAATATTCTGTCTTTTGCAAACTACCTCATGATTTTTTGCTTTATCCAAGATGCCCACTATATTGTTACTTTTTTTTTTTTTTTTTTTGAGATGAGTCTCTCTGTCACCAGGCTGGAGTGCAATGGTGTGATCTCGGCTCACTGCAACCTCCACTTCCTGGGTTCAAGCGATTCCCCTGCCTCAGCCTCCTGAGTAGCTGGGACTACAGGCGTGCAACACCATGCCCGGTTAATTTTTTGTATTTCAGTAGAGACGGGGTTTCACCATGTTGGCCAGGATGGTCTCGATCTCCTGACCTTGTGATCCACCTGTCCCGGCCTCCCGAAGTGCTGGGATTACAGGCGTGAGCCACCACGCCCGGCCTGTTACTTTTTTTACTTAACTGTTTTCTATAAAATTACTTAAAAGAATTAATTTAAAACAAAAACTTTGGACCTAAAATGAAAAGCCAGCATCTCTTGACATAAATATAAGATTTATCTTATATTCATAAAACTGAATATAGTAAAAATTAAATAATACTTATGAGATATGGCTAGCTGCATTTGCTTAAAAAGACCCAGTCCTAAGACCTGCCTTCTCTTAAAAAGTGAAATTATTCTTCAATAGAACGTTGGTTAAGCTTAAGAAGGCTTCAGTTAACATACTGAGGATTGTAGAACCATATATTTCATGGGGATATCCAAACCTGAAGTCAGCAAATGAACAAATCTACAAGCGTGGTTATGGCCAAATCAATAAGATGCAAATTGCCTTGACAGATAACATTTTGATTGGTCAATCTCTTGGTTGAGCATCATCTGCCTGGATGGCATCAACCAAGATATGCCACATCTTGGCATCAACCAAATATGGCATCATCTGCCTGGAGGATTTAATTCATGAGATCTATACAGTTGGAAAGCACTTCAAAGAAGCAAATAACTTCCTGTGGCCCTTCAAATTAACTTCTTCAGGAGTTGGAATGAAGAAAAAGACCGCCCATTTTGTAAAAGGTAGAGATGCTGGCAATAGGGAAGACCAGACAAACAGTCTTGTTAAATGGATGAGCTAAGGTGTATCCCATGATTATTTTTGTAACCTAGTCAATTACTAAAATGACTGCTTTCAAATTGAAAAAAAAAAGTGAAATTAGTAATTGTTATAGATGGTAAATGCTGAGACCTTGTCCTTGAAAAAACAGAATGATTTTAAAGAGAATTGAAAATGGGCTGGGTGCAGTGGTTCATGCCTGTAATCCCAGCACTTTGGGAGGCCGAGGCCCGCAGATCATGAGGTCAGGAGATGAAGACCATCCTGCCCAACATGGTGAAACCCCGTCTCTACTAAAAGTACAAAAATTAATTGGGCATGGCAGCACACACCTGTGGTCCCAGCTACTCAGAAGGCTGAGACAGGGGAATTGCTTGAATCCGGGAGGCGGAGGCTGCAGTGAGCTGAGATCGTGCCACTACACTCCAGCCTGGGTGACAAAGTGAGACTCCGTCTCAAAAAGAAAATGGAGTTAAGTTTTTAGTATATGATTTATTGTTACTTAATGTCTTGCCTTTGTACTACCAATATCATTATTCCCATATTTGGGGAAACACTGGTATTGTGGGAGGAATTCTAGGATTAGAGTCAGAAGATCTGGAATCACTGCCAGCTGACACCATGTCTTTGAGTTGTCATTGTATCTTTGTACTTATGTCACTATTTATAAAATGGAGATAAAAATGCCTACCATTTTTACTTCACCTTAGGATTTTTGCAAAGATCAAATGCAATATTATTGCATATCACTATTAATAATAGTGTTAGCACTGGTTTAATAATCATGTATAAGTAAGAAGTTCTGCTATTTAGACTATAGTGCTTTGGCTGCAAACAAATAATTCATTCTTGTAATTTCCAGTTCTATACCCTGAAAGAACCGACATCTTTATTTAACTCTCCTGTAAATATGCATAATATCAATAGACACCGGGAGTAAGTATGAATCTGTATCTATGTATTCACAGCAGAAAATACATTTAAAGTACATATTCTTATGGTCTCTCTAGAGTTGCCAAACTTAATTTTCTGTAGTTAGATATTTTGATGTGCTGCATACATTTATTGATATTTTATGTTTCTGTAGTTTCATTTATTATTAGAAAGACTAGAGGAGCCTCCTGTTACAAAGAACTCTCCTAATACTGCAGTAAGCTTGACATCTTTAGCTCATTTGCTCTTTCTGGTCACCACAGTATTATTTAGTAAATGCTTTTCCCAATAAATTATTACTTAGTTTAGTAGAATCTTAGCATTGGTAGGCTCTGCTAGGACCCAAGGGAAATAATGCTTAATACAGTGTTATAATCCTGATAAAATGCTACTCACTTTGTAAGAAGTAATGGTTGCTATGTTCCTTTGGATTCACAAAAATAGGTTTATGTATTTTATGTAATATCTATCCTGTTTTGTCGCTGAGAAATTATTCTAAACTAAATCTTTCCTGAGTAACATTCCTGCTCCCAGACACACTCCCCCTCTCGCCTTTGAAACCTGCTTTACTTCTTCCAAGTAGCTTCTGCTCTTTGATGCCAGTCTATTTTGGGAGAAATAAATGGTAGGCATCTAGGGATGATTTATTGAACTAATTCACTTCCATTTAATTCCTCCTTTCTCAGATGGTCACAAGGTCAAGAGAGCCAGGACCCTACTGCTATGTTAGCCTTCATATTATTCTTCTCAAGAAGTTCAGGCATAACACTATTACACTTATGCTGTCCTCACAAGTTAGAGTTGCCTATAGCAATCATGTAGTTTTAGTAAATAATTCCTATAAAGCATAAGTTTCATGTTTAACTGCAACCCTGTATAAGAAGCAGGCTTTTGATGTTTATTGGATTTGAACCTGCTGGAAGCATCTGTTAAAGTCTAATGAAAGAAAATTATATCCAAAGAGCTAAGACTTTCTGAAAAACAGAAGAAGCTACACAGTTTATAAGTGATAGGGTCATCTACCACAGGGGCAATGAGTGAATTTATAATGTAAATAAACAAATTCTGTTTTCTACATAAAATGAATTCTGTCATTTAAATTAACAATACAATATTTTCTAATCTTTGACATTCATCACATTCTTTGACATGGAAGGGCTACCATTCCTAGAAGATTCACAGCAACTTTGTAATTAACATTGAATATGCAAGGAAGTCCTTTGTAAATTAATGTTAAAGATCCAGGGAATCTCCTGGCTCTTGCTCAATAAACACAGTGAGAGAGAATTTAAGTAATATTTTTTCCAACCCCCTTAACCATGCTTTTTGTTCTCTGTGATCCTGTGCTCATGAAGTATAAACATCCTTACCTACAAATTATACCAAACATTCATAATACTTGTAGAACTTGTTTTTGGCAAGATTTATTAAATAGCCTGTGACTTATTTTATTTTATTTTACTTTATTTTTGAGACAGGGTCTTGCTCTGTTGACCAGGCTGGAGTGCAGTGGCACAATCATGGCTCACTGCAGTCTCAACCTCCCGGGCTAAAGCAATCCTCCTGCCTTGGTCTCCTGAGTAGCTAGGACTACAGGTGGGTGTCACCATGTCCAGCTAATTTTTTATTTTTTGTAGAGGCAGGGTCTCCCTATGTTGTCTAGGCTGGTCTTAAACTGCTGGGCTCCAGTAATCCACCCATCTTGGCCTCCGAAAGTTCTTGCAATTTATTTTACTTTTTTTTTTTTTTTTTTTTTCCTAAAGAAACAAGGTCTCACTATGTTTCTCAGGCTGGTCTTGACCTCCTGGGCTCAAACAGTCCTCCCGCCTCAGCCTCCCAAAGTGTTGGAATGAATACCGTAGCCTCCCAAAGTGTTAGAATGAGCCATTGTGCCTGGTGCCTACTTTTAACCAAGACTGAAAAAGCTGTTTTCAGGTTTATGATTTCTATTTTCATAACCCTTGCTTACAGAGAAAATCAGTTTTTCCCGTATGCTTTTTCTTTTCTTGTGTCTTCCCTTCTAGCATATCCGTACTGTGCTTTTGACTTTTTTACTTCTCTTTCCTCAATTGCTTCATTTCCCTGTGGTTTTACTGGGCCAGAAATACCGACTGAGTTCTATTCCTTCTCTTTTCTCACAAGGTTACTTTTGTAATTAACCTCCCTGCTGCTACTCTGGATGTCTTCCTTCTCCACTGTCCTTTTATTAATAGCTGTTATAATGTGGGTCCTTTTTCCTTCTGTTTCACATTTAGTCAGTCACATAGCAGCCTCTACCGTAACTGTTCTAATATCCCATGTTTTTAATCTGCTAAGAGCTCTCCTATTTCTTGTAGGTCTATTAAAATGATCTTAATACAGTTTTTGACATTTCTGAAAACTAAGGTTTGAAATGTTTGGTGCCAACCAAATGTGTAAGAAATGCTCTTCTGTGTGAAAGGCAATGAAGGCCTTGACATAATAAAGAAATTTTTACAAAGAGACTAGTATTGTTCTTAGCTGACTAATAAGCTTAACAATTATAAATGAACTCATTTACTATTGAAAAGGATTTCTGTTTTGAGGTGTGATTCATTTTATTTTTCTTGAAGCACATCCGAAATAACATATTGTATAAATTTGTCCTCAAAATATACTAATTGATTCTGTTGAGCTAGCACGTTTTCCTGTGGTATATAATTTGTTTTGGTATTCACTTTTTTAAAAAATAATACAAATTACAAAAAAAGTACACAAAATTAGCAAATGTATTTGTAATAGAATATTTGAATAGTAATATGAGGTGCTTCCATATATTTAAATATGCATCAGTAAGAGAGTGTTAAGTTTTTTAATTCATCTAGTGTTTATGAATGTAAATACATCATGCATATATTTATATTTGGGGGATAATTTTTTTTCCCTTCAGTTGACAGAATAAATTCTGGTACAGAATGTTATTACAGTCAGACTTCATTGCTGCCAACATACTGATGTGTACTAGGTAACCATTTAAAAATTAACTCAAGGTCATTTTAAACCTGATATGGTCAGGTCATTTTAATTCATTGAACACTTAATTAGTGAAATTGCAGATTATTCCTGCTAATTCCACCTTTGTTCTTCTCTTTTCAGTTCACATTTTGCCCATTTCACTGTTTTTTTTTAATTTTAAAGTAGTGAAAAATATTTGTTTATTCTCTTTGGAAATATTTCTGGGAATTTATTTTGGGAAAGGCAATGAAATTGAGATGATTAATTTCATAGAGAGTTTATTTAATTATCTCTTCTCTAAGTGCTTAGATAGTACAAATAGTAAATGTGTCAGTTTAAAGACTTCACAAAGATGGGTAGAAAATAAAATTATTGGGGATGGTAATGAAATGACTACAAGATGCTGGTTTCCCCATCTCTTTTAGAAATGCTAACCTGAATAGTTCCTGCACTAAGATAATGGCAACTAAAATAGAAAATAAGCTTGTAATAGATAACTTAGTAAATATTTGAACAAAAATTAATGTTTAACATAGTAGCAACTAATATTTGAACAATTTGAATCACATTTGATCATTTTAGAACGAGAAAATAGCATGCAACTTTACTTTAAAATTTCACCTTTGGTTTTTAATGATACACTAATGGTATTAAAAGTGATCATATCAGTTCACTTTGAAAAAATAAACATTTTTTTCATTATTTAAAAAAATACACATCCCCATTTAGAAGATTCTACCAATTTTATAATATTCTCTGGGCATTGTTTGTTATTGAATAATTATTAAATATAGTGTGTTTTCCCCGTGCTGAACTCTGGGAACATACCAACAAATATAAAAAATGTTGCTGCTCTATATGTGCACTTGGGCCAGGGCTAGGGATGGGCTGGAATTCTCTTATTCTCATTTCCCATCCTGTGTCTGGGTGTATACATCCTGATAGACTGGCTCTGTGGTCACAGTTCTCTTCCTGGACCTGACTGACTTTACTTTGGGTAGAAGAGAGCATAGCTATGGCTTTCCAATCCACCTTTACTATTATAACAAAGGCAGAGCCTCACTGCCTAAACAGCAACAATAACAACAACAAAACAAATAACAAACTCTAAACTAAAAACTAGGGTAAAGAAAAGGTTCTTGAGGGTCTTAACTTCTTAACTTCTCACTGGTAGAATGAGGTATGTATACATAAGATACTTTCGCTTTTTTGGTTCCTCTTTTCATTGTCTGCCCTTTTTTAATCCCTCTTTGCTTCCTCCATTATCTTTTACCTTTGAAAAAAATCCCTTCTCAAATTGCAAGCGGTATGCCCAATTCCATTTCTTACTTTCACCAAATCGTTTCAAGGGTCTCGTAGGCCCAGATTAAAGGATGGCAGAAAAACCATGCATACCAGATGATATGGGTGGGCTCTGTGTCCCTACTCAAATCTCACCTTGAATTGTAATAATCCCCATGTGTCAAGGGTGGGACCGGGTGGAGATAATTGAATCATGGGAGCAGTTTCCCCCATGCTGTTCCCATGTTAGTGAGTGAGTTCTCATGAGATCTGATGGTTTTATAAGGGGCTTTCCCCTTCGCTTGGCATTCTTTCTTCTTCCTGCCATCATGTGAAGAAGGACTTGTGTTTGCTTCCCCTTCTGCCATGATTGGAAGTTTCCTGAGGCCTCCCAAGCCCTGTGGAACTGTGATTTAATTAAACCTCTTTCCTTTATAAATTACCCAGTCTCAGGTATTTTTTCATAGCAGTGTGAGAATGAACTGATACACTGGATAATAATAAAAATGGTGTTACCGCCAAAATATGCTGTAATTCAGTATTTTCACTATTTAATTTGGTCTTCCATTCACTTTGTCAATTCGTTAACTTGGTAGGTAGTGTAAAGAATTATGCCCTATTTTTACGTTGTACTGTAAAGTCTCCATGTGATCAAGAGACGTATTTATATATTGCTATCCTAGACAAGTTAGCCAGCATCTATCCAGATTTCTTTTCCAAGATTCTTGACATTTTCCCAGTTTCATTTCTACTTTAATTATAGAATCTCATGATTTTAAGGGACCCTTGATGAACATTTATTGTGCATATTTATGGCTGAAACCAAATGGGATCTAAAGATGAAATTTTCACAGACATAAAGACAAGACTCTTGTTTATGAAGTATTTCATAATTTTACCAGTTATTCAAGATGTATTATAATTGTCATACAGACCTAAACCATGATTTGTATCTAAACTTAATTGCTTTGGATCCTCACAGTAACCCTTTTGATAGATTAGATATCATTTTTATTTTATACACAAGGAAATCATTGCTTAAAGAAATAACTGACGACCCTAATATCCAGTATCAGCACAAGAACCTCTTAATTTCAAATTAACCAATTTTTCCACCTCACAGTATTGACCACCATGAAGAAAACCAGTTGAGAATCTGAATTAGTACTAAGCTATGTGCTACCACCTGTGTATTCATAAATCCTGAGAGCAAAATGAAAGAAATAGTCTCTTGTGGGATAAAATAAGTTACAGAAGACCTTTTAGAGAAACTCATTTTTAAAATATATATTATAGTTGTTCATATTTCGGGGATACATGTGTTATTTTGATACACATATGCAATATGTACTGAACCAGTCAGTGTAGTTGGGATATCCATCACCTCAAACATGTATCTTTTCTTGGTATTGGGAACATTACGATTCTTCTAGCTATTTTGAAATATATAATAAATTATTGTTAACTACAATTTCCCTACTATACTACCAAATACTAGAACTTACTACTTTTATCTAACTGTATTTTTGTATCCATTAACCAACTTCTCTTCATCCTCCCTTCCTCATTTCCCTTCCCAGCCTCCGGTGAAATTTGGTTGTAATATAAGCTATTAAATAAAAATTCTCTTTAAATACTGCTTTCCTGCGTGCCACAAATTTTATGTTGTGTTTTTATTATCTTTAAATTCAAAATATGTTCTAATTTCTCTTGTAATTGTAACTGCAAAAATAAAAATATTATTTTGTTTAAAAATTTAGAAAAGTAGAGACTCTAAATTTTTAATTAGGCCTCAAAGGAAATAGTGGATTTCTATTGGTTGATGAGATAATTTATGTAGAGAAAACAATATAAGCGATGAGAAGGTAGCAAGAATGTACAAGATTTTAATGGATGATTATAAAGGAGCGGAGAGGCTATGTTTGAAAATATCCATCAAGGTTTACATATTATTAATGAAATGATTTTGTGTCCTGGTTATTTTGTTTTTATCTAAAATATGATTGGGATGCACTTAATAATTTAAGCGGAGGCATTATATTATGAAAAAAGTGAGTATTTTTGAAAGTGCCAAAGATCTGTCTCCTACTATTAAATATAATATTTGTATTTTTTTCTATAGATGCTTTGTCAGGTTAAGTAAATTTCTATCCTTAGCTTACTGAGTGTGTGTGTGTGTGTGTGTGTGTGCGTGTGTGTGCATGTGTGTATGTGTGTGTGTGTTTAATCATGAATGGACGTTGAGTTTTGTCAAATGCTTTTCTGGCATTTATTGAGGTGATCATATGTTTTTTTCTTTTATATTGTAAATATGGTGGATTGTATTTGTGGGTTTTTAAATATTAAACTGGCATTGCATTCTTGGGTTAAATCCTACCTGATTATGATTTATTGTCCTGTAAATATATTATTAGATTAGATCTACTTATATTTTGTTAAAGATTTTTGCATTTAGGTTTATGAGAGACATTAGTTTGTAGTATTCTTTTCTTGTAATGTCTTTTCTAGTTTGGGTCTCACTTTTAGGCTAGCCTCATAAAAACAGTTGGGAGAGGTTCTGTTGTTCTCTGTTTTTTAAAACATTTGTGTTAGATTGGCAATTTTTTTCTTCTTGACATGTTTCCTACAATTTACCAGTGAAACCATCAGGGCCTGGAGTTTCCTCTGCGGGAATAAATTCAAGTTTACATATATGATTTGGGATTGGGTGTTTTGGGGCCAGTTTTGGTCATTTAGGCCTTTTATAAACTTTTTCCATTTCATCTTAGTTGTTGAATTTATTGACACTACGTTGTCTTTATTATTACCTTTTTAAAGATGTATAGTGACGTTTCCCCTTTCATCCTTGCAATTTGTAATTTGTGTCTTCTTTTTCTCTTTGATAAGTCTACCTTGCTGTTTCTTGTTTCAATTATTTTTTTCTGTTTTCATATTTTTATTTCTTTTATTAACTTCTTTCCTTCTTTCCTTCCTTCCTTCCTTCCTTCCTTCCTTCCTTCCTTCCTTCCACTTATTCTAGATTTGATATATTCTTCAATTTTTAACACAAAGTGGAAACTTAGGTTATTGCCTTAGATTTTTTTCCCCCTAATATATATATTTAAAGTTATAAATTTCCCTCTATGCGAGGCTCTGGCTGCACTCTGAAAATTATGATATATTTTCAGTAACATTCAATTCAATACATTGTCTAATTTCCCTTGTGATTTCTTCATGATATAAACCATAGATTATATTAATAAGTATATTGTTCGTTTTACAAATATGTTGGACTTTTTAAGATATCTTTTTGTCCTCGATTTCGAATTTAATGTTTTTGGTCAGAGAGCATGCTCTGTATTGTTTTAATACTTTTAAATTTGTTGGGACTTGTTTTATTCCTCATTTATTCCTGAACTTTCATGATGCATGTTCATGTGCATCAGAGCATGCCTGTTCTGCTGTTGTTACATAGATTATGACGTGAAAGTCATTTTGGTTAAGTTGATTGATAATTTCTGTATTCTCAATGATTTTCTGTCTTTTTTGCGTATCAACTATGGAAAAAAGAATGCTGAAGTCTCCAATTGTAACTGGATTTTTAAATTTTCTTCTTTCCGTTATATCAGTTTTTGCTTCATGTCTTCTGAAACTCTGTCTTTAGGAGCAAAGACATGTAGGATTTATTATTTCTTGATATTTTTCTTAATGAAATATTTCTCTTTTTCTCTGGTAATATTCTTTGTCCTGAAGTCTACTTTGACTGATATTAATATAGCCAGTCCATTTTTTCTTATAATTGGCATTTGCAAGATTTATCTCTTTATATCCTTTTATTTTTAACCTGTTTCTGTATATTTAAAGTGTGTTTTGGTGGATAGCATATAGTTGGATCTCACCCATTTTTACCCACTCTGACAATTAGGATATGAATCTTGTAGATTCCAGGTAATTATTGATATGGTTGCATTTAATTCTAGTGTCTTGTTATTTGTTTTTTATTTGTCCCATCTGTTCTTTTATTTCCTTTATTTTTGCTTTCTATTAGATTTATTCAGTGTTTTCTAGTATGACACTCTATCTTCATTATTTTTTTCTTTAGTATTCAAAGATTTAAAAAATATGTATTTATCAGTCTGTGTTCAACCAATAATTTACCACTAAATATATATGAATATTATAAAAGAGTATTTTCAATTCCCTCTTCTGTCCTTTGTGCTATTTTTGTCATTCCTGCATTTCACTTCTACATATGTTGTAAGCCCCACTAGGCATTGTTATTATTTTTGCTCTACATAGTCAGAAAAGTAAAAGATAAGAAAACAAAAAATCCCTATAACTTTTTACAGAAAAGTAAAAGATAAGAAAACAAAAAATCCCTATAACTTACCTAAAAATTTATTATTTCTGATGTTTCTCATTTCTTTATGTAGATCTCAGTTTCCATCTAGTATTCTTTTTCTTTAGTCTGAAGAACTTCTTTTGTCATTATCTTCATTGGCTGTCTGCTGGAGAAGTATTTTTGTTTGTCAGAAAAAGGATCCTCTCTTCATTTTTGAAGGCTATTTCACTGGTTATGGAAATTTAGTTTGAAATATTTTTCTGTCACTACTTTAAAGCTGTTTTTTTTGTCTTAGACTTGCATTATTTTTCACTGAGAAGTTTTCAGTCATTCTAATATTTGCTGCCTGGTATCTATCTTTTTTTGTCTGCTTAATTTTTTTCTCTTTATTACTGGGTCTAGCATATTAATTATAATGCACTTTGGTTTAATGTTCTTTATTCATTTTTTAAAATGTTTTTTGGTAGAGATGGGGTCTTGCTGTGTTGCCCTGGCTAGGCTTAAATTTCTGGCCTCAGTGGATCCTGCAACTTTGGCTTCTTTGTCTGTACATTGATGATGTTCTTCTGTTCGTGTTTATCATTTCAATCAAATTTGGAAAAAGAAATCTACCACTCTTTATTCAGTATGTTTTCTGTTACTTCTCTGTCTGAGACTACTAAATACTGTCCCCTAGTTCATTGATACTTTATTTCTCATCATTTCTTTTTTGCCTCTGTTCTTCATGGTAGGTAGATTTTATTGCTAAGCTTTCATTTTAAGTGGTATACATTTTCATTGTATTGTCTGCTTTTAATCCTAACCAGTGAAATTTTAATTTTACATATTGTATTTTCCTACTCTACAAATAGTACTTGGTTCTTCTTTGTAGCTTCTTTCTTTTTTTCTCAGCACGGTCATGTTTTCGCTTAAATCATAAGTCTATTCATAATAGCTGTTTTAAAGTTTCTGCCTGCTAGTTCATTTCTATCATTTCAAGGTCTGTTTCTATTGATTGATTTTTCTCCTGATTACAGGTCACACTTCCCTGCTTCTTTATATGTCTAATTTTGTTATTTATTATATGCTAGGCATTATGATTCTTATGGTATTGTAAGTCTGGATTTTGCTGTCTTCCTTTAAACATATTACATTTTGTTTTGGGTAGTCAGTTACACTGCTTGTAATTCAGATATTGTCAAGGCTTGTTTTTTAGCTTCATTAGGATGAGCCTAAAGTTGTCTTTACTCTAGAGCTAGTACAGCCCTACTACTAAGGCTTTACTCCTTCTGGTATATCTACAGAATGCCCTAGGTGTTCACTACAGTCTTACCACTATGGGTAATCACATCTTAAACCATCTCTGCACCTTACACTTGTGCAGTTCAGAAAATGATGAGAGATTCTCTTGGGTCTGTTGCTGTCGTTTTCTCTAATGCCTTCTTTAATACTCTGCTCCCACATTTCAGCTGCCATTAAGCCTCCCCATTTCTTTATTTTATTTTATTTTAGTATTATTATACTTTAAGTTTTAGGGTACATGTGCACAATGTGCAGGTTAGTTACATATGTATACATGTGCCATGCTGGTGTGCTGCACCCATTAACTCGTCATTTAGCATTAGGTATATCTCCTAATGCTATCCCTCCCCCCTCCCCCTACCCCACAACAGTCCCCAGAGTGTGATGTTCCCCTTCCTGTGTCCATGTGTTCTCATTGTTCAATTCCCACCTATGAGTGAGAACATGCCGTGTTTGGTTTTTTGTCCTTGCGATAGTTTGCTGAGAATGATGATTTCCAGTTTCATCCATGTCCCTACAAAGGACGTGAACTCATCATTTTTTATGGCTGCATAGTATTCCATGGTGTATATGTGCCACATTTTCTTAATCCAGTCTATCATTGTTGGACATTTGGGTTGGTTCCAAGTCTTTGCTATTGTGAATAGTGCCGCAATAAACATACGTGTGCACGTGTCTTTATATTTCTAATCTTTGTTTCCTTATCTCAGTGAGACCATCATTCTGTCCTAGTTTCTCTGTTCCTGTTCTGCAATGTGGAAAATGGTTCTAGGTCAGAACCCAGGATCATGGCAGGATTCACCTTGTTTGTGTCCATTCTCTTAAGGATCACCATCTTATGATGCCTTTTGTCACATGACTGAAAACATCATTTTACATATTTTGTCAAGTTTTCTATTTGTTTCATGTGGCAGGGCATTTCCCGTAGTATTTACTCCAGCATGGCCTGAAGTGGAAGTCTTATAATCTTTCAATACGTTTTAATATGATGTGTAAGGTGCATAATGTGTAAGGTGCAGAGAAGTTTAAGATGTGATCAGCCATAGTGGTAAGACCTTAAGTATGATTTTATGTTTAATATGATTTTAATATGTATGTAATATATTAATTTATTTTCACTTAAAAAAATCTAAGAGCAATATAAATATGCAGAATAAAAGATGATAGTTTTTTCACCCCCTCACCTCTTTTCATGTCACTCAGCAGAGTTACCATTTTTAGAAGTTTGGTGTATATCCTTCTATTCTTGTTTATATGAATTTGTATACACATACGAACATATATGCTGATATGTATATATATATGCACACACACATACACACATTTTGTTTATGTTTATATATTCATAAATTTATTTTTGTATACACAAAGCTAATCATACTGTAAGAATAAGTATTGTTCCACAACATACTTTTTAAACTTAGTAATATGTATTGGCAATCTTGCCTAAAATACATATATATCTTACTTTATTCTTTTATATCAGCCATGTATTCTATGGAATGGTTGAACTAAGATTCACTTCATAATGTCAGATTTCATCATCATTAAAGTTTTCCTTTTTCTTATAAATTACGTATTTTTTGAAATTTTTTTGTACAGCAACTCTTCAGATATTGAGTTTTCTTGTTGAATAAATTCACAAAAATGTCAAATGATATGCCTGCTTATAAATTACCTTTAAATTGCCTAAAGAACCTATTTATATTACTACTAACTATATGTAAGCATGCTCGTTTTCTTAAAATATTGTCTTTAATTAATATAATCCCTTTGGTAATTTTTATAGTTCTAGAGAGTAAAAAGTAGTTTTCTTTTCATTTGAAGTTATCTGATTATGTTTAATGTTGAGCTTTTAACATTTACATTTATCGTTCATCTATAATTTTAATTTTGTGACCCACCCACCTATGTTCTAACATGTTTTAGTTCTTTTTTTATTGATTCATAGGGAGTATTTATATATGTGGGATACTATACCTTATTAAGTACGTTGCAAACTATTTATTCAATTATATGTCTAGATTTTGAACTTTGTTTATGTTGTTAGTTGTCCTAAACTGTCTTTGTTGTTGTTGTTGTTGTTGTTAGTTCAAATCTGACTTGCTCTTATGGCATCTGGCTCTTGAATGTTTCTAGGGAGGTTTCATCATTTCTAGTCTATAAATATTGGCATGATTTTATTTTATCCTATTCATTTTTATATTATTTAATTAAACTAGTATATGTTTGTATATTTACATATATATGTGCATACACACTTTAAAAAAAAGATTTTAGTTTCTTGAGAACACTTCATTTTTCTAAAGCACCTTTAGTATTACTGC
The DNA here is from genome assembly GCF_000001405.40 of Homo sapiens. Classification (NCBI taxonomy): domain Eukaryota; kingdom Metazoa; phylum Chordata; class Mammalia; order Primates; family Hominidae; genus Homo; species Homo sapiens. The sequence goes on along the minus strand of NC_000009.12, from coordinate 3,351,234 downwards.
AAAATTAAGAGGAAGGTACAGAGATTTCCATAAAACCCCTCGCTTCACACATGAATAGCCTCTTCCATTATAAACATTCCCCACCAGAGAGGTACATTTGTTATAACTGATGAACCTACATTGACACATCATTATCACCCAAAGTCTAAAATTTATATTAGAGTTCATTCTCGGTGTTGTGCATTCTATGGTTTTGAACAAATGTATAATGACATGTATCCACCATTACAGTATCATGCAGAGTAGTTTCACTGTTCTACAAATCCTATGGGCCCTGCCTGTTCATCTCTCCTTTCCCCCAGTGGCTGGCAGCCACTGATCTTTTTACTGTCTCGGTCATTTGACCTTTTCCAGAATGTCAGATAGTTGAAATCCTACAGTATGTAACCTTTTCAGATTACCTTCTTTCACTTGGTCATACGCATTCAAGTTCTCTCATGTCATTTCATGGCTTGGTAGTTCATTTCTTTTCACTGCAGAATAATATTCCATTATTGGAATTAATGAAAACAATATTTCATTGTTTTGATGTGTAGTGCAGTTTATTCTTCCGTCCACCTTCTGAAGGACATCTTGGTTGTTACCAAGTTCTAGCAATTATGAATAAAGTTGTTATAAACGTGTTTGCCTGTTTTTGTGTATACGTAAGTTTACAACTCCTTGGGTAAACACCAGGGAACATGATTACTGGATCATATGACTAGATTATGTTTAGTGTTGTTAGAAACTACCAACGTGCCTTCCCAAGTGTCTACCATTTTCCATCCCTCCCAACAATGAATGAGAGTTTCTATATTTCTCACATCCCTGCTAGCATTTAGTATTATCAGTGTTCTGGATTTTGGCCATTCTAATTCAGCATTTTAGATTTTGGTATCTTATGATGGGAGAATATTTGCATATCCTTATTTGTCATCTGTATTAAGGTCTTTGGCCCTTTTAAAATCAGCTTGTTTATTTTCTTATTGTTGAGTTTTAAGAGCTCTTTGTAAATTTTGGATAACAATCCTTAATCAGATCAGTATTGCAAATATTCTTCCCCAGTTTGTGGCTTGTCTTTTCATTTTCTTCACAGTGTCTTTCAAAGTAGAAATTTTCCATTTAATGAAATCCAGCTTGTGAATTATTTGTTCCATGAATTACACCTTTGGTGTTATGTCTAAAAAGGCATCACCAAACCCAAGGTTATCTAGATTTTCTACACATTTTTTTAATAGGATTATCAATCTTTCTCAAAGTTTTGGATGCTCATTTGTCTTCGGTTTTGCTTATTATATTTTTATCCTTGCAAACAGGTTTACAATTTTATTTAAAAGTATTTTTATCACTTCTGAATGTTGTAGTGAGGAAAATTTTTCATAATTCCAAGTCAAAAGGAATATATTCCTTTTTTATTTTATGTCATAATATTTCATACTTGAATGATCTTCAAATTTATTCTATATTGTTAAGTTTAAGAAGCAAGGTTCAGAACAGTGTGTATAAAATGCTTTGTTTTTTCTTAGAATGAGGTGTGTATGTATTCACACGTGGGCACTTCTATACACATTCATATACATTTGCACGTTTGTCTAAAAAGATATAGAGAAAAAGAAAGGCAATGAAAGGATAAACCTAAACATAGTGAAAATGGTTACCTGTTGGGGGTGTGGGGGCAGTAAGTAAGATAGAAGCAGCAGGGGTGAAAGGAGGGTCATCTGTCCAAATATATTGCCTGTTTTATAGTTTTGGCTTTGGAACCACATAGATATTTCATGTAATCATAAAACAAAATTAAATCAAAATTAAATACAGCAAATCCTAAAATTAAAAAGAAAATTAAATACATGAATTTAACTGCGTATCAAGCTGATGACTTATTTTAAGTGACTTTATAGTAATACAAATTACACATCTCTAGGGGCATATATCTTAAGGGCAGAAAATTGAAGGAAACAATATTTGATAATCAAATATTAGTAATATGATATTTTTATTTTGAAACCATAAAATTTCATGATAAAGCAAATAAGTAATCATGTTAAAATCTCCAGTAACCAAAATTTGTACCATAAGAGCAAAGATGGACAAATATATCCAAGATATATTTAATTTGTATATATTTAAAATTCAATGAAAAAATTACTATGAATTTATGATATGTATTTTTATCCTTCAAAAAATATGTGTATTTCTAGCTTGGTTCAATGAAAAGACCTAGAAATATGAATAGCATCCTAGCAGCAAGCATTAATGGGTCCCAATTGTAGTCTTTGAATTCCATTTTCCACTAAGAAGAGCCAGGGCTTTTTTGAAGAAATGTCTGATTCCAGATCTTGAGTAGGAAATATGACATAAGCCTGAAGCATCTTGTTATAACAGAAAGTAGCAGAGTTAAGAAAGATGGTGGGGTTATGTCATAGGAACTAGTTAGAAGAGGCTACCATTGGCCAACAATGGGACAATTTTAGCAAGAAAAAAAGATTGCTAGGATTGAAAATCATTAAATATGTTCAAAAGCTGAGAATCGTAAGGATACAAACAAAAACAAAATAAAAAACCACACCGATCACCTCTGGAGGGTACTGGGGGATAAAGTCATTTTCAGTACTGTAATATAAAAAGAATCATGTACTTATCCTATTTTTCCCATAAAAACTTTATTTCAAAGTAACTAAATAATTAATGAGAGGAATTTATTCTTTATAGAAGGATTTTGCTAATAAATGAAGAAAGAATAATAGAATTAGACTACCGCAAGTTTACAACCTTTATTATTTAACATAATATCTGTAGGAAATGATCATCAATGGCTACTAATATCCTCAGGCGAAACGTGGATAGGGAGCAGGATACTATTAATAGATAGACCCAGGTGGCAACATATGACTCCACTAGTGAAACTTAACATTGCAGAGGGACAGCCAGTTGTTATATGTCAACTGATATGGTACAATACTAAGTACACAACTTTTAAAAAATTGAACTTGTTCAAGCCCCAACATATACCAGTTTATACAGCATACATGAAATAGAGGAACTTATTAAATGACATTTCAGGATGCTGTTTATCAGTCTAGATGCCAGAAATTCTCCAAGATAAATGACCCAGTTTCTTGAATAAGTAATAGGCGGGAAATAAAAAGGATAAGGGAACTTGGAGATTCAAAGAGAAAGAAAATATCAACCCAAATGCATTATTATGTAGACCATGTTTGGATCTTACTTTGAAAAAACCAATACTATAGTGATTGGACTCATCAGGGAAATTTTAACAATGACTGAGTTTTAGATGATGTTAAGGAATAGTTAATGTTTCATAAATGATATTATTGTGTTCCAGCTAAAAACAATTCCTATCTCTTAGAAATACAAATGAAAATATTTACCAGTGAAATGATATAATCTCTGGAATTCCTTTGTTTTTTTGAGACAGAGTTTTGATCTTGTTGCCCAGGCTGGAGTGCAATGGCACAGTCTCGGCTCGCTGCAACCTCTGCCTCCTGGATTCAAGTGATTCTCCTGTCTCAGCCTCCCAAGCAGCTAGAATTACAGGCATGCACCACCATGCCTGGCTAATTTTATATTTTTAGTAGAGACGGGGTTTCATCATGTTGGTCAGGAGACTGGTCTTGAACTCCTGACCTCAGGTGATCCAGCTGCCTTCACTTCCCAAAGTGCTGGGATTACAGGGGTGAGCCACCGCACCCGGCCTTCTGGAATTACTTTTAAATAATCCTGTGAAGGGAATAAACAGAAAAGATAATTTATCTTGGATGACAAGTACATAGGGTTATTACAGGATTTTTTACATATTTGAGTGTTTGAAATTTTCTATTATGAATTGTTCTTAATTTAAAAAAATCAGCTTTTTAAAATTAAATTGGAATAGAATTTCATAAGTCACCAAAATAAGAACTTTCTTTTTTTTTTTTGAGACAGAATCTCACTCTGTCACCCAGGCTGGAGCGCAGTGGCACAATCTTGGCTCACTGCAACCTCTGCCTCCCAGGTTCAAGCAATTCTCCTGCCTCAGCCTCCCAAGTAACTGGGACTACAGGCGCATGCCGCCACACCCAGCTTACTTTTTGTATTTTAGTAAAGACGGGGTTTCACCGTGTTGCCCAGGCTGGTCTTGAACTCCTGAGCTCAGGCAATCTGCCCACTTTGGCCTCCTAGAGTGCTAGGATTACAGGAGTAAGCCACCGTGCCTGGCCAAGAACTTTCATAATTTTAAACCTGAACAGTTGAAATGTGTCTATACATTTATACCTGCAGGGAAGTTACAGAATTTATTCAGCATAAATGTTGCAGTTGCTCTGGAATCAACACATGCTTATCTTGAAACTATGACATGAATCTAATAGTTTTTCTTATCAGTCTTTCTCAAATTTATCAATAATACCGGATAAACCTTTGAGATAGATCTAATGCTCTGTATTCTTCCTATCATACCTACCTCTTACCAAGGTCCTAATACTTGTTTTTCAGGTACAGCAGGTACAGACTGTGCAGCAGGTACAACATGTCTATCCCGCTCAGGTGCAGTATGTGGAAGGAAGCGATACTGTCTATACCAATGGAGCAATGTAAGTTTATATGTGGAAGTCTTTTTAATTCCCCCACTCAGAGAAAAATAATGTACTTTTGAACACCTCCCACTATTCCCAGATTGTTTCCTTGTTTTCAAAGTAATTTTCTACTAGAACAGTTATTGAAATTAAGCTGATGTTTAGAGCTTTTGTCTATATTTATTAAGAATATGCACTCATTTTCCTTTCACTTAACCCCATAGGATATTTTAAATTATTTAAAGTCTTATGCCCTTTAATAGTTCTTCCTATGTAGAGAAAAAATGTATATACCCCTTGTTAGTGATATCTGTATTTTAATGATAGCTTCTAAACTCTATGCTTTTTGTTTTATTATACGAGGTCAATTTTTATGTGATGTATTTGCATGTAAATGAATATAAAACTAGTATATTAGGAGTTTGGGATTTTTGAACATTTTCAGAATGAGATATTCCACATAAAAATGTCTGATAATAAATGTTACTTTCCTATCTAAACCTGCCCCCTGCCCGAAACCAGCTTATCTCTTTTGCATCAACAATAATATAAATTTGTAAATTTATTTTATTTGGGCTTCTTGGCTACTTTGCAATAAGATGCAGAATGTTGTTATAAATAAAGGAACTAAGAATTATTGTAAGTCGCAAGGATTGTTTCCAAATTGGGTTTTTTGTTTGCAACCTGTTGGCTTCCTCGGTTAACTTAAAATGAATTCAGGTTCTCTCACTGACTCTTCTGCCCACCTCCCATCAGTGTTGGTATACTCCAGGATGATAACCTCTGCTGTCTTTATTCTTACTACATCTACTCTTTCCTTGAGTGATTTCATTTATTTCCGTGATGTCAACCTATAAGTTCCATGGAGGCAGGACTTTTTTTGTTTTTATTCACTACTGTAATAACTCAACACCAGAAGTGTGCATGACATGTGAGTTCAGTTGTTGTTATCTATTATTATTATAACTAAAAACAGAATTCTGGTTAATTTTGTATTCGTTTTATAATTGTGACCAATGTACTTAAATATTCTGAGCTTTTTGTTATTGTTACCATGGAAGGGGAAGGAGAATAATTTCACTCTTATTGGGTTTTTGCAAGGATACAAGGAAATATATTTAAAGTACCTAATACAGAGCCTGGTACAATAATAGATGATACAAAACTGGAAGCTTTTCATTGACTCTGGCTTCTTTCTTTTCTTACTATATTTGGTCACTGAATCTACCCACATCACTACTGCCTAACACTACCTCCATTACCTATAAAATAAAATCTAACTTTCCACACTGGCATTCTCCGCATTCCTACCTCCGCCTTATTTTCTACCTTCTAGGCATAACCAATTTTGTGCATTTTTCCCCAAATATTCCCCTTTCATACTTCTATGTTTTTGGACATGCCGTTTTCTCTGCTGAAATAGCATTCTCTGTCTTCTCTCCTTTCCTCCCAGTCTCCCTAAACCCAGTCTAGTGTGATCTTTATAGACAGACATGTCACTCCCTTCTTTGTGACATGGACCCTGACTCTCCTTCTCTGCAGTTAGCTTATCCTTCCCTTATAAAGGGCAACATTATCCCCTGACTTTTACTTACAGCATTGTACTGTGAATGCTTGTTTATGTTTCCCATAGTAGGAAGAACTCTCCCTGAATGCGAACTTGGCATTTTGTTTTATTTACATTTGCTTAGGTGATTGGCACATAATAAAGTCAGTAAATTTCTGTTACCGTATTAAATCTATACCTCTTTACATATTTTAGACACACTGTGAATGTTTTTCACTCTACTTATTTGTTGTATAGGTCCAGGGCCCCCTGGAGCATGATTTTGGAATCTTCACCATAAACTTAAACTACTGTTGGCATTTATACCAAATGAAAAAGACGCCTGCCACTTCGACCTTTATGCTCTCAGGGAAAATAAATGGCTTTGTAGACACTGCTAGAGGTCACCCAGTTGTCAGTTGTCATTTCATCTTTGTCTGTGACAAGTAGTAATGGGCACCTGCAGGGGAATGTGAGAATGGGAGTTTGTAGCTTTCGTGTCTGTTGTGGTAGAATGTGACAAGGGAAAAGGGCAGTTGAAATGGGTATTGAGAGAGTTAATTGTATAGTACCTATCACAGTTATTTCTCATTTTGTACTGGTCCCAGCTAAGGTGGAGAGATTAGTCTGTTATGTATGAAATGAAGTACCAGTTGAGCCGAAAATCTGAAATCCGAAATACTCCCAAATCTGAAACTTTTTGAGCACCAACATAATGCTCAAGGGAAGTACTCATCATGCATTTCAGATTTTAGATTTTCAGCTTAAGGATGCCCAACTGGTTAAGTATATAATGCAAATATTTCAAAATGTGAAAAAATAAAAAATTCGAAACACTGCTTGTTCCAAGCATTTTGGATATAGGATACTCAAACTGTAACCTCAGTTTATCAAAAGTGCTTTATGTATCATCTAAAGAGTAGGACACACTCAATGAACATTAGTTATTGCTGTAAAATTATGCACTCATTATTTGTTTACAGTTTTTGCTACTACTTAATGATTCTAAATTCTGCATATTGTCTTGTGCATTTTTAAACTGCTTTACTGCTGATATTAGGGTCTTCCACATAATAGGTAAACATGAGTTGAATGAATTCATTCATTCATAAAACCTTAGAAAAACAGCATTTGTAAGGTAGGTTCTTTAAAACTATAGGACCCATTTAAGTGCAGAAATGATTCAAAGCAAATATTTAGTGCTAACATGTATTTTCTATGGCCCACTAGCTCAGCTGGTTAGATCATGACTAATGAGGTCTAGGTCATGAGGTCATTTGTCACAAAGTCCAATTAGCTTTGATCTGGTCTGTGTGGACTCAAATTGTATCCTCAACTCTAGCCAATAATGTCACAAATGTGCACTTTTGGTCAAGAGGGAGAAGATGCATCTTCAAAAACCTTTCATTACTATCAAGGATAATTTTTGACTAAAGGTTCTGTAGCATCATTTTTATACTTAATAAGGAAATGTCATTGTGTTGCCATGAAGTATACTCAAAATTTTAGCAACTAGCGACCATAAGTATTTTTTCTCAAATAGGACTAGAAAATTTTTTTCAGCATAAGCTATTTTGGTCTTTCTGTAATTTTGTAGTGCTGACATTTGACTATTATAATTTTTGTCTCTAATGTTCATTTTAGGGTCTTTCTATGACTTCTTTTTATTTGGCACACTTCCATGTACGTTAGGAAAGAATATTCCATATTATTCTGTTCTACCACACTGAATTAACAGCAAGTTAGTGTTTGATCCCTGACTTGGATCACAGTCGGAGTCCCACTTCTGTGTGATAATAAATGCTTTTTGCTAATGATACTTCCAGAAGATAGGGACTCTGATCTTTATCATGAACTTTTGAGCACCCAGTACATGGCCCTACAACCTGTGCATGCTTAGTAAGCTCGCTAATGCTCTTGTCACCAGCGTCCCCATGTCATGTAGCCATAATGCATGGGGTCTCACTCAAGAAGTGATGACAGCTCTCACAGATATGTGTCGTCACTTATGAATATGTGTAATCATTATAATTTGATGATACTAAAATGTTTACCCGATTCTCCCTGTGAATATGGACAATTACTGCCAGCATAACAGGCTTAACAGTGTGGGTTAGTGAGTGAGTGTACATTTCAATTAAACAACTGAGACTGCTTTACAGCACTGTGTGTTGGAATAGAGTACCTTTTTGCTCAAGGGAGAAGGTAATTTAATTACTTTTGCCCCTGTTTATTTTATCCTTGCTTCTGTAGGAACCCATGCTACATCATTTGTGTATTTCCTTGCAGTAGTTTTTCCAAGATTTCCCAAAGGCTTGATCATCATCTTTATTTCTATAAATTCTTACTACTTATGATATTTAATCAATTAGAATACTATGATTAAACCTGCTTGGAAACATTGCATACCATGTAGAGAGAGTTCATTTCAATGGAAATTTCTTGGTGTAGCTAAGAAGTTTTTTTTTAAAATAAAATGATTTTTTTCTTCCCCCACTCTTTTTTGACTCATACTTCCCCCACTCGCTCCTACATCATGCTAGTCGAAGTGGAAACAGAGACATCATGCTGTATTATGGTCAAATTAAGAAATCTTTATTTTAAAGGATTTTCTTATATAAACCACTCTTTGAAACTTGCCCACTCTTTAGAGATAATCAGTGTTTTAAAATGCAAAAGTATGCATTGTATGGATATCTGTTCTAGTAGTCTTCCTGTTTAGATTATAGATTTCTCAACTCCAGTACATAACTTCTCATACCATGATCCATTGTACATTAGTCCCTTAAGAGTTCTGTGGTTACACAAGCAGTGAAACACTGTGTGATTCAGTTTCTCTTGAGAACCCTCAATTCCTGTTACCCTTTTAAAAGCTCTGAAAAGTCCTATAGAAATGCATAGAACCAGAGAATACTTGTACCTGAGTAATATCTAATAAAATCACATGTTATGCTTTGGGAAATGGTACACTAATATATATTGACATTGAATAATTTAAAATCCATTTTTAAAGTACTATACCTATAGTCATCTCTTGAAAATCATGTATTAATGCATTTTTGAAGTCATCTAATTATTTTCCCATACACTTTAAAAGATTAATAAGGAACCTTAAAAGGAATATTTCTTCAATCTCTCAATCTCTTTTCTTCCTCTATAAGTGGAATGTGAAATTTCGATATTTGCAGGTGAAATTATGCTTTCTTCTTATTATTCAAATGCTGTCTCCTTAAGAGAAATGGTTACATGGAATTCTGTAATTGAGATGCAGAGGTGCTTTCTTCATTTATGCTTCTACGTATGTACACATTCTGACTGGTATAGGAGTTGATTTGTGAATCCACTTGCCATTTAGATTTCAGTAATTGTATATGTCTGGTTACATAGAAATTTCTTTTGGAGAGAGGACTGCCCTTATGTGGAAAAGACCATGGAAGGGCACCCTGTTCTCTCTCTAATACCTAAAACAATGGCCCATGATCGGTGCTCAATCTATATTTGCTGAATGAATTAAATAAAATTGGCATTTAATGATGGGTGAAACAGGAGCCGACTACTTGGTGGCTTTAAGTACCAGGGATAAAATGAATGAAACTGAATTGAGATACTGCTGACCACATGCTTTTCAGCCCCTTCCAAGCTTACTTGCTTCTCCACATTACAATACAATTGCCCTTATCAAGGTCATTGATGACCTTCAGTTGTTAAATCTTTTTTTTTTTAATTTTATTATTATTATACTTTAAGTTTTAGGGTACATGTGCACAATGTGCAGGTTTGTTACATATGTATACATGTGCCATGCTGGTGTGCTGCACCCATTAACTCGTCATTTAGCATTAGGTATATCTCCTAATGCTATCCCTCCCCCATCCCCCAACCCCACAACAGTCCCCAGAGTGTGATGTTCCCCTTCCTGTGTCCATGTGTTCTCATTGTTCAATTCCCGCCTGTGAGTGAGAACATGCAGTGTTTGGTTTTTTGTCCCTGCGATAGTTTGCTGAGAATGATGATTTCCAGTTTCATCCATGTCCCTACAAAGGACATGAACTCATCATTTTTTATGGCTGCATAGTATTCTATGGTGTGTATGTGCCACATTTTCTTAATCCAGTCTATTGTTGTTGGACAATTGGGTTGGTTCCAAGTGTTTGCTATTGTGAATAGTGCCGCAATAAACATATGTGTGCATGTGTCTTTATAGCAGCATGATTTATAATCCTTTGGGTATGTACCCAGTAATGGGATGGCTGGGTCAAATGGTATTTCTAGTTCTAGATCCCTGAGGAATCGCCACACTGACTTCCACAATGGTTGAACTAGTTTACAGTCTCACCAACAGAGTAAAAGTGTTTCTATTTCTCCACATCCTCTCCAGCACCTGTTGTTTCCTGAGTTTTTAAGGATTGCCATTCTAACTGGTGTGAGATGGTATCTCATTGTGGTTTTGATTTGCATTTCTCTGATGGCCAGTGATGATGAGCATTTTTTCATGTGTCTTTTGGCTACATAAATGTCTTCTTTCGAGAAGTGTCTGTTCATATCCTTCGCCCACTTTTTGATGGGGTTGTTTGTTTTTTTCTTGTAAATTTGTTTGAGTTCATTGCGGATTCTGGATATTAGCCCTCTGTCAGATGAGTAGATTGCAAAGATTTTCTCCCATTCTGTAGGTTGTCTGTTCACTCTGATGGTAGTTTCTTTTGCTGTGCAGAAGCTCTTTGGTTTTATTAGATCCCATTTGTCAATTTTGGCTTTTGTTGCCATTGCTTTTGGTGTTTTAGACATGAAGTCCTTGCCCATGCTTATGTCCTGAATGGTATTGCCCAGGTTTTCTTCTAGGGTTTTTATGGTTTTAGGTCTAACATTTAAGTCTTTAATCCATCTTGAATTAATTTTTGCATAAGGTGTAAGGAAGGGATCCAGTTTCAGCTTTCTACATATGGCTAGCCGGTTTTCCCAGCACCATTTATTAAATAGGGAATCCTTTCCCCATTGCTTGTTTTTGCCAGGTTTGTCAAAGATCAGATGGTTGTAGATATGCGGCATTATTTCTGAGGGCTCTGTTCTGTTCCGTTGGTCTATATCTTTGTTTTGGTGCCAGTACCATGCTGTTTTGGTTACTGTAGCCTTGTAGTATAGTTTGAAGTCAGGTAGTGTGATGCCTCCAGCTTTGTTCTTTTGGCTTAGGATTGACTTGCCAATGTGGGCTCTTTTTTGGTTCCATATGAACTTTAAAGTAGTTTTTTCCAATTCTGTGAAGAAAGTCATCGGTAGCTTGATGGTGATGGCATTGAATCTATAAATTACCTTGGGCAGTATGGCCATTTTCACGATATTGATTCTTCCTACCCATGAGCATGGAATGTTCTTCCATTTGTTTGTATCCTCTTTTATTTCATTTTTATTTCATTCTTAACTGATCACTTGTCTCTCCCCCACTAGAATGTAAGCTTCATGTGGGCGGGGACCTGGTTTGTTTGCATCCTGTTCTCTGTCTAATACCTGGAACAGTGGCCCATGATAGGTGCTCAATCTATATTTGTTGAATGAATTAAAGATTAGCATTGAATGATCAGTGAGACAGGAGCTGACTACTTGGTGGCTTTAAGTACACAGGGAAAAAATGAATGAAACTGAATTGAGATGCTGATGTGGCATTCACACAGCTTTCTTATTTGTTTTGTTGTGTTTTTTCCTCTGGTGAAAAACTTTCGAGACTTAACGTACATGTGTGTGGTTACTCGGTTTTTCTTGTTTATAAATTTTTATCGGTGACTTCAAATCAAATCTTTTATAATGCCATTTCTGCTAAAATTGATTTCAGTCCATATTTATTTCCCTGACCTCTGTTGTCAGGGCAAGTGACTCATATATGTACTGACTATGTATATCTTTTTGGTATGCTTCAAAAACCATTATAGCACTGGAAATTTTGGTAATGTTATCATGAGCAACGGCCACAGAATATAAAATTCCTTTTTATAACAGTAGACTTTGGGGTTTTTTTTTTAAACTCAAGTAGGCTAAAAGAATTATTTTATTTTATTTTTGAGTTGGAGTCTTGCTCTGTCGCCCAGGCTGGAGTGCAGTGGTGCGATCTCGGCTCACTGCAACCTCTGCCTTCCAGGTTCAAGCAATTCTCCTGCCTCAGCCTCCTGAGTAGCTGGGACTGCAGCCACACGCCACCACGCCCGGCTAATTTTTGTATTTTTTAGTAGAGACAGGGTTTCTTCATATTGGCCACGGTGGTCTCGAACTCCTGACCTTGTGATCTGCCTGTCTTGGCCTCCCAAAGTGTTGAGATTACAGGCGTGAGCCACCGTGCCTGGCCTAGAATAAATTTTAAAACACTTTTTCCCTTTCGTTCCTGTGAAAATCAGGTTTCATAATTGTAGTATCAACTAGTACAATGGTTCCCAAAGTGTATTCCCCAGGCTAGCAGCATTCACATCAACTGAGAACTTGTTAGAAATGCCAGCTTTTGGTGCCCACTCCAGTTCTACAGAATTAAGAACTTTAGGGGTGGGACCTAGCTCTCTGTGTTGCAACAGGCACTCCGGGTGATTCTGATGCACATTAAAAATGTGAGAACCACTGTTCTACCATACAGAAATAAAGAATTTAAATGCTAAGTAAAGATGTGCCGATCCTTACAAAATAATCATAGGATGGTATAAATGATTCCAGTATGCTGTACATTGTCAACATACATAGTAATGAAAATACTACACATGAAGGAGAAAACTCAGTAAGTTATTACAAGAAGTATTACTGACTTTTAACATTTATTCTTGCATTTCCTCCCCAGTAGCTGTAGCAATGGCTGAATAAATGCTTTTTGTTTTTTACTTTTTGTTATAGCAGATGAAGTTAGAAGAAATAAGTATGTCTTTTGAATATAAGTGAAAGCAAATGTTTTATTAGTGATATTCTTTAGTGTTTATTACTTTATATTTAACCTATTCTTTTTTATTCTTATGTAGTAAGGGGAGGTTTAATATCAGGTCACTTGAATTCCTTTCTGAAGTACTGTTTTCCTTTTGGTGTCTTCCACAAAATAGACATGTCATCTTTCTGGTGTATCCTCTGCCTTCAGTCTGATGAATATTCGGATATTCAGTCTTGAGAATATCTGTTTTGAAACTCATATAAGTAAATAAGTAGTGCATGCGGTCCAGGCACAGATTTTACATATATATATGCACTTTGTTGAAGATTCCAAATAATGTAGCTACTTCTTTGCAGGGTATTGGTGGCCCATGTAAAAACTCCATAATTTGAAACTGTTTAAGGCAGAGGTTCTTGGTTTCAAGCAACAGAAACCAACTCTGGCCTATTTAAGACAAAGAATTTATTGAAAGATGTTTGTGACTCACAGAATTTCCAGGAAGTCTGGAGAATCAAGCTGGAAACAGGCAGGCACAAGTGATGTCAGGCAGCAGCCAGACCATGCACAAAACCGTAGCACAGAGATAGTGCAGTACAGACACCACACCACTGCAGCCATCCCAAAGACTGTCTGCCATTGCTACCCCTGGGTACTGATCTTGTGTCCTGGCCCTACTGCCACTGTAAACATGACATGTCTCTTACAGTGTGTCACCATTTCCATTGCTTTGTGCCCCTAGCTCCTTGTTTAGAGCAAGTCCACCTGGTTATTTGAGTCCTAAGTTGATTTCCTTTAGCTTGTTTGTAAGGGAGGTTGGAAAAGCCAGTACCTGGCTTAAAAATATTTGTCCCTGGTTTCCAAATGCACCTCTTGTGCTCTCAAACTTTTCTAAGATATTAAAAAGTTGCTCATTCTGGCTGCCTTTAGTTATTTCCTCAGTCTAGTTCAATCAGACATATAATGCCCTCACTACACTGAGCAAGCTTCCAATAAGATCACCTCTTATTATTGTATCTATTTCACAGGTTCCAGAATCATCTTACATGGCCCATCTCAGTCATGGGCCCTGATTGCAACTCCGTTTTCTCATGGTGTATTTTTACCTCTCTGGCCTCAGGACTTTGTAGGTTGTCTCTCTGGCTAGAACATTGCCCTACCTCCTCCTACCCATAAGGCCTTTACCACTATCCCAGCCCAAATCAAAATCCAAACTTCTTACAATAGTCTGTAACAGTGGCTTTTAAGCTTTTAAAACTATCATCCACCGTGAGAAAATTAGGCGTACATTTCATACTCTGGTAAGTACACACATACATACCCAGGCATTCACACACAAATCATTTATGTGTATATTCTCTTACGATAAAAACAAAATTTCTAAAAATGATTCTTATTCTCATTAAGTGTAATAAGCACTGATGTTTTCTAGTCTAGTCTAGTCTCTTTTTTAAATGCTGTTGTGACCTATTAAAACTAATTTCATGGCCCACTACTGGATCATGGCCTGCAGTTAAGAAAATTGTTTACACTGCATGCATGTTTAGTTTTTACCTTCCTTAACCTCATTTCTTTCTAACAGCTTTCTCATTTGTTATATCTAAAATACTTCAGACTTCTAATTTCCTTCTAAATATCAGGATCTTTCCTGTGTTGTGTGCTATGTTATGAGTTTTTGTACTGTCTTCCTAAAATTTTATTCTTCTTGTTTTCCATAGGGCTGACTCCTTTTCATCTTTTAGTTTCAATCTAAATAAAAAATCTGGCTTTCAGGGATAACATTCCTTAACTATCCTATTTGGTATGCTCTCTCTTATTTATTCTACTTTTATATTGTATTTTTTTTTTGCTTTCATAGGAATGAGGAAAACTTCTAATTATCTTATTTTCTTTCTAATTTTTGCCCACTTTCTCCTTGTGTTACGTAGCCCTAATAATAGTAGAGGTCATGTCTGTGTTGTTCCTTTTATTCTAGGTGCTAGAATAGATGCTTATTAAATATTTGTTAAAAGAATGTATGCAGAGTAGCCTAAAAGCAATAAAATGTTGTACCCATGTGAGATAATGGTCACCATATCTATATTCTATCCTTATAATACAATTTATGGTATGAGATTTACATGCTATTTTATTTCCTTAATGTATCACTTTCATGCCATTGGTTGATTTTATAGTGACAAGCTTATTGGTTGGAGGACATTCAACATCTTGGTAAAATACAAAATAAAGAATTTAGAGATACTGAGTATCTGGAATTGTGGATAAGACACCTGAAGATAAAGAAAACAGAAAAAAACTGGTTATAGCTAAGATAAATTGCCATAATCATCCTAGTGAATAAGTAAGTAGGGAATATTCAGGGTCACCCTTAGCCAAGGTGTATGCTAAGGCATGATGGGAAACAAATGGCACTAAATTACTGAATTCAATGAATCAGAGTCCTGACATTTACATAGAACCTTATAATAGAGTCAGCTATGAAGAAGCTTCTGTCGGCAAGTATACACATATCGATGTGTTCATATTCATTACTGGATACATATGCAGAACAATGGAAAGATTTCTCTTCTGCTATAGAAATAATATGACATTATTTTCATGACTTAGTCTATGGTAATCAATACAGAACAAACAAAATGAACACAGCAGTATCATTTAAATGTGCACAGAATTGCTTGGGGATTTATCTATTTCAGGAATGTACAGTCCAGAAATAGTTAGCTGCTTTCAATCTGATATGCCAAAAATTGAGTCGTTTTCTTGAACATATGTTTAGGAAATTTCTGGAGAAAATAGTGTGCAAGCAGTAACTCATATGAAGAATATATTCAGTATACAATATAAAAGATGAGCTGATCTGAGATATCAGAATTAGAGAGTCTATTTCTAGTACCTAAAAAAGAACTGTTTATTTTTGCCGTTGGTGCTTCTTTTTTAAAATAAATTTTTAAGTATTTATTCAGGAGCTTAAAGTATTTAGACATGGAAAAAACCTTTAGGAGTTACCTGTTACTTGTGCATGACTCTGGCTTTGGCTCCAGGGACTCGAACAAGTGGGTTCATGCTTGCCTTCTTACCTTTAAGGGACAATGGCTAAGAATATTATTATTATTATTTTATTATTATTATTTTTTGAGATGGAGTTTCGCTCTGTTGCCCAGGCTGGAGTGCAGTGGTGTGACCTCGGCTCACTGCAACCTCCACCTCCCAGGTTCAAGCGATTCTCCTGCCTCAGCTTCAGTAGCTGGGATTACAGGTGCGTGCCACCATGCCTGGCTAATTTTTTGTATTTTTTTAGTAAAGACAAATTTCACCGTGTTTGCCAGGCTGGTCTCGAACTCCTGACCTCAGGTGATCCACCCATCTCAGCCTCCCAAAGTGCTGGGATTATGGGCATGAACCACCGCGCCTGGCCCAGCTAAGGATATTATAATCAGCCTGTATTACTCAACCCAGTGTTTGAAAGTCTCCCCCATTTCCAACTGCAAGTGTATTTTTGTCAAAGCCAAATTCAGACAATTTATCACACTTCATTCCTTAATATAATTCTGTGCTTTTTCTCCCTAAAAATTGCTACTCTTTACCCCAGTGTGTGTTTATAGAGTAGCCAAGGCTTCTCCACAGTCGCACGATGGAGTGATGGGGATAGTTTATGGATTAGGCACACTCTTTAGTGACTTTATCCCTTCTCCTCTTCTTTGGTCATTTTTTAGCTTATGAACTGACTTTGAGGGCTATATAGATATTTCATATATCTGTGATGCATTTTTTTGCATTACTGTTCTTTACTGAGTATAATGATACAAAGAGGGCAGGCCCAAAAGCTGCAGTGATCCCTTGGGATGTTTTTCTTATGATGAGGTAGCAACTTCCACGATCATAGAACATCTAAAATTCCAATCCGAAGTGGTAAGTATCTTCTGAAATGGCCCTGCCTTTTCCATGGCTTCTTTACAATTGCAAGTACATCATCTACAGGCCTCATTCTGGGTAATAATGGAGAATAGTGTAGTGCTAGAAAACAGTAAAGTAAGCTGTAAGGAAATCTCAAATAGCAACAGGAAGTTCATATGGTCCCTATTCCACTTGTTAAGCTGTTCCTTAGTAGTTGTTAACATATATCATTGACAGATATAAAAAGTTATGTTCTTTTTTTTTGACATAATGGTTGAGAATATACATTAAGTGTAGATTCCAGATCCATGATTCATCAGCTCTGTGCTTTAGACTAAGTAATTCAACCAATCCAAACTTCAGTTATTCACCTTGTATGCGAAATAGGAATTATTAATATAACAGCACCTACCTCATGGAGTTTATGAAAATTTAATGAGCTAATGCCTAAAAAGCACATAGAATAGTGTCTGCTGCATAGTAAATGGTCAGTAAATATTAGCTATATTTAGCTATTATTATGTTTTATTTGAGAAATCTACTTACTAGTAGGGGGCATCCTGAATCATCCTGCTTGGATGATGAAAAGGAAAGGGGGCACCATGTCCCGCATCTCTCAAAGTATTTATTGTTCTATATCTATTTGTACAGCTTATTTGACTATACTTAAATATCAACATTAGATTGTGCTATTTTAAGCACAGTTAAGTGGGGCCACTGTCATATTCGGTAGACAAAAATTAAAATGACCTCATTTCTCATTTTATCTAAATTTGAAACCAACATGGCTGTTTTATTTTATTAAATAAACATATAAATAAAGAAACAAATGAGATTTCCAGTTGGGAAATATAGCAGTGATGAGAAGAATGGTACGTGTATTTTAAGTGACATTTTTCTATCTGGAAAAAAAAAAAAAAAAACATTTTCTATGAATTTGTTTCTATCATCACCCCAGACTAAACTTTTTACCTGGATTTGCTGTGGCTCTTTCTGGAAAGGGCTCTTTACCCAGTGTGGAATACTTTCAGAACACTCTTATTACTTTACTAAAATATATATTGTAAATTACAAGTATAATTTATAATGGATTAAAAGTATTTGTTTTAAATTAATCAAAAATCTTGGAGTAGTTTAGCATAATTTCTCATGTTTTAACAAAATAAAAGATTTGTGATACAGAAATTTATGAAACTGGCTATTACGTCTACCATACTTTTAAATATTTTTATTTGCTGACTGATTAGTGTGCCAGCTATGTACCAGCAACTGTGTTAAGTGTTGAGAGTACTGATGGGAGTAGGAAGACTTGAGGAAATTAACAACACATTGAGAGCTATGTTTCAGGAATTCAAAGGATGTTGGGAAAGTACAGAACATAAAACATAACAGTCCTGTGAGGAGTGGCCATAGAGGGCAAAGGATGCAGAAAATAATTTTGAGATAAGGTGCTTCCGTTGAGAGCTTAAGAATGATTAGGACAAAGGCAGGGAGGTGGAATAAAATGAAAGGGCCTTTCAGGCAGAGGAATCCTTATGTAGTGAAGCAGAAAGGCAAGAGAAAATGGCACTTTGTCAGGACCAGAAAAATGGTCAATATGATGTGAGTGAAGAGAGCATTTGATAACATGGCTAATACCAAGTCTCGAGATTATGTAGGCACGACCCCCTGATGATTTTTGTAAAGTGGACAAGAGTTTTGAACTTTTTCTGAAGGCAAGAGAGAATCATGGAAAGGTTTTTAAGCGGTTTTATTTTTATATCTGCGTTACAGAAAATTCTCCTGGCAGCAAAGTTGGAGATAGATTGCAAGAGCAACTGATTAGAGAAGGGAAAATCCATTAGAAGGCAATTACAGGTTGATCATCCCTAATGCAAAATCCAAAATCTGAAATGCTCCAAAATTTGAAAGTTTTTGAGCAGCAACATAAGATAGTGACATCTTTGCTTTCTCATGGTTCAATATATACTAACTTGGTGTCATGCACAAAATTATTTAAAATATTTTATAAAATTACCTTCACGCTATGTGTATAAGGTGTATATGAAACATAATTGAATTTCATATTTAGATATGGGTCCTATCCCCAAGATCTCTCATTTTATATATGAAAATATTCCAAAATCTGAAAAAATCCAAAATCCAAAACACTTGTGGTCCCAAGCATTGTTGATAAGGTATTCTCAGCCTGTATAATAGAGAACATTATGAATTAAGGTAGTGTGTATGATAATGGAAAAGAGAATTGGAAAATTATTTAGAAGATAACATTGACAGGACTCAGCAACTCATGTCAGTCAGAGGGAAGAGTAAGCAATAATTTCCAAAGCTGAGGATGGTGGTGCTGCCCTCTACTGAGAAGCGGAAGTGTGGAAGAAAGAACAAGAGAGGAATGGAATCTCATCATACGTTAAATTTTACACAGCCTCCCATATTTCATGGGAGTTCTGAGTAGTGATGACCACTTGGCTGTTAGAAACCCAGATTTAATATTCTTAAAGTATAACTAGGAAGTAAAGAGGGCAGTGATACCAACTTATGTAAGATTGTTTACTAAGAGCATGTATATGGTAATACAGTACTTTATGTGGTAAAGGTCTTTGATCTAAATAAAAATAAGAGCTCAAAATGGAAAACTCAGAAAAATATTAATATTTGATGTGCTAGAAAAATTGGAGATTCCAAAAGGCTCTTGAGAGGTTATGGTAAAAAGCAAAAAGTGGAAAAGGAGAGCCATAGAAACTAAGGGACAAAAAAGGTTAAGACATCCAGGCTTTAAGATATATATAAGACAGATCTGAAAACATATACACCAAACTCTCAGGAATGGCTAGCTTTAGGAGGTGGCGTTGAAGATAATAGCAAAAGAACTGGGAATTTCAATTTTGTATTTGAATGTTTAAAACCTGTTCTATATATATTATAACTTCTTGAGAACTTAGTATTTTAAAATAAAAAGTTAAAAAGATCCTCTTAAAATTGAAGTTATAGTCAATTGAAAATAAAAATAGATGAATCAAATAAGCTTAATCAGAACAGAAAAGGGAGGGAAGGGTAACATGGAGTGGCCAACAGTGTCATACTATAGATAGGTCACAAGAGATAAGGACTGACAGGAGTCTTTTAGCTTGGTATTTAGCTGTGGTCACAAGTGACCTTATTAAAAGCAGTTCTAATGAAAGGCTAAGGGCAGAAGCTTGACTGTAGTTGTTGGAAAGTGGAAAGTGAGGACATGAAGAGTTAGAATAGTCATCTTATAAAGGAGGAGCTTAAGTGTGAAGGGAA
The DNA here is from genome assembly GCF_000001405.40 of Homo sapiens. Classification (NCBI taxonomy): domain Eukaryota; kingdom Metazoa; phylum Chordata; class Mammalia; order Primates; family Hominidae; genus Homo; species Homo sapiens. Next base: position 3,331,073 of record NC_000009.12, on the reverse strand, counting down.
AGAGAGATATGGGGAGGGACTTAGGGTCCAGGGTGAGTAAACTATTTGCTTAAGATCCTTATGGAGGTAAGAAAGAGATCCATGATAGCTCCTTTAGTCATGGAGGTTTATTGGATGTCACCCAGGAATGTTAAGTAGTCTGAGTATTAGCTAAGTAGGAGCTAAGTCAACTACTCACACTACTCCTACTTATTCCAGGTTCCAGCTTTTCTAAAACTGGGATTTGTAGTACATTTTATAAGCAATTGAAGTTGTTCAGCAAGATTTCTTGGAGGGAAGAGACCTGAGCTTATTTATATGCTGGAGATAGGCACCAGGAGAGGGCAAAATCTCTGTAGTACAGAAACTAGTTGAGGTACTTATTTAAATGAGTGGCCCCTTAATTTGAAAAGTAAATCGAACTGTTTCTGGGAATGAAGTTTTGTACAAAATGCGAAACTTGCCATGTTGCAAAGGCTAAGCCAACCAATATATTTCAATTACATTCATATTAGAAAAAAATTAATAAGATGACATAAATAAGCTAGTAAATTTCTTTTTTCTTCTTCTTCTAAAGCCGAACAACAACGTATCCTTACACAGAGACACAGATGTACAGCCAAAATACTGGAGGGAATTACTTTGATACTCAAGGGAGTTCCGCCCAGGTGACTACCGTGGTCTCATCCCACAGTATGGTGGGCACTGGTGGGATTCAGATGGGCGTCACAGGAGGACAACTCATCAGCAGCTCTGGAGGAACCTATCTGATCGGCAACTCAATGGAGAATTCTGGTCACTCAGTGACACACACAACTCGGGCCTCCCCAGCGACAGTAAGTATTTGAATTTTTAGTAGTTTAGTTTAGCTTTTAATAGTCTCTAATGAACATTTCCTTTGATAGAGGGAAAAGAACAACACAGATGGGACTGGGGCAAGAATGTGTTGGATAGTTTTAGTATTGAGAGTTTGCAGAATGTAGTATATGTAGTATTATGCAGAATGTTACTGATACATATGCCCTCTAATCAGGTGAATTAGAGTTTTTAATTTTACTGGCAATTAGAAAGGTGAGTTTTACTCATTAAACTGCTGGCTTTAATAAGCTGTCTTCCATCAGTAAAATATCTTAAATTTATATAGAAAGAACTCACTTTCATATTATGCTTACTTTATGAGATAAAAGCCAGGCAGTAATACAGAGAATAAAATATAATTTAGCTTGGAATTTTCACATCTTTCAACAATAATATTTATGCTAGCTCATGCCCAGAGAAGTTATATTATGTAAGCCAGCATCCCAAACCTTAGACATGTAAGTTTTGCCATTTTCTCATGCCACCTGTATTATTATTAACTTAATATGTTTTCCAAGTTGACTCACTTTTAAAATAGAAAATCGTGTGTAATTTTTTCCTAATACATATTGAAATCAATATTTAAATAGTAAAGTTAAAAATGTTTACCCATGTGCCATATGTAAATTCGTGTTGCATTCCACCAGAGAGATACTTTAGAAAGCATTACTATAGGTGATTCAGATGAAAAATATTTGTGTTGGCTCTGATCATAGATATGAGCAAACAGTATCTTAGGAGCATACATATTTAAGTTAAATTTAATAGATTATTTTAACACAGTGGGTTATTGTTTGGTGGTTTTTTGTTTTTTTTTTTTTTTTTTTTTGAGATGAAGTCTTACTCTGTGGCCCAGGCTGGAGTGCAATAGTGCAATCTCAGCTCACTGCAACCTCTGCCTTCTGGGTTCAAGTGATTCTCCTGCCTCAGCCTCCCAGGTAGCTGGGACTACAGCCACATGCCACCATGCCTGGCTAATTTTTGTATTTTTTAGTAGAGATGGAGTTTCACCATGTTGGCCAGGCTGGTCTCGAACTCCTGACCTTCGGTAACCCACCCTCCTCAGCCTCCCAAAGTGCTGGGATTACAGGCATGTGAGCCACTGAGCCCGGCCAACACAATGTATTTTAGCGTACTGAAATGATGTAATAGAAATAGTCATAGAAAATTTTGCAGAATTTGATATCATCAAACTTTGTAGCCTGAACTTCTGCTTTTCACCTCTACTAAGCATATGAGAATGGTCATTTAGAACCACATAGCTAAAGCAGCAATGAAATAGATTTTCTAGGTATTACATATAAAAGGGTGCTGGGGATTTGAATTAAGGAGATGTATCCCATTTTATCATTTCATCATATAGTTTGTTCTTGCAATGAAATAGAGATAGAAATAAATTGGGGAGAAAATAGTAATATGAGAAGCTTTATATTTCTCATTTTATGGATTTTCTCCAGGATATTATATGTGCTTGGTAAGTACTTTGTATATACTTTGTGTATTTGTAGTAATTTCATGTGTTCCTACTTTCATCATTCAGTGCCTTTTCCCTAATTTATTTTTAAAAAACTCTTTATTTTAATTCGCTATTTGTTACTAACATCAGAACAGATGACTAGCTGTTCTGAGCGGAGAGTTCCTTTTTGTAATTTTTTTCTTTGTAATTTTGAAGCATTTCTTATGTGTATTTGTTGTCTCTTCCTTTTAATAATATTAAATACAGTATTTTAAACCTTTTAGTCACATCAGTATATTTATGTAGATTACAAGGGGATTGCTACTAATAAACCATAGCTTTTCTGGATCTCAGTTCCCCTATCAATAAAATAAGGGGTTAGTTAGACTAAATGATTTCCTAGTTTCCTCCTAGCTTTAGCACCATTAGATTTACAAAGGAATTATAAAATATTCTAAATGTAAAAGTAACTATAGCTTCAACATAAAAAGAAAAGAGATAGAAAATGGTGGCAGTAGTATATAGCACTCCTCCTATAGGCCACCTAGAAAATTATTTTCAGTGAAAGGAAAATACCACTTATCAAGGCCTTAGGAAAACTGAAAAACGGGGCAAAATTTACCTTTCCCACTTTCATTTCATCCACCCTGTCTTATCCTAACCTACCATCCTTCGAAACCCCATTCCTTTCCTACCTCACCTCTTCTAGGTATTCCTACTTGCCTTCATGCTGATTCTGATACCTGTTTAACATCCTCATCAACTGGGTGTGGGTTTACTAAATTTACTTGCTCTCTCACTAAATTAACCAAATTGTTTAATCCAGCTCATGTAAATACAGTTGCATTGCTAACCTTTATAGTTTGAGGATTCTTCTTCTATTTTTTTTTTGATAAGGTATACACTTTCTATGTAGGTATGTATGTATGAAAGGTGGCATTATTCCTTAAGTTATCCATTATACAAATTTGATGTGTGATTTTTATTATACTAACTGGTAAATTAAACAGATAACTGAATTATAAAAACTGGGAATAGTTGAAAACTGTTACAAAACACCAATTTATAATATCAGTTGTACATATTAATTTTATACTAAAAATATTCATATTTGAGGTTGTTTTGTTAAGGATAAAAATTCTAAGGTGATTTTTTTTTGTTTTGCGTTTTTTTAAATAAGAAAATTTTCCTTTTTAACAAAAGGAGTATAAAAATTAAAAAAAAAGTAACTTTTGTATGGAAAAATCACAAAGTGATCTCACCAAGCCCATATTGATTGATAGTGCGGTACTTGTCTAAATATACTTCTGCTAGTGTTTATTGTATTACCTTGAATTGATTATTGAAAAGTATATTTAATTTAAATCCCCGTCTCAATTGTACTGAAGATCTGCTTGACTCACAGTGAGGTTGTGATTCTCAGTTTACAGTTTCACATCTGTTACTGTAGTAAAATTAACAAAGTTGAAGTGCCGTGAAACCTATTTAAGATTTCATATCATGTGCCTCTTGCCAAATGTGAGAAATGCTAACCATAGATTTTTGATTGTTTTCACTCCTAAAAATCAAGATTTTTTTTTTTAGGAGATGCCATGCCATTAAATGGGATTTAATTGAGTTTATGTATATTTTTCTTTTACTGTAGAATCAGAGAAAAGATTGTATATGAACACAATCTTTAAAGATTTGTTGGTCAAGACTCAAGCCATTTCTTTCCAAACATTGAGCCTATCTGTACCATATAAGTTCAGTTTTTCTCACTGTTCTTTAGTGTTCGACATATAACCTATAGAATGACTGATGCAGCCTACTGTGCAATAGTAGCATATACTGTGGCCGAAATTCTTGACTGAGAAATAGTCCGTTGGGTCACTCCTTAGGGGGCTATCAGTAAGTGTAATGCATAGTCAATTAATTCAGTTGATGTAAAACTAGCTATGTTTGGGTACTTGGAAACAGCACAAAGCAAACACTGTTACCCAGTTCCTATGGCAAAGTTTTCTGCTCCAGTCCTTAGAATAGTTGCCTTGATGTGATAATTGCCAGTGATAGACTGGATAAAGAAAATATGGTACATATACACCATGGAATACTATGCACCCGTAACAAAGAACGAGATCATGTCCTTTGCAGGAACATGGATGGTGCTGGAGGCCATTTTCCTTAGCAAACTAATGCAGGAACAGAAAACCAAATACTGCATGTTCTCACTTGTAAGTGGAAGCTAAATGATGAGAATACATGGACACATAGAGGGGAACAGCACACACTGGGCTTTAGAGGAGGGTAGAGGGTGGCAGGAGGGAGAGGATCAGGAAAAATAATGAATAATAGGCTTAATACCTAGGTGATGAAATAATTGGTACAATAAATCCCCATGCCACACATTTACTTATGTAACAAACCTGCCCATCCTGCACAAATACCCCTGAACTTAAAATAAAAGTTTATAAAGTCAGCATTTGTTAATTTGGTAACAAATTAAATTTTATATGATGAATATATTATATCAACTACTAATACTCAAATTTAGTCAAAATACTATTTCTCCTTTGATTTACTGTTTCCTTTTATATGGTCCATGTGTGTATAATTATATATATGTATATAGATATATACATCTATGCTTTTACTTATATAAATACATACACATACATTTAAAAGGCATTTCCTGCGGATAATATTAAATAGCAATTTTCAGAAAGATGTTATAACATTTTTATTGAATCATCACTGGATATGGGTTCAGCTAAGTTGCGACCTGAATATGTTAGGGATCTGTTTATTGTTAATATTTCAGTAGCACATGGACATTAAGGTAGAAGAATTGGCTACAGTCATAATTCTGAACTCATTATACATCTGTCTTCTAACTATATCAACATAATATTTCCCTCTGCTTTTATTCATTTGAAATTCTAAGTATTTTCATGATTATTTTTCTATATAATCACATCATTTATAGAATTTTAGAGTTTTGGAACCTGAACATACTTTTCACTTGAAGATTAAAAATTTGTGAATGTAGTTAGTGATTTTTTTTGGTGCTCATCACAACATAATTTATCTTATACCAGAGTATGCAATAATTACCAACTTGCTTTAAAAAGCCTTATTTACTCACTCTTACATAAAATAATATTTTTATTCTTATAATTAGATGGTTATGTATGAGTTTTTTAAATTCTTCTTAATACTTAAGATTACATTAATCATTTTTGAGACCGTGATATGAAAGTTAATTTTTACACCTTTATGTATATACATTTAAATGGGCTGTTGCTAACATTAGATCCCAGCCAAGAGGCACAAGAAAAATATCTTGAAATTAATATTGTTCATATTCCCACCTCTTTTGATTAATGTAAAATATTATAATTTATTTAATTATTTGGAGGAAAATTTGAAAGTCCATCTGCTGCTATATAAGTAAAAGTTTGGCCTAGTTTATATAATTAATAGAAAGTTAAGAATTCATTTAAGAATTATGAGTGCTTTTATTTATTTATTCTTGGTTTGGCATGTTTATGAATTTGGTGTAAGGGAATGCTTTTTCTAAGAGTATAAATATGTTTAGCTCTTCAAAATAATTTTACCTTCTTATTCTTTTGCTGCTACGTTACCAATGGCCATGTGTTTGATTTCAAAATTTTAATTTATTTATACGAATTAGTTATACATTCTTAAGTTGCACATTCAAAAGATATAAGAAAGTACATGAGTCTCTCTCACCCGTTTCCCAATTCTCATCCTTAGAGGCAACCAGTATTACCAAGTTCTCTCTTATTTTTTTATTTATTGATTTTTGATTTTTTTTGAGATGGAGTCTCACTCTGCCACCCAGGCTGGAGTGCAGTGGCGTGATCTCGGCTCACTGCAACCTCCACCTCCCGTGTTCAAGCGATTCTCCCACCTCAGCCTTCCTTGTAGCTGGGATTACAGGTGTCCGCCACCATGCTTGGCTAATTTTTTGTATTTTTAGTAGAGACGGTGTTTCACCATGTTTGCCACACTGGTCTCAAACTCCTGACCTCAGGTGATCTGCCCGCCTCAGCCTCCCAAAGTGCTGGGATTACAGGCATGAGCCACCACTCCCTGCCACCAAGTTTTTTAAGTATTATTCTAACAATATTCTAGCAGAATATTCAAGCAGAATATATATTTTTTCACTCCCTCTCTCTTTTTTTTTTTTTTACACAAATGGTAAGAAAAATGCCGCATCTTGCTTTTTTTCACCTAACAATATGTCTTGGAGACTTTTTGTTTCATATTAGCACACGAAGAACTCCCTTATATTTAAGGGAAATGATTATATTAGAAGGAGCTGAATTGCCCATCTATCTTACCAGAGGAAAAAATGTTGAAATAATATTGGATTATTGGTTATGACTACATCGAGACAGAAAAGCAATATAGTTACATGAGATGAACGCTTCTGTTTAATTATCATATATGAAGATATGCTTAGAAGAAATTTTAAGTTAGAAGTATGCATAAATTATGCATAAATCACAGTTCTTATTTTATGTGACAAAACAGTAATTTCTATTTAAAATAATTTACTAAGTTTTACAGTTAGCCTCAATATTTTTTAAAAAAAGACTCTGTCCACTTATTTTGGCAGGAACATGTATCACCATTATGATCTTAGCTTTTTCTGTTTTCCTGTGTCCCTTTTTCCCTAGGCCAACTCAGTCCCTGAAATGAAACTCCTCAGACAGATTACCATGAACCGTCTGTTTCCTACACTAAATCATAAATTGACTGAAGGTTCTGGGCCTCATTTTCAAAGCATTTAATAAAATGGGACTTTGAATGACTTGTAGTCTCCATCACTTCATCTGTATTCCATTCAGCTGTCAGTCAGTTCCACACTGCTCCAGCCTCGAAGCTGATAAGATCTAGAGGCAGTAATTTTACCATTAGGGCTGTAAGACATTCCACTCCTAGAAATCTTGATAAACTAGCAGGTTAAGACAAAGAGAATCACAGCATCCTTCATTCTCTCCTGAGCATAGCCAGTGAATTCCTCTGAATTTTAAAGCAAAATATAATGAATTATTTTATTTTTTAGCTACTTCATATTTGAAACAGCATTTCAGAACACAGGTGTATGGGTAACATGCCAGAAAAAGCTAGATTCTATGTCATACAAGATCTAGATAAGCAAAGTTTAATGATGCTCATAAATTCTACTTATAAATATTAAAGTAACCTGTACCTCAGGCAACCTCTTATATATCTTTTGCTTGATCCTTCCTTAGATTTACAAGTCAAGTTTCACGTTAAGTTACTTGTTTGAAACTAACATAATTTTTAAAGAAAAAAACTCCACCAACTTAATGCTTCACTTATAAAAATTAGATAATCCAGATAAAATATGAAATGCATTGCTACAGATTAAAATATTAATACATTGTAGTCTAAGAGTGACATATGAGTCAATATTAGACTCAGAAAGTTTCAATACTGCCTCTTCTACTGGCCCATGTGTTTAATTTAAAGGGGAAAAATACGACACAGTGCCTATGACCAATTGTCAGTTCTCTGAGAAAGAATTTCTCCATGTTCCTGTGCATATTAGTTCATCCCCCAAAGCATGTGATTTGATTACCACTTTCTCAGTACATGTAACTCCAGTTGTTGTCTTTATTTGCCACAGAATTATCTGGTTTCCTTTAAACTCTAATTATGGCATTTGATTGTAACTATTGGTGGCAGTAAATTTCATGACATAGGAGTTTTGTAATCTACGGACTTAGAAATAATTTTACACATACACTTAAAATTTACTAAGTGTAAGTTTGAGTGACTTTTTCATCTGTCTTATAGGAAAGGAAGATGTGATGTTTAATTGTGCTTTCAAAATTACAGGAAAGATGCAGTTAGGCAAAAGAAAGGAAATACAAATTCAAAGGGAGGTAAAGAGGTCAGAACTTGTAGATGATGTGATTGTGTACTTGATAAAAATCATAGAGAATGAAATTAAAAACTATAACAACTAATAAGACATTTTAGTAAGGTGGCAGTACAATTTTTTTTTCTTTCGAGATGGAGTCTCACTCTGTCACCCAGGCTGGAGTGCAGTGGCACAATCTCAGCTCACTGTAACCTCCACCTCCTGGGTTCAAGCGATTCTCCTATCTCAGCCTCCCTAGTAACTGGGATTACAGGTACCTGCCACCAAACCCAGCTAATCTTTTGTATTTTTAGTGGAGACAGGGTTTCATCATGTTGGCTGGGTTGGTCTTGAACTCCTGACCTCAAGTGATCCACCTGCCTCGGCCTCCCAAAGTGCTGGGATTACAGGCCTGAGCCACCGCACCCAGCCACAAAATTAATACACAAATAAATCAATAGCTTTTCTAGATAGTTAGAAAATATAATGGAAACAAAGATCTCATTTATAATAAAAACAAAAAATGCCTGGCAACAAACTAATAATAAGTGTGCAAGATCCAATTGCTGAATAAAAAACACCTAAAGTTCGCCAGGGATACAAAAGGAAACTTGAATAACTGGAAAGGCATACCATATTCTTGGATAAGAAATTTCAATATTAAACATTTAACCTCCCTAAGTTAACATAAAATGTTTCAACATAATCTCAATCATAATACCAATAGTTTTTTTGACAAGAAAGGCTGTTCATGTAAATAAACTTGCAAGAATTTATAGAAAATTTTGTAAAAAGAAAAATAATGAGGGATGGGGTGGAGGGAAACAACCTATCAGATATTAAAATGTATATAAAATTATAATAATTAAAACAATTATCTAAGCACATGAATAGACTAGTAAATGAAAGACTAGAGACCAAGTAGGCCAAATGCATGCAGGAATATTGTATATATTAAAGGAGGCATTGCCTGTGAGTTGAGAAGTCATGGATTATCAGTAAATGATATTTGGAACAACTGAATATTTATATATTTATAAAAGAAAATTAGATTGGTTCATATATTAGTCTTTATATCAAAATTAATTTCACTTGGATAGAAAAGTGTGTTTTATCATTAGAGTGGGAAGCATAATATAAAATCCAGAAGCTATAAGAAAAATATTGATAAACTCAGTTATGTAAAGGTGAAAACATCCTGCTGAGAAAACCACAATAAACAAAGGCAATGGTGAAACAACAAACTGGCATAAAGTTTTGAGGTATTATACTCAAAGGACTAATTTTTTAAATTTATAGACCACTCTTACAAATTCATCAGAAAAAATAACAAAAACAGAGCAAGTACAAGAACAGGCAGTCCAATGAAAAGGAAGTGAAAAATAAACTACAAAGAAATACCACCTTTCATCCCATACAAGCAATGCGGAAGAGGTTGGTAAGCCTTGCCAAGTGTGCAAGGAAATAGGTACTCTCAATCATGATTGATGGGAATCTAAATTGGCACAGAATTGGAGAGCAATGTGGAAATTTTTTATCAAAATTAAAAATACACATATCCTCTGACTCAGTCAGTGTGCTTCCGGGAATTTACCATACTGATAATACTGTTATGTATATGAAATGCTACATAAAAACTATATTTGTTGTAGACTTATTTGTAATAGAAAAAGATTGGGGTCGGGGGCGGTGGCTCACGTGTGTAATCCCAGCAGTTTGGGAGCCTGAGGCGGGTGGATCACCTGAGGTCAGGAGTTCGAGACCAGCCTGACCAACATGGTGAAAACCCCATCTCCACTAAAAATAGAAAAATTAGCTGGGTTTGGTGGCACATGCCTGTAATCTCAGCTACTTGGGAGGCTGAGGCAGGAGAATCGCTTTGAACCTAGGAGGTGGAGTTTGCAGTGGGCCAAGATCACGCCATTGTACTCCAGCCTAGGCAACAGAGACTCTGTCTCAAAAAAGAAAAAGACTGGAAACTGCCTTATCCATCAGCAGGGAAATATGCAAATAAACGTTAGTACTTTTATCTCTTAAGTGGAATTACATGTAGCCCCTAGATAATGAGGCTATATATATATATATATATATATATATATATATATATATATATGCTATGTAGCATGCATTATATGTATATATAGGCACATATGTGTGTGTATGTATGTATATATATGCACACACACATATGTACACATTTATATGAAAAAAGTCTCCATGTTGAGCGAAAAAGCAGAGTAGTGTGTGTGTGTGTAAATAGAAACACATATTACTATGTGCTTATATAAGATATCCTAAAGTTTTTTTTTTTGTTTTTTTTTATGGAGGGGGTGGGACAGTCTTGCTGTGTCACCTAGGCTGGAACGCGGTGGTTTGATCTCGGCTCACTGCAACCTCTGACTCCCAGGTTCAAGTGATTCTCCTGCCTCATCCTCCCAAGTAGCTGAGTACAGGCATGCGCCACCACACCCGGCTAGCTTTTGTAATTTTTGGTAGACATGGGGTTTCCCTGTTTTGGCCAGGCTGGTCTCAAACTCCTGGCCTCAAGTGATCCGCCTGCCTCAGCTTCCCAAAGTGCTGGGACTACAGGCGTGAGCCACCACGCCCAGCCAATCCTAAAGATGTCTTTAGGAAGGATACATGAAGAATAAAAGGTGGGAGGCATGTGAATATATTATCTATTAAAAAAAAGAAGTCACTTGTTATTTTTAAAAATTTTGGACAAGCTCTTAATGATTATACATTATATCTATTTGGTCATATTCCCCAAATGCATGTAGATAAAGCAAATCCTTTATGTGCCCAGTATTAATATTGTCTGTGAGGTGTCACAGTTCACATTAAACCCTGATCCTAGGTTTCAGATAAAGTCCTCATTTATTAGACTGTTGAAAGTTTAGACAGTGAAAACTGGCATTTAATTCATTTGAAATTTTTAGAGCCATTCTTACTGTTCAACATTTTGGAATGAAAGTTGATGTTTGTATTTGTATTTATGTATTGAGAATCTGAGTTTTTTTTTTTTTTTCGGTCACTGACTTTCTCAAACATTTATTGAGGTATTACTGTTGACCAGGCACTGTGCTTCTGTGAATTTGAAGACTTAACAGTATGGGCTAATGGAGCTAGTTCCTGCACTGAAAGGTACCTAATCCTGTAAGGCAAAAATACAAATTCACAAATAGCCTCCAGACTTCTTTTTAGGGTTAGTTTCAACTACTTTCTTGCCACATTATTTTTTAAATCACAAATGTTCATATGTTATCAATTGATTAATTTTAGATTTATCAAAATTGTGCTTACCTTCTGATAATATTGCTTATACAAGTTCAAAATTGCCTAAAGATTGGGCAGGATTGGATAGCAAGAGAGTGAAAGAGAATCATGAATGCAAATAATACTTAAGATTGCAGAATCACCCTTTAATTAGAGTTAACTGGCACCATTGTGGGAATGTCCGTTACCTACCTATTTATATTCCCTTAAGTAGTCATTGCAGTCTGACTCTGGCAATGAAAAAAAAAAAGATCATGTTTTAGTGAAACTGTTTTCAAACTTGAGTGTGCATCCTCTGGAGCATTGATTAAAACACATCTCTGGATCTCACCCCAATGACTTTCGATTCAGTCAGTGTGGGCAAGGGCCCCTTGCATTTCCAACAAGTGCCCAGGGGATACTGAAAATGCTGGTCCAAGACCACACTTTAAAAGCCTGTTTTAGTGATTACGGAGACTAACTACAAAGTGAAAATGTTCTTATACTCAGAATAAACTGCAAAATGCAGAGACCATTTGAAAATGTAAGATGGAGTTTAAATCCTATTATTTAATTCTAACCCAGCAAATTTCTGAGGGGTAATTCCAACTCCCAAGTGCTTTTGTACTTGATGTCTCAGAAACTAGTTTTATCGTCACAGACTCATAGGCTTCTAGTGAGGGTGGGGGAATCTGGGCTCCACAGAATAATCAAAGAAGTCCAAAAAGACAATCTTGATTTCAACCCAGCATCCCAAAATAAGCCAAATGTTCTCAGAACACATTCAATTTATAAGGTTTCTTAGGCAACCGTTTTTCTCCCCGCTATGAAAATGTTAAGAATAACTTCAGGTTACAACTTTGGTACAAAATTGCCAAAATTTCAGGTTGAAAGCATAATAACTTAATTTTTTTCTCTAGACGTCATAAAATTATCAGTGAATAGAAAGGAAAAGATTTCATGTATTTGAACATTTATAAAACCTTAGAAAAGATTTTGTCTTTAGCTACTTTCTGGTTAAAGAGGACATGAAAAGCCAAGCTGGCTAGATTTGCTTTCTGGGCTTTTTTTTTTTTTTAATTTTAATTTTAATTTTTTAATTATTATTTTACTTTAATTTCTAGGGTACATGTGCACAACGTACATGTTTCTTACATATGTATACATGTGCCATGTTGGTGTGCTGCACCCGTTAACTCGTCATTTACATTAGGTATATCTCCTAATGCTATCCCTCCCCGCTCCCTCCACCCCACAGCAGTGCCCGGAGTGTGATGTTCCCCTTCCTGTGTCCATGTGTTCTCATTGTTCAGTTCCCACCTATGAGTGAGAACATGTGGTGTTTGGATTTCTGTCCTTGCACTAGTTTGCTCAGAATGATGGTTTCTAGCTTCATCCATGTCTCTACAAAGGACATGAACTCATCCTTTTTTATGGTTGCATAGTATTCCATGGTGTATATGTGCCACATTTTCTTAATCCAGTCTATCACTGATGGACATTTGGGTTGGTTCCAAGACTTTGCTATTGTGAATAGTGCTGCAGTAAACATACGTGTGCATGTGTCTTTATAGCAGCATGATTTATACTCCTTTGGGTACGTACCCAGTAATGGGATGGCTGGGTCAAATGGTATTTCTAGTTCTAGATCCCTGAGGAATCGCCACACTGTCTTTCACAATGGTTAAACTAGCTTACAGTCCCACCAACAGTGTAAAAGTGTTCCTATTTCTCCACATCCTCTCCAGCACCTGTTGTTTCCTGACTTTTTAATGATCGCCATTCTAACTGGTGTGAGATGGTTATCTCATTGTGGTTATGATTTGCATTTCTCTGATGGCCAGTGATGATGAGCATTTTTTCATGTGTCTATTGGCTGCATAAATGTCTTCTTTTGAGAAGTGTCTGTTCATATCCTTTGCCCACTTTTTGATGGGGTTGTTTGATTTTGTCTTGTAAATTTGTTTTAAGTTCTTTGTAGATTCTGGATATTAGCCCTTTGTCAGATGGGTAGATTGTAAAAATTTTCTCCCATTCTGTAGGTTGTCTGTTCACTCTGATGGTAGTTTCTTTTGCTGTGCAGAAGCTCTTTAGTTTTATTAGAACCCATTTGTCAATTTTGGCTTTTGTTGCCATTGCTTTTGGTGTTTTAGTCATGAAGTCCTTGCCCATGCCTATGTCCTGAATGGTATTGCCTAGGTTTTCTTCTAGGGCTTTTACAGTTTTAGGTCTAACATTTAAGTCTTTAATCCATCTTGAATTAATTTTTGCATAAGGTGTAAGGAAGAGATCCAGTTTCAGCTTTCTACATGTGGCTAGCCAGTTTTCCCAGCACCATTTATTAAATAGGGAATCCTTTCCCCATTTCTTGCTTTTGTCAAATTTGTCAAAGATCAGATGGTTATAGATGTGTGGTATTATTTCTGAGGGCTCTATTCTGTTCCATTGGTCTATATCTCTGTTTTGGTTCCAGTACCATGCTGTTTTGGTTACTGTAGCCTTGTAGTATAGTTTGAAGTCAGGTAGCATGATGCCTCCAGCTTTGTTCTTTTGGCTTAGGATTGTCTGGGCAATGCGGGCTCTTTTTTGGTTCCATATGAACTTTAAAGTAGTTTTTTCCAATTCTGTGAAGAAAGTCAGTAGTAGTTTGATGGGGATGGCATTGAATCTATAAATTACCTTGGGCAGTATGGCCATTTTCACGATATTGATTCTTCCTATCCATGGTTATGGAATATTCTTCCATTTATTTGTGTCTTCTTTTATTTCGTTGAGCAGTAGTTTGTAGTTCTCCTTGAAGAGGTCCTTCACATCCCTTATAAGTTGGATTCCTAGGTATTTTATTCTCTTTGATGCAATTGTGAATGGGAGTTCATTCATGATTTGGCTCTCTGTCATTGGTGTATAGGAATGCTTGTGATTTTTGCACATTGATTTTGTAGCCTGAGACTTTGCTGAAGTTGCTTATCAGCTTAAGGAGATTTTGGGCTGAGACAATGGGGTTTTCTAAATATACAATCATGTCATCTGCAAACAGGGACAATTTGACTTCCTCTTTTCCTAATTGAATACTCTTTATTTCTTTCTCTTGCCTGATTGCCATGGCCAGAACTTCCAACACTATGTTGAATAGGAGCGGTGAGAGAGGGTATCCCTGTCTTGTGCCAGTTTTCAAAGGGAATGATTCCAGTTTTTGCCCATTCAGTATGATATTCGTTGTGGGTTTGTCATAAATAGCTCTTATTATTTTGAGATACGTCCCATCAATACCTAGTTTATTGAGATTTTTTAGCATGAAGGGCCATTGAATTTTGTCAAAGGCGTTTTCTGCATCTATTGAGATAATCATATGGTTTTTGTCTTTGGTTCTTTTTATATGCTGGATTACGTTTATTGATTTGCATATGTTGAACCAGCCTTGCATCCCAGGGATGAAGCCAACTTGATAGTGGTAGATAGGGTTTTAGATGTACTGCTGGATTCAGTTTGCCAATATTTTATTGAGGATTTTTGCATCGATGTTCATCAGCGATATTGATCTAAAATTCTTTTTTTTTATTGTGTCCCTGCCAGCCTTTGGTATCAGGATGATGTTGGCCTCATAAAATGAATTAGGGAGGATTCCCTCTTTTTCTATTGATTGGAATAGTTTCAGAAGGAATGGTACCAGCTCCTCTTTGTACCTCTAGTAGAATTCGGCTGTGACTCTGTCTGGTCCTGGACTTTTTTTGGTTGGTAGGCTATTAGTTATTGCCTCAATTTCGGAACCTGTTATTGGTCTATTCAGGGATTTAACTTCTTCCTGATTTAGTCTTGGGAGGGTGTATGTGTCCAGGAATTTATCCATTTCTTCTAGATTTTCTAGTTTATTTGCATAGTGGTGTTTATAGTATTTTCTGATGGTAGTTTGTATTTCTATGAGATCGGTGGTGATATCCCCTTTATCATTTTTTATTGCATCTATCTGATTCTTGTCTCTTTTCTTCTTTATTAGTCTTGCTAGCAGTCTATCAATTTTGTTGATCTTTTCAAAAAGCCAGCTCCTGGATTCATTGATTTTTTGAAGGGTTTTTTTGTGTGTCTATCTCCTTCAGTTCTGCTCTGATCTTAGTTATTTCTTGCCTTCTGCTAGCTTTTGAATGTGTTTGTTCTTGCTTCTCTAGTTCTTTTAATTGTGATGTTAGGGTGTCAATTTTAGATCTTTCCTGCTTTCTCTTGTGGGCATTTAGTGCTATAAATTTCTCTCTACACACTGCTTTAAATGTGTCCTAGAGGTTCTGGTATGTTGTGTCTTTGTTCTCATTGGTTTCAAAGAATACCTTTATTTCTGCCTTCATTTCGTATGTACCCAGTAGTCATTCAGGAGCAGGTTGTTCAGTTTCCATGTAGTTGAGCAGTTTTGAGTGAGTTTCTTAATCCTGAGTTCTAGTTTGATTGCACTGTGGTCTGAGAGACAGTTTGTTATAATTTCTGTTCTTTTACATTTGCTGAGGAGTGCTTTACTTCCAACTATGTGGTCAATTTTGGAATAAGTGTGATGTGATGCTGAGAAGAATGTATATTCTGTTGATTTGGGGTGGAGAGTTCTGTAGATGTCTATTAGGTCTGCTTGGTGCAGAGCTGAGTTCAATTCCTGGATATCCTTGTTAACTTTCTGTCTCGTTGATCTGTCTAATGTTGACAGTGGGGTGCTAAAGTCTCCCATTATTATTGTGTGGATGTCTAAGTCTCTTTGTAGGTCTCTAAGGACTTGCTTTATGAATCTGGGTGCTCCTATTTTGGGTGCATATATATTTAGGATAGTTAGCCCTTCTTGTTGAATTGATCTCTTTACCATTATGTAATGGCCCTGTTTGTCTCTTTTGGTCTTTGTGGTTTAAAGTCTGTTTTATCAGAGACTAGAATTGCAACCCCTGCTTTTTTTTTTGTTTTCCATTTGCTTGGTAGATCTTCCTTCATCCCTTTATTTTGAGCCTATGTGTGTCTCTGTACATGAGATGGTTCTCCTGAATACAGCACGCTGATGGGTCTTGAGTCTTTATCCAATTTGCCAGTCTGTGTCTTTTAACTGGGGCATTTGGCCCATTTACATTTAAGGTTAATATAGTTATGTGTGAATTTGATCCTGTCATTATGATGTTAGCTGGTTATTTTGCTCGTTAGTTGATGCAGTTTCTTCCTAGCATCGATGGTCTTTACAATCTGGCATGTTTTTGCAGTGGCTGGTACCAGTTATTTGTTTCCATGTTCAGTGCTTCCTTCAGCAGCTCTTGTAAGGCAGGCCTGGTGGTGACAAAGTCTCTCAGCATTTGCTTGTCTGTAATGGATTTTTTTTCTCTTTCACTTATGAAGCTTAGTTTGGCTGGATATGAAATTCTGGTTTGAAAATTCTTTTCTTTAAGAATGTTAAATATTGGCCCCCACTGTCTTCTGGCTTGTAGAGTTTCTGCCAAGAGATCCGCTGTTAGTCTGATGGGCTTCCCTTTGTGGGTAACCCGACCTTTCTCTCTGGCTGCCCTTAATATTTTTTCCTTTGTTTCAACTTTGGTGAATCTGACAATTATGTGTCTTGGAGTTGTTCTTCTCGAGGAGTATCTTTGTGGCGTTCTCTGTATTTCCTGAATTTGAATGTTGGCCTGCCTCGTTCAATTGGGGAAGTTCTCCTGGATAATATCCGAAGAGTGCTTTCCAACTTGGTTCCATTCTCCCCATCACTTTCAGGTACACCAATCAGACGTAGATTTGCTCTT
Organism: Homo sapiens; assembly: GCF_000001405.40. Classification (NCBI taxonomy): domain Eukaryota; kingdom Metazoa; phylum Chordata; class Mammalia; order Primates; family Hominidae; genus Homo; species Homo sapiens. Next base: position 3,313,876 of record NC_000009.12, on the reverse strand, counting down.
TTCACATAGTCCCATATTTCTTGGAGGCTTTGTTCGTTTCTTTTTACTCTGTTTTTTCTAAACTTCTCTTCTCGCTTCACTTCATTCATTTGATCTTCAGTCACTGATACCCTTTCTTCCACTTAATCAAATCGGCTACTGAAGCTTGTGCATCCTTCACGTAGTTCTCATGCCATGGTTTTCAGCTCCATCAGGTCATTTAAGGATTTCTCTAGACTGTTTATTCTAGTTAGCCATTCGTCTAATCTTTTTTCAAGGTTTTTAGCTTCTTTGTGATGGGTTCGAACATCCTCCTTTAGCTCAGAGAAGTTTGTTATTGCCGATCGTCTGAAGTCTTCTTCTCTCAACTCGTCAAAATTATTCTCCATCCAGCTTTGTTCCGTTGCTGGCGGGGAGCTGCGTTCCTTTGGAGGAGAAGAAGCACTTTGATTTTTAGAATTTTCAGCTTTTCTGCTCTGGTTTCTCCCCATCTTTGTGGTTTTATCTACCTTTGGTCTTTGTTGATGGTGACTTACAGATGGAGTTTTGGTGTGGACGTCCTTTCTGTTTGTTAGTTTTCCTTCTAACAGTCAGGACCCTCAGCTGCAGGTCTGTTGGAGTTTGCTGGAGGTCCATTCCAGACCCTGTTTGTTTGGGTATCACCAGTGGAGTCTGCAGAACAGCAAATATTGCAGAACGGCAGATGTTGCTGCCTGATTGTTCCTCTGGAAGCTTCGTCTCAGAGGAGCACCTGGCTGTATGAGGTGTCAGTCGGCCCCTACTGGGAAGTGTCTCTCAGTTACGCTACTTGGTGGTCAGGGACCCACTTGAGGAGGCAATCTGTCCGTTCTTAGATCTTAAATTCTGTGCTGGGAGAACCACTACTCTCTTCAAAGCTGTCAGACAGGGACATTTAAGTCTGCAGAAGTTTCTGCTGCCTTTTGTTCAGCTATGCCCTGCCCACAGAAGTGGAGTCTACAGAGGCAGGCAGGCCTCCTTGATCTGCGGTGGGCTCCACCAAGTTGGAGCTTCCAGGCCGCTTTGTTTACCTACTCAAACCTAAGCAATGGCGGACGCCCCTCTCCCAGCCTCACTGCCACCTTGCAGTTCAATCTCAGACTGGTGTGCTAGCAGTGAGCGAGGCTCCATGGGCGTGGGACCCCCTGAGCCAGGCATGAGATATAATCTCCTGGTGTGCTGTTTGCTCAGTTGGAAATGCAGAAATCACCCGTCTTCTGCGTTGCTCACAATGGGAGCTGCAGACTGGAGCTGTTCCTATTCGGCCATCTTGGAACCTCAATCCCCCTGCTTTTTTTTTTTTTTTAATTGAGGATTAAAAGAACAGTTTATCCCGAATCTCTCAGTTAAGCTACTTCTTGACATTGCTGTGGAAGTAATGTATTTGCATATTGTTTGAATATACAGCTTTTAACAGTACATAGCTGGAACCTTAGCTTGATTGATGGTGTTTCTGTATATATCTGCTGGGTCTGCAGAGCTCAAGGAACACTCTGGAGATCCTTCGAAGAAGGTTTCCATTGACTAGATGGGAACTGATACTGTTTCAGCTGCTTATTACAGGGTATTTGAAGTTTTAAAGCCACAAACTACAATGAGAAATACCTTTACATTGTGGCCCAATACTCACTCATATGTACATACATATATTCATGAGTGCACATCTACATACAAACATGTGACTATGTATATACATGTACATGTATACATATGACTGAAACTAAAGTTTCATGAAGCAATACTTATCCATACTGTGTGCAGTTAACTCTGGTTATTTTCTACTCTATTCAGTTAGGTTTTTAGAAATGCTGGTCAGTACCTACATTATTAATTCTGTAACCCATTAGTTGCACCTTACATTCTGAAAAACACTGCTTTGGGCAAATGAAACAGGAGGTTAGAGCATTTACAATACATGTATGAAAGGCCTGGGGACAGAGTCTCCATTGTAGAGGTTTGTTTTGTTTGGCATTTCTTTTTTGGGGGAGTAGGGGGGTGGGCAGAGTCTTGCTCTGTTGCCCAGGCTGGCTTGCAGTGGTGCAATCTTGGCTCACTGGAACCTCTGCCTCCCAGATTCAAGCGATTGTCCTGCCTCAGCCTCCCGAGTAGCTGGGATAACAGGCGCCCACCCACACCCAGCTAATTTTTTATATTTTTAGTAGAGATGAGGTTTTGCCATGTTGGCCAGGCTGGTCTTGAACTCCTAACCTCAGGTGATCCACCTGTCTTGGCCTCCCAAAGTGCTGGGATTACAGGTGAGAGCCACCACGCCCGGTCTTGTTTAGCATTTCTAACAGGTACCCAAATGATTTTGATACTGCTGGTTCAGGACCACATTTTGAACAACCGCAATTTTAGTGATTATAGAGACTAAATGCAAAAGGGAAGTGTTCTTTCTTTTGTTGTTCCTGGTTGAATGGCTTCCTATAGGATGTACCCTCCTCTTCACACACACCAGGAGGCTGTCATTTCACACAGGTGTGAGTGGTGGCTACATGCTGATGCCAGCCATCACAATTCCCTTTTCTAAACATAAGTCTCCAAGTAGAAATGTTCTGTCTTACCTGATCTCAAGATGCAAACCAGGTAGAAATGTTTTTGTCTTACCTGATTTCAAATACAAACAAAATTTAAAGTCCTGAAGATCAGAAGAGAAATTACCCAGAAAGAAATTCCTGGTTTTAAGTGTATCCTCTTCATTAAGTTTCTCTAAAAAATTTACAGTTTTCACAGGAAAACAGAAATGCTATGTCTCTGAGAAAGTACTCACTGATGATGTTAACAGAGTAACTTGTATTAACAAGAAAATGCAATTGTTATACATTAGGTAACTGTTTTTATAATTAAAATTTAACTATCTAGTTAAAACTTTTTATTGCCTAGTAACTTCATCATTTTACATCATTTTTGAGTAACGTTTATCGATCATATTTAAATTTTTCCAGTTAGAAAGTAAATTGTTAACAGTAAATCATTTAGCAAATTTTGATTTTATAAGCCACTCACTCCTCAGAAGATAACTTCATTACAACAATTTGAAATATTTCCACTTTGTTTATATTCATTTTATATTTGTATATGATGGCAATGATGTTGAATTTAAGCATGATAAATCTTGGATTTCAATTTCATAGTTAATACCCAAGAAAGTTCTACACATCTCAAGAAAATCCATCAATCCCACATAGTCTCAGGTTTCTAATCTGTTAAAAAGGAGATAATATTCCTTACCTTTACTATTTTACAAAGTTGTTGTGAAGATAAAGTGAGAATTAATATAGAAACCCTTTATAATTCATAAAGCATTGTACTATTCCATTTTCAAATCACTGTAACAGTTCTAGAAAAGAAAGTTTCTACCATGAAACCAATTTTAATTACAGTGATAGTTGAATATATCAATATTGACCTTTACTCTTTTAACAAAAGATTAAAAAGCCATTTCAGAGTCGAGAGAACATGCCTTGACCTATAAAGACAATAAATAAGATGATATAATTGTTCTTTTTCTTCCTGCCTTATTAGCATATAAGGGAATGACAGGTTAATATTTACATTAAGAGAGAGTTCTAATTGTCCGTATATATGATATTCTGTTTGGGACATTGCATAGATGTGTATGTAACCAACATGTCCAGGGGAGCCTCTTTTGGTTCCATGTAAATCATACAAAAGACTCAACACCTCTTCCCATTTTGCTGCATTTCAAACTGAGGTTTACCTTCTTGGCATTATCAACTGCCCCTAAATGATCCCTGTGCTCCAGCCAGTCTCGATTACTTGTACTAGAAGCATCTGCAAGTGGCATAGGTTTTACTGAAGATTTTGCAGGGGAAAGCACTGTTCAGGATCACACCCTCTAAAAGACGGTCACACAAAGCCTCTTTTGTACCACCTTGTTCTCCCCACTCTGTCCTTTTATTCTGCCAGTGATCCTCCACCTTCAGTCTTTCCAGGTCTGGGATCATTCCGTCTCCTCTAAATCTCAGAATCTCTCAATGCTCCAGTGAACACTTAAACCTGAGAGCAACTCTGCAAAACAAAGGGCCATCCTATGAGAAGGACTCTCCTTTAGAAGGCAATGGGGACTTAAAATAGGGAAAATGCATTCCCTTATAATAGGAAAAATATGTTCCCTTATAATAGGGAAAATGTGTTTTTTCTTTTCTATTACATTTTTCTTTTCACAATATGTATTGCCTTTGAAAAAATGTAATATTGATCCCTTCTTTGAACATGGGAAGAGAACACAAGCACAACGTTTATTGGACATCATTTGACCCTCTCCTCCCCACCCCCATTCTCTTTTCCCCCTGGCTTAGGTTAAGACTTTTCTCCAAAATCTCTTTTTTGATGCTGATTTTTGGACAGATGTGGCACAAGCCTCAGGGTGGCTCTTGAATGCTTGGAGACTGTCTGCCTGTCCTTCATTCCAACAAGGCAGCATTAGCATCTTGGTGATTGGGGAAGTTTTCAGCCTGAGTTTTAGGCCACGGATTTATTGCACTGTCTCTGTCTCCCAGGAGATAATAGGTGCCCTGTACCCTACAGGTTCTTCCTAGAAGGGTTGCTATATCTTTGTTGGAGCTCCACTAATCTTTGTGTTTTTTCTCCCTGGTGTGAAATACGACATCTCCCTTGCCCTTTCTGAATTCCTAATCCTAATTCCTGAGAAATCATGGAAGTTCCCTTCACTGCTGTAGTCTGTCACAAAATATGCATGCTTGGCATACTCAAAAGAAATGACGTTCTCTGTCGTACAGAATCTATGCATTTTTCTTGAATCTACCTGACAAGAACAAAGGCCAGGTGATTGTTTGTATGGTCATATTTTTATCACATTTGTGACCGTACTACTTTGTACAACGGAAGCAAATTAATTGGTATAGTCTCTAGCTCTCCAGGCTTAGTGTGGAGATCGTCTTGCCCAAATGAAGGCAACTCCTGGGATTGTGTCTTTCAAGGATTCAAAGTTTGGTTAGTGGAGCTGACTCACATATGTATTTGCTGTAATTCTCCAGTTCCTCTCTGGTGCTCCAAATATTTTCTCATAGCAACCCATACACCTTCCCCTCTTTCTTCACTCAATTGAACTCACTCACAGCAACAGTCATGGCATGGGGGTGGGTCATCTCTACTCTCTGATGAAATCTAATTTACTCTGAATAGGTTTCATTGTAAACCACTCTCTCAGCAAGTTGCTCCAACCAGGTTTGATTTTTCTATTTATGTTCCATAGCACTTTGTCGTATGACATCTTGCAAAGAGATCTTTTCATGTTCCTGCTAATATGTGGTCAGAAATCTGGCATGTAAATTGGCATGTAATGTGGAAGTTTATTATGTGAACTTTGACTCTTGAACCTTTGCCAGGCTTTGAGACCACATATAATTCCTAAGGCTGGGCAACTTTTCATCGTCTTTTATCACTTTTCTGCCCCAGAGACCAGCCACTCTGACATTTCAGCAGTCTGTCTAAAGGCAGTGCTGAATCCCCCTCTTCATCTTCTGAAAATATTTCTGGCTTCCAGTAGCACTGAATGGAGGGTTCCCATCTTTGGCTGAGAACCAACAATGGCTCACCCCACCATTTGATCTTACAGGAGTTGCCATAGAGTCTTATCTGATTGTGAGGCAGTAGTCCAGGACCTTCATGAACCAGTCTTAATTCCCAAGCACTATGTATCCTAACGTTAGATAATCATAGGGAGGAGGTGTACACTATTAGTGACTCAGTCCCAGGGTGATCATTTAATAGATTACATATAGGCAGTGTATCTTAGTTCAGAGAATTGATTTTTTAAATAATAAACAAGGATATTTTCATAGCCTAAAGCTTTGTAAGTTTAAAGAAAAAAATGGAGAATGTTTACTATCCCCATTTTTAATGGAAAAAATGAACTTTTTAATCTTAAAAGAAAATTGGTTCTGTACCATTAAGTAAAAAAAGGCAGAAGAAGATTTTAAAAAATTGAAAGAATCTAAGAGAAAGGAAAAAGAGAGGAAGGAGCAACGCTCAAGAAGAGAGATATCACTGAGGCTTTGCATTAGTCTAACTTAGGTTGTCACAAGGCCTCTTGTTAATGTGATTACAGTACTTTGCACTACAGTTGAAATTTCAATAACAAAATGATCTGTATTCTTAGAATAAAGACTATGCGGCAGAGAAATGAGCAGGAAAAACATTTTAGAATCTATTCATGTCAATGTGTTTGATATGTGTATTTGAAATGTTCTAATCACATAGTGATGAAATAAAGGCCATTGTGTTCATTTCAAGTAAAAATACAGCACTACCAAGCCTTCTCCCTTAGACTCCCACCTTTAGAGCTGTGATTTGAAAATATGTTTGTATTCATCCCTTTCATTCTCACTGCAGTGTTATCACCAGTTTCTCACCTCAATCCTGGACTATTATGATAGCTTCCAAGTTGGTTTTCCTGTCTAGATTCTCTCCTATCCTACATTATATCCCAAATTATTAATAATATATGAAGTGATGTCAGATTAATTCCCTTTCTCAAGACTTTTTAACAGTGGCCCACATCCTATATAATTGAACACTCCTAGCCACAAAGTTGCAGTCTGTATATATTTACCTATCCCTAAAGGAACCTTATCATTTGGCCAATTGTATTAGTTCATTTTCATGCTGCTGAAAAAGACATACACGAGACTGGGCAATTTACAAAGGAAAGCGGTTTAATGTATAGCTCACAGTTCATCGTGGCTGGGGAAGCCTCACAGTCATGGCAGAAGGCAAGAAGGAGCAAGTCACATCTTATGTGGATGGTGGCAGGCAAAAAGAGAGCTTGGGCAGAGAAACTCCCGTTTTTAAAACCATGAAATCTCATGAGATCGATTCATTATCAGGAAAACAGCACAGGAAAGACCCGCCCCCATTATGCAGTCATCTCCCACCAGGTCCCTCCCACAACACATGGGAATTATGGGAACTACAAGATTAGATTTGTGTGGGGACACAGACCCAAACCATATTACCAATCTTACCCTTCCTTGAACCTACATTGTGCAATCTTATCTTGTTTGCTTTGCCTAAAATGTTCACTAACCTGCCCTTATCAGAATGCCAGGTATTATTTGTCAATTTTCTTTTTTTTTTAATTATTATTATACTTTAAGTTTTAGGGTACATGTGCACAACCTGCAGGTTTGTTACATATGTATACATGTGCCATGTTGGTGTGCTGCACCCATTAATTCGTCATTTAGCATTAGGTATGTCTCCTAATGGTATCCCTCCCCCCTCCCCCCACCCCACAACAGTCCCCGGTGTGTGATGTTCCCCTTCCTGTGTCATATTTGTCAATTTTCTACTAAAGAACTGCCTTACCCATGCTCTGTCAAACTGTAACAGCAAGAAGTAATTTCCCTTCCTTCCAGTAATATTCAATTATTTAATTCATTCAGTTTGCCTTTAATCACTTACATATTTATGAAACTCTGCTAGTTTAACGAATTTCCCACTATCAGCAGCACACACCATAGTTGCACTGGGAGAGGAATAGTGTTGATTTTATTCTTATACTTAAAAAAAATCTTGAATTTGAATCAGTTTTAAATTCTAGCTGACTCGTAACCTAATCATTTTTGTTGCATGAAGCTATGGGGATATAATATCTTTGTTGAGGTTAGGAGCATTTCCTCAGATGATATATGAGAATATCACATTGAACACTTGGGCCAGTAATCTTTTGGATCAATGAGCCTACTTTTAAGCAAATTTTCCATCGGTGTTAACTGATCATCATTTCCTACCTTAAATATGACAGTCATGAGTATTGTGGTAAAACATCATTTAGTGTTACGTATATTTCTACCTAGCAGAATTTATAAATTTTTCCTAATGAATGAACTTAACTTTTTAAGTGATCCACAATAAACTGGAAGCATGTGATCTTACCAGTTCACTTTGGGATTAGTGTTTTAGGTGTCAAATGCTGATGTGTGCCATTTTTTTCTTGAGATTGGTAAACTCTCAGAAGGTTGAACAAATATTTACTTAAATATCTAACCTACAATAATGGAAAATTTAACAAATCAATTTAATCTTTGATGAGACTGGTAGAAACTTATCCTAATTCACTAACATTTTATCTAGCTAATTTGCACACTATTCCTCTGTCCCTCTACCCAACCTCTCCCCATATGCATAAAACTACCCCCTTGAAACTATGATAAACCCAAATCATGGGCTAATTCGTAGGAGTGACATTAGTAATCCATTTGGAATCATGCAACTAGTTAATCCTTCATATCTTTGTAATTTCAAAGGCTCATTATTACTCTTCTTCCCCATTTCTGCATTATTCCTCTTGCCTCTTCCTCACCCTCACTTTCCCACCGTTGTCATGATATATTCCTATGAATGATAGTGTCTTCCTTTACTGTTGTCCCAGAGCTTCTATTCAATCCACAAGCATTTATTGGGCACACTTTGCTTTCACCTATTTTAACCTTACTACTAGCATGGCCCCATTATACCTAGCAAAACCCTTCTCCTGGCTTTATCTGAAAATTAGCATTTTTCATACATCCCTACACTTTCCTCAAAACCTTAATGACATTGCTTTTTCCCTGATTCCCGCATACATTATCTACTTCCAACCTATTTTTTCAGCCTCACTCATACCACTCCCATATATACATGAAATGTATATTTATAGCTCATGCCCTACAAACTAGGTTTCTTGCCATTTCCCAAATATGGACACAGCCTGTGCTTTCTTGCCTCCTGGCTCTATTAAGTCGATTCTTCCTAGATTTCCCTTTTACCCCCTGAACACTTCCATCTTTTAATACATGGGTTTTGAATTCAGAGAGTCTGTAAACTAAGAAAATAAATGTGAATTTTGTAGGTGTTCTTATATATATTTTTTCCAAGTAGAGAGTTCACAGTTTTCATTACATCCTCAAAAGGGTTAAAGACTCCTCAAAAGTTAAAGACTACTACTCTTATTTTCTTCCACCTTTCTGAACTATGCTTGTATTTTTGTTACAAGTAGTCTTGTTTGGCATATTAGTCCGTTCTCATGCTGCTGATAAAGACATATCTGAGACTGGGTAATTTATAAAGAAAAAGAGGTTTAATGGACTCACAGTTCCATGTGTCTGGGGAGACCTCACAATCATGGCAGAAGGCAAAAGACTCATCTTACATGGCAGCAGGCAAGAGAGAATGAGAGCCAAGCAAAAGGGGAAACCCTTTATAAAGCCATCAGATCTCGTGAGACTTACTCACTACCACAAGAACAGTATTGGGGAAACCACCCCCATGATTCAGTTACCTCCCACTGGCTCCCTCCCACAACATGTTAGAATTGTGGGAGCTACAATTCAAGATGAGATTTGGGTGGGGACAGAGACATATAATTTGGTAATTATGCATTTATTCATATATATGACCATGTGTATACCCTGTCTCTCTTACTGGATTGTAATGTCTATTGGATTATGAAAAATTTTTGTAATCATGATCTTTTGCACACAACCTTATATATGACAGTCACACAGTTACTATGTACTTAAAAAAGAAAAGAAACTGTTTTTTAAAAAATGTAATCAGGGCTATGATCCTTTCATGAGATTGGAATTCCCTTCAATAAATTTTTAAAATGAATATAATAAATACATGTTAATTTTTTGTATGCTTCTCGGAAGTTCTTATCAGTGAGGTGGTAACTAAATGGCCTGGTTATCCCATTGGACTAATTAATAAGCCTTAAAGATTTCATGAGTATTTAGTATTTGGAAGCCCGTGGGTTTCCAAGTAGGTTCCAACATGCATGCTGAGGCTGGTGTCTTCCTTGTAGAAGAACTCAGTCTTTATTTCTTGCTTGTCCTATCATTCCATATTTCTTCCTTTCCATTCCCCGGGCTACACAAATTCGGCACAGGCCTAAGTCAGTTAGGCAGAAGATTCCTAAAGCCAAAAGAAATACCCCTTTTGTTATCTGTGTTACAAAGTGACACAAAGAAGAACCGAAATTCTGAAGGTCCAAGGCATTCTAGAATGTCAGTGTATCTGTTCCTGGGGAATCCATTTTCACCCACATATTTCCTTGCACCTTTCCAAAGCTCTTAAAAAACTGTCCAGAAATGAGAAGGCCATTTCCTAAAAGCCTGGCCTTCTAGGGAATCATCTGGAAATCTAGGACCACTATAAAATAACAGCTTCAATAACAGAAGCAGATCTCTGACTTTTTTTTTTTTCCCAGAAAAAGAAGTGCTGGTTTATCCAACTGAAAAGTGCTTATTAACAAACTGAGAGCATGGACTTCTCCTTTAGTGTTGCTCAGCAATTATGTATCTGGTAATTTACCTTTCATTAAAAATTATAATATCAAAAGTTACAGATCATTTTATTTATATTTACTAGACTGAAATCTTACCTCAAATTCTCTGCACTCAAACTTTAAAGAAAATATAGGTATAATGGCAAATTAGGGTTTTGAGCAAATTCTTCCTATAAGTGAATTGTAGTCATATGAATCCTTTGACTTGTTTTCTGCTCTGTTTTCTCTTTGAAAAAAAAGCACTTATTGATCATGTTTTAAGAGATGTTATACCAAAGTCCTTTATAGTTTCACAGTTTAACATTTTGGTAAAATGTTTGTTCATTCATTACATTTACATTACTCTTTCTGTAATATATCTCTTTTCATTTGTGCAGTATCACTATTTTCAAGTATAGTGGTAAACTGCATTAACATCCATTCTGGCAGAGAGAATGTTGTAGAAGCCTATGTTTCTAGAAGCCTGTGTTTCTTAGAAGAGAATGATTAAGAAGTTTACTTAATTTTGTTGTCTAAAAAAAGTTAACAGTAGGATAAATTGTATTACATCTTCCTATGAATTAATTTAATATCTATTTTAAGAATTTTTTTATGATTTCTTAACCTAACATACTCTTTTCAGTATTATGTTTTATTAACTCCAGGGAAGAATTAGCAACGTGGGAAAATAATGTAAAATAAAATTAAAGCTATTAACTTCTAAGTTGTTTAGAAGAAAATTAGATTTAATGTTGGTATAATTGATACTGAGTATTTTGTGTATAAAGTGTTTTACCATAAAGAAATTGGAAACTTGGGAGAAAATTAAGACTTTGCTATAGATATTACTGCATTATTTTTCTTTGGGAGGGGGCAGTATGTTAAAATTTGAAGGCATTATCAATTTCCATAGTCAAAGTATAAGAAAGTTAAATATGTTTTAAAGCTCTAAATATTTTTATAACTGCTTATACTGAATTGTTGATGTAATCAGACTGTTAAGAATAATGAAATCAATTTTCTCTCTTAAATTGCATGGTGTGATTTTTTTCTTTTGAATTTAGCTAATATTGTTAATATAGCTCAGTATCCAAATACATGGTGTTCAGTACCTGTTTTTAATGCAACATGCAATACTACCAGGAGTTGAAAGATAGATAACTTTAAATATGAGGTTATTAAGAGTGTATCACATTTATCACTAACACCTGGTACTTAATTAATAATCGTACATGGTATGCTGAGATTTCACAGATTAGAGCTGTTTCTGTGATTGTCCCTTCTCTTTGTTGTCTCTGAATTATTTTCTCTTCTTCATTCCATTTCTGCTGTCATTTCTAATATTTCTGCCTTAACACCACATCGTAAAATATAATGTAGGGACCATCATTTTACTTCTTCATATTTGTTCATACTGATGACCCCCTACTTCCATATTTTAATACAGGATTAATGGAGGGATGTATGGATTTAGTAACTTTTGGACATTAATGAAAGAATCTTTGTTCATTTGCATTAAAATATTAATGCATATTAAACTCAAAATCTGCGGTATGATTTTCCTTTCGTGAGAGAATAGCACTAATATTAAATACTCTTTAGGTGGGAGACGATTTAGAAAGAGAATAGTTACTATCCCATATCCTGAACTATGAAAGTCAAGAATGTTTATTCATAAGAAGAAAAATCCACCAGGGTCCCTGCTCTTCAGGTCTCCATTCTGATTATAATTATGGAATGTTCAAAAAAGGTTTACTTTGTGAATGGGCTTATTATTAGTGTGCATATTTTTATTTTGTTCTCTGGAGGGTGGGGAAGAAGGGGAGAAAACACATTAAGTGGCAACTGTTCATTAACGACCGTTGAGGAAGAAGTTGGACTTTAAAGAATCTATCAGAAATTCTCTGGTCAGCCTTTTATTACTATCTTGTCTTGAGCCCTTTTTTTAATGACATCTATTATCAGATTGAAATGGCGATTGAGACGCTGCAAAAGTCTGACGGTCTGTCCACTCACAGAAGCTCTCTTCTCAACAGCCATGTAAGTTGCCTCTTCTTCATGTACACTAATCTCTTGCTTGTTCTGCATGTGTTGCTTGCCTCTAAATGCTTGTTTTATTTATTTACTTATTTATTTTGCTTCTTAACCTTCCCTTCTCAGCCCCTTATGATCTCTGTGTCATTTAATGGCTATTTTGTACAGTGAAATATCCAAAAAATAGAGTCTCCAGTATAATTTATTAGGTTTCTGTACTCTTTGGGTACAGATATAATATTTTCGAGTTAGTAACAAGTTGCCATGTATTTGTACAAAGTAATAATAGTGATTTTCAATATTTAAAATGTTCCAGTTTGATATTTATTTACTATGAAGCAAATACTTGTAATCTGCATCTCTGTCAAACAGCCATGTCTACTTGCGTGACCAGTAATGTTCTTTAAGTAGAAAAAGGATGATTAATGTGAAATCCAATGATAAACTGTTTGAAAATGATTTGTTTACCAGTAAGACTATGTAAGGTGGGCAGTAAACAACCCCATAGTTGAATTCAGGTCCTAAGACCTAAAGAGAAGTAAAAGTGAACCAAAAGAAAAAGTGAGACTGTCTACAAGCCATAAATTGCTAATAATTGAGATAAAACTACCATTACTATGCCCTGAAGCTGTTTCCTGTTATCAGATGCAGATATCACTATGACACTGGTAAGTGTAAGAAGGGTGATGATAGTTTTGTGAAATTATAAACATTTTTATCAGCTGTTCTCATGTGGGAAACCAATGAAAATGCTGAATAAAAATTTGTTTTGTTAAGATGATTTCTGAATATATGGAAAAAAGTAAATAGACCCATGGTGTAAATTCATTTTAGATATATCTTCTGCTAACTTAACATTAGTGACATTTTAGTTTAGAATTTTCTCCCACAACTGACAATTTGTTCTTAAATTTAGGGATAAAGTATTATGACTTCTTATTTCTTTTTCATATTTTATAACTGAAAAGCTCGATATTGGATCACCCAAATAAGACCATTTTTTTCAATAAACCTAAAACTTTTACTCATAGAAAATGTTTTAACTGTGTTTTTTTTAAGTATTTGATCTTTGAAAAATTTTAATTTTATATCTTAAAATAGCACTAATTACCTCCTTATGTTCTTACACTTTGTTTTTAGATGGGGTATTTTGTCTTGTTTCTTTTTTCAAAGGAAAGTATCATGGAAAACAAAACCAGGTTAGCCAACTTGGAGAATGCCTATAAATTTGGTGACAAATTATACATACAAACTTAAACATGATAGTATATATTCTGGCCCTTCCTTTTGAAAGAGTTTAAGAAATATAAGTTTTTTCATTTCTGAAAATTGGTATTTAGTATGTCACTCTTTTATGTTTCGTAAGTATATTCCTGCTATGTTGGCATGTATCTGTGATTGCATTAAAGGCTGATTTCCTGTATACTACTAGGCTGTGTGTGTCCGGGGGGTGATGATTAACTTATATTTATGCTTTGAAAATGGGAAGTGAAATTGTTCTTCCTTTTAGTCACAAATGTGCAAGGACATAAGAAAAAAAAAAACCTGAAGTTTCCAGTTACCTGTTTCAGCTTTCAGACTTCCAAGTTGTGCTTTCATATTCAACTCAGGGTTCATTTTTACTTGACATGAATAACTTAGTAAAATATGTTATATGTTTAATTTTAAATTTAACTTCAGTTATTCATCTTAGTATTTTTATGAACAATAATGGAAGTATAAGAACATGTTTCTTATATATTTTAAAAATGTATTTGTTGATTTGTTTGAAGCTTTTCAACTGTTAGAGATTTTTAACAATTATTTTTCTTTATAGAATTCATGAAAGAATGTTTAAGATTAATAAATGTTTGAATTAAGCTGCATAAACAATGACAAATATTTATTACTTCATGGCTTCATTTTTTTTATTACATAATATGTCTGATCTTCCATACTGCTAACAACTCCCAGAGACACTTCAGTATGTGGAAAGAGTGGGCGCAAATGTTGATTGTGCAGTGGTAATCTTTCTCCAACTATCCTGATTCATTTTTATTACACCTTGAGGCACAGTGAAGTTCATTCAAAAATATATTTATAGTCAAATATTTAGAAACAAAAATGATTCTACGGATGGTTTATAAACAGTGGAGAAAGGATCAGTGCTTCTACTGACTGATCAGTGAGGTTAGTTTCTTCCTAAACACAGAAAAAGATCCTGTTGTCTTTTTCCTCCCTGGAAAGTTGATGATGCTTTTAATGTTTCTGAGATTTATCAAAAACAACTGGAATTTGCTAGTGCATGCATTCTGGTTGATAACTATTTGCTAAAAGTATTTTACATTCTGTGAATTTAACTGGTGTTTTTATGTTGTGTAGAATTTTTTCAGTGGAGAGATGGAGTTTTTTAAAAAAATTGTTGTTAATATTTTAAATGTTAGTAAACTATGTTACCTTTATTTCTCACTATATGGGGCATAATATAGAATTATTTGAGGTTTGTGGGATTCTTTAAGGTGAACATGAATTCCGCTTTATGATGATTAGTTCCCTGATTTATCACTGTCTCCAAAGGATCAATTTTATTATGTAAAAACATTGGGAGAAATTATTGATAATAATTTGCATCCCGTATTTTACCTGTTTCTAAGGAGAGGTGTTAATCATGACTTTTGGGTGAAAAGTCTATTCTCATTCTATTTTGGAATATGGATAAGCAAAGACTTCCTATTTTCTGTTTCTGTATTTGCTTATTCACAGTAATTTTAAAAACTCTTATTAGGACTAAATAAGATAAATAATCCCCTCAGCAGAATCCAACTTGATTGCTTTGCTTTACACCTTTCCACACTTTAGAAGATGGGGTGAGGTATTGAATTTTCTACCCCATTTTCAACATATTCTTAAGAGAATTAACATGGTGGGAGTTATTTTAGTACCAGCATCTCTAATAGGCATTTAGTAAGTATTTATTGCAAGTGGTAGTTCCAAGAAAGTAAGGATTTTTGTATGTTTTGTTCACCAGTGCATCCCTAGTGCCTAGAACAGTGCCTGGTACATAGTAGATACTCACTAAATATTTGCTGAATGAATAAAAAGAAACAATAGAAGGGATCAGGCCTTATGTTACCTTCATTATTTAGGAATTCTAGGATGCCTTTGCCAATCATGTGTACATTTATTGTATTGTTTCTTTTCAAGTTTGCTTCAAGTAGATATATATGTGAACATCGTTGGTAAAGGGTGGTCTTCTTCTGGTATACCATCTGAGTAAAGAATGTATGGTCACTCAATTATTTCTCTATATGCAGCCTTCAGTTTAAGAGTAAATAACTCTTTTTTTCCTCTAAACAATCTCATCTTTTAAAAAGATCTTGCCAAGAGTGACTTTGTTTTTCTCCTGGTATTTTAGAATGGTACTTTAGATTTGGTTTTACAGAATTCTATTAGTCTAATAATTTTTTATTTAAATATTTTTGTTTCTAATTTTTTTATATATGAAGATGCTACAGTATGAGATGTATAGTCTGCCTAAATGAAATTAAAATATTTAATTCTTTTCATTGCAGACAAGATTATTTTATACTTTTTCTTGGTGTTAATTAATATGAATTAGTATTTAATGGTTGTGGTGTGTTCACTTATTTACAAACTACTTATTTTACATTGTAAATTTGAATTCAGAAATGTTGTTAATTGTTCCCAATAATCGCATGAAATTTAAGGTTGTACATTTCTTTAAAATTCCATTTAAAGTTTATGAAAAGCTCTAGCCGTCTATTTTATGTACTTCTCACAATCTAGCAAATAATTATTTCCTGTTGTTTGCTGGTTTTAGCTACCAAAATACATTTAGCTCAAAGCAAAACCTTGTTTTTTACTCACTTTTCCTTGACTTTGCTGTATTGTAAATATAAGTTATTACAGAAATAAGGCCTGTCAAAATGCATATCGTTAGTAAACTGAACTTAAAATGAATCCTGATGGGTAATAATCCATCTGGGAAAAAATGACAAATGTTACATTTAGATGTTAATTGGGCAATGCAATATTTATTTCTTTTTATTTGTCAATCAGGATTTCCCTTTGGGAAAAACAGGAACCATTCATCTTTAGTCTATCTTGATTAATACAGATTAAATGCAAAGGTTGAAAGATGCAATTATCTTCGTTTCCACCATTAAATGAGTGTATATTAGTTCATAAGTAGAGTAATCAAGTTTTAAAGATAAAGGTTAAAAGTTCCTATGTTATTTTATGGGCTTTTGAAATCATTCCTATGGTATTTTATGGGCTTTTGAAGTCAGCATACATTTTACAAGACATTTTATAAAAGAGCAAAAGATATAATAATTGTTTCGTTCTAAATTATTGAATGTTAAGATTGGGGAATACTAATGTCCAAATACATTGTATTAAAGACAAAACCCAAGAAAACGATATTTAACAGGCATTAACTTCCCTTGGGTAGCTCATGGAGCCTGTGCCTTTAGGTTGCACTTAAACTTACACAAAAACTTAACTGCCAAGTTTCTCTTACAGTCAAAGTAATGCTTCCTAATACTATGTTTTAGACACAAATGTCTGATTTATAATTCCATCACTGTGTCAAAACGTAAAAGTTAAATACTGGCGTATAGGATGGAGATTATAATCCCCAGCCACATCTCAAAGTCTTGTCTGGTGGATCCTTTTAAATCAATTTCTGTTAATACAGTGAATTTCTAGGCGATCTAGCCCGAGGTGGGTTAGTTTTTGGCAGTCTTCCTAGCTGGGACCTGCAGGGCTACAGCAAAGCCATCTCCATCCTTTCAGGGCTTTTACCTCCACTTGACTTCCTTATTCTCTCTCAACCTGCTCTCCAGGCATCTGGCAAGGAATACAGTTCCTCCTTCTGCATACAACGGGTAGGGAACAAAACGTAGCTTTGCTAGTGTCAAAGTGATAGTCATCAAAATACCTGTTCTTGTACCATTTTTCAAACTAACTAGTGATTTATATAAATATATATGTATATGCATATATACATATAAACAAACTGATTTTTTGAACTAGTTTAGAAATGAAGAATTTAAACAGAATTTCTTCAGTTTAAGAATATAAACTATATAAGAAGAACAATCAGTTTATAAAACGGTGCAGATTTTTTGACTTACCTAGCCATTTCAGTGGCCTGCATAGCCAATCGAGTAAAAGCTTCACTTCTTGTAAATTATTCAATTGGGATATAAGTAATATCATTTAGGCTTCTAAGTAGTTTGTGCCAACGTTTGCTGTAATTATCTCACTATTTCTATGAAAAGTTTTCTTTATGAAGAGTGGTCTGATTAACCCATATATATATATAAAAATGTAAATATACCATTGGACTCAAAATATTTTATATTAAACTTTAATATTTGTACTAGCTTTTACTTTTATAAAAGGTAATTTACAGTATCCTTCAAATATTCTATTATTGGATTTTCTTTTTCAAATTTTGTAGTAAAAATTTTAATCTACAAGATAATTCCTATGATCATGAAAAATAAGTAAGCTCTCATTTTTACATGTTTGTCTTATTTTTAAGTAATTTAATGTTGCAAGAAGACTAGTACACAAGTAGGGCAGTTTTTTAAATGTTTTATTTGTTTCTGGTTAATTAAAATTTTTTTAATTTGCTTTTATCAGACTAAAATTACATCAGATCTGTTTTTATTATTTGTATACTTTTGGTTGTAAAGTTCATATTATAAGATTGACTAATTCCATTTCTTTAAAAAAATGCCCTTTAAATGAAGATTTTTCTATATGATATGTCTTCTGTTCATTAGCAAAGGAAGCAATATTGAGTTCTTTACTCAGAACAAATCATGCTATTATACCTTTGACAATATGCATTATTTTATGAGGATATGTAGATGTACTTACAAACATATCTTTGGCATTTTTAACTTACACATATTGTGTGTTCCATGCTTGTGGATGTGGAAACTTCATTAGTTTAGTTGAAAAATACTACTCTGTTTCAAAAAGTATTTACATTTTTTATGTCTGCCTTTCCAGAATTTTTTTCTTTCGTGTCTTCTTTATAGTCCTTGATATCAAGAACCTATATGCCCTTCTTTAATATATTAAGACTGCCACTAGAAGGTGGTCAACCCTTGCTCTGTCTAGTATATGTACACAAAACAAGAACCAGCACTGTTGTACAATACAGCTCACTAGGGCTGCCATAACATCACTCAAGTGCTTCCCAATCTCAATCATTTTACCAAAGCATGTGGATAAAATATATGAATCAGGATTTTATTGCTGCATTTTATGTGTAGTCTCCCTCAGCTATACTTAAAACTAATAAAGTCTTAAAAAAAAAACACTAAAGAGACATGCTGTCCCCCTGTTGTAGGCAAAATACTAATTTGAACCTCAGTAACTTAATTTCCCAATCAGACTGCCTTATCTCTTTTATACTAAATGAATATGTGTAGCAAACCTATTCTGTGTGTCACTTAGAATACTCAGAAATCATGTTTAAGCGCCCCTGGAAAACTTGTTTACTGACAATCAAGTTATAGATGATTCATAACAAAAGAATTATTTTGGCCTGTAATACTTTTATGTCATTGTAAAAACAAATGTTTATTTTGTGTAATCTTTTTAAACTTCTATAGGTCAGCCTTGTATATGTTAAGAGGTATTATGCATGTTTAAATGTGCATATTCATTCGTATATGTGTCCTGTGAAGGACTTCAAGTCTTTCTGATCAAAATCTGAATTTTATTTTTAAAAGTACTCTGGTTTGTCTTGTAGATTTGGTGGCTATGTTTTCAAAGCCAACTATCAATATGGGTTTAATGACATAAGTTTAATTACATAAACATCATGTAGGAATATTTGACATTAAAATGGTTTTTGGAAATTCAGTTGTCATGACTAAAGTCAGTAATTCTGAAAATATTTTTAATGAATTTTTAAATTAAAAGTCTGAAAATTCAGGTTCTAAGTTTGATTGCAAATCTTAAAATATGTAAGTAAAATGGAGAAATTTTTTATTTATTTAAATGTCCATATTATTTTTAGCATTTCATTGGAAATTCCTAGAGGACAAGGATGAGATCACATTCATTTTTGCATCACTAGATGCCTGGCACATTACTTGGCTCATGGTTGGTGCTCAATAAATGAATTCTTTGGCTTCTATAATTTATAATAACTTGAATTGCAAGTTAAATGTCAGCTCTTTATTACACCTGTCTTACATATGGCATGAAAATTTTTGTTGACACAAGTAATGTGAAATATTTACTGCTTTTGTGAAACATTGGTCTGGAGTAATCAGGAAATGTGAATTGGAAACCAGACTCAGGCATGGAGACAATATGTGACTTTGAGAAAGTTATTTAAGTCTATTTCAGTTCTGCTTTTATAAATAAATAAATGAACAAAAGATTTAATTTTGTTAATGTTAAAATTCAATAATATAGACTTGGATTCAATTTTCTAAAATTTTCTTGTACATTCAGTGCTTTAAAGATTTTTTTGTAATGTACACAGGATAACATAAAACTTTAGAATGTGAACATAGACTGAAAAAGTATTGTGTTACCAACTATCATTGCAGTGTGCCTTCCAGAATAATGAATAAACACAGTTTTGAGGTAGAAAAATTAAAATGGTTGTAATAAATGATTCCTTTTCATTACATGTAAACTCTTTGCCAATGTCTTGTCAGTTTATTTTCATTTGGGGAAGAAACGACTGAATTTTGTCTTTTCTGCTTTCAGAATCTGTCGCAGTAGACAATATTGTTATTATCTAGTGGTAATTTGAGATAAATTAAAATTCTATAAAAAGGAATGTAACTTTAATATAAACACTCATACCAGGCAGCCTGCTGTTCATATGTTATAATAAGCCAACACTAAAGACATACTGTTTACCATGCTACCAGGCTTGGTAACATATTTTGTTCTGTGGCAATCATATTTCTGATATTTATGACCAGTTAACGGGATTATTTGAACTCCTTGAAGTGGTGTCTATTTTCAAAATTGGAATCAATACAGGGAAAATTAGTATGTCTCTACGTGTGCTTGAATATTTGAAGAAATGGATATTGTCTGAGATCCTTAGTGATGTTCAGCTATTTACAGTGTTTCTGAGCGTTTTCAAAGGCAGATTACCACCTTCTGAATTATAGCAGTTTACTCTATCATAAGACTTGATGAAGAACTTCTAAGTATTTCTGTATGTTGCATTTGCAGTGTCTTGTAGAAATTTTGGCAAATTATGTGATTTGTCTGTGTTTATTGTGTCTTATTTCCCTAGCTCCAGTGGCTGTTGGACAATTATGAGACAGCAGAAGGAGTGAGCCTTCCCAGAAGCACTCTGTACAACCACTACCTTCGACACTGTCAGGAACACAAACTGGACCCAGTCAATGCTGCCTCTTTTGGAAAATTAATAAGATCAATTTTTATGGGGCTACGAACCAGGAGATTGGGCACTAGGTTAGTATTGAAAAATAAGATCATAAACTAATCTCTCTTTTTCAAACTAGGGCAATTCAATATATTGTTTAAACAAAAGTACTTGATTACAGACAATATATAAGGAAATACATAGAATGAGCTCAGTTTATAACATCCCCAGGAAAAGGAAAGGACATTATTCAGTGACTTCTTTCCAAGCCACAATTATATGTTGTCTAAAACATGAACTGAGCAAAGCTTTGAGAAGAGCTGATTCTCAAACTACATAGAAATTAGCAGACCAACCTGTTAATGCAAGATTTGCATATGGTGCTTTAAAACACACACAAACACATACACACACACACGCACATAAAAATGTATTCTCTTATTGAAAGAAATCATACTAATGATGATGAGTTAAGTGACATAGTAAATGGAAAACTATGTATCACTTGACTCTTGAAAAATTACATTTGTCTTTATAAATAACTGTTGGGATAGAGTAAGAAACTAAAGCAGTTTTTTCATTTCATTTCTGGAGGCCAGTTAAAAATCATTTGGTAAACTTGCAAAATATTGTTTAAATTCCTCAGTGATGAGATAGCTCTATTTTACCTCTTATTAGCCCCTACTTTTTTTTCTGCTCTTAATATGAAACCATGTGTATGTGGAAGGAAAAACATAGTATAGTTCAATTGAATTGAAACAATGTGAAGAAGTTGTTTCTGGTTTTTCTTCCTTTGGAAATAAATATGAGTGTTTTCACTAACCAAAATATCATGAAAAGAATACTTAGAACTCTGGGGCTTCATTTTTGTCTTTCCATATTTCTATAAATTATCATAAGATAAATATTTTAAGTAGCTGGACAGAAGGATATGGATGTTTTTAATTTCCTAAATCTTATAGAAATCACATAAAAAGTTAAAATAGAGATACTGTACTATACAACATTAGGTGATATACCCTTAATTAGCTATAAAGCACAACTTCAGAGTATTTTCGTAAAGAGTTTTTTTTTTTTTTTTTTTTTTTTTTTTTTTTTTTTTTTGAGATGGAGTCTCACTCTGTTTCTGTTGCCAGGCTGGAGTGCAGTGGCACGATCTCAGCTCACTGCAACCTCTGCCTCGCAGGTTCAAATGATTCTCCTGCCTTAGCCTCCCAAGTAGCTGAGACTACAGGTGTGTGCCACCACGTCCAGCTAATTATTGTATTTTTAGTAGAGATGGGGTTTCACCATGTTAGTCCAGATGGTCTCCATCTCTTTTGTGATCCACCTGCCTCGGCCTCCCAAAGTGAAGAGTTTTTAATCTTAATAAAATAAACACAGCCTTCCTTAGTAATTGACTTCATTAAAAATGTATACCAAAAAGAGGAGTGAGTGTTGTAGGAAGAAAAGATTGATCTTTTTCTCACCACCACAAGACTCATGGCTAGGACCCCTATAACGAAAGATTAACAACAGAAAAGGATACAAATTTGTTTAATATAAGTTTTACATGACTGGGAGCTTTCAAAAATGATGGCCCAAAGAAACAGAGAGAACTGTATGTATTTTATGCAGTCTGATGAAGTGGATAGTTCTGGAGAAACATGATTGGACAGAAAGGGGTATGATCTAATGGTTCTAGGGGTATGATCTAATGGTTCTAATCTGGGGG
This sequence comes from Homo sapiens, assembly GCF_000001405.40. Lineage (NCBI taxonomy): Eukaryota > Metazoa > Chordata > Mammalia > Primates > Hominidae > Homo > Homo sapiens. Next base: position 3,291,451 of record NC_000009.12, on the reverse strand, counting down.
AAACTCAGCAAGGTCTGTTTTGTTTTGTTTTGTTTTGTTTTGTTTTGTTTTGTTTTGTTTTTGTTTTTGTTTTGTTTTTTGAGAAGGATTCTCGCTCTGTTGCCCAGGCTGGAGTGCAGTGCCCCAATCTCAGCTCACTGCAACCTCTGCCCCCCGGGTTCAAGTGATTCTTCCTGCCTCAGCCTCCCGAGTAACCCGGATTACAGGCACCACCCCACTCCACCACGCCCAGATAATTTTTGTGTTTTTAGTAGAGATGGGGTTTCGCCATGTTGGCCAGGCTGGTCTCAAACTCCTGACCTTAGGTGATCTGCCCGCCTCAGCCTCCCAGAGTGCTGGTGTTATAGGCGTGAGCCACCGCACCCAGCCCAGCAAGGCCTGTTTGTTCAGATTTTTCTGCATCCCTGTGTCTTCAAAAATAAGAACGTTCTTTTCTGCAAGGTATAGGAGGACCCCTCTGGAATGAGGGTCTCATGACCTATTTTCAGGAGAAAGTAAGCTAGGTTTTATGGCCTGCTTCAGAGGAGAAGGAGTGAGGGGAATTTTTTCTGGTTTCTGTGGCCCGCTTCTGTTGTTTCTTCAAATGCCAAGGTGCCATAGTTTGGGATAGCATGTCCTAAACCCCTTCACTGTGTCAGTTTTATGAGATTTACAAGGCCTGTATGTATTAGCATGAATTATTGCTTTTCTGTAGCATTTTAAGTGATTATACAGCTTTTGGATTGCTGAAGGTTTAGCTCTCTCATAAATATGTTTCCTTCTTTCTGTACTTCAAAAGATAGTATATTTTAAACTGAAGAATGTGATTGTCTATTCACACTAAAGGAATAGTTTTCATTCCCTTGAGAAAACTTTTTGTTTCTATAGTACTTTTTTTCAAAACCACAAAAATCATTATTTGGGGACCTAACCTACTATCTCCTCGCTGGTGGCTCTGTAGTTATGCATACCGTGCCAATATTTTGAAACTCTGGGCTTTATTCAACATTCTAATAGCTGTATTGTTGTCCTTCTTTTGTTACTGAAAGGAATTTCAATGGGTCCTATTTTGAGGCTCCATTCAAACGTTGAAACAAGTCTTTAAAATAGAAAGGGACAAAATTGGGGTTGTTTGGTTTTGTGAATGAGTAGAATCCATACTCTGTAAGTACGTATTGCAATATTGCCGCTTTTACTTTCTGATGTTCTGGGTTCCTCCCACCCCCAACTAGGTAACAATTATGAATTATGTCTCCTGTTTTTTTTTTTTTAATTGTATGTAGTGTTTACAGTTATGTTTGTGAAGCAAACCCTAGAAAAATAAGGAGAAAATAAGTACTATGGAGGGAGTTTAAAGAAATGAAGTGCTATGAAGACAGAATTCTAATGTAAAAAAACTGACAATTGTAGGAGTGAGGTACTAGACATTCTTTCTACCATAGAAACTGTTTAGCATTTACTTTCTACTCCTAATCCAAGGAACAGATGGAAAATTAATATAAATCATGAGGCAAATTAAATACTTTTTTTTAAAATGAACTATATGTAGAACTATTATTAATATTATCTATCAATAAAATAATCTGGTGAAACCACTCAAACCAGAACCAGATCTTTTCTAAAGTTTTTGGACCTAAGTAAACAAAAAGTAAATCAAATCACTGTTTTAAACAAAGGCAAATAAAAAGGTACCTTTTATTAGATCCCATCTCCAAGTTAAATTTGAGTAAAGAAGACCATGGATATGCTTCTCTCCCCCAACCATTCCCAATGAAATAAAAAGAACCTCTCCCTCCCAACCCAATTAAAATGTTAATTTGTAGGAAACCAAAAAGAAACTCAGCACTCCATCTATTTGAGGTCTCACAAGAGAGACATCATTTTCCTCTGTAGTTTTGTCCTGTAAGTAATGTCTCCTGCTTCCTACCGTACCTCTACTCCCTACTGTCCTCCAGCTTGTACAGGAGAACGCCACAAATTGGGTATGTGGAATTTTTTGGTTTTGCTTATTGCACCATTCTGCAGTGGATTTTTGAGACAAGATCTAATCTCTGCAAGTAGAAGACCTTTCTTTACGGGCGTTAAGTTTCTCTATCTGCTTTATTGTGCTGAAAGCATGTAGGTATTTGGATGCCCTGCATTTTTTAAAAACTGGCAATATAATTTATATAGTATAATTTTAATGTCTTCAAATATATATAAGGTTCATTTAATATATGTTTTTAAATCTTGGAAGTGCAATTCTGCTCTATTTTTATAAAAAATATTTAATCCACACTCTTCTTGCATTTCTTTTTGTAAATGGAAGAAAAAATTGGAAAAAGTGCTGATGTATTGCTATATATGGACTTGTGAAAAACTACTATTTTCTCTTTGCAATAATTTACATATTTAAAATGATATTTTGCAAGAATTTGCAAATTCCATTCAGAGCAAAACTTTGTCATTTCTAATAGCAAACATGGTCTTTCTCATGAACATGGGGAAATTGTGACATTTTTATTCCAGGTGGAAATTTGCCATTTTCATAGAGAAATTTCCCCATCTCTTCTGTGACAAATCCTGTTTAGCCTGCAAAACTAACACAAATCCATAAAAACAGAAACTAATAAAATGTGTTTCAAAATCAACAGATTAAAGGCTTACTTTCTTTTTAGGTTTCAAAATATTAAGTAAGTCTTTACCACAACATTTTGTAACAGACAATTAAGTTATCTTACTTCATCATCACTGAAGTAAAGAGAAAAATGTCAAACTTATCCAGGAAAGTAGAATTAAGATTTTTTCTTTGTTCTATATACATGCTTTACAATAAATACGTATTCCATTGACTAATTTTTATTGGCCTGTTAACTAATTTTTACTGGCCAAAAACTTTTTTCCTATCATTACCCTTCTTAACTAAATTTAAAATAGAAATTTGAAAATGGAATGTAATTTGTATGGAACAAATGGACTGTTTGACTAATATTTAAGTGGAAGTTTATAAACAAATATTTTTAGCAGGGCCTTTAGCTGATTGATTTGGAATCTTATTTTGATTCTTCAAATTTTATCACCATAAAAACATAAAAGTATTCAGAACAGGTTAATCATAAATATGTAACATTAACTTACTGTTTTTACCAAATTTTTCCAAGTGTGAAGTTTAATGGACATCCCATGTGATTAATATTAGTTTGACTGACTTTTGTTTCTAATGTTTCTTGTTCATTAATGAAGAGGAAACTCCAAATACCACTACTATGGGATTCGTGTCAAGCCAGATTCCCCTCTTAATCGTCTGCAAGAAGACATGCAGTATATGGCTATGAGACAACAACCCATGCAACAGAAACAAAGGTAGACTCTGAAGTTATCATTGATGTGTCCAAGCTATGTATTTCTTAGTTGTTCGGGTCTCCTTTTTTCTGAACAAATACCTAAGTATAAAAGAACGTTCTTATTGTTGGCATGCTTTCACTACAGATAGTTCTTAAATATGATTTAGAATTTCAGTGATCTCGCCTGTTTTCCAAATTTTTAAAAAGTACTTATCAGTCAGCCGTTTGGCCCCTTTTAAGTGTGACATCCCAAACTGTTCAGACAGGGAAATGAAACACAAAACATAAGGAGCATACCCAAGCAAATACCAACTGGAGAAATTTGTTTCAGTATTCATGAGCTTCTGACTTGCTATTCTGCACATCTCTCAAGTCATTCTTTTTGACACAGTATGAATTCTTGCAGAATGTTTGGGATGCCTTACATTTGCTTTGAATCCAACTTTCATAGATACAGAATTGCTGATATTAGAGTTGTAAGAGATCTCAAGCATTCATGAATGGATGGATGAATGATGGATGGATGGACGTATGGACGGATGGATGGACGGATGAATAGAATCATAGATCTTAGATTTGAAAAATATGTCAGTCTAGTCTGGCTTTAAAACCTTATGACAATCAAAGCATTAATAGTTTCTGTTTTTTCAGATGAGTCCCAGAGAGGTTAAATGATTTGCACAAGCACAAAATAAAGTTGCATAGCTAAGGGCCTTCTAGTCCCATGTGACTTATGTCACAATTTAGAGTAAACAAAATGAAAAAATCCTTTCCTCTTTACCAGCATAGCTCAACCAAGACAGAAGTTATGATTTTTCTTTTCAAGTGAGCATGCAGAATTAGGTAGGAGAAAGGAGGCCTCTGCATAGGTCCCAGTGTAATGATCTGTAGTGATTAGTTGCCTTGGCCACATCTCCCTATCCATGCTAGTTTAGTCAGAAGCATTAACTCTAAGATAATGTCTGAGAAAAGAATATATCACACAGTAATTTTATACTATTTAGTCAGCCAATACTGATGTTAAGCCCTGCATGCAGAGATAAGACACAGTTCTTATGTTTGAAGAGTTAAAAAATTAGAAGGGGAGGCACATGGAGAATGGAAAAAAAATGGAATACAGTCTGGGAAGTGCTAAAATAAAACTTTGATCAAGGAACTATCACAATACAGAGGAGTTTTCGGCAATATCTGGGAGAAAGGGAGATTGGGAAGTTTCTAGAGAAAGTGCTCTTTGAGTAGGAACTTAGAGGAGTCATAAAAAGAGAAATATTGAAGCAGAAGGAAAATTCACCTAGCGGTGAAGTCCATGATGTCTGTGGTAAATGGTCCATGACATATTTATTGAGGCTGGTATTACAGAAGGAGAATCAAGGAGGTGGTTGAGTAGTTTAGTGGGAGATGAGATCTTAAAAGTAGTTTGGATCATATATTAAGGGATTTGCTTGTATGTAAAGCTAATAAGTTTGTTCTTTGTGCAGAACATAGCTTTGAAGCTATGTAAGGCTTTGAAGCAAAACAATGAAACTTTGATTTTTTCTAGAGAGATGACTTTTTGATTTTGGGCAAGACATATTTAATGGAAAGAGACTGGAGGTAAGGATCCTTGTTCAGTGGCTTTTTACACAGTCATAATTTCCAGTGTAAGTGCACCAGACTGAAGACTCAGTTCAAGGTTGGCTATTATATAAAAGATATCTTAAAGGTTTTAGATTTTTTATTACAGATTCTCAATCTTATTTTTTTATTGCTGATTCTTATTTTTTGATGTGTAGCCAGTGAAAAATAAGAAGGGCTCTGAAAAAAATAATAAAATAAATTATAGAATAGTACCTCATAGAGTTGGATAGTACCTCATAGAGTTTGTGTGAGTTGCAATAAATTGTTACTATTTTGGGTTATGATTGCTTTTTGCATCTGTTAATGGCAGCACTTGTAGCCTTTACTTTTTGGTGTGATTTCTGCACTCATGCATAGCACCACTACACAGTGGAGATGATGGTGAAATCAAGAAAAAGAAAGTTTGCTTCAGAAATAACATATACTCAAACTTAAGTATGAATAAAAACTTAATAAATTATACCTAAGACAGTTGAAGCCCATTATTTGACTGCAAGGAATTTCCTGTGATTTAACTGCCAGGAATTCTAGCAAGCTTTCATAGAAATAGAAGCCTTCAAGGGACATTCTTTATAAAAAAAACCTGAGTTACATAAGTAAGGCCCAGTACTTTCTGTGGTCTCCTCATGAAACAGATTCTATAAAGATTAGCAAGCCATAAAAACCTCTGCATTCTCAGGATAGTGGTACTTGAGTTTGGAAACAGATAAAATATGGAGACATTTCAGAAATGATATAAGAATCTCAGTAGTATTAATAAATTGAATTTGATTCTTATTTCTTACGAAACAGGAATGTGAAAGAACCAAAGAAGTACTGAAACTTCCTTTAATTTGTTGTGTTTTTTTAATGATACAAGTTTAGGATTATAGACAGTTGCTCTTAAAATGATGTCTTGCTAACTGATTGCAGTGTTACTGTTGCCAATTGCATGGGCCTCTCTTATAGGGCAGCAGGAGTCTTCTGTGGTCTCTCTGAAGGAATCTGTCCACTGACAACATTGATAAGCCTTAACTGAAACCAGTTACCCTGTTGTGCAGAAATATTTAGACAGGAAAGAAGGAGTTTCTTTTCATGGGTGTGGACATAAACTAATTTAAGAATATTTGTTGAAAACAGTGGGAAAAGAACTTCTTAAAAATATATTTTATGGCTTAAAAAAATTTTCAATTTCAAAATTCAAATGATTCTACTGAATACAGTAAAAATTATATAAAGAGACTGCCAGTCTCTTGTAAAAATACAAATGACATGTGAAAGGTTTAAAGTATAAAATAGAAGATATTTCAAAATATTCACGTTGTTTGAATACTTGAAGGTTTATTAAATGCATCCATGTGTGCTTATCTTTCATAATGTAAATTTGTTTTATATGTTCTTATAGTGAAGAAATGCAAGTCTATGCAGTGATTATTTTGTTAATTAAATATAACTTTTGGAGCTCAATTGTACATTTTTCTCATGAATTTGGAATTATAGTCATTGTAGGGATAAGAATGATTATTGTTTTTATATAGCTCACAATTTCTTGAGCTCCTTTATACAAGGTGTCACTTGAAGGTTTGATGGGGTGGTAGAGGAAATCTCCATTTATCTATAAATCCAATTCCCAGCAATACCACTGTATGGAACATAGCCATGAGTCGGAAAATAAATGTAAACAGCTTCTGATTGGAAAGCAGATGTCATAGAGCCTGCAGTTTCAGTTAGTTGAAAAGATAAAGCCATTCTCAAGCCATTTTACCTAAAATAAAGGAGATTAGAGCCCACTTGATTCACAGGCAGTCATGAACTATGACAGCTGCCAAGAAGAAATACAAGTAGACAGGGTCTTCTGTTTAAAATTATTCAGTACAACAGTTTGTGGACACTCCGTGGAGGGGCAAATGGACCTAGGCACTCCAGTAAATATTTCAAATATCACTCTAATGACTAAAATCTAGCCTAACACAATATAACAACTGCTTTGCATATTGATGGCATTATGGGTAATCAAGGGGAGGTAAAATACCATGGTTAAGGAGGCAGGAGACTGTGTAACAGTTTTTTTAAAAAAAACTTCTATTGAAAATACTTCATATGAAAATAATTTTTTTGCACTAAAATGAAGTAATCTTCAGTTTTTGACGAAATGCACTCATAGACTAATTTGTTTACCCTAATTTAGATAATAAGTAAGTTAGATTATTATAGAGCAAAAAGGACATCAGTAATTTCCACCTCTTCAAACTAAGTAACAGTATTTGCTGCAGTTTATTTTTGATAATGAAAAGAAGTACACAGAGAGTATTGGCATGTATATTTTAGATATTTTTCCAAATTCCAGTAGTAAAAGCCAAATGCTTTTGTTAATATGCTTGGCTGTGTTTGATCCCAGTAGCCATTCTCAAAATATTAAATGTCATTTATCATTTCTTCAACAAATACTTATCAGTTGTTATTTGCATACACAATCTGTCAATCACATCTAAAAGACATAACACAGAATCATAGAATGTTAGAGAAGGAAGGAAGAAATCACCTAGTCCAACTTATCCTGTTGATGAGAAAACCGAAGTCCATAAAGGTTAAATAACTTATCCACAGTCATATAGCAACCAGGTTAAGAACTCTTGTCTTTATTCTCATGAGAATTCCACCCTCAAAGAGGTAAGATAACCCAAACAGAAATACACGTAATAAAATTTTTGCATATGAAATAAAGGGAGAAATCACATTTTAATGAGTATGTTTCAAGTAACTGAGGAAATGTGCCACCTCCTGCCTCTTTGCATGGTCTCTTCACAGCAATTGGATTCTGTGAAAGAATAAACCTTTCTTTCACAGGATGTGAAGTAAGAATGTCACTTAAGAAGAGAGAAGAAGAGGTCATTTGGAAAGATGGTACAGCAAGCCTACTTTTGTTTTGGCTGTAGATAGATGTAAAAGCATGCACGTTCTTTTAGAAGTGAGAGAGGAAATTTAAGAACTTTTATCATTAGATGGCCTTTCTTAATATAGGGTTCATAGACTAGTTAAACGAACCCTATATTTAGAATTGGAAAATGGGGAATTGAGTACAGGCTACATAGGCACTTCTGCAGAGTGTATGACTTAACTTCACTGAGCCTCAGTTTCTTCATCTGCAAAATAGAAATTCATAATAGACTATCTCACAGATTGTTTTGAAGTTCAAGTGGAATAACGTATCTGAAAATTTTTTTAATAACTGGAAGTGTTAAAGTGTTAGATAATTATTATTAGGATCATTATTATATGATGAGCACTACAGAAAAATATCTTTCTTATGGGATATTTAGTGTTTTGGAGGAGAATGAAGCCTGGCAATTGGTCAGATTGGGCTTCCATTTCTCTATACCTCTAGGCTAGTGGTTTCTAACTTTGATTGATGTTAATAGTTTATCATTCCTTTCCTAGACATTAATTCCCTGGTGATGTAATGATAATCTTTTCTATTGAAGAGAGGAGAAACATAAATAATCACAACTCAATAACTACCAAACTATAGTAATTTATGTAGTTTGTTAATAATAACAGTCACCACTTATGCTCCTGAGTAGTATTTGTGGAACATTTAAAATATTTTTCAGTAAACACATTACATGCAAGATCTCATTGGCAATTATATTGTTACTTACTGATAAGGAAACTGAGGACCACTTAATTTTGCTGTATTCAAGAAGCTCACTAATTTATTTCTTCCTAGATAGAACCTCAGTTGCCTTTTTTGTTGTTGTTATTGTTTATCTCTTGGCATCAGATGGAGCCAGATTGTCATTCTTCAAATAAAGAAGGTGGGAAAGGGTAAGAGATAAAAGAAGTGTCATGCATACTTGTAGCAAGAATATATCAGTTCTATACAGCTAACCATAAACCACCTATGCTTAGAGGACTCAATGAAGAAATTCATGAGATCAGAGAATCATGTCTGCCTCTTTCAGCACTGCATCCTCAGCACCTGGGAGAGCTCTAAGCACATTGTCGGTGCTCTCTAAATATTTGTTAAATGAATGAATGACCCACAACTCTGATTTTCGCCAGCAGCTTCAACCTCCTCCTTTACCTGCTGCAGTTAACATATAGCCCATTTCAATTTAATTTTTTCCACCTCTTCTTGCCCGATTATAGATGTAAAGCTAATGAAGAGACAAATACTCAGAGAGCCACCAACAAGAATGGAAGAGATGGAATACCTATCATTAACCAGCATGGTTGATGTTAGAAGTCATTTGCATATATTATCAGTATATTCAGTGTAACATCAAAATTAGCTACTATTCTAAAAGAGTGGAACTCTTCATATTTACTATTTTCTTCTGATCCATTAGCGTTTATATCACTTGGTTCATTTCAGACATGAAGTCATCTAAAGACTTTCTGGGACAGTTTTTTCCAAAGAGATTACAAGATTCCAGTAGAAAATTCTAGCCTCCTGCCCTTGTTCTGAGCTCAGTATTTCAATTTATTCATGCAAATAAAATGATTGTGTAATTTCTGGAATTACAAAACATAATGATGTCTCCTTTTGCCTATACAGTTTATATTTTGTGTTTGCATGTGCATTTTTCAGCCACTTTGAAAGGATTTTCCAAATGTTTCATTTAATCTGTAGAAAATCCTTCCACCTGGTGCTGTTAGTTGAATGTAATGGTAAATATATACCATTCTTTGCCTTCCATTGGACTGTTTTAGTACCCATGTGTGTGGGATTGACAGAATATTACTTTTACAGTAGAGTTACAACTGTCCAAGTCCTAAATAGCAGCTGTGACTAACCCCATGGAGGAAGATTCCTAATTATTTTCTAAGTTTTCTGTGTTAGTGACAGGTTTTATGCATACAGTCAGCTATTAAAGCATGAGAGTTTCTTTTATTTCTTAATCATTAACAACTTTAGCACTGATTACCCATTGAGTTGCAAGCTGTTAAAATTATCATTTGCCTCTTACTAATTTTGAAACCAAGTGCTGTTTCATTATTTGATAAAGCACAGGTCTTTCTCAGAGCACACTCAATGAAAGAGTACTAAGAGTTTACTCTGGGAAAACCAAATCTAAAAATAATTAATTCATAAAGTAAATGGAAGTAAAGGGAGGAAAATACTCTTAAATATTAAAAAGTTCAGTATTTTTAAAGGATTCAACAGGAAGGTTTTTGTTTGACTTTTTTTTTTTCAATGGAAATCTTACCTGTTTTTTAAAATTTATTATTCTCCTGATATGGTAGATTTGATAAAGTTTATGGTGATTATTTTATGAAGAGTATAGAGAATCAGAAAATCTACAAGTCATGTTTCAATGCTATAATGTCAGTTGAAATTCAACCAAGGTTAACATAATGTAGAATTACTATGTAAGCCAATAGAATATAAAAGACATCTTGGAAAAATTATATTTATACCCAGCATTTTAAAAACCATGTGCCTATAGTGGCCTACCCATAATACAGTATGTGCTCAATAAATATTTGTTAAATTGATTTGATATATATACAAAATCAGTTGATGATATGATAAAATCAAGCATGTTACCTTAAACATTTATTCATTCAAATATATTTATTGTACATTCCAAATATAGTTTATTGAGAAAAGTTAAAAATTAATGACTTATTTTGTTTAAAATGATGTTTTTCTAATATTAATTGATGTATTTCTACAACATTGGGCTGAAGGAATCTATTTGGGACCAACAGGCTCCTGTGGATTAGGCTGTACTACCTACTTAAGAAATACCTCAGAAACTTGTTAGAATAACCAGTTCCTAAGCTCCATTCTCAAATATTTTGGGAGTGGATCTAGGGTGAGCCTAGGCACCTGAATTTTTTGAAAAACTACCTAGATATTGATATGCACTTAGATTTCAAAAGCAGTGATATATAATCTACAACCACTGTTTCCAAGAAGAATCAGTTGCTACTGGTATTTGTTTAGCCTGTTTTTAATGTGATTGTTCTTGACTTCCTGTTAAACTCCCTCCTTCTTTGGGAAGACACAAACTTCAGAGGTGAGGGTAGGGGTAGGATATTTTCCTTAGTTAGGGTACCTTGAAAATGAGGATCTAGGCTTTCTCAGTCCAGTATTTCTGATTTCTGGGGATTTTTTCTAAGTTCCAATCCATTGCCAGACAATACATTGTCGATATACCATGACATGATTCATTACTTAAAGCAAGAAAAGCAAAAGTTATCACTACCTGGAAGCTCTCTCATACTTACAGGCCCACATTAGCCCTCTTGTACATGAGCTGTATTCCATATTACCATCTTGATGTCATTCTTTATGGCACAAACCCATCCTAAACTTTGTCCCTAGACCTTTTCCCAGGAGGCATAACATATGCTTCTGGCTTGCAGAGGTCCTGTAGCCAAGCAACCAAGAATGAATGCACATAGTGTGTCTTTGCTCAATCTCTGTCCATCTTTCAATCCACTATTCACCGTGCTACCCTTACTCTTGTGGTTAGAATGAAAAAACACTCATTTCCAAGTTCTGATATATTTTCTGTGTTTTTCTTTATTTCAACTGTGTATTATAAAATCTTTTCCTAAGTACTGACCTGCATAGTTTCTCCAGAATTTACCAACTTACCTCCTTCTTTGCCCTAAAAGTTGATCTTGATGCATTTTTCATCTCCCACATAATATAGTTTATCTCTAATTAGTGTTTCCCACTCAGTATCATTAAGTATAATCATATGTTAATTATAATGCATCATGATTTTGATTCCTTATTAAAAATATAATCTCTCCTTTCATTAGGAACTTTCATTTGCAATACTAACAGCTGTCTCCATCTTCCTAAGGAAGCAGACAATTTTGCTTGTAGGCTATAGTATTCCTAAGCATTGTGCGCAGTTAGATTGTGATGTAACATCTGTCTTTTGAAAACTTACAGTCTAAGTGGAATATAAGTCATTTTCTTTTATGGTTAAATTCCATTTGCCCTTGATATTTGTGCCTATTAAGCACCTGTAGTATGTTAAATGCTTTGTAGGACAAAGAAATGTGGCAGAGCATAACTGGGCAAAGTCTTGTAATAATTTTGCAATCCTGTATTAAAAATTAATGTAATTGAAGTCTATTGGAATTATTTTCATTTTTTCCTCCTCCAGGGTAAATATTAATAACTCAAATTCCTTTAACCACTTTTATTCAAGCTCTGTGAATCCCAAACTCCATTAACTTAAATGAAGAAACATGGTTAAACAATTTTAGGCTATTTTATTAATGAGACACAATTCCATAGCTGAAAAGGGGAAGCTAAAATCAGTTGAAACTTGGAATGAATCAATAAGGAAAAGAAACTTTCCTGAACAAAATAAGGTTAAAATCATTCAAGTCTGCTACAACAGAATGGCTAGCAACTGCTCTGCCGCACATGTACACAAAGTGCTTTTTTGCCTCATGAAGTTTCTTTGCTTCTCAAAGATGATTCTTTAAGGAGGAAAAAAAAATCAGAAAAACATTAAATTTTTAATAAACAAGGCATCTAGCACATCACAACACTAACTCTTCTGTTATATTTGGATATGGCCCCAGTTGAAAAGTACCTCCCAGAAGGTTTTTCCATTAAGTAAAAGATTAGATCTGAGTTCTTTTCTCTCATTAGAAAACAGCAATCAATTTTTTTGTAATGAGGAGTCATCACTAAAATTATATTCATGAGGATGAAGAGTGCTGTACTGATTTCCAATCTCTTCCCCCTCTGACTTTATTTTTTGTTTTTCATAGTTGTTTGTAAGATACTGTCACATAAGAAATAAATGTAAATGTCATTATGAGAGATTTGGCAATTATTTGGAAAATTTCATTTATCTGAGTTGCAATTGATAACATCCAAGATTGATTCATTTCCTAAGGCAAGCTGAGCATTAGTTTGTATGATGTTCTACCAGGTTCGGTGACTTCATATTTGTTGTCAGCATGCAGGCATCTTTGAGTATGTCCTGTTCACATATTAGGGTCATTGTTATTCATAGTAACTTCATATTAATGATGCAGTTGAATTTTAGTATCAATGTAGGGGTCAAGTGTCTGGATGGTGAGAATACTAGTTTGTTTGTAAATATAATTAGAAATAGGGAAAAAAAAGAATGGGAGGCCAGACAGCATAGTGTGAATGTTATCTCTAGATAGTATGTTTATTGTAGATTTTAATTTTTTCTTACGCTTTTCTGTTGTTTCCAAATTTATAAAATGAAGAAAAATAAGTGGAATCAGAGAAAAAGAAGAAATTACAGTTGCTGCTTACTTATTTTGTTTTGCTTATCCTAGGATACTTGGCCAGGCTTTTTTATGTTTTGTTTTTTTATATGATATTTCTTTTTCAAGACATCTTCCTTCTTCCCCATGCCACTGAAGCACATTTTTTTCTATCTTAGCTGTATGGAAAATACATAAGTTTGTATGACTAGGACCTGAAGATACATAACTTTAACTGACTTTGATTCTTTATTTTAATTTGATAAACTCTGTTTGTAGATTGATTCTTGCATATATTTTGCTACAAAATGATGCTTATGGCCTTTGTATTTGAGGATGTTGATAATTGTCATGGAGATAAATGTGTTGAGATGCACGAAAGGTTCTAGGAGATATGAAAAACAATATGATAGGATTTGTAGGCTGATCATGTTTTAGAGATATTAACTAATTGAAAGCCATTCATCAACATTTCTCAGGCCTGAGCTCCTAGATCATTGTTCAGATTAAAGTTCCAATATATCCATTGACCATTAAAAGTTACTTTCAAGCTGTGTATTAAAACTTAATCATGGACATCTTTGCTCCTGCTGTCCAAAGAAATACCTTATAATTCTTTCATTCTTAGGTAAATTTCTGGATTTCCAAAAATGGGTCCCCTTCATGCATCCCTTCTCCCCTTTTTTCTTTTCACAATTGAAAAAAATATTGCCTTCTAACTTTATGAGACTATCAAGGAAAAAAATCCTACAACTATCATGAGACGTTAAAGAAGATAGAATAAAACTGAATGCTTTGGGAGTTTCGGGTAGTACAAAAAAGCAAGGAATAATTTGGTTTATTTGTTTTTTTCCATCTAATATTTTTAGGTACAAGCCTATGCAGAAAGTGGATGGGGTTGCAGATGGTTTCACAGGAAGTGGTCAACAGACAGGCACATCTGTTGAGCAAACTGTAATTGCCCAAAGCCAACATCATCAACAGTTTTTAGGTATGTTAAGGTGTAATGCATATTAGTTGCTACTAGGATTTTGAAAAGTTAGTCTTTTCTCCAAGTGCAATGTCTATTATAGATGTCAATGACATAGAAAGATTTTTTTTGGTGCCAAAATTATGCACATCATATGTATAACAGTCCTAGTTCATGTCTGCCTTTCGTGTTTATTAGAGCTTATTTTTAAAAATCTCGAGCTATATAGGACTTTTATGCGTATGAATTAAAGACTCATTGCTATGAAATTGTTTTCCAGAATTTGTATTATTCGGCTTTTGTGATCAAAATTATGCTGTTTACTTTCAGTAGTAACTTCAAGTGCCAAAAAGAATTCTCATTTCCTATGTATAAAGTTATATATGCACAGGCTCAGATTAGAAAAAAAATTTTTATAAACTTTTTTAAAGTAATTTATTCATTTAAATTAATCACAGTACTTTCTATTTTTGTAATTTATAGATGGAATACATGTTTCTTGTTATTGAAAGAGTTAGGAAGAAAAACTTGCATATTTTTCATATTTTTGCCATAGCCAAAGGGGCAAAAAAGTGGCACTTTAATTTGATTGACAACTCTTCTAGAGATGAACATGCATATTTTCCATATAACAGGTCAAGATAAGTAGAAGGTATCAGAGAGTGACTGTGTGTATGTGTCTGTGTGTGTGTATATGTGTCTATGTGCACTTTCTGACAAAGACAACTAAAATAGACTCTCAGGTTGGAATCATTACTGAAGTTGAAAACATGGCAGCGTTTCTCAGACTGAAGTCCTAGGGTTATATTCTTGTGGACCTTTGGTCATTCAACAAGAATTTTATTTTGTGATTTCACTTCGATTATCATCTTAAAAACTAAGCATATTCTGGATTACCTAGAAAACTAGAACTAAATACTGTTCTGCAATTTTAGTTTCCATATTTGTACCTGGATTTATGGTAAGACAGGCACCAAAATGTCTTACATTAATTGTCCAGAGCTAATAAGAAAAGAACACAGAGAGACTTACTATGTAAATTACGCCTCCCTCACAAGGGAAGCCTAGATCATGTCCCTGTATTCTGTGTGAAGGAAAGTTTCACAGTCATTTGTACATAGAAGAGTAATAGGAGAAGCAGCCACCACAAAGCACATGTTGGTATAGATCTGTCAGACCCAAAAGATCCTGTGCTGCGGCAGTCAATACTGATCCTTGTTGCAAGAGATAACTTAGTTACAGGACAAGAGCATCATCCATCACATCAAATTAATGTTGTTAAATTGTATGTTATTTTTGTAGTTTTCTTTGTATCTGCTTTGTAGCTCTTTAGGTTTATGACTCTATAACAGTTAAGAACATAATGAGTTTAAAATTCGTTTTTTTATGTAATTAAACAACATAATAAAAATATCTAAAATAGGTACTAGCAAGCTCGAGATATTTTTCTTTTAATAGGGGCCTTGTGTTGAGAGACACTGTGATATGCAGTATACTATTTGCAGTATAATTGTATTGCAAATTTTGTTTCTAGAAAATTCTTAAGAATGTTCCCTTTAGTTTTATATTTTGTGCTGATGATGTTGCTTAGTTTTACTTGTAAAATATTAATATAAAATGTCCTTGCTCTCTGGACCCCTGACCTTTAAAATTTGTTTTTCTTTTTGGTCTTCTTAAATTTTCCCTCATTAATCTGTAATTGGCACCATCCACAATAGCTTTTTTCTGTTCTGTTGTCACGGTAACAGATGCATCTCGAGCACTTCCAGAGTTTGGAGAAGTTGAAATCTCTTCTCTGCCAGATGGTACTACCTTTGAGGATATCAAGTCACTGCAGAGTCTTTATAGAGAGCACTGTGAGGTAAGTCTTTTCAAATGTAGTATGAACACATGCTAGGTTTTGCCAGATAACTTGCTAATATAAAATAATCAAGCTTATTCCTAAAGGACAGGTGAACTTAGCACTAATTCTTTTGAGCGTATCTTTTAGCACTAACAAATTCATTTTTCTTCTTTCTGGTCTCAGAGTGGAGAGATGAGGAATGCAGAAAAGTGAGAATAAGTTTTATTCTCTATTTCTTAAGCCTATCCTAATATGAATCCTTTGGCGTAGCAATTCCACCTCTAGGTATTTGTCCTACAAAAATATTTATATCTGGGTGACAAGAGAAGTGTACAAGGGCATTTGTTGCATTATTATTTTTAATGCAAAAGATTGGTTATAATTTCTTTATCTAGTAGGGAGCTGCATAAATAAAATATGGTATTAATACAATCTTTAGAGTAGAATACTATACAGCCATCAAAAGAATAGGCAACTCTATACACATACCAAAATGGATCACTTCGAGATTTAAAGTTAAAAGAAAAAGCAAATGCAAAAAATTATGTATACATATTTTCACTTGAGTGAAAAATAACATGTGTGTTTATGTATGTGTATATATGTATGTTTCTTCCTTTTCCTTCATATATATATCCATATGTATGGATATACATATCTATATATGGATATATATATATCCAGAAGGAGAAAGAACAAGAAAATGTTAACAGTGGTTGCCTTTGTGAAGGAAACTGGGTGACTGGGAGTTAGAGGGGAGAGACTCAACTTTTCAACAGACCTGTTTTATCTTTTGAATTTTATATCATAAGTGTATATTTCTATTAAAATAATTTCTGGAAATGTTTAATAAACCACCTTAGGTGTTCTTTCCAGGGATCACTGAGGTTCCAGTTTTGTTTGTTTCACTTTTGTGGTTAATTAGGGTTCCTTTTGGTGTTTTCTAGCCCTACTCCTACTCTCGTTCTGAGTATCCCACATCAGAATTTGCTTCATTGTCTGGGAGGTGAGCTCTCTGCATGCCAGCACATTAATGTACCACAGCTCACCTGGCAAAAAGGGGATAATGGATTATAGTAAGAGTTTTCTTGAGTGCTTCTTTTGAAAGAAGAGTCTATTTAGAATTTAAGTAGCTTTATTCCAGGGATATTTGTGATCTACTTAGGAGTAAAAGATAATCCTTTGGATTTCCTGGGCAGTCCTCCTGACTGCTGACAATGCAGTATGCAGTAAGAGGTTCTTAGCTCATAGCATTAATAGACATTTTCCCCGACACCAGAAATAAGAATTGCTAGCGCAAATCTGAGTGCTTGTCAAGGGTACTAGATTATTAACCACCAAGGGCAGGTTCTCTCCTTATTAACACAACATGTGCCAGAAGTGTTCTTCAACGTGTCCTACCAGTTCCCAACATTCCTTGGAATGATGAAAGCACTTAATATTCATTTTCCTTTGACTACTATGCTTTTACCCATATTAGAGAATTTCTGGATTTTCCTTATGTATATAGAGAAAATTATTTCTTTCTACATTTATCATCTTATTCAATAAAGATTTGTGTAAAGATTCTCTAAACAATTTCTCATTCCCATGTGTTCAAGTGAACCTTACTTTAAGCAAACCAGCCTATATGGATTTTTTTTTTTTTTTTTTGAGACAGAGTCTCACTCTGTCACCCAGGCTGGAGTGCAGTAGTGCGATCTCGGCTCACTGCAACCACCGCCTCCTGGGTTCAAGCGATTCTCCTGCCTCAGCCTCCCCAGTAGCTGGAATTACAGGCATGCACCACCACGCCCCACTAACTTTTTGTATTTTCAGTAAAGATGGGGTTTCACTGTGTTGGCCAGGCTGGTTTTGAACTCCTGACCTGAAGTGATCCACCCGCTTCAGCCTCCCAAAGTGCTGGGATTACAGGCATGAGCCACTGTGCCCACCCTATAATGGATTTTTAAAAAATTTCTCCTATTTATTAAGAATGTAAGTTGGAGCATAATTATTTACATTGCTACAAAACATACAGTAAGATTATTCTAAGTGACAAACTCCCCTGAATAAGGTTGAAATAGTCTTTGAATTATAAGATTTGTATTAACATACCATTTTCAAAAATATACTTTTTATGAAGAAATAGGGACATATATTATAATCTGTGTGGAAAATGGCAGTCCACAGAATGATCCCCATTTATTTCAGAATTACCAGTGTTCCTACCATCTCTCTCATAGGGCTGAGCTGCATATATAAAAAAGAAAAATTCTAATTATTTTTTCCTGTTAATAAATATTCATTTTGAATAAATATGAAAAACTTTTGAAATACAGCTGCCTGAATCTCATATTTAGTCCCGTAGTCATTTGCCCTAAGCCAGTAGAATATGGATTATTTTAATTTATATTTGCCTATATATTTTAGTCTGAACATATTTGAAAGTAGGTGGACAAATGATAAAATGTTTTATTCATGTGTAAAACTGCCTCAAATGAAGCTGATATGAATGTCTTTTTTGAAAGAGTTATTTGAGATTATTTAATTTGAAGAGATACTGAATTTAAGATACACTGAAATTCTTTACTTGCCTAATTATATTTCACATTTCCTACAGTACATATTTTTAAAGAAAGATTAATATACCTACTTTGCCTGTTATTGGGAATTCTCACAATTTGTTTATCAAAGATATTTTTGTATCACTAGTTTGTTATGTAAGGAGCAAGTGTAACTTTTTATACAAGTTGCTGAAATATTTTTTTTAATGTAGGTTAAAAGAAGTGTTCTTACAGCAATCTCATATATAGAACTATATAAGGTATTATGTATAAGGTATTAATAGTTGCTCCACACTTTTAGAGATGTCTCTTGGAATGTGCCTAAGCTACAATTGAGAAAGCAGTTACAAAAATTTGCTGCTGGAGAAGATTTTGATCTTTGCTGGGATGAGGGACATCTACATGCCCTTTATTTTCAGAGCTTGCATTTTGCATTTTTATTGTTACTGAGGACTGTCTAAATTAATTTGTCTCCCTATCTTCATTTTCAATATTTAACTACTTGCAACATTTTATACTTTTAGAATATATTTCATACCAGTTATTGTGTGTATCATACATTGGGCCAGCTCTATACAGGTGGCCCAAACTCAACAAATATGAAGTTATGGTTTGTTGTTTTTGCCTACAATACTCTTATAGACACTCTAGATTGTCCCCTGATTTCTTTTATCTTCCACGAATTTTATAGATCTTTGTGGGGCTGTTTTACCTTTGCCTCAAAGGTGATGACATCAATCACATTATACTGACTACTTCTGTCTTTTAATGCCCAAAATAATCACAAAATCATGTGTTCTTGGCACAAACAGGTTATTCTTTAGTTTTATGCCTGCTTTTACCTGAAGGCTTATTTACAAACTAATTGCAATGACAGGGTAAAATTATCATCATTGACAGTTAACGGAAAGTGGTACATTTAAGCACCATAAAAAAAAGTCTTAGATGCATCTGGGAAATAGTTCTAGGAGATAAAAAAGGAGAAAGAGGAGGTGAGGCCCCCGAGATTTGAAAAGGAGATAGTCTTAAGGTTGTTCCGTAAAGGAGGTATGCAGAGGTAGGATTGGATTCTCTTTAATGTTGAATGCTATGCCCAGAGAGGCAGTATCCACTGAAGGCCTGCTGACTCCATGGTTTCTGCCCCAGCCTCTGTTTGGCTGGGAACACAGTGGAACCTGTGGTCAGCTGCCTTAGACAAAGCTAATTCAGCCCTAACTCCATCTGCCACACAAAAGCAACTCCACACCCTTCACTTCCACCTGCTGTGATGGCCAGTGGTTACCTAGCCCAAAGAGGACTGCTGGTAATTGAATCTATGTTTTGTACCCTTCCAGGTCTTAGAATAGGTAGGGTGACAGTAACTATAGAGGCAGAAAGAAGCAGTAGGTAAAGGAAAGAAAGAAAGAAAGAGAGAGAGAAAGAGAGAAAGAGAAAGAGAGAAAGAAAGAAGGGAGGGAGGGAAGGAAGGAAGGAAGGGGAAGGGAAGGGAAGGAAGGAAAGAAAGGAGGAAGGAAGGAAGGGAGGGAGGGAGGGAAGGAAAGAAGAGAGGAATGAAAGCAAAAATGAAAAATGGAAGAAAAAAGAGGTAGAAGTGAGGGTGGCATGAATACATTATGAAAAGAATGTTATCCTGCTTAATCTTCCAAGAATTTTCCCCTCTTTATCTTCTTCCTAGCTAGTTTCTTTTTTTTTTTTCTTCCACTTCCTTTGGTAAAATTTAGTGTAGTTTCACCATGTTAACTTATGACCCCAAGGGAGAACTTGACCATATAAAATCTTGTCATGTTAGACTGTCCTCACACAGTCCCGTAAATAATATTGTAAGGTAATACTGGTACCATTTTGTTTTTTAGGCAATATTGGACGTTGTTGTGAATCTTCAATTTAGCCTGATAGAAAAATTGTGGCAAACATTCTGGCGCTATTCTCCCTCTACTCCAACTGATGGCACTACCATTACCGAATCGAGGTCAGAATCAACATCTTTTCCAATTCATTTTCATGGCTGAGTAGATGTCACAACTAATAAATTAGAGATATGTATACCAGTTGTGAACCTTACCTGATGACATTAATTGAATAGATTGATGTTTTGGCCATCCTAGAAATAAACCATGAACTGCTCTCTTGAGGTTTCAGTGTGTGTATATAGCTCCCATTTGTACTGATTTGGGGGACTGTGGTAGTTATTTCATCCTCATGGAATTACTATCATATCTGCCTTTCATACCGTCAGAAAATACAAATGTGCATAGACAGCTCTGGGGGAGTGTTTTATATATCTGTCTGTCTCTCTCGGTATATATAGCCAGCTGTATGGCACCAGTGCAATGGTGGTATAGTTCTAACCTCAGTAATATTTGGTAAACTTAAACTATTTTTAAAGTCCATTTTCTTTTTTATCCTCATTTGCCATCTATTCATTTGCTACATTTATTCACACCAGCAATCTGAGTGAAATAGAAAGTCGACTTCCGAAAGCAAAGCTGATAACTCTGTGCAAACATGAGTCTATCCTGAAATGGATGTGTAACTGTGACCATGGGATGTACCAGGCTTTGGTGGAGATTCTCATCCCCGACGTCCTTAGACCTATTCCTAGTAAGTTAAATGCAGACGAGTACGGATGCTTTTGTTCTCATACATTCCACCCAGGAAGTTTTGAGAAGTGACATTGCAATCTAGAATGATTCTAATTTCATTTAGATTTGCCAGATAGAAAACATGCAACACAGAATATTGCGTGAAAGCAGCCTAGAGCAAAACTGTAGTAAAAGGGAACAGATGATCTATTTTTCAGTCTTTCTTTTCTTTTTCTTTCTTTCTCCTTTTCTTTCTTTCTTTCCTTTCTTTCTTTCTTTCTTTCTTTCTTTCTTTCTTTCTTTCTTTCCTTCTTTCTCTTTCTTTCTTTTTTCTTTTTTTTGATAGAAAAGCCAACCTGTAGATATAACAGCCCCAGTAAACTACTTGTAAGAACACTAGCAGGCCAGTCAACCGTATAAAAATTATTCTACCCAAGGACACAGTCTCCTTCATAAAGCCAAAAATTATGGAAATCTGTAATTGCTAGGCCAACCTCCTTCACGGTTGCTTTTGACTTGAAGTGAATCTATCTTGATTTCCACTGAAGTTGAATTCCATTATAAAAGCATTTACTTTGTCACCTACATCATGTTAGGAACTACAGATGCGGTTTCCATTAGCAGTAATGGTTAACTGGCATTTTGAGAGAAAAATCTTTGTAACTACACAAGCATTGTAATCCCACTATGAAGAAAATGGGAATTACATAGATAGGTTAGATTACCTTTTTAAGTGATGGTGCTTTTTAAACTACTTTGTAGCAAACAAAGCTATTTTCTCAAGTATCGATATAAACGCTACCACAGATACTGTTAGAGGCAGCTGAAACTATTTTATGCCTATATCTATATGAGTACACAGTAGTGACCTTAACTTTTTAAGAAATGAGACAGTTACTACTCTACATTGACATCAATAAAGTAAAAGCAAGCATATAGCTTGTGAAGTTGGCTACTGTGTACTTCAAGTATACTATTCACAGATGATTTGTGTTAAATTATTCTAGAAAATATGAAAATAGGAATTTAGTAGAACAAAAGGGGAAGATATTAACATTTGTATGCTTATACTTTCTTTTTTTCTAAATAACAATAGACAACAGTAGAAGGTATGAGATCTTTAATATGTTCCCGGCCACCTTGAAATGTATGCTTAAACATATTTCCATATAATATTAATGAACACACGTAAATTTATATAGGAATAAGTAAAAAAAAAATTAGCTGACATTATCTCACAATTTTGTAAATTGGTAATATATTCTACTCTACCTACAGCAAGTTTCCTGGCTAAAGGTTGATTAAAAGTGATGTTTTAGAAAGTTTCACTAGCTAAATTCTCTACTGATTTATGTTCCAGAATCGGATTTTCCTTGTTTTTCTCTTGCTCCCTGTGCTCTGAGTGATAATCTCTAGAGATGTTTATAAGAAGTTGCATAGGGTAGCTCATTAGCCTATGACATCTTACTACCAACATAAAATTTTTCTCATGAGATAAAAGAAGGGATGTCAGCAAGTACTTTCTTTTTTGAGGCAAATCAACAACATCAGTATTCATTAAACAGTTCTAAAATCTTTTGCTTCTGTAACAGCACCATAAGACTTTAACTTGTGAGTTTAACAGTTCTCTGTTTTAAATCTTGTATCAATTTTAGTTTAATTCAAGCCCATAATTTTAAGTACACAATACACTGGCCTTTGTCTTTTGCAAATTTTGATTTGAAAACCAGTTTATTCTGTCAAATAGCTTGTCTCTACATTAAGCAGACACCCGAATAGTTTTGTAGTCTCTCTGAAATTATAAGATGCATTGATATACCACCCTGCCAAGAAAATTTGGAAATTTAATTCCCATTCTACAATGAGGTGTAGCAAAGTAAAGCTTAAAATACAATTTAGATAGCTATCTTCTGCTTGTATGCATTTTAGTATTAATCTTGAGCAGGTTGAGACAAGTCAGCTTTGGAATAGAGTTTAAATTCCAAACCATCCATTCATGAGGCTTTGAAAGTTGTCAGAGTCAATCTGCACAATTTTGTACATACATGAATCCCTGTAGAGAGAGCAAACTTAATTTTATTTTTAAAAATTGTATTTTCCTGGCTACTAGCACTTCACTCTACCATTTTCTGTCCAGATGGGATTTCTTTTTTTAGCTAAAAAAATTCTGCACATCACACTAATTTAATGTCAGCTTGAAGCTACTATATTCTAAAATGCAGTTATCTGAAAATGAAAAAAACGTTAATTGTATGAGCACTCAATGGGTAACACTTAAATGTACAATTGGAAGTATAACCAGAGGTGGCCCAGAATATCATTTAGTAGAAAAAGTAAAAATTCACAATTATTTAAAATGCAAAATATATCTTTTCTCACCTAATTGCCCTTGCATTAAATTTATCTAGATAAAACAAGGCCCGTAATAAATATTTTTAAAGTAATATTTATAGATTTGGGGGTTATTTTTCAGATTAAATAATTAATGTACACTAATTGTAGGAAAAATGGAAAATGCAGATTGCCAAAATGAACCTTGAACAAAATTTTACTGTTTCAAAAGGGATTATTAATTTTTTTTCACTCTTTTTCATTTCCATTCATGCCTGCCCTCCATGGTTCTAGCACATAATACAACAGAAAAATATTTTTCTTTCCTTTTTCTTTTTTTGACTAACATGGGAAGCTTTGAAGGTTTCAAAAGATTAGTTCTCAAGAAATTTCCAATTCAGTGTTTCCAGTAGATGATCCTCGTGGTTAAGGATCTGCACTGCTTGAGTGTTTTTCCTAACCAAAATTTAGCCCGTTCCAATCTCGTCTCTCCAGTTTTGAACAGTTAAACAAATCTCTTAAAAACACATTTAGTTGTCTTTATTATTGGAATGGGAAAATTTATATTGTTTGCAAATAACTTGAGTAAGTGAAATTATTTATAAAACCTGGTTTTAACAGAAGCATAGAGAATCATGTCAGACTCATTTGAGCACAGAAAGAAAAACCAAGGAATTTAAGCCCATCCGTAATATTAATATTCCTGGGGACCTCGGCCCAAAATATAACTGTGTTTCTTATAGTAGCATATGTTGATACCTACCCCATTATAGAGAACCTACAAAGGTTACTTTTATGTTGTGGGTGCTTCAGGCACTTGTCTACTAAATGTCTCTAATTTTCCTCTACATTACTATGGAGCCTTGGGCACAGAGGAAGTAAAATACTATTAACTGGATTACTTGTTGAACAAGGAAAGTATTCTGTCTCCTACTATATAGCAATCTCAGTAAGCAGATTTTTTCTTATAAAATAGTCATAGTCATCACTGATAACTGAAGATGCTTCTCATTATTTTATGACCACCGTAAAATCTTCTGTCATGGGACCTATCCCTATTTCAGGTTTTAACAGATATGTCAAGGATACAGAATGAGCTATTTTAGGAGTATCTTAAGAATACGGGTTTCCGTAACAGCAATTTTATCATACTGATCGTTTACCTCTACCTGCCAAATGAAATGGAAAATAATTGCCCAAAAATTTCAATTCAGACAATTTTAATTTTTACCTTTTCAACAAGGATGAGAGAGAATTACTCTAATTCACAGATTCTAAGTAAATAGATGCATAGAGAAACAGAGCAAGCTTTGCATTATTTTTCTTTTTAATAAAAGAAATGAAAATAGATTAAGAGCTTGAAAGAACAAGATGAAGAATTTTAAAGAAAATACATAGCCTTTAGCACAAAACTGTTAATGAAAGGAGTGTTTTTTTCCAAGCAAGAAAATTCTTTAAGTATATTCACAACTGGTATATGTTGCTGTAAGCAAAAATGTTTGAATCCTTTTTTTTCCCAAAAAAGCGTCATAAGTATCTGGGAACAAAATAACTTTAAAAGAAAAAGCCCAAAATATAATTCTTGGATGCTTTAAAAAGTTAGGAATAATGTTAAATAAAGTTTCATCAATGAGGACAATATGAGTTCTGTGCTGTATCAGATATTGTGTACGAGCATTTTCTTTTATTCTAGCACAAACATTAATATTCTTTCATACTTTTTTTTATCCTGCTTTTATTCTTTAATGTTTAGGTGCCTTGACCCAAGCCATTCGAAATTTTGCAAAAAGCCTTGAAGGTTGGCTTTCCAATGCCATGAACAATATTCCACAGAGAATGATACAAACCAAGGTATACTTTATGTCCTTGCTTTTTCTTTTGTGTTGAGGAAATTATTCTGAATTGTGAACTTTACATCTATCCTATCAAATGGTATTATGTAAAATGTTGAGGTTATAACATACATCATCTTTTAAAACTGATTTTTATATTTGTATTTTATAACCATGTAGTAAAGAACTTGCACAAGAGATGTTTGACAATGTTCCTTTCAAAGAGAATAGGGAAGCATTTTAAGTGTGGTGCATTTATAAGCTCTTTCTAAACAATATAGTAGATATATATATTCTAAATTATATCTGTGAGAAAGATATAAACTATAAATGTTTAATTTCAAATATTAAAATAATAGCCTAGAATGTTCAAATAGTTTTCATTTGAAGGAATTTTCTATTTCTAAAATTTCCTGCTATACTTATCATATCCTGAAAAGTTCATAGAAATTAATATTGTTTTGCTTTTTCAGGATGTTTTGGTGTTTTTCTAAACACTGGAGAATGCTTTTGTGAATAAAGTGAACAATTAACTCATAATTAATCAATATATCTCAGGAATGTGGATTATTTAGCTAGAGATACAAATTTTAGTCTCTACTTTGTCTCCTACTAGCCATGCTGCTTCCAGTTAATCTGTGAACATATCCTCATAGCAAGATTGGACTATTTCTAAATTTTATTTAAATGTTGGTAACAGAAATCACATTTGTGACTTCTTGTCAATGACTGTATTTACTGTCAGACTCCAGCAATATACTTTGCCTTTGAATCGGGGGGCAGAGTTGAGCAATTGAAGTTATTTTAGCTGATAAACCTCTGTGGGAACATAAGTAGCCTCCAGTTCGTTTGCTTGGGCTTAAAGTTTGCAATAAAACTTTCTCTCTCTAAAACATATAGAAGGCAACATTTCATTGATGTGCCCATATTAGATTGTTCCTCTAGAAATGTGCTTTCACAGTAGGGCCAGCCACGTGTGGCTATTTAAATTAGAATTTTAAATTAAGTGAAATGAAAAAACTAGCTCCTCAGTCATACTCGCTACATTTTGAGTGCTCAGTAGCCTCCTCTGGCTGCTGGCTACCATGTTAGGCAGCATATGTGTAGAGCATGTCCATCATGGCAGAGAGTTCTCTTTGGCATATGTAGAGCATGTCCATCATGGCAGAGAGTTCTCTTTGGCAGTGCTGTTGTATACCACATGGAGGTGTGCAAGAAAGAAGGTGGCCTTTGATTATGGTCAAGGAATCCTTTTCAACTTTCAGTCAGTCACATTTGTAACAATACCTCAAACAGCTAAAAGCACTTCCCTTCCCAGTGTTGTCAAAGTGAATGTGGTAACAATCCAATTGCAACGTTGGCCATCTCATTGACCTCCAGAGTTTGGTTGAATGATTCACCACAGTAGAGGGTACCGTCTGTTCTTCTGGTTTCACTGATATGCAGTCTTTTTTCCTCTCCACATTCAATTAACAGAGACAATTTACCCTGACAGAGGAAACAGCATTCCAACTACTGTGGCTTTTGGAATCAAAATGCCCAGGTCAATTCCCATCAGTAATGAAGTTTCTTTGCAGCCTTGAGCAAGCTACTTATCTTCTTTAAATCATAATATGTGTCTAATAAGATAGTTATGAGACTTGAATAAGATAATATATGTAAGGCACTTAACCCAGAGCCTGGCACATAGTATATACTGGATTAATGTAAACCACAAAAATGGAATAAGGTTCTTTTTTGAGGACGTATGAGCTTCCCCCCAAGTTCCAAATAGTCCTCAAACATCTCATGTCAAGATAGAGCATCCTGTTCCCTGTGAACACCCTCTACCGCTCCCAATTGATCATTCAACTGCTCGTACCTTATATACCCATATAGTGATTGAGTGCAATACTATACATTCCTGTAGATGTGTCTATTTTTAAAATATATTTTTAAAAGATTAAAATCATTAGATCTATATTGTGCACATAACAAATTTCCATGAGATTATGAGATTTAGATTTCATGTAGACATTTTGCATTATCTTTGCTGTCTTTCAAAATAAACTGCTTCATTCAGGGTCTGAACAGGCAACAAATCGTGCATCCAACGGTGGGGATAAACAGAGTTTAAGAAGAGTTTATTTCCAAAGGTATGAACAGAGTTGAAAAAAACAAAGAGGAATAGTAAAGCATCCCAGGGCTAGCAATAGTGGGAATTCTAACCATCCCTAGGAATGAAGGGGTGAGAGGTGAAAGTTATGGCATTAGGAAATCCACTCTTTCCCTCAGGACTGTGGTAACATTAGAAAAGGAAAGCAGGTTCCGCTCTAACAGGCAGCAAGCAGAGGTTGCAGTGAATAAGTACCCTGGTAACCGCTCTTTCTTCCCATCCTTCCATCTCCTGCCAGTGCCTGTTATTGGTCAAACCCAGGTGGAAGCCAGAGAACAAGAGGGGAGGTTAATGTGGTCCATTCGGATCAATCTTCCTGGGCACAGAACAAGATGAAGAAAAATGGAAAGTAGATTTTGAGAGGCAAATAGAAATTTCCCGCATAGCCCTTTTAAAGAAACTCTAATTCTGAAAAAAGGTTATTCTAGTTGGTTGCCTCTGATAATCTCGCCTCAAAATTACTCGTTTCTATAAAATAAAGGTAGTAAGAATAAATCTGAATGGTAATGCTCTCACATGCATTTTTAAATACAATGTAAAGAGTAGGAATGTCCAGATCTCTTTTTATTTGAAAGGGCAAACTGCACATCCCTACTTTTAAAATTTGCCTAGTTTCTACTTGACTGTCCAAAGAACAGTAAAAAAAAGAAATGAAAACCAACATTTTTCTTGCTTCCCTACTCAAAGTCATTTCTTACTGTGGATGAGTAGTCACTTGCAAGACTAGTTTAATTAATGCTACGCTCAGATGTCGAAGAATGTGGGAGTTTGTTTTAGTCTTGACCTCAACCTACTCAGAAGGAAAATAATACTTGGTTTAGAGATTTAAATGCTGTAATTTACAAGTAAACTCTCTCACCAAATGAATTTTAAATAAGTGTCAGAGGCAAGCATTTAAAATTTGTGAAGGGAAAGAAGATTTGAAAATTGCAGTGGTTTCTTTTACTGGAGGAAACAGAATCCCAACTTAATTGGATTGCGTTACAGGTTGCCGCTGTAAGTGCCTTTGCCCAGACTCTGCGAAGATACACGTCGCTTAATCACCTGGCCCAGGCAGCTCGTGCAGTGCTTCAGAACACTTCCCAAATCAACCAGATGCTTAGTGACCTCAACCGTGTCGACTTTGCCAATGTCCAGGTATTCTATTTCCTTGCAAAGCATGTCTCTTAAGGAAAGATACCCAATTTGTTCTTCTTAATTGGGATCATCAAATTTCTTTTCAAAGTCTCATCTATATATGGCAGCATCTATATTCACAGTGTTCTGAAAGAGAGGAGTTTGACCCAGATACAGCTGTAGTGCTCCCATGTTTGTGGTTAAAGTAAGCTCACATTTACAGTCCTAAAAGACAACGTAATATATCACCAGCATTTGCTGAATAGTTAGTAGAGTAATAAAGGTCACAGTCATTGAAGTTAGACAGGCAAGAAATTAAGCTGTCTCATATACCAGCTGTGGGATCTTGGGCAATTGCGTTACTTAACTGCTCTAGGCTTCACTTTCCCCACCTTACAACACCTGTCTTAGATTATTGTTTATATATTTAATAATTTGTACCATGACATGCAGAGATATTTCTATTTTGTTGCCCCTCCTTGAAAGAACTAAGAACAATTCTATTTCAGAGTTTACTATAGCTGCCTAGTAAATATTTATTCACTTGAAAAGAATTATATGCAATAAGTTCAACTATTGTGGTAGTTCAAATGAAAAAATATTTTTTAACCTTGTGATCACATTACCCACTTGTACTTTAAAGTATATTTTAAAAGCTAAGTTAGAAACATTATTATAGAGTTTCAATATCAATAAATACTTTATTTTTGATTCTAAAGTAATGAATCTAAATGTTACCAAATAAAAACAATAGCATTGCCCACCAAAAGCATAAGCAACAAGAGGAAAAATACATAAACTGTACGTAATCAAAATTTAAAACTTTGGGGTTTCAAAAGAGACCATCAAGAATGTGAAATGGCAAACCACAGAATGTGAGAAGATTTTTGCAAATTATATATCTGATAAAGGACTTGTTTATAGAATATATAAAGAACCATTACAACCCAGTAATAAAGAAAACCTGATTAAATATGGACAAACATCTGAGTAGACATTTCCGCAAAGAAAACATACAAATGGCCAATAATCACATTAAAAGATGCTTAATGTCATTAGCCACCAGGGAAATACAAGTCAAAACCACAGCGAGGTACCATTTCGTATACTCTAAAATGGGTCTAAGCAAAAAGACATATAATAACATACCCTATTGGCGAGGATGTGAAAACATTGGAACCTCATACACTGCTGGTCAGAATATAAAATGCTGTAGCCACTTTGGAAAACAGTGTGGCAGTTTGTCAAAAAGATAAACATATAGTTACCGTATGACTCAGCAGTTCAACTCCTTGTTGTATACCCAAGAGAAATGAAATCATGTCCACACAAAACTTATACATAGAGGTTCATAACAGCACTATTTATATTAGCCACATAAAAGCAGAAACAACCCAAATGTCCGTCAACTGATTAATAGATAAACAAAATGTGATCTATCCATACAATGGAATATTATTGGGCAATAAAAAGAAATGAAGTTCTGATTCATTCTGCAGTATAGATGAACCTTGGAAACATGATGCTAAGTGAAAGAAGCCAGGTACAAAGGATCACACGTGACATGATTCCATTCGTATGAAATTCCAGAATAGATACATCTATACAGACAGAAGGTAGATTGGTAGTTACCTAGGCCTGGGGGATTGAGAAGACTGGGAGGTAACAAATAAGAGTCATGGGGTTTATTTTTAGGAAAATTAAAAAGGTCTAAAATTGATTGTGGTCAGTGATGTACAACTTTGTGAATATCCTAAAAGAAACCTTTGAACGGTATTCTTTAGATGAATGAATTGTATAATATGTGAATTACATTTCAGTAAAGCTGTTAAAAAACATTACTGTTGTTTTAAAAATAAGCTAATTAGTAATTATTTTATTTTCTAGAAATTTTAATTTCTACTTCTTGCCTAGTTTTGTCATTTAAAATATACCAAAAAGTAACATTTGGGCTTGATCCATTTTAGAGTACGATAAAAATTAGTTGTTCATTGAGACTTTCATGGACTGGGTTCAAACTTCTGAGATATATATATATATAGAGAGAGAGATCTATATCTATCTAATATTTTATATTAGATATTTATATCTATTTATATCTAATTTAAAACTATATATATGAAGTTTTAAAAAATATCATCTATCCATCTAGAAAAACACATACACACATACAAGTACATAATCTTTACAAGAACAAAGTTTCTCAGCTTTACAAAACCATTTACTTTACATATTTCCGTGGGATGTATTAACTGAATAAGCAAGAGTATTAAAAGTTAATATTGCCTTAAAATCTATACTGTAATATTTATTTCAAATCTTTTTTCAGAAAAGATTTGTTTAAAAGTCTCTTAAGAAGAGTTGAAGAAGTAAGGCAGCTTCTAGTTTCAGAAAGTAATTTAAACTCAGTAACAGAAAACATTTTAAAGAATTATTTATAATAATATCCGAAAAAGTTTTTCAGTGTTCTGTTAGCATTATTATATGTATAAATACATATATATATATTTGTGTATCTGCATTCCAATGAAGTATTTCTACAAATGAGTTCTTCCCTGGTTATAAGCATTAACCTTGGGAACATTTTTGCATATTAATGATCAGTGATATGTCTACTGTACGACTTATCCTCTACCTGCCAACTTTAAGAATACCCTTTCTTTTCCTCTATTTTTGACTATCATGTTTTTCTGGGTCCACCATGATAGCCATTACTCCTGAAACCCATATGATTCGGCATCTGCCCTCCAAAACCTTCTTCCTTTCTTCAGAGTACCATGACACAGTAGTGAGCCCTTCATTTCCCCCTACATTTTACTTTTCACAGCTCTGTACATATTAATGAGTAATCTCTTTCTCAAGGTAGCACTTTTCCTCTTTAACACCCTTATTTCTTTCCTTTTCTTTTCCTAGTTTTGCCAGATTTTCCCAGAGTCCCTTGCCTCCCATTTTACCTTTATCCCCATCTCCAGTTCATTTGGAAGTCGTCCCAGCTTCTATAACATGAACCTCAATAATCTGACAATATAAGAATGATGCTCTTGTAATAAGGAGACTTCTATTTAAAACAATGAAATTACATGTGTGTCAATATTATAATACACTTAAGAGCTTGAAAGTGCTAAAAAGTTCCTTTCAGGATATCCATATATCACTTTTCACTACTTCATTCTCCTCTAATTAAATTTTCTTTTCTTTATGCATTTAAGATAATTTTTCTATTGCAGTATAACTGGTTTCCTGTTTCATTTAATTGATAGTATTACGATGGCATAATTCTCTAATTTTTTGTGTAAATGGTGGTTTTTGAGATCTACATTATGGGCTAAATAGCTTTCGGTGGGCTGACCTGATAACTTAGCTATTGCATATAGTTGTGTTTCTGTATTTAAAAGGCATTCTGATTTTGAAGTTCCTGACTACTTTTCATTTTGGATATTTTTTTTTTCTAATTTAAGAACATCTCTAAGTGTCCTTAGCTTTTTTAATTATAGACTTGAAATATCTACATTCGTTTCACAAGGGAATATTTACAATGCGCTCTATTGTTAGTATATTTTCACTTTAGAGAGTAGTAAAATGAAGTATAATATAAAGTAGTTTGAAAAGCCAGAATAATGTGCTGTGGTTTTATTTCTCTAAGTTAGGTTTTAGATTATCATCTTTTCTTGGCAAAAACTAACTGCCAAGTAAATAGTGAGTTTGAATTTATGGTAAGAAATGAAATTAAATTCCTTCATGGATACTAGTAAGTTTCTCCTTCCAATTATCAACGTGCAAACAAACAAAAAAAACCTCTCCTGCTAATTTCAGCTTTATTTGTAATACTAAAATGTTGGAACAAACAAATGTCTAACTATGTGGGATTGGTTATGTAAATAATAGTATATGATGCAATAAAACAAATTCATTCAGTGGACAATGAAGATAGGTCTAATTTGCCTACATGGAAAGATGGTTATTAAATATTTCTAAGTGAAACTAAGCAGAATATCTAATAGAAAATATAATATGATCCTCTTTTATTTTAAACATTTAAGTATGTATAAGCATATAATAATATAAAATGTATGTGTAGATATATGTGTTTTATAATACAAATATATATTTAAAATATAAATGTATGCATAAATAATATAGTGTATATATATGATGATATATGCATAAATTATTTCTATATGCATGTGAAAAGTTTGAAAGGTACATACATCAATATGCTGTAATTTCTTACTGTTGCCATTTTAAGTATTCTTAATGTTTTGTTCCTTTTTTGCTTATTTGTATTCACAGTTTTTTCTATAATGATATTTTAGTATACTTAAAATATTTAAAAGTGGTATTCAGAAGGTAACATCTGAATGGATTTATGATTAATTAGATAAGAGGAAAAAAGACAGTGAATAGTATCATCAGCTGAGATATAGAAGAAACAGTAGGTTTCCCTGGGAAAATAAAATAAGTTGAGTTTGGGGCATTTTGCATTTGAAGTGCCTTCAGGTTGAAATGTCCCTTGAATAGGTAAAGTCTGTAGGATCAGGAGAGATACTGGAACTAGAAGATGGAGATAATGGATTTATTCAGTTGAAGTTGTTAATTTGAATGAACTTGTTTTTTGAGAGCATATAGAAAAAGAAGCTATAGACACTCTTTTGAGAAAAATACATATGTATTCACAAGGTTTTATTAGGAGCCTCACAGACACTTCTCCAAAGAAATCTATCTTGACAAAATTATCTGGACACAATGAACCCAGCTTAAAATTTTTCATTAAATTTCATTTCTTTAATTTTATGCTTAGGGAAACTGAGGCCCACATAAATTAATTGCTTGAGGTTAGTTTTGTTTATTCAGGACCTAACACCTATGTCTTCTCATTCCCAGTCAAATATTACGTTACCAAAGAATTATGTTTTGCCTTGAGTGAATAGGTTTTTTTAAATCTTAAAATACAACATAGCACTGGAAACATCACAGTACTTATGGCAATCACTGAAAAGTAGCCTTAAAAGTTCCTATTTTCATTGCTGTTACCAAACATTTCCCAACCAGAACCAGAAGGAAAATTGCAATAATCACATTTTTTGGCAGGAAGCACGTCTACATTTTCTCAAGAGTTTTTGTTGTTGTTGTTATTGTGGTTTTCATTTCTCTGAATTAATTTGCATTCATAGCCTTGCCTTGATAGCCCTTGAGATTTCTGTTCCCAATCCATATAACTCACAGCAGCATATGCTTCTACCTAGTATCATTTAGTGTTTGTTTCTGTTTTAATCTTGAGGGGACCTCTTTTGGCCAATTTTATCTATTTATCTGTCTGACTTACCCTAAATCTTCTCAAATAAATTGGTTTTAAAGTTTTATCTGATGGGGAACAAAAAGACAACTTCTGAAAGCAGTATGAAAGCTGAATAGGATGAAAGACCCTGCCTACTGTAGGTTCAGACTTCTATTTTTTGAAGTCATCATGTATTTTAGTCTTTTACACAGACTAGTTAATGTAGAAAAACCAAATGATACTTACATGTGTCATCACTTTTCTGTGTACCAGAGTGAGCAACGAGAAATACTCATCCCTTAAAACTGATAAAGATTGTGTTACCCTAACAATTGACAAGTAGTTTTTTATTTTCTGGATTCATTTAACTGTGTGAAGCTTTTATTATAATTTTCTGTTCTTGCATCTAGTGTGTGTGCTGGCATTCAATGAAAGGATGCTGAATTGAACTTTTCCTTTTCTTTCTGTGTTACTGTCTCAGGAGCAGGCTTCCTGGGTGTGCCAGTGTGATGACAACATGGTTCAGAGACTAGAAACAGACTTCAAGATGACTCTTCAGCAGCAGAGCACCCTGGAGCAGTGGGCTGCGTGGCTTGACAATGTGATGATGCAAGCACTGAAACCCTATGAAGGAAGACCCAGTTTTCCTAAAGCCGCCAGGCAGTTTCTGCTAAAATGGTCTTTCTACAGGTATCATCTAGGTTTTTCCTAGGCTTTCTTCTTCATATTCTGCAAATATGTGTGTGTATGTGTTTGTATATGCTTCTGTGACAAAAGAAAAGAAAGTAATAAAGACTTTAGTTTGTGGAAACTCCCTGTTACAACTACCTTCAACCCAACTCAGTGATTACAACACCATGGAAATGTACCAGGAAACTTAGAGAAATAAACTTTCTGCTAGGAAAAGAAATCTCTTGCTCAAAGCCCTACATGTCCTCAGATGGGAACGTCTGAGATTCCAGTCTAGATAATGTGTTCAGCAGTAATCAGAAAAGGGCAACTGTCCTCCCTCTTGCAACATACATTATTTAGGCTTCTTTCTTGAGGCCTAACACTAGTCTCCTTTTTGTTCTCTGTTTAGTGATGTTCAGAATGTGGTCCCTAAACCAGTAGCACCACTATCAATTGGAAACATGTTAGAAATGCAAATTCTTAGCACCTCCTCCAAATCTACCTGTATCAGAACCTGTAGAGGTAAGGCCCAGCAATTTATGTTTTAAAAAGTACTTAAGTTGATTCTGATGCATACCCAGAACCATCTATTTAACTTCTTAATTTTATCAATTATAACTGTTTTCAAACCTGGCTGCACATCAGAATTAATGTAAAAAAAAAAAAAAAGAAACAAATCCTAGGTGCCTCCCAAGACCTACTAAATCAAAATCTTGGTGGTCAAGAGATAGTGATTAGTGGCTGGGCACGGTGGCTTACGCCTGTAATCCCAGCACTTTGGGAGGCTGAGGTGGGCGGATCACGAGGTCAGGAGATCGAGACCATCCTCGCTAACACGGTAAAACCCCGTCTCTACTAAAAATACAAAAACAAAATTAGCGGGGCATGGTTGGGGTTGCCTGTAGTCCCAGCTACTCTGGAAGCTAAGCCAGGAGAATGGCGTGAACCCGGAAGGCGGAGCTTGCAGTGAGCCGAGATCATGCCACTGCACTCCAGCCTAGGCGACAGAGCGAGACTCCGTCTCAGAAAAAAAAAAAGAGAGAGATAATGATTAGGAATGAGGATAATCAGGATTTTTTTCACAAAGCTCTCCTGGTGATTCTAATGATCATCAGTAATCTCGTAGACAGTAACATAGCTTATTAATAATATAAATCACTTTTTGACTAAAATAGTATAGATAGAAACGTGTATTTTTGTAGACATAGAAGCACCCAGAAGAAAAGGGCTTTCTGATTACATGACATATATCAAATGATGGGATGAGCTGTTGACCATAACTCGGCCACAAAGATTAAAAACAGC
Organism: Homo sapiens; assembly: GCF_000001405.40. NCBI lineage: Eukaryota > Metazoa > Chordata > Mammalia > Primates > Hominidae > Homo > Homo sapiens. Next base: position 3,255,703 of record NC_000009.12, on the reverse strand, counting down.
ATTTATGACCTTTGTAGGTCAGTGTCTCTACCATATATGTAGGATGGAATTGGCAGAGGGAATTCTTCCATAAGTTGGGTAAATTATATTTTTAACTCTGGCATTTGTTCTTATGGTGAGAGTTCATTTTTTAGCTTCTTTAGATAAAGCTGGCCCCACTGATTTGGCCCTAAGATTAATATCTGCTGTAAAGTATAGGCAGTCTCTACTGTAGATTCTGTGCAGCCATGCACATATCAGAAAGTGGTGGCCACAGGACATACACCTGACTGTAGCTGTGGCTACACTATGGTCATCCTCTGGACATCAGTGGTGAGTCCAAAGCTAGTTGTGAGGAGGGAAAGACTATGAATGAGTAATAGAATGTAGGAACTAATAGTACTTGTGAACTCAGTAGACCCAGACTATAGGATTTCCATATTGCTTTGACCACCTTTGGTTATAATGATGGAATCAGAGGTCTTTTAATTATGATGGTAGTTCCTTTGGTTTTATTATAAGTGACTTTTTTCTTTCTCAACTGATTTGGTCCATATTCTTATTTCTTAAACTGAAGTAGACGTATAGATCCACATTATATGTTTCATAAGAGTTAAATTATCCTTACGTCCTGAAAATAGCTGTCTAGTGTCTAGCCCAGGGTCAAATGCAATGAAAGAAAGCCAACCAGTTTTTTGCTGTTGTTTTGTTTTTGTTTTTGCAGTGGTACAATTCCACAGTCCTGCCTCTCATATATTTAACACCTTTAGCCCACATAATTCAAGAAGCACATTATTAAGGTGTTGTCTGGCTCTGTGACCCACTAGTATGCATCAGTGAAGCCAGTGCTAGGTTTGGATCTGGGTGTTTATGAGAAATGTGTTGATGAGAAATTAAGTTTTCCCTTGATACAGCAGGAGGATTTGAAATGCGTTATCACAGTGTTCTCAAGGTAGATGCAGCAACAGTTGTAGTAATGGTAGAATTAGAAAATTTAATTTGGGAATATTTTTTAAGATTTCAGCCAGGCACGATGGCTCACGCCTGTAATCCCAGCTACTCGGGAGGCTGAGGTAGGAGAATGGTGTGAACCTGGGAGGTGGAGCTTGCAGTGAGCAGAGATCACGCCACTGCACTCCAGCCTGGGCGACAGAGCAAGACTCCATCTTAAAAAAAAAAAAAAGATTTCAGATATTTTCCCAGTTGCCCAACAGTTTCTTTTTATTCATCAAGTTTTTTCCCAGATAACAACGTAAGTGGTATATGTGCTCCATGAATAATTGATGAAACAGCAGTACACTGACTGGCTGTTCCAAAACTTATATGACCAAAGGCAGAGTCCATCCTCTACATCCAAAAAAGCAAGGTGCTTTTTTTCTTCCTACTGCTTTCTTATGTTATTAGTGTCAGACTTGCCCTTACGTCTACCTGTGGTTGGTTTTTTTTTTTTTCCTATATTTAGTTGATGTCATTTTAGAAATACATCCCTGGAGCCTTCATCTCCACAGAGATCTGTTGCAGGTATCTTGAAGGGAGAGAAAATTACTTACTTGTATTTCTTGTTCTCTGCAGATATACAAACCCAGTAGATCATCACTTGCCTGCCCTCTGTCCTCCCTGAGTTGAGGATAATTGGCTTGTTATTATTAGATACTATTATAGTTATTATTTTCGTTTCAAAAAGACTTGAAGGCCTACAGTTCAGGGCCCCAGAAGGAAAGGCACATTCAGACAGATGCATACCTCCTGCTGGTAGGCAAAGTCAATAGCTGAGAAACTTAAGCCTTTAATATCTGAACTGTTTTTTACTGAGACATAAGAACATATTGAGTAATGAAAATTACATTCACAAACTATCAGAGAAGCAGAATTAGAATATTTTTTAATGTTTTTGGCATTACAGATGCCAAAAATTTGTAAATTTGTAAATGCCATTATAAATTTGGCAGTCACATACACAGGCCCTTCATGTTCTGAAATCAGATGCTTAATCTAATTTCTAAAATTTTTTGTATATATTTACATGCATGGAAATATAGAAATGAACTTGCCGAGAATCATAATAGCAGTTGATACAGCGCTACAAAGAGGTTCTGCTCTGAATGGGGGCTCTCTCCTTGCCTAACCTGGCTGTCAGTGACTAATTGTGGTTCCCTGGGAGGCAGAAAAAAAAAATCACTGCCTTTCTTGGGCAGAATTGGAGAAGTTATATGGGCCATTTCTCAGCTTGTGTGTTTTGGATAACAGAAGAGAGCATTCTTCAGGGCCACCCTGAAGGTCATTCAGATATCCCATTTTTAAAGAGTGGAATGTATAGCTTTGATATTTGGCGTGAAAGTAGGCACAGGGTGCCTAGTTTGCCTACAACTGGACAATATATGAATCTTCCAAAAAGTAATACTCTTTTTTGAATCAACTGTAAGCACTTTTCAAAGAGTGAGTTCACATAAGGATCACAGGCGTGATGTTCTCACCTGAAGGGTGTGATACATCTTCAAACACTCAGAAGAGGCAGGTTGGCTATCGCATGTTAGGGCATATATTTCAATTTCCACGCCATGAGTTATAAAGATAAATACACAAAGATATTTCTTGTCCATTATAAAATAATTAACGTTTACAACTCTGATCTTAAAAAGAGTTGAATTCATGGTAACTTAGCAACAATTCAGTGGAGTCAATTTTACAACATTTCTTACGGAAGTCTGAATCGGACAATAGGATTCCAATTAAACTGTTAATTGTGTCATTTAATACTTGGCATGTAAAGCGGAGGCCTGACACAGAGAGAATAAAGTAGACATAGCGTTAATGATACAATTCAACTGATTCTTTTCTAAACATATGACAATAATTTCATGACATACATGTCAGTATTTTTTAAATAACTAGGTATTATAATTGAGGATCAATAAATTTTTTTTTAAACTTCCAACAGAATTTAGTATTACGTGTGCATTTTATGCTGAAATCAGGTGATTGCCTAACCATCCAAAAGTTTCCAAAACACTCAGAATGAAATCCAAAGGCCTTATCATGGCCTACTAGACCCTACACAGTCCAGCCACTAGAGTCATCCAGACCCTATCAGGTATTCTTCTCTTTGCTCACTGCCTTCCTACCACATTAGCCTCCTGGCTACTCTTTGAAAACAGCAAGCAGTTCTGTCTCAAGCTCTTTCATTTGCTCTCCTTTCTGCCAGGAAGACTCTTCACCTGTGTTCGTTTCCTCACTTCAATCCAGTTTCTGCTCAGATATCACCTCCTCAGAAAGAATTTTCTAGATACCCCAACTTAAAATGCCTGCCCTCATCACTCTCCAATCTCTGGCCCTGATTTATAGGATCTCTTACTCCCTAACTTTATATTTTTTTATCTACTTGTGTATTTACCAACTGTCTCACCTAACAGAACGTGAACTTTTTTGAAACCAAATTTTGTCTGTCTTGTCTGAACCAAGACCCTGCCGCAGAGTAGGAACACAATAAATATCTGCTAAATAAATGTGAATTTTATTGGAAAAAGTTGAATTTGCATTTCTAAAATGATATCAGAAACTACTTGTTATGAACATTCTCCTTAGTTGTTCACATGATTTCAGGGTTATTATATTTTAACAGAAGGCCGAGGTGGGCGGATCACCTGAGGTCGGGAGTTCGACACCAGTCTGACCAACATGGAGAAACCCCGTCTCTACTAAAAATACAAAATTAGCCAGGCGTGGTGGCGCATGTTTGTAATCCCAGCTACTCGGGAGGCTGAGGCAGGAGAATCGCTTGAACCCGGGAGGCAGAGGTTGCGGTGAGCTGAGATTATGCCATTGCACTCCAGCCTGGGCAACAAGAGCGAGACTCCATCTCAAAAACAAAAAAAAGAGAAAGAGAAATAGAAAGGCCTAAAATTTGAACTTAGAAATATATAAAGAAAGACTCATTCTGTATCTGTGATATTTATTCCTGAAAAGATTTATTAACATTCACCTGACTCAGTATTGTTTTTCTGTATTATTATATAATGAATGACATCTTTTAAAATAAATATTTTTATTATGCAGTTAATATATGCTCACATTAGAAAATGTGGTAAATACAGGCCAGGCATGGTGGCTTGCACCTGTAATCCCAGCTATTTGGGGGAGGCTGAGGCAGGAGGATCAGTTGAGTCCAGGAGTTCGAGACCAGCCTGGGCAACATAGTGAGACCCCATCTCTAACAAAATAAAATAATTAGCTGAGCATGGTAGCAAGTGCCTATGGGAGGTGAGGAGCGTAAGATCACTGGAACCCAGGAGTTCAATGCTGCAGTGAACTATAATGGCATCACCACACCCCAGCCTGGACAATACAGCAAGACCCCTGTCTCTAAAAAAAAAAAATAATTAATTTTTTAAAAAGATAATCTAGGAAATACAAAAACTTCTACCCGGAAATTACCACTGGTTAAATGTTTCTTTTTGGGTTAAATAAAATTGGGATCCAGTTGTTTACCATAGGCTATTTAACTATATTTTTCTCTTAACATTTTTTATTTGCAATTATATCTTAAGCATTTCTTGCCATTAAATATCTTCAGAAACATAATGTTTAACGTCCTCATACTATTTCATTATGTTTATGCCTCATACATTATTTAAACATTCCCTTATTCTTGAACATTAAGATGGGTTTTGGTGTTTTGATAGAGTTTTTAAAAATGCTGTTATGATTATCTTCATATACGATTGTACGTATATCTTTGGATAAGTTCAAGTAAAAGGATATAAACATTTAAAGTAACTAATACTAGTTTAATGAAGTGTGTGATCTCAATGCTAATAAAGTATTAGATATTCCAATTCACTTGGGGGTAGGAATTTTTTGATGTATGGAGTGTTTTTATGTAAATGAGCTCATGTATCTTGCTTCAACTTAACGATTATATTATAAACATCTTTGTATGTTACTACTTATGTCTACTTCATTTTTTTAATGATTGCATAAAATTTTATATCTGGATGAGCCATAACTTGTTTAATCAGCATCCTACTAGATTATCTTTTTAATGATATTTACTTTCTTTTCCTAGTTTCTCATTAGTAGAAATATTGTGCTGCAGTTGTGACTATCTTTGGTCAATTGTGTAAATTTCTAGAATTAGATTGCTGGGTCAAAGGTTTTGACCTTTTAAATTTTGACAAATACTGCCAAATTTCCCTCTACAAAAGTTTTATGAATTTATATTCATAGGGACAGTAAAGGAGAGTTTTTCCAAACCAGCTATAACATTGGGTCTTTTAACCTCTGACAGCTTTATAGATTATATAGGGTATCTTACTTTAATTTTCATTTCTTTAATTCCAAGTAAAATTAGTCATGTTTTTGTATGTTTGTTAGGCATTTGTCTTATACTTTAAATTTTTAAAATTTGAAAATTTTAAATACTTGCTATCTTTCTTCAGCAAGATAAATGCAATTAGGAGCAAATATTCTGTTCATGCTTTACTTTAAAAATCATTTATTTCAAGTCTTTGTTAGTATGGGTAAAAACGTTATGTAACATTTTCTTTTTATTTTTGTGTTGTTTTTGCTTTTTTAGTAAGTGATTCACTGCTTTAAAATTTTTTTTACCATAGGAATAGAAATATTTATTTTCATATAACTCTTATATTGTAATCTTATAAATTATTTTTACAAATTGGTGATATGTCACTGAATTTTAGGAAAGACGTGGATAGAGTTATATATAGAATTTTGTCATATATGTTGGCATGCAAATGAAAGTATTCATTTATTTTTAATAATTATTTATAGAGCTGTAAACTTAAGGAATTCGTTAAAGTAGTCAACTCTAAGATATCATTCACTAGACCTACTATTTATGATAATGAATATATTATTAACACTAATGTAGGTAACAGTATAGTTACATTGGCAGTTTTCTTAAGATTTCACATACATTATGTCATTTGACTCTTAGGCTAAACTTTGAACCTTACAAAAAATTATATGATCACAATTGAAATCACATAGTGGTAACCCGGGTCTGTGTAACTTCAAACCCGTGCTTATTCTTATTATTATTATTTTAGTAAATAGATCCACAGAATTGAGAGGTCCTCTGCCATCATCATATAATAATTGCTATTCTTGCCACCATAAATAAATGAGAATGAGAAAGTCAGCTTCTCCTATTCTGTGTATTATAATCACAATCACTTATATTTGAATAGCGTTCTAGTCATCCATAAGTTGATTTCACATCCTTTAACTTATTTTATCCTTGAAATAAGCATGTAAGTTAGATAAGACTAAAGGCAATGTTTTGTTTTCATGCAAGAGGAAAAACATCTCGGGGAAATGATGTTTTTGAGATCAACAGTCAATGAAGAGACAGAATCAGAATTCAAGGCTTCTGTGTTTCAGATGGACAATGATGATCTGTCACTTGCCAAGTTGAATGCATACAATTTGATGTATTAGTAGCCTCTATTTAAACAAGGTTGAAAAATGAAACAGAAAACAAAAGTACAGTCTTTTGTTTTTCCATTTGCCTGATGTCTTATAATTCTTTACTGTAAAACGAGGCATAGGTGAGTTTTTACCTCTTTCTCCTGAGAATACAATGGTTGTTTTAGTGTTCATCTGCCAAAAATCTTTAGAAAAAGGTCAGTAAATGAAAGTGATAAGAAACACACACATACACACACTCACACACACACATCACTCTGATTCTAAATTATGACTATTTTAAGATTTGAAGTGCATGAACAAGCTTAATGATTGGCATGTTGAAGCCAAGATTTTATTTTGGACTCATTTCCATTTTAAATATAATAGAGTTTATTATAAGTATTTTATAAATATTGCTTATATTTTCGTATTATATACTTTAAATGTTTGCATTTTCAAAAATAACGCATTTCTTAATTGATTTTATTGTGCTTATTTCTAATGTAAATGTGCCTTAATTTAAGTGGAAATCATTAAGAAACTGGAAACACTTAATACGTTTGCCTTCCAAGGAAACTTGCTGGAATCCCTGTACGTACTTGCCTATACTCTGTATTGCCACATCTGGGAACATTGCTTATTATATTTTGTGAGCTTTGTCTGGCAGAAATGCATCTTTTTTCTAAGGCCTACCCCAGAGATCGTTATCACTGAGAGGGGACAGACTGCCAACCTTCATCAATAGGATTTTCACTCAAGTTGTTTTTCTTAGGGTAGTAATGAGTGGTCAATCTTTCAGACATTTTTGTGTTCAATTCTGATTTATTTGTGAGTTTGGTAGAAGCAGCAGACTTGCCCATGATAGTAGAATGACTTTTTCCATTAAGACTATCTATCTTGAATAAGGATCAAGTCTCCGTGAGGATTACCTCTTTATCATTCTATTTAAATGAGTTGCAACTGCGTTCAATAATGAAATGCTTTCATGGCAGGTTTTATACTATACCAACCATATAGACTCCCAGCTTGACTTTTTTTTAAGAGGAAAAATAGGTAGAATGCTAATTCTTGTCACTAATGTTAGCTGCATATTTGTCTTTTCTCTTGGAACAGCTCAATGGTTATTCGGGACTTAACCTTACGCAGTGCTGCTAGCTTTGGCTCCTTCCACCTGATCCGTCTACTCTACGACGAATATATGTTTTACTTAGTAGAACATCGTGTTGCTCAGGCAACAGGAGAGACTCCTATAGCAGTCATGGGCGAGGTAAGAGAGGCTGAAAGAGCTGTGACCCACTGGGTTATTAAAAATAAGCCAGAATTACACTTCAGTCTAAATACATTATTGATTAAAACCATGGTTCCTAACCAAGTCAGCCTCAGAGCCAGGAGGGACTGTGGAGTTATTGCAAGAGTTCCTTAAATTCCTCTGTTCTTATGTGCTTAATCAAAAGATTCTAAAATTGTGGATTATATCATGTGAAAGTTCATGGAATGTGTCTCTATATTATACAGGTACCTATGTAAAAGAAAAACTTGAGAACCACTGGAATATGAAAAATATTTTAAGTGGGAAAAAGATTGGTGCTCCTGATAAAGCAAAGGGCTGGGAATACAATGGAAAGGATTAAATATGTATTTTGTAGACTCTTTCCCGGTCTCCAAGAACAAAGTAAATGATTCTATTTTAGAAGGATAAAAATGGTAATGATGATAACTAACATTTTTTGGACACTTACTATGTGCGAGGCACAGTTCTATGTTTTTTACATGTAATAAAGCACTTAATGCAAGTCTTTGAGATACGTTCTACTTTATTCTGTTTTACAATAAGCATCCGAGGTTTATGCAGAAAGCTAAGGCACAGAAAGGTTAAATGATTACTCAGCTAAAAAATGGTAGAGATTTTTTTTTCAAACACAGTCTGATTTTCAAACCCATATGCTTCTAACCACTAATGATGTAAGGGGGAAAATTCTCTTCTTCAGAATTTCTGAATAGTCATCAAAATGGCTTATCAAAAAGCTTAAACTCTGAATATAACAAGGGCTGGTTAATATAATGAGGAATAGATGCAAATGCTCAGATGGTTCAGCACTGGCTTATTTTGTTATATTGAATGCAGGAGGCGGGGGTAGTTTATACCTTGTCGAATCATACCAGATTATTAAATGTGACAAATTACCCAAGGCGGTAAAAAAGACATGTTCACTTTTAAGCTATGTGTATGTGCTTATATAAATAAAAAAGAGTGAAAACAGATATTATTCAATGCTTTTCCTAGTTTAATATAATAAGGTATAAATAAAAATACATTAAAATACTTCAAGGACCTCCCTAATATTCTAGTATAAATAAAATGCATGTCAAACTTGCCTAGAAGGTCAGTTGAAATATTCATCTTTTCCACTTCTTTAAAACCCCTTGCTGTATATCCATCTAAATGTCTTTGTATGATGTTCCCTGTTGATGATAAAGCTTAAATGATGCCAAATATATGTGTGAGATTAAGCAGGAATCACTGTGGCTTTTCATTGTAAGCAGGACCTCATGTGACCAAAACAATCTGGACTTTTCTTATATTTGACTTCCCCTCATTGCCTCTTTCTTTACTTGTTTTATAGATGCCTTGTTGGAAAATGCCCAGGTAGCACGTGGACTCAGTACTCTAAAATTTCTTAACTCAGGGTTCAAGACTTCAGAAATGGACCTTGCCTTTTAGTATACTTAACACATTTGCCACTACCTCATATGCTCAAGGACTTCTTTAACAAGATAAATAGGATAATGATGGCGGGGATTCTCATTAACACCATGTGGCTAATCTTGATGCATGGCCTTTGCTTTCCTTGCATCTCTAGGGAACAAAGGCAGTGGATGTGAGCCAGTCACACAGTGTGAAGGCTTAGCAACCTCCTGGTATGCTTGCACAGGCGGCACCAGAATTAAAATGGGCTACATAATCTATAGTGCCAACTCCATTCTAATAGTTATTCTTTTTTTTTTTACTACATGTAAACGATCTAAATGAATATGACAGATTTTACATGAGGCAAAGATATATACGTAAAATCTAAATTTAAAAAATGGTCAAAGATCTAATCATACTTCTTGATTTCTTTGCTTACTCAGTTTATAGGAAAGCCCTTTGACCTGCCTATGCTCATCCATTATTTACCCCAAAAGGCAAATTCAGACTAATTTTATAGGTTTGATCTCCTCATACAACACTGATGCCTCATACACCTGTTTGCTCTCATAGATCTATTGGCCATGGTCATACTATCATATCTAAAATTTCTTGATTTGGGGAAAAGGAGAAGGAAATTCAAAAAATAAAAAGTTTGTTTTCTCATGTTCTCCTCACATTATCCTAAGCCTACCTTCTCTTGGTCCCTTGGGTGACTTCCTTTTCCAATCACCAAATCCAGACGTGCCTGTGTACATAGTGGGAGTAACACATCAGGCCAAAATCCATTGAAATCCATACAAATCACCATAACTCCCAGTCACAGCAAATGGTTTGGAATAATGAGTAATAATAGCAACCACAAAGACAATAACAATTGTCACTATTTACTGAGAGCATATTATATACTTAATGAAGATAATAGTCTTGCTGTATCAACTAATGGCTCTTTCTCAGTAAATGGCGCCACGATCCTCCCAGTTGATTATACCAGACACGTGAGCATTCTTTTTTTATGTCCTTCTATCTTGACTCCCATCTACAACCAATTACCAAGTTCTGTTTCTCAAATCCCTCAGAGTGCAGTCAGTATCGTCTTGTGAAAATGCAAAGCTGACTGTGTCATCCCCCACTTGAAACCCTTCAGTGACTTTCCCTTGTGTTACTAACATGAGCTCTTGCATGATCTGGCCCTGCCCCTCTGATCAACATCAGCCTCCCACTTCCTACTCTTTCTGTTGCAATCACAGTGGCCTTTTCTCTGTTCTCATTCACTAAGGTTTTCTCATCCTTGGACTACTGCATAAATGGTTCTTTCTACCTGGAAGCCTCTGCCCATCTCCCCATGCCCATTCTAACTCCTACTTCATGTTGTAAAAATCAGTTTCTCAGGGAGACTCAGTTACTCCAGAATACCTTAAACAGTTCAAGTCTTTCTGATATGTACTTTTACTTGTCATTCTAGAAGCTCCACAATACTAATTGCACAGTTCTCTGTTTGATTTGTATAGTCAAAGATGTAATACCTGGAAACAATAAAGGACTTTGAGTCAGAAGTGAATTCTACTTCTAGCTCTGTCATGGCTATTAGTATAATCTTGGGCAAATCATGTTGACTTGTGTTGAACTCTAGACTTCTGATCTCCGAAACTGATTTATCATTTATTAACAAGTTTTTATTGTGCAGATACTCTATGCCAAAGCTATCATGATTGGAATATAATGATGAAAAAAATGGATTTTTACCCAGCCTTCGAGGAGCTTAGATTTCAAGTGGGGGATACATATTTACATAGTCACATAACTATAGCTACAAACTTTGTTAAGTGCTTTGAAGGAAAATTAAAGGGATATAAGAATGCTTAAAGCTTGAGGCCCTAAATCTAGCCTGGGAGGACCAGGGAAGTCTTTCCCAAGGAAGTGATGTTTGAGGTAAGAACTAAAGGACAAAAGATGTTAACTCTGTGAAGAGAGAATCTGAAGGTAAGGGGTGAAAAACACCCCAGGCACAGGGGAATGTGCACAGGCCCTGACAGAGGTGGGTGAGAGCACAGCCAAGGGGAAGTTTTCCTGAGAAACCTAACGTTCAAGCACCAGGGAGACCAAATAAACACTGTCAAATGCAACAGACAAGAGGAAAAATTGAATTAGGATAAAAAGTCAAAATTTCAAGTGAAGCTAACACCTACATAGCAGTTGTGTGCCAGGTACAGTTCGAAGTGCCATATATATATGTTAATAACTCACCACAGATCTATAAGTGGATACTATTATTACACCTGTGTTACAAATGATGAAATAAGAGGCCGGGCTTGGTGGCTCACACCTGTAATCCCAGCACTTTGGGAGGACAAGGCGGGTGGATCACCTGAGGTCAGGAGTTTGAGACCAGCCTAACCAATATGGTGAAACCCTGTCTCTACTAAAAATACAAAAAAAATTAGGCGGGCGTGGTGGCATGTGCCTGTAGTCCCAGCTACTCGGGAGGCTGAGACCAGGAGAATTGCTTGAACCCAGGAGGTGGAGGTTGCAGTGAGACAAGGTCACGCCACTGCACTCCAGCCTGGGCGACAAAGCGGGACTCCATCTCAAAAAAAAAAAATAATAAAAATAGAAAAAAAGAAGAAGAAATGAGACACAGAACCAAAAAGTAACTTGCCCAAGGTCACACAACCACTAAATTGTGAAATCAGGTTCTGAAACCACGCAGTCTGGCACCAAAGTCCTTGCTGTTAATCTGCCATGCTTATGACCTGCTACAGATTGGAGTAGGATTGGAGTAGGAACAATTTCAAGGGCAAACCTGCAAAATAGTCACAAACTTTGCTGGGTATTTGTTTTGCCTTTACAGGTGCTTGCTTTGGAAAAGGTGTCAGTTAAATAGTTTCATAAGCAAGCAAAAAGACTTTCCTTTTAAGGTGACTTAAGAACAATGAATGTATCTTTTCAATAATGTGAACTCAGTTTTACTGAGTTTTAAAATTAACATTACTTACATTATTTGAGCAGGCAGGCAGGAAAGAACAACCCGTTTTACATATAAACAAGATATATACAAGCATACAAACTATTACTTTTAAATTGACTTTAATGCTGTCATTTCAATGTTATAAATGTTGTTGGTGTTTTGAAATAAAGACTGCTATACAATGGACTCCCCTAAGCTGGAAACAGCTTCACAGTCCCAAGAAGTTTTCCTGTAAATGTCAGTATGCTACTACATTAATACTGCCTAGTAAATTATTTAAAGCATATGCAATTCTAGAGTTTTTTTTTTTTGCCTAAATGATAAAAAGGAAACAATTTATTTATTGCTAAAATTTATATAATTTTTAAATTTTCATTTAAATATTATAAATTTGTCCACAAGCTTTCTGGCAGTGGTGAAATTTTAAGAGTAAGAATAAAATAAAATAAATGAGTTGCATCTGTTTACATACCTGTTAAATAAACAATTTTAAAAATCATAAAGCTTTCCATACAACTCTGACCAGACAAATTGAGCAGAAAAATGTCCTTTTATTCAAATGTTATGGCTGTTTAGAATCTTTCTGCTTTATCTCTTTAAAACATACATAGTCCATTAATATATTCACTGAATCTTTGAAATTTTGATTGCTTCATAAAATGATTTTGTTACAAACCTTTTAATAATCTATTAAATATATCAATTCTTTTAATCATAATTTAATTATACTTAATATTATGTCTAAGCCACCTCTTTAGCCATTTTCAAATAAAGAGAAACCAGTAGAGTCTTTAAGTGTTCAATTGCGAATATCAATATAGAAAAGATAATATTTCAGTAATAGAGAAAAATTTAACCTGTAACAATTTAACATCAAAAGAAAAATGTCTTGGATTCATCAAAATTGATATACTCAGTTAATTTTTTTGGAAGGAAAAAAATCTTCAAAACCTAGAAACTGAAGAAGAGCAATAATAATTGAACATGTAAGCTTTTGGGATAAAAGCTCAGTGAAAGAATTCCATTTGGTGGAAGTAGAATTACATTCATAGTAAACAAATATTGGTGCTTAAAGTAAAATCAAACCAAAGAAAAACAAATTTTAGCAAGCATTGTGCTAGTGTGACTAGGGAATACACTTTAAATGTGCCTGTTGAACAATAGACTTGTTACAACAGTATTTTAAAAGCAAAGAATATTATCACAAGTCGAGATAGTTTGCAGGAAAAAAAAAAACAATCATGGAAGAGTAGTGGCTTAGAAAATGTAAGGAATACTTGTCAAAAATTATACTGTTGATTGTTATTTAGAGTGAAGCTTATTATTTACTATATTAGTATTTTTCCAATTGAGGGCAGGCCTTGTGCCAATCCCTATTCTAGATGTCTTACATTCTTATTTGATACTGATTGAAACCTTGCAAAAGATGTCTCAGTATCCCTATTTCACCAGTGAGGAAAAGAGAAATTGAAAGTTGCCCCAAATCAAAACTAGCAAGTGGTAGAACTAACTTTAGAAAGTAGGACTGCCTCACTTCAAATAGTCAAATGGGATGGGCTTAATCTATCTTTCAGTTTTTCACCATATAAATTATTATAGTTTCAAAATAGGGATTATGTGCAACTCCCCCAAACACACAAACACATAGACACACATTTTCTCTCTGACAATCACAAGCCAGGTGCCTAGCTTAAAAGTTTTTATTACTTTGTTTCAGAGTTTTTTTTCCTCTGCCTTACAGGATGCCTCTTAATACGCTTGCCATCTTTTCCCCTTGCACTTTTTGTTAGTAGATATTTAGAATATGAAAACTAAATGGAATATTAGTCTAAGCAAATTGCATTTGGAAAACTAAATCTGCCGGAAAAGAACAAATTACACCCTACAGCTCCTGTACACCCATCCTGAGACCAGACCTAAATCAAACATTTTTTTAAAGAAGTCGTAGTTTGGTTTTAGTTGTAAATCTGCTCATCTACATTAGCACAATTTCTGACAACTTGAAAATAAATTATAGAAGTGACCCCAAAGTTCCAGAGAATTGGCTCCGTGTCCCATTTTTTCTTCCTTGTTCCTGGTTTGTCATTCTGTTCATTTCTCTTCTTGGATTTGAGAAAGGAATCTGTTGACTCAGCAGCCCAGGGCTGCGGTTCTTTCTCTCTGGGATCCCTGCTCATTAGCTTCCTATGCGTGGCTTTCTTCCCTGCTGGCTCTGGGCTATAACCTCTCCTCTCATCCTCTTCAGGGAATGGAGAAAATTTGCTTATAACTGTGATCTAAACATAATCATGCAATAGGTACCCTAAAAATACTCAAGGAAGGAAGTACAAAGGACAGACTACCAATTGATAGGACGTCTTCTTGGATTTCATGATTGATACATTAGATTTCTTTACTCTGGGCAAAAAAAAAAAAAACAAAAAACTCCTAGACCAAAAAGTGTACCTTCTCCTTAGAAAGTGCCTGTCAATACTATTTCAGAGAAATACTATGAAGTTGGACTTTTGTGGGTGCTTACGACAGCAATTTCCCTAAAGAGCTTAGAAGTGGGGAAATAAACCAAAATAGAAGTTGAAGACTTTTTAAAATATTTCAAGGACTAAAATGGTCACTGTAGACATCAGGAAAGAAATCTCAGCACACAGTCCTCTTCAGCAAAGTCCACCGCTAAGTTATTTGTTTAGTAAAGAGTTTGTCAGGTAGCACTGCAGCTATTTGGGCAGACCCAACCAGAGAAAAAGATTCCCTGGCATAGAGTAAGCATGACGGTGCCACCTACTGGCCACTTTGCCACACTCTGTCATCCTGTGCCTAGCCCAAGTGGCTCTTGGCTTTGACACTGTCTTTATGGTGGTTTTGCTCTCAACCACAGGTGAAGATAGTGGTTGCTGGCCCCCCTGATAAATAAATAACTCTTGTTTGGGATAGGCAAATTCCTAAACTCACAGGAATTGTTTTCTTTCTTTATACCATCCTTGTATAAAATATACTACCATAAAATGTCATAAAAATTAGAGATTCTCTGCAAGAATATGGGCCTTATGTGATGATAATACAAGCACTTCAAACCTGATTGATGCTTGTTGTGAAGGTTTTCTTAGTACAAAGGGAACATGTTTCTACACTGCCACTCTGATTGTCTCTCCAGTTAATGATTTCCAGAAAAGAGAAGTGGTATAATCAAAATTAAGATATAGTCCTCTGATAGAATAAATTAATGCTATGCTTTCCTATTAAATAATATAGGTGTTTTCAAGGGGAGCCAGTGTTAAATTAGGAGCAAGGTTCGTTCTATTTCCCCAATAGTTTTACTTGCATAAAGGATATGCTGCCTGGCCCAACCCTGCAATTTACAGGGCCCAGGATACCATGTGTCTAAATATTTTAAAAGTTATGAATCAGACTATAAATAAAATCTGTTCTATCCACCTACCTTGACAAATATGTCTTGATAACAACTTGGAAGGCTGAGTTTGGATTTGAAATTCTGTCTCCCCTGAGTTCCATACCAGAAAATATTGACATAGACATAGCCAGCCCGTGTCGCCAGCCTCTGGCCCTAGACTGCTTCATCACTCCCCATCTTATATTATGAACAGCTTTGTGCTCAGATTTGTGGACACCTCAGCCCAGTCTTCAAGTTTTGTCTACCTTTTGCAAACAGCTGCCCCTTTTTGGCTGTCTCTTCATGCCTCTGAATGGTAGAGTTGGAGAAGAGAACTGCCAGGGCCTGGAAGGGAACTCAGAGCCACGGGGCAGGGAATTCTAGGGTCTCAGATAAGAAGAGGTGGTATGGGAGGAGGGAGGGAAGCACAGGCTCCAAGAAGTCACATCCAGCTGGCTCTGTGGACTCCTTACACTGTAGGAAAGGGACTGGCAATGGAAAACACAAAGCAGAGTTCTCCATAGTGTGGGTCTTGGGCCAAAGGCCCCTCTTGCTTTGGCCTTAATGGTGGTGTTAAATGCTCCTGTTTTTGAG
Source organism: Homo sapiens (assembly GCF_000001405.40). Taxonomy (NCBI): domain Eukaryota; kingdom Metazoa; phylum Chordata; class Mammalia; order Primates; family Hominidae; genus Homo; species Homo sapiens. Next base: position 3,239,662 of record NC_000009.12, on the reverse strand, counting down.
GCTACTTTTCTCTTCAAAGGCAACTAAGGCCAATATTGTAATCTGAACACTTCACCGCCTGCACACTCACTTGTAAGTGTGTCTTAGACATTTAAACACAATTAGGTACACCTGTTGCTATGTCCCCAAGGCAGGCAGAAAAGCCGGAACAGTTAGAATCATGCTGCCCTGTTTACAGATTGGCCAGTAGCACACATTGCCAGGATAGCTGTCTAGCCCACAACAGCAAGACCAACAGCCACTGCGGGCAGGATTTGCCCACGTGTGGAGCAAACTGCCAGAGATCTTGGCCTTCTTAGCAGGTTTCAATAAAAACTATTTAAAGATACATAGAAAAGTACACATACACATACAAAGAAAAGTAACCAAGGAACACAAGGTTTTACCAAATGGAATGTTGTTAATCCTTGCAAATATTATAAAACTAGAAATTAAAGTCAGCAACCTTTTCCTCGCTTGCAAAACCATGTATCAGTGCTAAATGCAGAATGCTTTGATTTATTTGGTTCTTGTTTGGGAGACATTTAAGGAAAATAATAATGCTCTGGACTCCTTATATTGAAATTTCAAGATGTTTCTTTTCACCATCAAAAACATCCAGAATAGCTGCCATTACCTACCTTTTTTGAATCAGTTTTATTATCTCTGTTTTTTTTTTTTTTCTTTGAGATGGAATTTTGCTCTTGTTGCCCAGGCTGGAGTGCAATGGTGATCTCGGCTCACTATGACACAGCCTCTGCCTCCCGGGTTCAAGCGATTCTCCTGCCTCAGCCTCCCGAGTAGCTGGGATTATAGGCATGCGCAACCACGCCCAGCTAATTTTGTATTTGTATTTTTAGTAGAGACGGGGTTTCTCCATGTCGGTCAGGCTGGTGTCAAACTCCCGACCTCACGTGATCCGCCTGCCTCGGACTGATCACTTTTATTAAGTAACGTTAATAGAATTGAAATCACAGGAAATTGCAGAGCTATATATTATTTGTAAAATTCAGAATGTTGCAAAGTTCAAGTTAAGTATGGAATGCTGAAAAGAGAAGCATTGAGTCAGGAAGTTCCAAATCTGCGTGTGAACAATCTTCCTGATTCTCTAAAAAGGGCTTTAAAGGGCCTATTTCTTCATTGACTTCTTTGAAGAACAGAGAGAAACACTCGGGTTAGGCCAAGGTTTACATGCTGATAACTCATCTAAGTTCATCAGCTATTTCCAGTTGTGTAATCACCCCCATTCCAGCAAACACATGCACACACAAGCACTTCATCCCTTCTCAGGCCAGCCCTTCTCATGGTATTTGCTGGCTTGAATCATAAATGGCTTGATCAGTGCATAAACCGACTTCCAGCTCCAGTCCTAGTTTGAGTTTACAGTGTCAACCTGACGTCAAAGCCCACTTTACCCTTCCATTCTTAGACTGTGCTTCCTGGAATCCCACTTAGCTAGAGGCATTTATTTCATTTTAAAATCACCATCTTATGACCTTATTATTAAATGGAATTTTACTGTTTTATCGATAGTATTTGAAAATTGAGTTTTAAAGATAATGTGACACGGTAGAAGCACTGTTCTAGGTCCCTCTGCAAACACGAACAAATTCAGTCCTCACGTTGTGAACTGTCTGTTCATATATTGGGAAGTCTAAGGCTCAAAGAGTTTAACTTGTCTGGGAGCACACAATTTTTTTTTTTTTTTTTTGAGACAGGGTCTTGCTCTGTCACCCAAGCTGGAGTGCAGTGGCACAATCACAGCTCACTGCAGCCTTGACCTCATGGGCTCAGGCGTGGGATAGTGGTAGAGTTGTGATTCAAACCCAGGTCAGGCTGGCTCCACTTCTTATGTTGTTCCGCCCATGCTGTGCTCCACTCCTGTATTTAAATTCTATATTTCCCATTTAATATCTTTGCACCCTGGGAAAGTTATATATAATATCCTTGCTTGAGTCTTAGTTTTCTCCTCAACAAAATAAGCATAAGGACATTTTTTCATAGGGCTTTTGTGAAGATTAATTTAGGTAGGTAAGTAGAGTAGATAGGCAGGCAGACAGGCACATAGTAGGTTCCTGATCTTTGTTAGTTCCATCTCCTTCCCCTTTCCATAAATATGTAAATATCTGATAAGTATTTGATTGCCTTCTACTCTGGATTAGATTTTTAAATACCAATTCTGCATTGACTATCCAAGTAATAATGTATATAATTAGATCATCATTTTTTGGACCATACAAAGATAAAGTTGAAATTGATAAAACAGATAAAAAAAGACATATGAAGGCATTGATAATACTGTACTGCTACTGGAAGAATACTCTGCAAACAATTTTTGAATGTTGAGTCAAATGATTCATGGAATTACAAAGAATCCAACAGCATTCTTTGGTATGTAGCCAAAGTGGTAATCAAAGGCAAACTAATTCAATGCTTTGAAAAACACAAACAACAAAATAGAGTGGGAAAACAAGTCAATTAGAAAAGAAAATGGGAACATTAGAGAAGAAGCATAAACATAATTAGTTCTAACTAGACAGTCATAGCTAGACTTGAATTAAATCTTAAATAGTAGAAATGAATGAAAGGTTTTGTAAGTACTTGTGAAGTGGAGAGAAAGGATAATGTATAGAATTTAAGCAAGTTAAAAGGTTGCTTCCCAAAGAGATATCTTATTCCAGCCACAAGATAGAAACTATTTCAGAAAAGTTTATAATCATTTGTTCTTTGGGCCTGTGACAGCTTAAAAATCTTCTTTCCTAGAGCAAATGATTCATTCACAGAAACTGGCAAAATGTATACATATACAAATACATATTTTCTCCCCTACATTTGTTTATCTAAAGTTACCATTTGCTGGCAGAACTGGTCTCCAAGGTACCTGATGACCCTCAAGTGAGTAGTCTTTTCTGGTTAACATTTTCACATATGTGGACTATCTGTTGCTGATTATCATGTTCCCAGGTCAGCAGGAATGCTTCTAGCAATGTGGTGTCTGCTTTGTGTGTCCTGCTGTGTCCACTGCCTGTGGTCACTTCCGCCATCTGATAACATGCCAGCACCTTGGCCTCTGACTGCCCACCTCTGCACAGCATGGATCCTCATGGAACCATTGAGAAGTGCTGACACAGAGGGCTTTCCAAGGTCTTTGGGGCTGCTTGTGGTGCAGCTGGTAGCATGGGTTGGTGCTCATGAAACTGTCCAGAGGACCAGGATATATCCTCTTCCTTAGTGTGTACTTTAACATATTCTTTTGGATATGGAGCTTAGGACTGCTCTGTCCCTCCTATCCCTCAGTATATTTTGGTTTCCTCAATTTTGGTTTCCACTTCTTTCTCTGAATGACTTCCTTGTCAACTTCCTTGACAACGTTCAGCTCTGTGAACCTCATAGACTTTTTAGATGCATGTATGGTGTCAACAGCCTAGGCCTTGAAATGCATGCTGTAAACACTTTCAGACCGGTAGGAACTTGTATGTAAAATTAAAAGTCTGTAAATGAAAAATAAAGTACAAATGTACTAGTGGCAAATATATCATAAAAGATTAATTGATTCCTATATACCACTGTACCCTATCCTTAGTGAGGAACATAAACAAAATTGAGGAAAAAATTGCTATGTCCCAAATAGCTTAATCGGGTTGGATGTGTTTCCTCCAATACTAGAAAAAAAAAGTCATATGGTTTCACTCAAGCAAATGTGATAATTTAAAAAAATAACTTATGTATGTGTGATAAGCAGTAGAATGGGCATTAAAATGTCTACATCTTAATCCCTGGAACCTGTGAATATATTAAGTTATAAGTGGAACTAAGGTTGCTAATTGGTTGAATTTAAATGGGGAGATTATCCTGGATTATCCAGGTGTGCCCAATGTAGTTACAAGAGTAACTACATTGTTAGTATGTAGAATACTACATACTAACATGAAGAGAGAGGTGGAAGAATCTGTGTCAGAGTGACGCAATGTGTGAGACTCAACCTGACATCACTGGCTTTGAAAATGGAAGGAGGCCAGAAACCAAGGAATGGTGACAACCTCTAGAAGCTGAAAAAGAGGTAAAAAAAATTCTTTTCTAGACACTTCAGAAAGAACCACAACTCTGCCAACACCTTGATTTTAGTGACTGCAAACCCATTTAGAACTTCTGACCTCCAGAATGACAAAATAATAAGTTTGTCTTGTTTTTAGCCACTAACTGTGGTGATTTGTTGCAGCAGCAATAGGTATGTTACAGTATGAAAGCTATATTCCTCTGAATGAATATTGCTCATTGAAGACTTACGGATTATAGGTTCTTCCTCCAGTATATTATTTTTTCCTGCTTCCTCCTCTCCTTGCCACACATCGTACTGTCCTTTCTCCATTGATGACCCACGCTGAAAGCCGTCATCATCTGGAACACTCCCTATTTGCTTTTACCTATGGAAAACTTCTATATTAGACTCTCTCTTTACGTCTTCACCTGCCACCCAAATTGGAGCAAATGTCCCGTTAGGGAAGCTTGCCCCACCTGAATAACACATGTAAACTTTTCCCTAATCTCTTGTCTTGCAAACTTTAATGAAATCTTTTCTGTCATTCTCGACTTCTTCCGTCTTCATCCACGAATGCGTACAATTAAACACCAGCTTTGGTCTGTCTCTCTTTGCCTGTATATGCAAGTACCCAGCGAAAGTGGAGGAAGATGATTTTTCTCACTCATTTCTGTCTTTAAAAGCTGACTCTTACTTTTCCCTTGTGACCTTCATCAGTTGATGCCCATATGCATGAGCTGTCCTCTCTTGAAGGCTCTGGTTCTGTATCCTTCCTGTGACCCAAGTCCTTATATACCTTTCTGAAAGATAAAAATCTTCTGTTCCCTTCACTGTTAATGAGCTGGAGCAGGTCTTCCAGGGTCTTACAAGCTGTTCCTCTAGTCAGGTGTCAGCAAACAGTGGTCCACAGGCCCTATCCAGCTCATCATCTGTTTTTGTAAATGAAGTGGTTTGATTTTGGGGTGGGGTGCTTTTGGGTTTTTTTGTTTGTTTGTTTGTTTGTTTTGAGACTGGGTCTTGCTCTGTCACCCAGGCTGGAGTACAGTGGCACGATCACAGTTCACTGCAGCCTCGACCACCTTGGACGGTGATTCTCCTACCTTAGCCTCCCGACTAGCTGGGACTACAGGCGTGTGCCACCACACCCAGCTAACTTTTTTGTATTTTTTGTAGAGATGGGGTTTTGCCATGTTGCCCAGGCTAGCCTCAAACTCCTGGGCTTAAGCAATACGCACACCTGTGCTTCCCAAAGTGCTAGTATTACAAGCGTAAGCCACTGTGCCCAGCCTTGTTTTTGTAAAGTTTTATTAGAGCTATGTTACACACATTCATATACCTGTTATCTATGGCTATTTTTGCACTACACTGGTAGGGTTGAATAACTGTGACAGAGTCCTAATGGACTATAAAGCGTAAAATATTTACCATCTGGTCCCTTACTGAAAAAGTGTGCCAGCCCCTCTTCTAGACCATACACTTTCATATTTTGCTGGTATCAGTTTTGTTTTATTTTGTTTCCTGGGTGATAGTTAACATAGTGATATTAGACTTGGACATATAAATAGAGAAAGAGACAGAGAGGAAGGATGAAAATGTGCCTACCCGTAAATCTGTAATCTGGATATACTAACAGGGAGATTTTCTGTAAGATGCAATTTTTCTATGCAGCTTTTGGTATCCTTTCAGAGTACTGGGATAGTAGAGTCGGACTGATTCTGCATGTCTGGTTTACAGTTCTTGGGAGATAATGATGATATTTATACATAATAACAATATTGATAATGGTGATCATTTGTTAAGTGCTTCCTTATGTGCCAGGCACTATGCGAAGTACTTTATCTTGGTTCTTTGGAAAGATCCAAATTAACACTATTGGGGAACTTGTTACAGATTTGCTTAAACAATTAGCAAGCGATGGCTGTGCTTACAAAGAATTAATGATACGTATAACATAAATGTGATTATGATTACTCACTAATTCTTTCTCCTCAGGGTGGGGTAAACTCTTCCAGCAGGGAAGGTGTCCCTAAGGGTGAGGTCTTCATCCCAATCCCCTGAGCTCTTTCCTTCTCTCCTACTTCTGTTCCAGTCTCTGTTTCTTGGCCCCCACCATGGATCCCCACCTGTTTGCTGTCTAGGCACCCTAACTTCCTCTGCGTTGTTTCAGTGCCCAAACATTACAGAACAAGGCTTGCCTGCCTCACTATGAAAAGTCAGCTGTTGCTGAATTGAATGTACAGTGGTCTCTTTAATGCACCTGTGGGCTGCATTCTCCCACGCTGAGCCAGGTTCCTCTCAGTATGCTCAGGTATAGATACTAGGCCTCAAAATCCTGTAATGAACAATCCAGCTGCCTGGCCACAACCCAGGGTCTCTCAGGGATCCTGCCGATCATTGCCCTGGCTGTGCTAAGCTGTTGCCCACTTATACTTCATGGACATTGCTAGTCTTACACGAATATTTGTGCTAATAGACTCTCACTGGCTGCCTGGAGCATGCATTTCCCAGCCTGCTGTTGTCCAGTGAGGTGTTCGTTATTTTGACCCTAGTCAGGACCCAGAGGAAATAGTCTATAGGATAGGAAGTATTTCTTCTCTCAAACAATAGACATGCTTTCTCTACTGTCTGTTCTAGTTTCTCTTCGGAACGTTTCCTATTTATCTCTCTGACTGATGGAATGTGAATTCATACATTGAAGGCCATATACTTTCTAACTCCAGAGTACTTTTAAAATCCCTTAATTTATATTTCTTCCTCCATGTGTGGGTGTTTCTCTCTGTCTGTCTCTCTCTGTTCCCTTCCCCTCCCTCCCCTCCCTCTCTCACCCCACATCCCATCCCATTTCTCTCTCTCTCTCTCTCTCTCTCTCTCTCAGATTCTAAACCAAGGAGAATATCTGGTCTCAAATCTAACAACACCATATTTACTACATGACATTAGACTAATCAACTCATTGTTTTCAATAGCTGTAAGATGAAATCTAAACACTTAACTTGCCAAATTCCTAAGTTGTTTTGGTGAGGCTGAAATGAGGAAGTAAATTCATTCATCTGGTAAGTATTTATTCAGCCTTTAATGTGTATCAGGCACTATACCAGGTGGGATACATTTATGAAGAGAACAAATGAACTTTCTTACCCATGGCAGTAACATTTTGGTTGGGAAGACATATATTAGGTGAGGAAACAAAATAAGTTCGGCAGGTTGTGGTGGGTGCTTTGTAGGAAGTGAGCATGATGCGGTGACTGAGAGTGACAGGGATGGTGATACTCAAGATAGGGCTGCCAGGAAAGCTTCAGGGAAGCAATATTGACTGTGTGACACTCGCAGTCTGTTTGAGAGAAAGCCTACTGTATACTGAACCACAGACACACCTTATAAGTGGTAAGATGTCACGTCAGTGAAGAGTAGCCCCCTCTAATCCTTTGTGCAAGAGGAGAAATTACAAAACAGTAAGTTTTCCCAATTTGTGATGCTGCAACTTCATAATAATCCCTATAGTTTCTTGTGAGCTTCCTTTTTTTTTCATCTAAATCTTTTACTGCTTCCTCCTCTTCTGTTTTTTGTTTGTTTGCTTGCTTGCTTGCTTGCTTGCTTGCTTGCTTGTTTTTGAGACAGAGTTTCGCTCCTGTTGCCCAGGCTGGAGTGCAGTGGCACGATCTCAGCCCACTGCAACCTTCGCCTCCCAGGTTCAAGTGATTCTCCTGCCTCCGCCACCATGCCCAGCTAATTTTTATATTTTTAGTGGAGATGGGGTTTCACTATGTTGGACAGGCTGATCTCGAACTCCTGACCTCAGGTGATCCACCCGCCTCAGCCTCCCAAAGTGCTGGGATTATAGGTTTGAGCCACCATGCCTGACCTCTCTTCTGTTTTTGATTTGTGCTGGCCTAATCTTGTCATCTGGCCCCTATCTATGGTACTATTTTTCTTCTGCCTGCTCTCAATCTTCCCTGCCACTGTTCATACCCTTCCTTCCTGCTGCTTGACTTGTTGCATGCCATAAACCCATGCAATTGGTTTCCATTTCTAAGACTTGAACCCTATACTTCTAAAACCTTCCCTGAGGTTTCCTAAGCGCTCATTTTTCTGCTAACCTACCTACCCTTCAGAATATAGGGAATGTCTGCTACTTACCTCCTGAAGACAGGAATATTTCCAAATTGATCTGACTAGAATTGGCTGGCATAGTGCCTGGCAAGTAGTAAATCCTCAATAAATATGTATTGACTAAATGAGTAAGTGAACTGATTTTGCGGATCTCATGCAGCCTATCTATAGGGTTAAAGTGTTTTTTCCTCTGTAACTTTACATCTGTTGTCCCCTCACATGTAAAATGCATATAAAAGCCTTTACCTTCAGCTCTATAGGATAGTAAAATCTTATCTCTTCTTCACAGGATTTTTAAAATTTTTAATCTACTCTCTCTATTTGCTGTACATGTGAAACTTTGTCGTTGATCCCAGAGACACCTAGAGGTATTGACAGTGTCTCTGACATTCTTTGTACATTGTCCCCCATAGTGCATAATGACAAGCCTCGGAATTTAGTATGTAACTGGATTTTTGTTAATGATAATAACAATCACTGAGATTTCAGCTGTTTTGGTTTCTGTTTTCAGCCTCTGAATTATCAAATGTATTATTCGTATTAAGTAGAAACATCTAAGGAAAATCTTTGTATTAAGGAAGTTGTCATGTTTTCGGAGTTAAGTAGCAACTAAATGCAATGTTTCTTTTGAAGATAATTTTCAAATATGTCCAGAGTTTGGTTTTAGACACTTTGTGTGATATTATTGATCAGCAATAGCAATAATAACTTAACTACAAACAACTTGCAGAGACTTTTCAACAGCAAATAGAATACTCACTTTTTATCAGTATAAAGGTGTGTTTAGAATCATCACTACCAACTCCTTTCAAGAACTTAAGTGTTAAGTATTCCCTTAAATCTGTATCTTCTTGTGTTATGTCAGTTAGTAATAACTGTTAAATGATCCTTCAGTTTTGAACATTCTCTGTTTATAGTTCTAAAATATTTAAATAATACCAAAAATTGATGAAGAATCCCTCTGGGTTTTTGTTGTTTAGATTATATTCTTTAATTCAAGAAAATCCACATAATTTACACTGAATTTTTATTTAGACTTATAAAAGACCTGACCTATGTGATCAAGAACAACTGCAAAACTTCAGTATTTATGATTTATATTTGTTGCCCCGTGGGATGTATTAGGTTGGTACAAAAGTAATAGTGGTTTTTTCCATTACTTTTAATAACTCTAAAAAATAGCTCTAAAACAGTGGGGCAGACTTTCAAATAAACATACTAATAATTACATGTCTAGGAGGCCCCTGTCTCCTTCAAAGCAGTCACCTAGGAAGGCTACACATTTGTTCCAGTAATGCTTCTATGGCTTAAATATGTTGTGGAATGCCTCTGAAATGCTAAGAAATAAAGGTGAAATGACATTATTTTAAGTAACCTGAATTGTGGCAGAGGTGAATTTAATTTTGTTGAGTAGTCAAATCATCCCAGGACCAAGTGTAGTAAATAAAATCTGGAGTGTTGTTTGGAGCCATAGTTGGATGTAAAATAACAAGATGGGCTTTCCTAATGATGCATAAACTAACTCTTGAAATTGTCAAAGAGGGATTCCAGAACCCTGGACCTTGGAATAAATGTATAAGCTCCCAAGGTAGCTACTGTGAAGAACAGTACTTGTCTAGGTAAGGAAAAAAATATGTGTATGTTTGCAAAATAAGATCAGTTTTATTACTTTATAGACAAACCTTGTAGATGAAAAAAATACTCCTATCATGGAACTCTTTATAAGCAAACTTCTGAATGTAAGTAGAATTTCTGCCTCATCCTTTCTAAGCCTGTTGAGAAATCTGAATTTCTAATAATGACTTATTACCTTAAAAAAGTAATGTTTACTGTTTTAAAAGTAGATGCTTTGCAGTTTCTCTTCACCTTTTTTTGATTAGCTTTGTTACTCTATTCAATTTTTATTTCAGTGTATCCATCTTTGTTCACCCTGAGATTCTCAAAATGTGTTTTCTCATTGGAAAATTATCAAACTATTGAACTAAAAGTTAGAAAATAATGTCTAAGCCGAAGGCTATTAATTGTTCTATATTGTTTCAAGCTCTCTTTGTTGGCATTAGTAATGATCAGATGCTTTTCTTTTTAAAGTGAGACCCTATTATCTGAGAGAAGTCTCAAAGATTTTGTAAAAACAAATACACTCAATTTTGGAGTTTCTATTTTCCTTTTTTACTAATAAAAGCTTTAAAAATAGAGTTCAGCCAAACTGCTGGATATTGTTTCTCTAATGTAGAGACTTCCAGGTGGACTCATCTGCCAAGTATAGGGGGTGGAGCTGATGTGTCCTGCTTGATTGGGGCTTTTCCAAATTCGTTTTGCCACATCAGTCTTCATCCAAGTCATCCAGGCTCCTATTTCTTCATTGCTGAGTTGAAATAATAAAAGGTAAAATGGAGCAAGGAAAGCAGAGAAAATTGTTATCCTTCTGCGAAGAGGCTAAGACAGCTAAATTGTGACATAATTTAAACTGTTCAAATTTGACAAGTTTGATTGGAAAATTATGTGATCCATGTAATTAGAGATCAAAATGGCCACTAGTTTACAGTTTTAAAGAGTCATAGATTGGCATTTTTACTACAGACTGATAGAGTATTATTTTATTCTGCCCTATATTAACTATTGCACAAATGACTATTGTTTTGCAGTTTGGTGATTTAAATGCCGTGTCTCCTGGAAATCTGGATAAAGGTAAGAATCGAAAATAATGTACATTTTAAGAACTTTTATTTATTAATAAGTTCTTACAGAGGAAAATACGGTATATGTTTACAACACTCTGATTTTGTGGAAGTGGCATACAAATCCTAGATAAATAGGAAACTCCTGTCTTTTCATTATTTCTCCATTTTTCCCCATCCCTATGCCTTCTACATATGAGGTATATTAAATGCAGATAACTGAATTTAAATGTAGTTATAAAATTCTTTATACTTTTTTCCTGAAGTTCATTACAAGCAACAAGAAATTATTTCTGACCATGGCTAGAGTCCTGGAGATAAGTGATAAAATTGGATGAGACATTTTTATTCAAGGCCCACCAGGCAAGAAAAAAGATTCCTCGGCTCACCTACCTCACCAGTTCCTACTTGTGTGTAGAAAAAGAACTCAGAGATAGCAGTGAGGTTTACTGTAAATGCAAGATTAGTAGTGGTATAGATGAAAAAGGTAACATATGTACTTCTGAAATTTTAATATCAGCATTGCCACTCTAATATACAGTATAATATGATAACATGATATATATTTCTGAAGAACCTCAAGATCAACAAAATCACACAATAAAAAAAGCAAGGTGGACTTAGGGGGAGATAGAATGCGGATAGAGCACACAAATCTTACCCACCTTTATAAGCAGAGCAGAAGCAAAACAATACTGATAAATATACCAGTGCAATTTTTAAAAACAAGTAAATTATCTATTAACCACTGCAGGAAACAGAGCCCTTTCTTTTAAAAGGTGGCGGAGGGTGGGAGGTCTCTTGAGGTGTTAAAGAATTGTTACGGTTATTGACTATCGGCGACAGGTACAAAATGCACAAAAACTGGGGAGAACTATGCACTTAGCCCTTCCAGGCCAGAGCCACTGGGCAAAATGAGGTGAAAAGAAGTACGTGGGGAGTCTGTAAAGAGGTTCGGCGCTATTCGCCAAAGTGTGCAATATTAAGGTACTCAGTACACTAGCAGCGCAGGGAAATGAGAAAATTATAGCCAAAAAAATTGTTGCTACAAATATATACTCTATAGGATTAACCAAATAACCCTTAGAAAAATAAGTCAATGATGATATTAATTAGTAATTTTAGAGCAAGAAAGGTGGTAATTGATATCCGTGTCCCACATAAAGCAACACTGATGATATACTCACACCAAAGCCTCATAACCCAAATTTAGGGATTTCATCCCAGGGTGTCCAGAAGGACAGTAGAGTTTTACTGCTCAGTCAGAGACTGAATTCCAGCCAGGCTTCTTCACACGGTGCTGAACCACAGTCTTCTGTAAACTCCTGTAGCGCCTAATTTTAGTTTTTATGCACCAAATTTCCATAACCTGAAGTAGATTTCTAGAAAGTGTCTTCGAGTTTTTATAGAAGCATAAAATGTCTACAGAATTACATTCCTTTGTCCTTAGGACCTGGAGAATGGGCTTGCTTTTATAAGTTGCTTTGTAAGTTCTCCAAAGGAAACCTGTCACCCAGAGATAGACCTAAGCAAAACCTACCTGGAACACTTAAATCGTCCAGTCCATTTTCTCACTACCCTTTCCATCCACAACAAAATAGACAGAGGAACTTTCCTCACTTTGTCTCCACTGCCCTCCCTGCCTGAAAATGAGCTTTTGTCTTTTCAGTGCTCCCTTTTTTATTATTTTGACACTAATTTCTTAGGTACAGGGAAGTCTGTGGACAGGGAGCAGAGAAGCAGTGTGACTTGTCCTCACCTGCTGGATGTGGCCACGCTGGTCCCATTTACCCCCAGACCTCTTGATGGCTCTTGAGTTAGAGCCAGATGGGCATACTCAGGACCTAAAGACTGAATGTGAAATCCTAGGAGGTTTTGAGGGCTTCTCCCACAAAATGAGAATTCTTATTCTTGATAATATAAGGGATATTTGCTCCGTAGAAAAATTTCAAATAATACAGAGAATTAGAAACTATAGAAAGTGAAGCTTTATTATCACAACCATAAGAGACTGCCACCATGAAGAGTTTGTGTTAAGATCCTTACAGACATTGTTGTTTTATGTATAAAAACATGAAAAACCAAAACATATCATGCAAACATGTTTCAAGTATACCCTCTTGATGAAGTAAATGTCTACAAAAGGTATCCCTCTCCCTGTAGCCCTCCAACCCTTTGAATGTACTTGTTCTGACACACTCAAATATTATCATTAAGTTCATTTACCAGAGGCAAATAGGTAACTTGATAAAGTCGGTGGGCCGAGATGTCTTTTGCCTCATCTAAGAGCACTTCTTTGTTTTATTGGTCACTAATGCGTGACACACATTTCTAGGTAATGCATGTTAATCTCCAGCTGTTTAATCACAAATTGCCATTTCTCAGACCTTGCTCATGGTGGCTGTACACTGTACAGCCATATATGGAAGCCCTTTTACCTCTCACTGCTTTTTTCTAGAACAAACTTTGCCCTAGTCATAATGAAATAAGAAAAGTCAAGGGGCCTTGTTTATAGAGACAGCTGCATTAGCAGAGATTTTTGCTGTGGGTGTCTGCCAAGTGGTAAAGTTAAAATCTTACTGCTTGCAAAGAATCCAGCTTAATCTGACTAAAGAGATACTTGTTGCACATTCATTGTATGTGATATGCCATAGAACAGTAGAGAATGGAGACCTGACTCTGTTTATACAAGCCACTGTAATTATCCCTCATGAAGAGGTATTCTGAGGAGACTCTCACACAATAGTAAAGCTGTATATGTGCATTTTCTCTCTCTAATGTACTTTTGAATTTTAACAGTGCATACTGGAAAAAATTAAATGGCATTCTATTATAATGATGCTTTAGTTAATATAAAACGTATTACAATTTGGGGGTAACAGTGACTATATAATGCATTTAATTTCCAGAAATGAATACCAGCTATTAACAGTATCAGTTGCCAAGAATGGAAATCCATTGCACATTTTTAATCTGATACTACTGCCTCAACCTTAATAATTTTTATAATAAAAATTAAGGGTTTATTTAATACTGTGACATTGATGAGTGCCAGAAAGTCTTACAGCAGCCTCTGTTTATACATGGAATAATAATGTTAAGAATCAACATAGGTCTTATACATTAACGCTAGCATAGATAAAATTTATATTTAGTGTAGATTTTTGGAGGAAACAACACTTTTTTTGTGTTTGCGTTTTCAGCTCAGTACATTCCCCAAAAGCCAGCATAACATACCAAAGTGACTATTTTATTATGACACAAATTATGCCATTATTTAATATAACACTTAGGGAAATTCCAAAGGCCTTTTTTTTTAAAAAAGTTAACAAAGTATCAATCACAAGTTGCCAAAAGTAAATTAATCTCACTATGTTTGAAAGAATTATAGATGCATCAGTACAGCATTGATATGAATAAAATCTGATGAAAAGAAAACCTCTAAGCTTTGTTTCCTGAGAAGAGCTAAGCTGTTGCTTTCGTAATGTCCTATATTAAAGTGTTTCTAAAGCACCTGTTGATTGCTATTTTCTAATTTGTCTTCGATGATAGTCTTGGTATTATTTGTTTGTGCAGATGAAGGCAGTGAAGTAGAAAGTGAAATGGATGAAGAACTGGATGACTCTTCAGAGCCTCAAGCCAAAAGAGAGAAAACAGAGCTGAGCCAGGCATTTCCAGTGGGCTGCATGCAGCCTGTTCTCGAGACTGGCGTGCAACCAAGCCTCCTGAATCCAATTCACAGCGAGCACATTGTCACAAGTACTCAGACTATCAGACAGTGCAGCGCTACAGGAAATACCTACACTGCAGTCTAAAGAATATTAAAGCGTATTTTTCCAGCTTACATTAACCCTGTTGATATTGGGCTTAAGTTGAAAATTTAATAAGCCTGAAGGTCGACTGTTGTCAAATTCTATCTGTGCTGAACATTAACTTTTTGGAGTTGTGAAATGGAATGGGTGTATGTATTTTGCCAGATCTTTTTTTTTAACGTAAACAAATTATTTGCTTCTTAATAATGAATTTTTTCCCTTAGTTTCAGGTGTCAAGAAGGATTTTTACAACACTTAATGTCAATGTTTTGTTTTCTTATAATTAAAAAGTAATTTACATTTTTTGTAGCTTAAAATATTTTATTGTTGATTGTTAGTCTTGGTGTATGATTTCATGTGTAAGTTTTTTAATTAGATGCACTTCTGTGAAATATCAAAAGAAATGATTTTTTTGATTTACACTGGAGGCATGCCCATTTGGCAGCAGATGCATCAAATTTGCTTTTGAAAGGTGCTTTTCATTGGACAGAACCATAAGACACTATTTTGATAACATTTTGAGTATGGAGAGAGAATACAGAGCATTTTTATTATAGTGCTAGAGGGTTTGGAAGGTCATCTATTTTTCTCTGAGGAAAAAATGAGCTGTACATTTATCAGTTCAGAGTAAATGACAGAATTGCAAGAGATTATGCTAATATGTACATAATTTGTGTACATAATTATTAAACCATGTTAACAATGCAAGCTTCCGTTAAACATTGAATTTTAACTATTATTTGCATACCAATTCCTCTGTTTAAAGACTACTGATTCTGTATTTGGGACCACTGCACAGATGCATTCTGCTGTTAAGTGGGGGCTGTTATAGTTAGATACTGAAGCAGAAAAAAAAGACTTGACTTTTTTTTTTTAAGTGTACATGCTACTTATGCTGAGCTGGACATACAGGAAACCATTCCATTTGGATGACTTTCTTTTATTCCAGGTCTTTTTCCTAATAGTAGTTCAATATGCTGCTATTATAAACGAGAATTTATAGAATGCAAGGAATGTAGCAACCTACATAACGTTATTTCCTTCAAAACTATTTCCTGGTTTCTAAAGTATGTGGATTTAAATTGTAAACAGAACCTGAAGGCAGTGTAACTGGCACACCTCACTGTTACTTATCCCCAATTCTGTAGGATTTGGATAGGTGGCTGGATGGACCATTGCCATTGAAGAATGTACATCAGGGATCATCGTACCTCGGCTATTACATGGTGCCTTAAAACAGAACTGAAGCTAAGGTTTAGTAAGGTTTATTTTGTTCATGTGACTAACTCTTCAATCCATTTGACAAAGTGTGCCTGTCATTTTCAGATTCCTGAAGTAAGGACAGGTGACATGTTCTTCAAAGGAAATTTAGGGAAAACAAAGGAAAACAAAAAGACAAAAATCAGTTTCCCTCTTTGAGTGACCGTGGATCTATTTTTTATTCTTAGAGCTGAATATTACTTGATTACAAATCAGATTGCTTAAGGGTGTGGAATAGCAGGCTAGTTTTAATACCAACTTGTTAACATAAAATCATATATGTTTTAGACCATTCTTATTTAGTTACAATTTTAGAAAGTTAACAAAGTAAGCAGGTACTTATCGAAGTGCATCTTTTCAGTCTAAATGTTTGTCTGTGTGTCTAGGTGCTGGTGAGTCCACATGGACACATGAGTGCCCATGGGGCAGGAGTCTGCTATAAAGTCAGAAGGTGAGATCCTAGAGAGTTACACCCAGCCCCATTTTAATTTGCATGAAAAGCCAAGGTTCTTTTAAGCACTCAAATTATTTAATGATTAAAACACAAGAAAGGCACATCTGTTCATTTAAATAGTTGTAAAAAACTAATCAGCAAAAATAAATAGATAATAAAGCCAAAAAAAAGGAAAGCACAAAATGATTGACAGATTATCAAATGAGGCCTATATTAAACCCAAGATGTTTATCTTTCCAGTGGTATTGGGGTAAGGGGGGTGGGGGGTTGGAAAGACGAGGTGAGCCAGTCTGTAAAGTTAGAAATACCAAATGGCTTATCGGGTAATACACAGTGTATTTAAGCTGTTGTTGCTTAATTGCCTCAGACTACTCAAATAACATCAACAACATTTCTTAAGTAAAATTTAAATATTTTAGATGTAATTTTAAAAACTGATCCAAATTTTTTATTATACAACTCACTCATATATTTGAAAGTCTTCACTAGCATAGTAGCATCACCTTCATCTAAATGTCATTTAAATTACTGTCCCCCTTTTTCCTCCCAAAAAGACAATGGATTTGTACCAAAACACACACAAAAAAGGCAAACAAAACATGATAATCTGCAAAAGTTCATGTATCTACTTCATTGTGCATAGGAAGTGTTTACAGGTAAAATTAAAATCAAAAATTGAAAAAACACTCTTCATTTTGGCTCTCCTTTCTGAATTTTTTCAGTTTCCTGTCTCTACCCGCCATCCTTTGAGTGATACTATATCTGTATTGGACCAAATGTATTTACTGGTTTCATTTTGTTTATTGAATGACTTTAAATGTATTTATTATCATTGTTTAATTTAATGTTGGATATATTTGTATCATTACAGGAATCTGGTAATAATGGGCAAATTTAGATTGATGAGGCTTAGGGATCGGGGATGCTCCAGGATTCAACATTTCTTCCAATTGTTCATGGTTTGTTCTAAATTAGGACAGATTAAGAACTAATAAAACATTATTACATTTGAACTTGACTCAATAAAAATATTCTGATCTCCTTTATGAATATTAGGAATATTCTTTGTGATTAGTGTAAGTAGTTTGGATCAAAACATAAAAAGAAGACCTATGGTTTATGCTACTTCTAGTTATTTGTAGTTCACAGTAAAACATGCACAGACATACACACAAACATTTTCATCAATTTCGAATTTGAATTGTGAAAAATATATAAGAAAATAAAAACAATTTATACATTTGAGCAAATTGAGCAATCACATTTATTGCATTTATTTCCCTTTTTCCCTTTTTTCACTCATTGAAAGTGTGGGTTTTCTAAATAATATTAGACACTAACACTCAACAGATTTATTCACAAATGACACAAGTACACATTTTAAGACTTCTTTGTATTTCTTGCAATTATAACCAATCACTAGTCATGAAATATACCTACATAAACCAAGTCCTACACTTTCAGTGAGGAAGAATGTAAGGAAGGTATGTTGACTGTTTTCAAGTTTCAGAAAAGATATTTTCATATGATAGGATTGAGTATCATGGGTATAGTTTGATCTTGACATATAGTTTGAAAATCATACTCAAAAGATTTGCATTCATGAAACCAGTGAACAATAGGGTGGAATGGATGAACCATCTCCTTGGAAGACAGGGCCCAATTTTCAATTTTTTCTTTGGCTATCAAGTTGCTAGTCACTTATTCAGGATTTTCATCCAAACTGTGTTTGGACTGACTGTATAAGTCTTACTGCCTTTTCAGAAATCTGCTTTCCTTTGTGTGATTTTTCTTGTACTGTATAGCACGGTTTATGCACCTCTCTTTAGATGGTGTACTTTAAAAACAAAAGTAAAATTTAGAAAATGGTTTTAACACTGCATACCTAAAATTAGTAGTGTGCAGCATTGACTGCCTTTGATTTGTAGTAGACAAGTAAAAATGAATACGTTCTTGTAGAATGCTGTAAAAGTTATTCAGGAATGAATACGGTTTTAGTGCCGTAATCATGAATCTTTTTATATGAATGCACTGTCTAAAAGTGCTAAATGCATTTTCAAATTTTTAAAAATTCCTCAGATGATATATTTGAAATGTCTAAAATAATGCTGTGCTTGAAACATTAGTGTAAAAGGAAAAAAAAAATAGTGTCACTGTGATGTTGGTCCTCCCTGTGTGGACACAAGTAGAAAGAAAAAACTTGGCAAGTCACCTTTGTGTACAATTTGAGGCAGTGGTTATATACAATAAATTGACCTTTATTATATCCCCCAGACACACACATTCTTGGTGAGAAAAGAACAACCATCCAGAAATTGAGATGAGAACTTTTGTGATCTGTATGAATCACAGCAGATCATGGGGGAGGAGGATTGGCATGCAGTGCTGTTGAAAATTGGGCTTGTTGTTAGATCAGAACAACCTCCATGTATATGGTTAGAACGAATCAATTAATGGAATCCTAGTATTTCTGCAAGTTTGGTGATTTTTAAAAACTGGAATAGAAGCATTAATTCAGTGCTTAGTTCTAGTATTAGAAAACCCCTTTGATGTAATGCCTTGTATTAACCCTTTGAGCATTGTAAGATATACAATGGGGGACAAAAGCCTTTCAGATCATTTATTTAGACTTAGACCGGTAAAGTATACTCTATATCCAAATGTCTAATTATGCTGTTTTTTTAAAGGGGGGGGTAGGAAGAGAAAGTGTTTCCACGCCGAACACTTGCATTTTATATACAACTCTTAATTTTTCTTCAAGAGGGCTTGATATATTTATTCCCAAATATTCACTGCCATCTAAGTAAGTGTACTGTTTACAGAAAAAAAAAATCAACTTTTCTAGTATCACACCATAGTCTCTAGAAAAGGAGGACAAATACATGGGCCTGGATAGACCTATGTCATAACTGATTTCTGCACATTGAAGGTACCTAGATTGCCTTTAAAAGGTATAAAGAAAGGGTTAAGTTTCTTTTTTTTTTGTCTTTTTTTTCCCAAAATGAATCAAAAGATCTCATTTATTTAGCTTTAGAAAGTACAAGTGTAAGTAAAGCCTTAGGAAGAAAGGAGTTCGAGTGGATTAAGAGAATCTGAACTCTTTGGGGGCAGTTAGGCTATTTGGAGTTAGATCGCTCATAAAATATTGTTTGCGAATTTCACACAGGGCATAATTTTATCTATGCTCCAAAACTTTAATACGTTGTCAAAAAATTATATATAGATAGAATGGAGAGCAAAGCACTTGATTTTAAGCTCATCTGTCAGGAGATGCTATGACTACTGCTTCTGATATCTCTAAATGTCAGTCTGCTTACACCATTGCTGATTTTGTTCAAGGGAATCTCTTCGTGCACTTGATTCCCTCTGTTCCCTGCGTGATCGAACATGAAAGCAGTGTTGTCTGCAGATGTGCTTGCGCTGCCCTAGCTGGGTGCAAATAAGAGTGTAACCTATTCTGATGTCTGGTGAAAGGACATCCATAGCATAGTGCAAGTATGCCGTAAACGTTGCTTTTTAGGCAGTT
Organism: Homo sapiens; assembly: GCF_000001405.40. Taxonomy (NCBI): domain Eukaryota; kingdom Metazoa; phylum Chordata; class Mammalia; order Primates; family Hominidae; genus Homo; species Homo sapiens. Next base: position 3,219,804 of record NC_000009.12, on the reverse strand, counting down.
TAGGAAGTCAGACCATGCAAATTACTCATGTGTTAACATGCAATACTCAAAGGGTTTTAATTTAACTCTCTTCTTTTGAATTCTTCATGATGATTTACTGTAAATGCTTCTCAGTTTGCATGCCTTGATCATTGCTGCTAGTGATTTTATGTGCCAGTAGACCTGAGTTTAGTTTACCAATTTTACTTAAATAGTAAAAGCCACTTACAAAGTGACTGCCTAGGATTTTTTTTTCCTTTCATTTGAAATAATTGATAATATGTTTTTTTAAAAAGAAAAATGTGTTTTGTCTCTTCTTTTATTTGGTTCTGGTTTGATTCTTTTTCTCCCCTCTTTCCTTTGTTTTTTTTTTTTAAATAAATTATGATGTTGGGATTGGAAGCCCTGAGTAATGAAAATCTTTGGTAAGAATTGTTTATGTAGCTCAATAACGAGGACAACAAATATTCTTTAGAAGAATTTTGATTCTGGGGAGGAAAGAAAATATAAAAACTCCCATTGACTGTTGATAACCAAGTAAATTTTTCCTTCAGTAAATTAGTATTTTTGAAGAAACGATCGCCTTGTTTTAACTTGCTAAACAACAATTTTAAATGACCCAATAAAGAATCTATTGAACTTTATTCGTTTAAAAAGCATCTTTTGTACCAAAGCAAATTTTTTTCTCTACTCATTTCCATCATCAATTTGGACCTATGGTGGTGACCAATGCATTGGTTACAGAAACTTTAAGTGAGTGCCTTGAGAAAACTTGGAAATTTGTGCCTGAGGTGGTAAACTTTTAATTAGGTTAATTGTAGTGCTTACCAATCAGTAACTTCACTATCACTCAGGGCTTTCGTACCTTCTAGGTAAAACTTCTTTCATTGTGTTTTTTTAAGATACTGTATTTTTTTTTAAGTGCCATCATTTAAATTTCACTTAGTAAGTGGCAGATTACATTATTCAGTCCCACAAGCACAGAAACATAGTAACACTAGGAGATATTTGAACATTTATTTTACAATCGACTGAATATATTATGTAAATGAGGTAAGCAACTTTTGTAGAGATTGTATGTGTGAGATAATGTAATGTTCTTTTCCAGTTTTTGGACTACAGTTGAATAAACTTTTTAATTATTTAAAAACATCTTTACCGAATAACATGTGATGGTTTTTTGTATAATGTATTTGATTTTGTAAATACGTATTTCCTGATGTGATTTTTGTGAGAAATGCTAAATCTTTTAGTATATCATGTCCTCTCAAAATTGGCAGGAGCTAAATAATAGTTTGTGGGCGATTTGTATTGTGTACTGTACAATAACTGGGGAACTTTTATAATTATAAAAATATATATTAACTTTTAGTGTGTTGTTTAAACAAATGACTGGAACATACTAAAGATATTAGTAGGATTTTTCTGAATATTTCAGACTTGAACTCAGGCTAGCTTTCTTGTGTTTTTCAAAACAAAATGGTGTCTTGTCTTTTAAAATCAATAAATTTGTTTCCTTGTTACAAATACATTGGAAATGGCTTGGGTTTTTTCCCCCTCAAATCACTGCCTGGAGGCTAATAATACAGTACCTCATCTGGAGGGTAGTATCTGCCATTCATTAACTTAGAAACAAAATTAAGTTGTTTTCCTTTTTTGTGTCAGATGAAATTGGCAATATTTACACATGAACAGCACAAAAAGAGAAAATTATAAGCCCAGCAGGGTACAAATCTTACCCTCAAAGAAAATTAATGATTGAGTGCGATTTAATTTCAGAAGCTGTCACATTTCCATTGTAAATCCAGATTTTTGGATGTTCATAGTGTGTTTGTTTCATGTCACTTCACATTGGTATTTGGCACTCAAGTTCCTTTCTTACATTCAACTTGCTTATTAAAATTTATTTTAACACAGTTAAGAATATATGCTGCCAGTTTTTTTCCATTGAATACCTGCAGGAAAATTCACTTTTTGGTGTACAATTCTATGAGTATTGACAGACACATACAATCATGTAGCCACCACCACCCTAATCAAGTTTAAAATGATTTACCTCACATTTAATTTTGTTTCAAATCACTATATATATATATATATATATATATATATATATATATCCTCCTGTTAGAATATAATAGCCCATTTATGTGGGGTTTCTTTAAAAGAAAGAAATACAAGGCAAAAAATATACTTTTTGGAATCTCCACCATAATACTTCCAGATCGTAGCCTAAAGTTATCTCTAAAGATACACTATTGCTGGGTGCAGTGGCTCACGCCTGTAATCCCAGCACTTTGGGAGGACGAGGCGGGCAGATCATGAGGTCAGGAGTTCGAGAACAGCCTGGCCAATGTCGTGAAACCCCATCCTACTGAAAATACAAAAATTACCCAGGCATGGTGGCATGCACCTGTAGTCCCAGCTACTTGGGAGACTGAGGCAGAAGAATCGCTTTAACCCAGGAGGTGGAGGTTGCAGTGAGCCAAGATTGTGCCACTGCACTCCAGCCTGGGCAACAGAGTGAGACTCCATCAAAAATAAAAACAAAAAACAAAAAAACTACACTGTTGGCATCTTAGCCCACAGAAACACCAAATTCATTTTAACTTACATTTAAACCAGTATCTTAGAAATGTATCCAAATAATGTTATTTAATAAACAAATGAAAGAACAGTAGGCAAAATTATAGCTAGTAGTAGAGACAGTACTAGAGTAGAAATAAAAATAATCTGACCAATATGGGCATTTTTATGTTGCAGCCATTGCCACTTTTGAGATATTTGGAATTTTCATACAAAATGAAGAGTTCCCAGTTTCTAATCTTATTTTCATATTTGATTTCTCTTGGAAATTTGAGGTCTTTCAAATCTCTTATAATTAGTGCATTACTTGGCTATAATACTAGTCCTGCCGTGAGTTTTTAATATTATTTTCTACTGCTTTGGAACTCAGACATTTCAAAACTTGAACTCAGCCTACTGCCAGAGAAATGTAACTCATTTTTATTTACCCATTCAATTCAATCACCTAATATCTTTTCATTTTGATCTAAATGTAATGTAGTTTCTCTCTCTTGCTCACTCTCTCTTTGAAAATATAAATAAAAGGTAATGAAATTTCCTGAGACTATGGAGTTCACATAGCTAGTGTCTCATGATCAGTAATCACAACTTTGAAGGAGACAAACATGTGAATGTGGAGTAGCCTCTAAAACTGAGGTTTTAACTTGTATAAAACTTGAACATTTTGCAGTTTGTGTGTACGCCCGTATTTCTGCGAAGTTTCATAGCTTTCATCACATTTTCAAAGGTATATGCAACCCAAAACTCACTGTTTAGAATGTTACCACTAAATTTCAAACTTAATTTAAGCTTATAAAATGACAAGTCTAGAAACAGCATATTAATAATTACTAATAGCAAGTTGATTTGTTATTATCAACAGTAAATAATAAACCCCAAGCCTTTGCATCATCTTAAAAGATTATGCTCTCTTGGGTTCAAAAAGCTGTAGTGAAGCCTTCAAACTCTAAAACCATTTGCTCTCGATTTTATACTCAAGTTGCAATGCAATAGAAACAATGATAATCAAAGTCAAAATGGCAAAATTCAGTCGGAGCTTCTGAAGAATTAACTGATTTTAAAGATATTGGTGATAATTCTTCATCTAGAACTGTATCCACTCATGACAAGAATTAGACTGCACACTCCCAGAGGAATTGAGGAAAGCTTAATGGAGTATTTGCAAGGACGTGTCAAGGGTTAATTTTTTTTGTGTCTTTAATGATAAAATGCGGCCATAAAATGCAGATAAAATGTTTATATGCAACAATTCTGTTTACATGGAATATAGATAAAAGTTGGGTAAATAAGTACTAAGACAGTTGCTATGGTTCCCACTTCCCTAGTTGGTCATTAGGCCTAAATTGATAACCACATCTTACTAATTCCTCTACTCATTGCATGTTCTTACTCTGCTAGGGCCTACTTGGTAGGTTGCTGAAAGGGTGACTCAACCCTTCATTCCTTGCAGTCTTGTCTATTGGGTTATCACAGTTTTCCATTGACTATGAAGCTGAGACTCCTGAGAGGACAAGTAGCAGGATAGTCCTCCTGGCTCCAATTAGGAAGCAATAATCCCACTTCCTTTTTATAACTGTGTTTAACTACCTGAATCACTAGAGCAACTGCCTTCCTTACCTGTTGGTTCAGAACCATGAGGATCCCAAACTGGTCAAGGGATAGTCTTAGGACTGACGGTCTCAGCTTCCAGTTTGATGAAATCATGATTTGGTTCCCAAGTGGAAGCAATCCTGCCTTGAAAACTTGGCCCTCCAAAGTCACTAAGCTCAATGTTTGAGGCCTCAAAAGCAAAAATCTTGTAAATGGCTTATTTGGTGTAAAAAGGGGCTACTCTCAACTAGACTCCTTGATTCCAGGAACCACGTATTCTGAGTGTGAGAGAAATAGTGCCAAATATTGATGGGTATTTATTGTCTCCCAGCTGACATCATGGCTGAGCCTTTAGCAGGCTGTTCTATTTCTTGTTCTATGGAGTGAGCTGCTTCTGTATGATGAAACGCATGAGATTTCTGAATTCTGTGGTGAAAGCCCACATCCCTTCACCATATAATTAGTTCTATAATCAGTAGTAGGATTGTGTAGGATATCATATTCATGAATAAAATAACTATAAATGGAAGAATGATGGAAAAGGCAAATCTACATCTGGAATATTTCTCTATTCCTTTAAGAGAGTTGCTTTTCTCTCTTTGATGAAAAAGATCCTACATAATAAACCTGCCACTTGGTCCCCTTGGGGAATACGGCCACTTCAGGAAGCTTAGTGTTCACTTCTGTTATGGGCAGGCTGGCGCTCAGCAGCTCAGCAGTAGCAATGGCCGTATCAGCCTTGGTGAGGGGAAGTCTGTGTTGCTGAGTTGCTGAGACCCTGCAGAGCCTCATCCATTCTGCTATTTGAGTTTCCAGGTTCATGGGGGATTTCCGTCTTAGTCTTAAAGTAATTAACATTCTCCTGACTTAGAGATAAATAAGATAATCACATGGGGGAAGTGTTCAGGACTGGAAGTCAGAAGCCTGAACTGTCTGTCTTATTATAAGTCTGCAACTTACTAGATTTCCGTTCTTGAGAAATTCACTTAACTTCTACAAATCTGAGTATATTTAGAAGGAAAATGAGATCTCTTCCCTAAGCAATGACTGGAAAGAATGGTATATGTATGCTGGTTTAGAGATAGTCTTAGAAGTCAGGTAAATCTGGGCTTGAATCCCAACCCCACAACTAACTAACTATGTGACCTCACTGGGTAAATTGAGTAATACACATTTATAAGACCATGCAATATTTTCTAAATACTTAGCAGGTGCTCACACGTGGCAAGCCCTCAGTAAAAGCTACTACAGGTAGCCTTCTTTAACTACCCTCTAAAATAAAAGTGTGAGAGCTCCATTAACTGCCAATCAGTAATCTTGCAAAATGGGCTTATCCTATCATTTCCAGAAATTGCTCTAGAGTGGAACCTGGTCAACTTAACTAGGATATTATTTAACTGTGATTAAGCTTTGCCGATAAAGTACATCCTTGATTTAAACAAAGATAACGGAAAAAAGAAAAAAAAAAAGGAGGTATCTCCAGAAGTCTAGACCTCAGACAAAAGAGAATTTACTTCTCATTCAATCAATTCAGGCTTCCCAGGAGGTAAAAATATTTCTTCTGGTTGCTTAGATGCTTCTGAGCTTTTCTTTCCTGCATGCATTCAAAAAATAACCATTGAATCTCCCAGAGTTTCTTTGAAGTATTCCAGACACCCTGACAACAGTTTGGGGATAGACCATTTCTCTCTATAAATTATTTTTTTATAGTCAACTCATTTGCCTTTTAAACTTGTCTTGCTTTTAGTGGACATAGTGGCTGGACAGAATTTCTCCCACCTCTGAATCTTTTTTTTTTTTTGAAACAGATTCCCACTCAGTTGCCCAGGCTGGAGTGCAGTGGCGCAATCTCGACTCACTGCAACCTCCACCTCCCGGGCTCAAGCCATTCTCCTGCCTCAGCCTCCCAAGTAGCTGGGATTATAGGCGCCTGCCCCATGCCCAGCTAATTTTTGTATTTTTAGTAGAGAAGAGGTTTCATCATGTTGGTCAGGCTGGTCTTGAACTCCTGACCTCAGGCGATCTGCCCGCCTCGGCCTCCCAATGTGCTGGGATTACAGGTGTGAGCCACCACGCCTGGCCCTGCCTCTGAATCTTATAGCACTTATCATCTATATCAGAGGCTGTGCATTAGCAGGCTATGGGCCACAGGAGTGTGATATTCAGCTTACATAGTGTTAGGCTACAAAGGGCTTTTGTGGTTTGTGTGTGTGTGTTTATGTGTTTATTTTATTTTAATTTACTCTCAGAAATTTAAAAATACCAGAAGATCTCACAGTAATTCTGTCAAAGTAAAATCTGGTTTGTGGTATCTCTTGAGCATTGGAGGATCTGGCAACACAGAGCCTCCATGCCTACACGGCAGTCTGCTGGGACCAGAGAGGCAGGGTGTGTATGCTCCAGTTGGCCCCTCTACTTTATGTTGAATCCATATTGCTACTTTGGATCCACTCTATTACCTTCCTTACCCTGTAGGCATGTGAGGTATGTTTAATTTTGTTTTTAATCAACACACAGTAACTACATTTTTATGGGCCACAGTGTGATAATTCCATACATGTGTACATTGTGTAATGACCAACACAAGGTTTTCAGCCTATTCATCATCTCATACATTTATCCTTTCTTTGTGGTGAGAACATTCAAAATCCTCTTTTCTAGCTTGTAATAGTTTATTTTTGCATTGCTATAAAGGAATACCTGAGACTGGGTAATTTATAAAGAAAAGAGGTTTATTCGGCTCGCAGTTCTGCAGGCTATACACAAAACACAGTGCCAGCATCTGTTTCTGGAGAGGTCTCAGGAAACTTGCTATCATGACGGAAGATGAAAGGGGAGCAGACATACCACATGGCAATAGAGGGAGCAAGAGAGAGACGGGGGAGAAAGGTGCCAGGTTCTTTCAAACAACCAGCTCTCACGTGAACTCAGAGAGAGAGAACTTGCCCACTACCACGGGGAGGGCACCAAGCCATTAATGCAGGCTCTGCCCCCACACCTCCCCAAACACCTCCCATCAGGCCCCACCTCCGACACTGGGGATCACATTTCAACATGAGATTTAGAGGGGCAAAACCTCCAAACCATATCATAGCTTTTTTGAAATATACAATACAATATTATTAACCATAGCCACCCTAGTGTGCACTAGAACAACAGAACCTGTTCCTCCTATCAAACTGTAACTTTGTACCCACTGACCAACCTCTCTCCATCCTCCCCAACCTCCCTGCCTCTGCTATTTACTATTCTACTCTCTATTTCTGTGAGGTCAGTGAGTGAGAATATGCAATATTTGTCTTTCTGTGCCTGGCTCATTTCACTTAACATAATGTCATTCCAGGTTCATCCATGTTGCCACAAATTACGGGATTTCATTCATTTTTATGGCTGAATAGTATTCCATTGTGTGTAGACCATGTTTTTCTTTATCCATTCATCAACTGAAGGACACTTAGGTGGATTCTGTATCTTGGCTCTTCTGAATAGCGCTGTGATAAACATGTGAGTGCAGATATGTCTCTGACATACTGATCCCATTTCCTTTGGATACATACCCAGTAGTGCATGTGAGTTTTTGCCTTGTGGTTCACATGTTCTTAGCATTTGAACTTCTCTGCCAGATACAATTTATCTATCAAGCAAGGACAAATGAGCAGTCCTCACTCATGGCACATAGAGTGGAACTGGTAGCAGGTGTGTGGTCTCCCTGTTGCCTATCACACTTTGAGACAGAATGAGTGTCTAGCATGGCTGGACATCAGACTCTGAGAGAGAGGGACTAGCCCTTGATTTGTGAGCTTTAAGCGACACAATTAGGGGAAGCACCAGCCCCTCCCTCAGAGTGATTAGATGCTGGCACCCAGCAGCAGTCCATGCTGTTGAAAAAGTGGTCTCCTTCTGCAATTTCAGCATTCATTGAACAGGAGAGCACCATTCTCTCCCCAGGCATGTGTTCTAAGCCTTGAGTTGTGTGACATGGAAAATCGGTGCCTTTGGTCTTGATTCTTCACTTCAGCATTAACCAGAATGACTGCCTTATGCCAGAAATGTAGAAAGTTTTGAGATAGCAGGTTTCAGGCACCTGACAGTCACTGATCTGCAGAAGGCCAACCTTCTTTTAGAGAGGGCATCCTGTAGGGAATTTGCCTGGGACAAGTTAAACTTTACTTTTTATTATTTCTTCAAGTTCTTTCTATTTCACGTAGCCCTTGCTAGCTGCACTGTAATGATTGACAGAAATTTGCTGGTTGTTTGACTTTGCTGTACTGCTTCACAAATCTGGCAATCAACCAATAACTTTTGGTTCTTCAATTACTTACATAGTAGGAAAAAAAGGCAAAGACTATGCCTCATTAGCTACCAGTTGGCACTTCATTAATGCCTTTTATTTGCTTCCTAAAAACAAGAAAGCAGGACATATCCTTAAGAAAAGGGGTCAGATTACTATTATGTGACAGAGGATGGGGCAAGAGATTTTTTAAGAAAAGAGAATAGCAAAGGTTTTCACATTGAAAGAAAGATCTCAAAGAAAAGGCTATGTCTCAAGATGATTGAATAACATTTTAAAAATTGCATTCCTTTACACAAGGCCTAAAACCAACTGGTAAGAAATATTTCAGACTGAACCCACAGAGACAGTGTCCTTCTGTTTTGTGGAAAAAATGTAAAGGAGATGTCAAATTAACATGCTTAATTTCTTACAAGTGTGATTACCATTTTCAAAGATCTTTTTATATGTCTAGCCTAGTAGAATGGGATGCTGCATAATGAAGAGAGAAAGCAAAAGTAGACGAAGAAAGTTGAGAGAAAAGGAATCAACTCTGTGGGATAATAAAAGATTTCTAAGGAGAATTTTAGGAAAGAAAGTTCCTGGACAGGTGCAGTGGCTCATGCCTGTAATCCCAGCACTTTGGGAGGCAGAGGCTGGTGGATTGCCTGAGCTCAGGAGTTCGAGACCAACCAGGGCAACACGGTGAAACCCCATCTCTACTAAATCCAAAAAATTAGCTGGGTGTGGTGGCATACGCCTGTTGGCCCAGCTACTAGGGAGGCTGAGGCAGGAGAATTGCTTGAACCCAGGAGGTGGAGGTTGCAGTGAGCCGAGATCATGCCACTGCACTCCAGCCTGGGTGACAGAGCAAGACTCCATCTCCAAAAACAAAGAAAAGAAAAGAAAGTTCCTTATTTGATCAGAAATCTGGAAAGCTCAAGGCAGCAAAATGAATCTTATTTATCTCATCACCTCTCAATTCTCATGCTGGTGTTCCAGGAAGGAATGGGTCCCTGAGTCCTCCCCCCAGGCTAAAGAATTGACCTTGAACTTCTTGGAACATCATCCTTGAAGAGAGAAGAAAGTCCTACAATGCCTGCCACCTACAAGATACTGATCCAAGAATCTTCCATAAAATGTATTTGGCTGTCAAGATTGCTCATTGAGAAACTTGTAACTTGTGATGTTTATGTATACCACAGAATGGAAGTTAGTCACTTACCCTCATGGGTGCTGGATGGCGAGCCGAGTATTGAGGCTGAGGGACCCTAGACAAAAGAGTTTCTCTGTGCTGATGAGACCTGATTTGCATCAGCTTATTGCTAGCCCTGAGATCGCAAAGTGTTCCATGCATGACTGGGGACGTGGGAAGCTGTGTCTGAGTTGTCTGAATACAAATATAAATGTACTATATACTCCAATTAAAAGGAAAACACTGTCAAATGAGATTTTAAAAATACAACACTGCATACAAGTAAAAAGGCTCAGAAAGGTTGAAAGTACAAAGATAGGGAAAGAAATAGAAATAGAAACACAAACTATTAAAAACTTAATGATGAATCTGACAAAAGATATGTAAGACTTGTACCCTGAAAACCATAAAACATTACTAGGGAAAAATTAAATAAATGTAGAGATATACTGTGTTCATGGGTCAGATGACTCAAAGTTGTTAAGATATTAATTCTCCCCAAATTGATTTATGGGTTCAACACAATCCCAGTCAAAATCCCAGAAAGTTTTTAATAGAAAATAGCAAGCTGATTGTATAATTTAATACATATGGAAATGTAAAGGACCTAGGATAGCTAAAACTGCTTTGAAAAAGAAGGATAAAATTGGAGGAATACCAGTACCTGATTCTAATACCTTTATAAAGCTACCATATTCAAAATAATGTGGAATTGGCATCAGGATACCTCAGTGGAACCTATCAAATCAATGGAGCAGAATAGAGTACAGAAATGGACCTACACATTTATAGGCCATTGATTTTTTAGGATTCATTTTTACAAATAGGCAGTCAAGTCAGTGGAAAAGATAGTCTTTCAAAAAGTGATGCCAGAACAATTAGGTATGCATATGTGAAATTTGATCCTTATCTCATACCAAACACATACAAAAATAACTTAAAATGAATTATAAATGTTAATGTAAAACCTAAAACTATAAAACTTTTAGAAGAAAGCATAGACAAAATCTTTGAGACTTTGGATTAGGTAGAAATATTTTAGATATCAGGCTGGGCACAGTGGCTCACGCCTGTAATCTCAGCACTTTGGGAGGCTGAGGTGGGCAAATCACCTGAGGTCGGGAGTTTGAGACCAGCCTGACCAACATGGAGAAACTCCGTCTCTGCTAAAAATACAAAATTAGCCGGACGTGGTGGCACATCCCTGTAATCCCAGCTACTCGGGAAGCTGAAGCAGGAGTATCACTTGAACCTGGGAGGCAGAGGTTGTGGTGAGCCGAGAACTCGCCATTGCACTCCAGCCTGAGCAACAAGAATGAACCTCCGTCTCAAAAAAAAAAAAAAAAAAACACACACACACAAAAAAAAACCCAGAAATATTTTAGGTATCACTGTAAACATGATCTATGAAAAATCAAATTGATAAATTGCACTTCATTAAAAAATAATTTTCTGTTCTTCAAAAGACACTGCTAAGAGAATAAAAAAAGACAAGTAATATATTAAGGCAATTTTCTTTGGGTCTCTCATGTTTCTGCAGGTGTTCCAAGCAAATGCATTCACCACTTTTGTTCTGAACCATCTCATCAAAGATATTTACGCAGCAAAAAGCCTTGGGAGGTAGAGATAATGGCTCCCTGTGGGTTTGGGTTACTTTTTTTCCTGACCAGTATAATAAAGATATTGTCTTTTGGAGGGGCGAGGGGAAAGGTTGGGTAGGCTTGCTAGCCAGCCCCCTTTAAATATCTCGCGTTTCCTAAGCTTGGAGTTTCTCACCTGTGACATCAACCCACCTTGTCTGTAGGGCCTCCCTGGGCCTTGCTACATCCTCATAGGTCTTGGGTCAGGGGTGGGCAATGGAAGCAGATGTGAATGTGAAGCTCATGCTTCTTGCTGTGATGCTATCAAGTCCCTTTTCTCTAACCCAGGAGCTGCCAACTCCTGCCCATTTCTTGGAAACTGGCAGGCTCACTTGTTTGTTCAACAGCAGGGTAAAATACCAGACCCTTCACAGTCCTTGACACCACAGACTGGGAGAAAATATTTACAAATAATATATCTGATAAAGGACTGGTATCCAAAAGATGTAAAGCACTCTTAAGTTCTATTTTCTCCTGTCCTTTAACATTCTTCTACAAAATCACTTTTTAAAAATAATTAAAACATTAAACTCTGGCATGAGGGGTCTCACAATCACTGGTAAATAAATAAATAAATAAATAAATAAATAATAGACAAATAAATAAATAAGTTGGGTGCATTGGCTCACGCCTGTAACCCCAGCACTTTGCGAGGCCAAAGCAGATATCACCTAAGGCCAAGAGTGTGAGATTAGCCTGGGCAACATAGAGAGATCCCATCTCTATAAAAAAGTTGTAAAATTAGCCAGTGATGGTGGTGAGAGCCTGTAGTCTAGCTACTTGAGAGGCTGAGGCAGGAGGATTGCTTGAGCCTGACAGGTGGAGGTTGCAGTGAACTATGATAGCACCACTGCACTCCAGACTGGGTGGCAGAGAAAGATCCTCTCTCTATTAAAAAAAAAAAATCTGAAAACCCAAGGTGTTGAAAGTATGTACATAGTACTTAACTTTTAACATTAAATACATATTTGGATAAATATTGACTTAACATCTATCTCCCTTTAAATTTCAAACTTCATGATCTCAGGAACCTTTCAGTCTTGATTACTACAAAATTCCCAATGTATAGCACAGTTCGGTATATAATTTAACATATGAGTATTTGTTGTATGAATTAAGGAACTAATTGTCTTATGATTATACCTAATGATTATGTGATTTAAGGTTGTCTCTGCTATTACAAATAACTCTTAATGATTCTTCTCCACATGCATTTCTGAAAGCTGAATTTGGGGGCCAATAAATTGCAAAATTTTAAGCTTTGGGACATGTTGCCAAACTCTACTTTGAAACCTTGAACCAATTTATAATTCCTTCAACAGCTCGGGATTGGATCACTAGAAGCCAATTAACTGAAAAAAAGTAAAAACATCTTATATCTGATCTAGGACTGTTGGCCATTTTACAAGCAGAGAAACCAATACTTCAAAAGTTCCTAAATAAGCTAGCAAATTGATTACTCAGAAGATGATATTTGATTATTTGGAACTCTTCCCTCAATAATTGTCATATTAATTTTAGATGCATTCTTGGTATATAAGTATTTTATACATCAGGTGATCATCCTAAAGTTAAATTTGGAGTATGAATTGTAAATAGAATGCTAAGCACTTATGTTAACATATTACACCTCTGTCATTTTAATTGTAGCCCGTTAAACGTATATTCATATTCTCAGACACTTCATTGTATGTATTAAGGAAAATGTTCTTTAAACTCAATATGAAAAAATAATTTTTATAAGGAAAGCTTTCTCACCTAAGAAAGGTAACTCATATCTCATCACACAGAAAACAACCCAAGTTCCTTTCAAATGTGGAATGAATAAGGAAATTATAGGCTGTTCATACAATGGAAACTATATATTAGTAAATTGAACCAAGTACGAGTAACAACGTGATACATCTCACAAACACACGGAAACAGGAGGCCAGATATGAAAAAATATATATTACGTTATTCTATTTATAAAGTTCAAAAACAGAAAGAAGTATGCTACAGTATTGTTTACCTTTGAAGAGAAGAAAACATTTGTGCTTAGGAAAGAGTTCAAGGCCACTTTTAGGTGCTAGCAATGTTCTATTTCTTGATCTGTATATTGGCTATCTTTATATTTGCTTTGAGATAATTTATTGAGCTGATTTTTTAAAAAGTTAAAACTAGTTTGAGTCCAGAATCCCCCCTCTAGCAGAGCTTGATGGCTTAAAACCCCAAATCCAATCAATAATTTTTTGAAGTCCAGGAAGCATTTAACTTAAGCTTTTATTTGAAGGACACCTTGAATACTTTTCTGCATTCTAGCTTTACTTTTAACACATTTTTCAGTGATATCTTGGACCAAAAGTAGCCATGAAGTGTTCATGCTTTAATGATCACAAATGAATACTGCCTACCCCATTTCTTACATCTTATCACAAAAGGATAGATTTGTTGAATTTTATTTAACAAATGAATATTAAGAATTTTCTTTTTAAAAAAACTCTGGGCATCTGATAAGTTACCAGTAGAGGATACAATTTTAACTAGATCATCTTAAAAAAATCAGAACAGGAAATTTTGGAAAGTCTCCAAAATTCACAAGCTGTCTCTATTCTGCAGAAATGCTTCTCAATGGTCTGCAGTGCCCAGTGTTTTTCCACTTTGCCCAAATGGCTATTCAGATGACTAATGTCAGCAGGCTCTGTGCATTTGAGTACTAGCTCTGTGATCTTTACAATACAGAGACCTCAGTGTGACACGTGGCAGCAAACCAAGACCACAGAATATGTCTAGGAGAAACTTTAAGAAATAGCAGCTATTATGATCAGGAAATCAACCTGTTTGTGTTGCAGAAATAGGACAGTTTACTGGCTTGATAGGTGTGCTATCACTGTGATATGCCCCATCCCAGGCAATTAGATTTAGGGTGCCATATGGCCATCCTGAGTGATTTGCAGAATCCAAAATGTCCCACAGCTTAGGACCAGTGGAACAGCAGCAATCATACACAGGAACACTTGGGCTAAACAGTGTCATACAAATGAAGAGAGTCTGAAAGTGGTCACCCCCAGGGCTTGTCCATCCCACTCCTCTGGCTGCTCCTATCCTTGTTTACTCTCAATTACTGAGCAATGAGAATGCTCACACTCTCAGTTTCTGCCCTCCTCTCCATCGCACCATTCTATTTCCAGCTTTTATTGGACACAATCTTATTTTCCAGCACTAGAATATTTCAGTATTTTATTAGAGGCCCAGTCCTGACAATGATCTAGAGGTGCATCCATCCTAACATCTGGTTTTACAAGGTGGCTTGGGAGAACATAGCTGTGTAGGGACAAAAAGGTGTAATACCTTTTCCTCACCCATTTCACAGACCATGACTGATACTCCTATAACGAAAGACAGATTAACAAGAGAAATGTATGACAAATTTATTTAATCAAAGTTTTATGTGACATGAAGACCCAAAGACCCTGGGAAAACTGTGTGTTTTTGTAGGTTCATTAAAGAATGGACAGCCATGTAGAAATGTGATTTAACAAAAAGAGGTGTAATTTTATGGTCATAAACTGAGGGGCAAAAAGGGGTGTAATTTTATGGTCATAAACTGATCCAGCAAAGCCTGTTTGTTCAGGTTCTTCTTAGCCTCTTTATGTAGCATTCCTTCCTCCTAGTGTAGGGCAGGATACCTTTCACATGAAGGCTTTCAGGGAATGTCTTAGTTTTGTGCATCTACAAAAGAATACTGGAGACTGGGTAATTTATAATGAACAGAAATTTATTTTTCATGGTTCTGGAGGTTGGGAAGTCCAAAATCAAGAGGCCAGCATCTGTCAAGGGCCTTCTTGCTGTGTCATCACAAGGTGGAAGGACAAAAGAGGGTGAGAGAGAGAGAGAAAGGAGGGCCAAACTCATTCTTTTATAAGGAACCCACTCCTGTGACAGCAAGCTCACTCCCCGATAATGGCATTAATCTATTCATGGAGGCAGTGCACCCATGACTCAAATACCTCTCATTAGACCCCACCTCCCAACACCACCATAATGGGGGTCAAGTTTTCAACACGTGAACGTGGAGGGACACATTCAAACCATAGCAGGAGAAAAGAAAGAAGGCCGGAGAGTTACATTTCTAGTTTTTATGGCTTGCTTCAGGGGAGTTCTAGTTTTCATAACCTGCTTTGGAGGAGAAGTGGGGAAAGGAGAAAGAAGGGCAGGAGAAGTTCAGAGGAAATTACTTGCTTCTAAGTCCCTTTCAATTTCCTTGAGTTCAAAATACTCAGCGGCCTAAGGTGACATACTTTGGGATATTGTGTTCTGAGTTCCAGTATCTGCATGCCATGCTCTTCTGGGAGGATCAGGAATATTCTGAAGCATCACCATCAACCAATTGCTTTTCCATGGGTAACAACATTGGATGGGTTTGTCTGGGCCTGGCTCAAAGTGGATTGCAATTAGGAGTTAGGAAGACTGTACCCTTTTTCAGAAAATAATAAAGTAAAATCTTACAGGAGTATACAGAGTAAAATGTCAAAGTTCTTCCTCTCAATTGAATTCTACTTTACAGAGTTAACTGCTATTAAAAGATTGATGTGTATCCTTACAGAATAAAAACATAGTTATTAAAAAAAATTTATTTACAATTCATGCAGGTTTGAACATACATGTTTTTCTATAATTTGCTATTCTATCATAGTGATATATCAAAACTTATTTTCAAGTCATACATGTGTATCTACATCACACATTCTTTATAATAATAATATGTTTGTATAATTTTAAGACTGTGCCTTAATGTTTTAATACATTTTCTACTTATCAACATCTAAATTTTTTTGTTTTGTTTTTTGTTGAAACAGAATTTCACTCTTGTTGCCCAGGCTAGAGTGTGATGGCACAATCTCGGCTCACTGCAACCCCCGCCTCCTGGATTCAAGCAATTCTCCTGCCTCAACCTCCCGAGTAGCTGGGATTACAGGTGTGTGCCACCAAGCCTGACTAATTTTTGTATTTTTAGTAGAGACAGGGTTTCGCCATGTTGGCCAGACTGGTCTTGAACTCCTGACCTCAGGTGATCTGCCCACCTCAGCCTCCCAAAGTGCAGGGATTACAGGCATGAGCCACCATGCCCGGCCAACATCTAGATTTTTAATTTTTTTTTACAATAACAAACACTGCAATAAACATCTGTGTCTACAGCTATATTACCTTTATATGCATGTGCTAATATTTTTATAGGAGAAGAAATAGATTACCATGTGATTACTAGGTAATATGGTATATATACATTTTATTTTTTCACATTGCTCGGTCATTTTATTGTCTAGTTTTCAGTGTATATGTATATGCATTTCCTATACTTAGCCAAACTTTTTTACATTTTCAGTTTGATGGACAAAAATAACATATATTATGGGCTGAATTATGTTCCCCAAAAAGATAGTTTCGAGTCCTATCCTCATGTACCTGTGCGTGTGACCTTATTTGGAAATAGGATATTTGCTGATGTAATCAAGTTAAGGTGAGGTAAATAAGGTGAGCCCTTATTGAATGTGACTAGTGTCCTTATAAGAAGAGGTGGAAAATACAAAAAATAATAGAGGTTTAGTGCACACGTGTTCCCCCACCCCCTACACACACACACACACACACACACACACACACACACACACACTGAGGGAAAGTACCTGAGGACAGGGCAGAGACCAGAGTGATGCAGCTGCAAGCCAAGGAACAAGGATTGGTGGCCACTGCCAAAAGCTAGGAAGAGTCAAGGAAGGAGTCCACCCAGTTCCACAGGAAGCATGGCCCTACTGACAGTTCCACTTGGGACCTCAGTGCTCCCGAACTGTGAGACTGTAAGTATCTGTTGTTGTAAGCTACCAGTTTGTGGCAATTTATCATGGCAGCCCTAGGAAACCACATAAACTGGTACTTCTTTTAATTAGTAAGATTGAGCATTAATTTTATGTATTTAAAAATCATCTCTATTTCCTCATTGAATATCATGTTCAGACTCTGTCCATTTTTCTACTGACTTATAGAGAAAGGAAACTGGCATTGGAGAATTTACATTCTATGGGAGTTTGGGCACTGTGACATCAGGTGCTTCGATGGTCTGCAAGAGTCTCCTTCTCTTTAAACTAAGGACTAGCAATGAATCAACTGTCACCTGAAGTCCCCCGAATTCAAAGATAGTGAGAAGCAGATGTGAGACAGAAAAGAAAGTGCAATAAATAGTCATCATGTTTTTTTAAGAAAAAAAATGTTTACAGATAAAGTCTACAGAAAGAAATGAGCAGGCCTCCAAGTGGTGTCATAGCTGGAGAGGTGGATTGGCGGAGTGGCAGATGTGGGATCGAAGTCTATCACTTTCATAACAACATCAACCTCTCGGTGAGTCTTCTCTTTCTTTCCCTTCCCTTCCCCTCTTTTTAACCAAACAAAAAATATGCCAAGAATGAGAAAGATGATGGGCTGGGGAGTGTAGTGTGGTGTGAGCGCACTGACTCTCCGGCTGGACAACAGGATTTATATCTCAGTTCCCCCGGTTCTGAGCCTTATGACTTTAGGCTCTGGTCACTTGACCTTTCTCTGTGTCAGTTTCCTTACCTATAAAATGGGGATGTTCATAAAATAGTTCCCCCTTATCCATGGGTTCATTTTCCTTGGTTTCAGTTACCTGAAGTGAACTGTGGTCTGAAAACGTTTTGAAAGAGAGAGAGAGAGAGATCACATACTCATACATTTTACTACAGTGTTTTCTTATAATTGTTCTATTTTGTATTAGTTATTTTTGTTGATCTCTTACCATGCCCAATTGGTAAATTAAACTTTATCATAGGTATATACGTATAGGAAAAAACAATGTTTTATTCTATCTGCAGTTTCAGACATCCACTTGGGTTCTTGAAGCTGACCCCCTTGGATAAGAGGGGACTAGTGTAATAGTAGCACAGAGTCATTGTGAGGAGTTAATGAATTATTAATAACCTACTCCTCAATTAATTTTTTTATGTAAAGCTCTTAAAATAGAGAGCGAAGTATAAATATTAGCTTTAACTATGATCCTATCACTGTGTGATATGACAACACAGAGAAAGGCTGAGCAAGGACTTTCTTCCTGATGCTAGGTGCCACAAATGCCTGCCCACTTGGGGAAAAAAAGGGGAAGAAAGGACTTGTACCTCCTAAAAGAGAGAAATTTTTGAAATTCCTGAATATACCAAGAATTAACTAGTTTAAATTTTCCGCCAACTCACAGAAAGAAAACTGTAAATCGAGATTTTAAAAATGCTTTGGTAACCGAGTTCAGTTTATGGGCTGGGAAATCTGTATTCACTATGTAAAAATTCCCGGGTCACAGCGATGACCTGATGGTCCTGTAAAAGGCACACCTTTCTCTCCCAAATTCAGCACGTTTCAAAGCTTCCATTTTCTAAACATTTGTCAGATTTATGAGGACGCATACATGAATTAAATTATTTTGTCTGTGGCATCAAGACAACTATGTGCTGGGGGACGCTGGCCCTTGCTCTTCTAGCTCAGACCTGAAGGACCCAGAGGGGATGCTGATGGGGAAACGGTCACTCCATTCCTGCAGCCCCAATTACCCAAGAAGGGGCTTCTCTCGCTCATCAAGTAACAACTGCTTAGTCATAGCCAAGCTTGTCTTTTACAAGAAGGCTATTCTTTAAATTTGAGTTTATATTTTTCTTTCAACCTAAGAGTGAATTGGAACACAAAGGTTAAAGCAGACCAAAATATATTCTAACCCCCCACAACACACTCAACCAAGCAAAGATACAAATAGGAAATGTGTGGATCATGTGACTCATGATGACTTAGTCTTGCTGTAACACACTTTGGACTGATTCACATAACAAAATCTCTGAGAAATCAAGCACTGACCCTGGGACAGCTGTAGAAGGAGTGAGAGTAATGTGTCTCAATGGGAAATATATTCCAGATGACAGGGGACAACTCTAATTCAGGATGAAGCCACGAGAACTGGGGTAAGGCGTATGCTTGTAACTGAATTGACTTGAACACCCACCAACACTCCTTCAGAATCATGATATTTTTATTATCTGAGAGGAACAAAATCATGACATTTGGGTCTTCTTCATAACTGTTTGTGGATGTTCATCAGAATGGAATGCACTTTGAGCTGGGCTGATGCAGTGTCCGCAAGAAGAAACCGCTTTGCTGGTCATGCTCAGAGGGTGGAAGGTGTTTTATGGGGTGACTTCTGACTGCTTGCTTTCTGGGGGTAATATAAAAGACATATTAACTCATTTAGTTTTCCCGACAAGCCTGTGGGATAGTTTCTATTATTAATCCCTGTTTTCGGGTGACAATAAATATCGGTCAAGTGCTATTTTAAACACTTGGCCGACTTGACAGGTAACTGTTGACTCCCTGAGATTGCATGATGGCAGGAACTTCAGAAGGTCGACCTTCTGGAAATAGCTATTCAAAGGTCAATTCCCAGTGCCATATGCTTCTCTGAATAGTCATCACTGCTTCATCTGTGTTGAGGAAGAGGAGTGTTGTGGGAAACCAAACATTCCTGATTGCTCCTGCTGAAATGCTCATGGGTACCACCAATAATATAGTTATGGAGGAGAGGAAAGAAGTCAGTTCTCCAGTCCAGTTTTCTGCCTCCATTCCTGCTATGCCATCTGCTAATGTAGCCATGAAATCACTTTTCTAAAGTTCAGTTTTATAATCTGCAAAATTGGGATGATAATGGAAGCCACAACATAAGAGCAATGTGAAGATTAAATGAGATAACACATATGCTTAGCGAGGGATCAACGGGTTCTGTGACTGGCCAAAGAGCATCCATGTGGGAAGGTCACAGAAGTAGGCTCAGAAGAAAAGTCTCTTTCTCTGACCTTCTCCTGCTCTCCTGTCTCTCACCTGTCCTTCCTCCTTTGAAGTGAGTCATAGAAACAAGAATTCCTCTTCCCCAAAGTGGGTCATAGAAACTAGACCCCAAAGCAAGACAAAACCTAAAAGGGTCACTCTCTCCCTCCTCTCTTTGCCCTTAAAGACTCATTCCAGAGAGGTCCTTCCCCATACCCAGGAAGAAGGAATGCTACACAGAGAGGCCAGGAAGAATCTGAATGCACAGTCCTTGCTGGGATACTCCCCTCAGTCTATTACCACGAGATCATAACTTTCGTCCACTTACATTTCTACGTGGCTGGTCATTCTTCATTGAACCTAAGCATAAAAATAGACAGTATTCCCTGGGTCTTTGGGTCTTCATTTCTGAAGTTTCCCATGTCAAGTGAAATTTTGATTAAATAAATTTGTTATGATTTTCTCATGTTAACCTGTCTTTTCTTATAGGAGTGTTGTCTGTGACCCTTATGATGAATGAGGACTTTCCACCCCTGCAATACTGTATGAAAATAGACAAGAGCTAGTAGTCCTCCTGTCTTCTTCCTCTATGGCAAGGGCTTTGAACCATGTGACCTTTAAGATGCCCACTGTTTCTGAAGGATCTATGATTCTCTGACATCTGACTCATAAGCCATGTTTCTTCACATACAAGCTTTTGGAGTAAGATTAGTATCTTTGGTCAGAAGAACTTTCAAACATGTTCCCATGTTATCAGAATCTTTTCTTACCTCTTTATTACAATATGGCCTCCTCCGTGTTCTCCTCTGTGTGTTTGGCACCTCACCTTTTCATAAGCTTCACTCCTACTCCATGCAGGGGTGACCAGGCTCTGGCTGGTCACCAGATTTAGCACAGATTTAGAACAGCACTGATTTAGAAAGTCAGGTGAAAGCCCATCAGGAGCTGTCACTGCTGAGCCTGGGATGCTAGACCACAGGGCAACTGCACAGGTGCTCGATTGAATGGGGAACCAAGGTCTGTGACAAAGGCAGCTCCCGTGCTGAGATTCTAGGCGTCAGCAGCCAGCAGCACTCGCTGTCAGGAAAGAGCACGTGGCAGAACCTAAGCTGGTGCTTCCTCAACTCCCAAGGCCAATGTGGTAAACCATCCTGCACAAAATACCTCCGCAGGTGTTCAGGACAACTGACAGGTAGAGGAAGCAAAACCAAAAGGAGGAATGTGATCAAGTAGTTTGCTTAATTGTGTGCATAACCATTTGTATATTCATTCATTTGCTCATCCACTCAAAAAACCATTAACTATAACAAGACTTCCAAGACTGTTCCTTAACTCGAAGGAAGCCCTAGGTTTGTCTTATCCAAGTACATGCTGCTTTTTCTCTTGTGTGCTGGGATATTTAGCATGTGGACAAATTAAACAGGATTTTAAAATGTCCTTAGCTGAATTTACCATAATTTAGCTACCAGCAAATGATGAAGAATGGAACCAAGATGCATTGATTTATACCTAGTGTGGAAAGAGAAAAAAACGTGAAATTAGAAATCACATTAAATTATTTTTTAAACTATGAAACAATTTCACCAAACGTTCAGTTGCCCATGTTGCACACAATAAATTGCTTTTGTTTAGAGAATTTATGAATACCTTGTGAACTATAGGGAGTGGTTAGCTAAATTTGTTAAGATGAAATGGCCTAATTGCTAAAAGCTTGCTTACTTATAAATTATCGCCATTCTTTATTTTCCTGACCCTAAGTTCCTAAGAGATTATCAATTTTCAAAGGTGTATTGTCTGCCTTTGCCTTTTAAAATGTAAAACTCGACCTCATGTTTTGTGGAGATGCCTCCTTCAAATGTGGTCTGAAACTCCTTTTTCTCTTTCTCAATTTCAATGGCTTGAAAGGAGCACTTAAGGCAAACTTAGTTTTTCTTCTCACTCCCTGGCTCCCTCTGCACTTTGTGAACGATGCCGTTGAAGTCATGCAATGTGATGGCCCTGATAACCCCCTCTCATGCTAAATGCAACTGTCGCCCAGTCTTTTACTTATGGCTTGTCTCTATGCACACACACTTGACATTATTACTGCTGTTTTGCGTAGTCAATCCTGGGTTTAGATTTACCCACACATTCACCATGGCTCTTGTATCTCACACCTTCCACTTGGGATCATTTCCCTTCTGCCTGAAGTAAATCCTTTTAAATGTCCTTTAGTGAAAAAAATGTAATATTTTTAAAAATCGCTTTTATTTTTTTAGAGGCAAGGTCTTACCATGTTG
Source organism: Homo sapiens (assembly GCF_000001405.40). Taxonomy (NCBI): domain Eukaryota; kingdom Metazoa; phylum Chordata; class Mammalia; order Primates; family Hominidae; genus Homo; species Homo sapiens. The sequence goes on along the minus strand of NC_000009.12, from coordinate 3,197,415 downwards.
CCTAGCCTGGCCTTTAACTCCTAGACTCAAGTGATCCTTCTACCTCAGCCTCCCAAATAGATGGGATTACAGACATGTGCCAGTCATGCCTGTAGTCCCATCCCAATCAATGATTGAAAAAGCTTTCAATCATTTTTAAATAGCAGCTTATACAAAGTAATATGTGCTCACTGTGGAAATCTTTAAAATACAGGGCAATACAGAAAGAGTAAAACATCGTTTCGCATGCCACTATTAAGAAAGAGCCATGAAAAATAAATTCTAAATGCACTTCTGTATTACGTACCCACAACACACACACACACACACACACACACACAAACATAGAGCTGTGCACATAATTAGCTCTCAGTACTATTGGCTATTTAATATTATATACCTGGGTTTTCCACATTAAGGGGAACATATTGTGAGGCTGCTTTTCAACCTGCCTTTTTCGTTTAATAATACGCTTGACTATTTTCTCCTGTTCTTTCATATTCTTCTACAAAATTACATTCTTTTAGAGAAGGGTCTTGCTCCGTTGCCCAGGCTGGACTGCAGTGGTGTGATTACAGCTCACTATAACCTTGAACTCCAAAGCTTAGGCAGTCCTCTCACCTCAACCTCCCAAGTAGCTAGGACTACAGGAGTTTACCACTATACCTGGCTAATTTTTAATTTTTTTAATAGAGACAGGGTCTCACTATTTTGCCCAGGCTGGTCACAAACTCCTGGCTTCAAATGATCCCCCTACCTCGTTCTCCCAAAGTGTTGGGAATGCGGCCATTAGCCACTGTGCCCAGACCAAAATTAGTATTTAAAGATCATTGAAAAATTAAACATTGGCATGTGGGGTGTCTCACAATTACTGGTAAATATATATTTTATCCTAACCTGGGTAGTAGGTATGTTAATATTTCTTTCAGTAGTAGTATTTGTACTTTATTTATATGTAATAAACATTTGTATGTGTATTCTTAATGTCTTTTAAAATTATAAGGGTGAATCTTATGGACATCAAGACTTAACCTGGAACACTAGTCCCCTGATAGTTTTGTGGCTCAATCTCACACCTTTATCCTCTGCTCGAATGTCATCAGAGAAGCCTTCCCTGGCCCCTACCCCCAACTCCTGATCCATCCATCCCTTTTGTTCTGCTTTATTTATTACAGATCCCTTCTTACGTCCTGACACGTCATATATTTAATTAGTCATTTGTTTATTGCCTGCTTCTTCCACTAGGCTATAAGCTCAATGAAAAAGGCAATTGGGATTTTTTGAATAACTATATATCAATGCAGAGCAGTGCATGGCACACAGTAGGCTGTCAGTAGTTCTCTGGTAAATGGTAGAATGGGTGAATGATCTGCATAGTCATAAAGAATAGTTAGTACCAGACTTAGTAGCAATACATATTTGTGCCTCCTGTCAATCCCTTAACCATGTTATGACCTCATGGTGAACCCACTAGGTTGTACAGGAGAAAATGACACTGGCGTTGTTTTCTGTCCTCTGTGATGGGCATAATAAAAGTGTTTCTGATATGTTCTGTACTGAAACATAATTCTAAGTTTGTTTTCTTTTTCTTTGACATTAGTCATTACGGCAGAGTTGTGGACTTGGAAAGCATCCGGAAAGTATAATAATTTAGTTGAACCCTTTGTTTTCCGCCATGTAGAAACTGAAGTACCGGTAGATTCAACGTTCACCTAAGAAGATGCAGTAAGTCAGTGAACAAATTGGGGCCAAGCTAAACCCTATAGTACAGATAAGAAAACTGAAGCTTAATTAGTGCTTCCCAATCTTTTTCATGTTATGACATGCATTGATAACCATTATATAGTGTCTGTGGAGGCTGCTCATGGCTAGAGGGAAATAAACAAGGGGTTCTGGCCACCCCAGGCCTTGGTACAGTATAGGTGGTACCCCAGCATAGGTGGTACCCCAGCATAGGTGGTAGCCCAGCATAGGTGGTACCCCAGCATAGGTGGTACCCCAGCATGCTGCCATATGCCTGCCTGGAAAATCTGGCTTAAAGAGTTGATGTGCCCAAAACAGCAAACAAAAGGCGCAGCTGCAATTTGCATTCAGTTAGTCCAAGCCAGAGCTCTTTTTTTTTTTTTTTTTTTTTTTGAGACGGAGTCTCGCTCTGTCACCCAGGCTGGAGTGCAGTGGTGTGATCTCGGCTCCCTGCAAGCTCCGCCTCCCGGGTTCACGCCATTCTCCTGCCTCAGCCTCCCGAGTAGCTGGGACTACAGGCGCTGCCACCGCGCCCGGCTAATTTTTTTTGTATTTTTAGTAGAGACGCGGTTTCACCTTGTTAGCCAGGATGGTCTCGATCTCCTGACCTCATGATCTACCCGCCTCGGCCTCCCAAAGTGCTGGGATTACAGGCGTGAGCCACCGCGCCCGGCCTAAAAATAATTTTAGACACAGGCATATAGGAAAAATATCTAGAGGATATGCATCAAAATATTAACAATGATTGTCCCTGGATGCATGAATTATGACTTTTATTTGCTTCGCTTTACTTTCTGTAGCTCCTACTTTCTTTATGGAGTACTTGTGCAATTGTTGAAAGTTAAATAAAAATGAACAAATCCACCTACTTAATCCACCCAATCCCAACCCAAGAGAAAAAACAAGCAGCCGGTGTGGATATTTTGCTCTTACAGCGCCTTCAGCAATCTGACCGAGGGTCTCGCATCGTGTCAATATTGTGTTCTGCTGGTGGTTTGTATCCTCTTCTCCCTCCCCCAACCAACCCTCACCAAACACCAGCTGGAGCCCTAGAAATTTCAGTCATTCTGACATGACTTTGTTCCTGCTCCGCTTTATTTTGAATTAATGAGTTCTCTTCTCACTGTAGTAATAATCGCTATGGAGTTCTCTGGAGACCACACCTGGCTGGCTGTGTTGAGTTCTGAGCCTCTCAATTGCATGCAAGAGGCTGGAAAGATTTGAGAGAAGATTGCTAAAAGTACTTCAGGGGCCCTGGAGGCACTGATTTAGGAGGCGGAGGAAAGACATACATGCGAATATGTCAACCCTGCACTAACTAAATAGAGAATGTAGAGAAAACAGACTTCCGGTTTATGAAGAACCGAAATACCAGAAACATCCCAAAGGGTAAGTGAGACCCCCTTAGGAGGCATGGAGTAGGGGGTGGGGTGGAAAGTGTATGGTGCATGGATTTCTGGGCAGTATAATTCTGCCTAAAAATGATGAAGAAAGTGGAATCTGATTAACCTGGCCTAAGAATTAAGAAGGGTGTTCACCCCAGGTCTGCCAAACCTTGAGCAAATATTTAACAAAGGGAAAGGGGAAGAATAAGAGGAGAGTTTTGGCTGATGGCGTGATGTGCTAAGGTTTAAGATATCTTTTTCATGTGTGTTGAGACTACTGTTATGCAAAGCAGTCTGGAAAACTGACCGGAAAAATCATGTAAAAGAGAGGAGTTTGATGGGGCAGTGTGGAAAGAGAATGGAATTTCGAGTCTAAGATTTCCAGTTTTTGAGCACTGACTCTGCTGACTTACGGCTCATTAATCCCCTTGTATGAGTTTTAGTTTCCCTCCCTAGAAAAAATGGGGAAATGGCCCCTCTGAGTAGTTGTGAAAATCAAATGGGATAGTGCACATTAATGCCCAGGACTTGTGGCCTCTAAGGAGCTCTATTTCAGGAGATTCAGTTCATAGGACTTGTGAGTATTTAAATGCAGGCGCTGAGGGAAACGGAGACACAGCATTCAGCAATCCTAACCTATCTTAAGCCATTTCTGCTGCTCTTTCTTCCATTTAGGCTAAGTGCTCACCGATCTAATTTGCTGCAGATACTTACTGACAGCTGTGGTGAACACCTATGGTGGAGCCCAAGCACAGGTTTGGTTTTATTTTTAAAGCTTTCCAAGTGATTCCAATGTGTAGCCGGGATTGAGACCCACTGAGATAGAGTAATAAGAATGGGGCACACAGCCTGGAAAAGAGAGAAAAAAGAAATGAGTCCATGGTGAAGAGTAAGTCTCCTCTGCTACCCTCACCCAAAGGCTCCCAGTTCTTCTCTCTTGAGGCACTTTTAATGTTTCTTTTTTTATCCTTCCAGAGAGTTCTATGTATAGATCAGAACCTATTGTGCATCGTTGCTTTTTTCACTTACCACCATGTCATGGAGATTGCTCCACATCAGTACTACTATCCAGTTTCCCTCCTGTTTAACATAGCTACATTGTATTCCATAGTATGGCTGTACCAAATGTATTTAATCACCTTCTTAAGTTGTTTGCAATCTCTTTAGGCAGTAAATATCCTTGTCCACACATTTCCAGCACTTGTGTGATTATAAAGCAGAGTTGCATCAAAAGACATTTGAGTAAGCTCTTCTAAAGAGAATTAAAAATTGCCACAAATTTGGGAAAAGCTGGATGGTTCTGTTGCCATGAAAATAAGGAGCTACCAGAACTCAGACAAGCCAATGGATCCATGTTAACCCCACCCTTCTAAAAGCCTGTCAGGGATGGCACTCACTCCAATAAACACACCTCTTCATCCTAAGCAACAACAGTCTCACCCCAGTAACCAAGCTTCTGCACATGATGTCAACACCTCTGAAAACCGGCCAACGCTGAACTTCATACTTCCAAAATAATCCACATAAGAACAGTAGTCAATTCTATGCAGACTATGCCATTGTAACTCTATAGGATGTGTTGTTCTTTGCCGGCAACTGAGGGGACTTCAGGGTAAATTTGTGATTTTTGCTTAGATTTTGACTTTAAAATCTAGCCTCATCGTAAGATTTGATTCCAGTCCATCTGTAGTCCATTTTTTAGAAGCGGAATTGCTGAGTAATAAGACATGAGTACTTTGAAATTTGGTAGACGCCATCCTCCAAAGAGATTTGCCAGTTCACCTATCCATAATCAGTGACATGCTACTTATTTCTCTGTCCTTTAACTGAAGCAACTTAAAAAATCTTTGCAATTCTACAAAGTGGAAGAATATTTTCTTTAGATTTTCATTTCACATTTTCCAGATTTAATAAGCTTGAGCATCTGATCTTATATATACATGTGCATGTATATATAATGTATACACTCATATGCATATATATGCTAATTTCCTTTTTGTGTGAATTGATGGTTTACAGCCTGTAGACTAGTGATGTTTGAAAATCATCCTCAAAGATGATCATTTCTCTCAATTGTAGTAATGTACATGAAGAAACTGAAAAAGTTGCAGTAATCCATTTTTCATTAGAATTGATTCACCAAGAAATATGCTATTTGGCTGGTTCATTTCAAATATTCAGAAAAATAACTTGTTCGAGGAAAAAATCTAGATTGTTTTAAGATACAAAGGAGGAGGTAAATCTTTGATAGTACTAAGGTTGAGGTAGCTCTCTGCTCCCACTTGTGTTAAGCCTACACAAGTTAAAGTGGTTTTCTATTTTTAAAGAGCAGAGATTGCAGCTGTTCTAAAGCACAGCCCTCTCAGCAGGTACCTGGGAAAGATAATTGGCAGGTACCACTGAAGGTCGATGTGAAGCACTGAGCACTGCCCACTCTGAAAGACCTAACGAGGCCTGGGCTCAGGAAACCTGCGGGAGGTTCGGCTCACAAGTGGCCATTTGGGAGTGTTTCTACCAATGGCCAGCAGCTATGTTCCTTCCTTATTTGGGAAGGTTTGTAAAATAACACCAATAAATTTCTATGTGTAGTTCTTGATATTACTAAGTACTTTTGTATGTATTATTCCTATTGCCATGCCTTAGGCTACAGAAGTGTGCCTGTTTCTGGAATGGAAGCTAGCTTTAAATTAGCCCAAATAAATAAAAATGAAGACGGCAACCCTGGCCATTATCCTGGAGGTTAGCTTTACTATCAACCCCCTTTTTTCAGAAGGGGACACTTGAGGGACAGAGAGGTTAAAAACGTATGCCAGCTTGTGAAAACAAGATGGAAACACAGATCTTTTGACTTGGAACCCTGTTTCCTTTCACCATAATAAACCGAAAACTATATACATAAATATCAAAAATATTCCCTCTTCAGCGTGTACTTGGAATCCTTTTTCTATATTGACATGATTTTCCAAATATAAAAATTAGTGGCAGAAGAAGGAGCACAGACCCTTACTGTAAAACTATAGAAAACTTGAATTTATTTTGAAAGCTTCCCAAACTAATGCTGTATCTGACAAATAGCACAGCACAGTAGGCTTGGTTCTGATTGCAGAGCTCAGGAAACCTGTCTAAAATGGTCTATTTTACACTTAGGTGTATATAAAAATTGTTTTAAGATGTATTTTTATTGTCTGCAATTAGCTTGTATATGCTGCTGCCTTGTCTTCTGCCTCAGGAACTGAGCTGTTTATTTCTCTTTCTTCCAAGAAAACACACATTGCAGTGCACATTGACTAAGAGCTCGGTGATATAGTGTCTTTGTCCTATTATGCAATTCCTATTTTTAATTTGTACAGTAAAACTGTCATACTAATAATATCCTCATACCAAAAATTAATTTTGATCCTTGAAAGGTAAAAATTTACGTTCTCTGTGCATGTCAGTGTTCTTGGCAATCTAATTGAGCAATTTTTCCCCCAGACCATCATTATAAATTTGACAAATTTGGCAGACCTGTAGGAATTATTGAGCTGCAAATCTGCATTATGCTTGTAAATTCTAAGAATCTCTGCTTACCCCTGATTTCAATTTTCTGTTAAGGAGGGCTCAGAAAGAACAGGCAAGGCATTTGAAGAAATCAGAGGTGAAGTAGATTGTTTTTTTGAGATGGCATCTCCCTCTGTCGCCCAGGCTTGAGTGCAGTGGCGCAATCTCGGCTCACTGCAACTTAAGACTCTTGGGTTCAAGTGATTCTCCTGCCTCAGCCTCCCAAGTGGCTGGGACTACAGGTGCGTACCGCCATGCCCAGCTAGTTTTTGTATTTTTAGTAGAGATGGGGTTTCACCATGTGGGCCAGTATGGTCTCGATCTCTTGACCTCATCGTGATCCACCCACCTCGGCCTCCCACAGTGCTGGTATTACAGGCATGAGCCACCGCACCCGGCCACGAAGTAGATTCTTAAACAAAGAAGGACAACCCCAGAGATTAGTGGCTCAGCTTAATTTTTTTTCTAGTAGGTAATGATACAATTCTTAAACACAAGAGTCTTCATGTTTGCTTTATAGTGGCAAGGAGCTTAGAGACTTCAGCAGTTTTCTGCCAATGCTGTGTTGACTGTGCAGTCAGTTCTATTGTCATGTTGCAGTTCTTAATTATTAAGAATACCTTCCTTAACTTCTCATTTTGATTGTACCTCATATTTTGTACGTATATATATTGATTTTTAAATGGATATTAACTGAATTTTTACCATGGGCCAATCATTGTCATTCATTCTACAAATATTTCGATTGTCTACTATGAACCACAACCAGGTTAAGTGTTGTGGATTTAACAATAGGAAAAATAGATATTCATGGAGTTTACAATAGCGTGAGGGAGAGAGATATTAATCAAATTACCATCCTCCCTCTCAAATACATAGTTCCAATCCATGATAAGTGTTCTGAAAGAAAAGAATGAGGTGCCCTGAGAGAATGGGGATTGATTTGCAGGCAAGTCAGGGATGATTTTCCTGGGGAGTGTTGTTGCTTTCATATGCGTTATTCACTAAATCTTCCCAGCAAGTCTTTGGTACAGGTGTTACCGTCTGCACTTTGGGGTTAAAGAAGTGGAAACGTGGAAGAGGTTAAAGTGCTCTTTGTACTATGCCTCAGATGCTTATGCAACAAATACGAATGAAAGGGAAGTGCTCATTTGTCGGCATACATGTGGAGTTAAGGCTCTTCAAGGTCATTCTATCCTTCATTTATCCTTTCTAGGAAGTTTATTTGTGTCAAGCCATCCCTAAGAAGATAAGCTATTATTATAGCTTTGAAATGATGTGGCAATAGTTTCAAAATGTGGCAAAGTGAACTGCCCACAAGTACTACACACTTGTGATTAAATGATACAGTTATTGTCTTAGTCCATTTGGGCTGCTGTGACAAAATACCATAGACAGGGTCACTTATGAAAGCTAAAAATGTATTTCTCGCAGGTATGGAGGCTGGGAAGTCCAAGATCCAGGCACCGGCAGATCCAGTGTCTGGTGCAGACCTGCTTCCTGGTTCACAGAATTGCCCTTTTGCTGTGTTTCCACACAGTGGAAGGAGAAGGCAGGTCTCTGGGGTCCCTTTTATTTTTTATCTTATTAATTTTTTTGACCAACAAGAATGATCTTGAGAGGGGTCCCTTTTTATTAGGGCACTAATCCTTATCATGAAGGCTCTGCCTATAGGACCTAATCACCTCCCAAAATGCCCCACCTCCTAACACCATCACCTTGGGGGTTAGGATTCTAAAATATAAATTTGGGGGGGATGCAAACATTCAGACAGTAGCAGTTATCCTCCATTATCTGTATGTAACTCATCAGCTTCCTGATTTAGCTGCTGTACTTTTTAATGTGCAGCCTGACTTTGGACGCCGCCCCTCCCAAGCTTAGAACAGAGCTGCTTTAAGTCCACAGGTGTCAGAATGGCAGCACCAGCAGTACCTAAGACTTTATTAGAAATAACAGTTCTTGGGCACTGCACTAGGCCTGCTAAATCAGAATCACTGGGGGCAGAGCCCAGCAATCTGCATTTTAACACTCTCTCCAGGTGATTCTCATGCATGATAAATTTTAACCAGCATTCCCTTTCAGAATGTGGACTAATGTTAATACTGGCCTAAAGGTAAGTCTGCAACCATATGATATTTACAAATGAGTCGATGCATGTAGACCAATGAATAAATATTAGCTATTATTCTCAATACATGGAATATTAAAATTGGATGGAAATATTAAGATTACCTGGTATAGCAACTTTCTTTTATGTATAAAGAAATTGAAAAGGATATAGCTACCTTAGTTAAGTATATGCTGGTGCAATTTTTATATCATCCATTTTATTCTTTTTACTATGTTCTCCACTAAATCAGATAATCAAATGTATTCTGGCTTATGGTCAGTTCCAGAGAGAATAAGAGGTGTGTCAGCAAGCTTACTATGTCTGTCTTGTAATTCCTGCTTGAAGATCAAGAAAAGAACCTTATGAGAAATCATGTACAAATCTCATACAGACACATCAGCTCTCTGGAAAAGAGCTCCAGGCTGATGATCAGGGAAATAATGTCCTTGTAGCTGTCCCCTGCAGGGGGTCTCAACTTGGATTTGAATGTGGATTGGCAAGTTATACATAATCACATTATTTTTCCAAAATGCCCCCCCAACCTCCACTTCTCTTAATTTTCCAGCTTCTTTTCCCCAATCTACTTTGGTTTCACTTCCATACAAACAGGGAAATATAGCTGCTGTTTATGTATTTGCTAGATTTACGAAACATGCCGCTGTGCCTCTGAGTATGAATGTGATATAAATCACAAGCCATAGATGAATGACTGAACAACAAAAAAATAAGTAAAAGCTGAAACTCACATGATTTTGTAACTAATGAACCTCTTTTCTCTTCTCAGGGAACAACTGAGTCAGGTCTTCTCTTACAGGGGTTATTCACATTGTTCTTCTCTTTCTATTCAATAAAAGCTGCCTTAATGCCAAAATTAAGAAAAAATAGAAATAACTACTCTAAAAGCATTCCAATAATTGCCTTCAGGTGAGGGGATATGGTTCATTCAAGCTTCTCTTTTAACTTTTCCATATTTTCTTCAGCAAATACTAATGATAGCCACTAACTATATGTTGAGTGCTTGCTATACAGTGCCATTTAATTTTCACAACAAGCCTGTAGAGTTATATTGGGTTTACTGTAAAGGCTTCCCCGAATTCAAAGCATCTAAGTAATAGCCCCATTTACCCAGGCGGTAAGAGGTGGGGCTGGGGTTGGACACCAAATCTGCCTCCTCCGGAAACCATTAGCATAGTCCCCACCATGGCTTGCTCCTTCCTTGCCCTCCCACCCCTGTGGGGCTCCCTTTCACATCCTGCTAGTAATGACCAGCAATCCTGGACTCACTCTTCTAGATAAAATGCTCCCTCCCTGAGACGCAGGTCACGTTTCTCTCTCTTACCCTATCTCATCGCACACCACACTGACAGACTGAACTACTGAAATGAGGTAATGAGAAGAAACTCTACCCTGAAATAAGAGAAACTATACCCCAAATGAGACTTTCCTCGTGAGCTACAGACAAACCCTCTCAGCATGTTCCCAGGTCCTGCCTTTGCTTCTCTCTTGGCAGGCGCACCCTCTCTCTCTCTAAGACCAGACCATCTTTGTGACTTCTAACTTGGGCCATCCCATGCGCTCTTCTCACAAAACCTGACCTCACCCTTAACAAAGAGTTGCTTTTACCTTAGAATCTCTTCCCTTTCCTCCAGAAGCACTTTTCCCAAGTTAGAGTTAATGAGGCTAGAATCACGTGCTGATGATGTCAGTAGAGCTGTCCCAGGTAGTCTCTGGCACCCAGGTTCTATTGGGAAGAGTGGGAGAGGCGAAACATCTTCAAGATCCTAACAGCAAAGAGGTGTTGCCATGCCTGTTTCTTTATTCTGCTTGTCTACAGCAATTTTATGTATGTATGTATGTATTTATTTATTTGCTGTGTATCCCTAAAAGAATTTTGTAAATTCAGAGATTACTGTTAGCGGCGGACTGTATAGATCTGCAGCAAACTCAATTCTTGCCTCCTCAGAAGAAAGAATTTGACTGAGGGGCATAGGCAGAAGGAGAGACCATGGCAAGTTTTACAGCAGGAGTGAAAGTTTATTAAAAAGCTTTAGACCAGGAGTGAAAGGTAGTCAAGTGTACTTGGAAGAGGGCGACTTGAGAGATCAAATGCATTTGAGGGTCAAAATGCCCTTTCAACTTGGGGTTTTAGACATTGGCATACTGCCTGGGTCTTGGGTTATGTCTCACCTGATTCCTTCCTTGGGGTGGGCTGTGCACACGTGTAGTGGGCTGCCAGCCCTTGGGAGGGGAGAACACAGTGTGGTTACTGGATGTAAGGAACATGGCTGTGCTGCAGCCACGTAGGGCAGCAGGCATAGGCCAAGGTAAACAGCCTAGCTGACTCAGTGGGATTGGGGTGCAAGCACATAGTCCCATGTCTTATATAATCATAACCATGTAGACACAACATAGAGAAGCTCCCCACCTGGCTCTCAGCCACTGTTTTCTGTGCAGTGTGTAAATGTAACACTGACCCTGTGAAGGGGCTGCTGAATAAAGCCAACTCTCTTTTACCTGGTGTCTCTCGAGTGTTCTTCCAGCTCCCCAACCCACATCCACCCACTCTCCTCAGACCTCAGCTGGAGCTGGACCCCAACCCTGATTGTGACACTGGAGTTGTACAGATGCTCACTTGAGGCTTTCTTCACCTACCAGTCTAGCATTCCTAGAGGAAGGTCATATACCAGTTAAACCCCGCCATTTGCCTCTTAATGCGCATGCTTGAGCCCATTTGCCCAACTCCCAAGATCTTATTGAGAAGCTGCTGATCAACAGTTTCAGGTGTTTTCTATCCACTGGGAGACTGCCGTTCCCTGGCGCCAGCTGTGATCAATTATTTTATTATTTTAGAGAGATAGTTGACAACCACCTGACCATCGCCTGATGGTCTCCTGACATTCCTGATGCGTTTGTGTGGTGGGGTAGCCCTCTCCTGCCCTGTTCATGCCTGACTAGCTACCTACCGTAACATTACCTGCACATATTTTAACATTACCTGCACATATTTGACATCTAAAATATTTCGAATTAAAACATTCACAAGAATATTTTTTCCAGTTGATTGCTAATATTGACATTAAGGAATAGTTACAGTCACATTTTAAAGGAAGCCAGCAATTCTAATTAATGTGGTTATTTGATATTCATTATCATTCATTAAAAATACCTGACAAGTTCTTATAGTCAGAAATCATATATATTTTCCTTATCTTTTCCAAATCTTATTTCCAATGTACTTACTCCATAGAATTTTATGCTACTTGTAATATAGTTTACACTTAAACATCTGTTATCCTAACCTTATACCTGCTACAACTAAAATGTATATAAATTTAAATGCAACTTAAAAAAAATTCCATGACCATATGTCTGATAAAAACTCTTGATTTAATTATTACTATACTTTTTATTACTAATTATAGATGAAGATAGCCATGAAGGTAAGAGAATTTAAGTGTAAGGACCACTCATTCTGTGGCCACTGTTGTTGCTGGAAGTTGCTAAGTCACATAGTAATCTATCATCAAAGATTATTTTTAACGATCTCTCAGTTGGCACCTTAATAGGTCTCCCTCAACTTTATTATGAACAAAGAATTAGCTACCATCTGAGTTTTGAAATGATTACAGTCATTTACTTTCTCTACAGCTACAGCAATATTTTGAATTGTGTCTTTTTTTTTGGTGCTGTAAATTTTTTTATGTGTATGGCAACTAGACACTAGACATCATAAAATTTAGGATGAGTGACAGGTATGCCTTTCCTTAAAACAGTGAGCACTGAGAAGGGGAATCTGCATCTTCATTAGTGTTTCTGAGGAAGATCAATTAAAAAAAAACTATTTGTGGAAGTAGAGGGTCTGGAAATTTATTTCCTTAAAATACTCCTTCCTGGGTCTTAACATACCTCAGCTTGAAGACTACTGGTATAGAGAGTAAAGGTTGGGTCATTCTGTTTCTCTCTCTCTCTCTCTTGCTCTCACGCTCTTTCTCTTTCTCCCTCTCCTGTCTCTGGGAAAATATTAATTTGCAGAATCAATATAGTTTATTTTTTAAGAAAGATAAACATGGCCCAGGAGCAGTGGCTCACGCCTGTAATCCCAGCACTTTGGGAGGTCGAGGTGGGCAAACCACAAGGTCAGGAGACCGAGACCATCCTAGCTAACACGGTGAAACCCCATCTCTACTTAAAAAAATACAAAAAATTAGCTGGGCGTGGTGGCACGCATCTGTAGTCCCAGCTACTCGGGAGGCTGAGGCAGGAGAATCGCTTGAACTGGGGAGGTGGAGGTTGCAGTGAGCCAAGATTGTGCCACTGCACTCCAGCCTGGGCAACAGAGCAAGGCTCTGTCTCAAAAAACAAAAACAAAAACAAAAACAAAAAAAGATAAACATTCTACTTTCTTCATAATGTTTCCCATCTTTCATAACAAAGTCCATCTTTTCCTGGAATATGCAGTACATTTTAGTTTCTCTAGTAATCCGGTCTAGTTACCATGACCCTCTCACCCTACCTCCTCGCACAATCCTTCTCTCAACCTGTCTTCTCTCACGTCTGCCAGGAATAACAAGTGTGCTAATCACCAAATCAGACACACAAGGGCTGGGCCTAAGCTTTGAAATGATATCTTTCATTTCTCTTCCCCAGTGGTGACTACCAGGGAACGTGTGGGTTCTTTCAATGGTTGTCCTCCAAAAGACATATATACATTCTAACTTTCCAAACCTGTGAATGCGACCTTACTTGGAAAAAGGGTCTTTGAAGATGTAATCAAGGATATTGTAAAACATAGTCAAATGTTGATCATCCTGGACAACCTGGATGGGCCCTAAATCCAATGGCAACTGCCCTCGTAAGAGACAGAAGAGAAGACACATGAAGATGAGGAGGTAATGTGACCATGGAGGCAGAGGTTGGAGTGAGGCAGGGAAGGAAGCCAAGAAACAGGGAATGCTTCCAGAAGCTGGAAGAAACGAGGAAGGATTCTCCCCAGAGCCTCTAAAGGAAATAAGACCATGCTGATGCCTTGATTTCAGGCTGCCGGCCTCCGGAACTGCGGGGGAAATTCTGTTGTTTGACGCCACCAAGTTTGTGGTGATTTGTTACGGTAGCCCTTGGAAACCAATACATCCATCTGAAGAAATAATAAATGAAACACAATAAGGCAATTTTATCAATGATTAATATTAGCATTACCATAAAGATTTCATAAAGGATTTGTTATGAAGAACTTCAGAAAAAAATTAGGTCCCTTCTACATGGGCCAGTTTTGTTCTTGGCTGTAAACTATGTGAGAGGAGCTTGAGGAAGCACTTTATATTCTGAGTCACTTGTGCTTTTGAGAGGGCCCAGCTCTGAGTTCAGGAAGGTGAGTTAGTTCATAATTAGGCAGCCTTTTATTTTTATGACCAGATCCTGACTTACATCCAGGCAGAATAGGTGAAACACTGTGTATGATTGGATCTGAGAGGCTGGGAAGCCCATGAGCCAAAATACCTCGTCTACCAAGAATATGTGACCTCAAAGTCAACGGTATTCATTCTTTGGGGTTAAGGCAGGAGCTCTGAACTTAGAGAGATTATTTAGTAGTTACTGGGATCTCTTTGCTAAGCACCCTAAAAAAGGCATTGTTATTGTAAAATATAGTCAAATGTTGTTATTTATGGCAGCTATGTTCTATGAAGGTGCCACTAACATTCCTCCTAGGGGAAATACCTAGGGTTAGGTTCCTGCAAGCTTCTGGTCACAACATGTCATCCCTCCGTCAATAGGTGGAAGGTGTGTAAGGGTGAAGTGGGATGCAGTGTTTTATGGCCTTTACGCCAGACTGAGAAAATCTCATTCCTAAGAGCTTCCAGAGCCTGAATCAAAGCCATGCAGCAACAGAATGTGAGAATGAGAAAAAGGGAAAAGAGTACGTAGATGATTGAGAAAGATGAGAGACAGAGAGAAGGAGGGTGAGGAGGAAAAAGTCTTAAAGGAAAACTGGAGAAGCCAGAGAGGCCTGATCAGGAACTGGGAGAAAGAAGAAGGTGTGGGAGGCAGATAAATGAGACCCAGGATTTCATACAGCTTGGCTGGGTTTAACAGTCCCACTTGGGAGCTCTGAAGTCATAGAACCCAGGACTTCTAGGGAAGCTGGTTCTTCTAAAGTCAACCTGCTCAGTTAAGAGGAACATTGTCTTCAGAGGATCAGAATGGATTTACAAACCTTGCTTCCTCCCTGCAATTCATTCCATTAGGAGGTCACAGACTGGGGGCACACAGAAAGCAGTTCAGCTTTTGAAGAAAAGGTCCGTTTATGGCACATGAATCTGTAAGTGTGGGGGATTCTTGTCAAAAGAAGAACTGCTTCTTTTCTTAACTCTGCAGCAGATCAGTTTCTCTGCAAAGAGGACTAAGGACCTGCGAATCGGTTACTCAGAGCTTGGAGAGCCCAACCTTTTAAGCTGGAGCCGAGAGACTATGCTGGGTAGCTGCTAGAGATCGGCATCAACTTTGGGACAAGAGTCCCTGGCTCTGCTGGCCCACTTCTAGGGAAATGGTTCACAATACAGCAGCGAGTAAACCTTCAATCCCAAGTTAAGTAATGGAAGACGAATATGGTCTTTTGGGCCCAGCCAGTTGACAAATGTCTGCGGGCTTTCCTATCACGTTGCTGCTGCTCTCTCGACCCTGTCAGTGAGGAAAGAACTCAGCACTTAGGACTGCTGCTCACACTTGGGTGCCAGTTGCGCCAGAATCACACCAAGAGCGAGTGCCCACTCACCAAGCAGAGCTCAGGCAAAGGACGTTTCCAAACCGACGCCCACACCCGCAGAGCGGTCCCAGCGAACAGCAGGTGTCACCCTTTTGCTTCCAAACCCCAACCACTTTCAGGTGCCTCGCGCGCTCTCCAAACTTGTGTGCTCAGGGCTGCCGCCCCGCTGGGTGGCTGGGCCCATCTGCGCGTCTACGGGGCGCTCCTGTGCGGAGGGTGGGGAGTTGCAGCTTTCCAGCGTGCCCTCCAGGGGGATGAGGGAGGTGATGCCGAGGGCAGCAGGTGCCAGCAGAAGTCACCGGGCGTCTCGGAGGTCGAAGACTGAACTTGCAACGGGAGCTGGGGAAGGTGGTGCGCGCTTCCAAATCCCTCCCCCTTGCCCCAGCAGTTTCTCGGTGCCCAGAGCAGCGCGGGGGAGGCACTGCTAGGGCTCAGGAGCAGAGGCGCTTGGACCATGGCTGCGACCCCGGCTCCGGCCCGGGTCCCCGCGCGCCTGCAGTACAGTGTGCAACTGCGCTTTGTGACGGAGGAGCAGCTCTTTCGGCCTGGACAGTTCTGGTGCCCCAGCCGGAAATCTCTGCGGCTGGAGGTGCAACCAGCAGGGGAGGAGGCGGACGCGAAGGTGACTGATGGTGAAGTACCGGGCACTGCCCCCGCATGCCGAGTCCCACTCGGAAGTTGCGGCTCTTTTGCGCGCTAGCGCGGTAATTGGAGCGCGGGTGTGTGCACGTGTAGGGATGCGAGTGTGTGCGCCCATCGCGCGTGCATGGAGTGCGGGTGTGTGCGCTCGTTGGGCGTGTACGAGACTGCGTGTGTCCGGTCGGCGTGCGTGTACCCGCGGTGCGCTATGTTGCCCGGCGCGCGCGTGTAGAAGTGCGGGTTGCGCACTCCGGCTGTCCCAGAGCAGGTGTGCATCCCCAGCAACTCTCTGAAGGGAAATGCCGGGCTGCCTCTCCTGTCCGGAAAACGTCCAGATGGATCCCGTCGTATCTTTATTGCTCTCAGAGAACTTAGTAGCTGTAGGCAGACGAGCTCTGAGAACCAGCTTCGGCCTTAAGAGATGCCAAAAGTGGGGTCAGGAGAAGAGAGGCATGTGATTTCTTCGCCGGGAATCCATTCAGGACCAAAACAGGAGAGGCGCCAATGTCTCAGTACTTCCAAGCCTACGTGTTTCTCATTCCTTTCCAAAGGAATAGGCCATCTTACAGTTGCACGCGAAGCTTTCTGGTGAGCGAAGTTGTGAAGTTGAGAAAGGACTGAGCGGGGTGTACACCAGGCTAAGTGGCTGTTGCGGTCAGTGTGGCATCCATTTGGCATGACTTTTTGGTTCGACATGTGGCCTTCACCAAGAAAGCATAAGCGCAGTCACCTGGGCTCCACGAGTTGTGGGTATATTAGGGGAATGCTTTTAACCTTGGTAGGATTCCAGATCTTTTTGAGAATTCGAGGACACTTGTAGACTTTGGCTCCAGCAAATGCTCATACTTGCTCACAAAACTTTGCATAAAAATTGGAGGGGTTCACGCTTCTTGCCCCCAGCTCATATTGAATACCTGTCTCTGGTTAAGTGTGGAAAGCAGAGCTCCTAAGGCAGCTGTGAGGCTCCGAAGACTTAGGGAGTTTCTTCCTACCCAATTTCTGAGAGTCTGAGTAGAGTTTAAAGTGTTCTGCCCTGTGAATTGGTTCCAAAGGGAATTTCAAGTAACTGGCAGGTACTGCCTTCTCCCTCCTCAGTGATAAGGATACAAGTTCACTTCTCTATCTTCAGAGACTTAGAACATGATCAGGCACATAGTAGACACTCAATAAATGCTTGTTTTGGAGTGAAAGCAAGCCGTGGGATGTGTCTTCTCCCTTTACTGTAGGCCGGGATGGGCAAGTTTGGGTCTTAAAACGAAGTATTAAATACCATTTGACTAGTGTTTTAGGAAGCTTGAGTCTTGGTAATGGATCAAAAGTCTTACTCAATAGCTCACTGATTTCTCTTTTGGCTGTAAGAGAAGAAAGGAAGTAGCTTTTAGTGTTTCTCTTGGGAATTCTGAAACTCAAGCTTCCAGAAAAGAGTACTGTTTGCCTGCTATAGTCAATTTATTTAATCTCCAGTCATGTGCAGAGAAAACAGCAGATTTGCGACTTATGCATTATTTCATGTCCTATGGTTTTCTTTTCCACAAATGTATGTTAAGAGAAGAAATATCCATAGTTCAAGGTGATTGGAGTTTCAGACTCCCCAAGGCATTACCCCAATGCCTGGTCTTTGAGGACATAATTATCCTAGAGGAGCTCGCCTTTAATGCAGTACATCAAGTCCAGAGATGACCTCTGTGGTATGTGTTGACCCGGACTAATGGAAATAGAATAATTAAAGCCAAGGCAGGGAGGTAGTCATTGCCACAAGATTTTGACAGAATTCCTTGGGAAAGATTCACTAATAAGGAAGCAGAAAACTCACTTTCCAGTCCTAAGGTGCATTCAATGTATGAATGTAGTTATTAAAGCTCAGTTCCCTTTTATGGAAAGTTTTGAAGAGAAACTATCCTGGAGTTTTTCTTTAAAGTAGCTCATTTTATTATATCACCAACTAGGCCCCTGTGGATGGGGACCAGGAAGAGAAAGCATAAAAAGAAATTCTAATACATTATTGGAAGAAAAAAGATTCTGGCAAACTCAAATATTGTGTATTTAGTAGCAGAATTTTGAGTGGCTAGGATTTCTTTGGGAATAAATTTGGCCCAAATTCTTTCATGGACTTTAGAAATGAGTCTAAGCAATGTACACTGAGAAAATTATACAGATTTACCTCATAGCTATAGTTGTTAAATAGGTAGATTCTGGGATAATGCTGCCTCAATTAGAATCCTGGCTGTACTCCCTGGCTATGTTAACTGTAGTGAATGATTCACTCTATTTAAGCTTCATTTCCTCATCTGTAACCTAAGGATGATAATATGAATTATAATGTTTAAATAAAATACTACATGTACCACGTTTGGGACAATGCCTGGCATATACTAAGAGCTCAGTAAGTATTAGCTGTTATTATTATTTAGAGACAAGTTCTCACTCTGTCACCAAGGCTGGAATGCAGTAGAGTGATCATAGCTCGGTATAACCTCAAACTCCTTGGCTTGTGTGATCCTCCTGCCTCAGCCTCCTGAGTTGCTAGGACAATAGGCATGCACCACCATGCCCGAATAATTTTTACAATTTTTTGTACAGATGGAATCTTGCTATATTGTCCAGGCTGGCCTTGAACTCCTTGCCTTAAGCCATCCTCCCTCCTCAGCTTCCCAAAGCATTGGGATTACAGATGTGAACCACTGCACTTGACCTATTGTTAATGTTATATTTACTTTATGTCCCCCAGACAACAGTTTCCTTAGGCTCTTCTTACAGTGAGTTAGGCTATATTTTTGTAAAGATGTTGCAAGAAAGACCATTAAATCTGCTAAATAATAACCTGGAAAATTTGAACAATCGTTTAGAGTCCTGATTTCAATAGCTTGACATGTAAAAAATGGAACAGAATGAGACAAACCAGTCTATTCTAATTTCAAACTTTCCAAAATTGACCACAAATTTACAGAGGTAACACACCAGGGGATCGGCAAGCAATGGATTCTAGCTTGTGAACTCTGGGAAGACATTGATTCATTTCTTCTTTTCTCAAATATTTTTTGAGTCCCCATCCTGCCAGGAGCCTGCCTAAAAACATGTTTTATTCATCCTCCTATCCCCAGGGCCTTCCACAATACCAAGTACACATGAGACATCAAAAAATGTTTCTTGAATGAATCAGTGCTTTAAATCAGGTTTCTAAGTCTTGCTAAAATAAAACTTAAAATACTGAGCACTGAGTGTGCAGAATCCAAGTTGCCCAAAACAATTAAGACATTGGCTTGACTTACAGTCTAGAGGGATGTTTTAAAATGCAGTATGTTAATAGAAGTTTGAGGTACAGTAAGGTCAACAGATCAGGAGACAATTGCCATTGAAAAGATGGTTTGTTACTCACAGTTCCCAATAGGAGGGGGCATACCACACCACAAGGGGGTCACATGGAGAAGCACCTGGGTGGGTCAGGGACAGAAGTTGGGGGCAGGGCGGCGGGGGGAACTGTTAGCAGGAGCTTTTATTGTCCTTTCTGTGGGAAGGAATGGGTGAGGCAGGGGATTGGCTGATTTGAATGATTTCAGCGGGCTCTAGGGTTTAGGGGCTCTCTCTAGTTGTCTGGTACCTGGCCCTGGGGTAATTCAGGCAGAGGGACGATGGCCCAGAGCGTGAAAGCCCAGTAAAAGAGGCGATTGGGCTGTGGACTCTGGACTGGTTGATTTGTACTTGAAAGGCATGTTCCCAAGTGAGTTGTTTACTCTCTAGGAATTGGCAAACCTTGGGAGGGGCAGTCTCTCCAGGGTTAGCAAGGCCCCAGATGTTGAAGTATCAGAATACAGAAAATGAAAAACATGGTTAATACAAGGGAGAATCAGAATACAAGGGAATGAGGAAGTATAGAGCATGGGTTGAGTGCTGGCTTCTGATAAGAACCTCAGTTCAGGGGATGAGAAAAAAATATCTGTTGCTTTTTATGCTTCAAGTGTATCCAAACCAGCAACTGGAAAAGGGGGGAACAAAAAAAGTAGGGGGTGGACCTGCCTCTCCCCAACCCTTTAACCCAAGCTCTCTGTAAGCCCTGTACTGGGGGACTGGAGAAGAAAGAAATTAAGAACTGAGGCTGTATTACACAAAGGCTAAGAGTAGACTGGATTTCCAGGAAATAAGAGAAAATTTTTTTTCCTTTTTCAGTTTAGAGATGTCTTTTAATTAATCCTCCAGAGTTAGGAAAATTTATAAATAAGCCCCACAGATAATCACGTATAAAAATGCGGTGGTTTTTGTCTGTGAGGTATTGTAAAAGGATGCTAGGCTTTTTGTTCCCTGGTGAATGCTCATCTCATTAGAGGGGGAAAAAAAGAGCAGAAGAAAAGTCAGAGAAAAACACCCTTTATAGCTCATGGGAGCTCTAATCTTCCTTCATTAAATTCTATGATAGCAGACTTAGTAAGTTGAGGCCTGTGGACAGGATCCTGAAGGCAGTCACCCACATATGAGATAAGCATTCATTACTTTTCCTTCCACAGATATCTACGGAACACATATTCTGTGCCAATCATTGTGTGAGCCATAAATGAGCTAGCTAAGAACCTACCCTACAGATCTAATGCTTTAATCAAGGAAAACAATAGTCAAAGATAGAAAGCAAGATAATTTCAGATTGAGATCAATGTTTTGAAGAAAATGAACAGAATGAAAAAAAGCTACATAGAGAGGGAAGGAGGCCAATTTAGGGAGTGTGGTCAGGGAAGACTTCTCTGAGGAAGTAATATTTGATCTGAAGCAGGAAGGAAAGATGAAAGGAGCCAGCTAAGCAAAGAGCTGGAGGAAAAATATTGCAGACAGAGAGAATGGCAGGTAGAAAGGCCTGAGGCTAGGAGGGAGCATGTGTGTTTGTAGTGGCCTGTGTAGCTGAAGTTTCATAAGAGAGAGAGGGAGTGATGGGAGTTTAAAATGAGTGTTCCAGTTATTATTGCAGCATAACAAGCCACCTCAAAACTCGGTAACTTAAAATAACCATTTTATAACGTTGCCAGATTCTGTGAGTTAGGAACCAAGGAGGGCTTGGCCAGGTGATCCTTTGTGGCATTGACTGAGGTCACTCTCTGGCACTCAGCTGGTGACTGGCCTGGTCTGGAGAGCCGAGAACGCATCACTCTTCTGGGCAGGTGCTGGAGCTGGTGTGATGTGTCAACTTGGCTGGGCCACAGTGCCTAGAGATTTGATCAAGCATTCTGGATGTTTCTGTGAGGGTATATTTTGGATGAGATTAACATTGAAATTGGTGGGTTTTGAGTGAAGCAGGTAAATGCATGGATTTTTGATGTGTCCCACAATGGATTTCCTAATTATTCACTCCTGAATTGAACTTAACCCCACTCCTCAAAAACAAAACAAAACAAACCAACCTGCAGGCCTACCCCAGAAAACACCTACTCTGCAGGCAGACAGACCAGGAAGCAAGAGTGGAGGGGGGCTAGGCTGGGCAGGCTCATGTCTTCTGATATATCCATCAGAGAACCCCAGGGAGAGAGAGTGGAGCTGGGGAGACAGGGCAAAATCGTTGCTGGAGGACAGTATTTCTCAATGGAGCATGAATAACTTGAGCTGGGAAAATTCTTCACTGTAAAGGCATTGCAGAGTGGTTAAGACCCCTGGCCCCTTGGCAATATATGTCAGCATCCCCATTCCCCAATTACTGTGATAATGATGAACAACCTTCCTGCGTTGCTAGCACAACTCCCTTCACATGGACATGAGGGAGAAAAAGATACACAAACCACCATCTTTCCCCACAAACAACCACAGAATCAGAATACTCTCTCGCACTTTTCCATCTGAACTTCAAAAAACACGACACTCATCTTTGACACAGCAGTCCCTCTCCCAAACAGCAGACTATGCCTCACATTCATCACCAAATTCAACCTCACTACCATTTCGCCCTAGCAACAATTTAGATATTATTGTTGTACTGAAGAGTCGTTTAAAAAATGTGAAATACGGTCAGAATCCCGCTAAGTAACTTCTTTCTTTTATCGTTATTTTACCAAGAGCAATACTTTCATGGTTTCAGTATAACTTTCCGAGAAAGATCTTTAATGAGACTAAACTGAGAATTTCAGGTGGCCCTGGTTTTGTGTGTCCTCATTATGGAATGTGTATCAGTGAAGAGAAAGCATTTCCTTCCTCTGTCAGGCAGGACTGGTACCTTGAGCGGATGACAAACGAAAAACTGTTCAAAGCCCCATGTGGCTGAGTCTGAAGACACAGAAGTGAAAACAGATGAAAAGCCTTGTTTTCCTGGCCAAATAAAGACCCTTTAAGGTTCCTTTTTCGACTGGTACTGGGCGCGTGACTCACGCCTGTAATTCCAGCACTTTGGGAGGCCGAGGTGGGTGGATCACCTGAGGTCTGGAGTGCGAGACCAGCCTGCCCAACGTGGTGAAACCCCGTTTCTACTAAAAAAAATACAAAAATTAGCCAGGCATGGTGGTGCGTGCCTGTAATCCCAACTACTCTGGAGGCTGAGGCAGGAGAATCGCTTGAACCCAGGAGGTGGAGGTTGCAGTGAGCCAAGACTGTGCCATTACACTCCAGCCTGGGCAACAAGAGTAAAACTCTGTCTCAAAATAAAATAAAATAAAATAAATAAAACGATTAAAATAGTCCTTTTTTTCCCCCCTATTTTCAATAGTTGTACTAAGTTGTGGTTCTTTATTCAGTACTGGTGAATAAACCAGTTTGAAGACAGGGACTCCACTGATTGGTACTTACAGTGAATGCCACTTCGAAGAAGAAGAGGTATGGCTATCTTGTGAGTAAAGTGTAGACAGCATGGTTAGTCGGCCCTTGATTTTCAGAGTTAATACTGGAAACAGAGAGGTTACTGAGGCAAGAAAGAAAGTATCATTGATATAATATTTATGCTTTGTGTTATGATTGATCACAGAGTCTTTAAAATTAATTTTTAATTGTATGTATTTAAGGTGCACAGCATAATGTGTTATAATATACATAGTGAAATCATGACTACAGTCAAGAAAATTAGCATATCCATCAGCTTCTGTAGTTACCTATTTTTTATTGTATGGTGAGAGCACCTCAGATCTATTCTCTTAGCAAATTCTCATTATACAATACAATATTATTACCATAGTCCTCATGCTGTATATTAGATCTCTAGATTTACTCTTAGTGTTTGAAATAATTACTTTAAAATATGAGGCTTATAAAAATGTACTAGACTAGAGCCATGCTGCTGATGAAAATCCCTCTTTATCCCCTCTTCCCCATGCTTCTGTCACAGATGGTAGGTGCTCATACCCCTGGCAGTTAGAAGAAGAACTATGAACTGAGTGTATTCAGAACCCTCCTCCTTCTCCTTCCACGATTATCCTCCCTCGTAAACTCCCAGTGTCTAAGAGCCTTTCCCACACCCCACACCCCCTCCAGTGCAGCCAGTGTTTTACCGTGAAGAGTTGCTGATAAAAGTGGAAGGGGTCAGGTTTTCCCCAGTGCACCAGCGTTTTAATAAGAAACAAACCCTTTGCTCAGAGGAATGACCTTATATCCTTGAATAAGTTCTTTTTGTCAGGTCTGAGAGACCTCTGGGTTTTCCAAATCACTCTCAGATCCAAATATTTACCTTCATTCACCTAAGCTGTTCCTTTGTGTTAAGTGCTGTATGAATTATCTTTAACTGTACAGTAACCTGGAGGGTAGATAATATTGACATCGTTTTATTGGTCCATTTTATCGCAGGTATATTGTCCTCAAAATCTGATTATTTCCGTCTTTCCATGATAACCTTCTTGTACTTAGTGACCCAACATTTGGCCTGTAGTAGAGTTGGACTTTTAGCCTCAAAACCAAGTTGGATTTGTCCATAGAATGAGGAAGCATTTGTTAGTTGTGTTTGGGGGAGCTGTATCCCTTCATAAGCTTAGAAACCTCAGTGAGACAGTGGAGGGACTGACAATGTAACTCTTGGCATATTTCGGACAAAACTGAGGTTTTCTGATATCCAGTACACCCATATAAATAAAACTATGCATGACCTTCTTTTGTTAATTGCTTCCCACCATTTTAACCCCTGTTTTATGAGGACTAGGCTGGCGAGGGAGTTCAATCAACCAGGTCAGATGTCCCCATTTACGAGTTTGTGACCTTAGAAGATTTATTGGAACCTGCCTGAACCTTAGTTTTCTCTCCTGGAAGCTAGGATAATTTTTACCTCATAAGATTATGCAAAAAAAAAAAAAAAAAATAATAATAACATAAACAGAATAATGAAAAGTGAAAAAAATGCAAAATGATTTCTTTTACTTTTGAAAATAAATGGAGTCAAAATTACCAAATAAAAATAACATCAAGATATTTTTTACAAGCAGTTGTAAAGAGAGGTTACTAGTTTTGTGGAGCTTACATTCTAGTACCATCCAAAAAAAGTGTTAGGATACTTTGTGCTGGACTTTGTGTGTGTGTCTGTGTGTGTGTGTGTGTGTGTGTGTGTGTGATCCTGATTATGTATAGTTGTCCTTCACATTCACAATATGGCTGACTTTGTAAAATCAACTCTGCTGAGACACTTGTTCTCAGGCCTTTTGATGTGCTGTTCCTTTTGCTTGAAATGCTGTTCTACGCCCATAACCCCATCCTGGCCCTTTGTATATTTGGGTTCTTTTCGTTTTTTATTTCAAAGTTTGAAAGTCACATTTACAGAAAGGTGTTCTCATCATGCTAAGCACCCACTGCTCCTATCACATCTGCTGCCATTTCTCTCAGCCTTCTTTCTTTCCTAGCAATTATCACAACTGGTAATGAGAACTAAAAATATTTTTTTAAAATTTACCCTTGGTTAAAATTGAAGTTGGACTCATAGGCCACAAATCACAAGAGTATTTAATGAGAAACCTTGAGAGGAAGGGAAGAGGCTGACCCAAATGCTTTTGAGAATGTGAGTGAGAAGATTGAAGCATATTTCCCAATTAGGAATCATAAAGGCAGAAAGAATAAAGAGCACAAGCCAGGCTGGGTTAAAGGACTATTTAGGTTAGAGCAATGCATATTCTGAATGTTGTCACCATGAAATTGAATTCCTGGTCAGTTTCTTTGCCAAGAAGGGTAAAAGGGGTCTCCAGTTCAATTTTGTTTTAAACTATAAAGTTTATTGTTCTCTCCTAGAAAATATAAGTCAACCTTCAGGCTGATATGATGACTGAAAAGCTTGCTTAACATGTTCATTGTGGGAAATTGTATTTATTTACTTCATGTTTGTTTTTAGGAAATTGAATTTGTTAGAAGGCTTGTTGTAAAAATTGGCTTTATTCATCTAGTTGCACATTGCAGCACCGTGATGAATAGTTTACTGACCTTCAGTAACTCTATATCAGTGACAGGACTTAATTTCATTTATTGATTTGTGCAACTTGTATTTATTACCTACCTACTATGAGCCAGGCACTGTTCAAGGAATTGAGGAAATAGCAGTGTGTTAGTTGTGCATTGCTGTGTAACAAATAACCACCAACTTAGTGGCTTAAAACAATACACATTTATTATCTCAGAGTTTCTGTGGCCAGGAGTCTGGGCATGGCTTAGCTGAGTTCTCCACTGCAGAGTCTCTCAGGAGCTACAATCAAGGATCCAGCTAGTGCCAAAGTCTCATACAAAGACTTGACTAGTAAAGCATCCTCTTCTGAGCCGACTATGTGATTGTTGGCTTAATTCAACTCAATTTCTTGCTAGCTGTTCCCTGGTGCCCTGAGTTCCTTGGCGCATGGGCTTGCCTTACATGGCATCTTGCTTTATGAAAGCCAGCAAAAGAAAGGGAGTCTAATAGCAAGATAAAAGTCTCAATTTTATGGAGCCCAATCATGGAAGTGACATTCCATGATCTTTATCACATTTTGTTGGTTAGTCACAAGGTCCATCCACACTTGGGTAGAGATGACACAGGGACACGAATCCAGGAGGTGGGGGTTATTGGGGGCTATCTTGGAGTCTACCTGCCATGAACTGTGAATAAAACAAAAATCACTGATTTTATCGAGCTTGCATTCTAGTGCCATTCAGTAAGTATCAGGGTCTTTTGTCTGTGCATGACTTTCTACAGGCCTGTTTGAGAAAAACATATTTTGTGCTTCTAATAGATTTATTGCTAAACACTATATGAAGAAATCTTTTTTTAAATTGGTTATCAGGTACAGTCCTGCCCTGAAGCCCTCAGGGTGTTTGCAGTTGAATTGCATAACTAAAGAATGTACATAAAATACATAAAAATCTCTCAGCAGAGTGGCAGTGATCAGTGGAACAGAAAAGCTCCAGTATGCTTCTGGCTTCCAAGCCCTTTACTTTGCTTTGGATAGCTGGATGGAAGAGGTTTTTATTTCTGAAGAAGACAGACCTTGCTGTGGTAACCTCTATTTAATTTTTTGTCAGGTTTATTGCATCACAACTTCATTTCCTTACGGGGAGGCTTAGCTAGATTTTCTTCTCTGTAGGGAAGAGGTATATTGAAGATAAATTTTATCTTGTGTCTAGGTTCAGATGCTATTTGAGAAATTTTATTAAGTCATTCACAAGGAGACAGACTGAGCTGCTGTTTCAAACACCAGAAATTACAATGAGGTTTTATAGAACGAAACAAAGGGGTGAAAGAGAAGAAGAAATAAATGAGGAAGGAAGGAAGAAAGGAATAGAAGGAGGGAGAGAGGAGGAGGGAGGAAGTAAGGAAATAAGGAATGGAGAAAGAAAGGAAGCTGGAGCCTCACTAGATTTGTTGCATCTTAGGGGATGATGGATAGTATACTCTATGGATATTGATTTTTTTAAACTAGATATGTTTTCTGGCTTTAAGTAATCATCTAAACATATTTCACAAGCCTTGATATTTACAGTCTTGGGTTTAGAATTTATATTTTAAAAGACATAGAGATAGACTCTGTACCACCTTGAGAGAACACTTATGTCTTGGATCTTAGGTGTCAGAAAAATAAAAGATAAATGAAAATCCATTAATTGGAATGGAGAAGAGGAAAGTGAATCTGAATCGTACGCATTTTTAGCCTAACCAAGTCCGGCTAATGGCATTGCAGATTCCATGTTGTTTGTAAATACTGTATTGCAAACTGATGTGAGATGCTTTGTTGCACTTGGAAAAAGATGGAGGCATAGTTCAAAAACTGGTCTAAGACATTAGGAGGAAAGAGCAGAGCTGAGATGCAAACCCAGCTGTTGTCCAGAGGCTGAGCTTTCATAATGCTTCTCTGTGCTCAGAAAACAGTTCCATGGAATTGTTTCATGTAAATTCCTGTGGACAAAGCCAATTTTTTCCTTGCAAGGGCATTCACTTCTGATTTCATATTTTTTTCTTTCTCAGAGAAGTAAGTTTTCTTATTTTGTTTCCACAGATAGCAAATCCTTCAGTATATGAATTCCGTTTCTTAGATGTCAAGGCTAGCAGATCAAAAAAGCGGAGAACGTGTCAACTACAGGCAATGAACATTAAGTTTTTAATCTATAGAATATAGATATAGAGACTGTAGTTCACAGAGGTGGAATACATTGGCAGACTCCCTTAGCTAGTTCATAAAGAGCCAGGGCTGGTGCTTAGTCCTTCCAATGGTCAGCTCTACTCTCTCTCCACCAGTCTCCATAGATGATATTTAGAATCCATTCTCTTAAGCAATTTAATATGGTTTTTATCTCTTGACTCCCAGGAATAGTTGTGATTTTTCTTTTCCATTTACAGGAACTCTTTGGCGCTCTGCCCCCCACCATAGAGCATTTGATTCTTTGAAGTTCCAGTTAGAATGATAATATGTTCTCTAGGTTGAAATATTTTAGTAGTATGGCCTGGTTTCTTTGTGCCTCCCCAGATTCTGATGTGGCTCTTCCCTTTCAGATTTTTCAGGTTTGGGATTGTGTCTTTATAATTTCTGCATTCCTAGGAAGATATACAGTAGGACTTGGTTCTAGTGAATATAGTTATACAGCTTCCAGGGCAGAAAGTATACTTTTATTCTTGGAAAATATGGACCAATAATTTTTATCACATTTTCTCAGCCATTATGACAGTGAGCCAATTTGTCTACAATCTTTGTTATAAGCCAGTCAAATTCTTCTTTGCTTTTGTTAGTTAATCTTGTCCCTCTTAGAGCAAATTATTCCTATAACCTGTGCCTGAACTTTAAAATAATAATGTGATGAATCAAGGGAAGCAGTTGAGTTAATTCGCAATGTCTACTTCAATGAAGCATTGGTTTGTGTTTTGGAAATAATCTCCAGGTCCTTCCACTCTTTTGCCCCTTGACTCTTACTTCAATGTATTGCTATGGTTTTTGCTGATTCATGTGGGGCAAAACATATTTGCAATTTGTAGGTAACACCCATCTCTCAAAAAGGTCATGTGATTTCTAATAAATCAAGTTCCTTAGAAAGCCAGAGAAGACACTTTTCTTCATGGGGCTCAGATCCCAAACAGTAACTTATTGTTTGATGTAGAACAGTAGGCTTTAAAATACCTTTCCAAAGCAGCATTTTCTATTGGCAAGTAGGAGGATTATGACATTTGATGGTCATTTTTATAATTTTTGATTATTATTCACTCATTTACAATTATTTGTTGAGCACCTTTCAGTGCCTGCACCATTATATTACCTAACCAGTAATAAAAAATAATCAGTTATTTTATATGATTTTTACTCTTGATGATTTGACCTAAGAGACACAGAGACCGATGTCAGTACTTAGCGGACCTAAGAGTACCTAACCTTGTGAAAAGGTACATTCTTGCCCCTTCACTGCTTGACTTGGTCCTGGTTGCTCCTGGTTGTCTTTATGGAGACCACTATCTCTAACACTCATGGAATGAAATTTCTTTTAAAGATACCAATAACACAATATTAATAGAGTGAGACAAGAGACAACACAAAGGAACTGAGGCATGAGGTAGAGTAGTGAAGTCTAGAAGGAACCATGAAGCCATGGTTATCTTTTCATAAAAGCCTTTAGAGAGTAACTACCAAATATATTTTCTACTCTGAGTAAGTCTTTCATTGGACACCTGTGTGCTATGTAGCTGCTCCTCAACATTCTGCTTCCCTTTTTTCTCTCACACTTTTCACCTTCAGCTGGTTAACTGCTGGGGTTGCAGGCATCTTTTTGGAATGACCCTCAAATATATGTCAGTCTTCTGTGGTTCTAGAATACCCAGCTTTCCTGTGTCAATCAGATATAATGGTATGCACCAACCACTTACTAGATAAAATCATGTTTTGAGGTAAGTATTATGACCAGGGTAGAAAACTAGAGCTCTCACAGCTGAGTGTCATTAGAAATGTTTTATGTGGTGGCATATTATTAAACACTTTAATTTGATGGGTAACCAAGGTAATAGTGATGATGTAAATCTTAATCTCCCAACATATCCTTCCCCAACACCTAAATAACAATGAGAAGAACTAAAATTCATGCTCTCAGCATAACAAGAAGACAAATAATGTCTTCAACTAAACTTCAAAAGACCTGCAGCTACACAAATGAACACCAGATCTCTATGAGTTATCTCTTGTCCTCCTCCCAAAGTCCTTGTGAAGTGCCAGGGCAGTCTGTGAAAAACTGATTGGAATGGAGAAGGAAGACTTAGCAGCAGGCCTGATATTGATCTAAAAGCATCACCATAAAAAGAGAAAAAAAAGTGATCTGCTGGATCAGGAAACTGACAACCAGGAGGAAGGTAAAATTGTACACAGCGTGTCAAGAGGAAGTCTTGGAAAGGTAACATTTGAGGAGAACAATTTAAAAAAGACAGGCATTCTTTCAAAGCTACATGCTGAATCGAAATAAAAAGAGAGCACATTTGCAATCTTAGAAGCCAAAAGAAAAAAGGCAAAGGACAAGTCACCTTACCCTACAGCCCTGTTTAAAACAACAGCAACAACAACAACAACAAAAACCCTCTCAACCATATTTTACTGCCCTGACATAAGAGAGAATTCTTCAACTAGAAATCTCTGAAACCTATTCAAACCTAAACCACCAGCCCTGTACACAGAAATGCAGAGGCACAAGCAGTCTTCAATGGTCTATCACCACCATAAAAATACAGAAGAAAATGAGAATCAAATTAATCCAGATGACAAAAATTTTATCCACTAAATGCAACTAAATGAAATATCCTCAAATAAGCATTTTTGGATATGAAATATAATACAAACCACTTTGAAACAGAAATGAAAACATCAACAACAGAAATGAATGCAAAATAAGTAGAACTAAAATAAAAGTTGATTTTAGGAAAACGTAGAAGTCTAAGTTACACAAAAAAATGAAGACTGATTTAGAAAGTCTCTAAGGAATAAAAGATTCAAATGAAAATTTAAGGAGAACATTGAAGAAAATGAGGAAAACAACCAAGATAACAAAAAACAAAAAGAAATCTAAAAAATGAATAAAATTTTAAAATAAAAAAATCTCAAAAGACTAAGAAAGTATTTGAAATAAAATGTAGCAAAAATAATCCAATTAGATCTCTGGAAAGAGATATATAAAACAATGGAACAAATTCATATTTAAAACGATAATTAAAAAACCTTATTTCTGTAAATGAAAGATCAGAATCTACATATTGAAAGAGCTCAGGGAATATTCACCCATAATTACTAACTCTGAGACCTATCTGAGTAAAACTATTGGAATTGATAAAGATTACAAACAATCCTCAGAGCTACAAGGTGAAAAGATGAAATATCTTACAAAGAAAAAAGAACTAGGCTGGCTTTGGATATTCAAAAACATAATGTTTGTTGTTAAAAGAAGATAAATAGTGCATCAACAGTAGAGCAGCACTGGTGTGTGTGTGTGTGTGTGTGTGTGTGTGTGTGTGTGTGTTTGTGTGTTTTAGATATGCAAGAGTGCAGGAATTTGTATCCAGGAACCTTTCTTGAGAATCAACTAGAATCCCATTAAGGCATGAGTAGATGATGTTCATTAAAGGACTGATGATGAGGATTTAATATACTTAAATGCATATGCAACACTAAATCAAGTGGAGATGAGGATAGAAGAATATATATGTTAAAGTAGTGACTAGAGGCAAATTCAGAGCCCTAAACACTTTTATTTAAAAAACTGAAACAACGAAAATTAACAAATTAAATTCCCAACTGAAAAACCTAGAAAATGTCAAGATGTAAAGCAAAGAAAAAAATGAGAAAAATAAATAAAAGTAGATATAATTAATAACTTAAAGCCTGGCTGCGTTTTGAAAAAAATAGCAAAATATAAAAACTGCTAACTAACCTAATGAAGAATAAAAGGGAGAAAGGACAAATATTCAAAATAAGAATTGGCAAGGGGAAATATCATTGAAACAGAAGAATTATAAAAAACTAATTAGAGACTCATTTGCCAACATGTATGCAAATAAATGTTGAATTGAAATGCTGAAACCTATATGAATTGAACAATTTCCTAAAGAAATTTACTCTATTTAAAGAGACAAATTCACTCTATTTAAAGAGACCAATTTACATCAAAGAAATAAAGTTATAAGGTGGCTATTTCACAAGAAAGCACCAGGCTCAGATAGTTTCACAGGGGAATTCTACCAAATATTCAAAGACCAGATAGTTTGAGGGCTCTATAGCTTATTCCAGAGTATTAAAATTATTTTTGAGAACGAAGTATGCAAATGACAATGTAATTAGAAAATTATTACCAATATCGTGTATGAATATTGATGTAAAAATACTTAATAAAGCATGAGCAAACAGAACCCAATATTGTAACAAAAAACTGATGAAACATGATTAAGTGACATTTATTTCAGGAATGTAAGCTTGGTTCACTATTAGGAAATGCAGTCAAATAATACACTATGTTAACAGAGCAAAGGAGAAAAAAACATATGAATATCTCATATGTTGCTCAAATTTCTTTGGATGCTCAAAATTCTTGGATGAAATCCAACTATATATATATATATATATATATATATATATATAAATAAAGTATTCTTATATATATAACTTATTCTTAAAGCCCATATCTTTCTTAATGGGAAAACTTAATGAGAAAACACTTCAACTAAGAGCAGGAACAGGAAAGTATGCCTACCATCTATTTAATTTAACCTTGTCCTGGAAGTAATAGCAAAGGCAATTAGAGGGAAAGAATTGGAATCGAAGAAGTAAAATTATCTCTATTTGCAAGTGATATGATCATGTACCTGGAAAAACTTAGAGAAACAATGGTAAAACGTCCTTAAATAAGAAAAATAATTCAGTAAAGTCACTGAATATAAAATTAACATAACAGAATTACTAGTTTTCAGATACAGAAACAATAACCAGTTTGATGACATAATGCTAGAGAAACCATTTAAATAGCAACAGAGAAAATTAGATACTTAAAATGAATTCGGCACTAAGTTTGCAAAAATGGGTAAGGCAATCTTCAAAAGATTCCTGAAAGACATAAAAATATGTGAGTAAATTGAGAGCCTCTTTACCCTGCACTTGGAAAGGATGACTCATCATGAAGATGTCAGTTCTCCCTAAGTTAGTTTATTAATTTAACACTATCCTTATGAAATATCAATAAGCTTTAAAAATAGTTAATAAGTTGATATTAGTTTATATGAAAAAATAAATAGCCAGGAAAACACTAAAAAGAATAGCTATGCAATAAAAGTAGTCCTACTATATACTAAAACACCACAAAGTCACTATAATTAAAACATGAAGAGACAGACAGATCAATGGAATAAAATGAAAAGTTTAGAAATAGATTCAAGAACATCTGGAACTATAACATATTGTAAAGGTGGCATCTCAAATCAGCAGAGCAAAAATTAACTTTTAGATAAATGGTTTTAGGACAACAGGTTAGCCATTGGGAAAAAATTAAAATTAGATTTATAACTCACATCATTCAAAAGAATAAATTTCAGGTGGATAGCAAATCTAAATATAAAAAAATAAAATCATGTAAGTACCAGAAGAAAACATGAATCGTTCTTGTTTTACCTGTGTGAAGGAAAAGACCAACTGGGATTCAAAATGCTGATGTAGTTTTTTAAAAACTATTAATAAATTTTATTATTTAAAAATGTTTACAAGTCAAAGCACAACTGATGAGCAGGGAGAAAATATTGGCAGTAAAGTGTTAATATCCTTAATATATAAGAAATCATTAAAAATGAAAGGAAAAGACTAAAATCCAATAGAAAAATGTACAAAAGACATGAACAATATACTGAAAGAGATATAAAATGGACCTTCAACATATGAAAGCCTCACTTTAAAAAGAAAAATGAAAAATAATAATACATTGAGGTATCATTTCTTGTCTATCAGATTGGCAAAAATTAAAACATGTAACAATACGTTCTGTTTTTAAGGTCATAAGGAAACAAGCACTCTCACATATTGGAGGTGGAAATGCAAATTGGTATAATCCTTATGGAGGGGAGTTCGGCAATATCTAAAAAAAGAACATAAACTACATACATCTTTACCTTTTGATCTGGCAATTCTGCTCTTAGGAATTCACGCTGAAGGTACCCTTTTAACAACATGAAAACACATATATTAAGTTTTTCATTAAATATTATTCATAATTGTGCAATGTTGGACTTGACCTAAATGCTGACACACTAGAAATAGATTAAACTATGTTAAACACACACAATGAAGAATTATGCAGTTGTAAAATAAATGAATGAGGAAGGTCTCTATGAAGTTTTGTGGAGTGATTTTCAGATTAAGTGAAAAAGGCAAAGTGGAAAAGACTATATAGTCCATTGCCTTTTGTATGAGAAAAAAGGGGAAATGAGAAAATATGTGCATCTGAAGATTTACCAAAAAGAAAGGGAAGATAAATGAGAAACTAAGGACGTTGATTACCTAAAGTGAGTGGGTGGGAATGGGGTGAAAAGGATAGAAATAAAGAGGGTGCAAGAGGATTAATTTAACACTTATTAAAATATATGCTTTTGTATAGTTCTAAGTTTTGGAGCTATGCTAATGTTTTGTGTTATCAATATAAATAAATAAAAACAACACACATAGGAGAAAAATTGGGGTACAAACAGAAGTAAATTGAACTGTATTTCAAATGAATAATGTAATCATACTCAAGTTATCTGAGAGGCACAAATAGAGGAAATAGAAATTCTATGATGTTTGAGCATTGTAAACTTGAAAAATATTCTATCTACCTCAACTCTTGTTTTGGTTACTTTCTTGTCAGAAAGGAATTTGTGTTAAAGGAGAAAGACACAGTGGTTTTAGGAAAAAAGAGTCTTCGTGTACTTTAAACCAAAAGTGTGTGATTAGTAATCAAATGACAGGTAGAGATGAAATGACGTTCTAAAATTAGTGTAGAGCCAGGTGAATGTGGCTGATTCAAACATTCTGATCTTGTGGTATGGCTGCTAGATTCAGTATCTTAGGTTATCACTCTTTGCTATTAATGCTTTTAATTCTGGTTTACAGACAGCAGTAAATTACTAATATAATGACAGCCATAACCACATTGGATAGAAAATATAGCATTTAAGACTTTTTAAGTTATGTTTCGAGCTTTCCCTGGAAGAAATAACTATTTTCATATATCATTTCTTTAAACTAGATCAGAATATTTGCCAATAAAAGTGGATTCAAAGTGTGTGAAAGTAGCCTAAATATAATGTGCTTTGTTTTATCTTAGAATAGTATAACTTTTATAAGTTAAAAAAAAGTCATCAGTGGAATTTGGAACAGTATTAAAATCTTTTCTTATTAGACCTACTGATGACTTATTAGTGAATAATATCTACAGGAAAAATGATTAAGCAGACATGTGCAGAAGTAATCACACCTCTGTTGTTTAGTTTTAAAATATGAATGTATATTTTCATTAATGATTGACTTATAAAAATCATCCTGAATATAGACATTAAGACATTTTAGATGCTAATTTTCTATGAAGATCATTACCCAATGTCTTAGAAATTATGTTAGTTGCTCTCCTATGAAAAAAATCTACCCTGTTCATATTTCATGGATTATATAAATAAAAATGTAGCAGGCTAAGTAGAGGCATCCAAAAAGATATGTCCCTGCCCAAATCCCCAGAAGCTGTGACTATTACCTTATATGGTAAATTTTACCTTATATGGTAAATTTACCTTATATGGTAAATTGCCTTATACGGGAAAAGAAAGGATTAAGGATTTTGAGAGGAGGCATTTATCCTGCATTAGCTGAGTGAGCCCTAAATCTAATCACAAGGGTCCTTATGCCAGCTAGGCAGAGGGAGATTACAGAGAGAAGAGGAGGGGATGTGATCTCAGAGGCAGAGACTGGAGTGTTACAGTCACAAGTCAGATGACACCTGGAGCCACCAAGAAGCTAGAAGAAGAAAGGAATGAATTCTCTCCCTTGAGCCTCCAGAGGGAGCATAGCCTTGCTGACACCTTCATTTGGGGATTTGGGGCTTCTGGCCTCCAGAACTGTGAGATAATAAATTTCTGTTCTTTCCTTTTTTTTTTTTTTTTTTTTTTTTCTCTTGAGACAGAGTCTCGTTCTGTTGCCCAGGCTGGAGTGCAGTGGCATGATCTCGGCTCACTGCAACCTCCGCCTCTCGGGATCAAGTGATTCTCCTGCCTCAGCCTCCTGAGTAGCTGGGATTACAGGCGTGTACCACCATACCTGGCTAATTTTTGTATTATTAGTAGACACGGGGTTTCACCATATTGGTCAGGCTGGTTATGAGCTCCTGACCTCGTGATCTGCCCACCTCGGTCTCCCAAAGTCCTGGGATTACAGGCATGAGCCACTGTGCCCGGACAATTTCTGTTGTTTTCAGCTATCCAGTTTATACTAATTTGTTCCAGCAGCCACAGGAAATGAATACCTAACAGTCAGTTACATTCATGTTTTGAGA
The DNA here is from genome assembly GCF_000001405.40 of Homo sapiens. Classification (NCBI taxonomy): domain Eukaryota; kingdom Metazoa; phylum Chordata; class Mammalia; order Primates; family Hominidae; genus Homo; species Homo sapiens. The sequence goes on along the minus strand of NC_000009.12, from coordinate 3,161,351 downwards.
TAACATGGATGTGATTATTTAAAAACAGAAAACAAATATTTGGATAATTCATTCTTTCAATTTACAACCACTTGTCTCTAAACATAACCCATGCCTCCCAGTAGAGAGTTTATGCTGCATTATCTCACTGTAATGTGGGCAAATTGTAGTTCTCTGAGACTGAATAAAATACAGTATAATATTCCTCTGGACCTTGGAAATAGATCACCCAGTGATCTTGGTTAGCCACAGAGAATTGGAAATTCAGGAAATATTTGCTCATACAAGATATATAACAAAAATAAAGATAATTTTATTTGAGACAGACACTTTAAAAGTATCTCAGAGTGTGAGAAAGCCACTAAACATTTTAAACTACAAAAAAGGGGCTGGACGCAGTGGCTCATGCCTGTAATCTCAGCAGTTTGGGAGGGTGAGGCAGGCGGACCACCTGAGTTCAGGATTTTGAGACCAGCCTGGCCAACATGGTGGAACCCTGTCTTTAAAAAAATACAAAAAAATAGCTGGGTATGGTGGCACATGTCCATAGTCCCAGCTACTCAGGAAGCTGAGGAAGGAGAATTGCTTGAACCTGAGAGGCAGAGGTTGCGGTGAGCTGAGATCAAGCCACTGCACTCCAGCCGGGGGAGCAGAGCAAGTCTCCATCTCAAAAACAAAACAAAACAAAACAAAACAAAACAAAACAAAACAAGTACTAAAAAGGTCACTGGATAGTTTGAGACCATGTAAACTAAATCCACATTCACCTTTTAGATAAGACAATATGGCATATTGGGAAGACCACTAGATTGAGTCAGCTTATTTTGTTGCATTAGATTTTTCTGGGCCCTTTCCAGGAGGTTTGAAAATTATAAATCCACTTATGATTATAATGGGAAGGGTGTCTCTTAATCTAAGGAAAATAAACTTTTTCTAAAGGAAGCAGAGCTAATCTGAGTATCAGGAAAGCAAGCATTTATAAAAACATATAAATCCAAAATTGATGGCAGGAAAGATTTTGCCTGAAGGTAACAAGAGACAAGCTGGGATGATGTCAAGCTGGGAGTGTAAGGTAGAATTTCCGACCTAGTGGAAGACATGGGCATATGCTGCATGCCCGGCAGCAATCACCAATTAGCCCTTCGTGAGATATAGGAGTGATAAGAGGATTTGGTTATCTGTGTATCCACTAGGGAGGAACTTGAATTACCTGGTGTGTACTCCAGATATTGTACTGAATAAATGTTGGATTTGTTTGGTTGATAATTTCTGATAGAAAGCAAAATAATTGATCCAATTCAACACATTAGAGAATCATTATTTAGAAATGTGAAAGTGATATAAGAGGACCACTTGAATAAAAGTGGCCCTCTCATAGTCAGGGAGAACCCTGGGCATTGGGAGATACATATTCCAGATTTTAGGAAGGGTATATAACTATTTCCCAAGATTCAAATTGGTAAGCTCTTCCATTATTATTGATATTTTATACAAAATGAAATTCTGATAGAATAACTTGTGTATCATTCCAATGAAGAACATATGGATGATGTTGTAAAAAGAACTGTATGACTGCATGAGGAACTCTAGCACAGATTATAATTGACCATGAATAAAAAGTATAAAGGAAAGGTATAACCAGGGATAAATAATTGCATGATACAGAACGATAAACACGTATCAGAAAAATACTGTCTAGCATGGTTTGAGACTGAGGAAACAAAAGTAAAACTAAAAAAATTAAGTGCTTTGCTTATATGGACCACCATCCTGGAGTGAATGATGAATGCTAATTGGAAACAGAAAAATCAGACTCTATTTTGCTTGTCTTTTCTCCAATAAGGGAGATCAGAATTCTAATGTAGGTGGAAGGATGAAAAAAGTTCAACTCTAGAGGTTCTTAAGTTGGGATCTATAGGACCTCAAGCAAACCATGGATAAACTCCGTAAGTACATAAACTTGAATGAAGCAAAATTACATGTCTATTTTCACTGACTTCTAGCTGAAATTTGATGTTTCCTTCCATTTTAAATGTAGGTAACAAACCACAGTAGTATCATCATTGAACTTTATCATAAATAAAATCACAGACATTTTCTTTTTTTTTTTTTTAATTATACTTTAAGTTTTAGGGTACATGTGCACATTGTGTAGGTTAGTTACATATGTATACATGTGCCATGCTGGTGCGCTGCACCCACTAACTCGTCATCTAGCATTAGGTATATCTCCCGATGCTATCCCTCCCCCCTCCCCCCACCCCACAACAGTCCCCAGAGTGTGATATTCCCCTTCCTGTGTCCATGTGATCTCATTGTTCAATTCCCACCTATGAGTGAGAATATGCGGTGTTTGGTTTTTTGTTCTTGCGATAGTTTACTGAGAATGATGATTTCCAATTTCATCCATGTCCCTACAAAGGACATGAACTCATCATTTTTTATGGCTGCATAGTATTCCCTGGTGTATATGTGCCACATTTTCTTAATCCAGTCTATCATTGTTGGACATTTGGGTTGGTTCCAAGTCTTCGCTATTGAATCACAGACATTTTCATACCATATCACAATAATTGCAGTAGCCTCAAAATATTTATGCACATCACTGCTTCAAAATTATGGTAGTTATTAGAACTGCAGCTAGATCTTGTTATTTGATTTCTTAATAAAGAAAGCACATATATTATTATATTCTGAAAACTGTATTTCAATATTAGTTTTCTTAATAATCTTGTTTTTTTAATACATTTAAAAGTATTATTCTGAGAAGGTTCCCATTAGGCTTCATCAGACTGCTGAAGAGGTCTACAACATGAAAGCATTTAAGAACACCTGATTTAGCTCCTCTAAATGAGTTTGTCTCCTGGCTTGGGTATTCCAGATGCTTGGAGAATGGAAAGAATTCTGAACTGAACTTGGTTATCTTGAGGAAAAGTGGGGAGTCACAGAGGTACTTAATGATTAGAAATAAGTAAATGTTCTAATTTATTCTAAATCAGTCAAATTGGTCTTAATATTTACTAATATCAGACTCATATTAGGCAATTAAAAAGATTGGGAAGTCTTGGAGTGGTGGTTCTCACAGGGCTCTCTGTACATAGTACGCTGTGATCTAGTAACTTAATTTACTATTTTGATTGAATTAAGGAGGAAAAATTGTATGATTGCCATACAGGTGGTATACCACATATCTTAAAAGTAATCAAATAGAAATTGCTTTGTGTTTTTTAAAATGAGCCTCAACTCCAAAGGCAACAAATGGAGACAAATGAGAAGCTTATCTGTTAAAATTGGGAACAACACAAGGATGCCCATATTTCCACTACTCTGTAGCATTGTATTGAAAGTATTTCCCAATGAAATTAATAGAGAAAGCTGCTAGAAAAACAATTATTAAAAATGAAGAGTTTAAATCTTTTCTGTCTCATATATGAAACACATAGCATAACCAATGGAAGAACAATTACAAACAATAACAGAATTTCCTTAGGGAGGAGGTTACAAAATTAACATTCAGCAGTCAATAGCTACTGGCATAAAACAGACACACAGACCAATAAAACAGAATAAAGAACCCAGAAATTAATCCACTTATCTACAGCCAACTGATTTTTGACGAAGGTGCCAAGAACACTCACTGCAGACAGGACAGTCTCTTCAATAAATGGTGCTGGGAAAACTGTATGTCCATATGCACAAGAATGAAACTAGACCTCTACCTCTCACCCTATATAAAAATCAACTCCAAATGGATCAAACACCTACATGAAAGACCCAAAGACAATAAAACTACTAGAAGAAACATAGGGGAAGCGCTCCAAGACATTGGTCCGGGAAAATACTTTATGAGTAAGACTTCAAAACCACAGGCAACAAATGCAAAATAAACAAATGAGATGATATTGATACAGAAGGGGGAAGGGAAGTGCTGGGTAAAGGAGTGTGTGGTCCCTGGCTAGGGCTCCACCACTGGGCCTGTGCCCATGCACTTAGGAGAGGACAGGCATTTTTGTTTTCCTGCCCAAATGTTGCATTTCCCAAGACCACCCTGGCCTGCCACGCCCCCATCCCGAGCCTATAAAATCCCCGAGACCCTAGCAGGCAGACACACAAGCAGCTGGACGTCATTGGCAGAAGAAGACACAAGTGGTTGGACATTAAGAGGATGTCAAGGGGAACACGCTGGTGGAAGAGCACAAGACAGACACCGGCACACTGGCAGGCCATCAAGGAGAAGAGAACCCGGTGGAGTTTGGCCAGGGCAATCCAAAGAGAGCCCCGGCTGCTGAGCGGCCTAACTCCAGGGAAAACCCTTCCCACTCCATCCCCTTCTGGCTTCCCCCATCTACTGAGAGCTACCTCCACTCAGTAAAATCTTGCACTCATTCTCCAGGCCAAGGTGTGATCTGATTCTTCTGGTACATCAAAGCAAGAGCCTGGGATACAGAAAGCCCTCTGTCCTTATGAGAAGGTAGAGGGTCTAATTGAGCTGGTTAACATAAGCCACGTATAGACGGCAAAATTAAAAGAGCACACGGTAGCACAGGCCCACTGGGGCTTCAGGAGCTGCAAATATCCACCCCTACATGCTGCTGTGGGGTTGGAGCCCCACACCTCCCCATCTATATGCTGCCCTAGAGGTTTGAGCAGCAGAGCCCTGAAGAAGCAAGCTACTCCCCGTGTCGCAGGCCCTGCAAGGGGGACAAGGGAACCTTTCCTGTTTCAGTATCCAACTAAAAAATCTGCATATCAGAGGAAACAATCAACAGAGTGAAAAGACAATTTATAGAATGGAGAAAGTATTTGCAAACTATTCATTTGAGTTGGGATTAATATCCAGAATATACAAAGAAGTCAAACATGTCAATGGCCAAAAAAAACAGACAATCAAAAAATGGACAAATATATGAACAGACATTTCTCACAAGAGGACATACAAATGGCCAGCAAATATATAAACAAATGCTTAGCATCACTTAGCATCAGGGAAATGCAAATCAAAACCACAATGAGGTATCACCTTACGCCAGTTAGGATGGCTATTATTAAAAAGACAAAATAAAAAATGCTGGTGAGGATGTAGCAAATAGAGAACTGTTATATACTGTTTGTGGGAATGTAAACCGGTACACCCACTATGGAGAAGAGTATGGAGTTTCCTCAGAAAACTACAAATAGCACTACCATGTAATCCAGCAATCTCACTACTGGGCATTTATCCATAGGAAAGAAAGTCAGTATATTGCAGAGACATCTGCCCCTCCATGTTTATTGCAGTACGTAAAAAAATTTTAAAATAGATTTAGGAGTATAAGTGCAGTCATCTTAAATGAATACATTGCACAGTAGTAAGGTCTGGGAGTTTGGTGCACCCATCACCTGAGTAGTGTACATTGTACCCAACGGATAGCATTTCATCCTTCACCATCCTCCCACCTTTTGGAGTCTCTAGTTCTATTATTCCATGCTGTATGTTCATGTGCACCTGTTACTTGGTTCCCAGTTACAAGTGAGAACATGTGGTTATTAACTTTCTGTTTCTGAGTCATTTCACTTAGGAAAAGGGCCTACAGTTCCAACCACATTATGCAATGCTATTCACAATAGCCAAGATCTGGAATCAAACTAGATTTCCAACAACAGATGAATGGATGAAGAAAACATGGTATATATACAAAATGGAATATTATCGAGCCACAAGAAAAAATGAAGTCCTGTCATTTGCAGCAACATGGATGAAATGGGAAGGCATTATGTTAAGTGAAATAAGCCAGGAGCAGAAAGTTAGACACTGAATGCTCTCACTCATGTGGAGGCTAAAATGAGTTGATCTCACAGAAATAAAAAGTAGAACAGAAGATACTAGAGGCTGTGGAGTGTAAGAGAAAAGGAAGGATAGAAAGAGATTTGATAAAGGAAACAAAATTTCAGCTAGATAGGAGGAATAAGTTCTAGTGTTCTACCATAGGATGACAATAGTTAACGATAATGTTATATAGTTTCAAATAGCTAGAAGGAGGATACTGAATGTTCCCAACACAGAGAAATGATAAACGTTTGAGATGATGGGTAGGCTAACTGATCTGATCACTGTACCTTATATGTATAGAAACATCACTGTGTACCCCATTAGTATGTACAATTATTATTCATCAATTTAAAAAATTTTAAAAACCCTAAAAAAATCAATAGCCAATATATAGGCAAACAAAAGTTAGAAAATAAATGGAAAGGAAGACTCCATTTATGATAGTAAAAAGAAAATATCTATGTACAAACTTAATGAACAATGTCCAAAACCTATATGTGGAATGCTAAAATACTTTCATGAAAGATGATATAAATAGCCTTGAACAAAAGAAAGGATGCACTTGTTCTTGTTTGGAAGACTCAATTTCATAAAGCTGTCAGTTCTCCCTAATTTAATGTATAGATTTCACAGAAATCCCCAAATATACAATTATGTTTTTGCGGGTTCTCCTCTGGAAATAGACAAATTGTTTATAAGAATCACTTGAAAGTATGACTAATCAAGAGTAGCCAGGGAAATCTTTAAAAAGAAGAGAAATGGGTAGGGATGGGGGTGGGGGTGGGCAGCTCTACCAGATCAGTCCTGCATGTTACAAAGCTTTAATATTCAATGAAGGATTGTATTAGCAAACAGGCCAGTGGAAAAGAATAGAAATTTGACATGATAGGTCCAATTCATATATAAATTTAGTAACAGCAAATATGGCAACTCAAATAATTGAGAACAGATAACCGGTGTTGGAATACTTGGATAGACATATGGAAAACAATAAAAATGGGATCCATTCCTTTTTCATATACCAGGTTCAATTCAGAGATTGATTGTAAAAAATGAAAACTCTACATATACTAGAAGAAAAAATGGGCTAATAGCTCTGTACCATGGGAATAGAGGAAACTTTCTAAAACACTCAAAATTTAGATGCAATAAGGAATAAGATCGATACGTTTGATTATGTTAAAAATGTTGTATGGCCAAAAAATCACCATAAAGTAGATAAATACGGGTGACAAGCTGAGGGCGAAATTCTTGCACCTTAAAATACAGATAAAGAGTTGATTTTTCTAACATATAAAGGGGTGCTTAAGTAGGGAAGAAATAGGCCAACAATTCAGGAGAGATGGACTAGAGATGTGAGCACAGCATTCACAGAGAAACACAAGCAAATGGCTCCTATCCATGTGAAAAAGAGGCTCAATTTTGATCAAAATAAGAGATGCAAATTAAAACTAAACTGAGATATCGTTTCTCACCATTTACATTTGGAAAAAAATCAGAATTTAACAGTGTACTTTGTTGGCAAGGCTGTGGGGAAACAGCCCTCCTACACATTGCTGAGAGGGTGTAAAATAGTATTACATAGGCATTTACCTACTTCTAGGAATTTATCCTGAAGGTACAGTGGCAAAAATTTTAAAAGTCAAATGTCAAAACTGTTATTTGCAGCAATATTAGTAATTACAAAAGACTGGAAACATACAATGTCATCAATAAAAGAGTGGTTGAATAAACTAGATAATTGATAAAGAGAAATACTATGCAGCTATAAGTAAGCATGAAAATACGAAGAATATAGATATATACACATACAGATACACACACATAGACACACACTTCTAAGGGGTAATAGCAAATGTACATATAGTATGCTGCCATTCCTCTAGGAATATCAGGAGAACTACCTATCTACTTATCTGTTAGTTTTTTCCTGTATTTAAAAAGCAGTGGAATAATAAACCCTAAAAGAAAAAAATCCTGATTGTGATATTGTACTATAGCTTTTTCCAGATATTATCATTGGGAGAAACAAGGTAAAGGATATATGGGTTCTCTCTGTATTATTTCTTACAACTGTATGTGAACGCTTTCCTTTGTGAAAATTATCTCAAAGCAAAAAAAAAAATTTTAAAAAAGAAAGGATTTTGCATAAAGCATGTTTCTTTTGAGACTGGTCTTGTAAAACTAGTTTACCTATCATGCAGAAGTTACATGATGCTGTGGATCAAACAAAACCCATCTTTGAAGCTACCCCTCAGGGATGGGTTTTGTTTGACCAACATAATATTTTTTAAAGTTGAGCTCACTTTAAACAATGGAGATATTTTACATGAAAATCCAGATTTCTGCTTCCTCAAAAAAATCTATGACTCTTGCCACACAGCCCTGCCTCATCTCATGCTAAGGAAATACTCTTTCCATTGCACCATGGCCCACATCCCTCCTTACTGTTTCCATCCCCTGGATATCAACTCTAGTTCTTAAGTTCCCTGCGTGGTCACTGGAGGCATTTCACTTTGTGACCACTGTAGTAGGCATCTCATAGAACCGTACGAGGTTGGATTTGAAGCAAAATATTCCAAACTAAATAGAACAGAATCTCATTTATGACAGAAGTAGACTAGGCAAAAATGGACACAGAATTCTGATATTATCTAAAATATTCACCTATCACAAGGCTTGGCACATAAGTGTTTAATATTGTTTGATGAGTGAATTACATATATTTAAGCTGACAGTTACACTTTCTCCTCTGTCCATTTTTTTTTTTTTTTTACTATTTTTCAAAACTCCTCATAGCTAGCAAGATTAAGTGAATTTTATCTTCATTTTGTAACCACTTTCTTTGAAAGTAGGAAATAGTTAGAACTGGCCAAAAATAGGGAGACAAGAGCATGAAAGATACAAACACCTAATATCTAAACTTTGATTTGGCTGATTTTATAGCTTTCTTTTCTTTTGTTTTCTTCTCTTTTCTTTTCAAAGATTCAAATGCTTTCCTTAGTAGAATCACTAAGTGGCTAAATTCTAAATTTGCAAAATTTTTCTTTACTGGAAGATTTATGAATGCCCAAATAATTATTTTGTGGAAAATAATTTAAGCTAGCTATAGAACAAATATTGACTTGTTGTAGAAGATTTAAAGGAGGGTTGGACTTTGGAGCTGGTCAGAAATTTGAATCTGCTCTGCTACTCACTAACTGGGCATACCATGTAAGCTTTTGGGGGCCCAACTCTTTCACTCATAAATCCAGGATAATTTAGGCTAAAAGCTTTAAGTTATAAAAGGAGGAAGTACCTAGTTAAAGTCCTGAGACTGACGGCTTAGACCAGGGTTCAGCAAACATTTTCTATAAAGTGTCAGATAGTAAATATGTGAGGCTTTGCGGGCCACATTCAGTCTCTTCCATCCACCCCCTGGCCCCGTGTATGTTTTATAGCTCTTTATAAACATAAAGGCCATTTCATCTCATAGATCATACAAAATCAGACTGAGGATTTGTTCCATGAGCTGTAGTTTGACAACTCCTGGTTTACACCCCATAAGTATTTTCCATGGGGGCTCTGAAATTTGGATCCTGCTTGCTGATTTTCTGTGTATATGCCCTCGAATTATGCTGGATGTTTATTGGGTATGGCAGATACTATTGGTATTTCCTGTCAGGCACCCAGCAGGCAAGGCTGAGGCCAAAGTCTGACTGATATGGCTGGTAAGATACAATAAGGCCCTTCTACTTTCAGACCGTTTATCAGTTTCATAGATAGCTAAAGAAAGAGTACGCAAAGATGCCAGCTCTCTGGGTCTTCATTCCACATACCAAAAATGATGACACCAAAACAAAAAAGGCCGGATGAGTACAGTGTGAGTTGTGGGATGCCCTGTTGCAGAGGAGCCAATTCGTGATGACAGCTAAGCAATTTTATAGTGTGGAGCTATTAATATATCCTAAGAGCCGTGGGACATAAAGCCCCATACCTCACCAGAACTTGGAGGCAGTAGGAAACTGACAGCCTCCCAAGAAAAATAGGGAGATGAATGGGAGATGGCTTCAAGATGGTTCCTCAGGAGCCTCCTATCTTCTTGTGTTTTGGAATGAACATAGGGCATTCTTCCAATATTGAGATTAGTTACAGTACAAGGCTTTGCTTGCATGACCTCTGTGGGTACATCCATGATTGCTGGGGTGTCGTGGAGAAACTGGCTGCTCTCTGCAATTCTCCAACAGTTACCCTTGTTGGAGAACAAGGTTTTCTTTTTTCTTGTTGATATAATCCCTACTTGATCATGCCACCAGAATAAAGCCTCAAGACATGAATGGCGATTGATGTAAGTCATTCACAGCCATCCCACCATCCCACTCTCCTTTCCAGTGACTGACTTAGGTTTAGGCTTCTGACCCAGTTTGGGTCAATGATATGTAAGAGGAGATTTACTTAGGGATTTGGGGAAAGAATTTACTTTCTGGCAAAGTTGGAAGACGCATTAGAAGAAGCTTTTTTCTGCCTTTCTTATTGCTGTGGATGTTATTTGTGCAATTCACTGGGATTAAAACTGCAGCAGTCAATTTAGCATCATAAAAAATAGCCTGAAGGTGATAATCAATATATAAGTATGGCAGACCAGAAGGATGAAAAGAGCCTCAACTCTTGATGACAGCCATGAACTGCTGAATGAACCCTGGGGCTTTTGAACATACGGAATTCAGTTATTAATATAATAGCTGTTTTAATGTTCTTATCTGATCATTCTAACATTTACATAAATTTTGAGTTGGTGTTGATTGATTTTTATCTTCAACGTAGGTCATTTTCCTATTTCCTTTCATGCCTGGTATTTTTTAAATTGAATTCAGATTGCACATTCCATTGGCTGTGAATTTTACCTTTGTGGATACTGAATATCTTTGTTTTCCTATAAATATTCTTGAGTTTGTTCTGGGAAGCAGTTATTTGGAAATTTTCATCTTTATAGATCTTGCTTTTAAGATTTGTTAGGTACAAACAGAGCAGGATTTAGTGTAGGGCAAATTATACCCTATATTGAGGCAGGACTTTTCTGAAGTCCTGGACTCAATGTCCCAGGAGTTGTGGGGTTTTCCCAGCTGGCCAGTGAGATCAGGCATTATTCCCGGCCATGTGTGATCTCTGATCACTGTTTCCTCTAATCCTTTTGGGGGTTCTTTCCTGGCCTAAAAGCAGTTTTCTGAAATGCATGCATGAATCACTACTCTGCGAATACTCAAGGGGGACCCTCTACAGATGTCTGTAGATCTCTCTCTCTCTGTAGCTCTCTGCTTTCTGTTAATCTGTTCTATGAACTTTAGCTGCCTTGGTCTCTCTGGACTCTGCACTCCACCTCTTTAAGTTGGGAGTTTGCATAGCTCTGACGGCATCCCCTTACCCTGAGCTGCAGCCTGGAAATTTTTAAGGTAGTAAGCTGGGGAAATCACCTCACTTGTTTCCATGTCTCAGACATTACTGTTCTCTGATGACTGATGTCAAATTTCTTAAGATTATTTTTTTCAGTTGTTTTAAGTGGGAGCATAATTCAGTCTCTGTAAATTCTTCTGGGCTGGAAGCAGAGATAAACAGTTATTTACCCTTTTCATAAAAAAGATAAGTCATGAGGTTGGGCATGGTGGCTCACGCTTGTAATTCCAGCACTTTTGGAGGTGGAGGCAGAGGTGGGAGGATCGCTTGAGCCCAGAAGTTCAAGACCAGCCTAAGCAACATAGCAAGACTCAGTCTCTACAAAAAATCTAAAAAATAGCTGGGTGTGGTGGCCTGTGCCTATAATTCCAGCTACTTGGGAGGCTGAGGTGGGAGGATCGCTGGAGCCCAGGAGGTCAAGGCCTCAGTGAGCCTCAATGGTGCCACTGTACTCCAACCTGGGTGACAGGGCAAGACCTGGTCTCAGAAAGAAAATAAAAATAAATTATGATATTAATGGGAACAAATGGGTTGATGGTTGAGCTACCCTTAATTGGCAACTGACAGTAGGTAACAGAGTCCCCCTTTTTGTCTGGTTTATCTTCGTCTGCCTTTTTCCAATGACTAGGCTGGTGTTGCCCTTTCTAGCCAGGGAGAGAGTTAATTATCATTTAAAGAAATATTGAAGTGGCTGGCAAGATGGCTGAATAGGAACAGCTCTGGTCTGCCGCTCCCAGTGAGATCAACACAGAAGGCAGGTAATTTCTGCATTTCCAACTGAGGTACCTGTCTCATCTCATTGGGACTGGTTAGACAGTGACTGCGGCCTACAGAGGGTGAGCCAAAGCAGGGTGGGGCATCAACTCACTTGGGAAGCTCAAAGGGTTGGGGAACTCCCTCCCCTAGCCAAGAGAAGTGCGAGGGACCCTGCAGTGAGGGATGGTGCATTCTGGCCCAGATACTACGCTTTTCCCATGGTCTTCGCAACCCACAGGCCAGGAGATTCCCTCAGGTGCCTATGCCACCAGGGCCCTGGGTTTCAAGCACAAAACACTGAGCTAGCTGCAGTTTTTTTCATACCCCAGTGGCACCTGGAACACCAAAAAGACAGAACTGTTCACTTTCCTGGAAAGGGGGCCGAAGCCAGGGAGCTAAGTGGTCTAGCTCAGCAGATCCCATTCCGACAGAGCCCAGCAAGCTAAGATCCACTGGCTTGAAATTCTCACTGGCAACACAGCAGTCTGAAGTAGACTTGGGGTGCTCAAGCTTGGTGTGGGGAGGGGATGTCTGGCATTACTGAGGCTTGAGTAGGCAGTTTTCCCCTCACGGTCTAAACAAAGCCACTGGGAAGTTTGAACTGGGCAGAGCCTGCCACAGCTCGGTAAAGCTGCTGTAGCCAGACTGCCTCTCTAGATTCCTCCTCTCTGGGCAGGGCATCTCTGAAAGAAAGGCAGTAACCCCAATCAGGGGCTTATAGATAAAACTCCCTGGGACAGAGCACCTGGGGGAAGGGGCACTATAGGCCCAGCTTCAGCAGACTTAAACATTCCTGCAGGCTGACTCTGAAGAGAGCAGCGAATCTCCCAGCACAGCACTCAAATTCTGCTAAGGGAAAGACTGCCTCCTCAAGTGGGTCCCTGACCCCCATGCCTCCTGACTGGGAGACACTTCCCAGCAGGGGACAACAGAGCAAGGGTCTCATACAGGTGAACTCCAGCTAGCCTCTGGTGGGTGCCCCTCTGGGACGAAGCTTCCAGAGGAAGTAACAGGCAGCAATCGTTGCTGTTCTGCAGCCTCCGCTGGTGATACCTAGGCAAACAGGGTCTGGAGTGGTCCTCCAGCAAACTCTAGCAGACCTGCAGCAGAGGGGCCTGACTGTTAGAAGGAAAACTAACAAACAGGAATAGCATCAACATCAACAGAAAGGACGTCCATACAAAAACCCCATCTGTCAGATGAGTAGGTTGCGAAAATTTTCTCCCATTTTGTAGGTTGCCTGTTCCTCTGATGGTAGTTTCTTTTGCTGTGCAGAAGCTCCTTAGTTTAATTAGATCCCATTTGTCAATTTTGGCTTTTGCTGCCATTGCTTTTGGTGTTTTAGACATGAAATCCTTGCCCATGCCTATGTCCTGAATGGTAATGCCTAGGTTTTCTTCTAGGGTTTTTATGGTTTTAGGTCTAACGTTTAAGTCTTTAATCCATCTTGAATTGATTTTTGTATAAGGTGTAAGGAAGGGATCCAGTTTCAGCTTTCTACGTATGGCTAGCCAGTTTTCCCAGCACCATTTATTAAATAGGGAATCCTTTCCCCATTGCTCGTTTTTCTCAGGTTTGTCAAAGATCAGATAGTTGTAGATATGCGGCGTTATTTCCGAGGGCTCTGTTCGGTTCCATTGATCTATATATCTGTTTTGGTACCAGTACCATGCTGTTTTGGTTACTGTAGCCTTGTAGTATAGTTTGAAGTCAGGTAGTGTGATGCCTCCAGCTTTGTTCTTTTGGCTTAGGATTCCATTTGACCCAGCCATCCCATTACTGGGTATATACCCAAAGGACTATAAATCATGCTGCTATAAAGACACATGCACACGTATGTTTATTGCGGCATTATTCACAATAGCAAAGACTTGGAACCAACCCAAATGTCCAACAATGATAGACTGGATTAAGAAAATGTGGCACATATACACCATGGAATACTATGCAGCCATAAAAAATGATGAGTTCATGTCCTTTGTAGGGACATGGATGAAATTGGAAATCATCATTCTCAGTAAACTATCACAAGAACAAAAAACCAAACACCACATATTCTCACTCATAGGTGGGAATTGAACAATGAGATCACATGGACACAGGAAGGGGAACGTCACACTCTGGGGACTGTTGTGGGGTGGGGGGAGGGGGGAGGGATAGCATTGGGAGATATACCTAATGCTAGATGACGAGTTAGTGGGTGCAGCACACCAGCATGGCACATGTATGCATATGTAACTAACCTGCACAATGTGCACATGTACCCTAAAACTTAAAGTATAATTAAAAAAAAAAAAAAGAAAAACCCCATCTGAAGGTCACCAACAGCAAAGACCAAAGTTAGATAAATCCATGAAGATGAGGAAAAACTAGCACAAAAAGGCTGAAAATTCCAAAACCAAAATGCCTGTTCTCCTCCAAAGGATCACAACTTCTTGCCAGCAGGGGAACAAAACTGGATGGGGAACGAGTTTTATGAATTGACAGAAGTAGGCTTCAGAAGATGGGTAATAACAAACTCCTCTGAGCTAAAGGAGCATGTTCTAACCCAATGCAAGGGAGCTAAGAACCTTGAAAAAAGGCTAGAGGAATTGCTAACTAGAATAACCAGTTTAGAGAAGAACATAAATGACCTGATGGAGCTGAAAAACATAGCACAAGAACTTTGTGAAGCATACACAAGTATCAATAGCTGAATCAATCAAGTGGAAGAAAGGATATCAGAGATTGAAGATCAACTTAATGAAATGAACCGTGAAGACAAGATTTGAGAAAAAAGAATGAAAAGGAATGAAGAAAGCCTCCAAGAAAAATGGGACTATGTGAAAAGACCAAACCTACATTTGATTGGTCTACCTGAAAGTGAGGCGGAGAATGGAACCAAGTTGGAAAATACTCTTTAGGATATTATCCAGGAGAACTTCCCCAACCTAGCAAGACAGGCCAACATTCAAATTCAGGAAATACAGAGAACACCACGAAGATACTCCTCGAGAAGGGCAACCCCAAGACACGTAATCGTCAGATTCACGAAGGTTGAAATGAAGGAAAAAATGTTAAGGGCAGCAAGAGAGAAAGGTCAGGTTACCCACAAAGGGAAGCCCATCAGACTAATAGCAGATCTCTCTGCAGAAACCCTACAAGCTAGAAGAGAGTGGGGGCCAATATTCAACATTCTTAAAGAAAATAATTTTCAATCCGGAATTTCATATCCAGCCAAACTAAGTGAAGGAGAAATAAAATCCTTTACAGAAAAGCAAATGCTGAGAGATTTTGTCACCACCAGGCCTGCCTTACAAGAGCTCCTGAGGGAAGCACTAAATATGGAAAGGAAAAACTGATACCAGCCACTGCAAAAACATACCAAATTGTAAAGTCCATCAACATTATGAAGAAACTGCACCAATGAATGGGCAAAATAAGTAGCTAGCATCATAATGATAGGATCAAATTTACACATAACAATATTAACCTTTAATATAAACAGGCTAAATGCCCCAATTCAATGACACAGACCGGCAAATTGAATAAAGTCAAGACCCATCGGTGTGCTATGTTCAGGAGACCCATCTCACGTGCAAAGACACATATAGGTTCAAAATAAAGAGATAGAGGAATATTTACCAAGCAAATGGAAAGCAATAAAAAGCAGGAGTTGCAATCTTAGTCCCTGATAAAACAGACTTTAAACCAACAAAGATGAAAAAAGACAAAGGAGGGCATTACATAATGGTAAAGGGATTAATTCAACAAGAAGAGGTAACTATCCTAAATATATATGCACCCAATATAGGAACACCCAGAATCATAAAGAAAGTTTTTAGAGACCTACAAAGAGACTTAGACTCCTACACAATAGCAGTGGGCGACTTTAACACCGCACTGTCAATATTAGACAGATCAACAAGACAGAAAATTAACAAGGATATTCAGGAGTTGAACTCAGCTTTAGACCAAGCAGACCTAATAGACATCTACAGAACTCTCCACCCCAAATCAACAGAATATACGATCTTCTCAGCACCACAGCGCACTTATTCTAAAATTGATCACATAATTGGAAGCAAAACACTCCTCAGCAAATGCAGAAGAAGGGAAATGATAACAAACAGTTTCTCTGACCACAGTGCAATTAAATTAGAACTCAGGATTAAGAAACTCACTCAAAACCACACAACTACATGGAAACTGAACAACCTGCTCGTGAGTGACTACTGGGTAAATAATGAAATTAAGGCAGAAATAAATAAGTTCTGTGGGATGAGAACAAAGTACCAGAATCTCTGGGACACAGCAAAAGCAATGTTTAGAGGGATATTTATAGCACTAAATGTCCATAGGAGAAAGCAGGAAAGATCTAATGTCGACACCCTAACATCACAATTAAAAGAACTAGAGAAGCAAGAGCAAACAAATTCAAAAGCTAGCAGAAGACAAGAAATGACTAAGATCAGAGCAGAACTGAAGGAGATAGAGACACGAAAAACCCTTCAAAAAATCAATGAATCCAGGGGCTGGCTTTTTTTAAAAGATTAACAAAATAGATAGACCACTAGCCAGACTAATGAAGAAAAGAGAGAAAAATCAAATAGACACAATAAAAAATGAAAAATGGGATGTCACCACTGATCCCACAGAAATAGAAACTACCATCAGAGAATGCTATAAACACCTCTATGCAAATAAACTAGAAAATCTAGAAGAAATGGATAAATTCCTAGACAAATACACCCTCCCAAGACTAAACCAGAAGTCAAATCCTGTAATAGACCAATAACAAGTTCTGAAATTGAGGCAGTAATTAATAGCCTACCAACCAAAAGAAGCCCAGGACCAGATGGATTCACAGCCGAATTCTACCAGAGGTACAAAGAGGAGCTAGTACCATTCCTTCTGAAACTGTTCCAAAAATAGAAAAAGAGGGACTCCTGCCTACCTCATTTTATGAGGCCAGCATCATCCTGATACCAAAACCTGGCAGAGATGAACAAAAAAGAAAATTTCAGGCCAATATCCCTGATGAACATCGATGCGAGAATCCTCAATAAAATACTGGCAAACTGAATCCAGCAGCACATCAAAAAGCTTATCCACCACGATCAAGTCAGCCTCATCCCCGGGATGCAAGACTGGTTCAACATAAGCAAATCAATAAATGTAATCCATCACATAAACAGAACCAATGGCAAAAACCACATGATTATCTCAATAGATGCAGAAAAGGCCTTTGATAAAATTCAATACCCCTTCATGCTAAAAACTCTCAGAAAAACTCAGTATTGATGTAACATATCTCAAAATAATAAGAGCTATTTATGACAAACCCACAGCCAATATCATACTGAATGGGGGAAAGATGGAAGCATTACCTTTGAAAACTGGCACAAGACAAGGATGCCCTCTCTCACCACTCCTATTCAACATAGTATTGGAAGTTCCAGCCAGGGTAATCAGGCAAGAAAAAGAAATGAAGGGTATTCAAACAGGACGAGAGGAAGTCAAATTGTCTCTGGTTGCAGACGACGTGATTGTATATTTAGAAAACCCCATCATCTTAGCCCATAATCTCCTTAAGCTGATAAGGAACTTCAGCAAAGTCTCAGGATACAAAATCAATCTGCAAAAATCACAAGCATTCATATACACAAATAATAGACAAACAGAGAGCCAAATCTTGAGTGAACTCCCATTCACAATTGCTACAAAGAGAATAAAATACCTAGGAAGACAACTTACAAGGGATGTGAAGGACCTTTTCAAGGAGAACAACAAACCTCTGCTCAAGGAAATAAGAGAAGACACAAATGGAAAAAAAAATCCATGCTCTTGGATAGAAAGAATCAATATCGTGAAAATGGCCACACTGCCCAAAGCAATTTATAGATTCAATGGCATCCCCATTCTTCACAGAATTAGAAAAAACTACTTTAAATTTTAAATGGAACCACAAAAGAGCCCATATAGCCAGGACAATACTAAGAAAAAAGAACATAGCTGGAGGCATCATGCTACTTGACTTCAAACTACACTACAAGGCTACAGTAAACAAAACAGCATGGTACTGGTACCAAAACAGATATATAGACCAATGGAACAGAACAGAGACCTAAGAAATAATGCCACACATCTACAACCATCTGATCTTTGACAAGCCTGACAAAAGCAAGCAATGGGGAATCGATTCCCTATTTATTAAATGGTGTTGGGAAAACTGGCTAGCCATATGCAGAAAACTGAAACTGGGCCCCTTCCTTACACCTTATACAAAAATTAACTCAAGATGGATTAAAGACTTAAATGAAAGACCTAAAACCATAAAAACCCTAGAAGAAAACCTAGGCAATACCATTCAGGACATAGGCATGGGCAAAGACTTCATGACTGAAACACCAAAAGCAATGGCAACAAAAGCCAAAATTGACAAATGGGATCTAATTAAACCAAAGAGCTTCTGCACAGCAAAAGAACCTATCATCAGAGTGAACAGGCAACTTAGAGTATGGGAGAAAATTTTTGCCATCTATCCATCTGACAAAGGGCTAATATCCAGAATCTACAAGGAACTTAAACAAATTTACAAGGAAAAAAGAAACCCATCAAAAAGTGGGCAAAGGATATGAACAGACACTTCTCAAAAGAAGACATTTATGCCGCCAATAAACATACGAAAAAAAGCTCATCCTCACTGGTCATTAGAGAAATGCAAGTCAACACCGCAATGAGATACCATCTCATGCTAGTAAATGGCGATCATTAAAATGTCAGGAAACAACAAATGCTGGAGAGGATGTGGAGAAATAGGAACGTTTTTACACTGTTGGTGGGAGTCTAAATTAGTTCAACCATTGTGGAAGAGAGTGTGGCGATTCCTCAAGGACCTAGAACCAGAAATACCATTTGACCCAGCAATCCCATTACTGGGTATATACCCAAAGGACTATAAATCATTCTACTATAAAGACACATGCACACGTATGTTTATTGCGGCACTGTGCACAATGGTAAAGACTTGAAACCAACCCAAAAGCCCATTATTGATAGACTGGATAAAGAAAATGTGGCATATATACACCATGGAATATTATGCATCCATAAAAAAGGTTGAGTTCATGTCCTTTGCAAGGATGGATAAAGCTGGAAACCATCATTCTCAGCAAACTAACACAGGAACAGAAAACCCAACACCGCATGTTCTCACTCATAGGTGGGAGTTGAACAATGAGAACACATGGACACAGGGAGGGGAATATCACACAGTAGGGCCTCTCAGTGGGTGAGGGGCTAGGGAAGGGATAGCATTAGGAGAAATACCTAATGTAGATGACGGGTGGATGAATGCAGCAAGCCACCATGGTATGTGTATACCTGTGCAACAAACCTGCACGTTCTGCATATGTATCCCAGAAGTTAAAGTATAATTTTTTAAAAAAAGAAAAGAAATATTGAAAATGTTTTCACCTTTGTCCCTCATCTTTTTATATATGTTTTCAGTGCTTTTCATTCCTTGTGTTGATCCAAATTTCCATTTGGTATTTTCTTTCTGCTCTAAGAATTTTCTTTAATATTTCCTTTAATATTGCAGGCATTCTGGCAATAAATTATTTCAGCATTGTTTTTTTTTGTCTGAAAAAGCTTTAGTGTATTTTTATTTTTTAAAGATATTTTTGCTGGTTGTATATTTATACAGTGGCAAGTTTTTATTATATTTCATTTATTTAAGGATGTCTCTCCACTCTCTTCTGGACTGCATAGTTTCCAATGAGATCTCTATTGTATTCTTTTCTTTGTTTCATACTATGTAAAATGTCTTTTTCCCTCTGCTTTCCCAATTTTATCTTTGATTTTTAACATTTTCACCATGAAATGCCAGAAGTGTGTTTTTATTTACCTTTTTTCTTTGGATTTTTTGAACTTCTTGAATCTATTGTTTTTTTCTTTTCTTTTCTTTTTTTTTTTTTTTTTTTTTCTGAGATGGAGTCTTGCTCCATCGCCCAGGCTGGAGTGCAGTGGCGCAATCTCGGCTTACTGCAACCTTTGCCTCCCAGGTTCAAGTGATTCTCCTGCCTCAGCCTCCCCAGTAGCTGGGCACCACACTCAGCTAATTTTTGTATTTTTAGTAGAGATGGGGTTTCACCATATTGGCCAGGCTGGTCTAACTCCTGACCTTGTGATCCACCTGCCTCGGCCTCCCAAACTGCTGGGATTACAGTCGTGAGCCACTGTGCCCGGCTCTATTATTTTTCTAACACATCTTCTGGACTCTTCTTTGTCTTTTATTCTTTTGAATTCCATTTATGTATATGTTAGGTCATCTGATATCTCTTTGTTCTTGGATGTTCTGTTCTTTTTATTTCTTCCACTTTTGTTTTGGTCTTTGTATTTCAATTTGGATAATTTCTATTGATCTATCTTCACGTTTAGTGATTCTTTCTTATGCTGTGTCTGGTTGGCTATTACCCCTTGAAAGTTATTCTTCATAGGTATCATATTTTTCATTTTTAGCATTTCCATTTGTCTTTTTTGACAGTTCCCATCTATTTTCTGAAAATTTCCAGCTGTTTGTGCATGTTATTCACTCTTTCCAATAGAAGTTTTAATGTTTTAAACATAGTTATTTGAAATTGTTTGGCTGACAGTTCCAATACCAGGGCCATCTCTGGGCCTGGTTTTACTGTTGCCTTTATGTCTTGACATGGGTCTTTTTTCTTGTTGTTGTCTTTCTGTGCCTCAGTTTTCATCTTGCTTTGCATGCCTGTGGCACAGATGGTGTTTCTTTGCATGATTGTTGCTTGTTACTCATTGAGGTGCTGTTAGCATAGTCTGAGGTGGGACAATTTCTCAGTAGTTCCTCTTCAGTCTCAGTCTTAGGCAGACCCTCTGGGCCTGAGTTTTGGCAGCAGGACTTCCTGAGCATCACTTCTCTTCCTCCAGTGGTAGACAGTCTCCCCTTTCTATTGAGTCCATGCTTACATCAGAAGCAATTTCCCTGTCTCTACCTTCACAGCAGCCTAACTCAGCCCTGTATTGGTGGGTGGTCTTCTGTGTAAGTGGGTTCCCCCTCAGGATCGGCAGAATTTTGCCTTATATCATTACAAGATTTGGGTATGAACAGGCATTCTGATCCTTTTTTAGTAGCATATGGGTTTTACCTAATATCAATGTAAGGTGGGAACAGGTTTTCTATCCCTCTCCTGGGACAGATATTCAAATAAGGGTCAAGTTCTGAGATTCTTACTCCTTACTCAGGGGCAGATGTCTTTTGGTCTACATCAGGGTAAAATGTGGGGTACACATAAGGTTGTGCTTGCCTTCCAGACGCCGTCAATCACAGACTTCTACGCATGCAAGGGCTCAAACACAAATGGGCTTCCCGGGGTCATCCTGCTCCTCTCATAACTCGTCAGGCTCTGAGCCCTGCACCATCAGGGGTGAGACGGCACTCCTGGGTTTCCTGCCCTGCCTTCAATCTTTCTCATAAGCACCCAGCAGAGACTCACAGAAAAGAGTTGCTGAGTGGGTGAGGAGTCCACTTGTGCTGGGCTCCCTGGGATTCTAAACTGCTGTGCTAGTCTACCTGCAGTCTTCACAAATGCATTTATCTTTCAGATGTTTTTGTTCTTCTTGCTTTTAAGATTGTCACCTCCTTCTTTCATAGTCTGCTGAGAGTAAAACAATCTGTGTCTCTTACCTCTCCTCAGAGGGCTCTGTCACTTTTTGAATTCATTTCATTTGGTTGTCTTGTACCCTGAACTCTTCAACCCTATATTTCATATTAGGGTTAAAGTGATGTTCTGTTGTGGCTGTTTACATATCCTAAACTCAGGTCCTGTGGCTTACTCATCAATATATCCCGATAGCTAAGCACATGCATTTCTCTTATTAACATAATAATATATTCTGCTTATTATTGGCATAAAGTAGACATGTTAAATTACTTTAATATGGGAAGATTTTCTATTTTGTTTCTTCTTTTACAAAGAATCTCAATATTTACTCTTGGTTACTCCCTAGTGATAGCATTTTTAAAACAACTAACAGTATTAGTAAACTATCTGACAGTATTTCAGGAGTGAAAGAATAGCAATGACACAGAAACCAGTACACAGAAGGACAGAAACAAATGTCTTTAGAGGCAAATAAATATTGCTGTATTACAGAAAGATGAAGAAATAATCACCAAGCTTTTTCTGAACAGGATGCATGTCTGAGAAAAGATACCAAGCTCAGGTTTTCACCCCAAAGACTTGGGCCTTTTTTTGTGTTGTCAGAGTTCTTGTCTCTACTGAATGTTGAGTTTACGGAGAAGGAGAACACAAAAACAAACCGAACAGATGCCAAGTGAAATGCCTAGCCGTGAGAATGACAAGTCCAGTCCTCTAAAACTGCTCACAGCCAGCACCAGTGTTGAAAGTAGTTATTTTCTTCCCCCTCCCTTGCTTCTGTTGTAACTTTCTTTCTCTTGGTTTTTTATTTTTTCTTTATTTATGTTCCTATATTTGGAAAGTGTTGATTCCGATTTTGGTTCCTTTTGGTTCCTGTCCCTGCGTTGTTCTTGTGCCTGGTATTTGCCCTCAGCTTCGTGACTTACCTAGGTTCTTGCTTCTCAGAGCGGATCTGATAGCCACAAGCCTTTTCAGGCAAATACCTCTGATACCATCAAGCCCCACTCCATGGCCAACGTCCTGAAATAGATGAGGACATCTGCCTGTCTACTCTTTCTTCTGACATTTCACATCTCTTTCTAGTTTTTTCTAATGTCTAATCACATAGTTTTTGGAGTTAGTTAACCTTAATCCAGGTCAATCTATATCTCATACTTGCTCGTTCCCTCGACTGATTTGTGTGCTAAAGTGCTTAAATTATGTGTATATATTTTCATTTTTTCCTTGTGTTAATAGAATCTGTGTGTGTCTCTGGTGACTCATTAGTGGATTATTTGTGGTATCTCTCTCTGTCCATTCTGTTTTCCTCAGGAGATTTTAAAATCAGCATAGGCAAAATTGAAATTTAGCCCATCTCTAAACTTTAGAACAAAGTTCAAGTTCATGCTTCTTGGGAGGATGCAATAAAGCTTCTTATGATTCTGATTACCTCATTGTGAGCTATAATTAAGGTATACCCTTTAGTAGTTGTTTGGAAATGCCTGCATCTGGATGTGCCAGGGATGATAATGGGTTTTGGAAGATAATGCACATAGCCAGCATACTGTATTTTGTTTTTGTTTTACTGTTGTTGTTTTGAGACAGAGTCTTGCTCTGTTGCTTAGGGTGTAGGGCAATGGTGTAATCTCGGCTCACTGCAACCTCTGCCTCCCAGTCTCCTGAGCAGCTGGGACTACAGGCACCTGCCACCATACCTGGCTATTTTTTTTTGTATTTTAGTAGAGACAGGGTTTCACCCTGTTGCCCAGGGTAGTCTTGAACTTGTGAGTGTAAGTGAGCCTTGGCCTCCCAAAGTGCTGGGATTACAGGGCTGAGCCACTGTGCCCAGCACCTCTATTAACTATTCTTATCCTTATTATCCTTTGCTCAGTTTTCTTTTGGACTAAAAAAGCATGTCCTTGTTTAACCACTGAGGACTCAGATCATCACATCTATCACTGATAGTACAGGTGACCACAATTTTTTTTTAATTTTGACTAGAACAAATTGTTGGTAGTTGACAGACTTTCCAATATGCTATCCTATCCCCTTTAGTGCAGGCAGACTATCTTCTGAGTGGATGATAGCTCATTGGAACATGTATGATGCCTCTATTTTACTTCTTCCTCTTTTTCTTTCCAAGTCTGACTTTTGCAATTTTTCTCTTTCCCTCACATTTCTTGAATGACGAGCTTTCCTTGGCTTTGCAAATGGCAGATGTTAGAGTTTGTACCAACTAGATCTCGGGTTACGTGACCTCACTGGCTCTATATAACAACTAGACTTCAAATATCTTTGAAGAAAAATTGCCTTAAACATAAGTTTTGGTCAGCTAACACTAGATGCATTTGTGTTGCATAATCTAATTTTTAAAATCCTGGTGTTTTGTTTCTCTCAGTCATGTCGTATCAATTTACATTTTTAAAAGTTTTCTGTGTGAATTAAGAACAGTGTTATTTAGCAAAGGCAATTATTTGATTACCTCCCCTGTGCTAGTCACAGCCTGGCATTTAATCTGGCTGAGGCCCACAGACCGCAATTTGAACAATCAGGGTAGTTTTCTGTAATTGCAATAAATCATATCATAAACCATGACAGACTTTTCCTCCCACAGACTTTTTTTTTCAGTAGCAGTTAACTCCTGAACTCCTCATGAAGGCCAGACTTCTCTGTAGTCTAGTGAATTTCATAGTCAGCTGGCACAACATAAAGACGGAGTTTGTGTTGGAAAAACAGTGATGTCCCAAGAGCGGAGCCCGAAGAGGTCATTCTAACTTTAAGAGATGTAAGGCTCAAATGAATATGCCACACACCGAGGCCATCTGAAAGAATAATTTGTGAAAGGATTATCTGCTGTAAGACTGTTTAATTTTCTAACAAGGAAACAGATGGAGATCAAGATGTGAGGCATACTTATATTGTTACATTTTGGTCATTTATGTAAAATACACCTGCTACTGTATTGAGGCTTCCTGGGATTAAAAAAAAAGTATGAAAAGAGAAAATATTTTAAAAGGAAGATTTATTGCCATCTTATGTAAGATAATTTTACAATATGTCCATTTTAAATAGGAATTTTTTAAGTGGACTATGTGTAAGGCTCTACCATCTTAAAAACTTCACTTTCACCTTTGCCGAAATCCAATGCCTGATGTTTAGCCACCTTTAAAAGTTTACAACTTCAAATGATATACTTTTCTTTGTTATGCAGTTTGGGTTCAAAGTATTGGCTCTAGCTATGGAAGAATGAGAAGTGAGAGCATTTTAACTTTCACCTTATTTCTTTCATCTATTGATTTTCTTAAGCACATATTTTGTTCATGTTTTTGATGTTTTAATCATTTACACCTTGCTCCATAGCTGTTAGTATCCTTTGCTTTGTCTCTAAGTTCAATAACATAGCTTAGTGTTATGATGATCTAAACTTGTACTGAAAACAGAACCAAGTACTGCTTAGGATTTATAAAAATAAAAATTAAAAAAAATTTAAAAAGATGTAATTTCACATCTTTAAAGTGATGTAATTTCACATCACTAATCAAGGGAGAATGTCCCAATGTCAAGGGCTCCTTGTTTCTCGTTAATTTCTTTTGATCCTTCTTTCTACTTCCAAATCATTCTTACTGTCATTGTGTCTTGTACTGGGTATGTAGGAGGTAAATTCTTTGAATCTTGCATGATCCATGCTGTCTTTATTTTGTCCTGAAATTAATTTCTATTTGTGCTTCTGACTTCGAGATGATTTTCCCTCAGACATTTGAATGTGTTTCTCCATAGTTTCCTAGTGTTTAGTGTTGTGTTGAGAGGTTTGTCCCTGGTTTGATATCATTTTTATAGGTAATCTTTTTTTCTCTTTAGTGGTTTTCCTTCGTTTCTATACTTGGTATTCTGAAACCTCATAATGAATCTGAATCTTTTGTTATTGTTGTTTTAAAATTTATCTTCATCAGCATTTGCTGGCCCTTTCACCCATTTGGTTTTCAGACCTTTTCATTGTAATAATCACACCATTTGATTTCAGTTTTGTTTGTTTGTTTTTCATCCTCAGTTATAATAGCTTATCCTTGTCTTTGTTTTTATAGAAGTAATATCCTTTTGTCTGTTAACTTTTTAAAAATAAGCTTTATTTGGCTGGGCGTCGTGGCTCACGCCTGTAATCCCAACTCTTTGGGAGGCCGAGGCAAGCGGATCACTTGAGGTCAGGAGTTCAAGACCAGCCTGGCCAAGATGGCAAAACTCCGTCTCTACTAAAAATACAAAAAAAAAAAAAAAAATTAGGCAGACATAATGGTGGGTGCCTGTAATCCCAGCTACTCAGGCGGCTGAGGCAGGAGAATCGCTTAAACTTGGGAGGCGGAGGTTGCAGTGAGCTGCGATCATGCTATTGCAGTCCAGCCTGGGCGACAGAGTGAGACTCCGTCTTAATAAACAAACAAACAAACAAACAAACTTTATATTTTAGATCAGTTTTAGGTTCACAGGAAAATTGAGTAGAAGGTATGGAGACTTCCCATATATCCCCATCCCTACGCATGCATAGCTCTCCTCCTTACTAGCATTGCCCACAAGAGGGGGTCATTTGTCACAATTGATGAATTTACACTGACACATCACTATCACCCAAAGTCCATGGTTTATGTTAGGGTTCACTCTTGGTGTTGGACATTCTGTGGGTTTGGACAAATTCATCATGACATGAATCCAACATGAGAGCATCACACAGAGTAGTTTCACTGTCCTAAAAATCCTCTGTGCCCTGCCTATTCATCCTTCCCCTTCCCCTAACCCCTAACAACCACTTATCTTTTTACTGTCTCCAAAGTTTTGCCTTTTCTAGATCGTTATATAGTTAAATCATACAGTATGTAGCCTTTTCAGATCAGCTTCTTTTCACTTAGTAATAATGTATTCAAGTTCCCTCCATGTTAGTCATTTCATGACTTGACAGCTTGCTTCTTTTTACTGCTGAATAATATTTTATTGTCTGATGTTCCAGAGTCTATTTTATCCATTGACCTACTGAAGAACATTTTGGTTTACTTCATGTTTTAATAATTTTGAATAAAGCTGCTATAAACATGTGCATGCGTGTTTTTTTGTGGACCTAAGTTTTCAGCTTCTTTGGGTGAGCACCAAGAAGTGTGACTGCTGGATTATATGGTGAGTGTTTGGTTTTTATAAAAATCTGCCAGACCACTTTCCAAAGTGGTTGGGCTAGTTAGCATTCCCACCAGCAATGGATGAGAGTACCTGTTGCTCCCCATCCTCATCAGTATTTCATGTTGTCATTGTTCTGGATTTTGGCCATTTTCTAGCAGGCTATTAGTGGTTTATCTCATTGATGTTCTCAGTCGTGTTTCTCTAATGAGATGATGTTGGACATCTTTTCATATGCTTTTTTACTATCTGTATACTTTGGTGTGGTGTCTGTTAAGGTCTTTTAGTCATTTTTAAATTGGGTTATTTTCCTATTGTTGAGTTTTAAGAGTTCTTTGTATATTTTGGATAACAGTCCTTTATCAGACAAGATTTTTTTTGGCAAATATTTTCTCTCAGTCTGTTTTATTTTTTCATTATCTTAACAGTGTCTCTTAAAAAGCAGAAATATTTAATTTTAATGAAGTCCAGCTTATGAATTGCTCCATGGGTTGTGCTTTTGGCATGGTATCTAAAATGTTATCAGCCAACCCAGGATCATCTCAATTTTCTCTTACGTTGTCTTTGAGGGGTTGTAGTTTCAGACATAGATCTGTGATTCATTCTGAGTTAATTTTTGCAAAGGATGTAAGGTCTATGTCTAGATTCTTTTTTTTTTTCATATGGATATCCTGTGGTTCTAGTGCTGTTTTATGCAAAGAGTATCTTTTTTCCGCTGTATTGACTTTACTCCTTTTCAAAGCTTAGTTGACCAAGCTTTGCATTTCTGGGCTCTGTATTCTGTTCCATTGATCTATTGGTCAATAGATCTATTGGTCTATTCTTTTGCCAATACTGCTCTCTTTTGATTACAGTAGCATTATGCCTAACTTTTAAAAAATATTTGAACACAGAAAAATGTTGAAAGGCAGGTATAGTGAACCCTATACCCACCAACTAGATTCAAACATTTGATCTTACATTTGATGCAATATCAATTTAAATCTCTCCGTGGATATCAAAACTTCTAAAATAATCTTTCTTGTTTAGTAAATTATTTCTATTTTTTCTGATGTCAATGTCTGATCATTTCTCTTAGTTATTCTCTTTCATGTCATTGGTTTTCCTTGAAGAAATTATCCTTAGCAGATTATTTTAAAGACTAGATTGATTAGTGTATAGGGTTGGCAGAAGTTTCTTATGCAATTGTACGGTGATTAATTCTATAAACTGGCCTGAGTTTCCACTAGCATTGCATTTGTATCTGCTTCCCTAACACATTTTACTCTTCAATGAGAAGAAGCCTGGTTTTAGGCTCTGTGTAAGAGGGCAGGGTGTGTTGGTTGTCAAGCTTCACTTGGATGTGGATATGGAGCAGCCAATCAGCTGAGACTTCTCCTCCAATTGCCAAAGATACAGGCAACTTCAGTTGTCTGAGTGAAGTGATGTTCCCTGTTTTTCCTCCTGCGTCTCTGTTGTGTGTTTCCAGAGTTATCTTAAACTTTGTTTGCTTTGTTAGACTTCTAAATATAGGACTGGTATTATTGAGGTAGAAAAACAAACTTCCCTCTGTACAGATACAAAAGATTAGATAAACAAGAGCATGGCTTGGGTTTCAGCTCCTGGTAAACCCCTTGGTGGGACCCTATGTGTACAGTAAAACCTACACAGCTGTACATGGAAGCCTTACCCACGTTCAGGACCTAAGGTCCTCTCTCAGAGTGTAGTTCTTTTTAAATATTTGAAGAGCTCTGTCAGGGTAAGGGGAGATAGATGGAAGGCTGCAGTGGCCTTTCTAGTACCCACCCCAGTTCCCACCTAAATATAATTTCTACATTGCTACCAGCAAGGTTCCTCTAATATACGTAAATATAACTTTTTCACTTGCCCAACAAGACAGGAAGGTGTGAGTTTGAGGCCCTAATCATGAATTAAATTATATTAATACATACAGGGAAGTCACGATCGGGAGCTTCCCCAATCGTGAATGGTCGGGACAAAGGGAGCCAAAAACCAAGTTAAAATGCCCAGATGAAAGTAAAAACTGTGGGAATAAAACTTAGAAAGTGTGCGGGGTTAGACATGATGTCTGCAGAATCAGCTCAATGGAGGGGATCCCTGAAGCCATGGAAGTTAAAGAAACCCAGAGGGCCCCAATGTAGAGAGAACAAAGAGCCTTGGCAAATATGGTCAGGATGGAGAAGCCATGAAGAATGCATAAAGTTCAGATAAGAAACATTTTAGGCATAGAAGAATAATCTGTGCCATTTTATATTAAATGTGTCCTACATTTATAACTAACTATTCAAACTTTCTTCATTGATCATGCACATAGTCAGGACTATTGTGCATGGTATAAAATTACCCCCAGATATGGCCACTGCTAAGCCACCTCCTTTCCCACTCATTCCCAACTTTACCATACACATTGCATTTCCAAACCCTTTGTGGTCACTTGAACACTGAGTTCTCCCATGTGTCTATAACTTTGAACATAAGATTTTATCTAATTCTTTCCAGCCAGCCTGAAAAATGCATTTGCCTCCTCCTAGACCTAGCTAGAGATCTCTTTGCCACTGGAAACATTCCTAACTGTAGCCCATGTTGAGTTGATGCTCCATCTTCTTCCCTCTATATGTTGCCCTTAAATTATATTGCAATTGTTTAGTTACTCATCACATATTATTCCCTTCTAGAACTGTCCTTATCATCACATCTTTGTTACTCGATACTTAACAGGAAGGCGCTTAGTGATTTTTAGCTAAACAGATGAATGAGGCCCATGGTCTATCCTTCTCTAACCTCTACTCTCTGATATATCCCCTCTCCTTTTAGTTCTCTTTTATGCATGGGCAATTTTCATTTTTCAAACTCAGAAAAGCACATCTGAAAGATATACCTGCTCAGAGGCTATGATAGCAGTCTATTTATTATTTCCCCTTACAGTCATTCAATACATACTATGTATGGGGCATTGGCAGAAACACGGGTTGAAAAGAAGTGGACCCAGTTCCTACCATCATAGAGCTGATTGTTTAGTGGGGGAAAGTGATGTCAATCACATGGTTATACAGACAAGTATAATCATATTCTTTGAAGGAGGACTGCATGGTGCTGATGGTGCTGCTAGAAGCTCTAATAATGGCAGCAGGTAATTAGGGAGGTCAGGGAAGGCTGCTTCCGGGAAAGTGACAAAGAAGCTGAAATTGAATAGGAGCAAACAGAGTGATCCAGATAGAGTGCACAGTATGTTCAAAGGCCCTGCAACTGGCACAGGGAATAGCGTAGACTAAAAGAAGTCAGTGTGATTAGGAGTGAAGAGCAAAGATGAGCATATTGAAGAAGTTGGAGAGTAGCAGGTATTAGCACATGCAGTGTCGTCTGGGCTATGCTAAGCAGCTCTTGCCTTTAAGTGTGCAGACCCTGGGACCAGAGTGCCTGCGTTTATATCCTGACTCCAGCACTTACGTCTTTGGGAAAGTCTCTTTGCCTCCATTTTCTTATTTGTAAAACGAGGATCGTATTAGTACCTACCTGATGAGGACTATATGAGTTAGCAGAAAAGCATTTAGAACAGTTTCTA
Source organism: Homo sapiens (assembly GCF_000001405.40). Taxonomy (NCBI): domain Eukaryota; kingdom Metazoa; phylum Chordata; class Mammalia; order Primates; family Hominidae; genus Homo; species Homo sapiens. Next base: position 3,131,017 of record NC_000009.12, on the reverse strand, counting down.
GCACATAGCACTATGGTAATTGTTAGCCATCATTATTATTCTAGAAAAAGTATGTAACTATGTATATTTGTGTGTGTGTGTATATATGTGTGTGTGTGTGTATATATATATGTGTGTGTGTGTGTATCCATGACTTAATTTTCATGACTTAGTGTAAATACTTCCTTGTATATAATCCTGCCCATATTGACTTTGGTAATATCCCAGGAAAAGCATTCTATATTGGAAAGGAGAGGGAGATGGGAAATTAAGAGATTTTTTCTCTAATTTTCTCTTTGAAACTATAATTTTGAGACTTATGAAGATTCTGATACTGTTTTAAAACCTCTGTGTATAAAGAATTGTATTCTTTTTTCCATTTATTACCCCTGTGTAAGAGCATGAGGACCCAGTAGGTAGCATTTTTCTGTAGGCTAAGAAACAATGTGCTTTGAGAACCTAAATACATTTATTCAGCACCTCTTGACCCCTTAAGTTGAGGTGGACGTGCAGTAGCAGAAATCTCACTGATAAAACCCCCCTTTTCAAGTCATTAACTACTAAGACATACATGCATAAAGGGTATAAAGGGATTTCATTTCAAGCATCACTGAGTTGTGAAGGTAAAAATTATGCATAATTCGTTCCATTGGAACTGTTATTTGAGAGGCCATATTGATTTCATTGGTGACCACATATAACTTGTAATATTTCCTTAAATGATCATTTTGATTCTACTTGTGTTGAAATAGCATCCAAAGCACAAATAGGGGAAAAAGAGAGATTTCATCTAATACTGCTTTTTTATTGAGTGCCTCCTTTATGCTATTTAGTGAAAGTGGAGCCTGATGTGTGTATGTGTTTCACAAGTATTGCTGAAAGTAGCGGCTCTTAGAAGATCCTACCTTCTAAGTACATTTGAACCATGAAACAATATTTCCTTTTATCTCCCTTTGTCATTGTTAATTAGGAAAAATTGCCAGATTTCCCAGTGGTAGCATGTCTAATTTAATAACCTGAGAGTCTGATGCTCAAAAATATAATGAAGTGTACTAAATACCATGGCAGTTTTATAATTACTTATACAAAACATATTGTCACTAATCTTTACTGATTAGAAAAGACTGTTATAAAGCACAAAATGCAGTCAGATGAGAACTATAGCTCTATTTGCATAATTCAATATAATTATTAATCGTGCAATTTTTCCTGAGTATTGGCCAATGGACCAGAATTTGTTTGAAGATGAGGAATATTGGTCAAAAAAACCCTTCTAGATTATTTCTTAATTCTGTAAAATAAATAAATAAATAAATTTAGAGGAAGTCTCCCTCTCTCTTTTTCTTTGGGAATATTTTTATCATTTGGTTTTATTACCAGTCTAAGTGATCGCCCTAATGGGATTGGCTATTTTAATTAAAGTTTTTGTATCTTGTAAATGCTGCCTGAGCCAGTATTTCTATATGTTTTAGAAAAAGTCTCTTCCAATTTTTTTTTATTTTAAAAAATTATATAGGCAGCACTATGGAATAGTGGGTCTTACTTTTGTAAAACCCCAGTTTGAGTCTTCCCTAGTTGTGTGACCTCAGAGAAAGATGACATTTGGCAGATGACTTAACCTTGGAATCTCAGTTTTCTTATCTGAAAACACAGGAATGTTTATTATAAGGATTAACTAAACTCTTACTGTAAACCATATCACCTGTACATTGTAGGTATCAAAAAACCCATAAACCTTTTCCCCTTAGGAAAATGGCCATGATGTGGGAGCAGTAACACATGAAGACTGAGCATGGTGTTTTAGAGCGTGGATGTGTCAGACAGATCTGAGCTTGAATCTCGACTCTACCACTTATGTGTTTTGTGATTCTGGGGAGATTACTTAATCTCTGGGAACCTTACTTTCCTGACCTGTTAAATTGAGACAATAATAGTATCACTTCTTGGGGATTAAATAGCGAAAGTTTAAGAAATTGAAGCATGTAGAAACTTCACACAATAAGGGATCCGTGGGTGCTTTTCTGGGTCTTTATGTTTTAGGTGTGTCTCTTACAATTCACGTACCCTGATGAAGCCTTGTAATGTACTGTTATACTCCTTTTATCTGGTGTTGGTATCTGAAATTCCCTTAAGGTAAAATATGGGTTTTTATTTCATTTTTTGCAACCAGTTTGACTATGCTAACCTACTGCATCCTCATGCTTTTACATAAGGGTAATAAATAGAAAAAAAATCCTTTACACACAGAGGTTTTAAAACTGTACCAAAATCTTCATAGGGCTAGTTTAATTATTTGGAATGGATTTGTGATTGGTGGTAGAATCAGATTTTTTCTTATTAATGATGATAGTAAAGAGGTTCAATAGCAGTTAGAAACTAATAATATGAGTTCTTCCAAGAAAGAATAATGCCTCCACAAAGATTTTCCAAAATTACCAATTTGGGGATAGTTTCAGGGAGTTGAAATGATGGAAGCTCCAAGGTTTTGCACAATTCAAAAATAATCCCCCTTTTTTCTTTAGCATAGACTAGACTCTCTGTATATATCTTTGTTTTATTCATTTTATTTGCTGAACATCGAGCATTTAGTAGGATACAAAGGCTCAGATATTATTCTTGCCATCAAAATATTCACAGATGGGGTGGAGAGCAATGGGAACAGATGCATAAATGGATATTGCTAATAACCTTTATTAAGGACAGTGCCAAAGGAATGCAAAGGTGTTATGGGAACATGACAAGGGGTACTGGCCTGGTCTAGGGAAAAGCAGGAAAGGAATAATGGAGTAGGTGATGAATAGGGGTTGGTTTTCAATCAGAGATGGTTCTATACTCCTAGCAGGTGTTTACAATATATAGGGGCATTTTTGGTTGCCACAAAATGATTGGAGAGTGGCATTATTGGCCTTTAGTGAGTGGAGGCCAGTGATGCTGAATGTCTTTTAATGTACAGGATGATCCACACATGGCAAAAACTGTGCTTTCCCAAATACCAACAAGAAACATTGAGTGAAGAGGGGAAATAAGGTATTCTAGGGAATAGAAACTATTATTTATGTTGTATATATACTATAGTTTGAAAAAAATTGCATTGAGCTTGTAGTATATGTAAAAATAAAGGCAATTAGAAATTGAGAATACTCTTTTTCTGTCTATTGCTTTCACTTGGAATGCCCTGAACTGGGCTTTCAAGCCCATGATTTTCCTGAAGCCTAAGGTAATGATACATGTTGGTTTTGAGTATGCCTAATGGTGACGCCAGGCTTCTCAAGCCCCTGGAGAATAAGTTCATTCAGGTCACTATCAGAATGATGAAAGCCCAGGAAAGAACATTTCCATTTTTTTTTTTTCTTTCCAACAGACTGCCAAGTTAAGAGGGGGCCAACTGTAAAACAGTATTGACATTTTGAACCAGAAAATCTGTTTTTCTTTGCTTTGATATATTTTAGAATAAAATAGATTTGCTCAGACATCCAAAACAGTTAAGAAAGTTATCCATGGCTATAGCCTAAATGCAGAGGAAACACCAGGAGAAATAATTAAGTTGCATACATGCAGGAGCAGGAGCAGGTGGAAAGGAAGAGGAATGTGGGATAGGAGTCTAGGAGCCTCTGGCTCTAGGGATGTGTCCGGTGAGCACAGAGGATAATCCCCAATAGCGATATAACCCAACAGTGAAGATACAGACAACGAGTTCCAGTATTTTAGCAGAAATGGTAGACTGGCCATGATGCTACGCGCAAAGGTTTTCAGAGTTTGCTCCATCAAATCCCAAGGTTTTGCAGAGGAGTTATCTATGACAGAATTGGGAAAGGGTTTGGGAGGGACAATAAGTGAGAAGAGGGGCAAGGAGAAGCTGGGTTAGTCAATTCCTACTCTGGCCTTTAGCAGGCATCTCTCATTATTATTAGGTTGGTGCAAAAGTAATTTCGGATTTCACCTTTACTTTCAATGACAAAAACTGCAATTGTTTCTGCACCAACCAATATATGTGTTGGAGTTCTGTATAGGATTTTATTTTAAAATGATACAAATTTCTGCTTTAAAAGTTATTTGAAAACCACTAATATTCAAAAAACATCAAAATGCTCATTGCTAGTGTCACTTATTCATTTAGAAATTAATCTGCTGTGCAAGTTTGATCAAGTGCCTTAACCACTCTGTGCTACTATTTTTTAAAAATTTATCTAGGTAATGAGGTTTTCCGACTGAAAATTTTAAGGATCTTTTTAGCTCTAACATTCTGTGAATTTTCAAATGTATTAGTCAACTTACTGCTTTATTGTGAAGAGAGATGATTTGATAGGCTAAGTATAGATTGATTCACGGGAACTAACAGATGAACCACACAGAAGACCTAGGAGATTCTAGGTTTTTGATCTGAAAGTTATAAGAAGTGTGAAATTAAAATGAGGTTATTTATGGAAATTCACAGTTTCCACCACTCACAGTTGCTACTGGTTTCATCAAGGCATAACATCTTGGCAAACAAGAAACAGGAACCCTAATTCATCAGTTTACCTGATGTTCTAGTTAAAGCCTTTCACTGGAACTATTAGTGGGCCAGGCTTCCACTGGGTAGAGGTGCTGGTTTCATGAAGTTATCAGAACCTTTTCAAGAGATTGTCAGAAAAGAGTCCTTTCAACTCTTTAGTACACATTTTCAGTTAGTCGGACACAGCTGCATGAGGTATGAATTTACTTTTCTAAGAATCATTTGATGAAGCAATACCCTTGATATGGCTGTACTTCCCAGCAAGGATTTGGAAACATTACGCAGCCTGTCTAGTCTGACAATTTCACACATTCACTTCCATTTTCCTATTAGCATTTAAGAAATTGCGTTACTCACTTGACCTCCATTCATTTTAAGCACATTATCCTGGCTGAATGTTCAAGCTGGTTGTTAAGGAACAGCACCTCTGGGTTCTGCTGTCATCTCTGTTTGCCTGGGTTGGTCCCTTGGCCATTTGCTAGTAATTTAAAATGGTTTCGTGGGATTGCTGGATTTAGGCTTGCTCTCTGCTTGTTTCGAAATATACTGGCTGGCATTGTAGTAGTTTGTTTAGAACATTTTCTGCATTAAAGAGAGAAATGAAATGCTCCACTAGAGGGTCACAGACCAGCACAAGTTTATGCAGTGATTACAAAACCACATATTGATATTATGCTAAGCACTACATGTAGGTCATTGTATTTCATTTAAGCCTTACAACGATGTTATGAGGAAAGTGTCATCATCATCATCACCATCATCATCATCATCATCATCATGTCATGATTAGAGTTGAGCAAATTGAGGCTTACAGAGGTAATAACTTAACCAAAATCTCACAAGCTAATTACTGTTGCTTAGTAAATTTATTTGGCTCACTTCTCCTTGGTGGTTGTTTGTAGTAATTACAAAGATGTATGGCAATATGTTATTTAGGCAGAAGTGTACTGTCATAGTCTAATATACCCAATTTTTGTGCTTATTTAAATTATAATGAGAATGCAAGACTTTTATTAGATTAATTCACACTCAGATCCAATTAAATGTCATGGACACCAGGTAAAGTTTGACTATTATCTTGTTGGAGCTTTTGGTTGAGAGCTGGCACTACATGTTTTATTGCTAGTGCATTCATCTCCACAACGTGGAGGGTGGCTTTGTTCATAGCCCCTTAACTACCGAATGCATGGCCACTGCTGTCTTTCAATTATGTTTTGTGATTCTGCAGTAGAGAAAACTCCAGTTATTTTCCTTGTTACACCTGAAAGTGGCTCGGAAGCCTGAAGTCTTTATTTCTTTCAGTGAGCACTTGCAGACAAACAGTAAAAGAAAAGGATTCATTAGACATTGTTTTTCAGCTCTTCTAACAAGGAAGTAAAACGAATAGGTGGGTTCAAGTGATGTCAAGTATCAAAGCTGATTTGTTTTTATGGCTTAGCACAGTTACTGCTTTCAGAACACTGTCAGTATGTATTTAACACTGCTTTGATTCAGAACTCTATGCAGTTGTAAGAGTGACTGGTATACACAGGGATATACTAAAATAGCACAATATTAAAGCATCGTGACCGATGTATGCCAAGTGCACCTGTATTCTCCAAGGAGATTTGTCAGAAGTTTTCCCTCTTTTGAACTCATCAAATCTTATAAACAACCTGAAATCTTTATCAGAACTATGTAGGGATGTAAATAATAAATGAATAATTTCTAGTACTGTGTATTCTGCTGCATGTCTATGCTTCAGTGTATACTGATTTCTTGTACTTCTTTCCCCCACGTTTCTCAGTAATTATTTTTATTTAATTTACATATATACAAATTTTCTCAACATTTTTGAAAGCACTGAATTACATTCGTTTCTCAGCATAAAGGCATTTGTTTTTTTCTTGGTATAGTAGTACTGCAGACTCATTATGTAAAGGAAAAATGAAACTACAAAAAGTTGGAAGGCAGACAAAGCCAAAACCATCCCCTAAGACAATCATCACTAATACTTTGTGTTTCTAAGTCTCTTTGTTTTAAGCATTTAAAAAATATATTTTTTCAAATGTACATAAAATCTGTGATTTTTAAATATTTATCATAGCATAGCACTTCTCTATGCTAAAACATAACTTCTCTAAATGCCATTCTAAATAACTGTGTGGTGTTGTGTCAAGAAATATTCAACATAGTTTTTTCCTGCTATTAAACTAGGGAAGAAAAGAATTCTTTCTTAATATATTTACAGCTACATACCTTCACCTAACAGCCTGTTTCCTTACTATGAAATATGAGAAGCTTTAACCACTGTTAAGCACAGTGCAGGCACCATCGATGAGGATGGCCAGGAGCCTTTGTGCTGAAGCAGAGTTCTTTAAAGTTTCCTGCTGTGCCAGGCATTGACGTTTTTGGTGGGAGTCTGGGGACTTCTTGAGGGGTGTCAGGACTGTAGTTCTTCACTTGCCTGAAGGCATGCCAATAAACTGGCTGAAAATTAGTCCTGGCTTTTTTTTAAGAGTCAGGACCAGGACAAAGACACCTGCTATAACAATTATTATTCTGGAAAGTTCTAACCAATTCAGTAACAATAATCAAAAATAAGAAAGAAGGGAAGAAACAAAACATATAGCTGATATGATTGTCTAGCCAGAAAAACTAAAGAGAATCAATTGAAAAACTGGAATTATTGAGAGTTTAGCTAAGTGACTAGATTTTTAAAACAAATATACAAAAATGTGTAACATTATCACAGATGAGCAAAAACGTAATAGAACATGTCATGGAATAAGTTCTGTTTAAGTTGTTGCTGTAAATATAAAATCTCTAGGAATAGCCTTCATAAGTGTCTAGGGGTCTACATGAAGAAACTCTACAACTTTACAAAGATCCATGAAAAACTTGGATAAATGTAGAAGCCTACTGTGTTGCACATTGGAAAAATTCACTGTTGTTAATGCTGACAGTAAAATTTCATCCAAAATACAATTAACAGAATTAACAGTGGAAGAGAATTGATATCACAGAAACAGACCTAAGTATTCAATTTCACATATCATGGATATTATTGTGAGATATTGTAGGATAGTACTGTGTAAGGGACTATATATGGAGTTTAAGATAAAACACCGTGGAATCAAACAATCATGAATTAAAACCCCAAATCTGCTAAGTTTTATGGCTTGCTGTCATTTTTACCACTGTTGTAATAGTTCCCATCTCATGGAGTGGACCGAGGATTAAATAGGACATGATATGCAGTCAACACATGGTAGAGTTAATTAATATTATTTCATGTCTCTAAAACTTAAAGTATAATAATAAATAATAATAATAATAAATATATTATTTCATCCTCAAATATTTGGGAAATTAGGCATCCTGATTTTTTCCTACATATTATGCTTCAAATGTTTAAATGTATTCTTAAATCTGCGTTTACATAATGACTAAAGATAAAATATAATAACATTTGACTCCTACAAAATGAAAGAAAATTAATATAATATTTTCCTGTCCCCATACATCTCATCATTAATTATCATGAACTCTATCATTTTCACCTGGGTTCTAGAAGCATCTTAAAAATAAGTTAGATATTTCTATGATTCAATTCTCTGCAATGTTGAATCTATGATTTACTATACTATTATAGGTAAGCAATCCTTGATTATAATAGTAATAATTGTCTGTTGTAGAAGGTATGAAAAACACAAAAAGGTGTCAAGAAGAAATTTGGAATGACCCAAAATTCCGTTACTTGAAAATAATCATCATTAATACTCTTGTGTCTTTAATTTTGGATTCTTTTTTCATTCGTGTGTGCTCTTGAGTTTCAGAATTAATAAATTTGCTTAATACAATTTCAATAAACATCTCAACTGAATTTGTTGGAAGTTTAATTCAATGAAATGATTTCAGGAATAATTTTAAAATATGTTTTTAAAAGGAGAAAATTTAGGGAAGACTTGTCTTTACCAGTTTTACTGTGTTATAAAACTCTCCAAATTAAAATTGTTTTGTACTGGTGCAAAATTGGCCAGCAAATTTGTGATTCCATAAATAGTCCAGGAAGAGAATTTGGTGTTTAAAATATTTAGTATGTGATAAAATTGCTATGATTATCAGCAGGAGAAAATATTATATAGCAAAGTTTTCAGGGATTAAAAAAGTGAGATATTACTTTTTACCATATAGAAAAATAAATTTCAAAGTAATTTAAGGCTACACCAATTATGGTTTTTAATTACCATGTTTGTAATTTTCATACAGGTTAGCTTTATCTTAGCCTGTACTCCTCTTGTAATATGTTACTTTAAAAGGACAGTGTCTCCTTTTATCTTATTGAGAACTTGAAGTATACAAGTAAAATTTATGTCTTGCCATAAATTTTTTTAGAAAGGTGATTTTTATTTTAGATTCTTACTATTACATAATCTGTTTTTCTTATGCTGCAGAATAATTTCATAGGCCTAGCACAGTTGTTCTCTACTTATCCTCACAGAGAGAATGTACGTATTATTTTGTTGTAGCAGAGTAAGTTTTTCATGCTTTCTAGAGGGCTTCTCAGAACTTTTCATGGCACACACTCAGGTGCCCATCTCGATTTATGTCTGATTTATTTTGTTTTCATTTTTCTTTGCTTTTTATACTGTAGGTGCTCATTAAGTTCTTCTTACTTCATAGTTCAATTTATTTTGAAGAGAATTCTACTAATTTGCATTTCTGTGGCTCCCTCAAGTAGGATTTTGATTTGTAAAACTCATATAACTGTTTTATCAAATAACAACTGGAAATGAATACAAAGTTGCTGACATCCCTAGCATTTTAATTGTTGAAGGTAGAGGGATCATCTCAAGATTACCCAAGAATTATGTGGCTGAATAATTGCTCCTTTAGCATGTGCTATACATTTTATTTAATTGCAACATGTAACTTGCCCATGATGGAGAAAATCCATCATGAACTTTGACATTTTTCTGATCACCTAAGAATTCTCATTTCTGGTTTGTGACATGCTGAATATATTGGGTGATTTCAGCAGTGTTAGAAAATTCTAGAAACAATTCTCAAGGTAAAATTAATTGTGACTTACTGTGAATAAGAATGTCAGATGGCTGCATAGTATCCCATGGTGTATATGTGCCACATTTTCTTTATCCAGTTTATCACTGATGGGCATTCGGGTTGGTTCCAAGTCTTTGCTATTGTGAATGGTACTGCAATAAACATACATGTGCATGTGTCTTTATAGTAGAATGATTTATGATCCTTTGCGTATATACCCCGTAATGGGATTGCTGGGTCAAATGCTATTTCTGTTTCTAGATCCTTGAGGAATTGCCACACTGTCTTCCACAATAAAGGATGAGTTCAAGTCCTTTTCAGGGACATGGATGAAGCTGGAAACCATCATTCTCAGCAAACTAACACAGGAACAGGAAACCAAACACTGCATGTTCTCACTCATAAGTAGGAGTTGAACAGTAAGAACACATGGACACAGGGAGGGGAACATCACACACCACGGGCTGTTGAGGGGTGGGGGCTAGGGGAGGGATAGCATTAGGAGAAATACCTAGTGTGGATGACAGGTTGATGGGTGCAGCAAACCACCATGGCACGTGTATACCTATGTAACAAACCTGTACGTTCTGCACATATATCCCAGAATTTAAAGTATAATAATAAAAAAAGAAGAATGTCAGATGGCTTTAGGAGGATAATAGAGGAGATTGATGCAATTATTGTTAAATAATAATAATAATTAGTGATCAGATAATAATCACTGATAATGAAGCCCAATATACTAAAATCCCAAGCTTTTGCTATTGAACAAAAATGGTGTTTGTACTCCTCACTTAAAAAAAAGTGTTGCAATAAAATCATTGTCTTCTTTTCCTTTTCCTGCAATTGCTGAATGAGTTCAGTTGGTAGTAATGTCTTTGTCTATTTTTAAACTGTGTGAGAATGTGCTTTGGAGACATGAGCTTTTTTTTCTTCTTCAAATATTCTTGTAATAATCTACATTGATGTACTAATACTCTGTTTGTCTGATTTTCTGACATTATAAAAATGGTACTATAACCAGCAATGTGCCATAGCAATGAGAGATATGCCATATCCCTTAAGGTTTTTCTAATTAGCTACTTAATGAGAAAATTTGGTAATTGTATTGAGTTAAAGGACTAGGTGTATTTATTTGGACAACATTCGATTTTGAGCGAAGACTTTTTTAAGAGAATAAAAATGCAACTGTAGCATTGTATAACTAATGTGCACAGCTCACTGTTTTTTAAGATAACAATTTAAATCTATTAACAAAGATCTGATTTCAGAGTTTCATAATATTGAGGATTTATTTAGCTTGTAAAACCTGTAGCAACCTATTCATATGTTCTGAGATAGAAAATACATCAAGGAAATTTTTGTCACTTATCCCGTAAAGAAGAATTAATTAGTCAGTTTGTTAATCTGTAAGAATGTATGAATTTCCATGTTTCATGTTTCCAATTCCAGATTAGAGTAAGTAGGACTAGAATAATTTTAGTAAATATTCTTTTGAAATGCGGAGTTTTCAATGTGGCTCTCCAATGTTAATAAGCTTGTTGTGGCTGTCAATATCTGAAATGGTCCATAATTTATATTTGAAAAGCTGCCATCAGGCAAAGTTTTCTGAAGTCTCTTTCTTTCATATAACAATATTGCTTGAGTATCTGTATGATTTCCTCCTGTAGCAAGTTTGTGCAAATCCTGTCAGGGGAGAAAGCACAAGCTATATCCTTGCTTTTCAGAGAGAAAACTAGTTTTACGGAGAAATATCTTGCCCAGAGTACTCAATCAAGTGACAGAGCTAAAAGGAGAGTCTGTTTATATGATTAAGTGATACAAGTCATGCTTTATTTCTTCCTATCACTAATTCTTATTCCAGTCAGTCAGCTCATCTATGCAGTCAGTGTAACGTGGATGACATGGCTACAAATCCTAGCCTAACCTAGGATTTGGTGTTCTGGTTTTTTTTGTTTGTTTTTTTGTTTTCTTGCCTGTGAACAGGATCTGAGAAATAACATGTGGTACAAATGTCACGAATTGTGTCAAATATTACCATCCCCATGCCAGTTGTAGCTGATGATTCACCTGTGAAATAGAGCCACGAATAATAAGAACTTTCCAAATATAACCTCAAAAATTTTTGAATCACAGATTTTTCATTAAAAAAAAAATCAGAGTCAGGCAAAGAGAATATGGACACACGCATTTGAGCTGGTCTCAGTCAGTTGGAGATTCTTAAATTCAGAGAACAGGCCCAGGGATTGTGCTTGCCTCTTCTATGGAGTCATTATAAGAAAACCTCTGTCTCCCTTTACTTATATCTTTATCAAATGTTTTAACCTACATTCAGGACTGTTTTTTGTCCCCATCTTGAAATGTTAATCAATATAACTAGTCATCCAAAATGACCAGCTGGAGAAGTTACACGATTCAGTACCTTGGTACCTACGGTGGTTAATTCTATGTACCACACACACAAATATCCATAGAAGTTAAACAAAAGAAAAAGAAAAAGGAACAAAATCATATAAATGCAAAAAATCATCAAAACACAGAGGAAGACAGCAAGAGAGGAAATGATTTTTAAAACCTACATGACTAACAGAAAACAATTAACAAAATGGTATTAGTAAATCTTGCTCTATTGATAATTATTTTAAATATGAATGGATTAAACTCCCCAATAAAAAGATATCAAGTGGTTGAAAGAAAATAAGACTCAACTACTGTCTATAAGAAATTCACTTTAGATTTAAGAACACATATAGACTGCAAGTGAAGGGATAGAAAAAGATATTTTATACAAATGGTAACAAAATGAGAGCCGAAGCATCTACATTATATTGGAGAGAATAGACTTTGTCAAAAAGTGTCACAGAGACAAGGAATTTTATAATGATTAAAGGTCAGTCCATCAGGAAAACACAATTACAAACGTATTATGTACCCAACATCAAAGCACCTAAATATATACTTAAAAATGGACACATCTGAAGGGAAAAATAGAAAGCAATAAAATAATAGTAGGGGACATTAACACCATATTTTCAACAGTGGACAGAACATCCAAATCAACAGGGAAAAAGAGAAGTTGAATAACACCATAAGCCAAATGGACCTAACAGACATATACAGAACATTTCACCCAACAGCAGCAGAATACACATTCTTCTCAAGTGCATACCAATCTTCCTCCATTGTAGATCACATGTTAGGTCACAAAAAAAGTCTTAACAAGTTTAAGAAGAATGATGTCATACAAAGTGTTTTCTGGCCACAATGGAATGAAGCTGGAAATCAATAGCAGAAGGAATAGTGTAAAATTCACAGTGATATGGAAACTCAGCAATACACTCTTAACCACTTGATACAAAGAAGAAATAAAAAAGGAAATTAGAAGATATCTCTAAAGAAATAAAAATGAAAATGGAACATACCAAAATTTATGGGATTCAGCAAAAGAAGTACTTATAGGGCAATTCATTGAGAAAAACACTTAAAAAGGAGAAAGATTTCAAATATAGAACCTAATTTTATTCCTCAAGGATATAGAAAAAGAACAAATTAAACCCAAAGTTAGCAGATGGAAGAAAATAACAAAATATTAGAGCAGAAATAAAGAAAAATAGAAAAACAGTAGAAAAATCTATGAAACTGAGAGGTGTGGTTTTTTTTTTGACAAGATAAACAAAGTCGAAAACCCCCTTAGTTGGATAACCTAAAAAAAATTAAGAGATTAAATAAAGTCAGAAATGAAAGAAGATTCATTACAAGGGATGCCACAAAAATAAAAAAAGCAAAACTAGAGAATACTATGAATAATTATATGCCAACAAACAATAACCTGAAGAAATGAATAAATTTCTAGAAACATATAACCTACCAAGACTAAATCATGAAGATATCAAAAATCTTCCAACAAAGAAAAGCTCAGGATAAGATAACTTTAGTGGTGAATTCTCTCAAACATTTAAAGAAGAATTAATGCTACTTTTCAAACTCTTCCAAAACATTGAAAGGGAGGAAACACTGCCAAATGAATTTTAAAAGGACAGCATTGAACTCATATGAAAACTAGATAAGGACATGCAAGGAAAGGAATTTCAAGCCAATAACCTGATGAACATAAACACAAAAATTCTTTACAAAATAGTAGCAAACCAAATTCAACAGCACATTGAGAAAATCATATGCCACGACTAAGGGGGATTTATCCCTGGGATGCAAGAATGGTTCAAACATATCCTTATTAATTAATGTGACATGACACAACTAAGAGAATAAAGGATAAAAAATCACACGATCATCTTAATACATGCAGAAAAGGCATTTGACAAAACTCAGCACCGTTTTATAATAAAAATTCTCAACAAACTAGAAATAGAAGGAAATTACCTCAACATAATAAAGGCCATATATGAAAAGCCCATTGTTAACATTATACTCAATAGTGAAAAACTGGAAGGTTATCTTCTAAAATATGAAACAAGGGAAGTGTGCCTACTCTTCCTGTTTCTATTCAACATAGTACTGGAAGTCCTAGCCAGAGCAATTAGGCAACAGGAAGAATAAAACGCATCCAAATTGGAAAGGAAGAAGTAAAATTGTCCCTGTTTGCAGACAACATGATCTTATATATAAGAAAACCCTAAAGACTCCATTTAAAAAATGTTAGAAGTAATAAACCAATTCAGTAAATTTGCATGATACGAAAACCAACATACAAAAATCAATTGTGTTTCTATACAATAACAGTGAACTACATGAAACAGACATTAGGAAAACTATCTCATTTACAATAGCACCAAAAAGAATAACACACCTGGGAATAAACTTAACTAAGGAGGTAAAAGACTTGTATACTGAAAACTATAAAACATTGAGGAAAGAAATTAAACACGACATAGACAAATGGAAAGACATCCCATGTTCATGAATTGGAAAAATTAATATTGTTAAAATGTACATGCCACCCAAAGAAATCCACAGATTCAGTGCAATCCCTATCCAAATTCCAATGACATTTTCACAGAAATAGAAAACACAATTCTAAAATTCTTATGGCACCACAAAAGACCCAAAATAGCCAAATTAATTTTGAGAAAGAAAAACAAAGAGATGTAAAACTTCCTTGATATCAGAATATATAACAAAGCTACAGTAATCAAAACAGGATGGTACTGGCACAAAGACAGACATATTGAGCAATGGGGCAGAAATAGAGAGCCCAGAAATAAGTTCACTCAGATAAGTTCAGCTGATCTTTGACAAGGGTTCCAAGAATACGTAATGGGGAAAGGATAGCCTCTTAACAAATGGTGTTGGAAAAACTGGATATACATATACAAAAAAGTGAATTTGGACCTATATCTTATGCCATACATATAAATCAAGTCAAAATGGATTATAGGCATTTATGTAAGAATCAAAACTGTAAAACTTATAGTAAAAACGTAAGAGAAAGGTCTTGGCAATGAATCATGGATATAACACAAAATGCACAGGCAACAAAAACAGAAGTAGACGAATTGAACTACCTCAAACTAAAGCCCCTGCACAACAAAGGAAACATTCAACAAAAGGAGAAAGCAACCTATGGAATGGAAGAAAATATTTGCAAACCATATATCTGATAAGGGGTTAATATTCAAAATATATGAGGAACTCCTGCAACTCGATAGTAAAAGAAATCCTAATAACCCAAATAAAAATGGGCCAAGGACTTGGACCTTGGATAAATATTTCTTCAAAGAAAACATGCAAATGGCCAACAAGAATATGAAAAATTGTTCAATTTCACCAATCAGAGAAATGCAAATCAAGACCACAAAGTGATATCACCCTACCACCTATTGGAATGGATACTATAAAAAACCAAAAGATAAGTGTTAGCAAGGTTGTGGAGAAAAGAGAGCCTTTGCACACTGTTGGTAAGAATGCAAAACTATGCAGTCCTATGGAAAGCAGCGTGGATGTTCCTCAATGAATTAAAAATAGAACTATCATAAGATGCAGCATTCCCACTTCTGGGAATTTCTTCAAAAGAATTGAAATCAGGATCTCAAGGAGATATTAGCACTCGTATGTTCATTGCTATGGCTATATTCAACATAGCTAAGATGTGGAAACAACCTAAATGTCCACCGACGGATGAATGAATAAAGGAAATGTGATATACACATATGACGGAATACTATTCAGCCTTTAAAAAGAAGGAAATTCTCACATGTGCTGTAATGTGGATGAAGCTTCAGGACATTATGCTGGGTGAAATAAGCCAGACACAGAAACACAAATACTGTATGATTCCACTTCAGTCAAGCAAGATAAATAATCTCTATAGATCTGCTTAATAAAATTGTATCTATAGTTAACAATAATATATTGTACACTTAAAACTTTTTTAAAAGGGTATAAATCATGCTAAGTGTTTTTACTGTAATGAAATAAAATAAGATAATTAAAATAAATAAAATTTAAAAAAGCAAGTGAGCTTTAGGTAGAGCTAGCACACTACAGGTTACTAATATACACTATAATTTTATGGAGAAATATATCAGGAACTATGTAATATTTTCCATATTTTTAAAATTATTCTTTGTTTTTTTACTCTTCACAAACGCCACCTAACCTGTTTAATCTCAATAAAAACTTTGTCTACAGTTGTTTACATAGAGCTTCAAACCCAATGCTCTTAGGAAATCGGAATAATCAGGGAATCTACACAGAAAAGAAGAATTCCTCATGCTGTAAATCTGGGATAAGTTTGGCCAATTCTTCTCTTATTCTTAATTTGATCTGAAAGATGTCAAACAATTTTGAGACCATATCCCTTTAAAATAGACAAGAAAAATATAAGGGAACTGGTTTTATTACCACAAATTAGGATTGAACTCAACTGACAGCTGGTCCTGCTAGATAATCTAATTATGATAGAATCTACTACAGCCCACAATAAACTATTTCTTAACCAAAGAAATTATTTTTAACAGATGTTCTGTGGTGTTTAATTAGTTTATATCATGTACCTATATAATAGGTCAACTCAAGGACTTGCCTAGGGGTTAACTTTGTAAATAATTCATCTCAGAGGGTTCAACAGAAAGTTACATTTCTCACAATTGATAATGCCTAGTTTTCCAGGAAAAAAAAAAAAGTATCACAACCCTGCTGTCTTTAAAAGAAGCATGGGGTACCATCCTTTCCACCTCGTTTGGGTAAAAACAAATCCAGAGCTGTTTCCTCAATAGATGTTGGCTGTATCCACTGGTCATCCATTATAGAGTCCACTCCCCGTGGAAGTAGGGTGGCTTATTCTTTGGGGAAGTACCTTATTTGGCCCTCTCAGTTTTCAATATCAAAACATGTAGGTCTGTCTGTCTGTCTGTTTTTTTTTTTAAACAGAACATGGGCATTCAAATTTCTTAAGAGAGAATATAACACAACTATGTGCTGCCCAGAGTTTACAAACTCAACAATGTAAGATAATACTTACAGAGGTAGGTGTCTTAAACAATTAAGGTAATCCGTTCCTGTAGATAGATTAAGCTTTGTCTTGGATAAAACTAGCCTATTTATGACTGGAGAGTATTCTTTTGAGCTCTAGGAGCATACCTTCTCATTTAATTACAGTTTGTCCTGAAATTCTCAAATTCAGTAGAATGACGTCAAGTAGAAGCAGTATGAAACTTACCCTGGTGTTTCTTGTAGATGTGTGGAAACTGTTGTCGACCGTTGTGTGTTATAAAATATGCTATTTATATTAACATGTATTGACTTATTCTTATGATTAAATTAATAAATATGTTACAAAAAAGACACAATAAAGCCAAAGTAAGTTGTAAGCATCAATACATTTCTCCCTAGACACTTCAACATGTATACCATAAAGTTCAATATTTGTTTACTTTTTTCTTTTGAAGACATGAAAAGAAATGTATAAATCTTACAAGTACCATTTGATGAGTTGTACACATGCTTCCACCCATGTCACCCCAGACCCTATCATGCAGGAGAACATTACCGTTGCCTAGAAACCTTCTCTGTCCTGGACCTACACATTGCCCCAGAGGCAACCACTATTCCAGTATCTTTGTCTTAAATTAGTTTTGCCTGTCTTCTATGTGAAATCATACACTATGTACCCTTTTGTATAATGCCTCTTTTTGTTTTTCTTATCATCTTAAAGTGTATTTTTGTATATATATGTTTTCATATTTTAAGTTCTAGGGTACATGTGCACAATGTGCAGGTTTGTTACATATGTATACATGTGCCATGTTGGTGTGCTGCACCCATTAACTCGTCATTTACATTAGGTATATCTCCTAATGCTATCCCTCCCCGCTCACCCCACCCCACAACAGGCCCTGGTATGTGATGTTCCCCTTACTGTGTCCAAGTGTTCTCATTGTTCAATTCCCACCTATGAGTGAGAAAGTGCGGTGTTTGGTTTTCTGTCCTTGCGATAGTTTGCTGAGAATGATGGTTTCCAGCTTCATCCATGTCCCTACAGAGGACATGAACTGATCCTATGTTATGGCTGCATAGTATTCCATGGTGTATATGTGCCACATTTTCTTAATCCAGTCTATCATTTTTGGACATTTGGGTTGGTTCCAAGTCTGTGCTATTGTGAATAGTGCTGCTATAAACATACATGTGCATGTGTCTTTATAGTAGCATGATTTATAATCCTTAGGGTATATCCCTATTAATGGGATGGCTGGTCAAATGGTATTTCTAGTTCTAGATCCCTGAGGAATTGCCAGACTGTCTTCCACAATGGTTGAACTAGTTTACAGTCCCACCAACAGTGTAAAAGTGTTCCTATTTTTCCACATCCTCTCCAGCACCTGTTGTTTCCTGACCTTTTAATGATCGCCGTTCTAACTGGTGTGAGATGGTATTTATTGTGGTTTTGATTTGCATTTCTCTGATGGCCAGTGATGATGAGTATCTTTTCATGTGTCTATTGGCTGCATAAATGTCTTCTTTTGAGAAGTATCTGTTCATATCCTTTGCCCACTTTTTGATGGGGTTGTTTGATTTTGTCTTGTAAATTTGTTTGAGTTCTTTGTAGATTCTGGATATTAGCCCTTTGTCAGATGGGTAGATTGTAAAAATTTTCTCCCATTCTGTAGATTGCCTGTTCACTCTGATGGTAGTTTCTTTTGCTGTGGGGAAACTCTTTAGTTTTATTAGATCCCATTTGTCAATTTTGACTTCTGTTGCCATTGCTTTTGGTGTTCAGACATGAAGTCCTTGCCCATGCCTATGGCCTGAATGGTATTGCCTAGGTTTTCTTCTAGGGTTTTTATGGTTTTAGGTCTAACATGTAAGTCTTTAATCCATCTTGAATTAATTTTTGTATAAGGTGTAAGGAAGGGATCCAGTTTCAGCTTTCTACATATGGCTAGCCAGTTTTCCCACCACCATTTATTAAATAGGCAATCTTTTCCCCATTTCTTGTTTTTGTCAGGTTTGTCAAAGATCAGATGGTTGTAGATGTGTGGTATTATTTCTGAGGGCTCTATTCTGTTCCATTGGTCTATATCTCTGTTTTGGTACCAGTACCATGCTGTTTTGGTTACTGCAGCTTTGTAGTATAGTTTGAAGTCAGGTAGCGTGATGCCTTCAGCTTTGTTCTTTTGGCTTAGGATTGTCTTGGCAATGCGGGCTCTTTTTTGGTTCCATATGAACTTTAAAGTAGTTTTTTCCAATTCTGTGAAGAAAGTCAGTGGTAGTTTGATGGGGATGGCATTGAATCTATAAATTACCTTGGGCAGTATGATCATTTTCATGATATTGATTCTTCCTATCCATGAGCATGGAATATTCTTCCATTTGTTTCTGTCCTCTTTTATTTCGTTGAGCAGTGGTTTGTAGTTCTCCTTGAAGAGGTCCTTCACATCCCTTGTAAGTTGGATTCCTAGGTATTTTATTCTCTTTGAAGCAATTGTGAATGGGAGTTCACTCATGATTTGGCTCTCTGTTTGTCTGTTATTGGTGTATAGGAATGCTTGTGATTTTTGCTCATTGATTTTGTATCCTGAGACTTTGCTAAAGTTGCTTATCAGCTTAAGGAGATTTTGGGCTGAGACGATGGGGTTTTCTAAATATACAGTCATGTCATCTGCAAACAGGGACAATTTTACTTCCTCTTTTCCTAATTGAATACCCTTCATTTCTTTCTCCTGCCTGATTGCCCCAGCCAGAACTTCCAACACTATGTTGAATAGGAGTGGTGAGAGAGGGCATCCCTGTCTTGTGCCAGTTTTCAAAGGGAATACTGTAGGGAGACCCCCTGAAACTATTGCTACAGAATAAAAGATGAAATGCTCCTGATTACTAAAAATACAAAATTGCATGCAGGATTGTGTAAAGACAATGCCAGGTTGGACTGCCAGAATGAGCAAACAGTGCGTGATGTGCTTCCCCCTGCAGAGAGCCTATGAATGGACATGCAGTCAGGGAGGTTTCACATCACCAAGATTTCTATCCCGGAAAAGCAGATGTTCATAGCTCTGGGAATGGAATACGACCCTTGTGGAGCGCCTATAAACGACGCACGGGGGGGCGCTTGTCCATATGGATAAGATAGGGCTATAAACGCCTTCATCTTGCCATGGCTCTTCTAGGCATCTTTAGGGTTAAGGGATACTCCCTTCTGAGAATTTCTGGTCTAACAGGTTGTCTAGCTTCACGTCCTGTTTCCATGGATTGTTTGTTACCAGCTTTTGTTGCAATTGTTACTGCTGATTAGTATCTTGCTAATCATAGGTTATGGAAAGATTGTGTTTCTGTTTTAAGGCTCTGTTAGAAATTACTGATGCACACACTATATTGTAAATTCTTATCTCTGTATACTGTACTTCTACGTACAAATGTACTGTACTTCTACAT
The DNA here is from genome assembly GCF_000001405.40 of Homo sapiens. Classification (NCBI taxonomy): domain Eukaryota; kingdom Metazoa; phylum Chordata; class Mammalia; order Primates; family Hominidae; genus Homo; species Homo sapiens. The sequence goes on along the minus strand of NC_000009.12, from coordinate 3,110,607 downwards.
ACAAATGTTATGTTAAAGAATTACTTCATCCCCGTGTGACCATCTCACCTCACAATCAAATGACCCTAAATCCCTCACTAACCTACCCCTGCCCTCACTAAACTTAATAATAAATGCTGATATATCCAGTGCATTGTTGGCACCGTGGAACCAGAAGGCGGTGACCCCCCTGGACCCAGCTTTCACTATCTTGTATGTGTCTATTATTTCTCAACCTGCCAATCTGCCTGGGAACAAAGAGAGAGCCCTGTTGCATTGTGGGCTGCTGGCCAGATCCCGCAATAGAATGCTTCCAGTTTTTGCCCATTCAGTATGATATTGGCTGTGGGTTTGTCATAAATAGCTCTTATTATTTTGAGATATGTCCCATCAATACCTAATTTATTGAGAGTTTTTAGCATGAAGGACTGTTGAATTTTATCAAAGGCCTTTACTGCATCTATTGAGATAATCATGTGGTTTTTGTCTTTGGTTCTGTTTATATGCTGGATTACATTTATTGATTTGCGTATGTTGAACCAGCCTTTCATCCCAGGGATGAAGCCCACTTGATCATGGTTGGTAAGCTTTTTGAAGTGCTGCTGGATTTGGTTTGCCAGTATTTTATTGAGGATTTTTGCATTGATGTTCATCAGGGATATTGGTCTAAAAATCTCTTTTTTGGTTGTGTCTCTGCCAGGCTTTGGTATCAGGATGATGTTGGCCTCATCAAATGAATTAGGGAGGATTCCCTCTTTTTCTATTGCTTGTAATAGTTTCAGAAGGAATGGTACCAGCTCCTCCTTGTACCTCTGGTAGAATTCGGCTGTGAATCTGTCTGGTCCTGGACTTTTTTTGGTTGGTAGGGTATTAATTATTGCCTCAATTTCAGAGCCTGTTATTGGTCTATTTAGGGATTCAACTTCTTCCTGGTTTAGTCTTGGGAGGGTGTATGTGTCGAGGAATTTATCCATTTCTTCTAGATTTTCTAGTTTATTTGCGTAGATGTGTTTATAGTATTCTCTGATGGTATTTTGTATTTCTGTGGGAAAAGTGGTGGTATCCCCTTTATCATTTTTTATTGCATCTATTTGATTCTTCTCTCTTTTCTTCACTATTAGTCTTGCTAGCAGTCTATCAATTTTGTTGATCTTTTCAAAAAACCAGCTCCTGGATTCATTGATTTTTTTGATGGGTTTTTTGTGTGTCTATTTCCTTCAGTTCTGCTCTGATCTTAGTTATTTCTTGCCTTCTGCTAGATTTTGAATGTGTTTGCTCTTGCTTCTCTAGTTCTTTTAATTGTGATGTTAGGGTGTTGATTTTAGATCTTTCCTGCTTTCTCTGTGGGCATTTTGTGCTATAAATTTCCCTCTACACACTGCTTTAAATGTGTCCCAGAGATTCTGGTGTGTTGTGTCTTTGTTCTCGTTGGTTTCAAAGAACATCTTTATTTCTGCCTTCATTTCGTTATGAATCCAGTAGTCATTCAGGAGCAGGTTGTTCAGTTTCCATGTAGTTGAGCAGTTTTGAGTGAGTTTCTTAATCCTGATTTCTAGTTTGATTGCACCGTGGTCTGAGAGACAGTTTGTTATAATTTCTGTTCTTTTTCATTTGCTAAGGAGTGCTTTACTTCCAACTATGTGGTCAATTTTGGAATAAGTGTGATGTGGTGCTGAGAAGAATGCATATTCTGTTGATTTGGGGTGGAGAGTTCTGTAGATGTCTATTAGGTCTGCTTGGTGCAGAGCTGAGTTCAATTCCTGGATATCCTTAACTCTCTGTCTCATTGATCTGTCTAATGTTGACAGTGGGTTGTTGAAGTCTCCCATTATTATTGCGTGGGAGTCTAAGTCTCCTTGTAAGTCTCTAAGGACTTTCTTTATGAATCTGGGTGCTCCCATTTTGGGTGCATATATATTTAGGATAGTTAGCTCTTCTTGTTGAATTGGTCCCTTTACCATTATGTAATGGCCTTCTTTGTCTCTTTTGATCTTTGTTTGTTTAAAGTCTGTTTTATCAGAGACTAAGATTGCAACCCCTGCCTTTTTTTGTTTTCCATTTGCTTGGTAGATCTTCCTCCATCCCTTTATTTTGAGCCTATGTGTGTCTCTGCACGTGAGATGGGTTTCCTGAATATAGCACACTGATGGGTCGTGACTCTTTATCCAATTTGCCAGTGTGTGTCTTTTAATTGGGGAATTTAGCCCATTTACATTTAAGGTTAATATTGTTATGTGTGAATTTGGTCCTGTCATTATGATGTTAGCTGGTTATTTTGCTCGTTAGTTGATGCAGTTTCTTCCTAGCATCGATGGTCTTTACGTTTTGGCGTGTTTTTACAGTAGCTGGTACCAGTTGTTCCTTTCCATGTTTAGTGCTTCCTTCAGGAGCTCTTTTAGGGCAGGTCTGGTGGTGACAAAATCTCTCAGCATTTGCTTGTCTATAAAGGATTTTATTTATCTTTCACTTATGAAGCTTAGTTTGGCTGGATATGAAATTCTGGGTTGAAAATTCTTTTCTTTAAGAATATTGAATATTGGCCCCCACTCTCTTCTGGCTTGTAGAGTTTCTGCTGACAGATCTGCTGTTAGTCGGATGGGCTTCCCTTTGTGGGTAACCCGACCTTTCTCTCTGGCTGCCCTTAACATTTTTTCCTTCATTGCAACTTTGGTGAATCTGGCAATTATGTGTCTTGGAGTTGCTCTTCTCGAGGAGTATCTTTGTGGCGTTCTCTGTATTTCCTGAATGTGAATGTTGGCCTGACTTGGTAGGTTGGGGAAGTTCTCCTGGATAATATCCCGCAGAGTGTTTTCCAACTTGGTTCCATTCTCCCCGTCACTTTCAGGTACACCAATCAGACGTACATTTGGTCTTTTCACATAGTGCCATATTTCTTGGAGACTTTGTTTGTTTCTTTTTACTCTTTTTTCTCTAAACTTTTCTTCTCACCTCATTTCATTCATTTGATTTTCAGTCACTGATACCCTTTCTTCCAGTTGATCGAATCGGCTACTGAAGCTTGTGCATTCATCATGTAGTTCTTGTGCCATGGTTTTCAGCTCCATCAGGTCCTTTAAGGACTTCTCTCACTGGTTATTCTAGTTAGCCTTTCATCTAATCTTTTTTCAAGGTTTTTAGCTTCTTTGAAATGGGCTTGAACTTCCTCCTTTAGCTCGGAGAAGTTTGATCATCTGAAGCCTTCTTCTCTCAACTTGTCAAAGTCATTCTCCATCCAGCTTTGTTCCATTGCTGACGAGGAGCTGCGTTCCTTTGGAGGGGGAGAGGTGCTCTGATTTTTAGAATTTTCAGCTTTTCTGCTCTGTTTTTTTCCCCATCTTTTTGGTTTTGTCTACCCTTGGTCTTTGATGATGGTGACGTACAGATGGGGTTTTGGTGTGGATGTCCTTTCTGTTTGTTAGTTTTCCTTCTAACAGTCAGGACCCTCAGCTGCAGGTCTGTTGGAGTTTGCTGGAGGTCCATTCCAGACCCTGTTTGCCTGGGTATCAGCAGTGGAGGCTGCAGAACAGCGAATATTGCTGAACAGAAAATGTTGCTGCCTGATTGTTCCTCTGGAAGCTTCATCTCAGAGGAGTACCCAGCCGTGTGAGGTGTCAGTCTGCCACTACTGGGGGGTGCCTCCCAGTTAGGCTACTCGGTGGTCAGGGACCCACTTGAGGAGGCAGTCTGTCTGGAGTGAAGCAGGGCGAGGCATCGCCTCACCAGGGAAGTGCAAGGGGTCAGGGAATTCCCTTGTATAATGCTTCTTTTACACAACATAATATTTTTTAGATTCATCTGTGCTATATTGAGAACCAGTAGTTTGTTCAGTTTTTATTGCTGGGTTTTATGCCATTGTACTAATATACTGCAGTTTTTAAATATATTTTTATCAGTGGACACCTGGGCTCTGTCTAGTTTCTGGGAATTCTGAATAAATCTCCTATAAATATTCCTGTGCAAGACCTTTTTTGACATATATTTTTATTTGTCTGGGGAAAATACCTAGGATTGAAAATATTGGGTCACAGAGTGGGGGGATATTGAGTTTTGTAAGAAACTGCTAGACCTTTTCTTGTGATTATATCATTTTACACTCTTACTGACAATGCATAAAAGTTTTGGATGATTCACATTCTCACCATTAGTGTTCTCATTCTTTCTAATTTCAGTATTCTGGCAGGTATTTAATAGTATTTCTTGGTAATTTTAATTTAATTTAATTTTCCTGAGTCATGAGTAATAATGTTGAATACTTTTTCAGATGCTTATGCCATGTGTTTTTGATTTATTTTGTTTTTGTTTTTTGAGATGGAGTCTCACTCTGTCTTACAGGCTGGAGTGCAGTGGCGTGATCTCAGATCACTGCAACCTCCACCTCCCGGGTTCAGGCAATTCTCCTGCCTCAGCCTCCCGAGTAGTTGGGACTACAGGTGCACGCCACCACCCCCAGCTAATTTTTGTATTTTTAGTAGGGATGGGGTTTCACCATATTGGCCAGGATCTCTTGACCTCGTGATCCGCCCACCTCAGTCTCCCAAAGTGCTGGGATTACAGGCGTGAGCTACCACCACGCCACACCGTGGTTTTTTTTGTTTGTTTTTTAATTTAATTTAATTTGCTTTTTTGAGACAGAGTTTCGCCTTTGTTACCCAGGCTTGAGTGCAATGGCACGATCTTGGCTCACCACAACCCCCGCCTCCCAGGTTCAAGTGATTCTCCTGCCTCAGCCTCCCTAGTAGCTGGGATTACAGCCATGTGCCACCACGCCTGGCTAATTTTTGTATTTTTAGTAAAGACGTGGTTTGTCCATGTTGGTCAGGCTGGTCTCGAACTCCTGACCTCAGGTGATCCACCCACCTCGGCCTCCCAAAGTGCTTTGATTACAGGCATGAGCCACTGCTCCCGTCCTTTTTTCTTTTTTAAAAAACAACAACAACCACAAAAAAATTGTGTCATATCTTTTGCTCATTTTTGGGGGAGATTGTATTTTCTCATGATTGAGTTATGGGAGTATTTCATAAATCCTGGGTACCAGTACATTGTCAAATATATTTTGATAATGTTTTCTAGTCTGTGACTTGCCTATTAACATTTTCAAACTATTAAGTATGATGTTTCTTGCTGGTTTTTTTGTAGATGCCTTTTATCAGACTGAGAAAATTCTCTCTATTCCTAGTTTTCTGAGAGTTGTTACTTTCAGTGATTGTCAAATTATGTCATTTTTTTGTCTGTTGACATGATCATTCTTTAGAGTGTTCATGTGCTGAATTACAGTGATTGATTTTTGAATGTTAAAACAATCTTAAATTCCTGAAAAACCCTAATTGATCATGATGTATTGTCCTTTTTAGTGTACTACTGTATTCAATTTGCTTTATTTTGCTAAGAAATTTTATGTCTGTGTTCATGAGGGAAATTTGTCTGTAATTTTTAATTTTTGTTACAGAGTAGATTATGGTATTACAGTTTTTCTAGGGAAACTCAAAAATGACTTGGGAAGTTGATCCTTCTCTATATTCCGAAAGAGTTTATATGCGATTGGTGTTATTTTTTCTTTAAATGTTTGGCATTGAATTCACCAACAAAACCATCTGAGTCTGTGAGGGTAAAATATTCTTTGTGGACAGGTTTTTGATAACAAATAAAAGTTCTTTATTATATAGGGCTATTCAGATTATTTGTTTCCTTTTGTGTCGGCTCAGTAAGCTATATTTTTCAGGAAGCTTGTCCATTTCATCTAAATGGTGAATTTAGAGTATTTAAAAATAGATATATTCTTGGTATTGATTCTTACTTTAATTCTATGTTTTCAGAGAACACACTCAATATGATTTTACACCTTTTAGAATTTTTGAGACTTCATTTATGGCTTACAACATGGTCTATCTTGGTGTCTGCACATTGTATGCTTGAAAAGAATATGTATTCAACAGCTTTGGGGAGAGTATTCTGCAAATATTAATTACATCAGGGTAGCTGATAGCATTGTTCACATTATCTATGTTTTTACTTTTTGTTGGCCTTATTTCTGTCAATTTTTGCTTCATGTATTTTGAAACTTTGTTACTAGAAACATATACCTTTATGATTATGAAACAATATGATTATGATTATGAAACAATACCTGGTGAATTGACCCTATTATCATTATGAAATGATTTTTTTTCTGGTAGTCTGTTTTTCATGAAATATATTTTAACTATTATACACATAACCACTCCAAACTTTTTGGGCTTACTAATTGCATATATATATATATATATATATATATATATATATATATACACATATATATATATATACATACATATATATATATATATACACATATATATGTGTGTGTGTGTGTGTGTGTGTGTGTGTATGTGTTTGTATTTATTTCAACATATCTGTATCTTTGTATTTAAGTTACTATAGACAGCATATAATTGGGTTTTCTTTTTGAGTCCTGATAATCTCTGCCTTTTAATTAAAGTGTTTAGTCCGATAATATGATATAATATAATTATTTATATGGTTGGATTTAGGTCTGTCATTTAATATTTGCTTGTCCCCTCCATAGTTTGTTTCTCTTTTCCTTCTTTCTTGCCTTCTTTTGGATTATTTGATTATTTTAAAGAAATCCAGTTAAACTTATTCATTAACTTTATAGCTATGCCTCCTTTAGGGATTGATTAAGGGATTATAACATACATCTTAATTTTTCACAGCCTACTTAGTTGCTATTGTACCACTTTATGTAAAATGCAGAAAATTTGCACCTATATAGTTCTACTACTTTCCTATTGTTTATGTTTTATTTTGTATATCTATAACATCTGCATATATTATAATCCTCAGAAGATAATGTTATAATTATTGTTTTAAATCATAATGTATGTTTTGTTTTAAACTATAATGTATACAGAAATTAAGAGAAATGTAATATTATACATATATTTACCATTCCTGATTTTTAAAAATTTTTTCTGGATGCTTCAAGTTTCCATCGGTAAAATTTCCCTTCAGCCTTTATAACATTCTTCCAATTTTTAAAAATATTGCAAGTCTGCTAGCAACAAATTATTTGTTTTCCATTATTTAAAAATGTCTTACTTTTGCTTTTATTCTTGAAGAATATTTTCTTTGAATATAGAGTTTTAGGTATACCATACCAGTAACTATTTGTTTCCCCTTTCAGGACCTTAAAGATTGTTTTTTCATCCTCTAGTAAACTCCATTGTTACAGACAAGAGTAATTCAAATTGCTGTTCCCCCGTATGTTATGTTATTTTTCTTTGGCTACTTTCAAGGTTTCATTTTTATATGTACTTTTCATAAGATTAAATAGGCATGGTTTTTGATATTTTTCTTCCTTAGGATTTGCTGAACTTCTTGTATCTAACATTTTATGTCTGTGGCCAAATTTGGGAAACATCCAGTCAATATTTCTTTAAATATCTTCTCTGCTGTGTTCTTCTCTCTCTCTCCTCCTTCTAAAACTCAAATTATGTTTTCCCACAAGCCAATGAGACTTTTTTCACAACTTGTAAAATTTTTTTTTATATTGGATCATTTTGACCCATTACAAGTTCACTGTTTTCCTTTCATCTCATTCTATTAAAATGCCCATTCTATAATTCTATAAATTATTTCAGATATTTTCTTTTTTATGTCTTAGAATTTCCTTTTCTTCTTTGGATAGTTTCTATTTCCCTTAATATTCCCATCTTTTAATCCATTACAATTATATCCTCCTTTATGTCTTTGGGCATATGTAAATAACTGCTTTAAAATTTTTGTCTGCTCTTTCTGCATCTGGATCATCTTAGAGGCATTTTCTGCTGGCTGTCTTTTCTTTGAGAGTGGGTTACATTTTTCTGTTTACTTATAAGTCAAATTTTTTTTGTTGTTTCATCCTGAACATTGTGAATTTTATATTATGGAGACTTTGAATTTGTATTTAATGCAAGGAAGTAACTTGGTTGGATTCAAACTCCAAATTCTATCTCTTGGTCAGAAGCCTAAATCTCAGTTCAGTTTATTTCCCTTCAACTAAAGTGTTTAATGCTTGTCTCATACATGAATGGGTTACCTATCAAAAGGTGTTTGCATGGACTTTATCCACAGAATTGGCTCCCGTTCTCTAGCTCTCTTCTTTCTGGGATTATTCCTTCACTACCTGGCAGCTGTGGTTACCCTAAATTATGTCTTCTTGTTCTTCAGACTAGAATTATTGCACATTTGCTTTCAAAGCTTTGCCCACGCTGCATGGTACAGCCTGAAGTCTGCCCTCAAGCTAAAAGCTCTGACAATGGCACATGGTACTAATTCTAATGGGGCTTAGTCAATCATCATCAGGAATGCAACCTCATTTTTTTTTTAGATTATATTGTTGATGGGACAATATCACCATTGTATACAATTGCTGTTTCTATTCATTTATTTATTTTTACGAATCTTTACAAATTCAATCTAATTTATTTAATCCTTCTTTAGACAAAACTTGGACACCCAAGTGGAGGTATTCTACTAATGGTGGAAAAGCATAATGCTTACTCCCTAGATCTTCCTTGTCATCCTCCTTGCAGAAATATATTATTTCTAGTATATGTCTCATTTGATAGGTCTTATTCCTAGAATTTTTCTGTAATACACAAACTTGTTTTTCACATCTTAATTACCCTTAATCACATAGAGCTCTTTGTGCACCATTATATACATTTACATGGCAGTCAGCAAGAATTAAAGCCTATGATAATGAAAAAGAATGAGATACCATAAGCTCATTGAGGCTTCAAATATATGACCTGGGTCTCGTTAATATCATGCTGTAGACAACTAAGCTTGTCTGCTGTGGAAATCCCATTCTTACAGCAAGGATTTCATTTGTAGCATGGTACTCATAATAAGAATAATCTTAATGACAGCTAACGTTATTGAGTACTTACAATCTACCAGGCCCTGTGCAAGGGCTTTATATTTATTATTTATCTTAATCCTCATAACTGTTGTCATTCACGAAGAAGTTAAGTGATGTGCCAAGTCGTACTCAGAAAGAGGTAGAGTGAGATTTGAACCCAGAAATTGTGTCTTCAAAGTCTGTGATCTTAATTATTTACTAATTTTAGTCAATTTGTGTTTTGCTATGACCCTCTTCTTCATCTCCAATGCATTATGTGTCTGTATGGCCCATTATTGTAGCCCCCTACCTGTGGGCAACATCTTTGTCTTTTCTATTTTTGTCTCCCATTTAGGACAGATAACAGTGTCTTGCACATGGTGGGTATTCAATAAATGTGAGTTGCTTTTGTACTGTTATTGTACTCTATCACATCTGCTGTTCTAATCTCTCACTGCATGTCTACTTTTCCAACTTCCTTCCATCATGATGGAATGTTATTCTTTCTTTAGTTATGTGACTGTTTATCTCTCCAACTAAGCCATGTGATGTGTATTTTGTAAAGCACTTTATTGCCAGTACTTAGTCCCTTACCCTAAATATAGGACACAATCAATAAATGTATGTTGAATGAATAGTTGCAGAGGATATAATACTATAGCATAGGATGATGCAAGATTGTGTCCTTAATAGAATTTAAATTATGCTTAGTGTTTTGTATAAGAAGGTCATTTATTGATTTCTTCATGTTAGAGTCTAAACCTTGTCCACTAGCATACATATTTTATCTAACGGTCTTTTTCCAGAAAAAATTCATTAAGAGTTATTAAATTGGCAGGGTGTGGTGGCTCACCCCTTTAGTCCCAGTACTTTGGGAGGCCGAGGCGGGTGAATCACTTGAGCCCAGGAGTTTGAGACTAGCCTGGGCAACATGGCAAAACCCTGTCTCTAGAAAAAAATACAAAAAGTTAGCTGGACGTGGTGTCATGTGCCTGTAGTCCCAGCTACTTGGGAGGCTGAGGTTGGAGGGGCGCCTAAATCGGGGAAGCAGAGGTGGCAGTGAGCTGAGATTGCATCACTGCACTCCAGCCTGGGTGACAGAGTGAGACCTTGTCTCATAAAAAGAAAAAGTGAGTTATGGAACCCCTTCAAAAGTTTCAGTTCTTAAAGGGATACTTTACCTTCATGAAACATTGATTTATATGGGTCATATTTTTAGATATAAAATTAACACATTTAATATGCCGCATTGTTTATATGTTTTTTCACTGATTAACTCATTGAAAAATATTTTTGAGTTCCAATATGTGTCAGACTTGTGCTGAATTCTGAAGATACAAATATGAAAAAAATCAAATTCATTAATTGAAAAAGCAAGTTGCCTCCTAATTCACAATAGTGCCTGTAGACCTTTTCTCTAATTTTGACATTCATCTTGAATTTAATACCCTTTGTCTAGGTTATTTTCTATTTTCTAAAAATTAAATCTAAGAAAAACCCTGTTATTCCATTCTCTCAAGTCATTGGTAAAAATCACTATCAAATCACAGTGCTCTGTCTTTAAGCACTGTTCTCAGTGAATTCTGGTGAAAACACTTGCAATGTCCAGCTGGTGGTCCTCAGCACAACTCACTGAGCATCAATAAACATTCTGTAACTTTTGATTTTACTCTCAGACATTATGTGCATCAGTGCTACTGAGTCTTTACATGACAATAAGTTGTCTCTTAACAGAGTGGGCTCTAACAGGAAAGAGTGCTTTTGCTGGCTGGATTTTATGTGCAATAGACACTGAATAGATTGATAATTTCTGTTTGTAGTCTGTTGATGGAATTTTAAAGAAGGGAGAATAAAAGACCTTGCTTAGAGAACACTATGCTGTCTGTAGCTGTGTTGGTTTGGCACACACATTTAACCCATCTATTCCAACTAGGCCAACCTACATTTCTGCTGGCAAATGTTGAGTTTCTTTTTTAGGGAAGTGCTGGTAGGTCATGAATAGAGAATGAGCACAGAATGCCAATGAGAAAGGCTCTTTGGAAGAAAAAAAAGGAGTTTTGATAACACTCAAGAAGTGAAGCAAATTTAGCTAGAAAACTGGTAACTAGAGTTTCTATTAAAAATTTTCCAACAGTTAAACTGCATAGAAATGTGTATTAAAAACTTTCACTCACCAAATGACTCCATGAAAATATTGAGAAGTCATAAGTTTGAGTTTCTTCAAATGCCGACCATGAGATAAAGATTGGGTAAAAGTAGCTTATTTGGGAAATGATCTTACATAAAAGCAAAAACTACAACAAGGAAGTAGGGAAATGAGACAGAAAATGAAGGAAACCCAATAAAGTTCATGGGGTAACTGTGGCTCAGTTCCAAAGATCCCCTGAGAAATTGTACTGGACAGGCCTCAGAATTGTTTTACTGAGAACTGAGAAAACCAGATTATTTACCGACCATCTCCTGCTCCACATTTATGGAAAATTGTTCCTGAGGACATTCACTCCCTGGTGCTTCTAGCCTGCCTTGACTATGGGCTGAGCCTATTTCTGAACCAGAAGCTTCCATGCAAAGAGGCACAGAAACATATGCTAAAATGTCATTGGCACGAATGGGAAGCATCCACCAAGCTGCAAGTAATTGCTGGGCATAGTGTGGAGGACTGATGGCATGTGATACACAAAGTGTTACGGTATATCTCCAGTAAAGTTATTTTATCTGGAATATGTAAAGAACTCCTATGAATCAATAAGAAAAAGGCAGAAACCTCAATTTAAAAATGGACAAAACTTCAATAGGTTGTTCACTAAGGGGAGTATCCACATGGTAATAAATATGAGAAAAAAGTCCGCAATCTCACTAGTTATTAGGGGAATGAAAAGTAAAGCCATAATAATATATCATTACACACATACCACAGTAGACAAAATTTTAAAGCTGACATAAAATGGTGAAAATTTGAAGCAACTGGCCCTCTCATATACTCCTGATGTGAGTGTAAATGGATACAATCACTTTGGAAAAGTGTTTGGCAATTTAAACATACACATACCCCAGTGGATATATGTATAGTTTATGAAAATTTATTGAGCTGGATGCTTATGATTTATTCATACTTATTTTCTATGTTATATTTTGAATTTACTTAGAATATGATGTAGGATGAGAAGATGCATTTTTGGAACTTTCTTAATAGTGAAATAGTGAGTTTTTAAAATATTTTGGCTATAAAAAAGTATTTTACTGTTTTCCAGAAAACTTGCATGCTTTAATCTAAAAAAACCAAAGAAGGAAACAAGTATATAATGAAATTCTGATTAATTTTTTTCATATCATGATAATCAATAATCTTTTAAATAATTTGGACTTAATTTTATATAACTAATTTCTTCAAAAATAACAAATTTCTTTGAAATCTAATAACTTAGGCAGGCACTTAATTTGATCCAGTCAATAAAATAAACATGACCTTCTAATCCAATCTTTCTTTCTCTCTCTCTCTTTTTCTTTCAAGTATGTTCTTTTAGGTGATTTCTGATTTTTTTAATTGGGTTAGTAAGGTTTTATTTTATTCATAGATTTTTAATAGATCCGTTGAGAGAAATTTTATGAAAATACATAGGTTAGACTGTGGTTCTAAAGATGTCACATGTTCATTCTTGAATGGAACAATACTCTTAATGAGTCATGGGCCACAGGTAACATTTGTAGCCTCCAGTTGCTTTCTTGAAAATGCTGAGTATTGGCCCTGAGACATAAGGGCAAGGGTGTATATGCATCAGTATAAATCCAGGGTGTCCATATTACACTGAGAACTGCAATAATATAAACATTATGTGAAGAAGAGTTCATTTTATATAGTTAACCATAAAATGTTCCCATAGGAACATTTCCTAACTTGTTGAGCAGTTTTGAGTAGTTTTCAAGGGACTAACATTATTCATATATGCAGATCTCATTTAATGTGTATAATCTATAGAGATGCAAATTCAGTTTACTTAGAGGCAGACACTTAGCCAAGATGGACACTTCACTTATAATGGCATTTCCTTCTAAATAAAATGTGTATTGCTATCCATGTGATCTTCATAAATCTCAGTGTATTTTTGTGAGCCTTGCTAAAACATAATCGGCTTTGTGATCCCCCAGACCATTAATCATTAATTCTTTTTATTACTTCTGTTCTTAAATTCCTTCTTTGGTTTACATTATTTATTCATAATATGGTACCATCATTCATTCATTTAGTTGCCCATTCATTTATTCATAGCTTATCAAATATTTATTGATAGTTTACACTGCTGGAAATATAATTGTAGTTAGGTTATAATCTTGGGCCTCCAAGAACTCCCAATTCAGTAAGAAAGGTCAATAGATAATTGCATATTTGAAATGAAGTGAGCTAAATGCTCTAATACAAGACTCCACAAAGTAAAGTATAGTAAGAGAAACAGCTGTTCTGTTAAACTTTCCAGGCCAGGAAGGTTGGGTGGGATGAAGGGATTAGGAATAATTTATTTACTTATTTGTAGATTTTAGATACTTGGTCTGGGTCTGGTGAAAGAAGAATTCACCTGCTGTAAAAACTAAACAAGGCTGGGAGCATAACATGCAGTGTTTTAGGAATCATTTAATATAGCGGGAGCTACAGGTCACTCTAAGTAGTTTGTTATGAACAGATCACGATTAATAAAGAAGGGAGTAAAGATTAATAACAATAGCTACTTTTGAAGGTTCTCAGAAACTGTTCTTAATGTTTTGTGTATAAAAACTCTTTCTATCTTCTCAATAACCTGCATAGTAGTTACTGTTACTGCCTTTTCACAGATGAGGAAACTGAGGCCCAGAAGAGTTAAATATTTGTCAGGCGGCCAGTATATGGTACTTGGTGAAGCCAGAATTTGAACTCTTTAACTCCTATGCTGCACTGTCTCCAAAATAAGATAGAAGATTTGGAGAAAGAGACATTGGAGGCCCCGGGCCAATGAATTTTGAATCAGTACCATGTATGATGGAGGCCCTTCAAAGAGTTTTAAGGAGGGCAGTGCCATGATAACACATGTGTATTAGAAATTTCACTCAACATCTACGGAGAGGGTGAATATTAGGGAGGAATTTCAAAGGCAGGAAGATCAGCTATTTATTATATTTTCCCTATCTTATTCCAAAATTTATTTAAGGAGACAAAGGTTTAAGTAAGACATAGTAAGAAAAATAAATTATAAATAGAAAAAAGAGAAAGAGAAAAAATGGTAAAGCTATGAAATGGTACCAGTGTTATGTCAAAGACAGCAAACGTATGCTGCTGTGCTATATACTTGTTAAGGGTATACCACAAGTTTCACTTTAAGTTTTTTAGCCACCAGCATGAAAATGGATAAATAATCAATTCATGGTCTCTGTAAAATACATGGAAGGAAAGGTCAGCCAAAGGAGAGAGGTATAAAAGGAAGGATGGACATTTGATGTACATCTTTGGATGATTTGGCTTAATATAGAGGTAGACATTAGAATGTTAAGACTGGAAGCCAGTTTTTCATAAATATTACTCTTAGCCCAGGTTTTTTTTTTTTGAGACGGAGTCTCGCTCTGTCGCCCAGGCTGGAGTGCAGTGGCGGGATCTCGGCTCACTGCAAGCTCCACCTCCCGGGTTCACGCCATTCTCCTGCCTCAGCCTCCCAAGTAGCTGGGACTACAGGCGCCCGCCACTACGCCCGGCTAATTTTTTGTATTTTTAGTAGAGACGGGGTTTCACCGTTTTAGCCGGGATGGTCTCGATCTCCTGACCTCGTGATCCGCCCGCCTCGGCCTCCCAACTTAGCCCAGGTTTTAATAGCTATTGGGCAGCAGAGTTCAAAATTATGTTTCTGGATAAGTTCCTTTTGCACAGGCATTGATGTAGCCAGTTGAGTAAGGAGTCATATGGTTTAATTATCAACTGAGCTGGGCAGGCAATTGACATTCTCATATGAAAATGGTGGTGAAGAAGGTCTCATGCCTGAACGGAGCTAGTCTCCATGCCTTACCACCTTTCATGCACTCACGCACACGTATTTTGCTTGGAAGTGAACTGCAGGGTAGACGTTGAGGCTAGAGACTTAGGGTAAGATCAATATTATCCTAAGAAAAAAAATTTCTATATGTGCTAACATAGAGTCAATACGTGCAGACCAAGACCAAGAGTTCTACTCCATATAGTATGACCAAGTAAATTTTAATCTGGAAAAGTTATTAAAGCTAGTGCAACCAAATGTCTACCATTTCCATAACTCATTAAAAGCATTCAGAAGGCTAGATTTAAGCAGCATGAACTCCTGGTGTGTCCTCCAAGATTAATTATTTGTAAAATGTAAACCAAAGAGACTGAGTAGATAATGAACTGCATAGGACTGTTTGATATAAACCAATGAATGGTTCCTCTGAAGCTCTTTGTGGTGGCATTGTTTAGACAGTAGGATCAGTCTCTTAAAGCCCATCTTAATCATAATTAGTAAAAAAAAAAAAGTGTGTGTGTACATGCACATATACATGGGTCTCACTACTTCAAAAGTAGCATGATTTTAAAAATTTAAAAAGAAACAAGTTAAAAGAAAACTTTTTGTTTATGAGCAAGTATTGACAGAGTTGATTCCTCAGAACTCTGATTCTCTTGGTAGCTAAATAATGGGTCTACATTGAGAGTAAATAACTTCTAATCAATAACAAATCCCTGCCTCTAGACTCAAAGGACAAGGACAAGAAAATGGCAAAAGTCAGATACTCTTGCATTGATAATTTTAGACTTCTCTAGAAGTGCGACAGTATCATATGGTTTGAAGTGGAATAACGCTGGCGTTACCTCCTTGCCCACTTTTCCACCTTTTTTCTTGTTTTTGGCTAAAGCACTGGCCTAAGAAACCTGGGTTTACAACTTTGCCAAGCAAGGGGCCAGCATATATTAATAGTTCAGAAAATACGTCCTCAAAGATAAGAAAGCATATAATTCGGAGGAATTTTTTAATGCCATTTTTTACTGGACTCAGATAGTTAATTGGGAGAATTTTATCAAATCTTTAAATATCCTTAGACAGATATTTCCAATGTTGTTAAAACCGTTACACAGTTGGAACATTTTGGTCAACTTCCTAAGGCACTGTATTCATTTTCATGAGGTTAACATGTCACTGATTGCCAAAATATGTCAAAAAGAGCAAAGCCACCATAGGCTAATCTTCCATAGAAGTAAAAATGTAAAAACTTAACAAATAATCTGTGCAAAAAGAATTCTTGGTCTTTGTCCGCACATATTGATTCTATGCTAGAACATTAAAATACAGAAGTTTAGTAAAATAATAATAATAGCCATCAGTTTATCAAAGAAATACAGGGATAATTTAACATAGAATGCCTATTAATAAAATCTAGCACTTAGTATATATTAAGACTAAAGGAAAAAAATAAATAGATGGCAAAAAGTAATAAATTTAATCTTCATTGTGTTAAAATATTAGTTAAACAATATTTTAAAACTCCATTAGCATGTTGAAGAATTTATATCATAAGTTTATAGCAAACATCACATTAAATGTTGAAACTATTGAGATATTAATATTAGATTAATAAGAGATTAATCTAATATTCAAAGTGTGACATAGATGTACTCTCACCATTATTATTTCATAGATGGTGCCATTGAAGTGTTTCGGTTTTTGCCGTGCTTAAGAACTGCATTTCAGGAAGGAGATAAATACTCAATAGTTACTGTCATACCCACGTTCTGTAACTCGTTAAGATTACAGACTTTTTCAAAAAATAACAGATGCTGGGGAGGTTGTGGAGAAAAAAGAATGCTTATATACTGTTGGTGGGAGTATAAATTAGTTCAGCCATTGTGGAAGACACTGTGGTGATTCCCCAAAGACCTAAAACCAGAAATATGATTTGACCCAGGAATCCCGTTACTGGCTATTTACCCAAAGGAATATAAATTGTTCTGTTATATACATACATACACATGTATTTTCATTGCAGCATATTCACAATAGCAAAGACATGGAATCAACCTAAATGCCCATCAGTGATAGACTGGATAAAGAAAATGTGGTACATATGCACCATGGAATACTATGCAGTCACAAAAAAAGAACGAGATCATGTCCTTTGGATGATAGACTGGATAAAGAAAATGTGGTACATATACACATGTATATGATCATGTCCTTTGCAGGGACATGGATGGAGCTGGAGGATATTATCCTTAGCAAAACTAACACAGGAATAGAAAACCAAATGCTATTTGTTCTCACAAGTGGGAGCAATATGATGAGAACACATGGACACATATAGGGGAACAACACACACTGGGGCCTATCAGAGGGTGGACGGTGGGAGGAGGAAGAGGATCAGGAAAATAACTAACGAGTACTAGGCTTAATACCTGGGTGATGAAATAATCTGCACAACAAACTCCCATGATGCAAGTTTACCTATATAACAAACCTGCACAGGTACCCCTGAACTTAAAATTTAAATTAAAAAAGTGTAGATGTCTTATTTTCCTTTAAAAAATTTTTAAGAGTAGTTTTAGGTTCAAGGCAAAATTGAGAGGAAGGTACAGAGATTTCCCATACGCCACCTGCCCCCAACACATGCATAGCCTCACCCATTATCAACATCCCCACCAGAGTGACACATTTATTACAATCGATGAACCTACATTGACACATCATTATCACCTAAAGTCCATACTTTACATTAGGATTCACTCTTGATGCTGTACAGTCTACGAGTCTGGACAAATGTCAAATGTAAAGTGATAGGTAGCCACCATTATAGTTCATACAAAGTATTTCTATTGCCTTAGAAATCCTCTGTGCTTTGCCTATTTATCCCTTTTTACTGCCTCCATAGTTTTGCTTTTTCATGTAATTGGCATCATATGGCATGCAGCTTTTTCAGACTGGCTTATTCCAGTTAGTAGTATTCATTTAAGTTTACTCTGTGTCAATTCATGGCTTGATAGCTGATTTCTTTCTGGCACTGAATAATATTCATGTCTGATATGCCACAGTTAATTTATCCATTCACCTATTAAAGGACATCTCCGTTACTTCCAAGTTTTGGCCATTATGAATAAAGCTGCTGTAAACAGTCATGGAAAGGTTTTTGTGCAGATATAAGTTTCCATCTCGTTTGGATAAATATAAAGGAGTATGATTGCTGGATCAAATGATAAGAATATGTTTTGTTTTTTAAGAAACTGCCAAATGCCTTCCAAAGTGGCTGTACCATTTTGCATTCCCACCAGCAATGAGTGATAGTTCCTGTTGCTTCCCATCCTCATCAGCATTTGGTGTTGTCAGTGTTCTGGAATTTGGCCATTCTAATAGATATGTAGTTGTATCTCATTCTTATTTTAATTTGCATTTCTCTAATGACATATGATATGGAGCATCTTTTCATATGCTTACTTTCATCTGTTTATCTTCTCTAGTGAGGTGTCTGTTAAAGTTTTTTGCCCATTTTAAAAATCAGGTTGTTTTCTTATGGCTGAGTTTTAAGAGTTCTTTGTAAGTTGTGGGTAACAGTCCTTTATCACATATGTCTTTTGCAAATATTTTCTCCTGTGGCTTGTCTTTACACTATTTTTTATTTCCTGCATGGGTACAACCTAAGGACCTTTCCAAACATCACACTGTGATCAGCAGACAAGGCTCTGTGACTTCCAGGGAGAGGAGGAGCTCTGTGATACTCCTCAGCAAAGGAGAAATGGATCTTGAGTTAGTCAAGGTCAAAAAGACTGTTTGAAATTTGTGCAAATAATATACATTTGAAAATAATATAACCATATGCTTAGGCTCAATCATTTTCTTGGGATAGATTCTTTCTACTGACATTGTTGTATTAGGGGGGAGCTGAATTTTTCATTAATGGACTGATAGTTGTTTTTAAAATTTGAATCTTCACATGCAAAGAAGCATTTTTCTTCTAAGTCTGACCATTTACTCAACTATTACTTTATTAGAGCAATTCTGCAATAACAGGAAAGATTCTTTAGGAATTTAGACTTAATTAATTTCTGATTGGTAAATGACCAAATTCATCTATTAAAAAAGTCAGCCTGACTTTGTTGTAGTCATTAAAATTTTAGGCAATAAAATAATTTAAAAAAAAACAAGTAGAAAGGAAAACACAAAGTTATTGCCTTACAATGTTAGATTGTTTACTTAGAAAAGCTAAGAGAATCAACTGAAAACAATCATAGGCATAATAAGAAAGTTAGTAAAATTAGCACATAAAGGAAAAAGAGGCCCCAAATAAGTATGTTAATGGAGAGCTTCCAATATATGAACACATAAAAATGTCAGATAGTGATAAAGCTATGTGGAGACTTAAAATAGGATTATGTGATAAGGAGTCACTGAGAGATGATTTAAGACAAATTGGCCAGGGAGGGCCTTTATTAGGGGGTGATGTTTAAATTGAAGTCTAAATGCAAAAAAGGAGCCAGTCATTAACAAAAGGACTTCTCACCTACATAACACTGAATTAATCAATCAATCTATGTTGATTTAAGTTGCTAACGTAGAAATAGAGAAGTAATATATTGGGTGTGTCAATTTTTTGAATTGAGAGACGTGCAGATGTGGGCTAATTAGAGGTCAGCTAGATTTCTGTTACAAAAGAAGATGAGACAGCCGGGCTCGGTGGCTCATGGCTGTAATCCCAGCACTTTGGCAGGCCAAGGCAGGTGGATCACCTGAGGTCAGGAGTTCAAGACCAGCCTGACCAAACCAACATGGTGAAACCCTGTCTCTGCTAAAAATACAAAATTAGCCGGGTGTGGTGACACATGCCTGTAATCCCAGCTACTCAGGAGGCTGAGGCAGGAGAATTGCTTGCACCTAGGAGGCTCAAGCAATCAGCAGTGAGACAAGATTGTGCTACTGCACACCTGCCTGGGCAACAAGAGCAAAACACCATCTCAAAAAAAAAAAAAAAAAAAAGAAGGAAAAAGAAGATGAGGGGAACTTCAGAAAAAAAGTGGAGGTAATTGAGGAAAAGAAGAGTCTACTTCAGGGGTGTCGATGACCATTGAATTATGGAACACCAGGTCAAATCACTGAAAGACCTACAATGCTTGAAATCCTAGTGCTACATAAGGTAATGGCAGTGTGAGGCATAATGGGACAAATCCTGAACACGAGCAAAGTGGGCAATCAGCTGGAAGATATGGGGCCAGTGGGCCACTGCTCTCTTCTACAGTTCCTAGTGGTGTAGCAGCAAAGAGATAAGAAAAGTTCTCTTGGGGGAAACTGCTGTTCTCTGAGTGACTGAGACTATGAGATAGTGTTTCAGCCTTTCTGGAAAGGTGGTGTGGTAGTCTGGGAGAGAAGTGATCTTGTTAGAAACAGGAGGATAGGAGCCGCCCCTTCCTTGTAGGGAGGATAGAGCGTGGAGAGAAACAATACACTAAGAAACACTGCAGACACTAAATATCGTAAAAATGTAATTGGCCTTAGTTTATAAAGCAAAGGAAGTAAACTTTCCAGGTACGTTGCGTCTCCATGCTTCCAGTCTTGCAACCCTTCAATCTACTTCTTAAAATCCTTCAAGTATAGCTAAGAGCACACCTGCTGGGGAAACACTTAAAACTTTCCTCCAAAGACTGAGAGCAACACAAAGATGTCTGTTTTCACCAGTTCTATTCAACATTGTGCTGGGGTTCTAGTCAAGGCATTTAGACAAAAAAAGGAAATAAAAGGCATCCAGAGTGAAAAGGAAAAAGTAAAATTATCTCTACTTGTATACAGAAAAAATCCACTGGTACCCATAAAAAACTTCTAAGATCTAATAAAGTAGTTCAGCAAGTTTGTAGGATGTAAGATCAAGGACATAAGTAGGATGTAAGAATCAGTTGCATTTCTCTACAATAGCTATGACAAATCTAACAGTGATATTCAAAAAATTCCAAATTATTTGAATAAAAGAAAAAATATTTAGAAATAAATTTAACAAAAAATGTGAGACTTGTACACTAAAAACTACAAAACACTTTTGAAAGAAATTAAATAAGATATAAATAAATCGAAGACACCTCATGTTCATGGATTGGGAGACTTAATATCTTTAAAATGAGGATACTCTTGAAATTTATCTACAGATTCAGTATAATCCCTATAAAAAATCCAACTGACTCTTGCAGAAAGGGATAAGTTGATCCTAAAGTACATATGGAAATGTAAGGGGCCTGAAATACACACACAAAAAAAGCCTCAAACAAACAAACAAACAAACAAACAAAAAGTTGGAGGACTCACAGTTCCAAGTTCTAAAACTTACTACAAAACTACTGTAATCAAGACAGTATAATACTGGCATAAAGATAGACAATAGACTGGAATTGGGAGTCCAAAAATAAATGAATATGTCTATTGATTTTTGGGAAAGGTGACGAGTCAATTTAATGGGGGAAAAGAAAGCCTTTTCAGCAAATAGTTCTGGGACAACTAGATATCTGAAGAAAGTAACTTGGATCTGTTCATTATAGCAAAAAATTAACTAAAAGTAGATGAAAGGCCTAAGTGTAAGAGTTAAAACTTTAAAACTTTTGAAAGAAAACATAGGACTAAATCTTTGTGAGTTTGGATTTCATGGTGGTTTCTTAGATATAATACCTAAAGCACAAGCCACTAAAGAAAAGACAGATAAACTGGACTTGCTGAAAATTAAAAACATTTGCTTTGAATGGCCATTTCTCCAAAGAAAATATAACATGACCAATAAGCACATCAAAAGATGCTCACTGCCATTAATCATTAGAGAAATGCAAGTCAGAACCAGAATAAGATACACTTCACTCCCATTAGAATAGCTATAATAATAATAATAAACACAAATGGACAATGATTAGTGTTCGGGAGGATGTGGAAAAATTGAAAGCCTCATACATTGCTGGGGGTAATGTAAAATGGTGTGAACCTAGTAGAAAATAGTTTGGCAGTTTCTTAAAAATTTAACAGAGAGATATCGTATGACTTAGCAATTGTACTCCTAGATATATTCAAGAGAATCGAAAACATATGTTCAAGCAAAAACTTATACAAGAAGGTCCATAGCAGTGAAGTGGTGTCATTGTCTGGAGTAAATACCCAAGGTTCATTATCTCACGCCAAGGAAATCAAGGATGAGACACACAAGAAGTGAGTTTAAGAGCAGGGGTTTGGTAGGTGAGAGGAAACAGAAAAAGCGAAAAGCTCTCTCTCCTGCAGAGGGAGAGGGGCTCCCGAGCCGGTCTTCCAGCCTGTGGTGAAGTGCAGGAGTTTTTATAGATGAGCTTGAGGAGGCGGTGTCTGATTTACATAGGGCACGAGAGATTGGTTAGACCAGGTATGCCATTTGCATAGTGTGTGAAGGAGCTGGCCGCCCCACCCTAATCTTTTATTATGCAGATGGGTTCTCTACCTGGCTGGCACCACGATGCCTGTTCCTTTATTGCACAAGTAGTTGACAAGGAAAAGGGAAGATGGAGCCTCCATGTTGAACCTGCCTGGCCCCCAGCTAGCCTTTTCCTGTTGGTACAGCTGGCGGCATTCACCCATGCAAGCTTCGAACCTGCTTGTCTACATCTGCGGCTCGATTTTACAGGCTGCTTTTTGTTGAAAAGAAATGATCTGGGGGCAGCTTTTTGTTAAAGGGAAGCCTTGCCGAGGACTCCTTTACCCTTACTAACTGCCTAAATAATTTCTTTTTAGCTCCTGCATTATTTCCCCTCTCAGGAGTGGTAACCCTAACTGCTGTTAGTGGGTGTTGGATAATGACTCTTCCTGGCTACTTCCTGCTGAAAAGAGGCTTAGTGTGGGAAACGGTAGCTAGGGCTCCTCCTGAGGTTGATCTAAGTAAGGGTCCTTGAAAGAAAGGCGTGTCCATGTATGGTTCAGTCTGCAGCACCATTTGGAGTTTGATTTCTTCTAGGCAAGAGGAAACAATTCGAGTTATAGTATTGAGTATACAAGGTCCAAATATTAATATAAGACATATGAGCAAGAGGGGGCTTAATAAAGTAGCTAACCAATTTCGCAAGGAAGACTGGAGTTAATTAAAGAGAGATGGTAGCCACGTAGGGCTGGAGCCAGCATTTTTCTCTTAACGTGTCAATGATTCTAATTTGATTTTTAAGCACCCGTAGGTTTTCTTCTACTTGACTAGAGGTGTTCATCCAGAAGCAGCATGTTTCATTTAAAATTGCACAGGTACCCCCCATCTCAGCCGTAAGGACATCTCCAAGGCCCATCTATTTTGTGCTACTACATAGGCTAAAGAGTTTATGGATTGTTGTACTTCTTTGGCCCCTACTATTGCCTTCCATCCTCATTACATCATAATGGAACTATTAAGTACTGATCTTTCAAGGAGAGGAATACCAGCAAACCAGAATAGGCCTCTGGCTATAGAGTTCCCCATCCATGGTTTTTCTAAGATGGGATTGTCATGTGCATGCCCCCACCCCAGTCTTCTCTTTCAGTTACATCTCCATAAGAGGCCATGAAAATGATAGATCTCTTTGTTCAGCATATCTGAGATAGTGCACTCTTTATAAAAGAGCCTAGGTTAGGCCGGGTGCAGTGGCTCACACCTGTAATCCCAGCCCTTTGGGAGGCCAAGGCAGGCAGATCACAAGGTCAGGAGTTTGAGACCAGTCTGGCCAACACGGTGAAACCCTGTCTCTACTAAAAATACAAAAATTAGCCAGGCATGGTGGTGGGTGCCTGTAGTTGCAGTTACTCGGGAGGCTGAGGCAGGAGAATTGCTTGAACCCAGAAGGCAGAGGTTGCAGTGAGACGAGATTGTGCCACTGCACTCCAGCCTGGGCGACAGTGCAAAACTCCGTCTAAAAATTAAAAATATAAAAAATAAAAAAAGAGCCTAGGTTAGGTGTGTCCCCAGATGATGCTGCCATGTCAGTGGAATTTAAAAATAATACATTGAGAACCACTGCTACTATAGTGCAGGTTCCCTTCCAGTGCCTAGGGCGGATTAAGTGTAGCCAGGAGCCACAAAGGAAATACAGCCCTGTCCCTTGAAGGGATGGTTCTAAGTTTTGGCTTGTGAGGGACACAGGCAGATCTTTCTCATATCTTAGAAGCTTCGCCTCTTACAGAAAATAGGAGCATCTTTGGGATAGGGATATCCATACTCAGGATAGTCATTCAGAATGCTGCTTGGAATGTTACATGCTAAATGAGAAGGGTACACCTGACAAAGGGAGTTTTGAAAAATTAGGAACATAATATGCCGTGGCCAATATCTCAGATAATCCTTGCAGCAAGAGGTGTTGGTCCAGACGTCTCCTGTTCACCCACAGATTTGTAGGCCACTACTATTTGCAAACATCATACAGGGGTCTGGAATTTCATGAGGGGGCACGTCAGAAGAGGCCCATATGTTATTCTTTACATTATAGTACCATGTGTCAAGGTGGTTACTTAGAGCATGACATCCCCATCAGGACTTCCAACCAGGAGGAGGTGCTAGATTCTGAAAGCCCTTTCCCCTCCCACATCCCCCGCATAGGGCTTCCAATCCTTTTAGATCACCCCTATTGCATTTTCCTCCCCTGATCTCTGAGTTACCAGCAATTACAAGTGTGATGTTACAATATATGAGATATCCCAGGTATGGTCCTTCCCCGCTGCTTTTAAAGCAGAGGGAGGCATTTGCTGTGATTCGGTCAACTTTTCCCAGTCTAAGGGTATGAAGCTTATCTTTGGGGAGAGTGTTTCCTGGCACAGACGTTTGTGGGGAGCATTTTCCTGAGAGGAGTTAGTTACCCAGTTGAATGTGCTCCTATACCATGTCCCAGTTATGCCTGATAAGTCTTCAAGGGCTAAAAGTAAAGCTAAAAAAGGGAATCCTAGGACAGTAAGTTCTGGGTCATTGAGAGGTTCCTTATTGTTATTGAACTGAGCAAACTGCTCAGAACAGACCCAGCAATTACTCTTCTTGTACAAAAGGGCCATGGCTGATATCATCATAGGAGCTAAAAGGTGTAACAGATCACTAAATCCAATAAAAAATCCTAGCAGACTCAGTGATAGTAAAACCTGCATGTTCACTTCTCTTCAGTAACTATTATCCCTGCTATAAGGATAATAATTAAGCAAAATCCAAGATACAGAATTTCCCTTTGGGAGTCTATAAAGTTACAAATGAAATCCCATGGATAATCTCCCCACAAATATGTGTCAAAAAGAAACTCCAATATTTGACAGCGAATCTCAAGAGGAAAAGTAGAAATGACTGAAAGTGTCTGGTAAGGTAAGGTGGGACTGAGTAGGATGAGTAGCCCTTACTCATTTATTTGTCTTTTATGATTTTCAGTGTAAGATCTCCTATTTCTTTGCATTGATATCTGGGGTATTCCTCTGAGCTGTCAGGGGTTGCTCTCTCAGCTTTCCAATCTTTGACTTGAGTGTGATGTATCCAAGAGTCAACTCCTGAAACTTTTACCACTGAAGGTGTGGAAAGGAGAATGGTGTAAGGCCCTTCCCAGCTTGGGCTTAGGGAAGGAGAGAGAGAGAGAAGGGAGAGTTTTCACCAATAGCAAATCTCCTGGGTTAAACAAAGGTGGCCCTATTTCTTGGAATTGGACTTCTGCTAGTTGAGTTAATTCCTGTTGAAAGTGAGCCGGGGGCCAGGCATGGTGGCTCACGCCTGTAATCCCAGCACTCTGGGAGGCCGAGGCGGGCGGATCGCAAGGTCAAACTGGATCAGGACATTCTCACTTCTTTGTGTAGTAATTTTTTAAGCCTTAATTTAGAGTTTTCTCCTGCAAGTCTCCTGGAACCCCTGCCCTCTTCTCCAGATCTGGGCAGGGGCTCTTTTTCTGTGCACACTCTCACCATAACGCTATTCATATCGCAACACTTGACTTGCAAGTTGAGGTTATGAACACCTTGAAGCACAACTTCTTCCTGCTCTGTGTTATCCTCTTAGTTAGCAGAGAATGGCACATTACGGGGCTCCATCAATGCTTGCAGAATTGAACTAATGCCTACAAGCATTCATTCCTGCTAATATTTGTGTAACATTATATAAGGACTAAAGATCAGCTTGAGAAAGGAAATTAAAATACCAGAATATACCTTAGAGAAAAACGAGTAAGGTGGGGCTCTGTTAATAGGTCCATTATGGAGAATAATTATTTCTTAATTTGTTACCCCTCCAGAGTAACTTAAGGGCTTGCAGAAATGAGAAATATTTTCCACAAAACTGCAAATATGGTAAAATTAGGGCTTATCTTAATCTACTTATACAAAGAATAGTGTCTAATAAATGAAGGGGATCTAAGTTTAAAAATTTGTATGATTTGATGATTAGCTGGTAAACACATCCAAAGTTACTATTAAGTAATTTTCTGTTTATTGCCAAATACTACTTTAAACCTATATTATATGTATGTGTGGCATATTTTTATGACCCTAAATGTGTATGCATACATACATGTATTTTAGGACTGACTATTTCAAAAGCTGAGGATCTACAGTCTGAAAAGCCTGGTCCTCACAAGATGTCACAGTGATAGAAACTAGGTTAGAAATATGTCAGAGAAGAGAAAATAGGATAAAGAAAATTTTGGCCTCTGTGATTTCAGAAAGTGGCTTTAGTATGTAGGTAGGTGGACACTCAGGGTCTCTCATCTGTGCACAAGTCTCAAGTTCTGAATTTATTAGAAAAATTTAACAGGTGAAGACAGTTAAGGAAAAAAACTTCATAGAAACAGGATAAAATGGCAATTTTGTGAGGATAGGGGCTGGGAGAATTGGGAGATGTTGGTCAAAGGACACAAAATTTGTTAGGAGGAAGTTCACGAGATCTATTACACATCATGGTGACCATAGTTTTAATGTATTCTATACTTGAAAATTACTAAGCGAGTAAATTTTCAGTGTTCTCACCACACTCACACATACACACAAATAATTATGTAAGGTAATGCATATATAAAATAGCTTGATTTAGCCATTCCACAACGTACATATATATCAAAAAATTATGTTTTACACCATATAGACAATGTTTACTTATCAATTAAAAAAAGAAAGATACTAATAGTTAAAGAGGCTATCAGGTCCAGTAAATATAATGTGCCACTAAAGTAAATGAATGTAAAATACGTACTAAGGGCAGTTTTCCTATAAAGAGTAAGATAGGAATTTCAATGATTTAATAAATTCATCATCAGTTGTCCCCCCACAAAAAAATAAGAAAAGTAAAAAGAAGAAAAAAGCAGGTGGTCAGTTCAGGAAAGCTCACAGCTCAAAATACAGCATGGCAGTTTTAACTAAAAGTGAGTTTGGAAGATATGTATATAGACCATACTATTTATGAACTTACACTCATGTTTTTGGGGAATCTGTGAATTTTTAGGGAAATGTGGGAAATCAAGAACACTCAGCCTTGATTTTCTCATTTTTGAGGATGCACTTACCAAATTCAGTGTCAAATACTTTCTAATAATTCCCTAGAGGGCAAAATCTTAAGGCCTTATGCATACATGAGATTCACTTTCTGTGGCTTTCCATTTAAAATAGTACTAAGTTATTATTACCACTTCAAGGCATATGAGATATATGCTATATTGCTCTTTCTTTTTTGTAGAAATAACTTTTTTTGTCTTTTCTTACTAAAGAACAATGCATGTTAATTACTGGAAAAATTTTCATATGGAGACAAGCGAGAAGATAAATCATAATTTTACCTACCAAGAAAAAAAAACCACACTTTTAAAGCTTCATTGGCATGCTTCCAGACACTTTTTTGAAATGTATATATTTTTTCCTTATAGAGTTGTGTAAAACATTTTATTGTTTCGAAATACATGAGGAACAACTATCTGTGTTAACATTTTTGGCAATTTCATGGTATTCCTTTATGTAGAAGAACTAAAATCTATTTAATTAATCCCCTATTGCTTGACATTTAAAATTTTCTAATTTTTCAAAAGTGCAAGCAGCACTGTGATGAATAGAATTGCAATTAAATCTTTCCACACAATCTATATTGTATTCTGAGGATAAACTCACCAAACTGAAATTACTAGGTCAAAGGGCATGATTATTTAAAAACTTTTTATATATATTACCAAATTACCCTTATAAAATATTATATCATTTACCCTCTTATTGTATGAGAATGCTATTTCTCTGCATCTTCACCTACTCTCACTAAAATACTGAAAAATATCTTTACAAATTTGGTAGACAAAAGCTGTTATGTAACTCTTCATGAGCCTTTAAAGATATTATCCTTTTGTCATGTATTACAGCCTATTTTCCAGCTTGCAATTTGTCTTAAGTTTGTGTGCTTTTTAGGAACATGTTGCCAAAGGTATTCGGTTCGTTTTTCATGGCTATTGCCTGTAGTATCATGCCTGGAAAATATATAGTTATTATACAGCCCAAGTCGATATAGCCATTTACCTACATGTTATGTTTTTATGGTTTCATTTTTTTCTTCAAATGAATCTTTAATCTACTGATACTTATTTTGGGGGAAAAGTAACAGGTAAATATGTAATTATTTTTATTTCTCAAATGTTTATCCAATTGTCTCAACACAATAATTGAACAAATAATGCCATCCCCACTTATTTGTGTTCTCTAAAGTTGAAAAGTAATTCAAATTATTTGAAAAATTTCATTGTGTTTTATAAAAACATACTGATCTAAATATTTAATCATCTTTTTGTGGCTGCAGTAAAAATGCAAGTGCTGTATCAGATCACATCCCTTAATGCCTTTTATAAAGGGACTTTTGATTCCTTTCTAAAGTGACAACGTGGAGCTAAATTATCATTTCACTGACAGTGGGGACCCTCTGAGATAGTCATCTTGTCACTCTTTCTTTAAACCTAGGATTTCTTGAAAACTTGCAAGGAAAGTTTTCCTGCATTAGAAGAGCACTAGAAAAACATTGCCTAGTTGCTCCCTAATTGTGAAAGAACAATGAAAATGTTCTACATTTTAAAATTCTAAATGGGTTATCTGTCTACTTAGTAACCACTTTGAAAAATGAAACATTAGCTGCTTTTGCACAGATTAAAAAAACCTTAGTGCTATTAAGGAAACCTGGAAATGCCTCCAAAGTCATTGATTATTATGATAGCAAGTGGAACATACAGCTAAACTCACTCAATAACTGATTAGATTGTTTCTTGTTTTGCCTTTATGCACACAAAAAAGCAAAAACATTAAATTATCTATTCCTCAAGGGTAATTGAAGCAGTCATTGAATTAAGCCTAATTTAATGGTGTTAGAAATTACTTTTGAATGGGACAGAGATTTACTCAAATGTCTAATAGCTTTAATAGTATTTCCAAGTGTATGTTCACTTCTTAGGGATTCTATTTTTCAAAAAGCAAAGGTGCTGAGAATATATACATATATGTTACAAAGGAATGAATTAGCATAAAACAATAAGAAAATAATATATGTGGTATGGTATAAAAAACAGGATAAACAACCCTCACTTTTGGATGGTTGGAACAGTTTTTTTTCAAACTTTCTTATTCATACACATCACCCTGGGATCTTGATATACATGTTCTGACTCAGTATCCGGGGTGGGGTCTGAGATCTACCTTTCCAGCAAGCTTCCATGTAATGTGACGCTAATGGTCATGGAGAACACTTTGAGCAAAAGTAAAGGAATTTCAACAAGGAATTCGAGTTCTTTTCAGCTCTATGATTGTAGATTTAATTAACAATAAGAGCTTCTTCATTTAGTTGTTGAAGAGATACCTTGGATCTAATTTTTCCAAATATATTTCTGTTTTAATTATCTATGCTAACATCTAGAATCTTGACCGTCAAACAAATTACCACCTGAAAGTAATAAGGAAGGTGATTGTGTGTTCTCAGATTTCTCCAGGTAGAAATGGGAAAGCTACAACATAGCCAACAGAACCTTGCTAGTGCTGAGCAATGAAAATGCAATTATAGCAAATCCAAGGACAATGTGTACAATCTCTTAGATTACGTAAAAAATGCCAGTCACTGTGGAGTATCTCTGCAGTAAGCTCCCTAAAGTACACATGAGCTGCTTCTGATTGGCCAAGAGTTTCAAAAGGCCTGACCATTCTTTGGTCTCTTCTCTAATCTATGGTAATCACTATTGGTGTGCGAAAGAGGGTTTGTGAGGGAAATCTGTGTGTATATAAACTGGTGGATGATTTTAGGTTTTTTTGAATAAGTGTTTTAAGGCAAATGAAAGCAACTAAAGAAAATTTTAACTTTGCAGATTTCCACTTGCAAGGAGTGGAAGACGTTAAAGTTCTAGCTCCAGATCTGCTGTGAACTAACGACACAGTCATAAAATCACTTTACTCCCTGAGCTTCAGGTCCAAATTTTAAATGAGAAAGTTGAAGGAGATGACCTCTGGTGTCTTATACAGCTTTAAAGTCAATGATTTCATGGAAAGAGCTTGGCATAAAACTTAAACTTGGGGCCGGGCGTGGTGGCTCATACCTGTAATCCCAGCACCTTGGGAGGCCGAGGTGGGCAGATCACCCTGATGTCAGGAGTTCAAGACCAGCCTGGCCAACATGGTGAAACCCCATCTTTACTAAAAATTACAAAAATTAGCCGGGCATGGTGGTGTGCACCTGTAATCCCAGCTACTCGGGAGGCTGAGACAGGAGAATTGCTTGAACCTGGAAGGTGGCTGTCACAGTGAGCCGAGATCATGCCACTGTACTCTAGCCTGCACGACAGAGTGAGACTCCATCTCAAAACACAAAAACAAAACAAAACAATAACAAAGAAACTTAAACTTTGGCCTTGAGCCTTTTGTTTTCATTAGGAATTAGTAGATTCCATATTTTGTGACCATATAGTTAACTTTCCAAGCCAAAAGTATTTTTTAAAAATTTCTGATTCTGAAAATTGTTTATATAGGTACAGCTTCCTTTCTTTTGGCAATGCCAATATAATTTTCATTCTTTTATAATGGATTTGTGTTTTATTCTCTGACTGCTTTCTGATTTTACCTTTGATTGGATATGCCAAAGTTTCACCGCAATGTATCTAAAGATTGAATTTATTTTCCTTATCCTGCTGGCAACTTATGCTCCTAGTTTATGATGAGTCCTATTTCCCATTAGGTTTGGAAAGTTCTTATCCATTATATTTGCAAGTATGACTCTTCCCCTATTATCTCTATTCTCTCCTCATATAGCTTACATTAGATGTGTATTAGATCTTCTTGCTCTGGCATCAGTCTTCTAACTGCTTTTATGGTTTCTGTCTCTTTCTTTCTCTCATGCATTCAAGAAGATTGCCTAAGTTGTGTTTACAGTTCATTAATTCAGCTTTGTCTAATCTGTTTCCATACTGTTTTACGGGTTAGAGTGGTGCTAGACTTTAAGTCCTCTACCTGAGCCTGGAGAATGACACTACAGAGCAAAGCCCCATGCACCATCATAAAAGAGTTGATAAGAGACATGCACGATAGTTTGAGAAGGTATAACCTACAGTGAATTGGAGTTCCAGAAGGAGAAAAGAAGAAAAAATGAGCCAAGGGCTATATATGAAGAGATAAAGAGCTAATAATTTTCAGTAACTTCTGAAAGGTGAATCTTTGACTCAATAGACCCAATGAATTCTAAGCAGAACAAACCAAAAAGATATAAACTCCAAGATATAATATAGCATAATCACAGAAACCAGAGATTAAAGGAAAGTAAAATAAGCCAGAGAGGAGAGAAAAGGCATGTGCACTTACGCACGTGTGCAGCAATGTATGTAACATGAGTTCATTGCAGTTTTTTTGTAATAGCAAGTGGTATGAAAAAAACCTGATACAGTCATATGAGGGAATACCATACAGCCATTGGAAAGGATGAAACACTGCTATATGTACTGACATGGAATAATTGCCAAGATATATTGTTACATTTAAAAAATTCAAGGTGCAGAACCCAGGATATGCTTTTTTTTTTTTTTTTTTTTTTTTTTTGAGACGGAGTCTCGCTCTGTCGCCCAGGCCGGACTGCGGACTGCAGTGGCGCAATCTCGGCTCCCTGCAAGCTCCGCTTCCCGGGTTCACGCCATTCTCCTGCCTCAGCCTCCCGAGTAGCTGGGACTACAGGCGCCCGCCACCGCGCCCGGCTAATTTTTTGTAGTTTTAGTAGAGACGGGGTTTCACCTTGTTAGCCAGGATGGTCTCGATCTCCTGACCTCATGATCCACCCGCCTCGGCCTCCCAAAGTGCTGGGATTACAGGCGTGAGCCACCGCGCCCGGCCCAGGATATGCTTTTTAAGATGATATACAGCAAGACATTGGATAGAGCGAATGTTAAACCCAATGTCAATATAGCCAAACATGGATTGGTATGTGTATAAAGTATCTCTAGAAGGGTACACAACTGGTAACAGTGGTCACCTTTGGAGAGAGGAATTGGAGACTGGGGGTCAAAAGCATGAGGGAGACTTACTTTCACTGCATATTCTTTTCTACCTTTTGAATTTTATGAAGCATTTATATATTCATCCTCTTGAATTAATAAATGAATAAGAAGCAAATAAGCTAATAAGCAAATTGCCTAATTTCCCTTTCCCCACAACAACCAAATCCTTCGCCTCTCCCTGTACCTACTCATCCTTTTTTTTTTTTTTAAAGAGGCCATGATACAGAGAGATATTATGGATCTTGGATACTCAAAACGGGGAAGGTGGAAGGGGTTAGGGATAGAAACTACATACTGGGTACAATGTGCACTACTTGGGTGACGGGTGCACTAAAATCTCAGATTTCACCACTATACAATTCATCCATGTAACCAAAAACCACTTGTGCCCCAAAAGCTATTGAAATGAAAAAAAAAAACAGTGATTTTTTTTAAAAAAGAGGTCATGCTGGAAATAAGTATGTAAAGAAACATCTCCTAAGAGGGCAGGGGTCTTCGTACTGAGGGAGAGGAAAGATTTCTTTGTAGCTTTGCCTCCCCTTCTGAAAATGTTTTCCAAAAAGTGAGGGTATAAAGCATACCATATTGCTGTGTCTTTATTTCTAATGAATGGTTCAATTCTTCCTGCCCCTGACAACATGAGCTAGACAGTTCTCTTTTTCCAAGCACATTTTTCAAATGGATGATTATCTGTGTGTATTCAGATGTACATAGTTTTACTGAAGGAGCCCGTGGTAAGTCCTTTCTGTAATGGCCAGCAGGTCTTTGTTGAACCCAGCACCAGGTAGGACTGGCTCAGGGCATGAAGTGAGTGAAACTATGCACTCTGCCCAGAAGTAGATCTCCCTCCTAGACTCTTCCTCACTGCCCAAATTTCTAATTAGTCTCTTCTTTGGGTTAGTGAAATGGGTTAAGACATAATAACTAAGTCTCTTTGTCACTTAAAATGAATGACTTGGTTGTATATGGGTTTGTCTTTCTCTGGACTGCTTTGTTGCCCAGCTCAAGATGGAACTATTTGCTTGAAGTTTGTATGGATGGTGATTAATGAAGTTGCAGAAAAACAGCCTACACAATTGTAGGTAGTGGCCTTGTCTTATTTACTAAATTGTGCATCTCTTAGTGTCAGGACGGAGCCATATCCATCTTAACATCGTCATTATCTAGCACAACCCTCATAGTAGATGTCTAATAAATGTCAAAGTACAATGAATTATTATGAATTATACAGTTGCACACTTCAAACAGATGGGAGACAATGTTGAGGACAAAAAGAGCATGCGATCTGGGGTCAACTAGATTTAGAGATGAATCTGGATTCCATAATTTGCCAGTTGTGAACTTAGGCAAGTTGCTTTATCACTTTTAGCTCCAATTTTCTCATCTGTAAAGTAACAGCAGCCTTGAAGAGTTATTATGAAAATTAATTAAATGAATATATATAAAGTGCTCAG
The DNA here is from genome assembly GCF_000001405.40 of Homo sapiens. Classification (NCBI taxonomy): domain Eukaryota; kingdom Metazoa; phylum Chordata; class Mammalia; order Primates; family Hominidae; genus Homo; species Homo sapiens. Next base: position 3,076,847 of record NC_000009.12, on the reverse strand, counting down.
CACATATTAGGCACCCCATCATTGGAGACTTTTGTTGCTGCTGACATTGCAATCACATTTTATTGTTGCTGACTGATGTGATTATTGTCATCATTATTTATATAATAAAATTGTAAGTGTCTGAATAGCATAGAGTGCTTTTACAGTGGACCCTAGGTGGCGGGGAAATTCTAAGTATGGCTTTTCATTTGGACTGAACTTATCTACAGGCATATCACAGTGATTATTGTGAAATCCTTTTCCATCATATCCTTAGAATTTTTTAAAATCTGTTTTATTTAATGGCTCTTTAAGCTTCTAGAGCCTACTCAACTTTAGGGCAGGCTGCAGCTATTGCTTTAAAAATGAAGAGATCCCATGGACAGAGAAGTCGTTAGGATATGGCTGAGATAGTACGTGCACATGGAACAAGCACAGTCTTTGGGGTAGACGAGACAGCCAGCTTCTAATACCAGTTTCTCTGGTTTGAGGAAAAGTATCTGAGTCTCATGAAGCTCAGTCCCCTAACTGTAATGTTGAAAGTTTTCCATGAATGTCTGGTTTTTTGGTCGTTATTAATTTATTCCTTGCTGCCTTTTAGTAAGGATTGAAAATGATTGCAAAGATGCATAAGAAGCAATACAGTAAAAAAATAAAAATAAAAAATAAGTGAAGAGGTTTGCTATGGGCTAACTGTTTGTATCCTAAAATTCATATATTTGAAACCTAACCCCCAGTGTGATGGTATAAGGAGGTAGGACCTTTGTGAAGTTATTACGTCATGAGGATGGAGCCCTCATGAATGTGATTAGTGCCCTATAAAAGAATCCAGAGAGTTCTCTCCTGCTTCTGCCACATGAAGACGTAGTAGAATGACAGCTCTCTGAACCAGGAGGCAGCCCTTCAACAAACACTGAGTCTGCCAATATCTTGTATTTGAACTTTCCAGCCTTCAGAATTCCGAGAAATAAATTTCTGTTGTTTATAGCCACACAGTGTATGCTACTTTGTTAAAGCAGCCTGAACTGACCAAGACAACGTTGGGAGGATTATTATTTATTAATAATAGTAATTTCCTGTCATCCTTTTGCTCACCAAATCCTTATTGAATGTAAAGTACAATAGTTGGGCCTGAGGCATATAAAGACAAAATAGCCAAAAAGGCAAATTGTAAAGACCTATCTAGCATTTCAAGCTAATCTCAATATTTGCCTTAATGGAAATATAAGCAGTTTGTCCTGATTTGAAATAAGATAACTCCACAGCATGAAAGCTGGAAATAGAGCTTCAGAAGATACAGAAGGCATGAATGAGTGGCATGAGGGTGAAAGGGATAAAGGGAATCTCTTAAGCCCGGACATGGATGTGGGAAGTGCTGGTTTATTTTGGAGGTGGTACACAGTTGGATAGGGCTAAAATGTGAGTTGGAGGTTGGGAAATCAGTCTGAGAAGGTAGGCTGCAGCCAGACCATGGAGGATCAACATGAACTCCCTTTTATAGACTAACATTTTCCAAAGATCTTTATATAATTTTAGTCCTGAGGAATGTTTTCTAATAAAGGGATTTTGTGGCTAATAAGTTGATCAAATATTGCATATCTGCCTCTTACAGAAACACATGTGATGTTAATAAGTGTTTCTAGGAAAGAAAACTATTTTCCTGGGCAATGGATTTGAAAATTCTGGATTCAATAATGTTAAACTGTTTTATTGGCTGTTTTAGGACTTCTCAGAGTCTTGATAGTCTACGATACATGGAAATACTAGTCCAAGAAACTCAATATGGATAACATTTCTACAGGCAAAGAGGTGCCATACAAGGATACTGAGCACTATCCTACCAGTAGAAACTGTGCTAGTATCTTCCATTTCATCCTCAAATGATCCTCTCAGCCCCCATGAAGGATTAAGAGACCTATTTTACTTTTGGGAAAACTGGGGCTCAGAGTGGTTGCATTTTTTACCAAATCCACATGGCTAGTCAGCGATGGATTTAAGCCCAGTATTTGAGCTTATGATGCTCTGTCCCTAACCCTCATAATATTTGCTCCACTCACTATCTCTGGGGACAATGTGGAGGATGAATGGGGCGCCAAAAAACTCAAGAAAGGAAAAATAAGAAAGGTAGGAGGATGCTTCAGCATGCAGCTGAGGAGTAATGAGGGCCTGAACCAGGGCAGTGGCCATAGGTGTGGTGAGAAGGGTGTGGCAAGAGTTGTGGGGTGATCCTGAGCTAGTGTGTGGGGCTCTCTCCTTTCCGTAATTGTCTCTGTGGGGCACTGTAAAGTGGTCGCTAGAATTGCTCTCACTCCGTCTTTAAGCTTTCACTCATGGCCTGGAATGGCCCTGCCTGAAGCCTTGCGGATCCTTGGCTTGATTAGTCAGTTGCATTCAACTTGATGTCCAGCACCACGTGACCTGGCTGCATTAAGCACTTCCTGCATTGCTCACATTTGAGGTTCTGCTTATTTGTTTCCTCTTCCTTCTCTCCCTGAGTGTGGTTTTATTGTCATTCATAATAAGAGCATGGAGAGTGCTCTTTGGATCTGACTCTGTGCACACTGCAGTGAAGTGATAAGTTTTTGGTTTAACTGCCTTGGAAGGATTCCTCTGGCAAATAATTTTCATCAGCATGAACCGAGCTGTATCACTTATTTATATGTCAATCAGATTTAATCTGCTCTCTCCTGAGATGCATGTGGGTCACGGATTCAGGAGTATCATGTGAATGCCTCCATTCTTACACACCAAAAGAGGTTTCTCTTTAATGTGACTAAGTTTATTGTTCAAATAGATATCCTGCTTTTAGAATAACTTGTTGATTTGAAATTCTAGCTATTCCACTACATTCTAACCTTCCCAATAAGATCACGCCAAATAAATGCTTTGAAAGACAGACGGAAACTCAGTTCTTTTAAGCTTTACTGAGGTATAATTGATATATGAAAAAAAATGCATGCATTTAATGTATACATTTTGATGAGTTTGAACATACGCATGTACCCACAATACCATCACCGCAATCAAGGTACTAAACATATCCATCACCTCCAAAAATTTCCTTCTGTTCCTGTGTGTGTTTGTTTCATTTTGTTGTTTGGGTAAACACTTAACACAAGATCTATCCTCTTAACATATTTTCAAAAGCACAATATCCTATTTTTAACTATAGGTACTATGTTGTACAACAGATCTCTAGGACATGTCTATCTTGCATAACTGGAACTTTATGCCCATTGAGCAACAATTTGCCATTCCTGCCTCCCCTCAGGCCCTGGTAACCATCATTCTATTCTCTGTTCACTGCTTCTGTGAGTTTGACCTATTTTAAATACCTCATGTAAGTTGAGTCATGCAGTATTTGTCCTTTTGTGACTGGCACATTTTACTTAGCATAATGGTCTCCAAGTTCACTGATGATGTTGCAAATACTAGGATGTTCTTCCTTTTGAAGGCTGAACAATATTCCATTGTATGCATATATCACATTTTCTTTATCCATTCATCCATCACTGGACATTTGGGAATTCATCTATTCATCTGTTGATGGACATTTGGAATCTCAAGTCTAAAGATGATTTTTACCCTATTGTGATTGTCAATGGAAATAACTTATAAAGCCAAAAACTATGGTCCACTCTTATTCAATACAAAAGTTCCGCCTGGGTCTGATGTTTTAAAGAATAGTCTTAGTGAAAAATATGGGGCTCTAATTTAAGATTTATAAATTACAATCTTGATTCAGATCATTAGCATTCTTTTTCTGTTGCTTTTAAATTTTACTCAATTGTAAATTTAATATATACTAATGGCATAAAATTTTCAAGATGCAGGAAAACTCCAAAGGATGAATAAAATATCACCACATGGTTATAATTACTTTTGATATTTTGTGTATATGCTACTGTAAAAAATACAAAAAGATTACCCTGCAAATATTTTGTCTTTTTTGTTTTATATTACAATATATTGTGAATATTTTCTCGTGATTATTTTTTAACTAAATATTTCCAATGGTTGAATGATATTGTTTCATGTGTAGACTGCCTTTATTTAATTAGTCTTCTATTTGAACACTTAGTTTGCCTCACATTTGCACTGTTATACACTTTGGTACAGCAAAATGTTTTATCAGACACTGTCACACATTACCATAATAATTTCTCTAGGACAAATTGCTATAGATTTGTGAAATCAAATGTTGTAAATACTGTTAAGATTTTTGACAGATATTAATAAATTGCCCTATAGATCAAGTTATAATGATAATACTCCCACTAATATTGTATGAAGGTGACAATTTCCTTGAATATTCACTAATTCGGTATATTAAACATGTTTAAAAGAGTTAAATTTACAGGAAGAAAACAACCCCATTAAAAAGTGGGCAAAGGACATGAACAGACACTTCTCAAAAGACATTCATGCAACCAACAAACTTGAAAAAAATCTCATCATCACTGATCATTAGAGAAATGCAAATCAAAACCACGATGAGATACCATCTCATGCCAGTCAGAATAGTGGTTATTAAAAAGTCAAGAAACAACAGATGCTGGCAAGGTTGTGCAGAAATAGGAACACTTTTGCAGTGTTCATGGTAATGTAAATTAGTTTAACCATTGTGGAAGACTGTGTGGTGATTCCTTAAAGATCTAGAAACAGAAATACCATTTGACCCAGCAATCCCATTACTGGGTATATACCCAAAGGAATAGAAATCATTCTGTTACAAAGATATATGCACATGTATGTTCATTGCAGCACTATTCACAATAGCAAAGACATGGAATCAACCCAAATGCCCATCAATGATAGACTGGATAAAGAAAATGTGGTACATATACACCATGTTATACTATACAGCCATAAAAATGAACAAGATCATGTCCTTTGCAGGGACAGGATGGAGCCAGAAACCCTTATCCCCAGCAAACTAACACAGGGACAGAAAACCAAACACCACATGTTCTCACTTATAAGTGGGAGTTGAACATGAGAGCACATGGACACAGGGAGGGAAACAACACACACTAGTATTTTTATATGGTTCACATGTTAACAGGCCAAATGTTATTCTTCCTTAGAAATTGCCTCATAATATTATTTATTCGGTTATTTGGGAGCTTTTTCTTGTTGATGTATACAAAACTTTTCATTTGTTAAGATAATTGTGAATACCTTTTATATAACTATTTCCCAAGATGTACATTTTCCTGATTTTTGTATTTTAAAAAGTTTAATTCTTTGTCAATTTTTCTTTATATATTTTGCTCCTGTATATACACTTAAGCCTTCTCTTTCCTAAAATGTGAGAAATATTTCTCTATAATCTGCCTTATTTCTAAAACGTCTACTTATTCTTTAAAAAGGCAATGTTTATTTGGGTTTAAGTTGTTAGGAAGGAATCTGTATCAGGTAGAATTCAGCTCAATTTCATATGAGAGGAAACTCCCAAATCACAATATCTTTAAAAATATTGAAGTGCAGTTTTCTCTCACATAAAATAAGTTCCGTAGTTAACCAGTCCAGTGTTGGCTTCAGGACATTTTTAGATACTGACCTACCCTTCAACTCGCTAGTCTAGTCTACCTTTCAGCTCCCACTCATATTAATGGCCATAAAATGGCTGATAGAGCTCCAGCCATCACATTTGCTTTTGAGACAGCAGAGTTAGAGAAAGGGGGAAGAAGGGTGGATTTCCTCCACTGAAAGAAAATTTCCCCTCTGCCACGAGACTAAATTTCTTTATTATTTATTAAAAAATCAATTCATCCTATATTGACTTGAAATGCCATTTTTATAAAATACTAAATTATTTGATACAGTTATTTCTGTTTTTATTTTCCCTCTGTTACATTAATCTCTCTGTCCACTAATGTACTGTTACAACACAACTTTTATTTATAATCTGTGATAATATTATATCTGGGTTTTTATTCATTTCACTCCTATACTCCAAAAAAAGAAATCCGTAGGTTTTTTTTGTTTTTTTCATCTGTTTACCTTCTGGAACAAAATTTAGAAGCATAGAAAAATTTCCTCACAAAAACATTGAACTTCTTGTTGGAATTACAGGTAACTTCTAGACTTTGCATTTATTTGTCTTTCATGCTTCACAGATTTTGTAGTTCTTTTCTGTTTATATGGTCTGGTCCTTCACATATCTTGCTAAGTTTATTTCTAATTGTTTTATAATTGTGCTGCTATTTAAAATAGAATTCTTTGAATTAAACTTTTTATAGCTTTGGGTTTTTTGCAGACATGTAGAACTGTTGAGTAATTTTATTTTGTAACCAGTTCCCCTTACCAGCGTGAATAAGCTTTAAGTTGATTCTCTTGATACTTTCAGATCCATGATCGAACCATCTCCTTTACAATACTTAAACCTTGTTATAGTTTGGATTTTTGTCCCCTCTAAATCTCATGTTAAAATTTGCTCCCCATTGTTAAAGGCAGGGCCTGGTGGAAGGGATTTAGATCATGGGGGCAGATCCCTCATGAATGGCTTGAAGTCATTCTCACAGGATTGAGTTCCTGCTCTTACTTCCCTTGAGATCTGATTGTTAAAATGCATGGCAACTCCTCCCCTCTCTCTCACTTTCTGCCATGTGATTTATGTACACCAGCTCCCCTTAGCCTTCTGCCATGAGCAGAAGGCACCTGAAGCCCTCACCAGAAACAGATGCTGGTGCTATGCTTGTACAGCCTGCAGAACTGTAAGCCAGATAAACCTCTGTTCAATATAAATTACCCAACCTCAGGTATTGCTTTATAGCAATACAAATGGGCTGAGACAGACTTCTTGTTTATTTTCATGCCTTATTACATTGGCTACAATGCTCAGCATAATGATCATTAGAAATTCTAAGAACAATGTAAATTAATAGAAATTTCTGCAACTTGTTGGTCTTATTTGTGACTTTAAATGAATTTCAAAGTTAAGTCCAATATTGATCTTTGGTTCAATACAAATATTTTTTTTAATAAAGATGTACCCTAAATCGCTTAAAGTTTATTTTTCAATAAAAAGCTGTTGTTTTTTTTCTTGTTCATTTATTTTTCTGCATTGATAAAATATTGTACATATTTTCCTTTGCCATGTTAATATGACACTAATATTAATGACTAGAGGAGCTGCTAAGAGTATGAGACCTGGAACCAGTCTGCCTAGGTTCAAATCCTGACTCAGTTTAGTTTGTTTGGGCTGCTATAACAAAATACCATAGACTAGGAAGTTTGTAAACAAGAGAAATTTACTTCTCACAGTTATGGAGACTGGAAGGTGCTGGCAGATTCAGTGTCTGGTGAGGGCTGGTTCCTCACAGACAACACCTTCTCACTGCATGCTCACATAACAGAAAGGGAAAACAAGCTCCCTTGTGCCTATTTTATAGGGCATTAATCCCATTCATGAGGGCTTTGCCCTGATAATAGAGTTACTTCCCAAAGGTCCCACCTCTTAATCCCATCAAATTTCGGGTTGTAATTTCAATATACAGATTTTGGAGAGACACAGACATTCAGACCATAGTACTATCATTTACAAGTTGTGTAACTGTGGTACTTCTCTTCATGCTGTCACAGGTACTTCACTTGTAAAGTGGGGATTAGAGTAATACCTACCTCAGGGTTGTTGGGAAGATTAGGTATTCATGTATGCATGAATAGGTCTTAGAACAGTGCCAGACAAATAATAAATGTGAGCATCATCATTATCATGACAACTTTTGTTGAACCTGGAGTAGCCCTATATTATCATACTGTACTATTATTTTATTTATCTTACCATTAGTAAAACCATAGTTATGGAAAAGTTAAATCATACTACCAAGGAAATAAAGTGAGTAAGTGCTCTAACCCAGATGCAAAGCTGTGTTGTCTCCATTTTGCCTCAATATTCCTAATGGGACTTAAGCTTTATTTTGGGAGTATCTTTGTCAAGTTTTATTATTGTATTACATTGGCTTTGTAAATGATTTAGGATACATTCCATCTTTTCCTTTGCTCTGAAGCTGTTTAAATAGAAGAGAAACTACCTCTTCCTCAAATGTTTGATAAAATATTGTTTGTGAAACCATCTAGCTTCGAAATTTTCTTGGACAAAATTCTATAGAGTCTTTCCATTTTTTTCCTCAGAACCCGGCCAAAAAGTCCTGATTTACACCCAGGGAACCAACCTGTAGAGAATGTGTGTTGGGTGTAAGGCATTGAGGTGGGGGCTGCTGACAAAAGGCCACGAATAAGACATCTGAAGGAGCTTATCAACTAAGAGGGTGATAAGACTGGTTCAGAAATAGAAGATAACAATGTATGGCAAGAAATGAATGTAATGAAAGTTATGCTTAATTCCTGGTGAGGTGATACTCATGGGCCAGAGTGATTCTCTACCTTTCAAGGTAGGGCTTAAAATGGGCTTTTAAGAGTAGCTAAGATTAAATAGAAAGGGGGATGTTTATACCTACTTATAAACAAAACACCACTTTGAAAACAGGATCCTAGAACTCATATACCGAGAAATTTGAAGCCCCTTTCTTTGTCCTCCTCCCCCATTGACCTTTTTATTTTTATTTTTATTTTTTTTTAACTTATCAAGGGAGGAGATACATAATGCAGAGCAATGGGAACAGACTTTGAAGCAACACGGACTGGGGTGAGCTGATACAGAGACTTAATAACCTAGGGTCCTAGGTTTCTATATGTAGAATGGGCATAAGAAACCTCACCTCATAATGTAGCTGTGAGGCACAAATGAGGTAAAGGATTTGAAAACACTCAACACAGGCAGTTAGCTGCTCAGTTCTCCTAGATTTCACCATGTTTACTATGAGCAATTGTTGTCAATCAAAATAGAAACATTAACTGTGGTAAATCAAAACCTTTTAAAATCCCTGCTCCAATCTCCCTATGCAGACCAATGTTTTAAGACTCATTACTCCATCTGCAAACCACACGGAACCACTTATTCCTGGACCTGTCACGTTCATTTGTGATACATTTATTCACTTATTCACTAGCCTATTATATAGACTGTTTCCCCATCTTCCTTATATTTCCTTTCTACTTGGCAAGCTCTTACATTTCTTCCAAGGCTCAGATTCAATGTAATGTCTCCTATGAGGAGTCTTCCAGGCAAAATTCATTGCTTGTTTTTCTGAGGTACCATAGCATTTTGAATACACCTCTTCTCCTTGCACTGTGCACTCTCTCAAGGCTGTGGCTACAGTTTATTTATTTTTGCACCTTTCCTTAGTGCCAATTGACAGTGTCTGGCCTATATCAGATGCTCATAAATGTTAGTTGCATGTGCATGTAAGAGTCAATCTCCAAATCAAGGTTGCAGATGTCTGCTTTCACCATATCTACTGTGGGGCAAAAACCAAAATGAATTTCTAGAACAGCTTTTGACTGTGAAGTTATTTTATGTCTTTTCATTGGCAACTCCCACTTTTTTTGTTAGTATAACTGGTGAATCTACATCAGAGCAACTCTCCTTGAGTGGGTGACTACAAGAGGATAGTTAATAATTTCTAGAACCACAAGGAGAAATCTGTTGATCTGACAAAAACTCTACTCAGACAAGATGTAGACTCTACAGTACTTGGTTATCTTAAAGAGACTTTCACAATGAAACTACATTTACATTTGAGAGAGGCAGCATTTCAGGAAAAGTAGAAAGAATTTCACATTCCTATGGAGAAATACACTTTTTCTAGATATATTATTATAATGGGGAAAACATTTTTTATACACTAATAGATCCAAACCACTTGCCAGTGTTAAAAAAGTCAACTAAAAATACCAAGTTTTTGATATTTTGTTATCTGTAATGCTCTTTTATTCTTTTTGTTTCTAATGTGGTTTAGGAAGCTAAAAAGGCTTCAGTGACTGTGTTGATTCACTTGTTTAATTCAATGAGCATTTAAAAATTATAGTCTATGTGCTCAAAACAGATATGTATTTGATAAGAAAGAGTTGGGATTGTAAAAAGAAAAAGATCTATTACTCCTTTTCCTGGAAGTGCTAGCAACAATGGACTGTCTGACACCTCATTGCTTTTCTGCCTTGAATTGCAGGGGAGTTGAAGAATTGCCAAGATGGGAGTTGTAAGTAAATTCGAGGGAGTAGTAGGCTCCTAGAGAAGTTGTTAGAGGCATGGCACACTATTGCACTCAATACAGAATGAAAAGTTACTTACTTCTGATTTGAAAATATTGCTTATAGAGGTGTTTAAAATTTCAGTGTGAACAGGGCAACTAAAGTCAATAATACTTTAAATGTACATTTTAAAATAACTCAAAGAGTATAACTGGATTGCTTGTAACACAAAGAATAAATACTTCAGGGGATGGATTCTCCATTTTCCATGATGTGATTATTGCTTGTTGCACGCCTGTATCAAAGTATCTCATGTATACCATAAATATATACACTTACCTTGAACCCATAAAAATTGTTGAAAATTAACATATAACAAACAAACAAAATTTGGCAGGAGTCAGTGCCTTTTTCAGACCCAGGGGTCAAAGCTCTGTAAAAATAAATAAATAAATAAAATAAAATTTCCGTGTGGCATCAGCTTCAGCATTTATTTCTTTTTCTTCTTTTTGCTTTGGTTATGTGTAGAGGGAAGGATGTGGAAGAAAGGAGGGAATGGTTAGGAAAAAATCTTAAGGCTGGCCTGGAGGCTAGAAAGATGAGCATAGCTTGCCTTTTTATTTTGTTTTATACGGTGAATAGGCCATGTGCATCTGAACTGGAGTGATGCTGATGTGGTTCCAGTCAACTAAACAATTCTGGGTCCTTTTTGTGTACCAGGTCCTGCAGGGGAATCAAAGATGAGGAGGACACAACTCCTGCCCTTGGGCAGACCAACGTCTTGCAAAATGTATAAGACTGGGGTACAAATGGGAGAATAAAATAACTGCTGTAAGAGAGGTGCAATGTGCTGTTGGTTTAGTGGAGTGAGGGAGATAACACATGCCAGTTGGGTGCAATCAAGAGCAGTTCCATGGAGATGGTGGCATTTAAAATGGACATTGATAAGTTAGGTAGAATTTTCATTGGCAGAAATGGGGTTTTATGTATCACTTTAGAAGTCCATTCTTCCCAGTTCATATCCCTACCACTACCATAATTATAAGTGCTTCTTGGAGAGCAGCTAGTAGTTGTTTTGTCTAGAATATGACATGTTAAGGGGGAAGGGAGTTGGCTGGGCAGAACCAGAAAAAGTGGCAGGTAGGGGGCATGGGTTACAATTCTAGGCGGGAGAGATTGTACTTTAATATTCAGTGGGGACCTTTGAATGTTTGAGGACAGCATTTCTGTAATTGCACCTGTGCTACGTTAATTGCAATCTGGCAGTTTGGCGTAGGATGAATTCATTTTCAATGGCAGGAGCAGATAGCAGTGGAGAGACTATCATGGTTGTCCAGTTGAGATGCAATGAGACCACAGAATGGACAACATCAAGGGATTCAAGCAAAATGTTCTTAGACCTTGCACCAAAAGCACAATCCATAAAGAGAAAAATTGTTAAGTTGAACCTTATCAAAATCAAAAAGTTTAGGTCTGTAAAAGATTTTATTAAAAATAATGAAAAGATGAGGTACAGAATCAGTAAAAACATTTGCAAGCCACATACCAGACAAAGGGCTAGTATCTAGGCTATGTGAAGAATTCTTAAAACTCAACAGTAAAAAACAAACAATCCAATTTGAAAATGGGTAAAAGACATGAACAGAGATTCACCAAAGAGCATATACAGGTGACAAATAGCCATATGAAAAGATGCTCAGCATCGTAAGTCATCAGGGAAATGCAAATTAAACCCACAATGAGATATCACTATACAACTATCAGGATGTCTAAAATAAAAAAACAGTGACAATACCAAATGTTTCTGAGAATATGGAGAAATTGGATCATTCATTCATTCATTCCCATTGCTGACGGGAATGTTATGTGGCACAGTCACAATGAAAAACAATTTGGTGATTTCTTATAAAACTGTAAGTGTGGTTACCACACAACCCAGCAATTGCACCCTCAGGTTTTTATCCCAGGAAAATGGAAACTTACGTTCACACAAACTTGTATATAAATGTTCACAGCAATTTTATTAGTATTAGCCCAAAATGGAAATGACCCAGATAAATGGTTCAGCATCTGAATGATTCCACAAACTGTGGTAAATCCACATCATGGAATACTACTCAGAAATGAAAAGGAACGAAATATTGATACATGCAACAACTTGGCTGAATCTCCAGGGAACTTTGATATGTGAAAAAAAGACAATACTAAAAGGTTATTTACTATATAACTCCACTTATATAACATTTTTGAAATGATCAATTTTTAGAAATAGAGAATAGTTTAGTGGTTGACAGAGGTTACAGAAGTAGGGTGGGGTGGGAAGGAGGTGGTTTAGTTATAAACGGACAACATAAAGGATACTTGTGAGTATCTTGACTGTTGTAGTGAATGCACAGATTTACACATGTGATAAAATACACACATACACATAGAGGCATGCATATATGATTACAAGTAAAACTGAAGACATTTGAATAAGATTGGTGGATAGTATAAATGTCAATAAACTGATCGTGATAGTATACTAAATGTTATCATTGCAAAATGCTAAATATTACCATTGCAAGACATTATCATTTGAGGAAACTAGGTGATATGTACACAGTAACTTCATATTTCTTTTGTACAGCTGCATATAAACTTACTGATCTCAATAACATTTTCAATTAAAGTGTAAATGCAAGTGGACTAAAGTTTTGATAGAATATTTTTTCCTCCAAATAGTAGAAGCTTTCATATAACACCTAGATAGGATTTGGTCATAGGCTAGATCTAGTAAATGTTAAAGGGAAGACATCGTTCTGCATGACAAATGAACGGAAGTGGCCCTGAGATAGAGACTAGCACTGGCTGACCCTCATTCTAGTCCTGCAATACATGGGTATTAACGATACATCTGTATTAACCAAGGGAAGTAATTTTATATCTTTGAGGCTCAGTTTCTCCATTTGTAAAATTGGGCTAGGTTGTCTGTAAGGGTCAAGTAGAGCTTTGACATTCCAGGATGGTAGGGCATATCTGGGACATCTTTTCTCTGTACCATACTCCAGCCAGCATCTGCCTGAGCAGCTTCTCTTTTCTTTTTTTAGCCGTTTCACCAGCACCCTTCCTCTGTTCTCAAGCACTTATCTTTGTTTTAACAAGTAACCTCTTACTTTTCTTCCCTGTTGCCCATCAGCCTTCTTCCCTTGCATAAGGTATTAAGGCATTAACCTACTAGAAAGGAGCTTATGTTTTAGACAGAAAAGGTTCTTAAAGAGTGGGAAGTCCTAAAAATGAATTTTAAATGGTAGAATTTTCAGGTAGAATTTCAGAATCCATTTGAGCATAATCATTTTGGCAGGGGATGTCTTCCCAGCTGCACCTATCTTTTGTGATCTTAGACAAGTTATACAAATGTATGTGAGTCTCAGTTTCTTTATCCGTAACATGGAGCTATTATGACTTACCTTCCATAAACTGTTTATATTATGTTCCCTTTATGGTATCTGTGACACAGAAGCATGCAAAAAACCAAAACGCTTGCAATTCCTTCTGCTTCTCTCTCAAGTGACTCTCAAATAATAGAGTGTCTGACAAGATTGTCTTTGCTAACTTGATGTTCAGTTATAATGACATCACTTTTATTTTTCCACTTACTCATTTTGAGGCTCTTTTTAACCACATTAAGTAAACATTTTCCTCAATGTCTCTCTCACTTTTCATCTAAGAACGTCAAGGTTTTACTTATTATGAGGGGCCAACCCTACTTTGGCCAACCCTACTTTCAAGCGTGAGAAAGCCAAAGGGCCTGATTCAAAATGGGTCGTTCACCAATTTTGACTGTCATTGCTACCAGTACTAGTGCTGTTGCTTTTGAAAGCTGATGCCCCACAGTCTCGCCTGCCTTTATCCAATTGTTATGGTTACCTGCAGTGGCAGATGGACTACCAAGCTGTTTTGTGCAGATGTTGAGACTGACGACCCCACATACACCAACAGGCTATGCAAATATTTATCGCTTATGTAATTTAGATCTCTGACAAGAGCAGGGCAGACCTCTCAAGCCGTTCTGAATGGCTTGAAAGGAAGCAAGGAAAGGAGACTGGCCTAGGTTTTTATTGTGGTCAGGAGGTTGGACCAGGGTGGAAGTTCCTGCACGTGGGCAGGGGATTGCCTATTTGAATCAGGAGGGATAATCTAGGCTTTCTTATCAGTTTACCTAGATGTGGGGCACAAGAGGCAGATGGAGGGGTGGGGCTTAGAAGCTGTCAGCTGACAAATATCAAAAACTGAAGACCCCTCATTTCCGCATGGCTATGCAGGGAATCTCTATGTGTGCACACTCAAGGTGATAACTCACTGGCTGGCACTCAGCTGCTCAGTACTATGCCTGGGTATCAGACATAAAGAAGCTTCCAGATTCAGCCAAACTGTGCCAGAATCAGAATACCGCCAAACCCCACAATCTGCTATTGAACCCACGCTCCTGGTCCAGACTCTCCCTTTCCTCATGGTGAATTTCTCAGTGGAGAATTCACTGGCTTTTCCTGTCAAAGGAATCTGCCCACCTTCGTGCAGCAAATCATTATGGTAATATAGCATTTCAAAAAGAATAGAGTCTGGGGGTTCAAGGCTTTTCTCTTCAAAATGCATCTTGACCTCTATGCAAACGCATCCACTTAGTTCTCTACCTTCTCTCCCTACACTTGTTAAGAATGTGGCCTCTGGAGTGAAGCTTCCTGGGTTTAAATCATGGATCCACTAGCAGCTGTGTAATCCCGGGCTGGGAGATTAATCTCTGGATACTTCAGATCCGCAGTCTATAAAAAAATGGAGTAACATTTCCCATTTAAGAGGGGTTTCAGGATTACATGAGATTATGTACATGAAGGGTCTTGCACTGTGTTTAGCATAAAGTAAGCACTAAGTAGATGTTATTTATTATTAATTTAAATTGTTGTTTCAAAATAACACATACATGTAATTAAAAATCAAATAGGACTTTAGAGCTTATAATGAAAAATGGAAGTTCTTTGAATCATCACTTCTCCTGAGTTCACTCCCTAGAGGCAACCATTTTTAGCTAAACTAGCTGTTTTCTTTTTTTCTAGTGTTGACTCCATTTTCTAAAGAATATGATGATATTTGTTGATTTATCAGTGTTGGACATTCCCTAATGACTCTGGTGGGTGAAAATTCAACACCCTCACAGAATCCTCATAGCCTCACTTCTCTTCCTGCCCCTTTCCAGTATGGTTTTATTGTAATATTTGTGCACTTATGCAGATATCCTTCATTGCAGCTGCGAAATTTCCTATCTTGCAAACATTTTTTGTTTAAAGCTTCGACCTGTGACATGGCTGTCATCAGGATACTTTCCATTATTCATTTCTCATACTGGATATTAGAGAAAAATCTTCTCTCTGTTTTTTCCACTTACTTCTCTGTATTGGTTATTATTACTGGGATGTTCTCCAGTAGTTTCCTAATAAAAGGTTCTTGGGAGGTAAACCATTTGAATTATTTTATGCCTGGAAATATATTATCCTACCTTTGCATGATTGATTGGCTAATTGGGTATAGAAAATTATTTTACCCTATGATTTTAAAGAAATTCTTCAATTTACCTCAAGCCTCCAGGGTCACTATAGAAGTCCGCTGTCACTCTATTTCATTTCTTTCATCTGTGCCCTATTTTCTTTTTTCTTTCTCTGGAGGCTTTTAGGATTTTAATTTTATCTCTGATGCTCTGAACTTCACAACAATTTGCCTTGGTATATGTAATTTTTCATTCACTGATCTAGATACTTGAGGAGTCTTTATCATATGGAGACATGTGTCCTTGATTTCTGAAAAATTCCTGGTTTCTTTGCTAAATTCTTCCCCTCTGCTTTGTCTGTTCATTCATTCTGAATGAATGAATGAACTTCTATTGGTTGAATAGTGGAACATCAAAAGTAAGTCTTTAATATTCTTCTCTTTTCTCTCATCTTTTTTTTTGTCATTTTTCTTCTTGTTCTATTACTTTTTAGGTGATTTTCTTGACTTACCATTTAATTCTTCTATTGAATGTTTTATTTCAGCTACATTTAAAAATTCACTGTTTTTCTTGTGCTTTGTTTCTTTTTCATAGCATTCTGTTGGTAGTTTATTAACACAATATTTTTTCCTGATTTCTTAGCTTCTAAAATGCTACCTGACACTTAGCAGGTGCTTAATAAACAACTGTTGAACGAAAAAGGCTTCTATATTAATTATATTAAATTTTCTCTACTGTTTTCTGTTTGATCCTGTCTCCTTGAAGTTCTGTTTCTGTTTTTGCTTTTCTTTTCATTTTGGAGGCTTTCCTCAAAGAGGTAGTATACTTTGGTTGATCATTCATTTTGATGTGAGGTTCTAAGAAGCAGTTTTGAAGTTTTGATTATTGGTATGACTTCTAGGCTTCACTGTAAGGTAATCTGGTGACTAACTGCCTGTACCAGATTTTTACTGCTGCTTAACAGACTACCCCAATCTTAGTGGCTTAAAATAATACCCCAATATTAGCTCACAGTTTCAGTACGTCAGAAGTCTAGCAAAATGTAGCTGAATTCTCTGCAGGGTTTCAGAAGGCTGAATTCAATGTTCTGGCTGGATTGAGCTCTAGTCTGGAGGTTCTGAGAAAAAAAAAAATCTGCTTCCCAGCTCATCTTGTGCTTAGCTGAATTCAGTTCCTTGTGATTATAAGACTGAAGTTCCATTTCCTTTCTGGGTGTTAGCTGGGGTTGCTCTCACCATCTAAAGGCCACCCACATTCCTTGTTCCCTCTGTCTTCAAGCCTGCAACAACATGCTGAATTCTTCTCATACTTGAAACCTCTGACTTCCTGTATTTAACCTATAGACTCAGATTTAAAGGACTCATGAGTTTACCTCAAACTCACCTAAATAATCTCCCAAACCAAACCAATAACAAAGCCAAACAACCATTTCAGTACTCGTAATTGGTGGCGATATTATTAGTATCTGTATTTTGAGATTGACATATGCTCTTTAAAAGCCCTCTTTCCATCTCTTGTGGTAATCTCATATTTGGCTCAACCTCTTGTCTCAACTCTAAAACCTCTTCCAAATCTTTCTTTTCTGGTTTATTTTTCCATTCTCTTCATTTCTCTTCTGCTATTAACTTTTGGCCCCTTTCAATCCATTTTCAGTTTTTCTTCACTATCATCACTTCAGCAAAAAAACAAACAAAAAAACCTAAAATCTAATCTTAGAAACAAAATTCTGCTTACTAGGTAGAGGAGTGAAAGAAGCTGTGAATATGCAATTTATTACTCTTTTTGTCACCTCTCATAAAAAACTGTGTAATATGATTAGTATTGATAGCTAATTTTAATATTAGGATTTTTGGGAGTTGAATCATGCATTATGGAAGTTTCTTTCTTTTTGGATTATGGAACAAATCTTTCTTTTCATTCATTTTCTGTGGTTGTTTATTAAAAATAATAACTGCACAGTTATCTATATACTTTAATCCATCTGTATAAGTACTGCCTATGTAATTATTTTTAGTTACCGATTTCTAGGAAATACAGTCATTAGGTAGACTAACTTCCTATTTCTAGATAGGGAAATATTAAAAGGGTCACTTAGCATAGAGTTTGCATCTATACCGTGTTATTAGGTAATGAATTCTGTTCTGTTTTGTGTAATAATTTATGAATAAAAATATTTTGTAGAACCCCTGTTCTAGACTTTGCCTGATATCTAATATTCTTGGTCAACTAGTGTTGTAGTTTTCCTATGAAGATTGGACTTTTGCATTTGTATAGGCTGAAAGGAAAGGAGTATATATTTAAAAAGTAGAGAAATGTTGGTTAAGAGAAGCAAGGACAATACTCTTGACCTTACCCCGTGGCATTTTCTGTGGTTACTCATCTGCACTTGTAAAATGAGTGAATCCTGGATTTCTTGGTGTGCCTTTGGAAGTTTTGTAAGATGAGACTGAGGGAGAGGGTAGAGTAAGGGGTCTGGAGTCACCATCATTATAATTTTCTTTGAGAGACCTCTGGGCAAATGTGATTTTTCATCAAGGCTCTGGGCTTTCCTGAAGCTGACTACGTTCTGTGCACATGGACTTTTTCTGCTTGTTCCTTTGCTGCTACTTGGCAGCTCAGGCCTTGCCCTTTGAAGAAGTAGCAGAGTGCTGCTGATGGAAGCAAAGTTCAAAAGTAAAATGATAGTAAATATACAGAGGCAGTCAGCCAATTGGGCCACCGAAAAGATGAAATGAGATGATTGTGAAAGGGAGTCAGAGTGTTCTGCAAATGTAGTTATTCATGGTTATTCATACTAGTAGCAGCAATAATAAAGTCATAGAAAGATAGTTGCCCTGAGCCTCAGCCTAAGGCACCTGGGAGAGAGTCCCCACCACTTCATTCTCCACCAGGGTTGTGGCGTGTCTTGTTGTTGGATTTATGTGTGTTCTGCAATAATTTTTAAATCATATTTCATTTTTCTAATGTAAATTTTTTAACTAAAGAAGATACATTTCTCATTTGATAATACATTTTCCCTTAAAATAGCTGCACTTTAATCTTGATTCCATTAGTTAACAGAAATCATTTAGAATGTTTGTTTTATGTATTAACCTGGTTAGTACAGGACAGAAAAAAATATATAACACAAGAAGTTATACGATTAGCAAAATACATGGGAAGGGGTTCGTTCTTAGGGAGAATTAAAAATGGGAATTAGGCCAGGCATGGTGGCTCACACCTGTATTCCCAGTACTTTGAGAGGTTGGGGTAGGCCGATCACTTGAGCCCAGGAGTTGGACAGCAGCCCGGGCAACATGGTGAAACCCCATCTCTGCCAAAAAAAAAAAAAAATTCAAAAACAATTAGCCAGGCAAGGCGATGTGTGCCTGTAGTCCCCGCTACTCAGGAGGCTGAGGTGGGAGGATGGCTTCAGCACAGGAATGGGAGGTGCAGTGAGCTGTGATCCTGCTACCACACTTCAGAATAATAGTAATATTGGATGCAGTAATTCCTTAATAAATATGTTTAAGTGAAGTACCAATGAATATCTAATAAATGAAAAAATTAAAAGAATGAGACTGGTGAAATGCCCTAAATGGTAGTTTGTTTTTTGTTTGATTGCTTTTTACCAAATGAAAATAGTTTTCTCATTTTTTTTTCTGATTGTAAAAATAAGTAGTCACTTAGAAATTTCAAACAAGACAGAACTGTATAGAAGGACAAATTAAAATGACCCCAAATCTCTCCATCAAGAGGGAACCACTGTTGACATTTTGGTCAGTATCTTTTTTATTATTACTATTATACTTTAAGTTCTGGGGTACATGTGCAGAACGTGCAGGTTTGTTACATAGGCAAACACGTGCCACGGTGGTTTGCTGCACCCATCAACCCGTCATCTACATTAGGTATTTCTCCTAATGATATCCCTTCCCTAGTCCCCCACCCCCTGACAGGCCCTGGTGTGTGATATTCCCCTCCCTGTGTCCATGTGTTTTCACTGTTCAAGTCCCACTTTGGTGAGTATCTTTTAAAACAGCTTTCTTTTCTTTTCTTTTTTTCCTTTTCGAGACAGAGTCTCGCTCTGTCGCCCAGGCTGGAGTTCAATCAATGGCTCGATCTCGGCTCACTGCAACCTCCGCCTCCCATATTCAAGCGATTTCCTGCCTCAGCCTCCCGAGTGGCTGGGACTACAGGCACCCACCATCATGTCCGGCTAATTTTTGTATTTTTATGGAGACAGGGTTTCGCCATGTTGGCCAGGCTGGTCTTGAACTCCTGATCTCAGGTGATCCGCCTGCCTCGGCCTCCCAAAATGCTGGGGTTACAGGTGTGAGCCACGGTGCCTGGCCTTAAACAGCTTTCTGTGAAGATAAACACAAAATTAAATTGTTACTAAGATAGATAAATGCTGTCTGCAACCTGAACATGGAGGTATACTGTATTCGGTTTAACCAACTGTGTTAAGTGATGGACTCAGCTTCTTTGAATTTTCTAGTAGTAAACAACTCTAAGAACATCCTTGAATATGCATCCATCCACACTCGAAAAAGTACAGCCTGGAAGAAATAATGATAAGTAGAATGTCTAGCAAAGAATATATAAATTTTAAATTTTGATTCATAAGGGCAGAATACATTCCAGAAATACAGAAATGTACAGTTCCAATAATAGTCATTCACTGTTTTCTTATATCCTCTCCAACATTTGATATTATCAATATATTTTTAAAATTTTAATGAGATAAAAAGACTTCATTTTTAAAATTTATTATTACTGAGATTGTTTTTTCACTGTTTTTGCTATTAGCATTTTTCTAGTTGCTAATGCCTCTTACTAACTTTTATTCTATTTTTATTTTTACTTTTTTGAGACAGGGTTTCATTCTCTTGCCGAGGCTGGAGGGCAGTGCCCAATCACAGCTCACTGCAGCCTCCACCTCCCAAGGCTCAGGTGATCCTCTCACCTCAGCCCCCACGGGCCACCACACTCAGTTATTTTTTGTATTTTTAGTAGAGATGGGGTTTCAATGTGTTGCCCAGGCTGGTCTTGAGCTCCTGGGCTCAAAAGATCCACCAGCCTTGGTCTCCCAAAGTGCTGGGATTACAGGAGTGAGCCACTGCACCCAGCCTCTTACTGACTTTTCAATAGGGATGCTTGCTTCTTATTTTTTAGAGCTAATCGCATATTGGGAATATTAAGTCTTTATACATGTTGAAAATATTTTCCCAGCTTATCACTGTTTTTCAATTTTGTTTAAAGTATTTAAATTTTTTTTACATAAGTATATTTTAAATTTTTGAGTAGTTACTTGTATTTCCTGGATTTTATGGCATGCTTGAAAATACCTTCTCCACCCATATGTTAACAGAGGACAGGGAGAGGTGAAAAAAGAGAATAATATATAGATAGACATTTTACAATTTATAAAGATAGGGAAAAAACTCAATTTATATTTTAATCAAATCACAACAAAACAAACAACTACAAAACAAAAATTCTGAGCCTTTCTGGATAAAGAAAATTGAACCAGATAAATTTTGAAGGTTTTTATCTCTTCTGGGATGGTACCAATACCTGGAGAAATGCTTTTACTGATTCAACAAATATCTGTTAAGTATCAGGCACTGTGCTTTAGTTTTGACTCAGAAAAAAAAGCATTGATTCTGAAAATAAAGTAAAATTACTACTGCCAGCAAAGAGCTTACAGACTACAATAGTCATGTATGTACAAGGCACAGCAGGAGCCTAGAACCCGCCTCCCTTCTTTATCTTATTCTACTTCTAAAACATAGGAGGAACAGTTGGCAAAATGCTAAAAATTCTAATTTCTTCAAAAATATTTCTTATGATTTCAAGAGAACATACTTAGAAGAGCCCCAAAGTCCCTTCTTCTGCATCTGCATCCACAGTTACTTCCCTGAGAGGAGGCAATGTTGCCTTTGAGACATTGACTGGGCTGTAATACTTAAACCTGTAATCATGTTTGATGCCAGGAAAATGTTTTCAAAACTCTGCACTATTTAACCAGCCAAGACATTTTGTGAAAAATATTTGTGAATGATTTCATCAAGAGATACTCGTTCACTTGAAGTAACAGATGAAAGCATTTGAAAATATTTGGTCATCTTAACTCTGTGTATGTGTGTGTGTGTTGAGTGTGTGAGAATGAAGGTGCATATGCTCATGTGTAGCAGTAGAATTTTACATATAATCATGTTTTGAAGTTAATACACTTTCTGTATTTGATTTTATAAGAAAGAATGAAAGGACATAAGAATCTATCTTGGCAGCCGGGCGCGGTGGCTCATGCCTGTAATCCCAGCACTTTGGGAGGCTGAGGCAGGTGGATCACCTGAGGTCAGGAGTTTGAGACCAGCCTGGCCAACATGGAGAAACCCTGTCTCTACTAAAAATACAAAAAAATTAGCTGGGTGTAGTGGTACATGCCTGTAATCCCAGCTACTTGGGAGACTGAGGCAGGAGAATCACTTGAACCTGGGAGGTGGAGGTTGTGGTGAGCCAAGATCGCGCCACCGCACTGCAGCCTGGGCAACAAGAGCAAAACTCTGTCTCAAAAGAAAAAAAAAAAAGAATCTATCTTAAAAATGAATGAAATAATAATAATCCCTTATTATTTTAATAGTTGTTTAGAAATTATTTTACCTTTATTATTCAGTCTTCACCAAAGCCTATGAAATAAGCACCAATATTTTCATTTTACATGATTGATTAAAAAATATGACTCAGTGTGATTAGGTAATTGAAGTTCAAAGGTAAAAGTAAAGCCCCAAGTTCATTGCTGTTTCCACCACACTACATCACACTATGCTAAATGCCTGTCTAACCTGTAAAAGGAGGTTTAGCAAGTTAGTTCTCAGCTATCTAAGCTCTGTCTTTATCATGATTTCATCGGCACATTGTGGTAGAAGGAACATGAACTTTGGAGTCAAATACTGTTCAGTTTAGCCTAAAGCTGCCTCCTTGTAAATTCAGCCTAAAGGTTTCTCTGGACATAGTGAATTGTAACGTAACGGGATGTGTGAACAGACTGTAATCTACTCTTGTACCAACCACCAAGTTTCAGCCAGTCACAGGCGACCAACTATTCAGATAAGACCAAAGCCAAGCTCGAATCAATCCAGCTGTTGATGCACCTCACTTCGTTCCTTTCTCTGTACATCACTTTGCTGTTTTCTGTCAGTAAATCCTGCCCAACCACATCACAGAGCCACAGTGGCTCTGAACCTATTCTAGTTTTGGAATTGTCTGATTTATGAAGGATTCCTTGCTTAATTAAACACTGTTGGATTTCATTTGTTTAAAGTTTTTCTTTTAACAATACCTAGGTTTGAATTCCAGTTCTGCCACTTACTAGCTGTGCATATTTGGGCCTAAACTCTCTGCCTTGCCTTCACTAGGAACCTTGGCAATGATAACACAATGGAGATTTGTTGTGATAGCTCTGGCAAATAACAGGTGATCGAGAATGTCTTTGAGACATAGACTGAACTCTCCTGGGATGCTGTCAAGAGACACACAATTGACTTGGGCAATGTAAGAATTGTGGGCAATGGGGCCCTGGACATATAGGCAAGAGCCAATAAATAGGAGTCAGTGTTGAGCTTTGCACTGATCCACATGCAGAGAATTGGTATTTGGCCATGATTAGATTTTTCTCATCTCTGATTCTCATATTCACATACGTCTAGGAGGCATTATATCAAGAAGACGGAAGTGGAATCTTGGGAACATGAGAGAAAAGTAGGAATGACACTTGTGAATACTTTTTACGAAGGCCAAAGTGAGTTTATCTAATCCTTTTTTTTTTTTTTTTTTTTTTTACTCTTTATAGCCAGTGGCGTCTGTGTCTTTAAATGCTTACTCAACAGAGACACTGAGTGTTGCTGTGTGTGGAAGGAGTCCATCTTGATGACTCTGGGGTACAGCAGTGCTTTACTGAAGGTTGAGTCTCATGCTGGTAAGTTTTGTGCATATCCAGGCCCTCTGTCTTATCCAAAGAAGAATCTCCTGATTCTTCTCACTTTCAGTGGTTACTGATTAGTTGGCTTTTGAAGCATGTTTCCTGATACCAGTCAATTCTCATGCATTGATGAAATGATTTTAAGCTGGTCTTGGTACTTACTTGATACCATAGCTAGAGAAAAATCAATCTTTTCCTAGAGTATGAGAATGTTTTTATTCTTTTATTATTATTATTATTATTATAATACTTTGAGTTTTAGGGTACATGTGCACAACGTGCAGGTTAGTTACATATGTATACATGTGCCATGCTGGTGTGCTGCACCCATTAACTCGTCATTTAGCATTAGGTATATATCCTAATGCTATCCCTCCCCCATCCCCCAACCCCACAACAGTCCCCTTCCTGTGTCCATGTGTTGTCATTCTTCAATTCCCATCTATGAGTGAGAACATGCGGTGTTTGGTTTTTTGTCCTTGCAATAGTTTACTGAGAATGATGATTTCCAATTTCATCCCTGTCCCTACAAAGGACATGAATTCATCATTTTTTATGGCTGCATAGTATTCCATGGTGTATATGTGCCACATTTTCTTAATCCAGTCTATCATTGTTGGACATTTGGCTTGGTTCCAAGTCTTTGCTATTGTGAATAGTGCCGCAATAAACATACGTGTGCATGTGTCTTTATAGCAGCATGATTTATAGTCCTTTGGGTATATACCCAGTAATGGGATGGCTGGGTCAAATGGTATTTCTAGTTCTAGATCCCTGAGGATTCGCCACACTGACTTCCACAATGGTTGAACTAGTTTACAGTCCCACCAACAGTGTAAAAGTGTTCCTATTTCTCCACATCCTCTCCAGCACCTGTTGTTTCCTGACTTTTTAATGATAGCCATTCTAACTGGTGTGAGATGGTATCTCATTGTGGTTTTGATTTGCATGTCTCCGATGGCCAGTGATGATGAGCATTTTTTCATGTGTCTTTTGGCTGCATAAATGTCTTCTTTTGAGAAGTGTCTGTTCATATCCTTTGCCCAGTTTTTGATGAGGTTATTTGTTTTTTTCTTGTAAATTTGTTTGAGTTCATTGTAGATTCTGGATATTAGCCCTTTGTCAGATGAGTAGGTTGCGAAAATTTTCTCCCATTTTGTAGGTTGCCTGTTCACTCTGATGGTAGTTTCTGTTGCTGTGCAGAAGCTCTTTAGTTTAATTAGATCCCATTTGTCAATTTTGGCTTTTGTTGCCATTGCTTTTGGTGTTTTAGACATGAAGCCCTTGCCCATGCGTATGTCCTGAATGGTAATGCCTAGGTTTTCTTCTAGGGTTTTTATGGTTTTAGGTCTAAGGTTTAAGTCTTCAATCCATCTTGAATTAATTTTTGTATAAGGTGTAAGGAAGGGATCCAGTTTCAGCTTTCTACATATGGCTAGCCAGTTTTCCCAGCACCATTTATTAAATAGGGAATCCTTTCCCCATTGCTTGTTTTTCTCAGGTTTGTCAAAGATCAGATAGTTGTAGATATGCGGCATTATTTCTGAGGGCTCTGTTCTGTTCCATGGATCTATATCTCTGTTTTGGTACCAGTACCATGCTGTTTTGGTTACTGTAGCCTTGTAGTATAGTTTGAAGTCAGGTAGCCTGATGCCTCCAGCTTTGTTCTTTTGGCTTAGGATTGACTTGGCGATGCAGGCTCTTTTTTGGTTCCATATGAACTTTAAAGTAGTTTTTTCCAGTTCTGTGAAGAAAGTCATTAGTAGCTTGATGGGGATGGCACTGAATCTATAAATTACCTTGGGCAGTATGGCCATTTTCACGATATTGATTCTTCCTATCCACGAGCATGGAATGTTCTTCCATTTGTTTGTATCCTCTTTTATTTCGTTGAGCAGTGGTTTGTAGTTCTCCTTGAAGAGGTCCTTCACATCCCTTGTAAGTTGGATTCCTAAGTATTTTATTCTCTTTGAAGCAATTGTGAATGGGAGTTCACTCATGATTTGGCTCTCTGTTTGTCTGTTATTGGTGTATAAGAATGGTTGTGATTTTTGTACATTGATTATGTATCCTGAGACTTTGCTGAAGTTGCTTATCAGCTTAAGGAGATTTTGGGCTGAGACAATGGGGTTTTCTAGATATACAATCATGTCATCTGCAAACAGGGACAATTCGACTTCCTCTTTTCCTAATTGAATAATGTTTTTATTCTTAGCCCTCCTTTTGGTCTTCCTTCATCCTAAGCTGCAGGAGAGACTACCAAAGGTTGTCCAGATCTTCACCACTGTTGTCAATTCTCCTTGAAGATGAGGTTGTTTGCAGAAATGCGACTTTCAGTTTGAGCGGTGGTCAGAATGATTTCATCCTGTTTTTGTCTTTGAATCATTTACTGAGCATTTTTTGACTCTGGGCAATAAAAATCAAGCAACAGAGAAGTAAATTAAAGTGTAACTAGAAGTATTTTAAGAAAGTACTGAACCACCCTCTGAAAGATTTCCAGCCTGATAAAGAAAATTAGAACTAACAGTGCCTTGGGTCAACCTTGGATGGTTGAGTGTCATTTCTTTAACTTAGATATAAGTTGTTCCATCTCACATATGGTGTTAATCCACATACAGTGTAAAATGCTAGCAATGGTATGGATTCTTCTCTGGTTAACTAAAATATCCAAGGCTCTTTTATTATTAACTACCTTGGGATAAAGAAGTTAAACTGATTTCTAAACTGACTCTGGAGTCAGCCAGAGTGAGGAACTTTCTTTATCATATATCTATCCATACATCTGTCTCTGAATCCATCAGTCTACCTTATCTTTAATCATGAATTTCAGAGTAAATTTTAATAGTCAGCATGTTTCACCCCCGTATATTGTGCATATCATTAATTAGAATTCAAAATTTGTTGATGATTTTTATTTGTTTCTATTGAGGTTAAATTTACAAATTGTCCATTGAAGTACACAAATCTTAAGACACTATCGTTCCTGAAAATTACCTCATGCCCTTTCCCAGTCATTCCCCACTGCCATTCTGCCAGGGGTAATCATCACTCTTCTGATATTTTTCCCACCATAGAGTAGCTTTGTCTTTTCTAGAACTTCCTATAAATGAAATAATTCAATATATACTCTCTTTATTAAGGTCACTCAGCATAGTGTTTTCAGGCTCGTCTGTGTTGTTACAAGTATTAGCAATTTGTTCATCTTTCTTGCTAAGTAGTAGTCACAATTTGTTTATTCTCATTTTGATGGATATTGAGGCTGTTTCCAGATTTTGTCTATTATGAATATGGCTGCTATAAATATTCTCATTCCAATATATTTCTATACATATTTTTTTCATTTCTCGAGTCAAAAATCTAAGAGTAAAATTCCTGGGTCATACAGTAAGTGCATGATGAGTTTTACAGGAAATAGCCAGAATTTTTTTTCCAAAGTGGTTATAGCATTTTACACTCCCAGCAACAAATAATGAATGAGAGTTCTGGTTGTTCCACGTTCTTGCTAAAATTTGCTCTTGCATGAGATATGAGTTATATCTCATTACAGTTTCAATTTCCATTTTCCTGATGTCTAATGATGTTAAGCACTTTTTCATGTGCTTATGAGTTCAAATTGTTTGCCTGTTACTAACTGGCTGTGTGTCCATAGAGTAGTTGTTCTGTATATATCCAGGATACCACGCTTGTATCAGATATGTAATTTATGGATGCTTTGTAGTTGCTTATTCATTACCATAATGTTGTCTTATGTTGAGCAGAAGTTTTAAAATTTGAAGTCTAATTAATCATTCTTCTTCTTTGTTTATTGCTCTCTGTGTCCTAAGAACCCTTTGCTACTTTCAGTACTAAATGATTTGTCCTATGTTTCCTTCTAGAAGTTTCCTAGCTTTAGCTTTTATATTTTAGGTATGTAATTCATCTAAATTATTTTTCATATGATATGAAGTATGAGGCCAAGAATTATTTTTAGTTCATACAGATATCCCGCTATTCTAATAATGTTTACTGAAAAGATATTTTCAAGTCAAATGACCATATAAAAGTCTTGAACTTTATTCTGTGCCTTTGATTATCCTTATACCAATATCGCATTGTCTGGATTACCTTTAAAGTAACTCTTGAGGTCAGATAGTCTATGTCCTTGAACTTAGTTCTTCTTTGACATGATTGTTCTGGATCTTTTGGTCCTTTGCATTTCTGTATCCATTTATAATTAAGTTGTCAATTTCTACAAAAATGCTTGATCCGATTATAATTGAGATTGATCAGTTTGGTGAGAATTGTACTTTTAACAATTTATTGAATGTATTGAGCAATTTATTGAAAAGGCAAAAGAGAGCAACTGTCCCTGACAGTTTCCAAATTATAGATAAAAGTCCAGTATGCTACCATGAAGTATAATATTTGTTGTATTTTTTTGTGGATGATCTTTCTCAGATTCAGGAAATTCCCTTCTATCCTTAGTTTGCAGAAAATTTTTATCATTATTAGGCATTGGATTTTGTCAAACTTTTTTAAAACTATTGATATGATAATATTCTATAACTTTGGTTAATTGCTTTGAATGATGTGCTTTGTGTAGAATTGATATTATTTGTCTGTTAAATGTTTGATAGAATCCACCTGTGAATTTATTGAGGCTTGAGATTTTATTCATGGGAATATTCATGGCAATTCTTTAATAGATATGGGGCTCTTCAGATTTTCTTCTTGTTTCAATTTGATATTTTATATCCTTTCATGGAATTTTCCATTTCATCAAAGATGTCAGATTCATTGGCAAAATTGTTCATAATTTGCATGTTATCCTTTTAATTTTGTAAGATTTGTAATAATTTCTGCTATTTGTTTTCTGATAGTTGTTATTAATGTTTCCTCTTTTTTTCTTTGATCAGCGTAGGTAGGGGTTTATCAATTTTATTAGTTTCTCAACAAATCAAATTTGGCTGTATTCGTTTCTCTATAGTTTTTCTATTTTTTATTTCATTGATTTCTAGTCTTATTTTTATTATTTTCTTCATTCTACATTCTTTGGGCTTGCTTTGCTCTTTTGTTACAGCTTCTTATAGTGAAAACCTAGGTCACTAACTTCATTCTTTTACTTTTTCTAATACAGTTTCTTAAAACCATTAGATTTCCACTAAGCATGGATTATCTATATAACCAAATTTTGGTATGTTGCATCATCATTATTATTCAGTTCAAAATATATACTACTTTCTATTGTAATTACTTCTTTGACCCCTGGGATAATGAGAAGTGGTTTAATTTCCATGTACTTGGGAATTTTTCGTATATTTTTTGGTTATCGAAGCTGGACATTCTAAATGTTGTGCGTCAAGTGTCTGGATTTTGTAACCTTCCTTTAAGGAATATTGAGGTTTGCTCAGGTAGGCAGATTACCTAGTATAGGTCAGCTTCATTATTCTGAGGCTTATTTTTAGTTGTGCTATGGCTAAGAAATCTTTATTCCAGGTCCAGTTTAGATATGCTACTAAAGTGTGAACAAACTGTGTTTTCTGATGTATGTCTGAAGTGTTCAACAAGGTCTTCTCACACTGACTTGTTGGAACTATAAACTTTCTCCATGTTATATTATCTCTGGCAATTGTTCAGCTTAGAAAAATTAGAGCTCCTTGAAGTTATTCTTTTCCCATAGAGGTTTTTGTCCACTTGCGGAAACTTACCATATATATGCGCTGCTTAGAATTTATCAAGCTAGAAACTCAAGGGGAGCCTTTTGTAGATATTTTGAGCTCCTTCTTGATATAACTCCTTTCTGTTTGACAATCCACTGTAGAAATTCCAGCAGCAGCTTCAGCCTCCCTGAATGCCATTCTTTGTATTTTTAACTCAGCAAGACCATTTTGCTCTATTTTGCTTCCCACACCCTACGCTGAAGTCTGGATAGTGCCTCAAGACAGAAAACCAAGTTAATCATAGCACTGACCTTATTGGTTTAGCTTCTTTTAAAGATCACAGTTTGGCATGGACTGTTCTCCATTGTGTGACAGCTATTGTTTCACATATTTTGCTTAGTTTTCTTATGGCAATGGGTGGGAAGGTATGGTAGCAGTTAATGTCATGATTATGAGTAGAAGTCCTCCATATTTCTTTGAAGAAAAAGAGATTCATACACTTAGAACCCTTTAGATTTGGATGAAAAGCCAGACTCGATCAACATTTCCATTCCTCTGTATTCTCATTCTGACACACATTCTTGCCCGTTCATGCAATTGAACAGAGTCAGAAACTTCTGCTCTCTGAGCCAGGCAAAACAGTCTTCAACTCAAAATATTTGCAAATGCTTCCTTCCAATTAATGATAGATCAGCCTTTTTGACTTCGATATTCCTATAATGTATGCAAATGACATGTTTCTATTATCTTCAGGAATCCTCCTGTGATCTTAAAGTGTGCCTCCAAAATACTGACTACTGATACATAGGGCTACCATTACAGACCATATCGAAAAGCCAATTTTTTTTGGATCAAGATTTGTGAAGAATCTGAGATTTTATCCTATTTGCAAGGTAACAAGTTACATTGCCTCTGTTTCATGGGTGCTGACAAAGGACATAGGGATCCTGGTTCAGAGATAAAGGCTTTATTACTCAGAGAAAGAGCATTAGCCAGAGTGTCAGCACATTGTCAGTTCTGTGAGCTCCAGTTCCCACAGGCAGATGCAGAGGCCAGGTGGTTACCTATAGATGTAGTCAGTTGCATTATAGGAGAGGACCACTGAACTTGGAGAACCTGCTATTTTATAGCAAGAAGTAAGAAAGCCTGCTGTTTATTCCAGAGGAAGATGTCACTTCATCCCTTGAGATTGCTTGCTGCATACATAACTCTGAGAAATAGCCCAGACAAAGAGTGGTCGAAGTCTTGCATTCTTGGCATACTCAGCAAGACAGGTATGAATCCCAGTATGAGACTGACAGAGAAACGTCTCCCAGCATTTTTGTTCCATGTGGAGGAGGGAAAAGATACTCTTACGTATAGACACAAACACTGAGACAATGGTAGTATAGGAAGCTTAATTCATACATCAGATCAAACTAGACACAAACACATACATGAACAATCTTTGTAGGAAATACAGACATGGTTGAGGCAATTTAGAATTTCCTCTACAGCTAAGATAAAATGATATTTGTAGTATAAGATATTCCATAGTATACCTCTCTTAATAATTCAATTGCGACAAGCCTCACACCTTGAAAAATTATGCCCCCACCAACCTGGTTATAGAGAAGTAGGTGCTTCAGTCATTCAAGATATCCTGAAAACTACAGAGAAACAACACTGAATGAGGATAAATACCAGCCTCAGGGCTTTTCACTTATTTGAGGGGACCAGATATCCATTAGATAAAAATAATTTAAGTAGGCTTGAGACAGAAATACAACCAGGTATTCGGATAGCAATAAACCGGAAATAATTTAGAAACAGACTCAGTGAGAGCAAAATCACTCTCTCGGTTCAGTTAGCTGCACCCCAGAAGCCAAGGAAGACAGGCCTAGTTATAAGGGGTTTGTAGGTTGTACTTCTTGGGCAGTGCAGCTTGGTTAGCCCTGGTGGATCAGTCCATGTGGACATCTTGGTGGGTCCTTTATGTTAAAAGTCAAAAAAATAAAAAACATTTTTTTAATACTGAGTTTTATCTGCAACAGTAAAACATATATGAAGGAATTCTGCCTTCACAACAAATGGCTCCCAGATAAAGAGAGCCATGTTTACTTATATTTATAGGTCAAATATAACATCTTGCAATCCTGATTGGATTACATTTGGGTCAGTTTTAATAAAAGCAAGAAATTCCTATCTTCGGTAATGAAAATCAGGATAAGCCTTATCTCAGGATGTGACTTGGAAGGTCCCAGATGGCCCAGATCCCAGGTGGCAGTGGATCTTGATTGTCATTTGTCAGCCTGGGTGTTGACAGAAGGCTGTCTACTTATATCACTGCCTATCAGATACAATCACTGAGTTTTCAAGATGTGTGCTGATTTCCTGGAATAAGAGGATGTGGAGTTTGAAATGCAAGGCTTTTGTTTTATATTTAGAAATGAGTGAACAGCTGCCAAGTATCTGTAACTTGGGTAAAAAATAAATCCACCTTCACTGGGGGGTTGACCTGTGTTGATAATTAGGAGGCACTACTAGGAAAGAAATGATCAAATATACAAATATGACAGTGTGAGGACTATTTCTTCCCTCTCTTCCTTCTTCAGAATTGTGACTCAGTGATTTCCAAGCCTGATTTGGTCATATGTCAGATAATCTCCAGTAATCTCAAATACTGGTATGAAATCCTAAAAATAAAATATATTTTAATTCAGTGTATTTTGGAAGCAGTGGGAATATTTAATGAGTGTCATAAAAAAAAAAAAAGAGTCTCACTCTGTCACCCAGGCTGGAGTGCAATGGCACAATCTCGCTCAGTGCAACCACTGCCTCCCGGGTTCAAGTGGTTCTCGTGCCTCAGTCTCCTGAGTAGCTGGGATTACGGGCGCGTGCCACCACACCCAGCTAATTTTTGTGTTTTTAGTAGAGATGGGGTTTTATCATGTAGTCCAAACTGGTCTTGAACTCCTGATCTCAGGTGATCCACTTGCCTTGGCCTCCTAAATTGCTGGGATTATAGGTGTGAGCCACCGCACCTGGCCAAGTGTCAAAAATTTTTTTAAGTTTTTTTTTTTTAAAGTTTAATTAATGGACTTACAGTAATATCTGTGAAGCATTGACTATGTACTTACAAGATATCTGCAAGGTTAATTCTTGTTCATCTATCCATTCATCCAGTCATTCAACAAATACTTATTGAGAGTCAGTTATGTGCCAAGTACTTCTTTATGTGCTGAAGATACAGCACTGAAGAAATAGAAGTTCTTACAATTACAAAGCTGACATTTTCAGGAAGGGACACAGACAATAAGCAAATAAACATATAGTGGGTTACGTGCGATAAGTGTGGAAAAGACAAACCAGAATAAGAAACAGAGAATAGCTGGGAATTAAGTCAATGTACTACATATAGGTAATTTTGGAGGGGGTAGCCTCATAATAAGATGACATCTGAGTAGAAAACTACAATGGGGATGGGGAGGAGCCGTGTGCATCTGTGCTAAGGGTGGTCCAGACAGAGGGAGCAGAACTACAAGGCCCTTGAAGCAAGATGTGTTCAAAGGATGGAGGAGAAGGCAGGAGACAGGATCAGATTGCTAGAGGCCTGGTCAGGTGAGACACTAGGGACCATAATGAGGACTTTAGCTATGTTTTGAGGGAGATGAGAAGCTTTGGAGAACTTGTAGCAGGGGCTTGACATGGTCTGGGAATGATATCATTTTTATATACTTTTTAAAGGTACGCATTTATACCCTCTCTCACTGTAATTCTCATAGCAGACCCATGAGGTTGGTATATTTCATTATTCCCATTTTTCAGCAAAGACACTAAGGCTCACAAATATTAAGAAAATTGCCTAGGTGACAAAAATAAAATACAAGGCCCCTTCTCTTTCTATGTCCTCCAGACTTCCCCTTCACCTTTCATTGCATTGGCTGCTGCCGTCTAACGTAGAAAACTCATGTCATTATATGGGATGATATCAAGAACATGGGAAAACCAACTTTTATCAACGTTTCACTAACTGTCAAAAACAAATAGAGACACCGGCAGACTTCATTCTGGGGACTTATGAGTCATGGAAAGGTTTCTTCAGGAATTTGAAAAATTTTCAAACTTACAGAACAGTTACATAAACATAACAGAGAACTTATGAATACCCTTTAAATAGATTCATTAATGTGTAGTGTTTTGTCACATTGGGTTTATCTCTTTCTCTGTATGTGTGTGTGCACATATATAATCACATAATTTTATTTCTGAACCTTTTGAGAATAATTTGCATATGACACATTCCTTTACCCTTTGTACTTCATTGGGCATTGCCTGTGAATAAGAATATTCTCTTACGTAACCATAGTAGAGTTATCAAATTCAGGAATTTAACATTTATATAATATTTGCTTGATCTATAGCCCATAGTCCAATTTCATAAATGGTCCCAATTTATGCCTTTATAGCATATTTTTCCCTCTCCATTACTGGATCTGGCCCAGGACCAAGTCTTGCATTTAGTTGTCATGTTTCTTTAGTCTCCTTTAATTTGAAACAGTTCTTCAGCCTTTTCTTTCTTTTATGACATGGATATATTCAAAGAATATGGACCAGTTATGTTATAGAATATTCCCCATTTGTGTTTCTTTTCTGGTTTCCTCATGAAAAGATTAGTTTACACATCCCCAGGCAGAAAACTACCCAAGTTCTATTGTGTCCTTCTCAGGATATCACATCAGGGAGCACCAAAGCCCATCTACCCCTCATTGGTTTTGATCACCAGATCAGGATGTTTTCCAGTTCCTCCACTGCAAAGTTACTCTTCTTTCCCTGTTAGCCATAACTCATAAGCAATCTGTGCAAAAGCACTTTGAGATCCCACAAATATCCTGTTCCTCATCATATAGCCTCCTACCTCAAATTTAGTATCCGATTGTTATCCATTGCTTTGGAAAGACAGTTGATCTTTTTGTGTGTTAGCCTTGTATCCTGCAACCTTGCTAAGTCACTTAGTTCTTATATGATTTTTTGGATAGATTCCTAGAAGTTTCTACATAAGTGGTTATATCAGCTGTGATTAGAGACAGTTTTACTTTCTTCCTATCCTGTCTGTATGTCTCGCCTTCCTTCCTTTTTTTTCTTTTTTTTTTTTTTGCCTTATTGCATCAGCTAGGTGCTCTAGTACAATGTACAATGTTGTATAGAAGAGAGTGAGCATCCTTGCCTCTTTCATGAACTCGAGAGTATTTACTTTCCCTCGTGTTAGCTGTAGGTTTTTTTTAAAATAGATGCCCTTTATTAAGCTGAGAAAGGTCTATTATATTTCTAATTTGCCGAGAGTTTCTACTTTGAATGTATGTTTCATGAAATGCTTTTTCTGAATCTACAGAGATGATTATATCATTTTTATTTTAGTCTGTTAATATATGGATTTTTCAATGCTAAAACAACCTTGAATTTCTGAGTTAAACCTCATTGTCATGATGTATGACCCTTTTAACATATTGCTAGATGAAGTTTGCTAGAATTTTATAAATGATTTTTGTGTCTGTGTTTATTTGGTATTGCTTTGTAGTTTTCTTAATGCCTTTGTGGGGCTTGGGTATCAGAGTAATATTGGCCTTATAAAATGAGCTGGGACATGCTCCCTAATCTTTGGGGAACTGTATAGAATTGGTGTCATTTCTTCAAATATCTCATGTTTTATATTGATAATAGGTCTTATCTTTTTATTTTCTTGATTAGCCTAACAAGAGGCTTATCAATTTTGTTGATCTTTTCAATGAAACAGCTTTTGGTTTCATTCATTTTTCTCTATTTTGTCCATTTTCTATCTTATTGATTCTTTCTCTCATCTTTGTTATTTTCTTTTCTCTGATTACTTTGTTTCTCTGATTACACTTCTCTAACTTAAGCTTAGATTGTTAAATTCTTTCCTTTGTTGTAATGCACTCCTTTAATGCTGGACATTTCTTTCCACACTCTGCTCTAGCAACATCTCATAAATTTGGGTATGTTGTGGTTTCCTTGCTATACAGTTCAATATATTTTCTAATTTTTATTGTTATTTTCTCTTTGACCTATGGATTTATTTTTTGATCCATGGATTATTTGGGGATGTTTAATTTCCAATCATTTGGGGATTTTCCAGATATCTCTTGGTTATGATTTCTAGTTGAATTCTTTCTTGATCTGGGAAAATGCTCTGTACGATATTAATGGTTTCACATTTGTTGGAGTCTGTTTTATGGCCCACAATATGGTCCATGTTGGTGAATGTTCCATGAGCACTTAAAAAGAATGTGTGTTTTGTTCTTGTTGGGTGGCGTTTTCTCTAAATATCAGTTGGGTCAAGTTGGTTGATCCCTAATGGTTCTTGGTCTACTTGTTCTATTAATTATTGAGGGAGGAGAATTGGAATTACAAGCTATAACTGTTTATGTTTTATGTCCCTTTTCCATATCATAGATGATATTTCATTGAGTATATGTGAAGTTATGCTTCAGACGATTACAAAAGAAGGCAAAAAGTAAAAACTCCAACTTTCTACCAGCTGTTTTTCAATTTTTTTCTTCTAGCAGCTGTTTTTCAATTTTTTTCTCTTATAGGGAAAACTCATACTTCATTTAAACCCAGCTGGAGCATGACTGCTGTATGCCTCTCTGCTCTCAGTATTTATTATAGCAACCATCTTCTCTGGTCCCTGTTTCCTGCTGAGCAAGTGCACAAAATATGCGTTCTACTGAAAGATTTATGGGTAAAATAACATGATGTCTGGAATTAGCTTTAAAATGTACAGCAAAAAAAAAAATTCCCCAAAAGGCACGGCAGTACAGATGAATTAAGATGAAAAAAATCTTAACAAATTTTAAATCTTGGGAATAGGATTCTGTATATTAATCTAACTGTGTACATTTGAGATTTTTCATAACAAAAGTTGAAAAAACTCATAATGCTTGAAAAGTTCACAAAAACATGACTTGGGGTATGAGGAGCTACAAAGAAAGGATGTCACTCATCTACAAGTTGATTAATCTGCTGGTCGTCTAAAGTGTAATGATCAAAAGTATTGGAGCTGCCTTGAAATACTCTCTTAACAATTACAGTAGCAAGAGCAGGAGGCTGGGGTGGCTGACTAGTGGAACTTGAGAATCTTTATAGTTTGCAATTTGCTGCATGTGACTATTAGCTTCCAGGTGAAGTAGAACATAGTTATTTGTTATAGGACACACTGTGCTCAGCATTAACATTTGTATCCCCCTCTTTCTTCTTCAAAATGCATTCAAATCTCTCAGCTCTCTTAGGAGCATGAAAGGAATAAATATCATTTAATAAATTAAAACAAAAGAAAATGTTCTGGCAGCGTGCCGTGGCTCACGCCTTTGATCCCAGCACTCTGAGAAGCCAAGATGGGAGAATTGCTTGAGGCTGGGAGTTTGAGACCAGCCTGGGCAACACAGGCAGACCCTGACTCTACCAAAAAAAAAAAATTAAAAGTGATCCGGGCATAGTGGTAGTCCCCTATGCCCCAAATATAATGTGTATAGATATTACATATATTATATATTTTACATATATAATAAATTATTTATATTATATATTATACATTTTATGTATATAATAAATTATTTATATTATATATTATATATGTTAAATATATAATATATTATTTATATTATATATTATATATAACATATAATATATATTATTTATATTATATATTATATGTAACATATAATATATATTATTTACATTATATATTATATGTAACATATATAATATATATTATTTACATTATATATTATATGTAACATATAATATATATTATTTACATTATATATTACATGTAACATATATTATATATTATTTACATTATATATTACATGTAACATATAATATATATTATTTACATTATATATTACATGTAACATATATAATATATATTATTTATATTATATATTATATGTAACATATTATATATTATTCATATTATATATTATACATAACATTATATATTATTTATATTATATATTATATAACATATTTTATATATAAAAATAACATATATAATATAACATATATGTTATATATGTTATATATATTATATATGTATATGTAACATATATAATATATGTTATATATGTAACATATATAATATATGTTATATATGTTACATATATAAATTACATATGGGGCATAGGGGAATACCATTATGCCTAGCTGATTTTTAATTTCATATATATATATATATAGAGAGAGAGAGAGAGAGACCGACAGACAGACACAGAGACAGACAGACAGACAGACAGACAGAGACAGAGTCTCACTCTGTTGCCCAGGCTGGAGTGCAATAGTGTGATCTCGTCTCACTGCAACCACCACCTCCGGGGCACAGGTGATTCTCCTGCCTCAGCCTCCTGAGTAACTGGGATTACAGGCACCTGCCACCACACGTGGCTAATTTTTGTATACTTAGTAGAAATGGGGGCTTTACCATGTTGGCCAAGCTGGTTTCGAACTCCTGACCTAAGCGATCCGCCCACCTCAGCCTCCCAAAGTGCTGGGATTACAGGTGTGAGCCACTGCACCTGGCTGGCAATATATTTTACAATTAAAAAAAAAAAAAAATATATATATATATATATATATATATATATATATACACACACACATATATATATATGTATGTCTTTTGATCTGACTTCTAGGAATTTAACCTAAACATATTCATAAATGAGCAAAATGAAATTTAAGAAACTATTAACATTAAATCATTATTCGTAATAGCAATATACTGAAAACAACAAAAGTGTTCATCTTCAGGCGATGGGTGGTTTGGAATACCATACAGCTATTTTAAAAATTTTTACTTATGAAAAGAACTTCTAGTTCAATTAAAATTTTCTGTTCTTGGCTAAAATTAAAGCAAGTTTATTACGAAAGCAAAGGAATAATAAAAAAAGTCTAATCCATAGGCAGAGCAGCGGCATGAGCTGCTTGACTGAGTATACTTATAGTTACTTCTTGAGTATATGCTAAACGGGGTGGATTATTCATGAGTTTTCTGGGAAAGGGGTGGATATTTCCTGGAACTGAGGGTCCTTCTCTTTTTTAGACTTAACTAGGGGAAACTGTTTATACTGTCTGTTACTCAGTTTAAGAAATATTTATTCAGTGTTTAGAACTCCCAGCCCTTCAGGTACTGTGCTGGGTGCTAAGGATGTAATATTTTATTTTATTGATTTTCCATTTTTTGAGCACTTTGTCACCAGATAAGTGCCTCCCACAACTCTCTCAACTTCTCTTTGTAAGAGAAACCTCCCTATGCTTCCCAGATAAGGTAGTGATACCTCCAAACCAGTTTGATTCATGGAATCTCAGGAGAGTATATTGCATCCTATGGTCCCACTGACCATGTATGAAGAGGCAGTGTGCTATATTAAACCCACCTCGGGGAAGGAAACTCTTTATTAATAATTTATTGATGAGACAATATATTGTTTGTCCACTTATAGAATTTCCATATTGGGAAATTTCCATATTGTGCCCTCCAATGTAGCTTTTTACAACCCTCCCTCCTTTCTAAAGATACACATACTTGGCCTTCTTCACCTATTTATGGCACCTGTGTGACCGTGAAGGACTTGAGTATGCCACCCCTTTCCAGGGTAGACCATGGAAGAACAGGCAAGGACTAATCGGTGTGCTCAAGGACTATCATAGTCCACATGGCACCTTGTCCAAATTGGGGAGAAAAAACCCAACCTTCCTTAAGACAGGTTTTTTCTTTCATCTGTCATAAAGTTATGATATACTGATTTTGTTAGAAAAATGAATTCACTGCCATTTGCTAAAGAATTTATAATAAATAAATCTATGATGCTTTTGATAAAAAAAAAACATGGTCCCAGGGTTGTGCAATGCACATCCTGCACAACTGTACATGGCTGTCTTGTATATTTAAATTAAGTATGGTCTGTATTTCATAAGGAAACTTATGGAAAACTTACAGGCTTTCCTGGGCATTCCATTAAGTGATCTGAGTTTGGAGCAGATCATTAAAAGAACAAGGAAGATCACAGAGTGACAGTAAGATCACCCTTATCTCATTTTCTCTTTGGTTAAGAGAAAACACCTTGTTCTTTCTAACAGGCAGCTTTTCAGCTCAAACTCTGTTCTGGACCAGTCTTGGGGGTAGGAGGAGCAAAATCCAGGGAGGAATGGTTGAATGGGAGAAGGAAACCAAAGTGGAGGAGATTTTTGAGAGGTAATGTCAAGGAGGTGAAGAGTTTTTTCCATTTGGTTTGTGGCCGCTAGACCTTCTTGCCCATACAGAACTGACCCTGGGAAGCTGTTCTTTCTGGGCCTGAAAATGACTTCTCTCATTAGTGATTAATGTTACCTATTCAGGGGTCTTAAGAGAGATGGCCCTTCGACTTTCATGTTCTCAGCTCAACATTCATTTATTCCTTTTCTATTTTTTCTTTATTCATCTTTTTCCTTTTATTTATACAATAACTGTTTTTGAGCACCTACTAAGAAAAGGCACTATTACAGATCCCTGTTCTCATGGACAGACCATGTTCTAAATAGAGCTTCTGCCCAAGCAGCTGCTTCAGAGAACCCCTCTCAACTGAAGATACATTTTAGTTTGTTCCGATTCCATGTTAAAGTTTATTTTTCATTATTATATTTGAGATAAAAATAAGGCTAATATATCACTGTTAGCATTTTGGTTTAATTATTTTCAGCATTTTTGTTTTGTATCCATTTTTGAATAGTTGTGATCATTATTTAAATGTTATTTTATATTCACCATCTTCATTTAATGCTCTATAATAAGCATATTTTCATGTTTGTTAGACTTTATGACTTCAAAAATATATAAATAATAGTCCACATGAGAATTCCTGTAATTTGCTTAACCAATCGCCTGTAGTAGAACATTTAAATAGTTTCTGCTTTTTTCTATCATAAATAATATTTTTTCTATTATAATTAGTAGTAGCAACTTTGAAAATTATAAATAAATAGACGTCTTTGGGAGGGGTAGCTTTTGGATGGTTTCATTCAGATCAATCCTAAGAGGTTGGACAACTCTGCCAAAGGATATGAACTTTTTGTTTTTTGCTCTGCTACATGCTGCCAAATTGCTTCCCAAAACACATGTTCTGTTTTGTGATTTATGATGATTCCAGCAGTGTTTGAAAGTATCATTTCACTGAAACCTCATAAAAATTGGACATTGGAAGTTTTTAAATACTGCCTAATTCAGTTGTTCTGAAAAAAAAATAAGTAGATCCTTTAAATTTGTATTTCTTTATATTCTATTGATGTGAAACTGAGGAGGATTTTGTTAACATACCAGAATTTGATCTTGGGACACTGGGTGGCATCATCTCTCTGCCATCGTGAAACCATCTACTCAGGCAGTGGCGGTCATCAGAGCTGTTCATGGGCATTCATTCTTGTCTCCTTCTTCTAGTCACATGATGAGATTACACTTCCCTACTCCCTCAAGTTAGGCGCGGACATATGGCTTGCTTTGTCTAATGAGTGTGAGTGAGAGCAACGTGTCACTTCTGGCTGAAGATTTTACACATCATTGTGAGAATCACCATGTTCCTGTTTTCTTGCGTCCATGATCCCAGGCACTTTCTAGCCTGGGTTTTTGGGTGAGGATAACATGAAGCAAAGGCCCTACAGTGGTCTGTGATGGACAGGCAGAATAACTGAGAAGTAAATTTGTTCTAGGCCACTGAGATTTGAAGATTGTGTGTTACAAAGCACAGCCACCTGTCCTGACTGATTTGGCCAACATGAACAGTTCAGTTGCCTGCATTGCCGTGCCACAGCACTAGGGTGCCAGGCCATTGCAACACTACAGAGCACTGCAGCAGATCTTGGAGTCAGGTGCTTTTCCAAACAAGGAAAGAGTTCAGCGGTATTTATGTATAATCCATTCAATTCCAAGCAACAAAGTGGGTGACAACACTATGCCATCTGCCAGCTCAAATTATTTTTGTCATCTCAGATTAAAAATTCTGTTTTAATATTCAGCAGGGAAATGACTTAATGCTGGTTGGCTGCGGGCAACTTTTTAAAAATGGCTTTTCTTTTACAACAGGCCCATAAAAGCTAATAAAAAGAGCCAGCATGTATTGATCATTCATTATGCTTCAGGGGCCATGCCAAGCATCCTGCCAACATAATCCCCTTCATTTCTTTTCAAAAGGTCATGGGGTCAGTGCTATAATCATTGCTGGTTTACAGATGAAGAGGGAGGCTCAGAGTCAGTATCTCTTGTCAAGGTCATTTGATGGTTAATGGAAGTGCCAGGATTTGAACAAAGCCACTTGTAATTCCAGGGGCTGTGTAGCAGCCACTGCACAATAGGGGACACACTGGTTCTTCTGAAGCTTTCTCAAGGCCTCTTGTGTGGCCCATTTGATTCTGCCAGGTTGTTGTCCTTTGCTGCTATCTTCTTTCCCTATTTCCTGCCTTTGCTACATTGGCACCAAGACTTTTATCCTATGCATGATTTCATCCATCCAACACTCACCAAACGGACACCATGCAGATGCTAGAGACACAAAAATCAATAGAACCTAGTTCCTGCCCTCTAGGAGCTTACACTCCAACCAACAGAAATACAACATAAGCCATAAATGCAAGCCGCAGAAGTACATGTTAAAATAACCAAAAGAAACAGGTGACCTTCCTTTAACTAATATATTTCATTTAACCCAGTATCTCTAAAGTGTTATCATTTAAATATGAAAGCAGTATAGAAAATTATTAATGAGACATTTTACATTGTTTTTCTTTTTACTATGTTTTTGAAATCTAGTACATTTTATTTTGTACTTGACACCCCATGTGAATTTTGACTAGCCCCATTTCAAGGGCTCCGTCACCTCCTGTGACTACTGGCTATCGTAGTGCTCAGTGCAGGTCTTGAGGGAAAGATAAAGGCATAGATGGTTATTTCAAAGTAATGGGGAGAGTGATGGGACAGAAGTCCAGCGGGCATTGTGAGACCACAGCAAAGGGACACTTAGCCCAACCTGGAACTCCAGGGAAGCTTCCAGAGGAAGACACCTGGGCTGAGTAAAAGCAGAATGAGGCTCAGTCATGAAGGGCCTTGTAGGAGGAGCCAAGGAGTATGATTTTCTGTGCATGACCCTCTTCAGCTTTACAGTGTTCTTCCATGTACACTAGGACATTTGGGAAGAGCAGCGGCCCTCAAAGTAGGCATTTGTGGTGACCAAGACTGCTAGTTGTCTCCCCGTTCTATTCTCTCCTTCCACACTAACAGAAGTCCTATATTTTTAGGTGTGGCAATGGGTGGAGTTAAAAATCTGCACCTCCCAGTGAGCCTTGCAAGTAAAGACAGTAGCTAAAGTTGGGTAGGGTTTCTGCAAAATTTCCTTAACACAGGCTAACTCAGAGAAAAGGTATGTCATTTCTTCATTGCCTCTTCCTGCTGCTTGCTGCCGGGAATGTAGACATGATTTCCAGAGCTGCAGCAGTCACTTTGTGACTTCCAGGCACTCTCAGATGGAAAGTGTGCTCTAAGCACATCGGAGAAGTATGCCTTTGCCTTGTCCTTCCTTGTGTCTGCATAACTGTGGAACTGCTGAACTGTCTAATTCTGGACTTCTGTTATGAGAGAGAAAAATAAATTACTAATTCATTTAATCTACTATAATTTTGGGGAGCTTTTTGTTGTTATATGCATACAAATCTAATCTTGACTCATATACAATACATAACTCACAAATGAGCTAATATTAACTATATTAACTCATTTTATAGGGAAGTTCATAATATTAACTATCTTAGCTCATTTTGCAGGGAAGTTCACCAAAAATCTGAAAAATTAAGTGACCAAACAATAATCATACAAGGAGTAGTAGTGTCAGAGGTAAAACTCAAGCCTGGGGCTTCTGGTCCCCAAAGCCTGTGTTTTACTTATTGTACCATTTTGTTTTCCAAGGAGGTGGTTTCTGCTACTCTCTTCCCTCTATTACTGCACATTTTCAGGATAGCTGTGCAGAACAGTGGCTGTAGAGTACCAGATCACCATGAGTTACCCTCCTGTATGGAGCATCTGGTATGAACTAGTGTAGTGGCCACTTTGTCCCAGCCCCTACTAGGACATGCGTGGCCTTTGGCTTGACCATCGGCAGGAGGTCCATAAAATATCGGGGCAATCATGCGACCATCTCTTCCCCTTACCTGAGCCCCCAAACCCTGGCCTTCAGGGTTCCCTTCTGCTTCCACTGGGTTCTCTTGGCTGAGCAGAGAGAAGGTTCAACTGAGCCCTTCTCATCCTGCAGGTACTGGATTGTGCAGGCACCTGGCTTGTACCTCTCTCTCCCTTCCTGCTATCTGCCTCCTGGCTATGGCATTCCTCAATTACCATCCCTAGCACAGGGTGATAATACTCAAATCTGTCAATTCTGCAACTTGTCAGCTGCTCTACAGAGGGCTTGGTGGGAAAGGAGGTTGCTGACTCAAAGCTAAACGTAATTTTATATCATCTGCAGAACTCAGTCAACCGCAAGACACATATTGCTTGCAAGTTGACCACATCAGTCAATGGTTTATTGAGCATCTTCATTGACCTTCAGAACTACCATTAGCTCTATCCTCGCTGCCAAGAAATGGCCTGAGCCAACTGCCTGGTGCTGCCTGCCTCACTGGTTTCAGGTGCGGTCAGGCTGTAGCCATGGCCTTTGGGATAGGATGTAAGTAAGCTGTCCTGGCACTCATCACTCCAGGATTTCTCTAGCCTTGCATGTCAATCTGTCTTCACTTTTGGACAGAGGAGCATGTCTGCCTCTTAGTGCGTCTGGACCTAGAGCAGGGATGAAAATTTTTTTTCTGTAAAGGGTCAGACAGTAAATACTTTAGGCTCCATGGGCCATGGGCTTAGTTGCAACCACTCAGCTCTGTCATTGTAGCATGAAAGCAGCCATAGACAATATGCGTAGAAATGAATGTGGCTGTGCTACCGTAACACTTTATTTATGGACACTGAAATTTGAAT
This sequence comes from Homo sapiens, assembly GCF_000001405.40. Taxonomy (NCBI): domain Eukaryota; kingdom Metazoa; phylum Chordata; class Mammalia; order Primates; family Hominidae; genus Homo; species Homo sapiens. Next base: position 3,032,607 of record NC_000009.12, on the reverse strand, counting down.
TTCATATGATTTTCATTTGTCACAAAATATTATTCTTACTTTGATTTTTTAAACCATGTAAAAAACATGAAAACTATTCTTGACTAATATGCTATACAGAAAGAGACAAGGGGCTGGATTTGGCCTGTGGGCTGTAATTTGCCAATCCCTGATCTAGAAGCAGAGGAATATGGTGGTTAAAAGGGATGGCCTTTTGCAAAGCCTGTGGATGTCTGCAATCAGCTGTGTAACTTAACGTCTGCTGCCTCATCTTTCTAATCTTCAGTGTCCTCATTTGTGAGATGGGGACAGTTCCAATACATAGTACAGAGGGCTACTGGTTGATTAAATGAGATAATCCAGCTACTCTGGAGGATCTCCTGAGCCCAGGAGTTCAAGGCTGCAGTGAGCTGTGATTCTGCCACTGCACTGCAGCCTCGGTGACAGAGCAAGACCCTGTCTCAAAAAAAAAAAAAAAAAGAAAAGAAAAAAGAAAAAGATGTATATCACTCAGGACACTGTGAGGCTCCACTATGGGCCCAGTGGTGAGCGAGGCACTCTAGGAGATCAAAAAATGAACCAGACACAGCTGCACACTCCCCAGGAACGTGGTGTCTAGTAGGGAGGTGGCCGTGTGCCCCAATAATTGTCACGCATGGCAGAGTGAGCTTGTCTGCAAGAGAGGCACAGCAGTGACAATTTGTCATCTCACTGTGTGCAGTACTGCTTCCTAGGGTTTTGGAATGCTCAGGGTGTTTGCTCAAAGAGACAGCAGACCCACCTGGGACTGCCACACAAGCTCAGTCCTTGCACTTCTGCTAATCTCCTACAGCCCACAACTGTGCTGCAGCATTCTCAATCCAGCATCACCATTACCTTTGCCAGCACCCCTTGCCCTTTCATCTGCTCACAGTCCCTTGGCAGCCACAGGGGTAGAACTTCCACTTTCCATCGTTTGTAATGTAGTCCAGTTCAGCTTATGGCAGATAGCACCTTGTCACTGATGAATTTCTATTAAATAGAAGGTATTCTAATAAAATATATATAGTTTTTTGATAAGTCATTTACAAGCGAGGTGAGAAATATGGTAATCTATGTTTTTATGTGTTAGCATTATTTTAACTTCTACTTAGAAATGAATCATACCCTTACCTCTTTCTGTAAGATAACTTATTTCACCCAATCTGGCCACCAACCAGAATCCTAACGGGGCTATCACCTGGGGACCACCTAGACTTTGTTCCTGTCTTTAGTTATAGAATTTTTAAGCTCAGCCCTTAAAGACGAAGATAACAAAGTGACTTCTTGTAAATTACTGGAACCTCCATATGGTTTTAATAGCATACAGTTCTCCAAATTGTTTTCTGTTATATTACGTATAAATCATAGGACATACTTCTGAGACTAAAATAATAAAAAGTGATATTCAGATGCTAACAGCTAATCTCACTTCCAGAAAGAATTGATAAATCCTATAACAACAGTACTGATAAATTCAGTTTGTTTGTCTCCTGAAGTCTTCCTGGATCAACATTACCCACGAATTCTTTCATGTGCTGTCTGCTCATGTCCTGTGCTGTTGCATGCCCCATTCACCTCTCAGGATCTTGAATCAGGGATTTTATAACAATCGCAGAGCTTTTTTATGTGTCTTCGACTGTAGTTACTCAAGTTCATGCTTTTAAAGTAGTGATCTCTCCACTCTTCCTTTTTGCAAACCCTTTAGGAGAGTTCTTTTCTTCCAATACACTTTTAAAATGCTGCTGCAGCTACCAGTTACCTTGGGAATTACTTCTCTCATTTTTGCACTGTTACAGTTTCTTTCTGCTCTGTCCACTCTTTGATCTGCCTTCTGCTGTGATGGCAGGAAGGGTTTTTGAGGTTATTCTAGGATGTTGAAGTATGAAAGGAGCTTCCAAGTTGGGTATGACATGAAAAGCTTGTCTGCACAGGGCTGCTGTGTAACATAGTTCCAAGGAACACTATTCTCTTCATAGCCTATGTGAGTGTTGTAAACTGGAGTTGTACAGTGCACAATCTGTATGGTGATATCCAGCTGCCCTGGGATCCCAAGGGACAGGACTCATTTGAGACCATGATGAGTACTCTGTATTCTATTGGCTTACTCATGAAGAAAAAGGAGGAAGAGGAAGAGGAGGAGGAGGAGGATGCAGATAAAGAGGATAAAAGAATAGCAGTACTTTGATGGAGCTTCTTTTGTGCTAGGCACTCCGCCAAGCGCTTTATATATATATATATGTGATGGTTAATATTGAGTGTCAACTTGATTGGATTGAAGGATGCAAAGTATTGTTCCTGGGTGTGTCTGTGAGGCTGTTGCCAAAGAAGATTAACATCTGAGTCAGTAGACTGGGAGAGGCAGACCCACCCTCATTCTGGGTGGGCACCATCCAATCAGCCGACAGCATAAAAGCAGGCATGGAAAGAGCAGACTTGCTGAGTCTTCGGGCCTCCATCCTTCTCCCATGCTGAATGCATCCTGCCTTCAAACATCGGACTCCAAGTTATTCAGCTTTTGGACTCTTGGGCTTACACCAGTGATTTGCCAGGGGCTCTTGGACCTTCGACCACAGACTGAAGGCTGCACTGTCAGCTTCCCTACTTTTGAGGTTTTGGGATTCAGACAGGCTTCCTTGCCCCTCAATTTGCAGACAGCCTATTGCAGACACAATCACAATCACCTTGTGATTGTGTGAGTCAATAAAATCTCCTTCATGTATACATCTATCCTATTAGTCCTGTCTCTCTACAGAACCTTTACTAATACAATATATTAAATTTTAATTACTAAATAGGTGGCTGGTTGTGGTGGCTCACACCTGTATTCCAGCCCTTTGGGAGGCTGAGGTGGGAGAATCACTTCAGCTCAGGAGTTTGAGATCAGCCTGGGCAACATAATGAGACCTCATCTCTACTAAAAAATAAAAAATAAAAATAATTAGCTGGGTGTGATGGCACATGCCTGTAATCCCAGCTACTCTGGAAGCTGAGGCAGGAGGATTGCTTGAGCACAGGAGGCCAAGGTTGCAATGGGCCCTGATGGTGCCACTGCACTCCAGCCTGGATGACAAAATGAGACTCCTGTCTCAATAAATAAACTAATTAATTAATTAATAGGGGATTTTTTTCTTATTCATCATGGGAATGATTGGTTTTCTGGAGTACACCAGTTACTGACCTTGGTAATGGTGAGCAAGCCAGAAACAGGCTTCCTTCCCTCATGTAGGCTGCAACCTAATGAATTTTGATGGAAGTGATCATAAAGTCAGCTATGCTATTCATGGCAGGACCAAAGTTCAGCACAAAGAAAACTGCTAAAATTGCCATCAGAACCTTCTCAAAAACCCACACAGGCTACCAGTTGCGTAAAATGACAAATCCAACCTTACATTTAACATTACATCACCAACTGGGCTTTCTGTTTAGCCTTTATTTTTTTCTGTAACTCTGCATCTCAGTTCTTTCACACTGGAAAATCAGGCTACACCTTTGCCTGCATAGGAACTCCAAATTTCCCCGCTGGAAGCTTTGCCTCAAGTCCTTGTCCCCCTTCCTCCTTTCTGCCTACCCAAATGTCTCCTTCTTCCTTTGGTTCACAGTTCACCTCCTCTAAGCAGCCTTCCCTGATGGAACACACAGAGCTCCGTCCCCTGGATCTTTGAATACAAATTATTCTAAAAACATTTTGTGTGTAACAATGTATTGCTTTGCAGTAGTTCTCGTGTGTGTCCGTTTCTTCTGTCTCTCTCTCTCTCTCTCCTCTCTCTCTCCTCGTCACATATTCCTTGATGGGGGAAGTCTCATTTCTAATTTTGTTTGTAGCCATCCTCCATATCCCCTACTCCTGTGCCTAGCACACAGCAGGTGATCAATAAATCTTTTTAATAAGGAGCTGACTCACCGCCAGCACTCTGGCCCCCTTGGCTCAGGTTGTTCTGAGGCATGCAGCCTTCCAAGAAAAGCTGGCTTTCTTGGCTTCCTTCCATAGTGCTGGTATGAATTTCAATGCTAGATCTTCAAAGAAAAAACTCAGAAAGGGCCATCCTACCCTGGGGTAATTGTGAAAGAAACAGATCCCCAGTAGAGACCTGGGGGCCAGTTGGATAAAATTCACACTTATGTCCATTTTCCTTTATCAAAATGAAACAGAATTTCCAACCTAAATTAACACTCTTTTAAGTTCTTACTATATGATATCTATATGGGTGTGTGCATGCACACATGTACTCATGTATAAATAGGTATTAACATATAACACATGTACATATAGTATGTATGCATGTGGATTTTATCTATCTGTCTACCTAGCAAGAGAGAAAGAGAGAGAGAGTCTGAGCTCTCTGCCTCTGCACTGAATACTTCTATACTACACCTCTTAGAATTAATTTATGTATTTGTTTGTGTGTGTTGTGTGTGTGTGTACATGTGTATATGTACCTGTGTATAGGCAACACAGGGAGCAATTTAAGGTGCAGTATTTTATAAACATGGTGTTCTTGTTGCTTTACGGTGATAAATCACACATTGTATAATTGATAGATACCTGCTTTATAAGTACAGGAGGAGTTCAGCTAGAGTATTTTTCATAAATTTCTGGCAACACTTTACCAGCCCAGAATAATAGATAACTAGTTTTCAAATAATTATCTCCAAAGAAAAAACGTCTGCAGTTACACAGAGAAATTTTCACTGTCTTGATTTTGTAAACTTTGGGATCAGAAAACCTTTCCCTGTCTAGCCAATCTTTCTGGTTGGAGCTGAAGCCACTTCCCTGTTAGTTACGTTACATGAATATGTTACATCTTAATTTTGTGTGTATCTTTTCTTCTCAGCCATCGTCAACTGATTCACTAACAGCTTATTCCGAGGTAGAACATGCCCCTCAGTGTTGTCCTAGGTTTCAGAATTTCCCACTTTCTGGAATGCAGATATTGGTGCTGGAATGAACAGTGGCCTGGCTGGTTTGTCTCAGAGCAAACTGTGTCTGTAGTTCTCTTCCATCTGTATGATGGAGATCGTAATATCTCTTGGCAATGGGGATTGGATTAAGTGGCACTATGAATGTGAAAATGGTACTAAATGGAGCACTTCCTGAGTGCGTGTTTGCTTTTGACCCTGGCTGAGACTGGCAGCAGGAAGTATCTCCTCTCCACTCCCGATTGTTCTTTTGTGTTTCCCCTTGTGCTCCTTTCCCCCAGCCTCCTCCTCTTCACTTTGGTTCCTGGGCAGCTGCTACTGTGAAGACAGTGCAGCTCCCATCTGCTTTCAGCATATGGGACCAAGGCTGTTGCTTCCAAAGTCCTCATGTTTGCTGTTCAGAGCAGGGTGGGTTATTGTGTGGAAAGTGAGGCAGAAAAATTGCAGCATGATTTAATCAGTCTCTGTTAAAGCTTCATGTAGTATTGATGGGATTAATTGATCAGTCTTTCTACCTATCTGTTCATCTATCCATCCGTCCATTCATCCATCTATCCATCCATGTATCCATCTCCTAACTTTTACCACAGAAAGTTTGAGTTTCCTCACACATCTCTATAGTAAAATATAAACAGATAAAGTTCAAAATTAGAGAACATATAGAAAGCACAGAAGTCTGAGGCCAAGAGCAAATTAAAACACAGATCTGCATATTAGAGGACTCGTAAGTATTACTGCCAACCCATGATTTTGACTCTGGGCATCTTGACATTCAAGCAAAAGGGGAAACACTGTGAATTTACATGATCTCCAGAGTCCATAAAAGATAGAGCAGTGGCAGGAGGGCAGAATATGTCAAACAAAGCTTCTTTTGGCATTTGGATCTGAAGAAAATTTTTATATGGGTTCCCAATAGGACTTGGAATATGCCTTCATACCAGAGTGTCAAGGAATCTAGACTCAACAGTCACTCAATAGCTACATTCTCAATAAGATTTAGAATATCCCTTTTTATCAAAGTATCAAAAAATTATAGATTTGACACTCATTCTAGAGCTGGATTGCAGTTAAAGCTGAAGGTAAGCCGTATATATACAAAGATCTGCTGGTTGTGGTTATAAAAATATTGAATGATAACCAATATCCCTGGATTGAATCCTCCTGGCTTTCAGTCCATGTTATCCCCTCTTCTGTGTAAGGAAAGTGCAGATGGATGTCAACCAGGAAGCACTAATTTAACTATTGCTGGATCTATTAGTTGCTTGTCATAGAGTAGATGGTTGATCACTTTGTTAGGGAAGGATGATAAAGCGGTGGGTGGCATAGGCATCCTCTCTGAGTGGAATCACTCTTCAATGTAGATGCCATACTCCAGGATCCCATGGATCATTAGTAATTATACAGGAAGGGTGGGGAAATGAATGGTTTGAGAAAAACTCGTTTTCATAGCTGAAATCAGTCAACAGTACCATATTCATATAAAAATATGTTGTTTGGGAATGATAGTGACTGACTCACCAGAACTTATCTGATAGCTCTAGATTTAAGTTTGAACCTGCCCTAATGAGTGTCTGCACAAAATGACCAAATAAGGTCATTGCCAAGAAACACAACTACTTCTCATACACATTTAAAATAAAACCGTCAATTGATTGAAATAAGCATACAATACTATGTTTGGCTATCATTTTTCTTAGTTTTTATGATTTTGTGGTGCTCAAAAATAGAAGGGAAGTACTTGATATTTTAAGTTGCAGACTTTTTGTCCATGAAGTTTTGTAATGGGGCCTTGAGTATATGGGAAGCACAGACTCAAATGCCTATGCAGCCCAAGCAAGTCATGGAAATGCATGAAGAGGGCTGGTTGCAAAGAAGAGAGAATGGGGCAACTATGGCAACTGGAGGTCTCATGTCCATTCAAAAGGTTGCAGTAGCTACTTCCCTCATGTCGGTTGTTGCTACACAGTAATTCAGACCCCTGTGTGCCCTGTCATACTATTTAAGGTAGAAATCCTTGTTTCCTGTGACATTCTTCTGACTTTTAAAACACATCATGGCCAAATTAAATATTCCTACAGACCAGATTTAGCCTCTGCTCATTTTGCACCCAGTTGACTATCAATATAAATATGAAAGAGAAAACAAGATAAAAGCAAAGAGATTGAGCTAAGAAGACAGATGCACATCACGCTTTTAGCCAATTATAGATTCACTTCACTGAGAACTACCGTGGGTACATTTTGCTCTCTAAAAGAATGAATACAAGATGAATTTCTTAAATAGGATTAGGTAGCACAACCATGCCGAATTATTGTTAAATGCGTGTTAGAATGGGAAGAGAGCTAGATCTTAAAAATCGCATGGCAAAACTAACAAAGCAGTTACTTGTCATCCAAAGTGGTCTTTTTAAATTTGAAATCTCAAGTCTTCCAGGTACAAAATACTTTCTTTCCTCTGTCTTGTACCAGCTATAGCATTTCTCAACTGAGTTTGTAAGTGTTTTTGTCTGATTCATTTATGGATAATATATAAAGGGAAAGCCCAGAGAGATTTTGAAGTCTACGTATTATGCAAAGTTTCCTCTTGGCAAAATAAAGTGCCCCAAGCATTATGTAGTGAAGGTACAGACTGCTGTTTCAGTTTTTTAAACTGAATGCTATATAGGATTACACTAATGCTTCTCCAAAGTTATTTGTTAGGGGAATGGAGGGAGTATGGCATAAGCAATCATGAAAATGTTCATTTCAGTTGTCAAATGTCATTTTTTAAACAGTGTAAATCTAATCAAATTGGAAATGTGCCTGTATGCCACCTGTTTGGTGTTTACCTGTGCTGCTTTACTTGCTGGGAGGCATGCAGAGGCCTCAGGAGGCTATGAGAACTAATTGAATAATAGCTCATGCTACAACATAAATAAATTAGTCCCTCTGTGAATACATGTTAAATGCTCCAGAAGGTGCATTCTGGCCTTACGTAGTGAATGAAGGTACCATTTATCTTTCTATAAGTCTGGTGACCTTCAAATGACTAGGAGGTTGTCTGAAATTCCATCTTCATCCCAAGTAATATTAATATGGGGTGGTCTTCACTGGATTGGTTAAAGCACAGTGGTAGAAATAGGCCTAATTGCAAATAGACTGATTCACCTCTAGCGTTCAGAAAAGCATGGTGCAGATTTTAAAAGCACATGAAATGAGTAAGACATTAAAATATATAAAATTTTTAGTAAAAACAAATGAAAATAATACACTCTCAGCAAACTCTAGTGTCTGGCAATGACCCAGGAAAAAAATACATTATTGTAAATTGGGGGAATTTCTGTTTTAATCAAAGCTACCTATACAAAGTAGCTCAAGTCAAAAAGAAAAAGTTATCGAAGTGAAGTGTCTCCTGGAATGTAAGGCATTCAGGCCCAGACAGTGTCTTGGTACCATGGTGGGGAAGGAGGTATATCGTCTCCAGCTTTCAAGTATTGCATGGTCTCCTCATAATCATCTTTCTGTTTCCCCATCTCTCTCAGTTGTGAGTGGCTACCTCCCCCAAAATTACATGAACTTATAGGCAGGACGACTCAAATCATTTCTCATCCAAATCATGAATCTTTTGAATATGAAAGGCAGTAGGATTGATTATTTCTCCAGGACAGCAGGTATAAACTGAGATGTTCCGGGTGAACCAAGACATAGGATTGCCTGACTACCACCAACAACATTAGAGCTTCAGAACCTGTCCCTCTTTGGTTACAGTGCCTTAGTCTTTTGCTTCAGGCTGAGTTACCCTCTGGTCAACAGCTCATTCTTAATCTACTGGTTGGCTATGGGGTCCAATGGTGTAAGCAGAACATCAGAAGCTTGGAGCAGGGCCAGCTATTCTTAGTGAGTGTGGACAGAGAAACAGTGCTGGCAACTGTGGCAGTGTCAGAGACTCAACATGTTATATGACCAGAAATTTTCCACCAATTGGCTTGTAGTAGCCTGTCACAACAACCACCGGCTGCTGGAAGCAAAATCGGGGTTTAAGCTAATGCAAGCTTCAAGATTTCAGAAGCTGATGAGCTGAGTGGGTGTTTTCCATGACTCACCTTCCTCCCATTTGCCCCTGAAGCATGCAGATTTTCTCAGTCCTGTTTCCTTTCTTTTAGCTTAGTCTACAATGTTTCTACCTGTTTTTCAGTAGTAGTTAACTGTGATTTTGCTTACCTTTAATATATGCTCCTTTCTTCGGATAATGGAAGCCCAGTCTTCCTTTTGGGTTAGATAAGGCTGGCTCAAGGCTAGTCCATTGGCATTGATCCCCTGGCCACAGAAATGGATTCAGAGATGGGTCTTTAATTGAACGTGGTTCAACAAGACTCAATATGGGGCTTTTGTTGGAACACTTTGGAGGGACTGAGGTTGCTGAGCTTGTAGCAGTGTTGTTTTAGAGTTGCTGGTAATCATCTTGTTCTATGAGGGGGAAGCCTGCCTAACGGGGAGGCAAAAACAGAGAAATGCAGAGCAAGAAAACAAGAAAAAACGAAAAAGAGCAAGAGAGTGACAGCACACACAAGTGAGAGAACAAGTCCTAACAACAGCACAGGAGAGCTTGAAAATAACTATTCTTGAAAATGGAACTTTAATCCTGTATTTTTCGGTTTTTTGAGCCATAAAGCTCCTATTCAAGTTATACGTAGTTGAGTTTTCCACCACTTGTTAATAAAAGAGTTTTCACAGATATACCTTAGAATCTTGGTTCTGTTCTGGTTCAGTCAATTATTCCTCTATTTAAGGTTGACCTCCTGTTCCATCTGTTTATTGGAGACCATGAAGTTCTTACATCTTGAGCCTTCTTTGTTGATGGGTAGAGCATCAGGGCAAGTCTACCAGGATTCTACAGGGATTAGGGATCTCACTCAATGTTCAAACAAATGAACAAACTGCCCTTGCCTTTATAAATGTTTAACATTACTATTTTACTAATGTTTAGGTCACTACTTGTCATCTCAATAAGTGTTCTTTGGTTTTGAAGATATGCATGAAGATCATCTCTGATTTGAAAAAACATGATCTCAATTGTTTTGCCATAAGATTCTTGACAGTTAAAGACTTGACTAATACACAAAATACTCCCAACAATAGTCCTACCCAGTGCTTTGCACCAATCTTTTGGTTGGACAAAAATAGTGTTAGGTTAGTGTTACACAACTTATGAACTGTAGGCTTGGTTGTTAATTGTAAGGCTTTGAGTGAAGAGGAAACCCAAATAATATATTCAGTTTCTTAGAACTTATAAGTAACTTTGTTTTAAGAGAGTTTGATTCGATGGCTGCTTTTGCTGACAAATTCTTTTTAAAGAGGAGAAAAAAGCACTAAAAGGGGGAAATTAGCTTGAAGTTTGATGAAGCTGTGCATTTTTCTAGTTTTTTCATGTATCAGTAGGAAAATACAGTGTCTTATAATAATGCTATTTATGTTGGGCACTCAGAGAATCTGCTTTATATCTAAACGCTTTTTGCTACTTTACTAAGTAAACAAACCCTTGTATAAAGTGTAAGAAGGGCCACCCGTATGTTGAATTTCACTCAGCAGCAGAGTCCCCTGTCTATATATACATTTGGAACGTATTCATTTTCCTATACTACTTCAACTCTTACCACCTGAGATATCTGTGCCTTTCTCTGGAAAAACACACACAGCATATCTGTATAGGAAAATTCCTAAAATTTGGTTTATGTTTATCTAACTTTGAGAGTTGGGATGAAGAAGGTGTGGGAACTGTCTTATGCAAATATGTCCCTATCCATTGAAAAAAAGAGAAGCAAAAATATATTGTCATATTTAGGAGTTTAGGTAATAAATGGATTTTGACTTGAAAAATATAATGGATCAGATAATTTGGTTTTGCTACTGAGACACTAACTCAAAGAACTTTATGATTAGACTTTTTAAGTAAATAGATGGAGCCCAAATATTTAAGTTTACACACCTATGATTAGGGAAGAAATAAGTAAATGAGAAAATAAACTCCTTATCCTGAAGTAATTGCTTTAGAAGACGTGAACCAGTCAAGAGGTAGAAGTCGAAATGGATCAAAAAAGGAGAAAGAGGATGAGGAGGAAAAATAAAGAGAAGAATAAAAAAGGAGAAAGAGGACGAGGAGGAAAAATAAAGAGAGAGAAGAATAAAAAAGGAGGAGGAGGAGGAAAAGAAGAAAAAGGAGTAGGAAGAAGAAGAAAAGAAGAGATGAGGAAGAAGAAGAGGTAGAAGAAGAAGGAGAGGAGCAGAAGCAGGAGAAAAGGAAGAAGAAGGAGAAGGAAGAGGAAAGGAAGCAAGAAAAAGAAAGAATGCTTTCATTAATTCATTTACTTACGCATTCAATGATATTTATTGCATACTTACTATGTGCCAGGTATCATAACTTGATCTAGGATTTGATGGTGAATGAATCTTTGTACTCTCTAAATCTTTTAAGCTTACATTCCATGGAGCAAGATAGAAAAAACTAAGTAACTAGACAAAATAGTAATTATTATCCTATATGTTATACGAAGAACTAATAAGAGGCAGACACAGAGAAAAAGACAAGTATTCCAGCTGTAGATATCACATCCATCCTGCTTGAATGATGTTCTGAGTGTAATTCCACTTCTCTCAGCACTGACCAGGTCAGGAGATCGAGACCATCCTGGTAAACACGTTGAAACCCCGTCTCTACTAAAAATACAAAAACAAAATTAGCCGGGCCTGGTGGCGGACGCCTGTAGTCCCAGCTGCTCGGGAGGCTGAGGTGGGAGGATGGTGTGAACCCAGGAGGCAGAGCTTGCAGTGAGCCGAGATCACACCACTGCACTCCAGCCTGGGTGACAGAGCAAGACTCCGTCTCAAAAAAAAAAAAAAAAAAAAAAAAATGGGGGAAGAAGAATTAAATGAAGCAAGTGGTTAGTGTTGCTCTCTTCTTTGTACACTGATTAAAATGGTATCTTTTTCTTCCTTGAGTGTCCAGTAAAGAGAGCTTAATTGGGGAAGCTCAATCTGATGGACTAGAGAGAACTGAAATGAGCTGTCGGCAAATTCTTCCAGATAGCCCAGAATCAGTTTTGCAGCAATGTCTAGAGTTTGACATTATTTTATAAAAATCCACACCATGACTATTCTATTGTCAGTTGTATATTTTCTGGTATAATGTTGGGACATGTGGCCAGAACAGCTGGGGTAGTCAGACAGGTATTACCCTTTCCTGGCACGGAAAGAAGCTAGTGTCTTGGTAAATAATCTCTTTGTATGGAAAGCACCACAGACAGTGTGACTTGTAAATAGCAGCTATTTAAGAGAAGCAAGCAAACAAAAACAGATCCCTTCAATCTGGTCTTTTAGGAGTAGCAGAACAGAAAGAAAATGGTACATCTGAGTAGTCTGTATTGATTCGTGAGTAGAAATACATACTAAAATTGAAAAGTAATGGTTTGTTATGAAGAAGCCTAAATCAAGCCTGAGAAGGGAAGGAAAGTAATTGGAATCATGGCTGTAGCATGGAGCTGCTATGTCCTTGGTAAAATATCTACATGACAGAGAAAATTACATTTGTGTATTTGTGATCAAAAAAATTACAAGACACAATGGTTTACAGCCTGAGAGCTTATAATAGTAGTTCCACCAGGTCATTCCTTTTAGAAACAGTGTGGGTAGATGTGTCCTTTGAAAGGAGTTCTCATTTTACTCATGATGTGTGCTCTAGGCATAGGAACTGGGCTTTTACGAATAACTGAGGGCAGTTCCCCATCCTTATATACTCAGCCCACTGCCCTCAGGCTTCTAGACAATATCCCCATAGGGACCTCTTTATTCCAGAGCAGCAATTCTAATCCATGTCTTCCCACCTCTCTACCCTGAGCAGCTGAAGGAGCCACTGTGCAAATGTGGACATCCATTTTGACTTTCTTATACTCTAAATAGCTGGCCTTTCTTCCCTCTCCTCTGGTAAACATTCCAGCTCTACAGAATTAACAGCGTTTTTCAAACAAATGGTACCTGCAGATCAAAAGCCTCCTCCACATCAAAAAAAAAAAAGAAAAAAAAAAAGCACTCCTTGCCAAAATCTTCTCCAAAGGCAAAATTACCTGCTGGATTTAAAGAGCCCTTCACTTCTCTTACCCCAAATTCTGTCCGCCAGTTTGGAGAACTGAGGAGGAGAGGAGGATAGGCTATTACTGCTCCTTTCCTTTTGGGTTCTCCAAAGTCGCTGAGGAGAGGGGAGAAATCAACAATTAAGTTTCTTTTCCTTTTTACAGAGGTTTTTTTATTTATTAATTTTTTTGACTCTTTACACACCATGTGGAAACATAGACACTTTTCTTTATTTATACACATTTATTTAACCATTAAAATAAAAGTGAGGGTAAATTGTGAAAAAACAAAAACAAAAACAAAAACCTTTTGACAGAATTCCCCACGGGGAGGAATTAGCTGATGATGGTTCCTGGACTTGCCAGGATATTCCTGATTTTCTAAATCCCATCAATCCCATAAATACATCTTAAACTTGTCAAACAAGAGGCTGTGATTTTCGGTTTGTTAAATGTGGCCCCTGTATTAAGATTATAAATAGCTGTGACTATAGTGTCTGCCGTGGACTGAATTGTGTCCCGTCCAGATTCACATGTTGAAATCCTAACCCCAGTGTGGCTGTATTTGGAGTAAGGAAGCAATTAAGTTTAAACGAGGTCATGAGGTGGAGCCTTGGTTCTGCAGAATTCACGTCCTTATAAAAAGAGACATCAGAGAGCTCAATAGCTTGCTGTCTCTGCCATGTGAGGATGCAGTGGAAAAGGCAGAAAACTGCAAGCCAGAAAGGGAACCCTTGCCAGGAACCTAACCATCTGGCACCTTGACCTTGGACTTCCCAGTCTCCAAAACTTTGAGAAAATAAATTTCTGTTGTTTAAGCCACCCAATCTGTGGCATTTTATTATGGCAGCCTAAGCAGACTAACATTGTTAATAATATAATAAAATTGGATTTTTAAAATATCAAACACAATAGAACTGACACATCCAGCTCAGTACTTACTTTGTAGGCTATTTATGTATTGCATGGATGCTCGTGTAACACAAAACTTTGTTGGAGCTTCTCTTTTACATTTTCTTTTTGGAGATAATTGGCGAGCCATACAAGACCAGCTGTGTAACTTTATAGTCAAAATCTTGTTTTTTAACCAAAAATGATATTTTTCAACTTGCCATATATCCTACTAACTTAATTGGGCAGCCATTATTTTGGGTTGTATTAAGGTCTCAAATTTCCCCCAAAGGATAGAGACTTGCAACTGTTGAGAATATTCAAAAGATTATTTGTTAAACAAATTAATTTACCGTAGGCTTTGAAAGCCCAAACAACAGAGACTCAAAGAACTCACAGATGGGTGACAAAAACCACTGCTGGCAATCTCTGAGAACTCAGAGAGAATTGGAGAGGTGCCAGGAAACTAGAGCTGGGTAAATATTGTCCAATATCTTTTTAAAAGAGAAAAACGCAAATATAGGAAATTGTAGCTTAACAGACTTGATATTTTTGACTCCCAATCAAATTTTATAAGCAAATAGTTGGGTCCAGAATTTAAGGGAACATAGTCAAAAAACATTGTTGAAATTAAGATAAATTAAGTTCTACTTAGTCTCTGATGTTGCCTCTGAGAACAAATTGGAGAAATGAGCAAAATGACATGACAATTAAAGAGCTTTGAAGCTTTATGTGTAGTTGAGTGAATCTCTATGAAAAGTGTTGACACAGAATAAAGCTGACAGTATATTGTTAATAGTGAAAAAGCAGGTTGTAAACCAATGGAGTACAATACTATTGTTGTATATATTATAGAGATAGATGTGAAAATGTAAAGAAAAATTCCTGGGAAAATCCCAAAATGTTATCAGTGATTATATCTGGGAATTATTTTTCCTTTTTGACTTTTCTGCATTTCTAAATTTTATACGGTTAAGTAAGAGACAAATTTTTTCAATTGCAAAAGAAAATGGTTAAGGCCGGGTGTGGTGGCTCACACCTGTAATCCCAGCACTTTGGGAGGCTGAGAAGGATGGATCATTTGAGGTCAGGAGTTCAAGACCAGCCTGTCCAACATGGTGAAACCCTGTCTCTACTAAAAATACAAAAATTAGCCAGGCGGTAGTGGCACACAGCCATAATCCCAGCTACTTGGGAGGCCGAAGCAGGAGAATTGCTTGAACCTAGGAGGCAGAGGTTGTGGTGAGCTGAGATCGTGCCACTGCACTCCAGTCTGGGGGACAGAGTGAGACTGTATCTCAAAAAAAAAAAAAAAAAAAAAAAAATAGAAAAGAAAAGGTCAAAAGAAAAAATATAATGGGAGAACAGAAATATCAACCAATACATTGATTTTTATGTGTAGGAAGATGCTGTGAAGAAATGGCATTGCTTTTACTGTAATAGGATATTCTTACTATATGAATGTTGCCATACTTTATTGGCTGAAACTCTCTTGTTACCAGAATCACCGGGAATACAGATTCTGGGTTTTATCATTCTGATACAATAGACTTGGAGTGAGGCTTGGAAATTTAGCCACAGGGAATTGGTCAAATTATGGCACATTACTGAGTTGAAATCATATATCCATTAGCAGTGAGGTGGAGAAGACTACTTAATGGCCTAGGACGTTATTCATAGCATCTTAAATAAAAAGTGCTGGTTATAAAATAATACAATGTAATTTTATAAGTAAGAGGCATTTTTACATACACACAAACGTACCCAGAATGTTAAGCATAATTAGTCACTTGTATAATGGAATTATTCTTTTTATTGTATTCTTTTTGATTTGTGGCATTTTTCTAAATTTTTTATACTTTTCATTTGTTGGTTTTGTAGTTATTTTTAAACCATCATTTGCATCCTTTCCTTTATAGGGATATAACTGCAAAAGATAGAGTTGAGAGAAATTTTATAATGAAGATACATTTTTAACCAAAGAATCCTTCTGTTTTCATTTAAAAAAATCCACATGGAAACATTAGCTAGGTGAGGTTAATTATTTGGGATGAGCCCTTACAAATTGGTGAAATAGTGATTGTTCAGGGTATACTGTAAATTTAATCCTGATCTACATTTCCACCTAGAACTGCTCCCTTTATCCCTTTCCGGGTCCTTTGGAGGAGATGGCATTCCCCTGTGCAGGAGGGGCAGTGGTTATATGTGTTTGCATGTTTATTTTTCAACAAGGTCTTTTTTTCAAACTATCTGTCCTTACATGGGATGGACCCAGGGCCTTACAGGGCTGCTTCTCAAATTAAATAGTTTCACCAAGTTCATTAGTCATTTTTCCAAATGTATTGAATTTACATTTCAGACTTATTTATTGGGATGGCTGCTACATTAGCACTGTGTTCTAGAGACTAGCGATAAATGAGGCTTAAACTTCTGCTACGGTTTAAGTGTCACCTGCAAAACTCATATTAAAAGTTAATTGCCATTGTGACAGTATTAATAAGTGTGACTTTGGCTAGGCATGGTGGCTCATGCCTATAAACCCAGCACTTTGGGAAACCGAGGTGGGTGGATCATCTGAGGTCAGGAGTTCAAGACCAGCCTGGCCAACATGGTGAAAACCCATCTCTACTAAAAACACAAAAATTAGCTGGGCATGGTGGCAGGTGCTTGTAATCCCAGCTACTTGGGAGGCTGAGGCAGGAGAATTGCTTGAAACCAGGAGGTGGAGGTTGCAGTGAGCTGAGATGGTGCCATTGCACTCTACCCTGAGTGACAAGAGTGAACTTCGACTCAAAAAAATAAATTAAAAAAAGAAGTATGACTTTTAAGAAGTGAGTAAGCCATGAGGGCTCCACTCGCATGAAATGGTTAATGTCAATAGAGTGGGTTGTTATAAAAGTGGCCCTCTCTGTCTCTTGCTCTTGCACTTGCTTGCCCTCTGCCTTCTGCCGTGGTAAGACACAGCAAGAAGGTCCTCACCAGATGTAGTTCCTCAGCCTTGGACTTCCCAGACTCCAGAACTGTAAGAAATTAACTACTCTTCTTTATAAATTACCCAGTCTGTGGTATTCTGATATAGCAACACAAAATGGACTAAGACACCCCCTAAACAGTTTCCCAAAAACTTGATTTAGGTAGAGAAATGGAGATTTTTTTAAAAAAACTATAAGTTCAGTATAACATGAATGATGATGGTAAGCTTAGAACATGAGGTTGGAGGGATATTTGTCATCCTTGGCTCCACGGGAGAATTTACTCTGGAGGCTTTTTTAAAAATAGAGATGCCTTGTCTCTACCACTAGAACATTTAATTACTAGATGTAGGGTGAGGGCCCATTATCCATAGGTTAAAAACACTTCCCAGGTGATTCGGATCTAGAGCTGAGTTTGAGATCCACTCTATTACAGCAACTAATTTTGTCTGTGATGTTCCAGAATATAGCAGTGAAGAAATGCTAGTTGAATAGAATCTGGGAGGATGAATAGAAGTTTGACATCAAAAGATAATCTAACAGAAAAAAATAGGGGGATTCAAAATCAAGATGCCTGGCCAGGACTGGGTTGATGTGGGAATTTGTAAGTGTTCAGCATGGTGGAAGCATGGAGGTCACAGGGCAGGTCTCATGTGTGCAGGAAGAGAGCACAGAGAGGGTTCTGGAAAGTGCGTACAGGTTACTGGACAAGATCATCTAGAACGCTAGGTTGGGTCTAGAATGTGAGGGGCCAGAGCTTATCATGAACCAAGAGTGTGTGGGCATTAGGGATCCAGCCAAGGCTATAATATAAGGGAGAGACCGGGTCACAGTGCCTGTGGTGGAGTGGAAAGAGGCCACAGACAGTAGAGACTGCTGGGCAGTATTCAGGAGACATCTCTGAGGCAGAAGTCACAGGAACTGGCCACTGTGAACACTGTGTTGTCTATCAGCAATATCACTTCTGGAATTTTTTGAGCTTTCACTTCTATATTCTTTCCTCAAATGACAGAGCATTTCTTTGTGTTCACATATTCCCAGTTATTTTACCTTTTCTCTATAAATCTAGATAATACTAAATGAGAGAGAAAAAACTGTCATGACAATAGAATGAGATTAGATGAATGTATATATAAAATATATGTGTGTATATGTACGTATATATTCTATTTTTTTGTATTCACATATATGTTTTTTTTTCTTATCATCAACAATCACCTTCCCTAGAGCACTTTCTGAGTATAAATCTGTGAGCTTTGTTAAGCACAGCACTGGGAGAATTTCTGGAGCCCAGTCTCTGCCTGTGTTTCTTTGTGCTCTCTCACTTGACATTTCTGAATGCAAATATGTCTGACAAGTGTAAATAAGGGTGTCACAGCTCGGAATAGTACCCATTTCCGCCTTGCCATCTCTTATCATGTATGTGTTCAGGGATGAATGTGCCATTTTCATCTTCTAATATTTTCACAGTTAGAATTTTTTACAGAGTGCAATGGTGAGCTCTATGGTTTCCAAGGTGAAGAAATGGATCTACTTTTTATCCTTGCAGAATTCAGTGCATTTGCAAATACTTTGAAAATATGCCAAAATAAAAAAAAGGAATACTCAGCGTTCAGCCAGTGGACCGAAGCAGCGTCTGTTGCACAGTACTTCCAGGTCAGGAGGGTGATCCTGGGTGGAATAAACTGATTTGTTTCAAGGTGTGCCTCTGAACACATCGAGGCAGGGTGGGTGGAGAGGAGATAATTTCTATTCTATTGCAGTGGTTCTCAAAATGTGGTCACCAGGCCAGCAGCATCAGCCTTACATAGATTTAAATCCCCATTCTGCCACTTATTACATTGTCAGGACTTGGGCAAGTTGCTGGATCTTTCTGAGCCTCAGCTTCCTCATCTGAGGAACATAATTCACCTGATTGTCATGATGCTTTAATTTAATTAGATGAGACTGTGAAGCACTTAGCATGGTACCTGGCCCATAGAAAGCTCCACAAAATGGTGGCAATTACAACAATAATATTTCTTACCAGCGTTCAGCGCTGGATTTATATGCACCAGATCACCCAACTGGCTTGCCTCTGTTTCCATCAGGATTACCACAATCATTGCCTTCTGCCCCACTTCCACCTCCACCAGGATTTCTATCCAAGTTCTGTTTTCCTGTCGAGGCTAATGGGGCTCATCAGGGCAGGCCATCCCTTTTGGTCCTGGCTATTTTCTCTCTTGCCTCTTTTCTTTTTTTTTTTTTTGACAGAGTCTCGCTCTCTTGCCTAGGCTGGATCACACTTGTGTGATTATAGCTCACTGCAGCCTCCAACTCTTGGGCTCAAGTGATCCTCCTACTTTAACCTCCCGAAGTTCTGGGATTGCAGGTGTCAACCATCCCAACTTGTCTATTATTCTCAATATGTGCTCTCTCACAACCTCTGATTTAGGAAGGGACCTTGAGTACTTATCTCATCAATACCTAGGTCCAAATCTATTGAATCTATGTAGTCAGAAGTCTGGGATCTACTTAGAATTCTATGCTTTACATATAGGGCCAACGTGGCCAGGTCACTATGTCTCTCAGAGCCTCAGCTTCTCTGTTTGTGAAAGATCATGCCTTCCCTGACCAAAGTGCCTGTCAGAACCAGATGCTCATGATCGTGCTGACTTTGTGGGTTGTTTACTCCCCCTCTTTTCTCTTTCCCTTATAGTTTTATGGCTGCATTTCTCAACAGCAGAACATGATGCAAGATTTTGTGAGGACAGCCACTTACCACAGAGCCGTCCTCCAGAATCACATTGACTTTAGAGACAAGGTAATGCCGGCAGCAGGTTATGAATCTCATGCATTTCAGAAACGTTTTCAAGACCAGAATCAAAATGAAGCTTTAGTAGAATTACCATATGACCCAGCAATTCCCCTCCTAGCTATACACCCAAAAGAATTGAAACAGGCATTCAAACAAATACTTGTGCACAAATGTTCATAACAGCGCTATTCAAAATAGCCAGAAAGTGGAAACAATCCAAATGCCCATCAACTGAAGAATATATAAGCAAAATGTGGTATATTTACACATGGAGTATTATGACTATTATTCACATTTGTATTATTCATAAGAAGGGATGCAGTGCTGATACATGCATCACCATGGGTGAACCCCCAAAAAAATGCTAAGTGAAAGAAGTCAGTCACAAAAGGTCATGTGATTCCATTTATGCGAAGCATCAGAGTAGATAAATTTATAGAGATGGAAAGTGCACTAGTGGTGTGGCTGCCAGGGTTGAGGGAGGAAGGGAAGTAGGAAGTGACTGCTTAACGGGGACGGAGCTTCCTTTTGGGGTGATAAAAATATCTTATAACCAGATAAAGGTAATGGTCGCCCAATGTAATGAACGTCTGAAATGACGCCATACTGTATACTTTAAAATAGTTAATGGTTAATTGGATGTTATGTGAATTCATCTCACTAAAATTATTAACCTTTGAGTGCCAGGAACTCGAGAGACTGAATGCACTGTTTTGGTGCATCGAACAGTTTAGGAGCTTTATTGCTACATAATAAATAGCTCTTCATGAGACACTCTATTTCAATTTTTTCATAGACTCCACAAGTACATGCGTTTATTTCCTTAATGAAATGGATATGAATGATGAATGGTTGCCAGCACATTATACACCTGTTGTCCAGGGTTATTCTACCTGTTAAAGAGACAAACTGTTCAGAACACTCAACAGCTTATCTCTCAGGCAACAGTACTAGTCCAAAGACTCGGCAGTATGGGATCTAGTTTCATATTTTCTCCTTAACTAGCTGTGTGATCTTAGGCAAAATGCTGAAGTTCTCTCAGCCTCACAGTCTAGTCTACTGACATAACAATTGTAGATCCATGGTCCTTTAGCTTTGCAGCATTACTTCCCAGGGAGGTTGTTGTAGAATATTGAAATAATTATTCCAATAATCATGCCTCCCTGTATCCACACATACATAGTCATGTAGCTGCTTCTCTCATCAAGAGCATTCTAATTTTTTGGCCCTTATCTCTGTGCTGGCTTTGTGACTTGCTTTGACCAATAGAATATGACAGTGGTGATGTTGTGTGAGTTCCAGAGCCTAGGCCCTAATGAGCCTTATAGCTTTTGCTCTCCATTTCTTGGAACCCAGTGATTACCATACTGTGAAGGAGTCTAGCCTGCTAGAGTTCAGAGGTCACAGGGAGAACTGAAGCACCTCAGCCAACAGCCATCACCAACAACTGCCAGACCTGTGAGCGAGGCCATCTTGGGTCTTCCAGTCCAACCCACCCTCCTGCCGGATGCAGAGGAATGAACAAATCCAAGCAAGACCAGGAGAGAAACTGCCCAGCCCTCCCACAGAATTGAGAGAATTCATAAATTGTTCCTGGTTTAAGTCACTAAATATTCTTGCATCTTTCCCTCTGTTTTCACTAACTATTGTTGCATAACAGTAGTTATAGTTGTATACAATACAATTATACAACCGCATACAAGTATATACAACTGTACAGTATTATTATACAACAATATTTAATGAAAACAGAGGGAAAGATGCATGAAAGGTAGTGATAAATAGGCCCCCAGCCAGAAGCTGGTTTGCACATGGCTTTCTATTCTTTGTCATGTCCATTCTGCTATTGAGCCCATCAGTGAAGTTTTTATTTTGGTTATCATATTTTTCAGTGCCAAAATTTCCATTGGGCACTTTGTTATATCATCTGTTTCTTGGCTGACACTTTCTATTTTCCATTGGTTTTAGTGGTATTCATGATTGCCGGTTGGAACTTTTTAAATAATAGCTGCTTTAAAAGTCTTTGTCAGATTGTTCTGACCTCTATGTCATGGCAGTGTTAGTTTCAGCTGATTATCTTTTCCCATAGGAATTGAGGTTTTCCCATTTCTTCTTGATTGGGTTCGGGCTGCAAGTTCCTTCCCCATAGTTGGTCTTCTGAGGGCTATGTTTCCTATGTCAGTTCATTTTTCAAAGCCTTGGCGGTGCTATTTGGATCTGTCCTCTGTGTATGTCACCCAGTGGTCAGCCTGGCACCTGGGCAGAGTTCTCAAAGTTTTGGTATGCTAATTAGTACCAGATCCATGCATGCACCGGCTGAGGATGACCCCAGGAACTTATAAAAGAAACTGTATGGAGCTGCTTTGCCAAGCTCCTTCCTCTCTGTGATACTTTTTGGTTCCCTGTGACCACTTTTCAGTCTCTTGCCAACAAGTTTACTCTGCCATGTACTTCCACGACTTTGCCTGCATATTGGCCAAGCAGAGAGAGACCAAGAGAGAAAAAAAAGCACTGGGGGTCAGCCCAGGCTTGGGAATGACAGCTCCACTGAATGGGGAGAAAGGTTTCCTTCCCTTATAGTTTTGGTTAATGCAGGCTGATGTTGCCAATACCACAAGATTCTTGGGGACGGGAGTGTGGAAGAAGGAAGGAAAGGGAAGGGAAATAGAGGGAAGAGAGGAGGGGGAGAAGAGAGCAACACAGAGAATTTTCACACCCTGACTATTAGAAATTTACTTTTCTGCTGCTAAAGCCAGAACTACAGGGTGTCTCAGGAGCTCTCTTTGTACCCTGGTGCTCATTTCTGGTGTGTTGACTTTAGGCCAGGGTTTACTGGGGGAAGAAAGGAGTTAACTCACTGTTGGTTGGGTAATATTTCAAATCCCAGTCTTATTTCCTGATATGGTTTGGCTGTGTCCCTACCCAAATCTCATCTTGAATTGTAGTTCCCATAATCCCCACATGTCCTGGGAGGGACCCAGTGGAGGTAATTTAATCATGAGGTGGCTACCCTCATGCTGTTCTTGGGATAGTGAATGAATTTTCATGAGCTGTGATGGTTTTATAAGAGGCTTTTCCCCTTTTGCTCGGCACTTCTCCTTCCTGTCATCATGTGAAGAAGGATGTGTTTGCTTCCCCTTCTGCCATGATTACAAGTTTCCTGAGGCCTCCCCAGCCATGTGGAATTGTGAGTCAATTAAACCTCTTTCCTTTGTAAATTACCCAGTCTCAGGTAGGTCTTTAGTAGCAGCGTGAGAACGGACTAATGCATTTCCTAATCTGCCTGACGTTCTTAACTCTTCGGAGTCCTCAAGTAGTTGCTCTAGGCATTCTGTCCAGGTGTTACAGCTGTATTCAATTCAGTGCGAGAGAGAGAGAGAGAGAGAGAGAGAGAGAGAGAGAGAGAGAAAGAGAGAAAGAGAGAAAGAGAGGGTGAAGTGGGCCTTGTCCAACCCACCTAGGACTGGACTCTATCTAAAAGCCACCTCTGTGTGCTCTGATGGGTGAGAGTAATGGGTAAAAGGCAAAGGTGAGACCAGAAATGGCGGGGTTTAGCCAAAGAGTCTTATATATCATATGTCTTGAGGTGCCCAGCAAACAACCTTACTTTGCCAGTGGGACAAGCCTGTTAACAGTTACGAAGTAAACATTCCCAGTGAAGAGGATCTGCTAGGATAGATGGGCAGGATGAAGACAAAGGAGAAAAACTAGTTCATTTTTGAGCTTATCTGGCCTTTAAGGTTGTAAGTAAGCAATCTTGTCAACCTAAGGTAGGTTTTTTCCGATTAAAATAAAATTTAGCTCTGAATTGCTGATTTCTTCTTCACGGTTTGAGCATGTTTCCTGGAGGTATTAGTTTTATTTAGGGAATATTCTCTTTCTGTATAGGGACTTAGTTTTAATCTACAATCTATTTTCTATGTTATCTATGATCTATTTTAAATTCTGGTTACAATTTTAAAGACCACTCCCTAAACTACTAATGACACTGATAACTTACATTATAAAAGTCTTTCACAGACTTTTCACATGGATCGTATCACTTGGCCATTTCATTTTTGTATCTTTTCATCTATAACAATGAAGATATTGGGCTAGATTATCTTTAAGGTCACTCCCAGCTCTAACTTCCTTTGATTTTACAAAATACCCTTTCCCTGCCTG
The DNA here is from genome assembly GCF_000001405.40 of Homo sapiens. Classification (NCBI taxonomy): domain Eukaryota; kingdom Metazoa; phylum Chordata; class Mammalia; order Primates; family Hominidae; genus Homo; species Homo sapiens. Next base: position 3,008,765 of record NC_000009.12, on the reverse strand, counting down.
CCTGAAATAGTTTCATCTGCCAATGAAATGAAATAGGCATCCATCTGTTAGGGGTTATGAAGGTGATAATTAATCACATGGTTGATAATTAATTATATCCCTTTCCTTCTTTGAGTTCTGAACCAATTTAGAAATAGACACAGATGTCATGAAGAAATCACAATATCAATGTTATTGTTGCTGTTTGGAGAACAGGGTTCAGACCTATTGCCAAATGCAGTTTCCTAAATCTTCTGCTCCGAAACCGAACTTTTCCACTCACTTACATGCTGAACTACTGGTCTCCCAAACAAGTCCAGAGCCTGCCCCATAAGGTTCTCACATGGGGGACTCAAGGGCACACACTTGGTTTGGAGTGGGCAGGCCGACCCCTCCCAAGCGCATGCACTATGCTTGCTCCATCCTATTTCCCAATGTCACCATCAAGGTGAATCATTCCTGCTAAGGGGAAAAAAGAGGGAGGGTAAATGACCACTCTTAATTCCATTACTGCCCTCTCCTGGGAGTAAATATTTCCTCCATTCTGAAAATGAATGAGAAAACTGACCCACTTTAGTGTCCCGGGAATCCTCTGGTTCTGAACAAACCAGGATGGTTGGGACCCCTCACTCCAAATCCACCAAATCCATCGCAAATGCAAAATCTTTTTTAGTCCTTTTTTTGTTTGCTTACATCATACTGAAGAGCATTCTGGAATAACGCCTGGGGGTCTGTGGAGGATGCTCCTTTTTCACTAAATCCTTGTGTTCTTCCTCATTGAAATTGACTATTTAAAAGGGCATTGAAATTGACTGCCTAAAAGCACAGGGGTTTAGAATGATCAATAACAATAGTTATTATTTATTGAGGAGCTTAGTATGGGCAAGCACCATGCTAAGGGCTTTCCACACACCGTTTCTTTTAATCTTCATCACAACTTTATGAGATAAATACTAATATTATTGCCCTTTTACAGATGAGAGAATAAGGGCCCAGGAAGGTTGATAGTTTACCTGATTTTATACAACTAGAAATAAAAAGGCCAGAATAAGACCCACTTAGTCTAACTTTGGAGCCTGTACACATAATCCCTGAAAGGCATTGCCCATGGGAAGGTTGGCTAAAATTGCTAAGGGAGATTTTTGTTGCTCCAGGCCTAAGGATGGGATAAAAACATTTTGGTTACTTAAACATTCCCATGAATACATGAGGTTGCCTTGCACAATGGTTACATTCATGAGTTCTGGAGCCGGAGAGCTGAGTGGAAACTCCTGCTTGACCACTTACCATATACCTGCCATAGACCTTTGTCCTGTTTGTCTTGAGATCTTGGGCAGGTTGTCTACAGTTTCTGGGCTTTGGCTTCTTTGTCTATAAAAGTAGGAAAATGATAAGAGTAGTAGCTACTTTCTAGAGCTCTTACAAGTTCAAGATGATATAGTGTCTATGAACTCTGTATTAGCAAGGATTATTATTATTGATGGTCACGGGTTTCCACCTCTGCTATAACTTTAAAGCTTCCAAATCTTGATTTTTCATTCTGCCTCCTCCATGTAGTTTTAATGAAAATCATTTCTTGGCCAGAGCACACTGCTGGCTGAGAACTCCATTTGGAATCCTTCCAGGAAACTGACCCCACTAGAATCCAACCCATCTCCCCTTCTTGGAGTTTCTGTTAATTGCCATCTGGCTATTTTTAGTTTCTTTAAGTGTGCACTGGGCACAAGCAGGGAAAGTCCATCCTGCTGAGGGTTTGGGGCTGTGTGAGCTGTGGGGTTTTAATTTGAAAATGTTTTGACACTTCATTTGTCAGGGCACCAGTTGCTGGAAACTTGTGAGAGTGAGCAGGAGCTGAGAGCTTATTATTTTTTAAAATCAGTGTTTTCACAGAGGAGAGAATCCCCAGTTGCAACAGCTGCTTAGTGCCTCCAAATGTGAGTTTGGCTTAGGCAGAAGGGATTTAGGGATTTGAAAGCTTAAAAGAAAACATAAATAACAACAAACATGGAAAGCAACCTGTTCAGACTGTCAGCTGATATTCAGATTTGCAGAGCCTGAGCTTTGGTTCTTCTGATGTGAGTTTTCTTTGGTGTGGGCTTATCATCAGTTTGGTCAAAGGCCTTTGAGTCCATTTCTAATCCTGTTCTGAAATGATCCCTCACTTTAACACACCGCACACACTAATGAGGCCTGACCTTCATCACTGACTGGAATAAAGGCTATAGCCTAGATCTGCCGCATAGGGCTGTCTGTAAGTGCTTGCTTCCCTCCATTTCTACTGACCCTCTACTTCTTGACCAGCATAGATGTTAACCCTGTGGTGGCAGAATCCTTGTTCAGAGCCTGTGGGTAGGAGTAGAAAGAAAAGGAAATTACTTATGATTCCTGCTAGGGGCTTCACATATCCTATCTAATTTCATCTTTGTGTGTTAGTCAAGGTTCTTAGTTGCCAGCATCAGAAACTAATTCTATTAATTTAAGGTGGGGTGAGAGGATTTCTTTAAATGTTACAGGAACATCAGAAAATGAGTCTTAGAAGCTAAGTATCTGGAATAATTTTCAAAATCGTGTTGCAGAATTGATCTCAGGAAGACAGCAATGCAGCCAGACATAGACACTGCAACGTGCACAGCTTTCACTAAATACCAATCTTGAGTGTTGTCCTAAGAACTTTCCCTCTGATGCTCTAGGGTCTGGAGGTTACTGTGACCTCACCATAGTGGACTCCATGTAGTCCCTACATCTTCACCGTCTGAGCTCCCATGCAAAGCACGTCTTCCTGGCAGAGCCTGGGTCATGCTTGTGCTTTAGCTGACACCTTCGCTTCCCTAGCAAGAGGCTGGTGCTGCCTTAGAATGTGGGGCATTCCCCAAACATAGGAAGGGAGTTCTGATGCTGAGAGGCACCAAAGAATGGCAAATGCCCACTGCGCTGTACAACAAACAAATGCAATACATATTGTTAGGCTAATAGTATAGACAAAGAGATTGGAGCTACAGAAAGTTAACTAACTTGCTTTAGCATAAACAACTGCTATGTGGCAGAGCTACATACAAACTCAGTTCTGTCTGTATGCAAAGCCTGTACTGCAGGGTGATTTTAGGGGTGACAGAAAGTCATTTGTTTTGTGTTCTAGGTTGATAAACTGACATTTCGCTATGTGATTTTTGGAATGTGAGGGGAGCAGGCTGTGATGGTAAAAAACAGTATCTGCTTACATATATATATATATATATAATTTTTTTCTATAGCTTGGGATTTTAAGTCTGATTCAGTTTTCCAGGGCTACCATAACAAATTACCACAAAGTCAGTAGCTAAGCGCAACTGAAATTTGTTCTCTCATTGTTCTGGAGGCTAGAAGTCTGAAATCAAGATGTCTGCAGGGCCATGCTCCCTCTTAAGGCTTTAGGAGAGGATCCTTCCTTACCTCTTCCTGGCTTCTGCTGGTTGCTGGCAGTCTTTGGTGCTCCTTGGCTTATAGATGCATCATTCCAAGTGCTGCCTCTGTGGTTACATGGCATTCTCCCAGTACGTGTTTCTGTGTAAATTTCTCTCCTCTCATAGTGACACCAGCCATATGGGATTTAGGGCCCACCCTAATTCATTACAACCTTATCTTAACTTGATTACATCTGTAAAGACCCTATTTCCACATAAGGTCACATTCACAGGTTCTGGATAGACATGAATTTTGGGGAGGTAGACACTATTCAGTGCAGTATAGAGACTAGTTTCATTAAGTTAGATATCACAATAACTCATTTCTGAGACTAATTCTCTGTAATAAAGGTAAAGAGAAAGTGATAGAAAATGAGTCTAGGTTTAACTGATCTCTTTGGTCCCTTAAGCCCAAAGGGGACCCTCTGAACAGATCTTCTGCCTGTGAGTGAAGCAGGAGTATATCTGTGCCAGCATCCTGAGCTTGAGTAGATTTGCTTCCTGAAAGGTTACTAGAGAAAGATGCCAGAGTCAGCAAAAGGAAATGCTTTCATTTGGTATGAAAGCAAAGTGCAGCTCTCCAGGAGAGCCAAGAAGACTGTGAATAAGCATTGGTCACAGACTGATTTTTAGGGTAATTGTGAAAAAGGAAGCTGAGGGCTTTAGGGTACAATGCAATAGGTGGCTTTCTAACCAAGATATGTGCACTCAAAGCACATCTCTGGTCCTTTCAAGATGGCGACATGTGACCTTGATCTTTTTGAGGTTAATTTTAAATTGCGGTAAAAACACTTAACCACATGGTGGCTGGAAAAATTTAGTAAGCAACTTCTTGGAGAGTCTCAGCACAGCTCTGGAATGCTGCCACACAACTGGGGAATCAGAATCAGAAATCATGAAATCATCGGACCCTCAAAGATACAGCTTATCCAGGCTTGTGAGTCAGGGCTATGCTGCTGTAACAATCAACTCCTAAATGTCAGCAGCTTAATCCAACAGAGCTTTATTTCTCTAATCTGTATCATTCTCACTCCAGGACCCAGGCTGATGGAACAGCCTCCATGAAAAGCGCTACTAGTTCCTGTTGTAGAGGAAAGGAGGACCTAGCAAATCACACAGCTAGTTCTTAAATCTTCCACCTGAAAATGGCCAGTGTTACTTATAACTACATTACGTTGGCCAAAGCAAGTCATATGGTCACTCCTAATTTCAACAAAGCAGGGAAATGCAAATCTACATCTACCCATAAGAAGAAACAGAAATATTTGGTAAATGGCACTATATATTACCTTTGCAAACTCATTAAGGTAGGGACAGGTTGATAAGGTGATATTCTCAGTGCACCAGCTGTGCGTGGGAGGGGGTTAGAAAAAAGAGGGACTTGATGGATTAATACTTCACTTATAGGATTTCATTGAAATTAACTTCTGCCTGGTGGATTGCCTAGCCACTGAACACAAAGCATTTTAGAAAGTTCCTAGAGTTGAATTTCCAACACTTTCACTCTTCCTCTAAGACAGTGCCATGAAGTGCCAATTTGGGGCAACTACTGACTTTCTAAAGGCTTATATAGAAGGCTCTGTATGACATAGTAATATCTAATATAGATGACTTTGTTTTAATGTCTGCTTGCAGGCTAAGAATGTAAGAAAATAAAGAGGATAAAATCATTAAAAAGCAGTTCAGTTGGATGAAGCAACCAACTAATAAGCTCTTTAAAATATTGTATTTTCATCCCTTGGTATCCATGGGAGGTTGGTTCTAGGATACACACATACCCCCCAAATTAAAATTTGTGGGTGCTCAAGTTTCTTGTATAAAATGGCATGATATTTGCATACAATCTATGCACATCCTCCTGTATGCTTTAAATCATCTCTAGATTAATATCTAATACAGTGTAAATGCTATATGAATAATTTTTACTGTATTTTTATTTGTATTATTTTAATTGTTGTATGGTTATTTTTATGGGGTGTTTTGTTTTTAATATTTTTGATGTATTGGTTGAATCCTTGGATGCAGAACTCACAGATGCTGAGGGCTGAGTGTGCTAGACCCTGGTCTTTTTTTGGCACTGAACCAGAAAAATTCTGATGAATTTACAGCTTCTGCCTAAATCCTCTTTTCACTTAATTTCCTGAGTCTGTAGTATTGGCATGTCCACTTTAACTTCAGAGTGGTGGCTTAGCTTTGGAATTGAGAAGTTCCAGAAACCCAGAAAAAGACAGAATCACAGGGAAACGTCAATAAACGTGTTGATTTTCCTGTAACTACCGCCAATTTCTTAGCCTAGATTCCCTAAATTGCAGAGCACGAGGCAAAGACTTCTGGGCTGGCACTTTATCAGGGAGTATTAATCTCAGGAAAACAGGAGTAGGAGAAAGGAGAGTGAGGCAGAGAAGGAGGGAGAGCAAGTGGAAGGCAGTACATTACTGAGCAGGCCACAGCTTTATGAAAAACTGATTGCTTGGTGTCATAGGACATCTTCAAAGGGGCAACATGAAGCTACTTCATCCTCAAATAGTTCTTCCAAGGGGAGAAAGGGAAAATGATTTATTCATTAGCTGCCATCTCCCATTGGTCAAAGTATTCCCTCACTGGGTATTAACTCCCTTACACTTCAAGGGTACACATGCATGAGCATCAAGTAGGTGCTGCAGTGCTTTCTCTGCCTTGACAGAAACAAGGGAATTCCACTATAGGAAGCACATGGCACAAACAAATTGTGCACTGTTTTTTGTGCTAATGAACGATATGAGGACCTAGAAGAAACCATTGCAACAAGTTCCTCAGGCAGTAGTGAATATAGCAGCAACAGCAGCAGCAGCAGCAGCATCAGCAATAAAACCCAGCTCCAGGATTCAAAGATCAGTGCAAGCAATTTCTAGGACCCCTCTGCTACATAGCAAGGCAAGCGTTCTCTTCTGGCATGAGGCAAAACCAGAAGGCATTATAACCAGCCACTCAAACCAGGAACCTAGGAGTCAATCTATACTTTTAGTCTCCTTTCAAATCTAAATCCCTTAGATTCAATGGTCTCAGCATTTCTGCAACCTTTCCACTTCTCCTGTCCCACAGCAAGTCCCTAGTTCTCATTCTTATTGTGTCTTTCCTGGAGTATTGCAAAAGTTTTGCAACTACTTTTCCTGCTTGTACCAGTTAAGATATCTTTGACTCGAAATAGGAAAAATCCTGACTCAAATTGGCTAAAACAGTCAAAGGTAATGCGACTTCATGGTGTTTTAATCCATGAAGTCACATTACCTTTGACTGTTTTAACCAATTACTTTGAGCTTTGAGCATCACATCCGAATTTAACCACATTCAGGAAATAGGAGGCATCTTTTCTGTCTCTTTAAGAGGGAGGAAATCTTTCCCAAGAAGTCTTTCTCAGTAGACTCATAAAGAAAGTCATATCACATCCCCAAGCCTAAACCCATCACTGGCAAGAGGAATAGAACCACTTATGATTGCCCTAAACCAATCAAGATCCCCTCCCTGGATCTGCAGATGGTTAACCACATACAGGAGGGTAAATAATAAAACTGAAGTTCTGATTGGAAGGAGGAAGGGAGAGGGGACTGATGCTGGTTAGGAATTACTAGGTTCTGTTACCTTTGATGTTGTGGCCCTCCAATCCATGCCATTAGTATGATGTTGCTGAAATGCAACTATGACATAATCCTATGAAATAATACTTCTATTTAAAACTTCCTGATGATTCTTCTTTGCTGAAGAATCAAGCCAAGTCTTGCACAAAAGACTATTTATGATCAAGCATCTGCCAGTTTCTCCAGATTTTGCTCTTGCCATGTTCATGTCTTAACCATGCCCCACTTCTACCTCTAATACTCACATCATGCTCCTGATGCAATTTACTGCCTTCCTTATGCAACTGGCTCTATCATTCTTAGATGCCTTTGTCCACACTTCCTGGAGCTCCTGCATTTCCCATCATTTAAATGGCACAATATTGACTCACTTTTCAATTTCCAGTACCCAGGTCACCTCAATGAAATCTTTCCAGACCCTGCGGTAAAGTAGCCTCTTTGTCCTTCTGCTCACACTGTGCCCTTATATAATTCTGTTATTGCCACTGTAGCACATGATTGTACTTCTTTATTAATGCCTATTCCTCCTCCCAGACAGTCCTGCTCTATTCATCTTTGCATTCTCAGCACCTGGCAGTGCTTGGCACATTGGTCAATGAATGAAGGAGTGTTTAAGGATCTAGAGCTGAGTGATCATGCCCAGGTCTAAAGCAGGGTTAATTGTGAGGAGATAAGCTAAGCATGATCACATGTTTTGAATATTCCCTAATTAGAGAGGAAAATAGTTACAGAACTGGTAGAAGGGTGGTTAAAAGGTTGGTAATAAGTTTTTCTGTCCTCTGCCAGAAGACCAAGCAAAATGTGCTCATAAGCATTAATTCTGCATTATTTAAATACAGGCAACCCTCTGGGTGCAAGCAAGTTTCACTGCACAGCAGATGTAGAGTTCTGTCTTAGGAGGAGCTATCACTGCAGAATTTTCCTGCCATAATGAAAGTGCTAAGTATCTGAACAAGATTTAAGTCCAAGCTGCAAAGGCCATAAGAGGATGTCTTCTGTAGTCCTTGAGATGCTTTGGACATTTTCTTCTCTGATAAAAGCTGGAGTAGGAGATGCGATGCACTGCAAAAGTCTGTGCAGCCTCCTCTTTCTGTTACTGCCCAGAAGTTGCTCAGTTAACCTGTCAGTCCATAGTTCGGATATTGGAAGATCTGGATACTGGATGCAGTCTATGGGGGTTGGCAACCTGTGGCAGCCAACAGTGATGATGAAGCACATGATACTGGGCACGAGCCTGAGCCACATGTGGTTTTGGGCTGTCTAGTGAGCTGACTAAAGATGGAATAAAATGAGGGCAGGAAGGAGTGATGGCTGTGGAAGTAGGACACAGAACGTAGGAATATAAGGCATACAACAATAACAGGTATAGCAATTCAGAGCAGCCACTGATGTGCTCAAAAAATAAAGAAGAATTAGTAAATGATAACTGATGTCACTTGAGGAACCAATTGTGGGATAATCAAAACCTTCATATTTGAAGACAATTATAAAAAGCTGGAGTGAAAAATAAGACTAAATGTGGCCAGTATTACTCTAGTCTGAATAGAACAAATAATAATTTAGAATTGAAGTTGAGACAACGATAGACTGGATTAAGAAAATGTGGCACCTATACACCATGGAATACTATGCAGCCATAAAAAATGATGGGTTCATGTCCTTTGTAGGGACATGGATGAAACTGGAAATCATCATTCTCAGCAAACTATCGCAAGGACAAAAAACCAAACACTGCATGTTCTCACTCATAGGTGGGAATTGAACAACGAGAACACATGGACACAGGAAGGGGGACATCACACTCTGGGGACTGTTGTGGGGTGGGGGGAGGGGGGAGGGATAGCATTAGGAGATATACCTAATGCTAAATGACGAGTTAATGGGTGCAGTACACCAACATGGCACATGTATATACATGTAACAAACCTGCGCATTGTGCACATGTACCCTAAAACTTAAAGTATAATAATAATAAAATAAAATAAAAAAAGAATTGAAGTTGAGAGAGTGGCTAATAGTTTAGGACTCAACTTAGATAATTTAAAAAATCTCATCTCTGATTCTCAGCCTCCTTATCTACAAAATGGAGAAAATAATAATTGTTATCACAAGTTTAAAAGGTAATGCCTACACAGTACTAAACAGGCATAGCATATAATAAGTATACAAGAAGTGGTAGATACAATAGGTCCTCCATATTCGTGTGCTCTGTTTCTGTGGGTTCTACGTCATGGATACAGCCAACTGTGGAACAAAAATACTTGGAAAAAAGATGGGTGGTTGTGTCTGTACTGAACATGTATGGACACTTTTTTCTTGTCATTATTCCCTAAACAATATAGTACAACAACTATTTACATAGCACTTACATTGCACTAGGTATCCCTTTATAAGTAATCTAGAGACTCAAGGTATTCAGGAGGATGTGCATATGTCATATGCAAATACCACACTATTTTATATAAGGGACTTGAGCATCCAAGGATTTGGGTATCCAAGGGGATTCCTGGAACAAATTCCCCATGTATACCAACAGATGACTGTATTTATTTTTGCTCTTTTATTCAAGGGTAATTTTGTTTCATGCTTTCATAAGGATCTATATATTCCTTGTTAATTTTAACCTACTAAATCCAAATGAATAGTTTTGAATCTACTTGGAGCTATGTAAGCCCTGTCCAAGTACTTTGCAGGATTTCTTTGCCCAGGAAGCCACAAGAACATGTAATTAAAATAATCCGGAAAGCAAAACGATAACTCTTTCTCTCTAATATTTTTAAAACTTTTCTTACCAATAAATTCCCAGGACATTTGGCCACGATTACATGGACCAGTTGTTGACTTTTCCCAGTTAGTCCTGCCAGGGATTTCATACTATTTTCGGGTGCCACTATGTATAAGCCAAAAAAGAGCCATATCTACCATCACTGCCTGTGTATCCAACAGGGAGCTGAGGATGAATTCCCTCTCTAGAAGGTAATTGTCCACAAGACGTAACTGGATGGTAATATAGGGAGAATATGGCAAGGTCAAAAGAAAGTCATCCTTTGAAAGATTCTTAATTTAACTAGGTTGGAGAGGACTTATGCTGGTATAAGGTGGCTTCTCAGCAAGGTAACAGATTTTTACCATATTTTCTGGATCATGAATCTGTCCTCTATTTGTGGTAGTGAGGGATATTTTCATACCTCAGTTTGTTCAATAAAGATTTAGTGAGTGTCTCTACTGTGCACAAGATCCTGTACTACATTCAGATTCAATAGTGAGAAACAGATGGGGTCTCTCCTTTAATGAAGATTACTATCCAGGAGAGAGAGCAGATATTAATCAAATAATCACTCATTACATGAAAAATTATAATTCTGGTGAATTTATGAAGAAAGAGTATGAAGAGATGCTGATAAGAAAGTATACAACAGGAGGACCTAGCATGGTAGGACAGCAAAGACCAGGGGAGATGTTTGTGACTTAGCCAAGACAACATCTCCCCACCTCCTTGCACCTACATGCGTGGCCAATGGAATGTAAGAGGAAGTGATTTGGGAGGCCGAGGCGGGCGGATCACGAGGTCAGGAGATCGAGACCATCCCGGCTAAAACGGTGAAACCCCGTCTCTACTAAAAATACAAAAAATTAGCCGGGCGTAGTGGCGGGCGCCTGTAGTCCCAGCTACTTGGGAGGCTGAGGCAGGAGAATGGCGTGAACCCGGGAGGCGGAGCTTGCAGTGAGCCGAGATCCCGCCACTGCACTCCAGCCTGGGCGACAGAGCGAGACTCCGTCTCAAAAAAAAAAAAAAAAAAAAAAAAGAGGAAGTGATGAGTGTCACTTCTGGGCCAAGGTGGTTAATGGTCCAGCATACTTTCCCTACACTGATGATTAAAAGATGGAGGTGTTTGTGACATTAAGGATGAGTTGGTTTAACAGCCAGGGTCCCTGCAGGAGAGAGACAGCACACATGACAGGGTGTATTAGGGTCCTCTGAGAGGGAGAGAGCTAATTGGAAATATATCCATATCTATATCTATATAATCTACCTATGTATCTATGCATCTATCTATCTATGTATCTATCTATCTAAAAGGGAGTTTATTAAGTATTAACTTACATGATCACAAGGTCCCACAACAGGCTCTCTGCAAGCTGAGGGGCAAGGAGAGCCAGTCTGAGTCCCAAAACTGAAGAACTTGGAGTCTGATGTCCAAGGGCAGGAAGCATCCAGCACAGGAGAAAGACGTAGGCTGGGGGGCTAGGCCAGTCTCTCCTTTTCAAGTTTTTCTGGCTACTTTATATTTGCTGGAAGCTGATTAGATTGTGCCTACCAGATTAGGGGTGAATCCACCTTCACCAGACCACTGACTCAAATGTTAATATCTTTTGGCAACACCCACACAAACACACCCAGGATGAATACTTTGTATTCTTCAAGCAAGTTCACACTCAGTATTAACCATCACACAGGGTGTTTTATGAGAGTTAAAAATAACATGACTATTTACAAAGATGTAGGCAGAGTTAGGAGAATAAAGAAGGGGTAGTGAAGCACTCTGTTACCAGCAAGAATGTGGACCTGTTATTCTATCTGGACCTAAAGGTATTTACTGGAAATGTGACATAATATCAGAGCTGTAAGACATGGGAGTCCAACAGGAACTGTGACTTCAGTAAAGTCACAATCCATGGAGACACAGAAGAAAGGGAGCCAAAAGAATAAATAATCTGACCTCACTGTCCTCACCCCCTCTGATCTCCTATTGTCATTTCTCTTGACGTATCCCAACTAGAATCCAGTGGCAAGGAAGCCCATTGTAACAGTCTATATAGATCAGGCTCCTGCCAAAGACCAGGATGAGAAGAGTGGAGGATAGATCTGGAGAAGCAAATAGAAAATATCCAGCACAATAGTCACTGAGTAGGTGAAAGAAAATGACCGCAGACTGAAAGCAGATGGTGCGTAATGGAGAGCATAGCAAGCAAAAGGAACAGTATGTACTAAGGCCTGTGGCAGGAATGAGCCTAAAGTCTTCTAAGAAGGCCTGTGTTCAGGCAGGAAGACCTGGCAGAAGGCTACCTCAGCTCGTCAGAAGGGTGATCGTGTTCCAATGATAGTCAAGGAAGAAGAGTAGAGATCATGAAGATCAAGAGTGAAAAGTGTCAGATGCATGGGGTGATTTGGAGGCCAAGAAATAAGAAAGAGGCCCGAATGCAGAAGACATGGAAGGTTGAGTGAAACATCATAGGCTGTGAATCTTGAATAAGGCAAGGGCATCCTGAGCTCAACCTCTTTGGGTGCTGCCTTGTGATGCAAGAGCATTCCCGGAGTCCAAATGTTAGACAAAAGTCATAGGCCTTTTCCAAAGATATTTCAAAGTGATGTTGGAATTAAAAGACTGCTATCTTGGGCCATCCCATTCAGCCATTTAGGCAACAAGTATTTATTAATGGTTTTTATATTTCCTACTGTGCTCACTAGGTTCTGAGAGGTGATGTGATTCCTGTCTTTGGTAAGCTCACAGGCTAAGCAGGAAAGACAACCATGTAAAGAACTACTTGTCATATCCTGTGATAAGTGCTGTTAGAGAGTGACATGCAAAGGTGCCAGAGGGCCCAGCCTACCCTGACTGGGGAATCAGGCATCCCTGAGATATGAGATTTGAGCTAGGTCTTGAAGGGTGTTTCCCAGGTAGAAAAATGAGAGGAGGGAATGTTATCTAGGGGAAATGTATTGATCAATGGATGCCAACTACTACTAAAATGATCCCCAAATCTCAGCTGTTTATCATAATAAAATTTATTTCTTGCTCATGACATGTCCAGTGTGTTCTGAGTGGCTCTTCCCAAAGTGGTGATCCAGAGATTCAGGCTGTTTTCATCTTCAGTGCAGGGAATGTATGCTGGAACTTTAACCACCTTGGTCCAGAAGTGACACTCATCATTTTGCCTCACATTCCACTGGCCACGCATGTAGATGCAAAGGGGTGGAGAGATGTAGTCTTGGGTAGGCAGCTGCTTCCTGGCAGCTGCATTCTGAGAGAGCGTGAACATTTGGTATGGGGTAATGGCTCCCACTGCCACAGAGAATTGCTCATGAGGGAGCACAGAATGAAGTAAAGGGACATGATTCCTGGCCCAGGGTGTGTGTGGAAGAAGGGAGAGAAGTACAAAAGAAGAGGCCAGAAAGGTCAGTCATTACTGGATGGCTCAGGACTAAGGACAACGTACCAGAGAGACCTTCTCCTTCTTCTCCTCCAGATGTGTGGAACTATTAGAAGTGTGACATGGCCAGATATGCATCTCTTCACAGTCCACTCATTTCTTTTTTTTTTTTTTCTGCACAAAAAGAGAGCAAGAGTGGTGCAAAGAGCTAAACACTGGATTTTCATCCCAATTCTGCCAATGCTACCTACTTGGGCTGGCTACTTAGTATCTCTGAGCCTCAGCTTATCAATAAAATGGGCACAAAACTATATGTACTCTGTATTCCCGAGAGGCATGAGGATCTGATAGATAATGTCAGGCAAACATCCTTTGGAAACTGTAAACTGCTCTACATATACAAGGATATTTAGTTACTCTATTTTGCCTCTGACTGAGGGGAGATATTTTTTCCCAGAGCATGAAAGTATAACTTAATGTCTGCCAAGTTCCTGAAATATATCCACTTCTGTGATGATCTACCAATGGTAGAATAAGAAATGAGCTCAATATTATCTCTATAAGAACAAATAAATACAATTAGATGCAGCTCCAATGCTTCCTAAGGTGCTATGTAAGAAAGCATAATGGAATAATGTTAATGACTTTTCTTCTTCCACAGTCTTGGAAACCACAGGTGGAAAGGGCTGAGGTGGTGTATTTCCATTAGAGCCTAAATATTTGCTTTGACTATTAGTTTTTTTTTTTTCACACAGAATTTATCCTTGGTCCTCCAAGGCTTTGTTTTCCAAAGTTGCATGGCTTATGTAGAGAAGGGGAAATGTCCCTCTACCTCCTCACTGTCTCTTCCCATTGCATGACTGAAAATTTACTTGTCAAGATTTTTTAATATCCACATAAGTGGGCAGCAGATGGACTTATCTGGACAGTGCTAGCAAAGGATTGGATTCTTTTTCAAGGCCTAACTCTGTTTTGAAATAGCCAAATGATTAAAGTTACTTTGGCTTGCATTTTTAGAAAATTTTCTCAACTTATGATTTGTCACTACTTCTCTAGATATGGCCTGGGTCTGTTGAAGTATCTTTTTACCAAATGGACCAATTTTCCAAAAGCCTAACCACATAAGGCTCCCTCCCATCTCTGTCTCTTTTTCTTTCTCCCTGTTTCCTTTCCCCCATCTCTCTGCTAATGGTAAGATGTTCCTTTAGTTTTTAGTCTGCAGCATCACGAGAACTGGAAAACACTGCTCTAAGATGTGCTTCGTGCCATTTTAATAAATTAGATAAAGAACTTCATTTACACATTCCAGGGCACCTGTTCCCAGAGCATCCAGGTGCAATTTCCATTGTCTCTTAACTTTGCATCCATACCTTGGGCTGAACTTGAAATCTAGGGTGTTGTACTTTTAATTGAAGAAAGTTCTAGAAAGTTTCTTCTGAATGTAGTACATTTTTCTTTGGGACCATGGATTGCATTCTCCAACTTAACAGCCTCCATTTCTTAAATGGCAGTTGTGAGCGTTCTTGTAACAGACCATGGCCACATGAAGATGATGTATTTCCTGGGGAGGATGAGGAAAAGAGAATACTAAAATTTCTAAAAGTATAGACAGCCTGATAGCCAATTTTGGAGTCTGGATGACATTTTAAATTGGTAATGCTCCTAATTACCCAAACCCTAGGAAACTGTATGGAATACAGCCACAGCTCTAGATTAATATAAGTGAGCACTGTGAACCCATTACTAACAGCATGTTATCTTAGAATAATGGCACAGTATCTGTGTCATCACAGTGTGATATTGCAGTTAAAATGCGCACACACACACACACACACACACACCCCTTAATATTTCTTGTTTTTTGGCAAATTTTTCCTGCTATAATTTTTTTAACTTTTCTAAATTTTCCAACAGAACATATTACTTTGTTTCCTTGTCAACCATTGTCTAATTGGTATTGCCGTGTTGAAATGTCAGTTTTATAGAAGATGAATGTCAGCAAGCAATGTATTATAATACAAAACATGAGCATGAAGGCAGACATGTTCAGAGTCAACTCTTAGCCTCCCTATTTATTGCCAGCTGAACTTGAGGTGATTGTTCGATGTCTCCGATTTTCAGGGTTTATTTTTTTTCCTATTACATCGGCATAATAATGTTGTCTATTCATATTGTTATTGTGAGGAGGTAAAGCCAAGGAAAATGTCTTGTTCAAAGCTAGTGCCAAAAGATGCTGAGACTAAAAGGCATCAATGCGACAGAAATACAGTAACTTGAAATTTCAATGATCAGGCTGAGATTCAGGCCTTAGCTCCAGCAGTGCTTGCGGAGGGGGGTTGACCACATACCATCCACCCCTTGCATGCAGGGTTAAGTGTTGGCCTTTTTATGCCAGTAAATGGTGGTTTTCTTGATCTAAGATCCAGGTCTGAACACAGAGAGTGGAAGACAAATTTCGTCACTTCACTACCTTCATCTGCTCCTACCCTCCATAGAAACCTCCCCAGCTTTATGGAGAGGGCCTGGTATAAAAGCGCACCCTTCATTTTTGAATTTTTCAAGACTATCTTCAGTGATTTCTAAACCTAGGTATATCATTCCAAAAGTTATTTGCCACAGTTTTCATTTGTTCATGCTGATAGAATTGGTGGAGCAAGCCCATTTGTGACACTACTTCTCTTGGCCCTAAGCATCCTCAAAGCAATCCATGTTACAAAGAAACTATAATAATAGCAATAATTTGTGAAACACCAATTATGTGCCAAGTGCTTTGCATACTTTCATATTATTTAATCTCTATATCCAATTCTAAGAGTGTTTGTTATTAACCCCATTTAACATGTGAGAAAAACAAGTCTCACAAAGATTCATAACCTTGCCAAGGTAACGCCACTAGAAACATCAAAGCTAGTGTTATTATAATAAGTCTGACCTCAACACCCAAAGCTGGCTTTGTGCCAGTAAGCCAAGCCCTTGTTTGTGTTTTCACACTTTTTTTTTTTTTTTTGTCTTCTTTCCTTTTAGGTGGTTCTAGATGTTGGTTGTGGATCAGGAATCCTGTCATTTTTTGCTGTACAGGCTGGAGCTAGGACAGTTTATGCAGTTGAAGCCAGTTCAGTACAGTAGCACAGTATGCTGAGGTAAGTGGTTGTATTTTTTTTTTTTTTTTTTTTTTTTGAGACGGAGTCTGGCTCTGTCACCCAGGCTGGAGTGCAGTGGCGTGATCTAGGCTCACTGCAAGTTCCACCTCCTGGGTTCATGCCATTCTCCTGCCTCAGCCTCCCGAGTAGCTGGGACTACAGGGGCCCATCACCACGCCCGGCTAATTTTTTGTATTTTTTTTTTTTTTTTTAGTAGAGACAGCGTTTCACTGTGTTAGCCAGGATGGTCGCGATCTCCTGACCTCGTGATCCACCCGCCTCAGCCTCCCAGAGTGCTGGGATTACAGGCGTGAGCCACGGTGCCTGGCCAGTGGTTGTATTTTTAAGGCAATTACCAAGTGGGTCTTTAGTATACCTCAGGGTACCCAGTGATGGAGTCTTCCAGGTAGGTCATTTAGAATAATTTATTTTATTTAACCAGTGATATGGTTTGGCTATGTCTCCACCCCAATCTCATCTTGAATTGTAGTTCCCTTTATTGCCATGTGTTGTAGGAGGGACCCGGTGGGAGATAACTGAATCATGGGAGCAGTTTTCTCCATACTGTTTCATGGTAGTGAATAAGTCTCACAAGAGCTGATGATTTTATAACGGGAAACCCCTTTTGCTTGGCTCTCGTTCTCTCTTGTCTGCCACCATGTAAGACATGCCTTTTGCCTTCCACCATGATTGTGAGGCCTCCCCAGCTACATGGAACTGTGAGTCCATTAAACCTCTTTATCTTTATAAATTATGCAGTCTTAGGTATGTCTTTATCAGCAGTGTGAAAATGGACTAATAAAACCAGTTTCTAATTTTTGCTGTATTGGAATGTTACTGCCAATCAAGCCTGATTTCCCTGTAGTGATTGATATGAAAAAATTAATTTTTTTAATTGTCAGGATACTGAAATTGTAGCAAAACCTTCTCCCTTCCCATCCACTGGGTGGCAGATGGTGCTGGGGCAGAGGAAGGGAGACATGAATGTTTTCTTTAATTATCTGGGTGAGGAGTAATGTTTCACTGCAGCTAGATTTATTTTTTTCTTTTTAAGTGCTGTAATGACAATAGCTACACCATTCACTTTAAATTTTGCTTTTGGTTTAAGGGGCTGTTGCTACATGGTTGTAGTAAGAGGAAGAGACAGGTGTCTGTGTTTCGAGGAGCTTTTTAAGATTTCAGGTTCTGACTGGAGGAGAGGGAGAAGATTTGTTTTAAATGTAGTGCTCTATTATCATTCTGAAATGTGTACAAATATTATAAAATAAATCAAAGTCAAGAGTCAGGTAATAATGGCTTTCAGTAATATTTGGATGTAATAATAACCCAATCAAACTGCAGAAATTGGTTATGTGTGCACCCGTGTGAACAGGGTAATGTGCTTGTCATTCATACCTGGAGGAGGCCTGAATTTTAATGAGGGATAGGATGACAGATAGAGAGAAAAGCTTGGCTGCTGCTTCAGATGAGCATCATGAAACCCTCCTCCAGGCCCGGACAACTGGTACCTCTGAGTGATGGTTGGTTTTGACGTAAGTGAGCAAACAGGAACCAAGAGACAAGTAGACAACTCTGGCATGTTTGGAGGGAAAGATTGTCAGAGCCTAATGGATGGGTAGGTTGTTGTATTCTCTTTTCTGCTTCCAGCAAGTCCTGAAGAAAATATTTTCAGTTATTTGTTTCTTTACTAGTTCTTAAATGTCATTTTTATTAAATATTGACGACACTGCAAACAATATTTGTAAACATATATAGTGTAAAGAATAGCAATACAATGAATGTGTGCCTACTTCCTGTTTTAAGAAATAGACCATTAGCATTTTCTTTAAAGGCCCATGTACCTTGTCCTGATCGCATTACTTTTTTGCCCTGAACAGAGGTAGTCACTACTGTGAATTTTTGTTTATTGTTCTCTTATTCTTTATACTTTTACCACATATATTTCTATTCCTAAAAACATATCACTTATGAACTTTCCATGAATGGGCTCATAATGTATGCATTCTCCTGCAATTTGCTTTTTTTTCACCCAACATCGTGTTCCTGAGGGCCATATTTGTTGATGCATACGGCTGTTGTTTACACATTTTCAGTGCTGTAGAGTGTCTCGTGATATGATATGCCTCAAGTTGTTAGTCCTGTTGGCAGACTTTGGATGGCTTCCATTATAAAAGTATTATTATGAATATTTTTGAACACAGTCTCCACTGCGTCTTTGCTGAAGTTTCTCAGGCATACACAGGAGTGGAATTGTTGGATCCTAGGGTGTGCATACCTTCGACTTTGCTATATAATGCCAAATTGTTTTCCAAAGTGGCTGTGCCAATTTTTATTCCCTCCCGCAGTATATGGGTGCCATCGTTCCATGTCTTTGTTAGCACTTTGATATTGTCAGACTTTGAAATTTTTGCCAATCTAGTGGTTATGACAGGATCTTTGTGGTTTTGTTTTTTCCACTTGCTTATGACTTTGAACATATTTGCAAGTATTTTGGCCATTTGTGCTTTCTCTTCAGTAAAATGCCTATTCAGGCTTTTGACAATTTTTCTTTTGAATTGTTTGTCTAATTCTAATTTATTTGTAGGAACGAATTCTATTTTCTAGATATTAATCCTATGTCAGTTATGTATGTAGCAAATATCTTCTCCCAGTTTGTACCTTACATTTTCACTGTCCTAATGGCCCTAGTAAGCTTTAGATAGAGAGGTCTAAAAAAGAATAGAGAAGAGGAGGATAAAAATATGTAGAGAGAACTTCATAGATAACAACGCCTCTGCTTAGATATTAGTAGATTTTAAAATGAATTTTTAAGGTGAGGGGTTGTTTAGGACTTTGTTTTAGGTGCTGCTTATTCATTTATTCATATCTTTACTCAATTGCACTCTACATTTCTGTTGTTGGGCAATACAGGAGAAACAGTAATAATCAAGGTCTCTTCCTATATTCAAAGAGATTTGATTTTTAATAAGGTATTGATCCTGTTGTATCTTATACAAGAGACCAAAAAATAAAATAAAAGAGTGGCGTAAATAATTTGGGAGTTTTCTTTCCTTCATATAGTTTGTTTTTCATATATTTTAAAGTGGTTGGAGATACTTTAGTTACTTTTAAAACCTTAAACATCTAATATCCTTGGATATGGTACTTTAAGGAAAAAGAGGAAGGAATTAGCTAGAGATATTCTCACCTTTCTGAGCCATAATCCTGTCTCCAGCCATAGCAGGTGCAAGTACACTGTGACTGTGCCTGTGAATAGCCACTGTACTCCAGCGTCAGCAGCATAGCAAATCCCTATCTCTAATAAGCAAATAAATAAATAAAAATAGCTCAAAGACTACTCAAATTCCCTTTACCTAGATTCACCTATTGTTTACATTTCACCCCGTTTGCTTTATCTTTTGTTCTAGTTTGTCTTCCCACCACATGCAAACATACATTAATATTAATGTGTATACAGATATGTATATGATCACACACGTTTATGAACATATACACACATTTATATGAACATGAATGTATATATGAAAAATACACACATGTATATGAACACATGAGCACACGTGTATGTATATGAACACACATGTAAGTATATGAACATATATACATGTATGTATATGAAAACATACATATATGTCCAGAGATATAGAGACACACGCTTTTTCTATGGGTCAGTTATATATATCATAGCCATAGCCCTTTATCATTAAGCATTTCAGTGTGTATTTCCTAAAAACGAGGCTTTTCTCTTATATAACCAAAAGAGAATTTGATTTAAAGCTGAAAAAGAAGCTATATGATGACTTGCTCATTGAGTCTTTCAGTTTTGGTGGTAAAAGGTGTTTGGGGTGGTCCCAGCATGAGCAGGGAGACTGTCACCATGGTGCTGAGGTGAAAGGAGTCTATACTTAACTGCCTCTTCCCTTCCCTTACCTAGTATTTCTAGGAAGGCTTGATTTTTTGGGTAGGGGCAGTGGGGGGACGGAGTCTTGCTCTTTCACCCAGGTTGGAGTGCAGTGGTGCGATCTTGGCTCACTGCAAACTCTGCCTCCCAGGTTCAAGCGATTCTCCTGCCTCAGTCTCCTGGAGGCTTGATTTTTAAAACATTAAAACCAAAGTTCTAATGAATTCCAAAGCATCATAGTTTATCTTTGGTTTTAGCTTCTGTAGAGGATGTGTGTGTTACAGTAATCTTTCTTTTCTATGTACAACTGGGGCAGGTTGGGGACAGGGGTGGCTTTCCAAATGCTGTCAGGGACTGCCGGGAGCCCTTGAAATCCTCGCTCGCAAGTCTGTTTTGCTCCCGAGGCTTCCCCTGCATGTGGTCCTGAGAACAGGCTGGTTAAAAATGTATTCGGCACCAAGGATGATTAGAATCTTCTCAAAGTGTGGATTTAACAACAGACTGGTCCCTCCTGAAATCCATGGCCTCTACTCTGCCCATCACTCCTGCGTGGGTGTCATGAGATGCTCCCCAGGGACCAAGACCCTTTCACCTTGTGGAGGACGATCTGTACCAGCTCGTGGTTTTTGCTTCTCACACCAACACTCATCTGTACAGTTTGTGGGTGGCAAAATGCGACTGTGAACAGCACGGAAAAGAATTTTACTCTAAGAATAGGCTGATCTAGCAGCACAGCACACAGTGCATGGTGCTCCTTTCGACCTTTTCATTATTTGGTAATTGAACCAGCAGACATTTAATTCTTTTCTCTGGAGTCTTCATTAAATTTCTCGGAAAAGATAAAATTGCAACAAGAAAGAAAAATGTACAAATTTAACTACCATCTCCTGTCCCTGGATTCTTCTTCACACACCAGCCTTCTAGGCTTTAAGTAAATAAAATATTTTCAAATTGCATTGAATTCAACTTCAGTTTCACTTAGTAGAACAGCCTGATTTTGTAAGGGTTGGTCCTTGGTAGGCAGGCTGATGCCAACGACTTCTTATCTATACGGTATGCATGTACATGTTTTTGCAGGAGTGGTCACAAGGTTGGCAAGGTGTGGCTACGTGCTCTCACTGTGGGTCCCATGTGACATTTCTGGGTCAGTAAAAAGATACCATTCCTGTTTAAGGAACAGGGCAGGACTAAAGGTCTCCCGTGGGTCTCCAAGCTGTGAAACTTCCCACCTCAAGCTGGAAGCTATCTCTTGCTCCTTTTTTCCTTTTCTTATATACAAAACATAAAGCAAAGTCCCCGAGATTATAGAGACCAAATGGAAAAGAAGTAAGCATTCATCAAATCTATACAAGTATAAAATCGAGAAAAGGGAATTCCTTAATTTAAATTTATACACAGATAGATGTTACATCTCTCTACCTAAATGAGAAACTCCTTTAAGGGCCACCAGGATAATAGAAATTAAAGTGAGTGATTATTACTAGATTTTTGCGCTGCAATCAACTTAAACTTACAACAAAGTTCTCTGGGACTCAGATTTAACAATGTTCAGAATCATTATTGGGCCACTTTATAATTAGACATCACTAGTACACAGATCCTAGATATGCCTCATTAGAATGATTTTTAAGGGTCAGACCAAGTGTTTCCAGATCATGGGGTGGTGGAAGTAAAGGCATATGGAAATGGAGCTGTTGTGACATTCCCTCTGTAAAGCAGCTCATCATCTTAAGCTGCTCTGTGCAATATGGTAACCATCACACACGTGTGGCTATTTAAATATAAATTAATTAACAATAAAATTTAAATTCCTAGCTGGGTGTAGTTGCTCACGCCTATAATCTCAGCACTCTGGGAGGCTAAGGCGGGTGGATCACTTTAGGTCAGGCATTTGAGACCATCCTGGCCAACATGGCAAAACCTTTTCTCTACTATAAATACAAAAAATCAGGCGGATTGCCTGAGGTCAGGAGGTCGAGACCAATCTGGCCAACGTGGTAAAACCCTGTCTGCACTAAAAATACAAAAAATTAGCTGGATGTGGTGGCATGTGCCTGCAATCCCAGCTACTTGGGAGGCTGAGGCAGGGGAATTGCTTGAATTAGGGAGGTGGAGGTTACAGTGACCCGAGATCATGCCACTGTACTCCAGCCTGGGTGCAGAGTGAGACTCCACCTCAAAAAAAAAAAAAAATAGCTATGTATGGTGGCAAGCACTTGTAGTCCCAGCTACTCGGGAGACTGAGGCATGAGAATCACTTGAACCCAGGAAGTAGGGGTTGCAGTGAGCCGAGATCACACCACTGCCCTCCAGTCTGGGCAACAAAGTGAGACTAAAATAAAATAAAAATGAAAGTAAAAAATTAAATTCCTTAGTCACCATAGCATTTCTAGTGCTCAGTAGCCACAAGTAGCTATTGGTTATTGCATTGGACAGGAAAGATGTAGAATACGTTTCCATTGGCACAGAAAGTTCTACTGGGCAGCAGTGATGGAGACCAGGAGTAGCCAAACTTCACCTTTCTGGCATGTGATGGCCAGGATGATGGCTGTGTTCACTGCGAGGAATTGGTAGCTGTGGCCAGATTGGTCTGGCTTGACTTTAGGTGAGGCAGGCATCCAACAATCCTTGTTGCTGTGGACACTGTTTGTCTTCTCATTTATACGTAAGATCTGTCACAGAGCAGCTTCTCTAGGAAACAGACTCAACGTGGAGGTTTGTAAGCAGGAAGCATATTGGGAAGAGCTCTCAGGAGCCTCACTTCTGGGGAAGTGAAGGAAGCAGGATAGATTGGCTGAGGGGGGAGTTAAGCTGCAATATAGTCATACTAAAGTACTCAGCCAATCGCACAGGGAGTTCTTGAGCTGGGGTGGCCCTTCAGAGTTGAACCACCTTGAGGTGGGGGACTTTATGTTCCACATTTTTTTAATGCACACACACTGAGGAAGAAGTGTGACCTTGGGTAAGGTGGCTCTCCTGGGCAGCACTTAGAACATGACTCACCGAGAGCCATCATCTGCCAATGTTCCCAGCAGTTGGGGAAATGGGTGCCTTGGTCCAGAAGCAAGGATTTGTCTGGTATGCCACAGCATGTGCTTCAAGATCCAGGATTCTGACTTTGGGCTACCAAAAGGAAGCTGATAGAGGATAAAGAAAAAGTGACAGTAAATCAAAGGAAAAGAGTTAGAATGAGGGAGCCAGCAGGATGATACCAAAAGCTTAGGAAAAGCCACAAGGCGACAGGTTGTGAGTCCTTTAGTTGTAAGCAAAAGCTTTCTAGAAATTGAATACATCACCTGATCCAATGTAGTCTGTATTATTCTAAGCCCTGGGAGGACATAGAGCACACAGCTTAAAATCCAGTTGGTTTTCAAACAAATAAAATTCCTGACACACAGTGAATGCCAAGTGCCCATGAATGGCAGAGATGAAACATGGCATGTCTACACAATGAACCATTCCCGTGAGCTGGGGTGGTTAGGGAATCCTTCAGAAAAGATATGTGACTTCAATTAGATCCTGAAAGATGAGAAGAAATTAAATGTTCCTCTTTTCATTTTTCACATCTTACTGCCAGCAATGAGATTTTTGAAAATGCTTAGGTTCCCATGGGGTTCCCCATCTTAAATGTGTTGATAATGTCTTCATAAATGCTTTGAAGGCCAATTATTGGAAAGGTACTTCTCATTTTCAATCTTGAACACTAGAAAAAGCATATACTTTGAAGTTTTTCTGTATGAATTTATCCTGATTTCAACTCTTTGAGCTAGGGTTTTTCTCCAATTTCTTAAGTGTCTCCAATTGCTAACTTCTCCTTCCTCCTCACTCTCCCACAGACACCAAATGCCTGAGTCACAAGATTCCATCCAGCCTGTCAACACTTTTTATTTTTGCACTGACAATGAAGTTAAAAGGTGGCAATAAGGAATCTGTTAAGGAAACAATAATAAGCATTTGGCAGAGCTGAAGTTTTTGAGTTTTGAAAGCATTTCCACATCTATAAACTCATAGATCTTCAGGAAGAGTCTGTGTGGTGCTTGGAGCAAACAATACCATCCCCACATTACAGTTAAGAAAGAACCTCAGAGAAGATAGCCATGAAGGTGGGACGTGACTTGTGAAAACAATTCCTTGCTGCTTCCTTCTAGAATGTTCAGGTAAGCAGGAACTGGTGATTCCCTTGAAAGTGAAGAAGTGAATGTGTTTGACTAGCACCTACCCCTGTAGATTGTTCATTCAGGAAGCAAGAGAAAAACCATCTTTCACTTAGCAAGCAACCTATTGTGAAGCACTTAAACATGGAGACAGTTCTACTACCCAAAGAGGAATCCTGCTCCATTTGCAAATTCAGCTAGTAACACATTTAGAGGAGGAGTTAAAGTAATCCATGTGGAATGTCCCCGTTTGCCACAAAGCCTCATCCAAGAAATAAAGAGCCTTCTCATAGCTAGATTGGGGATTGATGAGGAAAGAAGACGACATGGGAGAGAATATCCATGTGTCCTCATCTCACTTGACATTCACATCCCTGTAGGGTAGATCCTAAATACCTTTGCAAGGATTCAAATTGAGGGTGGGTTCTGGAATCAGACAGTGTGAGGTTATATCCCTGCCCCTATGACCTAATGGCTGTGTGACCTTGACAAATGTATTATGTTTCCTATTGCTGCTGTAAAAAATTAATGCAAACAGTAGCTTAAAAAAATACAGTTGTATTACTTTACAACTCTGGAGGTCAGAAGTCAGAAATGGGTCTCATGTGGCGAAAATGAAGATGTTGCAGAAATCTGTTCTTTCTGGACGCTGTAGGGGAGAATCAGCTTCTTGCCTTTTCCAGCCTTTAGAGGTTGCCCACATTACTTGGATTGTGGCTACATCACTCTGACTTTTGCTTCCATTATCATATCTCCTTCTCTGATTATGACCCTCCTGCCTCCCTCTTACAAGGACTCTTGTGACTGTTTTGGACCCTTCTAGATAATCTAAGGTAATCTCCCCATTTCACCATTTTTAGTAACATCTGCAAAGTCCCTTTGATAGGTAATATAACAATTCACAGTTTTCAGGCATCAGGATGTGGGCATCTTTGGGAAACCATTATTTTGCCTACTACACAAGTTACTTGACCTTTCCCAACCTTGTTTTTTTTAACCTATAAAACTGTAGATAACAATAGTCCCTCATAAAGATATTATAAGGTTTGAATAAGAAAACCCATATAAAATTAGCACAGTGCCTGCCATTCTCTAGCTAGTGCTATTATTGTCATCACAGTTATCATCGACATTATTATGGGGCCTCATTTCATCCATATCTCTGTATAAATTAACCAAACAAACATCATGGAAGGGGGATCACTAGGCAACAGTGGGGAGGACAGGGCCAGGCAGGGCACATTTTTTTCAAGAGCATGTTGTTTCAATTGCATGTTGAAATGTCCTTTGTCACTGCTTTTTAAAACCCAGACATTACAGATGCTGAGGATGTACTTGTTTCCCAACTCTTCTTATAGGATCTAAAGACTTGGCAGGGCAGTGTCTTGAGCAGCTCTCTGGTATCCGATTCTCAGGAGAAATTCACAGTTGTTCCTAAGTTCTTTCTCCACTTACTTCTTCCCTTGCTCACCCCAGTCTACTCACTTCTCTTTGGTTGGTCTCAGTATTGGCAACTGTTCAGAAGGAACACAGCTCTTTAGCATCAGGGAGCAATACAATGGCTCTCAAAGAGGTGCACTACAATCCCCTGAGGGGCTTTTAAAACACAGATTGCTGGGGCCCATCCCTAGAGTGTCTGACTCATTAAGTATGGGGAGTCACTTGAAAATTTGCAGGTCTGATAATGATCCTTCTGGGATCACACTTTGAGAACCACTAGGATTATATAACATTGAAACTGAAACAACCCCTAAAAGTGATTTACCACAGTGCTATTGAAAGATGCACCAAGAAGTCCCTTCTGGGACTAAGTTAGAGAGGTAAGGGAGCTTGAACTTCAACAGCAAGCCTACCTCCCCAAAAACCTCTATCATGAGAACAACACCCCTTCTATCTGTTTTACTTATTGGGCTTCTGGATTAACTTTTGCT
Source organism: Homo sapiens (assembly GCF_000001405.40). Lineage (NCBI taxonomy): Eukaryota > Metazoa > Chordata > Mammalia > Primates > Hominidae > Homo > Homo sapiens. Next base: position 2,982,453 of record NC_000009.12, on the reverse strand, counting down.
TGCAGAAGGAGATCAAGAAAAACTTTAGAAGCTGAGACCCGATTTCCTCAATTAACAGAGGGAGCCTAGAGAAGTTAAGTGGTTTGTCCAAACCCACAGTTGGTTTTCCTTTTTCTATAGTATCAGTGCCCCCAATATTCACTATTGAAACTTAATCTCCATTGTGATGGTATTAAGAGGTGGGGAAGACCTTTTAGGCAGTGATCAAGTCATGAGGGGTCTGCCTTTATGAATGTATTTGCACCCTAGAAAAGGGCTGGGGATAACTAGTTTAGGGTGTTCCCTTTTGCCCTTTCATTTCTTTGATGCATGAGGACGCTGTTCATCCCCTTTTGCCCCTATCCATCCCTTCCACCATACGAGGACACCTAGACAGAGCTATCTTTGTAAAATGGGCCTTCACCAGACACCAAACCTGCAGCACCTGGATCTTGGACTCCCCAGACTCCAGAACTGGGAGCAATAAGTTTCTTTATACTCAGTTTCAGGTATTTTGTATAAGCAGCACAAACAGACTAAGACACCTCTGCCAAGGGAAGTTGTTCTTGTTTCCAACATTGACATACCTGTCATTTCAGTATTTAAACCACAATTCAAGAAACTTCCTTAGCTCACTTTGTAGCTTCTGAAATCTACTTTTCTTAAGCCAAAGTCTTTCTCTTAGCCACCTACCTTCTTCTTTTAGTTCTCTCCTTACCCATCTGCTCCTAGAAGCCACTATTGTGCATTGCTGTCATGGGGCCCTATTTAAGGACCCATTTCATTCTAGGCATTAGAGGAGAGAAGCAGCGTGTTTAGAGAAAATACTTGTTGATCTAAAGCATTTTTCTACTGCAGCAGCCACACATTCTAGGGGGATTGTGATTAGGCCACATGTTTTCTTGGCAAGAAAAGAAGGAACGTTGGGACGGACTATAATTTAAGTACACTAAATAATTGATATGGCTTCAATGACTGGAGGAATACTAAGGTCCTTGGTCTCACACCAATTTAGATAAAACAACACAACACGGATACACATGGAGTGGTTTCAAGGAGCAGAGAGTTTATTAGGCAAGAAGAAGGAAGGAAGAAGAAAACAGCTCCCCTGTACAGAGACAGAGAGAGGGGAGACTCGAGTAAAGAGAAACCTCATGTGCGGTGGAAAAGTGATTGCTTATACTGGGATGCTGTAGGAGGCGGTGTCTGGTTTGCACAGGGCCCAGGGTATTGGTTTTGATGAGGTGTGTCATTTATGTAGCCTGTGAAAAACCTGGCCCTCCTACCTTACCCTTTTAATGTGCAAATATGAGTCGCCATGATGTTCTGAACACACGGTGTTATTTGGAGGTGGCCATGACTCCTTGGCACACCTGGTGACAAGAAGGAGGCAGGAATCGCCATATTGGGTGGACCATTTCTAATGGCCATGATTTGCATATCAAATCTTGCCAGCCTGGCCCTTCAAGCCATTTTCTGTTAGAAAATAAATGGTTTGGGGATTGCTTTTATTAAAAGGAAAAGCCTTTATAAGAACTCCTTTTGCCCTTTCTATCTGCCTAAAAATTATTTCTTAATAATTCCTGTATTATAATGAAACTAAAAAGCGTTCAGATGGTTGATCACTAATTATTGCTAACAATGTCTTGGAACTCTTTTCACCCTAGCAGGGAACTGGCCTCACATCCCCTCAACTTTTCCTTTTCCAGCTGGGTACCTCAAGAGTTTTATCCTATATGTACAAGGTGCTGCAAGAGAGAGAAAAACAGGATCAGTGAGTTTGGGTGTATGAGACTTTTCAAGACTAGATCAACATCTGAAAAGCAAAATCAGTCAAATCAACAGGTTGGCACCTGCACAATGCCAAGTAATCACGTTGACTCCATATTTTCCACGGAATTGATGAACCCTCTTTTGCTCTGGGCTGATGGTTTTGCCATCATGTAGCCACAGATTGGTGTCCAATCTTGCTCTTTTATCTACTGCAGCTGAGAAAATGATAACTGGTTTTGCCACCTGGGTCACTTTTTAATGATCTGAAAGACCACAAGGAGCCAGCATTTCTTTTGTGCAGTTCCTCATTCAACAACCTAATAGCTATCTGAAAAGCGCTTTCTTGAAAAGAAAAAAGTCTCTTCCTCTCAGGCAGAAGCAATAATACCGCATGATTCTCTGATTAAACTATCACACTGCGCATATTACAGGGCATCTGACCTGCTTGAAACTGACTTACTGCTGAGGTTTCTTGGTATTTGCACTGTTGTTTTTCTGCCAACAAGCCGTCAAATGACAGATGAGTGTCCCTAAACTTTAGTGTGAATGGCAAGTAAAGTGCCCAAGAAACTGCTGGGGCCCAGCTGCCTCCTGGGCAATGCTGGAAGGGGAAATGTGTTTTTCTTCAGGGGCACCCTCTGTGCAAATGAACTTCAATCACAGGTGAAACCAAAGCTGTCACTACAGGGTGCAACTCTGGAGCAAAAACACGCTGCATAGTCTCCTCACTACCCCAGCGGACAGGCAGCCTCTGCCAGCACCTACCACAGTTAGAAGTAAAACCAAGAAAATCATTCTTTCTCCTCCCTAAACTCCTTAAAAATATAATATTTTAAACTCTAAAACCTTCATGCTGTAGTATCTGAAAAAACAAATTCGTAAGTGCTGTGGTAGCTGGCACTTAAGGCAGTGACCTGGACATTACTGCGTATATCTCCAAGGGTTTTGTTGTGTGTCATGACCAGTGAACATTTGGGGCGATCCTGCCAATATATATATAGTGATTTATTTTGGAAGCTGTATGTGTATTACCGTATTCACACTTTATGTATGTTAGAAACATTCTCCAAAGTTAAAATGTTGAGATGCCACTGTATACCCACAAATGGCTAAAATTTAAAAGAATGACAATAAGCAAGTAGACAAGGATGTGGGGCCAGTGGAAGCCTCATATATTGCTGGTAGAAATAGAAAATGACACACTTTCAAAAACAACTGGGCGGTTTCTCACAAAATTAAACACCCACTCCCCTATGACCCAGCAATTCTACTCCTTTGTGTTTCCCTAAGAGAAATGAACATTTATGTCCACACAAAGATTTGTACTTGAAAACATGGAAACAACCGAAATGCCTATTAACAAATGAAAGAATAAATCAGTTGTGGTGAATCTAAACAATGGAATATTGTTAAGCAACAAAAGTGAACTATCTATGCACATAACAATATAGATGAATCTTAAAAACATGATGCCAGTTGAAAGAAGCGTATATTGTATGGGAATCATTTGTATTAAATTCTAAAACAGGGAAAACTAATCCACAGGGACAGAAAGCAGATCAGTGGTGGCTGAGGGATGGTGGATGGGTAAAGGGGGGTGGGATGAACTGTGAAGAGGCACGTAGGAAGTTTGAGGGGGACAGGTATTTTCTATATCTTGATTGTGGTGGTGGTTACATGGATATATATATAGTTATTAAAACATTGAACTATACACTTAAAATTAGTGTTTCATTATATGTAAATCATACCTCATAAACATGATTTGAAAAAACAAAAGCAAACTTCTGGTCAACATGTACTTCTAGTCATCCATGTTGTAGCCTGTGTCAGTATTAGTGCAATAATGTACAAAATTAAAGGATTTAAAGAGGGAGAAAATATAAGAATAAAATGACAATATTTTAAAAATCTATAGATTTCACTAATGGCACACAAAAACCTATAGTGTTATGTAATTTAACATATTGATCGACTGGTGATATTATGATTTAAAGATCTGGTTGCATGTTAAGTTTATTTTGACACTTGGTTATAAGGGCTGTTGCAGCTGTTAAAAAACAAACATCAGATATACAAATTCAAATGGAAGAAAAGTAAAATAGTTTGAGCTAAGTAAATAATAATATTCACTTTTCAACCCATCCACCATTATGCAAAGCATGTGAAATTCAGTTAATACATTTCTCTTTGCCCTGATGTCAGTCAGAAGCTCTTACAAATGAATCAGGATATGTGGCATTTTTACATTTTTAAGAAATAGATTTAAAATTATTTATTCTTTTGGAAGATTGTTTTAAGTTATAAAATTATATTGCCAAGTTTTTAAAATTTGCAGATATAAGGTTTTTATATCATTTTTAGCAACAAAACCGTATAACAGTGAAATATTCCAATGAGCCACTTTCAAAATGTTCTTTCCACAGCATGAGGTTTCTTTTGAAAAATAGTTCCTCTTGCATTCATTACTAAAAAATCATCATTTCAGAATGGCAAAAGAAGTTTATTTTTTCAAAAATACTTCCTGGATGGGATAATTTTGACAGCTACTTGTCATTACAGAAACTTTCAACTCTTATCTTTAACAAGAAAATTCCATGATTGATTTGTAAGTGGAGCAACTCTCCTAAATACTTTGCTGTTAAACAGCCAGTAAAGGCCCATTCCTGAAAAGATTTTCAAGGACATCTACACATTATTCCAAAGTACTGTAAACAGTCTACTATCTCTTAAAGGCCATTTTTTTCAGCATTCTTGTTGTGATAAAGCACACACACCATAAAATTTACCATCTTAACCATTTTTAAGTGTACAGTTCGGTGATAATTACTACATTCATGTTGTTATGCAACCATCACCACCATCCATCCACAGAACTTTTTTCATCTCGCAAAATGAAACCTCTCTGTCCATTAAACAGTAAGTCACTATTCCTCTTCCTCTCAGCCCCTAGTAACGACTGTCTCTATAATTTTGACTACTGTAGGTACTTCATATATGTGGTATCATACAGTATTTTTCTTTTTGTGATTAATTTATTTCACTTAGAATAATGTTCTCAAAGTTCATCCATGTTGTAGCATGTGTCAGAATTTCCTTGCTTTTTAAGGCTAAGCAATAATCCATTTTAGGTATATGCCACGTTTTGCCTGTTCATGCATCTGTTGGTGAACACTTAGGTTGCATCTTAGTCCATTTTATGCTGCTGAGGTACTTTCTGCTCAACATATGGAGACTAGGTAATTTATAAAGGACAAATTTATTTCTCATAGGCCTGGAGTCTGGTAAGTCCAAGATAAAGGTGCCAGTCAGTCTGGTTGTCTGGTGAAGGCTACATCCTCTGGAGGGGAGAAACACTTGTGTTCTCACATGGTGGAAGGCAGGTGGAAGGACAAATGAGCTGAATACTGTGTGAAATCTCTTTTATAAAGGCCTTAATCCCATTCACAAGGGAAAGGTCCTCATGGCCTAATCACCTTGTAAAGGGCCCGCCTGTTAATACCATCCCAACTGAATTATAGAGGGCACACATTCAAGTCATAGCAGGTTTTTTCACTGTTTCACCTATATGAATAATGCTGCTATGAACATGGGGGTACAAATATATCTTCAAGATTGTGCTTTCAGTTCTTTTGGGCATATACTCAGATATGGAATTGCTGGATCATATGGTAATTCTACATTTAACTTTTTGAGGAACTGCCATATTGCCTTCAACAACAGCTGTATCATTCCCACCAACAGTGCTCAAGGGTTCCAATTTTCCCACATCTTCACCAATACTTGTTATTTTCTTTTTTATATATATCCATTTTAATTGTGGTTTTGATTTGAATTTCTCTAATGACTGGTAATGTTGAGCATCTTTTTATATGCTTAGTTGCCATTCATATATCTTCTTGGGAGAAATGTCTATTCAAGTCCCTTGCCTTTGCTGAATATGTTCATTAGTTTTAACAGTTTTTTGTAGAATACTTAAGATTTCTACATAGAAAGTCATATTTCCTGTGAACAGAGATCATTTTGCTTTTTTATTTCCAACTTGGATGTCTTTTGTTTCTTTTTATTGCCAAATTACTTGTTAGGACTTCTAGTACTATATAGAATAGAAATGATGAAAATGGGCATCCTTGCCCTGTTCCTTGTCTTAGAAGAAAACCTTTCCATCTTTCACCATTAAGTATGATGTTTGCTATGGGATGTTGATATATGGCTTCCATTATGCTGAGGCACTTTCCTTCTATTCCTGTTTTCTTGAGTGTTTTTATCATAAAAGAGTGTTGAATTTTGTCAAATATTGTTTCTGCATCAATTGAGATGATCACGTGGGTTTTCTCCCTTTTATTCTTTTATAATAATATGGTGAATTATTATACATTGATCAGTTTTCTTATGTTGAACCACCCTTCCATTCAAGGAATAAATCTCACTTGGTTGTGGTGTATAGTACTTTTAATATGCTGGTGAATTTTGTTTGCTAGTATTTTGTGTTGTTGTATCAGACCAGGATCAATGTTCATGATACTGGTTTATTTTTCTTGTTTTATTTTCTTGTGGTTTCTTTGTCAGGCTTTGGCATTCAGATAATAGTAGCTTCATAAACTGTGTTATGAAGTGTTTCCTCCTCTTCAGTGTTTTGGAAAACTTTGAGAAAGATTGCTGTTAGTTCACTAGTGAAGCCATCTGGTCCAGGGCACATTTTTGTTCAACGATTTTTTATTGCTAATTCAATCTCCTAACTAGTTACAGGTCTACTCAGATTTTCTATTCCTTCATGATTCTGTCCTTGTAGGTTTTATGTTTGTAGGAATTTGTCTATTTCATCTAGGTTATCCAATTTGTTGCCATATGTTTGCTCATAGTATTCTCTTATAATACTTTATATTTCTATAAATTCAGTAGTAATATACCAATTTCATTTCTGATTATAATAACTTGAGACTTCTCCTTTTCTTTTTCTTAGTCAGCGTGATGGTTATTATTGAGTGTCAACTTGATTGGATTGAAGGATGCAAAGTATTGTTCCTGGGTGTGTCTGTGAGGGTGTTGCCAAAAGAGATTAACATTTGAGTCAGTGCGGTGGGAAAGGCAGACTCACCCTCAATTTAGGTGGGCACTTTAGTCAGCTGCCAGCATGGCTAGAATAAAGCAGGCAGAAGAAATTGGAAAGAGCAGACTTGCTGAGTCTTCTGGCCTTCATCTTTCTCCCATGCTGGATGCTTCCTGCCCTCGAACATTGGACTCCAAGTTCTTCAGCTTTTGGACTCTTGGACTTACACCAGTGGTTTGCCAGGGTTCTCAGGCCTTTCGCCACTGAAGGCTGTACTGTCAGCATCCATATTTTTGAGGTTTGGGGACTCAGACTGGCTTCCTTGACAGCCTATTGTGGGACTTCACCTTGTGATTATGTGAGTCAATATTCTTTAATAAACTCCCCATCATATATACATCTATCCTATTAGTCCTGTCCCTAATAGGATAGATGCTATTGCTCTCCAGACTGGGTGACAGAGTGAGACCCTGTCTTAAAAATAATTCTCTCTTCGGCTTTGATTTTCCACAGCTTGATTATAATGTGTCTCAGTGTGGGTTTCTTTGAGTTCATCTTATTTGGAGATGAACCCTGACTAATACAGTCAGTCTAGATAACAATTTGTCAATTTTGTTTATCTTTTTAAAGAATCAAATTTTTTATTTTGTTGATTGTCCTCTATTGTTTTCCTATTATCTATTTCATTTATCTCTGCTGTAATCTTTATTGTTTTTTATTTTATTTTTATTTTTTGCTAGCTTTAAGGCTAGTCCTTCTTTTTCTAGTTCCTTGTCATTAAGGTAGGTTGTTGATTTGAGATTTTGATTGTTTTTAATGTAAGAATATATAGCTATAAATTTTCCATCAGCATTGGTTTCACTGTATTTCATAAGTTTTGGTATGTCGTGTTTTCATTTTCTTTCAACTCTGATTGTTTTCTGCTTTTCCTTCTGACTTTTTAAAAATCCATTGGTTGTTTAAGATGGTGTTCTTCAATTTGCTCAAATTTGTGATTTTCTTGTTTTCCTTTGATTATTGATTTCTAACTTTGTATCATTGTGGTTGGAGAAGAAGCTTTGTATAATATCTCTATTTTTAAATGTTTGAGACTTAATTTGTGACATAACATCTGATGTATACTGGAGAATGTCTCATCTCCACTAAAGAATAATATGTATTCTGTTGGTGGGTAGAGTGTTCTGTATATGTATGTTAGAGCTAGTTGGATTATTGTGTTGTTCAAATGCTCTATTTCCAGCTTTGTCTCCACTCCTTTTGATTCATTGATGTCACTAAATTACATCCTTGTTATATTAATTTGCTTGATTATGACAGTAACTCACAATGTATATACATATTAAGCCATCATGTTGTATACATTAAATACCTGCAATTTTTATTTGTCAATCATACCTCAATAAAGCTGAAGGGGATGATTGCATCCCCTTCCCATTTATTGTAATTGTAATGATTACGATTACATTATTGTGCGTCCAAAAACATAAATTAGGCCAGGCGTGGTGGCTCATGCCTATTATCCCAGCACTTTGGGAGGCCAATGTTGGCAGATTGCTTGAGCTCAGGAATTCAAGACCAGGCTGACCAATGTGGTGAAACCCCATCTCTACTAAAAATACAAAAATTAGCCAGGCATGGTGGCAGGCACCTGTAATCCCAGCTTCTTGGGAGGCTGAGGCAGGAGAATCGCTTGAGCCTGGGAGGTGGAGGCTGCAGTGAGCCAAGATCATGCCACTGCACTCTAGGCTGGGTGAAAGAGCAAGACTCCATCTTAAAAAACAACAACAACAAAACATAAACTAGAAATTTTTTTAAGTTAATTATCCTCTTAAATCATGTAGAAAATGAAAAGTAGAGTTACAACTATTGTTAAAACAACGCTGGATTTTATAAATCTCCGTGTATTTACCTACATTGATATGTTTTTCTTCATACGACTTTGTGCCCCTGTCTAATATCTTTTCATTTTAACCTGCAAGACCCCCTTTGGATTTCTGGTAGGACATGTCTAGTGGTAACAAATTCCTTCAGCTTTTGTTTATCTGAGAATGTCTTAATTTCTCCCTAATATTTGAAGGACAGATTTTTTGGGTATAAAATTCTTGGTTAACAATTTTTTTTTATTTTTAATTTTAGCACATTAAATATATCCACCAATGCCTTCTGGCCTGCAAAGTTTCTGATGAGAAATCTACTTGTAATCTTATTGATGATCTATTGTATGTAATGAGTCACTTCTGTCTTGCTTTCTTTTCTTTTTTTTTTTTTTGTTTTTTGTTTGTTTGTTTGTTTGTTTGAGACAGAGTCTTGCTCTGTCACCCAGGCTAGAGTGCAGGGGTGCCATCTCAGCTCACTGCAACCTCCACCTCCCAGGTTCAAGCGATTCTCCTGCCTCAGCCTCCCAAGTGGCTGGGATTACAGGCATGCACCAGCAGGCTTGGCTAATTTTTGTATTTTTAGTAGAGATGGGGTTTCACCGTGTAGGCCAGGTTGGTTTCAAACTCCTGGCCTCAAGTGATACACCCACATTGGCTTCCCAAAGTGCTGGGATTACAGGTGTGAGCCACCATGCCTGTACCCTCTTGCTGCTTTCAAGACTTTCTCTTTGAGACTGGATGCAGTGGCTTACATCTGTAATACCAGCACTTTGGGAAGCTGAGGTGAGTGGATCACCTGAGACCTGGTCTCTACAAAAAATACAATAATTAGGCATATGTGGTGGCACATGCCTGTAGTCCCAGCTACTTGAAAGTCTGAGGTGGGAGGATTGACTGAGCCTGGGAGTTCAAGGCTGCAGTTAGCTGTGATCGTGCCATTGCCCTCCAGCCTGGGTGACAGAGTGATACCCTGTCTTAAAAAAATTCTCTCTTTGTCTTTGATTTTCCACAGTTTGATTATAATGTGTCTCAGTGTGGGTCTCTTTGAGTTCATCTTATTTGGAGTTTGTTGAGCTTCTTGGATATTTATATTCATATCTTTCATCAAATTTGGAAAGTTTTCTATGACTTTTTTTTTTCAGATAATCTCTCCATCCATTTCTGTTTCTCTTTCTGAACTCCATCAGTGCCCACGTTGGTCTGCTTGAGGGTGCTGTATAGGTCCCTTAGGCTTTAGTTTTGTTCAATCTTTTTCCATTTTGTTCTTTAAACTTGATAATTTCAGTTGTCCTATCTTCAAGTTTGCCGATTCTTTCTTTGGCTTGCTTCAATCTGCTTTGAATCCCTCTAACAAATTTTTTATTTCAATTGTTGTGCTGTTGAGTTCTAAAAATTTTTTTGGTTTCTTCTTGGTTCCCCCATCATTTTACTGATATCTCAGTTTTGTTCATACATTTTTTTTACTTTCTCAATTTCTTCTTTAGTTTTTTGAGCATCTTTAAGACACTTGCTGTAAAGTCTTTGTCTTGTATGTCTGTTTCTAGCTTTTCTTGGGGACAATTTCTGTCCCCAAGAAACTGAACATTTGAATTTAATAGTGTGGTAGTAGGAAATCAGATTACGCTCTTTCCCCAGGGTTTGCTGTTTTTAAAATTTGTGTTTTTTATTATTTTAATCTGTCTCCATACCAAGAATCAGCCTGAAGTGTAAACTTTCACTGGGCATATGCAGTAACTTACTAATTTCCCCTATGTATGCAGATGCTTTTGAATGCCCTAGGCTTTAATGTCTGACTCCCAAAAGGGGAAAATAGAAAAATGATGGAAATCAGGGTGTCAACCTTTGAAATCTCCTGGAAGTTTTGGAGAGAGAAGCTTATGAAAATTGGAAGGAAGGGGCCACAGTGACTGCCTGCCTCTGTGTCTGCACCTCCATAATCAGAAGCAAAAATCAATTATCAGAACATAGAACCCTGATATTTGGAGGACAGAGTTTCTATTGCTCACCCTTGCTCCCACAGGCTGCATAAAAGCTTCTTCAGCAACACTTGCACAGCTGCCTGCTACTAGGCTGGAGGTAGGGAATGGATAGCTGTTGCTGAGCTAAAAGTTCCAACTGACCAAAATTAACCACAATTTACCATCTAAGCCTTCTCCTGGAAATTGCAAGCCTTCAATTTACACCAGAATTTTAATATAGTTACATAAAGCAGATTTTGCCTATGCAATTATTTTCTAGGTGGGGACGTTGGATTCATGGTGCTTCCTACTTCTTCATCTTTCAAAAATTCTCTTGAATATAAAACTAACCACATCACATAGTCCCCTATGGACTTGTAACCTTAAATTCTTATCTCTAATAACATGATGCTGTGAATAAATATCACATGTAGAGCTATCTCTACAACTTTCTCTTTGTGTGAGTTTTTCAAAATTTCCATCCAAGTCATTGCTCTATCAGTAGTTATGGTTATACAGTTTTCCCATGAAACACTGAGTTTATTAAAGCTCATGAGATCTTCTTCCAGAACTCCTTCATTTAGTTGAGTCACAAAAAAGCAGTTGTTCTTATATTTGTTATTGAAACACATTTTTCTTAAGAAGATCTATACTAAATACAAATATATATATATCAAACCTCCCACATAACATATATCTGAATTTTTCTAAAATCATCAGTAATGCTTTCTCTGCATCATCAATAATATTTGCTGACAAATGAATTTATTTCTGTTTTTTGCCACATTGATTCCATGTATTATTTTAGCCATTTTTACTACAAGGAGAACAAGTATTTCTCATTGATATTTGGCTTGTTGTCTTTTTTTCTTATGTAAGGAATATCAAAACTGGCTTATAAAGTTTGGGGAAATTTTATGAAGAATTGAACTGAGTAATACAAAACTTTCAACATTGCTTTAAAATCTTAAGTTTGTCTTCATATCTCAGATGATAAGTTGTTTAAATGTCTTGCAAATTCTGATGATTTTTAATGGCACAATATGTACCCTTAAGCTAAGATTTGTTGTTAATGATATTTAGTGTAAATATATATTTCAAATAAGTTTTTTTATAATATCGAATATTTTCAACTGTATTCTTGTGACAGATATCCATGACCTTTGGATCAAAATGGGCCTAAGAGCCAATAATGAAAAGGGTCAACTCTGCCATTTTTTTATTGTTGCTTACTTTTGTATTATGACTATATAGATAATGTCTTAGATGTCTTTGAGCCAGAAAGTGGGTGAATAAAGTGCTATATAGGAGGAAAATAGGTGCCTAGAGCACCTCAATTTGCTTTGTTCCCCCACCTAGGCTGCCAGCTTTTTATTGGCAATATAATATAGACATGAAGAGTATAAGCTTGAAATAAGTGTCTGGGTATCATTTACTAGCTCTGTGGTCCTACAAAACTGCTTAAACTCTTGCTCTTTGGTTTCCTCATCTGTAAAATGAGGACAATCATAGTGCAGCCTTATCATCAACTCCTTTTCCTCTTTCTCCATATTCAACACATCAAATCTAACAAACTCCACCTTTAAAACATACCCAGAATTCAGCCACTTCTCAAGCCCTCTACCATTCCCCTTCAGGCTAAGTCATCTCCTACCTAAAATACTACAGGAGCCTCCTAACTAGTCTACTTGCTTCATTCCTGGCTCCTCTTATTCTGCTTTCCACAAAACAGCCAGATAAATTCTTTAAAATGTAAGTTAGGACCTGACACTTTTGTTCTGGAACTTTCTGGTGGTTTCCCATTCTAATCTGGATAAAATCCAGAGTCCTTGCTGTAGCCTGCAAAGCCATTCATGGTTGACCATCCATTCCTTCTGTTTACTCTCATGCTTCCCTCACTCACTCTGCTCCAGCATTTCTGGCCTTATTGCTCTTCTCAAACACAGCAAGGACACTTCTACCACATGGACCTTGCTCTAACTCTTCCCTTTTCTAGAAAAATTCTTCCCCCATGTAGCCACAAGGCTAGCATTTACTCTATTCAGTTCCCTTCAAATGTTCACTTAGAAGGTCTTCTCTAATCACTCTGTGTAAAGAAGAATCTCCCTTTGGATCATTCTCTTTTCCTTTATCCTGCTTTATTTTTATTAATGGCACTTTTATATCAAACACATTTCAAATCAATACTCTGCTTATCTGTCTCCTACCACTAGCCCACTGGTTCTCAATTTTGGGTGACTTTGCCTCCTGGAAGACATTTGGTAATGTCTGGAAACATTTTTGTCTGTCACACTGAGGGAAGGAGTAGAGGCCAGACATGCGGTTAAGCACCCTAAAATGCTCAGAGAAGTTCCCTACAGCAAAAAAAAAAAAAAAAAAATTATCTGGTCTAAAATATCAATATTGAGAAGGCCAGCTGTAGGGTTCAGCAGCATGAGAGCAGGAACCTGGTCTATGTTGTCCCAGGTATTTACAACCTGGCACATAGGAGGTCCACAATACATTTCTGTTAAGTAGCTGAATCAGATGAGAATATGGTAAAGAATTTAGTACAAAATCTGGCAAATAGTAACTATTTCTTTTAACACTGAACAAATATTTATTGAGTTTTATGATGTGCCAGACACTGCACTAACTTCTTAGGACAAAACATTAAGCAAAACATCCTAGGCCCCTGTTCACATAAAGGTTGCCTCTTACTGGATGTTAATATTAGTTGTTATTAACAGTGTTATCACTTTAATTTACATCAGTCCTCCTAGCTTTACCCAGGATTTGCCATGAGACCAGGGTTTTTTGTTTTATTTTGCTTTGTGTTTTGATAGGATTCTTATTTTTCAGAGATGCACTGGAAGACTTGGAGAGTAGGTTTGCCAGTAGCAGCTTGGTATGGTGTAAATAAGAACTGGAGAATTTGAAATCCAATAAGCTAGGTCGATGTTGGGGTAGCACTTAGTATAGGTGTTATCAGTCAGGATAGGCAAGGTCTGCTACATATCAAAGGTCTTCAACTTCTTAGGCCTAAAGCCCATTTTTTGCTCACATACATGTCCATGCCTATGGCTTATTTTACTGACTAAAGCAAGTCATGTGGCTCAGGCTGATGTGAATGGGGCAAGAACGTATGACTTTACCTGGGGGAAGGGAAGAGAATATTTTTAGATGATGGGAAAACCCTCTGGTTTTTTCATCTTCAAAAATCTGTCTGATTTTCTAAAATCCATCGGCTAGATATTTGGTTGCAAGTCACAGAAAGGTATATTGGCGTAGAAAAAAGAAAATGTACTGGGTCATGTAACCAGGCAGTCTAGAGAGGGAGTGGTTAGCAACTCAAATGAGTTTTTCTCCCCAGCCCTGCATCTCTCCCCCGACCTTGTTATTGAGGAAGAGGCTCGCTGCCCAACACACATAGGAGCCACTACTGCAGCACCGACTTTCAAGAAAAAGAAAGGTTGGGGGGTTGTGTTGCAAGCTGACTAGCAAGGAAACAGGAGGCAACAGTCAAATCTGTCTCCCTAATCTAAGGGTGGGTCAAGCTTTTATGGCATTTCTAACTAGTTCTAGATAATACCAATGTAGCCAATCTGCCAGGCTGATGGTGTTAGCAATCAGAAGGCACGTGCCCAGGCAATTTTGGCTCTGTATCATCTGTAACAACTTAAGCAATGGTTAATTGGTTTGAGCTGGTCCTGTGGTTACAACCTTAGCTCTGTCTCCTTCTCTCTCTGTTGGATTCATTCTTTTACTATAGACAGTCCATCTACATGTGGAGGAGATGACTGACAATCTCTGAATAACATCCTTTCAGATCCATGACTCAGAAAACAAGTCATCTTCTCCTCCACATCTACAATGAAAAAAATCTGGGGAAGGATTTTGATTAGCCTGGCTGCCTACCCTCCCAGTCATTATTCTGGGAGGAATGGGAGTACAGTGATTGCCTGGACCTGAATCACATGTCCATTTCTGTGGCCAGGGTAAGGGAAGTTGTCTGTAATTAGCAGCCTCCCCAGCATCATATGATCAGAATAGGGGAGAAAGAATTTACCAGAATTTACCAGTGGAAGAACAGATCCTGTACAGGTGAAGTTAGCTGCAACATTGAACCCATACCTACCCTACTCTAAATACAATGAAGCATGTAAAAGCCTTTTTTTTTTAAGCTTTAAAGCATTGTTCACATGCTAATTGCTGTTATTATTCTTTTCAGGTTGAATAAAAAGCCACATTATTTACTAGGGTAAATTAATGTTGGTGGCAGCCAACTATTGTTCTATACACATAGTTAGTTGGAAGTAAAGCTGTAATAAATAGGCAAGAGGTTACCAGCAAATGGAGTAAGTCAATGACAAAAGCTGTTTAGTATTAAACCTAGAAGTGGTGCTTGTTACTTAGGAATGACACTACATCTGCAAGACTGTACCTATACAGCTGTAATGTGAAAAATTCTGCGGTATGTATTTTCTGAGTGCTATTATGTTTCTGGCTGGTGCTAGGGGATATTCAAGAAGAGTAATACACAGCCCTTCTCTTGGAGCAATGTTCAACTCCAACCAGATCCCAATAGCTCCGAATATGCAGATTATGTCAAGGAAGGATCAGGACAAATTGACTGAATTTTTCACTTTTCCTCCTGATGCCTTGACAGCCTGTTTCTCATGCTTACTGAATGATGTTTAATTTAATTCATGTGCTCGAGGCAGCACACTCTGTGTTGCAGCTGTGCACAGTTTGTTTGAAAGGGCTTTCACGGCAAGGCCAAAGGCAGGAAGCACACTGCCGTGATGCCTTGATGAATAGACCCCTTGGGAAAGAAGCGCCTTTATAATGAAGTCACAAAAGAAATCTTCATAAATCCTCAGAAGCCCAGCGGCTTGCATGTGTGAGTGCAACTAAAATACTTCCAAAACGACCCTGCCAAAGGTAAATAAGGCCAATAGTAGGCAGAATTTTTATAAATCTGACTGCTGTGTCTCCAGGCACCATTCCTATAGTCATTTCTCTGTACACAGCCACACATGCACGCACACGGACATGCATAAACACATATGTGCATGCACACACACTGTATCCATCACTGTTATGAACCCTGCTCCCATTTCTAGGTCCCAATGCCTCCTGCTTTTCCAATCAAAACAGAGAAAAAGAAATAATTGTCACTCTCCCTTGATGATTGATCAACTGGGTTACTCTTGTGTTAATGAATTTGACCTTCGCAATCAGTGTTGCAATTTTAGGCCTTGAACTCTAACTGTGATAGATGACAGCCTCTGAGAAAAGGAGAGAGGTGGGTTGATGGGAATCATACTTAACAATATCATGACAGCAGTCCTGAAGGTGAAACTGATTCAGTCTTTTTAGCAAGAGCGGGGTACAGTGATATGGGATCCATCTCTCTGTGAGCCCATATCACTTAGATATATTCCTTCTAGATGCCCAGTTCCAGGAAAATGTCCCCAGCCTTACTTAGCTGAAGTCCTCAGGTGCTAACATTTAGACTTATTAGCTGGAGGCTTTTTCCTGAAACCGGCATCAAAAGGGCACTGTCTCTTGATCTTCACTCCAGGAACCGGAGCTGCCTCAGAGGTAGTGAGGCTGCACTGATGAACAGCTTCCTTTCCTGTCCTTTATTACTGTGGGTTAGTTTGCTGGGCCTGCCATAACCAAGTACCACAGGGTGGTGGCTTAGACAACAGAAATTTATTTTCTCTCAGTTCTGGAGGCTGGGAGTCCAAGCTTAAGGCATCAGCAGGGTTCGTTTCTTCAGAGGCCTCTCTCCTTGGCTTGAAGATTGCCTTCTTTTCTCTGTGTCTTCCCATAAGCTGTCCTCTGTAGTTGCCTGTGTCCTAATCTCCTCTTCTTATAAGGACACCAGTCGTATTGAATTGGGGCCCACTCTAATGACTTTATTTTAACTTAATCTCTTTAAAGACCCTGTCTCTAAATTCAGTCACATTCTGAGCCACCAGGGGTTAGAACTTCAGCATATGAATTTGGGGAACTGCAATTCAACCCATACTGACCTGCCACTCTCTCCTTACCCTGACTGGTGGCCTGGGTACTGGTGGACTGGTTCCCTTCACCTGCCTTAACTGCCTCATGCAGGGCAGGTTTGGCTGACCCAGGCTCCGTGGAACCCAAGAGAAGAATTGAAAGGTGTCCCCCTGAAAAAAGCCAAGGGACAAAGCCAAGAAGCCTTCCAAAGCAGGAGGTAAGAAACTTGGCAAGCTGGAGAGGGTCCTCAGGTGCTAACACTTAGCTGGAAAGAGGCTGCCAGAGGGAGGAAGACGGAGAAGGTTAAATCCAAATGACAAAAGAGGGTGGTCTCGGTCAGCGCCACAGCTGGCAGGCTCCAGTCCCTGGCTGCTTTCTGGATGTTTGTGGCAGCAAAACACTAAGATCACATGGACACAAAGGAGGAAACAGCAGACACCAAGGCCTGTGTGAGGTTGAAGGCTGGGAGGAGGGAGAAGAGCAAAAACTACCTATTGGATACTATGTTCGCTTCCTGGGTGATGAAATAATCTGTACACCAAACTCCCACCACACACAGTTTACCTATGTAACAAGCCTGCACATGTACCCTGAACCTAAAATAAACGTTTTTGTAAAAAGAGAACCTGAGAGAGCATAGGCATTAACCCAGCTTTACACAATTTATTCAAAATCTGGGCATTCCCGTCTTTGCCTTGCTGTCTCTAGCTTGTGATTCTGTAACGTTACACACTTTGCTTTCTCTGTTCAACCTTCTTTCTCCCCATAGTTACTGAGTGAGCTCATCATCCTTCCAGATTTTACTAACATGTCACTTCTGGTGTAAAGGTTTCTTGACTCCATATATTTTAGTAGTTCAGAGATCCAACTAAATTTTCATGAGAATAGAGACATGTCTTTGCACTTTGAGTCCCCACATTTGTAAATTATCAACAAATGTTTATTCAGTGAATGTTTTCAATTGGGAAGATTAAAATCTTTGAACTCAGTTTATGTGCTCCTTCCTGTGTCTCCCGTCCTTATATGTAGGGAAGTGCTTGTTATAATACATAGGTCGATGCCTTCAGCAGTGCGAGCAGTTTAATGATTGCGAAGGCAGATTCTGGTGCCTCATTGCTTGAACTTGAATACTGATTTCACTGTTTCTTGGCTTGGTGACCGTTTCAGTTTGCTAGGGCTGCCAAAAGAAAGTAGTACAGACTGAGTGGCTTCAAGAGACATTTATTGTCTCACAGTTCAGGAGGTGAGAAGTCCAAGACTAAGGGGTCAGCAGGTTGGTTCCCTCTGAGGACTGTGATGGAGAATCCGTTCCAGGCCTCCCTCCCAGCTACTGGAAGATTGCTGGAATCTTTGGCATTCCTCAGCTTCTGCTGTATCACACTGGACCCTGCCTTCGTCTTCACATGATGCACTCGCTGTGTGTGCAGCTATCTCCAAATTTCCACTTTTTGTAAAGACAAGAGGTATATTGTATTAGGGGCCCACCAGACCCCAGTACAACTTAACTAATTACATATACAACAACCGTATATTCAGATAAGGTCACATTCTACAGTCCTGGGGGTTAGGACTTCAACATATGAATTTTGGGGGAACACAATTCAACCCAGTAACGGTGACCTTTGACACACTGCCTAGTTTCAGTTCCCATATTAGTAAAATAGAATAATAATATATCCTACCTTATGAGGTTGTTGAGCAATTAAGTGAATTAATATATATAAAGCGCTTAAGACAGTACAAGGCACAAGTAAGCCCTACTTGGCATTAGCTGTTATTTCTGGTGTGTATATGTCTGTCTATTCCACTAACCTATCACAGGTAGAGACTATGCTTAGTCCTACGTACAACGGTATTGCATCACATATAGTACAACACATAGCAGAGCACTTTGTGCCTGATACACAATCTTTGATTAAATGTAAGGCAGAGATAGTTCAGAGTGATACTGGGGCAGGAACTGAAAGTCTGTCTGCATGTATGAGACAGTATAGTCGGTATATTAGGCTTTGTCATCCCATTTATATAGTTAGATCTCAAAGCCTTCCCCTAGGAGGAATTTGAAACTGCTCCTCTTTCTTGGTCTCTCCCTGAGGTTTCCTTGCTTTCTTAAAAATGTGTAGGGATTTTGGTACTGCATACACAAATGCTGTTTTGTCTTCAGGTATAGAGAGATAATTCAGCTTGAGCATCTTACCTTTAGTTATTGGCATAACTGAATGCGGCAGTTATGTGGTGCTTTCTCAATTGTGATATTATCAGTGCAAGGCAGGATAAAGAAGGGAAGAGCAATGTGATATTTCTTCCTCAGAGGCCTGGGTGGGCCATCTGGCAATCTTTAAATCTGGGTGCCAGATTGAATAACATGCTTTGGGTGACTTTTTAAATGCATTATTCAGGGGAGATGTTGTTTTAACCTCTGCACTTCACACAGCTTTCTAGCTGATGGAAATCTTTTCTCCCCTTTGCTTGAAAATTACATGGAACGTAGCCCAGTAGAGACTAACAAATCAGCAGGAGAATTCCTCAGCTGGTCTGAATAGTACCTAATGATGGAAAAGGTGGTTGAATCAAGCTACCTAAAGCAAGAGCAAGGAAACGATGTGCAATTGTTCATTCCCCAAATATGTGAGACACAGTCTGGTTCCTGATTCGGCAACTCCTCTTGTTCCAAAAATAGGGGAGGTCCAAGTAGTGGAATGAGAAAATAGCTGCACGGGGCACAGTGGGTTTGGCTTCTAGCCTTGATCGGATTGCTCATTGGTTTCTTGAAATCAATAAGATGTATCACTTCTCTAGGTGTCAGTTTTCCTTTTTGTACAATGCGATTGTTGAACTATGACTGCAATCTTTGAGGTCCTGCCTCTGCTTTTACTTCCTCTATAACATTGTGCAAACCTATAGATTCTCGGTCTTCTGGCTCCAGGGTAAATACTTTTACTCTAGTTTCTGACAGCCCACCACTTAATTACTCTGTTGAAGCTCAGTACCAATACCTGTGTTTTCTATATTTTATTGTCTCAAACTGAACTCTAGGTTTGAATGAGACTCTGATCTTGCTTTACAAGTAAATGAAACAAAGGACAGGTGGGGTCAACCCTATTTCTTAATTCTGAGAAATTGTCTTAATGACTCAGGAAAGAAGCATTTCTACATGAAAGATAGAGGACTATTCATCATCATTATGCATGTGTGTTTTTTGTGAGGTCTTGGCATGAAACAGAAACTGATAGAAGGAAATATAAAAAGTGAAAAGCATGCCTGGACCTTCCCTTTAACTTAAGGCATCCTAGCCGGAAGGCTAAGGTCACTGATAACTGACTGAAACAGAAGAAGGGACTGTCAGAAATACATCAGCTGCTCACTTTTCAAGTACAGATCTTGTTTAAATGCTTTGAGGTGGTCACAAGTCAGTTAAGGGACTAACTGGCTAGGGATGAAATGATCTTTGGCACACTTACCCAAGACAATGTGTTTTGATTATCTTGGAAGAAAGATGCTTTGTAAGGGTGCAGTGATCTGGGTCACCCTACCCAAATCATCACCAAATATTTCTCTGAAGCAAGAGGGGATGTGGATGTGGAGGAAATTCTGAAACCTCCAGTCTTGCTGAACAATCCCTGTAACACAAGTGGGGTGGCGTGGAGAAGGAGGACGGACACATACCAAGATCCAGATTCTAAAAGCCCATGATTTTTGAGACTTGTAGTAAGTGTATTTTCATTCAGACCTAGTTTCTTATTAGAGCCTTGCTGCCGTAGTGTGTTTATTCTATTAATCCTAACGGTATTTACTTCATAATGGAGTTCCACGTGAGTTAACGCTTCCTTAGGTGGGTTTTCTCTTACCGTGAATATTTCCAACCATTCATAGCACTACTTGCTTGACCTTTCAGAAAAATGATTTTTTCATGAGCAGCTTTCTTATACTAGGTACTCTTTTTCTTAAGAAGGGCCTAGAGAAAAGAAAATTCAGAATGCCTTAGTTATGTTTTTGTGGTATATGCATTTTATCAGCCCTTACTGTGGAGGAGCAATTCCATTTATTTAGCTGTGGCCTCCTCAACGCTTCATAGAACTGGTTGCAGATTGGACTTCTAGATATTCGTGTCACTGGTGGCCATTAAAGCCAGGGATGGGCTAATTAGCTGAATTGTACATTTGAGGAGAAATCACTTAAGAAGATGAAACATGTGAGGTTTGATAAAAACCAAAGACAGTTTTTATACTTACATAACATTTGATGGAAAATAAAATCCAGATAATCCCAATTTCTTCATATTTAAATTGTCAAAATATTGCTTTGTCAGAATTGTTTCATAGACATACAGTTTTTTTTTTTTTTCCAACAAAGCTCCTCATTTTGTTTGGTCCTATCACCAGTACTTTATTATTTGTATAAAAGTTTGAAACTAGCAGGGTCAAACATAAAATTTAGCAGTCATTTATATTATCAAAACTCCAACTTCAACTAGTCCTTTGGTAAAAATTTTATATTCACATTAGCTATAAAAAAAAACCCAGTTGAGTCAAGAGCTTTGTAAAGTGACTCATTGCTATAAAGAAACTGAGTAACCTTAATAGAATTGATTTGAATTTCAGTTTTCCTATCTAAAAAATGAAGATAATAATAACGCATCTCCCATAGTGTCATGGGGTAGACATGAGATAATTAAGGGAACACATTTTGTGAAAGGTAAAAGTCTAATATTATCATTGATTTTTAACCAAAAGCAAATCTACCAACTATAATGATGTAACTAAACTCTAATATTATTGATTTTATCCAAAGCAAAGCCACTAAAATATCATATAACTGTAAAATCACATAACCTAACTATAACTCTAGTTATATAATTACATACTGATTTAGCTGCCCAGAGGAGGCAAATCAGAAATTTTTTTATGTATTAATATTTAGCATTTCTCTAAACTCCATAGTTATACTGGTTACTCACAGTCCTCTACCCCTTGAAAATTGCTCTTGGGTGGAAAAAAATCTCCAGTGGGGAAATTTACACATTTGTGTCAAAGGGGGCTGTAGGTAGAAGAGACTCTCCACTCTTTAAGACAAAGTTCTCTAGCACTGCACGTTCTCTTGAAGCCCTAAGGTAACACAGCTACAGATGGCAAAAGGGTAGAAATTGGGGCATGCGTGGGGGCTCACACCTGTAATCCCAAAAACTTTGGGAGGCCAAGGCAGGAAGATTGCTTGGGTACAGGAGTTTGAGACCAGTCCAGGCAACATGGCAAGACCCCATCTCTACAAAAAATACAAAAATTAGCCTGGTGTAGCGGTGTGTGCCTGTAATCCCAGCCACTTGGGAGGCTGAGGCAGGAAGATGGCTTGAGCCCCAGGAGGTCAAGGCTGCAGTGAGCTGTGACTGTGCCACTGCACTCCAGCCTGGGTGATAGCGTGAGTCCGTGTCTCCAAAAAAAAAAAAAAAAAGTCGGTCTGAGTTCTGAGTTCTCAGACCATATGGTTCTGTTATGACTACCTACCATGGGTAAGAGGCTCCTTTGGTTAAATAAGACACCCAGCATCTGTCCATTGGTTCAGCTGTATCTAACAGAAAACCCAAATTAACACTGGCTTAAATGCACAAGGACTTTTTTTTTTATCTCTTGCAAAAGAAATCTGTAGGAGGGAGCCTAAGGCAATGTGGCAGCCCCACAAAATTCATAGAGCCCCAGCTTCCTGTTATGTTTTCCTGGTGTACGGTATATGGCTTATCTGAAGGTCAGTCACCTCAAGGTTCAAGATGGCTCTTGGAACTTCAGTCAACGAATTCATGTTCTGGAAAATAGGATAAAGAAAGGGAGGACCCAAAAATGTCTTCCCTTAGCTTTTTTTCCTCCTTTTAAGTAACCTTCCTGGAAGCCCTTCCCAACAATGTATGCTATCTTGAAGGCCAGAACTGACTAAATAGATAGCTGCAGAGGAGACTAGGAATGTAATATTTTAGTTAGTGCATTTTTGCCCCCAGTAATATAGGCATTTTATTAATAAGATAAAAGGCAAGAATAGGTGTTGGATGGGCAACTAGTAGCAGCTGCCACACAAGGTATAAATTATTTTGGACTCTGGGTAAAGTGTACAAAGGAGAACCTATGGTCAAGGAGAATTGCTGCCAGTGGCTTGACCAACAGTCTACGTCCACACTCCCGTTTCTGCTGGGAACCGATCACTAATAACCTGGCTCGCCTACCATAGGAAAAAAGAAGGAGTAATAGCTCATATCTATTGTGTGCTTACTATTTGACAAAAAATGCGTAATCGTTTTGCATGCATTATTTCATTAAAGCCTCAGGTCAAGCCATAAAGTAGGTACTAGCACTATTCCTATTTTACATATATGGGAACTGAGGCTCTGTGGTTAATTAACTTGACCAAGATTACTAGGAAGTGTGAAAGTAGAGACTTGAACTCAGGTTCTTTCGTCTTAGAAGCAAGTGCTCTACCACTGCACTGTGCTATACACACACACACACACACACACAAAAGGGAAAAGGAAGAAAAAAAGAGTTATAAAGAGGTAACAGAATAAATTAAATCCCTGAACTAAAATGAAAAATTGTATATTAAAATGCTAAAAGTTAATTTTTAAAAGGTAAAATGATGACTTATACAAACATAAAATTAACATGTGTCAAATATTTTAATTAACTGAGTGAACCAATAGGATGTCAAACATGTTCAAAAGAGAATTCAATGAAATGCAGATATATAGGCAATGAGGAATGCTGGGAAGAATTTTCAAATAGATACAAGACTGGTCTATTCATTGGGCAATAATCAATTGCATTCCACCAGGCACAATTTCTTTCCATTTCTAAGGATGAGAATGACTTTCTATTATCTGTTTTACATACAGAGTGAAGGAACCAAAAGATAAAAAATAACCTGGAAAGGTGTGCTAGAAAGGACACTCAGTAACTTTTTGTCTAGTTCAAAGTTTTTCATAATTTAAAAGTTTTTCTAGTGAACCTAGATTATCTTCTCCCCATTGCCTGATATACCAGTGTTTAGGGGGATGTAAAGAATATCTCAGAGATTCCTTTTTCCTACCTACCCTCCAATTTATTCACTACTAGATGTCCAGCAGAGAGAGAGGGAAGGTCAAAGAATGATCTTTTCTCTTTGAACTGTCCTAGTGTGTTGGTAATAACTTTCCAAACTAAGATGGAAAATTGGATTCCAGTGGCTGTCATGTCATCTTTCGTGAAGTAATTAGCAAATGTATGTTGGATGCCTTCAATGTGCCAGAGACTCTGCTAGATGGACAAAGTAGGCATGGTTCCTGCTGTCAGATACTTACCGTATACAGGGGAAAACTTACCTTCCAGTAGAGGGCAAATATGCTGTCCAATATAACCTACAAATGTGCACTCCACCCAACCCTGTGAATTGCTTCTATGCACATTATGTATTTTTTAGGTCTTACATTATAACTTGTTCAAAACATCCTTTCCAAGCCTGGACAGCTTGTCTGCCTCCTTGTTCTTCCCCAATTGTTGAGCAGTTTGTAGCATCATCAGAGGAAAAACACTATTGCATTAAAATTGCCAGTGTGGTTTTTTGCTGACAGCCAAACTATGGGTTTGGCAGCATTTCCCTCTTAAAAGCTTCACATGACTTCCCTCTGTCACCTTTAGAGTTTCTGCAGTGATAAAGAGGCATCAACTTGCTCAGTACAGGGAAGCCTTCTGGACTCCTCAAATTCTGCCCTTAAATCGGCTCAAAGACAAACAGGGAAGGATGTTTCTGTCTTTGCCTCTCTTCCCCTCCCTTCCACTCTCTCATCTGTCATCCTCTGTCTGTGTGTTGTCCTCATTGCCCTGCCTACTAATTCTCATTTGCAAAGGTTTTTTTGTTTTGTTTTGTTTTGTTTTGTTTTTTTACAGTCAGATCTCAGGCTGCTTCCTCCAGGGATTCATTTACTCTTTCCTGGCAGCAGATTTCGGAGGGCTCTGCCTTCTGCACACTGATAATTAAGAACCAGTGGGCCAAGAGGCATCTTGCGCAGTGCTGAGCAATTCCCCTGAATTCCAGGCAGGAGGCAGGTGTACACTGAGGGAGAGAAAGGAAAGAGAGAGACAGCGACCACGACCACATCTATTTCTTCCTTCGACCTTTCTCAGAAAGGAGCCAAGCCATAATGTTACTGTTGCCAGTTAATAGTCATGAGCTCAACTGATGTAAACACTGATGATAGTCACTTTCCTTCAAGTCTGCCACTGCCTATAGTATTTCCTTGTTTTGAACACTGACCTCTCTAGGACTCAGTTTCCTGATTTATAAAATGACAACGTCGGAACAGTTAGTTAGGAAAGAGCTTCAGCTTAAGCATTCTGTTTAACTAAAATAAAGCTGTTGAGTTTTTTTGACAGTAAAGTTAATGTTGCTTTTTATAAATGTTCAAGCAGATGTTCAGAATTGCCTATTAAGGAGTGGGATTTGAAAGGAGAGAATAAAAGGATTGGTTAGGTATTCTGTTGTTTGGGGAGCTTCTGACTTTTTTCTTTTAAATGAAAGTAAACACCCGTACATGGGGAAGAGAATCAAACAACATAGGAAGGTCTAAAATTTAAAAATAAATCGTCCCCCACCTACCCCACTCCTGCCTGTCCACATTCTCCAGCGTTAACCATTCTGAGCTTATGTCTTTTTAGTTCTTCCATTGATTACTATGACTTTATGTCATAATGTATGTATTTCTGTTTTCTGAATTACCAACTTTGGATATATTGTTGACTCCCAAAAGATAAACTTCCCTCTTCTGGTGTGACTCCCAATTTTGTTTGGTTATATTATTTCTAGGTTGTCAAGATATGGAATACATCACTGTCTTTGATGCTTTGTCTATAGATTGCTTCTGAAAATCTAAGCCCCTAAAAAGTCATATTAAGTATAATGATTATATAAATACTCTTCACTATGGAATGAAGTTGATTCCTTGGACCCATAGAAAAGGAAATGGGATCCTTTGTCACTGAACTCTTGCCACTCCAAGAGGAATGTTCTAGGGCTGGGTGCGGTGGCTCATGCCTGTAATCCCAGCATTTTGGGAGGCTGAGGCAGGTGGGTCATCTGAGGTCAGGAGTTCGAGACTAGCCTGGCCAACAAGATGAAACCCCATCTCTACTAAAAATATAAAAATTAGCTGGGTGTGGTGATGCACGCCTGTTACCCAAGTACTCGGAGGCTGAGGCAGGAGAATCGCTTGAAACCAGGAGGCAGAGGCTGCAGTAAGCCGATATTGCGCCACTGCACTCCAGCCTGGGTGACAGAGTGGGACTCTCTCAAAAAAAAGAAAAAAAATGTTCTATATATCAAAAACAGATAAAACTTTTCCCTGTCAGATTGCGTCCCTTCTTTCCCTTCATAGTCTGGTTGCCACTGTTTCTTTTATATTTCTCTTTTCCTTATATTTTTCCTTGTATGTTGTCATTTGTCTTATATGATTTTAAAATCTTTGAGGTTTTTCATGTGTGAAAATGTTTTATATTCCCTTATGATTTACAAGTTTTTGACTGGGTATACAATTCAAGCCTCAAAATCGTTTTCCTTCAGAAGTTGCTTCATTATCTGCTAATATCCTGAGATGCTGATGAGATTTCTGGGATTAGTGTGATTTTAGTTCACCCAAAGCTTAGTGTAACTTTTTTTTAACCATGTAAGATTTAAGGACTTTTCTCTTTATCTCTAGGGTTGTCCAGTGTTGCCGTGATGTATTTAGATGTGGACTAAGGAACTTTATCCTCTCTGCTTCATATTTAGTGGGCCCTTTCCATCTAAAGACGAGTATCTTTCTTGATTTCTGGGAATTGTTTAATATTATTTATTTATCTATTATGTACATGTCAACTTGACTGTTTCTTTTACGGTTTTGGTTGCTACATTCTCAGATTTTCTCAAATTTACCTTCTCTATTAGTGTCTTAGCCTTAAGCTTTGACAATTCACCAAATAAGAGTTTTGTTCACAGGACTGAAACTTTAGGTGGTGCTGTTTGATAGTTTTCTTCTCTCAGAGTCTGAAACTAGACTCTAAAGTTACCCCAAGCTCTACTCTGTTAACGTTTCTGGCTTCAGTATCCTAAGATCTCTTCTAAGGCATTTCATCAAAAAAACAGTGCCAAGAGCTTTAGCCAGGGGACAAAACCCAGTGATATCAGCCTCACATACTCCAAAGACCCAAGGTGAGGGAACTGGAACATGCCAGCTCCAATGATAGTCCTGGGGGTTTCTTCTGCTCCTGGAATTTGATGATTCAAAATTTCCATTTTACTCCCAAACTCCTTTACAGGGAATCTTTCTTAGCTCTGATATTTAGGAGTTCAGAATAATATGTTCTGGTTTTTTCCATCAATCCAATTCAGTCTGCTTTCTGTCTTTTAGAGTTCCCTCAAAATTTCTCCTCCTATGCTAGCTTTTTAAATATACATGCATATTAAGGTTTTCTTCTGATTTATAACATTTCCTACATTGCTGGGCAATATAAGAAAAGAGAGGAGGTAGATACATTTGCTTAGACCTCTGCTTTTACTAATATTTTTTAAAGAAAAATAAATTTGCTATTTTCATAAAATAATATCTTATTATAAAGAAAGTAAGCAATTCAGAAATTTAATAAAGAACAAAAAATGTAAACCAACCATAATAATCATTATTAATATTGGTGAACAGCACTGCAGACATTTCTAATGCAAATATAGAGAAGAACAGATAGAGAAAAGTACTTGTAGGAAATTTAACAGAAGGAAAAGAAACTGAGATAAAAGAAGAGAAATTGCTAAACTTTAAACAAATGCTTCTTCACCATAAAAGAAATCACTTTCTAAAGGATTCCTCTAAAGTTATGGAAAACATTAGGGAATTTGAATTATTTTTTCTACTTTATGATAAAAATGTTATTTTCTATGAAAGAGATGAAGTCATGAACACTCTCATATATTTCCCTTCCTCCTCTCCCTTTTGTTAGCTATATATCATTTTTATATTGTCAAAGTGTAAGGTAATTCCCATTGAAATATGACCAAATATAACAAAACTCCATGTAATTGTTTAGTATTTGTTCTATAATTTGATAGGTTAATTTATAACCATTGGTTTTTAAATTATAGCTTCTTTATTACTAATTTCTTTAGATTCATCTCTTATTTATGTAGATTTTGTTGCCACTTTGGTTCAGCATTTTTTAAAGGAGGTCTCATGTGTGCTACATGTCCTGAGTTCTTTCATGTTGACAATGTCCATTTATTATCTTTATAGGTGAATAACACCTTCTCTGGATTTAATCTTTTGGCCACACTTTTGTTTTTTCTAAATATTGTAAACGTTGTTTTATTGCCTTCATAGAAGAGGCTAATGACAGCCTGATTTTCTTTCAGTTTTTAGGTGATTTATTTTTCTGCCTGGGTGCTCAAGGAATTAATTCTTTATTCTTTAAACCCAAAATCTTTAGCAGAATATATTTTCATAATGCATAGGAACATTACTGTAGGAAATGTTCTTATGGCCCTTATGTATTTTGTCTATCAGCAAATCGCTTTTTTATTTTAATAAAACTTTCTTTTAATATATCAAGTTATTTTTCTATTCTATTTTTCTGTCATTCTGAGACATTAACTTTATGCTACCTCATTTTAATCTACATGTTGTCTGTTAATTTCTTGTTACAGAAATCAGTTTGCTTTTTTAAAATCTGCACTCCTTATGATTATCTCAAACTTTTCTACTAACAGCATAGTTTAAAATTTTCAAGTATTCATACATACACAGAGGAAGTGAGTCTAAATATAAGGAACAAAGAGTAATAACTAAATGAACTCCCATATCTCTACAACCCAGCCTAAGAACTAGAATAATATTACTATATATTAAAATTCCTATATATGAATACCTCTCCTAGATTCCGTGCTCCTCTGTTTATTCCCCAAAGTTACTAACATCTTAAGTTTTATCTATAGCATAAGAGTTTTAAAAAATTATACCCTAATTAATACAGTTTACTTTTGAATACGTTTGACCATTTTTATAAAATAAATCACACTATATATTCTTCAGCAACCTGTCTTTCTTCTCCTTAAAATTCTGCTTGTGAAATTTATTTATATTAATACATGTGCCTTTAGTTATTTCTTTATCACTGTTAAATACTATTCATAGACAGGGTGTGTGGTTCATGCCTGTAATCCCAACACTTTGGGAGGCTGAGGTGAGAGGATTATTTGAGGCCAGGAGTTCAAGACTAGCCTGAGCAACATAACAAGACCCCATCTCTAATTTTCAAAAAATAAGTTAAAAATAATATTCATAGGATGGATACAGTATCATTTATGCATTCATTTCCCTATTAATGACTTCTAGTTTGTTTCAACATTTTATTATTATCAATATTATATATATTATATATTATATAGTACACATGTTCAAATTTTTTCTAGAATGTATGCTTCTGGGGGGTGGTATTTCCAAATTATAAGTACATCTTTAACTTGACAATAATGCCAAGTGATTTTCTAAAATAGTTACATATATTTGAACGTAATATATTCTCTACCTGGTTGATGGCTATTATTCTTTTATTATGTCACTTTGCTTCTTGATTTGTTTCCTTGAGTCAAATCTTCCTTTTAATCTGAGTTCTATTGCTTTATCATCTTTTCTTGAAATTCTTGTTTTATTTCATCTATATTCTTTGACTTATGTATTCCTTTGCACTTTCTCATTTGATTTGATCCTTGAAATAACACTGAAGAATAGGTACTATTATGATTCCCATTTTATAGGTAAAGTAATGGACTCCAAGGAAATTATGCATCTTGGCCACAGGCCACAGCTAGTAAATGGAGAATCTAAACTAGCAACCGAGGCCTTCACCTCCAAAATGCTTGCTTCTTTTCATGCTTTGAGACAGACTATAATTACGTGCTATATTGTGTAGTACAGCCTCTAAGACTAATTCAGCTTCTAAACTGAACAGGAATAAGTAAACAACCATCTATAGTACATGTAAGTTATTGAAAACCCTTCTAAATGAGACAAGAACAGCAGCATATCAGGTGGAATTACTGCCCTGATCTCTCTTGGAACTTACCCCTGTACCTAAAAGGATGAATTCTGCTGCTACCACCTGAAGTGTGTGTGTGTATGTGTACGTGTATGTGTATGCATACGTGTATGTGCATGTGTGTGTTTTAAGCAGCTGATACAAGTGACAGTACTATTGACATAGACTTTAGAAACCCAATTTAATCACAAGGAAACAGGATTAAAACAAGAATATGATGTGCGTTTGCTTGGGCCTCGATGATGTCTGAGAAGAGCCTTTATTTGGAATATCCCTCCATCCTGAGCTCTTAGAAAAAAACCAGGTCACACAGGGTAAACGTGTGCAGCAATTAATGTGGTGGATGGTAGAACTTTGCCCTGTGTTAGGGGACTTTTCTAGCACTTGGAGGGGCATAGTGAAGTTCATTTATTCCTGGAAAGGATCTCTCTCTTGAGTTACAGTTTTAGAAGAATGGCGTATGAAATGACAGGCTACCCGAAGATAATCTATACTGAGAATGTTGTAAACCAAAGATGAGGGGAGACAGCAAGACTGACTCAAAGAACAGTCATGCATCTAGACTTAGCTGCCCTTCTGTATTAGATCAATTGCTGGTTGAGTTTATGTCTTATTTTCAAATATCTTTGTCAAGGAATTTAATCAAACCTAGGATAATCAAATAATTATTTTCATTGTTTCCTAAAGATTGATCTAAAGAGATGCATATATATCTGGTGGGGAAAAAATACCTGCAAAGTATTCAAATAAGTTTGGGTGTTTTTAATTTAACCAAGCCAAGAGTTTTCTCTTCTGTAGAATTTCTCAAAGCTATTAATATGCTGATGTACTCTGAATTTGTAAGAGGGATGTATATTACAAAGAAATTCTAAGTTATTTGATCATGAAGCCCTTGTATTCATGGACTCCTGGAACATATTTCAAGAAATTTTGCTTTCTTCTAATTATAAAATATTCAAACTAGAGCATGCCTCAAAACAACTCCAGTTTTAAACCCTAATTTTACAAGAAGGGAAACTAAATTTTAGAGGCTTTAAGTGACTTCCCCAAGGTCACATAGCTCTTTGGTGATAAAGGTAGAACTAAAATTTGTATCTTCAGATTCCTGATCTTGTGTGAAACTGATCAAAAATAGATTAAGTCACAAGATGCAATGACCTGAAGGCAGGCCTATTTGCTCCCTTCCAGGCATGTGATGTGTCCTTCTTTGCCAGTGAGAATAATGAGACCTAAAATTATTTCCTGTGGACCCAAAATTGCACTTCTGACAGCTCCTGAAATCCTCTCTCTGAAACCTTATTACATCTCTGCTCTCCCTAAAGATTCAAGAGTCTAGGGATGTCCTCTCTAAATTCTGCATATAAGGCCTACATCACAGATATTCACCTGAATGTCTTATTATGTTGTGCCCTCCAGCAACACTTAGAGAGCAACTCCCCTTCCAGCGTCCTGTTCCAAGTTGACAAGTCTGTGGCAAGAGGCAATTTCTTATCCTGAGGTTATCTGGACAGCCTCAGACCCCATAAGCAGAATTTAGAGAGGGCTTGAAATTTAGAAAAGGGACCACCTTTCTGGTAAGCAGTGGGGCAGTGTATATCAAAAACCCTTACCAGCTTCATGCCCTTTAACTTTGAAGGAAATAGCAGAAAGTGTATTTTCAGATTTAATTGCACTAGTATTTGTCAATGCACTATTTTAATAGAAATTTGAAATAACCTGAGTATCCAATAATAGGAGATACCAAACAAATCAATATACATCTATTAAATACTATATAGCCAATAAATGTATGTTACAGAACCACTCATGGAAAGATGTCTAGAACAGAGCTTCCCAACAACTTTGCTAGGTATTGAAATTTTGATGTCCTTTGCCCTCATGGCAGGTAGTCAGGGTCTAGTGTGGCCAGAGTCCCCCACTCAAATGTCTCAAAATGCAAGCAGGCTCTTCTTTCACCCAAGTGTACCGTAAAATTATTTGGTTTTAAAAATGTGTGCCATAATGTAAAAATGTTCAGAAAACTGATCTAAAACATATTGCTGGGAAAAAATTATAAAGTATTATTACATTGAGTTTTGAGATATACTCCAATGTCTGATTGAAAACATACCTTGCCTATATCTGGAATACTAGTAATTTTTATGTTTTTGTTTATTTGTTAATTTACATTTCTCTTTTTAAGTAAAAACGTTTTTTTTTTCTTGA
The DNA here is from genome assembly GCF_000001405.40 of Homo sapiens. Taxonomy (NCBI): domain Eukaryota; kingdom Metazoa; phylum Chordata; class Mammalia; order Primates; family Hominidae; genus Homo; species Homo sapiens. The sequence continues at coordinate 2,950,544 of NC_000009.12, read as the reverse complement.
CAGAGTCTCACTCTGTCACCTAGGCTGGAGTGCAGTGGCAAGATCTCAGCTCACTACAACCTCCCTCCCCTGAGTTCAAGGGACCATCCCACCTCAGCCTCCTGAGTAGCTGATTACAGGCGTACTCCACCACGTCCGACTAACTTTTTTTGTATATTTAGTAGAATCGAGTTTCACCATGTTAGCCAGGCTAGTCTCAAACTCCTGACCTCAAGTGATCTGCCCACCTCAGCTTCCCAAAGTGCTGGGATTACAGGTGTAAGCCACCACACCTGGCCAAAAGTATTATTTAATAAGAATAATATAATAATAATTTTAATGCTTACATAGCTCTTAATATATTTTATTTGGTTTGATCCTCAAACCTATGAAGTAGTCACGGCCATCATTGTTTTCATTACATAAATGTCATTTTTTAAGTCCATATTTGAAGCTAGTAGGAACTGGACAAGTTGATGCTGGCAGAAGAAGGTAGAAACAAAATATATCTGAAAGGTAGAAATAAGAAAATATAATAACTAATTACCTGTGGGAACTAAGTACACCTCCAGGACACTGGGGATTGTGGTATTAATGACCAAAACAGAATCATGGAAATGCAGTATTTTACAAAGGTTTTAAGGGCAAACTCAGGGAATGATTCATGTTCAAGAAGCGGCTGAGTTTTGCTGTTTACTTGTTATTTAGGAGGTGCAAAACTCACTGGTGAAAATGTCCAAGTTATTGTTGAAACTCAGCTGAGAGGACGAAACAAAAGATGCAATCTGGATAGTCATTCACAATGGAGCCACAGTCAGAGCTGTGCAGGAGAATTGATTCTCCTGGGAAGAGTGTAGAGAGAAAAGCAGGACACCAAAAGCTCGAACCTTTAGTCTTTGTCTCTGCAGAACTCCCAGGGACTTGACTTCTATGTGTGGAATGATGATAGAATAGCATTCCAAGAGTCGCTGGCCATGGATGAATACTGACAATGGATGACATGTTCAAATAGTTTTCTTCGTTATTCCTCCATAGATCAGAGATTACTTGATTTTAAAAAACAAAGTAAGAAAGACATTTTGTATGCTCACAGGGGATTTGTTGGTGAGCAGCACCCTAGAAGATAGGATTAATGTGAAAGGTATCCTAGCCATTTGAAGAAGTGATCAGAAATTAAGAAGGTGCCACTGAATTATAACAAGTGCATAGTACATTGCACTTAGGATGGGTAAAGGGATTAAGCTACAACAGTACAAAATGGAAGGACTCAGACAGGCTGTAAATACAATGAGCAAAGATCTACAAGTCTCAGAGAGGAACAACTCTCTGAGTTGTTTATATATTTATGCTGGCAAATATAAGATGTTTACTAGAAAATATGTTTTCAGGCAGTAGAAAGACATAAATATAATAATTCAATCACCCTGTCATATTTGGCATTCAGAAGAAATACATTAGAAACATAATAAATGTATTTCTCTTCAGGGTGCCTCTTTTAAAAGAGTTTAAATTTATTAAATAAAATATCAAGGACATCAAAAAATTAATACATGACTGTAAAAATGTATTCCTAAAGAAAGGTCAGTAATCATGGTATTTATTTTTGACATCAAAAGACCAAGGAAAAATTTAATAAGGATCAAGATCATTGGCCTGCGTGCAGTGGCTCACACCTGTAATCCCAGCACTTTGGGAGGCTGAGGTGGCAGGATCACTCGAGCTCAGGAGGTTGAGACTGCAGTGAGCCATGATCACACCACTGCACTCCAGTCTAGGCTACAAACTGAGACCCTATCTCAAAACCAAGAAAAATAAAAAAGATCATTAATCTGTAGAAGATTATTGTACAGAGTTGTTTGGCATCTCTATTGCAAGTAGAACAATGGGAAATAAACTGAAGCCATGAATTTAAAAAATCCCCCCAAATATATATTTATATGTATACACTCACACACAGACCACACATACTGGCATACATACACATATATGTGTATGTTTGTGTAAAGAGTCTAGAAGAGAATGCAGCAAAATATTAATAGTTATTATTTCTATGCAATAGGATTGTAGGTGTTTTATATCTGTATCTTTTCCAAAATTATCTACATTAAACATGCAATTTTTGTGTAGTAAGACAAATAAGTTCTTTTTCTTTAGAAGTGTTTCTAGAAACAAATGTTACTTCTTTCTCCTTCCTGTCACATTCTCAGCCCTTAATCGATAAAACTCATTTTTCATAAGATCCTGAATAACAACAGTTCTGGCACCCCATTTTATCTTTTTCAGATGCTAGTGAAAAACAATCACCTTTCAGACAAGATCATTGTTTTGCCAGGAAAAACTGAAGACGTCTCACTTCCTGAGGCTGTAGATGTGATCATTTCCGAACCAATGGGATACATGCTGTTCAATGAACGGATGCTAGAGAGTTATCTTCATTCCAAAAAATGGCTAAAATCAAATGGTAAGTTGGCCCATTCTTGGTTTAAAAAACAGTCTAACTTCTCTGTAAAATTTTGCCACTCTCTGTCCCCTACATCTGGTTCTGTACAGAAAGAAGGAGAGAGCATTTCTGTTATACTCAATTATTTGTTTTTCTCATCTCATTCTTCCATAACAAATTAACTCATCTCCAATCGTAAGAACACAGGTATGCTGCACAGTATTCAACATGGTGTAGAGAGCCAGGTCTGAGTTCTGTGTTTTTTGTCCTAGTTCAATCCCTTCATTCCTTAATTAACTTGGGCTAACACTTGACCTTTTGGCCTTGGTTTCCTCATCTGTATAATGACATTATTACACATAATCTCCAATGTCCTTTCAAGTGTTGGCCTTCTGTAATTGAGGAACTGTCTGGGGTCTGCTTGTTCTTTTTGGTATATTTTTTCCCTACTGTATTTCTCTCTCTGTCTATGATCACTACACATAGTCAAGATAATATTAAATCTAATATGCTTTTTGTGCTTTCCAAGTGACTGCATGTGCTAAGCAATTTGAATAAATTATTTTATAAAATCCTTATAAAGTCTGAATGATGAAGGTTTTCAATTTATTTGAGGGGTTATCCTTGAAGCTAATTTTGCAACCTTCCCCAGGGACATTTGACAATGTCTGGAGACATTTTGGTTGTCACAATGGCAGCAGGGGCTGGGATCCTAGCATCTAGTGAATAGGGGCAAAGATGCTGTGAAGCATCCTTCGATGCACAAGGCAGTCCCTTACATCAAAGAATTATCTAGCCCAAAATGTCAATGGTATACGATTGAGATCTGGGTTAGCGGGGGACGTTGTTATCATCCCATTTTATAAAGAGAAAACTGAGACTCAATGAGGAAAAGTAACATGGCGAGAACAAACATCTAACAATTGGCAGGCCAAGAATTTCAGCCTACATCCATCTGACACTGAAGCCTACACTCATAACTTGGGCACACACACTAGCTTTCCACTCTTCACCAGAGAAAGTTGGCACATTCCAACAGCAGGTGTTTTCAATTAAAGCATGGCAGATAACTTGCCAATTTTAAGTTGCATCTCATGAGAATTTCAGCTCCTTCCCCAGTTGTATTTACTTAAATTACCAATGTTGTAGCTCCGTACCTTGATATTCAATGAAAACGAAATAGTGAACAACCATGCAACTCATACATACCAACATGCATATAAGTGAAGTTTGAAGTTTATAATTTCCTACATGCTTCAAACTTCAGAAATAGGCACTAAAAGAAAACTCATGTATAAATAAATAAATAAGCTCAGGCAAAGTATACCTAACATCAAGAACTTCATTAGCAATCTTGCTGTAAAACAGCTCAGGACGCTCTTGGAAGCCTTGTGTGTATGCGATAAAATTGAACTGTGGGAGATGAAAGTGAAGGTACAAAGTGGCTTGGATTTCCTCCTCAATGCCTCCAGGAAGAATTTGTATGTTTTTTTCCTGGACATTTTCAGATGGTTAGGTGCTTCTGTATGATGAGATTTGTAATGTAGTTAATTCACGTGCATCACCTGAGCCCCTCTTAAACTGAGTATTTAGATAATATCTAGGTATCTTTTCTCCCCGGGTATTTGAAATGAATATGACATTTTATACTGGGCTATATATCTTTAGGCAAGTAGAAATGAATACTGATTTTATTGGCTTTCTAGGCTATGTATTCCTCAGGGAAGGGTGATTGATTTTTTTCTAATTATTTATATATTCCATCAAAATAAGACATAGTTTAAAACATCAATTAATAATAAAAAGGCTTATAATGAAAAATAGTAGCCTTCTGCCACGCCTCCTTCTATCATCAGACTGCTCCCCAAAGGCAACTGCTTTCAACTCTATCTGTTGTTTCTTCTATTATTTACCTACATATTCCTGTCTAAGATGATTACATTGCTATTCTCGTCACTCTCTGCTTGAGAATTTAGCTTTCCTGAATAGCAGCTCCTTCCTTCCTGATGCACCTACCCCACCCCCATTCTCTCAGTATATTTAGATAGGTCCTCAGTTCCTTTATCCCAACCCTTGGTGCCAGATATGTTTCAGAATTCAGAAGAAGGACTTTGGAAAGTTAATATCACCTACCATGCATTACTTAATTCTCCCCAGTGGGATCTGAGGCAACACTCTGTAATGAAAGACATTATATTGCTGCAACAAAACATAAGAATATTGATACAAAGTGGAATAAATAAAGACTACAAATAAACTGTCCTGTCAGTTCAGGTCAGGTTTTGCCATGAAATGATGCTGCTGCAAACTTATAAAAACCTGTTGCTTTTCAGATCTCAGAATTTAGCATAAAGAAATATAGGCCTAGATCATTATTTGGTTAAATTAAGAATCAGCGTTTCCAGTGTTATGATGTAATGTAACTATTGTTGAACTCTGAGTCAGTTGGTATAGTAGATGCTCTATGCTTATGTATGTTTTCTCATATAGTCTTTTGTTTTTCCTGGAGTTAATTGTCTTGGTTTCTTTCATTAGCTTAGCTTTTATATATTTGTGGCTAAATGTTTCTACGCTCCAGTAGATCTGACAGATGCCAATCAATATGTGTTCCTCTGTTGCTCCCCTCTATTCAGTAGTCCTCTGGCCTTCCCTAGCAACATGAACTGAGTGTTCTCCAGCCCCATCTCATGACTGTCATACATTGACTTTCTATCATCATCCTTTTGTCTTCCTCTTTGTTGGTTTACGACATCATTTCGGCAAAGGATATTCTCTACCAGCTTCTGCAGAAAAGGAGCTTGAGAAGTTACTTTTTATCGAGCCCTTGTATTATTATTTGGTCAAGAATATAACTTAAAAACAATTTTTACTCAATATTTTTAAAGCTTGGTGTTTTGGTTTTTGTGTTTTGTTTCTGTCTGCAAATCTTGCTATTGAGAATTCCAATGCCATTCTGACTCCTGCTCCTTTAGAGTAACAAAGTTTTCCCCTCTAGATGCTTTTAGTATCTTCTCTTTATTTCTAGTGTTCTAATGAGAATCTTTTTTCAGTTCTTGTGCTGGAAATTCAGTGAACATGTTTAATCAGGAGTCTGATTTTCTTCTGCTCTCAGAATTTTCAAAATATTTTACATTTGATTTTCTCCCCTCCATTTTATCTGACATTCTTAGAATTCCTATTAGGTTGAGGCTCATAACATCATCCTCTAAATCTTCCCAAGTTTACACAAGCAGAGATACATATTACTTCTCTGAGGTTATTTAATATCCTTCTATCATCTCGAAATTGAAAAACCACTAAGCAATCATTATTGTTTTGATACCAATGCCTGAGATTTAGATGGGGACATATTAATGAGGTTATGATCATGCTTTGCCCCTGACCACTTCTGAAAATACCCCAAGTAAAATAATCTGTTTTAACAGATATGGAAAGCCACATAGTTTCAGGATGGGGCACTGACTATCAGATGAGATTCCACTCCCTGGATTTTGCTCCGCTATTTGTTAGCTCTGTGATCGTGACCAAGTAATGTAAATTTCTCTGTTTTCTTGTTTATAAAATGCACATAATAATAGAACCCACTTTATCTTAGTATGAGAATTACATAAATTAATGCATGGGAAGCCCTTGGAAAAGTACATGACAGGGTTATCATAACTGAGAAATTTTAGCTATTATTGTTGTTTTTATGACAACATCTCTGGTGTCTTAAGTCAGCCTTATTTCTGAAATATAGTTAATAGTTCCTCTTTCTTTCATGTGCAATTTAATAAATGGCTATAAAAAGATTTTCCCTAAAATTGCAAGAGTAACAATGCTGATCATCAGGTCTGCCTACTCAGAAAGGCCCGACTTCAGGCATGCCAATCTAGGTGCTCATTTGCCCACTGAAGAATCTACCTTTCCTGTGGTGATTGTGGATGCCAAGAAATAAGCACAAATGTGTATTTCCCAGCATAAAGATTGGTGAGCATCCATAAAAACATAAATCCCAACAGCACCTAAGAAGACAGGTGGTCGATCTGATTCTACATGGACAAAGTCTGAGAATGAGAATAATAATGTGATGGAAGGATGGGATTGTGATTATTTTTAAAGCTAAATTATTGTTACAATAAATAAGAGATTAAATAAATAAATAAACATATCCAGAATTCATAGGACATACAGAAAGGAAAAAAAAAGCCAGTAGCTGAGAAGGCAACTGCCAGGTTAAACGGCTTGCCTAAGTCTCTACAAGCTTTTATCATTGTATTGCTTTCTGACTTGCTTTGATATTCTTTTCTATAGCCCCTCTACTCTTCTGCCTAATTTTTTATACTTGCATTGAGACAAAATTATATTTTATGCTGTCATGTCATAACTGAAGCAAAAGAATGGAATTGCTCTCAGGTGGCAGGTGAGTATAGCCTTCAATCAGAAAGCAATAGAAACTGACTTCTGGGTCTGTTGTGTTTTGCTCATTAGGAATGATGTTCCCGACATTCAGCGACATCCACTTGGCCCCTTTTTCTGATGAACAGCTCTACGTGGAACACTTCTCCAGAGCCAATTTTTGGTAATGTTCTTTTCTCCTCCCTTCCTTTCCCTTCAAAGTAAACCAGTTTTTAAAACTATTGCTAATTGGGGTCATATGCCTCTTGTTTGGTGGGGAGAGGGGAGGCGGCGGCAGTGAGGCACCTATCCCGTACACTGTAGAATGTTTAGCAGTATCCCTGGTCTCTACCTACTAGATATCATCTTCCCCCCAGAGTTATGACAACCACAAACGCTCTCCAGACATTGCCAAATGTCCCCTTGCAGGTCAAAATCACCCCCAGTTGAGACCACTACTCATAAATCAGAGACAGGTGAATCAAGGAGCCGTTCATGCAACATCAAACATCCGGAAAGCTATCCTGCTGCTAAAACAATATCCTCCCCTGCCTGCTGTTGCTCTCTTCCCATTTTTCACCATCCACTTCTTTGACTCAGGGCAATGGCTTCTGTTAGGACTTGACCTTGTCAGAGAACATATCAATCAGTACACCTGATAAATGAGTTGATCAAACCCTTTTTGAGTTTTAATTGGCGGTTGGCTTTTACACCCACCTCACCCGTCTGAGATTGAATTTCTTTATGTGTAGAATGGGAACTGATACAAAAGCTCCTGCCAGTTTTAAACCACCATTGTTTCTGGGATTCCTTTCTGAGAACTGGTTTTTACAAGAAGAAGGAAGGAACGAGAATGGGAGGGAGAAAGAGAGCAGATCTCATCCTTGTTGGAATGTTACATGTGTGGGAGCACAGGCATGGCCTGCAGGGGGGTCAGGATCCTCAAATTTAAGGTTTGACTTTGGTCTGAGGTATACAGGGCCTTATAATACAAAGAGGTCCAAAGTTGATTTCTGGGTTTTTCTCTTTGTAATCCTAGAGAAGGGACAGCAAATAGGAGGTACTTTGGTTTCCTGGGCTACTAAACTCTTTGAGGAGTGGGGTCAAATGGCTGATTTTTCTTTCCATTTTTTTTTTGGCAAAGTAGACTTTCCTAGCACAGATTCAGGGCATTTTGTGGTTTTGTTGAATCTACAATTCTGAGATTCTAAGCCACAGGCTTTCCCGTGGGGGTGAATGGCTTCTTGGTGTATATATGTGTCAGTTGGGGCAGGGGGACGGTGGGGGAGCTTTTACCTTAATAATCATTGTTCTGTGAGATTATGCTGACCCTAAATGATTACATTTGAATTATGACCTCCTGAGGAAATGCAGAGATGAAAGGGTTACGAATTTTAAGTAGCAGAATAGACCAGACCAACAAACTAGTGGTTTGTTGTCCAGGCAGTCCTTGCGTGACCTTCCAACCATACCATCTGCTGCCATCTTACTAACTTGAGGATATTAATGATCACAGTGGTTTGGCTCAGATTTCCACCACGTACCAACATGCTGCTATTTATTGCATCTAAAAATGAAAAACAGAAACAAAAACGAAAACATAATCTTCTCTAGATGTCGCTTTCCCAGTCAGCCATGGCCAATTCTCTAAGCCCCTTTCAGCAAAATTCCTCAAAAGAGTTGTCTATACTCAGTGTCCAACTCCCCCCTTCTGTTTCTCACTGGAGCCATTTCTCCAAAACCACTCTTTTCGAGGTCACCAGTGCCCTGACCTCCACATTGCTAATTCCAGTGATCAACTGTCACTTCTCAACTTATTTAACTTACCGGCATCATTTGAAACACTCTTTTTGCCCCATGATCTTTTGATTTTTCTCCTCCCTTGCTGGAACTTTCTCAACCAGCTATCCCTTCGCTGTTACTTGTCTCCATAAGACCCTGATGTTGGAGTGCCCCAAGACGCAGTGTTTGGATCTTTTCTCTGTGCAGGCTCACTTGGTGAGCTCACCCATTCTCATAACTACAAATACCATCCATAGACTAATGGTTCCCAAGTGTCCCTCTCCAGTGCAGACGTATCCTCCAAACTTTGTATTTTCCTAGCCAATTGCCTCCTGGATGTTTCCCCCCTTGCAGAAATTTACTGTGTGCAAAATTCAACTTCTGATCTCCCAATGTCTACCCAAAACCTACTGTACTCACAGTTTTTCTGTCTCAGTTGATAACAACTTTATCCTCTCCATCATTCAAGCCAAGAATTTTGAAGGCCTCTCTTTCTTTATCTCCTGAATCCAAACCGTCAAGTAATTATATTGGTTCTATTTTCAAAATGTATCCAGAATCACACCAATTTTTATTATATTCTCTGTTTCCTCGTTTTCTCAACACCATCATCTCTCATCTAGATTACTGCAATAGCTTCTTACCTGTCTCTTCTCAACAGAGCCAAAGCCTCGCAGGAGCTTCTTCATAGTCTGGCTCCTAGGTACTCTCTAGTCTCATTTCCTACTACCATGTTCATTTGGCTCCTGCTGCACAGGCCTGTGTGCTGATCCTCAGACACATCAGGCATGCTCCTAAGTTAGGGCCTTCGCATTTGCAGTTTTTTTTGTTTTTTTTTTTTACTTTGAATACTTTTTCCTCAATGTTCACATGGTCAATTCTTTTAACTCCATGAAGTCTTTGTCAAATGCCACCTTCTCAATGAGATCTACCCTGACCATCCTATTTTAAATTGTACCCATACCATGCCCAACCCTTCTTTTTCAATTCTGTGTTTTTCCTCGAACACTTACAGCATCCTAAAAGATATATAACCCCTTCCTATTATTATCTATGGTCTGTATCCCTCTTGATAAAATGTAAGCACTGCAAGGTCAGCAGTGCTGTCAGTTTCCACTGATGTATCCCAAGCACCCAGAACAGTGCCTGCCACAGGGTAGGCTCTCAGTAAATGTTTCTGAATGAATAAAAACTTCAGTATGCCCAAACATGCATGAAAATAATTATTAAGATTGTAGGTGATATATTTCCGGTTTTTCTCTCCTTTCTTTACAAAAACAGAATCATAAGTACCATTTTATAGCTTGGTTTTGTTTTGTTTTGTTTTTTTACTTTCACAATACTTTGTTGACATGTTCTCATATCATTTACATACTTTTGGCTGAAGAGTATTTTGTTACTCATAATTTATTAACTCAAGTTTCAATGTTGAATATTAAATTATTTGAATTGCTATTTTAGTCCTATAGATTCTATAACAAACCACAGCAAGGTTTCAATATTCTGTAAGAATATAGAATCCTATAGAATTCTATATCCTAAATTCTATAAGACACAACACTAAAGTGAACCTCCTTTCATATAAATTTTGGTGTACATTCTGATTATTTCCGTATGATAAATTGCTAAAAGCAGAATTACTGGACCAAAAAATGTGAAGAAGCAACTTATAAAAAATTATTCTTATATATTGCCAAATTGCCCTCTAGAAAAGTTTTACCAATTAACACTTCCACCAGTGGTATTTGGGAATGTCTGCTAACTCTTGCCCATACGGGATATGCTTTTTAAAATGCCAATTTGATTTGCAAAAAAAATGGTGGCCAGTTTATTTTTAATCTGTATTTCTTTGATAGCTGGTGCATTTGAACGATTATTTTTAGTCAACAAACAGAAAAATATTTTAAAAAATATATAGTTATCAAAATTCACAGCCTTTGCTTTCCTTCTAATTCCTCTCCCTTTGTGAGGTTTCTGCATTAGATGACTGGCATTTGAGTATCTTGCTGCTTTGATCCAGGAAACAGGTGGTGAATGCTTGCGTGATTTCTGTCAGAAGAAGCAAAGAAGTGGATATGTACGCTGGGAGCGGGGTGAGGAGTGGTGCGAAAAATAAGTCTGGGTGAGATCTCTCAGCTGAGAGATTAAGGAGCAACCAACTGGCTAAACCAGATCATCAGATGCAGTCAGTTTTCAGTCCTCACCTGATTTTCCTATTATTTGCACTTGACACAGTTGACTCTCTTTGCTCCGCTTCTCAAGCCTGAACCTGGTTTTTCTCCTACCTTTCTGGCTCCTACTTCTCAGTCTCCTTTGCTGATTCTTCCTCATGGCCCAAATCTTTAACATTGGAGTGACTCCAGGTTTCTTTCTTACATGTCTTCCCCTTTCTGTCAACACTCACTGTCTTACTTGATCTCATTCTGTCTCTTGGCTATAAATACCATCTTTCTGTCTACAACTCACATAGTTAGAACTCCAGCCCAGACCTCTGCCCAGAACCACAGACTTGGATGTCCAACTGGCTGTTGACAACTCCACTTGGATGTCTATTGGGCATCTCAAAATTAACATGCTTAAATGCAAGCTACTGATCCTCACCATCTCCCCACTGCCCACCTTTGCAAAACAAAACACCCCTGTGTCTACTACAGTCTTGGCAATAGCCTTCTAACTTAAATCCTCTTTTTAAACAACAACCACGCTCTTGATGAAACATAATTCAGATTATATTATTTCACTGTGTAAAGTCTTCTAGTGGCTTCCCTGTTTCTGCATAGTGAAAGCCAAAGTTCTCATAATGGTTGGGAAGACCACACATGATCTAGTTCCTACCTTGCTACCCCTCTGACTCTGTCTCCTACTACTTCCTCTCTCACTCTGTCTCCCCTCTGGCCTCAATGGCTGGCCTCCTTGCTTTCCCTGGAACAAATCAGGCATGCTCCTGCCTCCCTGACATTCGCTCTGCCCAAGACACAGACAATCCGGTGACTTTTCTCACCTCCTGCAGGTCTTTGCTCACATGCCACCGTCCCAGAGAAACCTTCTATTAATTACAAACTGCAGTCTCTTTCCTCCTGCAAGCCTGTACCACACTTCTCAATTCATTTTTCTTTATACCACGTATCACCATATACCATATTATATGTTTTTACTTATTTATTGTCTATCTCCCCCATGAGACTACAAGTTCCCTAAGTGTGGCTGCTTCATTTACTTCTGTAGCCCCATCATCCAACCTGGTTAACAGTAGTTGCTGCAGACATTTTTGATGATTAGAAGACAAATGCATTGATTTGTAAAAATTCTGTCTATATTAAGGACATTAAGACTGTCGTATTTTCTTCAGAATTTCCAGCTTGCTTTGTGATTTTATTTGTGATAGTTTTGACCACAAAACAACTTAAACTTTTTATGTAGCTGGATCTACCAGTAATTGTATTTTCTTGTTTCTTTATTTTCCTTTGTAATTTTTTAGCTCCCTGTCCCCCTCCCCATGAATTGGGTATTAACTTCCTTTTTTAAAGTTTTTACTTTTCCATGTAACATTTTTTAAAATTTGCATTTAACTCTGAAATTCATCTTAGTACACAGTCTGCAATAACTATATAACTTTATCCTTTCCAAATAACCAATTATGAGGCTCTCTCTTAGTAGACCAAATTATTACATTCTGATGCTAGTAGCAGTCACCTATAAAAATATTAATTATCTTTTATATGATGATTCCTTGGGCCCCATTAATCAAGGTGATGAGAATTATCTCCTGAGAGTAAGGCCCATCATAAAGAATCATCATTCCCAAATGTAATTCTTCTTAATATGTTGGGTACCTCTGGCATTACTGAAAATAATTGGCTCAGGGGTTTTACACCAAAGCCTGTAGATACAATTTTAAATGGATTCTCATATGAAGAAAAATATATACATAGGATCAATTAAGAGGTGTGCCAAATATTGTCAAGAAGCTTGAGACTAAACTAGACTGTTTTTTTACATTTATTACAGTTATAGAACATAAAAGCATAAACAAAATAGGTAGTAGTTAAAAGCCAGATGATTCAGACTCTAGATCCAGATGGAACTATGTTTAAATCTTGGTTCTGTCAATTACCAACTGCAAAGCCTTAGCCAAGTTAATTTAATCTCCCTGAGATTAATTTCAATCCATAAATTGAAGAAGATAATTTTACCTACCTGGAGATGATGAAATTTCAGGGATGGGTCCTCTGCTTGTACTTTTCTACCATAAAAGCCCTTTCTTCATGGGCCAGGTTACCCATGGTGTAGGGTTCTTCCAGATGCTGAATATATCTTTCCCAATTACATATTCAGGGACCAGGAAAATAATCATAGGGTTTGCATGAAACAAGTGGATACACTGTGAGATGGACTTGGTCCAAAACTCCACTTATTACCTATCCTCCACAGCCTTCACTAACCAGAGACATTCTAGATTTTTTTTGTATCAATATCAGCTCAAACTTCTCATCTAACATTTCTCAAAAAATCGAGGTATCCTTCCTTCACCACGGTTGCTTTGTCATAGAAACCCTGGTCTCTCTGGAGAAGGAGTGGGGAATGTTTTCTGTGTGTGCTTGTGGTGGCAGTGAGGGTCCTTCCTCAAGAGGACTGGGACTCTACTTAAGTCTGGACCACTTGGATCTGGAATCTGGGTGAGGGACTTAATATTTCCATTGTGACAGCTGACATCATTCTTCTGCTCATGAGCTAGCCATTTTTTGTTATACAAATTGAGCACTATCCTAGCTGACTTTCCATCTATTTTACCTCTCTAGTAACACTAGGATCTATTAACACCAAAGGTTCTTATAGGTCAAGGTGTCCGATTGCTACTCTACCCTAGCTTTTTACACAGTAATTATGCCATTATTGCCTAGGCCAGATAATTACTGCTTTCCTGCTCTGACATTCTGAAATGTCCTCCAAAATGTGTTCATTCAGAGCACAATTTAATGGCTACATCACCTACCACCATCTTTCATCTACCAAGGACAACTACTCTAAGGCTCTCAAAGATGCCACTGTTACCTAATCAGTTTTTTCCCTATTACCTTGTAAAAGGAAAGTTTCCTGTGCTCCGAGAAAATAGTCAGGTTGAATGTTCTTAGGTATTCCATAGTCAATCCATCTAGAATTTCCATGTCCCTGAGCCTTCTGACTCCTTCCTCAATGCAGCAGAAGTTCTGAAATCTCCACCTCATTGACTGCAGGCCATCATGATGACCAAGCTTTAAAGTGACATCCAGTGGATTATTAGGACTGGCTTCTGGTGTCTTGTTAGAACACTGAAACTATGAGTGCGCCATTTCAATGAGTTGCACTCTCTCCTCACTTACATCCTGCCCTCTTTATGGACTTAAAATCTAATCTAATACAATATTTCCTAGTTCTTAGCAGAAAATATTATCTGGCTTCTGCAGTTTTTTAGGTATGTAAATTATCTCCTTCTGGAATGGGAATTGTGTTTACTGCTCTGGCTGTGCTTGAGTTATTGGCCTGACAGCTATGAGGAACTATTAGCCTGAAGGCAATGAGTGATCATGAGGCAGATGTTGAAGAGAATAAAATCATCTTTCAAGGCACAGGCTCTTGGAGAAGTTGTTGCATAGTCTTTAAGCAAGGCTGTTTTCCTCTGGCAAAGCGGGAAAGAATTCTGCCTCTGCTGGCTTGAAAGATTCAGGGGAATTGGAAAGATTTCAGGCTTCTCTGCTTTGCCCACCCTATTATCCCAACCCCAGGTCTCAGGGCCATACCCTTTCCCTGTCGGGGCCACAATTTTAATACATAAGACCTGTCAAGAGTGCATATCCAATCTCCTCTGCAGCTCTTCCACTATTACCGTTTTACTCTCTTATTTGGAGTAGGGGGATGGGACAGTTTCAGTTCCAAAGATGTGGCTTCTACTTGTCAAATTCTATACATGATTTTCAGCACAGCAGGCCTTGGAGCACCAAAGAGATAGGAATTTCTTTATATCTGCTAGAAAGCCCCTCTGGATTTCACAGTGTGTCTTGAGTTGGGAGTTGGCTGCTCTGAGATTAAAACTTTCTTTTTGCAAAGCTTGCAATGCTGTCAACAGAGGCTTGCCTGCTCCTCAATTCATGGAATTATCATTGCTCCAAAATTTCAAGCACACAGTTGCCATAAAGCCCAATGTTTCACCTTCTACCTTTACTGCATCCTAATTAACCATCAGCAAGACCATTAGAAATTGTGATGAAAGGCTCGGTGCAATGGCTCACGCCTGTAATCCCAGCACTTTGGGAGGCCAAGGTGGGTGGCTCTCAGGAGTTTGAGACCAGGCTGGCCAACGTGGTGAAACCCTGTCTCTACTAACAAAAATTAGCTGGGTGTGGTGGCAGGCACCTCTAGTACCAGCTACTTGGGAGGCTGAGGCAGAGAGAATCACTTGAACCTGGGAGACGGAGGTTGAAGTGAGCCGAGATGGCACCACTGCACTCCAGCCTGGGCAACAGTGTATATAGGTGAAGCTTATATACTACAACTTTATTAAGAAGTGTATTTCTAGTGAAACAAGAATTGGGAGAAAGAAGAATGAGGCAGGGAATGAGGGGAGTGCTGGTGCAAATGTGCATTATAATTATGAGATCTTTGGGGTGTTGCTTCGCCAGCCAGAAACCTCTGTGGCCAGTGGCACCTTTGACTGAGTTTAGCTTGGTTCTGCCTACTCAGCCTGGCAGGCTGCATTCGGCTCACACTACCAGCCTGGATCCCAGGATGCCAAGGGCAAGCCAGGTGCGGAGTGGCAAGGGGTGTGTGAGCAAGCATGGGGTCTGGTCTCTGCGCATAGCCAGGCATGCCAACTGCTGCTGCCGGACAGGCAGCTCCAGGTGCCAGCACTGGCACCGGCTCCCTGCAAGGCCACAGCTGGACCAGGTGCACTACAGTCAGCTTCCACGGCTGGCACTGGGGAACACAGTAGTGCCCAGAAGCTTAGAGCCTTCCAGGAACTGCAGGGCCCCAAAGAGAGAGTCACAGACCTGGCTCAAGGAGCTCCCAGGTCTGGGATCCCCGAAGGGCTGCAGCCCTCCTCTTCTTTTTGCCTGCAAAATGGAGAGCAAAGGGTGTGTTTCAGCCATGTTTGTATCACGGCTCTTTTAGCCCTGGATGGCGAGTCCTGAGTTCTTGTCCTGCATACAGGAAGAATGAGGTATTCAGACAAGTGGAGGGTGAGCAAAACGAAGAGGAGCTTTATTGAGCAAAAGAACAGCTCAGAGGAGACCCACAGTGGGTAGCTCCTCTCTGTAGCCAGGGTGTCCGGAAGAGGGTTAAGCTCTTAGCAGAGAGGGTAGCTCCTCTCTGCAGCTGTTCATCCAGTTGTCTCTCCGTCCTCCCTTTGAGTCTGGCTGAATCCCAGGTTTTTACGGGACTCAAAGGGGAGGAAGTGCGTGCTGATTGGTCCACAGGTGGCTATGGGCCCACCCAGGGGAAGGCACCACAAGTTCCCCTCAGGTCAGGGTGACTGGCGGCCCAGCCCTCAGGTTTCAGGCCCTCCCTGGCTTGAAGGTGAGGCTTCACCAGGGACCCGTCCCCTTCTGCCCAGGAGCCTGTCTGCCTCCAGCCACTGTCCATGCCTTCATGCCAAGGGGCGCCTGCAGGCCAGTGCTGGGCTGTCCTCAGCCACCCCTAAGCCTCCCTTTCATGTTTGTCAGAGCCCAAAGTCTAGAGGAGGTCGAGGTGGCAGGGGGCTGGTGTGTTAACACTGCCGCAATCGTGTGCACACCTATCCAGACTGCAACACCGCCTGGACTCGGCCCCAACTTAGCTCCAAGATCAAAGTGGACACCAACAGCAGGGAGAGGCCAGGCAGCAGCAGCAGGAACTTCCCAGCCTGCTGGGGGCAAGCGGATCCTCCTGGGCCCCCAAGAGCGCAGAGATGCCTGGGTCTGCAGCCACCCTGCAGCGGCTGCAGCTGCACCCTAGAAGCTCTTGCTCCAAATTGGAAGGGGCGGGGTTCTCGCCTGTCTCCAGGTCCCACCAGCTCCGTGGAGCTTGCAGCCCTGGTGGCGCCTCCTTGCAGCCTGAGGCGGGGGCTTCATGTCCTCACTGGGCCCGGGCCTACGACTGGGGCAGGGGTGACGTTGTCACGAGTTCTCCCTGCGGCCTGGGGCTCCCCCTCGTCCTGCTTACTAACCGCTGCCCCCTTGAACAGTGTGTCTGGTTCACCCACTGGGCTGAAACTCTCCAATGACCAGGACGCGCCCCCTGCCTCAGTACCGCCTCGCCGGCTGACGGCCATGCCTGGGGTTGGGGGGCGTCTCCAGGAGCAGATGGCAGGCACGGGGCCTCACCATCAGGATTGTCTGGCTTAGCGGTCACCTTAATGTGGGGCAGGTCCTGGGGATACGGCCTCAGGCGGCCCCATACGGAGCCTCTTCCTGAGGCGCAGGAACTTGGCGCCATCGGCGGGTTGGGCGCAGTGGTCATGCCACTGGGCAGGTCCTCGAAGTGGGTGCCGCTCCCACTTCTTGCCCTGGGCCCCTGAAGCGGGGCCCCAGTTCCATGTCTCGGGCCCGGCCCCCATGCTCCGCGTGCAAGCGCGGCACCGCCCTGGGCCCAGTTCTGTCTTGGGGACCCTCTCTGCCCATTTTCTGTGCCTCACCTCCCTACTCTCCCTCCAGGGGGTGGCTGGGCCCAGCCCTATTCCCGGGGCTCCCAGGGGTGAGTTCTCAGGGCAGCAGGTTCCGGGGGCGCTCCTAGGTGCAGGCTCCAGGGGCTGCACACCTCAGAGTCTGTACCTGAGGACCCGCGACCTACTCCTGTACCCCACTGCAGCCGGCGTCATGGCAGCGGCTGCTTCGCACAGGCTGCCGCTGCCATCGTTACCATGCTGACCATCAGGTAGTATTAAACGGGATTGCTGGCTCTCTCAGGACCATCTTCAAAAGATCAAATGAACTACATCCAGGACAGTTTATACGGCAGATAAACGAATTTATACACTGGCTTTTATCTCCTCATTTATCAAATACCCATCCTGCCAACATTAACTAGCCCTTCTGGGTCTTATGGCGTCTCATACCCAAAGTTAACAGGGATGCCCCAGGGCAGGAGGAGAGAGGCACACTGTGCAGGCCTGGGGTGAGACATTGTGGCACCGTGCCCATGTGAGGTCAGAGGAGCCCATCCTTTGGCATAGCTGGTGCAGAACACGTGGCTGAGGATTCCAGAGACAGGTAAGAAAGATCTGGGATGGCACTTAAAAGGTGATATACCACCTAAGGCACCAAACGATATTTTCCAGTTCCCTTGTCAGAGTATTATGCATGGATAGTATGCATCTATCATGCTTGACCAGAGCAGAGCCAATTGAGTGATATCAGGGATCCCAGCGGTGAATGGCCTGTAGTCAATTGTTTTTTACAGAAATCGGAGGTCTGTGCTTGCAAAGGATGAGGGAAGATAAATGTAGGTAGAATATTGCCATAGGCAATGAGAGCTCCCTTTTTGCTCCTTTCTACTCTGAGTCCACTAAATACCTTGTTGCCCATGGTACTACTGAGAAACATTATTTGTAAAGAAATCCATTCTACTGAGTGGACAAGCTGCTGAATTCTACTGTGAAGTTAATGAACGATTTGTTCCTAGCCTAATTATGCACTAACCTAAATTTCCCACTAAAGTTTCTTTTGCATAATTAGAGTTTTAGGCCTTCTGGTCATTCCCAAAAGTATATTTGACCCTGATGGTCACTAGTTCATAGAAATACTATGTAGATCAAATAAAAATATTTCAAATTAGCATACGAGATAACCAAATTTTTTTCAGAAGCCAAGTAAACAGCGCAAAGCATCACAGAGAAAGAACTTATGTAGGAATATTACCATAACCAAAAAATCCTGTCAGTATTTTCATGTGCCCCTGTCCTTATCCCATTCATATTTCAGTGATTTCTTAGTCTCTAATCCTCTTTCAATTACCTAGTACTCATTCTTGATATATCCTCTGTATCTCTGTTTATATCTGCAGCTCTTGAACTCATCTGGCTTATGCTCTTAGGATAAGCCTTGATTTCTGTATTTATCTTGTTTCATAACGTTTGTCAAACTCATGGCTCTTTTATAATATTCTGCCTCTATCAAGCTCATGCCTCTTCTACATATCCTGACTTGTGTTGTCAGGGATATGCAGTATTCCCATCCCCTGGCCCAATTATGTGTTACAAAATTTAGTTCAGTCCTGGTAGAATTAGGACTTCACTGAACCAGGCAAAGCTATTCTCTCAGAATTATGTGTATATAGTACAGTACCTAAAGACCCATTAATTTTTTTCAATTAAGACGTTTTTGTTTTAAGTGGCCAAAAGTCCCACAAAAAGTCGCTTAAGAAAAAAGAATATTTCTGACTAATGTATCTGAAAAGTCTAAGGACAGATTCAGCTTCTCAGACACAAATGGATTTCAAGGCACTTATATTGGATTCTGGTCTCTTTCTATCACTCAGCTTGGCTCCATTCTTAGGTAGCTTTTCCCTCATGGCAGCAATGTGTTTTCTAGAGAATCCAGATTTATAGACTCATAGCTCCATCCCCACTTCTCCTTTGCCACAGTTTAAACAAAAGTCATAGGCTTGACTCTCACCGGGTCACGTGCTTAACCCTAAGTCTGTCACCAAGGCTAGGGTGATAAGACGCTGTTATTGGCTGAGACTGAGCCGCATGTCGAAAGCATAGTCAAGACCACCTAAACCACAAGAACTGTGAGTAAGAAAGAGATGCCTCACAGAAGAAAATCTGGTGCTGTTACTGTAAAGGCAGCCATTCACCAGGTAGAACAGACATGAGATAGCCATCATAGTCGCCTTGACTGATTCACTCTTCCCTCCGATATGGCTTTCACAGGTCCAATTCTTAGGCCAACCACTATAATATCTAGTCTTAGCTTGACACACGTGGGAATGCTCCACAGATTTCTTTACAGAATCACAGACTTTCCCTTACTTTTTGCCAAAGAACCATGGTCTGAAGTGCACCTGTTTCCCCTCTCATTTATACTTAAAAAAGCAAAAAAAAAACTATTACAAATACGAAAAATATCTAACCATAGCGTAAGGAAAATACAAGCCACGCTACTTTGCTGGTGTTTAAACCAGTAAAATCAGAGACATAACGAGCATGCATCTTTGCACAGATACCACTTTCCACAGTGGTTGATATGCCTGCATTCTGCTGGGGTGGAAAATTGTATCAAATCAAAATTACAGTGAGGGATCAGCTCACACCTTTCAGGATGGCTATTATTGAAAAAAATAAGACAAGTGTTGGTGAGTATGTGGAGAAATTGGAACCCTCGTACATTGTTAACAGGAATGAAAAATTATACAGCTGCTGTGAAAAAGTATATGTAGGTTATTCAAAAATTTAAAAATAAAACTACCATATGATTCAGCAATCCCACTTTGGGGTATTTATCTAAAAGAATTGAAATCAGGATCTTTAATAGATGTTAGTACTCCTATATTCATTGTAGCGCTATTCACAATTGCCAAGATATGGAAACAATCTAAGTGTCCATCAACAGATGAATGGATTTAAAAAATGTGGTATATACATACAGTAGAATATATTTTGCCTTAAAAAGAAGGCAGATGCAGCCGTGAAAAAGAATGAGGTCATGTGTTTTGTGGGAATATGGATGGAGCTAGAGGGTATTATCCTTAGTAAACTAATGCAGGAACAGGAAACCAAATACTGCATGTTCTCACTTATAAGTGGGAGCTAAATGATGAGAACTGATGAACACAAAGAAGGAAACGACCGACACTGGGGTCTACTTGAGGGTGGAGGGCTGTGGGGAGAGGAGCAGAAAAGATAACTATTGGCTACTGCACTTAATTCACAAGTGATCAAATAATCTGGACAACAAACACGACTTGAGTCTACCTATGTAACGAACATTCATATGTACCTCCAAACCTAAAATGAAAATTAAAAAATACAATCATACAGGAAGCATTGTCAAATATTAAAAACAGAAGGCAGAACGTGACAACATGTCTGCAATGTGTGATAATATAGATGAACCTTGAGGACGTTATGCTAAATGAAATAAGCCAGTCGCAGAAAGACAACTACTGCTTGATCCCATGTGTATGAGGTATTTAAAATAGTCAAGTTTATAGACTCAAAGAGTGGAATGGTGATTACCAGCAGCTGGGGGAAACATGGAGCATTACTATTCAATGAGCATAAAGTTTTAGTCAAGCAAGATAAATAAGTAGAGCTCTGCTGTACAACATTGTATCTATAGTCAAAAATAATGTACCCTAACTCAAAGATTTGGTAAGAGAGTAGATTTTATAAGTGTTTTTGCTACAATTAACACATAAAATAACCACATAGAATTTAATTTTAAAAGAAATTTGTCAAAAACAAGCAAGCCTCAAGTCCTGCTGTATATAAGGAACATATAAGAAATCAAAGATTCAATTTATTCCTAGACACACACCCTTCTCCTGCTAGCAACTACCAACAGTACTGTTATGCCACATTCTCAACATCCTTTGTGGCTATAGCGACATTTTTGAATCCTTGCTTTTGTTTCCTCGTTCCTGGAGTTACATATGTCTCCCATCAGGTTAGTGTCCCCTTGGCTGTTAATTCTGGTAGAGCACAGCACATTAAGACACAAAAGTTGCTTAACTGTCAAACAGCACAACCTGGATTCCGCACCCCCAACACCATCCCACTTCTCTCTCTCTCTCTCTCATTTATCTTTCTACCTTCCTTCTTCTCTTTTTTCAAAGGAAGAAAACTTCTTAATGGGGATGAGTAGCATTTTTTTTGTCAGAATAGGATAAAGACAAAAGATTCTTCTTAAAGTGTCCGATTTATATGAACTGTATTTTCAGGCCTTTCCAGATGTTGCATGCATTATACTTGTAGTGTTGGTAAATGTGAAGGATTTCCCACGTGAAGAATGGTAGGAAACGGGAATATGAGCTCAGGAGAAAAAACACCCAGACTCTTTCTCTTATGTGCTCATAAAGACACCCTAAATTAACTTAGAAAATAGAAGCCACAGCTGATGAAAACAATGGAAACTATCCCTAGCTCCCCATTCAACAGATTAGTTGCCTGATCAATCTCCCCAACCCCCTGACACACACAATGTATCTCAGGAGACCCAGAGAGATGCCAGATTTTATCTGCTTTAATTATTTTATGATGCATTGCAGAAGGATATTTAAAATTTCTAAGAATTAGAAATATGAAATATGGTCCAGCCAGAAATTTTTTAAAAACCCAGGCGGTGGGCTCTTTGCCCACAGCTTTCCATCTGCCCCAGAAATGGTGCCCATCTGCACCACACTGTTTGTGGCTGCTGGGTTTTAATTGGTACTGAACATGCAAAGCAAATGGCACAGACGCACCATCCTCTTTGAGAGCTGAGGTGGTTTTCAGTGGATAGAGAGAAGTTTTCAACTCAGTCATGCCACGTGGAGGACTATCTTTGCCCTTGGGGTTTTCTTTATGGCCAAGAATCTTTTGGGCCAAGAATCTACTTGGCCAAGAATCTAGAACAACTAACTTAGTACCCAACCCTGGTTGCACTTTAGAATCACCTGTTTAGCTGTGGAAATAAACAGGCACTGGGGTTATCCCTAGATCAAATGCATCACAATTCAGAGGCATCAGCCCTTTTTAAAAATTTTCCAATAAATTCTAAAAACCATAGTTTTCTCAGCTAGTGAAAAATTTTCTTTCGGTTTCTCCCTCCTTTTCCCCCTCCCTCTCCTCCCTTCATTCTTTCCTTCATTTCTCCTTTTCTCCCTCCCTCCTTCAAATGTAAGTTTGGTGCAAAAGTAATGGCAAAAACTGCAACTCCTTTTGCATTAACCTAATAATAGGCTGTTGTGACATGATTATTTCCCCAAAACACTCCCATTCTCATTCTAACTGTTTAAAAAAAAAAGCCATTTAAATCTACAGTGTTCTATTTCCAAACATTTTCTAGGATTATAGAGGCTTGTTTTCAATATATGTATTAATAAAATGATGTGAAGCACTATTTGGCTTTACCAGTGAGATATCTTGGCTCTGGCCCTTGGTAGAAGCAGAAGATTAGGAATTGAGTGATGAAGCTGAAGAAACATGGACAAATGACTTTTCCCATTTCCTCTTCGTTGTTGTTGATGCCTGCACCCACATATAGGGCCCTTTAGAGTACCAAGCCCTCCAGTTCCCTCACTGATTAATTTATTCATTAAATAAATAAATGTAGACAGATCTTTTTCACCCTAACAATATTCCTGGCCCCATGCTAAGTGTTAAGTATACACTGATGAATAAGAAAATTCTTCTGCTTTTAAGTGAATGAAGCATAGATACTTAATCGTAACACAAGGTTTTGCATTCTTAAATGGACATATTTGAGCACAGTCTTTTTTTATTATTATTATACTTTAAGTTCTGAGGTACATGTGCAGAACATGCAGGTTTGTTACATAGGTATACATGTGCCATGGTGATTTGCTGCACCCATCAACCCCCATCATCTACATTAGATATTTCTCCTAATGCTATCCCTCCCCCTACCTCCCACTCCCTGACAGGCTCCTGTGTGTGATGTTCTCCTCCCTGTGTCCATGTGTTCTCATTGTCCAGCTCGCACTTATGAGAACATGCGGTGTTTTGTTTTCTGTTCTTGTGTTAGTTTGCTGAGAATGATGGTTTCCAGCTTCATCCATGTCCCTGCAAAGGACATGAATTCATCCTTTTTTATGGATGCATAGTATTCCATGGTGTATATGTGTCACATTTTCTTTATCTAGTCTATCATTGATGGGCATTTGGGTCAGTTCCAAGTCTTTGCTGTTGTGAACAGTGCCACAATAAACATGCATGTGCACGTGTCTTTAGAGTAGAATGGTTTATAATCTTTTGGGTATATACCCAGTAATGGGATTGCTGGGTCAAATGGTATTTGTAGTTCTAGATCCTTGAGGAATCACAATACTGTCTTCCACAATGTTTGAACCAATTTACACTCCCACCAATAGTGTAAAAGCATTTCTGTTTCTCCACATCCTCTCCATCATCTGTTGTTTCCTGACTTTTTAATGATCACCATTCTAACTGGCATGAGATAGTATCTCATTGTGTTATTGATTTGCATTTCTCTAGTGACCAGTGATGATGAGCTTTTTTTCATATGTTTGTTGGCTGCATAAATGTCTTCTTTTGAGAAGTGTCTGTTCAGATCCTTCACCCACTTTTTGATGGGGTTGTTTTTTTTTTCTTGTAAATTTATTTAAGTTCTTTGTAGATTCTGAATATTAGCCCTTTGTCAGATGGATAGATTGCAAAAATTTTCTTCCATTCTGTAGGTAGCCTGTTCACTCTGATGATAGTTTCATTTGCTGTGCAGAAGCTCTTTAGTTTAATTAGATCCCATTTGTCAATTTTGACTTTTGTTGCAATTGCTTTTGGTGTTTTAGTCATGAAGTCTTTGCCCATGCTTATGTCCTGAATGGTATTGCCTAGGTTTTCTTCTAGGATTGTTATGGTTTTAGGTCTTATGTTTAAGTCTTTAATCCATCTTGAGTTAATTTTCACGTAAGGTGTAAGGAAGGGATCCAGTTTCAGCTTTATGCATATGGCTAGCCAGTTTTCTCAACATTTATTAAATAGGGAATCCTTTCCCCATTGCTTGTTTTTGTCAGGTTTGTCAAAGATCAGATAGTTGTAGACGTGTGATGTTATTTCTGAGGCCTCTGTTCTGTTCCATTGGTCTATATGTCTGTTTTGGTGCCAGTACCATGCTGTTTTGGTTACTGTAGCCTTGTAGTATAGTTTGAAGTCAGGTAACATGATGTCCCCAGCTTTGTTCTTTTTGCTTATGATTGTCTTGGCTATGTGGGCTCCTTTTTGGTTCCATATGAAATTTAAAGTAGTTTTTTTCCAGTTCTGTGAAGAAAGTCAATGGTAGTTTGATGGGGATAGCACTGAGTCTATAAATTACTTTTGGCACCATGGCCATTTTCACGATATTGACTTTTCCTATCCGTGAGCATGGAATGTTTTTCCATTTGTTTGTGTCCTCTCTTATCTCCTTGAGCAGAGGTTTGTTGTTCTCCTTGAAGAGGTCCTTCACATCCCTTATAAGTTGTATTCCTAGGTATTTTATTCTCTTTGTAGCAATTATGAATGGGAGTTTGACAAAATTCAACAGCCCTTCATGCTAAAAACTCTTAATAAACTTTGTATTGGTGGAACGTATCTCAAAATATTAAGAGAGATTTATGACAAACCCACAGCCAATGCCATACCGAATGGGCCATTCCCTTTGAAAACTGGCACAAGACAAGAATGCCCTTTCTCACCACTCCTATTCAACATAGTATTGGAAGTTCTGGCCAGGGCAATCAGGCAAGAGAAAGAAATAAAGAGTATTCAATTAGGAAAAGAGGACGTCAAATTGTCTCTTTTTGCAGATGACATGATTGTATATTTAGAAAACCCCATCGTTTCAGCCCAAAGTCTCCTTAAGCTGATAAGCAACTTCAGCAAAGTCTCAGGAACAAAATCAATGTGCAAAAATCACAAGCATTCCTGTACATGAATAACAGACAAAGAGTGAGCCGAGTCTTAAAGACTAAATAGGAATTAACAGGGCAAAAAACGAAAAGAGGCATTCCGGGTAGAGGGGAAAACAACCAAAAGCTCAGAGGTGAGAAATGGTACAATCCCTGTAAGAATGTGTGAGTGTTCAATGCGGCTCAAGTTTGGATTGCATGTTGAGGACTGGCTGCTGACTGATAACACCAGGCTGCTCTCCTCACTGCTGCCTGTGTGCGCATTTGAGGCTTTGACTTTTGATTTAGAGCCTCACTTTGAATGATCCTTTCAACAAAATCTAACTGCACCCCAATTTTTTATGTTTATTCCATGTTTCTGTGTTTTGTTTTTCTTCTTTTTTCCCTATAGGCTGGTGGGTATTGGGTTTGGGTGGGTGAGGACTGATGAATTGAGTTCCCATTTGATTCACAGACTATATAGCACATATACAACACACCCTTATTAGGGAATCTTAATGAGGGATACAGGCTTTCAACCTCTAGTGATAAGGTTGCCAAGCCTTTCTGGAGTATGGGCCTGGGAATCTGAATTCTTAACAGTTTCCCCCAAGTAAACCCTTAGCACAGTCAGATTGGACAGCACTTCCCTAGTGCCCAGTGCTGATGTGAGAAGGTTACATTCAGGGCATACTAGCTAACACTTATCTAGTAGTAACAAAATGCCAGGAATCATTCAAATTGCTTTTTAAAAATTAACTCACTTAACCCTCATAAGAACCCTGTAAGGCAAGCTTATAACTATGTCCATTTTAGAGATAAGGAAACTGGGGCACAGAGTTCAAATGACTTGTCTGAATCACACGGCTAGTCAGTGGCAGAACTAGAATGATTTCATAGCCTAGATTGCTTTTCTAAATTTTCAAGGCCATTAGCCAAGCTGATACGAAATACCTGCTATGCTCCAGGCACAGTCTATATTGCAGTGGATACATAAAGGTATTAGGTTGGTGCAAAAGCAATTGCGGTTTTTGCTATTACTTTTAATGGCAAAAACCACAATCACTTTTGCAACAGCCTAATAAAACAGAGCCAGTGTGTGCTGGTAAACACGTTATATCTGGCTCTCCGGGTGGGGGGAGGGGTGGAGACATGATTTGTAATGTTTGTCAGTTTCTATGGTTCAGATGTCACTGACCATAGAATTGGGAAGAAATGTGCACAGTGCGCTCTGAAAAGCTGTTATGAGCTGGCTCCAGATCACCACCTGATACATCCTCTGCTCACTTGTGACTTGCTGCCTGGTGTCAGGTATCACAACAAATGCCATCATGAAGGCACCAGCCAGTGGCTAGGGAAGAACAGAGAAGGAAAATCTATTTTCTCAAACAGCAGGAGGGTCAAGCGGCTTTGGAGATCTAAAGTCGTGCTCTTGGTTGGGAAAGTGGGAGGACCAAGGAAACTGCATTTCAGCACTTGGACAGCACAGAACAGCACAGAGTTGGGGGGCCATCTGTCAGGGGAGATCAAGGGTAGGAGCTCAAAGGCCTTCCTGCCAGCAAATATCATTCTTGATAATCTCCTTGCAAGTTTATTTATTTATTTACTTATTTAGAGACAAGGTCTCACTCTGTCACCCGTGCTGGAGTGCAGTGGCATGATCTTGGCTCACTACAACCTCTGCCTCCCAGGTTCAAGCAATTCTCCTGCCTCAGCCTCCCAAGTAGCTGGGACTATAAGTGCCTGCCACCACGCATGGCTAATTTTTGTAATTTTAGTAGAGATGAGGTTTCAGCATGTTGCCTAGGCTGTTCTCGAACTCCTGAGCTCAAGTGTTCCTCCCGCCACAACCTCCCAAAGTGCTGGGATTACAGGGGTGAGCCCAATTTATTTCAACTCAACTTCATTTCCCCTTCTTTCTCTCCCCACCCCAGGTCAAATACAGGTCTGCAAATTTTCTAGAGAGAATTTCCTGCCACACCCTATAGACCAGCTGCCCTTCACATGTGCAAACATTCTCCCTAGGGCTAACGCAGAGCACCCATGAGGCAGCCTCGAAGCACATAACAGCTATGGGGGGCCTGGGGACTCAGATGACAGACAAGATGCATGGTGATTTTTTGTGCTATTTTAGGTACCAGCAATGTTTCTATGGGGTCAATCTGTCCAGTCTCCAGGGTGCTACAGTGGATGAATACTTCAGGCAGCCAATAGTAGTAAGTGTGCTCTCTTTGCAGGCTTTCTCCCATGTTTATATATTGATTCATTCATTCACTCGCTCATTCACTGGTATGCACTGTGCTGCCAGCTTCTGTGCTAAGCCATCACAGAATAGGAGAAAGAGTTCCCTAGAGCACTATGTTTTCAAGTCTTCCAGCTCTAATCTCCTCCATCAATTAAGAAAATCATCAGACAATGATACTATTGAAAGCAAGGGAATTTTTAAACTACCTTTCAGTAAGTAACTTCTAGTTCCCCACTGCCCTGACCCACCCCATACACAACTCAGCCCTTACATTTGTTCAGTAATTCACATCCTCCCATTCATTCTCATGGCCCAAAACATAATAGAAGAGCAAGCATTATATAACAGCTTAGAACAGGAGCTTTGCCGTTAATCAGATTTAAATTTCAGCCATGGCCCCATTTTGCTGTATAACCTTGGAAAACTTTAAGTTTGCATCATCTGAAATTCTTTCAGTTGTAAGTGGGAGAAAAATCAAATTGGCTTAAGCTAAAATTGAATGACTGTCTTTCAAAAATTACAAAGCCTGGAGACAGAGTTTGCTTCTGGCACCTGTTGCAGGGGCTCCAAAAATGTCACCAGGACATGATTTTTCTATCCTTGTCACTTATCTCCACTTCCTCTGATTTAACTCTTTTCCTAGACAGGCTTTCCCTTCATGGTAGCAAGATGGCTACAGAAACTCCAGCCTCTGATTCTTACGACTGTAAATTCCACAGGAAAGCCTGCCTTTTCCTAATAACTTAAGCAAAGAGCTCCAGATTTAGTTTAGGTAGTTCAGTGAGGTTATCGTACCTTGGATTATGTGCTCATCTACGGATCAATCACTGTCTTCAGGGGAAAAGTAGTGCTCTGACTTGCCAATCTGGGGTCATATGCCACACCTGTTACTGAGGGTAGACTAAGTTCACATGGAACTTTTTGGACAGAATGTGGAGAAGAGATGAATCCGCACTGCTAAACAAATTCTGGATAGTCAGAAAACACACACACACACACACACACACACACACACACCCCAAATGCCTGCTCCAGAGATTTTTTATAGAGTAAATGATATATCCTAGTAAAGCCCTTAGCACTTAGTAAAGCACGAAAAGCACTCAGTGCTTAACATAGTAGGTACTCATAAACGTTTTTATTGTTAACAGTATTCTCATTAAGCTCATGCTTTCTAAATCCCAACTACTGATGACTTAAAATTACAGGAGAAAAGCTAAACTTCAAATTTCCTTGAGCTCAGTTTATCTTGGCAGAAAGGTAACATCTTTGATTTTTCCCCCTAAGGACACATTTGATGTTAGGATTTTGATGGCTGGAACAGTCAAATACACAGCAAACTTTATGGATGCAGAAGAGGAAGATCTACACAGGTTTGTGCAAATCAGTGTTGCTCTTGATGTTTAAAATCTTCCCTCTACATCTCCCACCCACAAAACTTCATTGCAGACTTTTGCTACTCACACAGGGGAGAGATTTTAGATATTGGTCACATATGGGAATGATGTGTCAATATTAGCTTCATTTATTGCTAAATAAAGATAATGATGTCTCCTTCCTAGGATATTATCCCCATTTTATAGATGACACATACGAGGCAAAGTGGAATGATATGTTGCCTAAAGTCACAGAATTAAAAAGTATATTAGAACTAGGATTTAAACCTTTCAGAAGGCTCCAAAGTCTGTGCTTTTAGCCACTCTGCTTTGTGCCTCTAAAGTAACAGCATATATGTGAATGCACTTAGGCCAGTGAATGTATGAAGGACAAGCAAAGAGCTACAACTTGTTAAGTACTTTCTACTTACTAGGTACTGTGCTAAGTGTTTTAGAGGCACCAGCTGATTTCTAAAGAGGGCACTCAATAAATGTTCATCTGTGTCCTCTTCCCCTCCATTTTAAAAGACTCTGAAATGAGGATTCCTACCTTGACTTGGCTCCATTTATTTAGATAGTGGTATGAATCCATTTGGGGTGATTTTTCACTCATATTTTGTCTTTTTCTCCCTTAGAAGATTAATAGTCATATTTGTTTTCTGGACAAGAAAGTTAAGACTTAGCCAGATGGTTGTTTGCCTGGAGCTACTGAAGAAGCAAGGGTGAGAATTCAGAAGGTGCATCTGGCTAATGAAAAAATCATCCATCTTGATATCATGATGCACAAAGGGTATCCTGGATGTTAGGATAGGCTAGAACATGCTGCAGAAACAAAAAGAAACCTCAGCGGCTTCTAATAACTTAGGTGTCTTGTTTTCTACACAATGTATCCATCATGCACCAGCTTTATCTCTACCATGCATTACACACACTAGTAATTGGGCCAGTGCAGCAGCTTCTATCTGAAATGATGCTGGTCACTGAGGAGAAAGAATGAGTATGTCAAAGTATGCAAGGACAATGAAAGCTTCTGCCTGGAAACG
The DNA here is from genome assembly GCF_000001405.40 of Homo sapiens. Classification (NCBI taxonomy): domain Eukaryota; kingdom Metazoa; phylum Chordata; class Mammalia; order Primates; family Hominidae; genus Homo; species Homo sapiens. The sequence continues at coordinate 2,920,742 of NC_000009.12, read as the reverse complement.
GCACAAGTCACTTCGTTCACATTTGATCAGTTGAAGCAAATCATGTGGCAGTACCTGAGCTCAAGTGGATGGAAAACTGCAATCCTTCCATATGCTCAGAGCAAGAGAAATGGCATTTGCAAACGACTTTAATAACTATCAAAGATCCAGACAAAATCGACTTTGATTAGCTTTATTTATTGCTCTGAACTACCTCCTGAATCCTAGGGAATATTTTGAAAATTATGTCTATGTGGGTTTTCCACCGATGTCGTTCATTCATTTGTGCATCAATTCAGCAAATGTTTATTGAGATCCTACTATGTGCCAGGTACTGTGGTGGTGCTAGCACATGTGTGGAAAGTAATTTTTAAAGTCTCTATTCTTCAGGAGCTCATAGTTTATCTAGGGAGATGCAAAACATGAAAAGAAATAATAACAGTCAAGACCAATAAATTCACTGTGCCAAGTACAATGGAAAACTCTAGAAATATTTTATTTTCAGCAGAGTGAAGGAAGTTAAGTCTTTGGGGACACCATGAATACAGATAACATACAACCTTCTTTGAAAACTTCTAAAGCACTTCAGAAAATCCAACTCCTTGGAATGATACAGCCCCAGCAATGAGCCAATAATATCACCTCTTAATTATGAATCACTCTAAAGTTGGCAAAGAACTCTATATACATGTTTGCAAAGAACTCTTATATACATGTTTTTCCATTTAACATACAGAAGAACCTTATGAGGAAAGTAGGAGAGAGATTTTGTCACCCTTCAACAAATGCAGATACCAAGTTTCAGGGAATTTAAGTGCCTTCCAAGGTTCCACAGCTAAAATAGGTCCAGCATCTAGATTGCATTGTGTATTTCCCAATATTCTTTCTATTCCTACTTATTCTGCATTTGGCATAAACCATAGCCACTTCTGCATGACTCTTGTTATAGCCTACTGGAAGTTAAATTGCCTCCCGCAAAAAGAAATTAACTATGAGGATGGCCTTCTGAGCTCGATGTTTCCTTTGTGCTCCAGTCCATTTTTAGAGGCCTGAACAACCTTTCCCTTTGAGCAGCTTTGTAGGGGAACTGTCCCTGCCCATGCTTTGGCTTATTGAAGGATGGCTGCCCTCTGTGTCCTGAGTCATGCTCCTCTTCTCTAGTCAAACCCAGCTCCAGATGTTACATTCACCCTATGCAGTTCCAGGTCATTGCAGCAGAGTAGCGTGGTTCTTGAAGGATTTTGTCAAGAAGTAAGCTTCTCAAATGTGCAGCATCACCCAAGCATTAATCACACACTGAGAGAACTTGGCTGCCAAGGCAAAAGTGCCCAAGAGAGAAAGAAAATATTCCTACTGACCTCACAAATGTATCTAGTACATCTGCCAACAACAACAATAGTTTCGAGTCTTTCATCTTTTTTATTTCCTTACAGAGTAGAAATTCCCTTTGTGTTTCAGATGGCAGTCTGGGCTCATCCATGGCCTGGCGTTCTGGTTTGATGTGGCATTTGTTGGATCTCTGTATGTATACCCCCCACCAACATTTTCTCAGTCTGCTCTACCCCATGCTATCTACTATTTGTAATCACAATTTTAAAGTGTTTAATAATTGATTTTAATGACACTAATTCTTGTTTCTCCAATTTTCAAGGAAATAAACACAGATGTTAATGTTAATTTTAGATTTTAGGAAAAAGTGAAAATGAGATGCTTTTCTGTGTGTCATATCAACTCTAACTAAACTACGCAAAGCCTCTTAAGCCAAATGAATTGAGCTTTGGAGGAGTGAGAGAGGGTTTGTGCTTTTTGAACCTTCTTGGTCTTTAATAGAATCGATGGGGTGGTACCCCAAGCCTTTGCTTTTGTTTCTGACACACCTGGTTATACTATCTCTTGTATCTGGGTGATGCCTGGAATTATACTTTTCCTGATTTTGGTTTATACTCTGGAGTCCTGTGACGATCAGGCAGGTGTGTATTACTAATGCTAGTTGCAACATTAGGAAAATTCGCTATCTGTGCACCTTCCTACTGCACAGGTTTGAAAGTTGCAGGGAAAAGAGGGGAAAGACTACCTACACGTTGGCTGTCACTGTGTGGTGTTCCTCATGTGGGCTGCACCACTCCATGGCCACCAAATCTCTGTTCTCTTCCTGACTGCCCTACTCTCTTCCCAGGCTTTCTAGTATGTTCCAACTAGCAAAGAGATCTGGTCTGGGTCACATGCCCAAGTGGAGGAAAATGTTTACCGTGTAACTCTCCTCCATTCCTTGTGAGAATGCCCAGGCTTATCATTGTACCTGCTTAGAAAGAAATGCCCATGGGGCTGTAATACAGCTTGGGGGTCTGGGGGAAGACTCAAGAGAGGGGACCCCTGGAAACCTTGTCAGAGCTGACAATCTGAGAAAAATAAAATGAGGCACAAATCATCTTGACTCCGTATGAACATATTTGTTCAAAGAATACATACATTTGCTCCTCTCTGTAATAACCCATGTAAATGAATTTGGTCCTGCAAGGGTGAGAGAGACAAGCTTGAAGTGGCCTACCTCAAGGGGGAAGTGTCTTTGAAGTTAAATGCTTTATCTTTTTAAAAAATATATATATAGAAAATTTGTGGGCCAGCTTGGGCAACGTAGCAAGACCCTATCTCACAAAAAATTTTTTAAAAATTAGCTGGGTGTGGTGGTGAATGCCTGTAGTCCCAGCTACGCGGGAGGCTGAGGTGGGAGAATCACTTGATCCCCTGGGCAACAGAAAAACAGGCTTCAAAACAGGGTTTCTACCCTGTTTCAAAAAAAAAGAAGAAGGGGAAGGAAGATTTGCATTTTATTCTATATTATATCTCAGTATATTTTGATATAAAGGTCATTTATATTCTTAGGCAGCTAAATTACATAAAATTTTTCCCCAAATCTTCTAGTCAAAATTAACCCTTTAGGAATTTTCCCCATGCTTAATGTGCCCCTTGCTCCTCTCCAGCCAGCAACCACTGCACAACCACTGAACACGTGACCTTGGTGTAGAAGCACAGCAAGACTTTCTCACTTTTTCATATGAACTGAGGAAACTCAATTTAACACTCAGGCAGACACACACAGGATGTCTGGGCTGGAAGCATGGTAGAGGTCATCTGCTCTAGTAGTTTTTCTTGCTTCCAGAAGCCCCTTCAAGACCCCTGAACAGGTTGGCAGGAGTCAGTAAGAGACCAGACTCTAGACATCTCCCTTTGCTACACTAGTCAAGCAAATCAGCTTCTGATTTAACCTTGTTACTTATTGGGCCTCTAATGAGCTTTGATTCAGAAATACAGGTTGCCATGGTGGCCAAGTCTATGAGTTTGAAGCATGACTCTCCAGTTGTCCTGTGTGATGTCGGGCAAGTTGTTTAACCTCTCTGGGCATACTTCATAGGACGATTGTATAGATTTACTAAAATTATATACATAAACTCTTAATTCAGTACTCAACATGTGGTACTTGCTCCATAATTTTATTTTATTTTTTTGAGATGGAGTCTTGCTCTGTCGCCCAGGCTGGAGTGCAGTGGTGTAATCTTAGTCACTGCAACTTCTGCCTCCTGGGTTCAAGCTATTCTCCTGCTTCAGCCTCCCAAGTAGCGGGGACTACAGGGGCCTGCCACCATGCCCATCTAATTTTTGTATTTTTAGTAGAGATGGGGTTTCACCGTATTGGCCAGGCTGGTCTCGATCTCCTGACCTTGTGATTCGCCCACCTTGGCTTCCCAAAGTGCTGGGATTATACAGCCGTGAGCCACCGCGCCCAACCTGCTCCATAAATTGAGCTATCCTTCTCATCAAAGGGCTCTATGAGTCAAAAGAACAAAAACCACTATCAACCTTAGTTTCCAATCCAACCCATTAATGTGGGTCTGGCATGTGATTGGCTTTTATCTCTTTTCTTGCCCTATAGGGTAACTGTTTGGCTGTCAACAGCCCCAGCTGAGCCTCTGACTCATTGGTACCAGGTGCAGTGCCTCCTGCAGACTCCTCTCTTTGCCAAGGAAGGGAAGACACTGTCAGGGAAAGTGCTGTTTGTAGCCAATAAATGGTAAGCAGGAAAGTACAGATGTGCTTTCACCTCTGTTTCCAGGGCATTGAGGTCTGGGAGCAGGAGGAAGCTGGCAGGCCCCTAAGACTCCAGCACCTACAAATGGACAGCAGGCTTTCCAGAGGCCTGCCTGAGCACTGTGTGTGGTAACGAAGAGGAGCTTCAGATAACTTAAGGGCAGTGTTCTCCAGCTGACCATGGAGGAAGGAAGGAAGGAAATCCAGCAGCTCACAGGAGCACTTGCCAAGGCTTGAATGATCAGGTGTTTAAACCTTGTGTCAGCTTCCTGGACTGACTTACATCGGTCTGGCCACATACCCCCAAATTTAGTACAATAAAATTGATCTGTATACAGGGGACAAAAGCATTCCAGAGGCAGTATATAGTATCAGGAAGGACTCTGTGGTATTGGATTTCATGAGTTATCTGCAAGATATACCTCGATTTATCTCTCATTTTTTCAGTATCCTATTTCACCTTGTTGGAACTCTGCTGTGTGAATTAGAGGATAGAAGAGTAGAGAAGGGGTTCTACGACCTTCAGGGTATCAAGGGTACTCAGAGGTCATCTTATTCAGCTTTCTTTCCTCACTACCTCACACTCTTCCTTCTATTTTATCTTTTGCAGATGTAATAGTCAAATTTTTATTTCAAAACTATTAAGCAGAAAAAGGCCTGTGCTTGAATACTCCTGTGACAAAGAGCTCACCACCTCACAAATTGACCCTTTCATTTTTAAAGTCTTTATTTCTTTAATTACAAAAACCTAACATACTCCCATATAATTCAAAACTACAAAAGTGTATAGAGTCCTTTTCCACTCTCACACCTCACCCCACACCTCTGATGTGACAGTTTGATTTGTATACTTTCAGGTGATTTTTCCATGATGTGCCAACAAATAACATCATGGTGGGGCTTGTTTGTACAAGTTATACTACAAGTCCGCAACTTAATTTTTACTTAGTAATAAGTCCTGAATCTGCACAGATAGATCTTTTTTGTTCTTTTTAATACACGCAGAATAGTCCAGAGCATGAATATACTATAATGTTTTTTTTTTAAAAAAATCTCTGATTGACTGATTCAGGTTGCTTTCAATTATTTTGGCATTGCAAAAAATTCTGCAGTGAACATCTCGGAACACATAGTGTGCACGGTGACATGAGTGTTTTCAAATGAGATGCCTAGAAATGGAAATGCTGAATCACAGAGTATGTGCATGTTACGCTCTGGTAGATACTACTTTTCTCAATGGTTGCACCAATTTCCCCTTGCGCCAGCAATAAATAAACATGTTCATTTCTCTACATCTTTTCCTAAACTTCATGTTATCCATCTCTATGATTTGTGTCAGTCTGATAGACCCAAAAATATTTTTTTACAGTAGAATCTTGTTGTTTGGTTTGTATTTAATTTTTGGTAAGGTTAAGTCGCTCTTCATATGGTCCTTGGCTATTAATGTCTCCCATTTTCAACATCTCCAATTATTAAAAAATTATCCTTGCTGTTGATTCTATATCTTACTTTCTATAAATTCTACTTATTGATCTTGGTTGTGTTTCTGAACTAGAACAAGGTAGGTTGGCTCTAACCTCTAAATGGCAATTGTTCAAATATTTGGAGAGTTTTACCAAATGTCCTTCTAGGCTACCTGTCTTTAAGCTAACATCCTCAACTCCTTCCTCCTATAAAAGTGATTTTGAAATAGTTTGAAATTCTAAGTTCTCCCCTCTGAAATACCCTGGTTATCAATGTCCCCTTTTAAAATGTTTCTTCAGAACTAATTACAGGACAACAGCATATGTATTCTGATAAATGTTGGGATCAGAGCAATAGTAACTATTTCTGTTTTGAATCATAGTAATATATTTTTAAGTTTGGGATCCATTTTACTTGAGTGTATAGTCAATTAAACACAAGAAGTATATTTTTGCATGATTGACTTTTAAATCACATTTCTCCCTTTTCCTAGCATGCAGCAGGTCTTTTTCAACTTCGGTACAGGTTTTTGTATTTATTCCACTCATTCAATTATCTACTGTTTTTGGATCTTTACCAGAGCCAGTGCATTATTTCTTTTAATTTTTTTTAGCATATTAGTGATTCCTACCATTTTATCTTTTGTAGATTTAATAGGCAAATTTTTATTTAAAAAATATTAAGTAGAAAAAGGCCAAGGATGGAATCTTCCTTCAAAGTTTGCTATCCAGCTTTCTTCACACCTTTTGGCTTTGGTCATGGAAGTAGCTCAAAATCCACTCCCTGTGTTCATTCCCAGCCCACATTTCTCCATCTAGGCCAGAACGAAATATGATATGACCTTTTTGGAATATGATATCTAAATAAGCTTAATTTCTGACTTTACTCTCATAGCCCAGTCCAATAACTCTGCCAATAGAAAGGAAATGAAACTAATTGGACATAGCTTTTATTTTAGTGAAACTGAGCTAGATCTCTAATTACCATGACTTTCTATCTCCTTAACCTCATTTGTGCCCCTCCCCTTCCCCCATCATGTAGCCTCTGTTATTATTTCTTGCATATCCTCTCAGAGTTTCATTTTAGACATAAAATTACAAAACACTGTAAAGGCAAGAATCTACTTTCTTATTTATTTCCCCCTCACTGCTTTTATACCTAAATAGTAACATTCTGTATCTGTTTTCTATGTCCTTTTTCACTTAACAATACATCTCAAAGACATTTCCATATCTGCACATCAAGATCCTTCTGGTTCTCTTCCGTCTGCATCATGATCTTCCTTCATGGAAGTTATTGCTTCCTCCATAGAGGTGAAGCCTTCATTGTGTTTTAAAAATTGTGACAAAATATTTGCTCACCTTTTTTACATGTGCCACGGCATCATTTTACTGATACATGTTTTTCATGTGTTTGTAAATTTTACTACTTTTTTTCTACTTTTGTTCTTGATCACCTCTCTCTCACTTGTTTTGATGTTCTTGTCGTTCATCAAATTATAGGACTTTCCTGGGCAGCTGTTTACAGGAGGAAGTTTCTGTGGCAGAAGAAGATGTGACAGTTTTCATGCTCTCGGTTTTTCTCAACTCAAACCTTTTCTCCTTCTAGGTTGCCACAGAATCACACTGCTTCCTGCAAGAATGGCCCCTCTTGTATTGTTGAGGTAGTTCCACCATGCTCCAGTTCCAGGAGCATTTCTGCCCAAAGTTCTGCTCACCACAATTCCTGCACAAGATGTTACAAACAAGGAATACACCTTTTGCATTTCAGAAAAATGCTTCTCATCTTCAGGTGCTAAGATGTGCTACCCCTGGGCTCTTTTGTCCCTCTTTGCACTTCTTTTGTACCTTTTCCCACATGACTAATAACCAGTCTTGACTGCTTTTACAACCCTTACACATATGTCAAAGGCTGCAGATTATCTCGTTCTCCTAGTGTTACAGAAAATGAGGTTTGCCATCTGCAGAATATTTCGATTCTCCTTGTTTTTGGATAGCTTCCAGAAGGAAAAGTGGAAAATGCTGACTTATGCCATGTTCATCCTGAAAGTTACTACTTTCTTTCTAAATCCTTATAAACCATCTGTTTAATGACCAGTTCTAAAAAAAAAAAAAAGAAAAAGAAAAAAAAGAAAAGTGCAAAGGAGCAATAGCCATCATCTGCCTGGAATTTTGGACTTTGCCTTTTCTGCTTTTTGCAAACCAGGATAACATTCTTTTTCTTTCCTATATTTATATTTTTACAGTTTCTTAGTATATAATTTTGTGAGTGAATTTAAATCATCTTATTCTTCTGTTACTTTTTTTCTGACACACCTTGTGTTTCATCCTTATGGGTAATATTTTTTCTACCCTTCTTTCCTTCATTTTCCCTAGTAGGTAAGAAGGAGGAAAACCATCTACTTCACACACCTGCCCACAGCTCCTACAGCCCTGTAGTACCTCTGTTAGAGCACCCATTTATTGCTGTAATTTGCTATATGTGAGCTGCCTGAGAAGAGAGAGTGAGTCTTACTCTATGGTGTATCCCTCTTTACCTAATGTATTTCAGAGACCCAGAAATATTGTGGAATTACGGAGTGAAGGTGTCATGAGCTGATATCCGCCTCTCATTAAGAACTTAGTCTAGCACAATTGAATGAAGCAGCTAAAATATGGCCATGTAATGTTTTGCAAAGGAAGAAAGGAAGGGAGGAAGTTTTTAATCTTATTAGGTTAGCACCCTTATGTAGTGAAGAGACCAGGGTTTGGAGTCTGCTATGTCCTGGTTCTGTTCAGTCTCTTCTATATACTGGTTGGTGCTGGAGTGATCTTGGGCAAGTTAATGAATCTAGCATCCCAGTTTCCTCACCTCATCCATCACCTATAAAGTAATATTTGTAATCATCATCTCACCACACTTTTACAAATATTAAAAGAGAGAAGATAGTATTTGTGATTAACACACAGTAAGCCCACAGTATCTTAATTCCAATTCCTCTTCCCTTATTCTCATCCTTATTCTTAATGTATCTCTTCAGATATTTTGGGTTTGAAATCCTTGTTTTCCTTGGTATTTTCTAAAAGCCTCTGCACTTCGTGAATGTCAGTGTTTTCATTCTTTTTCAGTAAGGTGCTGTCCCTTTGTACTTCTTTGGATAGAATCTCCCCCTCCCTTAGTGTCAAATATTCTTTTAAACTCTGAACTCCTAGAAGAGCTCCCTATGCAACCTCACAGGTGTGACAATAACTGCCCTTTTCTTCCCCATCAGGCCCATTTTTGATTGTACTGTTAACATTTTATTTTTTGACAGTCTCCCATCTTTCTGGAGCTGTCATTCAATTTATTGCCCTGGCAATAAAATAGAACCGAGTGTTTTCATTAACTTTACGAAATTTATATCCTGAAAGTTCATAGAAGTGGTCTTTAAAGTTTTTGATCATCTGCACCTATGAATAAAAACACTTTACGTATGTCTTCCCCAAGTATACCAATATTTATCTTTTAATTATGTGCATGTACTACAGTAATAATAATAGAAAGTCCAGAACTAAGTAGTTTCTCTCTAGCTACACACACACACACACACACACACACACACACACACACACACACACACACAGAGATATATACAGACATGCTATATATACCTATCCACATATATATACACACACATGCATAGACAGATCTATGTGAACATATGCATATATAGAAACTCATATATTATATATTTTGTAAGACATACAAAAATAGAAATCAAAAGGATGCATTGAAAAATAAATATAGGCTGATTGTTGGATCTAGCTCAGCCACTTGTACCAAAATATTTTGAAACATTATTTAAAATTTTTGGATCCCTGTGAAGGCCTGCTATACCCAGATTTGCCAAGGGATTTGGTTTGGAGAGAGTTTGATGAGCTTTGTAGTTTATAAACCTAGAAGAAATGCTGATCAAAGAATTAAAGCATAGGAAACATCATTGCAATCATTGCTATTTCTAATGGTCACTGTTAAACTGCTTTACCGTGGACATCACATAAAATAAAACCTCTCCATAGTTATATATGTGTTCATCTTCATCAGAAGTAATTATGGAAGAAACTGTTGTGCATTACTCAGCACAGTGAAGTAATAGAATGTGCCAGTGCAGCTTTAGGTGACTTTTTTTGCTCTACAATGTTACTCATGTTCTTCTAGCTCTGACCCGTGTGCCCATCACATGGCTGGTATTTACTCACTAATGTTGCACCATATTATTTTAAATGTGATTAGAGTCTTGTTGAATCTAACCATAATGATAATATATTATTTCAGCTGTTATATTCTATTTTTTTCTCTGTGTACTTATAGATGTGAATGTTTAACAAAATGATGCTTAAGTATTGCTTCATATATTCCTTCTTTTATTTGATGTAAGCAAGTGTCTATCCTATATCATAATTCTTGAAAATGTAGTTTTCAATGGCATTATATGAATATATAGCACTATTTAATAATTTCCCATTGTTGAATATTCATATTTTTATAATGTATTATTACTTATAATAATAAACACTGAATTTTTGACAGAAATGCTGTAAAGTGTCAGCAGGGCCACATTTCCTCTGAAAGCTGAAAGGAAGAAGCTGCCCTTTGCTTTTCAGCTTCTTACGGTGCCTTGCAGTCCCTGGGATTCCTTGGAGCTGCGTGGCTCCAGTCTCTGCTTCTGTCTTCACATGGCTGTCTTCCCTGCATGTATCTCTGTGTCCTCTCCTCTTCTTATGAGGACAGTCATGGAATTTGGAATCTACTCAAATTCAGTGTGGCCTCATGTGAACTTGGTTACAGGTGCAAAACCCTATTTCCAAACAAGGTAACATTCATAGCTACTGGTAGTTAGGCATTGAGCATATGTTTTGGAAGGACACAATTCAATCCACCATAACTAATAAAACATTTTAAAATAACAGTTCAGCATTTTCTTCCACACTCCAATGTGTCATCCCACATTCTCTCTGGGAGAAAACTCAACCCCTCTGAAGAACACTGGTCTAGAGTCCATGCCTGCAGAGACTTTCATTTCTTTATGTATCAGTGAATCCTCGGTGACTTGCGTAATTTTTTCCCAAGCTTCCTGCCACTTATTTCTCCATCCCATTATTCTTTGATGGTCAGAACTAAGCCTATCCCACTATTTCATCTTCTGTTTTCTGTAAGAGGAAATTATCATGAATTACCATACTCTCTGGAAAGACATGTTCTGCATATGTTGTTCCCAAGTTTCCAATTTATTCTTGGATATTGCAAAAGAAATGCTGGTATACAAAGTGATGGTTTCGTATTCAATCCTTGAACTAAGATATGTTCCCACTTAACCCACCTGCTCTGTCTCTATACAGTTTAAAATAACTAAGTGTGGCAAAGAACTAGGGTTTTAAAAAATGTACATTGCCAAATAACTAGTTCAAAAAAACTAATAGTTATTAAAAGTTCTGTAGACACAGTCTTAGATTATTCTTTATTGGTTGCTTTAGAAACATTCCATAAACATTGCACTGTAATTGTTGAGTTTGGAGTTGACCTTCTGGGTATCTTGGCATTAGCATGACACTGCTACTACAGTATATTATTTTCCTGAAATTTTAAATGAGGACACATTCTCCTTGGTCAGATGAATCACTATCAAATCAGTGTACCTGACTATTCTTTCACTGCACCGCTCTTTCTGCCCTGCCACACACTGAAGGGCTTTAACCACAAACCTCAGCTTTTCACTGCCCAGACTGACCCCAGATTGCTCCCTCTTTTTCTTTCCATTAGAGAAGATAGGATTTTGACAGTCGGCAAAGAGGAGTGGGTTGTAAAAAGTGAGTATGAAGTAGCTACATTGTGATACATCCTGTTCTGAAAAAGAGCCTTGCTGAAGACCCCATAACAAGAATCTATTGATTGTTCATCCCAACCACCACAAGAACCATGCAGTTCTTGTGACTAACCTGGTTCATACATGCGTCCGTAAATACACACATCCACTCATACGTCAGAGTACTCAATTCCTATTTGGAGTTCTATGTTAATTACTTCAGACATCATTAAGATGTCTTTCATTTGGCAAAAATTGTAGATGTGTCTTTCCCTGACTTATTTACCAGGCTGATATCTCAGTCTTTCTATGATTCCAGCAAGGTTTGAACCTCTCCTAAGGAGCTCGTTGTCACCATATCTAGTTCCCCTTGAATCTACCTTCAGGTATCACAAATGTGGTGAAGTCTTGGATGTAGTTATCATGGAAGAAAAATTTTAAAACAAGTTCTGAGCCAATTAGCTGAGTTAAAAAAGGATCAAAGGATATAGTCTTGCTTTTTAAACACGTTGTAGCTATGTTTTCTTTCTAGTTTGCCTGGCCCAATAAAATCCAGAACTTGAGTTATTGGTTTTACAGGATATGACATTATATTTAAGGCTACTCAGGCTTCTATTGGCAATGACAGTGTGGAAGTGGGGATAGAGGACTTTATATCACTCATTAATTTCTGAAATTTAAAAAAGAAGCTTAATAATCAAGGAAATTAGAAATCCATAATATTTTAACTCCAAATATTTAAATATTAAGGATTTGGAAAGGCATAATAAAATTAGCAGTTTCACATCGGACATGATGTCTCACACCTGTAGTCCCGATGTTTTGAGGAACTTAGGCAAGAGGATTGCTTGAGGCCAGGAGTTCAAAACCAGCCTGGGCAACATGAGTAGACCTGTCTCTACAAAACATAATAAAAATTGACCAGACATGGTGGCAAGTGCCTATAGTCCTATCTGTTGGGCAGGTTAGGCGGGAAGACCACGTGAGCCCAGGAGTTTGAGACTGCAGTGAGCTGTGATCATGCCACTGCACTCCAGCCTAAGCAAGAGTGAGAGCTGTCTCTTAAAAAAAAAACAGCACTTACATGCTTTGTAGGTGAGGAAGTAATTTGGTACACTTTCTGGAAGATATTTTAGCAATTAGTTTTGGGAATTTTAAATACATTGGTATGCTTTAGCCAGGTGAGTCTACCTCTAATTTATTCCAGTAAATAATTGTAGGTAGGACATAAAGATGTATTGCAAGAATGTCCTTTACCACATTTCTGTAAAAAATTCAGTGTTTGTTATTATAAGTAATAATATATTATAAAAATATAAATATTCAACAATGGGAAGTTATTAAATAGAGCTATATATTCATATAATTACATAATTGCATGTAATTATGTAATTCATATAATTGAAAAATACATTTTCAAGAATTATATAGGATAAACACTTGCTTATGTCAAATAAAAGAAAGAATATATAAAGCAATACTTAAGCATCATTTTGTTAAACATTTACATCTATAAGTATACAGAGAGAAAAATAGGAAAATAAAATAGCTGAAAGAATCTATTATTATGGATTATTTTATTTTCCTTATATTTTTCTCTGTTTTTCAATTTTTCTACAGTGAATATGTAACATTTTTATAATCAGCAGAAATATATAATTAATAATGACTAATAAAATCCTACAAACATAACTCCTTCAGATTAGTCACCAAGAATGTTATTTATTCTTAACAGCCAATTCCTCTTACTGTAATTGCATGAGCCTTCATCTGAGGCCTCTTAAAATCAATCACATCTGTTTGCTGTTAGCTGTTTTACATCAGTTTGAAATTTTAGCTCACCCAATCCTTCCATGATTGAGATTGTTTTGGAACTTCAATGACGACATATAAAGCATCTCTGTTACTTAAAGCCATTTTCTGTCATTGATGTTGATAAAGCTTCCCTACTTCACCCCCTCACAAAAATGTGCTTTGATCAACCAGAAGTACCATTACCTTTGTAATTTTTAGATCAAGAAATTATAGCTATCAAACTCTTCTAATGAATAAACAAGACTTTGAATTGCCTCTACAAATATTAATGGCTTCTAAATAAATGCACATGTGCATATACAAGATGCCAAACACCTACTCTCAAAGCCCTTATGAAGTAGGTGTATATGAAAGATGCCTTATATGTTCATGAGTAGCTGACCAGTCTTGTGAGACGTGTTTTACTCTGTAATGCAGACAGAGCTATGACATTCAGACCGTGGCGTTGGTGAACCAAACAGGCTTCAGATCTGAGAACATCCTCGACTTAAAGAATCCTTTCTTTAGGTAAGAAGTCTTCCCATGCATTTTACACCTATGTTTATAAAATCTCAATCACTCCATGACCAGGTAAAGAGGTGCAGAATAACTCTATATTTCCTAAGAGGAAAAGAAAGTATCTACTAGTTCTCTTCCTCTCTGAGAAGACTTGGTGCCTGTATGGAGTTGAATGTTTTATGATCCCTTAAATAGAATTCAGTACATAACAATCTGATACTGAAACAAAGGCACTAGAGAGTCCTACAAAGTGAGCTATCATGTCCTCCAGTTCCAAGTGAGCTCAGTCCTCCAGCTGAGCTATAATGAGCTGTGTAACCTCAGGCAAAGCCAGTTTCTTTCCCTGGCATTTGGTTTTCTCATCTGTAAAATGTGGGATTCAAAGATAATCTGGCTTTCATTCAGTTTTGTAGCAGTTATTTCAATACTCCTAAAACATGAATTCATTTAAGTTACTTTTTTTGAGACTCATCGGATGTGTAGCTCACATAAGTCAGGACATTCCTCTCTTTAAGAGCTATGCAGATTTCATCTGATACAAGGAACTCGCCACAATGAGATGAATACAACAAATGTTTCCAGAAAAAAACTCCCCATCTTTAGACACCTGTTCAAATATGAGCCAATTAAAAATCCACACATGAAATCAGCCACACGAATAAAACCACTGGACACTGCTACTATTGATTTCCTTATTAAAAAGAGGCTTTTTCCTCATATTATAATGTCTCCCAAAGGCTATTAGTCAAAGCATCATATCTCTGTAGTATTGAAAAACTTGAAGCAAAGAGGAAACTCAGGAAACCAAACCAATAATTCTTTAGCAGATATAAGAAAATGAGAGATTTTGACCTTGAAGCAGGGGAGGAAAAAAAAAGGGCAAAGCTACAATGTAATATATTGCATACCAGTTGTCACATAAGGTGTACATCTTTGAAACTCATTGCCCATTAGAGATACAGATAACGTCTTTAATTCTGAGGGAAGGGAGGTGACCTTGCTTTCATCCGTCCTTAACACAATCATGCCATGTAAAGCAAAGCACAGGTTTGGGCCTCAGAGAGAACAAGCTGACTACTCACTAACATGCAGGCCAATTTGAGGCAAATCATTTAACCTATGTAGGCCTCAGTGTTTTTATCTGTATAATGAGATAAAAAGCATATACCTCACTAGGATTGCAAGAATTTACATAACATGCTCAAGTACCTAACAGTTCACAGAATTAATGCTCAATAAATGTTAATTTTCTTTCTTCCTCCCTTTTCTTCCTGTTGTCTGCTTTCCAACTCTCTCAATGTGGTAAATAGATGATGACTTGTAGTTTATTCCAAACAGAATCATTTGGGATTTGAAAAAGAATATGACTACTTAGAAGGTTTTAGAAAACTCACCTTTTAAATACATGTAAACTACTAACTCTTGAGTTCCACCTCTGCTTTCTCTTACAAAAACAAGGCTTTTACCAAAATACCACCCAGAGAGATCCTGGCCAGGGCCAACACCTGCCTTGTGTGAAGGCACAAACAGTGACCATAAGGTCATAGTGAGAGATTGTAAGGTCTGAGGATAATTCAGGATGGCCACAGCTCAGTCAAAACAGACTGGCTGTTGAGTGAAGGGCACATGACTTTCCTTTTCCTTTGCCTCTTACTCAGCAGCTAACAGACAGAAGCAGAAGAGGGTGCTTAATTCCCTGAGAATTCCAGATCTTGACTATATTTCTTCACCATCCATTTCCTGATGTCTAGACTTCAGCATCCTCAGTGGAGATGGGGACTAAATGACAGAATATTAGAAAAGTGCTTAGCATACAGTAGGTGCTCAATTAAGTGTTCAGCAATGGTAATGCCCTTCTCCAGACCACTCCCACCCCCAGTTCAATGTCAATTTGCTATTACAGCATCTGAGAGGAAGCACGTGTGTGTGTTAGGAAGAACTAAAATAAATTGTGTTACCCAGAGGAATTGTTGGTAATTTAGCACCAAAATAACTTTTTCTCCGTTTGTTTTTTGTTCTACCATTTTAGGACACTATAAACACTACTGATATGCAAGAGCATACCATCTGGGCATCATTGATATACTAGAAACATTTCAAGATCAGCGAATTTATTACTAAAGGCACAAACATCCACCATTGCATATAATGTGAAAGTTTCTATTTTTCCTTGGTGGGGTGGAAAACTTTATTTTGAAAATTAATTATCTTAAAGTGATTTGAAAATAAAAGAAAAGCTAACAGTTATTCCTAAAACTGAGCAAGAGGACAAAAACACTTCATCACAGAGGACAAGCTCTCAGGTAACCTGGCAGATTTTACAAGAGCTTTGAGACTAGTGCTTCATTCAGTGGCTGGGTCACTCACTATGTCAGGCAGCAGAAATGCAGCAGATTGGGACAGATTCAATCCCTGCCTCCAGGAAACTCATATCGTAGTGGGAGGGAAGTAGGCATTAAATAGCTTGATGCATAATTAATTATCATAATTGCAATAAGTGATATGAAGGAGAGGGAAAGGGTGTTAAGGGAGCATTTAGTGGGAGACCTAGAGCAGAGTTGCAGAGTTAATCTGTAAAACAACCACCCACAGTGACCCAAATCCAGAAACAGCTGGAGGTGCTTTAGAACACAAGAAGAAACCTGTGGTACATTGTTACAGAGTGACCCATTTGAAGGGAAGGTGGGGCTCAAAGTTTCCTATTGAAACTTAAAAACTTCGTCAAGGATGGCCTCTCCAGCAAAGCTTTTCCCAAGGCTGAGTTAGATGCCTCTCCCACATCACTCAAAGACCCCTGCACAAACATCACTTTTATGGCATCTGGATGAGGTTGGTCTCAGTTATTGTTTAACTTGTCTGGGACCCCTAATACTTTGAGCACAAGACCTTGTCTACTGCCCTTTGTAACAAAGTGTTACACAAAGGTGCTGGATAAATGTTTGGTGAATGAGTGAATGAATGTGTCCCCAAAGAGCTCCTCATGGGTCCTAAAAGAAGTAAGCTTATGATCAAAATATCATGGCCAAAAGAGCATTTAATCTTCCAGGCTAGCACCACAGCAAACCTCTATTATTATATTAATAGCTCTCACAAAACAATTTGATCCTTCCTTTTCCAAAATATTAAGTTCCCTTAATTTCCTCAACTTAAGTATTTCTTAACTTCCCTTCTTTCTTTCAACCAATTTATTAAACAATTATGGTGTGTCAGGTACTGTTCTTGGTGCTGGAGTAGAACAGAGAATGAGATAGGTACAAACTCCCTGGTCCCATGGTTCTAGAGAGTCTCATGGTTTGATGTCTCCCAACAGAAGTTTTTTTAAAAAGTAGGCTGGGCAAGGTGGCTGATGCCTGTAATCCCAGCATTTTGGGATGCCAAGGTGGGAGAATCACTTGATTTCAGGAGTTTGAGACCAGCCTGGGCAACATCCCAACCCCATCTCTACCAAAACAAAAAACAAACAAAAAAAACCCTGCCAGGCCTGGTGGTGCATACTTGTAGTCCCAGCTACTCAGGAGGCTGAGGTAGGAAAATCACTTGAGCCTGGGAGATTGAGGCTGCAGTGAGCCCTGATCATACCACTGCACTCCAGCCTGGATGGCAAAGCAAGTCCCTATCTCAAAAAGGAATTAAAAAAAAAAAAAAAAAGAAGCTAAGCACATAGGATAATTTCAGATGATGGTAAGTTTTCTAAAAAGGATGAAGAGTAATAGCTACCTGATTGCATTACTTACTATAAAACTACAGTAATTGAGGCTGTGCAGTACTCATGAAAGGGTAGATGTGTAGGTCAATAGGATGGATTAGATCAAAAACAGACCCTAACATACATGGTCAATCGGTTTTTGGCAGTTGCAGATAATTCAATGGAGAAGAGTTAGTCTTTCAAAAATGCTGGAATCATTGGATATCAGTGTGCGATTTTAAAAAATAAACTTTAATCCATATCTCATAGTATCTACAAAAATTAAAAGAAATCATAGATTAAAATATAAAAAAACCTGAAAGCATAAAATTTCTAGGAAAAAAATCAAAGAAAATCTTTGTGGCCTCGAGTTAGACAAAGATTTCTTACATATGATCTCAAAAACTCAAAAGAGAAAAATGATAAATAATACTTTAAGAACTCATAAGCTTGGAAAGACACACTAAGAAAATGAAAAGACAAGTCACACGCTGGGTGAAACTATTTGGAAATCACAAACCTGAAAAAAACAATCTAGAATATTAAAAGAACTTGTGATATAATTCTGTCTAAAAGCCCAGTAATAAGAAAACTCAATTTAAAAAATAATGATAAAGGCAAAAGATTTGAACAACTACTTTACCAAAAAAAAAAAAGAGTTCCATATAATAGCAAATAAGCACATGAAAAGATGTTTGGCATCATTAGTCAGGGAAATTTAAATTAAAACCATGGTGAGATACCACTACACAACTATTAGGTGACTAAAATGTAAGAATCCGACAATGCTAAGTGCTGACAAATATGTAGAACTACTGGAATTCTCATTTATTGCTGGTGGGAATACAAAATGGCACTATCACTTAGGAAAACCGTTTCACAGCTTCTGATATAGTTAAGCATTCACTTACCATGTGACCTGGCAATCTCACTCCTTGATATTTACCTTAGCGAAATGAAAACTTGCATTAACAGTGAAAACTATATTTGAATGTTTATCGCAGCTTTATTTGTAATCACCAAACCTGGAAACAACTAAAATGTCTCTTAAATAGAGAATAAACAAACAAACTATCGTTCATTCATACAATGGAATAATAATAATAATAAGGAATGGAGTACTGATATGTGTAACAATAACACTACATTATATTCAGTGAAAGAAGCCAGATTCAAAAGGCTACATACTATTAGATTCTATTTATATGCCACTGTGGAAAAGGCAACATTATGGATAAGAAAATAGATCAGAGCTACATGGCAAAAACCCATCTCTACAAAAAATATAAAAATTAGCTGGGCATGGTGGTGTGCAACTGTAGTCCCAACTACTCAGGGTGCTGAGGCTGGAGGATCACTTGAGCCTGGGAGGTGGAGGTTGCAATGAGCTAAGATTGTGCCACTGCACTGCAGCCTGAGTGACAGAGCAAGAGCTTGTTTCAAAAGCAAACAAAAACAGAACAGAGCTGGGGTTCTGAGAAGGGTTGGCTCTAAAGAGGTATGGGAAAATTTTAGGGGTGAGCAATGGAACTTTTCCAAACTGTGATTGTAGTGGTGGCAACACATAGCTATATACTTTGTCAAAACTGAAAGAACTATACATTAAAAAGAGTGAATTTTACTGTATGTAAATTTTTCTAATTACATAAAAACCTATTTAAAGATGATTACATAAAGGAATTATAGGAAAGTGAAAAAGGAATGATAAACTAGGAAGTGTCAAGGCCAGGACTGAAGGATTGGAGGATTGGTGGAGGAGATCTGTCCCAAGAGGTGGCACCTGAGTAGAGGCCTAAATGTCAAAAAAGGAGCCAGCATGGGCAGATGCACAAGAAGAGCCTTCCAGAAGACAGAAGTAAGAGCAAGGGCCCCAGGCACGATGAGCCTATTGAGTAGCAGAAAAATAAGTCAGTGCTTAGGCTCTGCTATAAATCTACAGAAAAGAAATAAAGTTCTTTTGATGAACAAAAATCTGGATCATCGTCTTGGATCTGAATTCAGGCTGTGCATAATCAAACATACTGAATATAGTGGGTAAATATAGATTTAAGGCTGCCCCTAAAAACTCCAGGGAAAGGCACGGGAGTGAGAATAGGAAAGGGGAAAGGGGAAAGGGGAAAGGAGGAGAAGGAGAGGACATGAAAACAAAACTTGCTTGCTTATAGCTTTGGATCTGGCTGGAACTTAACCACTTCAGTGTCATAGAATCACTTTCTCTGTTTTAGGTTTGCTTAGAAGACAGTAACAAGTCAAGCAATAAGTAAAATGAAGGCCTGTGAAGTTTATCAGCATCCAAGTTCATACTTCATGATCTATGCATTCTAAACTTTACAAGGGTGTTTCGGTTTATTTAATTTTTTTTCTAACTCTAAAATTTGCATACTAACTTTTTTGAAAAGTCTATTGGTGATTCTTAGACTAGCTCTTTATAATTTTCTGCATGGGCCTGAAGATTAAATTTCTTTTAATTTTGGGTTTCTCTTTATTACTATTATAGCAAAACAAACAGCATTACTTTAATTTTAGAAGTATTTTTAAAGAAATTTAGGCTGTGGACCGTGGGCAGCCAGGGTTGGTGAAGGATCCCAAGATGGTTGGGCGAAAACTTGCTCTAAAAACCACTGACTGTGTAGCTTTTGTGGAGATCATACCCCAGAACTAAAAGGCCATTGCTAATTCCCTGAAATCCTGGAATGAGACCCTCACCTCCAGGTTGGCTACTTTACCTGAGAATCCACCAGCTATTGACTAGGCTTACTACAAGGCCCATGTAGCCAAGGCAGGCTTGGTGGATGACTTTGAGAAGAAGCTTAATGCCCTGAAGTTTCTGTGCCAGAGGATAAATATACTGCCCAGCTGGATGCTGAAGACAAAGAAGATGTGAAATCTTGTGCTGAGTGGGTGTCTCTCTCAAAGGCCGGGATTGTAGAATATGAGAAACAGAAGGAGAAGATGAAGAACTTAATTCCATTTGATCAGATGACCATTGAGGACTTGAAAAAAACTTTCCCAGAAACCAAATTAGACAAGAAAAAGTATCCCTAATGACCTCACCAACCAATCAAGGATTTATAAAATTGAGTCCAGGAGGAAGATCTGGCCCTTATATTACACATTCTGGACATTAAAAATAAAATAATTATACAGTTAAAAAAAAAGAAATTTGGGTGGAGCCAAGATGGCTTAATAGGAACAGCTCCCGCCTACAGCTCCCAGCATGAAAGACGCAGAAGATGGGTGATTTCTGCATTTCCATCTAAGGTACCGGGTTCATGTCACTAAGGAGTGCCAGACAGTGGGTGCAGGACAGTGGGTGCAGCGCACCGTGCACGAGCCAAAGCAGGGTGAAGCATTGCCTCACTCGGGAAGTGCAAGGGGTCAGGGAGTTCCCTTTCCTAGTCAAAGAAAGGGGTGACAGACGGCACCTGGAAAATTGGGTCACTCCCACCCTAATACTGTGCTTTTCCAATGGGCTTAAAAAATGGCACACCAGGAGATTATATCCCGCACCTGGCTCGGAGGGTCCCACGCCCACAGAGTCTCGCTGATTGCTAGCACAGCAGTCTGAGATCAAACTGCAAGGCGGCAGCGAGGCTGAGGGAGGGGCGCCTGCCATTGCCCAGGCTTGATTAGGCAAACAAAGCAGCCAGGAAGCTCAAACTGGGTGGAGCCCACCACAGCTCAAGGAGGCCTGCCTGCCTCTGTAGGCTCCACCTCTGGGGGCAGGGCACAGACAAACAAAAAGACAGCAGTAACCTCTGCAGACTTAAATGTCCCTGTCTGACAGCTTTGAAGAGAGTAGTGGTTCTCCCAGCATGCAGCTGGAGATCTGAGAATGGGCAGACTGCCTCCTCTAGCAGGTCCTTGACCCCTGAGCAGTCTAACTGGGAGGCACCCCACAGTAGGGGCAGACTGACACCTCACATGGCTGGGTACTCCTCTGAGACAAAACTTCCAGAGGAACAATCAGGCAGCAGCATTTGCAGTTGACCAAGATCCGCTGTTCTACAGCCACTGCTGTTTTACAGCCACCGCTGTTCTGCAGCCACCGCTGCTGATACCAGGCAAACAGCATCTGGAGTGGACCTCTAGCAAACTGCAACAGACCTGCAGCTGAGGGTCCTGTCTGTTAGAAGGAAAACTAACAAACAGAGAGGACGTCCACACCAAAAACCCTTCTGTACGTCACCATCATCAAAGACCAAAAGCAGATAAAGCCACAAAGATGGGGAAAAAACAGAGCAGAAAAACTGGAAACTCTAAAAAGCAGAGTGCCTCTCCTCCTCCAAAGGAATGCAGCTCCTCACCAGCAATGGAACAAAGCTGGACAGAAAATGACTTTGACAAGCTGAGAGAAGAAGGCTTCAGACGATCAAACTACTCCGAGCTACAGGAGGAAATTCAAAGCAATGGCAAAGAAGATAAAAACTTTGAAAAAAAATTAGATGAATGGATAACTAGAATAATCAATGCAGAGAAGTCCTGAAAGGAGCTGATGGAACTGAAAGCCAAGGCTCGAGAACTACGTGAAGAATGCAGAAGCCTCAGGAGCTGATGCGATCAACTGGAAAAAAGGGTATCAGTGATGGAAGATGAAATGAATGAAATGAAGAGAGAAGGGAAGTTTAGAGAAAAAAGAATAAAAAGAAACGAACAAAGCCTCCAAGAAATATGGGACTATATGAAAACACCAAATCTACGTCTGATTGGTGTACCTGAAAGTGACGGGGAGAATGGAACCAAGTTGGAAAACACTCTGCAGGATATTATCCAGGAGAACTTCCCCAATCTAGCAAGGCAGGCCAACATTCACATTCAGGAAATACAGAGAATGCCACAAAGATACTCCTCAAGAATAGCAACTCCAAGACACATAATTGTCAGATACACCAAAGTTGAAATGAAGGAAAAAATGTTAAGGGCAAATAGAGACAAAGGTCAGGTTACCCACAAAGGGAAGCCCATCAGACTAACAGCGGATTTCTCGGCAGAAACTCTACTAGCCAGAAGAGAGTGGGGGCCAATATTCAACATTCTTAAAGAAAAGAATTTTCAACCCAGAATTTCTTTTTTTTTAATTTTATTATTATTATACTTTAAGTTTTAGGGTTCATGTGCACAATATGCAGGTTAGTTACATATGTATACATCTGCCATGCTGGTGTGCTGCACCCATTAACTCGTCATTTAGCATTAGGTATATCTCCTAATGCTATCCCTCCCCCCTCCCCCAACCCCACAACAGTCCCCAGAGTGTGATGTTCCCCTTCCTGTGTCCATGTGTTCTCATTGTTCAATTCCCACCTATTAGTGAGAACATGCGGTGTTTGGTTTTTTGTCCTTGTGATAGTTTACTGAGAATGATGATTTCCAATTTCATCCCTGTCCCTACAAAGGACATGAACTCTTCATTTTTTATGGCTGCATAGTATTCCATGGTGTATAGGTGCCACATTTTCTTAATCCAGTCTATCATTGTTGGACATTTGGGTTGGTTTCAAGTCTTTGCTATTGTGAATAGTGCCACAATAAACATATGGGTGAATGTGTCTTTATAGCAGCATGATTTATAGTCCTTTGGGTATATACCCAGTAATGGGATGGCTGGGTCAATGGTATTTCTAGTTCTAGATCCCTGAGGAATCGCCACACTGACTTCCACAATGGTTGAACTAGTTTATAGTCCCACCAACAGTGTAAAAGTGTTCCTGTTTCTCCAGATCCTCTCCCGCACCTGTTGTTTCCTGACTTTTCAATGATTGCCATTCTAACTGGTGTGAGATGGTATCTCATTGTAGTTTTGATTTGCATTTCTCTGATGGCCAGTGATGATGAGCATTTTTTCATGTGTCTATTGGCTGCATAAATGTCTTCTTTTGAGAAGTGTCTGTTCATGTACTTTGCCCACTTTTTGATGGGGTTGTTTGTTTTTTTCTTGTAAATTTGTTTGAGTTCATTGTAGTTTCTGGATATTAGTCCTTTGTCAGATGAGTAGGTTGCGAAAATTTTCTCCCATTTTGCAGGTTGCCTGTTCACTCTGATGGTAGTTTCTTTGCTGTGCAGAAGCGCTTTAGTTTAATTACATCCCATTTGCCAACCCAGAATTTCATATCCAGCCAAACTAAGCTTCATAAGTGAAGGAGAAATAAAATACTTTACAGACAAGCAAATGCTGAGAGATTTTCTCACCACCAGGCCTGCCCTAAAAGAGCTCCTGAAGGAAGCACTAAACATGGAAAGGAACAACCGGTACCAGCCACTGCAAAAACATGCCAAAATGTAAGGACCATCAAGGCTAGGAAGAAACTGCATCAACTAACTAGCAAAATAACCAGCTAACATCATAATGACAGGACCAAATACACACATGACAATATTAACTTTAAATGTAAATGGGCTAAATGCTCCAATTAAAGGACGCAGACTGGCAAATTGGATAAAGAGTCAAGACCCATCAGTGTGCTGTATTCAGGAAACCCATCTCACATGCAGAGACACACATAGGCTCAAAATAAAGGGATGGAGGATCTACCAAGCAAATGGAAAACAGAAAAAGGCAGAGGTTGCAATCCTAGTCTCTGATAAAACAGACTTTAAACCAACAAAGATCAAAAGAGACAAGAAGGCCATTACATAATTGTAAAGGGATCAATTCAACAAGAAGAGCTAACTATCCTAAATATATATGCACCCAATACAGGAGCACCCAGATTCATAAAGCAAGTCCTTAGTGACCTACAAAGAGACTTAGACTCCCACACAGTAATAATGGGAGAATTTAACACCCCACTGTCAACATTAGACAGATCAACAAGACAGAAAGTTAACAAGGATACCCAGGAATTGAACTCAGCTCTGCAGCAAGCAGACCTAATAGACATCTACAGATGTGGATCTACATCTCCACCCCAAATCAACAGAATATACATTTTTTTCAGCACCACACCACACCTATTCCAAAACTGGCCACATAGTTGGAAGTACAGCACTCCTCAGCAAATGTAAAAGGACAGAAATTATAACAAACTGTCTCTCAGACCACAGTGCAATCCAACTAGAGCTCAGGACTAAGAAACTCACTCAAAACTGCTCAACTACACGGAAACTGAACAACCTGCTCCTGAATGACTACTGGATACATAACGAAATGAAGGCAAAAATAAAGATGTTCTTTGAAACCAGCGAGAACAAAGACACAACATACCAGAATCTGTGGGATGCATTCAAAGCAGTGTGTAGAGGGAAATTTATAGCACTAAATGCCCACAAGAGAAAGCAGGAAAGATCCAAAATTGACACCCTAACTTCACAATTAAAAGAACTAGAAAAGCAAGAGCAAATACATTCAAAAGCTAGCAGAAGGCAAGAAATAACTAAAATCAGAGCAGAACTGAAGGAAATAGAGACACAAAAAACCCTTCAAAAAATTAATGAATCCAGTAGCTGGTTTTTTGAAAAGATCAACAAAATTGATAGACCACTAGCAAGACTAATAAAGAAGAAAAGAGAGAAGAATCAAATAGATGCAATAAAAAATGATAAAGGGGATATCACCACCAATCCCACAGAAATACAAAATGCTATCAGAGAATACTACAAACACCTCTACGCAAATAAACTAGAAAATCTAGAAGAAATGGATAAATTCCTCGACACATACACCCTCCCAAGACTAAACCTGGAAGTTGAATCTCTGAATAGACCAATAACAGGCTCTGAAATTGTGGCAATAATCAATAGCTTACCAACCAAAAAAATTCCAGGACCAGATGGATTCACAGCTGAATTCTACCAGAGGTACAAGGAGGAGCTGGTACCATTCCTTCTGAAACTATTGCAATCAATAGAAAAAGAGGGAATCCTCCCTAATTCATTTGATGAGGCCAGCATCATCCTGATACCAAAGCCTGGCAGAGACACAACCAAAAAAGAGAATTTTAGACCAATATCCTTGATGAACATTGATGCAAAAATCCTCAATAAAATACTGGCAAACCGAATCCAGCAGCACATCAAAAAGCTTATCCACCATGATCAAGTGGGCTTCATGCCTGGGATGCAAGGCTGGTTCAACATACGCAAATCAATAAATGTAATCCAGCATATAAACAGAACCAAAGACAAAAACCACATGATTATCTCAACAGATGCAGAAAATGCCTTTGACAAAATTCAACAACACTTCATGCTAAAAACTTTCAATAAATTAGGTATTGATGGGACATATCTCAAAACAATAAGTGCTATGTATGACAAACCCACAGCCAATATCATGCTGAATGGGCAAAAACTGGAAACATTCCTTTTGAAAACTGGCACAGGGATGCCCTCTCTCACCACTCCTATTCAACATAGTGTTGGAAGTTCTGGCCAGGGCAATTAGGCAGGAGAAGGAAATAAAGGGTATTCAATTAGGAAAAGAGGAAGTCAAATTGTCCCTGTTTGCAGATGGCATGATTGTATATTTAGAAAACCCCATCGTCTCAGCCCAAAATCTCCTTAAGCTGATAAGCAACTTCAGCAAAGTCTCAGCATACAAAATCAATGTACAAAAATCACAAGCATTCTTATACACCAATAACAGACAAACAGAGAGCCAAATCATGAGTGAACTCCCATTCACAATTGCTTCAAAGAGAATAAAGTAGCTAGGAATCCAACTTACAAGGGATGTGAAAGACCTCTTCAAGGAGAACTACAAACCACTGCTCAATGAAATAAAAGAGGATACAAACAAATGGAAGAACATTCCATGCTCATGGGTAGGAAGAATCAATATCGTGAAAATGGCCATACTGCCCAAGGTAATTTATAGATTCAACACCATCCCCATCAGGCTACCAATGACTTTCTTCACAGAATTGGAAAAAACTACTTTAAAGTTCATATGGAACCAAAAAAGAGCCCGCATCACCGAGTCAATCCTAAGCCAAAAGAACAAAGCTGGAGGCATCACGCTACCTGACTTCAAACTATGCTACAAGGCTACAGTAATCAAAACAGCATGGTACTGGTACCAAAACAGAGATATAGATCAATGGAACAGAACAGAGCCCTCAGAAATAATGCCACATATCTACAACCATCTGATCTTTGACAAACCTGACAAAAACAAGCAATAGGCGAAGGATTCCCTATTTAATAGATGGTGCTAGGAAAACTGGCTGGCCATATGTAGAAAGCTGAAACTGGATCCCTTCCTTACACCTTATACAAAAATTAATTCAAGATGGATTAAATACTTACATGTTAGACCTAAAACCATAAAAACCCTAGAAGAAAACCTAGGCAATACCGTTCAGGACATAGGTATGAGCAAGGACTTCATGTCTAAAACACCAAAAGCAATGGCAACAAAGGCCAAAATTGACAAATGGGATCTAATTAAACTAAAGAGCTTCTGCACAGCAAAAGAAACTACCATCAGAGTGAACCGGCAACCTACAGAATGGGAGAAAACTTTCGCAACCTACTCATCTGACAAAGGACTAATATCCAGAATCTACAATGAACTCAAACAAATTTACAAGAAAAAAAAACAACCCCATCAAAAAGTGGGCAAAGGATATGAACAGACACTTCTCAAAAGAAGACATTTATGCAGCCAAAAAACACATGAAAAAATGCTCATCATCACTGGCCATCAGAGAAATGCAAATCAAAAACACAATGAGATACCATCTCACAACAGTTAGAATGGCGATCATTAAAAAGTCAGGAAACAACAGGTGCTGGAGAGGATCTGGAGATATAGGAACAGTTTTACACTGTTGGTGGGACTATAAACTAGTTCAACCATTGTGGAAGTCAGTGTGGCGATTCCTCAGGGATGTAGAACTAGAAATACCGTTTGACCCAGCCATCCCATTTACTGGGTATATACCCAAAGGACTATAAATCATGCTGCTATAAAGACACATGCACACGTATGTTTATTGTGGCACTATTCACAATAGCAAAGACTTGGAACCAACCCAAATGTCCAAGAACGATAGACTGGATTAAGAAAATGTGGCACATATACACCATGGAATACTATGCAGCCATAAAAAATGAAGAGTTCATGTCCTTTGTAGGGACAGGGATGAAACTGGAAACCATCATTCTCAGCAAACTATCACAAGGACAAAAAACCAAACACCGCAAGTTCTCACTAATAGGTGGGAACTGAACAATGAGAACACATGGACACAGGAAGGGGGACATCACACTCTGGGGACTGTTGTGGGGTGGGGGAAGGGGGGAGGGATAGCATTAGGAGATATACCTAATGCTAAATGACGAGTTAATGGGTGAAGCACACCAACATGGCACATGTATACATATGTAACCTGCACATTGTGCACATGTACCCTAAAACTTCAAGTATAATAATAAAAAAAGAAAAAAAAGAAATTTAACAAAACCCTACCTCGTGTTTATATGTATGCCATATATATGACTGAGATAACAGCATGTTAGGAGTGATCCTCTATTTGCAGTTTCAATCTATTTTTGCAAATATTTTCAACAAATCAGCTAGTTTCTAGCTCAGCAGTGTGTTAAGAATTTTTTACCTTATTCATGTTATTGAATAATATGATGTCAGGAATGTTCTTCGCTGGCATTAGGTGATGAGTCTGTATGTAGTTAAGAGGATAAAGATGGAGCCTTTGTCAATTCTCTTAGGTTTACAGTAAAAATGTACAGTGTGAGACCACAGTGAGGGCTCTCCTTTAAGACATTTGTTATATGTCACATGTCAAATAGTCATGAGAGATGATCTTTCTAAAGAGCAGGTTTTTCCCTGGCCCAAACAACTCTTATAAAAATGGATGTCACATCAGCACACCAGTCTAATGAAGCCCACCAGGCAACCTGCTCACTCTGTAGGGAGAACTGGAATAAATAGCAGCTACATATTCTCATCAGTCAGGCAGTCACCCAGAGCTTTCAGCTTTCCACTCTGGTGCTTTTGCTCATTCTGGCCACTCAGTCTGAAATAGTCTTCCCCTTCTATCCACATGAACAATCTTACATCACTACAAGGCTCACTTCTAATACACCTTCCCCAGTATGCCTTACTGATTCCTTCCACACTCACTAAAGGTACCTTTCCCACCTTTGGCATATCCTGCAGTCCCTCCCCTTATCTAGTCCTGTCTTGCAGCATTTTATCATGCACCTATCTTTCTCTTCTATCAGACTTAAGTTCTTTACTGGTTGGATCTGTGTCCAATTCATTTTTTTATTACCCAAGTTGCCTAACAGTATGTCTCATACATTGAAAGTACTCAATAAATGTACATTGATTAAATAAATGAATTGATCCTAAGAGTAACCAGAATTATAGAATCAGACATGACAATGTTCTAATTGCCTTTCAAGCATGGTAGGCAGAAAATATAAACCCTAGGTTGCAAAAATACATGATGGCTTCTGCTCCACCCACACTGAGGGCAGACATGCATAATCTATCCTAGCACTCTTTCCTGCTTAACCTTGATGAGGCCTTGCCATCCTTCTCAGCCCCATGTTCTAGGAAGCCATTATCAATATATAATAGTCTGTATAAGAGATTAAACTTATGACTTTTAAAGATCCACAGATTGCTATTATTTCCTATCTTTGAACAGTCCTGAAGATCTGTGAGGTTTATGAATTTCTAATTTTGCTGAAGCAAAAATTTGTTACAGATATATGCTACAAGGTGGGGAAATAACTGACTTTTTAATCAATCACTCAGAGGGTGCACCTCCATGCAAGCAACAACTCCCCTCATATTAAAAATTGCTATTCATCATCTTCACCTTAGTTTTGAAAATTTAAGTAAGTGCTTAAGTAAATGTTACTATAAAAATGAAGTAATGTAGGTTTGTGTTTATTCCAGTTAAGGAATTTTGTAACTTTACTAATTTTTCCAACTTGTATCTATAGAATTATTAAAGAATGAAAGGAGCTTATTAAAATGTTCGTTTATTGCATTTTGTGGGGGAAATTAAGTAACTTTAGTATTTGTAAATTAGAAAGGACCTCAAAGCATGTCCTTCATTGAGATGGTTAATTTTATGTGTCAACTTGACAGCACTAGGGGTGTCAGAGTATACTTTATTTCTGGATGTGTCTACAAGTGTATTTCCAGATGAGATTAGCATTTGAATCAGTTGAATTTAATAAAGTAAATTGCCCTCCCCAGTGTGGGTGGGAATAATCCAATCTGTTGAGAGCTTGAAAGGACAAAAAGGTAGAGGAAGAAGGAACTTCTTCCTGCCTGCCTGCCTGCTTGAACTGGGACATGGTCTTCTCTTGCTCTTAGCCTGGGATTTACACCATCGGTTCCCCTGGTTCTCAAGCCTTGGGAATTGAACTTGAATCACACCGCTGGGCTTTCCTGGGCCTCCAGCTTGCTGACAGTAGATTAAGGGACTTCTCAGCCTCCATGATTGTGTGTGCCAGTTTCTCATAATCTCTTTATATATATATATATATATATATATATATATATATACACACACACACATATATATATCTTTACATATACATGTAAAATGAATTGGACACAGATCCAACCATATATACACACACACACATACACATACTGTTGGTTCTGTTTCTCTAAAGAATCCTGTCTAATACACTTGTGGATATCAAGAGTAGCTTTGGACTTAAGGACACCTTGGAAATCTCAGTCTTTCGTGAACCAGTCATAATTAAAATAAGGCCAAAACTATGAAGAATTATAGCAGGAACTGATGATGACTGATGTGAGGAACTGCGAACTGCTCGGAGGCAGCTCACATCTTGGGGTATGCAGCTGGGACATGCATAGGAGGACGTGGAAAACACATGGGCTGAGGAACTCCAGGACACACACCAGTAAATTGCTATGGAAGTTAAATTGTGCCTTTGCCAAGAACACAAGACCCCGACTGAAAATACTTTAAACAAAGAAATTTATCCTATTGTATTGCAAGAAGTCCAGAGGTACAGTGGGCTCTAGGGTTGATGAATCAGTGGCTCTGTGGTTTCATCAAGGACTGAGGTTCTTTCCTTTTTTTGCTCTGCATCCAGCCCCCATTATAGGCACAAGGTGACCATGGAAGTTCCAGAGGTCACATCCAGACACCCTAACACTCAGAGTCATTAAAAGAGACTATCACTTTCGTTGATAGTCGTCAGCAAAACTGACTATCATTTTTGTTATCATAATTTTCCTCTTAAAATTATGCTAATGACATTTAACACTTCTTATATGCCAGGCACTATTCTAAATGCTTTATAAATATAACTTTTTTTTACCATAATTAGTTCATTTAATTGTTGTCTGGACATGAAAATGCAAAGCTTCAATAAAAAGAATCATTATGCAAAGCAAAGATATGACCCTCTGTTAAGCATTTGGCAAAGAAATGTACTTTGGCCAGGCATGGTGGCTCACACCTATAATCCCAACACTTTGTGAGGCTGAGATGGGATGACCTCTTGAGGACCAGATTTCAGAGAGAGACCCTATCTCTACAAAAAATTTAAAACATAGCCAGGTGTGGTGGCACAAGCCTGTGTTCCCAGCTACTGGGGAGACTGAGGTGGGAGGATCACTTGAGCCCAGGAGGTAGAGGCTTCAGAGAGCCACGATCGTGTCACTGCACCAGCCTGGGTGACAGAGTGAGACCCTGTCTTAAAAAACGAAAAAGCACTTTTATTATTATTTTATAATTTCAACTTTTATTTTAGATTCAGGGATACATGTGCAGATTTGTTACATAAGTATATTGCCTGACGCTGAGGTTTGGGGTACAGATCCCGTCACTAAGGTAGTGAGCATAATCCCCAGTAAGTAGTTTTTCAACCCACAGCCCACTTTCTCCCTCCCCACTCTAGTAATCCACAGTGTCGATTGTTCCCATCTTTATGTTCATGCGTACTCAGTGTTTAGTGTCCACTTATAAGTGAGGACATAAGTTATCTGGTTTTCTGTTCCTGCATTAATTCTCATAGGATTCTGACTTCCAACTGCATCCATGTTGCTACAAAGGACGTGATTTCATTTTTTATGGCTGGGTGGTATTCCATGGTGTATTTGTACCATATTTTCTTTATCCAGTTCCCTTTTCTCCACAGACTCACCAGCAGCTGTTGTTTTTTGAATTTCTAATAACAGCCATTCTGACTGGTATGAGATGGTGTCTCATTGTGGTTTTGATTTGCATTTCTCTGATGATTAGTGATGAGCATTTTTCATGTTTGTTGAAAACGTGTATGTCATCTTTTGAGAAGTGTCTGCTCAAGTCCTTTGCCCATTTTTTAATGAGTTTGTTTATTTTTGTTTATTTGTATAATTTTCTTATTGATTCTGGATATTAGACCTTTGTCGAATGCATAGCTTGTGAATATTTCCCCCATTCTGGAGTTTGTCTGATTATAGATAATTTCTTTTGCTGTGCAGAAGCCCTTCAATTTAATTAGTTCCTAATTGTCAATTTTTGCTTCTGTTGCAATTGCTTTTGGGGACTTAGCAAAATAATTTTTGGCAAGGCCAATGTTGAGAAGGGTATTTCCTAAGTTTTCTTCTAGTATTTTTATAATTTGGTCTTACATTTATATCTTTAATCCACCTTGAGTTAATTTTTGTATATGATGAAAGGGGGTCCAGTTTCATTGTTCTGCAATGACTACTCAGTTATCCCAGCACTGTTTATTGAATAGGGATTCCTTTCCTCATTGCTCATTATTGTTGACTTTGTCAAAGATCAGATGGTTGTAGGTGTGCAGCTTTATTTCTGGGTTCTATTCTATGTGTTTGTTTTTGTACCAGTACCCTGTTGCTTTGGTTACTGCAGCCTTATAGTATAGTTTGAAGTTGGGTGGTGTAATGCCTCTGGCTTTGTTCTTGGTTAGGATTGCTTTAGCTATTCAGGCTGTTTTTGGTTCCATATGAATTTTATAATAGTTTTTTCTAATTCTGTGAGAAGTGACATTGACAGTTTGACAGAAACAGTGTTGAATCTGTAAATTGCTTTGGGCAATATGGCCATTCAAACAATAGCGATTATTCTAATCCATGAACAAGGAATGTGTTTTCATTTACTTGTGTCATCTCTGATTTTTTTCACCGGTATTTTGTAGTTCTTCTTATAGAGATCTTTCAACTTCTTGGTGTATGGCTATTGTAAATTGGATCGTGTTCTTGATTTGACTCTCAGCTTGAACGTTATTGATGTATAGAAATTCTACTGATTTTTGTACATCGATTTTGTATCCTGAAACTGTACTAAAGTCATTTATCAGTTCTAGAGGCATTTCGGCAGAATCCTTAGGGTTTTCTAGGTATAGAATCGTATCATCAGTGAAGAGAGATAGTTTGACTTCTTCTTCTCCTATTTGGATGTCTTTTATTTCTTTCTTTTGCCTGATTGCTCTGGCTAGGACTTCCAGCCCTATGTTGAATAGGAGTGGTGAGAGTAGGGATCCTTGTCTTGTTCCAGTTCTCAAGCGGAATGGTTTCAGCATTTTCCCATTCAGTACGATGTTAGCTGTGGGTTTGCCATAGATTGCTCTTATTATTTTGAAGTATTTTTGTTTAATGCCTAGTTTGTTGAGGGTTTTTATCATGAAGGGATGTTGGATTTTACCAAAAGCTTTTTCTACATCTATTGAGATAATCAGATGGCTTTTGCTTTTAATTCTGTTTATGAGGTGAATGACATTTATTGATTTGCATGTATTGAAACAACCCTGCATCTCAGGAATAAGCCTACTTGATCATGGTGTTTTAATTTTTTGATGTGCTACTGGATTTAGTTTGGTAGTATTTAGTTAAGGATTTTTGCATCTATGTTCACCAGAAATGTTGGCCTGCAGTTTTCTTTTTTTGTTGTGTCTCTGCCAGATTTTAGTATCAGGCTGATGCTGGCTTTATAGAATGAGTTAAGAAGAAGCCCCTCCTCCTTGATTTTTTGGAATAGTTTCAGTATGACTGATAATAGTTCTTTGTCTGGTAGAATTTGGCTGAGAATCGATCTGATCTAGGGCTTTTTTTTTTTCTTTGGTTGTTAAGTCTTTTATTACTGATGCAAGTTCGGAACTTGTTATTGGTCTATTCAAGTTTTCACTTTCTTCCTGGTTTAATCTTTAGAGGTTGTGTGTTTCCAAGAATTTATCCATTTCCTCTAGATTTTTCAACTTGTGTGCATAGAGTTGTTCATAATAATCTCTGAGGATCTTTTGTGTTTCTGTGGGATTTGTTGTAATGTCATCTCTGTCATTTCTGATGGTATTTGGATCTTCTCTTTTTCTTTGTTAATGTACCTAACAGTCTATCAATCTTGTTTATTCTTTCTAAAAATCAACTCTTGGTTTCATTGATCTTTTGGTTTGGTTCTTCTGTAATTTTAGTTATTTCTTTTCTTCTGCTAGCTTTGGGGTTGGTTTATTCTTTATTTTCTAGTTCCTCTAGGTACAAAGTTATATTGTTAATTTGAGATTTTTCTAACTTCTTGATGAAGGTGTTTAGCACTATAAACTTTGCTCTTAGCACTGCTTTAGCTGTATCCCAGAGATTTTGGTAAGTCATGTTTCTATCTTCATTAATTTCAAATTTTTCCATTTCTTCTTTGATTTCATTGTTCACCCAGAGTTTTTCAGGAGGAAGTTGTTTGCTTTCTATGTATTTATGTAGCTTTGAGAGATTTTCTTGATATTGATTTCTGTTTTGTTGCACTGTTGTCCAAGATTGTGCTTGGTATGATTTGGTTTCTTTGAATTTATCGAGACGTTCTTTATGACTAAGCACATTGCCAATCTTAGAATATATTCCAGTGTGGATGAGAAGAATGTATATTCTGTGGTAGGTGTCTATTAGGTTCAATTGGTCAAGCATTGAGTTTTATTCCAGAATTTCTTTGTTAGTTTTCTGCCTTGATAATCTAATGTTGTCAATGGGGTGTTATATTCTCCCACTATTATCGTGTGCTAAGTATTTTCCTAGGTCAAGAAGGACCTGTTTTATGAATCTAGGTGTCCCAATGTTGGGTATGTATATACTTAGAATACGTAAATCTTCTTGTTGAATTGTACCCCTTATCATCATGGGATGTTTTTCTCTGTCCTTATTGTTGTTGGTTTAAACTCTTTTATCTGAAATAAAAATAGTGACTCCTGCTTTTTTTGTTGTTTTCTATTTGCATGGTAGATCTTTCTCCATCCCTTTACTTTGAGCTGGTGAGTCTCATTGCATGTGAGATGGGTCTCTTGAAGACAGCAGACAATTGAGTCTTTCCTTTTTATCCAGCTTGCCACTCTGTCTTTTAAGTGGGGGCATTTAGCCCCTTTCATACTGATATGTGAGATTTTGATCCTGTTATTGTTAACTGGTTGCTCTCTAGACTTGATTGTGTAGTTCCTTTATGGTGTCTGTGGGTTATGTCCTCAAGTGTGTTTTTGTGGTAACAGGTGTCATCATTTTGTTTCCATGTTTATCACCCCCTTATGGGGCTCTTGTAAGCCTGGTCTAGTTATAATGAATTTCTTCAGCATTTGCTTGTGTGAGAAGGATTTTACTTTTCCTTTGCTTGTGAAGCTTACTTAGTGTGCTAGGAAAGGAAATTCTTGGTTGGAGTTTCTTTCCTTTAAAGATGCTGAAAATAGGTCCCCAATCTCTTCTAGCTTGTAAGGTTTCTGCTGAGAGGTCTGCCACTAGCCTGATAGGGTTCCCTTTGTATGTAACCTGACCGTTCTCTGTAGCTGCCCTTAAGATTTTTTCTTTCACATTGACCTTGGTGAATCTGATAACTGTGTGCCTTGGGGATGATCATCTTGTATAGTATCTAGTAGGGGACCTCTGTATTTCTCGAATTTTCATGTCACCTTCTCTAGTGAGATTAGGGAAATTTTCAAAGACTGTGTCCTCAAATATATTTTGCAAGTTGCTTACTCTCTCTCCTTCTCTCTCAAGAATGCCAATGAGTTGTAGGCTTGGTCTATTTACAAAATATTCACTAACGTGATGCTCACAACAACTCCATTAGGTACATATTAATCCCATTTAACAGATGAGAAAGTGGAGGCAGAAACATTAAGTGACTTATAATGACACACAGCTAGTAAGCAGTGGACCCAGGATTATAAACCAGGCGGTTCACTTCATAATCTGTGCTCTTAACTGTGAAACTCTTTCTACTACAAGAAAACCTTTCCAAAAGTAACCCAGAGATTTGACTTTATATTTCATTGGCCAGAACTGAGTCACAGGCCCACCTCTTAACTAATCACTAACAAGAGGCATGAATTATCAAGAAAAGCATAAAGCTATCAAGATTTGTCACTGAGCTGGAGATGGACTCCTCTTTTCCAACGAAGAGGCCCTAAAAAAATAGGAGTAGGGTTTTACTCTCATAGAAAGGGAATGAACGTATGGCAAGGAACCAGCCATGCCTGCTATGAGGGGCTACCTACAAAAAGTCCAGCTTCCCTAACTCCATTTCCTCTGCTTTCATAAGTTAAGATAGCATGTGATACCGTGATCATCCGTGCATGTGTCTGTGCCTCCTTCAACTTGCTTGCAATTATCCCAAAGATAGGAAAAAAATCTCATAGATCTGCATATTCTCCACAAAGCCTGGCATAGGGCCTCACACATGGAAAATGTTCAAGAAACATTTGTTCATTGTAATTGAATTTTCATTCTCAACTCTCCTTAATTGGAGAGGTCAACAGTTGGCCATGCTCAAGGCAGGCAGGTAATGCATTTTCACATTGATCTTGCAATCAAATGAATTCTGAAAAACTTCCCTTGCCATGTGAAATAGCAAGAAATCACATATTAACATAGGTCATGCAAAAGCCCAAACTTATTAAATTGTTAGTACCTTGCACTTGGCACCCTTAGAGGTAACATTAATGTCACAATTTTATCATGACTTGACATTTCTTCTATATTCAAGAGACATTATATTCAAAGAGACACATTAGAAAGCCATAGACAGAATAGGCTACATAAGTTGCAGGGTTTAGTTCAAAAAGAAGATACGAAGCCCCAGCTGGGGTGGAGTGGGTCAATCTCCTATTTTCATGGGCCTAATGCTCCAACCCACAGTGGACAGGTAACAACCCCCAAGAGATTATAACCTCTAAATACCTGGATTAGAGTTGGGCAAGAGGGCCCCACAGAGTTGTCCACTGAACACATTGTGATATTACCAGCTCCCAACAGAGGCTGGCATTGCCTTGCCCCATCCTGTGATGCAGCAGGACACATTTATGGGCATGACCCTTCCTGGCCTGTGCCCAGGAAGGGAAGAACCCCCAACCAATGAGACCTGGTGGCTGTAGTAGTCAAGGGGCAGGAGTAGGGAAGAATAGGCTAGGTGGGGGCTGAGGTTTGGTACGTGGATGAAAATCCATCCCAGAGAGGCAGCAGCGAAGCAGGACAACCATGATCTGAGGCTTTAAATTCCTGGCTTATGCTCCATTTTCCTATTGTACTTTACTTACAAAACACAAATCCAAAGATGTAATTATTAAGGACTTCAAGATGATGACCATAGCACATTAAATCCCAACCACTTCTGAGCTTGGGACTCTGTTTAATTATACTGATCACATGACCTGGCCATATATGTATAGTGCCTTGTTTAAATGGAATATTCTCAGTTAAATAAAGCATTAGAATTAATGAAATTTAATGTTTGGTTTTTCTTATTTTTTTAATGTAGCATAGTGGGTTGAATAGTGTCCCCTCCAAAAAAAAAGAGAAAAAATAAATATTCATTTGTGGAGAGGATAAGTGTCATTTTAAGAAATACTATCATTGACTGGATAAGGAAAATATGGTACATATACAGCATGGAATACTAATATAGCCATAAAAAGGAATGAGATCATGTCCTTTGCAGGGACACGGATAGAGCTGAAAGCCATTATCCTCAGCAAACTAATGCAGGAACAGAAAACCAAACACTGCATGTTCTCACTTGTAAGTGGGAGCTGAACAATGAGAATACGTGGACACACGGAAGGGAACAACACATAGTGGGGCCTGTTGGGGTAGGTTGAGGTAGGGGGAGAGCACTAGGGAAAATTGTTAATGCATGCTGGGCTTAATACCTAGGCGATCTGTTGATAGGTACGGCAGACCACCATGGCACATGTTTACCTATGTAACAAACCTGCACATCCTGCACATGTACCCTGGAACTTTAAAAAATAATAATAAAATTTTTTTTAAAAGATATACTATTATTTCTTAAGAGCTGGTATTCAATAGTTCAGTAGGGTTACTATAGTCATTAATCTATTATACACTTCAAAATAGCTAAAAGAGAATAATTCAAATGTTCCAAGCCTAAACAAAAGATAAATATTTAAGGTGATGGATGTCCCAATTACCCTGATGTGATTACATGAATATATCAAATTATCATATGTACCCCTAAAATACGTACAACTATTATGTATCAATAAGAAATTTAACAAATAAATTAAAACTCAAAAAAAAGCCACACACACAAAAAGAAATGCTAACATTCCAAAAGCTTACTGAATGAATAGCTTATTTAATGGAATGGTGGAAGAAATTGGACAACAAGGGAGGTAACTGCTCACCGCACAAGTATGCATCCCATGACTTTATTTAGTCGTTTCTCCCCTCAGTGTACGCTATGTTGACTTTGGACTTTATCCGGTAATGAGGAGCTATTTAGCACTTTTTTTTTTTTTTGAGATGGAATCTCACTCTGTCGCCAGGCTGGAGTGCAGTGGTGCGATCTCAGCTTCCCGGGTTCAAGCGATTCCCCTGCCTCAGCCTCCCGAGTAGCTGGGACTACAGGCATGCACCACCATGACCAGCTAATTTTTTGTATTTTAGTAGAGATGGAGTTTCACCATGTTGGCCAGGATAAATTGCAGGATTTAGTTCAAAAAGAAGATATGAAGCCCCAGCTGTGGTGGAGTGGGTCAATCTCCTATTTTCATGGGCCTAATGCTCCAACCCACAGTGGACAGGTGACAACCCCAAAGAGATTGTAACCTCTAAATACCTGGATTGGAGTTGGGCAAGAGGGCCCCGCAGAGTTGTCCACCGAACACATTGTGATACTACCAGCCTCAGTCTCCTGACCTCATGATCTGCCCGACTCTGCCTCCTAAAGTGCTGGGATTACAGGCGTGAGCCAAAGGGAAGAGTAACACAATCCAGTTTATATCATAGATGGACCTCTTTGGTGGCAGCAAGAAGGAGGGATTCAAGGAAGTAGAGCTTTTAGGCACGCAAAGCAACTCAATTCTACTTCAACTATTACTGAAAATGGCATTGTAGCATGGTGGTTAAAGACGTGGGCTCTTTACTTAGATATACGTCCATTCAAATTCTTCTTCTGCCATTTATGCAGTGTATAAAC
The DNA here is from genome assembly GCF_000001405.40 of Homo sapiens. Classification (NCBI taxonomy): domain Eukaryota; kingdom Metazoa; phylum Chordata; class Mammalia; order Primates; family Hominidae; genus Homo; species Homo sapiens. The sequence continues at coordinate 2,882,020 of NC_000009.12, read as the reverse complement.
TTGAGCCAGTCACTTGCCATCTCTAAGTTTCAGTTTCTTATCTACTAAAACAAAGTAATTATAACAGGGTTCTTATGAAGTTTGATCGCAAAGAGATATATGAAGCACTTCCCACAGTGCCTGACTCATTAACTATAGCTATTATTGTTATTATCATATGGAATGGGTTATTTGTTTCCCTTCCCAGCTCCATGCTTATGCCCTTTCTAAAAACCACCATGCTTCCAAACAGGGAAAGAGGGACATGTGCATGACCACCCATTTCAATCGGCCTCTCTCCCTCTGCGACCCACACTCTTTAAGAGCAGAAGGAATGGCTACTTATTCCTTCCCCTACTTTATAATCTTATTCTTCTACCTAAAGGCAACAGGCTTGTGATCTAGCTGTCAGATATGGAGTGGCAGCTTATCCACTTTACAGAAGAAACTTCTGACTGAGTCCAGAATATGTGAAAATTCAGAAAAATCCACTTTTTGTCCATAGCTTAATTTTAAATGTACTGTCTTGCTAAAGAAATAATCTCAATCATTTATTCATTCCTTCATTCTTTCATCCTCTATTACCCTGGGTCAAAAATCCTATATAAAGGAAGAACTGAAGTTTGGTCATTTAAAGGAGAAATAAAAATACATTCTTTTAATATTTGTAGTATATTGTCCTTACTGAAAAGTTACTTTATCATTGTTATAATAATGTAAAAAGGAAGAAAATTTTTGGAAATCTCACTTATAGATTACTTATTAGGGTATAAGTGATTTTGGGGGGAACAACAGAAGCACTTATATATTGGAAGCACCAAAAGTGGCTGGTGGTGTTTTCCAGATATTTGGAAATACCTAGAAATTAGAATAAAAGAAAGTATTCGTTAACACAGAAACTCCAGAACCATGTTCTTCCAACAATGGAAGGGTTAAGACCATGAACTTTGAGTCAGGCACACCAGATTTGCATGTATGTAAAGAGTGGGAGATTTGGGGATCGAAGTGATGGCACCTGTAGAAGGCTGTTCTGTGCACTTAGGATTGCACTGCCAGGCCCACTGAGTGATGGATGGTCAAATGAAGAGCAGGTGCAATGCTCCATGGCCTCCTTGGCCCCTAACAGTCAGTAAGAGAAGTTGGTGCTGGGCTAGAGCAGGAGATAGAGATGCAGGTGGTCTCTAGAGTGCTACTCTTCAAACTTAAACGTGCACATGAATCACCTGGAGATCTTGTTAAAATGCAGAGTCTGGTTCAATAGTCTGGAGTATGGCTTGAGATTCTGTACTTCTAATAAACTCCCTGGAGATGCCAACACTGCTGGTCATGGGTCACACTTTGAGTAGCAAGGAGATGTGTTCTGTTTAACTCTCCTGTTGTGACTGCCATTGCAACCTCTCCACCTTCTTCTTTTGAAGCTGCTCCCTTGTTCTCTTTCCTTTTCTTCAAAGCACTGCCATATTCTTAATCCTGAGCACCAGTGCTGTAATTTCAGAAAAAAAATAGGCACACATTTTTTATCAGGTTTGACACATCATTGTATCCATTAGCACATCACTGGGTGCTCAGTGCTCTTCACTGGCCCAAGCCCTGGGAGCACACAGAAGACTTGGCCCCTACCCTCAAAGGAATAAAACACCATCAGTGACCATTCACCAGTAATCATTTATTGAGTGCCCTCTATTGATATTCTTATATCAATAAGACCAAAACAGGGAAGACCAAAACCATCGAAACCTTGTTAACCTTTCTAAGTCTCAGTTTTCTCAGATGTGGAATATGGATACTAACACATATCTCAAAGATTTAATTCAGGGTGAAATGAAATAAATGTAAAGTCCCTAGTAATCACTAGGTGGTGAATAGTTGTAATCCTTTCCTTTTAGTTCTATTAGGTTGTGGTACAGACACAGACACATGAACAGACAGAGTTTCAAAAGGGAAAATCTTAGTCTATGGTCTGAGGCCATGGCTGTTCTGACAAAGGAAAGCACTCTGAATAAGGTTTTTCAGGGACTCTCAGGAACCTAAACCACTAAGAGGCACCTGGCTCTTGTGGAGCTATACCCCTCTGTAAATCACGGTTTCATATTAGCAGACCTGCCTGGTGGCCTCGGGTTCTTTAGTAAAGCCGAGTCCCTTCTCTCATTTCCAGTGAATTCTCAGGGGAAATAAGTCTTATTCTCCCAAGCATTCATTTTTTTTCTGTTCTGCCTCTGAAACCTACTCTATTCCTAGTTAGGGAGTATCAGGAGCCCTCGTCCAATGCACATGGTGACTCTGCACTGACTTAGCCTTGCCGCTTGCCCTGCTCTCACCTGGTGCTCCAGTTTTCATAAACTTCCGCACTGTGCATGAAATCCAGGTCTCCACTTTGTACCCATATCTGAGAACTGGGTGTCTTTCTTTCCCATTCCATTTATAATAAATATTTATGGAGTACTTACTCTCAGCTAGGCATTGTGGTAGGTGTACGTGCTACCTGCCAATATTCCCAGTTTTCTTCTCTTTCTGGAAACGTGAGGATTTTATTTCCTAGGCCCCTTGAAATGAGACAAGGCCTTATGACTTCCATGACCCATCTACTGTGAGCAGAAGTGATGTGTGTCACCTCCATGTGGAAGCATTTGAGAGATGGTGTGAGATTCTTTGTACCTCTTCTTCCTCCTTAGTAATTGTAGGAGTCCTGTTGTGTTGACAGTGTCATGACACGGTATGGCCTCCTTCAGCCTGAGCCTCTGAATATGTGTGAGGTGAGAATCTCTCCTGTCAGCCTATGTTATACATGTAGTTTGAGCAAAAAATAAACCTCTGTTGTTTAAAACCACAGAGGATTGAGACTTTTTCTTATTGCAGAATGACCAAGCCTACCCTAGCTAATACAGCATCATCCCAAGCACCTCCCTTTTACATTTTAGTAGGAGGAATATGTGCAATAAACATATAAGCAAACAAATATGTAAAGTATTAGAAAATGATGAGTGCCATGAAGAAAATTATACTGGGAAACTGGATGCAGAGTGACTTGGAGGTTGCTGCTTACGCAGCAGTGCTCAGAGACTCCTCACAGAAGTGCTGGTAGTTGAGCTGATGAGGCATAGCCATATAAAGATTTAGAGAAAGGAACTCTGGCAGACGGAACAGAAGTCTGAGGTTTGAAGCAGATTGGATTGATCGTGTGTACTGTTCACTGCAGTTACTTTTGATAAGCAGACTGTATGTGAGCAAGAAAGGAAGCAAGAAAATCAGTCAGCAGGCTATTGTGATAGAACAAATGAGAGACGGGGCATTAAGACTAGGCTTTTAGTAGTGAAGTTGCTGAAAAGTGACCTGACTCAGGATCTATTCTGGAGACAGCGTAACAGAACTTGCTGACAGATTGGCTGTCGGTAGCAGAGGGAAAGAAGAATCAAAGGTCATCTCCCAGGTTTTTGGTCTGAGCAACTCAGTGTCATTTAATAAAATGGTAAAATTTAATAAAATGGTAAAGGGGAGGCCAGGAGCAGGTTTGGGAGGGAAAATCGAGAGTTTGGTTGTGAGCATATTAGGTTTGAGATGGCCACTTGCAGTCGAGTGGAGCTATTGGGCTGGCAGTTAGACACGTGTATCTGGAACTCAGGAGAAACCTTATCTGGAGACAGGGTTGGGAAAATCAGGGAGCATGCAGATGATAAAGCATAGGACCGTTTGAAGATAGCATAGAGATGAGAGGCAGGAGCAGAGAATTTGAACATTTAAAAGTTGGACAGAGAAGAAAGGGTCATCAGGCAGACTGAGAGCTTTACCCAGTAAGGTAGGAGGCATGCAGTAACATGAAGAAAATTGCTTCAAGAAGGAAAGATGACAATTTGTGTCAAATGTGGCTATAAGTTCAAATATGATGAAAAGAGAGATTTGGCCATTAGAATACCTAGCATGGAAGTTATCAGTGACCCTGATAAGAACCATTTCAGGAGTGAAGACTAAAGGGGATGTGACCAAGTAGAGAATCTAGACAGCTTTTCCCAGGAGTTTCAATGGGAAGAACAGCAGAAAAAAATGGAGTAGGAGTAGGGTCCCTGTATCTGAACCTCTGCCTTGACAACGTGTATAACACCTCATGCCCTCCAATTTTGGTTAGACTTGGGCCCCCAGCTTGGTATTTGTAGACTCCATATGGGCTTGAGTCTTCTTCTGAATCATATCCCCAAGACTGGGAATGTACACCTGCCAGACAGACCACTCCGAGAACAAATTTTTCCCTGCCAGAATCTCCATATAAAGTAATAGTAAACCACATCCTCAGGAGAGACATGAACAAAAAGAGAAAGAGTAAATAAATACATCTGTTCTTCACAAACTCAGAAAGGGTTTATGCACTTGATGACAGCCGATGATAATGTTGGATCCCCCAAAAACATGGCCATCAAGATGAGTGTGATGGTGAGAAAGTCACAGCTCTCACCTCATCAGCCATCAAGGTGACAGATGATCACAGTGCTGGGAATTATTTAAATTTAACTTTTGAATTGTTAAATACAATAAACTCAAATAAATACAATAGATTCAGACGGTTCAAAATTCAAAATGTAAAAAGGATGCACAATGATGTCTCCAACTGATCACTGTTTCCTACCTTCCAGTTCACTTCCCCCCAAAGAAACTAATGTTATTACTTTCTTGTCATTCCTCCATACATACATGCACAGTCTTCCCACCCTCCACCTTCTGACACAAGTGGCGTTTTACCCACATGCTATTCTGCATCTACAAAGCCAGAAATCTGCCAACGTGGAAAGAAGTAGGTTTTTGCAAATCCACTAACAGCTTCTGAATTCATAATTTTTTTTTAGAAAAGCAGTTATTTCTTAGGTAGTAAGCATGGTAAGTAGAGTCTAACTTGAGTTCCCATGTGTCTGGAGTGTCTGTTGAATACAGCTGACCTATGAGGAGGCAGAAGAGACCTGGGAGAATAAATATAGGAGATGTGACATTTGTGCCTAAGCATTCTGACACAAGTTCCCAGGGATGTCATGGAACCTTGCCGTCACTGATGTATCCACCTGCTATCATCCCCTCCCTTCCAGAACCTCTGGGCAAGCCCTGCCCTCCTGCCAGCACTCCCTTGGCTGGCTCAGGTCCTTGGTTGGCTCTCTCTTAAGTTAATCAGCTGCCAGAATCACCACCTGTCCCTTGTCAAAATTGGCCTTGTATTGCAAAACGCCTCCCTCTTGGCTGGCCATTCTTGCGATGCTTCCATCAGGATTTACCGTGGAACCAGGTCCCCATGACCCTAGTTTGATGTCCCACTCCCCACTGCTTGCCTGAGTCCCTCTCCAAGCAGGGGGCGTGTGCCTTTTAAATCTGAACCAATTCCAATATATAAAAACATAGAGCCCGGTTTTTAAAATGACCACCTGACACGCCAAGTGAAGAGAAGCTCGTTTTCAAATGATTCCCGGCTGTTATAATAGCATTGTGGGACTCTGGAAGGATTCGGCCCAGCCGCGGGCTGTGACGCAGAGGCCAGGGCGCACAGGAGACACGGAGAAAGCACAGAGAAGGCGGTCCCTGTTTGAGGTCTGGAGTCAGAGACAGAGCCAGACGCCCAAGGCCCGAGCGCCCACGGCAGCACCATGCCCGCAGTCTTGGAGCACCCCAAGCTTTCCAACGCCATGGCCAGAACACTGCACCAAGCACATTGTGATGGAGCAGGAGCATAAGCGACAGGAGAAAGAAGAGGTGGACAAGATGACGGAACAGAAGATGAAGGAAGAACAGGAGAGAAGGAAGAAAAAGGAGATGGAGGAGAGAATGTCACTAGAGGAGACCAAGGAACAAATTCTGAAGTTGCAGGAGAAGCTTTTGGCCCTACAGGAAGAGAAGCACCAGCTTTTCCTGCAGCTCAAGGAAGTTTTACATGAGGAAGAAAAACGGAGGCGAAAGGAACAGAGTGACCTGACCACCCTGACATCAGCTGCATACCAGCAGAGCCTGACTGTTCACACAGGTACATTACTCCTCAGCACGCAGGGGAGCCCTGGAGGACACAATCGCCCAGGCACCCTCATGGCAGCTGACAGAGCCAAACAAATGTTTGGACCCAAATTGCTTACGATCCGGCACTACGTTGGCCCAGCAACTGCTTTTGCGGAGACACCAGAGCATGGACAATTCCAAGGCAGTCCTGGTGGTGCCTATGGGACTGCTTAGCCCCCACCTCACTATAGGCACACACAGCCAGCTTATAGTCCTAGTCAGCAGCTCAGAGCTCCTTCGTCTTTCCCTGCAGTGCATTACCTATCTCAGCCACAGCCACAGCCCTGTGTCCTGCACAGCCACTTTCAGCCCACTGAGACAGATTTCCTACAGCCTGGTGGTGCCCTATCCTTGCAAAAGCAGATGGAACATGCTAACCAGCAGACTGGCCTCTCCCACCCATCCTCTTTGCGTCCCATGCACCCCCAGGCTCTGCATCCAACCCCTGGACTCCTTGCTTCCCCACAGCTCTCTGTGCAGATGCAACCAGCAGGAAAGTCGGGCTTTGCAGCTACAAGCCAACCTGGCCTTTGGCTCCCCTTCATCCAACACAGCCGGAACCTGCAATTCTACCACAAGTGACCATCAGATTATATCTTCAACACCATGCCCTTCCACCCCACCGTGGGTGAGGGTACAATAGCATTGTGCCTGAATGGTTCAGTCATCACAGAAGCAAGGAGGGCAATTTTATTTTATGTTTGACCTAGTAACAGAAATTGCGATTGGAAGTCAACTTGGGATACTTAAAACAGCTACTCATAATCTTGTCAATTAACATTTGTGCATTGCATTACTCTTTATGAAGCACTTTTATGTACACTGTCATAATACATTAGGGGGTGATGGTGGCTCCAAGCAGAGAAAAAAACTGTATTATTTTACTGCCTAATCTTAGAAACAGGGAGGAAACAGACAGTTTCTTAGAAAGGAGACTATCAAAGCAGACCACAGAGCTAAGCACAAAAGAAGAAGCATTATCAATGCCAAACTCAGAGAGGCTGAAATGAAAATATTCCAATTCAAGAATTTGAGAGAGACACATTGTGGGAAGAGGGTTAAACCCAAATGAGGACCTATCACAAAATGTTCAAGATTGAGGGCTAGTGAACAACTGTGTGGCCAGAGTAGGTTTTTGGTTCTTTTATTTATAGCATAGGTAATACATAGCTTTGTATTAAAATATAGCAACTGCAGCTAAACCAAAAGAAAATAAGCAGTATATTTTAGGCTTTTCTGCCCAGTATCTTTGAGGGCCACAATCTTGGGGAGAGTTGCCTGAAGTTTGTCTGCACTGATACCCCAATTTGTTGCTTCTTTCCTTTTTTCCCTGAAAAAAAAAAATGCTTACTGGTTCCCTGTCTGGTCTGCCCCTTCTTCCAGCGGTTTGGGAATAAACATTTTCCTAGCTGTTGGTGACTCAGTAATGGACTTGACTGATGGTAACTGCCTTTCCTGGAGAGTCGGTATTCATAGTTGTCTCTTATCTCAAAGGCAACAATGTATCCATGTAAATTGTGAAAGAATCTGGCTTGATTAATGTGGTGGCAATGAATGCCAAGAACAATCATAATCCGTCACATCTGCTGATTCTAAATCGCCAATCTTGAATAAATATTTTGCTTTTGGTGCTTTCCCTGAAGAGTCTTAAGAGACTGACTTGCACACATCTTCATGTGTCTTCCTCCACCCTCACTGCATTTGCCTATTAGGTTTCCTTGCATGCAGTAGGTACTCATTACATGTTTTCTGACTGAAAGTTCTCTTTCTTAGAGGATTGTGAGGCTCCACTTTTGAACTGGCTGATTCATTCAGCTTTATCTTGCATGAACTAATCCAGTATGAAGCCATGTCCTGATGAGAAAGAGAGAGCTGAATAGTTGAAGACAGTTCTTCCCTTTGAGAGTAAATTTGTGGGAATGTGTGAGGGTTCATGGCATGGCTAAAATGTGATGAATCTGATCGTGTGTGGGGTGTATGTGTGTGTGTGTGTGTGCACGTGGGCACGCATGGGCATTATATTTTCCAGAACTACGGGACATTCCCAGTATATGTCCATTCTACCAGAAGAAAGCACTTGGGGTTCTTTCTTCTCTGACAGTTCTTGTCTCAAGACTCCCCATCCTCCAGAATTCTTATCTATTTTATGACAGTTAATGCCCAAATGCCTCAAGATAAAATTGATCTCAGTCTTAGAGAAAAGCAGACTCATGCCAACCTGGGTGGGATACAAGTGGGAAATGATCTTTCTGGAATGAAGATCGGGGGGAATAAGGAAATGAAACAAGGGCAGGAAAGTAGCCAGGGAAATTAATACTGGCTTAGCACTTCTGGAACATGGTTGAGGGACTCTCTCTGGAAAGTTCTAATAGTGTTAAGCCTGCAGTCAGCCCAAACCCCATCTTGGCCCAGAGATGAGGTGAGAAGCAGGGATGGAGGCAAGAGAGGAAGATGAGTGCAAAGAGAAACTGAATTAGAGGAAGAAAAGAAGAGAGGGGAATTCTAAGTGGAAATCAATCGATGGAAACAGTAAAGATTTATCAATAGCCCTTTTCCTAGGTGGCTGTAAAGAGTGCCTACCTATCTACCCACCCACCCATCTATTCATCTATCCTGCCTTTTTCCAAAAGGATTTGAGCTCGTTCCATAAAGTGTATGTAATAATATAGTATAAACTATAATTAGGCAAAATTACACAGAAACACAAGGATGGGGACAAAATGAAGCCAGGAATGGGGCTGGCCACACACGCTTACTATGGCTGGATCGTGTGCCTGTCTAAGGAACTGCCTGTGACAGTGAGAAACAGTGATACACATAACTAGAGTGAGAATCTTGCTGAACCTGTGTTCTGGCCTGTGGCATGTGTCTTCCTCTCCAGATCTGCCTCTATGATTATGTCTTGCTTAGACTCAGCCACACCCAGTTGGGCTTTGTGGGTGGCATATGCAATGGGTAGCACTGGGGGGAAGTCGGGCTAAATGGGTGTGTTTGTGAGTATCATATACGTTAAAACGCAAATACAAAAATTGCTTCACTTGCATAAGGCAAATTAACAGAAAGAACCTGTCCAACTATAGAATAAAACCTTGTCAGAGGTTATAAAACAGCAACATTAATTTTTTTCAAAACTCAAAATATAGCAGATTTTAAAACCTTTTTTTTTTTTTTAGATTAAAAAAATCCACGATTGAAAAGTGTGTTGACAGAGGCTGTGAGGTTCTTTTCTTATCTGACATCTCCCTCTACCGACAGTACCTTCTCTCACTTTTGCCTTGCAACACGGCAGGGAAGTCCTTTGAAAGTGACATGCCTGTGAAATGCCTTTGAGTTCTGGTTCACAGATTGGAGAAGGACCAGGTTTTGTGGGGGAAGATCATAGGTTCCTTTTGGGTCTTGGGGAATTGGAGCCTTCTGAGTTCAATCAGCAATAGGATTCATGTGTCTGGAGCTCAGAAGAGAGACCTCAGAAGAAGATAGAAGTGAGAGAGTGGCCAGTAGGAGCAGATGAAAGAAAAGAGGAGGAGGAGGAGGTTGCCCTGACCTTGAGAGTCTCTCGTACATAAAGGCCAGCTAGATGGGGAGGAGCAAAACAACATAAATTCAGTCTTTCGTTCCAGCGAATGCCTTTGTAAAACATTTCCTACTAAGGGCCATCCATCTTTGACTTATACAATTGCAGTGTTGGAAAACTCCCTCTTTCATTGCTGTTTGACAGTTCTTATTGTTAGAAGTTTATTACTTCTGATGAGCTGGAAGAATCTGGTTCGCCACCATTTCCGTCCCTTTTTGTCATTCTGCTGTTCAGTGTGATAAAGATAGAATCTGTCATCTCACACATTTACCCAACAAATGCTTCCCCATGAAAATCCCATGAGACAAATATGGGTAAATGTTTAAACTGCCCAGTTCAAGGTCTTTTCCCTACCCTCTCCCACCCCATTATAAGCCCTTGAGAGCAAAGACTGTGTCTTATTCCCCTCCCCGCCAGCCTCCAGTCTATCAGACATTTCAGGGAGTATTTCTATGTAATAAGTGCTTCTTGAGCATAATCTATTTAGACATTGCATCAATTGAATGAGTAACAAACTATTATCATCCCCATTTACAGATAAGAAAACAGGTTTAGAGAGATATATAACTTGTACAGTACCTTATAGCAACTGTGTGGTAGAGCTTGGCTTGGACACCATGTCTCTCTGATATTGAGGTTTAGGGTAGTTAAATCAACGTGGTCTTTCCCCTTTTGCCAACTAGACGCCATGAGGCACAGAAAAAGCTCACAATAGCGTTCACCGGATTGAATTAATTTGTGATAATACCTACTTGGAAATTGGTAAAGTGGGTTCAAGAGCATATAGGTGAAACAGGTAAGATTGTCTCTAGACCCAAGCTTCTCCTCCACTGAAGTGACTGATTTCCTTATCTCAGCATTAGCTCCCATAAAGCAGCCCCCATCCCAGCTTGCTCCACCAGCCTCAGTCAGTTCTGACTAGAACGCTTATGTGACTCCTTCTACGGCCCAGTTTCCCTCCAGCCCTCATACCAAGCCCTCCATCCATCCAGGATTTCTATTGCCCTGACAGTTTGGTCAGTACTTTCAGCTCCCATTATTCTAGATTCCCTCAGAGGGCAACGGATTCCTGCTGGTTATATTTTGGATGTAATGGGCTTGGGCTCCCCACTAACAAGCTCTGTAACCTTGAGTAAGTTACCTACTTCCTTTGAGCCTTGAGTTTATTGTCTTTAAAATAATGGGCCAGGCCTGTAATCCCAGCACTTTGGGAGGCTGAGGTGGGAGGATCACTTGAGGCCAGGAGTTTAAGAGGCCAGCCTGAGCAACATAGTGAAACCCCATCTCTACAAAAAATTTTAAAACAAAAATATTAGCCAGGCATACTGTTGTGTGCCTTGTAGTCCCAGCTACTCAGGAGGCTGAGGTGAGAGGAAGTTACAGGAGATCAAAGCTGCAGTGAGCTATGATCATGCCATGGCACTTCAGCCTGGGTGACAGAGTGAGACGCTGTCTCTATTTAAAACATAAACAAAATAAAATAGTAATGAGAACTATTACTTGTTGGCATGCTGTGACTTTAACTGAAAATGTAAGTTAAATGTGTAGTAGAGTGCTTGCCCCACTGCCTATCTACTCTATGAGTCTGTAGATGGAAATTGAAAACTTTGTGATTGCTCTTTCAACTTGGAGAAGATGAATAATGAGAGGAAATAGAGACAGCAAAGAAAGAGAGAAGTTACAGGAGTAAGAAAGCAGATAAAATGCAGTATCGTGGAAGCCACAGAGAGAGTACGACCCTTAGTTCTTGTTTCCAATTGGATGGTCAAGAATTTCTGTCTTGCATTTGGCAAAGAGATAGAAGGGATTTTCAAGGCTTATTTCTATAGAGACATGGGGATAGAGACAGATGGCAGAGAAATAAAGACAGCAAGGTCTCAGGAAAGGAAGGCAGTTATTGATGACTATGGGTAAATTTTGGCAGGAAAAGAAAGTAGACGAGAGGGCAGCAATCCCAGAGCAATGGGTTTATGACAAGTAGATAATGGATAAATGCTCACAGAGTCAATGGCTGAGGGAGTAACTGAGTGAGTGAGCAAAGATGCTTGGAGTTTCATGAAATGGTTTTGATAACATTGGTGATGTTGTTGGGTCTGTGGCATTTCTAAGCCTTTTTAGTATTAGTAGTGGGAGAAACATTGGAAGAACTATACAACATTCTTGGCTCACACAAAAGCACATCCAAGGGCCAAGAACATAAAGTAAAAATCCTTTCACCTGCTACCATCTGTTGCTCTCTAAACTGCCAAACTTTTCCTCAGTGCCCTCCAATAGTGGAGGCTATTTCCTCAGACCCCAAATAAGGTGTTAAAGATGACCCAAGAAACCTAGTTTTTGATTGGAAGCTGATCATCAAAGATTTGGAGATGTATGATGGACAAGTCTGAGTATATAAATCCATTCAGAAGCATCTCCTGAGATTCTTACACTCAGTTGAAGTTGACTAAAAGCTGGACAAAAACCCATTTGTCTATCTTTTTCCCTTAGCCCATTCCCTGGATCCAGACCTCCACTCCCTCAGTGCTGTAGGGTAGGCAGAAAGAGTATAAGTTCTCCAGAGATGGGATGGTGAGTATCAGGCTGGCCATTTAGTGTAGGTCAAGGCTTCTGGCATTTTAATATGCAGGCAAATCGTTAGGGGATCTTGGCCAAATGCAGTCTCTTGCTAACATAATGTGGGATGGGGCCTGCATTCTCTACTTTTAGCCATCCCCAGCTGATGCAGCTACTGTGGCTGCCAGGCATGAGTGTGATGGGCCATGCTTGAGTGGCAAGGCTATAGCATATCTAACTAACACTGATTTGCCCACACCTGCCCTTGTGACATTTGGTGGGTAACTGAGACACTTTTGTATCAGTTCAGCTTTAGGACTGATTTCCTCCCTCTCCCACTCACCCACCCCAACCATCAACCCTGCCCAGGAAAATGCAATGAAAAAAATAATAATAATAGTAGCATCTGATTGGAATCCTGAAGTCACAGCTAAAAGGTATTTTTTCCCCAGTTTTCTAGGGAACAACTAATGGTTGTTTTTCTTCTTTTTTGGATCCCAGAAGCCTTGTTTTTCTGGCCTTCATGGCTTGGCATGGATCCACTTTTGTTGATTTGGTGTTTCTTCTGTGGATAAACTTTCTGGCTTTGAAAAAGCCTCCTTCTTTTATGAGGCACTTTTAACCTGCAGGATCTCCATTTAGCTTAATTGGCATATTTATGTATTGAGATGGGTGCCTAGAGGGCTTGGGCCACAGCATCTTTTGTATAAATTGAAAAAAATGAAATGAGCTGTTCTCACAGTTGTGTGCCCTTCAGTCATGGAGTGCGCTAAAAGGCTCATCATTTACAGGCTGCGAAAGCTCAGGAAGATCAATAGGCATAATGCAACCCAGAGCTGTTCGGCAAAGCAAAACTCAGGGTTTTCAAAGCCCAGTGACTTCGGGAGCTTGGCCATTACTAATTCCCTTTTCAATCTTTCCTGGACCCTTCATTTCTTGTCCATGTTAAGGAATGGACTTCTCGACTCCTGATGAATCATCCTCCTAAGGTTATGCCAAGAGCCTTCTCCTGAGGGTCAGACAATTTGTGAACTCTGAGGAGCTGACTGCTCCAGGCCAGACCCCTCTGATCACAGCCCAGATGCAGACTGTCACTTTTCATGTCACTTCTGAAGCCCAGCATCCTTTGAAAGCAAGTGTGGGAATTGATTCTTATTAGTTTAATACAGCTATGGTTAATGGCTTATAGATTTTTATATAGTCTGGCCCTGCTAGGCATGTCTATTAAGTCTCTATTATGGGTGACAGAGGAGAGAGAAGGTCAAAGGGCCTGGGACAAATGCACGGCTTTCCTCCAAGCCAGACCGAGAAATGTCTTCTTAATAAGAGTTCTTATGACCTCCTGGAGACTCGAGAGAGAAAGAAGGCCCTTTTGGTGGATTCTAGGGGAATTTGGCTCCAAAGCTCAGGAATGCATGTCTCACAAGAGGCAAAGGTAGTATATCAGGTAACACAGATGCCCTGCTGGGATGAATTAATGAAAACAAGTACAGGTGAACCAGCTGCCCTTGGAATTTTCAGCTCAACAACAGTGGATTCAATAGCCACCCCCAAAAAGCTATGTCTAACAGAGGAACAGAAAACCAAATACTGCATGTTCTCACTTATAAGTGGGAGGTAAACACTGAGTATATAAGGACTCAAAGAAGGAAACAACAGACATGAGGATAGAGGGTGGGAGGAGGATGAGGATCGAAAAACTACCTATGCGGTACTATGCTTATTATCTGGATAACAAAATAATATGTACACCAAAACCCTGCAACATGCAATTTACCTATATAACAAACCTGCACATGCACCCCTGAACCTAAAATAAAAGTTAGGCCAGGCGCGGTGGCTCACGCCTATAATCCCAGCACTTTGGGAGGCAGAGGGTGGATCACACGGTCAGGAGATCGAGACCATCCTGGCCAACATGGTGAAACCCTGTCTCTACTAAAAAATACAAAAAAGTTAGCTGGGTGTGGTGGCACATGCCTGTAGTCCCAGCTACTTGAGAGGCTGAGGCAGGGAAATTGCTTGAACCTGGCAGGTGGAAGTTGCAGTGAGCCGAAATCTCGCCACTGCACTCCAGCCTGGAGACAGAGCGAGACTCCGTCTCAGAAAAAAAAAAAAAAAAAAACAGTTAAAAATAAATAAATAAATAAATGGGGGGAAAACGCTATGCCCACCAGAAACTGTAAAGGTGAACTTATTTGGAGAAAGAATCTTTGCAGATGTATAAATTAAGGACCTCAAGATGAGATCATCTTGGATTATCTGGGTGGGCCATAAATCCAACAACAAATGTCCTTATATGAAGAGAAGACATAGACACAGCGGAAGAGGCAATGTGAAGATGGAAGCAGAGATTGGGGCAATGCATCTGCAAGCCAAGGAGCACCAAGGATTGCCAGCAAACACCAGAAATGAGGCAAAGGCATGGAACAGATTCTCCCTTAGAGCCCCCAGAAGGAACCAATCCTGCCAACACCTGGATTTTGGACTTCTGGCCTCTCGATCTGTGAGAGAATACAATTCTGTTGTGAACCCACTCAGTTTGTGGCAATTTCCTAGCAGCCCTAGGAAACTAATAAAATGACCAACTACCCAGGCTGCTGTCTCCTTCCTCCAAAATCAGTCCTGGAGAAACCCCAGAACCAAGAGGAAACAAGAACTCTGGAAACTAGTAATTTAAAAAATGCAAGGTGTCCCTAAATAGACAAGGTTGTCTTGTTTTGTGCTAGGATAGATGGGTGGCTACAGCTGAGAGGAAGGGTGACCCGAGGCAATAGTGAAAAGAGGAGTTGCAGAAAAGCTGATTAAATTCTGCACAGGCCTCTTCCCTAGGTTACTTGGGGCAACCACCAATTGACTCTTTTTCTTTTTCTTTTTATGTTTTATGTGTTCTGTTTTCTATCATCTTTTCACTTTAAAAAGAACTATGTGTCCATTATGTTTAATGTAAATTAGACACTGTGTGAGAGCAACTGACTCTTTACTGCAAAAAATCCTGCAATTGTCCACACTTCCTCTGCCAGTGTCCACAGGATGGTTTGGATGCAGGCACTAAGCCTTATAGGAACAAGACATTGAAAGAAAAGAGACACAAGGCTGAGTAATCCTCTGCTCTCCTTCAATCCCGGAGCTATTGCTGACAACGAAGAGGGGAGTCTCCCTTCCCATAGGGCCCCTTCTTCCTATGTTTTTAATGGTGCAACCCTGACCAGAGAAGCTGCATAGTGAGTTGGCAGCAAATGGCACAGATCAACAGTGGTTCTGTGGGTACCCAGGGCTCCACCTGGGGCTCATCCCTCCCCTCTCCTCTGACTCACCTAAACTCACACAGATGCTCCCTTCCTATTTCATCTACAGCAGAATTGTGGAAATAAGAATAAAAAATGAATGTTAAAAAAGCTTGGCCGGGTGCGGTGGCTCATGCCTATAATCCCAGCACTTTGGGAGGCCGAGGCGGGCGGATCACGAGGTCAGGAGTTAGAGACCAGCCTGGCCACCATAGTGAAACCCTGTCTGATGGGGTTTCAAAAAATGCAAAAAAAAAAATATATATATATATATATATATACACAAAAAAATTAGCCAGGTGTGGTGGTGGGGGCCTGTAATCCCAGTTACTTGGGAGGCTGAGGCAGGAGAATCGCTTGAACCCAAGAGGCAGAGGTTGCAGTGAGCCGAGATGGTGCCATTGCACTCCAGCCCAGGGGACAGTGCGAGAATCCATCTCAAAAAAAAAAAAAAAAAAAAAAAAAAGTTTAAGATTAAAGATGTTAGATACATGAAACAAGAGGAAGAAATCAAAAAGGAACCAAGTGAAAGCTATACTATTCTATATAGAGAACATGAGAGATGGAATAAATAATAGGATGAATATAATTGAAGAATGAATCAGTGAGTTGGAAGATCAGTGTGTAACCAATATGGTAGACAATGGACTGATATCTTTAACACAAGAAGAGCCTGCGTAAATTGGAAATGAAACAAAACCCTAACACTACACATTTTAAATATGCAAAGGATATGGGCGAGAATTTCCAGCAGAAATGCAAAAGTCCAATAAATATTTTTAAAATCCACTTACTAGTAATACATTAAAATAAAATAAAGCAATGAAATATTGTTTTTAATCCCAAACTGGAAATGAGGTAAAGCAATTACAATGGTCAATTTTGGATGTCTGCGACAACTGTTGAAATCCAAATACCATTAAAAGAGTTACAGTTTTTATCAGTGATCACATTTTAGTGTAATACATGAAACTGAGGCTTGATAGAAAACAGGAGAGAAGGCATGAGTGCATGGGGTACATAGGGAGATGAGGGCAAGCATCACCAAGGAGCGGCAGTGAGATAGACGCTCTCATGGACTGCTGCTTTACAACCTCCCTGGAGAGCAATTTAAAAATATGAATCAAGATCCTTTTGATCCACTAATCATCCAGAAATCTACACAGAAATATGCACAAAAATATGTGGCATCCATTGACTTCCAACCTCTTCTCTTTCAGGGGAAATATTCCTTAACTCTTCTCTCTTGTTGCCCTCAAAGGCAAAGCCTCTCCATCCTCCCACTCTGGAACTCACTGTAACTGTTCACATTGTTCAGGCTTTGCTAAACTGCAAGAAGAGTGGCTGCCTTCTGGATGGTGAGGCAGAAAGGAGGAAGATGTCTGCATTCCTGATGGCAGTGGTCACCATACAAGCCTTATCCTGACTACCTCTGTTATTTTTTTTTAATATCAAAACATATACCCCTTATCTGTTTAAGCTTCTCCGATCAGGTCTCTGGTTACCATCAGTCGGATGTAGTTCAGAGCTAAAAATTTTTAATAAAGCTTTTGTAGCTCTATTCACTAGCACACTGGCCATGAATTTCTTGGGTTGAAAGTCTGACAACCATTTCCTGAAATACTATGAAACTTTCCTGAATAATTGAGTAGTTAATGTTTTGTTTAATTTCCAAAATCCAGTTGTTTGGCAACTCTGGAGCAGGTGGATGATGATGCGTAGAGAGGTCTTGTGCAAGTAACACACAAGAGTGAGCAGATGTGGGCTTTAACAGTTAAAATGGAAAGATCCTCCGTAAAATATATTTTCTCCAGCTTTCCAAATGAAACTCAACCTCCTCTTAATGAAATGTATTGACCTCCAAATTTATGTGAAGGACCTGGTAAAAGATGGGCCAGACCAGCGTCAGTGGCCAAACACATGGGTTACCTAAACAGAAGGGGTAAGGCAGAGCAGCCCTCAGAAGTAGGGTTGATGGGGTATGGCTTCCACAATACCAGGAAGAATCTTGCTTCCTCTAGGCCATCTCAAGCTGGTGCCTAGGCTTCCTTCCACAAATCTTTATCATTTTATTTAGATTTTTGTTAGGAAGGAGCCAGAGGGAAAAAGTTCCAATTGATAAGGATACCCAAGGTGATTAAGTTGATTACTAGAACCCACTACATAGATCTGACGAATTTAAAAGGGACTTCTAATCAAGAAGCAGCAGCTCTGAGATTCCTGGTTACTAGCTTTACATGTCGCTCTTTTTTTATGTAACTTTTCTTTTAACTTTTAAGTTCAGGAGAAGAAGTGCAGGTTTGTTACATACGTAAACTGTATCGTGGGGTTTTGTTGTACAGGTTATTTCTTCACCCAGGTATTAAGCCTAGTACCCATTAGTCATTTTTCCCAATCCTCTTCCTCCTCCCATCCTCTGCCTTCCAAGAGGCCCCAGTGTGTGTTGTTCCCCTCTAGGTATCCATGTGTTCTCATCATTTAGCTCTCACTTATAAGTGAGAATACAATATTTAGTTTTCTGTTCCTGTTGTTAGTTTGCCAAGGATAATGGCCTCCAGTGCCATCGATGTTCCTGCAAAGGACATGATCTCATTCTTTTTCATGGCTGCATAGTATTCCATGTGGTGTATATTTACCACATTTTCTTTATACATGTTGCTCTTGATATCATCAATATATCATTAACCAAATCTTCCCTGTGTAGATCCTTTCCACTCTGTATTCATTTGTTCTTGCATTGCTATAAAGAAATACCTGAGACTGGGTAATTTATAAAGGAAAGGGGCTTAATTGGCTCACATTTCTACAGGCTGTACAGGAATCATAGCGGCTTCTCCTTTTTGGGGAGGCCTCAGGAAGCTTTCAGTCATGGCAGAAGTCAAAGGGGAAGCAGGTATCTTACGTGGCAGGAGCCAGAGCAAGAAAAAGTAAGGGGGAAGGTACCGCACAGTTTTAAACGACCTGGTCTTGAAAGAACTCACTCACTATCACAAGAACAGCACCGAGGGGATGGCGTTAAACCATTCACGAGAAATCCACCCCCATGGTCCACCCACCTCCCACCAGCGCCCCCCGCCTCCCGCCCCACCAACATTAGAGATTACAATTTGACATGAGATTTGGGCAGGGACACAGATCCAAGCCATATCACACTCCTGCCTCCCTGTTGTTAGAAATGTTTACAATATCAAGTGTATTAATATGATTTATATTTAAAATTTCTTTACCACTAGGCCTGGTGTGATTTCTTATGTTTAAGAGATTTCTCTCTTGTCTTTTGGGACATTGTTTGAGAGAATAAAATGATTAATCTCCATATTCTTTGTATCTATCAAGATTTCCTTGGGGATGCTCAGCTTGTATATTTCAGTGTAGCATTCCTAAAGGTTGACTCATGGGATAGGTCTCTCTTCTGCAAAATTTACCCCATTTTTCTTAACGGTAAGTTACATCAATATTTTCATATAAAGCCTGCATATAAATACTATTTAGAGCTTATAAAATTCCGTTGGATGTTTTTGATAATTATTTAAATGCAAGTATCATTGGGAGAGATGTGGGTCTTATCATTGATACAGATTTTAGTGTAATATCTGAAATGGGGACTTGATAGAAAACTTAGAAGAAAAGGAATAAGTGTACTTGGTATATATAGAAAAGAGGCCAAATATTACCAAATAGGGGAGGAAACTTTGGGAGGAGAGAAGGAAGAGGTGACCAGTACCAATAATGAGACTGGCATAGCTGTGATAAAGCTGAAGGCATGGTGGCATTCTGGTGCTCTCCTGGTTTAATCATCTTGTTTAAATTCACATGACATGTAAAGTTACTCTGAATGATCCATTAAGTTCATTTATTCTCCATTCTCTTTTCTACCCTATTAAATATGTAGAAAAAAACATTTTTTACTAAAAAAATTTGAGAGAATAATTTTTTTATAATACCAGATTTTTTGAGCCTGAAAGAAAGTAACAGGAATTACATAAGCAAGTATGCTGTTATAAAATAAATTTAGATAAAAAGACTTCCTAGTAGCAAGCAGTTAGGGGGAAGAGGAAGGAGAGAAAAGAATGAAACCAGATAAATCTATGTTTAATTGTTGAAGATTCAATACAAAAGTAAAGAGCAAAGAACAGCCAGGAGACTCCTGTGGGGACTTTTAGGGTGCTGAAAATGTTGTTTATTTCTTGACATGAGCATTAGTTACCCAGATGGTCACCTTACACTAATTCAGTAAGCTGTATATTTTTGTACCTTTTTCGTATATGCTAGTCATTTTCCAAATAAGCATTAAAAGAAAAAAAAAACAACTGAACCCTGAAAACAAAAGAGAGAGAGAGACTGACCCAATTCAGGCAGACATATCTGAAGTAGGGGGAAAATCAGCAAATTGACCTCTTCATATTTCCAACAACATACTTGATACTTTTGGATATGTGTTCCCTGGTTTTGTGAACAGGCTGAAAGAATTTCAATCATGGGTCCCTTTTGGGCAATAAGGATTGGGCCAGTCGTTGTGCATGGAAAGGATACTTGATTTTCACAAAGGTTATATTTAATATAAAATATTCTACTTATCAGTTCTTCTCTACTCTGCATGAGGGGATATGAATAAGAATGTTGGAGAAGCATTATTCAAAATAGCCAAAAGTAGAAAAGGTGTCCATCAAAGTAAAATCGATAAATGTGCTATATTCTGGCTATATTTCGCCGCAAAATAAAAGCTATCCACGACAATCCAGATCGATCTTCTTTTTTCAAGTGTTGGGCAAAAGAGAACAGAAACAAAAGGACACGTTTTCTATGATTTTGTTCTTATAAAGGCCAAATACACGCAAAGCATAAATGATAGTATTTAGGGATACACACTTATGTGGTAAAAGTGTGAAGAGAAGCCAGACAGTGATGAGCATAGAAGGAGTGCGCAAGGAAGGCAGGGCCTAACATGTGCCAGCCCCACTCCAGGCTGACTGGGAAGACAAATCAAATGGAAGAGACTCTCACTCCTTAACGATGCTGAATAATTAGTGCCTAGAATTACAGCATCTCAGGACCGAAAGGAGCCTAAAGATCACTAAGATAAGTGACCTTTTAATTTTTTACATTTCAATTTTTATTATTATATTTCAATAAAAATTAGAGAGTTCAATAGAGTATTTCCAAACTTTATTCCAACAGGTAAGGTATATTTACAAACATACTACAATCTATCACCAACAATTATTTCATACAAAGAAAAGGCGTGTCACCCTCACAAAGTAAGAAGTAAATAATTTTAGAATAAATGATAGCCCTTTACATTGAATAAATTTAGATTTGTGAACCATGCTGCCTATTTCTTTCCAGGAACATAGTAAAAAAAAAAAAAAAAGGTGTTTTTTTTTTTTTTTTTTGAGACGGAGTTTTGCTGTTGTCGCCCAGGCTGGAGTGCAATGGTGCGATCTTGGCCAACTGCAACCTCTACCTCCCGGGTTCAAGCAATTCTCCTGCCTCAGCCTCCCGAGTAGCTGGGATTGCAGGCTCCCACCACCACGCCCAGCTAATTTTTTGTATTTTTAGTAGAGATGGGGTTTCACCATGTTGGTCAGGCTGGTCTTTAACTACTGACCTCGGGTGATCCACCCACCTTGGCCTCCCAAATTGCTGGGATTACAGGCGTGGGTCACCGCACCAGCCAGTAAAAATTTTTGAATAAACTACCATCAATCCCTAGACTAGTTGGTGTATGAGAAACTTTGACCTTACCTACCACTAATCCAATACTTGAATCTTCTTCCCCAAATCCATAAAAGGTGTAACTGGGGCTTGCCTATGCTTGCATACTTCTGATGAATTAGAACTCACTACTAGAGATGCTAACATATCTTCCTCTTAGAACATTTGTGACTGAATGCTCTTCTGCTGTTGAACCTAATTATTTCCCCTTCGTTTGTGGTCTTAGACTAGTGACTGCACTTACTGTCTAAATTGTACAGTCTTCTATGTGTCAGCCCCAACCTGTGAGCAACACGCTTTATCCCCCTCCCTGTCATGACCCACGCTCCTTCTCACGTTGAAACATCTCAAATCCTTTGTACTATTTCCTATACATATCCTGAATCGTCAGCATCCTTAACTCTCTGCTTGAGGTGTTCCAATTTGTCTGTATCTAATTTTAAAATGTGATTTTCCAAACAGAGTACAACTTTCCAGGTTGGTTTGCCTCACCCAAAAGAGAGTAAATGCATCATCTCTTTGATTCAAGACATTCAACTTCTTCCCTCAATGTAGCCCAAAATTTCCTAAATCAACTCTCCCATTCCTATTAACTCATTTGATGAAAACAAGTTCATATGCCAGTGTGAGTCTAGAAGACTGGTTTCCCACAGAAAAAAGGAGAAGATGGCAGATCTTACAAACTAATAAGATACGAGAATGGCTGATTATTTATTTTTAAATGTTCTGAATTCACCTAATTTGTGCTTAGCATACATCTCTTCACTTGTGAGAAAGTATACCATTAGCAAGATCCTCAGACACCTTTCAGGGGACTCACACATCCTCTTAATACGCCACTCCAGTCTAGTAAGCTCCAGAAAAAGAGTGGAGTGACTGTGCTGGGACTTGTCCTTGGTGACTGCTTGCTGGCGCCACCTACTGGGATCAGCGTCTCTTTCCAGGTTCGTACATTCTTGGGAACGAAGACTGAGTTCCCCAATATGCAGTTTGTAGAGTTTATTTTCTTCCCATCTTAGAAAATGTAAAGGATGTGAAGTTCTTGCTTGCAGTCTCTTGTTACCCATGAGATTAAAAAAGTCCCACTAGCAGCAGTTCCATGATCTCATTTGCATATTATCTCAGTAAACTACAACTTTGATTTGCCTGGGCCATGAGACACAAAGGTAAAATGATTAATATTCTTACCCATGTTGTTCATGATGAGAAAGTGAGACAATTTACAAATAAATTAAATTATTAATAACAAAATTACTTTCATTTGTACTATTGAAAGTTAGTTAACACGTATTCTTCTCTTCCTCATATATTTATATTTATATTTATAGTTTATCCCAGTCTCTAGAGTATTTAGCTATATATATATATAAATATTTAGCTACATATATATATAAATATGTGTATTCTATTTGATAGCAATAGAAATTTGCTCATGACCCACAACAAACATTTTGTAGAGAGACAGTATAAAATGCAGATGGTTTTGGGGGGTGGAAGTTGTTTTTTATTTTGTTTTAGATACAGGGTCTCACTCTGTTGCCCAGGCTGGATGGAGTGCAGTGGTGTGATCATGGCTTACTGTAACCTCGATCTCATGGACTTAAGCAACCCTTGTGCCTCAGCACCTCAAGTAGCTGGAACTACAGGCATGAGCCACCACACCAGGTTAAGTTTTTAATATTTTGTAGAAACAAGGTCTGGCTATATTGGCCAGGCTGCTCTCAAACTCCTGGCCTCAAGTGATCCTCCCACCTTAGCCTCCCAAAGCACTGGAATTACAGGTGTGGGCCACTGCACCTGATCTTTTCTTTAAAAAAAATGTAACTTAAAAAAAAAATCTCTTTAACTCATTTCTTCTTTGAGTGTGGCCAGCTTGAGGGAGGCTTTACTTTCTTCAGTTGGCAAAAATGTATGATACAGTCATTAAAAAGGCACTGAACCAAAGGTTATTAACTTGGGGTCTTCCAATATTCAAGAGATTCATGGACAGAAATCAAGAGGTTCATGGACAGAAACAGTTTCTAAATATATATATATTTATATATATATAAATATATATATTCTAAATATATTATTATAATAATATAATCATTATATATATAATTTTTTGTTTGTTTTTGTTTGTTTGTCTTGTTTTTTTCTTTTTTTTGAGACAGACTTTCTCTCTGTTGCCCAGGTTGGAGTGCAATGGCGCGATCTTGGCTCACTGCAACCTCCACCTCCCAGGTGCAAGTGCTTCTCCTGCCTCAGCCTCCCAAGTAGCTGAGATTACAGACGCCCACCACTGCGCCTGGCCAATTTTTTGTATTTTTAGTAGGGACAGGGTTTCGCCATGTTGGCCAGGCTGGTTTCGAACTCCTGACCTCAGGTGATCTGCCCACCTCGGCCTCCCAAAGTGCTAGGACTATAGGCGTGAGTCACCATGCCTGGCCAGTGAAAATATTTTTTAAAGGAACATAAGAAAGGAGGAAGGGAAAGAGAGAGAGAGAAGGGAAAAGAAAATACACCTTTATTTTTTTTTACTAACTTTTAAGTAAAATTATAGTTTATAAAATATGATTGTTAAGCCACAACATCATATTATAGTTGTTGCAGATATTTTGAGATATTGTTTTTGCTTATTGCTATTTCAAGATTACAATGGATAGGAGGCCTGCCTCTGGCTTTTATTATTTACTGCATTCATAAAAAAGCACATATATTACTATGTCTTGCATTTGCTTAAATATTCCAGTAGCAGCTTTTCAATATAACTGGCTTCCGTTGCAATCCTACGCATCCTATTTTTTGCATTTAAAATCACAATGCTGAGAAGGAGTTCAGAAGTCTCACCAGACTGCCATAGGGATTAAGAGCTCCTGCATTAAACTCTTTTGAGAGCTTTGTTGGGAAAAACAGAATCCTTCAGGCCATCCTGTGCCAGGGGAACCGAATTGCCTCAGAACAGACAGAACCTTTGCCTCTGTGGTTCTAGACCCTGACTTTAGAAGAGATGTTAATAATAATGAAAGACTCTCCTTTCTAGCCTGGAGAGTATTGCAGAATCCTGGAGAGTATGCCATCCTGGTGATTTTGGGTACCATTGGGTATTTCAGGGAAATAGTGCCATCTGGTGGCTGATGCTCCTCCTCCGGTGCACACTTCTGTTTGTCTTGTAATTAGAAACATTCATAGCGAAACACAGTGGCATTTAAAAGTATCAGCGCATAGCTCTTCCCCATTTCCGTCCACTGCGTGTGTTTAGTTTTGTCAATTCACAAATCTCACAGATTCAATGAATGATAATGCTCAGTGTTCTGTGGAATCACATTTTTGTCTCCTTTTTAGAAATGTTTAGCAGAAGACAGTGATTGGCAATTTGAATTCCAATTCTCAAGGCTTCAATAATGGTAAAGGTCCCTCTTCCCTCAAAATAGCATTTTCATTTTTTATAATGCCTGGATCATTTCAAATACAAGGTGTACAAAGAGATATCAGGGCTGTAGGGTTGTGAGTGGGGCGTGATATCTGCAGGCTTCAGGTGATGTTGATGTTAGTGGATTCCCGGGGTTTCTGACACACTGACCCTGGGTTTTCTTTCATATGTTGGTCAAGTTGCCCTTGACTCAACAGTTATGATTCTGATTCTGGCTCTGCATGTGGGCTCTGCTAGTTTTCCCCACCTTCTTTACTGCTTTTTACAACTTCCACTGCCCACTTCTTGGTCCAAGCTACCAGCACTTTTTCTCAGATTATTGAAAGAGTCTCTTAACTGGTCTACCTTCTTCCACATTTTCCCCGCTAAGTTCATTCCCCACATGGCAGCCAGAATGATACTGTAAAACCACAAGTTAGATCGTACCCACCCCTCTGCTCACAATCCCTTTCCTTCAGAGAAAAAACAGAAGTCTTCGCAATATCCAAGACACTGTAATCAGGCTCACAGATAACCCCCTAAACCCATCTCCTTCTCCACTTACCCTCACCAACAATACTGACCTTCTTGCTGTTCTTCAAACAAAGCATGGCTCTGCCTCAGGACATCTGCACTTGCTGTTCCCTCTGCCTAAAACACTGTTCCTCCAGTTACTAACATGGCGCATTCTGCATTCTCTTGCTTCTTTCAAGGGCCCAGAGACTGTGTGGCCCGTTCTTTATTTTTCTCCATAGTATTTATCACTATCTAAATTTTTATGTGCTTTACTTATTAATTTTTGTTGTTTTCTTCCTCTTGTTAGAACATAATCTCCATGAGTATAGAGATTGTCATCTTTGCTTCTTATTAAAGTTTCCCTAGTGTCTAAAAAAAAATGCCAGTCATGGAGCAATCAAATGCTTGTTAAATAAAAGACTCATATTTCCTGCCATGATGAGATCCCAATCTACCTGTTAGATGGACTCTGTTTTACTGTGCCTGTTGTGAGATCTGTCCCACCTGGACTCTCCTGGCCTGTGAGGGTCACTGGATGATTCTCAGGTATGTTCTGAGCTATGGCAGGTTTCTCTGCTGCTTATAGCATCAAAGCATCATTCCTGAGTTATAAACCTTAATGTTGAATGTCCTTCCTGAAAATAGCATAGGATGACTCAAAAAGTGGCTCTATTGATAACAAAGATACTTCTGTCAAAAATGAATGTACAAAGTTTACTAAATGAAATGTCAAAGTAAGAACAAGCAATATTTATAGATTTGTATATTATTTTTAAAGTGATTTTAAATGTGTCTGTGTCACTACATAAATTAATATTATAAGGAGACATATGCCTAGTACACTTACGTCTATAAAAATTTAGTTAACCAAATTGGCCGAAATATACTATTGGGGCTTCTTCAACTAATGGAAGAGAGGAGCTCTGTATATTCAAGCATATATAGTATTTGCTAAGACTCTCTCCCTCCCTCCTTCGCTCCCTCCCTGCCTCCCTTCCTTCCTTCTCCTCTCACCTCCCCTCCCTTCCCCTCTCCTCCCCTCCTTTCCTTTCATTCTTTGAGACAGGGTCTTGCACTGTTGCCCAGGCTGGAATGGAGTGGCACAATTATAGCTTAATGTAGCCTCAAACTGGGCTCAAGTGATCCTCCTGCCTCAGCTTCCCAAGAATCTGTGACTACTGGCATGCACCACCACGCCTGGATAATCTTTTAAAAATTTTTCGTAGAGATGGGTGGGGTCTCGCTATGTTGCCCAGGCTGGTCTTGAACTCCTGGCCTCAAGTGATTCTCCAACCTCAGCCTCCTGAACTGCCGGGATTACAGGCATGAGCCACAGCACCTGGCCTAGCCTCTCTTCCCTCTCTTCTTCCTCTGCCTTTCTACTCTTCACCTTTTCCTCCACTTCCCTTTTCTACTCTTCTCATCCTCCTCTTCTGTTTCATCTTCTTGACCTTTGTGCTTTGCTTTCTCTTCATCCTTTCTCATTATTTTCAAATATATACCTTTAAAAGATCTCCATTCTCCTTGGTCATATGTACCCATTCTTGTTCGCATGTCAATTTCTAGAGAGTAGAAAATAATTCAGAAGAAGAGTGGGGAAAATTAAATCTTCTTAGGTTGCTGAGAATGTCTAGGCACCTACACTGATGGACAAAGTCTGAGAATAGTCATGGGGAGGATGATTCCAGCCATAAACCTGGCAAAATATCACTCATTGCCCTCCCAGGTGTGGTGCTTCTCAGTACATAATTGCAAAAAAGCGGGGGTTTTTTAAGTATAGGGTATGTCTTAGTTATTCCTTCTGTTGCAGGTATGAATTTGCTGCAAGAATCAGCCTTTTTTTTTTTTTTCCTAAATTGAAAAGATTTGGCTAAGCTGCCACCCACTAGAGGTGGTGGAATATTTTCAGTAGTGTCTCTAGAAGTCCCTCCCTGTCTCATGCATCATGAAGAGTCCCACAGGGCTTTAGCTGCCAGAAAAAAAATCAAGGAACAGAGTCTTTAATCTTTAGTTCATTGTGATTGTCAAAGAAATGCTCATTCCCCAAGCCCTTTGGACCCTCAGAGGCATTCCCTTCTGTTCCACCTTGTGTTCCTCTACATTGTGGGAGTCCTGCCTCCCACCCCCCACTTCCACCTCCACTGCAGTCCCATCACCACCTGCAATGCTCCCTGACACCTGGAATGCTTTCCCTCTTGGATATCTCAGGTCCATTCTTCAAGGAGCCCGGCTTTCCTTTATCTTTCTTTTATATTCTTTTCTTTTAAAGTCTGTTCTGTCTTGCTGATGAGCCAAGGGGTGAAGAAAAGGGAAAATACCTCTCATTCTTTTTGTTACAGCTATGAGAATGAGACTGAATTAATGCCTCAGTATATTATTTGCTCATGCTTCTATTTTTTGATTATCAGACTTGGGGGAGATTTTCTCAAAAGCTCCTGCTGGAAATATTTGAACAAACTGTTAGAATGTACTTTTAATTTTTTTTCATTAATTCCTAGGTAATGTTTCTTGATTTCCATTATTTCTTATTTTTTGTTTCATCTCTATGAAAAGGACAGAATGGCTAAAACGAGCAAGTCTGGAGTTTGAGGTACAGTTGCGTGCCACTTAAAGACAAGGATACATTCTGAGAAAAGTGTTGTTAGAAATGTGTTTCGGCCGGCCACAGTGGCTCACGCCTGTAATCCCAGCACTTTGGGAGGCCGAGGCGGGAGGATCACGAGGTCAGGAGATCGAGACCATCCTGGCTAACATGGTGAAACCCCATCTCTACTAAAAATACAAAACATTAGTCGGGCGTGGTGGCGGGCGCCTATAGTCCCAGCTACTTGGGAGGCTGAGGCAGGAGAATGGCGTGAACCCGGGAGGCAGAGCTTGCAGTGAGCCTAGATCGCGCCACTGCACTCCAGCCTGGGCGACAGAGTGAGACTCTGTCTCAAAAAAAATAAAAAAAAGAAGAAGAAATGTGTTTCATCATCGTGTGGACATCACAGTGTGCACTTACACAAACCTACGTGGTACAGCCTACTATACACCTAAGCTATATGGTATGGCCTGTTGCTCCTAGGCTACACACCTGTACAGCATGTTATTGTGCTACATAACTGTAGGCAATTGCAACACAATGGTCAGTATATGTGTATTTAAACATATGTAAACAGAAAAGGTACAGTAAAAATATGATACAAAAGATAAAAAATAGTACTCCTGCCTAGGGCACTTACCATGAATTGAGTGCAAGACTGGAAATTGCTGTGGGTGAGTCATTGAGTGAGTGATGAGTGAATGGAAAGGCCTAGGACACTATGGTATACTGCTGTAGACTTTATAAGCACTGTACACTTAGGTTACATTAATTTTTTAAGTAATTGTGCTATGACATTATGGCTGCAATGACATCACTAGGTGATAGGAATTTTTAGCTCCATTATAATGTTGTAGAACCACTGTTGTATATGTGGACAGTTGTTGATTAAAATGGCATTATATCGCCCATGACTGTATGTTACACTACTATTCCATGAGTGTGTTTATTCCACCTTTCCCCAGATCCTTTTTTTAAAAAGATTGATCTTGTGAATACTTATTTTCCGTACTGTATTAAGAATAATGCGTGTGGGATAACATTTCTTTTGAGGCTAACTCCGAAGTCATTAAATGGCCAAAATCCCTGGTTGCCTTATAAGACAAGGGTCTTTAAGACCAATCCCTGAAAATATTCCTTTATACAAGCTCATAAAATCTGTTCTATCTTTTCACTCCCTACTATCAGCCCATTGGTCTGGTCTGCTGAGGAAACTGAAATAATCCACTGTTAATAATCCTGTAGTGGATCCTGCCGGTAGACTGTCCGAATCCCCACCCTGGCCTCTTCAGTACACGTTGTCTGGCCTTCCACTGCCAGCAGATGGATCTTTTTCTGAAAGTTTCTCTGATGCCACTAGATGCCACGTTGATGCTCATATAGCAGACCAGAAATATTAGGGAAATACTACCCCCACACCCACCCTCAGAAGCAGTCGTCAACCAATGACTGATGGGAGTTCATCTATGAATGCCCCAGCTTCTGGACCCCTTGGGTGGGCTATCTCTGAGGTATATGTACTACATTGGCTTCCAAAGTTCTCTAACAAGATGGATCTTCAGTTGCCCACAATCTTAAATTGTTTGACAATGAACACTTTTTTGGTTATCTTCTGTTCCCTGCCTCACTCCCCATTCCCATACAGACATTCCCGGACTAAGCCATTTGCACTTGAATCTTTGTTTTAGGGCCTTATTAAGACCTAAACTTCCCTCCTGCAGAAAGACAACACGAGGTCTCTTTCTGAAAGACAACTTCTGCCGTCTTCCCCCACCCAGAGCTACCCCAGATGCCTCTCCTGACTGCCAGGCCAATAAATGAGGTCAAATCCCAGAGAAATACCGGGCCTGATGAGGATACAGAGAGATTGTACCCTAAAGGACCTGCAACAATTACCTACAGCATTTACTTTCAAGAGTTGGGGAGTTCTCAGGGGCAGGACTATGAGAGTTCTTGACCAAAGGGCTGGAAGACAAAAGTGAACAAGCAAGAGTGCATTGACTTGGGGTCACTTTCTTGGGATACGGTTTTTAGCACCCTGGTAAGGCCCTAGGGATGGGACAAACACACTGCTATGTGGCTTTCCAAAGCCTAGTAAAAGCAGTGCCCAGTTGCTGAGCAAAGGTGAAATGCCTGAGTTGCCACAGCAGATGGTAAAAAAGATGGAAAAAAATAGATGGAAAATAAGATCAGAAACAGTTCACATTCCTTGGAATGAACAACGATACTCATTTACAGTTTTGCACCAGGGCTATGTTAGCTCGCCCACCCTCTGTCTTAATATAGTCCGAAGAGATCTGGACCATCTGGACATCCTGTAGAATATCACATTTGATCCATTACATCAATAAAATGAAGACATGGCTGCTATGCTAGGAATCTTGGTAAGAAACATGTGTTCCAGAGGGCAGGAGAGAAATCTTACAAAAATTCAGGCACAGGCCACTTTGGTGAAGCTTCCAGGAGTCAGATGAGAATTTACACAAAGTATAAACATTTTCACGTGCTAATACCCATCAGAAAGCATCCACTAAAGGAGAAACATCGAACAATTAAGTAGACAAAATATCGTGGCCAGTTGACATTCGTCAGTCTTCAGCATTGGGCATGATGGACACATGAATAGAGTGAACACAATGGCAGAGGTGAGGGCTACAAATGTGCCCAACAGCGTGAACTTATACTCACCAAGGCCAATCTAACTGCTGCTTCCTCTAAATGTAGAGTCTTCCAGCAACAGGAACAAATGCAGCACTCCTGAAATGGCCCTATTTCCTAAAGAGACCAACAAGCCACTCAGTGGCAACTTGACAACATTTGGGCTCCTTTTATTCTGGAAGGGCCAACAGTTTCCCCTCAGTGGGATAGTCTTATTCCAAATATGAGTTTGCCTTTCCCACCCACAGAGCCTCAGCCAGCATCAATATCCAGACGTTTATGCAGTGCATGATCCACAAGCATGTAAACCTATGTAACATAGCATCCAAACAGGGGCCACAACTCACAGCAAAGTGGGTGCAGAAGTGAGCCCATGGTCATGTGATTCCCAGATGACATCACAGATGCTCCATCAAGAGGCAACCAACCCACAATAGAACATTGCAGTGGCCTATCGAAGGCACAGCTGGAGTACCAGTTTACAGGCAATAGTCTACAAAAAGGAGGTGCTATCCTCCAGAATGCAGAATAAATAAATCAGAGATCTCCATAGAGTGCTATGCTCCTAATAAGAATACATGGGTCAAGGAACCAGGGGAAAGAAGCAGGAATCATCATTCTTACCATTATTCTCAATGGCCCTCTGGGGAAATGCATGTTTCCTGTCGCCTTAACTCTGGGCTCTGCAGGTTTAGAAGTCCTTGTCTTCAAAGGAGGCACACTCTTGCCAGGGGACAGAGCAAGAGTTTCATTGAACTACGGGTGTCTCCTGGACATTTTGGACTCCTTGTGTACAAGATTAACAGGTAAGAAGGGGCGTCTCCATCTGGGCAAGTGTGATTAACTCCGATAACTAGAGGAGATAGGACTGCTTTTGGTCAACTGAGACATGGAGGAATACATATAGAACCTAGGCGATCCACTTAGGTATTTCTCAGTTCTCCTTAGCCCCCACTGTAATGGTAAATGAACATAGGAAGCAACCCTTGGCTTAGAGGTTATGATTACTAGAGTCTCAGACCCTGTAAAACCAATGGTTTAAGTCACATGACCAGGTTAGTCATCAAGACCTGCCAAGCTAATAGCCAAGGATGAGGTGAATTTAGAATGGATAGTGCTGGAGTGAGATGATGAGTACTTGCTGCAGCCCCCAGGAGACTATACTTTGTCCCCCTGGTCTCTCTCTTCTAACATTCCCCTCCTGAGCAGAGGGCCATAGGAACAATGGAGGAGCCACTCCCCAAACACACATGGAGAAATAGCCCTGTGCTGTGTGAGGGGTAGACTCTGGCAGCCATGGAGTGAACTGCTCCAATCTCCTTTCAAGAGAGAACCGGCTGCGAGAGGTGTAGTTAGCTTATGCCTCCAGCTGCCACAACTTCAGCATCCACTGCAGCATTCATGCTGAGGCCATGCACTCCCTGGGTTGCTCCCAGCCAATGACTGAGCACAGCAGGGGTACTTGAGCTGGGCCTTTCCTACTCAATTTAGCTTTCCTTTAAGGAGAAATCTTTGCTCTGCAGTGCCATGCTGGCCTCGCCGAGGCTTTCTCAGAGCTTTACTACAGCCTGAAGACTTTCTACCACATCCTCCTTCCGCCTCTCTCTCGACACACGTCAGAGCTGTATCATGGTATCGGGTGCTCCCTATTTACTGCTATTTCCTCTCCCCTCAGCTTATTGTGAAGTTTTTCTCACAACATGTCTCTTGGCCTAATTCTATCTTGACATCTGCTTCCTGGAGAATTTAAATTGACATAATAGGTTTGAGCAAGTGGGTTAATTTATTTCTTCATCTTAAAAGGAAGAGGTAGGCTGGGCACAGCTGCTCATGCCCATTAATCCCAGCACTTTGGAAGACCGAGGTGGGAGGATCACTTGAGGTCAAGAGTTCAAGACCAGTCTGGGCAACATAGCAAAACCTGTCTCTCCAAAAAAGAAAAAAAAATAAAGGAAGAGAGGAATATTGGGTAGGTAAGTAGAGCTAGATCATTATTCTAAGTACCAACATGAAATTTCTATAGTTTTAAAAAGTGGGAGGAATAATTAGAAAATTCTTTTTTTTCTATTTTTAATTTTTTTATTATACTTTAAGTTCTAGGGTACATGTGCACAACGTGCAGGTTACATATGCATACATGTGCCATGTTGGTGTGCTGCACCCGTTAACTCATCATTTACATTAGGTGTATCTCCTAATGATATACCTCCCCCCTCCCCCCAGCCCATGACAGGCCCCAGTGTGTGATGCTCCCCACCCTGTGTCCAAGTGTTCTCATTGTTCAATTCCCATCTATGAGTGAGAACATGTGGTGTTTGGTTTTTCGTCCTTGAGATAGTTTGCTGAGAATGATGGTTTCCAGCTTCATCCATGTCCCTACCAAGGACATGAACTCATCCTTTTTTATGGCTGCATAGTATTCCGTGGTGTATATGTGCCACATTTGCTTAATCCAGTCTATCACTGATGGACATTTGGGTTGGTTCCAAGTCTTTGCTATTGTAAATAGTGCCGCAATAAACACACGTGTGCATGTGTCTTTACAGCAGCATGATTTATAATCCTTTGGGTATATGTCCAGTAATGGGATGGGTGGGTCAAATATTTCTAGTTCTAGGTCCTTGAGGAATTGCCACACTGTCTTCCACAATGGTTGAACTAGTTTACGGTCCCACCAGCAGTGTAAAAGTGTTCCTGTTTCTCCACATCCTCACCAGCACCTGTCGTTTCCTGACTTTTTAATGATCGCCATTCTAACTGGTGTGACATGGTATCTCATTGTGGTTTTGATTTGCAAGAAAATTATTCTTTATTCATATTTGAAACAAACAATTTTCTTATTTGTTCACCTAATAAAATATATGCTTGGTTATCTTTATTGCTCACAAATTAGGGAAATCACACGAAAAAACTAATTGATACTTTCCAAAGGAAATAACTTTTATCAAGCCTGAAAGCAGAATTTTAAAAACTTAAAATGCCAACGTATTAATCGTTCTTATCCTAGACAAAAAACTGAAGCTAGTATGTGTTGCTTGAGGAGTTTTGTTTGACAAAACCATAGTGCATTATAAATGCACTGTGTATAAGTGACAATTCTTGGGCTTTAAGTGATATTACCTACTTTTTATTTCATTTCTCCATCATGTGCTGACACAAGCTTTTATTAAGGTGAGACTACTACAATCAGATAAACTTACATCTTAGCCATGTAATTTTCTGCTGCTCCAAAGTTTGTCATCAAAGAAAGCAAAATAGGACAAGGTTAATACTGTGTTTACTAGACAGCAACTACAGCATTATGAATGTTCAATTAATGTTTAGACTACATTAGTGCACTTTGTAGCAAATGTACGATATTGGAAAACATAATGCACACTATTCAGAAGCAGTTCTTTTTCACTAAATAAAAATGTGTTGGCAACTGCTCCGTTTCCATGGATTTATGATTCTAATAGGTCCTGAAAATAAAGCCCAATCCTTGCCAAAATATCACTTATGCTTTATATCAGTAACATGCCCTCTATCTCTGCTTATGCATTTGAGAAACAGAAAAACAACGTAATTCGTTAAAAATCCACTAATTAGAACTCCAGAGAACTGATTTTGGGAAGGGGAAGATGTATGGGAGCTGACACCTAACCTATTTTATTTTTATGGAAAAAAGAAAATTACACAAAATTATGTGAAATTGAAAAAAGAAGCAAACATTTTCCAGAGTATGTTTGAAAGTGTATAGTTCAAATTTAAACCATTTTTTAACATCTAATGGTATTAAATCACTTTAGGAGAACTCAGTCAGCAAGAAAGATACAATTCTCTCCAATGTTCTACTTACAGAGAGAAGCATATTGTATATTTAATTCTTAAATTCTGGTGCCTGCAATACAAAGAGGAACCAGGAGATTTAACCCCTAGTTAACTAAAATATCAAATCAACAGGCCCGGGGCAGTGGCTCACACCTGTAATCCCAGCACTTTGGGAGGCCAAGGCAGGTGGATCACCTGAGGTCAGGAGTCCAAGACCATCCTGGCCAACACCGTCTCTACTAAAAATACAAAAATTAGCCGGGCCTGGTGGCGCACGCCTGTAGTCCCAGCTACTTGGGAGGCTGAGGCAGGAGAACTGCCTGAACCCGGGAGGCAGAGGTTGCAGTAAGCTGAGATCGTACCGCTGCACTCCAGCCTGGGTGACAGAACAAGACTCTGTCTCAAACAGACAAACAAAACTTGAACCCCATTCCTTAAATAACTGGGTCTTAACCTTAGCTGCATGTTAGCATGATCTAGGCATCAAATTCTCAATGCTCAGGTCCCATTCCAGACCAATTAAATCAGAACTACTGCTACTTAAAGAAACAAAAACAAAAACTCCACAGGTGATTCAATGCGCTGCCCAGATTGCTATCCACCACCTGGGATACTATAGTTATTTTAAGTTTTAAACCAGATTAGCTTAAGTCACAAATTAAATCTCTACTGCTGGATAAAAGCATATTTGCTAAGTGATCTTTAATTTTACCAGAGTACTAGAAAAAGAATGAAATCCAAATGCCTGGTTAACATTGTATCTGATGGTCTTTCAATTCTGGGGTGGCCGTGTAATCCAGTTCTTGGCACTGAAATAGAAGGGAGACTCCTGTTGGGTCTTTTCCTTCTGGGATAAAAGGACGGAGCCCCACTGGGAGGAAATAGTGGATTTCATTTCTTTCTGCACTTTCACTAGCCCTGAACTCTTAGATAAATATGGAAACTGAGGAGTTCATCTTGCAATCAAAAAGCAGTAAATGGGACAATAAAAAGTCAACGTTGAGGATGGTGGTAGAACAGAGACTGGAAGAGCGTGGGTCTTTGATGACATTGTTGTGTCATTGAACCACAACAACCAAGTACCTTCCAAATTTTTATGTTAAGAAAATGATTGCTTAAGCCACCATTAGCTGAACTTTCCGTTATGTGAAGTCAAACGTATTTCTTTTTTTCTTTTTTTTTTTTGAGGCAGAGTCTCACTCTGTTGCCCAGGCTGGAGTACAGTGGCACAATCTCCACTCACTGCACCTCCGCCTCTCCAGTTCAAGCGATTCTCCATGCTTCAGCCTCCAGAGTAGCAGGGAGTACAGGCATGCACCACCACACCTGGCTAATTTTTGTATTTTTGTAGAGATGGGGTTTGGCCATGTTAGCCAGGCTGGCCTCGAATTCCTGGCCTCAGGTGATCCACCTGCCTTGGCCTCCCAAACTGCTGGGATTACAGGTGTGAGCCACAGCGCCCGGCCCCAAAGTATTTCAAATGGGTACACCTTGGTTCTCTCTTAAGCTACAAATCACTCAACATTTACTACTGGCTAAGAACTTTAAGATATTATCACTTTTAAGCCTCACAGCAACTCCAGAAACAAGTGTTGTTATTCCCATTTTACATATGCAGAAACTGAGGCCCATACAAGTTGGCTATCTTGTCCTTGGCCATACAGAATTTAGATTGTAAGCCAGGTTCCTTTGATTCTAATCTCAATGCTCGTCATTGCATTGCTATAGTACTGTTATTAACCTCTTGGATGTGTGCAAGTCTAGTTGCTCTGATTAAATTGTGTATCACGCAAGAAGAGCATCTTAGGCTTGTAGGAGTACACCTAGTGGTCTACATTTAGATCATTAGATATTTGAAGAATTAATGGGTTTGCTTGACAAAAAAAAAAATTACAGGATAAGCTTTTTTTGTGCTGTTCTGCAAAACCACACGATGCTTTCAATTCACTCCAAAAAAAAAAAAAAAATCCAAATCAATCCACTTTCACAGAAGACTTGATAAAAAAGTTTTTAATAATAATCAAGGGCTTTGATATGTGATAACATTTTTTTTTTCCTCCCTGGTGAAAAGGCAAATGAATAGCAGGGTTTTGGTGCAGATGCTTAAGGCAACTGCATGGACCTATCTTCAAGGATATGGGGTGCTGCTGTCTGTCGAGTTGAAAACACAAACGTATCCCTTCCCAGGGTTGTGTGATAGGGTGTATTTTGCGATTTTTCTTTCTTTTTGGCCAGCATTTACTTGTCAGGTGTTTCAAGGTGTCTAATATCCCCACTACTATGCTATTTGCCCAAAAGGCACAGCTGATGGGCCTCCTGCAATTCCTGTTCCATATTCTCTTCTCTTAGCATTTACTGAATTATTGAAAGCAGTACGGAGGCAGCCACGTTGAGTTTAGAGTCAGGCTCACTGGACCAAAGCTACTATGTTTTGCCTTTCTCTGTAAAATGAGAAAAGACCTATTTAAAACGTTCTTATGAGATTTAAATGAGCTGAAATGTAAACTAGTAACAGTTAAGGTAGACGACAAGAACTTATCAAGTATCTATGTGCTGCATAGTGAGATAAGTGCCTGGAAAGTAATGATGGCCCCTGTCATCAAGAAGCATACAGTCTACTAAATTACCAGTTTCAACTCTAACTCCTTAGTGGCCAGAAAACGGAGTAAGTTGGAAGACAGTAAAATCTGAAGTCTGGCACCAGGGATCAAGTGCCAGTTCCTCAACTTTACAGATGCAGTGGGTTGAATAGTCTCCAAAAGATATGTCTATGTCCTAACTCCCAGGACATGTGAAAGTGACCTTATTTGGGAAAAGGGCCTTTGCAGATGTGATTAAGGACCTCCAGATGAGATGATCTTGGATTATCCCCGTGGACTCTAAATTCAATGTTCAGTGTCCTAAAAACACACAGAGAAGTGGCACAGGCACAGGAGAAGGCCATTAGAAGACAGGCCGAGATTGGAGTCATGCAACAAGAGGCCACGGACCGCCTGGAACCGTTAGAAGCTGAAGAAGCAAAGCATTCTCCCCTAGAGCCTTCAAAAGGTGCAGGGCTCTGCCAACAGCTTGATTTTGGAATTCTTGCCTCTAGAACAGTTAAAGAATAAAATTCTGTTGCTTGACACGAGCAAGTTTGTGGTGTCAGTTTCTTCATCTGGAAAATGGGGCATATATCCTAACCACAATCTTATTTCCTGAAGTATAAAATGGAATAACAGCAGTTTCCAGGCACGAGCAGACACTAAAAATGGCAAACATTTATTGAGAGCGTTCCATGCTAAGCGCTTTGCACGTATCACTTAATTATTTCTATTTTATTGATCAGGAAGCCAAAGCTCATAAAAACTGTAATTTTCCCAGAGCCACACAGCTAGCAAGTGAAAAAAACGGGATTACAATTCAAATCGACTCACAAGATACCCCTTTTATCCTCCACGCTGGACTGCTGAGGAAGTATGCAAATTAACACACTTTAGAAACTTTAGCTACTTCAATATTTGTTCAGGCTACGGGATGCAGGCCTCTTATTAACCGCGCCAGCCAGGTCTGTCCTTCAGCAGCCTGTTCTGCCTCGCAAGAGCTCTCCCTCTCTTTCCAGCACGGAAGCCACAGGGTTAATGACGTCATTTCCCGTGGCCGTTGTCGCGTCCTCCGCCCGACGGATTCTTGCAAGGGCCAAAATCCTCGCGCCTCAAGAGGAGGCATAACAGCAGCGGACCAATAGAAATTCCGAATTTTTGTATTCTCTGGGAAGCTCCACCTCTTAGTCCCTGATCCGCCGCGGAAGATGAAAAAAAGCGGCCCGGGGGCGGAGCAAGGCAAGGAAGCGGAAGCGGAGAGGCGGTCGGGATCCGCTGCGCGAGCTGTCTCGGTCCCACGTGTGCGGTGAGTGTGGCAGGCTCAGCGGTCGCTCTTGGGAGGGGTTCGCACCCTGCCGGGCGCTGGAAGTCGGGAAGGTCTCTCGGGGCTGTTGTCCACTGGGCAGTCTCCTCTGGCCTCTTTCTGGGCTAGGAGTTTGGGACTGACTGGAGCCTGGCAAGAAGGGCGGGACTGGCCGGGCGCGGTGGCTCACGCCTGTAATCCCAGCACTTTGGGAGGCCGAGGCGGGCGGATCACAAGGTCAGGAGATCGAGACCATCCTGGCTAACACGGTGAAACCCCGTCTCTACTAAAACTACAAAAAATTAGCCGGGCATGGTGGCGGGCGCCTGTGGTCCCAGCTACTTGGGAGGCTGAGGCAGGAGAATGGCGTGAACCCGGGAGGCGGAGCTTGCAGTGAGCCAAGATCGTGCCACTACACTCCAGCCTGGGAGACAGAGCAAGACTCCGTCTCAAAAAAAAAAAAAAAAAAAAAAAGAAGGG
Source organism: Homo sapiens (assembly GCF_000001405.40). NCBI lineage: Eukaryota > Metazoa > Chordata > Mammalia > Primates > Hominidae > Homo > Homo sapiens. Next base: position 2,843,567 of record NC_000009.12, on the reverse strand, counting down.
CGGGACTCCGACCTCTCTCCCACCACGTTGCCCTGCGTGCCGGGTTAGAGTGGACTAGCTTCACTCCGGAATCCCAGCCCGTGCTCGGCCTGATCAGCCTGTCTGTGCTACTTCACAAACCCCAACTCCAGTGCTAGGCGGTTTGCCTGAATGTACGCAGATTCTAAGTGCTGGGAGGAAACGAACTGGATGCTGAGTTGGCAGATAGTGGAGTCTGAAGAAGTGATCTTTAAACGGAGATTTGGAAGCTCAGGGAGTACTTCAAGCAGAGGCGATAATGGGCTAAGTTCCTGAGATGGGAGCTAGGAAGGAGTATAGTTAGAGTACAAGATAAAGTTAGCCGGATAGAGTGGAACTAGGTTCTGTAGGGCCTTGAAGGTCATGATGGGGAATTTTTTTTTCTGTACAATAGGAAAACATTTCCGTTCCTATTACCATGTGTAGAAAACATTGAAGACTTGTAAGCAAGTGAGAATCATGAATAGGCCCTGGTTCTCTTTAGAAAATGTATTACATTTGGAAGCTCAAGAGATTGTATTGGTAATAGTTTGCATTAGGGTGGTGACGTAAGGGACATTTAAGAGAACTAACTTATGGTTCAGCGTGGCAGAGTAGAGAGGAAAATGTCAAGGGTAACTCAGATTTCTTACTTGAGCAGTAAAGTAGATGATGTGCCATTGGCTGAGATGGAGGACGATAGGGCAGGGAAAAATAGTATATTGTTGTTTGTGGGGCAAACAACAATAACATAAAGAACAACATAGAGAATTATGTTTTGGACATATTAAGGGTAAGGTTCCTGTTAGACACATAATTAGAGGTATCAGATAAGCAGTTATACACAAGTTTGGACCCCAAGGAGAAGTTCATAATGGAGACATGATTTGGGAGTACTCAGCATAAAAAGCCAGGAGATTGGATGAGACCACCTAGGGAGAAGTGTGGAGAGAGAAGGGAAGTTCCCTAGGGCAAAGATTTGAGGAATGCTAACATGTAGAGGTTGGTCTATAAGAAAATGTCATTTAAACTGAATTTGAAGGATGGGTAGAAATTGTGTTGGTAGAGAGAATGGCTTTAAACTTCACTATTCTGATAAGAATAGTGGCTCCTGTGTGGTGGTGATGAGTGGGGTGAATTAAGACCACATTTTGAATGGCTGTGAATGCCTGAGTTGGAACTTTTTCCTGAAGGCAGTGGGAAAGCTTTGAAGCTATTGGAGCATGGAAATGACATGAAATAGGTGTGCTACTGGAAGGTTAATCAGGCAGCGGAAAGTGGATCAAAGCAGATAGGATCTAAACAAAACTGAGCAAGAGGTAACAGGAGCCTGAATGGGGTAATAGAGGGAAAGGAAAAAGGGGGGCGAATTCCAAGAGACACTATTGAATGTGATGATTCATTACGAAGGTACAGGGTTCCCAAGCAAAGCAAATTGCATTTTGCCCAGTGCAAAAAGCAAGACTCAAAAAGTTACATATTGTATGATTCCATGTATAAGAATGCCATTCTGGAAAAGACAAAACAGGAGTGAAAACCTAATCATTGGCAGTCAGGAAAGAGGGAAGGAGTTGAATACAAAGGAGCTGTACCAGGGGACTTTTTAGAGTGACAGGACTTTTCTGTAAGATACTGTGGTAGTGGATGCATGAGTCTTAGCCATTTGTTGAAGCCCGTGGAATTATACACCAGAAAGAGTAAACTTGACTATATGCACATTTAATAAATCTGCCAGCATTTCTGGGGATGGAATGCAGGCTGTGACAAATCAGTTAAACTATATTATAAACATGTAACTTCACTAAAGAGGGTGAGGGGCCGAAGGGCTGATCTAAGAACCTTTTTTTTTTTTTTTTGGCCTGCAGCAGTAATTGCTGCAGGCAGAATACACTGACTTGAATGCTAAAGTTAGCAAGTAAAACTTAAGAGGAGGTAGGATGTCCATATATTCTCCAAACATCTTGTCTGAAATGTTTATTAATTGCTATGGTAGTTTAACATTTGAAATAGAGTCTCACTCTGTTGCCCAGGCTGGAGTGTAGTGGCACAATCTCAGCTCGCTGCAGCCTCTGCCTCCTGGGTTCAGGTGATTTTCCTGCCTCAGCCCCCTGAGTAGCTGGGATTACATGTTTGCAACACCACCATGCCCAGCTAAATTTTGTATTTTTAGTAGAGATGGGGTTTGGTCTTGAACTCCTGACCTCAGGTAATCCACCTGCCTCAGCCTCCCAAAGTGCTGGGATTACAGGTGTGAGCCACCATGCAAGCCTCTAAGTAACTTTGGAAAAGTATTTTGAATGGATACAAAAAAGAATTGTACGTCAACACTGTACTGTCATTGTAAATTTATTTCTCACGGGGTACAGGTTAGCAATTCTGAAACTATGCATGTATAGTAGGGTGGAATATGTGTATAAATAAATTGTAGATGGTGGGAAGCAGGTTGCTCACTGTCAGAGAAGGAAGTTACAAATGAGCAAGAGGAGATGCCTGGAGGAAAATATGTGGTGCTTGATTAGATTTGGAAACATCAGTATGAGCTTCAAGTTATTGTAATAGATATAAAAATAAATATAGGTATGTGCATATGCATAAGTTAATATACATATATGTGTTTCCTGAATCTGTCTGCCGAAAGGACATAGAAACAGGGACACCTCAGTGACAACAAGTGCGCCTAGCACTCAGATCTTGGTTTTTAAATACCATTCTCAATGAAAGGAACCAGGATTCCTTGGAGAAGTGGCTGATTTCAGGGCTAGGTTAAGGAAAATACAGAAGGAACCTGGAGCCAGTGCCAGGAAATAAGGATGTGCTTTAAAAGCAAAACAAAACAGTTGGGCCGCGTCAAAAGGACACAGAAGCAACCTGAGAAACTTCCCCCTGGCTGGAGCTAGCATTATTTGAGCAACAAAATAACAGTGGTATTGGATTATAACCAAGGAATGAAATAAATATCTGAGACTATATGATACAAGTAAATAGATGGAAAAGATGGGACAAGTCTTCCCTACAGAAAAGTTGAGAATAACAAAGGCAAAAGTAATAAGAGAAATAGAAGATCACCATTTAAATGCAGTAATTGCTGCAGGCGATATCCACCGACAAATGCTAAAGTTAGCAGGTAAAACTTAGGAGGACATAGGATGTCTACATATTCTCCAAACATCTTGTCTAAAATGTTTATTAATTGCTGTGGTAGTTTAACGTATGCCTGGATTCTTTAGTACCCCTCCTTCTGGGAAGTGGAGCTTAATTTTCCTCTGACTTTGGGCTGGACTTGGTGGTTTGGATCTAATAAAGATGGAAAGGTTAAAGTGGCAACTTCACAGTGGAGAAACCTGGAAAACACTACTTTGACCAAGTGAACACGGTTAACATAAACAGTAATAAGTCATGTTAATGTCATGTACCTCTTGATAGAGTACTACCAGAAGAAAGCTTGACCTCTGGTAGTCTTCCAAAAAATGTGTAGCCTTAGCCTAATCATGAGAAAACATCAGGCAAACCCCAAATGAGGAATATTCTACAAAATACAAAGGAGACTTGATGGCCAGATTCAGTGTATCCTGGTACAGAAAGAGGATATTAGTGGAAAAACTGGTAAACTCCAACTCAACTCTGTAGCTTAGTTAACTGTATGTTAACATTAGGGGAAGCTGGGGAAAGGGTATATGTGAACTGTGTATCTTTTCAACTCTTTTGTAAAGCTAAAATTATTTCAATATAAAAATTAGAACAAACATACAGAGAAAACATGTAAATGAATGGATTCTTAGAAAACTACAGGTGTAGAAGAGCTGAGAGATGCAGGTATGGTTATGATGGCCATAGCCAAGTAATAATGTGACCCTTCAGTTCTAAATGCCCTGAGGAAGCTGAGTAATTCAGGGACTGTCCATTTTTCAAAATCATTAGAAAAGTCTAGATTAGAACAGCACTTTCCAGAGTACTCCTTGGAAGTCTGCTGTTCCCTTATGATGTTCCAGGAAAAAGTGGTTCAACTGGAGTTGGAAAATCCTGCATCCTTTAGCCTTTGCTTGAGAATTGATTGTATATATTAGCAAATTAAAGAATCTGAAAAGCCTTTTCTTACGGGCTGATTCTTGTCATTTAACTTACTGTTTCCCAAATATATTTTATCCCAGAACCCTTCTTTTCTCTTATGGTAATATCCTGAGAAATTAGTTCTTGAATGGGCAATTCTAATCTAGAAATATCTGGTGTTGTCTAGGGATCCCTAACATCTGTTGTTTACAGCCAGCTTTCAAATGAGTTGATCGTCCAACTTTGGAAAGTGGAGAAATGAGCCAAATGGCTTTTTCTCTTGATCTGTTCTGCTGCTTTCAGGGACCTTGGGTAGGTGAGGGGTTATAACTTGTTTATCCTGTGCACCATGGTGTCTCAGTAGCCTATAAAGCGCCTATTAGACAGATTCCTTTCAATGAAATATTAACTATTTCAACATCTTATTTTGGAGTTCACTGCCAATTGCTTGGCTGCGTCTAAAACAATCACAGATTAAACACTGGATGCTAATCTTTGTTTTAGCTGTGTTGGATTGCATAGGAATCTTTCAGATAATCCTTTATTTTCTTATATTAAATGCATGTAGTGGTACATGCAGCCTATTGTTTGTTCCTGGCTTTTTAGGCTCCAAGAAATCAAGCGATAATTTTGTCAGTTATTCATCCCCTAGTCTTCCCAGGTTACAAAATGCAAACTCTGATGCTTATTATACTTAGTGTCAATAGTGGTCTATTTTTAGCCAGTACTATTGTGGAAGTGAAGTGATGCCTCCAGAGATATCAAACACTGGCCAGGGTGTGTGTTGTTCTTAGTTTTTTTATTGATACCTTGTTCATTTTCAGTTTTAAAATTTGAGTCAGTGATTGCAAAATTGCTGGATTTAAGTACTTGTCCATTCTATATCTGGCTGATTTGTATTGTATTTGTAGACTGAAGGACTAAATGTGGCAATGACTATGAAACAGCTCTTATTTGATGAAGAGAACTGCAGTGATTGTTTTTGGTTTTGGTTTTGGTTTTCCAGAGTTGCTACGATGGAAGTTAAAGGGAAAAAGCAATTCACAGGAAAGAGTACAAAGACAGCACAAGAAAAAAACAGATTTCATAAAAATAGTGGTAAGATATGCTTCCCATGTGGGTGTTTGGCTGTTATAATTGGGGGATGGGAGGGCATGTAGTAAATTTCAATCTGTATTCATTGGCTAGGATTAGGATTAAAATAGTAGGAAGAAGTATGTGTTATTGTGTATGAGTTAACATGTTGCTCATGACATTTAGACACTTAAGAAATTGCAAGAATGATTGAGGAATGCCTTATTCATGAAAGACTCCTTATCTCAGTTGTTGCTGCTGTTGCCTCATTTTATTCACACTAGTTCACCATACATTTTATTTTAACATTTGATAAATTAGGACTGTTTAATACATACTGCTCATAAGCCAAATACGTTTAGGTTCAGAATTTATAATGGTGATGTCTTTATTATTCCATCAGGTGTCAGTATTGTAAAACAGAAAAGTCAAGGGACTATACAAATGATTAATGTTTCCTTAATGTTAGCCATTACTGTTTGCATCTCATTTGTTAGGTACTAATTTGTAAGCCTTCTTGATCAAAAGTTTTTGATAAATAATTTTAATATAGGCTTTAAAATTTTCTTAAAACTAGAAAATTTTAAAATTAACATTTTAGATGTCCTTATGATATACTTTCCAAATTTCAAGAATGTTCAAGAAGTCATTTCTTAAGACTTCTTTTGTTATTGAACTCTTGAAAATTCTGTGTAGACCATCATTAAAGCAGAATACAAAGGTATATAAATAATAGCTCTGCTATATGCTTAAAACTAGAGAAACATACCAAACTGACACCAGTGTTTATCTTTAGTGGTAGAATCATGGGTAGCTTTTATTTTACATTTCTCTACTCTCTAGGTGGTTTTATAATCAAGGAAAGAATTTTTTATTTTTGTTTTGATTGTTTAAATCCAGTTCTACTCAAAAGGCTATATGTTGCATATTTGAGAGTAAGACATGGTATTGGGATTAAAAAGTATAATTTTCTGTAATGGATATAATCCAATAGATAAAAGAGATTTGGGCCCAGAATCATTGAACTTATAATTATTATTGTCACTAGATTCTGGTTCTTCAAAGACATTTCCAACAAGGAAAGTTGCTAAAGAAGGTGGACCTAAAGTCACATCTAGGAACTTTGAGAAAAGTATCACAAAACTTGGGAAAAAGGGTGTAAAGCAGTTCAAGAATAAGCAGCAAGGGGACAAATCACCAAAGAACAAATTCCAGCCGGCAAATAAATTCAACAAGAAGAGAAAATTCCAGCCAGATGGTAGAAGCGATGGTAAGTACTGGTTCGTTCATGCCTGAACTAGTGCCTGAACGATTGTGCACAGGGACTCTGGAGGTGCGTTAGAAACCTCACATTCTTATTCCTTGGCAGGTAACATTTTGGGACAGGTAGGTGGCTTAAATAAACAACAAAGCATCTTTCATGCTCACAATTTTCCTCTGGTGCTTAGAGTTTCTTATTTCTTAGCCCTTTTCTGAATTACCTTAGCCATGGAGTTAAGTTAAATTATAATGGCTTTATACAGTGGAACCTCAATAAAACATTTCTTTTTATAAGCTAAAATTTATTCGTTCATCGAACGAGTATTTGAGTTTTCTATGCATTGTACCAGGAGATAGGGCAAAACACACACACACACACGCACACACACAAAAATAATCAGTAAGGATACAGGCCCCAACTAATCATAGAATCTGGCTTTAAAGAATCAGTCTGTCCCCAGCTAAGTGTCAGCCTTGGTTAAGGATGCTTTGGTGAGCAAGAAACATAGAGACCCTGCCTTCACAGAGCTTAGGCCAGTCTAATACAATAAATCCCTCTGATGGCGCAGATCCATAGTAGTTCCAGAGAAGGTGTTGTGCACACATGACAGATTTGATTTTAATTGATTCAGGACAAGTTGCTCACTGATTGGAAGTATTGGCAGGTCTCGTGCTTGTCTGTTGAAACAAACTGCCCATCTCTGTCAACGATGTTCAGTGGGTCATTTCTAACCCAGAACTTTGCTCTCTATTTTATAACATTCCGCTGTCGTGCTTTGTCCTGCACTGATCTCAAACAAGCAGTTTCCAGGTTATGTGGATTGTCATATCATTACTTTCTTTGCAACATCCTGAGAATTTTTCTGGTGCCTTTTATTCTCTTTTTCTCCAGCACAGCGTGTCTTAACACTGCTCCTTTGTTGCCAGCTGAGACCACTGGGGATGGTTTTCTCAGTGCCATCCCCTAGTCCTGGTGCTTGCTTTTTACCCTGCCTAAGGGCTGCTTACCAGAGGGACAGCAGCCTTAAGACAAGGAGGTAGGGAGAGAGGAAGGAGGGGAAATGCCATCGTTTCCCATTAGGGCTCCAGGATCTTTTCATGCTCCAGTCTTGATCTTCTCTTTTCATTTTTTCTTTCTCCCTCATCTTCCTCCTCCCCAATTGCCAGAAGTTTCTCTTCCAGCTCTCTTTTCTACTTTCTCTTTCCTAACCTCTCTACTAGATCCCAAATCTTTCTTTCTCTACTGGAGTTTTTGATGCCTGCATTTTAAACACATATACATTAATTTCTCACATTGATATGAGGAAAGTTATGATTTCTTTTGCTATGGGAGATATGTTCCTGATATCTCAAAATGGGACTCTGGATTTCATTTTCTCATATTTTTGTATCAGTAACTAGACTGATAAAATAACATGAGAGATTGGTTACTAGACAACCCCCACACTGATAAATGTACTGCAGCCTAGCATGACATATGTCAAGGGTACCCAAATATTTATGGAATTAAATTAGCCCTGGATCAGTTCCTATCCTCTATTGTATAGTAGAGGATACCATATTAATATAATGGTAAATATGCCCTCTGTTGCCTATAATCTTTTGTATTACCAGACAGGGAATGAATATATAAGTAAACAATAAAGGAATAATAAATACATTGTAGTATATTGGATAGCCATTAAAAATTATGTTCTTGAGGAATGTTAATTTCATGAGCAAACATAATCTAATCATATTGAGTGAAGGCAGATTCTGAATTTTTTTCTTTTTTGAGGGTCTCACTTTGTTGCCCAGACTGTGAAGTGCAATGGCGTGATGATGGCTCACTGCATCCTCAACCTCCTGGACTCAAGTGATCCTCCTGCCTCAGCCTCCCAAGTAGCTGGGACTGCAGGCATGTACCACCACACCCGGCTAATTTTTTAATTTAATTTTTTGTGGAGACGGGGTCTCACTATTTCGCCCAGGCTGATCTCAAACTCCTGGCCTCAAATGATTCTTCTTCTTCAGCCTTCCAAAGTGCTAGGATTATAGGCGTGAGCCACTGCAGCTGGCCACTTTTTGAGTTTTTAAAGATTAAAACATGTATGGAGAAGAAGCAAGGGGAAAATTATCAGTGGCTATAGCTAGGTTTTGGTTTTACAGGGTTTTTCTTTTCTTTTTTTTTTTTTTTGCATTTTTCCCAGTTTTTTATAGAGACAGGGAGATAGTTAGAAGTGACTAATTCCCCCAAAAGATTCTGTGCCAGATACTCATGTAAATAATACCCATTTTAGTAAGTTGTTCTTTGTTTGGCATCATTAGTTCAATTGGTAAGTTACTTGGATTTTGAAGACAAAAAAGTGGTGATAGATATTCGACTTTTATAGTATCACTCTGTTTGTGGCGAACTTGGAAATTTTGGTTGTTCATTGTCATGACTAAGACAGCAGAGGGTTGTTTCTAGGTTTGAGTCCTAATTCTACCATTGCAGGTTGTGTGGCCTCAGATAGAGAGCTCAACTGCTTTGTTCTTTTTCCCCACCATGGAAGAGAGGGTAATATTAATACCTACCTCTTCGAGTTGTTGTAAGAAATAAGTGACTTAATATACAACAGCACTCAGAACAGTGAATTTTCGAAGTTGTTTTTCTTGTTTTCATTTGGACTAATTTTTGTTTTCATTGGAAGTTAATTATACCTAAAGTCCAATGATCTTAATCTTAAAAAGTAGAATTTTATTTCACAATTGAAAAAGATATTTAAAATATTCTAGTTACTTTTGTAATTCTTTTAGTGTCCTTTTCTCTTAATAGGTATCCTGTTAGAAGAATTAATGAAGATTTAAATTTAACCAAATGTAAAATGTACAAACTGCTCAGAAAGCAAAGTGAAGTATATATGGGGGATGGTATGTTCCCCTTTTTAGCTTCCAGAATGAGCATTGATCCTGATTAGTGATTGCCCTTTTTACCTAATTTGTATTGGTGTATGACACTTAGAATGTTAAATGTAATTGAAAATAATTTCTATAATAACTAGAATCAGCAGCCAAGAAGCCCAAATGGGATGACTTCAAAAAGAAGAAGAAAGAACTGAAGCAAAGCAGACAACTCAGTGATAAAACCAACTATGACATTGTTGTTCGGGCAAAGCAGATGTGGGAGATTTTAAGAAGGTAATTCTACCTAAAGATGCCTTTGTTAGTCCCTTTGCAACAGTGGAGAAGTCAGTGTACCTTGTAAATAGTGAGATGTCCTAAAATAAATGACATAGCACTTGGGTTATTGAGGGGGTCCTCATGACACCCCATTAGAGACATCAGTACTTGGAAGTCTGCCCGTCACAGAAGTGTGTAGAATCATTATGATGGCATCGGATATGCTTATGAAAATGTATGAGGTTGAAATAAATTTGACATTCTTCCTGAGAGATTTCTGAGAAAATGAAGGACAATTTCTTATCAGCTAGATTTTGAGATACTTCAGTATTTGTTATCTTAGATTTGTTTTATTATTTTTTTTACTTCTGAAGTTCTGGCTGTTAAGATTTGGATTGATACCTAAAATTATACCTTTTGAGATGAGTTTCTGCCTTTGAGAAAATTACTTTTGTCTGGCTGCTCTGGAATAGTAATTTTAATGGCAGAGGTTTGCTGCCTTAGAAAAGAAAATCATGCTGAACTTGGAGAACATATACTGGTACAGTTTTTAATTTTGTGTGTTTAAAATAACTTCTTTATTTCAACTGTGTTTCCTTCCTCTCCTCATTTGTAGAAAAGACTGTGACAAAGAAAAAAGAGTAAAGTTAATGAGTGATTTGCAGAAGTTGATTCAAGGGAAAATTAAAACTGTAAGTAGCATATACTCATTGTTGCAATTTTTAACAGTTGAAGTTGCCTCACTCTCAGGAGTAGCTGACCATTCATGACAGATGATCTTATCATTGTTTCCGGTGTATTTGGCCAAAAGTTTTAAATATCTTCCATAACACTGAACTACATAAAAATTTAAAAGTGAGGGACCTTACTGCTAGGGAGTTTTGAAAAGATTATCAGTCTTTTCAGTCATTTTTTAATAATTCTTAAAATAAGCCAGTGTTTCCTTAAAGTTATCTTGAGAAGTTTATTAGTTCAGTAGTATTTTATAAATGTGTTGTTCTAAACTCCATATAATTTAGTATGTTCTCAATTGCCAACTTCTTTATATTTGTGATGTGAACATATTACTTCATTCTTTTCCTCCATGCTTTTGTAAACATCATGCGAAGATCTTTAACTAAAATATAATCATTTCAGAATTCTAAAGTAGTTTTCATTGTTGCTGCTTAATCCTGTTTTGTAATAAATTTCCTGTGACTCTTGTGTATTTGGATTAATACATAATGGCTTGGAAGACAACAGATTCTCATAGTTTTACGGCACCTGGAGGGGCAGCCTTTGTCAAGTCAGATGCATAGGTCTAACCAGATGCTATATTACAGTTTGAAGGAAAGTAGCAAGTCATCAGCTGCCGCTTTCTTATAAATTCAGCAGGATCTTTTTACGATAGGACTGCCCCCTCAGCTCCGACAATTTATAAATATTTCACTCAGGATTCTTTCTCAACTACCCTGAGGTCACAGCTGTATGACCATGGTGTTAGAAGTGAGTTTGGTATTCAAATCCTGGCTGGGCTGCTTAAAATATGTGTGCCTTTAAACAATAACAATAACTTCTTTATTGATTATTTACTATAGGCTAGGAATTGTGTTAACCAGCACATGCATTGTGTCGTTTACTGTATGTCATCATCCGTGTTGTATATTTGATGTATCTGGGACTCAGGGAAGTAAGATTCTTCCTCGGGGTAATAGAGATAGCGAGTTCCTTCTCATAACCTTACTTCCCTCATCTGTAAAGTGGGAATAGTAACAGCTCATTCTTATTGTTGCTTTGAGTTATAAATAAGAACACTATGTTTAAGGCATTTATGTTGATTATATAATAGGTGCTCAATATATGCACAAAAACAGCCTTATTTTTTTAAGAGATACTTAAGAGATGTCTTACAAATCTTGAAATTTATGACTTTGATGGAAGTATACACTCACCTGATTTGTTGGAATTCAGAAACTTTAGAGTGAGCAACAAATAAGCACTTTTGAAGTAGACTGGTACTGTGGCGTAGTGAAAATAATTTTGCATGATGGATGATTCGTGGAGGGCGCTCTAGAAAATTGGTCAGTGGGTCCTTCCAACAGTCATGAGGAGGAATGGGTTAGAGAATCAGATTCAAAACACAACAACTCTTCTAGAAATATAACTGGATATATGTGCAGGAATTATAATGAAAATGTGACAAATGGATGATTAACTTATTATATAATTGACAGTGTTTATGGACATAGTTGTATTTATTTCTTTAGGAAGACTTTTAGATTGATCTTACAGGTATACTTCTGGTTGCCAAAGCCAAACATTCTTAGATCACTTATATAAAAATCATACAGTAACAGACCTTTTAAACAGAAATATTTCCCTTTTAGGGACGGTAACTTATCAAAGAAATGAGAAGTATAGTCTGTATAATCATCAGATGGTTTGGTTTGCTTTGGTTTTAATTGCAATGAGAGGAGTCTTGCAAAATGGTTAAATTTATCCTTGCCTCAATGTCATTATTGTACCTATCAAATATGGTAGGCCTCAAAACAACAGAATGATGTTTTGTATAATTAAAACAAGTAGTTCTCAGTAATCTAGGTTTGATTTTATTCATGAAGACTACCTTTTTTTCTAACAAGAAATTCCAGAAGAGGTCACAATAAATTAGTGAGAAACATAAGTCTCAAAAGAGAATTAGTCTAACTCAAACTTTTTCCTGCAGATTGCATTTGCACACGATTCAACTCGTGTGATCCAGTGTTACATTCAGTATGGTAATGAAGAACAGAGAAAACAGGCTTTTGAAGAATTGCGAGGTATTTATTACATACTAAAGATTATGTTATCATTTGCAATAAGTCACTTGTTTTCTCTTAAAATACCCAAGACTGTCCTAGAAAACAATTTTTGTTTAGGTTTGTCTTCTCCAGATCCTTTTTTGTTTTTATTTTTTCCTTGCCTGGGACAAATTTCCTCCCTTTGTTTCCAGAGAACTGAAATGAGATCTGAAGTCACTGTAATGTATTTTTGTTTTTCAGATGATTTGGTTGAGTTAAGTAAAGCCAAATATTCGAGAAATATTGTTAAGAAATTTCTCATGTATGGGTAAGTTGTTTTATGTATAAAATACATTTTTTCTTTGTCTTTTGAAGACATGGTTTCCAACTGTGCTCAGATGCGAGATAGGAAGTCTGTGGTCTTTATAAGTAATAGTAATGGCTCTCAGCAGATGCTTGTGTTGTTTTTAGAGAGTATCATCTTAAATACAATTATCGAAATTAATGTAAAATTATGGTACTGCCTTCATTCCTAAAAAGATACATGAGAAATGTCCTGCAAATCTCCTTGAAATTTATGACTTTGATGGAGGTATACCCTCACCTTCTGATTTGTTGGCATTCAAAAGTTTTAAAGACAGAGTGAGCAACAGATAAGCACTTTTGAAGTAGACTGGTATTGTAGCATAGTAAAAATAATTTTACATGATGGATGATTTGTGAATGTTTATCTTGAACCTCTGGAAGAAGAGAAATAGAATAATTAACTTATAATTAGCCACCAGTATTAAGAGGGTGGAGACTGGGGAGGGACAGGTGAGTAAACTGATAGAGGGTCAGTGGGTTAGAAAATGTCAACATGGGAGAATTTCCTAAATTAAGTGGAATTAGTACTTGTCTTGACCAATCTTTTTGAGTGTATTAATGTGCTAGAATATGATAATCAACAACAAAAAGTGTAATATATGCAGTTGACAAAATTTTCAAAAATGTATTCCTAGCTGTAGTTTCCAGCTGTTTAATTCTTTTAGGATATAGTTAAAATACTTGTGATTAAGTCCCATCTTCAAAAGGAATCTTAGAATATGATTTTCTATTTCCTTGAATCTTTTATCTTTTTTCCTGCCCTACTGTTTTTTTCGAGCAGAACAGTTTAATAGGAAATGACATTTATTGAGCATTTACTATGTGCTGGCCACAGCTTCTCAATGCATGCTAGCTCATTTACTCCTCAGAGTGACACAGATTGATGAGTTGGTCTTGGGAGAAGTAAGTTGTGTTTTATTGTCACCCAGCTTTCTCCTTCTATCATTTATTTTTCCATGATTGTGTTGCGTTTAGAAGTAAACCACAGATTGCAGAGATAATCAGAAGTTTTAAAGGCCACGTGAGGAAGATGCTGCGGCATGCGGAAGCATCAGCCATCGTGGAGTACGCATACAATGACAAAGCCATTTTGGAGCAGAGGAACATGCTGACGGAAGAGCTCTATGGGAACACATTTCAGCTTTACAAGGTGACATCTCCAGAAGTCTTTTTCTAGTATTTTTACTTTTCGATATGCTCTTCCTTAACTTCCGGTGCCCTATATATCTTTTGAATGTATTTTTACTGTGGCTGGTTCTTTAAGAGACCATCTTATGCCCTTGATTTTCCCTCATGCTTTATTTTGTTTCTGGTATAGTGAGCAAGTTTCTCTTTCTCCAGAGCATTGGCTTTAAATCCCCTTCAATTCAAACTTTGTTCCTCTCCTGAGTGCTCTGTGTGTAGCACTTCAATACTTCTATTTTTACAGTCATACTGAAGGACAAGACTCCCAATAGTTAGCAAAGTTGTGTGACCACCCCCAACCAGCTCTGGCTGAAGTGTATTGGGCTCTCTGTTGCTAGCTTCTCCTGTGTTTTTTCATGTGCATGCATTGCCCTTCTTCAGATTGTGTCTGGAGATGAAGGGGAACAGAGAGACCTAACCTTGGATAGAGTACAGGGATTGAATCTGAGAATAGTTAGCAGTGGGACTAGCTGGTTAAAGAATCTATTTCAAACCTTGGAACATAAATGCACACATGTGTCTGAAGGGATATGGATTGATTCCCGGGTTGCCTCCATTAGCCAGGTTCAATTCTTGGGTTGAATTTGTTGCTGTACTAATTTTGTTAACAGTTCGTTATATTTAATAGGAATAGCCAACTAATTATAAAACATATGGTGGCAAGAATTTGTGAAGTGACTACTTGATCTCATAATTGGGCAAGAGCTAGGTGCTTGGCAAGTAACTGTTAGCTGGTTAACTTGGTTGGCCTGGCTCTTTAAATGCACTGATAGATACACAGACTGAGAATCAGCTAATCAGGTTACTCCACAAGGATATACAGCAGAGCTTTCATTATGTAAATATGGGAAATCTTAAATTTGTTAAAACTTATTTTAAAATGACTAATTACTTTTCTTTTTCCTGAAGTGAAAAAATTGATTAAATTTAGAGGGGTTTGATTGTTTTGTTTTGTTGCAGTCAGCAGATCACCGAACTCTGGACAAAGTGTTAGAGGTACAGCCAGAAAAATTAGAACTTATTATGGATGAAATGAAACAGATTCTAACTCCAATGGCCCAAAAGTAAGAAAGTTGTTTTTGTTTTGTTCTTAAGAAATGACATTCAAAGGAGGAAGGTTTTCCATAACTGTTGCCCAGAAGAGGTAGCTATTTCCTGCTTACAAGTATTAATCTATTCTAAATAAGAGTGCAAAAGTGTTGGTTTGAAACCATTCTTGGTGCAAAAGGAGATTTCTTTTTCTGATATTGTACCCTATAAAATGATAACTAACATGCATTCGTGATTTATGAGCTTTTTTAAGCAATGAAACATTCTTTCCCCAAATAAAATGTTACATGGAAGCCATGTATACTAAACAGTTTCACAAATATAATCTGTTACTCAAATTTGGTTGTAGGCAAGGTACAGTGGCTCACGCCTATAATTCTAGCACTTTGGGGAACCAAGCTGGGAGAATCACTTGAGGCCAGGAGTTCAAGACCATCTGGGGCAATAGCAAGACCCCATCTCTACGAAAAAATAAGAAAATTAGCCAGGCTTTATGGCATGTGTGTATAGTCTTGGCTACTTGGGAGGCTGAGAGGCAGGAGGCTCACTGGAGCCCAGGAGGTCATGGCTGCAGTGAGCCATGGTTGTGCCACTGCATTCCAGCCTAGGCAACAGAGTGAGACCTTGCTTTAAAAAAATAAAAAAAAATTAAAAAATGGATTGTAAGACTTGGAAGCCTGTGCATGTGCCCTTCATGGCATCTGTCCAGTAGTGGAGTGGCTGAGCATAGCTTTTGGGACCCGACTGCCTGGGTACGACTCCTGGTTCCCCACTCCCCCAACTATTACTAACTGCAATCTTTGGCAACTTAACCTCCCTGTGCCTCAATTACCATATTTGTAAAATTGGGATAATAATAGTACAGACTTCATAGGAATTTTGTGAAGATTAAATGGGTTGGTTGTTCCAAAACACTCAGAACAGTGCTTTGCCCATAAAGGCAGTGTTAGTTTTTGCTGTCTACTTGGGTATCACCTGTGAACTTTAGGTCTTTTATGCCTGACCATCGGCCTCCACTGTACACCTGGATCCACCAAGTGTCACACTAGGGGGTTTGGATTAAGTAGGTGTTGTTGCAATTGCTGACAATGTTTGGTTCATTCAAGTTTTAATTCTGCTAAAATTATTTTGTGAAACAGATGGATTGTGAAGGGTGTTAACAGAAATAAAACAACTATTAAAAAAATACATCCACATGTGGATTTCTAATCATTATGTCCAGTGCTGGGGGAAAAAATGTAGATGTCCTTATTTAATAGAGCAGAGCATATTTCAAATGTTGATTTTATGTTTGCCGATTAAATACTAGAAGTTTATACTCTGGTCTTGGTTGTAGATGGCACTAAATCAATTTTACCATCTAAATTTTTGTTTAAGTTTTAGTATTTCTGAAAAATACAGTCTATTTTATGACAAATTGTATTCAGTAAAACCATTTCACTTGTTTAGATTACTTTAGGACTTTGAGATTACCTGTCTTTGTATGACTGTAGTGCCAGATCTGTTGTGTCTTTTTGCTTTTTTTTTCTGTTTTCAGGGAAGCTGTGATTAAGCACTCATTGGTGCATAAAGTATTCTTGGACTTTTTTACCTATGCACCCCCCAAACTCAGATCAGTAAGTTCTTGGTTTTTGTTTTTAAACTAAAACATGGAGGAGGAGCGGTGTAGAAATTTGAAAAACTGCTTTGATGTACGTTGTCTTGTGGAAATTTTAGAGTTGCTTCCTTATTTAGGGAAGATAATTTACTCAACTCCCTTTGAACACGTTTGCTAATTCCATTTAGGTTTTATTCCAGTAAACAATAGAATTGACCCTAGTTTTACTAATCATATTAAATTTTTATATCTTAATTATAATCCAGAGAGTATCCGCTGGCTAACCTAATCTGAAAATTAACTAACTCGTGGAGGAATATTCAAGCATTCGGATAGTTTTAAATTCAACTGTGCTAATACAAAAAAAAAATTAGCTTGGCATTAAAAGGTTAGAGGAGGATATGTTTGTAAAACTAAGTGGACGATGAAAACCTGGACTTTATATCATAGAAGAACAGAGTGAAGGTAAATTGCACTGCCCTTCAAGTCAGTCATGGGAATACAAATGAGAATTCATCATTTAGTTCCCTGAACTTTGCTTGCCTCATCATACAGTGAGCTCATTGTCCATTTGTCCTCATTTTCCAATCACAAGGGATAATGAAAATAATGAGACTGACTTAACAAATAACGCCAGACTATACATTCATTGGAGTTTTGACCCTCTTAAAATTGGCATGCAAAATAATTTCCTGATGGTAGCCACCCACGTAAGCTTATGGTTTGATGACCATAGCAGCACCTTCTGTTTTGGAGATTTTTCTTACTTCCTGAAAAATACAGTATCCCACGGTTCTGAGGCAGGACTATATGCTCAGAAATGACACAATGATTATTTGAATATATTCAGTGGTAGAAAGTATCTTTTTAGTGTTGAATGTTTCAGTAACAGCAAAAAATCATTTGGAACTTAGCATGCGTGTAAAGTAATGAGACAAATTGTCTTTTCTGGTATTGGGGGCATTTTCAAAAGAGACTTAAAAAAAAAAAAACCTTCGGGGAAAATGGAAGCATAATTGGAATATATGCATGGCTTTCCATCTGGATAGCTCTGAAGAGATTCCTAAGTTCAGATATGTTAGTTGAAACTGCTCTTGAGAGTCATCTTGGGAAGGGATTGTTAGATACTTGAGGCTGAAATTGTTTGTTCCTTATTGATGAAATTAGGCACCTACCCTCTCTTTCGTGGCATGAGGCTTTGTATTTATTTAATGTACATTTTTAAATTGGGAATAGACTAAAATGGAGCTCTGCACTTGTTAGTTGCCAGAACTCATTTACATCCTACATGCCTTAGACTTTGAAAATATAGGGCCAGGCACGGTGGCTCACACCTGTAATCCCAGCACTTTGGGAACCCGAGGCGGGCAGATCACAAGGTCAGTAGTTCGAGACCAGCCTGGCCAATATGGTGAAACCCAGTCTCTACTAAAATACAAAAATTAGCCGGGGGTGGTGGCGGGCACCTGTAGCCCCAGCTACTCGGGAGGCTGAGGCAGGAGAATTGCTTGAACCTGGGAGGTGGAGGTTGCAGTAAGCCAAGATGGCACCACTGCACTCCAGCCTGGGTGACAGAGCAAGACTCCGTCTCCAAAAAAAAAAGAAAATGTAAATAAGAAATTATATACATGGAAAATGAAGGCTAAAGGTTAAATTAAGCTAAGCTACCTAGTGAGAAATTAAATGTTTTTTACTAAAGGGTCATTTTATAGGTGAGGTCTTAGTCTAAATGTTAGTATAGAAATTTTTCATGAGGAAATGTTATGTAAGCGTGTTTATGGTAAAGAATGTGATTTTTGGAGATAATCCAGTTATGAACTGAAAAGGGAAGCTTTTCAGTCAAAATGAGTGTTTTGATTCTGTTTATTGCATACAGGTCTCTTTTGGGGAAGAGCATTTTCTTTGTCTCGCTATTCTGTTAAAAGCTCCCTTCTTATCACCACCACCTCCTAGGCTTCTTTTTCTTGGAAAATTATTTAGAATATATTATATTACACATATAGCTTGACCTTTTTTTTAACAGACATTGGTAAAAGTCAGGTATTGTTTTTAATAGATATTGTCTGCCAGCAGTATTTACTGCTCTTGATGGAAAAGAACATTTCTAGAAAGAGCTCGTGTTTCTGTTTGATTGTCTACAAAATGAAATTGTTTGCTACCTGGCACTCTCTTCCTTTCCTTCTCTCTGCATAACTGCCCCCTGTAGACA
Organism: Homo sapiens; assembly: GCF_000001405.40. NCBI lineage: Eukaryota > Metazoa > Chordata > Mammalia > Primates > Hominidae > Homo > Homo sapiens. Next base: position 2,824,882 of record NC_000009.12, on the reverse strand, counting down.
GACAGATAAAACAGTAGAAAGAAGAAAATAAAGCAGAGCCCTGTTCCTGACAGCATTTGTTCCCTAGGAAATGATTGAAGCCATCCGCGAAGCGGTGGTCTACCTGGCACACACACACGATGGCGCCAGAGTGGCCATGCACTGCCTGTGGCATGGCACGCCCAAGGTAAGTGTGACAGCACTTGGGCATTTAAACTGTACAAGTCAGGGCCATGCTTTATCTGCAGGCTTGACTTAGCTGTCCTTAGACTTTTAACCCCCTTTGGTCTTTGCCCTGTTGTGCATTATCTTCCAAAAGTTGTGCCTTAGAGCCTGATGGGAATGAGCCATCTTCTTTAGGCCTAGTGTTTCTTCTTTCCTCTGCTTTAGTAGAAACCTTGAAGTTTCATTAAAGGATGGGAAGAGATCTATCAAGCAAGTAAACATAATATGTATTTAAGCTTTAGTTTATAGAGGTTTTGGTACCTCCTCTTTTAATGATCATACTGTGGCAGGGGAAAATGGGAAGAGATAACAAACAGCTGGCCACACACATTTGCTCCCATAGGTGTTATGTACTTGAGGGAAAAGGTAAAGATCCTTATTAATCACAGAAGTTTAACAGAAATTATCATTATTTCCTTGGTCAGCATAATTCTGCCTTTAAAAGATAGTTGTACTATATCTACTTTTTTTAATGCAAATTTAATTTTATTCAACAAATGCAGATGAGTACTAACTGTTTGCTAGACTCTGCATTTGAGGACAGTTTAGACCTTGGAAGAAGGATCTGTCTGGTCTCACTGTGAAAGGTGGCTTGCAAACCCTAACCCTAACCCTAACCCTAACCCTAACCCTATCACATACACATCTAAGCTTGTAATAGCTCTAAGCCAACTTCTTTGGTATATTACAGTTTTTTTGTTCTGGCTGTATAACTATTATTTTTACTAATGAAAACATATGCCACTCAAATGAAAACTTAATAAATATTATATTAAAATGTTTAACTACAAAATACCCTTAATACATAACTGAAAATTCAGTGAGACAATCTTTCCTTTTTAAGGACAGGAAAGTGATTGTGAAAACAATGAAGACTTATGTTGAAAAGGTGGCTAATGTAAGTATAATAAAACTACATATTCTAATTATTTTTGATAGTAAGATGAATTCATGTCTATTATAGAAAATTTGGAAAAATTCAGAAAATTACCAAGCAGAAAATTATTGTTTTATTATATTTTTCTTTGCATCTACATGTATTTTCATATTTTATCTACACAAAATGGAAATCATGTCACATGCATTCTTTTCTCCTTTTTTAATTTAACATTGTATTGTGATAGTTCTCTACTTTTATTAGATATTCTTTGAAAACCTGATATTTACTAGCTTTTTTGGTGAATTTGTCCAGTCATGTTAATTAAATATGGGAATTACTGCCTGGATACAGTATGTACATATTTTAGTCTCTGGGTAAATGATGCCAGATTGCACTTCAGAAACTTGATAGTAGTTTTCCTTATGACCAAAACCATAAAAGAAATTAAAATGTATCTTTTTTTTAAGAATAAATTTGCAGTGTGGTTATGGAAATTTTTAGTTGTTAAATTTTATAGCTCTTTAGAAATGCAGTAACAATTTTCCTAATGAAATTCATAGGTACAAAAGTTTTTTCTGGGGGATTTGTTGCTTCAAAAATAGTGTTTATATGTTTTTAGTTATTAAATAATTTTTCATGCTGTTGCTATGGTGTACTGTAACTAGAATATATGTAGTGAATACAATTTTAATTTTTGAGTTATACTTTATATATTTGATGGATAACAAATTTCTAATTTATTGATGAACTAAAATTATGTAGTAATCAACTACTTTATCCTTTGAAAACATCCAGTGAGAACTACTAGCATCTGGGGAATACTTCAACTTGTTTGAAATACTAAATCAAACAAGTTAAAATTAATGCTGTGTGATTGTGTACTTGACTATTGTCTTCTGTTGGGCTAGAAATTAGAAGAATTCAGAAGGCAGCTAACGTTCCTATAATAAAGTGAAATATGGAATTCTCATATTTTTTATAATTCATAATTCAATATTCATATATATTTCATAATTCATAATTATAATATGAATTATAATGTTATATATTATATAACATTATATTATTATGTTATAAATATAAATATAATTCATAATTATAATTCATAATTCAATATTAAGTAAATTTTTTTGCGTGACATTCTAATTTGAATACCTTACATTAAAATGAGTAAAAACTAGAATGTTAATAGAAAATTCACAAAGGTATTAAGAGTATAACATTTTAAAATAATAAAATTATATTGTTTTAGTTCTACAGTTTGTTTATGTCAGGTAATTTAACACTAAGTACATATCTTTTTAAATCTCGAAGAGTTACTTCTAAAGGGGTGATAAGCTAACGTTACCCATGGATTTGATCCATGGATTATTTGGAATTATTAATTTCCAAATATTGGGGGTTTCTGGATATATTCTATATTCTTTTGTTCCTTTTAAATTTACTGAGACCTGTTTTATGGCCTAACATATGGTCTAAGTATTTTGAAAATAATATATTGTAGAGTTGTTTGGTGGGGTATTCTATATTTGTCAATTAGATCAAAGTAGTTGACAGTGTTCATACCATCAGTGTTTTTACTGACTTATTATTTTCTAGTTCTATCAGTTGCTGAGAGAAACATGTTAAAATTTCCAACTATACTTGTGGATTTGTCTGTTTCTCACTTACATTCAATTCTGTACCACCTTCTGTTGTATTCACCTAGAAATATTTTATGCTTGGTTATGCTTATGTGTGTCCGAGTTAAGAGAACTGAAACCAGTGATTTTGTACTAGGCACGTTGTTCTATATTTTGTCTCCTTCACTTAATTCATATTATGGGTCATTTTATTTCAATATACATACATCTGTCTACCTCACTTTTCTTAGTGACTGTAATATTTCATCGTGTGCCTATACCATAATTTATTTAACCAGTCCCCACTGTTGGGCATTTTGGTAGTTTCTAGAGTTTTTAAAATTACAATTAGTACCCCAGTGAATATATTCATATGTAAGTCTTTGTACTTACATGGAAACACGTCTGCAAGATAAATCCCTAGAACTAGAATCACTGGATCAGCTCATACCTGCATTTTAAATTTGTATAGGTGTTGTCAATTGCTCTTCAAAGAAGTTGAACCACTTTACATTCTCATCAACATAAAAGCGTGCCTGCTTTTCCCTAAACCTTTGATAAATTAGTCTATTGTCAGAGGTTTTCACCATCACCCATAGGATAAATGGCATTTCATTGTTTTAATTATTGTCCTTAATTAGTTCATAAAGCATTATTTCATACATTTAAAGACATTTGTACTTCTGTTTTAGTGTGATCTGACTCTTCATGTTCTTTTTTTTTTTTTTTTTTTGAGACAGAGTCTTGCTCTGTCGCCCAGGCTGGAGTGCCGTGGCGCGATCTGGGCTCACTGCAAGCTCCGCCTCCCAGGTTCACGCCATTCTCCTGCCTCAGCCTCCTGAGTAGCTGGGACTACAGGCGCCCACCACCATGCCCAGCTAATGTTTTGTATTAGTAGTAGAGATGGGGTTTCACCCTGTTAGCCAGGATGGTCTCGATCTCCTGACCTCGTGATCCACCAGCCTCAGCTTTCCAAAGTGCTGGGATTACAGGCGTGAGCTACCGCACCTGGCTTTGCCCATTTTTAGTTGGTTGTTGGTCTTTGTATAGTAAGACCTTTGTTGTTTGTCTTCAGTTTGTCTTTTTGACTTTACAGTTAGCAACTTCGTTATTGTTTCTAATTGAAATTGTATTATCTGTGATATTTATCAGATCTGGCTCTGAATGATTGTGGGCTATTATCAAAAATCAAATTCCTATCAGAGTTTGAAACAATTATATCAACATCCAGGATACTCATGCCACAAGCTCTGGAAACAGGTTTTTGTTTTCTTTTGTTTTTGTTCTTAACATAAAGTAGGTGTTCTTTAAATGTTTGGAACAGTATTAGCATCATGGAAATAATTTTATTTCAAAAGATGAGTGTTGTGAAAGCCACATGTGTATTTCTGTGATCTCATGCAGCTATACTTTTTTTAAAGTAATGATTTTTATATCATTCTCATTCAGTGTATAATTATACTCTTCTAGTTTATTTTTTCATATTTATATTCTAATTTTGTGAGATCACTTTAAAGAAATTGAGCAATATAGAAAAGAAAATTAAAAATCATTTGTATAACCCAGAGATGACTATTACAATGCCTTGCCTTCCAGGATTTTCTGTGTACATGTATTATGTATATCGTGTGTGTGTGTGTATGTGTGTAAAATTGTATGAGTTTATATTTTCTTTTTCATGATTGGAGTATCATATATGTGTTTATATATGTAGGTTTTTTGAAGTTAATCTTATAACTTGAACTTTTAAGTATAATTTTCAAGTAGCTATTCATTAACAGTAACCTATGTAAATAGGTATTAGTTTTAGACTATTTGGTAATGAATAATGTGCTTTAAAAAAAAATCAACCTTACCTCTAGAATATAATTAATGAGGTCGTGATAAGAGAGGAAGTTCATTAAAATGGCTTTTATTCATCTTGTTATGTTAGACAAGTTGTCAATGTAGGTAATCTTTTTTTTTTTTTTTTTTTGAGCGGAGTCTCGCTCTACCTTTATGAAGATATTCCATGTGTGAAATAAGAGGGAAGATCTATGCACTTGTTTTTAACCTTTGCTGGCTTCCAATTCTTGCAGGGCCAATACTCCCATTTGGTTTTACTGGCGGCATTTGATTGTATTGATGATACTAAGCTTGTGAAGCAGATAATCATATCAGTAAGTAATCCTGATGGTCTTGAATTTAAGTTACATCGATAAACCAGTTGTGGATGTGTAAGCTTGATTTCACCATGCATGTGTAAAGACTTGCAGCTGTGCCTTCTATCAGTATTTTTGCTTACTTTTAAGTTAATTATGTTTTATTTTGGAGGTTTGTTTTATTCCTGTGTAAATCTTAACCTTGTAACTTGATATTAATACTGTTTTAAATATTTAAGACTGGTCAAATTAAGATTTAACACTTTTATTTTGGATTAGGATAACATGGTACTTTAGAACATACGTGATTCTAAACTATGGAAAATTAGCAAAGTGATATTTAGATATGATCAGAAACTAGCATAGTAATTCCTTAGTTATTCCAGAACTCAAATACAAGCAGAGAGTATCTGTGACCTATTAAATTATCTCTCTCCCTGTGGAGAAATAATTACCTCTGCACAGTTACCCAGTTAATCAATGCATCTGTGCTGGATTGAGCTGATGGAGAAGAGAAATGTACAAAACTCACTCAGTTGTGATGCTTCTTAGAGCTTTTGTAGGGTCAGATTAAAAGTTATTACTAAAATTAAAACTCTAGCTTCCTTTTGACATTTCAGAAATTCCTTCTAGTCCAGTGTAGTGGCCATAAAGTGGTAATACTTGAATGTAGTGTATTTATCGCTAACGTTGCCTTCAGAAAAACCAATTGTCCTCTTAGGGGAAGTACTCCAAAGTAAAAATTGCATTCTAAACTATGTGTTTTCTTCATTCTGCATCAATAGTCTCTTTTTCTGATTCTACAATTGTCTTTTCTTTTGTTTTTAGTGTATGAGTGGTGTTGAGTATATGGTAGAGGTTGCAGCAGGGTGGGGATAAGAAAATACTAGTTTGATAGTAGTGACCAAACTTGGAAACGTCTGGAAAACCACATAATCTGTATAGACATAGGTTATTCATCTGAAAATTACACAAGCCTTTCTGTTTGATATACATAAATGGGACCCTTGGAGAAATCTTAGTGATGACATGTGGTACTTTCACATCTGCAAGAAAGAAGAATATGATGATTCAAAAAGAGAATTTACCTGTTGTCAGGTGGTGGTGTTGTGGTCTCTCTTTGTAGCCTCCTGGGATCAGTAGAGCTGAGTGTAGTAGAAAAAGTATACCAGCTAGTGGAGGGGAAGATTGTTTTCTTAGATGCCAGCCGTAGGTCCCAGTGTGTGTGAATTTCTCATGCCCTTGCTGTCATTTTCCAACTTTACCCTTGACTGTTTTAAGATTGTGATGACTTTCTTTGGGATAGGATTGTGGGAAGAAACAAGTTGGCAAGACTTTCATGTTACAAACTGAGTATTTTGACATGTTCCTTGTGACTTTATTACCCTTTTGACTCCAATCAATAATGATTGTTTTTCATTCTTGTGACAGAGATGTGAGGCCATAGAATTGGCTGATGAATAAAGTTGTTTCACAGAAATGGAAACAGGCTGGGATATTGAAAGTTTGCTTTTGTTTAATATTTTCACGACAACTAAAATGTGCATAGCTGTTCCAAATGGATTTCAAGAGAAACCAAATTTCCTTCATGATTTGCCAGAATTGTCTGTTAATTTTTTTCCAAAGATGTATGCCACTTAAAGTTGCTGTTGAAAAAGTTTTAATTCCTTATGCTTATCACTTTGATTCCCACAACTGCTTAACCCACATTCTTAACGACTTTCTCATACTTAGGGCAGCTTTCCCTGAATGGCCTGATTTGCCGATCTCTTTCCTGTAACTGACAAACGTTCAACAGGTTCTGTGTATTATTAAACTGTGTAGCTCGTGATAAAATTCTGGAATGCTAATTGCCCTTGGATTTTTCCCATCACTCATCCACCACAAAAACAGTTGCAGTATGCAGTGCTTTTTAAAAATAACCAGGAAAGCTTAGTGTTGCTAAGCACTCTGTTCAGGGCACCAGACTTCCCAAAATGTCAGGTTGAAATCACAGCCTGGTCAGCTGAGCTCTTCGCCTTTCAAAATGGATACGAGCTCTTTCTTACTACTTTCCTAAATAAACATAAAGTTTCATCCAGTTTACCTTTGCAGTCAATTGATATGCAGACGGTTTGACAGCAATGGTCGCTGGAAAGTAAATAAGTATACTAGCCAATTGCTGTTTGAGGGTGAATAAATATTGATGCATATTTTTAAAGCCATTGTCTTTAAAATATACAGAAAGGTATGAATAATACAGTGAACATCCAGCCTCCCACCACCTGACATGAAATAAAACTTGACAAATACAGTTCAAGTTTAAGCCCTTTGTGTACCCATCCCTGATATCCTATCATCGCCCCATATCTACTATGATAAATTTGGTATTTATTATTCATCTGCATTTCCTTATCCTTTCACTATATGTGGACATTTTTTATTTTGTAAAACATGTATCTAATTTTATTTTACATGTTTGCAAGTTCTGTATAAATGATGTCTTACATGTATTTTTCTGCATCTTGCTTTTTTTCTTTTCTCATGTTTGTGAGATTTATTGTCAGGGGTCAGCAAGCCTTTTTATAAAGGGCCAGTTAATAATTATTTTAGCCTTTGTGGGGTATATATGGTCCTATCATGTATTCTTGTGCATTTTGTTTTTGTTTTTTAAAACCCTTTTGAAATGTAAAAACCATTATTAGCTTGCAAGATGGACAAAAACAGGCTATAGGCTGAATTTGACCAATGGGCCATAGTTTACCCATCCCTATTCTAAATCATTTATTTTTCACTGCCAAATAGTATTCTATTACATGTGACTATACTGCGATTTATTTTCTGTTTTCCTGGTGATGGATGTTTAGGTTGTTTACAATTTTAAAAACTAACTTTAATTCTTAATTTTTGCTAATCCAAATCCTTGAACATTCTTGTGTATATTTCCTTGGGTACATGTTAAGTTTCTCTAAGGCACTTAGCAGAATTGCTGGGCTGCCAAATTTGCTGCATGTATGTTTATATAGAGAGTCACGTGTTCCTATTTCCCACTCAGCCACTACGAAACCATTGCATTACGCAGTGCTTTTAAAAATAGCCAAGAAAGCTTAGTGTGTTGCTAAGCATTCCATTTAGAGTAACTAGATTTCCCAAAATGTCAAGTTGAAATCATAGCCCGATAATCACTGCTTGTTTTCTGTTAAGACTAAGCTCTAGTGTAATCAGCAGATAGTGATCTTCTAGTCAGATGTGGTCTCCCCACCCACTCAACTACTATAGTCTTTTTCTTTGCCATCCTTTCCTTGAGCAGTTAATCATGATCTCACCCAGGGCTCACAAACCTGCAAACCTTCATTGACCAGATAGGTAAATGAGTGGCCAGGCCAGGTGTGAGACAAGGAGATGTGGGAGGGACTGTAGGAAATGGCGAGAGCACACACCCTCTGCAAGGTGGTGGGCACCATTCAGCTCCAGTCCCTGGCAGTGTGAGCTCCATGGCGATAGATCTTCACATTTGTTTTCTTTTTAATTGAGGTAAACTACATATAACAAAATTTAGCATGTTAACCATTTTGAAGGATACAGTTAAGTAGTATTAAATATGCTCATTGTTAGGCAATCTCCAGGACTTTTTTTATTTTGCAAAACTGAATGAAGCAGCGTACCCACTAAACTAGACCTTCCAGTTTTTTTAGTGCAGCTGAAAAGGTAGACTTTTGGAAACAGTCACCCTGTTTTCAGAACAAAATACTTGGGAAGCTGCCTGATGATCTAACCTGCCCTCTATATTTCTGTTATCCATTAGTTAAATCTCTTAGTTTTAACTTTTTATTAACTCTCTTCCCTCTTCACTAGCTTTTAGGTTCTATGCAGTAGTCTGCATTTCTTTTTGTCCCCATAGCAAACTACCGTAAGAGTGGACACCACAGGCTCAGTCTTCAGCACCATGGATGGGTTGATTTTTACATTTCTACCCTCAACCAAAAACGCACACGCCTTAACCCTACTTCATGTGTGTATCTTTATTTTGACTTTTACCCTTCCTCTTTAAAAGCGCATTGGCAAAACAGGAGTGCCAAGGTATCTAGCTGGAGTTCAGCGCAAGGCAGTCAGAACTGGCCAAAGATGTCTTCAGAAGGGAAGTCTTTTGTAATTCCCATGCTTTCTTTGTTTACATGCCTACTTTAGAGCTTAAGAAGAAATTACAATAAATGGGCCTTTGTGAATTTTCTGTAAGTTAACTCTTGTTAGGAGTAAGCCAAGCCAAAACCTTTTGAATTAAACAATTTTTGGTATTCTTTCTCTTGAGGGTAAAAACTCATGACTCAGCTAGCTTTATTTAATCTCCATAGTTAAGGAGGCTATACATATTGAAAGGTATGTTTTTAATATGAAATAATTATTTTATGGCAGCTTTCACTTTGCAGTGTGACTTTTTCTGATTTGCTCCTGGTAGTAGCCCATGAGTTAGGCAGGTGTATCATTTCCTTTTAAATGTAAGGGAATTAATATGCAAAGAGTTTAATGGATTTGCCAAAGGCTACACAGCTTGAACTTAAGACCCCGGAGATTAAATTCTGCACAAAATCAACTATGCCTTAGCTGTCTCTTACCTATTTATACATGTTACTGGAATTGTTAGTACACACCATGTGATAATCTAGAACTTCCTCCCCATTTTCTCTGTAACCCAAGTTAAAGAGAAATGGAGTAGTACTCTTTCAAAGGTGTATGTTTTTGATGGTAGGGGAAAGCTGTAACGAGGGTGAGCTGGGGAAGGATTAAATGATACTACATTTTTTTTGCTGATCAATAAGGTGGGTTGAAAAAATGATACTACATTTTGAAGAAATGTTTTTTAGTTTTTTGTAAAATTGTTATTTATAAACATGCATTCTTTTAAAAGCCTTAATTAAATACGAATTTAGATTCTAAATTCCTTAATTACAAACCAAAAGGGAGTAAAGTTCAATGAATTTGGGGACTGGTCTGAGTAGTATTTAAGCACAGGTTTTATGCATATCATGAAGTCCCAGTTTCTCATTTTATAAAACCATTTCTGCCCAAGCCATATGTGTTGGATTAGTCCCTAAGCATGGAAGCTGTGGAGAAAGCTCAGTGTATTGAGGAATACATTGCCGGCTTCATGCCTCCTCCCTATACCAAGGAAAAAAATGTTAACTAAAAGTGTAGAGTAGCCATTATAGTTGTTCACTACATACTGCCCAGTTTTTTTGTTTTGTTTTGGTTTTGTTCTCAAAAAAACAAATTTTTAAAGGTGTTATATTTCAGAGTCATTTTGTTAAGGGCAGCGAAATTTTGTTTTTGTTTTTGTTTTTGTTTTTTAAACTGTAGAAATTGGCCCAGGCTATGTATTATTCTCACCTCTTTCTTTCAACAAATTAACAAAATATATAACAAAGCATTTGTCCTCTCTTATGTGTTGGTTAAAGCTTAATATAGGTACCTAAAGGTACACTAAAGGCACACTCAAGGTATGCCATATTTGGGGCACTAAACACTTCATTATCAGCAACACATAGATTGGCCTGGTGTGGTGGCTCATGCCTATAATCCCAGCAGTTTGGGAGGCTGAGGTGGGTGGATCACCTAAGGTTAGGAGTTCGAGACCAGCCTGGCCAACATGGCGAAACCCCATCTCTACTAAAAATACAAAAATAAGCTGGGTGTCATAGTGCAGCCTATAGTCCCAGCTACTCCGGAGGCTGAGGCAGGAGAATTGCTTGAACCCAGGAGGCAGAGATGGCAGCGAGCCAAGATCACGCCACTGCACTCCAGCCTGGGCAACAGAGTGAGATTCCGTCTCAAAAAAAAAAAAAAATAGTTGGAGTTCACTTTGGAGCTTGTTTTCCTTGAGAGAGTTCCCTGCCTTGTAACAAGTTCTGTATGCTTTTTGTGTGTTTTCCCGTTTGTTACTGAAATTTTAAGTTCATTTTCCCTGAGTGGTTGTAATTAGTTATTCATTTTGAGGTGGTTAGACCTATTGAATTTTCAGCTCTCTGAAAACTTTTATGTGTTACATGGGAATCTTTATACTGTGATCTTAAACTTCAGAAGTAGTTAGGAGAGCATAATGGGGATTGGACTGGTAGAAACAGGACATAGTGGTCAGAAGATTACGTTAGATGATCAGTGTGCAGCTCTCAGTAGTGCTTGACTCCTAGTAAGCACTTAACGAGTGTTAGCTACTGTTATCAGAAGCATGCTATACTTTTGTGCAAAAAATGAGGGAAGGTTGAGATTTTAAAAAGAGAAACATGGTGTTTGGAACCTGGAGCAGCATCATCAGCCATAGGATCATGATGCAGTGAGATTCACGGTCCCATCGTTGATGGCTGACTTGATTTTGAGCTTGGTTCCTCACACTAAAATTACTAATCTCATCATAATAAATAGGCCCTTTTAAGAAGAGCAGATCTGAATATATCATCTCAGAGAGAATTCCCTTCCTTAAGAGGAGGTTTTATGTTTTCTTTGAAAGAGACTAGATTTGGAGTTGGAGGACCAGGACACTGCCACTGTGAGTCCCCTGGCAGATCCTTTCCTCTTTCTGGATGCCTCATCTGTAAACCTGGCCAGTTGGACAGAACTCTTTCCGAGGCCCAGCCAGTTCTGAAGAATATGGGGTGCTCAAACATGCATTGAATATTTATAAAGTTTGTTACAAGAAATAGGAGTGTTAGAGGTGGGGAAATAAATTGATGACTCTTCTGTTGCATCTTCTCTATTAAGAATAAAGGAATTTTTAAAAATTTTCAAGTGACTTTTCTATCTTTGAAAACAGCAGATTTACACAGGAGTTTAGTTAGGGTGGGGATGACGTTGCTTTTGTCCCTTAAATTCGAACAACTAGAAAAGGAGGTTACTGTTCTTGGGTATGTTGATTGGAAATGTCATATAGTGTAATTTGTAACTGCTTAGTCGAGGCTTTCTGGATTTGGTTTCCCCTCCTCTTCTGTTTTTGTTTTTCATTGCGGTAGCTAAACAGCCTTCATTTGCCATGAATAAGCAACCTAACTTTAAAAGCCTTTATCCACTTGTTCGATTTAACAGAGTTTCTTTATCTCCTTTCACATACATCTCAGCAGGGAAATTCTAATAGAAGTGTTCTTCATTCATGCCGGTGCTACATTTAAATGCAGCTGCAAGTTAACTGCCTCTACTCAGTGACCTCAGCAAGTGATGTCCCTAGTAATAGTGGCCCAAGAAATACTGGCCATAATGAATGAAGATAACACCTTTAAATATTTTTTAAGTCCTTGGGCTTGGTCAGTTAATACAAATGAGTTGTTCAGTAATGCTAGTCACAAAAGAGAATTGATTCTGTGTTCTAAATGTAAATCTCTGTGTGCTTTAATGACACAATTTCAGAACTAGCTCCACATTTTCCATGAAGTACGCTGGGAAAAATAGTAGTTAAGTATGTATTCTTCACCATTGAAATTCTAGGCATACTTTATTTTAAGAATGTAGATATCAATTCATTTTTTTGTTGTTGTTTATAATTTTATAGGACATTGTGCTCACTTTGGCAGCACATATACTATAATTTTATAGGAAATTATCAGTTCCTTGCTTAGCATAGTAAATGGCAAATATGGAAGAAAGGTCCTGTGGTACTTTGTTTTGAGAATGCAGATATTGATTCTTTTTTTTTGTTTATAATTTTATAGGAAATTATCAGTTCATTGCCTAGCATAGTAAATGACAAATATGGAAGGAAGGTCCTATTGTACTTACTAAGCCCCAGAGATCCTGCACATACAGTACGAGAAATCATTGAAGTTCTGCAAAAAGGAGATGGAAATGCACACAGGTAAAACCAAGTAGAATGGCTTGACTTCTTTATTCCTCTGTTAATGTTGAGTAGTGCATTCTTCCAGAAGTCCACTTACCCATCCATACCCTCTCTAAAACTGCTGAAAAGGTGAATTCCATTTTCAAGCCTATATTTTTGACAGATTCTAAAGTTTTTATCTTGACAAGGAAATAAAAGTGTCGTGCCAAAAGAACACCTGAGCACCTGGCACATAGTAGGCATTCAAGTGCGTGGTTTGGCTTTTATTTTGCTTTATTTTCAAAGCTACCGATACCACATATTTGAGTACCCTAGAGTATGGTGTCCATACAGCAGTGTAAATGTGTTGTTTTCTGGGTATGTTATTTGGTTTTTGGATTTTTTTTTTTTTTTTTTTGGTATTACACAAGTCAGACTCCCTTTATTGAGCCCTTGTTCTGTGCCAGGCACTATTCAGATCGTGGGACACAAACATTTTTAAAAACAGAACACATACTCGTATCACTTATTGTCTACATGCTTAACAGAAAGATAGACAATAATAATAGAGTGCGATACAGTCTGTGATAAGCTCTTAGAGGTTTTTGTGATAATATCACCACATTTCCTTTGCGATTTATCTTACCTTAATACCCCGTTCAACATACTCAACAGTAAGAAAGATACAGAGGTCCGCAGACGGGAGCTCCTAGAATCCATTTCTCCAGCTTTGTTAAGCTACCTGCAAGAACACGCCCAAGAAGTGGTGCTAGATAAGTCTGCGTGTGTGTTGGTGTCTGACATTCTGGGATCTGCCACTGGAGACGTTCAGCCTACCATGAATGCCATCGCCAGCTTGGCAGCAACAGGACTGCATCCTGGTGGCAAGGACGGAGAGGTAATGTGCCATTAAAGCACAGGCAGGAAAGCTGCAAAGGCCACAAAAACTTCGTTTTTGGACGATGTGGGGTGTCAGTAAGAAAGCTGGGGAGGGAGATACCTGTTGAATAAACAACCAAGAACCTCTCACAGCAGCAATTACATTCATCTTTAATTTTCTCTAACCATCTGGGTCAAAGCCTGGTACTTGGGAATGTTTTACAGATGTGAATTTGCTTATGAATGAAATCATTGCCAAGTATTGAGTGCCCAAGGTGCTTCTGACACCTGCGATTGGGGAAGAGAAGTGGGCCATGGATCTTAGAGAAGCCCTGGCTCCTGACCATATTAACAAATGGGAAAGATGAATGTACCTTGAAAGTTTCTCTATAAGGAGACTGAGCCGGTTGCCTCCCATACTTGCTAAGGAGTAGCCCAAATAACTGGGAACGCTTGGTATTGCTCTTGAAGAGGAGTAAGGTTGAGCTGAAAAGATGCTTTCTTGATTCGCTCATCAGATAATCCCCTTCGGTGGTCATGTGTACTTAAACAGCATGCAGCATTGGGTTTTGATGTTTGTGCTATAGTGTTCTGTCCTGTAGGTTTATTTGTGTCTGAGAATGACATATTTCAATCCAAGACGTGATTAGCATTAAGATGAGCCTTGTGCTGCTACTGTTCAGAGCAGATTAAATGAAGCGGAGACTGAAGCGCTGTGCCGTGGCTGTGTTATCTGGCATAACTGTCTTTCAGTCTGGGGATCAGAATAGATCTGTGGTCCCCCCAAGTATGATGGTTGTCCTAGATAAAGACCTCTTAAGCCTGTGGAACTTTAAAAGTGGCTGAGTCCTTATCTGTATGTGGTGGCATAAATAGTATGTATTCATTCAAATGTATTTGTATGAATGAAAACAACTTTTAAAATTAACTGTTCTTGACCCTTCATAGCTTCACATTGCAGAACATCCTGCAGGACATCTAGTTCTGAAGTGGTTAATAGAGCAAGATAAAAAGATGAAAGAAAATGGGAGAGAAGGTAGGCTATGAAATTTGACCTTTTCTTGTATCTCATGTGGAATTCCAGTAATTCCTGGCATCCCTGAACTTTATACCAGCCATTTAAGCTCAAATGAAGTTTGCCAAGTGTCTAGAAATGGTGTCTGTGAATAAGAAATGATTCAGTGGTTGCTGGTAATGCTTTTTCCCCTAGAAATATTTGTGCCTGAGAACTCTTTTAATTTTCTTTTTTCCAAACCCCCCCCGCCAGCCCCCCCCACCGCCCCCTCACTCTCTCTGTTTTCCTTCCTGTGCTGCTGCAGGCTTCTAACCTGGCTTGGTCAATGCCTTAAAATGCCATTCTAATGAGGATGGTGAGAGGGGGTAGGGGGCCCCAATTGTTGAGTATCATTACCTCAGTAGAAAGGCATGACATTTATCTCTATGTTTGAAGAAAGAATAAGCAGAAGAAGATTATCCTCGTAAGAGAGTTTTGGACTAGTGCCTGTTTATTTGGCATTGAAATACATGTGACCAAAGAGTAAGCCAGTCTTTGGCGCTTTCTGGTTTTTTGTAAGCCTTACAGCTGCTCTGTAGAAACTCAGCTCTCTAGAGAAGGACAGCATTAGCATTTGCATGCCATTCCCCTCTCAGTCCTATCTCCAACCAGACCTTCACTTACAAAATCCAAATTCCATCTGGTATTTAAACCACTGGAGAGATTTTTTTCCCCTACTGAGTTAAAACAGTTTGGGCTTTTCATTACAATGTCTGGAAAAAAGTGACAGATCATGAATTCATGTCTTGCGGCAAGTGGCAGCTCTGATGGCTAGTGTGGCAATCAGTATAGCAGTAGAGCTGTCACTTCTCACCTTACCTTTAAGAATGGGGACCTGGGGCTATTTTTCACTAAATTTTTTTGTAAAAGAGAAGCCTTGTGATAAATATTAAAGAAAAAAATAACATATGGAATAATCTTTTTCATTATTAAAAAGTTGATGTATAGTTGAGTTTATGCCAGAAAAGTAGTCTGGCTTAATGTCCAGTGGTTTTTCTCCCTCTTAATTAAAATGTGCTGAGAACCCTAAAATCTGCCAGTTTGGGTCTGATGTGTTTGTCTTGTCGTATTCAGCACCAAATGAGTTTGTCCTCCTGCACGTCTAGCTGTTTTGATTCTCTTTTACTGGATAGTAGCCACCTTAAAACTTAGTAGTTTTCAAAACAATGACTTGATCAGGGTCTGGTGGAGCCTGCCCCTCTATGCTCAGAGTCAGAGTCATCTAGGGCTGCTCGGTTTGTGGTTGGAGTGTCCACTTTTCGCTTAGCTCACTCACATGGCTGGCAAGTGAGTACTGACTGTTGGCTGGGGACCAACAGCCTCAGTTTCCCTTTCTAGGCTGCTTGGGCTCCTTCACGAGATGGTGGTTGCTTTTTTAAGAGTGAGCATCCCAAGAGGACAAAGTAAATGCGTGGCACTTCCATGATTTATCCTTAGCAGTCATTTAATGCCACTTTCATCATACTGTCTTGGTCAAGTCAATCACAGAGGCCCACTGTGATTCAAAAGAAGACATGGATTCCCCCTATAGATGGGGGAGTGGCTGCATTCTAGAAGAGCACACAGGACAGGAGATATTATTGTGGTCAGCTTTGGAAAACAATTTGCCTCACTAGCTGAACTCTGTCCCTCTTTAGCAGGTACCATGAAAGGCTGAATAGCCATAGGCCTCTTGGCTTTTAAAGAGTCCTTACATTCAGGTATCTTTGAATGAATTATATAGTACATGCTACCTGACTATGATGTTTGCCTTCAAGATAGGTTGTCCCTACCTCCATCTGCACTAAATCTTAGCTATCAGAATTTCTCCTTTGTCCAAGCATTAATTGCAAAGTGAAAAAGATAATACCACGACCTTGGGAATCAAATACTAGAATAACGGGAGAAAAATGGTATTTTTGATTTGTGAGTATGTAAGCGTTGTAAAGAGAAATGCCAAGTTTAAGCTAGAACAGTCATTTATCAACCACTGTTGAACACGTGAACACTGTGTTATGTTCATGGCACCTTGTGAGTGAGCATTTCTCCATGAGGAAGAACTTGATTTCAACCAAGCATGAGGTGCTACTGTGAAACATTTATTTCCTGAATAGCTTTCAGGTCAAAGTTAAATCATTAAATAATACAAAGAAGTGCAGACATAACCAAGTGAGTGTTTTATTAGAATTCATAGTTTATCTTGAGTAATTACTGCTAAACATAGCTTAGGTTTTGGATCAGAGTTAAAAGAAATGGCTCTTTTAGAAATGCATTAGATAAACCTGCACTGGAATTTTTTGTGTTAAAAGGGAGATTGGGTGAAAGCTACTTTTGTTAGCTTTTTTGTTTAAAAATATTTGCAGATTTAAGGGCAGTAGAGAAGGGGGTAGGGAGTATATATCTTATTATGTGATGTTCACTAAGCTTCAGTATATTTTACAGGTTGTTTTGCAAAAACACTTGTAGAGCATGTTGGTATGAAGAACCTGAAGTCCTGGGCTAGTGTAAATCGAGGTGCCATTATTCTTTCTAGGTATGTATAACATGTGCCCTTCTCTGAGCAGGGCCTGGTCATGCAAAAGACACACTTCCTTCACGTTGATTTCTCAGTTCTAATATTTGTTCTCAGTAGTCTAATATTACTCCCAGTCACTCATGGTCTAGACAAACATACCAAATATTAGAAAGCAAATGTAACTCTTTCAGTCAGTCCTTAGGAATCTTTTTTTTTTTTTTTTTTTTTTTTGAGATGGAGTCTCACTGTCACCCAGGCTGGAGTGCAGTGTCACGATCTCAGCTCACTGCAGCCTCAACCTCCTGGGCTCAAGTTTTCCTCCCATCTCAGCCTCCTGTGTAGCTGAGACTACAGACGCATGCCACCACACCCAACTAATTTTTATTTTTTTATTTTTTGTAGAGATGGGGGTCTCCCTGTGTTGGCCAGGCTGATCTCAGACTCTTAGGCTCAAGTAGTCCTCCCATCTTGACCTCCGAAAGTGCTGGGATTACAGGCATAGCCATTGTGCTTGGCCCTTAGGATTTTTAAACTACCATCTTTTTGACAAATTATAACATTCACAAGGTATCAGGTGGCTTCACCACATTTATGGTTTTGACCAAAACATAATTTTTTTTTTTTGAGATGGAGTCTCACACTGTCGCCCAGGCTGGAGTGCAGTGGTGCGATCTCAGCTCACTGCAAGCTCTGCCTCCTGGGTTCATGCCATTCTCCTGCCTCAGCCTCCTGAGTAGCTGGAACGGCAGGTGCCCGCCACCACGCCCAGCTAATTTTTTTTATTTTTAGTAGAGACCTGGTTTCACCGTGTTAGCCAGGATGGTCTCGATCTCCTGACCTCGTGATCTGCCCACCTCGGGCTCCCAAAGTGCTGGGATTACAGGCATGAGCCACTGTGCCCAGCCTGTATTTTTTTTAATGAATAACTTACATCCCTGTGAAAACTGTGACAATGTTGACTTTTAAATCATGCCTAATTCTACATGTAATTTCCTTCATTGTTTTAAAAGATTGTAAAAGGATTGGAAGAGCATTTGCTACTGAAGTGTGTGTGCTATTTGTTGATATCTGACTTAAAATGAGAAAAAAACAGTGATGAGCTATGGCCTCTTTTGTATTATTCTCTGAACTTAGTTGAGTTTATAATCAATCCACAAATCATTGAAATTTTCCATACATTCTCTGTGCAGATGAAAACCTTCTGTTAAGAGCATTCATTTAAAAAAAGATTTGTATGTTGCTTTGAAGCAATTACTGTTGATTTTTCCCCTGCTGTGTTATTAAGGTTTGGGAAAACAGATACCAACCCTAGTTTGAATTTCTCAAGATACTTTACTTGCAACATGCTATGCAACTTAATCTATGTTGTTTGTAAATGTTATTTTAAGTGTTTCTTCAACATATACGTGATCTGGTACACATAATACTCACACAGGAGCATTCATAGCTTCAGGTATGTCAGTGTCTCCAAATATATAAGTGTTACAGATCATTTTGTTCATTTCTGCTTAAAATTAGTTAATTTTCCAGTTGATGTTAAACAGTCAGAATTCGTTAGCTGATACATGAACTTTTTCATTACAAATTTTTTTACCAGGCATTTGGAGTGTTAACACCTACTGACACATTCTTTCATTACACTCAATTAACTGGAAATTTCAGCAATGCCATGAAATTAATTTATAAAGGTTGTTCATCAATCAGAACTCCCATTAGGTGGATTTCAAACATAGGAAGGATACTATAGGTTTATTATGGAGCACTACTCAGAATTGGAACAGGAGCAGAGGAAATATTTGAAGTTCTAAATGGAAGTTGAGCTATATATAACAATAATACAAAAAAATTGTTTTTGTAAATTTTGGGTGAAAAGAAAATCAGCCTTGTATGTTGGCTGAAAAGTAACTCAGAGAAGCAGAATTCTCTAACATTTGGGAGCATTGGCACTTGACAGACTGCCTGGGTTCTAGCTTAGTGCATAGCCTTGGGAAAATTATTCAGCTTTTCTGGGCCTTAATTTTCTTGGTGGTAAAAAAAATGAGATTAATGATAACCCTATGGTCGTTATGAAAACTAGATTGGATGATGCATATAAAATGCCTAGCATTATGTCTAATATGTGGCATATGCTCAGTAAGCAATAACTTACTATTATGTGTTGTATAACTGTGTGTTTAGCCAAGATGTATGAAATAAAAACACCTAGTGAGTCACAAATTCATTACGAGGGAACTTTACTTTTTAGCATCGTAGGTGGCAAGCTGAATTGTTTCTTATCTCCCATAAGCAGTAGAATATTGCTTGGTGCTGATAATTTATCCTCCTCTTTGTTGACATATTGGAAGTTACTGGGACCAGGGACTTTGGAAAATACCAAGTACCTCATTTCTAAAATGTGTTTCAGAGGTCCGTATTTACAAAGGGTCCCGAAAAAGAAGAGAACAGGAAATTCAGGACTGGTACTCTGCGGTCAGAGCTGTAGGTCCTATCCACAGAGAAATGGGCCTGCTGTTACCAGCCTCTATGGCTCCTTTCACTTCTGATAGAGTACTCGGGCAGGGTTTCAGAACGCAGAGGCCGGGCTTATTTTGTAGAATGGCTAACATTTATTAAGTGCTTACTAAGTGTCAGGCTCTGGCTGGGTGCTTTAGATACAAGGCCATTTGAGCCTCAGAAAACCACTCTGTGAGGTGGAAGGTGGACTCTGTTGTGAATCCCATTCTACAATTCGGGAAACTGAGTCTTAAGAGAGTTTACATAGCATGCTCTTGGTTGTACAGTTACTGAGTGGTAGAGGCAGGTTTCCCACCCAAGCAGTGAAGCTCCACAGTGAAGCCCTTCGCCCTTTCACTCAATGTTAGTGCTGTGGAGTTCAGTGAGAAGACCTGCTAACTCTGACCTCTCTGTGCCTCTGTTCACACCTTTTCATTCAGCCACGTGGTGGGCATATTTTGGCTGTCTGCTCTGTAAATGTAGCATCATGAAATAAATAAAATACGGTCCCTGCTCTTGAGCTTATAGTCCTGAGATGGGGAAGGGAAGATAGAATACATGTAGAATCATTTTAAGACAGGATGTAAGTAAGTCCTAAGATAATGTGAAGGTAGAACCAACTCTGTATGGAATGATGTTGGTCCTACAAATGTCTTTGCTTGGGTGACTCCACCAGCAAGATTCTAAAACGTTTTTTTCCGTGGTGTTATAATATGGGCTACTGGTCTCATCATTCATCCTTTGAATGAAAAATAATGTGTATATAGTTACAAGGCTTGTGTCACAGTTAACAAAGTCTTTTTTACTGTTGGTACAGGTAGTATTGGAGATGATCTAGGAATGCTTATGAAATTTAATTTTTTTCCTCTCTTCAGCCTCCTCCAGAGTTGTGACCTGGAAGTTGCAAACAAAGTCAAAGCTGCACTGAAAAGCTTGATTCCTACATTGGAAAAAACCAAAAGCACCAGCAAAGGAATAGAAATTCTACTTGAAAAACTGAGCACATAGGTGGAAAGAGTTAAGAGCAAGATGGAATGATTTTTTCTGTTCTCTGTTCTGTTTCCCAATGCAGAAAAGAAGGGGTAGGGTCCACCATACTGGTAATTGGGGTACTCTGTATATGTGTTTCTTCTTTGTATACGAATCTATTTATATAAATTGTTTTTTTAAATGGTCTTTTTTAAAAATCTCAGCTGTCTCCTCTGTTACACTGAGTAGTAAGCATATCAGTGTGAGGCAATTAATGTGGAAGGTTTACCAATCATATATGGTGGGACCAACCAGATATATAAAGTGTAGTTGAATGAGTTGATTCAGGGGAGAAGACATCTTCAGTGAGCATAGTCTGAGAAGGCTTCCTGGAGAAGGTGGGACTTGAGAGGACTTTCATCCTGTCAAAGGAAGGCAGGATGTGGAAAAGAAGAGCCAGGGGGAGTCGTGGGCACAGTAAAGTGGAATTTAATGAGTACCGGGGCAGTGGGGGGTTCACAGCTGCCTACCTAGCTGTTTTATGGATTAGGTTCCATGCTAGATTTTGTTTGAAAGCCACTCAGGTAAGTTAAGCTCATAGGAGGAAATGTGCTAAATGAATTAGGGGATCACTGTGGATTGCGGTGTTAAAGTCAGGGTCACTGGGAAGTTCTCCTTGTCTCTGATTTTGGGCCTTCCAAGTAAATAGCTCCTTGTGATTAGACTTTCTCCCTTGAGACTGTCCCTAAAATGTCAAAGCCTATGGAGTTTGAATAAGAAGGAAGAAGGTGGAAATTTGTTACGTGCAGAAGTTTAACTACAGCTAGGATGTTTGAATTTTAAAACTGCAGTTGTTTGAGCAAACAAAGCTTAGAAGGATTGGTAGCTCAGTCAGGCTCATGTAGTCATGCCTATGAGTATCTGGCTGCTTTCTCAAAGTAGTCTAACGGGGTACTCACTCAGGTCTGTCACTGCAGTTACACCTGCTGAGGAATTGGCTGTGCCTTTCCTTTCCAGACCATGGGGTCCCAGGACTACTCCAGCCTACCGACTACCAGGACCCCTCCTGCCACGGTGTATTGAATCCTTCCCAGACTGCAAAAGCGCTGATGGCTGTAACTTTTGACATGGATTCTCACATCACCCAATATAAGGGTGTGGGTGGAGAGCTGGAGGAACTGGGATGGGATAAGGAGGTGAATGGGGAAAAGGCAACAGTAGAGCTTGCATTTGTTTGGCTAATACATTGTGATTTGTGTTCTCTGTATAAAGAAGCCATTCAGAGAAAGGGGGAAAGAACCCCTGCTCTTTGTTTCATCTTTGAAACTAAGATAATGTGTACATAATTTGAGGAGTACTTTTATAAAGCTTATAGCAGAAGCAGCAATCTACCCCATTCCTCTGCACCCCTGCCTCACCCTCCCCAGAACTACTGATTATTCTTCGCTCTGCTAAATGTCTAAATACATCTATCAGTTGCAGGTATTTTCTTTTGATTTCCTATTACAGGAAATGCAGATTAAGAACTTTTACCATCACTGTTCCCCACTCCTCTTCCCTCCCTTCCCAGTAGAATTGCATCATGTATGATGAAATCAGTGTTCAGGGTTTACCTTATTATACCTACATAAATGTTGTTAAATATTGATTCAAGTAGTGAGCAGCCATTACATTTCCTCTACTATTTTAATTTTTCTGGAATTAGTCATTTATTTTCATTTGCTTAGTTTCTACATCTCTGTTGATTTTTCCTAAACTTTACGTCAGAATTGCTTAAATTCTTCTCTTGAAGGCACCCTTAGCAATTACTCAACAGCCATTTTCCTCTTTTTTTTTTTTAGCCCACCAAGGCTTCTGTGTTATTCTGGTGTCTGCTCCTTTCCACGTGGCTTAAATATCCTAACTGATATAATTCAGTGTTTCTCTAGTTGGTTGTGAATGTGTTGGGATTTTGACAACCTCATTCATTACCCCACCCGGCTGTACACCTGATTCGCTTGTGTGTCCTATGCAGAAGAGCACTGGTATGACCGAGTCCGGAGGGCCCATTTCTTAAATCAGTGACGGATTTAGGAAGGAGCCTGACCAGTGAAAGTTGGAAGAGAGATGGTATTCCTGGGAGGGTTTCTTAGGTCTCTTGGGTTGTAGAGAGTCCCCTTCCTGCCCGTCAGCTTTGGTATGTGCAGGACTAGGCCCAGCCTGCAAGCTAGAAGCCTGACAGGAAATAGCAAATATGCCGAGGATGGCTGAGCAAAGGTTTGTGAAAAGAGTCTGGAACTTTGATGATGTTGAGCTGTTGAATAAGTTAACTCCTGGAGCTGCGCTAGCCGTGGACTTCTGGTTATGTGAGAGAATAAACCCCAGTTTTTCATTTTAGGTCAGTTTTGAGTTGGATCTTTTGCAACTTGCAGCCAAAAGTATGCTAACCTGGCTGTCTCTAAATACCAATTTCCACAGTATCCAACATGTCAAGTCGGCAAGCATTTCCACCTTCTCCTGGAGACACCCCTCCTGGCTTTCGGGATGTCCTGAAGAACTGCTGCTCCTTCACCATCATCATCGTCTGCCTTCCCTTAGTTTCTCTCCTATGAAAAGTCCATTTCTCAGATCCCATGCATCTCTCTTGCTTAACACCCTTTTCTCAACACGGCACATCCTCTAGTAGCTTCCCGAGAAAGAATACATTCTAAAGACCTTGCAAGTCCGAATGTCTTTATTCTACTCTCAAACCCAGATGTCTAGTTTAGCTGGACATAGAATTCTAGTTTAAAATTAATTTTGCCTCAGAATTTGAAGATGCTCGTCAATATTGTCTTTAGATTGCAAAGTTGTAGAAGTTTAATGTCCAGTGCCATCCTTATTCTCAATCTTCATATGCGGCCTTTAAGTCTCCAGCTTTCTCGTGTTTCAGGATCGTGTGCATTGGAAAGTGTTATGTATATTTTCTTTTCCTTCTTTATGCTAGGCACTTGGTGAACCATTTTAGTCGGAAGAGCCAGATCCTTTCATCCTGCGAGATGTTTTTCCATGGTTTTTTTTCTGATTTTTTTAATGTACCCCCTGCCCCGTGTTTTCTCTGTTCTTTGTCTTTGGAGCTATTACTGAGAGTTGAAATGATTTGAGCCTCTAATCTTCTTTCTTTTCCCTATTTTTAATATTTTTGTTTTTTTGCTTTGCTTTCTGAGTGAGATATTTTCTCTACCTTCTCTGCCAGCCTTTTGTGTTTTGGGTTTTTTGTTTGTTTGTTTGTTTTTTGAGACAGGATCTTGTCACCTAGGCTGGAGTGGCAGCTGTGCAACTTGAGCTCACTGCAACCTCTGCCTCCTTGGCTCAAGCGATCCTCCCACCTCAGCCTGTCAGGCGTCAGGAAATACAGGCATGTACCACCATGCCTGGCTAATTTTTGCATTTTTTGTGAGACGGGGTTTTGACATGTTGCCTAGGCTAGTCCTGAACGCCTGAGCTACCATGCCTAGCCACTCCCAGCCTTTTCATTAAAGTGTCCTTTTCTTATTGCTTGTATGCATTATCTCATGTTTCTTGGTGATATTCAATTTTATGGTTGGTTGTTTTGTTTTACTTTCTTTTCTGTCATCTGCTCTTTCTGTTTGCTTTGGGCTCTGTTTGAGACTTTCTTGGAGAGGTCTTTAGCTCTCATATATTTAAGACATTTAAAATCTTAAAACCGACGAGAAAGAGGGCATTCTTTTCTTTTCTAATGTTGACTTTACTGTACCAGTGGTTAGTTGTGGATCCTGCTGTTTCACTGGGGTCCTCCAGATGTCAGTATCTGTAGGCCTTTCCTCTGGGCCATTCAGTGCCTCCAGAGAGAAATCCACCTGCAGCCAGCATTCAGTTGCTCAATAGTCAGTGTGCAGATTTTAATTAACCTACCTGCTTTCAGCACAGTGCCTCTCCCTCATGCCCTCTCATATCTGGGGCCCCCTAGTCTTGAGAAAATGAGTCAACATAAGTTCACAAAGCACTTCCTCAGCCTGCTGCCAGGGTTGGGAGTGGTGGTCAAGCAGTTTGGGCCAATCCCCCTGTTTTCCATTCCAAGGCTTACCCCAGCATTCTCCAGTACCTGGCACCTCTAGCTGCTGGAATTTTCTGGTCTACCATGGTGAGAATTGACTCGTTCCTCTCCATGCACTAGGTATTCCGCTTTCACAGTTCTGCCGCCTTCTCTACTGCTTCCTGTTCTTCCAGATACTTGGTGCTATCTCTCACCCACTGTGGCTTCTCCTCTGTTTACTTTGTTCCTGTGAATTTATACAATTTTATTTTTCTAGTCTTATCTTACTCTTTCTGAAAGGAACAGAGATAAACTCAACAATGCACCATTTTTAAGCAGAAATCCACAAATGGCTTTAAACAAACTGAAAACAACCTACCTGGCTTCATGGTGGTCTTCTTTTCCATGGATGAATTTAGCGGATCTGAGAATGTCATTTATTTGAAAATTCAGCTTGTCGTATTTTCAGTTTGCATCAAACCCTGCTTCTCCTAGGAATCAGCTGATGTTAGAAGGAAGGAGAACTCCATTCTCCCTTTATGTCTGCTGTAATAAGCACTTGCATAACAGAATAAAGGCCTCTTAGAGGAAATGGCTTCCTACCTGACCAAACTCAAAAGATTTGCTCTTGAAAACATGAGATGGCACTTCTGTTTCTATATCAGTGAAAATTTGAAAAAGTTACGTCTTAATTTTAGCAGATTAGTCACTTTTAAGTCTGGCAAATTTATGGATATATGTATTTAGAATAATGGTTAAGAGAACACAAGATCACAAAACAGCAGCAGTTAGTAGGGAGCCCATAATCAAACTATTTCTGCCAAAATTAATGACCTAAACAAACATAAAAATTTGAGACTTGAGCTCGTCTTACCTTTTGATAGTGCTTAACGTAAGGAAACTAAGTTTATGATCATCTTCATCTTTTCTGAACCTAAAAACACCACCATCCAAGTGCCCCAGGTCCCCTAACTTCTTCCCCAGATGCATTAGTAAATTTTTTTTGGAGACAGAGTCTTGCTCTGTCGCCCAGGCTGGAGTGCAGTGGCGCCATCTTGGCTCACTGCAAGCTCCGCCTCCTGGGTTCACGCCATTCTCCTGCCTCCGCCTCCTGAGTAGCTGGGACTACAGGCGCCCACCACCACGCCTGGCTAATCTTTTTTTATTTTTGGTAGAGACGGGGTTTCACCGTGTTAGCCAGGATGGTCTCGATCTGACCTCGTGATCCCCCCGCCTCAGCCTCCCAAAGTGCTGGGATTACAGCCGTGAGCCACCGCGCCTGGCCGCATTAGTAAATTTTTTAATGAATGGCCTTAACTAGGAGATACAGTATGCCCTTTGGATTGTGTGTCTTTTATGAATAGTAACTAAATGGCTGCTCTGCCTTCCACAGTGTGCAGACAGACACTGATTGCTATGTATGTTTGTACCGATGATGATGCCCTGGATGATACCACAGATAACAGCCTATGAAAGAACAGTGTTTGGAATATTTTTCATCAGAATGTTTTATCCAGTTTTTAAACATGGGCTCATGCCCGTGGCTGAATGTAAGTGGACAGACAGAGCTGCAAAAATGTGGGAATGAGAAATTTTGGTCTGTGCTCTTTTTCTTAGGGAGTTAATTGTACCTTGGGAGGAAATGATTAGCTCTTAGTTGTGCTTGATATGTGATAACTACTTGAGGGAAAGGTGAGAGGAGTCTGGTAAGGTCATGGGAATCATCTGACTTTGAGCTCTTGATGACTATAATTAAACATAATGACTAATTCAGATATCTTAAAATGACTTCCAGATGCTTGACAACAGACTTTCCTTTTAGATGAAAATCCTCTTGCATTTAAAACTTAGGTTCTTATTGATATATCTACCAGTAAGCACATACTGACTTAATGTTATCACATTCAGCAGTAGGCAGTGATAGAGAAACTGTGAATCTTAAAGATCTGTAACAGCAGTAATATCCTTTTGAAGAAACAGACAAGACATGGGTTCATTTGTTCTTACCAGATCAACTATTTGGCCCCATTGTATAACTCGATATCTAAGTCTAGTTCTAAATATCTGTTGGAATCCGCTCTTTTGGTAATAATACCCTGCCCGGCACCTTTCTGGAGGTTCCCCTCCCCCTACATTTTAGTCGCCTTTTTGGGTGGAGTCGAATTATGATTTGCCTTGACCAGTGGCATGTGACTCTGGCCTCTGAACCACAACACTCCCTTGGCCACCGTGATTAGTTAATCAAGTATACATGTCCCGTGGTAAGTTGAAGAGAATTCTGAGTTCATATCACTTTGCTTCATCATTTTGACTTTTGCACAGTTGAAAAATCGTAAGTAGGCTGGCTCACACCTGTAATCCCAGCACTTTGGGAGGCCGAGGTGGGCGGATCACTTGAGGGCAGGAGTTCAAAACCAATCTGGCCAACACAATGAAACCTCATCTCTACCAAAAATACAAAAATTAGCTGGGAGTGGTAGCAGGCACCTGTAATCTCATCTACTTGGGAGGCTGAGGCAGGAAAATTGCTTGAATCTGGAAGGCCGAGGTTGCAGTGAGCTGAGATCGCACCCCTGCACTCCATCCTGGGTGACAGAACAAGACTCTGTCTCAGAAGAAAAAGAAATCGTAAGTTGATCTATTATAAGTCAGGGACAGTCTGTCCTTTTTTTTTTTTTTTTTTTTTTGAGACGGAGTCTTGCTGTCGCCCAGGCTGGAGTGCAGTGGCGCCATCTCGGCTCACTGCAGGCTCCGCCCCCGGGGTTCACACCATTCTCCTGCCTCAGCCTCCCGAGTAGCTGGGACTACAGGCGCCCGCCACCTCGCCTGGCTAATTTTTTGTATTTTTAGTAGAGACGGGGTTTCACTGTGTTAGCCAGGTTGGTCTTGATCTGCTGACCTCGTGATCCGCCCGCCTCAGCCTTCCAAAGTGCTGGGATTACAGGCGTGAGCCACCGTGCGCAGCCTCTGTACTCTTAATACTAAGAGTAGCACCATATCAGGAACTGGCATGAGACTGAAACCAGAGCACTTACAGTTCTCTGGCTAAAACATCTGCTGCCTACTGTTGAATGTAACAACATCAAGTCAGTTTCCGGAAGAAAAATCGTGAAAGATGCTCTCACTTCTTCTGGGATCTCAAACTTAGACCATGGCCTGGGCTGCCTGCCTGCGTGTTACTATATTTCATCAATTCTAAAAATGTACATTTTTATTTTGCATTTAACAAATCTTTCCGGGTGTCACTTATAGTCAGTGGCATATTAGCATGACCGTTGATAGGCAGCTTTTTTTCTGAGTGATAGATAAAATAATGGTACGTCTTAGAGTCAAAGTGTTAACAGTTGGTAAAATACAGTTCATCTTTTCCTCTCTCAAATGTTTCTCTGGTTTGCTTTTCTATAGTAGCTTTTCAACCCTCAAAAGTTTTCTTTATTGCTGGACCCTCCTACAGATGATCAGGGTTAGGATGAGGTGTTTTCTGCAGCATACTTGTCTATAAGTCACACCCTTTTGGAAAATGAAAATCAGGTAAAATTAAAGGGAATATAAAATAGTGGTTGGGAGCACAGGCCTGGAACTGCATTTGAAGCTTGGCTCTGTAGCTGGATGATCTTTGTAAGTTACATATCCTCTCTGCTTCATTTTCATCATTTTTAAAATGAAGATAATCATACTTCACTGTGTCTTTGTGAGCGTTAGGTTCCCCTCCTTGAGATTTTCCCATAAAACATTTCAGCAGCTTCTGCCCCTACACATAGTCACAGTTACACTTTTAAACATATATTGGCTAAGAAGTCACATAAGAACACCCATAAATTCATTACCACTTTAAAATATATTTACAATTTTAAACGTCAGCAATGTACATTTGAAAAATAGTCAAAACATGAGCCTTCATTCCCTTGGCAGCTGGTGCTTCGGCTAAGGTTGGGTTTGCAGGCTCCTTGTAGTCATTTCTGCCAACATAGATTAGGAAGCAAAAGGTGAAAGTAATTATACCAAAATGGGCTTCTTTTAAAATACAAATAACCCTGGTGGAATAGCACCGCTAGCTGTTGCCTGTCAATAACACCTTCCTGTGAAGTCTATCAGCTTGCTGAGGTAGAGGGCAGAGAGCTAGACAGGTTAACAAGGGAGTTTGTTTCTTGGGGCAGGAGAAAGGGGTGAATTGAACTCACATACCTGGCCTGATAGGTGGAGGTCCAGCAGAGAAGTGGGGGATTCAAGTTGTTTGGTGGTCTTGGTGTCCAGAGATGAAATTTGGGTCAGTGCCGAGGGACAAAGTGGATTAACTCCAGGTGATTGTTTTGTGGAGGAACTAGCCTTTGACTTGTTGGGGAACTTGGACATGATTTGGCTTCTGTCACTTGCTAGGCAGGTGATCATGGTCCTCATTTTTCCCGTCTGTAAAACAAAACCACCTGCTTCATGCGCCCTCAATTTGTCAAAGTTTTTTTTGGTTTTTTTTTTTTTTTTTGAGACGGAGTCTTGCTCTGTCACCTAGGCTGGAGTGCAGTGGCATGATCTTGGCTCATTGCATCCTCCGCCTCCCGGGTTCACACCATTCTCCTGCCTCAGCCTCCCGAGTAGCTGGGACTATAGGCGCCCCCCACCACGCTCGGCTAATTTTTTGTATTTTTAGTAGGGACGGGGTTTCACCGTGTTAGCCAGGATGGTCTTGATCTCCTGACCTTATGATCCACCTGCCTCGGCCTCCCAACGTTCTGGGATTACGGGCGTGAGCCACTGCACCCAGCCTGCCAAGGGCTTTTTAAACCATAAGCTTCTCTACGATGTGAGGGGTTGTTGAGAGCAGCACCACAGTGAAAGCCCTTGGTGTGTGTTTTCAGAAGATCTGGCTTTGTAGATTGGCCCTGGTTCTGACCAGGAATGTGGGCAAGTCACAATCTTTAGGTACCTCTCTTTTCTTATTTGTGAAAATAGGGATCATACCTGAACATCTCAGGAAGCTGGGGTCAGAATCAAATAAGACCATATGTGAAGATGCCTTGTAAAACTTTGTGTTTATGACTCCCCAGATGGTTCCAAATATTCCTTACCTCGTTTGGTTCCCAAGTCACAGAGTTGTAGTTTACAGATTATAAAGGAAAAAAAAAACAGACAAAAACAAAAAAACCTCTACTACCATTAAGTAAAATTATCCAAAGTGTAGAAATAAAGCAAAAAGGTTTGTCCCATTTAAAGACATACTAGGGCATGGTCTGCAAAACCACAAGGTTATTTGACTTTCTAGAGGGGTGTGATTTTGTTTGACATGCTATTATTCTGTTAGGGCCCAGACTCTGGGAAGGTGGATAATGCTGAGTAGAATATCAGTAAGTTGCAAATGATTTCTGCCCTATAGTAGAGACAGCTCCAAAAATTACAGTTTTATTGCCCTATTTATTACCAGGCGTTAATCTAACTGCAATCTTATTCCAGTAGACTTCCTTTTCCTGAAATGGACATACAGAAAAATGTACATATATAACTCAGTCCACTGTATCCTCCTTTGAACTAGTTTTACCTGCTTGTTTTCTCATGAATGAGTTACATAAATCTTTGACATATATTTTTGTGAGAATCGTGTTTTTAATATTCTAACATCACGAAGTAGCCTTTTGTTTCTTTATTTCACTTTAGAGGTAATTGTTATTTTGCTGCCTTTTTGTACAACTGATATGGTTTGGCTTTGTGTCCCCACCCAAATCTCAGCTTGAATTGTAACCCTCACGTGTGGAGTGGGGGACCTATAATCCCCACGTGTTGAAGGAGGGATTGGATCATGGGGGTGGTTTCCCCCATGCTGTTCTTGTGATAGTGAGTGAATTCTCATGAGATCTGATGGTTTTATAAGGGGCTCTTCCCCTTTTGCTTTCTCCTCTCTCTCCTGCCGCCGTGTAAGACATGCCTACTTCCGCTTCTGCCATGATCGTAAGTTTCCTGAGGCCTCCCCAGCCATGCAGAGCTGTGAGTCAATTAAACCTCTTTCCTTTATAATTCACCTAGTCTCAGGTAGTGTCTTTACAGCAGTGTGAAAACTGACTAATACAAAACAAAACCTAAGAGATATATTCACTCTTTTTAAAAGTTAGCCAGTTGATGCCCATTTCCCAAGTAGAAGAACAAACTGTTTCCAGTTACCATTTGCTGTCAACTGTGGTCATGATGTGACTATTCTGTGGAAAACGATTCTGCTACATTCAGATTGCATTTTAGGTTTCTTTTGTTTTAAAGAAAGCTTTAGAGATTTATAATTTTAGTTACTGAATAGCATTAAGTCTTCTTACCGGTTTGAGATTTTTAAGTGAAATTTTATAATTGAGGAAGGCATGGGACTGATGGAAGAATTTTTCCTTTCTAATTAGAAGACCTAAATGAAGTAATTTCACCAACTAACAACTTCCTTGAGAATTGTTTGAATCAAGGAAAGCTCTGAAAGAAAAAGCAGACAACCCTGTGAGAAAGTTTATTGTAAGACCTAGGTGGGCAAAAACCAGTGATACTTCCATGAAAATGAGCATCGAGTTAAAATACCTCTGGAGAAATTCCTTAAGGCAAAGTTTTGCCAGGACCAGAAGCATAGTCAGAAAAAAACATGAAATTCCAGCAAGTGAGGAAGATTAAATTTGCAGCCCATATTTAAGTCAATCAGTAATAAAAATCAAAGATGGAAAAGAAAATAGCCATGCACCGAAGTGTAATATTTCATTGCATGTCTGTTTCCTTTTTTCATACAAGAAGGTAGCTTCTCTCTATACACAGCTTATAAATTTTATGTTCCCATGACCCAAGGGATTCTTGCTTTTTCCTTCTCAGTGGTACAAATGCTACCCACTGGTTCCATTCTCTGCCTCTTGCCTTCCCTGGGGTGTGCCAGGGACTTGGCTAGTGATGCAGGGTGAGACAAGGGGAGAAAGAAGAACAGCAGTTCAGGGGAAAAACCTCTAGTGACTTAAGCTGAGAGAGTACCCACCCCTTCTGTACTAAGGCTGCAGCTGGGGAGACATTTTCTGACTTTTCCCATAGAAATGGGTAATACCTTGTGGTTTGATTCTATCATATACTACAAATGCTATATTTGGGATAGGGCAAGAGATAGCTCAATAAAAGGCTTTTGAAGGCTGGCCTAGAAATCAAAGGATTTTTAAAGTATAGTGAAAAGATCTGTGGATAGATCACAGTTGTAGTCCCCACCCTGCCAGTAACCAGGTGATGACCTAGGCTGAGTTATTTAGTCTTCCTGGGTCTTTGTTCTCTCCCCTATAAGAAGAGGGGCTTAGAATACATCAGGTGATTTTCAGATAGGTTCCTTGAGGCCCCAAGATGCCTCTGGAGCTGCAACTGAAGCCACCTTTGCAAAGATGACAGCGAGAGAAGTCTAGCATGGCTGACTCCATCTTGCTTATAGCCTCACAGGCTGGCTGTCCTCCCTGCTTCCTGAGCGTAGCCCAAGCTAACTGTATTAGGGTTCTCTAGAGGGACAGAACTAATGGTATATGTGTGTGTGTGTATATATCCACGTATATACACACACACACACATATCCATGTATGTACACACACATGTATGTGTATATGTACACACACATGTATACATATATGTGTATGTGTGTGTATATACACATATATATGTGTGTGTGTATGTATACATCCACGTATGTGGATACATATACACATGCACACATATATATGTGTATTTGTATATATACATGGATATATGTATACATACTTTGTATCCTTCAATCCAATCAAGTTGATACTCATTATTAACCTCACAGTAACCATGGGAGGAATTTATTGTGTGTATATACGTGTATATATATATAAAATGTTATGAAGGTTATATATATATACATGTGTGTATATACGTGTGTGTGTGTGTGTGTGTGTGCGTGTGTGTGTGTATAAAAGGGAGTTTATTAAGTATTAACTTACAAGATCACAAGGTCCCACAATAGGCCATCTGTAAGCTGAGGAGCAAGGAGAGCCAGTCTTGAGTCCCAAAACTGAAGAACTTGGAGTCCAATGTTCAAGGGCAGGAAGCATCCAGCACAGGAGAAAGATACAGTCTGGGAGGCTAGGCCAGGGTCTCCTTTAACATTTTTCTGCCTGCTTATATTCTAGCTGTGCTGGCAGCTGATTAGATTGTGCCCAGTCAGATTAAGGGTGGGTCTGCCTTTCTCAGCCCACTGACTCAAATGTTAATCTCCTTTGGCAGCACCCTCACAGACATACCCAGGATCAATACTTTGTATCCTTCAATCCAATCAAGTTGATACTCATTATTAACCATCACACTAACCATGGGAGGAATTTAGTTTATAGTTTAGCTTTAAAGCAAGGATGATAATAGTCCCTCCCTAAAGCTGGCCCCCTCCCCCTTATTCAGGGACTGAAGTTGTCTGTGTAAAACTAATGAAAGGACATAAGATTAGGATTATAGAAGGGGCCTGAATTCTGCTAAAATGTAGGTGTACTTTCTATAACCCCTTACTGCTCAGCAGTTACGTGGCCAGAGGTCACAAGGTTTGTGACTGCCCCGAGTGCTTCAGTAGGTAACATCACTATTGTAGAACTTAAGAGTGGTCATTTGAGATGTTTTTCAGATTTTTGCGTCCTGGCAATTAACTGACCCCACCTGGACCCATGACTCATGACTCAAACAGCAGTCCTGTGGCCTCCACCCCGAGATGGACTCAGCACACAAGGACCGTTTCCCACATGATTTCATCCCCCAACCAATCAGCAGCACCCATTCCCTAGCCCCTTGCCCATCAAATTATCTATTAAAACCCTAGCCTCCAAATTCTCAGGGAGACTGATTTGAGTAATAACTCCAGTCCTTCTTCTTGGCCAGCCTTGCATTAATTAAACTACTTCTTTACTGCAATAATGCTGTGTCAGTGAATTGGGTTTATCTGTGCAGCAGGGAAGAATAACTCATTTGGAGATTACATTATGGGCAAGAGCAGATGGGACTTTTGACCTACGACCACCTGGTCTCCAGCCAGAGCAGCCACACTTGTATCTGTTCAATGTGTTCAGATTCAGAGTGAGATTTCTTTTTGTAACAGGATTCTGCCATTAAGAACAAACAAATCAAAGTTAGAAGACCACTGATCAATGTCATCTCCATTATTTCTTCTACAGTTGGTGATTGGTTGATTGCAGTGACCTGCATTGTGTCCTCCATGCTACAGGCAAGCAGTGCTGGGAAAGGAAGCATTAGGCTGGAGGTAGATTTCCCATTAAGCCAATGAGGCTTAAGTATCACTGCCCCTCACTTGCTGGGCATTCCAAAGCCCACTACCTAATCGTGTATTCACAATTTAATGGTTTTTTTTCTTAACAGGGGATCCTAAGTTGTACAAGCCTCAGGTCCCATGAGCCCTGGATTCTCCCTAGTGTTAGCCCCAATGCTTCTTAATGTGCAGACACCACTGCAGACCTGTCCTAAGTGACCTGAAAACACAGTCTTAGAACATATCAGCCATTTGGAGTGGGGTGGGAGTTGCTTTGCAAGCTCAACCTAATCAAATGATGGCAAAACCAATATTATATTATTCCTGCGAATGAGGAACAGATATAAGGTGTCAGTTATTACTCATTTTTCATCTCCACCAAAACTTTTTATCAGAGTAGCATATCTTAGAGGCTAAGAATGCATGCTTTGCAGATAAACCACTTGGGTTGAAATTCTGCTTTATCACTTCCTGGTTAGTGACATCAAGCACATTAACCAGTCTCTAAAAACCCGTTTTTGTTTGTTTGTTTTCTGTTTGTTTTTTTAGTCTACAAGATGAGAAAAACAATTCCCCATAGAGTTATGAAGGTTATATAAGATACTATCATAAGGAATGTAACACAATACCTGGACATATTAGCACTAAGTTTTAGTTTTCTTTATTACCACTGTTGAGTAATAATTTAAGGCAGAAACAACTAGATTACTGTCTTAGCACCTCATGAATAGAACCTTAATTTTTAGGGGTGTGGTCATGTGCCCAGCTAAAAGATAACATTTTCTGGTGTTCTTCACAGAGAAGTTTTTGTGCCAATGAGATCTAAGAGGACAAGAAGTCCTTTCAGGAAGTCATGTGAAAGAAGAGTGAGTGCTCTTCTCTAGGTTTTTCTCCATCCTTCTCCTTTGAGCTTGAATGTGATGGCTGAAACTCCAGCAGCCATATCATATCATGTGGACAAGGTTTGTGCCTTAGGGGTGAAGGAATGGTGAGCAGAGAGTCCAGGTCCCAACTTCATGGAATTGCTATACTAATCTTGCACTACCTCCCTCTCAAATTCTTCTATGGCAGTGGTTCTTAAATCACCTGGAGGGCTTATTAAACAGATTTCTGTGCCACACCCCACAGTTTCTATTTTAGTAGGTCTGGTTTGGAGCCCAAGAGTTTACATTTCTAACAATTTCCCAGGTGATATGGATCATCCTGGTTCAAGGACCATATTTTGAAAGCCAGCATTTTATGTGTTAGAGAAATAAACTTCTCTTTTGTTTAAGCTACTGCTATTTTGTGCTATTCTGTTATTAAAGATGAATTTAATACATTATTTAAAATTTGTAACTCATATGTTACTCATTTTGCCACCCAAAATGAAGCAGAAAGGGTGAACTGCAAATTGAATTGTTGCCCTCTGAACCATTCATTTATCAAATGAGTACTGAGCGCCTAGGATGTGCCAGGCATTTACGAAAATAACCAAGACATGGACCATGGTTTAACAGCAGTTACTGCCTGGCTGATATCACGTGGAGTACTCAGTTGAGTCAGACTCCTAATAACCAATGTCTGCGAGGGAGTGATGAAGTAAGCCAATAATTTTTCATCTCTCAATTAGTCTGGAAATGGGCATAGTCCTTAGGGACCATCAAATGCAGTGGTAATCAACCCCACCTTCACATTGGAATCACCTGAGGAGCTTTAAAATTCTTATGCCTAGGCCCCACCTCCAGGGACTCATATTTAATTGGTTTAGGTGGGGAATCTGGATTAAAAATTCCCTCGGTGATTCTAATGTGCATCAAGATTTAAAACCACTGATCTAACGCAACCCAAAGAGGTGAGGTGACTGCCCCAAGGTAACTGGCAGAGAGGGTCACAGGCAGGTCTGCTGTGCAGTCGAGTGCTCTTTAGATGCTTGGCTGGCCCCCAAACCTGCCCGAGGCCAGGTGTACTGCCAGGTTAATTCTCTCTCAGTCTTAATTGTCAATGGCACAGGATGTATGATGTTGTAAGCACCCATCTGCTCTCAGCTCAGTACCAGAGAGCTCGCTGTAACTCATCAGTTTCCCTGACAAGATTTTCCTTGGTGACAGCGAAACAGATCATTTTAATTAGCATTAGATAATGAATTTAAACGGCATTGCAGTAATTCTAAAATCTCTCTTAACTGCGCTAAATAACGTCATGCCGCTAGGTATTCTAGTGGGATTTATTGTTGAAGAATATTTGTGGTAAGAACACAGCTGAGAAAGCTCCTAAAGTGAGAATATTTTCCCTGGTTTTTCTTTGAATCTACAGTCAGGTTAGAACTAGACTGTCAGAACTACAGGGATCTAGATATCATCTGGTGTCTTTGCTCCCTCTCTGTGTGCATCCTCATCCACTCGTCCCCAGGATATGGCTGTGGCCCTCAGGTTAGATCCTGCTGGTAACACGGTATTTGTTCTATATCTCCTGAGGATTCCTCTCCACTGGAAAGTTCTTCTTTACAGTCACCTGAGAAGGCTCCCTGTAACTTCCACCCTTGTTCCCAGTTCTGCTCTCTGGGAATTCATTCTCTGCCCTTCTGTGCCAAGGGAACAGGGCAGCGTCTCTGGGGTCATCGTAAGGGATTCGAATAGATATGTTTGGGATGAATACTGCTGCTGTTAGGCTCTGACTGAAGGGACTGGGAAAATAATGCATTGTCCTTCTGGCCCCAAAAGACCTTGCAAATAGATTTCCCCTCCCTCTACATTAATATTAGCAGCAGGTATTTTTGACTCACATTTCTCCGAAAGAGAAGAAAAGAAATATCTTGGCAACCCTTAAGCCATTAGGCTGTAGGCATGCTTATCTTGTTATTAGAATATTGGTGTCTTCCAGGCCATATTCTGATTTAGAAACAGGGGCTCTGCCTTCTCTTCCTAACTGGCCTAGCCTCACTGTGGACAAGCTGTTGTTCCATCATTAGACCTTAGCTTCTTTAAGCTGAGATTTTATGAGTTAAAAGACTCCTACATTCCATTTTTCTTGCATTTTTTTGATCTCACATCTCATAAAGCGAGATAGTGAAAGAGACAATTGCTTAATCACTTCTCTATGGGCCAGAATAAAAGTATTAATTTTGTTTGGTTCTTTGCCTTAAAAGAATCTTAGAATCACAAGGCTCTTTGGAGGTACTGTGCAGCCACCTTCTTATTTCTTTAAGACATGCTCTGACACCAACTGATGTACTGCCAAGCAATATCTATGCTAATCACCCAGAGTTGATGTCAGACTTCACAGGTTTAAGGGCATAGTCACCAACAAGACTGCTTTTATTTCAAGTGCCAGCCATACTTCAGGGGTCCCTAGCCCACCCACACTTATGACCACTAGCTACAAATTCAGAGATTCCCACAACACCCTTAAGTTTGATAATTCACTAAAACAACTTAGAAAACTCAGGAAAGCACTGTATATACAATTACAGTTTTATAAAAGATATAAATCAGGACCAGCCAAATAAAGAGATGACAGGGCAAGGTCTGGGAGGGTCCTGAATGCAAAGCTTCCATGTCCTATTCCTGTAGAACCAGCATGCACCACCCTCTGGCACATTGATGGGCTCAAAAACCAGGAAGTTTCCCCACTCAGCTCAATGTCCAGAGTTTTTGTTGGGGTCTCACTCTGTAGACATGATTGATTGAATCCTTGACCATGGATGGACTCAATCTCTAGCCCCTCTACCCTTCCTGGAGGTCAGGCTGGCTCAAAGTCCCAAAGCTCTCCTCATATAGTAGATTTTTCTGGTGACCAACCCCCATCCTGAGTCATCTCATCTCTTACCATAAACTCAGATGTGATCCAAGAGGTTCATGAATAACAAAGACACTGCTATTAATTGGGAAACTCTTAAGGATTTAGTCTCCCTCCCAGGAACCAGGGACAAAAGCTAGTCAAATTCTTTCTTATACAATAGGATGATTCAACTAAATATGCTTGTTAGTGAGAGCAAAGAGTGAGGTGTTTACAGCAATGCACCTACTATTATACCCCATCAGTGTGTGCCCCAAAGTGAATGTGAAATAGGATACTTGAATCAATGATTGCAATGGTTGCTTTATTTAGTTCCTACACATCTACAAAACCTCTCACAGGTTTTTAAGCACTGTGATGCCAGTGCTTAAAAAATTGCATTCTTTATTATATTGTGCATTATTAAATATATAATACATTTGTGCATATAAATCACATGTCCTAAAACCGTGATTCATATACCGTATTTCACAGGTAATTTTCAAGGCAATTTTGGCATATGTGATTTTTGCCTTACTGACTTTAGAGCCTAACTTTGAAGTAAAATGCTATTCCACTGTACAATATCCCCAGCAGACTTCAATAGCCTTCCAGAAGTTTGATTAGCCAAACCCTGTTTGAACATTTCTAATGACAAGGAGTCCTCCCAGACTTAAGAGTCAACCGATTATTGTTGGGCAGCGTTCATCGTTAGAGGGCAGTTTCTTATCTGCAACCTAAGTCTTCCGCCTGATCCTGTGATTGTACCCTCTAGAGCCACACAGAGGACATCCTCTGTCAGAAGTAAGGGCTTTAAATATTTGGAGACAGGGATCCTGTATCCCCTAAGTCTTCTTTTCTCCAAAACAGACATTTCCTGGTTTCTTCAACTATTTTTTGTAAATCTTTCTACATATGTTTTTAGGACAACCTCATTTGCCTTCTCTTGAGTATTTAATGTCCCCTATAAAGTAAAATGTCAAGTACTGTATACAATAACTACAAGAGTAGTTAAGCAGTTATAGCTCTACATTTCATAACTTGATATTCGATTTTCATTCATTCAGTGATCCTAAGATTACACCTTTTTGAGTTGAATTAGAATTTCTTACTCTTTTTCACGGATCAAGTGGTGTGTGTTAGTGGGCATGTGTTGTCTTTGGATGCCCACCATTGATTTCTCTTTCTCCTGGTAACTGCATCATGATTTTTCCTTGGCCAGTGCTTTTCTACCCTCAGTCTCTGTACCCGGAGATAGAAATAATAACCCAGGACTAAACAATCGTGTTCCAATCCCTGTCACCAAAGTGACCGGATCTTTTGCTTAAGCTATTGGGGTTGCAAGTGTTGATATGATAAAAGCCTTAAATTACTACTGAAGGAAGCCAACATGGAGGAAAGCGGAACTGAGCAACACGGGGAGAAAAATGAAGTCTTTGTGACATCATTTGAGTCCAGCTTCCTTGTGCCTAAACCTGGCTTTAACCTGTACTTTTCAGTTTGACAAAAATAAAACCAGATCAAGTTGGAACAATTTAGAAGTTTTTAAAATACAGGCCATGATCTGGGGAACTTCAAACTGAAAGCATTAAGAAGCTCAGCCCACAGCAGTTACAGCACAGTTTATTAAGTGAGAATGAGAAAGAACATTATTCCCTATCATGATGGGCTACTTGAAACTTATCTTTTCAAGCCGCTGTGCTCTATAAGCTTACCTATTGATAGCTAATTAGCTGGAAATTGTAAGGTCATGCTGACCTGGGAAAGCTTAAATTGTGTTTATGGTTACAGCTAGTATTACAGGGGAATCAGGACAGTTTTAATTTTCACTCGTGGCTATCGATGTCTGTTTTAAGGGGATAATCAAACTGTGGCCTCTAAAAAGTATATCTTTAACATTTTCCCCTCTTCGGTCACACACTCAGTTAACTGGGAGTGTGGCCAACTATTAAATGTTACTCTCAGTCACCACATACTGTTTTCTTCTCCCACGCTCATCTAAAGATTGCATACTGAAATTATCATAGGTTATTTTCTTATGATTTGAGTTCATATAGTTTCTGCCCTTCAATTCTCATGGAGATCATCCAATGATTTAGTGGCTGCTGACAAGCATGTAAGCCTCTTGAAAGAATATAATGTACAGGGGATATTGTCAATATGACTAATAGGAGGGTAATACCAGGAGTTTGAGAAATACCCCAAAGCCAAGGTCCCCCAGAGTCAAGTTTTAACCACTAACGGATAAACTGATTGGGCTTTCCCAATTAGGTGGAATACTTGGATTTTATCTTTTAGGTCTCCAGATTCTGGGCTTACAATTCCTTGTTTATGGACATAAAAACAGCATCTTTCTCCAGTAAGCGCACAAGCTCTTCCTTGTTGAGTAGTTAGGGTATCAAGAACTTTTCTGTTTTGAAGTACAGAAGGTCCTCAACTTATGATGGTTGGACTCATGATTTTTCCACTTAATGATGGTGCAAAAGAGATATGTTTCACTAGGCTCCTTGACTTAAGATAGGATTATGTCCCAATAAGCCCGTGGTAAATTAAAACTACAAGTCTAGAATGTGCTGTCAACTTAAGATTTTTTTTTTTACTTATGATGGCCTTATCCAGATGTAGCCGCATTATAGGTTGGGGAGCATCTGCACTACTGAGGCTAAACTGCTCATTTTAGATTTTATCAGTTGAAGAGAATTTAAGATACCATTAAATTATTTTGCAAGAGTTGCAGAAACATTGATAAGTGATTTTTGTAATTCAAACACTCCCATTTGAGGGCAGAATTCTCTAGTAAGAGAATAAGATCCAGAACTTCTTCATATAATGAGGTTTTGAGGCTAATGAGAAACTTATGGGGGCGGGAGGGTTCTGTGTACAAATGATCCTGTTAAGAATTTGACTATCATTTAGAAGTCGTATTTAGTTAATTGGGGTGAGAACCCAAATCACAGTGTCCAGATCATTCGAGTGGAAAACATTTATAGGTGTTATTACCACACAGAATAAAAAACCCAGTATTACTGAGATAAAGTATTAAGACAGATCCCACTACCCACAAATCAGGAGTGAGATGAATGTCGTGATTATTTTTTGGCATGTTGGCGTGTGCACATTGTCAGTTTGAATGATTGTGGTTTAAACCAGGATAGGAGCAAAAAACACTTCTTTGAATTGGATAAATAATCTATGCATTCAGTCATAAATTAAATATGATTAACTCCCTTTCTTGGTATGTCCTGTATATTGATCTATCCAGCATCCAAAACTGTTATCTACCTTACATAGTGGTACGTTTGAGGCATTCCATTTACCTACAGTTTCCATTGAGCCAATGTATGGGTTTCAGTAGGTTCCTTAATGATGTAACATTGTCAATTTTTAATGATGTTATGTTGTTATGTATAGAAGTCCAGTCTCCATCATCTGAATCAAACCAAAGGATTTAATTACAGAGTGAATCTGGGACCTTACCTAAGTTAGATCTAGTACCATTAAGGCTTTCTATGCATACAGATAAGTCACCAGTAATAAAACTTAGAGTAACTAGAAGCTATCCCATGGCTTCCAGTGCTTCTTCCCAATGCCAAACCAGCTGGCCATGAGTATTAGTCAGATGACTTATGTTAAACCTTTTTGTAAAGTCATTTTCCTGAATGGGTCAACAAATCATATATAGGAGCTGGTTCTAGCATTAATTGCAATTCTTCCCAAGTGTTTGTTTGTTTGTTTGTTTGTTTGTTTGTTTTAACAGAGACAGGGTCTAGCTCTGTTGCCCAAGCTGGAATGCTGTGGTGGGATCATAGCTCACTGCAACCTCCAACTTCTAGGCTCAAGTGATCCTCTTGCCTCAGCCTCGCGGACTACAGGTGCCTGCAACCATTTCTGGCTATTTAAAAAAAAAAAAAAATTGTGGAGACAGAGTCTTGCTGTATTGTCCAGGCTAGTCCTGAACTCCTGGGCTCAAATGATCCTCCTGCCTTGGCTTCCTAAAGTGTTGGGATTACAGGCATGAACCACTGCATCCAGCCTTCCCAAGCATTTAGATGGCTACAAAACCGTCAATTATTTGGGTTAGTGAGGGAGGCTATGTGTTGGAGAGTAGACCTTAGTACATGTTCAGCTTGTGTGGTGTATGTTCGTAACAGAAATAAAAGTGTGAGTTTAAACATTGTGTATTAGTTTGCAAAGTAGTAGGATCACAGTCATCTTACTATGATTATTTTGGAAGTTAACAGCAAATTCTGGAAAGATAAAGGGAATACAAGGGGGCACTGTTCCGTGTTCTTGGGCAGAAGCTGTCCACCTCTTTTTGTCATCTGTTTCTGGGGAAAACTTTTCCTTCAATATACTTAATTTTAAGTCAACTGTGGCTTGACATGTCCAGTAGTCTGAGGAAGCTCTTTTCGGTTGAGAGATATGGACCCAAGTTTTGATGCCCTCTAATTTAACTACTGTATGAGACATACAAGAATGTGATAGGATTTTTTTTTTTTTTTCAGTGAGGCTCAAGTGCAGTTTTTCATTGATGTCTTTTTCAGAACATCCAGTCATCAAGTTCCAATGTGTTGGGCATGAAGTCATCATTAGACAGTGAGTCTCTGAAGACTTATTTTATCTGTTGTAAATATACTTTGGAATATTGAATTAATGCTTTATAATATTGATTGTGTCAGAGTTTATAAGTACTGGATGAACATGGGGTTCTGTCATTAAAAGCATGGATAATCAAGTAACAATTTCATAAGGAGTCAATTTATGTTTTCTAAAAGGTGTGGATCATAAGAGCTAAAGGCAACACCTTAGGCCAGTGTAATCCTGTGGTTTCAGTTAGTGTTTTGCTGGTTCTAATTTTAGAATGCCATTGGTTCATTCAACCTTTGCTGAAGATTGGGGATACTGGGGATAATAATAATACCGTAATGTTTGAATAATCTTGTTTAGTTGTTTTACAGTTGATACAGTAAAGTGAGTCTCTCTATTACTAGAAATTTTATTTGCAATTCCCCAAAGTGGAAAAACATTTTCTTATAATTTTTTGACAATAGTAATTGCCTCAGCCTTTTAACAGGGAAAATCTTCCATACATCCAAAAACCATACAGATTGTTATACACACATATTGATAACCCATAAAAATGGGTAATTGAATGAAACATCTGCAAATGTTCAAATGGTTCTGATGGCTGGGGAGTTGTTCCTGGGGCCACTTGAATGGTCTTTCCAGGATTATGAGTTTGACAAGTCAGACATTGATTATATCCCCATCTAGCCACCTTGGAGCAATCTCTCCATCAATTTTCTTCCATAATTTGTGTCATCTTATTAATATCATTATGATTTGCTGAATGCAAGGCTTTCAGCAAAGGAAGTTTTAAAGACTCTGGAAGTACCAAGCATCCATATAGGTCCTCCATGAGTCCCTTTTTTTCCCTGTTTTTTTGTTTTTGTTTTTTTAATTGTATTTGCATCTGTTATGCCAGTCTTGTTTCATTTCAGGAGCATACCATTGTTTATTAACAAATCATCATAAATTATTTGATTTGGATCAACCTTAGGGAGCTCATTCAAGTTACAGAGCCTTAGTACGTTAGGTGTCTCTGTAGTTGCAGCTTTAGCATGAACATTGGCCACAGTATTTCCTTGATACTCAGAGTCAGATTTGTAGATATGAGATTCAGCTCTTATTATAGCAACTTGTGAAGGTAGCAGTAATGCAGAAAGATTGGCAACTCTGAGGCATTCCTGTCTAAGTATATTGCTAAATTTTCTAAGTAAAGGCAAATAATTATTGGCTCCCTTTGTCTACAGGAATGCTAAAGAAAGCAGGGCATAAATTCACTACTATGAACCATTTGGATTCAGTTGAGGCATTTCTCAATAGGGTGGTTAGGCTAGGCACTAAAGGAAATCTTGGAATAATTTTATTTATAGCTCTAAGATCTTGTATAGATCTCTATTCTTCTTCATGGGTCCTTATAGGTAGGACAGTGTTTCGCAGTGGGTAGGTTTATGCAAACTTACCCCTAAAATTCAAGGAAGGTGAGAGACCAAAGAAAGAGACTGACATATCTGGTTTTTCAGAAAGAAACATTTAATAGGGACTTACAAACAAATTAATGTCTGTGTCTCAGGTGGCAGCAAGACAAGATGGTGGATCCCCATGCCATTACCTGCTAGACTCAGGGTTTATATACTGTAGTGGAGAGGTGATTCCGAAGGAATGTTGTAAGACAATTGAAGTGCAGTAACATCAAAGTTATTTGACCTAAGGGCAGGAGTTACAGTAAGTATCCACTTTTATACAAGAAACAATAGATAAACTGGAAATCTTGGAGCCCTTCCTGGAACTGGGGTTAATGAGAAGTCAACATGGTGGATTAGCATGGAAGATGGAGTTGCTTAGTCTCCCATTCAAGATGGAGTTTCTTTAGCCTCCATTGATAGGAGTATTTAACAAAAACAAGAAATAAGTCTTTGATTCATTGAATCTTCTAAGAGTGAGCCCTTGTAT
Source organism: Homo sapiens (assembly GCF_000001405.40). NCBI lineage: Eukaryota > Metazoa > Chordata > Mammalia > Primates > Hominidae > Homo > Homo sapiens. The sequence goes on along the minus strand of NC_000009.12, from coordinate 2,780,835 downwards.
GACTTCAGGTTTTAAACAGTACTGAGACAATTTAGGAGATAGTTTTGAAGCATCAATTTGAATTGTAAAAGGTTCAGGATTTTTTTTAACTTTTTTCACATCTTTTGAAGAAGAGGCCCATAGAGCGTCAAGTATTTCAGCAAGATCTGTAATATCTATATTTCTATGGAATTTAATAGTCTCCTCAGGGCAATCAGTTTGGGCTTGGAGAACATAATGCTTCAGTGTCTGATGAATCTGGAATTTCTATGGTTATTTCTTCAGAGGAAATTTTATTTGACCTTTTAGTACAGAAAGCAGGTCTCTATCTAGGAGATTCACAGGGACAGTAACAGAAAAGCAGGACTTTCAGAGGTAAGGCCAAGGGTGACAGTTATGGGTTCCAACAGAGAAACTCTTTGTATTTGATAGGAAACTCCCATTACTAAGATATTTTTATTATTCCAAGGATGTTCTTGATGTATCATAGTGGGATTAAGAATAAAGAATTACTCTAGTAACTGCCAACACAGTACACGTTTCTCTATTTATTTTAAGTTAGTTTCTCCTTGTTGATTTAAAGGAATTATTGAAAGTTGCTTACATGGAGATTCCTTGGAGCTCTATCAACATGGACAATTATCACCAGAGGTGGGAGGTTGAGGGTCTCCCTTTTGTGCTATGTCACATGGTCCATACTGCTGTTTAAATACTTTTTCCAAATTACTTTCTGTTTGTGATAACCGTAAGTGTCTTTATCAAAAGAGTTATAAAAGTCTTTTAAAGTTAGGGCAGGACTCCTGCAATTGTAATTGCAAGGTCATTAATTTGCATAACCCCGTGGTTTCTTTCCTGTTCCGATGTTCCCTGAAGATGTTCGGCTAAATGTTGTAACTCCACCAAAGGAGTAACTTCCTATTCTAGTGTATGATTCTTCAATAAATCACTTATCTCTGTATGCAATCTATTAACAAAATGGGATTACAAGACTAATTCATCATCTCAGCCATTAAAGCCAGAGTGCAGCTTAAATATTTTTTCTAAGTAGATGTGATAGTTCAAAGCAGCAGATTCACCTTTTTTCCTGTTTGCAAGACTGGATTACTGCCCAGTCTATTCTTTTGTGTTTTTTTTTGTTTTTTTTTTTTGAGACAAAGTCTCACTCTGTCGCCCAGGCTGGAGTGCCATGGCACGATCTTGGTTCACTGCAAGCTCCGCCTCCCGGGTTCACGCCATTCTCTTGCCTCAGCCTCCCGAGTAGCTGGGACTACAGGCACCCGCCACCACGCCCGGCTAATTTTTTTTTATTTTTAGTAGAGACGGGGTTTCACCGTGTTAGCCAGGATGGTCTCGATCTCCTGACCTCGTGATCTGCCCACCTTGGCCTCCCAAAGTGCTGGGATACAGGCATGAGTCACCACGCTCGGCCTGCCCAGTCTATTCTTATAGGAAAAACCTCAGATGTGGTCTCAAGAAGTATTTGTCCTATTTTACTAGCTCTCTTTATTCCATCCTTAGAGGGATGCTTGGTAGGATCTTCAGAATCTTTAGTCAGATACTTCTAATCTATTTTTGAGGCCATTTTTGAGCACATCCAGGACTATCGTATTGACAAATTGATATAAATCAATGAGTCCTGAATCATAAGCACAAAGAATAATTTTAAATTCTTCTGTAAATTTAGTTTGGACTTTTTTAGGGTCTGGAAAATCCTTGAAAATGGCTCAGAGTTTGGCTTGAGATCAAGGCTTACATTGTGCTGTGGCTGGTACCTGAGGTTTATTAGAAGATCCCCGTGTTAAAGGACATCTGTTGCTAGAGAGTTCAAGGGGAAAGAGAAAAGGCACAAAAGAGTTAGTGTATTCAGAATAATCAGGCAATGGAAAGTAGGAGGAGCCGGGGGATTAACAAGTGCTTCCCTCACATCAGTTGAATCAGTCTGAATTTTAGCCTTTAATTTCCTTTTATTTTTTGCACTTATGATTCTTTTGTTTTTAAATTAGAATTGCCTATGCTTTAGTATTTGATAGAGATTTCACAGGAATACTCCCTGCTTTTGTTTTCTCCTTCCAACTTTTATTTTAGGTTCGGGGGGTACATGTGCAGGTTTGCTACTTAAGTAAATTGTGTGTTGCAGCTGTTTGGTGTACAGATTAGTTTGGCACCCAAGTAGGTGGCATAGTTCCCAATAGGTAGTTTTTCAATCTGCACCCTCCTCCAATCCTCCACCCTCAAGTAGGCCTCAGTGTCTATTGTTCCTCTCTTGGTGTCCTTGTGTACTCAAAGTATAAGTGAGAACATGAAGAATTTGGTTTTCTGTTCCTGTGTTGACTTAGGATAATGACCTCCAGCTCCATCCATGTTGCTAAAAAGGACATAATTCCATTCTCTTTTATGGCTGCATAATATTCCATGGTGTATATGTACCACATTTTCTTTATTCAGTCCACCATTGATGGGCATCTAGGTTGATTCCATGTCTTTCCTATTGTGAGTAGTGCTGTGAGAAACGTATGCATGCATGTGTCTTTATGGCAGAATAATGTATATTGCTCCAGGTATATCCCCAGTAATGGGGTTGCTGGGTCAAATGGAAGTTCTGTTTTAACTTCTTCGAGAAATCTCCAAACTGCTTTCCACAATGGCTGAACTAATTTACATTCCCATCAGCAATGTATGAGTGTTCTCTTTTCACTACACTCTTATCAGCATCTGTTATTTTTTTGACTTTAATAATAGCCATTCTGACTGATGTGAAATGATATCTCATTGTGGTTTTGATTTGCATTTCTCTAATGATTAGTGATGTTGATCAGTTTTTCTTTCTTCTTTTTTATTTTTTTATTTTATTTTATTTTTTAGACGGAGTCTTGCACTGTCGCCTGGCCTAGAGTGCAGTCGTGCAATCTTGGCTCACCGCAACCTCCACCTCCCTGGTTCACTTGATTCTCCTGCCTCAGCCTCTCGAGTAGCTGGGATTACAGGTGCACACCACCACACTGGGCTAAATTATGTTTTGTATTTTTAGTAGAGACAGAGTTTCACTATGTTGGCCAGAATGGTCTTGAACTTCTGACTTCATGATCCGCACGCCTTGGCCTCCCAAGGTGCTGGGATTACAGGTGTGAGTCACCACGCCTGGCTGATCAGTTTTTCATATGCTTGTTGGCCTCATGTATGTTTTTTCAGAAGTGTCTGTTCATGTACTTTGCCCATTTTTGAATAGAGTTGTTTGGTTTTTGCTTGTTAATTTGTTTAAGTTCATTATGGATTTTAGATATTAGGTCTTTGTCAGATGCATAGTTTGCAAATATTTTCTCCCATTCTGTAAGTTGTCTGATTATTCTGTCAATAGTTTTTTGTTTGTTTGTTTTTGTTTTACTGGTTTGTTTTTCCTGTGGAGAAGCCCTTTAGTTTAATTAGGTCCTGCTTATCAATTTTTATTTTTGTTGCAATTGTTTTTGGAGTCTTCATAATAAAATCTTTGCCACGGCCTACATCCAGAATGGCATTTTCTACGGTTTCTTCTTGAGGTTTTATAGTTTTAGGTTTTATTTGTATTTTTTTAATCTAATTTAATTTATTTTACGTTCTGGGATACATATGCGGGACGTGCAGGTTTGTTACATATGTAAATGTTTGCCATGGTGGTTTGCTGCACCTATCAACCCATCACCTAGGTATTAAGCCTCACATGCATTACCTATTTATCCTGATGCTCTTCCTTCCCCCGCACCCTCACACCAACACACCCCAGTGTGTGGTGTTCCCCTCCCTGGTGTGAGGTGTCCCCCCTCATTGTTCAGCTCCCACTTAAAAGTGAGAACATGCAGTGTTTGGTTTTCTGTTCCTTTGTTAGTTTGCTGAGGATAATGGCTTCCAGCTCCATCCACGTCTCTGCAAAGGACATGATCTCATTCTTTTTGTGGCTGTATAGTATTCCATGGTTTATATGTACCACATTTTCTTTTTCCAGTCTATTATTGATGGCCACTTGGGTTGATTCCATGTCTTTGCTATTGTGAATAGTGCTGCAGTGAACATACATGTACATGTATCTTCATAATAGAATGACTTATATTTCTTTGGGTATATACCCAGTAATGGGATTGCTGGGTCAAATGGATTTCTGGTTCCAGGTCTTTAAGGAATCACCACACTGTCTTCCACAATGGTTGAACTAGTTTACATTCCTACCAACAGCGTAAAAGTGTTCCCGTTTCTCCTCAGCCTTGCCAGTATCTGTTATTTCTTGACTGTTTAATAATCACCATTGTGACTGGCATGAGATGATATCTCATTGTGGTTTTGATATGCATTTCTCTAATGGTCAGTGACATTGGGCTTTTTTTCTTATGTTTGTTGGCCACATAAATGTCTCCTCTTGAGAAGAGTCTGTTTATATCTTTTGCCTACTTTTTAATGGGGTTGTTTTTTTCTTGTAAATTTGTTTAAGTTCCTTGTAGATTCTTGATATTAGACCTTTATCAGATGGATAAATTGTGAAAATTTTCTCCCATTCTGTTCGTTGTCTGTTTGCTCTGATGATAATTTGTTTTGCTGTGCAAAAGCTATTTAATTAGATCCCATTTGTCAATTTTTGCTTTTGTTACAATTGCTTTTCTTTTTTTTTGTTTTGTTGTTGTTGCAATTGCTTTTGATGTTTTCATCATGAAATGTTTGCCTGTGCTTATGTCCTAAATGGTGTTGCCCCGATTTACTTCTAGAGTTTTTATGGTTTCAGATTTTACATTTAATTCTTTAGTCCATTTTGAGTTAATGTTTGTATAAGAAGTAAGGAAAGCGGCCAGGCATGGTGGCTCACGCCTGTAATCTCAGCCTTTTGGGAGGCCAAGGCAGGTGGATTACTCGAGGTCAGGAGTTAAAGACCAGCCTGGCCAACATGGTGAAACCCTGTCTCTACTAAAAATACAAAAATTAGCTGGGTGTGGTGGCACACACCTGTAGTCCCTGCTACTTGGGAGGCTGAGGCAGGAGAATCGCTGGAATCCAGGAGGCAGAGGTTGCAGTGATCCAAGATTGTACCACTGCACTCCAGCCTGAGTGACAAAGCGAGACTTCGTGTCAAAAAAAAAACAAAAAGGAAGGAGGCCCAGTTTCAATTTTTGCATATGGCTAGCCAGTTCTCTGAGTACCATTTATTAAATAGGAAATCCTTTCCCTATTGCTTGTTTTTGTCAGGTTTGTGAAACATCAGACAGTTGTAGATGTGCAGTCTTATTTCTGAAATCTCTATTTGGTTCCATTGGTCTATGTGTTTGTTTTTGTACAAGTGCCATGCTGTTTTGGTTACTGTAGCCTTGTAATATGGTTTGAAGTCAGGTAGTGTGATGCCTCTAGCTTTGTTCTTTTTGCTTAGGATTGTCTTGGCTATACACACTCTTTTTTGGTTCCATATGAATTTTAAAGTATTTTTTTTCTAATTCTGTGAAAAATGTCAATGGTAGTTTAATGGGAATAGCATTGAATCTATAAATTACTTTGGCCCATATGGCCATTTTCACGATATTGATTCTTCCTCTTCATGAGCATGAAATGTTTTTCCATGTTTATGTCCTCTCTTATTTCCTTGAGCAGTGGTTTGTCATTTTCCTTGAAGAGGTCCTTCACTTCCCTTTTTACGTATATTCCTAGGTATTTTATTCTCTTTATAGCAATTGTGAATGGGGGTTCATTCATGATTTGGCTCTCTGCTTGTCTATTTTTGGTGTATAGAAATGCTTGTGATTTTTGTCCATTGAATTTGTATCCTGAGACTTTGCTGAAGTTGCTTATAAGCTTAAGAAGCTTTCTGGCTGAGATGATGGGGTTTTCTAGATATAGGATCATGTCATCTGCAAACAGACAGTTTGACTTCCTATCTTCCTATTTGAATACGTTTTATTTCATTCTCTTGCTTGATTGCCCTGGCCAGGACTTCCAATACTATGTTCCAATACTTCCAATAGGAGTGGTGAGAGAAGGAATCATTGTGCTGGTTTTCAAGGGGAATGCTTCCAGCTTTTACCCATTCAGTATGATATTGGCTGTGGGTTTGTCATAAATGGATCTTACTGTTTTGAGGTATGTTCCGTCAATTACCTAGTTGATTGAGAGTTTTTAACATGAAGGGATGCTAAATTATATTGAAGGCCTTTTCTGCATCTATTGAGATATTCATGTAGTTTTTGTTTTATTTTATGTGATGGAATACATTTGTTGATTTGTGTATGTTGAACCAGCCTTGTATCCTGGGGATGAAGCCTACTTGATTGTGGTGGATAAGCTTTTTGATGTGCTGCTGGATTCAGTTTGTGAGTATTTTTTGAGGATTTTTGCATCAATGTCCATCGGGGATATTGGCCTGAAATTGTTGTTGTTGTTGTTATATCCCTGCCATTTTGGTATCAGGATGATGCTGGCCTCATAAAATGAGTTAGGGAGAAGTTCTTCCTTTTCAATTGTTTGGAATAGTTTCAGAAGAAATGGTACCAGCTCCTCTTTGTGCCTCTGGTAGAATTCAGCAGTAAATCCATCTTGTCCTGGGCTTTCTTTGATTGATAGGCTATTTATTACTGCCTCAATTTCAGAATTTGTTATTGGTTTATTCAGGGATTCAGCTTCTTCCTGGTTCAGTCTTGGGAGGATGTATGTGTTCAGGAATTTATCAATTTCTTCTGGATATTCTAGTCTATTTGCATAGAGGTGTTTACAGTATTCTCTGATGGTTGTTTGTATTTCTGTGGGGTCAGTGGTGATATCTCCTTTATCATTTCTTAATTGTGTCTATTTTATTATTCTCTTTTTTATTCTTTATTAGTTTAGCTAGTGGTCTATGAATTTTATTACTTTTTCCAAAAAAAAAAAAAAAAAAACAGTTCCTGGCTTCATTGATTTTTTGAAGGGTTCTTCATGTCTCTGCCTCCTTCAGTTCTGCTCTGATCCTGGTTATTTCTTGTCTTCTGCTGGCTTTGGGGTTTGTTTGCTCTTTGTTCTCTAGTTCTTTTAGTTGTGATGTTAAGATGTCAATTTGAGATCTTTCTTGTTTTTTGATATGGGCATTTTAGTGCTATAAATTTTCCTCTTAACACTGCTTTAGATGCATCCCCAAGATTCTGGTACATTGTCTCTTTGTTCTCATTGGATTCAAAGAACTTCTTGATTTCTGCCTTAATTTCATTATTTACCTAGGAGTCATACAGGAGCAAATTGTTCAATTTCCATGTAGTTGTGTGGTTTTGAGTAAGTCTCTTAAACTTGAGTTCTAATTTGATTGCACTGTTACGTGAGAGACTGTTATGATTTCAGTTTCTTTGCATTTGCTGAGGAGTGTTTTACTTCCAATTATGTGATCGATTTTAGAGCAAGCGCCATGTGACACCCAGAAGAATGTATACTCTGTTGTTTTGGGGTAAAGAGTTCTATAGATATTGTATTCGTTCATTTTCATGCTGCTGATAAAGACCTACTCAAGACTGGGCCATTTACGAAAGAAAGAGGTTTAATTAAACTTACAATTGCACGTGGCTGGGGAAGCCTCACAATCATGGTAGAAGGCTTTCACAAGCCAGCTGCAGCACACCACTGTGTCTGTATTTTTGCTCAAGTTTTTAATAAAATTTTTAATCAAGACCATGCCCAGGACCAAGGCCAATAGCACCAATTAAAGTCTCCTTTGTTGTCAAGCTGACATGGATGCATCAATCAATACTCTTTGGGCAAGTCCAAAAAGCTACAAGTTTAACTCTTTATGCTAGTATCCAGCCCATTTGGTTACTTTGTCCAATGTCGAGAAAGAATGTCAGAAATGTTGCTAATGCAAGTTATCTGCATCCTTCTGCTCTGTCAATCCTGCTACCATGTCAGGAGAAATTAGGTTACTTTGTCATGCTTGCACTTCAGACCCCATGGTGGCTTCTGACGATCACTGCTTTCCATTCTAAATGGAAAACCATCTGCTCAATACCTGATGCTGGAATTTTTATTGCATAGCAATGGTTTGTTGTTTTTGGAATCCGTCTTGCACCCCTCCCTGGAAACCTTAACATGGCTTGTGTCCAGTCTTCTCTTTCACAGATTATTTTACGTATATGCCATGGGAGAAAAAAGTAATTGAAGTTGGAATTTTGTGTTACTTTTTTTTATTTTTCATAATTTTGCCAACATCTGTTTTTCCTCCAACAGATCTGCAAGTATGGGTCTAGAAGTCTGCTTATTTAAAGAAACTTGGGTTCTTTTGTGGTCTGTTGTTCAGTCTTGAGATTTGTGCCTCTCTAAATAATGTTCGCTGTAGGATTTTTTATAAGAAGCATATCCCCACAGGTCGAATTCCTGTTTCTCTCTCTTTTTTCTTCCCCCAAATACTCTTTCTTGTGAGTCTGTTTCAGTCTATGGATTTCCAGGTAACGTCACACCCTCTTAACATTCCACATGACTCCCTTTTCCCTTCTGCTAAATATTTCTCTTGTATGATTCAACTTTTCTTTTGGTCATATTAGGTGAGATCCTCAACCCACCACATCTCCTTGATACCTATGAGACTGTAGTTCCCTACTTGGATGAAAATTTCATGTTTAGTATGTTCATTCCTACTCTTTGTGCAGAACTATATAGACTTCTGAGATCAAAAGTGCTGTAGTTGAATCCATTCTCAGTGAATTCCTAGTGGGAATTACTGTCATTTTCTCTAGTCATTCTTCTTTCTTGCTTTTATGTTTCAGTGTAAGGAACTCTTTCTCAGGTTATAAATCATGAGCAGGCAAAGGCATTCTTCTTGTCCCCTGATGTTTTATCCATATCCCTGGCCTAGGATGCCACAGCCCTGATAGTCAAAATCCTATTCTTGGGTATCATCAATGCAGCTGGCTCTTCACTTCCAAAATCTTCCTTATTTCAGCTGTCCCTGGGGGAAAACTAAGAAAATAAGATGCAACTACATCCCTGAGTTGCCAAACCATGCAGCAGGATGACATCATGGCTATCTCATTCAAAGAGGAGTCATTATTCTGACATTCTAGTGTCACCTTGGCTGCTTGCTAACTCTGTGACCTAGAACAAGCCACTTTAACCCTCTGGGCTCTGCTTTTGTCCTCTGATAAGCAGAAATAATAATGCCTTGACTGCCTGTATCTCAGAGCTATGTTCACAATGAAATTAGATGATGTACATAAAAGTGTTTGTGCACTAGTCATTACATACAGGTGAGATACTGTTAGTAACATTACCAAGGCTTCTTGTGAAATGTGGGATGTGAAATTGAGCAAGATATATAGATTCAACATCAGAATAGAAGGAGAAAAAAGGCTAATCAATTTGCTGAACTCATTAATCTTCATTTGATATTTAGCTGATGTCTGTACTCGTAAAGGTACTCAGCTAAACACAGCAAAGGAGCTTTTAGGACTAGTGAGATTTTTTTTCTTAAGCAAGCCTTAATGAAACCGCGCTGGCTGATAAGCACTGCAATTAACTGCTTTGCTATCACTTTTAAACAAACCTTTCTCTCCATTTTTGTCCCTGGGGGAGATAAGAAGGAGGAGGTGGAGAGATAAAAATATTGGCTTGTTTTCATGTTGGTAATTTACAGCTGATAAACTGAATTGCTGCTCTTATCAGTGGGTTGTCTAGAAGGTTTGTTTAGAATCCACTGGTTACTCATAAAGTCTCAAATAAGGGAGAGGTGCCAGATTTGGGCCTGGCCTATGCCATAATTTCTCCCCAGTTGGAGATACTGTCAGAAATACGGTTTTACAGGAGATTTTCAAGTTAAAACAGAGTAATTTAAAAGTCATTGATGAGGCCAGGCGTGGTGGCTCATGCCTGTAATCCCAACACTTTGAGAGGCCAAGGCAGGCAGATTACTTGAAGCCAGGAGTTTGAGTGGAGCCTGCACAACATGGTGAAACCCTGTCTTCACTAAAATACGGTAGTATTTAGTGTCTTCACTAAAAATACAAAATTTAGCCACTCAGAAGGCTGATCACGAGAATGGCTTGAACCCCAGAGGCAGAGGTTGCAGTGAGCCAAGATCATGCCACTGCACTCCAACCTGGGCAACAGAGGGAGACTCTGTCTCAAAAAATAAAAATAAAAATAAAATAAGTCACTGATTACATGTGAATATCATTATGTGAATAATAAGAAGACAAAAGATTATCCAAAATTTATGGGGGGGGGTGGGGTGTATATTTTACCCTCCCTCCACCCCCCGCAGCCAGGAGTACTTCAGTGTGTCTGAACTCATTGACCATAAATTCGTTAACAAGATCAGACCTTATTCACTACATCCTGGTTTCTCCTGTAATTTAGAAGTGAAACCACCTTTGCAAAAATTATAACAGTGAGAAAATTATAACAGTGAAAGAGATCTGACCTAACCAACTTTATCTTGCCTTAACTTCCAAACTGCCCTTAGTCATTGATGGGCATGGGCCAAGCTAACATTGGGAGAAATTTATTTCATAGTTTAAATGATAATAGCCCTTTCAAAAACTAAATGTCCTTTGTTAAATTAATGAAAAGCCACCAGATGGGGAGGATGACAGGGGCCTGAATTCTGCTAAGATGTAGGCATAGTTAAATGATTACCAGTCATTATTCTGGAGGTCCCAATATTTGCAATTTCCCCAATTACTTCTGTAAATAACATCATTATTATAGAAGCGAAGATTAACCTTTTGAGATGTCTTTTCAGGCTTTTGTATTTCTGATGATCGGATGGCTCCACCCAGACCCAAGACTCATGACTCAGAGGTCCTGTGGGCCCCACCCAGAAGTGGACTCAGCACAGGAGGACCATTTTTCACACCCCTATGATATCCCCAACCAATCAGCACCACCCCTTCCCTAGCCCACAAAACTATCTTTAAAAAACTCGAGCCTCTAGCTAGGCATGGTGGTTCACATCTGTAATCCCAGCATTTGGGGAGGCTAAGGTGGGAAGATTCCTTAAGCTCAAGAGTTCAAGACCAGCCTGGGAAACACTTGGAGACCGCATCTCTACAAAAAAAAATTAAAAATTGGCCAAGCATCCTGGCACATGCCTGTGGTCCCAGCTACTCAGGAAACTGAGGCAGGAGGATCACTTGGGCCTGGGAGGTTGAGGCTGCAGTGAACCATGATCGTGTCACTGTGCTCCAGCCTGGGTGATACACTGAGACCGTATCTCAAAAAACAAACAGAAAAATAACAAAACTCTAGCCTTCAAATTTAAGGGGAGGCTGATTCAAGTGACAGTAAATCACCAGTCTTCCATTTAGCTGACTCTATGTATATTAAACTCTTCGTCTATTGCAATTCCTCTGTCTTGATAAATCGGCCCTATCTGGGCAGCACGCAGGAAGAACCCATTGGGTGGTTATAGGTGATTTGGGAATCCACTCCCCAGAGGCTATGTATGCCACATAAAGACATACACACCCATATAATTTGACATAAAGATGTGTATAATTATATCATGTTTGCATTTTTTTAAAATATAGTCTTTCTGTTTGCTTGCTTTCCTCCTTTCCCATATTCCTCTCTTTGGTGGTTATTTATCTTTCCAAAGTAGATTTTAATATGCTTCCTTCCATTTTGCCATTTTCATTCAATAATCCCTCTCTAAAATCTTTCTTAGCCAACTGGTATAACTCAACCATTTTCTTGTTGGTGGGCATTCATTTTATTTCTCTCCTCTCTCTTTCTTCTCTGAATAACAGTTTATTTTCTAAAGCAGCCAGATTAATCCTTTAAAACATGAATCAGATCGTGTTACTCTTCTGTTCAAAACCCTGTAGTGACTCTCTGTTTTACTCCCAAATAAAAGCCAAAGTCTTTACAGTGGCTTCCCAGATCCCACATATAACATATCACCCCTGCCTACCCTCCCCGCAACCCATTTCTCTCTGACTTTATTCTGCTCTCCCTCTTGTTCAACCTGCTCCATCCACACTATGCCAGTCTCGTTCATGTTCCTTGAACATGCCAGGCAGGCTCTTGCCTTCGTGTCTTGCACTAGTTGTACCTGTGTCTGAAAGGCTCTTTACCCAGATATCCCTTGCCTTCTTCAAGCATCGGCTCAGCTCCCTCCTTAGGGAGGCCTCCTGCAATAAATTGAATGTTTGTATCCCCCCAGAATTCACGTGTTGAAACCCTAATTCCCAAAGTGATGGTATTTGGAGGTGGGATCTCTGGGAAGTAATTAGGTCACGAGAGGGAAGCCCTTATGATGGGCTTAGTACCCTTCTAAGAAGAGACGGGAGAGAGCTTGCTTCTTCTATCTACCCTGTCAATATACACTACCACACCCTTCTGCAAACCAGGAAGTGGACCTTCTTCACCAGGACCGGAATTGGCCGGCCCCTTGACCTTGGACTTCCCAGCATACAGAACTCTGAGAAATAAACATTTGTTGTCTAAGCCATCTAGTCTATGGTAATTTGTTATAGCAGCCCCAGCTGAGTAGGACACCCACCTATCTGAAATTGCAACTCACACCCCTGCCCTATCATCTCAGCTCTGCTGATTCCCCTTACTGTGCTCTTGCTTGTTTTTAAACACTTATCTGTTTCTAATATACTAGGGTGTATTTATTTACTTATTAAGATTATTCATGTCTACCTCCCCCAACAAGATTTACCCAGCAAGAATCTTTTTGTTGTTCTCTAGCTCCTGAAAGAGTGTCAGGCATAAAATAGCCGTTGAATAAAATGTGTTGAATAAATGAATGCTGCCATTAACATTTTTATGTATTCCATCACACTAGTGATTTTATTTTTATGGGATAGAATGCCAAGAGTAAAACTATTGAGTCAAAGGACATGTATATTTAAATTTTAGTGGAAGTTCCAAGATTGCTTTCCAAATATTTTTTTAGCAAGTCATGGCCGGGCTCAGTGGCTTACTCATGTGATCCCAGCACTTTGGGAGGCTGAGGCAGGTAGATCATTTAAGCCCAGAAGTTCAAGACCAGCCTGAGCAACATAGGGAGACCCCATCTCTACAAAAAATACAAAAATTAGCCGGGCATGGTGGTACATGCCTGTAGTCCTAGCTACTCAAGAAGCTGAGAGGGGAGGATTGATTGAGCCTGGTAGGTGGAGGTTGCAGAGAGCTGGGAATGTGCCACTGTACCCCAGCCTGGGTGGCAGAATGAGGCTCTGCCAAAAAAAAAGAAAAAAAACAAAGTTCCTTTTTAAAAAATCATCAGTGTAAAACAGTGTCCTTTTCCCCCCACATCGCTGCCAGCAATGAATATTATAGCTCTCTTCAATTTTTTTCAGTCTGATAGATATAAAAGGATATCTTGTCCTTGACAAGGTATTACGTGTCCTTGACTTTGAGCATTTTCTCATATGTTTTGCTGGCAATTTGGAGGTGTTTATCTGTGAACTGTTTATTTGTATCCTTTTCCTATTTTTCTCTTGAGTTGTCCTTTTCTTTAAAAAGTGTAGGTTTTTTTGTTTATTTGAGATACTTATCTTTTACCTGATGAGCATTATAAATATATTTTTCCCAATATATCATTTGTTTATGATATATTATCTTTTATCATAAAAAGCTCATCTTCCCTCTTAGAGTTTTTAGATTTAAATTTTGATTGGGAAAGCCTTCCCTATCTCTGTTATACATGTAGTCATTCTGATTTTTTGTGTGTGAGTTTTTATTTCAATTTGTCATTATTTAGTCAACAAGTATTGACATTTAGGTATTTAATCTTCTAAAATTGGATGTTAGTGTGTGTATGAAGGTATACGTTACAGAGTTTAATTTTCTTCCATATTAATAGCCAATTGTGCAGGTACTAGTTATTCAAAAATCCATGATTTCCCCCATCGAACTGAACTATTAATTTTATGATATATTCTCACATAAACTAGGATCTATTTCTAGATTATCTGTTCAGTTCCACTAGTATGTTTATTGATTATCATACAAATATTTTTAATTTGATTTCAGAGCCACACCTTTTCCCCATTATTTTATATTTCCTAGTTGTCTTCCTTGACTATACTGAAGCAATTATTTTTCCACATCAAATTTATGACCGTTTTACCTAACTCTGGGAAACTTTTTGAGGTTAAACTTCCCTAATACTAGCAGCATGTATAGAGACATAGCAGCATGTATAGAGTGTAATGCAAAGATTACAGGTTAAATTCTTTTTATTTTTTTCAGAGTAATATTTTCTCGTTACAAAATAGAGATAATAATTCTTGCCCTGCTTATCTACCTAAGAGGGTTCATACCGTGTGGAGATTCTCCAATACATAATATGATAAATAATACAAACTCCATTTGTCCAGCAGAACTGTTTTGTTGTTGTTGTTTTTGTTTTGTTTTTTGAGACAGAGTCTCACTCTGTTGCCCAGGCTAGAGTACAGTGGCATGATCTTGGCTCTCTGCAGCCTCCGTCTCTCAGGTTCAAGCAGTTCTCCTGCCTCAGCCGCCCAAGTAGCTGGGATTATGGGCATGCGCCACCACGCCTGGCTAATTTTTGTATTTTTAGTAGAGACAGGTTTTCACCATATTGGCCAGGCTGGTCTCGAACTCCTGACCTTAAGTGATACGCCTGCCTCGGTCTCCTAAAATGCTGAGATTATAGGCCCGAGCCACAGTGCCCCGCCAGGACTGTTATTTTGCGTGTGTGTGAGAAAAGTAGTTAGGGCAAGGGAATAGACCTTTTCCATTATTTTATTAGGTGAGATACTTTGTTGCAAGTAATAGGAATGTAAGCATCAAATGCAATCATGTAGGAAGACACGTGTAAATTTATAATTCCTGGTATATAGTGCCTGTATGTACTGTAGTGGTATTGTGGGGGCCATAGGCTCTTGGCCTCCTAAAGGCTCGCTGAAAATCACTGACATAAAGCGGATTGATTAATAGGAGAAAAGGTATACAAATTTATTTAACATGTTGATATAGTTTGGATGTGTGTCGTTACCCAAATCTCATTGAAATGTAATCCCCAGTGTTGGAGGTGAGGCCTGGTGGGAAGTGATTGGATCATGGGGGCAGTTTTCTCATGAGTGGTTTAGTACTATCCCTCTTGGTACTGTCCTCGCAATAGAGAGTGTGTTCTCATGAGATCTGATCGTTTAAAAGTGTGTGGCACCTCCTCACTTGCTTTCTTGCTGCTGCTCTGGCCATGTGAAGTGCCTGCTGCTCCCTTTGCCTTCCACGGTGATTCTAAGTTTCCTGAGCAGAAGTTGAGCAGATACCAACATCCTGCTTCCTGTACAGTCTGCACAACCATGAGCCAATTAAACCTCTTTTTTTTATAAATTACCATGTCTCCAGTATTTATAGCAATGCAAGAATAGAGTAAGACATGTATATACACAGGAGGCTTCAAAATGAAAAGGCCAACTTCCCAGTGAGTAACAGAAACTTATATGCCATACTGAGGCCACAGTAAAGAATGCAGACTCAGAGCATGGCCAGAAACAGGTCAGTCAGGTTTAGTGGCAAGACATGTGAAGAGAGACAGAAAGGAAGAAGCTTGGCTAGCAAAGATGGCCTTGTTACATAGATGAAACCTTCCCCAAAGAAAATAGATGGTAAATGTTTATTTTAAGACTTTAAAAGGTGTCAGACTCTCAATCTTTCCTGGAGCGGGGAAGGTATAGAAAGGGGAGGGGGCGTGGTTACAGTAATGAAGGTTCTCTATAGATGCAAATTTTCCCCACTTAAGGCAGCTTTGCAAATCCACTTCTGTCAGAAGTGATAGGCCAAGTGATAGCCCTTTTAAAATACGTCACAGAAATAGGTTTTGGGATAAAATATTTTTTTTTATTTATTTTATTTATTTATTTATTTTGAGACAGCGTCTTGCTCTGTCGCCCAGGCTGGAGTGCAGTGGCGCAGTCTCGGCTCACTGCAACCTACGCCTCCCGGGTTCAAGTGATTCTCGTGCTTCAGCCTCCCTAGTAGCTGGGATTACAGGCATGCACCGTCATGCCCAGCTAATTTTTGTATTGTTGGTAGAGATGGGGTTTTACCATATTGGCCAGGCTTGTGTTGAACCCCTGACCTCAAGTGATCTGCCCAGCTTGCCCTCCCAAAGTGCTAGGATTACAGGCATGAGCCACCACGCCTGGCCTAGGATAAAATATTTTAATTTCCTTTTATTATATACCTGTGTTGGTATATAGAGCCAAGCCTTACTGCTGTGAGCATCATATGAGGCCCTGGTCATAGCTCCTGTCTGTGGCTACTGTGGAGTTTGCCACTTCCTGTTTCCATGATCTTAGATGAACCAAACTCTACAAGGGAAAATACTTTGTAAGTTACAAAACTGCCTGACAACCACTGATCAGAATTATTCTTGCTGTTTCCTGTGCCGCATTTCTCTCAAGCAGGAGAGAAGTCTGTAGTTCTCAATGGCTGTCACCCACGGCAAGGACAGCTTCTTTCTTTGTGGAGCAGAGACGTGTGACTCTGAGTCAGTGGCAGGCAATGTTATGCTGGTAATAAGAACTCTATAATGAAGCGGTCTGAGAATATGAGTGCATTGTCCTCCTTTCTTTTGTTTCTCTTTTTTTTTTTTTTTTTTTTTTTTGAGATGGAGTCTCACTCTGTCACTCAGGCTAGAGTGCAATAGTGCCCACTGCAACCTCCACCTCCTGGGTTCAAGTGATTCACCTCCCTCAGGCTTCCAAGTAGGTGGGATAACAGGCACCTGCCACCATGCCTGGCTAATTTTTGCATTTTTATAGAGTCAGGGTTTCACCATGTTGGCGAGGCTGGCCTCAAACCCCTGACCTCAGGTGATCCACCCATCTCAGCCTCCCAAAATGCTAGAATTACAGGCATGAGTCACCACGCCCAGCCTTGCCCTCCTTTCTTGATGAAGCCCCTGCTCATATCTATCTTTAGCTATAGTGTTCACAAAAAGATTATTAGATTATCGCAATCTCAAGTGTTATTTGTGCCTTGTTTAATAGACTTGAGCAAAAGTATTTCAAGGGCCTGTGCCAGGTGTTTTCTCTCTTTTTAATCCTTTTTCAGCTGGCAAGGATCATGCACATTTATTCTGGATTTGGCTGATTTTCCCGGGAATGTATGGTGAGATGTGAGTTTGCAACACCATTATTTTTTTTAAGGAACAATAAGGGCATATACACAGAAAGCACCCATCCACATATAATTTTGAATCCCAGGGTCCTTAGAGATATGCTAGTCAGCCCAACTCCCCTCATTTGCAGATTTGGGTGCCAGAAGTGAAAACGCCTTTGCAAAATTTTGACAGTAAGAGAAATCTGACATAGTTACTCCATCTTGATTCTAACCTCCAAGTTGTCCTTGGTCATTCCTGGGCATAAGCCAAGCTAGGTTTGGCAGGAATTAGGTTTATGGTTTAACTTTAAAGCAAGGATGATAATAGCCCTTCCCCAAACTAAACCACCTCTATAAAACTAAGTTCGCAAGGTTGTGATTATGAGAGGGGCCTGAATTCTGCTGAGATGTAGGCGTAGTTAAATGATTACCAGCCCTTGTTCTGGAGGTAACAAGACTTGCAATTTCCCCAATGATTCCCCTAGATAACATCACTATTGTGAAACCTAACATTAGCTTTTTGAGATGTTTTTTAGACTTTTGCATTTCTGACTCCACACAGACCCTCAATTCATGACTCAACCAGTCCTGTGGCCCCCACAGGTGGGCTGAGAGCATGAGAACTGTTTTCCAGACCCCTGTGATTTCATCCCCAATCAATGAACATCCCCCATTCCCTAGCCCCCTGCCCACCAAACTGTCCTTGTAAAACCCTAACCTCCAAACTTATGGGGAGACTGATTTTAGTAATTACTTCATCTCCCACATGGCTAGCCTTGTGTCAGTTAAACTCTTTCCTTACTGCTGTGCTGCAGTCTCAGTGAATTGATTTTGTCTGTGCAATGGGCAGGGAGACGTTGTTGAGTGATTACACTAAAACTACCCATTTATTTTTTAAAGAGAGAGAGAGGGAAAGTATTTGTGTGCAGAGAGAAAGAGAATGCTAAAGTAAAATATAAAATGTTGACAGGTGGAGAATCTAGGTGGAGGGTATGCAGATTTCCATTTTACTAGCCTTTTTATTTTCTCTTTACTTTTCCTTATAAAAATGAGGGTAGGAGTGGTTAAAGCCAGGTCTAGAGGACTCAGAAAATATCTTGTGCCAGTGGAGAAGTACATGATTATTTAAGACTAGGTTTTTTGCCATACAGAGGATGATAATGTGGGAGACCAGCATGTGCCTCCCCAAAATAGAAAGAATTGTTGAGCTGAAGACAATTAAGAAGTAGATGCAGGGAAGTTCTCAGCCCTGCCTCTATTTGCCTAAAGCAGAACATAGATTTTGAAGGAAATAAAAATATTTCACTCCTAAATATATTTATTTGTCCTATTTTGAGATGGCTGTCAGAGGGTCAGCAAACAGAAGTGTCCCTGCAAAGCTGTCTTTAGTGAGGAAAATTTGCATCTGGAGAGACCTTCATTAATGAAGCCTTCCCTTGTCTGGATTTAGAAAGATTAACTGAGAGTTGGACACTTTTAAAAGTCCGGAAAACACACACACACACACACACGCACACACACTTCTATTCTCCCTGAAAGCTGCTGTCTGTGAGGATTCCTCTAGACAAGACCACGCCTTCTAGCCAAGTCTCTTCATTTCTCCCTTCCATAACCTGTTTTGGCACTAAAACCTGGTCTTGGCCATGCTCTGAGCCCATATTCTTTCTCTAATCTCAACGGTAAATGAGCTTCTGCACCACATAGGGAAGCTGGGTCTTCATTCTGAAGGCTCCTGTCTATAACTAACGTTAAATAAATTTGTGTGCCTTTTCTCCTATTAATCTGCCTTTTGTAAGTTGATTTTTCAGCAAATCTTCAAGAGGCCAAGGGCCTTGGCGTCTACAATTTATAATGACAAAAGTCATCCTACCTACCTCTCTACCACCTCCTTAACCTTTATTAACCATTGAAAACAGCTTTGGACCCTTATAGGCCTGGAGATAGTATCAGAGGAATTGAAATTAATAAGCTTTCCTAATGTAAAAAAAAAATCTTGGACAAGTTAAATTTAACAGAGTTTAACTGAGCAAAGAACCATTTGCGAATCAGGTAGCCTCCTGAGCCAGAGCAGGCTCAGAGAGACTCCAGTGCAGCCAGGTAGTAGATTTATGGACAGAAAAAGGAAGTGAGATGTACAGAAAATGGAAGTGAGATACAGAAACAGCTGGATTGGTTACAGCTTGGAGCTTGCCTCATTTGAACACAGTTTGAACAGTCGGCTACCTTTGGCCGAAACTCGGTGATTGGCAGAGGAGTAGGTTACAGTCTATGTCCACAGCCAGTTAGGTTTCAGTTTACTATGAACAGAGAATCCTTTAGGCAGAACTTAAAATATGCAAGGAGGAAACTTTTGGTTAAATTTAACACTAACTAGCATGTATCTGCCATTTATTTACCCTCCCAAAGTTGTCACTGATACTGATAAACTCTGTAGCCTGAAAAGCTGAGATTGTTTCCTGTTTGGTGTTGCAGAACCAATACACAAAGCCAAAAGTGAGTGTCAAGCAGAGCAAGCTTGGTTTTTGTTTGTTTTTCTGAGACACTGAAGCAGTATGGTTCATCTGGGGTAATACCCAAGGCTTTTTGCCTCACACCAAGGAAATCAAGGACATAGACACACAAGGCGTGAGTTTAAGACCAGAAGTTTAATAGGCAAAAGAAAGAGAAAAACTCTCTTCTACAGAGAGAGAGAGGGGCTCCCAAGTGGGTCTTCCAGTTCAGTGGTGAAATTCATGAGGGGGATGGGGGGTGTTTATAGATGAGCTTGAGGAGGCAGTGTCTGATTTACATAGGGCCCAGAAGATTGGTCGGACCAGGTGTTCCATTTACATAGTGCAGGAAGAAGCTGGCTGCCCCATCCTAATCTTTTATCATGCAGTTAGGTTCTCTACCTGGCTAGCGCCATGTTGTCAGTACATTTACTGTACATGTGGTTAACAAAGGAAAGATGGAGCTGCCATGTTGAACATGCCTGGCCCCCTAGCCTTTTCCTATTGGCACAGCTGCAGGCATTCACCCATGCAAGCTTCCAGCTTGCTTATCTATGTCTCCAACTCAATTTTACAGGCTGCTCTTTGTTAGAAAAGAAATTATTTTGGGGCTGCTTTTTGTTAAAAGGGAAGCCTTACTGAGGACTCTCTTACTCTCACTAATCTTCTAAATAATGTCTTTTTAGCTCCTGTATCAACAGGGTCTTGCTCTGTTGCCCAGGATGTAGTGCAGTGGCACAATTATGACTCACCTCCTGGGCTCAAGGGATCATCTCACCTCAGCCTCCTCAGTAGCTGGAACCACAGATGTGTGCCACCACACTTGACCAAGTTTTTATTTTTTTTTTTAGAGACGGGGGTCTCACTATGTTGCCCAAGCAGGTCTCGAACTCCTGGGTTCAAGCAGTCCTTCCACCTTAGCTTCCCAAAGTGCTGGGATTACAGGCATGGGCAACCACGCCCAGCTAGGGCAAGTGTTTATTTAATAGCCCAGGAATTGGAAAAGCAGAAGGATGGCTTTGAAACCAATTTATCAATTAGTGAGGGGTGATGGGGTTAAAATATAGGGTTTCTCTAATGTAAGTGTTGGACATGAAAAGGAAAGGGAGGAGTATTCATGTCTTTTCTGGAAATGGGCAGAGATTTCCTGGAATCTGGATGCTGCCCTTTTTCCTTCCTTTAATGGTAAGGTATTGCCTTTTATGGCTGCCAGTAGGTGTGCCAGTTGTATGGTAATCAGGTTATGATGAAGTTAGAGGCTCTTCAGAGGTCAGATGAGCTGCCATCTTGGATCTCCCCTGTTTCTGCTGGTCTGGTCAAGAGGGGGAACTTCTGACTACAGGTATCCTGTTTGCTGGAGATGAAGCAGGGTTAGGGTGTCACAGTGATGTAGCCCAACCTTGCAGCCTTACAAGCACTAGAGAAGGTAACATCACCAGTAAAGACTTAAAGTATTTTCCTTAGTCTTTTCATTTCTCTAAATATTTACTGATTTTGTTGAAGATGCTATAAAGGCTGGAATTCAAAGCCACCTCTTTGAGAACTACTCATGCTGTGGGTATCACCCGTGTAGATATGAAATATACATGTTAATACACTTCTGTTTATTGTTCTCTTGTTAATCTGTCTTTTTAAAGATGGCTGTGTTTTAACTAAGAACCTATGGGGGTGAGAAAAGAAAGTAACTTTTATCAGAGGAATGCAAGTCTAGAGAGACATCACAATGAGACAGCAGTCATATTCTGCTTCTCCCTTTGAGCTACGTATTCATCTCTCAAAACTGTTTGCTGTTGCCATGAGTAGCTATAAATTAACTTAATAATGCCCTGTCTCACACCATAACACCTACCTTTTAGCATAACAATGTATAGCCAATCATTAATTGATGTTATTTCTGTAAACAACTTTGTACCTTATTTGTTTTGCCCTTGTTTTGGCTTTGAAAACCTGCTTTGAAAACCTGCTTGTAACAGAGGCCAAATATGAACAGAGGAGTTCATAGCCAAGATTACTTGGATCTGAGTCTTTTGGGCAGCTGTCCTCACTTTGGCTCAAGTAAACTCTTTAAATTATATTTTGTGCTGTAGTCTTTTCCTTTTAGGTCAACAGGGTTATTATTTTTTCCTCTACAATAGAAACTCTTTATCATCTGTAATGGTACAGGATGGCTTGAGAGGTGAAGAGTGAGGGTGAGTAACTGCTGTAGGTTTTTGAGAAGGAGATCAATAGTCTTTTTATCTGACTGGGTTGAAAGGGAAACTGCCTTTGCGAGGATTATGACAGTGAGAGGAATCCAGCATGGCTGACTTCATCTTGCTTCTAGCCTCACAGGCTGGCTATCTTTGCTCATTCCTGGGCATAGGCCAAGCTAGCCATAGGAGAAATTTATAGTTTAACTTGAAAGCAAGGATAATAATAGTCCCTCCCTAAAACTAACTCCCTCCTTGTTAAGGGACAGAAAACTACTGAAAGGCCACCAGATTAGGATTAAGGAAGGGATCTGAATTTGGCTAAAATATAAGCATAGTTTCCAAAATTCCTTATGACTCAGAAGTCATGTGGCCTTAGGTCAAAAGATTTGTGACGTCCCTAATTGCTCCTATAGATAACATCACTATTGTAGAACCTAAGATTGGTCTTTTGAGACGTTTTTTGGACTTTTACATTCTGACAACTGACTGACCCCACCCAGACCCATGGTTTGATTCATCCAGTCCTGTGCCCCTGCTGCCACCCAACCCAGAGGCAGACTCAGCACAGAAGGACACCCATGATTTCATCCCCAGCTGGACAGCAGCACCCATTTCCTAGCACCCTGCCCACCAACTTATCCTTGGAAAAACTCTAACCTCTGAGCCTTTGGGGAGACTAATTTGAGTGATAATTCCATGTCCTATGTAGCCAGCTTTGCATTAACTAAGCTCTTTACTGCAATACCACTGTCTCAGTGACCTGGTTTTGTCTGTGCAGTGGGCAGGAAGAACCTGTTGGGTGATTGCAAAATGAATACAATGTCTCAGGTAACTGATGAGCTCTGAGGACAGAAACAGTTGTGTCTCTATTTCTGGTGTATATTTGAGAGAGACTGCATATGGAACCCCAGGTATGGGGGTGCTGATCAAGGCAGAATGAAGAAAGTGGTATGTTTAGGCAAAAGGGGTCTAAGTTCCCAGGTCTAGTCTCTGGAAATGCCACAAAAGCATGAGATAGTAACCAAAATGAATGTGGATTGCCCAAGAGGCTTTGTGATGAGCATGAAGAAGGCACAGAGCAGCCTATATCAACCAGAGACAGGATCTCCAAGGACAGGAGAACCTGACTAGTGAATTCCTTAGGTTATGAGTTAAGGGGCAAAGAATAGATGGGATGAGTTACTTCAGCAGAGGATGCTAGCAGAAAAACAACCATGGGCCAGATGCCCATCCTTCCCCCTACCCCACCATGTTACAGGGGAGGAAAACATAATTTTCTCTTATAAGGGGCCTCTGAAGTTCTGCTGAAAATCACTCACATGAGGCAGATTGATTAACAGGAGAAAAGGCATACAAATTGATATAATGTGTATACACGGGAGGCTTCAGAATGAAGACACAGCCCTCAAGTGAGGTACAGAAATTTATGTACCATCTTGAGGCTATGTTACAGGAAGAATGCAAGCTCAAAGCATGGCCAAAAAACAGGTTATTGTGGTGAATTAGGTTCTGGTGGTAAGACAGGTTATGAGAGGGGGAGAAGAGGGGTTTGGCTAGCAAAGATGTCTTGATAATATACATGAAACCTCACAGGTAGCAGTCCTCAGACAGAATAGATGGTAAACGTTTCTTTCAGGTCCTTTAAGGTGTCAGACTCTCAGTTAATCCCTCCTAGATCTGGATGAGGGAAGGCTGGCTGCATTAATTGAGATTCTGTAGATGCATACCTCCTCCACCAAAGACAGCTTTGCAGGACTGCTTCAGTCTGCTGTCCCTGTGGCAGCCATCTCAAAATATGTCAAATAAATATATTTCGTGGTAAAATATTTTTATTTCCTTTACCCTCTTTCCTTTTAAGTTCTCCGCTGGAGACCACCATAACAAAGATACATTAGCAAGAGAAAAACAAAAAAAAAAAGTTTGTTAACGTGTATATCTCATCATATACACATGGGAGAAATCCAGGGAGTAACCCAAAGAGGTGGCTTAGAATTCAACCTTAAATACCATCTTCAGCTAAATCAAAGGAAGAAGGATGCAGGGGAGGCAAGTTATGAGAATGTGACCAGGAACCATATGATAAATGAGAGTAAGTTCTGTTATGCAGATTTAAGTCAGTGTCTTTTCCATTAAGAAAAGGCTCTTGAGATTTAGTCATCCTTTCTTCTTGGTACAAAGAGGGAGACACTATTACACATGGATATTCCATTTATAAAGGTAAATTTCCTTACAAAAAGTTGGTTTTGCTCTTTTCAGAGCTTCTCCTTTGTCTGCTGTTTCTCAAAATAATTAGCTCCAAATAATCCTTATGCCAAGGAGGCATATTTGGGGTGACATATTCTGGTCTCCTATGATGTCATGGTATGATATAAACCTTCTTTGAGCTCAGGGGCCACTTTTAGGATGAGAAAGAGGGGAGGAATAAACTAAATTTACTGGCATTGAGAAAAGAATCTTTATTCTTTTAAATTATCAGGCCCAGAGAGACATTTAAATGGGACAGCAAACACATACTCCCCCACTTTTGAGTTATATATTTACCTCTTGAAATTGCTTGCTACTGCCACAAATAGCTATAAATTAACCTAATAATTCCTCACCTGAGACTATAAGCCATACCTTATAGCTTAACAATGTATAGCCAATCATGAATCAATGTTATTTCCATAAACCAGTGACAATTCCTGACAAACGACTTTGTATTAGTCCACTCCCTGTCCCCTCTTTTTTCCCTTTAAAAATTCACTTGTAACTGCTGCTAATTCGATTGTATATTCAGGGCAACTTGAATCTATGCTCCTGGGTTGCAGTCCTCAGGCTTGGTGCAAATAAACTCTCTACTTATATTAGTTTTAGTTTCGGCTCAGCTTCTTCCTTTTAGGTTGACAGTATATTCCAATTTACGACTCTCATACCTCAAATTAGCTAGATGATACGGTTATTGAAGGAAAGCTACATCTAGTTACATATCAGCTAATGCTGAAAAGATATGTAATTTATTATAAAACTCTGGACCAGCTGTGGATTCTCATTGGGTCCACTTTTCTGTGACTCCCTAGTCAGCAAAATTCTTTTTTTTTTTTTTTTTTTTGAGATGGAGTCTTGCTCTTGTCGCCTAGGCTGGAGTGCAGTGGCGCAATCTTGGCTCACTGCAACTTCTGCCTCCTGGGTTCAAGCGATTCTCCAGCCTCAGCCTCCCAAGTAGCTGTGATGACAGGCACATGCCACCATGTGTGGCTAATTTTTGTATTTTTAGTAGACATGGTGTTTCACTAAATTGGCCAGGCTGGTCTTGAACTCCTGACCTCATGATCTCCCTGCCTCAGCCTCCCCAAGTGCTGGGATTACAGGCATGAGCCACCATGCCTGGCCAAAATTCTTTTAAAAAAACAAAACAATTCCTAAAATTGTATGTGGTCATTGAATAAAATGTCACGCCTGTCCTTGTTGGTCTGCATAATAACTCTTACAGACTGAATGTTTGTGTTCCCCTGAAATTCGTATGTTGAAATCCCAACCCCCATTGTGGCTATATTTGGAGTATGGAAGTAATTAAAGTTAAAAGAGATTATAAGGTGGGGCCCTAATCTGATAAGATTAGTGTCCTTATAAGGAGACAGCAGGGAGCTCATTCTATCTGCACATACAAAGAGAAGGCTAGTAAGGACACAATGAGAAGGCAGCTGTCCATAAATCAGGAAGAGAGCTTCCTGATTGCTGATTTCTATAGTGGCTGAACTAATTTACATTGCTGGCAACAGAGTATCAAGTATTCCCTTTTCTCCACAGCCTTGCCAACATCTGTTGTTTCTTGACTTTTCAATAATAGCCATTCTGACTGGTATGAGATGGTATTTCATTGTAGTTTTGATTTGCATTTCTCTAATGATTAGTAATGTTGAACATTTTTTCACATGCTTATTGGCTGTGTTTATGCCTTTTGAGAAGTGTCTGTTTATGTCCTTTGCCCATTTTTGAATGGGGTTGTTTGTTTTCTGCTTGTTAATGTGCTTAAGTTCCTATAGATTGTGGATATTAGACCTTTGTCAGATGCATAGTTTGTAAATATTTTCTCCCATTCTGTAGGTTGTTCGATGACTCTGTCAATAGTTCCCTTTGCTGTATAGAAGCTCTTTAGTTTAATTAGGTTCCAATTATCAATTTTCATTCTTGTTGCAATTGCTTTTGAGGATTTAGCCACAGATTCTTTCCCAATGCCAATGTGCAGATTGCTGTATGCAAAGTTTTCTTCCAGGATTCTTAGAGTTTTGAGGTCTTAACATTTGAATCTTTAATCTACCTTGAGTTAATGTTTTACATGATGAAAAGTAGGGGTTCAGTTTCATTCTTGTTCATATGGCTAGCCAGTTATCCCAGCACCATTTATTAAATGGAGTTCTTTTCCCATTGCTTATTTTTGTCAGCTTTGTCAAAGAACAGATGACTGTGGGTGTGGGGCTTTATTTCTAGGTTCTCCATTATGTTCCATTAGTCTATGTATCTGTTTTTGTACCAGTACCATGCTGTTTTGATTATTCCAGCCTTTTAGTACAGTTTGGAGTAGGATAATGTGTTGCCTCTGGCTTTGTTCTTTTTTCTTAGGATTTCTTTGGCTATTCCGGCTCTTTCTTTATTCCATATGAATATAAAATCATTTTTTCCAATCCTGTAAAAAATGATATTGGTAGCTTGGTACGAATAGTGATGAATCTATAGATTGGTTTGGGCAGTATGGCCGTTTTAATGATAATGATATTGATTCTTTTTATCCATGAGTATGGAATGTTTTTCCATTTGTTTTTGTTACCTATGATTCCTTTTAGCAATGTTTTGTGGTTCTCCTTATAGAGATTTTTTACCTCCTTTGTTAAATGTATTCCTAGGTATTTTGTGTGTGTGGCTATTGTAAATGAAACTGTGTTCTTGATTTGGCTCTCAGCTTCAACATTATTAGTGAACAGAAATGCTACTGAATTTTTTACACTAATTTTGTATCTTGAAACTTTGTCGAAGTCATTTATTAGTTCCAGAAACCTTTTGGCAGAGTCTTTAGGGTTTTCTATGTGTACAATCATATCATCCGCAAAGACAGAGAGTTTGACATCTTCTTTTCCTGTTTGGTTGCCTTTTATTTCCTCCTCTTGCCTGATTGCCCTGGCTAGCACTTCCAGTATTACGTTGAATAGGAGAGGTGAGAGTAGGCATCTGTGTCTTGTTCCAGTTTTCAAGGAGAATTCTTCCAGGTTTTTCCCATTCAGTATAATGTTGGGTTTGTCAGAGATAGCTCTTACTATTTTGAGGTATGTTCCTTTGATGCCTGGTTTCTTGAGGGTTTTTTTTTAACATAAAGGGGTGTTGAATTTTTCAGAACCTTTTCCTGTATCTATTGAGATGATCATGTGGTTTTTGTTTTTAATTCTGCTCATGTGCTGAATCACATTTATTGATTTGTGTATGTTGAACCAACCTTGCATCTTAGGAATGAAGTCTACTTCATTATGGTGAATTAGCTTCTTCACGTGCTGTTAAATTTGTGTTGCTGGTATTTTCTGAGGATTTTTGCATCCATGTTCATCATGGATATTGGCCTACAGTTTCTTTTTGTTGTTGTTGTTGTGTCTTTGCCAGGGTTTGATATCAGGGTTATGCTATGCTAGCCTTGTAGAATGAGTTAGGGAAGAATCCTTCCTCCTCAATTTTTTGAAAGTTTTAGCAGAATTAATTTTTTGTATGTCTAGTAGAATTTGGCTGTGAATTCATCTGGTCTAGGGAATTTCATTGTTGTTGTTGTTGGTAGGTTTTTTTTAAATACTGATTTGATTTTGGATCTCAGTATTGCTCAATATTGGTCTGTTCAGTGTTTCAGTTTCTTCCTGATTCAATCTTAGGAGACTGTATGTTTCAAGGAATTTATTTCCTCTAGATTTTCTAGTTTGTGTGCATACGGGTGTTCATAATATTCTCTGAGGATCTTTTGTATTTCTGTGGGATCGGTTGTAATGTCACCTTTGTCATTTCTGATTATGCTTATTTGGATCTTGTATCTTTTTTTCTTTGTTAACCTAGCTAGTGGTTTATCATTCTTTTTTATCCTTTCAAAGAACCAACTTTTGGTTTTCTTGATTCTTTGTATAAGTTTTTGGATCTTAATTTTTTTCACTTCTGCTAAGTCATAGATTGTCTGTAGATTTTCTTGTGGTATTAGCAAAGGTAGGATAATAGAGTATAACAAAGCTTTAAAATTATCTCCTGTGATTGTTCTATATTCCCAAATTCCCACACTTCCCAGAAGGTCACCAAACCTCTTTCTTGCCCTTTCTAAACTGTACTATTTCATACATGGCTTTTGAGCACTTGAAATATGGTAAGACTGACCAAGAGGCTAATTTTTAAATTTTATTTAATTTTAATTTAAAATTTAAACCTGAAGCAGTGTTAAGTATTTTCCCATTGGACACAAATACATGGTTTTAATAGGAGTAAATTTCACTTTAATAGTTACATCATTTAATGTATTATTATTGCATTATAGTGTGTGGGCTGGGCGCTCTTGTCTTTCTGATATTATTTTTATTTTGTTTTGTTTATTTTATTTTATTAAATAGTGAAGGGGTATCACTAGTTAGTCAGGAGTTTGGTCTTGAACTCCTAGGCTCAAGTGATCCTCCCTTCTTGGCCTCCCAAAGAGCTGGGATTATAGTCATGAGCCACTGCATCCTGCCTGTTTTTCTGGTGCTATACATGGAAGCTTTGCTGATCTAGTCAGTGTCAATAGATTGCTTTAGTTCAACTGATTTTTTCTATGTACTGAATATTAGTATTGTAATGTTTTTGTCAAAATTTTGTACCAACAGCATGAGCTATAGTGATACCCATGTAGATTGTGGTTGGCAATTGTATTAGTCCGTTTTCACACTGCTATATAGAACTAACTGAGCCTGGGTAATTTATTAAAAAAAAGGTTTAATTGACCCATGGTTCTGTATGGCAGGGAACGCCTCAAGACACTTACAATCATGGTGGATGGTGAAAGGAAAGAAAGGCACATCTTACGTGGTGGCAGGAGAGAGAGAGAGAGAGAGAAAGTGCAAAGGGGGTAGTGCCACACAGTTTTCAACCATCAGATCTTGTGAGAACTCACTATCAAGAGAACAACAAGGGGGAAGTCCACCCCCATGATTCAATCACCTCCCATCAGGCCCCTCCTCTGACACGTGGGGATTACACTTCAAGATGAGATTTGGGTGGAGACACAGAGCCAGACCATGTCTGCAATTAACTTGATATGTATAGCATTTTAATTATAATTTGACTAGTTTTCTAGTTAAACAATTATATGTGGATAAATTTTTAAGTTTAAAATAAAGGTATACTATTGTTACAAAATTAAGCAGAAATACAGAAACGAGCACTACAACTGGAACAGTTTTTGTTTTAAAGAAAACTGCATTGTAATTTTACAAATAAAATAACAAAATGAAAAGATATTTGCTGTCTAAAAAGTTTCTTAAAATAATTTGAGCTGGTAATTTTGTTTGAATTCTTTTTCAAAATTTTGTTTGAAAACTCTGTTTCAAAATTTTGTTTGAATTCTTGCTTGCATACACACATGTTCATGCAAGTATTTTTGAGGAGAGATGTTAACATTTTATTAATTATGGAAACTGTGTTAGAAAATATGAGAAAACTAAAAATAATATTTTAGAAAAGGTAAAATACCTTGAATTAAGCAAACCATTGGCCAAATAATCCAAGACCTTTCTTAGAATATTAAATATCAATTAATTCAAAACTAAAAAATTACAAGTAGTTTTCTTTTGCTGTAGATAAGTCATGTAATATACCCAGTTAACACTTTGGGTACATTTTATATCAAAGGACTTCCAAATTTATGAAGAAATGTCGATTCATGCCTTAAAAATTTTAAGATCTTGGTATAGATATTTTTGAATCTTTACCATCTGTCAAAGAACTTTCCCCCTATAAGGATTCGCTTCTATCGTGATGAATAATGCTTTATTCATTCCAGATTGACTGGAATTTTAAAACAAAAGATGGATGTTCCCTTATTGCTTCATTCTGCTACATAATATTGATAGTGTTGAACTTTAAACCCTGTGTTCTTCAAAAAGCTACTTGTGAAGGACCACCCTACTAGCACATATTCTATTTGGACTCACCTCCACTCTTGCTGAATGACTCTGACTCCCTTGTTTATGCAGTTCTACATCTCTTGGCACCCTTCTCTTTCTTTGAAGGAAGATAAGTAAAAAAAATTTTCTCTTCAAAGAAAAAGAAGGTGGTCTTTTTTTTCTTCATAGGAAACATTTTGTAACAGAAATATTATAAAAATTTGCTAACAGACACAAAATCTAGTCAATATCTGTAGGGTCATACATAATCCATTGTATCTTTATCAACAAAATTTTGCATTTCTATTAACAAAAATGATTTACATCCTATTAGACTTCCAGAAGTTAACTTCTATTTCTACAGCACTGCAGAATTGTGAGGGACAATGAAATTTGCAGACCTCTTTAGAATCAAATAACTCTGCAAGTTTTGTCTAAACACTTAGCATTCTATTTGTATTAGTCCGTTTTCACGCTACTGATAAAGACATACCTGAGACTGGGCAATTTACAAGTCTTTAGTGGACTTAAAGTTCCATGTGGCTGGGAAGGCCTCACAATCATGGCAGAAGGGGAAAGGTACGTCTCACATGGCAGCAGATAGGAGAGCTTGTGCAGGGAAACTCCCATTTTTAAAACCATCAGATCTCATGAGACTCATTCACTATCAGGAGAACAGCACAGGAAAGACCCAGCCTCATAATTCAATCGCCTCTCACCGGCTTCCTCTCACAACATGTGGGAATTGTGGGAGTTACAATTCAAGATGAGATTTGGGTGGGGACACAGCCAAACCATATCACCATTGAAAAGCATTCTATTGAAAGGACACCCAGTAATCTTTTTGCCCATTACAAAGTTTTTCACATTTCTTCCCGGTACTATATATTTTAATTGTATGGATTTAAAATTTTCCAGGATAAACTCTGTACACCAAGACCTTGCCAGAGAATATAATTATCAACTGTGGACTTTCCTACTATTATCAAATGAGAGAAATTTCGTCTATCATCAACATCAAAATAAAAATGTAGAGATGAATCTCCAAATTTAACATTTTATTTGGGAAGAAAGAATTGCAATTCAGGGCATACCTACAGACGAGGTGGTCTTTGATATGCCTGAAGAACAAAAAATGTTGGAGGTTTTATAAAAAAGAGAAACATTATGTATTGCTCTTTGAGAAAGTTAATTGGCACTAGTAAAGTGGGAGCTTGGAAGTTTTTATTGGTGAGTGATGGTGGTGGTTAAAATTAATCTTAGAATTGCAGCAGGTTGTTTCAGCAGCTATTAGATAAAATGGGTTTCAGGTTACAGTGGGTAGTTTCAGCAGCTAGGCTTTCAGAGAATTAGATTTTTGGAGCAATGTTGTAAGTCCTGAGTGCTTTTTCCCGATAGCTTCTTGACTCTGTTTTAGTTGGATATGTTAAGAATGACTCAATTTGTATGATCAACTTTCACGCTAACTACCCACCTCCACCCCCAATACAATTAAACATAGACATGTATACATACATGGGAATACTTAGACAAAAAGATGCATTCCATTCGTTTCTCTTAAAGACACATAGCCTAGACTTGAGGTCTGGAGCCAGGCTGGCATAGCCCACAGACCTATGTGTCTATAACACAGTGTTTTGGACCCTGTAGAAATTTGTCTACTAACTTGTGTTAGCTCACACGTCAGTATTTTTTTAAGCTGCCACGTGATCGAACTTGCATTGAAGCCTAAACAATGTTGCATTTAGATTGCAAAGCTTTGAGAGAAACTTTTTTTAAAAACTTCTTTGCGATCCTCAAGCAGGACACACATCCGGTGATAGTTAAGAAAATATAATTTGATCATGGAAAGAGTTATAGAATATAAGAGTTTAAGAGAATTTGTAGTTTAGAAAGGAAAAGCATCACGCCGGGCGCGGTGGCTCACGCCTGTAATCCCAGCACTTTGGAAGGCTGAGGCGGGCAGATCACAAGGTCAGGAGATTGAGACCATCCTGGCTAACACGGTGAAACTCCGTCTCTACTAAATATATTAAAAAAAATAGCCAGGCGTGGTGGCAGGCACCTATAGTCCCAGCTCCTCGGGAGGCTGAGGCAGGAGAATGGTGTGAACCCGGGAAGTGGAGCTTGCAGTGAGTGGAGATCGCGCCACTGCACTCCAGCATGGGCAACAGAGCAAGATTCTGTCTCAAAAAAAAAAAAAAAGGAAAAGCATCTTGTCTACCTATCCAATTAATAGCAGAACTAGGAACCCAGCGTGTTAGGCAGAATTTTAAGATGGCCCCATGACTATCGCCCTCTGGTGCTACTTCTGAGATTGTTATGTTGCATGTGTCAAAGGTTCTCTTCTTGAACCAAGCTCTAGTCAAGTTCTTCTGAGCCCCATTAGGTCCCATCCCTGGGCATATCCTTCAAGAGCCCAATTTTAGCAAGAATCCTGCTAAGTCAGTTTAGCCAGAATCCCCCATTCTCCATATCCGATCAAATTCCTTATCCCCCACCGTCCCTTAGATGTTGTCTTATTACTCTGGTCTGCTTTCAGCAAGAATCCTGTTAGGTCAGTTCAGTCATTATCCTCCTTACCGCTGATGTTACCTCTTAGTAATTTTCCATCCATTGCTCCTCGCTATAAATTCCCACTTTTCCTTGTTTTTGTTTTTGTTTTTTGTTTGGTTTTTTTTTGAGACAGAGTCTCGCTCTGTAGCCCAGGCTGGAGTGCAGGGGCGCGATCTCGGCTCACTGCAAGCTCTGCCTCCTGGGTTCACGCCATTCTCCTGCCTCAGCCTCCCGAGTAGCTGGGACTACAGGCGCCCGCCCACTCCCGGCTAATTTTTTGTATTTTTAGTAGAGACGGGGTTTCACCGCGTTAGCCAGGATGGTCTCGATCTCCTGACCTCGTGATCCGCCCGCCTCGGCCTCCCAAAGTGCTGGGATTATAGGCGTGAGCCACCGTGCCCGGCCTCCTTGTTTTATTTAGAGTTGAGCACAATCTCTCTTCCCTACTGCAAAACCCCATTGCAGTAGTCTATATGCCAGTCTCAATAGTCATAGTCCCTTCCTGAACAAAGTCTTCCTTTCTGTGTTTAACAAGCATTATTAATAATTTTTTCTTTAGTACTTGGCATAGGGAGATTATTCAGGTAGGCTTAATCTAGTCCCATAAACCCATTAAGGGAGCAGAGAGTTTTCTCCAGCTAGTGGCAGAAGAAGTCAGAAAGACTCAAAGTGTGAGGGGGATTTGACATGACAGCAGTCCTCTGTTGCAGATATGGAGGGAGCCATGTGGAATGATATGAGAGTGGCATTGAGGAGCTGATTGACCCTTGGCCCACAGCCAGCAGTGACAGTAACCTTAGTCCTACCTCTGCAAAGAACTGAATTTGGCCAAAGAACTGAATTTGGCCAACAACTTGAAGGAACTAGGAAGCAGTTGCTCACAGAGCCACTAGGTAGAAACCCAGCCTGTGAGACTCTAAGCCGAGAACCCAGCTAAGTCCCCTTGGGCTTCTGAGCTACAGAACTGTAAGACAATAAATGGGTGGTATTTTAAGCTATTAAGTTTGTGGCAATTTGTTATGAAGCAATAGAAGTCTAATCCAAGTCTAAAGCCTTTCCTTCACAGCATTTGGTGTCCTCACAGACTGATAGGAAGTTAGTCCTTCTGTTTCTCTGTGAGGGTTGGAGTGCTTTAGAACATGGTCCCCAAACTTTTTGGCACCAGGGACCGGTTTCATGGAAGACAATTTTTCCATGAACCAGGGGGCTAGCGGGGGGTGGTTTCAGGATGATTCAAGCACATTCAATTTATTGTGCACTTTATTTCTATTATTATTACATTGTAATATATAATGAAACAATTAATACAACTCAGCATAATGTAGAATCAGTGGGAGCCCTGAGTTTGTTTTCCTGCAACCAGGTGGTCCATCTGGAGGTGATGGGAGACAGCGACAGATCATTAGGCATTAGTTAGATGCTCATAAGAAGTGCACAACCTAGATCCCTCACATGTGCAGTTCACAGTAGGGTTCATGTTCCTAGGAGAATCTAATGCCACCGCTGATCTGACAGGAGGAGAAGCTCAGGCAGTAATGTGAGTGATGGGGAGCAGCTGTAAACACAGATGAAGCTTTGCGGACCTGTTCACCTCCTGCGGGGTAGCCCAGTTCATAACAGGCCATGGACCAGTACCAGTCCGCAATCTGGGGTCTGGGGACCTCTGGTTTAGAGGGTAAAGGAATTTGAGTTCGGATGTTATCTCTGCTAATGATAACCCCACTGCCATTGTTGAGTGGGTGCTAGGAGCCAGGCATTGTAATGGGAAGCTTTGCATTTGTTACTTTGATTTTCAACAACTATCCATAAATTCTGTAGGAATTTCCCTTTTGACGGTAAAATACCCAAGGCTCGTTAAGGCAAGCTCATGACCCAAAGTCATGCTGCTAGTAAATGGCAATGCAGAGTTCTATATTGTTTCTATCTGACCTGGCAGTTTTGTGCTGACGACATCCAGTGACCTTGTATTCATTTGCTAGGACCACTGTAACAAAGTAGCACAAGCTGGATGGCTTAAACAACAGAAATTTATTTCCCAGTTCTGGAATTTGGAAGTCCAAGATCACTGTGTCAGCAGGATTGGTTCCTTCTGAAGGCGGTGAGGGAAGGATGTGTTCCAGGCCTCCCTCCTAGCTCCCGGTGGTTTGCAGGTAATCATCAAATATGCATCACCCTGACCTCTGCTGTCATATTCACATGGCATTCTTCCTGTGTGCCTGTCTGTGTGTCCGTCTGTGTGTACAAATTTCCCATTTGATATGGACACAGTCATATCCGATTAGGCGCCACTCTAATGACCTCATTGTGACTCGATCACCTGCCAAAACCCTCTTTCCAAACAAGGGCACATTTACACACCCTGGGGGTAAGAACTTCAACATTTTCGGTGATAGGGACACATTTCAATTCATTACAGACCTCAAGATCTAGTTTGTATCTTAAAGGCAAGAGAAATGCACTTGTTTGCAGGTGTGTATTGCCTTTCCCCATTAATCCCAGAGCTGGAGATTGATATCAGTACCCAAACCCTGGGCAGAGGGATAAAAGGGGCTTTTGTGTTTCTCTTCCTGCCCGTTTAGTCTTCCTATCTCTTATCACTACATCCTATGCCTTTAGGCTGTCTCAGCCTCCTCAGATCCTAGAGAGAGGAAGCTGTCAAATCCTCCTAGATCTCTTGCCCTCTACCCCCTGCTTTGTGATCCAAATCCTGCTTATACTCAGCATGGCTGCAGAGGCCTCTAATTGGGGGTGGGAGTGTGGGAGTGAGGAGTGGAGGAGGGGTGGTCTTCAGCACATTGATGAGGCTTCCTAGGAAGGAAGTGGCTTCTGGGCACAGTCCAGAAGTCAGAAAATCTCTGCGGCCATTGCTTTACTTGCTTCTCTCTCACTTTACCAGAGGTGAGTCTATCAATAGAAATACACCCTACCATCTGTTAACTTTCTACTGCCAGCCAGGCCCTGTTCTAGGAACTTTATATATAAGATCTCACTTTATTTTCATTATAATCAACATTTGTACAATGTTTTATAATTTGTGAAGCATTTTTTCATCTGACCTTTGCTATATTCTTTTGAGAGAAGAAAATCAATTTTATTTCCATTTTGTGGATGAACAACTGACTTGCTTGATGCCACACTACATATGATGTAGCTACTGCCTACTAGGTTCACAGATGCAGCCAGGTTCTCCAGGGGAGCAGCTAAAGGCCATTTTCCAGAGGAGAATTTTTTTTTTTTTTTTTTGAGACAGAGTTTCACTCTTGGTGCCCAGGCTGGAGTGAAATGGCACAATCTTGGCTCACTGCAACTTCTGCCTCCCGGATTCAAGCAATTCTCCTGCCTCAGCCTCCTGAGTAGCTGGGATTACAGTCATGCGCCACCATGCCCAGCTAATGTTTGTATTTTTAGTAGAGATGGGTTTTCTCCATTTTGGTCAGGCTGGTCTCGAACTCCCGACCTCAGGTGATCCGCCCGCCTTGGCCTCCCAAAGTGCTGGGATTACAGGCGTGAGCCAATGCACCCGGCCCAGAGGATATGTTTTGTTCCCACCTACTGTTGATAGTCTTTTAGAACCTGCCTCCTTCAAAGGCCCATGTGGAAGGCAGCCATGTCTTGGATCTCTACTCCATGCTGAAAGTAATATAAATGAGTCTCTCTCTCTCACTCATCGTGCAGGCACACACAAGCCTTGTGATCTTGCTTTTGGAAAGAAACCATGGCTTTACTTTGATAGAGTTGAGGGGTTAGTGTGTACCACCCACTGGTTCCCAAGAGACAAACCCAAGGGAAGGTGGCAAAACTTAATAGCTCATTACATTGTTCTTCCATTTATTCCTTACAAGCATCCTTTGTGCCTGGTGTAAGTCTTCCAATCTTTTTATAGAAGAAAATTAAGACTCAGAGAAGCTAGATAACTAGCCCCAGGTCACACAGTAATAGTAAGGGGCAGAGTCAGAATTTGAACTCAGACCTGTGGGTTCAAACCCCTGATGCAGTCATTATCCCTAGCCAGAGTTTTTGCTGAAGTCTTTGTTACGTATTCTTTGGGAAGCATGGCTCAGCACACAGTAGGTGCTCTATAAAGAATGATGATGTTTGTATTTGTCATTTATTGCTCCATAACAACCCCCAAACTTAGCATCTGATAACAATGCACATATATTATGTCATAGTTTCCATGGGCCAGGCATCCAGATAAGATTTAACTGAGTGGTTCTAGCTTAGGATATCTCCTATAGTTGCCGTCAAGCTGTCAGCCAGGCTTGTGGTCACCCGGGGCTGGAGGATCTGCTTCCAAGCTCACTCATGGGGTAGTTAGTAGGACTCAGCTCCTCAGAGGCTGTGGACTGCATACCTCATCACATGGGTCTCTCCATAGGCTTCCTGAATGTCCTCACAGCGTGGCAGCTGGCCTCATCTAGAGCAAGCAATTTGAGAGACAGCCCAAGATGGAAGAAGCTGCAGTCTTTTATTATCTAATCTCAGATGTGACCGACTGTCACTTCTGCCATCTTTTATTGGTCACACAGACCAGCCCTGGTACAATGTGGGAGGAGCCTACACAAGGGGGTGAATACCAAAGGGTGGAGTCCCTGGGCGCCGTCTTGCAGGCTGGCTCCTGAAGTAGACCAAAATACTTCACCCCAAAATATACTTCTTTGACGTATTTTGAGATGGCAGTTCAGAGAGCCTGCACACAGAAGTGGCCCTGCCAAGCTATCTTTTGCCGGGGAGATTGGCATCTGTAGAGAATCTGCATTGAGGCGGCCAGGCTTTCCCTGAAGCTTTCTCTTGTCCTTATCTAGAAAAGATTAACAGAGAGCCTGACACCTTAAATATCTGAAAGATACATTTACCATCTATTCTCCCTGCAGGCTGCTAAATGTGAGGTTTCATCCATGTAACAAGACCACTTTTGCTAGCCAGGTCTCCTCTTGGCTCTCTCTCCCACAACCTGTCTTGCCACCATAACCCGATTTACCACCATCATCTGTTTTTGTCTATACTCTGAGCCCCCATTCTTCTGTAATCCCAAGATGGTGTGTAAGATTCTGTACCCCACTGGGGCATGGGGGCAATCACTCTGTGGTTCTCACCCATGCATGTTAATAAATTTGTGTGCCATTTCTCCTATTAATCTGCCTTTTGTCAGTTTATTTTTCAGCGAAACTTCAGAGGGCAAAGGGAAAGTTTCCTGTTGGCCTCCACTACCATAATTTGTCTATATATTTTTACATTTTCCAGATAAATTCTCATATCTTATTTCATTTTTAAAAACTTTTTTCTGGCATGAATTTACCTTGTTTTCCCAGTATATCAAAAGCCTTTCAAGGGAAAAGAATCTCACATTTATTGATTCTTTGCTCCTACCCCACTATCTTCCCAACCCATGTCAGTAAACAAAACAAAATGAAATTAAATGAAGCTTTTATGGTTTTGGAAACCGTGTTCATTGCACTAATCATGTAGGCTGCTTTACCTTCTGGGCCTCAATTTTTTCCCTCTATAAAATGGGGTGCAGAGGAAAGAAGGTTGGACCAGATATTCTCACAGGGCCCGTCTGAGACAGGAATAATATAGTATAGTTGCAGTAGAATAGAAAATTCCAGGCAGCAGTTTCACATGACCAGCAAAAGGAAACTTGAAATAGCTACAGAAGCCAAGGACTAAGACCTTAAAAAACCAGCATGTGGACCAAGCTGGCTAAGACCAACTGGACCCAACATGGAGCTGGATTTTACCTGGGTTTCTCCTAGGAACTCATTATATGTGCATTAAAACACTAAGTCCACCAGTGCCATGAAAGTTCCGGGAAGACCCATATTTGGTATAAAAATGGGTGGCACTGCCGTTCTGAGAAATTTCCACCTTTTTCCAGGAATTTTCATGAATGTTCCACCCCTTGGTTAAAGAAACCCATAAGGGTAGCAGCCCCAAACCCCGTTGCGTGTGACTCTTGAGTAGGCCTGCACTCCCCTGAGTGTGTACGTTTTGCTTCGCAGTATATCTCCATGCTTTCACTATTTTCTGACTCATCCTTGAATTCCTTCTCACGATAGCGTCAAGAGCCTGGACACTGGCTGGGGTTGAAGTGCTCTGGAGTTTGGGGATCTCTCCCAGCCTAACAGTATCATTTCCAGCTGCAACTTTTTTTTCTAAAGTGGAAGGGACCATCTCCACTTGACATATACAGAAACAAAGGCAGAGACTTGAGGGGTTAACCAACATTACCAGGGCAGTCTGTGGCAAAGCCATGAACAGAACTATGTTTTCAGGACTGCTGGGCCAATGTGCCTTCTCCTATTTTTGCTGCCTACATTTGGGACTGGTGAAAAGCTGGGCCAGCCTCTGGTCACTGTATCTGTTGTCTTAGTATCTTAGTAGTATTATTATTACTGCTAGTACTACTAGTTCTACTATATTATTACTGCTGCCATTCATTTAGCACCTAATTGCGACACCCATTTGCAGAGTTTCTGTTGTTCATGAGTCACAAAAATCCTATGAAATAGAAATTATTTCCATTTAACAGAAGAGAAGCCCTAGGCAAATTTTTACCTAAATGATTGGCCTTAAGTCACCAAGGAGTGAGTAGAAAGAGTTTGAAATTTGGAAGCTGCATTGAGAGCAAACAGAAGCAGAAGGCACTGAATTCAGATGACTTCATCCTAGCCACCTAAAATGTCTGGCAAGGCAGCTGCACCCTAAGCAGCTGCCAGACCCCTGTACTGAAGAGTGAGGTGACCTCCAGGGACACCTGTGTGGAGGGTGACCTTGACACAATAGCTATCTGACTGCGTCTTGAGCAGGTGGCCTGCTATGCTCTGAGCCAAGAACAAGACGGGGATAAAAATTGCAACATGTTTGCTCTACATAACGCTGTGGTGCCCTTGACTTCCAGGCTGCAGAAACACCCATCAATGTGATGGGGCTGGAAGAGAAGTGAAGACTTGGAATGTACTATCCCAGTAGCAGCCCGGCACATCCCCGAGTCTGCCTTAGAATGCCAGATAGCTTTCTGCCACTTTTTGGCAGAACCAAGCCTCCTTTTTTCCCCATGTTAGGGAATTCACCTGTCTTTTCCTGGGTTTGGGCTACCCGTAGTCCCCTGTCAACTCCAAACTCTAGCCTCTGTTACCTTCCAGTTCAGCATGATCTTGCCTAACCCCTTAATGTATTGTAGGCCTTAGTAGCAGTTCTGAAACTTCTTAAAGAAGCTCCTTACTTTTCCTGGGACAAGAGAGCCCACACCACGGAGGCCTGCTGATTCACTTTAAAAATCGCTAGGGGTAGGAAGGAGAAAACTACTTTTTTATGCTTTGGAGTTTCTTCTAGCAAGGAGAAGGTGGCAAAATTTAATAGCTCATTATGTTATTCTTCCATTTATTCCTTACAAGCATCCTTTGTGCCTGGTATAAGTCTTCCAATCTTTTATACAAGAAAAGTAAGACTCAGAGAAGTTAGATAACTAGCTCCAGGTCACACAGTAATAGTAAGGGGCAGAGTCAGAATTTGAACTCAGACCTGTGTAACCTGAGCCATAGGCTGTGGGCCTGACAGTGGTGAGCACCTACCATCTGCTGGACTGTATCTTTTTATAGATGCTTTCTGGATGTTGTCCAGTTTTAAGCCTCACCACAATCCTGTGAGATAGGTCTCATTGAGTCACTTTATGGATTATAAAACTGGCTCAGTAAGGTCAAATAACTTGCCCAAGGACAAAGAGTTAGATGTGGCAGGAACTAAGTAGAGTTCAGAATACCCCTGTGAGGTCTTCCTTCCTCCAGGGCCAACAGGAAACCTAAGCTCCAGGTGCTCCCAATTAGATTGACCTAACTGATACCTGGTTCTCCCTTGAGAACCCTGTTTCCCTGCAGTTCTCTCAAGTGGTGGCTGCCTTCTATCCAATGACCCTTACCTACAGGGCCTGGTGTAAGGTAGGTGTCCTCCTAGCTCCTTATTGCTGCATTCAGACCACCTGCCTCCTTCTTCACTAACTGCTCCAAACCAAGCTTGAACTGCAAGTCACAGACCCCCTCCCCCTTCTTATCACAATCAACTACTGCTCTCCAGACCCTCCCTCTAATTCCTTGAAGAGTAGGACCTGGCTCATTGTCACCCTCTCCTGAAACCACTTTTGCAAAAATTATAACAGTGCGACAATTATGACAGTGAAATAGATCTAATCTAACCAATTCCATCTTGCCTTTAAACTCTAAGCTGTCCTTGGTCATTCCTGAGTGTGAGCCAAGCTAACTTTGGGAGAAACTTAGTTTATACTTTAAATGATAATAGCCCTTCCCAAAACTAAACTACCTTTGTAAAACTAGTGAAAGGTCATCAGGTTAGGAGGATGAGAGGGGTCTGAATTCTGCTAAAATGTAAGCATAGTTAACCAATAACTAGCCATTGTTCTGGGGGTCACGAGATTTGCCACTTCCCCAATTACTCATATAAATAACATTATTGTAGAACCTAAGGTTGACCTTTTAAGATGTCTTTTTAGGCTTTTGTGTTTCTGATGACCAGATGGCTCCACCCCACCCAGAAGCAGACTCAGCACATGAGGGCCATTTTCCACACCCCTATG
Source organism: Homo sapiens (assembly GCF_000001405.40). Lineage (NCBI taxonomy): Eukaryota > Metazoa > Chordata > Mammalia > Primates > Hominidae > Homo > Homo sapiens. The sequence continues at coordinate 2,739,857 of NC_000009.12, read as the reverse complement.
ATTATATCTCCGATCAGTCAGGAGCACCCATTCCCTGGACCCTTGCCTGCCAAACTATCCTTAAAAAAACCTTAGCCTCTGAATTTTTAAGGAGGCAATTTGAGTAATAATAAAACTCTGGTCTTCTGTTTAGGGGTTCTATGTGTATTAAACTTTCTCTATAGCAGTGCCCTTGATAAATCGGCTCTATCTGGGCAGTGGGCAAAATGAACCCATTGGGCGATTATACTCCAACACCATTCTCTAATTCTCAGGTACTTTAATACCTACATTAGTTAGACTTCCAATACCCTTCACCTTCTCACCATCTGTAGTTTTCTTCTATCGTACTTCAGACACTCACTGCCATTACTCTAGGTACTTTAATACCTACATCAGTGAGACTTCCAATAACCTTCACCTTCTCACCACGTGTCATTTTTTGTTCTATCCTACTTCAGGCACTTACTACCATTACTCTAAATTATGCATGGGAATGGCAATCATTCCATAAAGTCAATTTCATACATCCCACTTTTTGATATCTTTCTTTCCAGTTCACTCCCTCTAGTGTCTGAACTTCAATAACTCTACCACTGCAGCATGACCTACAATCTGTTACACCTTCCTCTTTGCTGTTCCTCATTCCTTCAGTGGCCTCCTCACATGCCAGGAGTGCTCCTACTCCAGGACATTTGCACTTGGTGTTTGCTCTTCCCCAGGATACCTGTGGGGTTCAGTCCTCACCTCCTGAAAGGCTTTGCTCCAGTGTCATCCTTCACAGTGAGGCCCACCCCAGTCATTTTATTGAACATCGTGCCTCACTCCAGTATTGTTACTCCTTATCCTCCTCCTATGATTGATTTTCCTCCATTGTACTTATCAGTAAAATATTATATATTCCTCTTTCTATTTATTCCTCTACAATGGAAGGTTTATGAAGGCAGGGAAGTTTGTTCACTGTAACTCAGTTGCCTAGAACAGTGCTTGGCACACATATGGTTATCAATAAGTATTAGTTGAATGAAAACAATGGGCTGGGCTAGGGCTGTATTTTTGAACCCAAGTTAGTTGAACTAGAAAGTTCCTCCTTCCCACTACCCCATGTCATTTCAAGAAGAACCACAGATATAAACTAGACTCGTGGGAACCATTGAGTTAGAGGCTTTTCTAGGGGTATGAGTGGGAGTTCAAGGAAGGGATTCCATAAAACACTCCAAATGTGGGTGATTGACAAAGTAGTACCAATTAAAATTAAAAAAAATCAAACGGTTGCTGATATAATGAAGACACAGAGCCAATCTCATTGCTACTCTCTTCTTTCTATTTCCTGCATACACACACACATGCACACACATACATACATACACATATACATACGTATGCACATATATACATATATATGCATGCACATACATATATATATATGTCTTTCTTTTTTTTTTTTTTTTTTTTTAGACAGGCTATCACTCTGTTACCCAGGCTGAAGTGTAGTGGCACAATCAAAGCTCAATGCAACCTCCATCTCCTGGACTCAAGCAATCCTCCCACCTCAGCCTCCTGAGTAGCTAGGACCACAGGTGCCTGCCACCACACCTGGCTAATTTTCGAAACATTTTTGTAGGGACAGGGTCTCACTATGTTGCCCAGGCTGGTCTAAAACTCCTGGTTTCAAGCAATCCTCCTGCATTGTTGACCTCCCAAAGTGCTGGGATTATAGGTGTGAGCCACTGCTATATGTCTATTATCTCTCTCTCCCTCACTCCCTTTCTGCCTCTCATTTTTTTACCTCTTACTCCTTTGACCTCTTTTCTCTTCTCCTCAGCTTTCTTGAAGAACAAAGCACATTATTTTTTGGAAATAATTTTAATTTCCAAAGTGTAGGAAAAATGAAATTGTCCCCCTCCCTGAGTTCTCTTGAGCATCCTGTGCTATAATGAAATAAATGGCCTGGAGGCAGATGTGGTGAGTGGAGATTGGTTGGTAGGTCTGTGCGTGTTTGGGTTCTCTCTCTCTGCCTCCCTGTGTGGACTCTGTAGCTCTAGGAGGATGAGCAGGGAAGGAAAAACTTGTCACTGGCCCTTTGTCTCATGCTACTTATGAAACAGAAATAAGTGACAGACAAGGCTAGAGATTTTGAGGAAAATGAAGGAAGGAGAGGGAAATCCCTTTGGTAGTGAACCTTGAAGCTGGTAGAAAAATATAAATCCTCTTTCTGAGTGCCAAGTTTTAATTTCCATGAAGGGATTAGCCTGAAGGAATCCAATTTTTCTCTCCCTCAGTGAATTAGTCTACAACAGCTCCAAGTGGTAAAACCAGGGCGACGATTCTGAGGTTGGGGCACCTGCCACACCAGTGGGAAGCAGAAATTGTCTGAGGAAAATCTATTACATGGAATTTGGCAGTCTTTAATGGGTAGTATATGGAGCATTATGGAAAAGACAAGAACTTTGGTTTCAGACATACTTGGGCCCAAACCCTTGCGGCATTATTTTCAGCTTCTGAAACCTTGAGCATATTACTTAATGACTTTGTGCCTTGGCTTCCTCTTCTGTCAAGTGGAGATAATAATAGTCCCTACCTCCCTGGGCTGTCATAAGGACTGGAGATGGCGCATAGTAATGATGACAGTGATGGTAGTGATGATTAGAATAAATTTGGACATTTACCATGTGCCAGACATGGTACTAAAATGTATACATTAGCTTGCTTGAAGTGCTCAGAAAGAATGCTTGGCACGTAGTGGGCATTGGATCCATTTTAAGCAGCATTATTATCAAGTACTATGTAGAAGAGTGAGAAAATTACTTTGGGGGGCATGAATATTCAAGACATATAAATGTTTCAGGTTACCTCTCTGTTATGATGGAAACTTGATGCAAAAAGAGGCATTTATCAAGGTGGATTAGAAACGATTGCAGAATCTCAGTGACTTTACCCAACAGAGGTGTATTTCTCACTTACATGACATGTGCAACAGGGGTCAGCCTGGGGTTCTGTTCATCAAGGTACTCTGCCTTTGGCTGATGGATGCTCCATCTTGACATGTGTTTCCACAGTTACAAAAACATAGAAAAGGAAGACTGGAGGAGAGAAGTAGCAATTAAATGCTTCTACTCAGAAGTAATATCTTTTGCTCTTATTTTTTTGGCCAAAACAAGCCATTTGTCACACATAACTTGAATGTGGTGGAGAAATGCAATTAGAATGCACATATTTCAGGAAAATTAATAAAATACTTGTGAACAGCCTAATGGCTGGGGAGCCTGATGACCACCACAGAAGAGCACACTGTGGATGGTGGACATTCTGTTGATAAAATATGAATAATAAGAGCTACCATGATCCGGGCACCCATTATGTAATAGATATTGTGCCAGGTACTTTGCCTTTATGTATCAGTTAACCCTCCCAATAAGGAAATCTTAATCTCCACGTTATAAGGTGGAAACTGAGGCTTGAAGAGGCTCACTTGGCCAGGCATGGTGGCTCATGCATGTAATCCTCTTGCTTTGGGAGGCTGAGGTGGGCGGATCACTTGAGCCCGGAAGTTGGAGACCAGCCTGAGCAACATGCAGAACCCTGTCTCAAAAAAAAAAAAAAAAAATTTAAAGTACAAAAATTAGCCAGGTGTGGTGGTGGGTACCCGTCGTCCCAGCTACTAGGGAGGCTGAGGTGGATGATCACCTGAGCCTGGGAGGTTGAGGCTGAGGTGAGCCATGATTGCGCCACTGCACTCCAGCCTGGGTGCCAGAGTGAGACCCTGTCTCAAAAAAAAAAAAAAAGAAAAAAAAAAGAAGGAGGCAGAGAGGCTTACTTAACAAAACATACTAGGTATTAAGGATAACTGAGCGTAGTCTGCACAGGTTTTCTGAATTTACAGGGAAATCCTTCAAAAAGAACAGTGCACTAGGAGACTATAGAGACTGATTTCTAGTTCTTTTTTCTGGTTTTTAACACTCAAGCACATGCTAGGATGACAAACAGGTCTTGAGTGTCAACTCTGAGAGATTTGCGTTGGTTGCTAGAGAACTGCAACAAGAAGGCCTTCCAACGGGAACGAGTAATGTGATTGATTAACAATATCTGCTGTGGACATAGGGAGTGGGTGGCAGCATGGGAAACAGATCCATCTCTGGGCATTTCTCTTAACTTCTCTCGGTCTCAGTTATACCACCTGCCAAACGAGGTAAATAAACCTTACCTGAATCAAGGTAAGAGCCTGGTTGAGATGATTTCTTGATGTCCTCAGAGGGCACCAAAACTTCTGTTTCTAGGTGCATATATTTGAACAGATTTTATGCACGCGATTCCATCATATATTCACAAAAATCCATTTGCATATTGGGATGAGGTTGTGTAAGGGAACTCAACAGATTTAGTCACAGAAAACTTCTCCTAAAGATGGTGGAGCTGGCAGCCTTTGACAGGAGAGATGAATCATTTATTGGCACTGAGGTATGCCGATTATCATTTCCTATCAATCATCTGTGAGTTGGATATGGCTTTTTTTTTTTTTTTTTTTTTTTTTTTTTTAAAGACCAAGTCTCACTCTGTCACCCAGGCTGGAGTGCAGTGGTGCGATGTCGGCTCATTGCAACCTCTGCCTCCCAGGTTCAAGAGATGCTCCTGCCTCACCCTCCTGAGTAGCTGGGATTACAGGCATGCGTCACCATGCCCGGCTAATTTTTTTGTATTTTTAATAGAGACGGGGTTTCACCATGTTGGCCAGGCTGGTCTCCAACTCCTGACCTCAAGTGATCTTCCTATATTGGTCTCTCAAAGTGCTGGGATTACAGGCATGAGCCACTGTGCCCGCAGACATACCTCTTTGTTGATAAATCTGAAGACTGTCTTTCTCAGTCTGGGGTGGTGACTGTCAGACAAACATGCCTCATCTATTTGGTGGCGAGTTGGGGAATATGCACAATATATTTTTCTTAAACAATACAAGATGTATTAAGGTTCCAGCAGGAAATAGATGGCACACTCAAGCAGTTTAATTGAAGAGATTTTAATAAAGATTCCATTTACACACACAGGTATGATCTGGATGAAGAGAACCAACAAGGCTCGGTAGGATATTCGAGAGTTGGCAACAGTGGGAGGCCATTACTACTCATAGGCCTGAGGGAACAACAGGAGGGAAAGGTGTTTCTAGGACCTGTAAATGCTGTGGTTAAACAAGGCTACTCAACTGAGCCACGGCTGTAGGAACTCAACTACTGCTTAGACTGGACAGTGGATAGAGAGAGGGTGAGGAGTACACACCCAGAACATTCTCTCCAAGACCCCTTGGTCATGCTGCAGGGCAGAAAAGGGTAAATAATGGCTGTGGGAGGACAGAGGGAGAAGGCCCAGCACACCAGAATAGACATAGAAGGTAGAATACAAAATTCACATGAGTTTTAAAAGCATCACATCAGAGGAAACCAGGGAGGGAAAGGAAAGCTGGAGTGTAGGGACCACATTCCCCTCGACTTGGGGAACCAGGACATCAGCCTGGGAGGAGGGAACTGGGAGCTCAACAAAATGCAAACTATTTTCTTGAACCTGGAATCTTTGGCAAACTATTTTCTTGAACCTGGAATCTTTGGAGGCAGGTGATAACTAATGCTTTCCCCTTAAATTTGAGAAACGTTTCTTGTGAACATGTCCACTTATTTTTTGAAGCTAAGGTGAAACAGGGGAAGTGTTTTTGGCCCAGTCTGGGTTAGAAGATTAAGAAGATAATGTGTATGGCCTTGGGTAGGCACAAGTGAGGGAGCCCCAAAGCCCCTCGGGATGAAGGTTGGGACCCATTTGAATAATGGAGATGGTCTTTTCAGAGCTCTTTTTTGTTGTTGCTTATACTTTGGAAGATTTTCTTTTCTTTTCTCTTTAACAAAGGAGGCCATCCCAGTCCACCAATCAGATCAACGCTATCTATTTACAATGCTGCACCTGTTGGCCTAGAAACCCATTCCAGCGGCTGGGCCAGAACAGGGGTACTGTCATGTTTTCTTGCTCTTTTCTTGGTTCTACTCCTTCACAAAAAGCCAAGCACTCCTCCTGAGATCCCACCATGAGGGCAGAAGAAGAGGCTACATTGCACTGTACATCTGCATTGTCTAATTTGGTAGCCTCCAGCCACACATGGACATTTGAATCTAAAATAAAATTAATTAAAATTAAGTAATAAAAAATTTAGTTCCAGACTTATGTTAGCTGCATTTCATGTGCCCCCTAGCCACACATGGCTGATGGCTACTGCATCAGACAGTGCATAATAAAATTTCCATCATTACAGAAAGTTCTATTGGACAGACTCATCTAGATCCTTGTGCATACCACTGGTTGGGCTAGGGGGCTGGCAACAGGATTCAAAAGCTGTCTTCACCCACAGAATCCTGTCTTCGATGACAGGTGACTCTGTCTGGACTTGTATAGTTTTCCTATGCAGCTAGCAAAATAGTGATGATGATGGTGATAATAGTGATCTAAATTTATTGAGCACTAAATATGTGTCAAATAGTACATTAAGAGATCTATCATATCATTTTATTACCACCACAACCCTGAGAAAGACATCGTTATCATCTCCATTTAAATGAAGCAGAAACTGAGGCTGAGGGAAATTGTGGTCACACAACTATTCAGTTATGCCATGTGAAATTACACTATTCAGACATTTTAAAATGCAAATGGAAACTTCATATGGCTTAACCTCTTAGTCAATGGCAGAGCCAGGTTTCAAACCCAGACCCAAAGACCGTGTCAAGTTAAAGGAAGCTAAGCCTTTGTAAATGACCACCTTGAAACCCATGTCATAGGAGTGTTGAAGGATTAAGTGACATAATGTTGGTTTTGTGCCTGGTACACAGTGAGGCTTACGAAACATTCTTTTTGTTTTAACTTCCTTCGATCTGTCAGTCTTACTTGCTGGGAAGGCCGTGCTGAGCAGATGTGGCCAGTGAGATTGGGAGGAGTGGGCCACTGTCGTTTCCAAGATTCCCTCCCAGGGATCTGGAAAAGTCCATCTTTTTCATCAGACCTCTCCCGACCCTTCCTCCACAGGTCCCTACTCCTTTCTCTCAGGCAGTCTCTTCTGCTGGGAAGGTCTGGACCATTCTGTCTGGGCTTCAAGCAGGGTTGGGGTGATGGACATTGGCCCTTCCTAACAGCCCCAGCAGATGCATTTCATCAGTAAATCCCTCCCCTTGGAGACTGCAGAAGGAGCAGGAAGGCTGGAGGTCGACAAGAAGAGGCGGCTGCTGCAGTGAGGGTGTTAGGTGGTTATGTAAGCTGTGCTCCAGACCTGCACGTTGTAACTTTGTTTGCATGATTGTATCTGGCAAAGAAACTAATTAGAAATTTATCTCTTTTATATTTGGCAAGAGGGGAGAGAAGTCTCCCTTGGCTGAGAGGCCTGTTGTTTGGGTGGGTTTTTTAGGACTTGGGGGTAATTTTCATCCGTAAGAGGAAACTCAAAAGCAATAGTGCAGGATTGCCAGATTTAGCAAATGAAAGTACAGGACACCTTAAATTTGAATTTTAAATAAACAGTTTTTTAGTAGAAGTATACACCATGCAATATTTGCAAAATGCTTCTACTAAAAATTATTTATCTTGAAATTTAACTGGTGCTATGGTTGGGATGCGTCTCCTCCAAAATTCAGCTGTTGCCAATGTGATAGTTTTCAGAGGTGGATCCTTTAAGAGGTGATTAAGCCATGAGAGCTCCTCCCTCCTGAAAGCACGTAAGGTCCTTATAAAAAGGGATTCATGTAGTGTTTGGTAAGCTTGCTCTTCTACCGCGTGAGGGTAGAGTAGTCCTCCCCTCAGGAGGATGCAGCAATAAGGAACCATCTTGGAAACAGAAAGCAGCTCTCATCAGACAACTGAACGTGCACATGCCTTGATTTTGGGATTCCCAGACTCCAGAACTGTGAGCAGTAAGTGTCTGTTCATTGAAAATTACCCAGCCTGTAATATTCTGTTTTAGCAGTACAGAGTAAGACACTCCAGGCATCCTGTATTTTATCTGGCAACCTTAGGACAGTAGGGCTTCTGTTCACCCTTCAGAGGCCAGGTCACTGCTGATGATAAGAACACTTGGGAGTAAGGGGGAGTGGGATCTAAATAGAGTTTTCCAGTTATAGCCTCCTTTCATAATCCTAGCTCCTTATGGGAGGGCAGAGCAAAGTGATTTAGACCCCTGGCTCTCAACATGTGTTCCCTCACACAAGCGCCATCAGCATCACCTGGAACTTGTCAGAAATGCAAATCCTTGAGCTCCTTCCCAAGCCTACTGATTGATACCCCAGGGACAGGGCCCAGCATGCTTGGCTTTAACAAGCCGTCCAGGTGATGCTGATGATACAAGTTTAGCCCTCCATCAAGAGCCCTGGGGATCAGACAGACCTGGGCTTGAACCCCAGTCCCACTGTTTACTGGCTGTGTGAACGTAGTGGAATTACTTAACTTCTCCAAGCTTCCATTTCTTCCTAAATTAAAAAGTAATCCAATACCTTATTTAGGGATGTATTAAATATTAAAGTTATATGCTACATATACAGTCCAAATTGCCTCTCATTGTAGGCAACTATTCTTATTTTTTTCTCTCTCTGTTGCTTGAATCAGCAGTTTATTCTTATGACACAAGTATAGGTCCAGCCATGCCCCGAGACAAATTTGAGGGTCTGCATTGGCAAGCTCCAGTTACAGGGCAATCTTTGTGTGCTCAGTTCAAAGGAGTCTTTAATTCTCAACACTTCCATTTCCAATAGTCCCAAGGAAGGACAAAGAAATGAAGAGGAAAAGGTTACAGGGAGAGAAAGGACCCATTTCCTGTGGGCACTGGTTCTCTAATCCACCAACAGTGAGAGTGGAGGGCCACACTGATTTAATTACTTTTGCCCACAGCAATTGTTCAGGAGGTGGGCTATTTTTTTTTCTTCCTTTTGTGGAAAAGAGAAAAAGGAGGCCTGAGTCAGTAAGGACAGTATGGGGGCTCCTTCTAATGGGGGAGGATTAGTACATTTAGGCATGTTTCACAAGTCCAATCTGGGGGCTCCCATATTAAATCTAGACAAGAGTTTCTCCAGTTTGGCACTATTGACATTTTGGGTCAGATAATTCTTTGTTATGGGGGCTGTCCTTTGCCTTGTAGGATGTTTAGCAACATCCTCGGCCCCTAGCTCCTAGATGCCAGAAGTCTCCCTTATTGCCCCTCACGGTATTGGCAATCAAAACCATCTCTAGGCATTAGCTGGCCTCTGAGGAATGAATTTGCCTTTGAGAACCACTGGTCTAGAGATTTCACTAGATAACATCCACTTAAACAATTTTAATACCTATCATTTATTGAGCGTTTACACATATCTGTTATCCCCAGACTCATTTTACAAGGCAGGTGGTTTTATTTATTTATTTATTTATTTATTTATTTGAGGCAGGGTCTTACTCTGCCATCTAGATTGGAGTGCAGTAATGTGGTTATAGCTTACTCTAACCTCAAACTCCTGGGCTCAAGTGATCTCACCTCAGTCTTCCAAGTAGCTGGGACTACAGGTGTGGGCCAGCACACCCAGATAATTCTTAATAAGTTTTTGTAGAGGCAGGGTCTCACTATATTGCTCAGCCTGGCAGGGTAAGTATTGCCTACATTTCACAGTTGAAGAAACTGAGGCTTAAAGGGTTAGAGTCGCTTGCCTAAAAGCATACAGCTGGTAGCTCTGGGATTCTGACTAAGGTTGGTCTAACTCCAAAGCTTGTATAATTTCTGCTGTAACCCTCCCTCCCTCTGGAAAGTTAAGAATTTTAGAAAAATTTAAAGTAAAAAAAATTTTCTCAAGTCAACTCAAGTCCAAAAATATTTATTGAGCTAGATGCCACGAGAAGCTACAAGAAAAATCTAAGCTGTTGCTCCCCTCAGGTTTTCAATATCAACGTCATTGAGAAGGTCAGATGTTTCACACAACACAGAGCAACTATGAGACATTCTGAGTTTGGGCCAAAATGAGTATTTCTAGAGGCAGTACTTTGTGAACGAAATGGCCTTTGTGTATGTCTGCTTCACATTTCCTTTTGCTGCCAATCATAATGATTAAAAAAAGAGCAATGAAGCCTTGAAGTTCATGGAATCTACCAGCCACATGTCCTATAAAATACTAATTCTCTTGTCTTGGGGTGAGCTGTGGGTTGCTTCCAAGCAAACACTCAGCTATCTTCTTTCTGGCTCTCTGCATGAAGTTCACCTCTCCCCTCTCCCTGCGTATGGTGGTATACTCATAAGCCTTCAGCTTGCTGTAGTAATCAGAAAACTTGTTGTAGAGGATGGAAATGGGCATCCCGTTGAGAATGATCCCAAAAGCAATGCAGAGGAAGGCAAAAAACCTGCCCAGGTGGGTCTCTGGGTACATGTCTCCGTAGCCCACGGTGGAGATGCTCACCTGTAGAGGAAGGAAAGCAGGATGGAATTGTTAGCACTAAGATCGGGGAGGAGAAGAAAGGGAGAGGAGCAAGCAGGGAAGCGTCCTCCCTGTGGGTACACATGGGAAGTGTAATGGCTTCCCACGGAGCCTGCTTTAGGAGGTACCAGGAAGACTCCCTCTAGGACCTGTGTCATGAAAAGAACAGAAGCTATGGATGGAGCTGAAAGACTTTGGCTGAAATCCTGACTACGACTCATGCATGTTTGAATGTAAGATATGGGAGGAGGAGGTAATACCTACTTGAAATGGTTGCTGTAAAGAGCATTTAAAATAGTATGTTAAGTACCTGATGTAGAACGTGCTCAGTAAATGATCTTTGCCTCCCTAACTCAGCTGGCACCAGATTCAGGAAAGCAGGTCCCTGGGTTTGCCTGTACACTGTATGTATTGGAAAAATCTTGGGCTTAGAACAGTCAGACCTGGGTTCAAGTCCTGACTCTGAACCTTTCCAGTTGAGTGACCTGGGGCAAAACCTTCAGACTCTCTCTCTCTCTTTTTCTTTTTTTCTTTTTTTTTTTTTTTATTTAAAACAGGAGAAAACCATCTAACTCTTAGGATTCTTGTGAAGGCTAAATAAGAAAATGAATATAAAGCACTGAACACAGTACCAGGCATACAAAAGGCATGAAACTCCTCCATTGTCTTCCTCTCATCTTTAAAATGAAGACAGTTATAACACTTTTCAAAGTTGTTACGTAGTTCAAATGAGAGACTTTATGTGAAGGTGCTTTAATTGCAGATGTCTGGAGAAACACTCTCATTATTTTGTAAAGGGACTTTTGTAAGACATCACTCACCAAAAATATGTTCACCCCTGCATGAAATACTTCCCATTACTCTTGTCATACTGATTTAAATCCCACTAATTGGAGACTTATTTAGGTTAACAAGCTTCTGTTTTAAAATGCAGATACCATGGGACTAGTTATCAGTTACCAGAGAAAACCCTGTGAAAATTCCTTGGGGACTGTTTTTTATGCCTCATGTACTCCCTCTGATCCCCAGAGTATTGGCTAAATTACTAGAAGCCTTTTAAGCAGAGCTGTTGGTCACAGTTGTAAACATTTTTGCGTTGCACTACTCCAGGGGGGCACTCTTTGCTTTGTGTATTTGGGTAGTTGTTGCCATAATTTTCCAGCAGACGGCAGTAAAGCATATGGTCATCTTGTTGATCCGTGCTGAGGTGGCCGTTAGCTTAGCAGTGTAAATATTTTTGTTTTGATGATGTAAGGGTTAGTTTGAACCTGGAATAGTGCAGTTGACTGATTAGAATGAAATGGAGAAGTGAGCCAGCTGCACAAAACTGAGGGCACTGATGAGAACCACAGCTCCATCCAGCCCACGAAAAAAGGAAGGGTATGCCTCCTTTTTGAGGCTGATGATGCACCTCCTGTCACTCACTGCCCTGTCTCTTGTGAGAGGTCATGCAGCCTTTTTCTGCAGAGTCAAAATACAAGCAGGCATCCAAGAGAGGTAATGTGGTGTAGATAAGCTGAAGGAAACGGACTACAGTAGACTTGTGGGTCTGAATCCACTTCCCAGCTGAATAAGTTGGGCAGATCACCTAAATTCTCTTGGCCTCAGTTTCTACTTTTGAAATGTGTGGTATCTACCTCACAGAGTTGTTATAGGAATTGAAGGAGTGCCTGGCACAGGGTGTGTAAGCAATAATATTATTATATATATATCATGTATGCAATCCCAGGGTCCCCCATGCTGAAGCTGGCCTCCACTGAGAAGAGGCAAAGACCAACATTTATTGAGTGCATTCTACACCAGCAACTCTATATACGTTATGCTTATCAGACCCTCAGGCTGTGGAAACAAGCTCCTCCCTGACTCTGCCCTCTGGCTCCAGTAGAGAATATCCTTCTCCCAACTTCTGGACCAAGGGGTGATGTGAGGCAGTGATAAAGTGAGATTGTGGGTTAATCTCAAAGTCCTCTTGGTTGCATGAGTGGGTGTGTCTTTTTTTTATTTAAGTTCTAGGGTACATGTGCACAACGTGCAGGTTAGTTACATATGTATACATGTGCCATGTTGGTGTGCTGCACCCAGTAACTTGTCATTTAACGTTAGGTATATCTCCAAATGCTACCCCTCCCCCCTCCCCCACCCCACAACAGGCCCTGGTGTGTGATGTTCCCCTTCCTGTGTCCGGGTGTGTGTTTCTTGTCATTGACCACACCAAAAGTCAAAGAACCCCAGGCTGATCTCTCTCCAGTTGTGTGAGCTGAACAATAGCTTTCATTTGTCACTAACACCATGACTCACACCTCTGGATGAAAGTTTAGTCAACCTTCCCTGGAGGAGGCCTAAAGGGAGTTTGGATTTAGGAGTGAGTGACAGGAAGGGGTAGTTTAGAACAGCGGTCCCCAACCTCTTTGGCACCAGGGACCGGTTTTGTGGACGACCATTTTTCCCATGGACGGGGTTGGGGGAGGGGATGGTTTCGGGATGAAACTGCTCCATCTCAGGTTGTCAGGTATTAGTTAGATTCTCATAAGGAGCAAGCAACCTAGATCCCTCCCATGCGCAGTTAACAATAGGGTTCCCACTCCTATGAGAATCTAACGCTGTGGTTGATCTGACAGGAGGCAGAACTTAGGCGGTAATGATTGATGGCCCTCCACTCATCTCCTGCTGTGTGGCCGGGTTCCTAACAGGCCACAGACAAGTACCACTCCACAGCCCGGGATTGGGGACCCCTGGTTTAGAACATGAGACATCCACGGAAGTCCAATGCAGAGGCCTTGGAGGAAACAAGTCACTTAAGGGTTCAGGATGGCGGGGATGGGAGAGAGTAGGAAGACACTGAGGAAGAAAATAATTAAGATAAACTGCTTATTTTCAACTTTTGATCATTCTGCACACTGGCTTTGCTTCACCCTTAAGCCAAACTTCTTTTTTTTTTGGCTGAACTTTGAGTGAAAAGTCAAAAGCAAAGAGAATTGGCTTAAAGAAGAATAAATATCTGATGTGTATAATATGATCCAAATATTTTTGTATATCTTCAATCTCTATTTTTAGAGAACAGATCTCTTCTGCTAGGAGGCTATGTGTGACTGGTCCCCAATAATTTGTTGAAAATGTACAGTTAATTTATATGTTGTCTATTTCGTGAATAATTTGACTCAACAAGTGATCTGTTTCTTGTTCCTTGGCTCCAGGAGGAACTCAGGATTCCTTGGCTTTGGGGAACTTTTTTTCCACATTCCATAGGCCAAGCCATTTCTCCCTAGATGGGAATTAAAAGCTGAAGGCCCCAGACTGACCCAAGTGACCTCACAGAATGAGTTGTCACATTAGCAGGAGTTGGGTTTGGAAATGTGACCAAAATTTCCGCAATCCATCTTAATATACTGAAGAAAACTGGCTAGCTCAGCAACTCTGCAAACTGGAAGCTTAACCATTCTGCTGTAAACGTACATACTTTCCTTAGCCTTGGGTCCCAAAGCCAGAATGTGACCTTCCCCTGGCAGTTTACTCACTAAACAACAAATCCTGGCCTGCCATATATTATGAGGATAAGCATCAAATTTTTCTCCAAAACTTGAGAATACTTGGATTTCTCATTTAACAAGACAAGTTTGTTTCCCTCATAATGAACAAGGAATGGAATCAATCTTGGCACCCAGTAGTCCATGCATTCAGGAATTTATGATCCTAGGGAATAAAACTTATTTTTCAAAATAACACTCTTTCTGTTTTCCAAAGGAATTAGAGGTGGTGAAGATGGATCTTTTTTGGATAAAATTATTATAAGCCTCAATACGTGTTGTCCTTCAAAGGATCCAGCTTCAAAGGCTGTACTTACTCATGCTATTATTGCAACAAGTATATTTGGAATTCCTCTTTTGAATTATAGTCTGCACAGTAGATTCAGTAGCAGCAAGCGGTCATATCCACCTTGATGGTTTACTCTAAGTGTCGATCTTAAACTAAAGTGTCTTAACTATTTTAAAATACTGAATGTAGCCTTAAAAAGACAAAGATTTAACAACCTAGAAACAAGTGGATGTGTCACAAACTCTGAAGGTAATTCCTCAGTGGAATTCAAAGAATGTCTTGATTAGTGGAATCACTGTTAGAATGAGGTCATGGGTGACTACCTTCAGGATAATAACAACCCTCATCTGTATATTACAGTTCTGACATGTTTGTAAGTGGTACAATAAGCGGTAGGTGTGCACAGCTAAAGCAAAGCCACAAATGTAAGTTTGAGATCTATTAATCTATCCACAGAAAGGTGCGCAATAATGATGCTGTCCACACCCTCAGCTTCCCTGCATTTCTCCGTGCCCTCAATGATGCTGTCATGTTCCACTCACATCATATTGGCTAAAATGAGGAACATACTTTAAAGACATAAAAGGAGACCACTCCAAAATTGGGAATCCATAAGATAAAAAGTAGTAACAATGCCTAAGAGCCTTTACCCCGTCTATAGCTCCTGTGCTACTTCTGAAGGAGGTAGAACTCTATTACTTTCTGTGCCAGATATTTATATGTTGTCTCTTAGTCCCAAGCCTGACACCCTTCTGTATTTTATTTTATAATTCCAGAACTGGGAGTCTGCAAACTACATTTCCCAGATTCTCTTGCCCACTGTCTTCTAGTTATGTTCTGCCTATGAGAGACTGGAAGATGGTATGAGGACATAAGGGTCTCTAATCCTGCCTCTGGTTTCTGCCTTCATTCCTCCAATTGCAGCCAATAGCTATGGTTCAGGCATTTTTTGGCATTCCTGGCATCAGCCTCATGGTGCCAATTTAGGAGTCCTTGCAACAGCTACACAGAGGCCCCTCCTGTGGACTCTTAGCTTCTGGTGGCAACACCTTTTCCCATTTATTCTCCCAATTCTAGGGCCAATAGCTACTCCCTGCAATTACCAATCTCTGGATTATCTCAGTTTTCTCTTTCTGCTTTTCCAGTCTTCTTTTTTTTCTTCTTCTAGTCTTCTAACAACTATCTATTTCCTTGTATTAAATTCCCTGTTTGAAATATTCACCTTGGTATCTATTTTCCTGACTGCAACCTAATTTATTTTTCAAATGGGTTTCCTCAAAGCAATCAATGAACAAAAATAAAATAATTTCAGTGATCTTGTAAGTGCCACCTATTGGCAAGGTAATGAAAACATACCTTAGGGAAAGAAAGATGGGAGCAAGGTCTCTGGGACAAAATGGTGCCTCAACTAGAGATAAATTTTCTTTTTGAGAAGTTAGTTTTTGAAGGAGTGAGTTCATGCCGTAGTTTCCTGTTTGGTTTCTACAGCTTTAACTTGCCCTGGAAAACTCAGAAGGAAATGGTTCATTCAAAGTCTACTTACTCTTTTCTACTTGAAAACATACCCATGCCCTCCACCCCCCAACCCCCGGCAAAAAAAAAATAAGAAAAAAAAATGTGGTCATATGTTGAGGCTAAAAAAAAAAAAAAAGTAAAAGAAAAAAACCATACCCACACAGGAGGCCAATGATTACAGCTTCATCATAGAGCCCATTGTTCTTGTTTAGCTGTGCCGTGCATTTCCTACCCCCAGGCAATCCAGAGAGCCCCAAGATGGCTGGAGCTGCTTTAGGCGTGGGCCTGTTTATCTGGACTCTCAGAAGTTCTCCCATGAGGGAACAGCTGACCTTCTCGTATGTTTTATAGGTTCTTTCTTTTCCTCAGTAGAAAAAGAATCATTTCTGTTTTATTTTCTTCCCAAATGAATGTAGAAGCAAAGGTTATTGCTTCCATGTGACAAAGACTATCAACTAGTCAGTTATGGTAGCTTCTATTTATTGCAGACTTACTATAGGCTAGCAGTTTACATATGTTTCCTATTACATTAGTGCTCACAAATAACCTCCATTTGACAGATGAAAAAGACAGGTCTATCCTACATCCTAATACATGAGCATTTGTAGACATAAGTGTCCAGGAGGGATTTGTTTTGCAGCTGCAGGAGAATTCACAGTAATGAAAACTACTGTATTTTTCTTAAATCCTTGAGTTGAATTACAGAGAAAGTTTGCAGGATCCTTGGCATAGAGAGAAGAAAGATTATTAAAAGCAAGTCAGATTTGGTGTTGTCTGAAAGTATTAAAAATACATAAAAGAATGGATAAGAGAAACTCTCTGTAATGTGGGATGCATATTTCACAAAGGATACAGCCCCAGAATGGTGAAATAAAATGCCAATTATATTTTTCTTTATCTCATCTTTAAAGTTTCAATTTGTGAGTGTATACTTTCTGATATGTGTAATATATTTGAGCAGTAATATATTACTGCAGGAGAAAGATTGCATTATTGGAACTAATTCTTTACATCTTTCTGTGTCTAAGCTGTTTGCCATATAACTTTGCAGTGCCCTCCTATGGTGGGTGGGCTAACCTGCCCTGCCCTTTGACTTGCAGCTTGGCCATGTGACTTACTCTGGCCAATGGGCTGAGCAAATGCCATGAAAAGAAACTTATGAAGTGTTTGCATGATGGGGCTTGCATTCTCTCTCTTGTTCTTTGCCACAGCCATCGACATGTGGCTGCTGGAGTCTGCCAGAGGAATGCAGACATGTGGCCTAGTCTCTCCCTTCATGCCAGTTGACCATCAGGCATGTGAATGAGTAACAAGAGCCTCATGAAAGAGAAGAACCTTCTAGCTGAAATCAGAGTATACGCTGACTTTTAAATTCATGAGCTAAATAAACGCTTGATGTTTTAAGCCATTGAATTTCAGGGTGGTTGGTGATGTATCGTTATTATGGCAATAAAGAACTTCTAATTTATTTATAAATAAATAACTTCTAATTTATTTATAAATAAATAACTTCTAATTTATAAATAAATAACTTCTAATTTATTTATAAATAACTTCTAATTTATTTATAAATAACTTTTATTTATAAATAACTTATTTATAAATAACTTCTATTTATAAATAACTTATTTATAAATAACTTCTATTTATAAATAACTTATTTATAAATAACTTCTATTTATAAATAACTTATTTATAAATAACTTCTAATTTATTTATAAATAACTTCTAATTTATTTATAAATAACTTCTAATTTATTTATAAATAACTTCTAATTTATTTATAAATAACTTCTAATTTATAAATAACTTCTAATTTGTAAATAAATAACTTCTAATTTGTAAATAAATAACTTCTAATTTATTTATAAATAAATAACTTCTAATTTATTTATAAATAAATAACTTCTATTTTATTTATAAATAACTTCTAATTTATTTATAAATAACTTCTAATTTATTTATAAATAACTTCTAATTTATTTATAAATAACTTCTAATTTATTTATAAATAACTTCTAATTTATTTATAAATAACTTCTAATTTATTTATAAATAAATAACTTCTAATTTATTTATAAATAAATACACATTTATCATGGGTATGTGCCCCAAATTTTTAAAAATAAGATGCATGATTAATAAAATGCTTAGAAACCACTAGATCAGTTACTTTTAGGAATCCTCTTCTCAGATTGTCATATCTGTTGAGTCAGGTGCATTTAGATGAGTCTCTTTTCATCTTTCAAACTTTATCTCAATGTCATCTTCTCCAAAAGGGCTTCTCTGACTATCCCACTAAAGACAGACTCTACTGCCTGAATCACTCTCAATCTTGTTATCCCACACAAGCTATGCCAATACCTGAAATTATTTATTATCTGTCTTTCTCCATTAGAATGTAAGCTCCAGAAGAGAAAAAACTTGATTGTTTTTTCTTCTCCTACCCTGTATCCCTAGTGTTAAGAATACTACTGGGCACATTGGAGGTGCTCAAAAACTTACTGTTCAATGAATGAATAAGGTGAATTTTTGTGGGTTATATGACAAATTGGTCCTAATGTTTTGTTTCTTTTCACTTTGCATCTACATACCGGAAACAAGACATTTTGTCCACATCAATTCAATGTGTTCTTTTCTCTTTGCTCTATTGAGAATATGAACCTTTAGTCTGTATTATGGAGTGTAGTTAGAAGTACAGAGAAGAACTGGATTAATAACATAGCAGTCCTGGGGAACAGAGCGGTCTTAGAATATTCAAGGGCAATTGCTCCCATTGTTTTCATAGATTAGTTTAGAAATAAATACAGATGATCAGTCTTTTATCTAATTTGTAACGAATTTTACTGGTATAAATAATTTTCAGAATAAAATGGACAAAGACCATTGATAAAGGGTAAGGTTTGTAAATGGGATGGTTGGAATGTGCAAAATTGGGCCTATGAAAATAGTGGCTGATAGAGATAATGGCTTCAAAAGGAAATTCATACAGATAAGAGCAATAATTGGTAACATTTATGATTGGCAAAAACTGGTGATTCAATTTTTGTAAAATTTATGAAAAACATTGATTTTGAGTTACATAGTGCCAGTTAACATAAAAAGAGATAATTTGAAAGGTTTAGACTTCATTGTACATTGAACAGATCAGAAATTTAAGTGAGATCAATGGGTATTCAGTTCAAAAAAATTTACTGGTAAAAATACAACCTGAGTAACATTATTCTTTATGTGTTTTATTTTAATTAAAATTTTTTCTCTAGCCATATCCGTTTGAAAGTAACATAACTTTTATCAAAGTATTTGTTAATATACAAAAGGTCGAAAAAACTTTTGTGGGTTCAAACTGTAGTATCAGAGAGTGTACTAGCTCCAGTGCCTTCATGCACTAGCCTTTAAAGATGTTTAGATGAATAGAAATTTGACTCTCAAGTGTTGTATCATATCATCAGCATGTGGATTTACTCTTCTGCTTTCCTGCTTTAGTCACCCCAAAGTAAATGTCATTTGCTGGGGACAAATCATCAACCATGAGCCTCATCTGTACACATGGTTTATCTACTATAGGGATGACCTTTCATCACTTGGAATATGATCAGAGAAGCAGAATTTGCCTAGCTCATTCAGAAGAACATCGTATCATCCTGCCACTGAAGAAAGCTCACATATCCTCTATACATATGAGCTCCCTGCTTTCAAGGGAAGGAAGACTCACTGAACTGCAGACTTTTACATGTCCAGCCTCCCCTTTTAGAGGTGAGAAAGCAGGACTGGAAGTGAGGGATTAAGGTTTCACAGTTAATTATTCAGGGTCATGGTTAATTATTGACAGGTCTGGGACTAGAATCAGGTTTTCTAAATCTTCTATTATGCTGCATTGCACTGTCAGTGGCCTTGGGTTGGTTTGTCTCAGAAGTGCACACCAGACTATGGGTTATGACATACACAATGTTGAAAATATCTACTTTCTGACATGGGAAAACTAGTTATATTTGCTTAATGTCTTTAAAGGTATTACAATCTACTTTTCAAAAGAAAACTAAGGAAACCATACATTCAATTCTTTCCTTCATATATGCCGACTTATTCATCGATCTGAGAAGACCTGATTAACATTTATTTCCAGGGATTCAGCTACCACAGCTCAAAATACAGATATTTGAGTAAACAGCACAAGTTATAAAAAGGCAAAGGCCAAAGAAAACAATGACAAAAAATAACTGTTACACTAACTGTACAAATTCAGCAATGCATGCAAAAGAACTAAAACTTGAAAGAGACTGTGCTTGGGTGTGGGAAAGGCATGGAGTTTGGAGATGGACAGGACTGAGTTTCAGTTCTGGCTTTGCCACCTCTAGCTGTGAGTCCACATTCAAACTCTCTGTACTTCAATTTCACTATCTGTAAAATGGGGCAATAATACAGGGTCCTGAAAGAACTTTAGTGAAGTCAGAGCAAGTTTCAGTTTGAGATGCTTCTTTCCACACTCAGATTTAAGTGGAACCAGAGGTGGTGGGATTTCAGTTAGAGTCAACATGGTTCAGCCAAGTCTCACCTCCTTCTCTGTATAAATCTACAGTTTCTTTCAAAAACTGAAGCCATTTCTGCTTGTCCCCTTAAAAAAAAATGGTGGTCATAACCATCTCAAAGGCTGTGATGCCACAATGAGATAAGCTTTGTCAGGACACTGGATGCTCAATAACTGGTAAATAACAGTAATGATGACGCATCTTCTTTAAAACCTGTCTTTTAAAGGTTTGAAGACGAAATCTAGATTTGGAGATTTCTACGACTAAGTCAAATTCACTTACTTACTGATCTGCTGAGTTCTCTTTCCACCACTTTTGACATCCATCGCCGTTTTGTTAGCTGTATGCGGCGATTGGGGGTGGGGGGGAAGACGAGGATCAGAAGCCAAAGCCTGGTGGCTGATAACCAGGGGAGGGAGGAGCAGCTCACTGGGCTGGGGAAGAGGATGGGAAAGCCCAGGGCAAAGGTACTCACCGCGGCCCACCACCAGGAGTGGGGGATGGTAGTGAAGTTGGTGCTGGGCACATCGTGCTCCACAGAGTAGACAGCCGCAGAGAAAGTGAAGATGCCCATGGCGATGAAGAGCAGCAGGCAGCCCACCTGCTGGTAGCACTGGCGCAGCGTGAAGCCGAAGGCACGCAGTCCGGTGGAGTGGCGCGCCAGCTTGAGGATGCGGAAGATGCGCATGAGGCGCATGACGCGCAACACCTGACCCACCTTACCCACGCTGCCCACCGTCTGGCCGCGTTGGTGGCCCTCGCCCGTGAAGCACTCGAGCAGCAGCTGAAGGTAGAGCGGCAGGATGGCCACCAGGTCCACCAGGTTGAGGGCGCTGCGCGCGAAGCGCCTCAGGTCGGGCGTGGAGGCTAGGCGCAGCAGGTACTCGAGCGTGAAGAAGCCCATGCACAGCATCTCCACGTGCTCCAGGATGGGCCGCAGGTCTGGGCCGCCCTCGCCCTGCCCCGAGTGCTGCTGCATCTCCTCCACGGTGTTGAGCGCCAGCGCCACCACGGAGACGAGCACGAAGGTGCTGGAGGCCACCCCGATGGCCTTGGCGGCCACCGAGGAGAATGGCTTCTCCATGAGGTTCCAGAGGCGGCGCCGCTGCGGGCCGTAGAAGCGCATGTCGCGGAAGAGTTCCTCCGCCTCCTCGACCTGCGCCTGCGCGCGCAGCTCGTGCTGGATCTTGAGCCGTTCGCTCAGCTCGTCGCGCCGCTCCTCGAAGCAGATGCGGCAGCAGCGTGGCGTGTACTTGAGCCGCACGCCCCAGTAGCCCAGCTCCTCCAGGAAGCGGCGCGGACACAGCCCGTCGAGCACCAGCAGCACCCCGGACAGGTAGAAATTGTAGACCAGCTGGAAGACGGCCGGGTCGCGGTCGAAGAAGTATTCGTCTGTCTGCTCCTCGTAGTCGTCGCACAGGCTTAGCTGGCGGCTGCGGCTGGTGGAGGTGGCCAGGCGACCTAGGCGCGTCTTGGGGAAGCCGGCCAGCTCGCAGTAGTCCAGCTGGTAGCTGTGGCCACCCACGTTCACATTCAGCGTGGACAGCAGGGCCGGAGGGTCGCTGGGGCCCTCGGGCTTGGCGGTGGTGACCTCCCCTGCCTGCTGGTCCTCTTCTGCCAGGTCGTCCTTCCACTGGTCCTCCTCCTCGCCGTCTTCGTCTTCCTCGATGTAGTAGTTATAGTTGCCCTCTGTCCAGCCGTGGATGCTGGCCTGGGAGCCGGAACGGGCACCCAGGGAGCAAATGCTCCTGCGGTGTTGGCTGCCCTCATTCTCCGTCGTGTTCCAGGGCCTGTAGCTCCAGGACCGTCTCCTCTCACTCTGTTTGAGCATGGCTGCGGAAAGTGGACGCCTAGCTTTTTCCTCCTGGCTGTGGTAGGGGTCCCTCACCTGCTCACTGCCTCTAGGAGGATGGATCACGTGGCCTGCACTGTCTTAGAGAGGCCAGCCCGGACCAGCACAGCTAGGGGCTCAGACATTGCCACCGGAGCTGCCCCTTCTCAGGTCCTGGGCAGGCCAGCCCAGCCTGCAGGGTCTGAACGCAGTCAGCTGTTGACTGCTCTAATCTTGCTGATTTGGAAGAAGCAAGTGTTAGGAGGGATTTAGAACCTCTTAGCCCATTTCCTCCCCCACTCCCTTGACCCTGTGAGGTAGAGGATGATTATGTGGTCTTAAATCTCTAGGTAATCAGAAGAAGGCAGAGATTATTGCTAATAAAAATGTCGGTCAACCTCGCTCTTAGGAAGCGCTCAGTGTATGTGTGCTGAGATGAAATCAACTGAATTAGCTATAGAATACGGATGCCTGTGTCTTCAGCTTCATGGTTGAGATGGTAGCCTCTGCCCTAGGTAAACTCACCATTAGCAGGGATGACACATAGCAACGGAACAAAGCTGACTTCATGACAAGTCAGTTTCCCTCTCAGCGTAACTCTTCGTTTAGAGCATATAAGATCTAAAGCCATCTCCTTCTTGTCCATTCACATGATCACATTTTTTTTTTTTTTTCAAATGGATTCTCCCTGGGGCACTGTTCAGGTCCAGTCGGATCTTTGAGTCAGCTTCAGCTTCTCTCTCTCCTTTTTATCTCCTCCCTTTCTCTTAAAGGATAGAGACATGTTTCAAGGTAGAATTCCAGGAATGGTAGGAAGACGTTTTTAGGGCCTCACAACCCTGCTCAGCAATATTAGGCCATATTTAAAGGGAGCCTGACTTCCACCCAAAAAAAAAGGGTCTTCTTCATCCTTCAAAACATCACTTTAAAAAAAAAAAAAAAACCCTTTTCATGATTAAGGCAATGTGCAAATGCTGGATATGCAAACACGATGGAGACACAGTTGTAGCAGTCAAAGAACTCTTGGTTTTGTTGGGGATATAAACATGCAAGGATAACAAAAGATGCAATAAATACTGGGGAGGAGAGAAGCAGGAGGGATTTGCTTTGAGCAGGGAATTGGTTTTTCTATTCAATTTATTTTGCATAGCTAATACACATTCATGATAAAAAATTGTAAAGGTAAAAAGACATATTACAGTAGAAAGTTTATGTCTTTCCCACCCATAATTTCAAGACATCAGGTGTACCTCAAGGAAGCAACCACTATTACTACCTTTTGGCTATCCTTCCAGAAATATTCTAAACATATACAAGCAAAAATATACCTACCTTTATCCATCATCTCAGTACCTCTTCATTATTAATAGAAATCATAGAATGCTATATACTTTGCCTTTTCCAGTTGGCCATATAAAAGATGTTTTCATATTTGAACACAAATATCTACCTTATTTTAAAAATAGCCACTGAGCACTTTCCTAATGACAGACATTCAGAATGTTTCTACCTTTGCTTTTATGGACAATTATGCAACAAATACCTTATATGTACATCACTTTACACATGTTCAAGATATATAAAGGATAAATTCTTAGAGGTGAGATTACTAGGTCAAAGATTGCACATTTGTAATTTTGATTAGTAGTGCTACATTTCTCTCCATAAAAGTTTTACCAATTTACAATTCATCAACGGTTGAAAATGTCTTATACTTTTTTAACTCTACCAATTTTGTAAGTGAAAAATGATGTGTGGGTTAATTTGTATTTCTTATAAATGTGATTGAACACTTTTTCATGTGATTAAAAGCTATTTCTTTTTCTGGGAACTGTCTGTTCATCGACTTTGCCTATATTTTCCACTGAGTTGTTTACATTTTTCTTATTGATTTGTAGGAGAGCTTAATACATTATGAAAAAAGACCCTTTACTTGTGATATGGATTGCACCTTTTTTCGGTTTTAACTTTAATATTTTTTCCATGTAAAAATCTTTATTTTATGATTTCTGGGTGTTGTGTAGTATTAGAAAAGGCTTCACCTCTCTGTAAATAAAACTTTTCTTTTTATAGTTTTAACATCAGAAATTAATTTTGATGTAAAGAGTGAAGTAGGGGCCTAACTTTATTTTCCAAGCTTTTATCCAGATGTTTCAACACATTAATTGCATAATCCATCATTTCCTCACTGATTTGTGGTACTATCTTTGTCACTTAGTTGAGTTTTAACTATGCTTCAAAGTTGTTGAGACGGGTAACGTTATGAGGTCTGCATCTGCTAGTGTGGCATTCACTGATGTTGTTTAGCTTGCAATAGGCCTCAGACCTACAAGCTTATGGTAAAGCTTCTTACCAGGCTTAGCCTTTAAGTTCCTAAATGTATTTCTAGCGTTCCCTTTTTGGTATACAATATTGATGTTGTTTTGCTAGCCACACACTTAATTGCTTTCCAAGTCTATCTTTTCTTTATATTGTGCTGAGTACTGCCATAATAGATTTTGCATGTTGCATAAATTCACCTTTTCTCTTCAGAACCAATTATACTATTATAAAAAGTAAAGACTGGGTGTGGTGGCTCACGCCTGTAATCCTAGCACTTTGGGAGGCCGAGGTAGGTGGATCACTCGAGGTAAGGAGTTTGAGACCAGCCTGGCCAACTTGGTGAAACCCCATCTCTACTAAAAATACAAAAATTAGCCGGGCTGGGCATGTTGGCGGGTGCCTGTAATCCCAGTTACTCAGGAGGCTGACACACAAGAATTGTTTGAACCCGGGAGACAGAAGTTGCAGTGAGCTGAGATCATGCTGCTATACTCCAGCCTGGGTGACAGAGTGAGACTTGGTCTCGACAAAAAAAAAAAAAGTAAAAATATCACCATTTTCATATTTTTATCTTCTTCTTTTTCAATTGAAATAATATACTACTTTTTTTTTTTTTTTTTGAGACAGAGTCTCACTGTGTTGCCCAGGCTGGAGTGCAGTGGCGTGATCTCGGCTCACTGCAATCTCCGCCTCCTGGGTTCAAGCAATTCTTCTGCTTCAGCCTCCTGACTAGCTGGGATTACAGGCGCCCGCCAGCATGCCTGGCTAATTTTTGTAATTTTAGTAGAGATGGGGTTTTGTCATGTTGGCCAGGCTGGTCCCGAACTCCTGATCTCAGGTGATCCACCCACCTTGGTCTCCCAAAATGCTGGGATTACAGGTGTAAGCCACCATGCCCAACCCATGTACTACCACTTATCCAGACTTTCAACACTTAAAAACTATGGAGTTAGTAATGTTTGTATGGCATCTAGAAGCTAAGCACAAACACCACATCCATACAGTAGATTGAGGAATATTACCTGGGTAGACCCCACTTAAGTGACTCTTACACCCCCGGTATGAGTAGTTGCTTGGATTTTGCCCTGATGTATATGCATGTAAGTGCAACATTAGATGAGTATACACATATATAGACTGTTTCTAATAAAACTGTCCAACAATGGTTGACCCATAATGTGGAAAACACCCTCTTTCTTTTTTTTAATTTAATTTTACCTTAAGTTCCAGGATACAAGTGCAGAACGTGTAGGATTGTTACATGGGTATACATGTGCCATGGTGGTTTGCTGCACCTATCAACCCGTCATCTAAGTTTTAAGCCCTGCATGCATTAGCTATTTGTCCTAATGCTCTCCCTCCCCTCACCCCTCATTCTGACTGGCCACGGTGTGTGTCGTTCCCCTCCCTGTGTCCATGTGTTCTCATTGTTCAGCTCCCAATTATGAGTGAGAACATGTGGTGTTTGGTTTTCTATTCCTGTCTTAGGTTGCTAAGGATGATGGCTTCCAGCTTCATCCATGTCCCTGCAAAGGACATAATCTTATTCCTTTTTATGGCTGCATAGTATTCCATGGGAAAGCACCCTCTTTCTGAATGCATTTAAGAATCAGTCGAGCAGGCTGCAAGGGAGACCTGCAGAGGGTGGAAAGTAGGACTGGATGACCTTCATGTCCCCTTCTTGTCTTTAAATTACTAAGATTCTAAGTCTTTGCTTGATAATCCATTTATCTTGAATTCTCTTCCAACCTTCTTCTTAAATCTTTGGCTTCCAAAAGTCACCTCAGACATTGTCTTTCTCTTTCAGTGATTCTTGTCTGACATCGCTGTGTTTCTCCAAGGTGAATCAGCTGTCCCATCTCAGTGTCCTCAATTAAGATAGTATATACTACTAGCTTACAACATGAGACACTTGTTTTAACTAAGAGTGATTAAATTTTTTTCTCTAAAAGTTACATAAGTGCATTGTAGAAAAATTTAAAAATAGAAACCAGAATACCAACAATTGATACAATATTAAATAGTAAATAGAATGTCCAGATACTGTTCTGTTAATGTTTACACCAATCCTATAGTATAGGTACTATTATTCTATTTTACAGGTGAGAAAACAGATACAAGTTGAGTGTCTGTTTTACAGTAGCTTGGTCAGAATGTCATTATTATTATTATTATTGTTCTTATTGGTTAATGGATAGGTGAAAGTTGCATTACGTTTTTGCTTTAACCAACTCTATATTAATGATTTATTTACATGTTCCTCATCTCCTCTGAAGTCTTTAAGGGAAAGGATGATCTTGTCTCTGTGGCCCCAGCACTAAGAAGGGGGTCTAGTATGATAGCAGATTTAAAAAAATTATTGAAAGGATATGCAAAATCTTACCATATGAGTTCTTACAACTGCATGTGGATCTACCATTATCTTAACATAAAAAGTTAAAGAATATTACTCTGCATTGACATAGCCCCAGTCCCCACTTTGAAGGAAAGATAATGAATAACCTTTGAGGAACAGTGGCTGGGATTTATAGAGATTTTCCTTGTTGACAGAGATTTACAGGCAGCATAGTACAGTACAAAGAACACTGGAATGCATACAAACTTGGTTTTGTATTCTAGTTACAAAGTTTGGGCAAATTACTTAGCCTCTTGTAGGTTCTGTTTTCGCATCCATAAAATGGGTTACTGGAACATCTGCTAATATAAAAAGAATACTTCTCTATTTTTCCCTGGTCTATGCCTAAACCTTGGCACATAATAAGTACGCCTCAAAAGATAGTCATCTTTCCCTCATCTAGCCACCTCCTACCCCAATTCCTGACTCTCCACCTATAACACACAAATAAGTTCATTTTTATTACCTGTAGAGTTTCTTAGCACAGAAATAATGGTTACATTCTTAGTCCACCATTAACATTAATTCCTTTATGTGAAGGCAGCACTGACTGATAACATTTTCTATGTGGATGGTAATGTTCTTATGGCTTAAAACATGGCAAGTGCCACAGAGGAATGGAAATTTTAAATTTGATTTAATTTTAATTAATATATATTTAATCAATGTGTATATTAATATAATTAATTAATATATATATATTTTTGAGACAGGATCTGGCTCTGTCACCCATGCTGGAGTGCAGGGCACGATCTTAGCTCACTGCAACCTCCACCTTCTGAACTCAAGCCATCTTCCCACCTCAGCCTCCCAAGGAGCCAGGACTATAGGTGTGGCCACCATGCCTGGCTAATTTTTTTTTTTTTTTTTTTTTGTAGAGATTAGATTTCACCATGTTGTCCAGGCTGATCTCAAACTCTTGAGCTGTAGCGATCTACCTGCTTTGGACTCCCAGAATGCTGGGACTACAGGCGTAAGCGCCCGCACCTGGCCTTAATTAATTTATATTTAAATTTGAACAGTCACATGTGGCTAGTGGCTACCATGTTGGACAGGGCAGTGTTAAGCTATCAGCTGCGTCCAGATCCGTCTCTTTTAAGTACACAAGGTTCTTAAACCTCTTAATCAAATGAGTTTGCCAGCATAAACTGGCCTGCTACTTCTGAGACTAAAAAGGAATGTGACAGGGAGAAAGGAATTTTGATAAAATGAATAGGATGATGGGACAGGATTGAGAAGCATGAGCAAGTAGAGAGCAGGCTTGGGATGGGGGCATTTCAGAATGGATTCAGGATGGCTTGGGGAGAATAATATTGAAAGAGTCGAACTAAGGCAAATCGTAGGAATAGCAAGAGTACTGAAAATAAACAACTTTACAAATTTACCCAGACCTAGTTCTGAAAGGCAGAGGGAGAGAGGGAGGCAGAAGGGAACTTTGGCATTTACTTGGGAAACTACATTTCCTTTAGGGCCTTTGAAAGTAAATGACTAAGATTGTAATTGTAAAATGGGAAGTTGAAATAAATAGCTGGATAATTTGATAGTCAAACAAAAATAAATTATTCTAAAAAACACAACAATCTCCCCACTCTCAATAAAGGAAAAAAGAGTAGGTCTTTCCCCCCCCACCCCCCCCCCCCACCAAAGCTTGTGTTAAGTCTGGTAAATTTCTTCTAGTAATTGAATTATTTGTTCACTTCCTCTTTACATTTGCCTGTCTCACCATAGGTGAGATGTGGAATGAATGGGAGCAGCAATTGATTACAAAGTGTCCTATTCGGTTGAAATTCTTGCTGACTAAATTAAAGTTGTCTGTGAGTTTAGAAAAAGGAAGAGTAAATGATGGGGAGAAGAGGAGGCTGTAACTAAGCATTCTTTTTATCAATGTCTTGTAATAAAGCTTAAATCTGGAGGGTGCATCCATTTTCCCAAAGCACATCCATCCACTTTAATTCTCTTTTCGAAAGATAAAGAACCTGAGACTTAGAGATGTGGGTTTTCAGCCTGCTGTTGGTCAACAGAGCTGGATCTGGATCTGGGACACATGTATCTGCATCTCTAGGCATCTTTCTGTTCTTGGGACTGTGGTAACTGAACATGAAGCCCCTATTGATATGCCCCTCACTTAGAAAATCTTGACTTTTATTACTGGTCTTTATTTATTGCTCCTCCTAAACATACGTGGACTATCTTTCAACATGGTTCTTTTTGTTCTTTTTGCCCCAGCTGATGCAACAGATCTTGCCATCTGTTTTGGTATCTTGGAAGTGGATGCAAGCTAATTCAACATGAAGTAGGTGTACCTGCTTGTACTGCATGCACGGCGTTGTGCTATTTTCCAGCTGGCAGTGACCCAGGGTTACCTAGTTCCACTGCTCACTTTAGAAATAAGGAAACTGAGGTGTCAGATAGGTCAGGCGACTAGCCCCAAATCTCACAGATGAGTTAGTACCACCTAACTCACTCTACTCTAGAATCCTTTCTAGCTCCAGGTTAGTGCCCTATTCTTCTAACTTGATATTGTTTCTGCTTCCTTGAATGTATTTTTCACTTTGAAGTTGTATCTATGCGGAACAAGCAAGTTATAGATTTAGGGGGAATGTTTTTGAGTAATTTAAATATCAGATCCTGGCATTTAAAAAAGAGCTGAGTTCAGTTATCCAAACTAATTGCCTTCACAGATCTAATTTTGTGGAAGATTTCTCCTCTCCATTTTCTGTTGCCTACGTAGTCACAGTTGAATGTCACATACCTTTCTTAAACAATATCTTCTCTTCTGTCCAAACCAGAACTTTGCTTATTTTCTGTTGGGGCACAGCCCCATTGACCTTCAAAAGTTTAGTCTCGTATAATTTAACACTGCTTTACAGCTAACCTCCTTTGGTGTCCTTGTGTTCTCTCTTGGTCTCTGGGTCTCGCTGTGTTTCTGCTCCCTCTGCTATGAGCAATGAGGTTCTCTCTGACCAAGCCTCCAGAAGAGCAGAAATAAGATGCCTGAGTGCTGCGTTTGATGCAGAGAGAAACCATTTGCAGATAATGCTTTCACTCAGAGGATTTTTTTTCACCTCAAAATTTGCATTCAAAAGCTCTACCAAGGAAGGCAAATGTGCCAGAGATTATGGAACATCTGCTCTGACACTGGCATTACTGCAGTGACGAGGGCTCCCTGGAGTAGGGGTGACAGGAGCCAGATGATGCTCCTGAGGAGATTTGCTGATTTCAAAAGAGGCATCTGTGAAAACCTAGTAAGAATATAAGGAATGTGCTTGAACAGATGGTATGTGTAGAACATTGGAATAGAATCATTCTCTGAATCTTTTAAGGATTAATAAATGTGATGAAGGAAAAGGATTGCAAATGATTAATGATGACTCAATTATATTACACAAATTATATTACACAAATTATATTACACAAAATGCAGTTTTACTCCAAAAGCTGGGTTTTTTTTTTTTTTTTTTGTACAGGTCAACAGTTATTGGTCATGGCAAAATGATATCGTGTAGATAAATACTTTCCACATAGCTTTCTAAAATATATCTCTGCATTACAGGGGCTACTCATAAAGTCAGAACAGAAGAGTTAGACCTTAAGTGATGAATGTGTGTGTGAGTTACACACACTGAAAAGCATAAATAATATATTTAAATAATTTGTTGTCATATTGTTTTTATGTTGATGTGGATTAAATTTTCAAGCAGTGCAGCTGATTTCAGAGAATGCCATGAGAAAAGTCAGTATTTTGGACTGAAGATCAAACTGGAAATAAATTAGCAAGTAATTGCCTGAAAGAGTTTATGGAATAAATAAAAATTATTTACCTAATTGACATAGCAACTGTTAGTATGTAACTCTGTGCTGGGTGCTGCGAAAGGGCTTGTGATTAATAAGTAGCTTTTTTTTTGAGAAAGGTAATGATTTTCCTTGTCCCCATAATTTCACTCTTGATTTCTTCTAAAATTAATTTGGCAAAAGTCGATTTTAGCTCCTGCTTATATAAGAACATCGCAAACTATGACTAGATAAAGTCAATTTAAGGACGTTTCATTGCATCCACCTTTTAGGATTATGTTAGGCTGCCTGTAACTGAAAGAATACTAAATATGGCTTCAACATGTAGGCATTATTTCTCTCCTATGACAAGATGCCCAAAGATTGGCAGTTGGGGGCTGGTGGGAGGTGCTAAGGATGTCATCAAGGATCCAGGATCCTTCCATATTTCTGCTTTGCAATCTTTAATACATAGCTTTGATCCTCATGATTGCAAGATGACTTTGGGACCTCTAGGAATTGAGTCTATATTTCAGGCTGCTAAAAAAAAAAATAAAATATAAAAGAGGGCAGACATGGTAGCCCAGGCCTATAGTCCCAGTGCTTTGGGAGGCTGAGAGGAAAGGATCACTTTTGCTCAGTAGTTTGAGGCTGCGGTGAGTTATGACTGTACCACTGCACTCTGGCCTAGGTGACACAGTGAGACCCTGTCTCTAAAACCACAAAAAACAAAACAAGAACAACAAACTAATAATTTAAAAAAAGGAATAAGAGGCCCCTTTTAAATGGATATTGTGTAAGGAAGCCCCACCCAGCAACCTTCACTTATTTCTGATTGGCCAGATCTGAGTTACAAGGGAGTTCAGGAAGGTGATTACTATAGTTCCCAGTATTTATAGTATTGTTTTATAGTATGGTTGGGGCTGTAGATGTTTGGGACTGGTTATTGATATGCCAACTAAGACTAACTGCCACCTTGTGTGTAAATATAAAGTCTGAATCTCTTGTATTATTGTGGTGCATACTTACATACAGATAAATCCCAGAATATTTGTAAATTTTAGAAAGGCGCATTTGGTCCTAAATACAAATTCTTTCCCTTATTTCTTTTCTGGATGATTAAGCTCTGCTATAATCTATCCAATCTATATCCTAATATGAACATTTGTTTTAACCCACTGGTTGGTCATGCTTCTGATACCTGGGGTTATTCAGATCAGCCTGTATTTTCATTTTTTTTGCTTTAATAAAGATACCTGATCAATATAAGAAAAAATTGATAGTAGAGAAATGTACAAAGAAAAAATAAAATCCACCTGAAATCTTAAAACTCAAAATAACTATATACTGTTTACATCATCATGAACATTCATCCAGAGATCTCTGCGTCTTGCTGTCTCTATCCATATACACATGTATGTATACACACACGCATATATATTTAATATGTCTAATTTAACACATTTTTTCTTTTTAAGTTCTGGGATACATGTGCTGAACGTGCAGGTTTGTTACATAGGTATACATGTGCCATGGTGGTTTGCTGCACCCATCAACCCGTCATCTAGGTTTTAAGCCCCACATGCACTAGGTATTTGTCCTAATGCTCTCTCTCCCCTGTCCCCCCACCCCCTGATAGGCCATGGTGTATGATGTTCCCCTCCCTGTGTCCATGTGTTCTCACTGTTCAACTCCCACTTATGAGTAAGAACATATGGTGTATGGTTTTCTGTTCCTGTGTTAGTTTGCTGAGGATGATGGTTTCCAGCTTCATCCATGTCCCTGCAAAGGACATGAACTCATTTTTCATGGCTGCATAGTATTCCCTGATTACACATATGTATTTAGACATATATAAATTTTACGTCTATGAAATACGGATAAATGTAACATTCTACAACCTTTATTCACTGAATGGTATGTAACAGTCATTTTTCCACGTGTAGATCTATGTCTAGTTTTCTATCATCTTTTTAATAGCTGTCTGGTAGTCTCTTGTTTGTACGTACCTTATTTGTTGCCTAACAAAATATTAATAGACTATGTGCACCATGACAATGCTTAGTTTTTTTCTCCAGCCTGATCCCACTGCTCGTGTGTCCTAACTGTGCGGTAAAATCTCTTTAAGTACTAGATTAGACTATGCTGAGAAGAATAGTTTAAACGCTTCATATTGTAATTGAGAGGCAGAATGATATGTTGTGGAAGTCACAAGATCTGAGTTGTAGTCCCAGCTGGGCTACTAGCTATGTGAACTTCAATAAAACACATGTACTTTCTGGGCTCAGTTTCTACATCTGTGAAATAATGACATGAGTATAGGTAACATATAAGGTCTCTTCCATCAGCCCTTATGTTTTGTGATTTTTAAACCTTATCTTCCATTATTACTCAGTTATCAGGTTTTTGGGAACACAGACCAAGTCTAGATTATTATTTATGTGTAGTCCAGAGGCTGGCACTTAGTAAGTGTTAAATATTTGTTGAATGGCTGAATGCAAATGCCAGCTCACATGCATTCTAAATTATTCTGCAAATGGAACAAGACCATTCCCCTGTTTAAAATTTTTACCTGAATATGAATGTAGAGAAACTTTCCAGAGTTGTTTGTCTTTCCATTTGGTCAGATCTTATTTTATGACTTTTGGCAAGATTCGATAGATTATTTATAAAAGTCCTAAGCCTGCCTTGTTAAATTTCTCCTGAAATATTTTACTCAGTTTGTCTTGTAAATGAAACATCTCCCATTTCCATTTCTTTTCTTTTGAGACAGGATCTCACTCTGTTGCCCACGCTGGAGTGCAGTGGCGCAATCTCAGCTCACCGCAACCTCCACCTCCCGAGTTCAAGTGATTCTCCTGCCTCAGCCTCCCAAGCAGCTAGGATTACAGGCACCTGCCACCATGCCTGGCTAGTTTTTGTATTTTTAATAGAGGTGGGGGTTTCACATTGTTGGCCAGGCTGGTCTCAAACTCCTGACCTCAAGTGATCTAACTGCCTCAGTCTCCCGCAAAGCGTTGGGATTACAGGCGTGAGCCACCGTGCCTAGCTGCCCATTTCCATTTCTTGGGCCTTACTGAAAGTATAAAGAAAAGTTATTTATCATTGTATATTTATCTTGCATTTAGCTATCTTATCAAATTTCTTATTAATTCTAGACATTTTTCTTTTTTAACTAGAGTTTTTAGGGCTTCTGGAAAGAAAATCACATCAATCTAGAGTTTTATCTCTACTTTTTAAATGTTTACATAGATTATTTCATTTTCTGGTCTTTTGAATTTTCTCATAACTTTAGGACAATACTGACCAATATGCAGTTAAATTTATCAATCATTTTTATGGCTAGCACTTTTTGTGTCTGCTTAGGAAGCCCTCCCATAAGGTCACAAAGACATATCCTTTTATTTTCTTTGGCAACTTTTATAATTTTCCATTACATTTAAGTTTAAAATTTATCTGGAATCCATTGATCTGAAAATATGGCCTGAGATATGGATACAATTTTACTTTTTACTTCCATGGATAACCACTTATCTGAGTAGTATTTATTAAATAGTATACTCATCCCCAAGTAATTTGTGATATTATTTCTAGCATATATCAAATTTCTATAGTTGGTCTGTGTCTGGTCCTCTCTTTGCCATTACTTGGTTTGTCTATTGCTGAAGCAATCCCACACTGTTTGAACAGCCATTGATACCAAGCTTTATAAGAAGTCTTGGTATCTGTGGGTCATTTTCTTCAATCTTGTACTGTTTCTCGTTCAAGAGTTTGTTTTCTGTCCTTGGACCTTTGAATTATTTCCATAAAAGCTCTAGAATCTACTATTCCTTTCTACTTTTTGAGACAGAGTCTTGCTCTGTCACAAAGGCTGGAGTGCAGTGGCATAATCCCTGCTCACTGCAACCTCTGCCTCCTGAGCTCAAGTCATCCTTCCACCTCAGCCTCCCCAGTAGCTGGGACTGCAGGTGCATACCACCACACTGGCTAGTATAGTGCCAGGCTGGTCTCAAATTCCTGGCCTCAAGTAATCCGCCCACCTCAGCCTCCCAAAGTACTGGGATTACAGGTGTGAGCTACTGCACTCAGCCCGGAATCTACTTTTCAAATTCCAAACATTTTTTAAAAATCTGTTGGGGCCTTAGATTAGAATTAAATTGAATTATTATATTAATTTGGAATAATTGCTATTAAGACTACTTATCATGTATCTCTGCATTTATTTAGGTCTTCTTTAATGTCTTTCACTAAAGTTTTAAAATTTTTCTCTCTAAGGTTTTAAACATCTTTCATTAGATTTATTTCTAAGTAACTTAAAATTTTTTCTGGTTTTGTATATGACATTCCTGATGGTTTTAAAATATGTTCACACATTGTTTGAAATTCTTCCTTTTAAAGGGTGGTGGTGCTTCCTCCTTTCAGTCCCTGGCAGGCAAAAAAAAAAAAAAGGTGGGGCTGAATTCTCCTCCTGTTAGGTGTGGGATAAACTCAGTGACTTGTTGCTGCTAAGGAATAAAATAAAGCAGAAGTAATTTTAAAATGACACCATAAAATGTGCTGTGGTTTTGGCTTTCTTCTTTCTCTTTCTCAGAGCACCCTTTGTGCAAGAAGGCAGTGCTATGTCATGAGGATAATCAAGCAGCCCTACAGAGAGGTCCACATGGAGAGAACTGAGGCTTGCTTGAACTCTGTGAGATGTTGTTTTAATTTAAACAACAAAATTTAAACTAAATTTTGGGATAATTTGTTACAGACTAGTATATAAATAATATATCTTTTTAAAAATTATGTTTTCTATTTGTTTCTGGTTTACAGAAATTAAAGTTTTTACATTATTCTCCTAGCCAGTTACTTTATTTAGCTCTCTTCTTAATTTCAGTAATAATACATTTCAATAGATTCTATTGAGTTTTATGTAGACAGTCATCTTCTATGTACTTAATGGCAGCTTTGAGTCTTTCTCTCCAATCCTTATTTATTTTTCTTCTCCATGCAGATGGCTTAGTCTTTGATATAGTATCAACTAGAAAAAATGATAGTGAGTATCCTTGTTCTGTTCTTGATTTTAAGGGGATTTTCTAATATTTTTCCATTTAAGAATACCATCTTAGAGGTTTCTGATGGATATCCTTATTAGATTAAGGGAGTTCTTTCTAACTCCTGGTTGCTTCTGTCAAGATACATACACACACACACACACACACACACACACACACACACACACACACTCATACTGCTGTAGTTTATATTTCTGTATGGAATTAACAAATCAGAAGGTGCACACACATTTATTAATAACATATTGCTGGATATTGTCAAATCACCCTCTAAAACACTGCACGGATATAAAATCCAACCAATAATATATGTGGATGCCTACTTTTCCACATTTCACCAACCCATGTTTCTTCAATGCGACTCCACATTTTCTTAATAATAAAAACCAACAGTTATACAGCAGTTACTTTTCCCCAGGCACTTTTCTACGGCTTCATTTATATTAGCTCATTTAATCCTTACAAAACCCTTTCAGGTATACTATTGTTATCCTAAATTTATAGTTGAGCAACTGTGGCACAAAAAAACTAAATAACTTGTCCAGGGTCTCCCTACTACTAAGTGACATAGTCAGGATTTGAATACAGACAATCTGGCTTCCAAGTTCACACTTATTTATTTATTTCTTTTTAGACAGGGTCTCTGTTGCCCAGGCTGGAGTGCAGTGGCATCAACATGGCTCACTGCAGCCTTGACTTTCTGGCTGAAACTATCTTCCTGTCTCAGCCTCCTGGGTAGCTGGGATTACAGATGCATGCTACCATGCTTGGCTATTTTTTTTTCTTTTCATAGAGATGGAGTCCTGCCATTGTGCCCAGGCTGGTCTTGAACTCCTGGACTTCTCCTGTCTTACCCTCCCAAAGTGTCGGGATTACAGGCATGAGCCACCGCAAGTTCATTGTGTGAGCCACCAGCCCCAAGTTTATGCTCTTAAACATTGTCCTGAACTGCCTTTTATAGCCAATAGCTATTGGGTGCTTGCTGTGTGGTGAGAGCAAGTAATTACAATCAGTACAACTGCCTTCTAAGGTACACACTATTATTATTCCAGTACTTTGGATGTTGCAGCACAGGACACACTTTTGCTGCTGAGGGAAAGCATCGGTTGGACGGTGGCTTGACAGAGTGGTTGATCTTCCTATGCCCTTTGATCTCCCAAGAAGTAGTTCCTACAGGTCATCAGGATTTGCCCCTGGGGCTGGAGCTAGGTGTGATATATTGCATGATTAGTGTGGAAGGCACGTAGTTGTAGTTTGACTTTTATTTATTTGTATTTTTATTTTAGAGTTGGGGTTTCTCTCTCTCTCTGTCACTCAGGCTGAAGTATAGTGACATCATCATAGCTCACTGCAGTCTTGAACTCCTGGGCTCAAGCAGTCCTCCCACCTCAGCCTCTCAGTAGCTGGGACTACAGGTGCACACCACCGCATGCGGCTAATGTAGTTTGAATTTAGTAAGGATCATATTCATATCCATATTGAACAAGAGACAGTCTGAAAGAGCAAGAGATCAGGGGAGAGAAACGCTTACTTTAATCTTGCCTTCATCACTTACCAGCTAGGGTTTATTTAAATCTGAGCCTTAGATTTTTTTCATCTCTAAAATGGGGATAATAATAGCTGCTTGGTGGTGGTGGTGTGAGAATTAAGTAAGATGGTGTGTATAAAGTATCTGGCCTGGTGCCCGGCATGTGGTACTTGCTCTGCAAATGTCCTTCTCTTTTCCCAAGGGCAGTTAACTGTTGAGATAATAGATCTCTGTGTGTGAAGGGTACCAAACCAGCCCCAACTAAAACCTAAAACCTAGTGAATAATCCACACATAGACAATTGAGAGTAGATTATATACGAGGAACTATTTTCATTAATGTCAAAGAAATGTATGATATCTTATTGTGTGCCAGGCACAATTCTCAATCCATTAAATGTACTTAATTTTCAAAATCCTCAACCAACTCTGTGTGTTAGAACATTTATTATTATTACTTTGATTTTGTGGACAAAGAAACTGAGTGAGAACGCAGTTAAGTAATTGCTCTGGGTTGCAAAGCTAGTAAGTAGTAGATCTGGGATTCAAACTCAGGCTATGTGGCTTCAGAGTCTTAACGTGATAAGACCAGCTAGCAAATTCACACTTTGGGTTTCTGTTTGGCAGTCCATTTCCAGTTTTTATTTAAGTTTGACACCTTCCTTGATTATATCCAACAGTGCATATTAAAGTTAAGTTAATTTGAATTTTTAGCACTGTGTCTGTTTCATAAGAGATCATCCATCTATCCATCTACCACTTCCCTTATTCATTCAGCAATATTTATTAGGTCCTTAAAAAGGCAGGACAATTGCATAAGAAGACTTGAAGTCAAAAGACCTGGCTCCAAATCATGTCTTTTTCATTTCCTTTCTGTGTGACCTTGGGTAGGTCATTTAACTTATCTGAGCCTCAGTCTCTTCAGGTTAAATGGAGGAAGTAATACCTACTTCTCTGGGTTATTCTGATGCTTAGGTGAGATAGTAATGAAAAGAAAAACAATTTGGAAAATAAAGTGCTCTGCAAATGTTATTTGATATGACTATTTCACAAAGAGGAGCCAGCCAGAAGCCTCTGCTTACTTAAGCAACAACTTAGCTTTGGGAATTAGATATGAATTAAATTGCTCTCTGTCCTTCTTTTATTGTTGAGTTTGAGCCTCAGCTGTGGCACCCGCATGTGAAGAAAAAGAGAAGAAAAAAGAAGGGAACCCTCTTCTTTGTATGCAAGTGTCTTCATGGGAAAGTGATAGGTTTGTCTGGCAGCAGGGTGTTGCCTCCTCCATGGTCCGGAATACAAATGGAAATGTTACACTACAAAATGATTAGCATTTCCTTACACAGAAAAGATGTTAAAGGTAAACAAGGGGCTTGTGGGACTTGGTGGAAGAGGTGAAGCGTACTAAGGAGCTCCTGCTGCCGTGCTGCGGAAGACCAGCCTTCTGACCGCCCAGAAGCATTTCAGGCCGCAAGGAACTCCGATTTAAATTGCAGAGGACTTTTTTTTTTTCCTTCTCATAAATTGCCTTGTGTGTCGTTGTCCTTTGAGAGAGTTGGTTCCTGGAGTGACTGGCAGCATTGGAATAAACTAATTATAAGTGAAAGTTAAATACCAATTCCTGGGCCCACTCCTCAAGGAGACTTATTCTTTGGATCTGATCATCTGCATTTTTAAAAGCTCCTGGGAGGATGCTAATTCACCACGAAATATGGGACTCATGGCTTGAAGATGGGGATGAACTGAAGCATATGGTAATCAGACTAATGAGTTTTGGGGACTAACCAGGTTTTTGGAATGCTTCTGTCCCAGGTCCTGTTCACCTCCATTTTCCATTACCTTCTCTCTATTTTCATGAAAACCAGTTTTCAGAATAGTTTATAGGACAATCGCAGCATGCCAGTTTTAAATCACTTTAATCAATGCCATTCTTTATCAACCATTTCATGAGAGCGGAGGTGAACGATTTTAGGAGGTTTTTTGCCTTATCCTTTCAAATTCACGCCCCCAAGGTACAGCTCTGTGATTGATATTTGAGAACACTGTTTCCGTGATAAAATCTCAGTGCTCAGTTCTCTGTTCATTTGCTTTTTTTGTGCTATGGGTGGCAAGTACTGCTGGGTTAGGCTGTGCCTGAACAATGCCAAGAAAGAAAGAGAATAACCTTTGCCGTGTTTTATCTTCAAGATCTTTGGAGGTCATGAAATGTAAGGCAAGTTGTTAGTGAAGGCTTTGGAATACACTGTTTCCTAAGAGCTGATGAAAGATGGGGAACATAGCCACACTTGTGACTTAGGAATGCAAGTAAGTGTGTTGACTGTGATGTTGTGATTAAACATAAGTTAAAAGATGTGTTCATATACCTGTTTTGGCAGCTTATTTTTTTTTTAGACAGAGTCTTCTCTGTCATTCAGATTGGAGTGCAGTGGCACGATCATGGCTCACCCCAGCCTCGACCTCCCAGGCTCAAGTGATGCTCTCTCCTCAGCGTCCTGAGTAGCTGGGACCACAGGTGCATACCCTACACCTGGCTAATTTTTTCCATTTTTTTGTAAAGATGGAGGTCTCGCTTTGTTGCTATTTTGACAGATTACTTCTTAACCAACAAAACCTGTGCATTTGGATTCTGGTTTCTGACATTAACTGTGTGACCAAGTACAAGTGGCGTAACCTCTCTGCTTGCAGTTTCCTCATCTGATGAAAGGATTTAACAATGCGCAATTTGCTTGGCTGTTTTGAAGTTAGGATAAGACAAGGATGTGTCTTGTACATAATAAAAGATAGTTTCCATCCGATCTGGAGCCAGCTTCCACCTTCTCAGTTTGTCCTGGAGTGTAAAGTGGCAGCTACTGCGAGACTAATCAGTCTTGATAGGAGAATCTATTTAGTTGAGCTGATGCGCCTCAATGTTGCTTTGTAAAAAAGATGCTGGGATACATATTGGTGCATATAACTTCATAAAGTACTACGTGACAATGCATAATGTAGTGGCTTGGGAGCTCTAGAAGACAACAAAGGAGATTGTTGAAATGTGCTTTGCAAAATGGCTATGAATCCAGGAGGGTGTATTAGTGGTATCCCTACTGGTCCACCCCAGTATTTATTTAATATCAATGGGCCAGCTGTAGGAAGGTCTCATTATATAGTTGGTAACATGATGTCATCATGGTTGGATTCCACTTGCCATATAAGATTCCGGAAGGCAGGGATGTTTAGTTAGTAAATTTTGAGCTAAGTAGTAACAGATCAGTTTTTCCTATTTTATGTTGGGGGATGAAGATACAACAAATGACTATTGCTACATGGAAGAAAGCAATCTGAACAGGAGCTGAGAATTTCTGGGTTCCAAATTCAACATCATTTTCTTGGGTGACGGTCATCAAGATAAGAATAGGCGCTCAACCAAGAAAGAGCACCCAGATAGCAAGTTTTGTGCTGAACACTGAGATCCAGGCTTAGCCCTCTTTGATAAGAACAGAAGCTTAGCAAAGAGGGCTGAAGTCTCATAGTTGCCAAAAGCACTTTTCAAAGCTATTTTCTCATTTAAGCCTTACAACAGCCCTGTGATGTCAGTGTTTGAAATCCTCATTTGGCTTGGGAGGAAGGAAGACACAGGGCCATAAAGTGGCAGGGTTGGGAATGGATTCTTGGGCCCAGGATTTTCCCTGTATGAAATGGCCTCTGTCAAAAATAAGGTGAGGTTTTGATGGTAGTATGATAGTATAAAGCCCAGGGGGCCTAGAAATACTGAAATCTTACCTCCCCAATGAGGTGGATACATTTACCTGGTGACACAGGACAACAAGAATAAAAATAATTAAAATTAAAAATTTTAAAAAAGCAAAAGATTTTTTTTTCTCTTTCTTTCATTCCTTTTTTTTTTTTTTTTTTTTAATTTAGAAATGGAGTCTCACAGTATCAACCAGGCTGGAGTCCAGTGTGTAATCATAGCTCATGGCAACCTTGAATTCCTGGGCTCAAGCAATCCTCCTGTCTCAGCCTCCCAAGTTGCTAGGACTACAGGCATGTGCCACTATATCTGGCTAATTTTTTTTTTTAATTTTTGTAAAGTTGGGATCTTGCTATGTTGCCCATCTGGCCTTGAACTCCTGGACTCAAACATTCTTCCCTCCTTGGCCTCCCAAAGTGCTGGGATTACAGCCGTGAGCCACCATACCTAGCCTCAAATCTGAAATTCTGAGTTAGCAGTCCAGGATGGGGCTAGAGAATTTGCATCCTCATGGACCACAATAGCAAGCAGCACTGACCTACAGGATATAGCCTAGGCTTTTTAACCTCATCGAATGGACTTCCATACCTAATTTTTTACTGTCTCTTTAGCATCATTACATGCCATCAGGTCACTTTTCACTTCATGTAGCACGTGTAGCATGGTGTTTGGGGAGTACTACAAAAATTTTGTTTCAAGGCTCTATCTGCTGTTTTTCTTAAACCTCTTCCTAATTTCTCCCAAAGGAGAGAAAGTTGCTGTGAGTTGAACTGACTCTGGAATAGTTTTTGGGCTATATTTGCCATATATGTGGAAAGATTAATGATTGAAAGTGTCATCTCTCTCTTGTTTATTCTGCACTGATGGGCTAGGACCCACTTCACTGCTCAAGGACCTCTGGCCTGCTTGTTCTGTCTCATTCTCACCTCTCTTCCACCCAAGTGTCAGAAGTGGTAGCATAACCATTGGGAAGAGTAGGCCTGACTCCTTCATTATCGGTCTCTCAGTGGCTCTCCATGTTTCTGTGTGTCTCTGTCTTTCTTGTTCACTTCTGAGGCAGGAGGATCACTTGAGCCAAGCAGGTCAAGGCTGCAGTGAGCTGTGATTGCACCACTGCACCCCAGCCTGTCTCAAAAACAAAAACAAAAAACGAACCTGGGGCCTGGGAAATTGTGTGTTAATTCCCTTGAGGTGACTTTTGCATTGGCTACAGTATGAGAACCACTGGACTGGTTCACCAGAAGGGACTGAAAGGTTTCAGGGAAGGATGGGGCATATTTGGTATTTTCAGGGTGGTTATACAGCCTATCACCCCTTCACCTGATGGCTTCCATCTCCTCAACCCACCAGCCAGGGTTGGGCTTTCAGCCGCTGTTTTAATTTGCCTAATATGGCCTGTACGACTGTAGCTGATTGGGCCATGTGAAGACACCTAACCCAAGCTAGGCCAATCAGATGATCACTCCCACATTCCCTGGTTTGCAGGAAGTCCAATTTGTTTCATTCACTTACCTCAGAACCAGTTGGGTTGTCCTTCTATGCCTACTATGTCTACTATGTCTACTTCTTTATTTTTCTATTTATGTCTTCCTTACGTGGGTTTCTTCTTTTCCTTGGACCTCTATCTGACCTACCCTTGCCTGGTTTTTCTCTTGTCTCTCTCTCTTGCCTTATTATTCCCTTTTCTGCTTTCACTCAACCCTGTCTTCTTCATTTAGCCTATGAAAATATAAAATGAAATTATTGTATACCTCTAGAAGTTGTATATTTATGGAATAAAGTTTTATGTTCCTTGCTCTGAATTTAAAAGCAGTGTAACTTAAATTACATAATTGTAATGATCATTCCTATAATAGAATCTATGCAACCTTAAAAATAAAAGGTGAGCCCAATCAATGCCTATTTCCATTTTTCAGATTTTAATTAACATCACCTAAACTGGGGATTAAGTAACTTGTGGCCTTTGAATCTGCTTTTTATACCTATTACTGCAGTTTTCTTCATTACAGATGATCCCCCAAACACCAATTTCCCATTGGCTCCAGTTGTTCAAGGTAGTAAAACTGCACATAAAAGAGCTTTTAAAAAATAGCCTAAATCTGGAATGTAATCAAGTGTACCACAAACATAGTTGCCTCATCAACAACAAATACTGTTTATATCCCCTATGGATTGAGAGTCCCTGATACGTGCATCAGGAACCGTCTCTGAGTAGTACATCCTCATTCTTCTCTGGTTCCCTGGTGGTCTATCATCTATTCAATCCAATTTAGTTGAACAAACATTCATTATGCACCTATTAAGTGTTAGGGATTTTCAGATAGTGTGCTACCACTTTTAAATAACAGAGAAGCTTCCCATTAGCGCACACATTGCCCAACTCCGCTAGCTGAGCCTGGTGAGTATAAATAAATGGAGATACAGGTTGAGTATCCCTTATCTGAAATGCTTAGAAGCAGAAGTATTTTGAGTTTTGAATTTTTTTCAGATTTTGGAATATTTACATTATACTTACAGGTTGAGCATCCCAAATCTGCAAATCCCAAATGTGAAATGAGTATTTCCTTGGAGCATCATGTCAGTGCTCAAACAGTTTCAGATTTTGGAACATTTTGGAGTTTTGATTTTTGAATTTGGGGTACTCAAGTTGTATTAGCATTGGGCAAAGGAAAGTTAATGAACGTAGGCTGAGCACCACAGTGGGCTCTGTGCCAAACAGTACAGTCATACAGGCCATATTAGGCAAATTAAAACACAGCTGCTGAAAGCCCACCCCTGGCCGGTGGGTTGAGCCGATGGAAGCCATCAGATGAAGGGGTGATAGGCTGTATAACCACCCCCAAAATACCAAGCTAGGTGCTTTTGGTGTATTAGAGTTTAATTATCACAACAATTTTTGAGCTTAGGTGTTATTGTCACCCTTTTTACTGATGGAGAAACGGAGGCTTTAATAAGTTAAATGAATTGCAAAACAAGTCGTAATTACTGTTTATTTTTTGGTGTATTTTTTTATTGTGGTAAAATACGTATAATGTAAGCATAATATATAACCTAACATAACATTTGGCCACGTGCGGTGGCTCATGCCTGTAATCCCAGCACTTTGGGAGGTCGAGGCAGGTGGACCCCTTGAGGTTAGGAGTCAGAGACCAGCCTGGCCAACACGGTGAAACTCCGTCTCTACTAAAAATACAAAAATTAGGCGGCGTGATGGTACGTGCTTGTAATCCCAGCTAGTCAGGAGACTGAGGCAGGAGAATTGCTTGAACCTTTTGAACAACAACAACAAATGTAACATTTAACCATTTTTAACTGTACAATGCAGTGACATGAA
The DNA here is from genome assembly GCF_000001405.40 of Homo sapiens. Lineage (NCBI taxonomy): Eukaryota > Metazoa > Chordata > Mammalia > Primates > Hominidae > Homo > Homo sapiens. The sequence goes on along the minus strand of NC_000009.12, from coordinate 2,695,606 downwards.
ATATATCCATGATGTAGTATAATCATTACTACTATTTCCAAAATTTTAAATTATCCTACACAGAAACTCTATACCCATTAAACAATAATTTCCCACTACTCCCACCTCACCCACCTTGGTAGCCTCTATTCTACTTTCTGGTCACTATTGTTTCTAATGATACTTAGCTGGCATTACTGGGAAGCAGCAGAATGTGGTGATGTGAATGACGGCTCTAACACCAGAAGCCAAAGTTCAAAACTTGACTTCTTTAGGCCTAAAATTTATTTTTGTAAATCTAGCACACTAATTGCAATTTCTTTTTCCATTTCAAGCAGAAGAGGCAAGGTCTCAGCTGTATTTTGGTCAGAAAAGCTAGATAACTTCATACATAGGAAATGACTAGTTGGCTTCAGAATATAGAACTCAGGAAGACATTTCTGATGGAAATTACAAGGATATATTAATAGTGGTGCAGTCCGGGCGCGGTGGCTCACGCCTGTAATCCCAGCACTTTGGGAGGCCGAGGCGGGCGGATCACGAGGTCAGGAGATCGAGACCATCCTGGCTAACACGGTGAAACCCCGTCTCTACTAAAAATACAAAAAGTTAGCCGGGCGTGGTGGCGGGCGCCTGTAGTCCCAGCTACTCGGGAGGCTGAGGCAGGAGAATGGCGTGAACCCGGGAGGCAGAGCTTGCAGTGAGCCAAGATCATGCCACTGCCCTCCAGCCTGGGCGACAGAGCCAGACTCCGTCTCAAAAAAAAAAAAAAAAAAAATAGTGGTGCAAAGAAGTTATGAGGGGCCAGGGAACCTTCTGATTTGTGGAAGGATCCCAAAGTGTAGGTTATAAGTCTGGTGCTGAAAAAGAAAAATCTTCTTTTTTTTTTTTTTAGATGGGGTTTCACTCTGTCGCCCAGGCTGGAGTGTCTCGGCTCACTGCAACCTCTGCCTCCCAGGCTCAAGTGATCCTTCCACCTCACCTCAGCCTCCCAAGTAGCTCGGACCACAGGCATACACCACCATGCCCAGATAATTTTTGTGTTTTTGGTACAGATGGGGTTTCACCATGTTGCCCAGGCTGGTCTCAAACTCCTGAGCCCAAGTGATCCGCCCGCCTCGGCCTCCCAAAGTGTTAGAATTACAGGCATAAGCCACAGCGCCCAGCCTTCAAAAAGAAAAATCTTAACTAGCAACAGAGACACACACACACACACACACACACACACACACGCACGCACAATTGATCCTTTTTATCTGGACAAGCCTGACTAATTATCTATGTACCTATCTATCTATGGACCAATGTGTAGCTTAAAATATTGGTACCCATTCTGCCTTGATCCGAGGGTAAAGAGCTCTCAGAGTTCTCAACAAAACAACTTGAAAGTAGCATTTCACTTGTCAGAGAGCGAGGATAACTGTACCTGAGGTAAACACACATCCAGTTCCCTTTGAGGTGCAGCTGAATAAGTGTAGCAACCAAACTATCTCCAAAGTAACAACTTTACACGACCCAGCAAGTTCACAGCAAAGTCATACAAGTCTAGGGAAATCACAGTGTTCCTTGAGAAGTGTCCCAGCCTGGGTCTTTGAAAGATGGACACACTTGTCATCTGCTAGAAGAAACCTTGGAGAAAAACAGGTCTAGGGGTGACAGCTGAGGCCAGCCCATATGAGCCAATTAATTTTGGTCTAATAGCTGTACCTGTCTGAACCAGGTTAATAGTATCTATTGCATAAAGCAGATCTGGGCATTAAATGAGGAAATTTATGTCAACAGTGCTCGGCCATTGCCTGGCACAAAGAAAACGGTCAAGAAATACGATTTCTCTTAATGGCAGTAGAAGCTGCTGTTTCTAAAGCATTTCCTATGTTGTCAAAATTATATATTTTTCTTCTTTACGTCTTGCAAAGGAAGCATTATCATCTTGGCTTTTTGTTTTGTGTGTGTGTGTGTGTGTGTGTGTGTGTGTGTGTGTACAGATGAGGAAACTCAATCTCAGAGAAGTTAAATAATGGCCCGAGGCGCAGCTGGAAAGTGGTGGGACTAGAATTTAAGGCAGGCCGTGTGGGCTTCCTCAGTCGGCCTGCTCACCAGCCTGCTTTCATCTTTCAACACTCACTGCCCAATCTGACCTTACATAGTGGGCTCTAAAAAATAAAGTCAACCCAGAAGCCAGATATTTATTTGTTAGTAAGGGATGAGGGGAGAATATCGGGGGAAAATACTTGAGGATGTGTCCTGGCTTTACCTATTCTCCTCTGGATGGGCAAAGTTATGGACTTATTTCTTCAGACTTTTGGCAGTTGTTTGTTCCCACCAAGGAGGGCAGTGTCACTACATCAGTGCCACCAACTCAGTGGAGGGAGACAGGTGGTGATGCTGAACAGTTTCAGTGACAACATAAATCACAGCTGTTCACCCCATCAGTATCAAAATGGGGATAGGCTAGAGAGCTAATCGGGTTACAGGGTTGTTCAAAGAAAGATATTTGGAGGCAAATAGTTTCTGTGGAGACTATCTTATCCTCCATGACCTTGCTGGTGTATTCCGGTGTCCCTCCTAGCAGAGGGGTGTGGAGTTTGGGACCATAGATTTTGTAACATTTAATTCAACTCTGAAGCATGAATTCGCATTTAAAATAAAAGCAGTTTGGGGCTAGGTGTGGTGGCTCATGCCTGTAATCCCAGCACTTTAGGAGGCTGAGGAGGGCAAATCACTTGAGGTCAGGAGTTTGAGGCCAGCCTGGCCAACATGGTGAAACCCCATGTCTACTAAAAATACAAAAATTAGCTGGGAGTGATGAGTCACACTTGTAATCCCAGCTACTTGGGAGGCTGAGGCAGGAGAATCGCTTGTACCTGGGAGGCAGAGGTTGCAGTGAGCTGAGATTGCACCACTGCACTGCAGCCTGAGTGATAGAGTGAGACTCCATCTCAAAAATAAATAAACGAAATTAAATCACATTAAAGCAGTTTGGACTATAAGGTCTTAAAAGTTTTGTGCCTCAAAACTTTGGTGATGCCGTCTTTCCCAGTGGCGCTTGTCTTGTCCTTTTGGCTGACCTATTTTCTTTTCTCCTTTTACTGTGGCCACTCTCTAAGATTCCTTGTTTCTAGGGTCCTTCATTTCTCATAGCTTTGGGGAATTCAAGCCCTTGAAGTGTCACCTCAGGATTGGGTTGCCCTGAATGCCTCCCAACCCATCCTCCTCTCCTCAGTCCTTTCCTAAACTCATCTGCCTTGAATGCAACAACCAGAATTTTCTTACTTTCAACCTTTTACTCAATAGTTTCCAATTATTTTCTCCTTCTCAAGCTTAAGCCTTCTCAAATTGGATCTGACATCCACTTTTATTCAAATAATGTTTTTATCTTATGAAAAAAAGAGATCCATTTAGAATAATAATTGGGGCAACCTCAGTCAACTGAACTTGGAATGAGTATAACCTTCAGGGATAGCAGCCAATCATGAAACATTGCATGGATGGGGTAGCACAGAAAAGCAAAAGTCAACTTGAAAGGATTGCAGTAAAGGCAAGAGGGGAATTTACTTGATAATATAGCAAACTCAATGTTGAAGTGACTATAACATCAGGAGTTATTATTGGAAAGAAGATAATAGGTAGCACTGAAAATGTCATGGGCCCTATGTTTCTTCCTAACCAATGATTCGTTTTTCACTGGACTTACAACAGGAAGTAATTCATCCTGTTATAAAGAATGTAACATTTCCTTCCATTCACATAGCAGGCTGGAGTTTGGTGATTTTACTGGAAATGATGTTTTTTTTCCTTGGAGAGAATTCTGTTTCTATGAAGCACATACAGCTGCTGAAACCAATCTGAAACAGGTTAGAGAGGAAGAGAGGCTCAGCGGCATACAGGATAGCATGAGTTTAACTGGGAACATGTCAGAAGCAGCCAGCAACTTTTTTTTTTAAACAGGGAATATTGAGAGTAAGCAAAGCCTGCTTTTACAGAATTCAACTGATGCATTCCCAGTTAAAGATATTGAGATGGTATGTTAGCAAAGTCTATGAACTTCTTCTGTTAAGTAACTAGAACAGAGAGGAGAGATTTGGACATGTCAGCCAGAAAATGTGGCTCCTATGGAAGAGAGTGAAGGTAAGGTCAGAAGACTATTCCCAGTCCCACTGTGTGTGTTCTTACCTCTGCCTTAGTGATGATGGAATTACATAGCTATTGTGAGTCACTGTGTGCCTGTCCTTTATCACTCATTGTACTGAGGATAAAATCATAAATTGTTCACAGTTTTCATCATAGTCATTGTCAGTAAAATTCTTTTGTCATCTTCATTATGCCCAAAGTTCACCCTTCTCCCTTGCTGCCGTTGATTAGAGGTATTTGGAAAAGATGAGCCCTAGTTGATTTTCAGGTGCCAAGGTAAGTGGAAAGTGCGTCTTCAAAATGCTCATTTTTCCCAACTTCCTTCCATCAGGAGGTGCTGCATCTCACAGAAACAAATTGCATTTTCCATGTGGACTCTCGTTGGATATTAGCTGCCATCTGCTTTGTGCCCTCTCCAGAAACTACTACAGGTCCCTGTCATGGGATGAACTGTGTACCTTCAAAATTCATGTGCTGAAGTCGTAATCCCTAATCCCTCAGAATGTGGCTATATTTGGAGAGATAGTCTTTAAAGAAGTCATTAAGGTAAATGAGGTCATTTGGGTGAACCCAAATCCAATCTATGACTGGTATCCTTATAAGAAGAGATTAGGATACAGACACACAGAGAAGGAAGAACATATGAAAACATAGGGAGAAGGTGGCAATCTACAAACAAAGGAGAGAGACCTGAAAAGAAATAAACTCTGCTGATACCTTGATTCTGGATTTCTAGCCTGCAGAACTGTGAAGAAATACATTTCTGCTGTGTAAGCCACTCAGTCTGTGGTACTTGGTTATAACAGCCCCGTATTATACTAATACGGTATCCTTTCTGCCGCCTGCATTGCTGACTCCTGAATGTGGGGACATAGGCAATTGTGTTTGTTAGACACACAGAAAGGACAGATGTGATCTACATCAAGCCTAGACTCCTGCTCCTTGTTTTCTAGGTTCTCTCCAATCTTCCTCTCCTCTTCTGCATTCCAAGGCTTATCTCTCTGGCATGAACTTTACAGGACCATCAGACAAGGTTCCTTCCTGTCTTGCTCACTGCACCTCCCGTATACATTGCTAAGTTCCACTCCTCCAGTGTCCTGATGTGGTCCCTTCTCCACCCAGCCCCCAAAGCCCAGATTTCAATTGCTCCTCCACTGTTCTCACCTTCTGCTAGACAGGTACCCTGCTTTGTAATTGGTATGACACCATTTCAGGCTTGAATTGTCTTTCTTCACAGCCTTTCCAATTTTTTTTAAAAGGTATATTTAGGCTTACACAGGTACATAAAATGAAGCAAGATAACATACATTTGGCAATGGTGAAAAAGGAAAACAAGGTCAGAGATAAATTAAAGGGAGCCAGGAATGAAGCAAACATCGGAGAGCACGCTCATCTTGCTACAGATTTGGCTCACTTTTCAAGAAACCAACTTAAAAATGGAAACTTTACAGTTACACAATTCACACTGTATATAAAATGGAAACAAACTGATTGCTCAGAAGTAAAACTGTTCCTGATATTATCGAAAGAAGTATATTTCTCCTGAGAGTTCTAAAACTGCTTTATGTAAGAATGGCATTTTCAGCATCTTCACAGTGGCCAAGTGATGAGGTTTTTTGAATGCTGTCACAGCATTATACCAAAGTTTAATTCAGTTAGGCTACAGTAAGTCCTCAGTTAATCCAAGGCCTTAGATTTTCAAGGTCTTAGAGGAAGAAAGGGATTACGTATGCTGCAGGCAGTTCATCATATTGCTTCTTTTAAATGAGCATCGATCAGTACTGGATAACAATGAGCAATGAATTTAGCAATGGCAAAAGCCTACAAATAGAATTCTGGCTTGCCAAGTAAGTTTTGATTGCTTGTGTTAAAGGCGACAAAAGCCAGGAATAGGCCAGCCATGGTGGCTCATGCATGTAATCCCAGCACTTTGGGAGGCCGAGGCGGGTGGATCCCCTGAGGTCAGGAGTTCAAGACCAGCCTGACCAACATGGCAAAACCCTGTCTCTACTAATAATACAAAAATTAGCTAGGCATGGTGGTTCATGCCTGTAATCCCAGCTACTTGGGAGGCTGAAGCAGGAGAACCACTTGAACCTGGGGGGTGGAGGTTGTGGTGAGCTGAGATCATACCATTGCACTCCAGCCTGGGCGAAAGAGTGAAACTCTGTCTCAAAAGAAAAAAAAAAAAAAGAACCAGGAATAAAGATACGATTCCATTTGACAGTGCTCTAAAGCCAAAGACCACCAGGGATGCACCTGAAGTCAAACTGAGTTGGGTTTTTCTTGGCCTGTTGCACTGAGGGAGGCTGCATGTCAAGGGGACACATAGGTGGAAGGCACAGAGAGAAGGTGTGAGAGGTTTACATGATGGGATCTGAGGTGGTGGTAGATGATTTTGGAGAGAGTTCAAGGAAACATGAGTTTGCTCTGGATACGGTGCTGTCAGGAATTGGGCCAATTCTGACTGGGTATCTGAATTTTTATCAAGAAGGCAGGAAGAATAAAGTGTGATTAAAGCTGTGATTATTAAGAAGCTATAGTCTCTCTCATAAGCTGAGAGAAATATTTTGGTAGTTTTCACAGTGGCCTTATTTTTGTCTGTGCTCAGACATGACTATGGGGTGAATGTATTTCTGTCTCACTTTATCTCAGTGATAGAACGGCCTTGTCTAGCATTGTTTTCCATAGTAGCAATACCAAGACCTAACTGCTAGTGCCAGCCAGCTCCCAACTATCAGGGGCTGTGTTTCTTTCTCCCACTCTATAGACTGAGGAGCCTAATGAGTAAGTATGGATGAAACGAAGGAAATGCCTTCAGAGAGACAAGATTTTACCCTAAAACTTTGGTTTGAATCGGTGTAAACATACAGGCAAATAAGGAAATTGAGACCTCTCTTATTTCTTCTAATAAATAATTTAATCATCTAAGTCTTAGGGCAAACCCCTCCCCCAAGCAATATCAAGCTTAAACTTTGATTTTGCTCTTGGCATATAGATCCTGGAGCCTTGGATCATCTGGCTTAGCTGCAGGGCATGTGCTATGTATGAACTTCCCTTTAGCGTTTACAGATTATAGCTGTGACTTCTTCGTGTTACTTATTAAAAATGTAACTCCTTTTTTGTTTACAAAAGCCGAACTTTATATAAACTATTAACTCAAAAAATTATTACTAAAATATTACATTATAGAAAGTATGAAACAGGGAATAAAACCTGTAATTCCATTAGCAACACTAACCCAACTATAGTTATCTTGCTTATTCCTCTAACGACTCTAACCCAACTACTGTAATCTTTGTTTATTCTATCTTTTTCATGAACATTTAAAAATAGTTTTAATTATACTGCATAACATTCTATAATTTGCTATTTTACTTTATAATGTGTTGTTTTTCCTTACATCTGTGCTTTTCCATGTAACTATGGAATCATTTTAATGACTGTTTATATTGGCTGCATAAAATTTCACATAAATTTACCATTTTCTTACTTATATTTCTGATAGAAATATGTAATTATTTTCTTTTATTTCTGTTTTACTAGCATTAGAATGAAGATTTTCCAAGTTTATAGAATTATCTTTTTCTTTAAAAAAGATAATTTCTGGGTCTTTTCAACCCAGAACTTTTCAAGGTTTTCTCTTCATGCTTGAAGTTTGGGAGTTTTGCCAAAATATGGATAAATGTCTCCCTTCTTTCTATAATAGTGCCTGAAGTTTATTAGGCATTTTCAATTTAAAAACTCAGTTTTTTTTTTTAAGGGAAGGTTTTTTTTAACTTCTGCTTCTTCTCCATCTCTTCACTTTTTTCTTTTCTTTTTCTTCTCGTGCTGGTTTCCTGGGTCTGCTTATGTTTTTCCTCAAGATTACTAGACCTTTGTATTTTTTTCCTTGAGGATATACTTATTTTATCCTTTTGATCTTCCAGGCCATTGAATTTGAATATCATCAGTGATCATCGTTTCCTTAAATTCATCTAGTGACTTAAAAAAAAATGAATGCATGTTTTCTAAGAAGTCTTTTGTTATGTGCTGAATTTGAATCCCTTTAAATACTCTTTTTATCATTTACTTTTTCATTTTTTTTTTTTTTTTTTTAGTACATTGCCCTCTGCCTGTTCCAGTCAGTTTTATTTCATGAGGGACCAGCTAATCCTTGTTTATTTTTCCTGTCTCTGATTGTTGAGCCCCCTTAGCATCTGGTTATTTTTCTTTGCTGATCATTGGAGTTCAGTGGCTAGGATACCTTAACTGGGATTGAGGGTGGGGTGAGATTGTCTGAGAAACAGAAGGTGTGGTGATCTGACCCTGAGAACTGGCTGGGCTGCAGTGAGAAGTCATCAACTCCCTATCATGGCATGAGGAAGGGTGGAGGAGGAGGGAGGTTCTCCGTGGCTTTCCCAGCCTCAGGGGGAGCTCTCCGTCCACCCTCACAGCTCCTCATGAGCTTCTCTGGGCCTGGCGAGACTGGCCAATGTCAACTTTGTCAACTTTCCCTACAGAGGTTCAGCGATCTCAGGAGATCAAGCTATTCCCAGGAGCTGGCTGCTTCAGATCCTTGCTTTGGAACTACCTTCTGCTGCCTCTGCCTCCCAGGCTCCCACTTGGCCCAGAGGGTGGACACACCACACTGGTGTGCAATGTGTGTAACGTGTGTGTGCAGTTTTGCCAATTCACTGCCTGAGTGGATGCTAGGCTGAGGGGAGTGAGAGAAAGCTGAGGAGGAGCTGTGTGTCTAGGAAAGGCAGGAGACACCAATGCACTATCTTTCTAGATTCTCCTGCTGCCATGCTTTCTAGAATTATTTTAAATATTTCAGCTCAGTTATTCTTTCCTATAACTTTAGAAGAAATCATTCTGTGAATTTTTCTTGGGGTGGGGGAAGGAGGTAAATTAGCATCTTTCAAATATTTACTCATGGAAGATATGGCTCTATATTAATTCAAGCCTTCTTTATTATAAGTTTCATTATTTTTTATGTATAAAGTCACACACTTTTCTCATTAAGGTTTTTTCAGATACTTGGTATGAATCGTATTTCTTTTATTTTTCTCATTATATTTTCTTTTTAAGTATGTTCATATTAATTTCAAGATGCAGGCCGGGTGTGGTGGCTCACACCTGTAATCCTAGCACTTTGGGAGGCCGAGGTGGGCAGATCACTTGGGGTCAGCAGTTAGAGACCAGCGTGAACAACATGGTGAAAACCCATCTCCACTAAAATTACAAAAATTAGCCATGCCTGGCAGTGTGCACCTGTAATCCCAGCTACTTGGAAGGCTGAAGGGAGAATCGCTTGAACCCAGGAAGCAGAGGTTGCAGTGAGCCAAGATCGCGCCACTGCACTCCTGGGAGACAAAGGGAGACTCTGTCTCAAAAAAAAAAAAAAAAAAAAAATATATATATATATGTATATGTGTGTATATATATGTGCGTATATATGTATATATACGCACATATATGTATACACGCACACACACACACACACACACACACACAAAAGGGTAGAAAGTAAAACCTAAGTCTTCTTCCTGCTCTTGTTTTTAAATGCCAGTGCCCTTCCCCAGAGGAAACTATAGCTGTTAGTTGCTATAAATTCCTTTCGACCGGGGGTGGACAAACTTTTTCTGTAAAGCCCCAGGTAATAAATGTTTTACCCTTAGTGGGTCATGAAGTTTTCATCACAACTATTCAATTCTACCATTATTTTGTGGATAGTATGAAGAGTGTGTCGGCCGGACATGGTGGCTGGCGCCTGTACCAACATGGTGAAACCCTGTCTCTACTAAGAATATAAAAATTAGCAGGGCAGAGTGGCACTTGCCACTAAAAAAAAAAAAAAAAGAGTGTGTCTGTGTTCCAGGAAAGTTTCATGGACATTGACATTTGAATTTCATATATTTCATGCCATTATATTCATCTTTTGAATTTATTCTTCTATTTATTTTTTTCAACCATTAAAAATATTTTAAAAATAAAAAAACAGGTAGTGGGCTGGTGTTGGCCTTTGGGCCAGTTTGCTGACTGCTGTTCTACAGGCATTCCCTGCATATTCAAGCACATGTAGATATACTATATTTTTCTTCTGTTTCTTTGTTAATTTGTCTGCAAACAGGCTCCATGTCATATGTATTGTCCTGCACTGAGCTTTTTCTATTAAGGTTTCTTGGTGATCATTCCACGTGGGTTCATAGAATTACTTCTTTTGTTTTATTGGTCATGTGATGTTCAGGCATGTGTCATGATACATTGAGGAGAATTAAGGCTGTTTCTTTTTTGTTGTTGTTTTCTCTTTTTTAAAAAAATCTCTTTCTTTTTTGAGACAGAGTTTTCCACTGTTGCCCAGGTTGGAGTGCAGTTGTGCAGTCTCAGTTCACTGCAGCCTCCACATCCAGGGCTCAAGCGATCCTTACACCTTAGCCTCTCAAGTAGCTGGAACCACAGGTGCATGCCACCACACCCAGCTAATTTTTTTTTTTTTGTTTTAGACCGAGCCTTGCTCTGTCACCAAGCTGGAGTGCAGTGGCGCGATCTCAGCTCACTGCAACCTCTGGCTCCCGGGTTCAAGTGATTCCCCTGCCTCGGCCTCCCTAGTAGCTGGGACTACAGGCACATGCCACCACACCTGGGTAATTTTTTCATATTTTAGTAGAGAAAAGGTTTTGCCATGTTGGCCAGGCTGGTCTCCATCTCCTGGCCTCAAGTGATCTGCCTGCATCAGCCTCCCAAAGTGCTGGGATTACAGGTGTGAGCCACCATGCGGCTGGCCTAAGATTGTTTCTGATGTCTACCTTCTGTAAGTAATGCTGCAACATATATCCTTGTACATTTGCATTTGTGCACCTCTGTGATTCTGTTTGTAGAATAAATTCAAAAAAGTGTAATCAGAACTAACAATTCAGCACAAATATAAGTAAAGTTTCTAACCAGAGACTTGGCTACTTCTGTTACAGTTTTAATGTCCAGATCACAGCAGAACTCTGGGTGATTTTGAATCTTTTAAGCAATCACCTATTAATAGGGATCCTAGAGGATGTGGACAAAATTTGTAGGTACAGGCATGTCTTTACTACCAGTGTGCAGAATGGAGAGGAAAAGAGTAGACAATGGACCCATCCCTTGTAGGACTCTGAAGGCTCCAAATGACCCATCAGGGGTACAGAGTTTCTCTTACTACCCACAGGGGTTGATTGCACTGCACAGATCTGGAGAGGACAGAGTGATGGGGTTTGAGGTAGGATACAAGTATACAGTTTGAATTTTTGTGATTCACCAAGATTACGTCCAAAAAGATGATGAACTATTTTTATAAATGAAAATGTATTTTAATGGCATAGAGGTACTGTCTAAATGAATCTTATGAATCATTTCATAGAGCAAATAGTTCTCTTGAAGCATTAAATGTTTTACAATAAGTCATATTTTGAGTTGGCATGTGACAATTTCTGTTTGCATGTATAAAAAGCTTTTGTACCCAGGATAACAGGTGCCCCAAAAAGCACAAACTGAAGATAATCCAAAATCAGGTGTATCCAGGTCCAGCAAATGACTTAGTCACTCCAGGCTTGTTTCTTTACCTCAAAAATGAGAGGGTTAGGATATTTGCTCTCTAAGCCCCCTTGCAGCTTTGGGACTATGCACAATGTGGACAGTCAAGAAATGCTCAGTAGACTGAAGTCCATGACAGCAGAGGCAGTATCTACTTTTTCTTGTTATGGTGTCACCTGCTACTTAGAATAGAGTATGGCAGGTTGGGCATGGTAGCTCATGCCTATAATCCCAGCACTATGGGAGGTTGAGATGGGAGGATCACATTAGCCTAGGAGCTCAAGACCAGCCTGGGCAATATAGTGAGACTCCCATCTCTAAAAAAACGTTTTTTAAAAAAAGCCAGGCATTATGGCATGCACCTATAGTCCCAGCTACCCAGGAGGCTGAGTTGGCTGGATAGCTTGAGCCCAGGAGTTTGGGGCTGCAGTGAGCCATGATCTCACCACTGCACTCCAGCCTGAGCAACAGCGTGAGACCCCATCTCAAAAACAAATAGTGTATGGCACATAGAAAGCACAGGAAACATTGGTTAAATAGATGAAAAAATGACCAGATTGCAGAAACTTTCCTTTTTGCATTTGCTGTAGACTCTTGTCTGATTCAAAAGTCATTCCTCTTTCCTCCTTTGTATCAGAACTCTGTTACTGTCTAAATTATGTCTACCCTCCTCCACCTTGCCATAAGTTTCAGAGGACATGGTCTTCAGACCTAGTGCTAAAAGGTGGCACTAACCAATTACAGTGGCTTGATTTCTCTTGCTTATGATTGTTGTGAGCATGGTCACATGATTTAATTCTGGCCAATGAGGAACTCTGGCCAATTAGGGAAAAAGTGCTACTGGGGCTCTAGAAAAGTTTCCTCACTGATAAGATAGGACCCCTTGAAGAAAGCAGCCTTCCCATTGCTTGAAAGAAAGCACGTCTACTTCACTCCTGAAGCTATTCAGCCATCTTGCAATCATTAGAGAGTCAGTTTGAGGAAAGCTAAGACCAGAGTGATGGGCCAGAAATATGGAAAGGATCTGAGTCCATGGTGACATGGTGACATGTAGAAGTTCTGAGATAACAAAACCGAAGCAGCTTGTCTTCTAAAATTTTTTGTTAAGTGAAATGGTAAATTCTTTATGGTTTAGATAAGTTTATTGTTTTGTTACTTGTAGCCAAAATAATCCTAATAATATATTACCTTTATAGGATTTATGCAGATGGCTGTTGAAAATTAAAGAGCCCTCATTGGCTGTAACATGGAGCTTCATGGGTAGAAAATAAGGAGGCATTTTTCTTGTCCTTTCTCCTGCTATGGAAAATTTTAAGAAGCAAAAACTTTACTAAAATGGGGAAGAGTCTAGTATTTTTTTTTTAAGAAAAGGCATTCCCATTGCAAATTTTATAAACCGTGAAGAAATATTACAGATCCAGGCTGTTTTAAAAATGATTTATGAGGATAGTTGTAGTAGAATATTTCCACTTTGAAACAAAGTAACACTGTATTTGGTTAAGAAGTTTCTTTACTTTTATTTTTCTTATGGTTGCAGACAAAAGGAATCTATTCCAATTTTTTTTTTGTGAAATCCACGGCAAGAACAAGATATTGACATCAATAACCAAATCAATAAAATACAGGCAAAGCACTCACATCTGTGTCAGTATCTTCAAAATAGAGAAATGTCAATTCAGTATTTACTCAGTGTCCCACCCACAGCAGGAAGCTGGGTGCTGAGGCAAGCTTGCTAGAAGTTCAGGCCTGTACATGATTAGCCTATAGTATTATGGGAGCAAATTATAGGATTAGCCAAGGATAAACTATTATTAGACTTGTCAATATTTGTTAATTGCTGGATAATACTGTGGTGAGACAGAGATGAGATGTATGAAACAGTATCTCTCTCTATTTCAATCCCAAACACACATAAACACACACACATTTTGGACTTTGGCAGTGGATCATGGTAAGCACTCATCTAAAAGACACTGCAAACTTAATTCTTAGTTACATGGAATTTTCCCAAGATTCTGGTGACAGGTGTCCAAAACTCTGCTCAGATGCTTTTATTTTAAAGCAATCTTTGCTTATGGAAGGCACCATAGAACTCTAAGAATAGACGTCCAAAGCCACACAAAGGAAGGTGTTATAGAAAAACAGAGGCTGGGCACAGTGGCTCAAGCCTCTAATCCCAGCACTTTGGGAGGCCGAGGTGGGTGGATCACGAGGTCAGGAGATCGAGACCATCCTGGCTAACACGGTGAAACCCCGTTTCTACTAAAAATACAAAAAATTAGCCAGGCGCAGTGGTGGGCACCTGTAGTCCCAGCTACTGGGGAGGCTGAGGCAGGAGAATGGCGTGAACCTGGGAGGCGGAGCTTGCAGTGAGCCGAGATGGAGCCACCGCACTCTAGCCTGGGCGACAGAGAGAAACTCTGTCTCAACAAAAAAAGAAAAGAAAAACAGAGCAACTGGGTGATTGTATTGAAAGGAAGGGTCTTTGGAACCTTGATTGACAAGTTCTACCAGTTGCAGCGAAGGAGGCTTTCCATTGAGTTATGTGCTCATGACATTCTTAGTCATGGACTGACTTAACTTTCTTGATCTTAAATAAGTAAATCCTTTCTTTCTTTTCTCCCTGTTGTGTTTTCTTCCCCACTCATTTGCCCTTCCTCTCTCTTTCTTATAGGTTTGATGGGATGGAAATTTTATATTACCAGAGTACAAAAGTGGGCTTATATCTTTTCACAAATAGAAGGCCTATCTCAATGGTAAAGCTACTGGTTGGAGGTAGTGATACATGGCGTACTCTATTCTGTTAAGGTCTAGAAGTCTTCATAGGAAGGATAAGTCCACATGAGGTTAATCGCATACTTCAGATTCAATATTGAGCTTGGTTCCATGCAGTAGAAGAAGGCTGATGTAGTGAAAAGAGAACAGGGTTTAGGGTCAAGCCAGCCTGAGTTCACAAATCATCTCTGTCATTCTTTAATTGTGTGACTGAAATCACATAATTAGCCAGTACAAGATAAGCCTTAGTTTCTTCATTTGCCAACTGAGATACTAATACAGACCTTGTGAGGATTAAGAGCAGGCATGGGATGCAGGTGAGCACTTACTCATTCTACAGACATTTATTGAGTACTGCTCTGTTCCAGGCATATTTCAGGACAGGACGTTAAAATCAAATATGGGCTGGACACAGTGGCTCAAGCCTGTAATCCCAGCACTTTGGGAGGCTGAGGCAGGAGGATCACTTGAGGCCAGGAATTTGAGACCAGCATGGGCAGCATGGTAAAACCTCGTCTCTATTAAAAAATACAAAAATTAGCCATGTGTTTTGGCTCATGCTTGTAATCCCATCTACTCAGGAGGCTGAGATATGAGAACTGCTTGAACCCAGGAGGTGGAGTTTGCAGTGAGCTGAGATTGCTCCACTGTACTCCAGCCTGGGTGACAGAATGGGACTCTGTCTAAAAAAAAGAAAAAAAAAAATACAGCACAGTGCCTGACTCTGAAGAGTTTACAGTCCATTGGGGAAAGCAGATGTGTACATCAATGATTCCAGAAAAGAAACCCAGAGGAGGAGGCGAGAGATAGTGATGATGATGATGGCATAGTGATGGAGAAGGTTTTCTACTGATGGCATCTGAGATGTGTTTCAAAGGACGAGTAGGACAAGGAGAAGTGAGGGGAAGTGCAGTTAAGGCTGAAGAAAAAACATCCACAAAAGCTACTAGGGTTTACCAGAGCATGAGCAATTATCACTGGGGCTGTGTGGCTGAATTGAATGAAGTGATGGAGGCAGTGATAGGTGGTGGTGAAATAAAAAAAATTGTCAGGGCTGGGCACGGTGGCTTATGCCTGTAATGCCAGCATTTTGGGAGGCTGAGGTGGGTGGATCATGAGGTCAAAAGATTGAGACCATCCTGGCCAACATGGTGAAACCCCGTCTCTACTAAAAATACAAAAATTAGCTGGGTGTGGTGGCGTGCGCCTGTAGTCCCAGCTACTTGGGAGGCTGAGGCAGGAGAATCACTTGAAACCGGGAGGTGGAGGTTGCAGTGAGCCAAGATTGCACCACTGCACTCCAGCCTGGCAACAGAGCGAGACTCAGTTTAAAAAAAAAGAAAAAAAAAAAAAAGTCAGGAATGCCACAGTAAAGGACCTTGTGTGCTAAGAAGTGAAGTTTGAATTTACCAAGTAATATGGTCACATAGCCTGTAAAAGATAGGTAGCTAAGGGTGGAACTCAAGTTATCTAAATCCAAGGTCAGAATGTATTCTCCCATGTAGCTCTCTACTTCCTTTAATGTGGTACGTTAGCACAGTGATCCTAATGTCAGTGCCTGTGGAGGTCACCTATAATAGTATAATCTGGAGTGAAGAACGTTGGATGTGTAGCCTAAGTTTCCCCATGGAGCTGAGAGGCACCCACCTATAAGTCAGTGGCTTGCCTGGGAAAAATAGGCTATAGGTTCTAAAGCAGGGAGAGTCTGAGCTTAGGTACCAAAAGGACCAATAGAAGGAGTAAAGCTCCTCCAAAAGTGAGTGAGGGTGGAATAGAGGATGATACCCATGGGTCAGGCAGCAAGTAAACACAAGAACAGAGGAGGAAGTTAGGAATAAGGATTGCAAGGAGGGAAAGAGGGTTCAGGATCCTCTACATAACCAGGGCTCAGAGGCTGGGAGCCTCTTGTTATTTATTAGGTGCTGGTTGCAGAGGGTGTGCGTGGGTTAGTCACCCTAGGTTGGCCCAAAGAGCAAGTCATACTTGGCTCCTCCAGTGTAACTGAGATCACCTTGCAGTATACCATGTTTGTACCTCATTGAGGAAGCTTTCTACTTCCTTCCTTCATATCTTAGCTTGTGTTTTTCCTTCTTATGTCCTAAGGCCCTCCAAAGGGAAGGTGTCCGTTGAACATTTTCATTATAAAATTTTCTTGGGGATAACCCAGGCTTTAAAATTAATTTCAATTATCATTTATTGAAACTTCCTTGCCTGAGGACATTATGCTAACTTGGAAACCTAAAGAACACCACTGTCCCAGAAATATCAGGTTAGATAGAATTTACATTTAGAGATGTTAGATGGCAGAAGAAAAAAAAAAGGGACCCAAGGAAACCCTGTTCCAGCTGCTTCCTGGGCTCAAGAGCAAATCTAATACATGTATTCAGGTAGTGTCATGTTGGTAAACCTGTTTCCGTTTGTTTTGCTGGGGGTTGATTTCCAGTCAAGTTGTTTGGGTATTAGAACATAATGTGCTGACTCTGGCAGCCCTGGTTTGCTTTGGTAGAGGGATTAATGTTGGTATGTGTCACTGAATGTAACCAGTTCTTTGTATTCTGACTCTTCCTGTCCAGACTAAGGAAGCACACTTCTTCAAGATCACTTTTCAGTGTCAGTTTGTAATCTTGATTTTGACCTGGAAAAAATGAAAGTATACTGGTTTGGTTCTCGCCAAATTCTAACTGGTGCCCTAAATATGTCAAGCAACCCCTGCACTGTGTTACCAGCAGGCCAGCTGGGTCTGTAGTCATCCAAGATTCGCTTTTGAGTTGATGTCAGTTACTGGCCCCAAATCGATGCCTTTTGGGGAAAATCTAATGCTCCAGTTTGCAATGGCATTGATGCTTTTTAAGTGGCTTCAGAGCCAAGAAAGACATGGCTCTTTATAAAATCGTTTGCAGATTCAGCAGTGTATCTGCTGTGGCAGGACTTCTTTTTTTTTTTTTAATCTTAAAAAAATGTAGGAGGCTGTGCCTTTATATGGAGCAAAGTTGCAAAAGTCTTTTCCAACTTGTTAGAGACTCAAAACTTCCTTTAGAATCCTCAGTGGACTTTGAGTTCAGCAAAAATGTAGTGCCTGCATTCTACTAAGTCATCCAGTGAAACCACTGGGAAATCTCAACTTTCAAACATCATGATGAAAGGATACAGGCACCTTATATCTTGCTCCTGGAAATGGGACTTATCAAAGCAAGTTATGCTAATGCTGGAACCAAGACTCTTGCTTCATCTTCTTGCTTCTTTCTCCTCCTGTTGCTTTCCTGCTTTCATCTCTTCTCTAGGACAGGGAAGTAAGGGTCAATCACTCACATCCTTCTGAAGGAATCCAAATCTTTTCAGAAGGTTCATGTTTTCTCTTCCATCAGTGCACTCAAACTTGAAACTTGTATTCTTGAATGACTAAGACTCCTTTTCTTCTGTCCTGTGAAAACATCCCTGTGATTTGAAAATGTTCTGATAAACTTGAGTCAGAAAAATCAACAGGTAGAATGTAAACTTAACGATCTTCATTTGTAAACTTAATGATCTTTGCAGAAATCTTTGTTTTGTTAATTGAAGTATCCATGCTCTAGGAACAGTGTCAGGCATAACAGCAGTGCTCAAAATATTTGTCAGATGAATAAATAAAGGAGTAAGTGTGTTGATCATTAATTAAGTAGGTCCAGAGAGTACAAGGAGCTACTGGAAAAGTAGACTTTTCCACTGTTTTTTCCTCATGGGCTGAAGATGTTTGAAGCATGGAGTGGGGGTAGAAGAATGGGTTTGGGAAAAAGTTTGAGAAAAAGTGTAACTTTTAGAGAATAATGTCAAAGGAGAACAAGAGGCTTAAAAATAAATACTATAGAATTGAAAGCAAGTATTTGAATGGTTATTTGTACACCAATGTTCATAGCAGCATTATTCACGATAGCCAAAAAATAAAAATAACCCAAATGTCCATCAACAGATGCATGGATAAAAAAACTGTATTACATACATACAATGGAATATTATTTAGCCTTTGAAAGGAATGACATTCTGATGCATGTTACAAGGATGAATCTTGAAAACATTATACTTAACAAGCC
This sequence comes from Homo sapiens, assembly GCF_000001405.40. Lineage (NCBI taxonomy): Eukaryota > Metazoa > Chordata > Mammalia > Primates > Hominidae > Homo > Homo sapiens. The sequence goes on along the minus strand of NC_000009.12, from coordinate 2,677,106 downwards.
ACATGCAAATTAAGCCAAACACAAAAGCAGGGCACAAAAGGATAAATATTATACAATTCCACTTATATTAGGTAAGTAGACTAGACAAATTCAATGAGTCAGAAAGTAAAATAGAATTTAGCAGAAGCTGGGGAAGTGGGGAATAGGGAGTTGTTATTGTTTAATGTACAGAGTTTCTGTTTGGGATGATAAATAAGTTCTGGAAATAGTAATGACAATTGCAAATATTGTGAATGTACTTAGTGCTGCTGAATTGTATACACTGAAATGGTTAAAATGGTCAATTTTATGTTAAGCATATTTTCCTACAATTTTAAAAAGCAAACACACAACAAACCTGACATTTTAATATGCCCAGGAAGCACGGGAAACTTGTTTGTTTGGGTTTCTTTTTCTCTGTCATGGCACAGGAGACTTTGGCATCTGTCAGACTTGGCTCAAATCCAAGCCCCACCGTTTGTTAATGGTGTGGCTTTGGTCAGGCAAGTTCACTCCTCAGAATTCCAGCTTTCTTGTTGGTAAAATGGAGATAATAGAAATGCCTAATTATTGTGATGTGAGAATATACGTTATCGTGGAGGTAGTATGCTTAAGTACAGTGACCTGAAACATGGCAGGCAAGCAATAAATGATCAATTCATGATCTCTCCCACTCTTTTCCCTATGCCTATGTCTTCCCTGCATCCTCTTCCATCTCTTCAATTATTTTTTCTTCCATTTTGCAAAATTTGGTTCTCTGATCCAGGTTGTATTAGTCTGTTCTCATGGTACTAATAAAGACATACTGGAGCCTGAGTAATTTATAAAGAAAAGAGGTTTAATGGACTCACAATTCCACATGGCTGGGAAGGCCTCAGAATCATGGTGGAAGATGAATGAGGAGTAAAGTTACATCTCACATGCTGGCAGGCAAAGAGAGAGTGTGCAGGGGAACTCCCCTTTATAAAACCATCAGATGTCGTGAGATTTATTCACTATCAGAAGAACAACACAGGAAAGACCTGCCCCTATGATTCAATTACCTCCCACCAGGTCCCTCCCACAACATGTGGGAATTATGGGAGCTACAATTCAAGATGAGTCTTGGGTGGGGACACAGCAAAGCCATACCACAGGCCTAGATATCTGACAGATGGTATTCCCTGGCTGGACTCAGGCAAGAGTTCTGGCAGAGAAAGCAGTTTCTGATCCAGGTGAATGTTTTAAAAACTTTCTGTGTAGTTATTTAAACTAGAGTGCATATTCCTTTCTATGTGCCTCTGGCATTGCTGGCACAGCCTACACGTTCCTCAATGCATCGTGGAATTCAGAGGTCACCCTGTTTCTTGGAATATCATTTTATCTTCCTTACACCAAAGCATAAAGGAACTTCCTCAACCCTATGTGTTCATGCCATCAAAGCCCTTGCTTCATGCTCTTTTTGAAGTTATTTAAGAAACAAAATGTAGGCACTGTTTTAAAAATTAAAAAGTTCTACAATGATTATAATGAAAACCTGTGGTCCCTTCTCTCACCTCTTTCCCACCCTTGATCCCAGCTACCCAGAGACAAGTACTGTTAACTTTTACTACCCTTAATGCTAGTATTTCACTTCATTTTCTAAATGATAAAATTTTACTACTAAATCTTATTTTTTATTGAGTTAGAGATTATCAATTGACTTGTTACTATCAAACGTGAGAATTTTACTCACTTAAAACTCCTCACAGCTCTGCCTCCATGTTCTTCTTCTCTATCCTTCTATTACACAATGTTTGATTATAGTAATCGAGTTGTAGATTACTATTATTAATAGTTGTATTTATATTTTTATAACAATGTAAATCTTATTCTTGTTTTTCATAACAATGTAAATACGAATCGTGTGTATTTTAATTTTTCTTGTACAATTACTTTTTATTTTCTTGAAAATAATCACCTAACTTGGTTTGGTAAATCTTTCTGAGAGGATGCATGGCTGAAAATGTGTTTATTTCACCCCTCTCTCATTTGATTAATAGTTTGATTGGATATAGAATTCTAGGTTAAACTAATCTTTCTTCAGCATATTAAAGCCATTCCATTTTCTTCTGGTGTCTGGTGTTGTTGAGAAGTCTAGTGACATATGGTTGTCTGATCTATTTGTGGCCTGTTTTTTATTTCTGGAAATATTTATGATCTCCACTTTGTTCTCAGTTGTCTGAAATGTTGTGGTGATGTATCTTGGGGTATATGTGTTTTATTGTGCTGGACAGTCAGGTGGCGGGAGAGGTCCTTTCAGTCTGAAAACTCATTTTTTTTCTCTTCCAGTAAATTCTCATGTTATTACTTCAATGATATTCTTTATCTCATTTTCTCCAAACTCTTCCTGGAACTTTGTCTTCGAGTATTGGGCCTCCTAGACTGATCCTCTAGTTATCACGTATTTTGTCTCTTATTTTCTCTTTCTTTGACTTCTGTTCTACTTTTTGGAATTTTTTTTATCCATTTTATTTTAGAATTATTTTGCTGACTGGTTTATTTTTGGTTATACTATTTTTAACTTTCAAAAATTTTCCTTATTTTTGGAATATTACTTTTTTATAAAATCCGATTCTTATATACGCAGTATTTTATGTTTCAAAGCTATGAATTATAGAGATTTTTTTAAACATTTTCTTCTGTTTTCTTCATTGACATGAATTCTTCTGAAGCTATTTTTTCTTGTTCAATTTAGTCTGTCTTGCATGTTGGAAGGCTTTTTAAAAATTTGGGTGATCTTTTGGCTGTTTGTACTTAAGAGTGAGGAACTAAAATGTTGATTAAAACCATGTGCACGAGTAGGGCTTGCTGACTGGTGATTTTCTCTATACATGGTTTTGTTCAGTACCTTGCCATTTTTAGAGGGAATTCTGACCGTCGGCACCTACAGATCCTTTTCCTTGGTCATATCAAAACCCTTAGTTCCCTGTCGTGTGTGTGCATAGAAGCACGTATAAATCTGGCTGAAATATTCTGGGAGTTAAGAAGACTGGGGCTCTGAAAATAGACAATGTTTACTCCCAGCGTGCTCCACCCTGTTTTCATCCAAAGTTCTGGTTTATTTCTTGCAGAGTGTAAACTTGGTTATTAAGATAAGAGAGAGAGTAATCTGGGTTATGAGGAAAATCTAATGAGTTTTCTATTTGCTGTGTGGGTGGAGGAGGTGGGAATATGCTTTAAAAACCCAACTTTAGAAAAATCTGAGGCAAAATCAAATGCTTATAAATAGGGACAAGGTTAAGTAGATGGTGGGAGGGCTATATCATGACATATTATGTAACCTATACAATAATAATTTAGCCAAACATACATTATGTAGAAAAATGGTCACAATGTATGGCTAAGTGAAAAAATGCAGGCTATAAAATATGCATAATATAATAGTATTTTATTAAAACAAAAAATATTCTCACTGTATAATTCCTATTGCTATAGATATTTCAGTTGTACGACAAAGGATGTGTTAATAAGACAGGCCAGGAAATAGAACTCTGAAAATAAGACCAAACAGTTATAAGAAAAGTTTGTCCCATTTGATGCAGCTATAAGGAAATTATTTTCCCAATAATTTTGACTTTTTATTTTCTACATCATTTAATCTATGTGGCTCACAGAAGCTTTTGCCATAATTATTTGGCCAAATTAGATGTGAAGTATAAGCCCTATGACCCTGAGGTATAAACCCTATGACACCAAGCCCTATTGAGTAACCTGCAACAACTGCCTCTGGCATGAACTGAGGAAATTCAAGAGCCCTGGGGCCAGTGGGGACATGTAACATGAAGAATGGAAGCGAGCAAGTTGCAAATATCTTTGGGAAAAAAACCATTTTTTTTTTTCTTTTTGAGACAGAGTCTTGCTCTGTTACCCAGGCTGGAGTGCAGTGGTGTGATCTCAGCTCACTGCAACCTCTGCCTCCCGGGTTCAAGCGATTCTCCTGCCTCAGCCTCCCAAGTAGCTGGGACTACAGGTGCCCACCACCACACCCAGCTAATTTTTTGTATTTTTAGTAGAGACGGGATTTCACTGGTTTGCCAGGATGGTCTCGATCTCCCGACCTTGTGATCTACTGGCCTCAGCCTCCCAAAGTGCTGGGATTACAGACATGAGCCACCATGCCCAGCCAAACCCAGCGTTTTTGTTTTATTGAGGCTCTCAGAAGAAATGCTTCTGGTGTATTTTATCATTAAGTATGAAAGTGGCTATTGATTTAAAAGTGCTGTATATTTTTATCATTTTAAAGAAGTGTCTTTGTAATCCTGGTTTTCAGAGAGCTTTTATTTAAAATTGCTTATTCCATTTTACAGAATGCCTTTTGGACGTTTTATATTATAAGGTTTGTCTTATTTGATCCATTGATGTGCCATATTAGATTTCTTAATATTAAATTTTTCTAGCATAGCACAATAATTATGACTTGGTTATGGTGGATTATGCCCTTTATGGTATCTTTGAATTTAATTTGCTAGCATTTTATTTGGAATATTTTCATTTGCATTTATAAGTGACAACGATTGATAGGTGCCCTCACATGCGTGTGTGTGAGTGTGCGCATGCGCTTTCACACAAGCTATTATTGTCAGGCACGGACCAGGATTTTTCTTTTTTTTTTTTCTTTCCAACTTTTATTTTACGTTCAAGGGGTACCTGTGCAGGTTTGTTACACGGGGAAATTGTGTGTTGCAGGGATTTGGTATACAGATAATTTTGACACTCAGGTAAGCAGAATAATATCCGATAGGTTGTTTTTCAGTCCTCACCCTTCTCCCATCCTTCACCCTCAGTTAGGCCCCGACGTCTATTGTTCCCTTCTTTGTGTTCATGTGTACTCAATGTTTAACTCCCACATATAAGTGAGAATATGCGGCATTTGGTTTTCTGTTCCTGCGTTAATTTGCTTAGGATTGTGGCCTCCGGCTCCATCCACGTTGCTGCAAAGACTATGATCTCAATTTTTTTTATAGTTGCGTAGTATTCTTTAGTGTATACATACTGCATTTTCTTTATCCAGTCCACTTTTGGTGGCCACCTGGGTTGATTCCACGTCTTTGCTATTGTGAATAGTGCTGCAGTGAACATAGGTGTGCATGTGTCTTCAGGGTAGAACGACTTATATTTCTGTGGGTAAATGGAATTGCTGGGTCAAACGGTAATTCTATTTTAAATTCTTTGAGAAGTCTCCAAACAGAACAGGACTTTTCTGAGTAGAGTGTTAAATATGTGGACAAAAACTGATGGAACTGCAAGAATCAATAGACAATGCATATTTATAGTTAGAGATTTCAATACCTTTCTCAATAACTGAAAAAACAGAAAATCTGTGAGAATATATACAATTTGAACAGCACTATCAACTAATTTGACCTAATTGACATTTGCAGAACACTCCACCCAACAACAGCAGAGTTCATATTCTCTTACAATTCATATGTAGCATTTATCAAAATAGGCTACATTCTTAAGTTCAGGTCTTCAGGTCTTTTGTCAGCTTTATACCTAAAGTTTTTATATTTTTGATGATGTCAAATGTATTGTTAAGTTTCATGTTCTGATTGTTGTTAGTTTATAGAAAGACAATTGATATTTGTGCACTGCATTTATATCCTGCAACTGCTAAACACATATTAAGTTTAGGACCTTTTTTTATAGATTTTGTAACATTATCGGGACAGTTGATAATGTCATTTGTGAATAAAGAAAGTTTACTTCTTCCTTTCAATCTGGATGCATTTTATTTCTTTTTTCTTGTATTATTGAATTGACTAGAATCCCTAATACAATAGTGAATTGAAGTGGTGAAAGAAAAGACCTTTGCCTTATTCCTGATCTTAGGGTGAGAGCAGTCAGTCAGTCTTCTGCTATTAAGTGTGATGTTAGCTATAAACATTTTGTAAACGCTTTTTGTGAGGTTGAGGAGGTACCCTTCGATTTCTAGTTTGCTGAGATTTTTTTATTAGGAATAGATGCTGTATTTTGTCAAATGCTATTTCTGTACCTACTGAGATGATCACTTGGTTTCTTTTGTAATCTATTAATATCACAAATTACATTAATTGGGTTTCAGTTGTTACACTAGCCCTGCATCCTTAAGATAAACCCCATATGGTCATGTTGTATTATCCATTTTCTGTGTTGCTGGATTTCATTTGCTAATATAATATTTTGTTAAGAATTTTTTCGTCTGTGCTCATGAGGAATATTGATCTATTTTCTTGTAATGTCTTCATCTGGTTTTGGTATCAGCATAACGTTGATCTCTTAAAATGAGTTGGGAAAGATTCTATTCTCTTCAATTTTCTGGAGAGATTAGGTCATAGTGGTATTATTTCTTTCTTAAATATTTGGTCGAATTTACCAGCAAAGCCATTTGGAAGGCCTTGAATGCCAGGCTCAAGAGCTTCGACTTTGCTCAGAAACCTGAGATAGTTTCTATGGTAAAAAGATGATGTTTGCAAAGTGGGTTTTGGAGAGATGAACCTGGCAGCCATGGGCAGGAAATATGTTGGCAGCGAGGGCAATATAAACACCCAGGAAAACATTATATTCTAATTTCCAAAGTTCCTGCAGAAAAAGCTTTTGTTTAATCTTTCACAGGCTGGAAGGAATTTCCTACATAGAAGGGAAAGTGACCCCATTTGATGAAAACTGTGAATAGTCTGAAAGATTTTTCTATATGGGGAGGCAATGAGTGGGCTGCAACCATTGTCACTGAAAAATTAATTCTGCTCCCTCAGGTTTCTAATTCAGCTAAATAAATCCAACCTGGCTTGACACTTACTTTATGAAGTGCCAAGACCAGAGTTAGACTGCAGCATTTTTAAGTGACTAGAATTTTTTAAAGACGATTTTAGATTTTCTTTTCTTTCTAGGTTTAAAGAGTCATGAAAGAAAACTGGGGCCAGGCGTGGTGGCTCACGACTGTAATCCCAGCACTTTGGGAGGCTGAGGCAGGTGGATCACTAGGCCAGGAGTTCAAGACCAGCCTGACCAGTATGGTGAAACCCCATCTCTAATAAAAATACAAAAAAATTAGCCAGATGTGGTGGCATGCACCTGTAGTCCCAGCTACTCAGGAGGCTGAGGCAGGAGAATTGCTTGAACCCAGGAGACGGAGGTTGCAGTGAGCTGAGATCGTGCCACTGACTCCAGCCTGGGCGACAGAGCAAGACTCCATCTCAAAAAAAAACCAAAACAAATCTGAAGGACCTATTCATAATACAACTCTGTAATATTGCCACCTTCCTTCGATACCAGAGATTTGTCCTTTTGAATAAACATGGTCTCCTGTTCTGGGCATGATATCCAACATATTTCATTCCACACTGTTTATTATTTTTATTAAACAATATTGAAATTCGATTTATCAGATTGCAATGGCCAATCTCAATGAGTTTCACTTTATTGCATTGGCTCTCAGGGTAGGATAGGCCAGGCCAGTGCCAACTTAAAAGTTTAGTAAGTTAAACTAAAAATAATAATATGAAACCATCATATTTTATAAGCCCTTTTCAGCTTATGAAAATATTTCCCCAAATATAAGTTTTATGAAAGCATCTTTCAGCATTTCCTTCTGAACTGCAACCCAAACAATGCCTAAGCACATTTCTAATATAATAAAGTGTTGTTGGGAAAAAACACTGTTAGGGAATGGCTTTCACTTGGCATTAGTTTGAATGACTTGGCATTGTCACCAGGGGTGGTGGTATTTTAAACACAGAACATTCTGCACAGTGATTTTCATTGTAAAGTCTGTGATGTCAAACCTCAATAAAATTTCTTTCTGGAAATTGAACCTGCAAAATGCACCCATGGCAAATGTCTTTTATTCAAGTGCCTTAAAAACAAAACAAAACAAAAAAGCTCACATTTGGATCGTATACATCTGTCATCCCGTCTGGTCCCCATAACAACTGTGTGAAGCAACTAAGTCAAATTTTATCATTCACTCATTGTACGGATGCAGAAATGGAGGCATGGAGATGGAAGATAATTGACCACGACTATAATAAGTAAGTGGCAAAACTAAGATCAGAACTCAAATCTCTTAACTCTGGCTTTCATGCTTCTACATATGGCATACTGCCTCTCCAGAGGGACAATACGGAGATGGTGATGAAGTGATTCCTAGTTTGCAAGATTCAAAATATACACACTTGGTATATTCATAGCGTAAGCCAATATTACACTCCTGGAGTTGAATATTTTGTCGATAAGTTTCCAAATGTTACAATTCCATAAAGAAATGTCTATGTTTTACTTTTAAATAAGATATTTTTTCCACCCATTAATACTCTGTTTTGATGGTATCTCAGAGAACTTACGTGTGGGATTTTAGAAAAAAAAAGAGAACAGGCATAGATAATGTGAATTTATTTAAATGTATATAAAACAGAGGTTTCTAACTTCTGATATAGACCTTTTTAGAATCCCCATATACATAGACACCAGGAGATACAGGAATTCCTGAAATTAAATGTAAAATTTTATGAGTTTAAATGTTTTCTGGGAGGATCTTTTGGTTTCATTGGGCTTTTAAAGTGGGGTTTGTTTCTTGAAAAACAATTACTCTGATAGACACAAAAAATAATTCCTCCTGTCCTCCACCAAAGCAGCCCACAAAGATATCTCTATCTCCTGAGCTTTCAGAGAGTGTGCTATCTGTCTGGCATGTTTATTTGGGACCCACTGAGCTTTGCTTTGCCATTAAACTGTTATACATAAGAGGGACTTCATCTCAATAATCTGTTTCAGAGTACACAGAACCCTTTTGTGCCTGTAGTAGATGCTTAATAAATCATAGGCTTAAATGTTGACTTTAAACTCTCTGATAACTAGGGTAAGAACCCATGAGGACTGTGGGATCAAGCAATGCTTAATTAAGGTACTTAGTTGGCACATCAATTCTAAACACACAAAAACTAAGTAACAGGTGTGATTATCAAGCTATAGGATAACTTTAAAAATAACCCCACCAGTGTATAGTAACCTAGATGACTGTTACCATTTCAATGTAATTCCTTTCCCTGGTTATGTGTTTTTTCGAAGATGTTGCTTGTATTAGTCCATTTTCACACTGCTGATGAAGGCATACCCGAGACTGGGAAGAAAAGGAGGTTTAATGGACTTACAGTTCCACGTGGCTGGGGAGGCCTCACAATCATATCAGAAGGTAAGGAGAAGCAAGTCTTGTCTTACATGGATGGCAGTAGGCAAAAAGAGAGCATGTGCTCCCATTTTTGAAACCATCAGATCTTGTGAGACTTATTCACTATCATGAGAACAGCATGAGAAAGACCTATCCCCATGATTAAATTATCTCCCACCAGGTCCCTTCCACAACATGTGGGAATTATGGGAGCTACAAGATGAGATTTGGGTGGTGACACAGAGCCAAACCATATCATTCCACCCCTGGCCCCTCCCAAATTTCATGTCTTCACATTTCAAAACCAATCATGCCTTCCCAAAAGTCCCCCAAAGTCTTAAGTCATTTCATCATTAACTCAAAAGTCCATAGTCCAAAGTCTCATCTGAGACAAAGCAAGTCCCTTCTGCCTATGACTCTGTAAAATAAAAGCAAGTTAGTTACTTCCTACATACAATGGGGGTACAGGCATTAGGTAAATACAGCCATCCCAAATGGGAGAAATTGACCAAAACAAAGGGGCTACAGGCTCCATGCAAATCCAAAATCCAGTGGGCAGTCAAATCTTAAAGCTCCAAAATGATCTCCTTTAACTCGGTGTTTCACATCTAGGTCACGCTGATGCAAGAGGCAGGCTCCCACAGCCTTGAGCAGCTCTGCCCCTGTGGCTTTGCAGGGTATAGCTCCATTCCTGACTGCTTTCGTGGGCTGGTGTTGCATGTCTGTGGCTTTTCCAGGCACACAGTGCAAGTTGTTGGAAGATCTACCATTCTAGCGTCTGGAGGATGGTGGCCCTCTTCTCACAGCTCCAGTAGGTGATGCCCCAGTAGGGACTCTGTGTGGGGGCTCTGACCCTACATTTCCCTTCCGCACTTCCCTAGCAGAGGTTCTCCATGAGCTCCCCACCCTTGCAGCAAACTTCTGCCTGGACATCCAGGCATTTGCATACATGCTCAAAATTTAGGCAGAGGTTTCCAAACCCCAGTTATTGACTTCTATGCATGTGCAGGCTCAACACCATGTAGAAGCTGCCAAGGCTTGGGGCTTCCATCCTCTGAAGCAAAAGCCCAAGGTGTACCTTGACTCCTTTTAGTCATAGTTGGAGCAGCTGGGTTGCAGGGGACCAAGTTCCTAGACTGCATACAGCAGAGGGACCCTGGGCCTGGGCCACAAAATCATTTTCTCCCTCTAAGCCTCTGGGCCTGTGATGGCAGCGGCCGGGGGCGGGGTGGGGGCGGCTGCTGCAAAGGTCTCTGACATGCCCTGGAAACATTTACCCCATTGGATTGATGACTAACATTTGGCTCCTTGTTACTTAGGCAGATTTCTGCAGGCAGCTTGAATTTCTCCTCAGAAAATGGAATTTTCCTTTCTGTTGCATTGTCAGGCAGCAAATTTTTGGAACTTTTATGCTTTGTTTCCCCTTTAAATCTGAATGCCTTTAACAGCACCCAAGTCACCTCTTTGAACGCTTTGCTGCTTAGAAATTTTTTCTACCAGATACTCTAAATCATCTCTCTTGCCAGACAGCACACTCTCTGAAAGCTCAGGAGATGGAGATATCTTTGTGGGCTGCTTTGGTGGGGGATAGGAGGAATTGTTTTTGTGTCTATCAGAGTAATGATTCCTCAAGAAACAAGTTCAAAGTTCCACAAATCTCTTGGGCAGGGCAAAATGCCACCAGTGTATTTGCTGAAATATGGCAAGAGTCACCTTTACTCTAGTTCCCAAGAAGTTCCTCATCTCTGTCTGAGACCACCTCAACCTGGATTTCACTGTCCGTATCACTATCAACATTTTGGTCAAAGCCATTCAACAAGTCTCTAGGAAGTTCCAAACTCTCCCACATTTTCCTATCTTCTTCTGAGCCCTCCAAATGGTTCCAAACTCTGCCTGCTACCCAGCTCCAAATTCACTTCCACATTTTCTGGTATTTTTTCAGCAGCACCTCACTCTACTGGTACCAATTTGCTCTATTAGTCTGTTTTCATGCTGCTGATAAATACATACTCAAGACTGGGAAGAAAAAGAGGTTTAATTGACTTACAGCTCCACATGGCTGGGGAGGCCTCACAATTATGCCGGGAGGCAAGAAGGAGCAAGTCACATCTTACACAGATGGTGGCAAGCAAAAAGAGATTGTGCATGGAAACTCCTGTTTTTAAAACTATCAGATCTCGTGAGACTTATTCACAATCGGGAGAACAGCATGGGAAAGACCCACCCTCGTGATTCAATTATCTTCCACCTGGTCCCTCCCACAACACATGGGAATTATGGGAGCTACAAGATGAGATTTGGGTAGAGAAACAGCCAAACCATATCAATGTTATTAGCTCTACATACGATCTGTAGGACTTCCTCATTAGGACAGCTATGGAGGGTCTCAAAAGGGCATTAACCAGCATGACAATTACTATGTTCCCTGATGGAAAGTGCAACGATTTTGCTGTTTCAAAATCTTAAGTCTACCTTCAAAGATGTAAGGGTTTTTTTTTTTTATAACAATATGTATGCAAAAATCAGCTTTGTGCTCCCTGAATATAAATCCACAATAGGACCTGTAACTTGTGTGCTGAGTAGGAAATCACCGGGATAGGCAAACAACCTCTTACGAAAACTTCTTTCAAGAGACAGTGGTTACTTGGAGGCCTAAATACTGGGATGCTTATTTACAAAATAATCTATGGTTTGCAATCATGGGATCAATTTAGTTTTACAATCCAGTATTTGAGCACTTAAAAAGCATTCAACTTTGTGCTACGTACTCAAGGCACAAAGATTGCAAAGACTAAATTCTTATATAAAAGAAGCTTGTGTTTCATTCAGTCAAGAAGTTATATACATATACATAATCTCAACCTGATGTTATACATGTTATTGTAGAATTATATGCTGGATATACAAGAGACTCATGACCCAAACTGGGACAACAGGAATGGCTTCCTGGAAGAAGAGACATCTGAGCCCAGACCTGGAAGAATAAGAGCCGGGTAAGTAAAGGCCAGAAGGGCACTTCAGGCAGAGGGAAGAGGAGGAGCAAAGGCACAGCCTTGTACAGGAAACAGCAGTAAAGGAGAAGGGGAGAGGGGAGTGGTTGCAAAGAGTTGGGCATTACTGAGTTGGGCTGGGGAACTGCAGGGCATAGCGGGGCTGAGCAGCAGGCTCCAGGGTCAGGCCATGGTGATCTTGAGCCTGAATCTAGGGACCTTGGCCTTCATTCTGTAGGCATCAAGAAGTCATCTTAGATAGGGAGTGACATGGTCATATTCACACTTTGGAAAGATGATTCCATAGTTCAAGATATTCCAAGATCCTACAAGCCATTGCTATACTTAGTTCTGTATCCTGACTAGCAAAATGCTGGGTGTATAGTATTTAAAAGCCACCTGATCCCATCTAACACATTTAATAGCTTGTGACATCATCTGGAGTCATTCTGCCCTTGAATATCCAGATAATACAGGGTTGAACTTCCATTCCACATCCTGCAGAAAGTCCAGTGTCCCAGCCAGAGTTCTAAGAGTCCCTGGGTTGCTTATGTTTTCTGACTCTAAGCTCTTCAGTGACTTAATTCGTTCAGTTAACAAATTGTTCTGAAAGTTCCTTCTCTGTTCTGTTGCCATATCAACCCAGGTCTAGGACTGGGCTCCTATCTATGATTTTCATCAAAAGCCACTCCCACAACGTGTTAGTGTGTGCCACAGACATTACTGAAGGATCAGGGAGGTGATAGGGCTTACAGTGCCAAAAATGTAAGCCATCCAAAATTGCATATTGGATATTCTTGTTTGTCACCTTGAGCTCCAAATTTCCACGGCACACCGTGTGCCTCTGCCCTCTTTTCCACCCTGCTGCTTCACAGCTACTTCCTCATCCCTGACTTGACTTTTCTCTCTGCAGAATACAGAGCAATGCAGCCATCTGTAGCCTACTTTCCAAACTTGGCTCAGGACCTCCTTTGGCAGATCCAGATTTTCCTTCCCTTGTAGCTATAGAGAAATTTCCCTTCCCAGGGGCATCCCTAGCCCTCCTACCAAGGCAAAAGAAGCTACAGTTGGTTTTGGTTTTAGATAATCTTTTTCCACCCCCATTTCGCTGGATTTCTGAGAGACTGGAAGTTGCATACAGACCGGCGTGCCACTTTTGGTGAACTAAAAATATTAAGTAGGCCCACTGAAATATTATCTGTCTCATAATAGAGACAGTTCACAGAGTACTGGGAACACATTGCCTGCTGCAGGGGAGGGAGAAGAGAGGGAGAATGGCACGTAGTCTCTGTTCTCAGCATAGTCCTCCCCGGAGGTTAGTGGATCCTGACATATGGGAGGTTGGCCTTGTTTTCTGAATGGAAATAGGCACTGGGGCTAATGTCTGGGAAGAGGCTGCTTTCTGTTTCATAAGCTGTTTGTTACTATTTGGCTTCTGTGACATGCATGGATGCATTTCAGAGACTCACCTTACTTCCTAACATACAAAGAATCCTTTCCTGAAAGTTTTGGCTTTAGGAGGCTTTGTTTTCCCAAACAGCATCCATTCCTGTTTTTTTTTGTTTTGTTTTTGTTTGTTTGTTTTTTTTATCTTAAAGAGTCACAAGTTATTGTTGAATTTACAGGCTTACTATGAGAGCAATTCTTACTCTGTGGGTGACTTAAGACATTGCTGAATGAGGTCTCCTTCCTGGTAATGTTAGGTGGCCACTTTCTGCTTCCTCAATGGGGCCTGTTGCCTCCTGTATCAGACAACTATCAGAGACTCAATGACCTTTGGGTTCCTTTTAACTCAGAAATACCAGGATTCTAAAATGTCTTAGGGAAAGTAGTTTTGATAGTTCTCCAATATTTTTAGAGACCAGACAGGTAACAGGGAAAATATAAAGCAGTTGGATAGATAGGATATGCTGGACCCTGCCTAAAGCCATCATATTTTTTAAAAATGATGCCATTCATACAAACATTCCTCCAGAGACCATTACTCAAGAGCTAGTATGGAACTCCATATTAAAATGATGCTGCCAAAATATGTCCCTTGGAAGGCCTTTACACTGAAGGTAGAAAAGAACTTCCTTTGAATGGTTGAAGCCTTTGAACTTTTCGGGGGCTGGAATTCGTGCTCTGGGCTCTTCTTTTCTTCTGAATCCTGAATTCTTTTGGTTAGAGAGGAGAGGCATGGCTTTTCTCCTGCGTTCCACGCAGCCTTGTTTTCTTCCAGCCTTCCTGGTGTTGAGCCTATCATCCCTGCCCAATCAGGGAGGCAGCCAAACAGATATCCCACAGGCAGAGGGCACAGCTGAGCTAGGAACTGGTGAGATTCTCCTGGATTAAGGGACCATCTACAGGCTGAATTCCCCGTACTCTGGGGAGATAGCCTGTGCACACACCCCCTGTGATGGACCGAATCTGGAGTAGAGCTTTCTTTCATCCCCACTGGCTTAGCTCACATCGTGTCCATCTACCAGGACCACTACCAGAGTCTTCTAATATATCTCCGTTTTCACCCTTGCCTCCCAGCCGCCCATTCCAGACAAAGCAGCCAGTGTGAGCCTTTTAAAACTGGATGTCATTCTATCGCCCCAAGCCCACTAAAAAAGTTCTGTCACTTAAAAAAAAACTGAGTCCCAACCACAGCTCTTGAAATTGACATCACTTGGTCCTCTTCCTTTCTCTCCTCCCACTCTGCCTCTGCCACCTCCTGCTACCAAGGCCACCTTGCTTCTTCTTAGAGGAATCAGGCATGCTCATGCCTCAGGATTCATTATTCATTATTCATGGCTTCAGTCTTTACTATGCCTCAGTGGGCTCATAACACATTTCCACCAGGTTGTCTGCTAAATCCTCTCTTTGGAGAGCTTCCCTGACCACTTTATCTAAAATAGCACATTCTGCTATTCTCTAGTCCCTTACTCTGTTTTGTTTATCTTTATAGATTTTATCACTGCCTAACATATAAATGTCTGTTCAGTGCCTAACTCCCAGCTAGAATGAGCACCATGAAGGATGGGGCTCTGGCCTCTCATGTTCTCTCTGGTTCCCCAGAATCCAGAACAATACCTGGTACATAGCAGGCACTAAACAAATGAATGAAGTAAAGACAGCACATATAGGGGATGTCTATGTGCGGCTATAAGGAGGGATACCTTCTGATGTGGCTGATCCATATATCCTTCCTCAATTTTGTTAAAAGTTTAAGAAATGTGTGTGCTTCCCCGTAACTGATGTTTCTTCTAGGATGTGCCAATTATAAAACTGTTCTGGAACCTTTTAGAAACTGTTACTTTAAGTCCCTTGAGGTCTGAGGAGGAATGCCAGTTGCTATCTAGTTATTTAAAATTATCTTCCAGCATTTAGAAGTCCTGCTTAGCAAACCACAGGGCTACTTGTTTGGGGTCAGGTCAAAAGGCAAATTTCCCTGAAACTTTAAAGGACAAATCTTTAAAGAACAAATCAGCAAATCTCACATGTAAGTGAGTAAATTTAAGACAACATAAACAATGACTAAGGGTATAAAATATACTCTCTGCCCTCAAAACCAGTAGGCAAGAAATGCCTCTGAATTGAACACTATAACATTAAATGTTCATGCCTAAAATCTAGCATTTCACATTTCCTAGATTGCGGGCCAATCATATTTGCTGAGTTTGATAAATCCAAAGAGTGTGCTATATCTTCTGGAGTGGTATGAGGTATAGTCTGTCTTCTTACCCCCACTAATTAAAAATACATTTCTGAATAATTGGTGAACTTAAACCAATCATCCGTGTTCTTTAATCAGCAGAGGGTCACACACGAGGCTTTCTGCAAACCTAATAGGTGCAGCATGATTAATCATTTTAATTTTTTTGAGTAAAAAAAGATCACCAAATGCTAGCATTTCAAGGGGAGATTTAACAAGGAATACTTGCAAATGGAATTTTAATACAAGAGTACAGATCAAAATCAGATCTCCGAATAGACATAAGGATTTTTACTTTAAAAAAGATGAATCATGATTTATTTATTTATTTATTTTTTGGTGCTAGAGAGGGAAAGAGCTGTTGTTTGAATGAAGCACTTTACACGTGTTGCCTCTCTCTTTTATGAGAACTATGAAAGTAGGTGTTGTGATTTTCAGAAGAGGACATAAGCTTGGATGGTAAGCAACTTACTTGTGGCCACAGCTGATTAAGTAGTGGAAAAACATCCAAACTTGTATCCACCTCACTGCAAAGCTGGTGAGATCAACATCTCAAACAAAATGCAATATCTCACTTATTACAGACTCACTGTTGAGCTTTAAAATATTTTTTTGACTGTTTCTCTTTCCTTCGATTTACTTATTTTTCTCCTACTCTTTTGGATCCTCTGAGTCAATTTCAAGGTTTAGTGCCCAACTAATTCGAACAACTGGGGCCATTGCTTAGAAAAGTTTTAGGTGGAATATATCTACGACTCACAAAAGTTTTAGCCTTATAAACGAATTTCAACACAGACCATCTAAGAACTAACGAGGAGACAGCATCAAAATGATTTTACTTGTAATGTCCTTTCCTGTCCTGCCGCCCTGGGATATGCCCCCCTTTAGCCAGGTGTGGCCTGTTCTCAGTCACCTACAAGAAGGAAGTGCTAGGCTAACATTCCTAACTAAGTAACAGTAGCTTTGACTTCTGTCTTTTTCATGGGAAGGGTAGAGAGGGGAAATTTGAGAGGATAATATACTGGCTGTCCATGGTGAGGCACTAACTGTACTAAATATGGCAAGAAAGGGACCATCTCTCAGTTTTTCAGCCTGAAGTGTCCAGACCTGGGTGGCCCTACTTGTTCCTAGAAAGGGGTGACTGAGTCATCTTCAGTGATTCAGTTGAGAAAAGGAAAAAGATTTGAGTAAAAGCTTTTATAAAAGGTCTCTAGAGAAAGGAAAGGCTCACAATTATCCCAAAAATAAACTTTTATTTAAATGTACAGTTCATTAGTAAAAAAAAGTTTATTGACAGGTCATCAGGACTCTGCATTCTAACATGTGCCTTTAGAATTCTGAAGATCCTGAGCATGATAATTTGGTTGTATATGCCGGACTCCTGAGGCATTACATGCTTTTAAATCGCATTCTAGTATCAAGTGACATTTAAAAAGAGCAAGATAGTTTTGTCAAAGCCAGTCATTTTGTTCAAAAAAACTCTCTTCCTCCTTGCATGTGTGTTAACTGAGAAATACCCAAGTCTGGTAGTTCTACCAATCTGGTATATTCCAGAATACTTAAGATCCAGTGCTGGAGTTATAGCATCATTGAGTTACAAGCCACAGTTCTTCCTGTCTTTTTGGCCATGTTTCTCCCTATAGGAGAGCCTTGAAACTTAAGATTTGTTGTGGTACAGTTTGTTTTCTCCCAATATCTTATACATAGGAATGAAGTTGCCTGCTTATAAATTCCTTTAGGGAATCTTTATCATTTTCTTTGCAATCCAACAATCTACTTCTACTTCACTTGGATGGCCAAGGAAAATAATTCTGGAATGTCTAGCGTCTTGAAGGTATAACACGTAACTGAGTTAATCTGTGCTGACCTGATGTAGTAGTGCTAGTAGTACACTTCCATTACACCACCATACTGGATGCCAGCCATAGCTGGCATCTGAGAAACTGTTGAAGGATCCTAACATCAGCAATGAGGAGGACTCAGCAAACATGCAATGCGACATCCAGCTCAATCTTTGTACAGTACTGCATCCCCTTCTAAGAGAAGACGGCAGTAAGCACATAGGATTTGGAACCATAGATTGTTTGTAGCCTCAGTTTTTACCTATGTAAAATGGAGATACCTATTAGGGTTGCTGTGAAGAGCAAGTAAAAGACTTGGGAGCACTTACTTAGTACAAAAGTAAGCATATGGTAAGAATTTAAAGGAGATTTTAAGTGCTTTGGCAGCCATCTAAAGACTATGCAGGCTCCCAAATATTTGTTTCCATGTCCTAGGAGGTAGTCAAAAGAACTGAGGCAGAAACATTCCATTTATGTTTCTAGGGTTTAAACCATGCAGTCTTTTAAGCCTTCTTAAGTATGCAAGATGCTATCACTCCTTAAATATCAGACTTAGATCTCTTCAGACAGGTGTAGTGGAGAACACTTCGGTCACCATCTAACACATTACATTCATCATAGATAAAGGTACCTGTGACTTTCACCGGTAAAGTCACTTACCGGTGCCTGTGTGTGACAGTAAATACAGCCCTAGCATTGATGTGATATTCAGTAGTGACATCTGCCCTGCACATATTAGATGCCAGACACTGTGCTGAGCTTTTTGTGTGCATCTCACTTAAATCTTACCTTGTCACAGTGAGACAGTCCCCATCGTCTCTACTTTACAGAGGGAGTTAGTAACTTGCCCAAGGTACCACACACAAGACACGGAAGTCTATGCTGTTAACTACATTGCCTGCTGCTTCTAAACAGAACCACCTTGTCACCCATCTGACTTTTTCCTTGAGCGCAGTGAAGAAAAAAGCCATTTTTGATATGCCATGAGGTAACCTGCGGAGCACAAACTCCCCACCCGCAGCTGGTCTCACTCCTGTCTCAGTGTTTTTGCATTGAGATTTTTACAGTGAGATTTACAGGAGAACACTGGGTCATGGTCCTACTTTGTTCTTTTTCTCATTAGCCAGGCTCAAAAACGTGAAACGGACTCAGGAGACATGATAGAGAGATGGAACACCACTGTTATCAGTTTGTTAGTAGCTTATTTATCTATGGATCCCTAAGTTTCATATCTAGAGCCTCACTGGTAAAATGCATTCAGCTTTCCTGTGTGAAGGTAGATGTGAAAGGGATATGCAAAGATGGCTGATAATCCTTCACATGCAACTGTTTCGGCTAAAAATCCTCCAGGCTGGATTAGAGAGAAATAAGTTCGAAAAACGCCATTGTTCCCTCTTCAGATTCATTCCCTCCATATTTGGAAATAAGTACCTTTGAAGATTTTTGTACTTTTATATATTTCTGAACTCTCATAGTTTAGGCCCATGATATGGCTGAAGCATGGATGTACAATTTTTAGTTTTCCCAAGAAAAATCATACTTGTTAGGATATTTACTCGAGTAGTTTTTTAGTATTACAATTCTAGAAGAGAAGTCATTATAAGCCCCTTCTGGCCTTAGAGACTATATAATACCAAAAATACCTAAAAACCTTTTCTTTAAGAGAGTGAAATCGCTTGATGTGCCCTCCCACTCCGGTTAGATGCTTAACAGACGACAGCAGACAATGCACCTCAACCAGGGCTAAGTGTGCACACTTGGCCAGCAGCCGCCAACAGAACGGGCAGCAGCAGCAGTTAGCACTGACGCAACTATCGCTGCTATTGCCACTACCATCTCCCCACTAACAGGGCTTGCAGAATATGTAATACCCAGGGGATTATATATATGTGGTTTTTAGGCACCGCCTCATCACCCACAATAAGGGAAGCTTCTTTCTACTCTTTAGCTAGTTGCTGCTCCTACTTGTTAGGAGTTTGATGTATCAGACCCTTTTGAGAAATGTCTATGTCACAACTACGTTCAGGATAAAACAATTATGAAACTGAAGGGCTCAGATTTGGGGATCAAGATTAGCAGGTTGTATTCATAGTACTTCAACTTAAATTAGCAAAAGTATATCTGCTTTTTGCAAGTTTTTGCCACCATTGAAAGCAAACAGTATAGCTTTCATTTGGATTCAAAATAATAAATTGTTTTACTTGGGTAAGATTTCACTAGTAAGAATTCTAGGAAATTATTCCAGTTAGATTACGTAATAGAGATAAGTGACCCCTAGAATCTTTAGGTTTGGGGTAAAGATTGTTAAAAGGTAGACTTTAAGTTGGTCTACCATTTCTACAGTGTTCTTAACTGAAGAGTTAGTCTTTTAATACCCTGTAGTTTGCTATTTAAAGCTTGGCTTCTCATTTTTGAGAAGGGCTACTTGACTTCCACAGATACAAGGAACAGAAGCAAATGCCAAAGTGAAAGCCTCAATTTTTTTTTTTTTTTTTTTTTTTTTTTTGCCTTGTATTCATCAAGAACTAAAGAGGCAGCGATACCTAGGCTTTAAAACACCTACTAGAATGTTTTAAGGGAGCTAGTTGAACAACTGGGACTATTTTTTTGCCAAATAGATTAGCTTGCAAAGGGCACTTAAAAATTTGGACAGAGGAACTTGGCTGGATTTCTTTACCAGAGGCCACAAATCTGTTTATTCATCTATCATCAATCTTTGTGGCAATTCCTAAAATTTCTGGAGGGTCCACTTTCACTTTGTGTGACAGGCTCATCTAACTCCAAATATTCTCCTTTAGTGTATGATAAGCTTCATATTTTACCTCTTAATTATCTTCTACATTGAACTCTAGAGACAGAGCAAACTTATCCTAACACATTTCACATAGAATTCAAGTTATTTTTTGGGTGATAAAGCCGAGGCCTGTTATCATTCATGCACTATTATTGCAAGCTGTATTGACTAGTAGTTTAGTCATATAACTATTTTTTTCTTTTATTTTTATAAATTTTTTTTTTGTAGAGACAGGGTCTCACCATGTTGCTCAGGCTGGTCTCGAACTCCTGGCCTCAAGTGATCCTCCTGCCTTGGCCTTCCAAAGTGCTGGGATTATAGGCGTGAGCCACCATGCCTGGCCCACCAATATATCTATTCTTATTTCAATAGGAATATCTAGTTACTTTGTTTCTACAAATGAGTTTGTACCTCGTAGGTACAATGAGTTGTACCTTGGCTTCTTACTGGGGAGGACGTGGTAAAAAAAAATGAGACGTTTTAGACTCTTTGAGGGTTGGAAATTTTACCCAGAACATGAAAGAACATACTAGGGACAGGAATTCAAAAGATGATGATAGAGAATAATACTTTATTTGCCAAAACAAACTTTGGGCCTTATAATTAATTAATACTGTATAATCCTTATAATGGGGAAAGCAATAGTATCAAACTTCAAGCTTCTAAAGGGAATTTGGTATTACTCCAGTTAAAAAAAAAAAAATCCATGTTTTTTGTACCACAGCAGGGTCAGAGCAGCAGCCAAACTCTGAAATGGCTTTCAGAGTTCATGATGAATGCTAACCTACTTACCAAACAGGCACTTCAGCTACTCACTGTCAGCAGGCCACATCCTGTTCAGTGTGATGACTAAATGTAGAGTGAGGAAAAGGTGGAGAGCAGACAGTTCTATATTCATGACTACAGCCTTTTCCTTCTACATGCTTGACCTCCAAACCTCCCATGAAAAAAAAGTCCAAGGCTATCTTTTCTTTTTCATTCAGTTGACCAAAATCACAAGGGGGCATCCCTTAAGACAACAGAACCAACTTCCCCTTCATCTAGTAGGATTAATGTCCTTGCTTAAGCCACAAACAAGATGTTAACTGCCTTATATTTCATATGCAAGTGAAATATGAGTCATCCACTGATTCACGTAGCAACGCAAAACATCTTCTCTTCATCCTCTTGGTACTGTGTTGGTCGGTCATTTAATTCCAGAGGAATTGCTGTACCTTCCACAGCCAACTCTCCACCTCACTTGTGACACACAGCATGCACCCGGTGCTTCAAGTCTTTTGTCTTTCCTTGCTTCCAGACATCCTGAGACTTTAGAGAAAGAAAGTAATGGCCAACCTGATGGAAAATTCACTAAACTCCCTGTACAATTTTTTCTTTGTCTCAAACTCCTCATCTGCTCTTCATACTGTAAGTTCCAGAAATTGTCCATAGTAAGAATCTGCCCCATCCCAGCCAGGATAAAAATTTAGGTGATATTGCAATTATATTCTTCATGAAGTCACAGTAAAACGGTGGTTTTTAAGCTTTAGTTTACATCAGTATCGCCTGAAGGGCTTATGAAAGCAGGTTTCAGCCCTCGCCCCCAGAGTTTCTGATTCAGTAGGTCTGGGATGGGGCTGGGAACTTGCATTTCTAATACATTCCCAGGTGATGCAGATGCTTCTGTTCTCAGGACCACACTGAGAAACCTGCCTTAGACTGTTCAAGAATGCCATTGCTTGCTATCCTCCCTGGCCATCTTCACAGTAAGACAGTCTAGACTTTCATAAGAAGAAAGCCCTTATCCATGCCTTAGAAGGCACTTGTCCTTGACCTATATAAATGACAGAACATGGAAAACAGAGACTTAACTATAAAGAAGCAGAATTCATAGAAATCTTAGCACGTGTTTCTCGATCAGGAAACAAGTTAATGGAAAAAAAAGAAACTCACTCCTCTAACCAAGAGGAATTCTAGGTACAGACTAAGCTAGCTTCTTTTACACAGTAAGAAATATTTCGGGAGCAAATGTTAAACAGTACTTCATTTTTTAACTGTGCTAGGGTGTAAGAGAAACCAGCCCAATTACAGGCTTAGTTATACAACATCAAGAACTACAGCTCACACATTTAGTTAGAACACTTGGTACTACTCAGGATAGGAGTTCATCCTAGAGGAACAGGCACAAACCATGGTTAAGCTGCTTGGTTTAATTTTTTAGCACTTGAAAAAAAATGTACAGTAGTTTGAACACTCAGTCTTTGCAAACCTCCATTGAGGTCAAAGATATCATTCATACGTACAAAATTAGTTTATAAATTTTTTTGGCAATTTCATCTTAGTAACCCGTTTTGTCCTATTGCCATTGTCCCAACCATTGAAAAAGTTTACAATAATTTACATAGAAATATTTTCAAAGTGCTTAAGAATAGTGATTGTTCTCTGGGATATTTACAGATGGCCTATACAATGTATGTACAGGTGGTATACACTATAGCACAAGTTTCACTGCTGGAATATGGCTTTCTAGGGAAAGTGCATATTTGGCCAGAGGTGGCAATACTGTCTAGAAATTCAAGGGTTACAGATACTCGGTAACCACATCCAAAGCTGAAGTAGAATGTGGACAAGAATATTTACAAAAGTAATATAAAAACGGTCAAGTACACAAGCTTGATCCACGCAAAGGTATCTTGATGTTCTTCCAGCCGAGAGGAAGAAAAAGAGACTTCAGCTGCTGGCTCGGTTACCATTCCGACGGGGGTATTATTTGTTTAGACCTCAAAGGTCAACATTTGTCACAGAAGTCAAGCTAGATCATCATCTGTGCTTACAACTGATATCTGTGGAAAAGAAGAAGTATAGAATGAGCTTGGTGATCACTCACTGATGGCAACTCTAGTCTTTAAAATGGACCTTGCTTTTGAGTTGGTCATTCAAACACTCAGAGTGCTTAGAAGAAAAGTCAGTCAGATACAAAAGAATACTGAGTTGTATCATTCATGCATTTAACTTGAATTCAACTATACCTGCTTGGTAGTGAGATAAGATAGTGTGACTAATTCTGTCTTTTCTACTTAATGATCATAAGTCTTGGGGAAAAATGTGAAAAGCCATGTGTGTGTCAAGAATTGACCACTGTTCCATGTTTCACCGGAGTTTGAGAGGGGAGTGATCAATACTTGTTTTGTTCAGCCTGTTTCCTACGTGAAGGCCAAATACTCCACTTGGGTTTCATCTGAAGAACAAGTGAGTGACTATTGCTGGAAGAAAAGCTAGCTATACTAAGGGCGGTGGGATACCTTTTTAAAGCAAAGCATATAATAATTTTGGCTAAGTGAATCTTACTCAATACACTGACTTTAAGCCAACTCCCCTATATATGATATGCTAATTTACTTTCAAATATCCAGTAGGCAATGGATTTAATAGTTCAGTAATGAGCTACTTGGTTCATGCTAGTATTTACATGTCATTTCTATAACCAAAAATATCTTAATATAGTGGTGACTTTAAGTTGACCCACTTGTCAGTTGGTGAGGGTTAGATGCTGATCAACTGAGTGACTTATGTTCTAACAGGCTATACTGTCTGTCTAATAGCCAGGTAGCAGATGAAGTGTTTGGTAACTCCATCATCCTAATGGCTCTCTCTCTCTCACCCAGGTCTCCTTTCTGAAAAGTCTCACTTCAAGCCATGGTGTATAAAGACACAAAGCTGACTTACTGCTGGGTACGTGTGTCCAACAGAAGCACTGTGTCTACCAATGTCTATGGAGAGGTCCTCTTCAGTGGTTTTCAAGTACACAGGATTGTCAAAGTTCATGCTTTTCATGTTCTTGTGTTGCCAATTCCGCCACATCAAGTAGCCACCTACTGCTGCCATCACTAAGAGCACTGAAAAAAATCAGAGGGTAGCTAAGTGAGCTAAGTCTAGTATTGGAACATACAAGAAAGGTAATAACGTTCAGGAATCCATAATAATTGACATTAGTAAAAATGCCATGTTTTATGGAGCTAGGATAACTAGAAGTTGGAATACACATGGGCCAGGAGCTTGAAACAAGTTCAGCCCAGAGGTAGCTCTGTGCACTGGAGCTGGACTAGCCACATCCATCCAGGCAAGGGCAGGGTCCTCGGTCCCACCTTAGGCTCACCAAATTAAAATTGCAGAAGGTTCTGGAGAGCTATTCAGGTGGTCCTGGCGTGTTAGCTAAGCTTGGGTCTCTTCATTTAGGACAAAGGTTTTTATAGCAAAGTCCTTAGAATTTGCGTGTCTCGTTTAGAGGTCCTTTTCCATAGGTTTGAAAATTCTTAACTGCTTTTAATTTATCCTCAACAAGTCCTGTAACTCTTAGCATTTAAGCATTTGTGCATCTCCTCTGTATGAAGCATTACACACATTTCAAAGGGGGAACAGAACAGTACACTAGTTAAAGAGACTTATTATAAAAGGGGATAAGCCAGGTTAACAGTGCGGAAGTAGAAAGCATTAACCGTTGAACACTTATCATTGCCAGTTACTGTGCCAAAGGTACAACTGAAGAGAAAGATATGGGCCTTAATTTAGTGTATTATGTGGGGGAGAAAGCGAACGTAATTCAGTGTCATAAATGCTAGACAGCATAAAGGCCCATGAAAGGGGTAGCTCCAGATGAACAAAAAATCTTCATCTGGTATCTAAGAAGTTCTTGAACCCAGACTTGTAGGAAATCTACTTACAGAGAGGAAGAATGGCCCATGCGGCAGAAGTCCCTTTTGGGGGAACACTGACCTCTGATACTGCTGTGGTCACATTGATCCCTACAGAGGAATAAAAGGAATCAGTTTAGAAGGATCTGTATTCAGACTTAGAAATTTACCCATCAGGTAAGGAGCCAAAACCTTTGCATCCAATATTGATGTTCAGTATCTACAACAATTGAACACCAGGAACAACTCTGGCTTAGAAGTATTTGAGTCACATGCTGTAGTAGCCATTTCACTGACAGTTCTCTACTAGAAACCTTTAAGATCAGTCAGGAAAAGATATGCAAGTTTTAAGTCTTTGGTGTTTAAATATAGGTTACCAATTGGGGCAGAAATAGTAGTTAAAGGCTGCATTAATTATTTAAGCTGTAGATACAAAGAGTGTGGCTGTTAGTTGAGATTAACAGTTTGCAGTACTGAACTCAATACCTCCAGGAACTAGTCCACTAGTTGCTGAAATTTCTGTTGTGTTCGTATCTTTTGTCTCACTGTAAGTCACAGTAGTTGCAGTACCTGAATTATAAAAACCAAGAACCTGGTTAATGCCAGGGTTCCAGCATGGCTAGCTGTTTTGTCCAGACAAGCCATGTAAAAGGTTATTTTAAAACCAGGTAAAATAGACAAACCACTGCTGAACTAAGTTGTACAGCTGATGTGTCAACATTGAAATAGCAATCTTCATGCAAAAAAGAGATACATGAAACTTTGGGAAGGACAGTCGGTGTTTGGAATTTGACAATTCAAAATGATGGACAACCACATTTTATCCCTCTAAACAACATCCCATGTTCCTGGAAACTACGAGAAATGTTCTCAAGATGCTCTGGTATACCAGGCATACCAGACTGTCTTGCAACTAATTTCTTGGTAAACTGAGCTAATCCCTGCCTGACCATGAATTACGCTAATAAAAACCTCATCAGCCTCACCATACAAGCTCCTTGATCACACAAATGACTTTAATTTGCCACTTAATCAAAAGTTAAGAACAGAAGACTAAATGCAAATTCAGCCTAAGTGTTATTTTAGGGTAGCGTCACCCACTGAGGCAATGAGGTTTCTGTAACCATGGCCTTCCTTAAGCATAATTTCTGTCCTCCTCCTTTTGAGGAAAAATGTTAAGGCCTCATTTAATTACCTGCAAGTTGGCTAGCTCAGTGCTGTTAAGGGACTAGGTACAAATTAGTGTAAGGTATGTTGACACTTTAGTCTCCTATAAACTCATTTAATGTTGAAATGGGTTAAAGTCAGTTCTAAAGAAATGACATGATAACCCGGCATACAATAGCAGATATCTTCTCAAATCTATTCAAAGAATTAGCTAAGACAGAATTCTTAAAAATCCAAGCTTGTGTCTTATTATATTGCTTGTTGTAGGTTCTACTTGTGGTTGAAACACAAAATGCCTTACTTTGACAGTCTCGGCCATTTTCCTCTACATTGTACCCACTGGGACAGGAACAGGTATATTTTGGAGAGTGATCATTAATCTGTGGTGCTGGCAGGCATAGGTATTCACATCCTCCATTCTCCATGTCTTCTTCACACCAATTTTTACCTAGTCAGGAAAAAAAATACCATTAAAATGGGTATTCCGGTGCCTAGTATATATAAAGCCTTGTTCTACATGTTGAAGACCTGAGTCCTTGCCCCCAAGAGCTTAAACTTGTCTACTCTGCTAATCCTTCAAGTGAGAACAGTATCAAGGAAGAATAAGTATACAGGTAC
Organism: Homo sapiens; assembly: GCF_000001405.40. Classification (NCBI taxonomy): domain Eukaryota; kingdom Metazoa; phylum Chordata; class Mammalia; order Primates; family Hominidae; genus Homo; species Homo sapiens. The sequence goes on along the minus strand of NC_000009.12, from coordinate 2,650,199 downwards.
AGGCAGCATGCTCTAAGGACACCAGATAAGGGACCTCTTCGAGATAGACTGTAAAAGTTATGCCTTTAAGAGACAGATGCCAAAAGAGGAGGTGGGGAAGGGAGGTGAGGGACCAGGACTGGCTCTCACTATTTGCCCGAGGTTTAGCGTGAAGGCTCAGAGAAAGGAGACTAGGCATGTTCTCCTGGTTTTCTCTTGACTTGCTCCAACAAAGTGGAAGGAAACTCAGCCTTAGGAAGGTTTGAAGGCTTTATTTAGATAGAACCAGCCAAGTGTTTTCAGCAGGAGATAATATAACCCGATGTGTTTGAGAATCTACACAATCCTATATCAGGTGTGTCACAGGGGGAAAGTAGGTGTTATGAGTTGAATGGTGTTCCTCCCTAAAATTCATATAATGAAGTCCTAGTACCTCAGAATGTGATCTTATTTGGAGATATTGAGGATAGGATATTTACAGAGGTAATCAAGTTAAAATGAGGTCATTAAGGTGGGCTCTAATCCAATATGACTGTTATTACAGCTCACGCCTGTAATTCCGGCACTTTAGGAGGCCGAGGCAGGCAGATTACTTTGGGTCAGGAGTTCGAGACCAGTCTGGCCAACATGGTGAAACCCCATCTCTACTAAAGATACAAAGTTTAGCTGGACGTGGTGGCTCACTCCTGTAGTCCCAGCTACTCGGGAGGCTGAGGCAGGAGAATTGCTTGAACACAGGAGGCGGAGGTTGCAGTGAGCCGAGATTGTGCCACTGCACTCCAGCCTGGGTGACAGAGCAAGAGTCAGTCTCCAAAAAACAGAAAAAGAAAGAAAGCAAGAAAGCTGGACACGAGCATATACAGAGGGACGATGATGTGAAGAGACAAAGGGGGAAGAGCACCATCAACAGACCAAGAAGAGGCCTGGAACAGACCCTTCCCTCACAGCCCTCAAGAGGCACCAACCCTCCTGGCACCTTGATTTCAAACTTCTGGCCTCCAGAGTTTTGAGACAATAAATTTCTGTTGTTTAAGATAGTCTGTGGTACTTCATTGCAAAAATCCTAGCAAACTAACAGTAGAGAAAGCTTGTAGCACAAAAGCTACTTTGGAGGCTACTGCAATAGTCTTGGCAAGAGGGGCTGAAGGCCAAGGGGACATGAATGAAACAGAAATAAAAGCTCTGACACTGAGGCTTGGGAGGAAAGCCAGGAGCTGAAGTTGAGAAGCCATTTCTCTGAGGCAGCAGAAATAAAAAAATAACATGTGAAATGTTTAAGGTAGGGTACAGGAGGGCAAAAGTTCCCTTTTAAAGAAAACTGAGTTGCCAAGAGCTACTGACATCCAGCAGGTTCTGTGTCATGCTGCTTCCCTTAAAGTAGTTATTAAGGACTGTGCTTCTCCACGGTACCTGATGGCTGTACAAGTTCATGATAGACAATGATGTCTTGGGCATCATTCAGGTTGTTGACTAGAGTGGCTAGCTCTGATCCAGTGAATTTATTGGCACCATAGACTGCTTCATTTTCCCCATCTATCCAGTAGACACGATCCTAAAACAGAAGCCCACAATTAGCATGTACATCCAGGATTAACACAAGTCCATTTCTAAGGTCATCATCATTTACTTCTCATTTAATGGACTAAGTTTACTGAATGCTGAACTGGGACACTGGATATAAAACTGTAAAAGAATCAAGTTTAGGTGTGGAGTGCTTCTGGGACTTAGTGTCTGATTTGTACCAGGTTTTAAGTGAAAGCAGTTTCTCAAGCCATGTTCAGCTGCTCTTCCCTCCTCCCGCTATGTCTGTTATTTCTTCTCAAAGTGATATAGTAGCTCAAAGGTACACACTTTGATGTGAGACACATCTTACCTCAAATATTGTTAGTGCAAGAGGATGAGCTAGGAACTCCAGAGACTTTAGTACTATCCTACGATCTTGGCCATTCAAGTCCACGCTGGATAACATGTGCAACTTAGAATCAAGCCAATAGAGGCGACTTTTTATAAGGTCTAGGTAGGAAAAGAATTGTCATTACATGACAAGCCACTACTACTCTGGCTTCCATTAAAAATATCTAATGAATTAATAATCTACTTTCACGGTTCTTTCCCCAGCAGGGTTTCTTAACGGGGTCACCATAAACCTTGCGAAGCAGCATGCAGAGCCTGTATCCACGTTCATTTTTGGGGACTAACAGGGTACCTGAGATTCTCAAAGCAAATGACTTAAGAAATATTACTCACATTACAGAAAATATTAAAAGAGGCTACCATTTTGTTGTTCTCCTCCAAAAAGCCAGAAGAAAACTGTTAAAAGCCTGCAATTCAGGAAATGCTAAGGCACTCATGCCCAGAATATTTAGTATGAGTGCACCCAAGACCCAACGTTCACTGAATTTGTGTCACATATTAGGCCCAGCTGGACAACAGGCCAGTAATTATGGAATGTGTAATTTGTTAATCCACCATTTTACTTGTGTTGTTCAGTTACTCCCATTGAAAATTCCTGCTAGAATTTAGGCGGAAGCAGTAGAGTCATCTGCTAGTCCAGAATTCACCATGGAGATAAATGGAAACACTATGAAGATAGTTGAGTGGGTGGTCGAGAAGGAAGAACATACATACCAAGTGTAATTCCGTTAGGCCACTGGATATCCGCTGTCACCAGTGGACGTCTATCGAATCCATTCATTCCTGCTTTTTCTATTTTAGCTGGTTCACCCCAGTCTGACCAGTAAACAAAGCTGTGAAAAATTAAATGAGAAATAAGCCTCAGTGGTTTAGAAGGAATAAAGTTGTAGTAGCTGGAAACAAAAATTTAAAATTTGAGCAGAAAACTCAAGGCATTCTCTAGTGACAAATAGTAACACTTAAGGGTCTAAATTATGTTCTAGGTAAATAAAATTGAATATTAAGAATCTACAAGCTCATTATTAACTATAATAATCTATGTTTGTCTGACATTTAAATTTCGGCCCAAAGTCACAAGGTTATGTTTCCTTTTTAAAAGGTCAGTTCTTACAGAGGAGTGCAAGACGAACATCCTTCAAATTTCATAGCAGGGGTTGGCTGGCTGACTGAGTTCTAATGAGGCTGCACGGGGGCCAGTTGTGATGACAACTACAGCCTTAGTCAACTTCCTGAGCTGCTCTTCTATGTTACTTAGTGGCAATTTACAGAACCCCCTTAGTGAAATGTTTCTAGAAAGGTCTGTTTATTTCTGCTGGACTTTCAGACAACTTGCACACTTAGATGCAATGTGGTTACCCAAATCCTCACAATTCAGGCTGTCGTTTAGGTTTGATCATCCAGAGCTAGCCCAGCAAAGCTTTCAGTCAAAAATTAAAAAATCACTTGCGTAGAAACTGGGTGGACAAAAGGGTTCAGATACAGCTTTTGGTACACACATCAAATCAGGAATGTTAATTCATTAATGTCAGCCAGCAATCAGTCATACGAGAGTCAGACAGGAGGACCTGTCATATAGATAAGGACATCCCAGGGTCACTCACCTGGGGCAAAACTGATATCTTAAATTAGAATTCTAATTCTTTGTTGCAGAAGGCTCATAAACCTTGAGATTTGAGTACTAATTCAGGTATGAGAAAGCTCCTGACCTACACAGATACCATTCCAAAGTCTGTGATGGAAAACAGACTACAAACCCAGACAGTGGGTCCACAGCTATGGAGGCAGGCTCTCGCAAGTCAGAGTTAAACAGGAACTTCCTCTTGGTTCCATCTAGGGTAGCTACTGAAATAGTCTTAGAAGCCGCATCAGTCCAGTAGATGGTCTTGTACACCCAATCAACAGCAATGGCTGCAGGATTATAGACATTGTCGATCATTTTAACATGTCTACCAACCTTGTCATCAATTGAGGCACTGAAACAGAATAGGTCACAAGAAATTTAAGAGTTTGACACAATTAGAGCTTGGAGAATGGACTTTTTGCTTACAAAATGGTCAATGACTTTGTTCAGAAAGAAATCCAGTTAACACCACAGCTCACCACTCAAATTATTTAACCATGCTGCTTACTGATCCTAAATTAATAATGCTGTAGATTATCTAGTTGCTGGTATGTATTCTATATACAAGAACAACAAATTTCTAAGTGAAGCTATTTGTTTCAGTATCCATCATCTGAGTTTCTATAGTTCCCATTAAGAAAAGGCTGTACTACCATTTCTATTTGTAGCAACAATGAACAGTTCTCAATTAACTGTAGAGAAAAGGGAGAAAATATAAAAAATATGAAAGATGTCATCTTTTACTTCATAGACAATTGTTAGTTTCTAATTAGGAAGTGATAACAGTTTAATAAAGAATTAGCATTAGATTTAATGTCCCCAGGTAATTCGATGCTAGATGGGGCTAGACACAAAAGAAACTCCTCCAAACTATCCCACAGATCACTTCCCAAGTGACAATGACTTATGTCAAGACACCACAAAAGGAACTGAAAGTTACCTGAAGATAGCCTTTTGGCTTAGATCGGCCCAGAATAGTTTCTGGGCAGCAATGTCAGCATCGAGAGCCACAGTGTTTCTTAGCTGTTCAACTAGTTGGATATATTCTTTCCTCTCTAAGCCAATCTTCCTGATGTCTCTTCGATTAGTGAAGATCAGACTTGGCTCTTTGCCTGCAAGATGGAAGTCTGGGTTACTTAGTTTTGCTTTAAGAAGGCAAGGTCTTTCTAAACCACCTCCTCCCAGCAGAGGAGCACTTAGAAAATAAAGGTATTGTGGAATACCTCAGTAGTATCTGTTCTGGAGTTCCTGCCCCTGGGACCTGCAAGTGCTTCCTACAGTTTAGGAAGGCAGTCGTGGGGTTACAGCCTTCAAGAACAGGGTGAGTGATGAATAAGTCACTTGTTTGAGTTGGACTCAAGTTTTGGAAACAGAGCATGCAAACCTGGTAGGTATTCATGGTATCATATGCAAAAGGAATGATCAAGGTACATATCTAGGGGAGAGATCTGCTATTTGACCTATACTGCTGTATTATGAGGTTAGCAGCATTGTTCTCAAGTACAATTTCATGTTTAGTTTGACTATTGTAGTCACTGGCTGTACCTTTTAGAGGCACTTACTCATAAAGGTACAACAGCCATACCAGTCCAAGTTCATTTACCTACTGCCTTGCACACGCCAGTAGCAAGATCCATTTGATAGCCACGACTACATTCACACTTGTAACCGCCTTTTAAGTTGATACAAATTTGACTGCAGATTCCTGGATTTTGGCATTCATCAATATCTGGGAGGGAAATCAGAATTAGTCTTGCTGCTCCTATACCTTACTAGGTACATACTATCCTTTCCCATCACCTGCAGGGTCCAGGTTTTCTTCTTAGACTCACCTCCACAGGTTTTCCTATCTATCAGTTCAAACCCAGCTGCACAGTCACACTCGTAGCCTATAACTAGGTCTTTGCAGATATGAGAACATCCACCATTATTTACCAAGCATTCGTTTATATCTGGAATAAAAATGTAGTAGTCACTTGACAACTTATTTTCAATTAATATCTTTCACATTTAAAACCCAGGCTATTTGTGATAACTTATCTAGTTGGCCTGGTCAAACCCACGATTTGTCTAAGACCTAATCATTTATTTTATAGGTATATATTTCAGGGTGGATTATCTAACTCCTCGGCAAGTTACCAGCTGGTCAAGCATTTAGTCAAGTTTCTCTATTGATGATCAGTTATCTTTAAGGAGGTTAAACTATAAACTAGTTTGGGCCGGGCGCGGTGGCTCATGCCTGTAATCCCAGCACTTTGGAAGGCCGAGGCGGGTGGATCACGAGGTCAGGAGTTCGAGACCAGCCTGGCCAACATGGTGAAACCCTGTCTCTACTAAAAATACAAAAAAAAAAAAAAAAATTAGCCGGGCGTGGTGGTGGGCGCCTATAGTCCCAGCTACTCAGGAGGCTGAGGCAGAAGAACTGCTTGAACCCGGGAGGCAGAGGTTGCAGTGAGCCGAGATTGCATCATTGCACTCCAGCCTGGGCAACAAGAGTGGAACTCCATCTCAAAAAAAAAAAAAAAAAAAAAACAACAAAAACAAAAACTATAAACTAGTTTGTCCTACCTGGGCTTTTAAGTCATAAAGTTTCACTCTGAAGTCTACAATTGAACTTCAGTACATTCAAAAGTTTAACTAGCCATCACGGGGGGTCCACACAGTGTTAGCTATACTGGATTGTGTCAAACTTCCAGGATCTGTACTTGAACAACAAGTACACTTACGACACTCTTTCAGGGGCTCATCACTCCAGTCCCTGCAGTCCTGCTCCTGGTTACATACTTTGCTGATATCTATGCATTCTCCACTTCTGCACTTGAATTTTCCAGGGCCCAAGCACTGATTGACTACAAAGAGAAACAAAGAAGAGAGATTCCATGAGTGGGTCTGGTCAGAGCAATCCATTGCTTAACCAACAAGAAGAAACCCTTACCATTTTTGCAGTTGACTTCATCGGAACCATCGACACAGTCTCGGATACCATTACACTGCCTGCTGCCATGGATGCAGCTGCCATCCTCACATTCAAATTGGTCAGGTCGGCAAGTTCGAGAGGCTACAAAGGGAGGAAACACCATGGAATGAAGCCAGCAAATTGTCCCAGTTGATACAGGGAAGAGAACTGAACATGCCATGCTAGAAAGCTACTTACGACAGTTGACCTCATCACTGCCATCCTTGCAGTCAGGGTCCCCATCACATCGCCACTTCTTATGGATGCACTCGCCAGAGCCGCACTGGATTTCGCTGGCTGGACACTTGGTGTGTATGACTGGCTGACGGCCACACTGCTCCAGGGACTCATCAGATTGGTCGGAGCAGTCTGCATCATCGTCGCATACCCAGCTGATGGGGATGCAGGAGGAGGTGCTGCACTGGAACTCATGGGCGCCACAGGTTGGCGGGGCACAGTCCAGCTCATCACTGCCATCGCTGCAGTCATCCTGGCCATTGCATACAAAGTTCCTGGAGATGCAGCGGCCACTGGAGCAGGTGAACTCGTCGGGACTACATGTTATATTGCCTATTAAGAGAGAGGATGCCCCACTGAAAATGCATCAAGATTGGTCCGTTCAAGATTCTTGTCCCAAAATCTAATACATTGATCTTTATTCATTAATCCTAACTTACTAGCCCAACTTAAAGGCTACAATGGAGTTAAATCAAGAACTTTTGTACAGTCTCATTGTACAAAAAATGAAGGCACACAATAAATAAGAAGAACAGAAATAAAGAACCAAGAAAATAGTTGAAGACTGGAAATTAATTTGAGATGAGAACCACAATTGATTCTAAAAGTGGCCATCATAAATAACAAACTGTAACAAGGGATTTCAATTTGGAAGGCAGAGATTGAGTTGTCCTTGAATCAACATACTGCTTGTCAGATCTTATCACTAGTTGAGAATATCATGCAACGTAATACTCACAACAAGCATTAAGACTTTGTCACCAAAAGAGGTGAACCACATACCACCATATATGGTTCCTCTTTTTGGTCCTTTAAATAAGGATCAGGAATAACAAGTCTTAAACACTTTCCATTTTGAAAAAGTCACTGCCAGGGCTATAATCACCATTTAACAATCAGGTATGCTGACAATGATAAGCTAGTCCTACTAGCCAATTGGTACTTTGACTTAAATTCCTGCCAAATGTTTCAAGGTCACAATTTGGTGGCAATTAGAATAGAGACCACGACTCTCTTGGGAAGCAAAGTCTAGATTTATAAGGGAAACACTTGGCAGCACCAGGGCTTACCAATACAGAAAACCCAATTCTAGGATTGAACACTAAAACTCATTGGACTAGGTGCAGTGGTATTGACCTCAGGAGGCGACTTCTACACACAAGACTGGTGTTTCAACTGTAAGTGCCCTGAGCTCCCTTGACTACTACCATATCAGGAGGCCCATGCTTGTCAGACTTGGGAGCTGTAGGTTTTAGAGGCCCTATAAAAAGGGCAGTAGCTTGAAAGAACATTCAAAGCACTGTTTGTTCAACCTAGTGATTTTCCCAGGCCCTCACCTTCAACATGCAGCATTTTATTAAAGATTTTCCAAGACCAGAAACATGAAAGAATAGGAAGCAGAGTTAGCTTTCAGAGACAGGAACTGCAACAGGAGACAAAGGTATCACCAGTTGGGTAGACTTTTCTTTGGGTATCTGAGGCAAGATGTTAATTCATGCTTCTGTGTCTTTTTTTTTTTTTTTTCTGGGAAAGTTATGCCAGAATCTAGTTCATGGGCAAAGAAATGCTTGTATAATACTCAAATAATTTATTCCAATAACCCAATCAAATTTAGACCTATGAATGTGTTTGCCAACCCTACTCACCTTCTAATTTTATTGTGCCAAAGTGCAAAAGACACATGAATTACTGTCAAAACAAAAGCCCACACAATTGCTGCTTCCCTGAGCTACTTCTATATATAAGTGCCTTGAATGACTTACCTTCTTATTTCTATTTGCCTAAAAGAAACACCAAGCGATGGTCAATTGCCACATGAATGTCTTTTAGGGTTTTAGGGCAGTTATGAAGGACAAGTAATTGAGCAGATAGTGAAGTCACTGAAAAGTGAGTCAATGTCAGTGCGTCTTCAGGCTTAGATTAGTTTCCCCTGCCCACCCTTCCTTTAGGAAAAGGGTCTTTGGGTTACGTCACTCAACACTGATCTTCTTACCACAGTTTTCTTCATCTTCTCCACTGTCACAATCATTTTCACCATCACATCTCCAGGACACTGGGATACACTGAGTAGAATGGGCGCCACAGCTGATTTCATGTATGCGGCATGTTCTCATATCTGTTGATGATATACAGTCTCAAAAGAGCCTCAGAACTGATCAATGCAAAGCTGCTGCTCCTGTGCTGCCTGGAAGCGCTAATACCTGTGACTCAGTAGCCTGGCACACTGGTGAAATTCTACTAACTGGCTGAAGCCCGGGGAGCTCTTTCATCAGCTCCACTCCTTAGAAGCTGTGCCAACCTATGCTACCTGGCAGTGTACGTGACAGCTTTGACCACGTCACTCCTTCAAGGTCCCATGGCGTGCTCAGTTCTGGCTTTTGTTTTACTTGGCGTGGTGAAGTTTATTGGCTGGCCTGCTCCTAGACCACTATTTATCTGTTGGATGTCAAGTGGGCACACCTAGATATTGTCATCTAATCTCAAATACATGAAAAGTCAGATGGTCAAACACCTACAAAATCTTCTATTGCCTAGATTCCTTTATGGGCCTCCTTCACAATGTCCTTTAGATTGACATCTTGCAAAGTAGAAGCATGCCCTAATGCTTGACTTGACCAGGTCATTCTCCACTAAAAGTTGAGGCTGAATCTTTACACAACCTGTCTTTAGCTCACAGGCCTTGAACTCACTTGCCTTGACCAATATTACTCCCCTCACTTCTTATCTAGAAAATTGAAAGTAACAGCCTTATCTTCCTTTCTATTTGATTTTCTTTCATAATCACACTTTAGACCTAAACTGTGTTCATGTTAGTCCTTTTTTAGTGTTTCTACCAGTGCAGGCCTCTACTGACTCAAACTCTAAGACTTTCTTTGCCTTGACATTCGTGTGATCTCAATTTATATGATCCCAAACCATCATTCTTTATGGTCTCATAGACTTTTTCCTAAGGACACAGGTATATACTTGCATACCTATGAAGTTTCTCTTATTTAAGAATATGCTGTAAGATCTCCATTTTAGTAACTTGAGGTTACATGTGTGTCAGGAGTCACTATATCACCCAATTACTAGCTACCTTACCTCTTCAGTAATAGCTTTTTAATAGTATGATAAGCTGTGCTTCTAAAAGCTTTTGCTTGGCCCATAGGGAACCCTCACTTCTTGACTTAGCTTCCAGGACCAGAGTACCATCTGCTCAGTTATTATAAACAGACATTTGAAATCTATGCACCTAGTCAAGGAGTTCTTGATTGAATCTGCTGACTTCAGTTTTAAGTATTCAATAGTGAAGCTACCCAAGAGAATGTCAGTCTTGTTGGACCAGGGAGAACATTCTTTAAAGGAGGCTGATAAACTGGTAATGATTTGACTGCCCTTGGAGTCAATTGACCTAAACTTTAAGGCAGGCAAAGAAAAATGAATACCAAGTAGGAGATTAAGCAATACTTAGAAATGTTAGACACCGAACAACTTGGCAAAGTTCAAGGCCAAAGCAAGTTACACTCACGGCACTGTTCTGGGCTTTCATCTGAACCATCTTCGCAGTCAGGATCTCCATCACACTTCCATCGGCTGGGAACACACTGGCCATTGTTGCACACGAAGTCAGATTCAGCACACGTCTTCTTTACTACAAACGTTTATTTGAAGGGTTAAAGTTGAAGTCATTTACCCACAGCCCTAGCTTCACATGAGGGCTCATACTGCATTTTGGCATGTTTTGCTCTAAAAAAAAGCTGAGTCAATGGGCACTCAACTGCCAATATCCAGGGGAAACTTCAGAAAAATTATTATTTTTTTTCAGAGGAGGAAGATGCTCATTTGAGAGACTTGGAGGAAACTGAAGTCAAGGTCAGACAGAGGTTGCCCATTATCTTACAACTCGGAGATACCTTACATTTAACTTCCTGCCTGTTTTATAATGTTGAGATTAAGTAACACTTTCATTTTCTACATGCATTTCTTCCAAGTCATTCAAGTACTTCATTTAACAGCTAAACATTCCATCTTCTGACTGGATCATAGTAGAACTGCTTGCTGGGGACTGAATGTTTGTCTCCACCCAGAATTCACGTGTGGAAATCCTAACCCCTAACATGATGTTATTAGGAGGTAGGGCCTCTGGGAGGTAATTAAGTCATGAGGGTGGAGCCCCCATGAATGGGATTAGCACCCTCATAAAAAGAAACCAGAGCGCTTACTCTCTCTCTCTTTGTTATCTACTATGTAAGGACACAGTGAGAAGATGGTCATCTGCAAACCAGAAAGACAGCCCTCACCTGATATCAGATCTACTGGCAGGTCTCTTCTCAGCCTCCACAACTATGAGAAATAAATTTCTGTTGTTTCAGCCACCCACTTATGGTATTTTTGTGACAGCAGTCTGAGCTGACTAATATACTGTTCAAGGGGCATCCCCTAACAACACATGTGTTTAGTGTGGAGAATGAAGGCCAAACCCCAGTACTGAATATTGTCACCCATACTGGTCTACAGGGGCAAAGAAACTCATCAGGTAGAAAGGGGAGAAAACTCAATCAGTGTAACAAGAGATGTTGTACTTAGAATTCAAGGGAGAGAAGATTTTAGCCTTTCTAGCCAAGGGGTAGGCTAACATCAACCAGCTAAAAGTCATTGAAGCTGTCAGTGCTAATATCCATAACTGCCTGCTAATGTTAAAATAGCCTAAGGAGAGGAATTGATTCTGTTGCTAATTCTTCCTGGGGCAGGTCTTTCCCCTATACTTAGGGTTACCATGCAATTTTTTGTCCAAACTGGGACAGTCTCAGCAGAAAGGGGACACTTTTAATTATATCTGGAAGATAAGCATAAACCAGGACTGTCCTAAGCAAATCGGGCAGCTTGATTATCCTACCCATGAAGGAATCACGGAGCAGGATGAATCTTGATATAAAGTAGCCACACAGGATACCCTAAGCTTATCTTTCTTAGATTATATTCTTTCTTGCCTATATGCTTATACCTTCTACCCAATTTCTATTTTAAAACATTCCTCTATAACATATATTCTGTGAAGGTAAATAAGTGAAAAATTCACAATTTGATGAACATTTGAAAGGGACTGTTTCTCAAATCACTGGTTTAAAGCAGGTAGAACTCTCAGAGCTTAGAGTGTGCCCTTGGACCACTCTGGTTGAGAGTAAGATATTGTAAAGGAGAGAGACAGTGATTACAGTTAATTTCTAGAACTCAAGATGGGTTGACAAATTATGATGATCTATAAAGGATTATCTCCTTGAATTACACAGCCAAGGAAACAAGACTGGCCATGCTAGCTTTAGATTCATGCCTGTTTCTAAAATCACTGAAAAACTCAAACACTAATGTTAATGAATTAAGTGCTATTCAAGGTCTGTGTTCTCCTGAGCATGGAGGAAGAAGTCAGAGGGTCTGCAGGGTTAGTTGCTATAATTCAACCTGTGATATTCTTTGGAAGCTACAAAAGAGGGAGTAGCGGAATGGCTGTAAAGAGACCCCATGATTGATTGATTGATTGATTTTTTATTTATTTTTATTTATTTTTTTGAGATGGAGTCTCGCTCTGTCACCCAGGCTGGAGTGCAGTGGCGTGGTCTTGGCTCACTGCAAGCTCCGCCTCCCGGGTTCACGCCATTCTCCTGCCTCAGCCTCCCGAGTAGCTGGGACTACAGGCACCTGCCACCATGTCCGGCTAAATTTTTTTGTATTTTTAGTGGAGACGGGGTTTCACTGTGTTAGCCAGGGTGGTCTCGATCTCCTGACCTCGTGATTCGCCTGCCTAGGCCGCCCAAAGTGCTGGGATTATAGGCGTGAGCCACCGCACCCGGCCCTCCATGATTTTAAGTCTTAGAAAACGTAAGGAGGATGTGAAAGATTGGCTGTATACCACAGTGTTTGAGCAAAAGATAAACAGAGACAGACAAATTGCCGTATGGTTCTCTCTCTTCATTTGGAGCATAGACTGGGAGGGTAAAGAAAGGATATGTGAACTGGGCCTTGAGAGACAAATAGGAATTTAGATGTGCTACAGAGGAAGAGAATTAGCAGTTACATATTTAGAGTACTTAGGTTGCTGATTAATTAGCTCAGCCTAACATTATAAAAGAATGAGTTAATGGGACCAACAGAAGCACATGGCTAATAGAATCTAAGGTTAAGTTGACTATGCCCATTGACATACTGGAAATAAAGAACTAAGCTAAATATTGTAACCAAGTTCCATATTAAGAGGTTAGACTAAAAATAGGAGGCAGCTTTGGAAGTTTTAAGTAATTCTATAGCTTTCCTCTTCCATAGAGAAACAAAGTAAGCACTCAGACCTTCCCTGATTGTAATATTTCTACTTTCTTTCTCTACTGTCACACACAGGAAGTAGAGACAAATTTTGGCTAAGGATATAATTTTTCCTGCCTCAAATGATCTTGATTAGATATACATCTACCTCTTTTTCTTTGCCAAACTCTCCTACCATGTGGCTAGTAGAGAGTACTTATACAAGACTATTTTAGAAAAATCCCAAGTTGACCCAGGTTAGTTCCTACTGAGTCACATGGTAAAAAAAGACTTGTGCAACACAAAGAGAATAATTACTTTTTAAGAACAAGCAATGGGTTTTGCCAAATATATCGTTTAGAAGAGAGGAAAAAAAATTGCAACTTACAACAGGAAAATAGTTGACAAGAGTGAGGACTCTCTAAGGAGATATTTAGTAAGAGAACTAAATTACCTAGGTAACCCAGAAATAGCATGAGACTCAGTGTCTTGTGGAATAGATTAAAATCTTAGTGTTAAAATGCAAATGATGATAAAGTGTTGCACAGGAGAACTATTCTTGGTCCTGAGACTGGATGTAAGTTTCTTCCCTGAGATGGTAGAATGGACTTTCTTATGCTTCTAAAGGAGCTACTGATCTGCTTTACACATTGGCATGAAAACACCTGTGATACTGCTCTGAGAGATCAGGTGTAGCACAAGGTCTGCCATGATGCATACTTTATAGCATTTTAATAATGATGCATGAAGAAGTAGGTAAAGGCATAACAAGATGGCAGTTGATGAAACCTACATTTAGACTCTACTTTTCTTCTGTATTTCTACCTTGTATAGTGAACATCTTTATATAACATCTTTTAAAAGATAAATGACAATGTTAGCACCAATATTCACATAGAATATTGTTTCAGAATGTTTACAACCCTGAACAAAGGGATCGTAGAGCAAATTTCAGCATGTATTCATGGTATGTAAATGTAATCTTGCCATGCAGTTCTCAGCTATTTTGGCTTGACATGAGGTTGTATAGATTGCATACATAGGCATTTCTCACAGTGATCTTTTAATAGATGCTGATTGATGGCTGTGACACTGTATCCCCATTCTCTTGGGGAGAGAATGTCTTCCGCCCTGCTAATGCTTTAGAATTAGCAACTATTGTAGGCAGAGAATTAAAAAAGAATCCTTATCTGATCTTTGATCTGTGCTGGCTTGTAGTTTCTATGTCAAGGGTTAATTAACCCCCTGAAACTTTATGGGATTTTCTCATGTCCATGGCTTGCCTTCTTTTCTAGGATCAGAGCCATTTGAAAATTAAAAGGGGAAAAAAGCCCCTTCTAAGCAATCTTCTGTTTGTCTCTATTTCTGGTCCTCTTCTCCCTTCTCCCAGATTCCTATTCCACGTTTGTCTGATCTAAGATAAACTAGGTCCTGTCATTTAAATGGAACATCACCTTATCATTCCATTCTCAAGTTGATAACCCCACGTCAAACATTCAATTTTATTCCTTTACACAGAGAAGTATAGATTCTTTCAAAGCAATTGTTAGAAGTGGATTTTATTTTCAGAATCTCAATACATTTGCAGACTAAGATAACATCATATTTTAACAAAATGCATAAGTCATCAAACTCTTTACTTACCACAGTTCTTTTCATCACTGCCGTCAACACAGTCTTCATCCCCATCACATTTCCACAACAGCGTAATACAGCGACCATTTGTGCACTGGAATTGGGAGGGTTCACATTTGGCTTTTCTCCCTAGAATAAGAAGGGAACATTCGGTAAAGCAAGGATTGGTTATAGATTCAAGATACCTAATACCCATGGATGGGGACCTTCTCAGAAGGATACTGCAGACTCGGCAGGCTATGACATCCTAAGGGCCAGAGTAGGATGGCTCTTCAGCCAGTGACTGACAGTAATTGCGTTCTTAGCTGGGTGCATGCTAAGACTAAATACTAGATTTTCAAGCCTCTTTCTCAGTGAGGTGCAGCCAAGGGGCTACATTCTGACTAATGGAATGTAAACTAAAATGGTATATACAACTTTGGGAAATGTCCTTAAGAGGATAGAGGATCCATTTTCTTTCCATCTCTTCATTCCTGGTACCTGAAAATTGGGCATGGTGGCTGGAATAGTGATCTCGGGCAAATGGAGCCAGACGAAAATAGAAGGAATCCAGATTGCCCAGAGACCACAAGGGGCATCATCTCTGCCTGTGGACTCATTTCTCTCATTTGTTGAAACTACGTGTGTGGCTATAATCAGCCAAGTCCTAATCCTTTAATGGCATTTCTTGTCCACATCCATACTATTATCCATTAATGATGTTTCTATTACAAGCACAGTGAAGAAGATTTAGAAGGAGCAGCAAGAATAGGGTAGAAATAGAGATTTAATACATGATTCCTCCTCTTAGAAACTGAGGTCTAATTGGAAAAACACAGCTTTAAAAAACAGCTCCAAGATAAAAGCAACAAGAAAGTATAGTTAAGAGGGAAAGGAAGATCATTTGTCATTTAAAGAGGAGAGGAAAGGAAAGTGAGGTGGAGCTGAAGATGTAGTTTCGATTTCTCTGAATCTGGTTTTCTATGCTTAATGTATGGATATTTAATTCACACAATGGTGTGAACTAAGACTTCTAAGTGGGACAGTTGGTGTTTTGCCCGGCACAGGCCAGCTAATGTTCAGGTGCTTCCTATCATTAGCAGTTCCGTCCTTCTGGCGGATGTGATTGCTTCACGATAAAAGGCACAGATGTGGCCCTTAAAGCAAATATACTGCAAATATTTGAGAAAAACAGTGGAATCATATAGTTCACGCAGATTACTTAGGGAGGGTGTCCCAGCAGAAGGCCTTCCGATTTCCTGCCACCTTTCAGCATTTGCAGCTGTGGCATGCTGGCATAAGAACTGATATTACAGAGACAAGCACAGACTGGAACTCTTGTGTTACGTGCACAATACCCTAGTTGGTCTCCCTAGTGTCAGCTACTCCCTGCTGTCTGGGAGCATTTCGTGCTTTGTGGCTCTTCCCAGGGAGATTAAAATTTGGCCCAAATCAAGATGACCATATGGGTGTGGTTACTTCCTTGGATATTAAATATGTTGCTTTTAAAACTGCATCTATCACTCTGCTCCCATGAGTCTAATTAAGCTAGGACCCAGCTACAAAGCAGAATGGTTTCCTACCTTCATTTCATAATACTTTTTCATTCTTCACGTTTTATTGGTTGTAATATACTAGGGATTTAGAAGGGGAACTAGAGGAGGGTAGAGATTGTTGTCAGGAAGCATCACCTGTGTTGTTTTATACTGCTAAACCAAATCTGAGGTACCTGGTGCCTCTCCCCTCTCCCCTCATTGCCACTGGATTCTTAATATGTTTGCAATATTCTCAATGCTGAGGGTACGTGTCTTGCAGTTCTATATGACCTTACTACCTTTGGGGACTGTGAAAGTGGTAAGACTCTACCTTGAGTAATCAGGAAAAGAATGATTTGTAGTCTGAGAACATAGGTATAAATATACTTGGAAAGAATAGTCAGGTTGGAGTTAAGATACAGTAAAGACTGAAAGCCTCTGATTTTTTTTTTAAGGTTTTAGTTACCAAAGGTTATTAAGTCAAAATGAGACAACAACATTGACATTGATATCTACATAATCAAAATGGAAACCTTGTAATCAGATTTGAATAGCAACTTAAAGGTCAATGTCAATTGATAGTTTCCCACCTCAGGGTTAAGGTACCTGGAAGACAACCTCCTTAAGAATGAGTTTGAAGCTACAGATTTCCTAGGCACTCAGAGTGGCCTGGGATTAAGTATGGGCATACAGTATCCCAAGGCTGATATTTACTCTACTATTGCCTTAAAGAGGGTCTCTGAATTTAGTTGTAATATACAAGCTATCAACAGTAATAAATTCTATTAAAATCCTAGCAGCTCTGCTCTAAGAGTCTATATTGAGGAGACTCAGGACAGGCATCAGCATTTTCTACTAAGAAAATATCCGAAGCCAAAAAGGAGTTTAATTTCTAGCTTTTCTTATCCGAGATATTTCCACTTTACTCAAGCTTCTGCCTGATCATCATAAAGCTGTGTTTTACTCCCTCTCTCTCAACCACACACACACACACACACACACACACACACACACACTCTCTCTCTCTCTCTCTCTCCAATAAGGAGTAGCAACAGGCATTAGGAGTACAGTGTGCTACTAAAATGTCCCTGCCTGTTTAAAAGAATGACATTGGGGTGGGGGTGGGAAGACAAGCTGGCTTTATAAAGGACTCTTTAAAGACAGGCAAATAAAGACCTTAAGCTTTATGGCTATGCCTCTTCGTTTCCTAGTTTCCTAAGCACTTTGTTTTGAGGGACTGCTACTGGGCAGAAAGTGCTCCCTAGTTCTGTTTAATTCTCTGCTTCCCACAGAGAGGGAGAGCTCAGACACTAAATCGAATGCCCAGCCCTTAGCCACCTGACTGGAACACTGTTAAGTTTTCTGTTCAAGTTTTTAAAAGGTTCTACCTATCCACCTCTGGTGCTCAGCTGGGACTGCTGCTGTGCAGAGCTCTAGGAGAACTGAAAGCACCAAATGAGTTAAGAGGCTTTTGGTTTCCAAAGCTTTGGGATTATAGGATTGTGGACCTGCAGTCTATTTCCATCCATGAAAGTTACGTCTCAAATTCAGTATTATACTTTCATAAAGGGAACAAGTTGAGCTTGAAATCATCTACACTCGAGATTCTTTTAATTCTTCAGGCTAAACTAAAGCCAATGACACCTCAAAAAATACCTTGGAAGTAGAAGTGCTAGGCATTTCTGCTCAGACAGGTGAGAAGATGGGGCAAAATGCAATTGTTAGTGGGTTCCTTAAAGCCATGAGGTTTCACAAGAATGCCTCAGGCTAGAGGGGTGGTTGAAGTGGAGGGAAAGGCCACAGTAGCAGAGGCCCTGGGTGTTCCACCTCTGCCTCTACCAAGACTTTCTTTTGAATATTGGATTTTGGTGTAAGAATTTGAAAAGGGTTCTATTAAGAAATTGTCTAGGTTTTCTTCCAGCTCTAATCCTTAGAATATCTCTGCTCCTTTGGGTGAGGGGGTTGGAAGTCGCTTGTACCTACTCACTTATGTGCCTATTTAAATTTGTAATGAATGAATTCCTGGAGCGTCAAAAAATTCTCACTTTTACTGTCACTTATATAGATGGAATCAGACTATAGAATATGCACACTAACTTCAAGGACCTATTTTCCTGGGAGCCTTGCTTCTCTAAGTAGTTAACTTTGCTACACAGACACATTGGCAGTTCACTGGCTCCAAGAAAAACAGGGTTCTTCTTGGTGGTGTTTGTATAAATTTATGAGGTACATGTAAAATTTTGTTACATGTATGTAATGAATCTATACTGATGAAATCCGAGGATTTAGGGTGTCCATCACGCGAGCACGTTTTTGTTAACTACAGTCATTGACGTTATTTCTTCTACCTTACTGTAGGTTTGTATTCTTTAACCCACTTCCTTTCATCTGCTCTCCCTTTCCCCCTACTTCTGAGTCTCTGTCATCTTTCTACCATCTACCTCCATGGAATGAAATATTTAAGCTTCCACATACGATTGAGAACATAAGATATTTGTCCTGCTGTGCCTGGCTTATTTCCCTTAGCATAATGACCTCCAATTCCATCCCCATGCTGCTGCAAATGGCATGATTTCATTCATTTTCATGGCTGAATAGTATTCCATTGTGTATATGTACCATATTTTCTTTACCCTTTCATTATTGATGGGCATTTAGGTTGATTCTGTATCTTTGTTACTGTGAATAGTGCTGCAATAAACATGCCAGTGCAGGTATCCCTTGGATATACTGATTTTTCCTTTGGGTAGATACCCAGTAGAGGGATTGCTGGATCAAATGTTAATTCCAGTTTTAGTTTTTTGGGAAATCTGCATATTGTTTTCCTTGGTGGCTGTATTAGTTTACATTCTCACCAGCAGTGTATAAGACTTCCCTTTTCTCCATATCCTCAGCAACATCTGTTGTATTTTGTCTTTTTATTAATAGCCATTCTGACTGGTATAAGATTATATGTCATTTTGGTTTTGGTTTGCATTTCTCTAATGATTAGTAATGGTAACGATTTTTTCATGTATCTGTTGGTTATTTTTATGTCCTCTTTTGAGAAATGTCTATTCATGTCCTTTCTCCACTTTTTAATGGGATTATTTTTTCCCCATTGTTTGAGTTTGTATATTCTGGATATTAGTCTCCTGTCAGATAATAGTTTGCAAATATTTTCTCCCATTCGGCAGGTTGTTCTTCACTTTGTTGATTATTTCTTTTGCTGTGCAGAAGCTTTTTAGTTTAATTAAGTCCCATTTGTCTATTTTGTTTTTGTGGCCTAAGCTTTTGAGGTCTCTTTCATAAATTCCTTGTCTAGACCAATGTCCTAGAGGGAAACTCAGGGTTTTTAATGCATATAGAAGTCAGCCGCCATTGTCTAATTTTCCCTGTAGCGGTTGACATGGAGGACTAATACATAAGCTTCAGTAAAAAACTGCATAGGCCTTCGAGTAAATACCAAGCCTTCCAAACGGACTACAAATCTCCCTATGGGGCTCCGAGCAGCACCCTGGCAGGAGCACTCCAAGATGCATGCCCAGAATATAGAGAAAGTGTCTCTGGGTACCAGGCTCAGAGCGTACTTCAGCCTGCACAGAGGCTCATGCTGCCACACTGCTGGGGCCACCAGGGCCAAGCATTTACATCTCTCATGCCCTTACTCATTGCTTGAGCATATGGGTGTTACTTGCTGGAATTCCTTCCGTCCATTTGTTTTGGCACTTCTGGGGCCACCAAGGGCATTTATTTTTAGTCTAGTTCACTTCTACTGCTTGCCACTTTAATGACAGTGTTTCTATTTGTAAGCTAAAACTCCTTTCAGGACAAGCAAATTTCTGAGTCAGCAAAAAAGTTTTCCTAAGGGGAGAAGGGTTTGTAAGAGGCAAAGTACCACAACAGGTGTTAAGGGAAATGTTCTGAGCTGTCAAGCACAAAGATTGTGCTCTGGCCTTAAAGTCAGCCTCTGAAACATTGTAAGAACCAGTTTGGGCCAGGCACGGTGGCTCATGCCTGTAATCCCAGCACTTTGGGAGGCTGAGGCGGGCAGATCACCTGAGGTCAGGGGTTCAAGACCAGCCTGGTCAACATGGTGAAACCCAGTGTCTGCTAAAAATACAAAAATTAGCCAGGCATTACACACACCTGTAATCCCAGCTCCTTGGGAGGCTGATGCAGGAGAATTGTTTGAACCTGGGAGGTAGAAGTTGCAGTGAGCCGAGATAGTGCCATTGCACTCCAGCCTGGGCAACAAGAGTGAAACTCCATCTCGAAAACAAACAAACAAACAGCAACAAAAACACTAGTTCGGGGGCCACTAAAAAGTGGTGAATATGTAGGCTAATTCTTCTGAGTCATGGAAATAAGTGAATTTTACAGTTCAATTGTCAGTTACATTCAATTTCCATTTACATCAAATTGATCTTAAGAATCATGGACATAATCAAATCGTTTTTGTTGTTGGTCAAACACTGCTCTAAGACTTCACATCTCTTAGCTTTTAAAATTCTTAATCCTGCACAGTTGGCCCTATTATTCCTCTTTTACAGATCAGGAAACCTGGTAGAGAAGGAAAGTACAGTCACTTGTCCCAGATTGCCCTGGGCAGAGCTAGGAGTTGAACCCAGGCACTGGCTCTAGATACTGTGTTACTAAGCATCAACTTAGATTTAGCCTTGTTGTTGAGATGGAGGCCTGCTTTCCTTCCTCATTCTAAGTTTTTAAAAATGTTTCTAGAATTCCTCAGCAAGTCTTCTAAAAGGATTATAGCTCTTGGTTTTCTTGTCTAGGGTTCAAGTCAGAGGAAAGGCCCTCCATCGGATATACCTTGAAAATCGTTAGCTTCTGTGAGTGGTAAACTAAGTCAGTCGTTCTCAAGCTCCCGTGTGCATCAGAATCCCCAGGAAGGCTTGTTAAAACACAGAATGCTGGGCCCCAGCCTGGATTCTGATTCAGCAGGTCTAGAACAGGGCCTAAGTTTGCATTTCTAATGAGTCAATGTTGACACATGAACTCAATTAACATTGAATTAATGTTGCCAATTTCGGTCCACACTTTGAGAACCACTGCACTAAGGTTAAGAAGCTACAGCTTCTACCCATAATGTAAGTGGCTCTTTCATTTTCAGGGTTGTAGCATATACCAATAACACCCTCATAAGGCCTAATGTTCATCACAGGAGGGACACAGGAGATAAATGCCTCTTTTACAATACACATGATAGTAACATGTGAGTAAAGCCCTCAAAACTATTTTGCAGAAAAAATTTATTTGGGTGTCTTACTAGGCAGAGGTTCTTCTAAAATCCATCCTTCCCTCCCTGTGTAGTCTATCTTTGATTGGCCCCATTACTTACTCTAAATCAGTACTCCAGAAATGAGCCCAAATTCTTCCCTGACATTTGGCCATCAATCCCTGGCTATGCCCAAGCCCTCCTCTCACCTGATGTCAATTTAAATGTCTTGTTCCTTTGCCTCCAGGCTGCCACATTCTCTACCCATATCAAGCAACCTAGTGATTCAAGCAACCTAGAATAGCCAAGAATGGGGTCATTTCTTGGCTTACCACTATCTCTAGGATTAAGTTCCCTACTAATTTCCTCAGACTTTTCCCTATTGGTCACTACCCACCATCTGCTATACGGGCTGAGCTAACAGCTCAAAGGGGACCCACTCACTTCCCCATGGCTTTGCCCTTCCTCATGGCTGCTTTGTCTCAGTTTGTTCATGTTGCCCTTGTCCACCCATTCACCAGGAGTGGGCTCAGATTGTATTCTTGAATGAGGCCTCAATGCCTTTTTTGGAAAAACTAGGTATGGTCTGGCTGCTTTCTCATAATAGTCCCTGTCACAGAGCCATCACCCAAGGAGATGAGTTCAGCTACCATTTTTCACCTTTAGACACAGAGATCCCCTAAGGCATGGGCTGCAGTTCACATTTGTAACTCAGGACCTGGTGCCTGACATCCTATATTCTCTAGGCACTAGTTGGTAGTCTTGGGTGCATGAGTTGATTTATTAGTTTACTAATAAAGCTGGTCTGAACTAAAAACTTTTGTCAAAAACATTTCCCCCAGCTTTTTCAGAACTTGAAACCAAGTGTGACTGGTTGTTTTACTAGCTAGAATACTTTGAAAGACTCTAGGTTATAAAGGTCCCTGTTCCCTAGGCCTATGAGGGTACCTTCACCTCATCTTTGTAGCAATTTTTTTTTTTTTTTTTTGAGATGGATTCTCGCACTGTAGCCCAGGCTGGAGTGCAGTGGCGTTATCTCGGCTCACTGAAATCTCTGCCACCCGGGTTCAAGCGATTCTCCTGCCTCAGCCTCCTGAGTAGCTGGGATTACAGGCTCGCACCACCACACCCAGCTAATTTTTTTGTATTTTTAGTAGAGATGGGCTTTCACTATGTTGGCCAGGCTGGTCTCGAACTCCTGACCTCGTGATCTGCCTGCCTCGGCCTCCAAAAGCACTGGGATTATAGGTTTGAGCCACCGCGCCCGGCCTCTTTGTTGCAATTTATCATTTAAAAACAGTGCATTTTCACACACTTGTCTGTCAGAATGAGTGTGTCCCTTTGGGTGTGTTGGCTTCATTTCCATGTGAAAAGAGAGGTTCCAACACCTGAGAAGGTTAGCAGCGGCTAACTGGTAAAGTTGAGTGTGATATATCAGACGCAGATTTTACTTCTGACATGTTTTAATGCTCTTTGGTAATACTGGCAGTAATCCATTGTTGCTTTAGTCATATCACTTTTGTAGGATTATCTGCAGACATAGAATTATTTCTGGCTTTTTGAAATTAAAGTCTAAGTTCTTGGTAATTTTAGGGAAACTTCATAAGCTAGAACCCAGATAGCATATGGAAATTCCAGAAATCTCCAGCTGCTATCTGCCTCTTTTATGATTAAGTCTTAAACACTGGATCTGCTCACTCCTCTTCAGAGCTTCTATTCCAAGCGGTCTTTGGCTGTTTCCTGCTTTGATTCCCCTACTAGACTAAGTGCCACAAAGGAAGGAACCAGTGCTATGGTCACTCTGTCCCCATGCCTGGTGCCATATGGTAGGTACTCAGTAGATGTACATTAAGTGGTTTCCAGAAGATGCACAAAGATGACCAACATCAATCTGCAACCTACTTAGTGAACATACAGATCAGTTAATACCTCAGATGTGGGGAAGTCTTTCTTAAGAAAATGAAAGATTAGAGGCAGTCTATAAAATAGAAACCCTGTTTACTCACAGCATGTGGGAGAACTATTAAGTTCTAACAAACTTGTGATGTAACTCACAAATGCTGTCTATCGCCGAGGCTTTGTTATGTCCCTTGGTTGGCAAATTGCAAGTCCCCCCATCCCCACCACCTCGTCTACATACATAAAGGCTCCCCAGATGGCCCCCAAGTTGGCAAAATCAGCTGCTCTAGCCAGAGGCTTCATCTTATAGTTTCCAGCATCTCTAAACTACAAAGTAGGCAAAGGATCTCTAAGCAAGCATTGAAACATTTCTAACAGAATCTCCACACTTACTCTCACAGGACCTAACAGGCATTCTCTTGCTTAGAGACTCAAAATAACTGTTGGGCCCAAGCTTTCCTAGGAGACTTCACTCAAGGGGAAAAGTATGCTAAATTTATGGTCCAGGTTGAGCATCCCTAATCCGCAATCTGAGATGCTCCAAAATCCAAAACTTTGAGTGCTGACATGATGCCGTAAGTGTGGAAATTCCACACCTGACATCACGTGACAAGTTGCAGTCAAAACTTTGTTTCTTGTATAAAATCATTAAAAATAGTCTATAAAATTACCTTCAGGCTATGTGTATAAGGTGTATGTGAAATATAAACGAATTTCATGTTTAGACTTGGGTCCCATCCCCAAGATACCTTATTATGTATGTGTGAATGTCCCAAAATCTGAAAAAATCTAAACTCTGTGGAACCCTTCTGGTTTCAAGTATTTCAGATAAAGGACACTTAACCTGTGTTATCACCTGCCATCTCATTTGGTTCCTGCAGTGCAGTTAGTGTACTTAACTAAGTGGTATTAACAGTGTTTAGAGTTTTTGTTGCAAGCCAATAGACGAACTTAGCAAAGAGACACTGATTTAGTTTGAAAAATGCAGACAGTAAAATTGAGATGATTTTTACTTAAAAGCCAGATTCGCCTATAGCTAGGTTAGACTCTGCCCCAACTCTTCAGAAAAACTATCAGTCCTCAGATTTTCTAGCCCAAAACTCTTTAGGTGGCAGAAAAAATTGTCCCTGGACTACTTACTTCCGCTTAACAAGTATATCTCGCCCATAACCTCAGCAGACAGTATTTTTGGACTGTTTGCCTTGAAAGTAGTCTATCACTCTGTTGTCCAAGTATTCTTTTGAGATTAAATTAGTAGGGACCAAACTAAGCAATTTTGAATTTATCAACTAACCATGTAGAGGGCAGTTGTATTAGCCACCACAAGGAGCTCCCTAAGGCAGGTACATTTACAACGAACATCATTATAGACCTCATCAAGCCCTTTAATACATTTAATTTCTTATAGGCTAGTATGTGAAGGTGGTTTTCCAAATGAAAGTCAGTATCCAAAGTGAATGCAATCATTACTTTAAGTCACGTAGGCAACTGCCTTGTCTTAAACACTTTTCCCTGCACTGAAAAGAACAAATTTACATTCTGTGAGAAACAGAAAATGGGCTAGATATTTAAAATGAATTAGCTGTATTTCTATGCTGTGTGCCAAGTCTTCAAGGTTTGGGATCAAAACCCGAAGCCACACGGCTGGGTACTATGTGTTCCCTTGATCTTATGGTCATGTTCTACTCTAGGAGTTCTTGTTAAGTCTTATCAATTTGATACCTCTCCTGGAGCAGAAGGGGCTTGTAACAACTTTTTTCCTCTTCCAAAACTGTAATGAAACTACTCAAGTCAAGTTTACGGTTATTCAATTTTATGACAGGTAGAGACACTTGGATCAGGTCTTCACTTCTTTTGAGCATGGAGACTGTCACCTTTGCTAGCAATGTTTAGTGTTAAATAGCAGTCTATTGTACTAAAGTCTTAATATTTGGCAGCTCTACTTGACCTTTATACATGCTTTAAGTATCTGGGGACTCAGGCCATAAAAGCAAACAATCAAAATGACACAGGACAGGCACTATAGGTAAATGCCACATAAAGTGGGCAAGAGGGTGATCCAGGGAACAAAGCTACACTGGATTTCATGAAGCTGTTACTGCCAAGGAGGGCTTGGCTGGTGACCTTCCTTTACGCAGTCCCTGCTCACATGAGTGATCAGTCTTTGATAAGGGGTACTATCATCGTCATACCTTCATTGGTGCTATCTGGATGAGCCAAGTTTACTTTCCATGCCAACCAGTTTCCTACCTCCAGGTCTATTACTACCACCAGTACCACCAACCCACTTCTCACAATGAGGGAATTTTCTTTCTATTCTTAGGCTAGTTGCTAGCCATATATGAATAGCTCTCAAAAAACCTTGGTTCTTTTAGACTCTGGCCTTAAAGAATATATCATACCACAGATCTTAATCTTGACTACTTAGGCTGAAGGAAAATGTCCCAGAACCCCCAGGAATTGTGCAATCAGGTATACCAACTTCTTGTTAGCCTTAAGTTCCTTGCCAGAGTCTCAGTGTTCACCTGTCTTGTCCAGGAGTATTGTGGAACAGCACCATGTGCCAGTGGACAGAAGGGGTATGTGTAGAAGCTCCAGGGTAGAAAGTCAGCCCACATGCCCTGAGACTTTGAACTTAAGACAGATGCCGGTTGGGATTGGTTTAGGGTCAATAACTGCCTCAGCCCAAATTTCCTCCAGTTCTGGAAGAATCTGCTTCCTCTCCTTTGAAGAATTTGTTTTTCCATTGTTCATGGCATGTCAAATATTTCACATGTGACAAAGTGAAAAGGATCCTCACCTGCCCAATACAAGGTGAACATCTGGCTTTGACTAACTCATGTCAGTAGTTTAGGTGCATTCCTAGCATTCTATAAGGTAAAGTTAACCTCTAGTGGAAGGGACATGCAGCAAAAACGAAACTTTTCTCTCACCTTCCTGGATAATTGTCCCTCCTTCTGGTATACCTTAGCGTTTTGAAATGTTACAAAAGGCATAATGCAAGTCATGGCACTATACTGAGAAATCGTTTAATAAGTTAGTATTACTCATCTATTAATGATTAATGCTAGCGTTTGGAAACTCTTGTAAGCAGAGCTTTTCTAGGCTCTCAGGCTTGTTACACATCAGATTCCATGTTCACTACACATTCGTCCTCTTCAAAGAGTCCAGGCAGGGGAAGGCATTTGAGAGAACAGCCCGTAAGAGCCTGTGGAGTCTCCTACTTTCCATTGAAAATAACACTGCCCATGCTGCCCACTTAAGAGTCCGCGGAACCATGTGACCAACCTAAACGTGATCGCACCGCTAACCAATCGCAGAGGGCGGAAAGGCCAGTCCCAGTTCACACGCTCCGGACAGTGGCAACCAAAGGGCAGGGGCATTCGGAGACGTAAAAACCCCAGGCGCTGCCCGACAGGCTCCTTGACCACATGCTTTAAAGTTCGCTCTCACTTCAGGAGCACGTGACTGCAGGCCGGCAGGGCCCCTGAAGCCACCCGGCGACGGGAGCCAGGGACTCTGGAACGGGTGTTAAGGGCCTGGGCGGCTTTCAGTCCCAATTCCCTGCAGCTGGCAAGCAAGCCCCTCGGCGTCACATCTGAAGATCACTTCGGGGACGCGCTAGGATTCCGACTGAGTCCTCTCAGAAAGGCTTCCTGTCGCCTGTCCAGGAAAGTTACGAGGCCCCAAGTGGGAACGTGGCTGACGACCAGGCGGGGCCCCCAGGCCCCCGCGGCAGAGTCTGGGGACCCGACAGTAGTCACCGCCGCCCTTCCCAACAAGACAGGGCCACACGCTCGCTCTCGCGCTGCTCCTTTGAGCTATTGTGTAGAATGAAGGCTAATTACAGTCACTAGCCTAGGACTCAATTCCTCTCGAGGAAACGTCACCGGGAAGGAGGGTCAGCAAACTAACCTGATTAAGTCTCCCCTCCACTCCCCCTCCGCGTTCAGCTACACGGGAGACCCGAGCGGTTTCCAAACGCCGCCCGAGGCGGGGAAAAGGGAGAGGAGAAGCGCCCAGAGCAGAGTCCTGCGTAAAGCCCCGCCGCTCCCCTACCCCGCACGCCGGAGAGGCGGCCCCGCGCCGGGGGAGTCGCAGTCCGGGTGCCCTCGGCTCCGCGGAGCCTCCCGGCCGCCGCCCACCGAACGTGCGCCAGCTCGCGGCCGCCGGAAGACTCTGAAGCCCGGCCGGCCCCTGGCGCTCCGCGTCCCCGGAGGCGCTCACCTTCTCCCCCCGTCCGCTCCCGCACTCCCCGGGGTTCGAGGGTGCGCCCGAGGCTGCCGCACACGTCTTGGCCCTCTGCCTCCTTCCCAACACTGCGCCTGGCAGAGGAGGCAGAACCATTGTTCAATGCTCAGAAGCCCACGCACCTCGGCGCCCGTCAAGAGGGCGAGAAACGAGGCGAAGCAGCGGCTCTGGGGGAGGCGGAGTGAGGGGCAGAAGACTAGTTCAGGCGAGGCGTCGGGGCACCCCGAACCCCGCTGTTCCCCAAGCCCGGCTCCCTTTAGCCTCGGCGCTGACAGCTCAGAGGCGCCACCACGGAGGGGAGGGAGGGAAGGCGAGGAGAACCGAGAGGCGCCTCCTAGGAGGCGGGTGGGCAAACGGAGACCTACGCCTCGGGGTCTCCCGGTGCCCCGGCTGGGTCCCGCCCGCCGGCGGAGGGGCGCGTCCTCACTCACCGGTTCCGGTGGCGCCGCTCTCCCGGGGCGCCCAGCACAGCGCGAGCAGCAGCCAGAGCGCCCAGAGCGCGGACGTGCCCATGGTGCCCGCCTGGATGGTGCCGCCGCCGCCGCCGCCGCCGCCGTTCGCTCCGCACGACAAGTTACCAGTCCTTCCGAAAGGAGGAAGAAGGTGGGGGCGGGGAGGGGAAAGGGGGAGAAGGAGGGGAAGGAGTTGGCGGGGGAAGGGAGCGGGGAAGAAGAGGGCACCCCCTCCCCTACAACTTGCACAGTCTCCTCCCCACCCACCCAGCCACCTCCCCGGGCTGCAGCAGCAGTGCAAGCCGAGCCTGCGGGCAGAAAATAATGCAGGCGCTGCAGAGGAGGGGAGGCAAGGGGAGAGGAGGGAAGGGAGAGGGGGTGGGGAGCCGAGAGCAGAAGAGAGCACAGAACGGAGAGGAGCCGGTAGCGGAGCACCCGCACCGGCGGCGGCCGGAGAGCGGGGTGAGCAGCGGGGAGGGGGCCGGAGGGGGCGTGGTCAACGGGAGGCGCGGCGGGCGGGCGGGAGCGCGGCGGCTTCGGCCCTCCTTTCCCTCGACGCGCTCCTCTTGCACGCGCCGGGCAGCCGGGTGCCCGCGCGGGGAGCGTGCGAGTGTGAGCGTGCGTGAGTGACCGCGGTCGTGGTCGTGGCTGCCGCCGCCGCCACCCGGACCGCTCTAGGGGCCCGGCTGCTCCGCGCGTTCGCCTGGGGCTCACGGGGGCCCGGGGCGACCGCTGGTTGGCTCGCGCGCCGCCCTCGCCTCCAATCCCGGGTGCCTGTCCTAATTTCCTGATCCAGGGAACCTGCCGCCGCAGCGGCTGTGCGCTCCCTACAGTCATTACTGTACCCTCCCGGCAGCCTCCGGCAGAACACGCAGCAGCAGCAGCAGTTAGCGCTGATGCAACTATCGTTGCTGTTGCCACCGCCTCCCCACTGACGGGGCGTGCACCTGGGGGGTACTTGCAGTTTCCAGGGGCAACAAGCATCTCTCTACCACCCTCTCCTGCGCCCCTGAGAGAGGCTGGTAGGTAGCATCTTCTTCGGGCCTCCTCTATCCACTCAGAAAGTGATGAAGCGGAGGGGCTCCAAACGTTTGGGCTGCTCAAAAGTGGGGTTTGGGATGCCGGTCTCAATCGCACGCTGAGATGCCGTTTTGCCGAAAACTAAATGTGTCTTTAAGTGAGAGAGTGTGTATGTTTGAAAGAGAGTGCGCGCGGTTGTGGCTGGTCCTCTGTAATAGAACAAGACTGAAATAACCCAGCCTGGGATGAGGAGAAGGGAAATTGCTAGCGCAGCTTTGCATTTGCTCATCAACGATTATAGTTAATTGCTAATTGCACAAAATGATAGTTTGAGGGCCTGTAATTAAAAGCTTAACCTTTTCTTGTTTGGAAGAGAGGGGCCCCATACGTTTATTCCTCTTGATATACTTTGTAACATTCAATTACAAGAATCGAGGAAAGAATAAAGGAAGCAAAGACAAGACTCCTAGAAAGGGTTGGTTCTTCTTTTGTGCCTGACAGTACCTGAGTCTATAATTTGCTTTTTGTGTACTTCAGTTTTCTTGCACACTTAGCCCTGGTTGAGGTGCATTGTCTGCTGTGGTCTGTTGAGCATCTAACCAGAGTGGGAGGGCACATCGAGCGATTTCACTTTCTTAAATAAAAGGTTTTTGGTATTTTGAAAAAGTTGTTTTTATCTTAATTCAAACTTGGAAGGTTTCAATAATATCATATTCTGACTCTATTCTGTTGGTGATCTGAAGAGCAGCGGGCACTGCCTCACTGTCTTCTCCTTGCCCTGGTTCTCCTGGAAATTTGTCAAGGCTAGCAATCAGAGGAGATGTTTATTAGGAACTTACTATATCCAGGAGACACACAGGAGAGGAAAATTCCAGTCAGGATAGGTTTCTGTGGGCCAAAGATATCCTGATTGTGACTGCTAAGCATGAAAGGGCTTAACTCTACGTATGGATGGTATCTTGCACTATAGCTCATTTTGAATGCTATTTTGCCCACCCTGTGGTTACATAGTTGATACAAACTGCAGCAGCCACACAGGTTGCATGTGAAACAACTGAAATTTGTTTGTATGACATTTAGTAGTGAAGATGCATGCCGGTGTTATTCACCTAATGGCATTGAGATGTGATAGGAAAACCTTAGTGCATGATGTCTTTCATATTCTCAGGGTTCTGAAATGCCATCTGATGAGCTACTGCTTTACAGAAGAGGAAAGGAGTAGAAGGGATGGGTGGAATCAATACAAAAAGAGGCAGCATTAATAAACAGTCATATGACTTGTTTTTAATACTTTACTCAGAGATACAGGTATACTACAAGCTATACATTGATATGGTATAATAAGACTTAACTTTGAAAAACGTGTGTGAGTACTTTCTAATTCTCCAAGGGATATAAATAAACTTTCAGTGAACTTAGCTGCAGCTCTGTATTCAATCCTGTAGCTTTTTTGTTGACTCAAAAGAAAGCATAACTTTTGGCTCCATCTCTGATTGACTGTGTAACTTGGGAAAAATCACTGTGCCTCTCTGTGTCTGCCTTTTGGCCTGTAAACTGAAAAGAAAGCCAAGCCACATTATATCAAAGTGCTCCGTGGCCTCAAGGACCAGCTCTCTGCAAGGTGTTGTTTATTAGAAGAAAAAGGTTGTATGGAGAAATTCATTGGATTATGATAGAAAGTAGCTAATAACTAAAAAGATAAATTGATGATAAGTGGATATTGAAGTGGTTGAACTAACAGAGCTAATTGATCATAAGTGGAGACTGAAATGGTTGAACTAACTGGGTTCAGAGAAGTTGACACTGCTGGATTCCCGACGCCGTCAGGTAAATGCAGAGGCAATCCCATTCACTCCTACAATCCACCACATTCATTTATTTGTTGAAGCAACACATAGTGAGCATCCCTGGCTAACGGGCACTGTGCAAAGTAGTGGGCATACAGAAGTGCTTATCTAGGAAGCTCAGCATCTGGTAGGGGAGGCAGGCAAGTGGGCAACTGTAGTACCCTATGTATAGCACTCTGATTAAGAGATGCTTAAAGTGCTAGAAGATTGCAAGGAAGAAGCAGCTATTCTGGCTGCAGGATGAAGGTATCAGAAAAGGCTTCACAGAGCGTTTGTCTCTGAGCTTTTTTCATAATTTTTACCCGGTGATCTGAATTCTCCCTACTTCTGGACACATGGTAGGATTGGACGTCCTGGCCCCCTTATGGTTGGATGGGGTCGAAAGACTAACTTTGGCTAATTATTTGTGAGCCTAAGTTACAGGGTGCCACTTTCAGACCGGAGCACTTAATTGCTTATGTGAAACCCTCTCTTTGTGTCTGCGTGGTGACAAGAAATGTTTAAGAGGTGGCTGCTGCATTAGCCCAGGTCTCCGAGTGATTCGATTCATTTAGAACTACCCATGTGAGTAGTTCCCTGCTGTCTATGTGTCTTTAGCACTGGTCACATAGAGTAGAGGTTAGCAAACTAGGGCTCATGGGCCAAGTCTAGCCAGTCACCTGCTTTTGTATGGCCTACAAATAAGAGTGATCTTTACATTTAAAAAGAGTTTTACAAAGAAGAGGAATAGTGTGCAACAGAGACTGTATGTTGCTCCCAAAGCCTAAAATATTTACCATCTAGTCCTTTAGAAAAAAAAAAAAATCAAACAAACTTGCCAACCCCTAACATAGAACGGGTGAGAGAGTAGTAAATCTTTGTCATCTTCATCTACTGAGATTTTGTTACCTCAGCATAACCTAGTGTTAACCTGACTGATACACCAGGGGAAGAGGGAAGGAAAACCATGGTGAGCAGAGGGCACAAAGGCAAAACAGCAGTATCTATTCAAGGCAATGGAAGGGATTCAGGGTGATTCAAGGGTGGGGTTCAAATGGACTAACAATGTGAAGTAAGGCTGAAGAAGAAAGGCAAGGACTGGATTAGCTGGAGTCTAGGATGTCATGCTAAGGCTTTGGATTTTATCCTGTGAACCATAGTAAGGACTTGTGATAGATTTTGATCAGAGGCCTGACATCCAGTTTCTTTTACTGTGACAATGGTATGGAAAGCAACTTGTTTAGGGTGTGGGATAGGGTCAGACTAGAGGAAGAAACATTAGTTAGAGGCCCCAGTAGTGAGGGAGTGCATTGAAGAAAGTAGAGGAGGCTGGGTGTGGTAGCTCACACCTGTAATACCAACACTTTGAGAGGCCGAGGCAGGCAGATCACCTGAGCTCAGGAGTTCAAGACCAGCCTGGGCATCATGGCAAAACCCCACAAAAAATACAAAAAACTAGCTGGACGTGGTGGTGCGCACCTATAGACTCAGCTACTGGGGGTGGAGGGGGGCCTGAGGCAAGAGAATTGCTTGAGGCCTGGAGGGTGAGGCTGCAGTGAGCTGTGATCATGCCATTGTACTGCTGCCTGGGTGATTCAGGGAGCCGTGTCTCAAAAAAAATAATAATAAAAATAAGGGGAAGAAACTACCGTTTGATTAGTCAGAAGCATTCAAATAATTCCTCCATGAGATTTTTCTCCTTGATTTTTTTGGCTTTATCTCCTTGAAGCATTTTCCAAACATATATAATCCCTGTGTATCACTGGCTATGTCTGCTAAAAGTACAGATTCTCAGGCCCCTCCGTTGATGATCCTGATTCAATTGGTCTAGGGTAGAACCCAGGAATCTGTATATGTAACCCTATTCTAGTTGATTCTTAGGATTAGTCATGATTAAGAAACTGTTTTAGAGAATGACTTCTTCAGTGCCGTTTAATTGCTAAGTAGGTTTACTTCTGTCATATTTGTGTAAATTAATTTGTCAAATTTCTCCTAAGGGAGTAGGTTAGGACCCATAGAAAATGCTAAGGTTGATGCTTATCATTATTTTTCTTCAAGATCCTTAGACTGATAATATTGGCATCTGAAATAATCTTCAAACCAATTTGCTAATTTGTAGTACTCATCACTGTGATTTCTACCCCACAGCCTCAGCATAGAAAGTAAGATGTGAAATGAGCTGTCCTCTTCTGGGGCCATCCCCTTCTGAAGTGTTTCGATGGTAACTTCACAGGCCTCCATTCCATTATTTTCTAATTGTGTGACAGCCCAGGGAAATGAGTGGGATTCCCCCCTTCTAGGCTCCATGAGTAGGACCTGATGGTCAAAATCAGTGGGTCATGCATTTTAGCTTCCATCAGAATCACTTGGAAGGCTTGTTAAAACATAGATTGCTGGGCCCCACCTCCAGAGTTTCTGGATCAGTAGGCCCAAGAATTTGCATTTTTAGTAAGTTCCCAGATGATGTTAATGCCACTGGTCAGGGAGCATACTTTGAGAACCACTGTTCTGAACCCATTGACATCACTTCCCCCCTTAGCTACTGTAATTGGTTTAAGGGCCTCAGCCAGTCAACCTATGACCTTCCTCTGTTGGCATTGATTGGA
Organism: Homo sapiens; assembly: GCF_000001405.40. Classification (NCBI taxonomy): domain Eukaryota; kingdom Metazoa; phylum Chordata; class Mammalia; order Primates; family Hominidae; genus Homo; species Homo sapiens. The sequence goes on along the minus strand of NC_000009.12, from coordinate 2,616,798 downwards.
TGCTTCAGCCTTAGGCACATTACAAAAGCTAGCTCAGTTACGACGAAGCTCAGGGCTTTTGCTTGGCTAGAAAGGCATTATCTTCTAAGTAATGAGATGTGTGGACGTAAGGCCAGAACTGCTTCTGCCATTTTGCCACCCTGAAGGAAGCCAGTTGGAAGACGAAACTGACTTATGGAGAAGAGGAAACTGAAATAAATGGCACTCATATTTGTAAGCCCAAGCCCAGATCAGCTTGTTTCAAAAGCTGCCATTCCATCGGACTTCTTGTTTACCTGCACCAAAAAATTCCCTTTGTTGCTGAAGTCGGTTTAGATTGCGTTTTCTCTTACTTGCTACCTAAATGACAGAGGTGCCCTCTTGAGGGATGGAATGTGCTTACCTGAAAGCAATAGGCAAAACTCTGCACATGGCTAACCCCTCCTGGAGGGCATTCAGAAGAGGAATACAGGTATTAGTAAGGACAGTTTTGAACAACTGTATTCTTGTGTAACCTGGCCAGATGAATTCCCCACTCTAAATCAGGGGTTAATGTGGACGTATTATAAGTGAATGCCGATTGAGGGTTACAATCTGGTAACGACAAGGTTTTTGAAATTCCAAGGCCAAAGACAATTTTACACACTGCTTTTGAACAATTTCAGAAAGTAAAAAATGTGGCCAAATGTAAAAACAGTGGAAATTCCAAAATGGGTTGAATATGAGGCTAGACAAATGATTATTAACTGGAAGCAATTGTAGACCCAATCAATGTTCGTCAATGTCTTGAGACATTTTTCACTGTCATGCCTGGGGAGAGGTACTCCTGGGAGATGTACCCTCTACTGGGTAGAGGCCAGGGATGCTGCTGAACATCCTACAGTGCACAGGACTGGGCCCCACAATGAGTTATTCAGTCTAAAATGTCAATGGTGCCACAGTTGAGACATTCTGAGCTAGACTTAGGAGAAGTCAGATGGCTCTGTATGCGCGAGATTTTTATCTGGGTTGGGTGGAAGGAGATTACTTAGGACTTGGGCGGCCTAGTAGAAAGATGTTCTATCTCACGACAGAGCAAGGACAAGCTGGGTTTTGTCCGGTCAATGACAGATGTGAATGCAGTGTCAGAGGAGGTTGTGGGTGGATTTACAGAACGGGGAGATGTAAAGCAAAACACATGTAGTTTACATTTTAAGTTGAAATAGGTCAGTGTAGGGCACATTCTAGGCTGCATTGTGAACTCACCAGGGTTCTTTGTTTTGTAGCGTTGAGTTTTGTTTCCTTTGGTTTACAATGCAGGAATGAAATACTGTACCACTTATTTTTGGAAGCCCTGATAATTAATTCCTACGACTCTGGCCCCAAATTTGATTGTTCTCACTTGTCATAAATGTAATTTATAGGAGGTTTTGGAATATAGGGCTATAGCATTTAAAACACTCTTACAATGGGAGTTTCTATGGAAATAGAGGCATTGTGGCCTCTACCGAGTTAGTTAAGCATAGATTGCTTATTAGAACATAAGAATTTTAATCTGCAAGTTAGAGTAATGAAGCAAGTTCTTTAAGTATTACCATTTCACCATGATATTTCGTTTTTGAACTTTTAAGAGTTTTGTGGAAGTAGATAGTTGATTTATTTAATGTTTTCTTACTTAGTTATGTAAGGAGGTTTAAATTCATATTATACTGCTGCTCACATTCCTTGAAGGGCTGAGTTTCTGAATGAATATGCTTCCTTCCAGCCTGGCTATTTGGGAGGGTTATGTCCTAGCATCTCTATATTGTTTTGGAAACACATTTATGAGGAGTTCTAATGCTGATAATGACCATGTCTGCAGAGTGGAGGGGAGGCCCAGTTTTTGAGCCTGGCTTTAGGGTTATACGGTACATGTAAAAACTGCAAGTAACTCAGAATTTTTGGAGGACAGATTCCAGAGGAGATACTGGAGAGGAAGGCAAGTACAATTAAGGAAGGCATTTGTATATTGTTTGTTTGTTTATCCGCAAAGCATTTAGTAAGCCATTGAAGGTTTTTGATCAAGAGATGATTTGTTTGGATATGAGTATTTATGAATATGACTATCTGAAAAGGTGATTATGGCTGTATGGGATCCAGAGGGCATTCTTGTGGTACCTGAAAGCCTTTGTGTGTTGAATGAATGCAGAGAGGCAGTATTGGTTAATGGTTAAGAGAGTGGGTGCTGGAGTGAGTCTTCCTCAGTTCAAAGCCTGGCTCTGACCCTGTGAAATCTTAGGCAAATTATTTAGCCTCTCTTTATGCCTTAGTTTTTTCATCTGAAAAATGGGGGTGGGAAGAACACCCACTTCTTATGAGGGTTGGATACATTTATAATAAAGCATTTAGAACAGTGCCTGGCATATAATAAATCAGCAGCTTCAATGTATAAGAGAGGCAATTACAGGTATGGGCCTAGGATTTGAACAACGTAAGACTGTGGTCCTCAACCCTGATGGTACATTAAAGTCTCCTGGAGAGCTTTTAAGAATATCAACACAGGAACAACTCTATCTAGGCCAACTGAATAACATGTCTGGAGTGGGGCCTGGGCACGAGCAGTTTTTAGCTTTCCAGGTGAGTCTAATGTGCATTCTAACTGTGACTCACTCGGTGTCAAGCCTGAAGCTGTGGCCACTGGGGTATAGAAGGGGAGCTGTGTGGTAGGTTTTGAATGAGAATGCACTCTTAGGCAGACAGGGATGTTGTGGTGACTGTGGCAGGAGAAACAAATGCAAATTCCTCCTAGTGTTCCACAACAGCCTCCCAGTCGTCACTTTATGCATCCTGCTCCTGGCCAAGCATCTCACATCCAGCTAGATTTGTCAGCTGTAAGGGAGCCAAGAACCATGGGAGGTCAGAAGCTGGGCACAGCTAGACTGTTTGGAACCCAGCTGGTGTCTACCTATCAGGTGATGGATTACATATCACTGGTCTCATGCCTTCACAAATAAATCTACCAACAAGGACTTGTTGAGCACCTTCTTTTGGGACCTACAGTGTGCCAGGTGACTGGAGGGCAGCAACCAGATAGCAATGTGGCTGCTCTCAGGGGTGAGTTGTTATTGTTTTGTTTGCTTTTTCTGCAGGAGCCAAAACTCAGGCTTGTTAAGTGGTAATTGACAGTCCTTCTAAGGAAGTTTCTCTTGGATTTGCTGCCAATAGGAAGAGAATTATTTCTCAGAGCACTATAGCATTCATTTATCGAGTGCTCACTCAATTATGAGGCATGACAGAGTTTGCCACCTAAAAGAGGAAAGACCACTTAATGATTCCTAGAGTCAAAAGTCAGGAATAAATGGATAGACAGATCAAAGAGTTAAGGGGATTCTATTGTAATTGGAGAAGCACTTTTAGCAGGAGCCAGGTCTTCCACTGAGATCTTAAAGGAGCTCTTGAATGAGTTGTGTGTGAGGGAAAGTATGCTTTTGAACATAAAGAAATAGTGATTTGGCCAGGTGCGGTGGCTCACGCCTGTAATCCCAGCACTTTGGGAGGCTGAGGCGGGCAGATCACCTGAGGTCGGAGTTTGAGACCAGCCTGACCAGCGTGGCAAAACCCCCTCTCTACTAAAAATACTAAAATTAGCCAGGCGTGGTGGTGGGCACCTGTAATACCAACTACTCAGGAAGCTGAGGCAGGAGAATCGCTTGAAACTGGGAGGTGGAGGTTGCAGTGAGCTGAGATCGCACCATTGCACTCCAGCCTGGGTAATAGAGCAAGACTCCGTCTCAAAAAAAAAAAAAAAAAAAAAAAAAAAAAGTGATTTTCAGCTGTTCCTGTGATAGGATAACAAGGTGTAGGCTGTGGTTTTATTGCTAAACCACGGTGGGAGCAGATTTAAGATCTGGTAGAAAGTGGAATTCTATTTTGGAATTCCGTTTCCCCGACCTCAGGAGACATTTGAACTCTCTCAGAAGGCGTGTTTATCACAGCAATTTTCAGAGTCTCATTGTTTTTCTGAATGGACGAGGCTTGCATGTGAGAGAAATAAGAAGTTTCACCCTTTGGGAGAAGTTTCCTTGTATAATTGAAGAACTGGTCATGGTTACTGACCCAAATTAAAAGATAATTGACTGTTAATGACCCAAATCAGACCTCGTTCCTAAATTGACTTGGATTTGATTTGGGAAGAAGAAAATGAAAGGTCATTCGGAAGCACCAGAGAGGTCTCTTTGTGGATAGAGATGGAGAGGGGAAATGTTGGGATTGGGAGAGGAAACTTGGGGAATGAGACATACCTGAGACTGCTATTGACTCTAATATTTGCTTTTTGCATTCTTAGCCATAATACCACAATTGATATTGATAACACCACAATATCAACAGTGTCCTTCTTTGCAATCAAAGCTTTCTATTTTCCTGCTATGAGAAGTAAATACTGTGAAGGCAAAAATTATGATTTAAATACTTGAAGGGCTTACAATGTTTGTGGAATTGAATTGGAATATGGGAAGAGATCTTTTAATCAGGTTTTCTTGGTGAACTCTAGGCACGTTTCAGGGCATCTACAAGGAGGATGGATCATTGTTTAGTTTTCTCTCTTTATATTTCTTCTTCCCTCCCTTCCTCCCATTTGCCAGGGACTGCAAGAAAAGACAAAGAAGAGATGGAGAGAGAGTTGGCTGGCATAAAGACTGCTCAAAACAAAATGACAGATGCTGGCAAGGATACGGAGAAAAGGAAACCCTTATATGGTGTTGGTGGGAATGTAAATTAGTACAGCCACTATGGAAAATAGTATGGAGTTTCTCAATAAACTGAAAACAGAACTACCATACTATCCAGCAATTTCATTACTGGGTATTTATCCAAGAGAAAAGAAGTCAGTATATCAAAGGGATACCTGCACTTGCATGTTTCTTGCAGCACTATTCACATTAGCAAAGACATGGAATCAACCTAAGTGCCCATCAATGGGTGAATGGACAAAGAAAATGTGGTATAGCTACACAACGGAATCCTATTCAGTTATAAAAAAAGAATAAGTTTATGTCATTTGCAGTAACATAGATGGAACTGGAGGTCATTATGCTGAGTGAAATAAGCCAGGAACAGAAAGACAAATACCTCATGTTCTCACACTCATGAGGGAGCTAAAAAAGTTGATCTCATGGAGATAGAGAGTAGAATGACAGATAGCAGAGGCTAGGAAGAGAATGGAGAGACAGTAAAGAGAGGCTGGTTAATGGATACAGATATGCAGTTAGACACAAGCAATAAGCTCTAATGTTTGATAGTAAAGTGACCATAGTTAAGAAGAACGTATTATATATTTCAAAATAGCTAGAACGGAGAACTTGAAATGTTTCTGACACATAGTAATGATAAATACTTGAGGTGATGAGTACCCCAAATACCCTGATTGAACCATTACACCATCTATGCACATAACAAAATATCACACGCACTCTATAAATATGTCAAGTATTCATATCCGTAAAAACAGTTTTTAAAAAGACTCCTCAAAACAAGCAACAAAAGATACATGAAGGTCTTGGGAGATCTCGTCTTTCCTTTGCAGTGATTTCATCATAGACCTTGCCTGGCTAGAGGGGCAGTTTTCTAAATGTGAAACAAAAAAATGATCACTATGTCTTACATAGTATGGGAAGAATGTCTTGAGTTTGTGTGTTGCCTTTCTTCTGAGTAGGTTCAAAGTACTTTGCAAACATGACATCAGTACTCCCTGGGAGGAGGCTGCAGGTGAATTCTGAGGAGAATAATCCCTTTTCAGCAGTTAGGAGGAGCTAAGGCACAGATCAACTTCCTCAGTGAATTTGTGCAAAGTGTCCCCTAACTGTTCTAAGTCTCATACACAGAAGGATGGCATTAATACTTAATGTGGCTAGATGAAGTCTAAGTGAGATCCTTGATGAACTCCATGTCTTATACTTTAAAAAGGCACACTGTAAACTTTTATAGTTTATTTTTTTCTTGCCAGTGGCCATTCTTAGAACTGGCCTTCCTCTAACATCCGTTTGTGGAGCAAGGCAAAAATAAAATGACAACAAAACAAGAGATACCAAGTAGTGTTTATGTTAGCATGACTTGCTACCAAATTGGATCACCTCGGGTAAAACTTGGAGTCTTAGAGGATCCCCTGGAGAGGGAAATGAAGCATCCTTTTTCCCTCTGTTGTTTTGATTAGGATCTTGTAGCAAAGTATGGCAGTTAAAAATTCTGTTAGTAACTTGAAGGAAAAATAAATCAATAGTTATAATTTGCAGTAGTTACAACTTCTTTTTCTGTTTTTACTAAGAAATTTAAGTCTCATCCACTAAAGCTGCTTGTATTTTCCTTTTTTGATTCTAGCTCCCCTCCCTTAATCTCTGTCCTGTCTTCTGTTTGGCTCTCTTAAGAAATCTCAGGAGGCCCTACCCATGGAAGAAAGTTTATAGAATATGAAGAGAAATGGAGCTGTGCCTTGTAGATCTAATATTGTTTCCTCTAATCAAGTTCACTTCAGGAGACAATTCATTGGAGAAATTACCTGAAATATTGCAGCAAGGATTATTTGGAAATTGAAGGTGAAAAGAGGAACTATTCATCAGGTCAAATTCTTTTCCCATTTCCTTTGTCTCTGATATGAACTGGCTTCAGTTGGTTTGTACTAACAGGTCTAATATACTGTCAGATAGAATAGCTCTTCTATTAGAATCTTTTTTTTTCCTTTTTTCTGTATTTTCAAATTTATTAATATTATTTTTAATTGACAAATCATAATTGTATACATTTATGGAGTATGATGTGATGTTTTGATATATGTATACAATGTGACATGGTTAAATTAACCTAATTAACATATCTATTATTACCTCACTCACCTATCATGTTTTATGGTGAGACATTTGAAATTATGGTGAGACATATGGTTAAAGTTATTTTGAAATGTACAGTGCACGATTATTGACTGTAGTCACCCTGTTGTGCAATAGATCTCAAACTCTATTCCTTCTGTTTGATATGTTCTTCAATTTGATCAACAACTTTCCATTCCCTCCCTCCCCACCTCCCCCAGCCTCTGGTCATCATCAGAATCTTTCTTTTCTTTTTTTTGAGATGGAGTCTCACTCTGTCACCCAGGCTGGAGTGCAGTGGCGCGATCTTGGCTCACTGCTACCTCTGCCTCCTGGGTTTAAGCAATTCTCCTGCCTCAGCACCCCCTAGTAGCTGGGATTACAGGCGCGTGCCACCATGCCCAGCTATTTTTTTTTTTTTTTTTTGTATTTTTAGTAGAGACAGTGTTTCACCATGTTGGTCAGGCTGGTCTCGAACTCCTGACCTTAGATAATCCGCCCGCCTCGGCCTCCCAAAGTGCTAGGATTACAGGTGTGGGCCACTGTGCCTGGCCAGAATCTTTTCCTTAATCACCAAAGTATTTCTGGTAGGAAAAGTTACTGGCCATTTAAATTTTGCTCAGCTGTAAATACTTGTCCCGTATCTAGACTTGGCAGTGTACATATTTGGATTTACAAGCAAAGTAGCAAGTTGACTGTGCCTTTCATGTGGTTATCTGGATTTGGGGGGTGGGGGGTGCAGGGGTGGGGTGGGTCTTTGTATTTTTCTCCCCAAAGACTCCCTGGTTAATTTTTAAAAATCTTCTTGGGGGTTTGGTGGGAGTTATTGCTTTATATGGAATAAATAAGAGACTGTGATGTTTTGTGGCATCTATTTAAAATTTCACTGCCAAATTCATCTTCTCAACTTTTTTTGTCATACACATTATCCTTGCTGATAAATTTTCCGTGTCTTCCCTTCCCAAGCCTAAATCAACCCCTTGATGTGGGCACTTGGAAACTCCTACCCCGACAAAAACTCCCTTTTCCCCCCAAAAATGATGTTCCCTTTTCTCACCCAGAAATACCTGCTACAGTCCTGTGTTTCCTTTGGTCTTGATCTCTAGTATCATGTGGGAGTGGATCTGTGGAATTTTTGTCATTATATATATGTTGTCATGTTTAATAAGGTTGGAGATCCCAGGAGCATTTCTCTTTTTGCCATGTAACTTTGTCTTCCTTTTGTTGTCTTTAACCTTTTCTTCAAGCGCATTGACATTTGTGATGTTTGGGACCGTAACCACAGAGCCCACAGTAGGAGGCCCCAGCATGCACACACTTAAAGCACCCTTTAAGTGACTAACGAGGGTAATCTGTATCCAGACTATACTTATCGTGTCTTCCATAACCACTGAAATTCTACTGCAATCAGAACTTGGACTGAAAATGTTTAAAGCCTTGATAAAGTTGTGTCCTTTGGAGGACATAGCATGAACCTCTCATAGACATGACACTTTGTACTGTAATCCTTGTGTAACATGGCAGCACAGAGTCTTGGACCAGATACAAGAGACACTTATGTTGTACTAAAGTTGTTTCATGAAAAGAAGTTAACACTAAGGATCCACTGTGTGTAATTTTAACCACTGAATGTGAATCTATGGTACTTGTTCATTGACATAGAAAATGTGGATCAAGTACCAGTCTTAACATATAAACTCTGACAAGTGGGCACTGGGGAGATGGGGGTACCCATGTCTGTCCTATGTTCAGCCTGAAGATGCTCCCATTGGTAGTAGCAAGCACCAGTTTTCCAGGTCCCAGAAGCCTGTAGCCACTCTCCCTTGCAGAGCTGCGTGTGGTTCTTGGATCTGGGTGAGCTCTCAGAGGTGCTCAGGAGAGCATTGCTTTGCTCTCCAGAGTTCAGAGGTGCCCTGAGAGGAGACTGGTGGGTTCCCAGTGTTTGTTAAGGGAAAGAAAGAGTGGCCCTTGTCAAAACAACATGGGATTTCAGAGCATAAAGAGACCTTAAGCTCCCTCATTAAGAGCAGGAAAACATACTAAAAAATGCGCTCTTTAAACTTCTGGCTCTTCCTCAGGCTCTGTAGGACCTTTGAGTTCAGGAATGCAGGGGCTAATAAGCTGGAAATGTTTGATAATTCCAATATGAAGTCTGCAGCCCCCAGATAAGATTTTAGGTTGTGCAGGTAAATGTCCCATTCCATTAATAAGCAGCCGAGCATGTAACAGGTGGGAGTTTGGGTATGAGTGTGCATGAGTTGTGTGTGTTAGAAGGATTTCTGGCCCACATTCAATATAAAGTGCCATCTAAATTGTAAGTAATATTTTCTCTGCTTATCTAGAGGATGACTCTAGTTACCTTGCTTAAGAAAGAAGGAAAAAACTTTCAAAGACGTGTTGTAGAAGGAACTTGTCTGACTCTGAGATGGCTTTGCAAAATTTTCCATCACCTTACTATGGTGTGATCCATGCTGGCATTTGGATTCAAAAGCCAGGGTTTTTGTCCAGGCTCTGCCATTCATGAGCTCTGTGTCCTTGACAAAGTCCCGTAACTCCTTCTGAGCCTCACTTTCTTCAGTTGGGGAAAGGAAATAATTCTTGCTCAACCTCTGGCCTTTTATAGCATTTCATCTGGATCCAAAGGGAGGATGAGTATATAAAGTGACTGTCAGTAGTTTTGGTGGAGTGTCCAGTGAGGTTTTCACTGGGACAGTGTACAGATATTAAGAATTTAAAATTGTAAGGAAGAAAGCAGGATAGAGGTAAGTAAACTTCCATAAGGATTTTAATGGCCCTCCTGGGAGAGAAGGGACCAAAATCTCTCAAACTCCTCTTCTTGTAATTTCAGATTACAGAAACCTTTGAGCGGGCTGGGTGATCCAATGCCATAGGAATATAAAAAAGGTCCCTGTGTTAAAGTGCCTATGGGGACAGACAGAGTTGTGCTGGATGTTAGCAATGGCATTGGATCCTGCCTTGTTCCAAAAAGTGAAGGATTCTGCTTTGAGCAAATGGCTCGGGCATTTGAATCTAAAAAGATGGCAGCTGGTAGCGCAAATCACTTTTGGCATAGAGCATCCTCAGCTGAGATAACAATGAGTAAAGAAGCCTCCTTTTTTTAACCTGAAGATCCACATTACTCATATTACTCACTTGCACTCTGTTAGGTAGGAGAGTAGAGTGATTCCCAATGCTATCAGTTGCCCCTTCAGGTAAGAAATATCTTGAAATGCCCTTTCCCTGTCCTGAAATGAAAATCATAGATAAGATATATGTACATATATAATCTATAAAAAATAATCAAAATAATGTCCTGAGTATAATATAAAGGAAACGTGAAGGGAAAATAATTTATAAAAAAGCAATATGGCCAAACCACATCAGAAGACAACATGCAGTGGTCAGATATTGCACATGTAGGATCTTCATGAATGTGGCAGCCCATAGGCCATCGTATCCATCTGATACTGGTATAGTAGAATAGAATGGACACTGTCATATCACAAGTAGCGTCACTGTTAGTGACATGATTTTCTGAAATGGTGAGCCACAATTGGTGATGCTCCAAGTTAAATACATAGCAATCTTCCCTTTTCTAGACAGAGTAGCTGTAATCCTGAAAAATTCAGTTATCATAAAATTGTAAAAAAGTAATTTTTGCTTGTATATAAGACAAAATCAAAACCTTTGCTCAGATAATTATAAATAAGTGGGAAACCCTTGATGCCTATTGGAACATCTTTGGATATATGAGGCATGTAGACCTTTTTTTTTTTTTTTTTTTTTTTCAGGTTCTCACTATTTTGCTCAGGCTGGAGTGCAGTGGCATGACCATAACTTACTACAGCCTTAACTTCTGAGCTCCCAGCCATCCTCCTTCCTCAGCCTCCCAAGTAGCTGGGACTCCAGGCATGTGTCACTGTGCCTGGCTAAGGTTTTATTTATTTGTTTATTTTTTGAGACAAGGTCTTGCTATGTTGCCTAGTTTGGTCTTGAACTCCTGGCCTTAAGTGACCCTCCTGCCTTAGTCTCCTGTAGACCATTTTTCTTGATATGTAGGATGTGTCACCTGCTTTGCAGGATGTCTGGAATCCTGGCCCACTAAAAGCCAGCAACACAAAACCTTCAGTCATTATGACAACTAAAATGTGTCCTCATATTTCCAAGACACCCTCTGGGAATGCTAACATTGTCATAAGAAACTCGAGGGTAGAGGCCTAGCCTCACTTCAACTGTTTTGGACATAGCTGGAGGTGACCATGCCTTCTAGTGAAGTCAGGGTTAGTCAATGGAAGACCTTTCTAAACTTCATGGGACACCAGGTTTCTGGACTAATTTTGTTTTCTAAAGCAACTGTCTTCTGTTGCAAGCTATTATGGTACTCTGGAGATCAAAGAAGCATGACTGAGTTCTGGCTCTGGCGGCTAACTGGGAGAAAGCAGGACTGGCAGACCCTCTGCCCATGAGCAAGTACCTGGAACTTCTTAGCTCTATTGGGGTGAACAAGCCATGGAAAGAGGATTTAGACTTTCTGCTCTTCTGGACAAATGGAGTCCCAATGACGTCACGTTTAAGAGTATTTATTTGGGAGTTGGACAAATCTGGGTTTGAATCCTGTTTCTGTTCATATGATAGCTGTTTGACTTTGGACAAGTTACTCAGTGGTCTGAGCCTGAACACTAAAATGGAGATAGACCTACTGTCTTAGTCCATTCCTGCTGCTCTAACAAAATACCTTAAATGGAATCTATAAACAACAGAATTTATTGCTGATAATTCTAGAGGCTAGGAAGTCCAAGATCAAGGTACCAGCAGATTTGGTGTCTGGTGTGGGCCTGTTCCTTGTAGATGGCAACTTCTAGGCATCCTCATATAGTAGAAGGAGCAAATCAGCATCCTCACACCTCTTATAAGGGCACTAATCCCTCATGACCTCATCATCTCCCAGACGCCCCATATTCTAATACTATCATGTTGGCAATTAGGACTCAGCTTAGGAATTTGTAAGGGACACAAATATTCAGACCACAGCACCTACCTAGAAGGCTGGTGGTGAAGGACAATGAGATCTTCATAAAGAGCTTTGCATTGTTCCAGGCACATAGTAAGAACTTAGTTAACTCCAGTGAACTCCAACAACTTAACTGTTGTTGCTTACAGTCATACAGTCATCTTTTGGGGGCTTTTAAAAACTTTTAAATTCAGGGATACATGTACAGGTTTGTTACATATGTAAACTTGTGTCATGGGGGTTTGTTGTACAGGTTATTCATCACCCAAATATTAATCCTAGTATCTATTAATTATTTTTCCTGATCCTCTTCCTCTTCCCACCTTTTACCATCTGATCAGCCCCATTGTGTGTTGTTTCCCTCTATGTATCCATGTGTTCTTATCATTTAGCTCCCACTTATACCTGACATCATGTGGTATTTGGCTTCCTGTTCCTGCCTTAGTTTGCTGAGAATGATGGCCTCCAGCTCCATCCATGTCCCTGCAAAGGACATGACCTCATTGTTTTTTATGGCTACATAGTATTCCATGGTGTATATGTACCACATTTTCTTTATCCAGCCTATCATTGTTGGGCATTTAGGTTGATTCCATATCTTTGCCATTGTGAATAGTGTTGCAGTGAACATACATGTGCATGTGTCTTTATAATATAATTATTTATATGCCTTTAGGTATATACCCAGTAATGAGATTGCTGGGTTGAATGGTATTTCTGTCTTTAGGTCTTTGAAGAATCACCACACTGTCTTCCACAATGGTTGAGCTAATTTTTGCTCCCACCAGCAGTATATAAGAGTTCCTTTTGCTTGACAATCTTGCCACCATCTGTTACTTTTTGATTTTTTAATAATAGGGGGCTTATGTTTGTGGGGAAGGGCATTAGGGACAACTAAGGCTCTATAGAACAATCCTGCGACAAGGTACAGCTCCATCTCAGCAAAAAAGAGTGAGAGTTTTTCTAGAAAGTCATTGAGGGGGAAAAACAAGCCAGCTCTGGATTATATTGAAGGGAATGTCTTAAACATGATAGCACATCTTCTCTATAACCCTTAATACTTAAGATTATGTACTTTTAATACTTCCTACTGAGTTCCAAAGAGCCTGAGTAACAAGGCAGTATGATGATCACACAATAACCTTTATACAACAGGAGGTAAACACAAGCTCTGCCATGAAATTCCAGGTTTGCTGTCTCATGTGACTTCTCCCCAGCTAAGCAGAGCTAGAACCTATCACTGCTCTGCAAGGGCCCTGGAACAGAAACTCATGTGATTGTTTCTTATATATGTGCTTTTCCTAAAAAGTGAATATTAAGGTGTCCTTTTGTTGATGCAAAACAAGCAACCAGGTACGCTCATGCACACGCATTTTCCTAGGACAAACCACAAAGAAAAACTGTTTGAATATGTTTAATGAAAACATTTCCCAGCTCAAAACTTCTTAAAGAGATCCAGCTTTCCTATGGAAAACAGCCCAGGATTCATAGAGAAAATATTGAAGTATTCTTCTTTTCCTTGATCAGTGTTGTTTTGCCAAAGAAGATGCTGTCTGTCTTTTTCACTGAAGAGTGAAAGAAGTTCTGACCATATGTCTCCATCACTCCATGGGCAATTGTTCAAATTTGTTTTCCCTTATAACAGTGGGGCAAGTGCTTTTCTTATAACTGTCTTGGTTCATAAAAACTTTAAGACAATACAAAATAAGAATATAAAATAAATGAGGACTAAGGGGAAGGATAAATATGGCAAAGGTAAGTATGGAAAATGTATACCTGTGGAATAAAAATTTGACTGTAGGCTTCCTAGTGACTAGAGCAAAGAGGAAAATCCCATTTGGTTATGTGATTTAAAAAAATGAAGTTTTTTAGGAGGAGCTCAGTTGTCCCTGGTGTTAAGAACAGAAGTGAGTTTTCTCACAGTTACTCATAAAAAGTATTTTGAGCTCTGATGATCAGGTTCCTAAAATGCCCTGCAGTGACTGCGACTGAATTGTGTCAGACCTCTTTGTATAACGTCCCTCATTCTTGGCATTTTGCCAAAGTATAATTCTATAAAGGGAAAGAAAGAACCTCCAGGCAATCTTCCATTTATACTATTTATTTTCAACTGAAGTTTTGCGAAATATTGAGCAGCACAGAGTTAGAGGTCATCTCTGGTAAGTACCTGGAATGCAACTCTTCTCAGCAGATGGGAAAGTGCAAAGCCACAGGCTTGCAACAGTTCACTAAGCTGGGCAGAAATGACATTGCATTATAAATATGAAAAGGACGCCCAAAGATATGGGGGCTGGAAGAGAAGGTCACCCACCTTGCCATGTAGAGAGGAAAGTGCATCAAAGAAGATGTAGAAAGTTTGAGAGGAAGGGGAAGAAAAAAAATGAACAATAATTTTATTAACTTAAGATAACCACTATTCACACTTTTGTATATTTCCTTCTTTTTTTTTTTGTCCTCCTAGTGGGTAATGTTAACAATCAGAATACGCACACAGGCTGGGTGCAGTGGCTCACACCTGTAATCTCAGCACTTTGGGAGGCTGAGGTGGGAGGCTGTGGTGAGCCCAGGAGTTCAAGGCTGTGGTGAGTTGTGATAGCACCACTGCACTCCAGCCTGGGTGACAGAGCAAGACCCTTCCCCCTGACCCCCCCCAAAAGACTAGGCATACAATTTTATAAATCATTTTTCACTCAATTAAGCACCATAAAATTAGTTATTATAGTTTGTTTTATCGGGATTTTTGGGCTGCTGTAATATAATCCCCATCATGGCTTCTGACCTTCTATAAAATGTATCATATACCCCCTGCCATGAGTAAGTGATGCTTTAGGAAAATTAGGAAAAGAGGCTGTTTAAATAGACTGGGAATCAATAAAGAGGCCAGAGGGGATGTAGGAGGTGAGAGCTGAGTGTGGGGAGTTATTCAGCAGAAACAGAGAATCAGAAGGGGAAATGACTGGGAGAACATAAACCCCAAGAGAATTTACTAACCACGTGGGGCTCCCCATGAATGTGGCATTAGTGATTCAATTTTATCTCAAGACGGAACAAGTGCACCTTTTGTAATGTTTTTTAAAATATAAACATGCCTAAGTTCTGCCCTTTCATAAAAAGAGGTAGAAATAGAACAGTGATGGGTCATGATAATATGGTAGTACAATTTGGCAAGATTTTTCTCTTTTAAAAGCAGCTTTCCAGAAATCACATTTTACCATAGTCAAGAATTTCTCTTTTTTGGGGGGGTGTGGCGGGTAGCAAAAGTATTACTTTTTTTTTGAGATGGAGTTTCGTTCTATCACCCAGGCTGGAGTGCAGTGGTGTGATCCCAGCTCACTGCAACTTCTGCCTCCTCGGTTCAAGCGATTCTCCTGCCTCAGGCTCCTGAGTAGCTGGGATTACAGGCACTCGCCACCAGGCCCAGCTAATTTTTTGTACTTTTAGTGGAGACGGGGTTTTACCATGTTGGCCAGGCTGGTCTCGAACTCCTGACCTCAGGAGATCTACCTGCCTCGGCCTCCCAAAGTGTTGGGATTACAGGCGGGAGCCACCAAGTCCGGCCAGTAATCTGTTACTTACAGAGGAAGACTGGTGTTTACACTCAAATCAGCCCCATATACAGACACTTCTTAATTATCTACCGCTTACTTTGTTAAATTTTGTATCTCGCCTTCCCGAAATAGAAATGTTGCTGATGCTTAAATACAACCACAAAGTCATTGAAGACATATCTTGAATGACCATTAGGCTCTGATATTCCTTCTTTGACCTTGTACAGACTTTTTTCTCCTCTTATTGTTTTGAAATGTGTCACTTTTTTCTTTGCTACTTTGAATTACCTTCTGTTCCAGGAAGGGACGGGTAAATACATTTTCTTCAATCCTGGTAGTTTTCTGCTGGCCAGATGTTGTGGTAAAATTCTACCTTCTCCAGGGACTAAAGTGTGACTATTGAATGAGGAGGCTAATCTTTTTTTCTTTTTATCATATGTGGCGTATAGGAATCAGCCCCACTGTGTATGATGATTACTTTGTCCTCTGACAGTCTTCAAAAGTACTGGGAGGGAATCTGTCAGTTGATTGTCTCAGACAATCCCTTTCTGCACTAAGAGATTATGTCTTCTAAAGAAATTCAACCAAATGTGACTTTAGCCATCTCAAATCTTCTCCCAATAAATGGGTTTAAGTATCTGAAAAGACACAATGAAATTAGCAACTTCCAATTGATTTAATTAAGCAGCTGGGATTAATGAGAGGATGTATTCTTCCTGCAGTTATAAAGTCTCTTTCATTCTCTAGTATTCAGTTAATGAAAGGAAATAATATATATTTGGAATTTTTTCTTCTCTCCAATACTGCAAATTTTGTAAGCTGCTAGTTTCACTACTGGATATTAAAGTCTTATAAGGAAAAAAAACCCTTTTTTATATCAAAAGGGAATGGATTTTGTGTTTCTAGCACAACAGGTAGTCTGCCACTAGGTGGTATGTTTCCTTATTGCCCATACTTAGGTTTCGGAGATGTAAATGCAGTATAGGTACCCCATCATACAAAAGTTCGATTTCCTGAAAAATTCATAATTTAACTGTAAAGAGAATTATCTTTCTTTATTGGCTCCTATTTTAAAGCCAGAATAACATTTCCTTACTGAACTATATAAATGCATTGAAAATGTCTGATGGGAGGTTCTGGTGTTGACCAGGTCCCTGGAATTCTGGGAACATGGGTGGAATTTACCCATTGACTATACTTCTCTTCTCTCCTTTGGAGCCTCTGGTAGTACTTCCTAGAAGGACTTCCCTGGGTCCTTCCCTGTATCCGAAGAATTTCTGTCTCATATTTGTGGCTTCTAGAACTTTATCTTTGTTTATTCCTTACTTTGAGTACTTACAACCTCTGACAGAGCTGGATTCCATATCATTTCACCATGGGGCTTACTAAGCGCCTCATAGAGCCTTTCAAATGGAAGTTTCCTCCCCTTCTTTATCAGTCTCACTCCCTCTCTCTCTCATTTTCCCCCTCTAGTCCTACCCCTCTCTCTCTCCCACTCCTTTGCCCTCCCTCAGTCTCATCATCCTTTTGGTTTCTTCTTTTTCATTTTGACATATTTTTTAAAAATAGCAATGTCATGTAAAATTTAATTAACAGTTTATACCCACAATTTTTTTTTAATACAAGAAAACATAACAAATACAATTAAAGTCCTTTTTGATGCTCAGGCTCCATTCTCTTCCTCTTGCTCTATTAAATATCTCACAAAGCCAAAAGATCCATCTGATGACCCTTTGCACAGCTGTGTTACCAGAAGCCTCATGGGAGGGTGTTCTCTTGCTTTAGGACATTTATTTATTAGATGTTGATGGGGGTGCTTTGCTAAATGGGGGCAGTGAGTAGTCCAGAAGCAAATTGTATGGGAAAATAAGTAGATTTGATGTGCCATGGGGTAAACTTGTGAGGAAGAATCAAGTGCAGGAGACTTTAGCAGAATTAGTGACTGCTCCTAATTCCCATTTCCTTTCCAGGAAACCTGACTTGGGTCTTCAGCATTCCTGATCTCATTCTTCATAGTTCTTTTTTTTTTTTTTTAAATGGTTTTAATGTTTGTATATCTAACCCTGGCCTCATGGCTGTTTTTTTGATTTTATGGCTATGTGATGGTTTGAATTTGATGTTCTTAAATCTACACCATCCCCAAGCTCTGCTTAATTTAGTTGAAGGCACAATCAATGGGCTCAGATACAGTCTCCTCATCCTAACCCATCAGGGCAAGCTTGAAGGTAGACAGAGGTTGGCTATATAACTGACTTAAACGTTGACTGTGCCCCTAGATCTGCACAGCTTTGTCCCATTATTGCCAATTTTCCTGTCCCTAAGGGTAAGAAGAAAGGCACCAAAACTTAGCAGTGCCAGGGAACCTAGAGCCTGAGGTGTCAACATCAACTTGTTGCCTACCAAGACAGATCTTAGTGGGAGGCATGTTGAAATTGGCCACAGTTCCAAGGTTCTCTTCTAGGTCCTCTCTTGGTATTGACTCTAGGACCTGAAGCCACTGTCATCATTGACAGTGACACAGATAATGAGACTGATGATGCTGGGCTAGTGCTGGGTGTATGTGGGGACACTCTAGTCCTGGCTAGACTGGGTCCACCACCTTCATTGTATGTGCAGTGGTGAATTTGTAAGCTTTTTATGAGCTTCTTGTCCTTCTTCTCCTTCTCCTCCTCCTTTTCCTCTTCCTCCTCCTCCTCCTTCTTCTTCCTTTTTTTTTTTTCTTGAGACAAGGTCTTACTATGTCACCCAGGCTGGAGTGCAGTGGCACTAACATGACTCACTGCAGCCTTGACCTCCTGGGCTCAGGCAATCTTCTTGCTTCAGCCCCCCAAGTAGCTGGGACTACAGGCGTGCACTATCATTCCTGCTTATTTTTGTACTTTTTGTAGAGACAGGGTTTTGCCACATTGCTTAGGCTGGTCTTGAACTCCTGGGCTTAAGCGATCCTCCCTCTTGGGCCTCCCAAAGTGCTGGAATTACAGGTGTGAGCCGTCATGCCTGGCCTGTTTTGCTTCTTTTAACCATTCTTGCTTCAGCTTCTTTCCATTACTTTTTTCCTTCTCTCTTTGCCTTGACTTGAGTATCTGCTTGGCTTTCTGTCCTATGCTGTATCCGGTTAACTTGTCCTCTCAGCTGTGAATTGTAGTGACACATAAATGGGGAAATGAAAAATATTGATCAGCCTTGTATAAAGCCTGCCAAAATTTTCATCATCCCTTCTCACTTTGACTGAATACCAGGGAAATTATGTGATGGGTAATAGACTCCCACAAGCATCTGAGATTCGAGGCTCCTGCTGTAGATGGTACTTGCTGTGGGGGAAAAGACTTGATGTAGTCCATGAAAAATAATAAAACTAAAGAACAATCATTTCTTTGTTTTTACATGTTCCATTTTTAGCTTTCTTTGGTCTTATTACTTCCTAGTGATTGGACTTGTGTTCCTGAGGAAGAGTAATTGATCCACTTTCTCTCCGTGCTGTTAAGCCATCTTTATTCAGGATTAAGTTATAGTGTTTGAGGGCGTTTAACCCCAATTTCATGCTTTTTAAGGAAAACAAACATAAAACATCAAACAAAGTGAGACTGAAGTGAAAACTTTCCTCATCCTACTAGAAGTTAGAAGATCCTCAAAGTTCAAATTTCCAGCCAGACTGCTCAGTAAGTGCCTCTTCCGGGCAGCAGCAAGAATATGAGTCAAATGTCACTAGAGCATCTGCCTGGATTCTAATGCTAGTTCCAGCATTTACCAGCTGGGGGTCATATAATCCCTTAAAACCTCCTTTTCCTCATGTGTAAAATGGAGGGTTGATGAAACATGAAACTATCTTAAGTTGTTATGCTGTGTGATGACAGCAAAGAGGTTGGCATAGAATTAGCACTCAGGTGTGGCTGCCTCACAGTTACTGTTCTGCTGCCCCTCTCTTTCTCCCACTCCTCTCCTTCCTCCTACAGTGGTTCACAACACAGCCCTGTCATGGGGCTGCCTGCATTTGATCTTGGTCCCACCCATTCCTCCTATTTGGTTCAGAACAGAACCATCCACCTTTCTGAGGTCATTTTTGCATCTCAGAATTGATGATGATGCTGATAATATACCTACCCAAGTTCATTTAAAGTTGTAACATAGTGCTTGAAGCATAGTAAATGTTCAATAGTTATTTATTATAGCACGATTATTAATATTTTCTCCCCGAGCAAAGTCTTAAATCCCTGCTGAATTTCTGGGGTCTGGCAGAGTTGAGATGGGGGTAGGTTAAACTATAAAGTTTAGATGAACAGTCAGCAGCTTTTCTGAAATGACAGTATTGTCTTGATTTGTTCATTTAAATTTAAGTGAGGTCTCAAGTCATCTCTAGGTTTCTTTCATTGTTGCATAGTCCCCATCTCCCCCTAATGTCCTGGGATGATGACAGTGAGATGGAGCTGCTTTAGGCCCCTTCACAGAAGCCGCTGATCCTGCAAGGCCGCAGACAGGTTCTTTTTTCTGGACTTCTCCACCTTCCCCTCTCCTCTTGCTCCACAATGTGAATAGACCCGAGGGGCATCACCACTTGGGGTGTTGCCAGCCAGCCCCTTTGCTGTTTTAGAGTTAGTGGGAATTAGGCAGACGATTGTTTGAAAGCAAAAACAAGATCTCAGGATTGGTGCTGGAGAAAAGACAGCTTGTAGAGCAGGTGAGAAGTGCCCAGAGACAAACCGCCTGTTGTGTAGGTTATGGTGAGCTCATTTACATGTCGCTCCTTTGCTAGGCCTCCCTAAAATACAATCTATAGCCCATTATCTTTGCCCTTAACACACGTAGACTCTCTAATCACACAGCTTTGAGTTTGGCTGTTTCCATGCACTAATTAGGCTGACCTTAATCCATATAAGCTGTAATATTCCTCTGTGTGTCTCATGGTAACTACCCACCCCTTCCCTTTAGTGTATTCAAGCCTCATGACTTGAATAGTAGAAGCTCAAGTCTAGCTCCCCCAAATCATTGAGCAAGAGCCCCTTTTCTTACTCATGGCTGACAAGTTAATAGCAAGAGGCTCTTACACTACAGAGGTAGTAGCGTGGTCAGGTTCTCCTCCTAAATTCTCAGCCTGGCATGGAAGTGGAGGCTTTTCTCTTCCATCTTTTGTGTAGCATGGAGACTCAGACTGGACCCTTGTCCATACCCAACAGCGTCTGTGTATGTTTTCTGAAATGCTTTAAATTAAAGGGTTATACAAGTCATTACGCCAAGTCATCAAAACAGCAATTAACTCAATAACCATGACATGAAGCCAGCTGTCTCCTTTGGGACTGTAAAATTGAAAACCAATGCTACAGTGTGCTTGGCTCAGCCATGAACTCCCATGAAGCAAAACTAAATATTGCAAATGTAAATGTTGTAAATATTTACATTCAGAGAGGCAATGTACTTGATTTCTTTTTGGGAGGAAGATGATTGGAACAAAGGGAAACAAATAGGAGAGTAAGAAGTAAAAGTATCTATGTCTAGGGGAATATCTTTACAAATGAATATCTACAACTTTGTTGTTTATTATATCACAGATTATTTAGTATATTTAACAAATTGAGAAACAGTGCTGGTTAAATTTCCCCTAGGATGTTAACATCCTTGACAATAATAGTATAGAAAATTGGTCTAATCTTGTTATACGTTCTGACTACATACAGTTATACTCATTTTAGAATTACATTTTGAGATTAAATTATATTTTATATAAAATAAAAGAGCTCATTTCATAAAGAAGCTATGGAAGCTTAAAAAGTATTTTGAGAACTACCTCCCCAACTTATTGACCTCATCATTTAATGATGAAAAACTACATTTTTCTTCAAACTAGAAGTCCCTATACTCAGTTCATATGGCAGCAATCAGATTAGGGTTTTCTAAACAAATGAAGGATCTGCAAATGCTACAACCAAAGACTTTGGAAAGAAATGTTTGCTTTTCTGATTATAAAATTAACATGTATATAGATTATTCAAAAAATACATAAAGTATACAAATAAACATTACCAATGTAATCACACCATAAGACTACTGTTAATACTTTGCTACTACTACCTTAATGTTCTTACTTTGCTTTTTTGTATGCATTTTTCATATAATTTTATTTATACCATAATATATACACTTGTATTCTACTTTTATATAAACTTCATTAGTAGTTTCTCATTTTTGAAATTTTTATTTGAAAATATTTAATGCAAATGTGTCAGGCTATTTAATTATATGGTTATTGGATGTTTTTACTACTGATGTTGCAGTGAATATTTCAGTATATTAATCTCTGATTCTTTGCCTGTTTCTTTAGAGTATATTCTTAGAAAGAGAGTCAATTGTTTGGGCATATAAGATATTGCCAAATTACATTTTAGACAGATGATACTAATTTTTACTCAGTGTTTCTGTGTGCTCCAACTTGACTGCATCTTCAACGCTGTTGAGTATTATTTTCTTCATCCAATGGTTCTCAACTCTGGCTTCACTTTGGAATCAACACAGGGGCAACAAACAAACAAATAGACATGTCTATGCCTGGGCTCTACCCCAAACCAATTACATTAGAATTTTTAAGCAGTGAGATTGCCAATGCATCTGTAATTTTAAAAGCTCCCAATGACTCTAGTTGATAGAAAGGGTTCAGAACCATTTTGCTAACTGTGTAAATGAAAAATATTCTTCTTCAACACCCTTTTGGTATCAGGGTACTTAGAATTTAAGTAGTATATGCTTTGTCTCATTAGCTTGAAAAATATACTGTGAAATTATGCTCATGGCCAAAATATTTTGCCTCAATTGGATTTTCATATACATGGAAAAAGTAAGGACAAATAGCATGCCCTACCCCCCATAGCCTTACCATGTTGTCAATTAGTTCTTAGAAAAGCTTTGTAGAGCCCTTTCCACTTTTTTATATTTCGTCTTTAAGTTTTATATTTGAAATTCTTTAAGAAGTAGCAAATGCCACTTGTCTTGTCTTTCTCATCACTCTTCAATTGATTATGAAATATGTAATTTATTTAGGCATTTTCAATACCAGGACATGCATTGTCAAATGCGAGGGTTTCTTCAGTGTCTTAGTGTGGCATTATTTACCCATATCTTATTGTTTGGTAGATTAAAATACTAAAGAAGACTGTAATTGCCTGTGACTTTGGCCTGCCTGTTTTGAGGAAGGTTCAGTGAAGCTCCAGATATGATCTGAGTCCTGCTTTTGAT
The DNA here is from genome assembly GCF_000001405.40 of Homo sapiens. Taxonomy (NCBI): domain Eukaryota; kingdom Metazoa; phylum Chordata; class Mammalia; order Primates; family Hominidae; genus Homo; species Homo sapiens. Next base: position 2,594,221 of record NC_000009.12, on the reverse strand, counting down.
TGAGTTAGTCTAGGGAAGCCCTTTTCACTCATCCTGCTAATGTATGCTGATGTGTATTGTTCCATTCTTTCTTGAAATTATTTTCCTATGTGTATGAAATAAGGGAAGAGAATGTTTCCTTCTCTCTTCTATTGATCTTACTTCAAAATCTGATGCCAGATATTTACTATGTGATCTTCCTAAAGGCTCTCATTTCCTCATTTCTATCATGCCTCTAGCCCTACTTCTTGTTCTTCCCCAAGAAGGAGACCTCCCTTGTGTTCCTGTCCAAATATTCACTTCTCCATACTCTCTTGCAGCTGACAGTGGTGATATGACAAAATTCTGTCCAATTGTATGTAAACTGAATTCTACTGAGAGCTTTGGGGAAGAGGCTCATTTTCTCAATAAAGGCATACTGATACTGGAACCCTCTTCTCTAACTTCTAGGCTTGAATTCACATGTGATGCCTGGACTTTGGTGGCCACTTTGTAACCATAAGGTAATGGAACTGGCAGATCAAGAGAATGCTGGAGATTCCATCTCTGCCATCTTTAACCTCCTGAACCAACACTAACCATTGCCCACCTGCAGCCTTCTTGCATGAGGAAAATACACCGTTGGTTAAGTCAGTGTTAGATGGCTTTTTTGTTACTTTCAGCAGAAAGCATTTCTGGTTCACCCAAATACTAGTCAATATCACATTTAGCTATCGATTATAGCTTGCCATTTTATAAATATTCCATGTAAGAATGGAATTAAAAGGCCAAGGCTGTTCCTAAATGGGATGAGGCCCACCTACTTTATCTTCCTTTTATTTTCTTCACCCTAGTGGCAATGCTCGGTCTTGGGCAAAGAACTAGGGAAAATCATTGCTTCTTAGTGTTGTCTGTTCCTGATTGTTTCTGCCTGATATATTTGGGATGTGCACCCTCTTCAAATCTCATGTTGAAATGTGACCTCCAGTTTTGGAGGTGGGTCTGGGAGGTGTTTGTTCTGAGTCCTGCTTTTGATTGAAGCAGGGAGAAGTGGGAGGTATTTGGGTCATGGGGGTGGATCCCTCATGAATGGCTTGATGGCCTCCCAATGGTAGTGAGTGAGTTCTTGCTCTGGTAGTTCATGCAAAAGCTGGTGGTTTAAAGTAGTCTGGCAACCACCTCCCCAATCTCTCTTGCTTCCTCTCTTGCCACGTGATAGATCAACTTCCCCATCACCTTCCACCATGATTGCAAGCTCCCTGAGGTCCTCACTAGAAGCAGATGCCAGCACCACACTTCCTATACAGCCCACAGAACTGTGAGCTAAAATAAACCTCTTTTCTTTGCAAATTATCCAGACTCAGATGTTCCTTTACAGCAATGAAAATGGACTAATGGAGAAAATTGTTACCAATGAGTGGGGTGTTGCTATAAAGATACCTGAAAATGTGGAAGCAGTTTTGGAACTGGGTAATGGGCAGAGGTTGGAAGAGTTTGGAGGGCTCAAAAGAAGACAGGAAAATGAGGGAAAATTTGAAACTTCTTAGAGACTGGTTAAATAGTTGTGACAAAAATTCTGATATAAATATGGACAGTGAAGGCTGGGCTAATGAGGCCTCAAATGGAAATGAGGAACTGAAGCATAGATCACCTATGTTATGCCCTAGCAAAGAACATGGTTGCATTGTATCCATGACCTAGAGCTTTGTGGAAACTTGAGCTTAAGAGTGATGTCCCACAGTATCTAGTGAAATAAATTTCTAAGCAGCAAAGCATTCAAGAAGTGGCGTGGCTGTTTCTAACAGCCTATGATAAGACATGGGAGTAAAGGAATAACTTAAAGTTAGAACTTATATTTAAAAGGGCAGCAGAGCATAGAAGTTTGGAAAATTTGCAGCCTAGTCATGTGATAGAGAAGGAAAGAGCATTTTCAGGCAAGGAACACAAGCAGGCTATGCAGCAACCACTTGCTAGAGACACTAGCATGACTGAATGGGAGCCAAGTGCTAATATTTATGACAATGGGAAAAAGACCTTGAAGGCATTTCAGAGATCTGAATGGCCCCATCGCAGGCCCAGGGGCCTAGGAGGAAAGAATGGTTTCAGGGACCAGGTTCTGGGTCCTGCTGCCCTAGTCATCCTTGGCATACTGCCTCCTGCATCCTGACTGGTCCTGTTTCAGCCATGGCTCAAAGTGCTCCAGCTACAGCTGGGGCTACCACTCCTGAGAGCACAAGCTGTAAGTCTTGGCAGCTTCCACATGATGTTAAGTCTGTAGGCACACAAAATGCAAACATGAAAGGAGTTTGGCAGATTTTCCCTAGATTTCAGATGTATCAAAGTCTGGGTGCCTAGGCAGAAGCCTGCTACAGTGGTGGAACCCTGCAAAGAGCCTCTACTGGGGCAGTGCCAAGGGGAAAGGTGGGGTTGGAGCCCTCACACAGAGTCCCCACCAGGGTATTGCCTAGTGGAGCTGTGGAAACAAGTCTCTCACTCTCCAGACACCAGGATGGTAGAGCCACTGGCAGCTTGCACCCTCAGCATGGAAAGGCTTCAGGTACCAGATTCCAAACTGTGAGAGCAGCCACAGAGGCAGAGCTGCCCAAGACCTTGGGAGCCCACCTGTGGCACTAGTGTGTCCTGTATGCAGAACATTGAGTCAAAGGAGATTATGTTGGAGCTGTAAGATTTAATGAATACCTTGCTGGGCTTCAGACCTGCATGGGGTTTTTTGTCCCTTTTTTTTGGCTGATTTTTTCCTTTTGGAATGGGAATGTCTACCCAATGTCTGTACCACCATTGTATCTTGGGAGTAAATAACTCCCAAGAGTTATTTTATAGGCTCATAGGTGGAAGGAACTTGGTCTTAAGTCTCAGTTGAGACTTTGGACTTTGAGGTAATGATGGAATGAATTAAGACTTTGGAGGACTATTGGGAAGGATGATTGTATTTTGCAATGTGAGAAGAACATGAGATTTGGGGGGCCAGGGGCAGAATGACATAGTTTGAATGTGTGTCCCCTCTACATCTCATGTTGAAATGTGACCTCCAATGTTGGAGGTGGGCCTGATGGGAGGTGTTTGGGTCATGGGGGCAGGTTCCTTATGAATGGCTTGGTGTCATCCCCGCAGCAATGAGTGAGTTCTTGCTCTAGTGGTTCAAGCAAATCTGGTTGTTTAAAAGAGCCTGGCACCTGCCCCTGCCTTATTCCCTCTCAAGGTATGATACACTGGCTCCCCCTTTGTCTTCCACCATGATTGTAATTAGCTCCCTGAGGCCCACACCCAAAGCAGATGCCAGCACCACACTTCCTGTACATCCCACATAACTGTTAGCCAAAATAAGCCTCTTTTCTTTATAAATTACCCATTCTCTGGTATTCCTTTATATTAATAAAAACTAACTAACATATTGCCTTATTCCAGTAAGTCACCTTGATTCAGCCTAAAGCTATGTAGGCCTGATTCAAATAGAAACAAATGGTGGAGAGTGATTGTCTATAACAACTTCTTCAAACTTTCAGCTTTGAATTGTGGCCCACAAACATAGAGAATGATAGGTATTTGTTTCCTAATTACCATTGTTTCTGTAGATATCTCTCCTCTAAGTCCTGGTAAGGTGAGGAGGCTGATCTTGGTACCTTTTGCCACCTAACTACCAGTATACTACTCTGATTTTGACACAATGATTGCAACAGTTTGGGTAATGAATGTAATTTGAGGTTACATAGATTTATTCTGTGCTGGAAACTCTTATGCCAGTGCCTTAATTGATTTTGTTGGAGTGAGGTCAAAGCCTTGGGTATATAAAGCAATTAATACCTTTAGGCATTTTGCATCAATCACTGGAGCATCATCAATTTTTGATCAACTATGTGATGTACATATTTACTGAACACAAGTAGTTTTGATTTGTGTGCATTCAACTGAGGGATGGCCAAGAAAATGCAAATTGTTTGAAGTTAAAGAGAAATCTATCAAATGTTCAGTCATTGCTATGACAGCTAGGTGTTGAACCACGTTGGAAAATAAAGGCGAACTTAACCTCTTACCTCTGTATAATACTCACAAGCTTTACCTAGTCCAGATTTTTAGGTGAGAGATTTTCAGGCAGGTTTTGCCTTGTTTTCTGGCTGTGCACTATTGTTTCTCTTAAGATAAGTAGGGATGCATAGAACTGGTCGGCATTTTGCCACTACATAATGCTTTATTCATCTTAAATATGTGAAAGTAAAAGGCAAAAATATGTAATTACAATTCTGGGCTTGAACTAAAATACTGAAAGAAAGACTTGGTTTACTTGTGACCAAAAATCACTATGTTCATCTTCTTTTTCAGATGTAACATGTACTAGATCATGAAAGCAGTTATGAAAAAGAGCTTTCTTTGAAGCCTAACTCATATTGCTTGCTTACTGGTGCACACTCTTTACATAACCTTGTCATCATGATTCTAGCTCCACCTGATGGGAACAGAAACTGATGATGGCTAGAAGGGAGCCTTGTAGTATGTTATTTCCTACCAAAGTATCTAGGAAAAGGTTGCAAAGGAAAACCCGAGTACATCCTTTGCAGACTGGCACTTTGTTTTTTAATTTTAATTTTTATTTTTCTGTAAGTTATTGGGGTACAGGTGGTGTTTGGTTACATGAGTACGTTCTTTAGTGGTGATTTGTGAGGTTTTGGTGTACCTATCACCCGAGCAGTATACACTGCACCATATTTGTTGTCTTTTATTCCTTGCCCCCTTCCCACTCTCCACCCCCAAGTTCCCAAAGTCCATTGTATCATTCCTATGCCTTCACCTCCTCATAGTTTAGCCTCCACATATCAGCAAGAACATATGGTGTTTGGTTTTTCATTTCTGAGTTACTTCACTTAGAATAAGTCTCCAATCTCATCCAGGTCACTGTAAATGCTTTTAATTCATTCCTTTTTATGGCTGTGTACTATATATCCATATCACATATATATGTGATATATATATCCATATATACTACACAGCCATGAAAAGGAATGAATTAAAAGCATTTACAGTGACCTGGATGAGATTGGAGACATATATATATATATGGTTTACATACCCACCAGCAGTCCAGAAGTGTTCCCTGATCACTTCATCCACATATATATATGGATATATATATCCATATATATATCCATAGACATATATATATGAATATATATATCACATATATATGTGATATATATACACACACATATATATATGTATATATATATATATATATATATATCTCAACGTTTCTTTGTCCATTTGTTGATTGATGGGTGTTTGGGCTGATTCCACGATTTTGCAATTGTGAATTGTGCTGCTATAAACATGAGCGTGCAAGTATCTTTTTTGAACAATGACTTATTTTCCTCTGGGTAGATACCCAGTAGTGTGATTACTGGATCAAATGGTAGTTCTACTTTTAGTTCTTTAAGGAATCTTCACACTGTTTTCCACAATGGCTGTACTAGTTTAGATTCCCACCAGCAGTGCAGAAGTGTTCCCTGACCACTTCATCCACACCAACCTCTACTGTTTTTTGATGTTTTGATTACAGCCATTCTTGCAGTAGTAAGGTAGTATCGCATTGTGGTTTTGATTTGCATTTCCCTGATCATTAGTGATGTTGAGCATTTTTTCATATGTTTGTTGTCCATTTGTATATCTTCTTTTGAGAATTGTCTATTCTTGTCCTCAGGCCATTTTTTGATGGGATTGCTTGTTTTTTTTCTTTCTGATTTGTTTGAGTTCATTGCAGATTCTGGATATTAATCTTTTGTTAGATGTGTAGATTGTGAAGATTTTCTCCCACTCTGTGGGTTGTCTCTTTACTCTGCTGACTGTTCCTTTTGCCATGCAAAAGCTGTTTAGTTTAATTGGGTCCCAGCTATTGATCTTTGTTTTTATTATATTTGCTTTTGGGTTCTTGGTCATGAAATCCTTGCCTAAGCCAATGTCTAGAAGGGTTTTTCCAATGTTATCTTCTAGAATTTTTATAGTTTCAGGTCTTAGGTTTAAGTCCTTAATCTGTCTTGAGTTGATTTTTGTATAAGGTGAGAGATGAGGATCCAGTTTCATTTACATGTGGCTAGCCAATTATCCCAGCACCATTTGTTGCAAAGGCTGTCTTTTCCCAACTTTATGTTTTTGTTTGCTTTGTTGAAGATCAGTTGGCTGTAAGTATTTGGGTTTATTTCTGGGTTCTCTATTCTGTCCCGTTGGTCTATGTGCCTATTTTTATACCGGTACCACACTATTTTGGTGACTATAGCCTTATAGTATAGTTTGAAATCAGGTAGCTTGATGCCTCCAGATTTGTTCTTTTTGCTTAGTCTTGCTTTGGCTATGTGGGCTCTTTTTTGGTTCCATATGAACTTTAGAATTGTGTTTTCTAACTCTGTGAAGAATGATGGCAGTATTTTGATGGGGATTGTGTTGAATTCGTAGATTGCTTTTGACAGTATGGTCATTTTCACAATATTGATTCTACTCATCCATGAGCATGGGATATGTTTCCATTTGTTTGTGTAATCTGTGATTTCTTTCAGCAGTGTTTTGTAGTTTTCCTTATAGAGGTCTTTTGACTCCTTTGTTAGATATATTCCTAAGTGTTTTATTTACTTATTTATTTTTGCAGCTATTGTGAAAGGGGTTGAGTTCTTGATTTGATTCTCTGCTTGGTCACTGTTGGTGTATAGAAGAGCTACTGATTTGTCTCCATTAATCTTGTGTCTGGAAACTTTGCTGAATTCTTTTATCAGTTCTAGGAGCTTTCTGGAGGAGCCTTAAGGGTTTTCAAGGAAAATGATCATATTGTCAACAAACAGTGACAGTTTGACTTCCTCTTTACTGATTTGGATGCCATTTATTTCTTTCTCTTGTCTGATTGCTCTGGCTAGGACTTCCAGTACTATGTTGAAGAGGAGTGGTGAGAGTGGGCATCCTTGTCTTGTTCCCTTTCTCAGAGGGAATGCTTTCAATTTTTCCCTATTCAGTATTATGTTGGCTGTGGGTTTGTCATAGATGGCTTTTATTAAATTAAGATATGTCCCTTGAATGCTGGTTTTGCTGAGGCTTTTAATCATAAAAGGATGTTGGATTTTGTCAAATGTTTTTCCTGCATCTATTGAGATGATCATGTGATTTTTGTTTTTAATTCTGTTTATGTCATGTATCACATTTATTGACTTGTGTATGTTAAACCATCCCTGCATCCCTGGCATGAAACCTACTTTATCATGGTGGATTATCTTTTTGATATGTTGCTGGATTTGGTTAGGTAGTCTTTTGTTAAGGATTTTAGTATCTATGTTCATCGAGGATATTGGTATGTAGTTTTCTTTTTTGCTTGTATCCTTTCCTGGTTTTGGTATTAGGGTGATGCTGATTTCATAGAATGAATTAGTGAGGGTTCCTTCTTTCTCTATCTTGTGGAACAGTGTCAAAAGAATACCAATTCTTCTTTGAATGTCTGTTAGAATTCTGCTGTTAATCTGTCTAGTCTTGGACTTTTTTTTTTTGTTGGTAATTTTTAAATTACCATTTCAGTCTCACTGCTTGTTATTGGTCTGTTCAGGGTGTCTAATTCTTCCTGATTTAAGCTAGGAGGGTTGTATTTTTCCAGGAATTTATCCATCTCTTCTAGGTTTTCTAGTTATGTGCGTAAAGGTGTTCATAGTAGCTTTGAATGATCTTTTATATTTCAGTGGTGTCAGTTGTAACATCTCCTGTTTCATTTCTTAGTGAGGTCATTTGGATTTTCTCTCTTCTTTTCTTAGTTAATCTTGGTAATGGTATATCAATTACATTTATGTTTTCAAAGAACCAGCTTTTTGTTTCATTTATCTTTTGTATTTTTTGTTTGTTTGTTTGTTTGTTTCAATTTCATTTAGTTCTTCTCTGATCCTGGTGATTTCCTTTCTTCTGCTAGGTTTGGGTTTGGTTTATTCTTGTTTCTCTAGTTTATTGAGATGTGACCTTAGATTGTCTCTTTGTGCTCTTTCAGACTTTTTGATGTAGGCATTTAGGGCTAGGAACTTTCCTCTTAGCACTGCATTAGCTGTATTTCAGAGGTTTTGATAGGTTGTGTCATTATTGTCATTCATTTTAAATAATTTTTAAAATTTCCATCTTGATTTCATTTTTGACCCAATGCTCATCCAGGAGCAGTTATTTAATTTCCATGTATTTACATGGTTTTGACGGTTCCTTTTGAGTTGATTTCCAGTTTTATTCCACTGTGGTCTGAGAGAGTGTTGGTATAATTTCAATTTTTTTAAATTGATTGAGGCTCATTTTATGGCCTATCATATGGTCTATCTTGGAGAAAGTTCCATGAGCTGTTGAATAGATGAGTGTTCTGTGGTTGTTGGATGAAATGTTCTCTATATATCTGTTGAGTCTATTTGTTCCAGGGTATTGTTTAAGTCCATTGTTTCTTTGTTGACTTTCTGTCTTGATGGCCTGTCTAGTGCTGTCAGTGGAGTATTGAAGTCCCCCACTGTGATGGTGTTGCTATCTATCTCATTTCTTAGGTCGATAGTAATTGTTTTATAAATTTGGGAGTTCCAGTGTTAGGTGCATATATGTTTAGGACTGTGATATTTTCCTGTTGGACAAGGCCTTTTACCACTATATAATGTCCCTCTTTGTCCATTTTAACTGCTGTTGCTTTGAAGTTTGTTTTGTCTGGACTAAGAACAGCTACTCCTGCTTGCTTTTGGTGTCTGTTTGAATGAAATGCCTTTTTCTACCCCTTTACTTTAAGTTTATGTGAGTCCTTATGTGTTAGGTGAGGTTCCTAAAGGCAGAAGATAGTTGGTTTGTGAGTTCTTATCCATTCTGCTGTTCTGTATCTTTTAAGTGAAGCATTTAGGCCACTTACATTCAATATTAGTATTGAAATGTGAGGTACTTTTGCATTAATCATGCTCTTTGTTGGCTGTCTACTTTGATTTTTTCGTTTTTTTGTTTTTGCTTTTTAACTTGTATTTTTGTTTTATAGGTCCTGTGTGATTTATGCTTTAAAGAGGTTCTGTTCTGATGTGTTTCCAGGATTTGTTTCAAGATTTAGAGCTCCTTTTAGCAGTTCTTGTAGTCGTGGCTTGGTAATGCTGAATTCTCTCAGCATTTGTTTGTTTGAAAGTGACTGCATCTTTCCTTCACATATGATGCTTAGTTTCACTGGATACAAAATTCTCGGCTGATAATTGTTTTGTTTGAGGAGGCTGAAGATAGGGCCCCAATCCCTTCTACCTTGTAGGGTCTTTGCTGAGAAATCTGCTGTTAATCTGATAGGTTTTTCTTTATAGGTCACCTGGTGCTTCTATCTCACAGCTCTTAAGATTCTTTCCTTTGTCTTAACTTTGAATAACCTGATGACAGTGTGCCTAGATGAAGATATTTTTGTGATGAATTTCCCAGGTATTCTTTGTGCTTCTTGTATTTGCATGCCTAGGTCGCTATCAAGACCAAGGAAGTCTTCTTTGATTATTCCCCCAAATATGTTTTCCAAGCTTTTAGAATTGTCTTCTTCCTCAGGAACACCGATCCTTCTCAGGTTTGGTAGTTTAACATAATCCCAAACTTCTTGGAGGCTTTGTTCATATTTTCTTATTTTTTTCCTTTGTCTTTGTTGGATTGGGTTAATTCAAACACCTTGTCTTTGGGCTCTGAATTTCTTTCCCCTACTTGTTCAATTCTACTGCGAGACTTTCCAGAGCATTTCACATTTCTAAAAGTATGTCCAAAGTTTCCTGAATTTTTGTTTGTTTTTTCTTTAAGCTATCTATTTTATTGAATATTTCTCCCTTCACTTCTTGTATCATTTTTTGGATTTCCTTGCATTGGGCTTCACCTTTCTCTGGTCCCTTCCTGATTAGCTTAATAACTAACCTCCTGAATTATTTTTCAAGTAAATCAGGGATTTCTTCTTGGCTTGGATCCATTGCTGGTGAACTAGTGTGAATTTTGGGGGGTGTTGACGAGCCTTGTTTTATCATATTAGCAGAGTTAGTTTTCTGGTTCCTTCTCATTTGGGTAGGCTCTGTCAGAAGGAAAGTCTAGGGCTGAAGGCTGTTGTTCAGATTTTTTTTTGTCCCACAGTGTTTTCCCTTGATGTAGTACTCTCCCTCTTTTCCTGTGGATGTGACTTCTTGTGAGCCGAACTGCAGTGATTGTTGTCTTTCTTCTGGGTCCAGCCACCCAGTGAGTCTACCTGGCTCGGGGCTGGTACTGGGGGTTGTCTGCACAGAGTCCTGTGATGTGAACTGTCTACGGGTCTCTCAGCCATGGATATCAGTGCCTGTTCCAGTGGAGGTGGTGGTTGATGCGATGAACTCCATTGAGTGTCCTTAGCTTTGGTGGTTTAATGCTCTATTTTTGTGCTGGTTGGCCTCCTGCCAGGAGGTGGCAGTTTCCTGAAAGCATCAGATGTAGTAATATGGAGAGGGACTGGCGGTATGTGGGGCCCTAGAACTCCCAAGATTATATGCCCTTTGTCGTCCACTACCAGGGTGGGTAGGTAAGGACCATCAGGTCGGGGCGGGGCTAGGCATGAGTGAGCTCAGTCTCTCCTTGGGCAGGTCTTGTTGTAGCTGCTGTGGGGGATGGGGGTGAGATTCCCAGGTCACTGGAGTTGTGTACCTAGGAGGATTATGGCTGCCTCTGCTGAGTCACGCAGTTTGTCAGGGAAGTGGTATCACAGCTGGCAACCACAGGCCTCGCCCAGCTCCCACGCAAACCAACGGGCCAGTGTCACTCCCACCATGCCCTCCATAGCAGCCCCAAGTCTGTTTCCAAGTGCAGGGAAGATGGGCTTGAAAACTTGCCCGAGGCTTTCTGCCTCCAAGGAGTATTTGGGGTATCTCCCGGGTCCTGCAGGAGCAGCCCGCTTCCTTCAGAGGTGGATCCTCTCAGGATTGCTGGTTTGTTCTTACAGTCAATCTAGAGCTTTATCTGTACAATTTATTCATTAAACATATGAGTATTGTTATGGACTGAATATTTATTTTCCCCAAATATGTTGACTGCTAGGCCCAGTGTGATGGTGTTTTGGTGCGAAACTTTGGAAGGTGTTACAGATTGACACGTGAAATCAAGTAGTGACCTTTTCCAGAGAAGGGTTTTACTAATAAGGATTTTTACTTTCAATTCACTCATTCACTTTCAGCTTCCTTTGTGGCCAGGTAACTGGGTGCAAGCTTCAGCCTGACACCTTGACTTTAAATATATTAGAGATTTTTGTGATTTATCCTGTACTCCAGGCTTATTGGCATGTTCTAGGCATGTTTTCAGGTAAGAACTGGGTCAGGTCTCTGTGAGACTGGGTTGTGAATGAAGGAGAATATGTCCCTTTCTTGACTCTTCATGTCTTTTTAGAGGTGTTTTGATTCCTTCATAACACTCAGAGGTGCAGCCAAATAAATAAATAAATAAATAAATAAATAAATAAATAAATAAATGAAAGAAAAAAAAAGGAAAATCAAACTTGATTCTAGAAGCCAGCTGCCAAATCTTGAAATAGCCCAACTTAGGCTGGCCAGCAGCAATGGTCAGCTGCAAAGGGACAGTATTCTTTTCTGCCAACACCATAATCATTGAAGAGTCTTCTCCATGTTCTTGGGAAATAAACAAGTAATCCTTCTCGTACTTTTTTACAGATCGAGGATCTGGCAAGAGCTATCAAAATACTCAGTTTCAGCAGCTCTTATTTAGACCCCATCCTGTATTCCTAATTAGGCTTCAGATCTTTGCTCTGTTTTTGGCTTGCCAGAGAGAAAAGTGGCCAAGCCTTCTCACCTGGTTCGGCTGCAGGCTGAATCCCTCTTTTTCCAGTCTTTCCTTGTTAATTATCAGCACAGACAACCCCCAATGTGGTAAAACTCAATAAAACCCTCACAGGCCTCAAGCAATGAGGAAAAGAAGTTAAAAAAAAAAAAAAGTCTGCCATGGAAACTAATTGTGTGTTTTTAATTAATTGCTCCAATTAGTCTTACTTTTTTCAGTTCCACTACTCTATAACAATGTCAGCTGGGATACTTCTGGAAGTAGAAATTGCTGTAATGGTCAGGTACTTGTCAATTAAAACTCTTACTATGTGCAATTAGCTTCTCTTCATGTTTTCATGGCAACCCTGGAGAGTGTAACAGGCAGCATGGATATGGCCTTACCACCACTGCAATGAATAGTGTCAATCCATTTCTATTCCTGTAATTTTGAGAGCATGCAAATTTATTATAGAGAAAAGCAAAGTAAGACAGTACAACCAATGATGCTTTACTCTACATTTGTGATAATGTTAAAAGACCTAGTCTTTCCCCTTTGTTTATTACATTTTGACAAACAATACAAAGAGCATAGATGGTGGATAGTTAAGGGTTTAGAGACAAATGTCTTTCAAACATCTAAACTACCCACTTTAGAAGCATCTTTAACATATTGTTGATGTGAATATTTGTGATTGGCAGACTTATTCAGTCATTACAATCAGGCTTTTTTTTTAAATCACAAATAAGAAAGATGAGGTTAGTCTAGCTTTAATTATAAATCTGGAACCCATAAAACTTTTTTTCCCAAATATTCAGCCTTTTCCTTCTGTAGTCTAAAATTTTAGAATGTAATATAGTGTGCTTTCAAATAGAGCCAGAGCAGTATGATAGTTATTGTATGATTACTGAATAATTAGAATTCTTTCTACCACAATCTATTTTTTAAAGTTATTGTGAATTATTAAAAACATACATAAAAGTGCACAAAACATATAAATATCTAGCTCAATGAGTTATCACAGTCAACCTCAGATCAAGAAGTAAAGCACTGACAGAGGCCCAGAAGTCCTCCTCTTAGGTTCTCCCAGTCACTCCTTCCTGCCTCAAAAACGCTACTGCTTTGAAGAAATTGTTCCAGTGACATTCAACTTTGATTTTTATGGTTTGAGAAGATGGCTATTGTTCTCATTGCTTCTTTGAAAGTATATTAGTCAGGGTTCTCTTAGAGGGACAGAACTAATAGGAGATAGACAGATAGACAGGTAGGTAGGTAGGTAGACAGATAGGGGAGTTTATTAAGTATTAACTTACACTATCACAAGGTCCCACAATAGGCGGTCTGCAAGCTGAGGAGCAAGGAGAGCCAGTCCAAGACCCAAAACTGAAGAACTTGGAGTCTGATGTTCGAGGACAGGAAGCATTCAGCACAGGAGAAAGATGCAGGCTGGGAGGCTAGGCTTGTCTCATCGTTTCACGTGTTTCTGACTGCTTTATATTCTCTGGTGGCTGATTAGATGGGGCCCATCCCATTAAGGGTGGGTCCGCCTTCCCCAGCCCACTGACTCAAATGTTAGTCTCTGTTGGGAGCACCCTCACAGACACACCCAGGATCAATATTGCATCCTTCAATCCAATCAAGTTGACACTCAGTATTAACCATCACAGAAAGCAATTTTATTTTTACTCTGGCTGTATTTAAATGTTCTGTCTTTATATCTGAGGTTTAATAGTTTTACCATGACGTGCCTAAAACTTATCTTCAAAGTTTTTCCTTTAAACTGATTCTTTAACCTGCTTGGAGTTCATAAAACTTCTTGAACCCACAATTTGTTGTTTTTCATCATTTTGGAAAATTCTCAGCTAATGTTTCTTCAACTGCTGTTTTGGTGTCATTCTTTCTCTCCTTTCTCTTCAGTATTTCAGATGTGTCTTAGAGATTTTCACTATTTTCACTACCCACTTACTTTCTTTTAAAAATATTTGCCAACTTTTTGTTTCTTTATGCTTAAATCTGAGGATTTTTTTTTCTGATCCTGTGCACTAGTTATCTATCATTAAATCTTTCTTGAGCTGTGGTATAAACTGCTCTAAACTGATCCACTGACATTTTAATTTTGTTTATTGTATTTTTCTTTTTTGTTTTTTTTTTGTTTTGTCTTGTTTTGTTGTGTTTTGTTTTGTTTTTGAGACGGAGTCTCGCTCTGTCGCCCAGGCTGGAGTGCAATGGCGCGATCTCGGCTCACTGCAAGCTCCGCCTCCTGGGTTTACGCCATTCTCCGGCCTCAGCCTCTGGAGTAGCTGGGACTACAGGCGGCCACCGCCACGCCGGGCTAATTTTTTGTATTTTCAGTAGAGACGGGGTTTCACTGTGTTAGCCAGGATGGCCTCGATCTCCTGACCTCGTGATCCGCCCGCCTAGGCCTCCCAAAGTGCTGGGATTACAGGCGTGAGCCACTGCGCCCAGCCTATTGTATTTTTCAATTACGGAATTTTTACTTGGTTATTTTCCAATCTCTTAAGTCCTTTAAGAAATAATTTATAATCTGAGCTGAATTCTTTTTATTTCCTTGAAAGAGTACACATAGTTATGTTCTTAAGTAGTCTATGTTCATTGCTATTTATGCCATACCAATGAATGTCAGAGAGATGATATGGTGTTTCCTCAGGCAGTGGTATTCAGTGTGTTCTTGATGAGGTAGCAGCAAAGGCGGCAACTAAAATTCTCTTTGGATTGGCTCATAGACTTTTTTTCATTTTCCATATAAAAATTATGATATATATTGAAGTAGAGAGAAAAGTATATGAACCTGAAAGACCTCATCACCCAGTTCCAGCAATTATCAATATTTAGTGACTGTAGTTATTTTAAAATTCATGCCTGAAAGTCTAATATCTGGATCCACAGTGGGTCTATTTCCACTATCTGTTGGTTCTACTGTCTCTCGTTCTTGGCTTCTTGCTTTTATTTTGTTTCAGAAATTGTATTGAAAAATTATTTGCTTAAATAATTTGATGCCTATAATAATTTCTTTCTGCAGGGAAGGTTTATGTTTTCTTCTAAGTGCCTGGTGGTTCTTGTATCTAGAATCACTGTAATCTAATTTCAGGGATAAAGATGATTTAAAGCTGAACTAAAGTTCCTAGAAGAGCTGGTCTACATCTGGATCAACACTGTTAGGGTGACCCAGGCTTTGTTACCAAGCCCAATAATCCAACATTTGTGACTTTATCCCCATGAGACTGCCAAAAGTGCTACCTATGCATTTGGCTACCACTTCCTGAATTGGAAAATGCCCCAGAGGAAAACCTCAAACATTGGATCTTTACTATTATGTTAGCTCTCTAATGCTGTGAAGTAGAATATGTATATGTGTATGAGTGTGTATATCTTAGTTATCCTCAGCAGGATAATTAGTCCATATCTCCTGGTCTACCATTACCAGAAGCAAAATCCTGTTCTATACATTCCTTAAACAGTCTATCATCCTGCAGTTTTTCATACTAATCATTTTTAAAGGGAAAAATTGAATTGTAATATACAATGATTGCATCTGAATTCATTTATGTCTGTATCTACCTGTGAGAATTTGTTGATAACCATTCTGTAAATTGCTCGTTTATACTCAGATCTAGTCCTTTTCTTCTCAGATATACTTCTGAGAGATACTCAGATATATTTCTCAGTATATTTCTTCTCAGATATACTCCTTTTCTTCTCTGATGTGTATCATAGATAGAAGCTCCCTCACTCTTTGGTTTCCAAGGATATGTGACCAAAAGGAGGCACTGGTAGAAAGTTGGAGAGTGAGAGCAGGGAAGAGAAGTCAAGGTATTCTCACTTCTGTTTTTGTTTTCTATGGTTTCTCTGACAGTAGCTCTGTCTCCTTCAAGGTTCCAGCTCTTACTGGAAGGCCCTGCCACCTGAGTTATGCTGATCCCATTCTTTCCGTTACTTCCCCCACCTCTAAGGATGGTAGAGGCTTCCTACTGTTGCTATCTTGTGGGTTGCCATACTCCGTTTGGCTTCTCAACTCTTCTATCTCTGTGTAATCAGTTCCCTTTATGTTCCCACTATTGTAAAGAATTAATGTAGTTACTTTATCCATCTGTGGGGTTTTGCTATAGTATGAAGTCTAGAATACATAGTCCTTATCCTTAGAGAAGGTATTACCTTGACAAGAAATAAAACACTATATGCGTGAAGAAATTACAGATGATCACACGTTAAGTGTCAAACTTAATGATTTAAATGAGGAGGTTAATGCAACTCAAGAAAGGAAGAAACCCCTGAAATTCTCATGACCTTTTGGTGGAGGTGAGATAAATTCGCTGTAAAGGATGTGTGGTAGAATAGAATACAAAATACTCCAGGTAGAAGATAGGATCAAAGAGTTGAAATAAGACATTTCTGGAAAACAAAATCTTGGGTCAGAATCACCATGTAAAAGTAGCCTTTGAAATTATTTTCAATGCAAACTACTGGCATAGATGAGTAACTTGGTGATTCTTGTGCATGCTTTGGAAAGTCTTAAAACTTTGAAAAACTTTCAAAACCATTTGATTTGGTGGCATTTTCAATCTCACTTAAGACATTTGGTCTTGCTGGTCCATAAGCTTGAGCATCACTAGAAATTACTCTGTCATTCATTGCAAATAAGCTCTGTCTTTCAGGTGCTGCCCACAGACAATCGATTGAGAGTTGTGCAATGAATTACAGTCAGAAAGCTTGTAAACAAATACATATTTTCCTAGTGAAAAAGGTGCATGATGGGGTATATAATGAAATGCTCTTTCTAAGCCAGGATGTCATGGTACTTTTGGGTAGACTTAGGTATCTGAAATAAGTTAGGAGTGGAAGGTAGAATATGAAACCAATTATTTGGATGTGGATTGTTACTCTGAAGCTAATATTTATTGTGCTGCCAGGCTGTGCTCAAGCCCAGGGCTGTAGGATCAATATGCCTCTTTATTTGGTGTGTATTGTTTTCTTTTTTTTTTGGATTTGGACTTGATTTATTTTCTCTACACCATCTTCAGCATGAAAGTGATTTGTTTGACAATTAACTCACATTATAAAAGCCAACATTATACACAGACATAGCAGTTACAAAACATAGTGTGTATACTAATGTAACAGAATTACAACTAGTATATTGTTTTCAAACAGTGATTGAAAAGAGCACTGAATTTAGAGGTAGGTATGAGTTAGAAACCTCTCTTTGATCCCTTTTTAAGCTGTTTGATCTTGGGCAAAGAACTCAACTTCTTGAGTTTTGCCTTCATCATCTGTGAATTGGGAAGAATAACACATTCTCTCTTATAGGAGGCTATAGTAATAATTTAGGTGAGAGTGTTTAGTAAACTGTCTCACAAATGTAGCTATTTCTTACACAAACATTTGTTAGCTGCCCTACTGTCTCTAAGCTATTATGCTTGGCCAGATGCTAAAGTTTGCTGGGGAGACAGATAGTAGACACCTAACTGCACTACTAGGAACCTGTGCTTATGAGATAGACAAGGGAGAGTCAAATCATTTTCTTCTTGGATTTTTAAATTTTTCAATTGCCACTCCTAAAGTTCTGGCACCTGGCCCATAGAGTATTTGTATCCATTTTATATATTACCCACATGACACACTTGGCTGTGCTCCAGAGGTGGAAGTTGAAATCAGTAAATGTTCTCCTTATTTGCTTTATAACTAAGCTCCATTTCCTTTCCTCTCTTATATCCTGGAACCCTCAATAATATATACGTGGCGTAAAATGTACATGAAATAACAAGTCACTACTCAAAAAGTACATTTTTTTTCTCCTCAGAGCCTTATTAGCAATTGGCAATCTTAAAATTTCATCTCCTAAGCAGGGTCCTTATCAGATATTCCTTGACCCCCCTATGTTAAGTGTCTTAGCCACTCATTGTTAAGCCAACTGCTAAAATCTTAGAAAAATATTTCAGCCTTCTCCTACCCCATCCCCCACCCCCACAAGCTTCTAGCTTCTTCTACCTACAGCAAATGTTAAAACTGGTCAGAAGTTATATTATTTACTCTGAGAATAATAGTCTTTTGCAGTTGATGCATATCTTGTCACCCAACCACAGTAATTATAGGTTTGATGTGAACTGCACACTAATTATTTTTATTATTCCAGAGGTTTCATAAGCAACAATCCTCCCTTGCTCCCAAATACTCTCACACTCTGAGGAAGGGCTAACATCTAAAAATATCATCTTAAGTATATCCCTGAAGATAAAATAAATGCTAGCATATGCATTTAATGTTTGCTCCTCCTGCCCCCATCTTTCAACCATTCGCACCAAAAATGTTAACAGTCAGAATATAATTATGATTTCTCAAAGGGAACTCTTTTCTGTCTGAATTTGAGAGGGCTTCAAGATTCTTCTCCTAACTCAGATGTGAGGAACAATTGAAGGCTTTTCCCTTTTTCCTTAAGTTAAAAACAAAAAACAGAAATCATGGTCTGCATTGTTCACTTTCCCAAACAGCTTTTAGTTATTAGCAGCCTAGAAAACAAATGTAAATACTGAACTTCCAAATGCCAGAATTTAACTTGGAGTTTGAAAGTAGACAATGAAGACACCTAAACAGTCAAAGTAAACGAAACAGCACCCATGGAGCATATCCAAATGTTTATTTTAAGCAAAATTTAATCAAGCAGTTCACAGGAGATTAGAAGCAGTGAATCAGAAATGGAAATGCAGTCACCCTATGTCTAGTCAGGTCAGGCTGCCATAACAAAATACTGTCAACCGGGTAACTTAAACAATAGAATTTTTTTTCTTATAGCTCTAGAGGTTAGGAGTCCAAGATCAAGGTGCTGGTCAATTTAGGTTTATGGTGAGGGCTCTCTTCTTGTCTTGCAGATGACCCCCTTCTTGCATGGCCTTTGCTAGGTATGTGCACATGGAGAGAGAATAAGAGTGAGCTCTTGCATGTCTCTTCTTATAAGGGCACTATGCCAGCATATAGGCCCCACTCTCATGACCTCATTGGTCCCTAATTACCTCCCCAAAGCCTCACCTTCAAACACATCACATTGGGTTAGGGATTCGACATATGAATTTGGGGGAGATACAATTCAGCCCATAGCACCCTGCAAAGTCAGACATAACAATAGCAATCAAAAGAAAGTTGTTGTTTGCTAGGGAAGGACCAAAGAAAAATTGTTATCTATTTTTTTTAAGTTTTGTGTTTTGTTTTTTAAAGACAGGATCTTCCTCTGTCACCTAAACTGGAGTGCAGAGGTGCGATCATAGCTCACCATAGCCTTGAACTCCTGGACTTAAGCAATCGCCACCCTCCCTTCCCTCAACCCCTTGCCTTGGCTTCCTAAAGTATTGGGATTACATGCATGAGCCACTGCACCCAGCTAATATTTTATTTTTAAGAGTGGCCGTTTAGTGCAGGGACATATCCCTCTATGGAGGTCAGTGGTTCCTGTGAGCATCATAATGACTAATGTTCACAGTAATGATTCTGAGTCTCTAGGAACTATATTCAGTGTCCTTTGTTTAAGAGGGCAAGGAAGAGTGTAATCTATTTTAGGATTATTTTTGTCAATGTACCTAAAGTATTGGTGTGTCTGTGGGTTGTAATCAATCATTTGAAATATCCATTTATGTGGAATGGTTTTCTAAAGCCTGATAAATCTTATGCATTAACAAACACTTAATAAGTATTTTCTAGGGTCAGTCAGTAGGAACAATTGTTTTCTTCTGAATTATGCAAGAGATAACAAAATTTAATGTTGGTATTTCAGTCCTTGAAAATAATCCACTAGGTTCTTCACTGCCTAGCACCAAGGTTGAAAATAGTGATTACAGTGCTTTCTTATGCAAAGGAACAATGCCTTGGGTCATCTGTGCCTGCTCTTCTCTCTAGGGCATAGGGAAGTTCTTTCCCTCTCATAAGTGCACGCTTCATTCCTGCACCTCATTCTAAGCTCTGTGCATGTTCTCTCATTGGAGAAGCCTTCCCTGGTCACCCTATTAATAAAATAACAGACTTCTATCCCCAGGCTGTATTACTCATCGTCTCTCTTTGCCCTGCTCATTTATTGTCTATTCCATCACTTCCTCTACCCCTACCAACATAAGAGTCCCACCAGGGATGTTCACAGTGATGTTCTCCCTAGGTCCCAGAACAGTGCCTGGCACTTAGTATGCACTCGGTAAATATATGTTGACTAATTGATGGCATAATTCCTTATCTTATTTAATCCTTGTGGCACTTCTTTTATGGGTTGGATGCTGGTATTTTGATTTGATGAACTGAGAAAGCAGGCTCAGTAACTTGCTGAGAGAATACAGCTACTATGGAGCTGAGTTTTGAACTTTTGTCCTTATGACTCTGAGTTCAGCATTCATCATATCACACTTTTAACCCCACCTAGTGATGTGGAACTATATGGCAATGCTAGTGAGTGCTGGCAAGTGGCATTCCAGGATTTGGTCATTGATGTTTAATGGGAGGACAGAATCATTAGGTTACAGCAGATTTACAGCTGATAATGAATTTTTTCAAGAAATTAAGTTGTGACCCATCTATGTATCTATTAATCAAGATTCCTCAGTCTCAACAGGGAGGATAATAAATTTAGTTTTTGTTTGTTTTTGAGACAGAGTCTTACTCTATCACCCAGGCTGGAGTGCAGTGGCTCAATCCCAGCTTGCTGCAATCTCCACCTCCTAGGTTCAAGCAATTCTCTTGCCTCAGCCTCCTGAGTAGCTGGGATTACAGGCATGCACCACCACACCCAACTAATTTTTGTATTTTTTTAGTAGAGATGGGGTTTCACCATGTTGGCCAGGCTGGTCTCGAACTCCTGACCTCAAGTGATCCAACTGCCTCAGCCTCCCAAAGTGCTGGGATTACAGGCATGAGCCACCATGCCCAGCCAGTTTACGTTTTCTTTGTTTTAATTTTGTTCTGAATGAACAAATAGAAAACAACTTGCTGATTAGTCACTGTGTTGTAGTAATTATCATTTATTTCCACATCCCCCTTCTAGATAGACAACCATGTCATAACAGGATCTAGAGTATACGTAGTCTGGTCCAGAGACAGAAGATAGGAGGTTAACCAGATCAGAATCATTCATTCAAGGATCAGAGTTATATAACCAGCCACAGGTCAGATATAGAATGTTAGACATTCAATTTTTAAGATTTTCAGCAACAAAGTCTCCTTATCAGTGGCCCATTAAAGGAATACCTTGATAGTATTAAACAAGAAAGGTGCTGAAGATTAACCAAGTTCCCACACTTGCCTCTTACTGCTGCCTCTTTGGCCAGGGCAAAGCCAAGGTCAGATGCAAGGCTGACCCTGACAGGTATGTGACTCTTGAATACACTCTCTTAGCAATGGGGAGTCAAGGGAGCCCCATGAGTGACAGTTAGTGTATGTTTTGGTGAAGTTCATCTCTGAATGGACAATGTTGTCTCACAGATTGATGCTATTAGGGTTTTGTTTATGTGTAGATAATACTCTGCAGACATTTATCTTTTGTTTTAACTTAAATGGCTGCAAACAAGTCTGTTGAAACACCAGGAAATAGGTAATTATATATAAATGTGTTTTAAAAAGTTAAGCATGCAATGGGCCAACGTAAGTCAGCATATATTAACATTGCTTAGGGGGCAAATGTGTTTCTGGAACATAAAACTAGGAACCTAGCATGAGGTTTGTTTTCCTGCACACATCGTTTACCTATATATTTTTAGAACAACCATTCCATGCCAGGTAATGTAGTATATGCTCACAGTATACAGACATAAGACCCAGCCTGTTCTCAAGGAGCTCAGGACATAACAACTTCTCCGTGGGCCACTTCTAGACTCCTGTGTTTCTGTTTCTTTCAGCTTACAAGAATTCTAAAAGAGTGATATGGTTTGGATATTTATTGCTGCCCAAATCTCATGTTGAATTGTAATCCCCAGTGCTGGAGGTGGGGCCTGGTGGGAGGTGTTTGGTCATGGGGTGAATCCCTCATGGCCTGGTGCCATCTTCATGACAGTGAATTCTGGCAAGATCTGATCCTTTAAAAGAGTGTGGCACCTACCACCTCCACTCTCTCTTGCTCCCGCCTGTGATGTGCCTGTACCCCCTTTGCCTTCTGCCATGATTGGAAGCTTCCTGAGGTCTCTCCAGAAGCACATGCTGCTGTACTTCCTGTACGCCTACAGAACTGTGAGCCAATTAAACCCCTTTTTAAATAAATTATCCAGTCTCAGGTATTTCTTTGTAGCAAGGCAAGAACAGCTTAATACAAAGAGGAAATAAAAATTTGAGATACATGAAAAAGAAATCAATTAATTAGTTTAAAGTTAGTTTAATTGTTAATTAGAGGAAAGATACAGAGATTGTATCCTATAGTTTTTCTTCCTTCACACTTAATGGAGGGTTCTAAGTATGCAATCAGAGAAAGATATTAAGATAGAACAGATGTAAAGACTTTCCCTTTCTGACCTTAAAGCTGTGAAAAGATTTATTTACCTATTACATGTATCTTATATGTGTGTGTATATGTGTTTGTGACCCTCCGAAGTGTGTATGTCAAATTCCTAAGCCCTAGTATTTCAGAATGTGACTAAATTTGGAGACAGATCTTTAAAGAGATAATGAAATAAAATGAGATAATTAGAGTGGGCCCTAATCCAATGTGGTTGGTGTCCTTTGAAGAAGATGAGACTAGGATGCAGACAGTTACAGAGGGAAAATCATGTGAGGATAAAAACAGAAGATGGCTATCCGCAAGTCAAAGACAGCAGCCTCAGATGAAACCGACCCTGTCAACATCTTAATCTCAGACTTCTAGCCGTGGCTCTGAGAAAATAAATTTCTGTTGTTTAAGCCACTCAGTGTATGCTACTTTGTTTTGGCAGCCCTAGAAAATGAATACAAACACAGTATCCAAATATAAGGACCTTAGTTCTAAAGATTTTAAGAACCCAGAAACTGCACACATGTATCAGGGCTAGTTTAGAAAGAAATATTCTCAGGTGCTGGATCATACTGGGCTTGTGAAGCTCAATGACAGGATGAAAAACAATCCTGGCTGAATAGCTACGTGGATGTGAAGGGCTCTATGTCCTTAGTAGCTCATTGACTCAGTGAATAGTTTTTAAGCTCCTGCTATGTGCTAGGTATTGAACTAGGCAAGGAAAAACAAGAATTTGTCCTCGAGGCACTAGTTACTGTTGGCGGCAGCTGCAGTGTGAGGTCTTCTGAGTAATGTGAACAGGGCACATAACTGAGCAAGGGGGTTGTTCCAGGTCTGTATTCCCACTATCACTGGGCTACACTTGGTATTTTTTGTTTATTTCTCTTAAAGCCTTCTTTTTTATTATTGACCTTCTCTTTTTTATTTTATTTTTTATCTTTTTCTAAGTGGCTACATACTGGATATCAACACTGGATTTGTAGTAGTTCAGTTAGGCTCCTAGGAAGTCATTCAGAGAACGTGTTGCAGTGAATCAGACTGTGTTAACTCTGACCTAGAGTGTTATCGTCTGTCTGGCTCAATTCCAGAAGAGAGAACCTCCTCCTGTGACCTCTTCCCCTGTATCTCAGGCCATAAATAGGTGCTGGGGCCCTGCCAAGTTGGGTCACTGTGGTTCATGAGGGACTGTCAGTTTCTTACAAACATTACGCAGCTGCAAAATTGCTATGCCACCCAAGGTGACTCATAAAATCTGTCCCTCTTAAAAAGGGAATATGAGAAATGTCACCTCCTGGCTACCACAATAATGCAACTAGGAGTTCTGGTTCTCCGCTGACTACCCACAGGAGTCCTTAGAGGAACCACACAGGAAACCTGGGAAACCTAACACTCTGATTCCAAGGCAAGTATTAGGAAGCAGGGTAGAACTTCTGGGTATTTTAGTCCAGGATTGTGATAAAATATAAACGATGTTTGATATTTACTTGTATTAGTCAGGGTTTTCCAGAGAAACAGAACCAATAGGATATATGTATATATATGTATATATGTATATATGTATATATATATGTATATATGTATATATGTATATATATGTATATATATATGTATATATGTATATATGTATATATATGTATATATGTATATATGTATGTATATATGTATATATGTATATATGTATATATGTATATACATATATACACACATATATACATGCACATCTATACATATGTGTATGCACACATATATACATACACATCTGTACACATGTGTGTGCACACATATATACATACACATCTATACACATGTGTGTGCACACATATATACATACACATCTATACACATGTGTGTGCACACATATATACATACACATCTATACATATGTGTGTGCACACATATGTACATATACGTGTGTGTGTGTGTGTGTGTGTGTGTGTGTGTGTGTGTGTGTGTGGTGGGGCAGAGAGAGGGAAAAAGGGAGAATTATTCTAGTTATTTTAAGGAATTTGCTCACATAATTATGGGGTCTGGTATGTCCAAAATCCGCAGGGCAGGGCGGTAGGAGAGAAACTCAAACAGGATTTCTATGTTGCAGTCTTGAAGCAGAATTCTTTTTTCTGTGGGAAGCCTCAGTTGTTAAAAGGCCCTCAACTGATTAGATAAGACCTACCCACATTATGGGGCGTAATCTGCTTTACCTAAAAAATCTACAGATTACAAATATTAATTACATCTACAAAATACCTTCACATCCCATCTAGACTAGTGTTTAACCAAACAAGAGGGCACCATAGCCTAGCCGAGATGACACATAAAATGAACTGTCACACCACTTAGAACTGAAAGAAGTAATCGGAAGCCTTTGTCATGTTATTGGGGAATAAAGATTTCAAGGAAGTTAACTTGTCACTTCAGATTTCTCTCTCTTTGAATACCTTTAGTCTTGGGGTTTGCAGTCACTGTTTCACAAGGCCAGCAAGTTCATCTTTGGATAACTCTCATAGTTGACAAATCCTTGCTTGAATATGTTTAATCCCAATTCTTCTCCCTGTAACTATAATGCCTTAAATGCAGCTCTACCCCTTGGAACAACATGGAAGCAGGATGAAGACCAATTGATCTTAAATAATGTCCCAACGTATGCTGTATGGAATATTCATTTTGTCTGATTCTTAGTTTAGGAGTGAGGGATAAAGAAGGCTCTGTGGTCAAATAAATTTGGGAAACATTGCTTACATGCTGTTGCTTTGGAAGACACAAACCAACTAAACTAAACTGTAGCCTGGCACTTCTCATATACGTGACCTTGGAAAATTGTCTTTCTTCATCCTGTGCAATAGACATTGAAAATTTCTACAAGTCTCTCTGACACCAGCCTTTAGTTTAGACGTTCCATCCCTCCAGTTGGTCTGCATCATGGTTGTTGTATCAGTAAGCTGTGTTTTGGAACAAACCACCCCAATCTTTAGTAGCTTAAAATAATAGCCATTTATTATTTCTCCCAAGTCTACAGTTCACTGGGTGATACTGCTGTCTGAAATGGGTCTTGACTGATCTCAACTGGGTTTACTTATGCATCTTCAGCCAGCTGGTAAGTAGGCTAGGGGATGGCTGGTCTAGTGTGGCCTTGGCTGGGATGACTCAGCCCTATTTTATGTGTCTCTCATACCCTTTCACCTGGCTAGCCTTGGATAGTCTCATTGCAGTGACAGGGGTTGAAGAGAGAAAATGGAGACATGCAGGCAAGCACTTTTCCAAGTCTCTCCTTGCATCAAGTTTGCTGAAATTCTGTTGGCCAAAACAAGTCACTTGGGGCAAGCTCAGAGTCACAGTGGCATGGCACTACAGTTATAGGGCAAAGGGGGAGGATATGGGGTGACCATTAATTGAGGCCATTGGCTATATTCATCTAATGCAGTTATCAAATGCAAATCTGAGAAATGGTGCTGAAATGGCTACATCAGAATTAACAGAGGAAGCATAGTAAAAATGCAGGTCCTCTGATCTCTACCCTTCAGACATGCACAGGGTAGGATTGGTCACCCACAGTTTTAAAAACTCCTTAGGTAACACTGATGATGAGCCAGGTTTGGAAACACCTGGTTTGGACTCCTCTTTTATTAAACAATGTTAACTAAGCTCATGCAGTTATAAATTCCATAAGGGATATAGAAAGAGGTTTAAGATGAAGATGTTGGTGCTTCTTCCTAATGAGCTTCTAGTCTCAGGCAAATAAGATGGTAAGATAGATAGCAACAGGTCAGCTTTTAATCTCATTGCTGCCATGCCTCTTTCCTGGCTTAAAATCTGTCCTGGCTCATGGGATCCCTGCAATTAGATCATTTACTCAAACTGTGACTAACACATTTTATTCTGGGTGTGTGTGTGCCATGCCCTCTATCAAGAGAAGCAGCTGCAGAAGAGGGACTGAGCCCAAGTTAATCCTAATATAGCCAGACTTAAAAGGGGTGGGGAATAGATGATTACTACCCCAGAGACTGAGGATCCCAAGAAGTCAATGGAGTAACTGTTGTAAGGGTGTTGACTGTGAAAACACATTAATATCAAGCATTATCTGAACCTGAATAAAATCAAATCTCCCAAATATGTATACAACTTTTTCCCACAAATCTATTTATATGTTGTTATGATTAGTAACATATAGGTATTGCTGAATTCATTATATCTAGTTATTTGTATGTGTATATATGTATTTATATATCATTTCAGTCAACAGTTAATGAAGATAGAATAACTAATAGCTTGTGGAAGTTCATATAATTTTTTACATTCACAAGTTGGACACTTACTGGGCTGCTCTGGCTGCCATAACAAAATAACATAGACTGAATGGCTTAAATAACAATTTATTTTCTCACAATCCTGAAGGCTGGAAGTCCAATATGAAAGTTCCAAGAGGGTTGATTTCTGGTCAGGCCCCTCTCCCTGTCTTGTAGATGGCTGCTTTCTTTCTGTGTCTTCACATGACTTTTTCTCTGTGTATTCATGGGCAAAGTGTTAGCTCTGGTGTCCTTTCTTCTTCTTAGAAGGACATCAGTCTTCTTGGATTTGGGACCCAACCCAGTGATCTCATTTAAACTTAATTATCTCAGTAAAGGCCCTGTCTCCACATATAGTCACATGGGAATTAGGTCTTCAAACATGAATTTTGGGGGAACACAATTTAGCCCTTAACAGGAACCATTGTGTTAAACTATTGCTGAGTATAAAATGCCCTCACTCCTTGCTGTTGCCATTTGGGATCTCCTCCAAGATATGATTTGGCCCCAGAACCTTTCCTACTCATTTCTTCAGAGTGATGGCTCTCAAATATTTTTGGACTATAGCCATCCCAGTGGTTCAAACGACCTCTTGACTCTCTACCTTATATGTTCAAACTAGATTATATAAAGCATTGAGGCCCAAAATATGTGGATTTTATGCCTACTTTAAAATAGTAAGCTTATGTATCGATTTTGCATTCTAGAATGCTGCAGTATAAGTTTAATCAAATAATTTGCAGCTAAAAAAAGGCAAGCAAAATTTCTTCACATCAGCAATGAACGTACTGCTATACAGGCATACATTTCATATCTTCTTGATCGATAAAGGCACAGTTGATTAATATTTGAATTGCAATGCCTTTCTGTCTCAGTATATAGCTCTTGGAGCATTTTAGTTTCCTAGTCTGTATATGTGTTTCACTGAAACCTAAGAGAACAAATATTATTGGCATAGTGGTTAAGAGCAAGGGATCTAGAGCAAGAGTCAGCAAACTGTGGCCCAGAGACCAAATCCTGCCTACTGTCTGTTTTTGTAAATAAAGTTTTATTGGAACACAGCCATACCAATTTGTTTATGTAATGTTTAAGGCTGCTTTGGGGCTACAACGACGTAGTTCAGTAGGGACCCTACAGTCTACAGAGCCCCAAATACTTAGTATCTGGCCCTTTACAGAAAGTTTGCTGACCTCCGACCTACCGTGAAGATCCCTGAGTTTGGGTCCTGCTTCTGCAGTGTCTATCTGTATGATCATAGGCAAGTTGTCTAGTTTCTCTGTGCCTTAGTTTCCTCATCTGTAAAATGAGGATGATACTATTATCTGTCTTGAAAGGGTGTTAAGAGCAGCAAATGAACATGTAAAGATCTCAGCCTAGGGCCTGGACTAAACACTCAAATAGTAGTTGCTATTACTACTGAACAACCCTGCACAAACTAAATCCATAATGAAGATGCTAAACTGAGAGGAATTTATAATTAAAAAGGAAAATTAACAGTGATTAAAAACCTGACCAACTCAAATCAACAGCGGTGAGGCTCCTCCCTATGTACCGTTTCTAAAAATTTGCAGGAATTCTATTTATATGTGGGGCATGCCCAGTGGGAGCTTTCAAACATTGGCAAGTATTGCTTGGTACTAAGCCATTTTAGGAAAATATAGACTAAATCCTTGGTAAATTCAGGCAATATACTAAGTTTAATTTATTTAGTAACCCTTAGTAATTCACCAAGGATGTACCAGTAAATAGCCCCTAGCTATTCCCAAAAATAGAACTCAGTGGAATTAAATTATATTTTTAGTTCTGTTCATAGCCTACCAGTTTATATTTTGAAACTGTCTAAGCCTAACTCTTTTCTGACTGGATGATGAGCAGCCATCTGGTACATGGATTCAATGAAACCATTCATGGATTCAATCCCTATGTTATCTGCTTGATTCTCTCTTACAGTCACTGGCTGTACCTTTCGCCATACGTGGCTGTGGCAAATTTGCCCCCGAAGAAGATTAAATAGTATTACTAGTAGTTAGGTAAGCGTCAATATTTTAGCCCCACTGGAAAATATCTTTCAGTGATGAATGGTTCATCAGTAGCATCATGGTTTGTTAAGGGAAGTTCATAATCCAAGGGAGAAGGCCTGCAGAGATTACTCCCCAGTCTACCAATGGGTTATGTAAGGTCATTGGCAGTTCTTTACATAAGGGGTTAGTTTTGCAATTGTATATGTAACACTGGAAATAGCAGTCTTAAAAAAAATAGATGCTTAATTAGGAGTAGGAAGTGTGAATAGAAAGTTTCTTGTCTAAGGCCAGGTGTGGAGGCTCACGCCTGTAATCCCAGCACTTTGGGAGGCCAAAGTGGGAGGACTGCTTGAGGCCAGGAGTTTGAGACCAGCCTGAGCAACATAGCAAGACCTCATCTTTACAAAAAACTAAAAAGTAAATGGATGTGGTGGCATGAGCCTGTAGTCCTAGCTACTTCAGAAACTGAAGTAGAGGATCGCTTGAGCCCAGGAGTGCAAGGTTGCAGTGAGCTATGGTAGCCACTGTGCTCCAGCCTGGGTGAGTGTGAGACCCTGTCTCTAAACAATAAGAAAAAATAATGTGTCTTGTCTAATCTGCTGGTTGTTTGGATCCTTATCACTGTCTGAAGTCTCTTTATGAAGTTTCAAAATGAAACACAAACAGTCATTAACTTGTGAGCATGACTACAAAAGACTCCTCAAGAATGGTTACTCAGAGGCACGGCACACTGTTAATTGGTTAATTAATTGGTTAATCCAACTTGATTGGATTGAAGGATGCAAAGTATTGATCCTAGGTGTGTCTGTTGAGGGTGTTGCCAAAGGAGATTAACATTTGAGTCAGTGGGCTGGGAAAGGCAGACCCACCCTTAATCTTGGTGGGCACAATGTAATCAGCTCCCAGCACAGCCAGAGTAAAAAGCAGGCAGAAGAACATGAAAAGACTATACTGGCTTAGCCTTCCAGCCTACATCTTTCTCCTGTGCTGAATGCCTCCTGATCTTGAACATCAGATTTCAAGTTCTTCAGCTTTGGGACTCGGACTGGCTTCCTTGCTCCTCAGCTTACAGATGGCATATTATGGGACCTTGTGATCATGTGAGTTAATGCTCCTTAATAAACTCCCATATATATATATCCTATTAGTTCTGTGCAACTGGAGAACCCTGACTAATACAACAGTTAATGCTAATTGTATTTTCTTTTTCAGACATTCAATAGATTTTTAACAGACTTCTTTTGAGAAGTTTTATGTTCACAGCAAAATTGATTAGATGGTACAGAGATTTCTGATATGCCCCTATTCCCACACATGAATAGCCTCACCCATTATCAACATCCCTCATCAGAGTAGCACATTTGTTACAGTGGATGAACCTACATCATTATCACCCAGAGTCCATAGTTTACCTTTGGGTTGACTCTTGGTGTTGTACATTCTATGGTTTTGGACAAATGTATAACATGTATTCATCATCAGAATATCATATAGGGCAGTTTCCCTGCCCTAAAAATCTTCTGTGCTCGACCTATTTATCTCCCCTAGCTTTTTGAAACAACTGATCTTTTTACTGTCTATAGTTTCACTTTTTCCAGAATATAATATAGTTGAAATCATACAGTATATAGTCTGTTCAGATTGGCTTCTTTCACTTATTAATATTCATTTAAGTTTCTTTCATGTCATTTCATAGTTTGATAACTCATTTATTTTTAGTGCTGAATAATATTCCATTGTCTGATTTAGGACAGTTTATCCATTCACCCACTGAAGGATATCTTGGTAGCTTCCAAGTTTTGCAAATTGTGCATTAAGCTGCTATCAATATCCATGTGCGTGTTTTATGTTGACATAAGTGTTCACTTCCTTTGGGTAAATATCATGGACATGATTGCTGGATCTTATGGTCATATGATTAGTTTTTTAAGAAACTTCCAAATTGTCTTTCAAAGTGGATGTATTTTGAATTCCCACCAGCAATAAATGAGAGCTCTTGTTGCTCTACATCTTTGCCAGCATTTGGTGGTGTCAGTGTTCTTGATTTTGGCCATTCTAATAGGTGTGGAGAGGTATCTCATTTTCCTTTTCATTTTATTGATGGCACAGGATGTAGAGCATCTTTTCCTATGCTTATTTTGCCATCTGTATATCTTCTTTGATAAGGCATTTTTTAAAGTATTTAAACCTTTTTCTTTGTTTTTTGAGACAGTTTCGTTCTTGTTGCCCAGGCTGGAGTGCAATGGTGTGATCTCGGCTCACCTCAACCTCCACCTCCTGGATTCAAGTGATTCTTCAGCCTCAGCCTCCTGAGTAGTGGGGATTACAGGCAGGCACCACCACGCCTGGCTAATTTTGTACTTTTAGTAGAGATGGGGTTTCTCCATGTTGATCAGGCTGGTCTTGAACTCCTGACCTCAGATGATCCACCCACCTTGGCCTCCCAAAGTGCTGGGATTACAGGCATGAGCCACCACACCCGGCCATATTTAGTCCTTTTAAATTTTTAATTTTTGTGGGCATATAGTAGGTATATATAATTATAGGCAGTACATGAGATGTTTTGGTATAGATATGCAGTGCATAATCACATCATGGTAAACAAGATATCCATTACCACAAGCATTTACCCTTTGAGTTACAAACAATCCAATTATATTCTTTCAGTTATTTTAAAATGTAGTCAAATTATTATTGACTAGTCCCCCTATTGTACTATCAAATATTGGATATTATTCATTCTAACTATTTTTTTGTACCCGTTAACCAACCCCAGTACCCCCCGTCACTACCCTTCACAGCCTCTGGTAACCATCATTCTATTCTCTATCTCCATGAGTTCAATTGTTTTAATTTTAAGCTCCCACAAATAAGTGGGGACATGCAAAGTTTGTCTTTCTGTGCCTGGCTTTTTTCACTTTACATAATGACCTCAAGTTCCATCTATGTTGTTGCAAATGATAGGATCTCATGATTTTTTTATGGCTGAATAGCACTCCATTGTGTATATGTGCCACATTTTTTAAATCCATTCATCTGTTGATGGACACTGAGCTCGCTTCCAAGTCTTGGCTATTGTGAGTAGTGCTGCAATAAACATAGGACTGCAAATAGCTCTTTAATATATTGATTTCCTTTCTTTTGGATATATACATAGCAGTGGGATTGTTGGATCATATGCTATCTCTATTTTAGTTTAATTTAATTTAATTTAGTTTTAGGGGTACATGTGCAAGTTGGTTCTATGGATAAATTGCATGTCATGGGGGTTTGGTGTACATGGTATGTTGTCACCAAGATAATAAGCATAGTACCTGATAGGCAGTTTTTCTGTCCTCAGCTACCTCCCACCCTCCACCCTCAAGTAGGCCCCAATGACTGCATAAACAAACTAACAAACAAGCAAAGAGAAAATTAATTTTAAAAAACCTATGCTTTAACTTCGTCCTTCTGCTTTTTAACTTTTTGTTGTTTCAATTTATGTTTTATTGTATTGCCTATGTCTTGAAAAGTTGTTGTAATTCTATTTTATCATTTCATCTTTTAGTCTTTTTACTTAAGACATGAGTAGTTCGCACACCACAATTACAGTGCTAGAATATTCTGTGTTTTATTCTGCACTTACTAATACCAGTGATTCTGTATCTTCAGGTGATTTCCTATTGCTTGTTAACATCCTTTGCTTTCTGACGGAAGAACTCCCCTTAGCATTTCTTGTGGGACAGGTCTGGTGTTGATGGAATCCCTGAGGTTTTTTTTTTGTCTGGGAAAGTCTTTATTTCTCCTTCATGATGGAAAGGTATTTTTGCTGGATAAACTATTCTAGGGTAACATAGAACTTTTTTTTCCTTCAGCACTTAAAATATGTCATGCTACTCTCTCCTGGCCTGTAAGGTTTCCACTGAAAAGTCTGCTGCCAGCCATATTGGAGGTCCATTGTATGTTATTTGTTTCTCTTCTCTTGCTGCTTTTAGGATCCTTTCTTTGTCCTTGACCTTTGGAAGTTTGATTATTAAATGACTTAAGGTAATCTTTTTTGGGTTAAATCTGCTTAGTGTTCTATAACCTTCCTGTACTTGAATATTGATATCTTTCTCTAGTTTTGGGAAGTTTTTTGTTATTATCTCTGAATGAACTTTTTACCCATATCTCACTCTCTACCTCCCTTTTAAGGCCAGTAACTCTTAGATTTGCCCTTTTGATGCTACTTTCTAGATTTTGTAGGCCTGCTTCATTGTTTTTTTATTCTTTTTTCTTTTGTCTCCTCTGTATTTTCAAATAGTCTGTCTTCAAGCTCACTAATTCTTTCTTCTGCTTGGTAATTTCTGCTACCAAGAGACTCTCATGCATTCTTCAGTATATCAATTGCATTTTTCAGCTTCAGAATGTCTGATTCTTTTTAATTATTTCAGTCTCTGTTAAATTTATCCGATAGCATACTGAAATCCTTGTCTGTGATCCTCAACACAGCTATTTTGAATTATCTGTCTGAAAGGTCACATATTTGGCTCTCCAGGATTGGTCCCTGGTGTCTTATTTAGTTCATTTGGTGAGATCATGTTTTCCTGGATGGTCTTGATGTTTATAGATGTTTGCTGGTGTCTGGGCATTGGAGAGTTAGGTATTTATTGTAGTCTTTGCAGTCTTGGCTTTTTTTATACCCATCCTTCTGGAGAAGGCTTTTCAGATATTCAAAGGGACTTGGGTATTGTTATCTATGTTTTTGGCCACCGCAGCCATGTCTGCATTGGGGGTGCACCACGCGTCCAGTAACGCTGTGGCTCTTGCAGCCTTGTAGAGGTACTGCCGTGGTGGTCTTCGATAGGATCCAGAAGAATTCTCTGGATTACCAGGCAGAGACTCTTACTCTCTTCTCTTACTTTCTCCCAAACAGAGTCTTTCTCTCTTTCTGTGCAGAGCTGCCTGGAGCTGGGGGAGGGGTGACACAATCATCCTTATGACGACCACTAGGACTGTACTGAGGCAGACCTGAAGCCAGCACAGCACTAGTCTCACCCAAGGCTCACTATAACCACTACATGGCTACTGCCTATGTTCACTCAAGACCTTAGGGCTCTACGATCAGCAGGTGGCAAAGCCAGCCAGGCTTTTGTTCTTCCCTTCAGGGTGATGAGTTCCCCTTGGTCCTAGGTAGGTCCAGAGGTGCCATTTGGGAGCAGGGCCTGGAATCAGAAACCTTAGGAATCTAGCTGGTGCTCTGTTCTACTGCAGCTAAGCTGTCACCCAAGCAACAAGAAAAAGTCCTTCCCACTTTTATCTACCCTTTCCACAAACAGAGGAGTCTGTCCCCATGGCCACCACTGCTCCAGACACATGGGAAGCACTGCCTGGCTACTGTCAATGTTTACTCAAGGCTCAGGAGCCCTTCAGTTGGCTTGTGGTGAATGCTGCCACTCCTGGGACTCTTCCTTCAGGGAAGGGGGCTTCCCTTTGGCCCAGAGCAGGTCAGAAATTCTGTCTAAGAGCCAAGGCCAAGGATGTCCCTTAGCCTCAGGGACCCTAAGATCCTGCTTGGTACCTTCTGTGGCCAAGCTGGTACCTAGGCTGCAAGACAAAGTCCCCTTTACTCTTTCTTCTGCTTTTCTCTATCAGAAGGAGGCTCTCCTTGTAGCCACCACAACTGGTCCATCTTAGAGTTAAACACTAGACCCATGGCAGGTACTGCCTGGCTACTGCTGCTGATTATTCAGGGCCCATGGGCTCTGTAGTCAGCAGGTGATGAATCCAATCAGGATTGTGTCCCTCCCCTCAACGCAACAGATTCCCTTCTGGCCCAGGATATGTCTAGAAATGTCATCTTAGAGCTAGGGCCTGGAATGGGTGCCTCAGGACTCTGGGCAGTGCCCTATTCTATTGTGGCTGAGCTGGTATCCAAGCTGTAAGACAAAGTCTTCTTTATTCTTCCCTCTCCTCCCCACAAACAGAAGGAAAGAGTCTCTTTCAGAGGCTGCAAGCTGCACTGTGCAGGGTTGAGGGAGAGATAGCACAGACACTTTCTTGGCTGCCCCAGATGGTATTGCACTTAGTCACATGCTTCCCAAGTCCACTGGCTCTGAGCCCAGCACAGCATTAGGATTTGCCTAGGAGTTGCTGTTCTTGTGGCCTAGACTGCATTTCACTGTTATTTAGGACCCCAGAACACTTTAGCCTGCGATGGTGAGGCTTGCTGGAACTTGAGTTTTGACCATTGAGATGGACAATTTTTTTCTAGCTAGGGGTGGTCTAAACGTTCCCTCTGTGGACGTCAGCTGAGTTCTTCCCAGTGTTGCTTCCCACTGTAACAGGGCAGCACTGAATTCCAATGTAAATTCCCTAAATTACTGTGCTCTCCCTCCTCCAACACACATATTCTCTTTTTGTGCTACACGGCTGCTGCCAGGGGGTGTGGGAGGGGTGGCATTGGCAGTTCAAGACTGTCTTTCCTATCCTCTTCAGTGCCTCTTTCAATGATATGAAGTTCAAGCCAGGTACTGTGATTGCTCACCTGATTTTGTTCTTATGAAGGTGCTTTTTTTGTGGAGATTGTTGTTAAATTTTGTGTTCCTTTAGAGGTCAATTGGTGGAGCCTTCTATTTGTAGATCTTGCTCTACCTCTCTAGACAATTTTTTAGTTAGGTTGTTTATTTTCTTATGGTTGAGTTTTAAGAGTTTTTTGTATATTTCAGATAATAGTTCTTTATCACATTTGTCTTTTCAAATATTTTCTCCCAGTCTGTGTCTTGCCATTTCATTTTCTTGACAATGTCCTTCATAGAGCAGCAAGTTATAGTTTTAATGAAGTCTAGCTTATTAATTATTTCCTTCACAGTTCACGCCTTTGGTGTTGTATCTAAAAACTCATCTAAAAAACCAATGTTGTCTAGATTTTCTCCTATGTTATCTTCTAAAGATTTTATAGTTTTACATTTAAGTTTATAACCTATTCACGTTAATTTTTCTGATGGGAGTAAGGTCTGTTTCTAGTTTTGTTTTGTATTGTTTTGTTTTGCATGTGGATGTCCAGTTGTTATAGCACAACTTATTGAAAGACTATCTTTTCTTCCTTGTAATAGCCTTTCTTCCTTTGTGGTCTATCTTCGTGAATTTTCCATGTGAGATTGGCGGGAGTGTACATTCTGCTGTACTGGATAAAGTATTCCATAGATGCCCATTATTTCCATTTAATTGATGGTATCGTTGAGTTCAGCTATACCCTTACTGATTTTCTGCCTGCTAGATCTGTTCATTCCTGATACAAGAGTGTTGAAGTCTTTAACTACAATAGTGGATGAATCTATTTCTCCTTACAGCTCTATCAGTTTTTGCCGCACATATTTTGACACTCTGTTGTTAGGTACATACATATAAGGATTATTATGTTTTTTTGGTGAATTTACTCCTTTATCATTATGTAATACATTTTTTATCCCTAATAATTTTCTTTGCTCTAAAGTCTGCTCTGTCTGAAATTGATATAGTGAATCTCACTTTCTTTTGATTAGTGTAAGCATGTTATATCTTTCTTCATCCATTTACTTTTAATTTACATGCATCTTTATATTTAAAGTGAGTTTTTTCCAAGATGAAATATTTGAAATACCAGATAAAGAAATCAAAAGGTTGATTGTTAAGTTACTCAAGAAAATGCAAGAGAAAGGTAAAAACCAACATAAAGAAATTTAAAAAACAATTCAGGATGTGAATGAAAAAATTTTCTAAAGAGATAGATATTTTAAAGAAATACCAATCAAAATTTCTGGAAATGAAAGACACCTTTAAAGAATTACAAAATGCAGTGGAAAGTGTTAACAGCAGACTAGACCAAGTAGAAGAGAGAATTTCAGAGCTTGAAGACAAGGCTTTTGAATTAAACCAATCAGACAAAAATAAACAAAAAAAAGAAATGAACAAAGTTTCCAAAAAATATGGAATTATGTAAAATGGCCAAACCTAAGAATAATTAGCGTTCATGAAGGGAAAGAAAAAGCAAAAATTTGGAAAACCTATCTGAGGGAACAATTGAAGAAAACTTTCCTTGTTTTGCTAGAGATTTATACATCCAAATACAAGAAGCTCAAAGAACTTCTGAGAGATTCATTGCAAAAAGATAACACCAAGGTGTATAGTCATCAGGCGATCTAAAGTCAACACAAAGGAAATAATTTTATTTTTAAACTTTTAAGTTCTGGATACATGTGCAGGATGTACAGGTCTATTACATAGGTAACCATGTGTCATGGTTGGTTGTTGAACAGATTATTTCATCACCAGGTATTGAACCTAGTATCCATTAGTTATTTTTCCTGATCCCCTCTTTCCTCCATTCCCACGTCTGATAGGCCCCAGTGTATGTTGTTTCCCTCTATGTGTCCCTGTGTTCTCATTGCGCAGCTCCCACTTATAAGTGACAACATGCGATATTTGGTTTTCTGTTCCTCTGTTAGTTTGCTAAGGAATAATGCCTCCAGCTCCATCCATGTCCCCTGCAAAGGACATGATCTCATTCTTTTTTATGGCTGCATAGTATTCCATGAGGTATATGTACCACATTTTCTTTATCCAGTCTATCATTAATGGGCATTTGGGTTGATTCTATTTCTTTGTTATTGTGAATAGTAATGCAATGAACATACATATGCATATGTCTTTATAATAGAATGATTTATATTCCTTTGGGTATATACCCAGTGATGGGATTGCTGGGTCAGATGATATTTCTGTCTTTAGGTCTTTGAGGAATCGCTACTCTTTCACAATGGTTGAACTAATTTACATTACCACCAAGAGTGGAAAAGCATTCCTATTTCTCTACAACCTCACCAGCATCTATTATTTTTGGACTTTTTAATAATAGCCATTCTGATTTGTGTGTGATAGTATCTCATTGTGGTTTCAATTTGCATTTCTCTAATGATCAGTGATGCTGAGCTTCTTTTCATATGCTTGCTGCTGTATGCATGTCTTCTTTTTGAAAAGTGTCTATGTTCTTTGCCTACTTTTTAATGGGGTTGTTTTTTCTTATAAATTTGTTTAAGTTCCTTATAGATGCAGGATATTAGACCTTTGTCAGATGCATAGTTGTTGGGAAAAGCTGAGTGTTGGGAGAAGCTGAGGCAGGGCTTGCATGTCTGACATAATGTAAAAGAGTCTTGGAACATGTCCGGGGTCCAGGGTCTAAAACACCTTGTGGCCTTTGGAACACCAAGCTCTGTGCTAAAGGGTGGAAGGCTACCCTGACTCACCATAATCTAAGCCCAGGGCATAAAATCCCTTGTGGCTTGGATAGAATCCAGGGCTTGTGGCTCTGGAATGTGTCTAGACTTGCTGGCTCCTTGCCCCTTGCTCTCCTGGGATCAATTGTATCTTTAGTTAAAAGAACCTCCTCTCCATTATCTCAAGTAGCAGAGCAAATGCTAAACCGTCACATGCTAAATCATGTGCTTAATGCAACACGCCCTTTTGACCCCCACATTCTCACCACCTGTTTCTTTGTTGGATTACCAATAAATAGGGTGGGCTCCCAGAGCTCAGGGCCTTCACAGCCTCCACAATCACGATGGCCCTTTGGTCCCACTTTACTTCTCAAACTGTCTTTTTCTCAATCCTTTGACTCCACCAGACTTCGCCGCCCCCACGACCTGGTGTTGGGTCTGATCACCCCAACACATAGTTTGCAAAAATTTTTTCCCATTCTGTAGGTTATCTGTTTCCTCTATTGATAGTTTCATTTGCTGTGCAGAAGCTCTTTAGTTTAATTAGATTCCATTTGTCAATTTTTGCTTTTGTTGCAATTGCTGTTGGTGTTATCATGAAATATTTGCTCATGCCCATGTCCTGGATGGTATTGCCTAGGTTGTCTTCCAGGGTTTTTATAGTTTTAGGTTTTATATTTAAGTCTTTAATCCATCTTGGGTTAATTTTTTTATGTGGTGTAAGGAAAGGGTCCAGTTTCAATTTTCTGCTAATGGCTAAGCCAGTTCTTCCAGCACCATTTATTGAATAGGAAATTCTTTCCCCATTGCTTGTTTTTGACAGGTTTATCAAAGATCAGATAGTTGTGGGTGTGCAGTCTTATTTCTGGGTTCTCTATTCTGTTCCAGTGGTCTATGTGTCTATTCTTGTACCAGTACTATGCTGTTTTGATTACTGTAACCCTGTAGTATAGTTTGACGTTGAGTAGTGTGATGCCTCCAGCTTTTTTTTTTTTTTTCCTTAGGATTACCTTGACTATTTGGGCTCTTCTTTTGTTCCATATGAATTTTAAAACAGTTTTGGGCCAGGTGCGGTGGCTCACACCTGTAATTCCAGCACTTTGGGAGGCCAAGGCGGGCAGATCACTTAAGGCCAGGAGTTTGAGACCAGCTTGGCCAACACAGTGACACCCCATCTCTACTAAAAATACAAAAGTTAGCTGGGCATGGTGGTGCACACCTGTAATCCCAGCTGCTTGGAAGGCTGAGGCACAAGAATCACTTGAACCCAGAAGGTGGAGGTTGCAGTGAGCCGAGATTGTTCTACTGCACTCCAGCCTGGGTGGCAGAGTGAGACTCTGTCTCAAAAACAAAAAAAAGGTTTTTCTAGTTCTCTGAAGAATGTCAATGGTAGTTTAATGGGAATAGAATTGAATCTATAAATTGCTTTGGGCAGTACGGCCATTTTAACAATATTGACTCTTCCTATCCGTGAGCACGAGAAATTTTTTCATTTGTTTGTGTCATCTCTGATTTCTTTGAGCCATGGTTTGTAGTTTTCCTTGTAGAGATCGTTCACTTCCCTTGTTAGCTGTATTACCAGGTATTTGATTTATTTGTGGCAATTGTGATCTCACTTCTTTTTCAAACTTAAGAAGAGTTTTTGATGTTTTAGTTTGTTCAGCTTAATGTTTGTTAAGGTGGAATAGCAACTTCCAAGCTCCATACATGTAGGCCTGGAGTCCAAAAGTCTCCAATAGAGTTTTAAAAATTCCTATGGATGGTTCTTGCACAAAATACTCCACAGTAAACTCTGGTCTTTTCTTTCTTCTGATGCTCTGTTGGCAACCTCTCTTTGGTCTGTGAGAATTTTGGCAATGCCCTCTTTCTTAGTTCTTTTCCTGTCTCTTCATTTTTTTCTAGTTCGGCCTCTTCCTGGAGATCTTCTTCCTTTGCTCTTCATCTTTCCCCAATTAATTTTTTATTATCCTGCATTTCTGTCTATGCAGATGCCTGGTAAACCCATCCCAACTTCTATTAAGATAAAGTGAAAATGCGCTGTCAATATCTATCTTTTTCTCTGGGTCAGAAATGATTAGATAATGGATCATTGAGAATTTTAAAAAGATATAAATAAATGTATTTGTGGGTTTACAGTTCTTGTTTACTTAGCTTAGTTTGTAAAACAATATATTTTTTCATTATACAGGAAACATCTGTCTGTTGTAGGAAGTTTGGCAAAATAAAGAAATCTAATAAATAAAAACATAAGTACCATAACCCTACTGCCCATACATAACCACTGTTAATATTTTGCTATATTTCTTTCCCATCTTCTTCACACATTTATTAAGCATACATATACATACATAATTTATCTGTTTAAAAGTTACTTTATGCTAATAGTTTATACATATAGAGCATTTATTAGATACTGTGCTAAGCATTTTATGTACATTATTTAATTTAATCTTCACTATAATCGAATGTGATATAACCTACATTATTTCCATGCTAGAGATGCTGAAATAGAGCCCAGAGAATGAAATTATTTGACCAAGTTAATTAAGGACGACAAGAGTCCATGATATTTATCCTATGCTAATTTGGTCACCATATTTGTTTTATTAATAATAGATCTTAATATTTAAATTGAATTTATTAGTGATTAGAGGATTATTTTAAACCTAATGAGTTATTAGCTTTTAAATAAATAAGTTAATGTGTATTAATTATAGCTCAAAATATTTAAATTTATAATTCTTAACAGAGTACCTTTCTTGCCTCTACTAAATGAGGCAGAGAATTACTACCCATGCGAAAGGCCACAAACTGAACTCCATCCTTGTCTTTAACCTTGTTTCTCCTTCCTTCTTTACTATTCAACTAAACTGATGGATTTGTCACATGAAAAAAGGAGGAAGAGAAATTGTCTCATGAACCCACAAATGATTCACATTCAATCTCCCCATCTCCTGCCTCCCTCTGAAACCCTGGTAAAGTGATCACACACTGAGCACTATTAAATCCATTGCTTTATTTCTCATCCTACCCTCCTAGTATTTTCCCAATGGAATCACTCATGAAATAGGCAGAAGTTAAAGTTCTCAGCTGATTTAACAATGTCCAACAAAATTATGATTTCCATTATGATATGATGACGATTAATGTATATAGATATTTTATTGTTTATTCTGAGTGCTACATTTTATCAGTATATAGCATATGTTTTTCTTATATCAATGACTTATGTCTCATAAAATAACAGTCAACAAGACTATTAGAAGTTCTACCACACCCCCATCTAAAAATATTTGGGTGAGAAAATGTTTATCTGGGATCGTTATATATGTGCATATGTGCATTTTTATAACCTGCTTTCCCATGTAATGTTTTAGCAACTTATACTTTTTTTTTTCTTTTTTTTGAGACGGAGTCTCGCTCAATTGCCCAGGCTGGAGTGCAGTGGCACAGTCTTGGCTCACTGCAAGCTCCCCCTCCAGGGTTCACGCCATTCTCCTGCCTCAGCCTCCCGAGTAGCTGGGACTACAGGTGCCCGCCACGACGCCTGGATAATTTTTTTGTATTTTCAGTAGAGACAGGGTTTCACCGTGTTAGCCAGGATGGTCTCGATCTCCTGACCTCGTGATCTGCCTGCCTCGGTCTCCCAAAGTGCTGGGATTACAGGCGTGAGCCACCGCGCCCGGCCTAGTAACTTATACTTTTTAAAGAGCTGCATAATTCTTGATCTCTTAGGTATGTTTATATTGTTTATGAGTATGTAATTTGTATCTATCTTGTAGATGAGCTTCAGGGAGCACTGCCACAGAATTTCCTCAAACGATGATGATTTGTTTACTAGATTTTCTGTAATATGTCAATACTGCTGCTTTTTACTAAGAAAGCAGAAAAAATAACCATCCAAAAGAGTATTCTTGCAGAACCTGATTTCAAATGCTGAATAACAAGTTTAATTTAGAATCATAAGAATTTATGTTCTAAGGAATATGAGATATAAGATTATTTCTTTCAGTCCCTTCATTTTATGGATGAGGAAACTGAAATGATGGCTTGCCTAAGGTCACCGGCTAGAAGTGAAGTATCCTGCCTAGAAACAACTAAGCCTTCTGTAATATCTTAAAATAGAGGGCATTTATTTACTGTACTATTCCTCACATTTTTTTTGGATTTAGAGAAACTATCTGGAAGATGGAACACTTCACTAAATTAATGGTCTCCGAAACTGAATTTCTCACCCACCTCCTCCCTGCTGCCTTCCACAAATTCTGCAACCAGGAGTGTGCAAGGTGACCCAATGGTTAAAATTCTGAACTACTTTTAGACTTTCAAAAAAAATTGCAGAAACAGTACAGAGAGTTTCTATATGTCCTTGTGCCACTCCATTGTTAACATCTTACATACCATAGTATAATTATCACAACAAGGAAATTAATATTTGTACAGTACCATAAACTAAAGATTTCAGTTGAACTTCACTTTGAAGGTTCCCATTCATGTCTCTTTGTTGTTGTTGTTTCCAATATGCCACTCAGGATTCCATGTGGCATTTAGTTGTTATTTCTCTCTGGTCTCCTGTCGTGTGCAACAGCTTCTCCATCTTTCCTTGTCTTTCATGATTCTGACAACTGGAACGGTACTGATCTGTTATTTTGCTGCACATCAGTTCATCAGTTTGGGCCATTTGGAATCTTCTCATGATTGAAGTGAGATTATGCATCCCTGTCAAGACTACCATAGAAATGGTGCCTCATCCTTCTAGGTGCATCAAATCATGGCCTTCATGATGTCAGCATGTATTGTTATTGGTGATACTGGTATTGATCACCTGGTGGAAATGGTCACCACTAGACTTTTCCACTATAAAGTTGCTATTCAAATGGCCAAAGATGGAAAAAATTAAGCCACAAAATACATAATGATAGTACTGGATTGTAGTCTATAAAATAATATAAATATGAACCATGAGTTCATAGGGACACAAATAAATAATTGGTTGAATAGATATAGTCACTTCTCATTATTCATGGTAATTGTGTTTTATAAAGTCACTATGAACACTGAATTAGCGAACACTGACCCATTGCTCTTAAGGGAAACATAGGTTTAGATTTCTGTGAGCTATTGTCAACTAATCAATAGATAATCTTGCTTCATGTGTGTTTCTGTTTAAAAACACCTTATTTAATATTTTTTGTTGATTCGTTAACATTGAACTCACCACCAACAGCGCCATAACCCATGCCTGAATGAAGCTTCTCTAATGGATGTTATTTTCCTTGGCAGGCCTGTCATAGCCTTCTTGCACTTAGGAATACGAGTCAGCACATCAGCATTATGCTTGAGGGCATTTTAAACAGCAAAATGACCAACAAAACGCACAAAAATATGAAAAATATGGCACTCGATAGACTGCAAAAAGGGCACTTGTTTACAGG
Organism: Homo sapiens; assembly: GCF_000001405.40. Taxonomy (NCBI): domain Eukaryota; kingdom Metazoa; phylum Chordata; class Mammalia; order Primates; family Hominidae; genus Homo; species Homo sapiens. The sequence continues at coordinate 2,551,075 of NC_000009.12, read as the reverse complement.
ATGAGAGCTGAAACAAAGGCAGAGTATCACCTTGTTTGATTTCAGCTGGGAACATGCACATTGAGTTCTCAAATTTTTGCTGTTCTGCACACATCTGTGAATGACCGAGAAAATGACATGAGTATTGATTTTCGAGTTACAAATAAATTTTAGCAAGCAGGTGAATTCTCAAATATGTAATCCATGAGAATAAAGATTGATTGCATATGGAGAAGTGGCAGCTCTCTTTTTTTTGCATAGAATTTCAATTAATAAATGTGGAACGAATGAGAGAAAACTACCCCAGGCCACCTCCACAGTGGTGATTGTTGTAGATGGATCCACCAATGTATGCCAGATGCAGTGGGCAAAGGTTTGAGGAACAAAGAAATTTGCATAGTCTCAAAGTGTCTCCCTCAAGATATTTGTTGACTACAGGGAGAAATACAGTAAATTTATGTTTATTGTAAATTTAATAAGGTGTAAGTTCTTTATTTTTTCTAGCATTTATATAGCATTAGCAGATGTTGACTAGCAAATACAGATAAATAGGTGGCATGTGCTCAAATTCTTGATAATAAGGGAGCCTCCATTTTTTTTATTTTTTTTTATTATCTTCTCTGGATAATCAGCTAGTGTTCAGCCAAAGCTGTTAATTTATGTATAATAGGAGAAAAGGCAAAGAAGTTGCTATTTTATCAAGGGTAGACTTGGGACTCTTAAGAACCACTTGCTTCTGTGAAATCATCCCAGGTAGAGCACTTGGTCTTCAGTGTCCCACTATGCCTATTTGAATAGCCTGGAAATATTTTCACACTATAGAGTTGGTTGTGCACATGCTTTCTCCTGCACGTGGTGCTTCCTGAGTGCAGGGGCTGCCTCTTTCATCTTTATATCTCCAGTAACAAGTACATTGACTCACATGGGTGTACTCAGTAAATGTTCATTGGGAATGGGATGGCATAGATGGGATGGGATGATACCCTGGGTCTGTTGGGCAACCCCCTCTCCATATTTTTTCCAGATGCATTTTTGTTCTTGCTGTATTTCTGGCAATGTTTCTTGCTAATGCTTATCTTCTGCCAATGATGAAAACAAGCAAACCCTCTGTAGTATTTAAAGGTACATGAAAATGAAGACAGGCCTCTTTAAGTACATTTGGTTCAAGGGAATTTTCTTATTCCATAAGTCTAAGTTCAGCTGTGACCTTAAGTGCTTTATTCACACACTTGCCTTTATCCCAATAACAGTGGTACTGCTGTCTCCGGAGGCAAAACAGATTGATGGCAGCATTAGTTAGAGATTTTATAAATCCGCTGAATGGAAAAAGCTTCCAGTTCCAGGGTTGTTTCTGAGCATTTGTGGTTTCAGGTTGAAACAAATGTATTAGTCAGGGTAGACAACTGATGTAACAAACAGTTCCAAAATTCCAGAGGCATAACATACCTATTTTCTTGTGTCTGAACGGTCCAGTGTAGGTGTTCCCAGTCGGGCAGTTTCTATCTTGGCAGAGTTTCACGGACTCGGGCTTCTTCCATTCCATGGCTCTACCTTCCACCAGGTGCCCATGGTCTTCTTTCTTCAGCTGGTAGGTTTTATGGGCCAGGTCGAGAAGTAGTTTCTTGCCTTCTGCCCACATTCCTATGGATGTAAACGGATCACATTTCCACACCTAAATGCAGGGCATGCCGGGAATATTGTCTAACTGCATTTCCAGGTGAGAAAGGAGATATTGTTTGGTGAACAACTAGCCAGTCTCTGTCCACACAACTCAGTCTGGCATCTGTCCTCTCAGTTCTCATGTCAGTTGTTTTACTTATTCTTCTTAAGACATTAACACTTTCTTCATTGTATTCATTCATTAAAATTCATTAACATCATGATGGGCTTCCACAGCATGCCAATTGATGGGAGTTATAAAGAAAAATCAGGTGCAGGGCCTGCCCTTGAACTCAATCTAGTTCAACCTTGTTTAGCTGTCACTGTATTTGGAAGTCCTGAAGTACTTGTTTTTAATTCAATCATCCAAAAAGAAAATAATATTATTGTATGACTACCAATCCTACAAATTAAGTAATCTACTTAGATGTCCAAGTTTTTCCCAAATACTTATTTGCTTCTAGTTCAGTTATTTATTTTGCCTTTTTGTAGTCTTTCTGGAAACAAGTAGAGGCAAATATCTAAGATTTAAAGAAAATATACAGGGACAAAACTTTAAATGTTGTCCCTAAATTTAATTCTTCTTGAAAATTTGGAAAAGGGTATTATTTAGTCTCAGTAGAAAATTAGAGAACAAAGAACCACTGGTCTAGTTTCTAGTCATCTGTGGACATGGTACTCCTGTTAGTGTGTAAGCAATGCAAATTTAGGGAACTTATCTAACAAAATATTTTTTTTCTCTACCCCCCGAAACTCTATCCTTATTCACCTAACTCATCAAATCTTTTTAAAAATTATTGCTTTTATAATTTTGAAAGTTTATTCATTGTAGCAAAGGTTGAAAATATGGGTAAGCAAAAAGATAAAAATTAGAAATGTTCGTTATCCTACTTCCCATAGATAAATCCTGTTAAATCGATATGTGCATTTGCAGCCTTTTTCTGCATATATTTGTGGATGTGTGACAGTATATGTAATCTCTACAACAATGAAATTATACTAAGCATATAGTTTATACTAAGCATATAGAATTGAGGAGAATAGCTGAGGACATTTTAGTTCTGAAAGCAATAGTGTAGCATGATGGTTCATTTCTCAGACCTGGGTTTAAATTAAAGTCAACATCATAATCATAATCATGATGCAGATAATTTTGTATAAATGAAAATAGTTATATTTGAGTCAACAGTTCAAGCACTTCTTTGTGATATAAATGCAACACAAGTACCCATATATCCCAGCTTTGCCACTTACAAACTGCAATGCTTATGGCCTAGGTTTTCTTATTCATAAATAGGCATGATACTAGTATCTGCCCCACAGGGTTGTTGGGAGGATTATTGAGCCAATTCATATAAAGTGCCTGGTATATAGTAAATGCTCAGTAACTTTGGGCTATTATGAAACTGCGTGTGAATTTAAAAACAGTAATCTTTCTTTTAAGTAGGCTGTAAATCAGTGGTTCTAAATCAGGAGTGTTTTCTTCCACCCCACTACCTGGGGGACATTTGGCAATGTCTGGAGACATTTTTGGTTGTCCCATCAGTTGGTGATAGGAAGTTCCTACTGGCATGTACTGTGTAGAGGCTAGGGATGTGCTGAACATCCTACGGTGCAAGGGATGCACCCTCCCAACAGAGAATTATCTTGCCCGAGATATCAGTAGTTCTGAAGCTGAGAATCCCTGCTTTAAAGAAATGTGTATTTTATGTTATCATAGATGGAGGGGAATTTGCCATCAAAGTCACACAACTAGGAAGTTACCTTCCTGGTAATCAATCTACATGTTGAGAAAGATGTTAATAAATAGCCAATTCACCTCGATTTTTGTAGAAATCAAATGAAAGATTGCATTTAACTTTTGTATATTTATACATTATGTAAGTATAAGTTAGAGCTAAACCTGTTTTCTTCTGTGTTTTCTATTTCTTTTTATTATTGCCCCGTTAAGGAGACTTTTAAGACTTAAAAAAATTGCCTCCTCTTCCCATGAAATTTTATACAACAGATATAGTATATATCTGTTTATGCAGTTGGATAGGGTTAAGGATTGGAGGATTACAACCCACTGTGATAGCTAAGATATTTTTGCCCCCTAAGAACCAATTTTCATCCCTATGGGGAAATATTCTAAGTAAAAGAGGAGTGAATTCTAAAAGTGTTTTTGTTTTTTTAAGAATGATGCTTAAATTACTTATTCAATTAAAATTGGCTTAATATCTCCTGTTCTGCACTTTGAGATCATATTGAGAGAGCAATGGAAAAGTGAAAAATAATACTATTGATTTAAAACGCTATAGGCATTTAAAATGGACAGCAAAGCTCAGAGAAATGAATAGAAATTTAGTGAGTGCTGAAAATGCAAAAATAAAAACTGGTAAGGCCAGAAATAAAAGAAGTTGAAAAGGAGACAAAAGCTTTCTAGAGAGGTAGCTAATCTGAATGTAAACTTATCATAAAAGGGAACAAGGAGCTTGAGAGGATAAAGGATGGAAGGGAAATTGTACCGGATAAGGAAGCTGAAGGAAATAATATGAGCTTTTCTTTTTTGTAGGTCATAGTCACTACATTAACTATGTAGCTTGTTTCTGCATTGTTTGAAAAGGAAAGATTAAACACAACTAAATCTGCAAAGTGACAGGCATGTCACACATTGGGGAAGATTGGAAATGTATAGCCTGCAGGTTAACTACCTGGTAATCAAGCCACAAGTCTGGAAGGGATCTTTCTATTGCCTGGCCTGTGTGTATCTATTCCCTTTGTTCTTCACTCATCCCTCCCCCTTACTTATAAATCCTCAGTAAAGGCTCCTGTATAAATTTTCAGCCTCATTTCTTACCACATCAACTACACAGACACCGTACTCTTGTCAGCTCAGCCACCCAAACTTCCAGCAGTTCTTACGGGTCCCAATTCTTTACTTTTGCTTATTATCGGTACTTGATTTGGACTGCTTTCTCGGGACTTCGTTGCCTACCCTTATGCTCTGTATTCCTTTTAATTGCCTCTTCCCCACACTGACAATGAGGGGATAAGAATAAGCCTTGCTTTACAGGTGTGTTCACGGTCAGTGCTGCATGTTACGTTCCTTGAAAGTAGAAGTTTTTGTACTTGTTTTTATATCCACAAGCCTAGCCTGGCCCTGGAGCACGGTTGGTGCTTAACACATGTTCACTGAAGCAAAGGAGCTATTGTTTCCCTCCTTCTCCATGTGGCCTGTCAAGTTTATAACAATTCTCCCTTCTCTCAAAACTCAGAATTGGTGTTGGCTAGTTCTTCCTTGAACTCTTGTATCCACTCATCCCCCAGCCAGAGTTAAGTGATGGTGAACACCTGACCCATAGCTAGGCTACATTTCCATCCTTGAGACACTGAGGACAAACAAACCACAAGGTCAGTCCTTGTGGTTAAAACCAGAGCATATAAACACAGGAGCTATTATGGGGCAATCTTGTGGATTTAAGTGCGGAGAAAACCAGCCTTCCAAGATGAGACTGAAGCCACCATACAGAGAAGAACAGATAATATGGAGAGAGAATCTGAGGGATTCCCTCCTACTCCTATGTTTTGCTTGCATTTCTGCATTTGATTGCATGAGACACTCTCATATTCTTGTAATAAATTCTCTTTAGTGTCAAAGTTAGTTCAAGTTGATTTCAATGACTTGTAGCAAAAAATCTTTCACCACTATATCACACTTTCTGATTTCCCATTTCAATGAAGGATATTATACTAGACAGAAATAATATATACGGGGGAGAGATCAAACTTACTTAAAATATTAGAAACAAATTGTTTGGGAATCTTATTTGGGGAATTTGGTGGAATAATGCTGAGGGACTCTCTGCATTGTTAGGTTTGAAGCAATAGAGAATTTTCCCTTCAAGATGGAGTAGGAGCATGAAGAAAAAAATATTTCATGCTTAAAAACCATAGGCAACAGCCAACGACGGAGCAAAGCACCAAATAGTTAAACTAGGATCCATCAGAAACCTAAGCATCATTTGACCATGCTTCTTGAGCTTCAGCCCTCTTATCCAACCCACCACCAGATCCTGTGAGTTTCCCCATCTACCATTATCTTGAGTCTGTTTCCATCCACTCTAGTCTAAGTGACCTTTATTTCTCATGAGAACTCCAGCAATGGCCTTCAAGACGTAGATGGTGGACAGCTGCTCTTGCCACCAATGGTTCTCTATGCTGTGACTATAGAGCTGATCTAAAGTTCCTAACTGATCCTGTCAAAAGTTTTTCAGGTAATTTTAGTGGCTTCCTTCACTCTTCCTCATAAAGCCCCATAAAGTTCAGCCTGTGCAACCTCATCATGCACCCCACTCCACTGCTTATATATGTTCCTGATTATCAGCTTCTTTTTTTCTTGTTAGACAGGGTCTCTCTGTTGCTCAGGCTGGAGTGCAGTGGTGTGATCATGGCTCACTGCAGCCTCGACTCCCCAGAATCAAGCAATTTTCCCTCCTCAGCTTCCTCAGTAGCTGGCATGTGCCACAGGCATGTGCCACCATGCTTGGGTAATTTTTTTTTTCTTTTTTGGTAAAGATGGAGTCTCACTGTGTTGCCCAGGCTAGCCTTGAACTCTTGGGCTAAAGCAATCCGCTCACCTCAGCCTCCCGAAATGCTGAGATGATGTGTGTGAGCCACCGCACCCAGCCAACATCAACTTCTCCTCAGGCCCTTGCCTTGCCAAGCTGCCTTTGCTATGGGGCTTTTGCGCATGTTATTCCTCCTGGAACATTCTTTTCTGCCACCTTTACTCAGCTTTCCTTGGCCTCTCTGACTAGACTGATTATTCTTAGTATAGCACTGTGTACCCATCCTTTTAATCATTTGTTTTTGTAGCAGCTTTTCTCCCCACTCCCGCAGTATTTGGTTGTCTGTCTATTCTACTAGACTGTAAGCTCCACAAGGGCAGGAGCTCTCTGCTTTAGCCTATTGTTTTAGTCATAGCACCTAATAGAATGTGTAGCAGGGGATTATCAAATATTTGTTGAATAAATAAATATGCAGAAAGGTAAAAAATGTGAAAAGCAAGCAAACACACAAGGAGGAGCCTTCAACTTATATACTCTTTATCAGAGATTAGGTGTATAATTCAGTTGGTTCTAACTCATAGTTTTTCTTAGGTGCTAGGCTTGTCATCAACAGTCCTATTAATAATGCTAAAATTCCTTTAACAAATAAGGGTTTAAGGTTATCAGTAAATAAAATATAATTAGTGTTAGTAGTACTTCTAGGTCAGTCCATAAAGGCCTGTTGAATGGATGAGGTGTCCCTAAAATAGTAGTTTTAAACCCTAACATTTACTAAGTCCCTATGACCTTTGAGAAGGACTTGGAGGCTATGAAGGGAAAGAGAATTCCAATTACTAGCAATTTCCAGAGCTTCAGAGATGAAAGATGTCATCAAGACATGTTCTGAGGTCTGCAATTCTAGTAGTGAGTGTGGGATGGGCCAGAGTGATGGGAATGGAGGAGAGCCCAGGGACCATTCAAAGGAAGAAGCTGCTCATGAGCCCTGTGATATGCTGGCTAGGATAGGTCCCTTTTCCTTTTCTTCTATATATGTCCCTTTGAAGGTATGTGCACTTAAGTAGAAAATACTGTCCAAAGTAATTTACAGAATCAATGCTATTCCCATTAAACCATCATTGACATTCTTCACAGAATTAGAAAAAAACTATTTTAAAATTTATACAGAACCAAAAAAGAGCCTGTATAGCCAAGACAATCTTAAGCAAACAGAACAAAGCTGGCATTACGCTACCCAACTCCAAACTATGCTACAGGTTACAGCAACCAAAACAGCATGGTACTGGTACAAAAACAGACACATACACCAATGGAACAAGATAGAGATCTCAGAAGTAAGACTGCACATCTACGAGTATCTGATTTTTGACAAACCTGACAAAAACAAGCAATGGAGAAACGATTCCCTATTTAACAAATGGTGCTGGGAGAACTGGCTAGCCATCTGCAGAAAATTGAAACTGGACCCCTTCCTTACACCTTATACAAAAATTAATTCAAGATGGATTAAAGACTTAAATGTAGAACTCAAAACTACAAAAATCCTAGAAGAAAACCAAGGCAATACCACTCAGGACATAGGCACTGGCAAAGATTTTATGACAAAAACGCCAAAAGCAATTGCACCAAAAGCAAGTATTTGACAAATGGGATCTAATTAAACTAAACAGCTTCTGCACAGCAAAAGAAACGAGCATCAGAGTGAACAGACATCCTACAGAATGGGAGAAAATTTTTGCAGTCTATCCATCTGACAAAGAGCTAATATCCAGGGTCTACAAGAAACTTAAACAAATTTACCAGAAAAAAAACAACCCCACTAAAAAGTGGGCAAAGAGCATGAACAGACACTTCTCAAAAGAAGACATTTCTGCCACCAACAAACATATGAAAAAAGCTCAACAACACTGATCATTAGAGAAATGCAAATCAAAACCACAATGGGATGCCATCTCATGCCAGTCAGAATGACGATTATTAAGTCAAGAAACAACAGATGCTGGCGAGGTTGCAGGGAAATAGGATTGCTTTTACACTATTGATGGGAATGTAAATTTAGAAGACAGTGTGGCAATTCCTCAAAGATCTAGAACCAGAAATATCATTGACCCAGCAATCCCATTACTGGGTATATGCGCAAAGGAACATAAATCATTCTGTTATGAAGATACATGCACACTATGTTCACTGCAGCACTATTCACAGTAGCAAAGACATGGAATCAACCCAATTGCCCATCAATGATCCCATTTAATTAGATCCCATTAACCAACCCAAATGCCCATCAATGATAGACTGGATAAAGAAAACATGGTACATATGCACCATGGAATACTATGCAGCCATAAAAAGGAATGAGATCATGTCCTTTGCAGGGACATGGATGGAACTGGGAACCATCATCCTCAGCAAACTAACTCAGGAACAGAAAACCAAATACCACATTTTCTTACTTATAAGTGAGAGCTGAATGATGAGAACACATGGAGACAGGGAGGGGAACAACACACACCAGGGCCTATTGTGTATGGCAGCAGGAGGGAGAACATCAGGAAAAATAGCTACTGCATGCTGGGTTTAATGCCTAGGTGATAGGTTGATGGATGCAGCAAACCACATGGCACATGTTTACCTATGTAACAAACCTGCACACCCTGCACATGTATCCTGGAACTTAAAAAAACAACCCCCCAGAAAAATTTTAAAAAAAGAAAACACAAGTTACCCTGCTGGAGGAAGATTTTTCTTTTATCTAGACTATAAAGGTAGCCATATTTTTGCAAGAATTTCTGTATTAACATTCCATGTCAAGAGGAAGAAAAGAAAAGGAGATTCCAAGGGTAGAAGGATTAGTGCAGAAGCCCTCTGAGAGCATGGGAGGAAAGGCAGTTTGAGGAGGTGATGACACATGGATTGCTGGAGAGAAGGGTGGATGCCCTCAGGGAATGAGAAGGAAGGAAGGAGGAAGAGAGAAAACACAGGTTATTTGCCTGGGAATGAAGGACACAGACAATTCTGCTTTCAATGACCAGATTTTCTGACAAATATTCCCAGAACATAGCTCAGTAGAAATGCCAATTGCGTCAGGCAAACCTTTCTAGAGAATATCAGTTTTATTTTAGAAAGAATAGCCTGGCTGCAAAGAGAAATCTAAGATCGAGAAAACATCAAATTATGCCATGAGTTATTTTCATGAAATGAGATACTGCACAGCACTCTGAAAAAAACTTTATTGTTAAAATTCCGAGAAAGAGGAGCACTTGACATAAAAAGCACAGATCCTAAAGTCATGCTCATGACTTTAAATTTGTGTAAGCAACTTAATAACACTTGAAAATCTAACCTGTGGCAAGGCAAGGTGGCTCATGCCTGTAATCCCAGCACTTTGGGAAGCCGAGGCGGGCGGGTCACCTGAGGTCAGGAGTTCCACACCAGCCTGGCCAATGTGGGGAAACCCTGCCTCTACTAAAAAAAAATACAAAAATCAGCCAGGCCTGGTGGCAGGTGCCTGTAGTCCCAGCTACTCAGGAGGCTGAGGCAGGAGAATTGCTTGAACCCGGGAGGCAGAGGTTGCAGTGAGCTGAGATCGCATCATTGCACTCCAGCCTGGGTGACAAGAGCAAAATTCTATCTCATAAAAAGAAAAAAAAAAAGAAAGAAAAAAAGAAAATGTAACCTATTTATTTTATTTTAAAGTGAAACTGAGGATGAGGTAATTTGTGTTCCCATAACTGGATTCTTTCAGAGCATGCAGCATTCAGGGCTAAGGCGAGAAAAATCTCAAAAAGCAACTTTTATCTCTGTTTCATGGTTCCTGCCCCTGACGCCCCTGGAGTACATATTCTGGTCTTTGGAGCACTAGATTAATATTTCTTCATGTGAATATTCTTATATTTTTCTTTTGGGCATACTCTATAAACTTAATTGAACAATGTTATTTCTATAGAAGTTTTTGTAAAATTACTTTTGCCATTCTTAATTTTACTCCGAAAGTGATTGCCTTTGTATATCACAGTTCACATAAGAAAATTAAAGTTAGTGAAAAAAAATCAACAAAAAAGATTGCCTGAAATTAAACTCAGTGTTCTTTCTGAAGAGTTTTACAAATACCCTCCATGCAGTAAGAAGCACAGGAATTCTGATGAGAACGCATTTTTCAAGAATTCATCTTCACCTTCCCTTTCACTCGGAAGGTGGCCTCTTATTGTGGCTGTTGGATGTAACCAGTGAACCGAATACTTGAAACCAATTTGCTGGTTTGAGAAGAGGTTATTGATTCTCACAGCATGTATATACTTGGAAAATTTCATTGTTTAACTCTACATGTGGATGATTCTTGCCTCACACTACTTTAAGTCAGGCAGACTGGGTGAGGCATATGAGCTCCCTTTGCTTTATTGAAGTCTTCAGAGAAGACTGCAAACTTAAAAAAATTAAAAAAAAAATGTTTAACAGGTCTGCATGTTGCCTTGAATAAAAAGTACTATATGTGCTTCTTGGAAAAAGTCTGCTTAGGTGATTTTTTTTTTTAAGCATGTGCTTTATTTTGAGGGAGGATGTTAGGAGCGAAATGTCTGTGTATTTTGTACAGAATTCAGAAGACAAAGGCTGTAATTGATAAAACACCAAATCTTGGGCGTTTATATTCTTGTTTACTAAATAATACAAGTTCAACTGAATAATTAAGGTGTAACTCTTTGGATGGGTGAAGATGAACAAAATCTCAGCTCATCTGAGGTCAACATTTCTTCTAGGGACTGTTGAAGAATATAGGTCAGGTGATGAAGCCATGTGTTGCTGTTTCCCTTCAGATGCTGGAAATATGGGCCCCACCCCACTTCAACCCCTTACTTCCCCAGTTTTTCTCTAGGAATATTATTATTGGCCCAGGGGAGGGTCATTTCAGCAGAAAGTCTGCCATTTTGAAGCAATTGGAGCAATTTATTAGCAAGAGGAAGTGATTTATTTTTCTTAATCACCATTCATAAGATGATCATTACGAACAAGGTTGCTGATAAATCCTTGGCCACTGGAGAGGACTTTAATTTGTGACAAGGAAAGTTTCTTAGTACTTAATGGAGAGAGAGTTTTCTGCCCTTGCCTGTGCAGGTTCATGGTGAGAGATAGGCCCTATGGGTATTTATCAACCTGAACTGGGGGTCTTCTTAATATAGAGAGTTATGTTTTAGAAATGAAACTCCTTGGGGTCTTGTTTGGGGGGAGTAATTAGGGAAGAAAAGAACCAAGTTAATATTTTTTTTTTCTCAAACATCCTGATCTTTGGCATTTATCTTTTTTTTTTTTTTTTTTTTTAACTGACAAGTTACTTCTCTTTCAGGCTCCAAGCTTGATATAGAAGACTATCATATGAACCAGAAAGGGTAACTGAAACCAAAGAAATGACTCCAGTATCAAGCTAAAGACATGCCTTAAAGGATGAGGAGGAGCAGAAATCTTACCAGCAAGGCAAGAAAGAAGCCGTACGTGAACAGGTGGTAGTATGAGCAATACTTAATTCCCTGTTGTGATTATTAGCAAGTGAAGCTTGTGAAGTGCATAGCCCCGACTAAAGAATCTTCTGTTATAATTTTTCAAAGACTGTACAGTAGGTACACCAGCCATACAAATACTAGAAATCAAGTGTTATTTCTAAAGTATCATGCACTTTGGTGATTAGCAGCTTGGGGAGCCATCAGCTGAATTTCTTGAAGAAACTTGCAGGGAGTCGGCCATAACTCTAAGGGTGAGGCAGCTTTCAAGAAGTGTGATTCATCTTCTTTAAGTATTAGGGTCACCTAGTGCCACTGCAGCCCAGCCTACAGCAGGTCACCTGGAACTGAAATTCTGAGACGTAAGAACTAGGAGGAAAAATGTCCTCCCTTGTTCAAGGGATGAAGTCAATTTAAAGGGATGAGGAGAATACTGGCAGAATATTTTAAATATATTAAAATATATTAACTGATTTTCCTCTTCTGGCAGCTCCTGTTGCCTCTGCATCCTCCCCCAAACCCATTTAGGTATCATTTGTTCTATCAGGAAAAAAAGAAGTTTCACCAGAGAGCAGGAAAAAAAGGCTTTTGATTTTCCAAAGTCAAGACCCTGAGGGAACTTGTCATAGAGACACTAAGCTGAATTGATGCAAGGCTTCCCACCCCTTGTAGGACCTGAAGTTTTCCAGGCATGCTGTGAGGACAGTGCTAGAGCTAGGGGAGGAAAGGGAACTGTTAGATGCTGTGGGGAGGTGGGGAGGAGGGAAGGGAAGGTGGAGGCGGAAGGGGAAGCAGAGACAGCTCTTAGATGCTGGTGGCTCCCCTCTCCTCTGAGAAAAAGACTTTCTACCCTGCTCCTTAGAGGAAAAGGTTGTGGATGACAGAACTGAAGATGGATTGGGGTTGTCATCACCTCCAAGTAGCGCTCAAGAAGACTGCAAAACCCCAGAACAGAAATGGCTGAGTGGTATCCAGGGGACAGATGCTCTGAGCCAGCCTCAAAGAACTGAGTGTACCCCAGCACAGCCCACAAGTGTTAGAATGAGTCTTCTGTGCTCAAAAGTCCCACCAGAATAGTAATGAAGGACCCACAGAGCTTCCTGGTGCCCCTGTGGCCTGAGCAGTGCAATAAAGTTTCCTGTGCCAACAAGGGGCTTGGCAACAGTTGAGAGAAAATGTGCCATGTCTGAAGGAGTCTCATGCTGGGGAACAGCTCAGTGGTGAAGACCCACCAGGAATAAGGTCATATCAGCCAAGGCTGGTGCTGAGATAGCATCACACGGGGAAAGAGATAATTCCCTCCACCCATTGCTCTGGTACAATGTAAGACCCCTGGAACTCAGTGAAAGGGGTGGAGGTGCAGAACTGAGGGAAATTAGGTTCTAACACTGAAGATAGGCTCAAAATAGTTAAGTGGTTACAGAAAAATAAAGTTTCACTTCTTGTACAATTGAATTTGTTGATTGAGTCCTGAACCCAAAGTAAAACCAGTCATTCAATCAATAAGTTAATTAAAAGATCAGTCATACCTGACAAAACTATTTAGCTCCTCCTTTCTGGAATTTAGCAGGATTGTAACACAATTCGCAATCAAGATTTGTCTTACAGCCTAACACAAATCTTGACTATTGCTATGTAGTTAGTCTATGTGCAGCCTCAGGTTCGTGGGTGTAGCTCAGTCTGCATTGCTTAGTTAAGTGCTGACCACGTGGCTGGCACTCTCCTAGGAACTTTCACCATTTTCCCTCATTTAATCCTTTAAACAGTGTCTGTGAGACCAGATATTATTCCCATTTTACTGAAAAGTAAACAAAGGCTCCACAAAGTGAAATCTGAGAGAATTCTAATAATTATCAAACATTTCCTTTGTGAAAGTTGGTTCCACATTGTGGTGGGTAATGCCCAGTGCTTCCTTCCTTCTTTTCCAACAGTCTCTTCTTTTCCTGTGCATTCTTTGCAGGTCCTGTCCCACCTCTGTGCCTTTGCTCCAAAGCCCCTACTTCAGATACTGCTCCTCTTCCTGTCCTTTTGACATCTTCCCCAGTTTCTAAGGCGCAATTTCAATTTTGTCTGTTCCCTGACACTTTTCCAAACCTCTCAGCTATTATTATCTTATCCATCCTCATGCTCCTTTAGCACCTCACAAGTCCATGATAGGCCTTTATCAAGTCAGCTTTGTATTGCAGGTTTTTGGTCATGGTATTGTCAGCTGCTAATTTGTAAACCCCAGAAGAGCTCCATCTTGTGCAGCCCCAGCACCTACAATGAATTTAGCATCCTAGGCTGGCAGGTATCTTGGCACCTGTTACGTAATAAAGCCTTAACACATGTTTGTCAAACTAAATTAACTTAAAATTCTAAAACACATAGTTAGTGAAACATGAGACAGATGCTTGCAAGAATGTTTAATTGGCAATGTCTTTGAATTCCTCACAATTTTCTTCTTTATCCCTAACTTATTTCAATGTTTTTCAAACATACAAAACAGTTTAAAAAATCATTCATTGAACACCCATGTAATGACCACCTAGCTTCTATAATATGCCCTTTATTATATTTATGTTATCATATCTGTCCATCTACTCATCCTGCTATCCATCCATCAATACATATTATTTTTTCCCCACTGCCTTTCAAATACATCCAACGCTTGAGAGACCTTTGACTTTGGAATCAGATCTGAGATTAATTCCTGGATTCAGCACTTACTTGTTCTGTGACCTTGGGGGTGTTGCCTAACTTGAGTCTGTTTTTTCTTTGTAAAATGGGGGTGAACAATGATGTCTACATCGGTTGTGGTGAGGAATAAATGAGACTGTATATAAAGGGCCTGACACATAGTGTTTGTTCAATACATGGTAGCAAAAGTAAAAGAACAGCATAAGTATTTATTTCAGCCATCAGCACTGATTTGCAATGATTTGTGCTTTTGGTATTCTTGCTTCCAGCCTCTGCTTTAGGCCCAGAAGGAAAAGAAGCTTACAGGAGACAATCAGTCTTACACTCTTCCATGGTCACAAACAAGAGGTCCCTGGATCTACAGGTGAGCAAGAGGTGATCTGGGCTTTGGAGTAGGTACTGCATTCTGAATTCCCTGGCACAATTAAAAGGCAATAGAGCTAACAGTAGAATCACCAATTATCTACTTTACCCGGGCAACGTGGGGGATCTTAATGTCTATCTAAAATTCAGAAGAACTTTTGCTAAAAATGGAGATGATTAGGAGAGGATATCAGAGCTCTGCCATAGCCATAAACTTGCCTTCTGAGCCCTTTGGTGCAGGGATTTGAATTTTTTCCAAGTAGAAGCCCTCATTAGTAGCACCCTCCACTCTAAAGCTGTAGGATATCCCCAATTCATGAAACTATTTCTTAATTATGCTGTAGGTCATCTTGCCCCTGAAATGGCCCTGGAAAGCTATGGCTGAAGAATGGAGGAAAAGATGACTTTCTCTGTTTCTTCAGACCAGGCATCAACTGGGATGTTGGGATGTTGATAAAAGGACATCTCATCCTTTGTTTTCTGCCTATGCTTTCACCATACCCATTCCCATGTCTGGTCATCACAGCATCCTTCACAGCCCTTAGCTGAATCATGTTGAGTACAGGATGGTGTGAATATCATGGTTTGAATGCAACCATGGTCTGTCAGTGTGGCTTGTTTTTTGCAGCCCACTTAGACTTAAGCCCTCTTAATTTCAAAATTACGTTCATATGTGCCAATAAAGTTGTCCCTACATGAACTGAAAAATGCCTGATTTCCTTATCTTCCTGAGGGTTTGCAACTTAGATGACATGTCACATTAATCTGTGGAACTTTTTGAAAGGCATAAATGTCTGCTTCTTTGAAAGCCTCACCCTTCATTCCAAGAGTCAGAGTGAGTGGGTCTTATGTAATCCCGCTGCAGTCTACATTTTAAGTATCTCTACAAATTATTTTTTCTCACAGCCATGGCTAAGAACTGTCTCTTTACCATAAAGCTGTATAGCTCTTCTTTAAAACAGTGAGAGATGAAGTGTGTCTTCTTTTGAGATGCAAAATCTTGGTTGACCTTTTCATTTTTGTTTTGTTTTCTATTAGTTGATGACCATAAAATGGAAAATTAGTTGAAATGAAAGGATTAGGAATATTATCAAAGTAGAGTAGGTTGTACATAAGATAGAAATAAGGACAACCCAGTAGAGCATTTGAGAAGATGCTCAGCTAAAGTAAAAAGGAGCTAATAAAGGTTATCCCAGTCAGCTAGGAAAGCAGTGCTCAGATTATCAGGTAAGGGTATCACCTAAGACAAGAAGGCAGATATGCAAAAGGAGTTATTATATTATGTCAAATCTAATACAATCATACTTTACATTTTAACATCCCGGACATCTGTTGGCCTGGTGGCACTGGAATGTTGTGTCATTGCCCATGCAGTATAAATTTTGTTGTTAGTCACAATGGCATAACTGGTCAACTTCAACCCCTCAAAGTTTCAGTCAACAAACTAAGAAAAGGTAAATCCTGGTTTACTGGAAAAAAAAGTAAATCTACTGTTGTCATCTGCTGGTTAGATTTTTTAAAAAGTAACAACATCAAAGCTTCTAGATCAAGTGTTAGTTGCTTGGAAGAAGATTCAAAGATAATATTAGAATGTTTTGTAAATAAATGCTGGATTCTCAATGTTCTTGATGACATGGATACCAATATCGTATGAAAAATGGGAACAAATATTTCAATTCTGAGTTGAAAGTGACTCAGAGGAGTTGGATACTCTACTTGTGAAGAAATTTGGAATAGAGTTTAATTGGCAGCATTTTATTCTCTCTTACTGGTACATAATAGTGGTGCATCTTACAACCACTGGTGTCTTAGGTTCAGTATAACATGATATTTGCATTGGTCTTTACAGAGAAGAATATTGAAGAAGATTCTCAAGTCCAAATAGTTCCCTGAAAAAGGCATATGTGAAACTATAGAGGGGGCCCAGTGAATCACAAACCTGTGGGTGTCTAACTTCTATAAAGTCCAGCTATCAAGATCTTAAAAAGAGAGAGGAACCACCATATATTTAGACAATGAAATAACATTTTTAAAAGAAAAATGGCTGGGTTTCATTAAGAAAGAATTATTTTATTAGATTTTTTTTGAAGAAGTAAGTAGGCATGTGAACAGGAACTGATGGTGGTAATTACGCTGATGTTCAAAAAGTCTTTCACACGGTCCATCCTGGGGACAGTTACAACAACAACAGAAAATAGTCATCATTGAATTGGAATTGCGGTGGGGGTGCAGTTTGGAGATTTGGTGTCTTTTAAGCACTCCAAATTTGTTTTATAAAATTGTAACATCTAGGGTTGGAGACTGGCTTTTCATTCCCTTCCTCTTGGGCTGGCCTGAGAAGCTGTAATTTTCTCTACACTTCAAGACCCATAATTTACAAGCCCTATCCCTCTTCCACCTGTTGCCTTTAAATATCTCAAAAAAAAAAATACTTTCTTATAAACCTCAGGCCACTCTTCTCCAGGCTGAACACCCCTTTAATTTTATCATAGTCTGTTTCTTTGAGAACTTTCCTTTCCTTGAGCCTCTCCTCCAAATATCCTCCAACTTGTCTACATCTTTTATAACTAGCTAGCATAGGTCCCATGTGTCCAGGGATCTTAGTTTATGGCTATTTTCTGAGCTTCATTATTACTAGCAACTCTTTCATTCTCAAAAGTGTTCTCATTAGAATATCATTTTTGGTTAACCTACATACAACTGAACAGAATGTAATATCTAAGAGTGAGCTGACTAGCAAAAGTGAGGGCAGAGCTCTCACCATTCTAAGCCTTGGTACACTACAGGTGCAGCCAAACAGATGCATTAGGGACTTGGTCCATACGTCACACCATTGTCTCATATAAGCTTGTCTCGTGTAAGTGCAGTCCTCAAGTTTTTTCCAGCCTTGCTGCCATGAAGCCACATCTTCCCCGTCTAGTACTTGTGCTGGTGGTTTTTTGGCATTTGTTCCTACTAAATTTCATGACATTATGATTCAACCCATTGTCCAGTCTGTCAAGAACTTTGTCATCCAAAATGCTGGCTTCTCCCTTCCAAATTCCTGTTACCAGAAGACATAATCTTGCTTTTCTATATCATTACCCAAATTCTTGATTTAAAAATATTGTATAGGGCTGGGCGTGGTGGCTCATGCCTGTAATCTCAGCACTTTGGGAGGCCGAGGCGGGAGGATCATGAGGTCAGGAGTTTGAGACCAGCCTGGCCAACATGGTGAAACCCCGTCTCTACTAAAAATACAAAAAATTAGCCAGGCGTGATGGCATGTGCCTGTAATTGGAGCCACTTGGGAGGCTGAGGCAGGAGAATCGCTTGAACCCAGGAGATGGAGGTTGCAGTGAGCCGAGATCGTGCCATTGCACTCCAGCCTGGGTGACAGGGCGAGACTGTGTCTCAAAAATAAATAAATAACTAAATAACTAAATAAGTAAGTAAAGCATAGAATAGCCCTGTGGCACTTTGCTTCTTTCTAGTTTGACCTTGTTGGAGCCAAGGGGAATCTTCCCCCTTGCCCTCAGAGGGTGCACTGAAAAATCAACTTATAGTAAGGCAGATTAATAAGAGAAAAGGCATACAAATTTATTTAATCATGCACACAGGGAGAATCAGAGGATTTCCCTATCTCCCAATGAGGCCCAAACACTTATATAACCTTTTAGAGGCGAGGGGGAAGGAACATCGAGAATACAGGTAATTCTGTTGAGGGCCGTTAAATGATTACTGGCGAAAATGAATAGAGACTTGGGAGAATGAGTGGATTGCAGAGGGGGTGTGTGGTGG
Source organism: Homo sapiens (assembly GCF_000001405.40). Taxonomy (NCBI): domain Eukaryota; kingdom Metazoa; phylum Chordata; class Mammalia; order Primates; family Hominidae; genus Homo; species Homo sapiens. The sequence goes on along the minus strand of NC_000009.12, from coordinate 2,532,579 downwards.
ACAGATTGACTTGTGGTTCTCTTTGGAAGTTGAATGAACCTGAGAGACAGACATTGTTTTGTAAAAAGGTTGGGTCTGGTCTGGTTACGTTCTTCCTCTCCTTTCTTGAAATAGATGATAAGATTACAAGGAAAGAAAGGAAAAGCAATTGTTCATCTTGGTGGTTGCATCCAGTCCTTATGAAGACAGGGAAAAAGTCTCTTCCAAGGCCTGTTGATTTCAAAGGATTTCCAATTAAAAATATTCATTATATCAGGGAGCCATATTTTGGGGTGAAACTCTCTGTGCTCCTTCAATGTCCTTTCACATCTTGGGGGTCATTTAACATCCCAAGCTTACTTAATTGTAGTATCATTAAGGCTATGTATTTCTGGTTTTTGCATGAAAATCACTTGAGAGACCTTTGTAAATGCCTTTTAAAACTTTGAATGTCTAATGTAGAATGACTTTTCCTAATCTATGCATCTAAATAGATAAATTTGTATATAAAAGAAATATATAATGAAAGAAAGAAAAAGGATAACAAAACTGAGATGTCTAACATGACTAGTGAGGGTGTATGGGGGCCTTGGAAATATAATGACTGGCACTTAGAATAGGTCAGTGCTCAACTAATATTTGTTGATCCAAACATAATTTTTCATTGACAAATGAGCAGAAGATCTTGCTTATGACTCTTACTGTGAAAAAAGCCTATATCTTTACACCTGTCAAGGACATCTGCTTTGGGAAGTCCCAAACACAGCTTAGGTCCACACCAGAGTATGAATTGACTATTTGCTAATCATGTAAATATTATTACTGTAACGAAAACATGATTGAGGCTGGAAGTGTGAACCAAATGCAGAAAGTGCCAGCTCTTTAATGTAAGCAGTTAATTAGGCATCATCTTTAAGTCTGGTGATAGGTCCCAGGGTGTTAGTCAAATCAAATATCACCAGCTGCTGAGAGAATAGACTCTTTCAGGAAGCATTCACAATGCTAAGCGGGAGAGAGATGTGGCTTTAAAAGGGGTTTTCTGAGGCTCCAATAGCGAAGGACACCTATAGAAGAATTGTGGGAAACTGTTACGTAGGCATATCCATAACAGACCAAACACTATCTTGAGTCCGTTGAAACAGTGAGAAAAGCCTCGATTTGGATACCAGACAGATCTGGGTTCAACTCCTGCTTCTGTTTTTTCTGGCTTTGGAAAAATCACAGTTAGTTCTCCACAGGTTCACAGGAACAGATCATAATGCTTGGGGTTATATGAGTTGCTGGTAAGATGCCTACAAGCAGCAAAGTAATTAGCACCATCCCTGCAACCATCCTATGGGATCTATGACAAACTTGTGCCCATTGGAAAAATCTTAGGTTCGCCCCTTTATCTCTGGCCCACTGTTAATTGCAGAAGAGAAAGGGTTATAAGAGCAGCACAGGTGTTTGAGCTATGTGTATTTTCCTCTAGGGGACTTGGTGCTATCAGAGGAGGTCATCATGTTGGAAAACAAGTTTTTTTAAAAGTAGAAGTCATAAAGTTGAAGAATTCAGTGACTTTTGCAGGGAAAGAAGTACCTGATTTATGAACAGTCATTATCCTGAACTATTTTGTAGAAATGATGTAACTGATTGATTTTTAATAAGCATTCAAAGTGTTACACAGCAAGTTTTGATGCTTCCAACTGGACGATGAGGTAAGCAATTGAAGTGAGTTTCAGATATTTACCTGTATCTAAACTGGAGTAAACCTAAAGTAAAGCTTTGTAAATTTTGAGTAGAGAGTAACAGAGTACTTTTAAGACTTGGGTTCAGGCCGGGTGTGGTGGCTCACCCCTGTAATCCCAGCACTTTGGGAGGCTGAGGTGGGTGGACTGAGGTCAGGAGTTCGAGACCAGCCTGGACAACATGGTGAAACTCCGTCTCTACTAAAAATACAAAAATTAGCTGGGCATGGTGGCACACACCTGTAATTCCAGCTACTTGGGAGGCTGAGGCAGGAGAATCACTTGAACCTGGAGCAGAAGTTGCAGTGAGCCGAGATGGTGCCATTGCACTCTAGCCTGGGTGATGACAGTGAAACTCCATCTCAAAAAAAAAAGAAAAGAGAAAGACTTGGTTTCTAGAGTCAGGCCACCTAGCTTGGGATCCTGGCTCCATCATTCATCAGCTGTGTGATCTAGGGGCAAGCTACTTCTCTTGCCTCCATTTCTTCATTCATTTAATAGGAATAATTACTTCATAGGATGATCCTGATGATTAAATAAAATAATCTTTGTAAACCTCATCACAGGGAATGATAAAATAAACATTGTGAATGTTCCAGAAACAAATGGATTGATAAGCAACATTTTTTTCTAATTAGTTCTATATATTGTCTTTCTAATTTCCACATCAGTACCATGAGCTTCGAACCTGAGTACCCACTCAGTACCCAAGTGCCTAGGGATTGGGAACCATTTTCATTAGTAGCTTACTCAAAAAACAGCATTCATTTTTGATAAGGTGTTTATAGGCATCAACATGATGTAATATTTAAGAGCAATAATTACAATGTCAGACTTCTGAGTTTGAATCCTCACTTACTGGCACCTTAAAAAGGTGTTTAACCTCTTTGGGCCTTGGTGCCTTTATCTGTAAAATGGGTATTCTGTGTAGTTTAAATGAGGTAATAGATAACGAAGTGCTCACATCAGTGCCAGGCACATAGAAAGTATTCAGTGCTTCACGGTCATTGACTTGTACTGTTAATGAAGCATTTCCCAGAAAAGAAAATGAAGTTAAGAGGTGATACCATGAAGCATTTTTCTTCATCCTGTAAATAATATACTGAGCTTTGAATCTCATAACATTCAAGATGAAATGCTGAAGGATACGTATGCCAGAATTCTTTTTCATAGTCAAACATTAAAGACAAAGTGAGGGTCTATTTAGGTAGAAATAACAATTACATGACATACATACTAACACCCAACAACAGGACTGTGGCAGACATTATTAATCCATCTTGGCTTTCTTGCCTACTGAGTTTACACTCAGCTTCTGAATTTTTCTCAACATAATATTCTGGGCAAGCATTGTCAGTTTGATTGGTATTATGTGAAATAAACTTATTTTCCATCTTTGTTCCACTGTCATCTCTTTAAAGGTGTTATTTTCCCTGAAGGATAAAAAATGTATAGGTTTTCAAGTAAAACCCCTCTATTGAAGTCCCAATCACACTTTTTTTTTTTTTTTTTTTTTTTTTGTGACAGAGTCTTGTTCTGTCGCCCAAGCTGGAGTGCAGTGGTGTGATCTCAGCTCACTGCATCCTCTGCCTCCCAGGTTCGTGTGATTCTCCTGCCTCACACTCCCAAGTAGCTGGGATTATAGGTGTCTGCCACCACGCCCAGCTAATTTTTGTAGTTTTAGTAGAGATGGGGTTTCACCATGTTGGCCAGGCTGGTCTCGAACTCCTGACCTCAAGTGATCCAACCGCCTCAGCCTCCCAAAGTGCTGACTGAGATTATAGGCATGAACCACGGTGCCCAGCCCCAATCAAACTTTTAAATGATGCAAAATAATCATCCCTCATATCCTTAAGCAGGGTGAGTTATATAAAAGAGACAAAAAAAGTTGACTGGCAGTACCCATAATCTATTTTTTGTGCTTCTTGGGAAGATGCTGCTAAGACAGATGACATTGATAGCTGCAATTTAAAAAAATTTGCTAGAGTCTAAAGAAATCCTTTGGAATGTGGTTTCCTTAGTTGTTGACTCAGTGAATAATTTTCTGGAAAGACAGCCAGGTTATACTATCTAGTAGATCATAGAGCTGAGCATCTTTCATTTTATCTTAAGAGAAAGATAAAAATGGCTAAATGTGAAAAGTGTTCCTAGAGGTTGATTTGTTGCTACCCATTTAACTCTAGACTCTATAGTATCTTTTTATTTATTTATTCATTTTTGAGATGGTTTCACTCTGTTGCCCAGGCTGGAGTGCAGTGGCGTGATCTTGGTTCACTGCAACCTCTGCCTCCTGGGTTCAAGTGATTCTCCTGCCTCCGCTGCCCGAGTAGCTGGGATTACAAGCATTTGCTACCACACCTTGCTAATTTTTGTGTTTTTATAGAGATGGGGTTTCACCATGTTGGCCAGGCTGGTCTCAAACTCCTGACCTCAAGTGATCTACCCACCTTGACCTCCCAAAGTCCTGAGATTACAGGTGTGGTCTATAGTATCTTATAATTACAGCATTGTTACTTATATCATCATCATGTGACCTAGTTCTTCAAGAAAGTATAGTTATGCTTGCTATGCACCATTTAAGACAACGAAATATGTACTCACTGTAGAAAAATTTCATCTCTGACAAATCAATGGAAAATGGGCAAAGATAATGAAGAGTTAAACTTCAGAGAAGAGAAAATACAAAAAGCTAGCAAGACTGTAAAGAGTTGTTCAAACTTAGATGACAGAAAAATGTAAAATAAACAATGAGATACTCCTTTACATGTATTAGACTGGCGAAAATTAGGAAGCTGGATAATGCCAAGTGTTAACAGGGATGTGGGGCCATGGGAATGCTTACACACCGCTGATGGGATTGTAGACTGGTGTAGAAATTCTACAGAGGACTCTATTGGTAAGGGCAGATTAGACCTATGTATACTTTCTGACCTGGCAAGCCAAATCCATTCCTGCATATGTATACCACAAAATGTGTTAGTCTGTTCTCATGCTGCTAATAAAGACATACCCAAGACTGGATAATTTATAAAGAAAAGAAATTTAATGGATTCACACTTCCACATGGCTGGGGAGGCCTCAGCATCATGGTGGGAGGTGAAGGAGGAGCAAAGGCATGTCTTACATGGTGGCAGGCAAGAGAGCATGTGCAGGGGAACTGCCCTTTATGAAACCATCAAATCTCATGAGACTTATTCACTATCACAAGAACATGGAAAAACCTTATTCACTATCATGAGAGCATGGGAAAACCTGCCCTCATGATTCAATTACCTTCCACCGGGTCCCTCCCATGACACATGGGGATTATGGAAACTACAATTCAAGATGAGATTTGGGTGGGGACACAGCCAAACCATATCACAAAAAATTATCCAAGAGTTTCCAAGGGCCCTATAGGAATAGGGTGATGACGCATCCTAACTTGCCTGGGACAGTCATAGTGTACAACTGCTGTCCTAGTGTAATTATTAATATCACCCTTTCATTCTCAAAAGTGTTCTCCCTGTGATTAAGGCTGGTCATCGCAGGCTATTCTTGGTGGTGGGGAACTAGAGGCAATGTGGGGAGTGGAGAGGCAAAATGCATTCGATTCACACTATTCAGCAGAAAGCTGGATGAAAAAAGAAACAGGTTGAGGTAGATAACAATGACATTTGCATATAGTTAAGGTCCATGTTTATATAAAACTATATGCTTTATAAGAACACTTACTAACAAAAGGACATAGTTTGAATGATTGCCTTGGGGCAGCAGAGGGGTTCGAGTGGGATAAAGGGAAAATAAATAAAATGATAGAGATCTTGTTGGACCAAAGATTATGAAATAAACCATTGAGAAGGGTGATTAACTCAGCTTTAGTATCTGAATTCAAAAAGTAAGGGTTCCACCAAAATAGATGATTGTGAAGTTAGTATTTATATATTTAATTTATTTATTCTCTTTGAGGTTCCAAGGATATTTAAGGCTGCTTAATAAGTATCTTAAGTAGAAAAATATAAATATAAAAATATTTGAATGAGGAAGCAGAACAGATTGTATATAGAAATAAGAAAGATAAGGCAAAGCTAGCACAAGGTTAACATCTAAAATTCACACCAAAAAGGCCTGTCAGTCAGCTATAAATGGGTCTCTGGTTTGGTGCTAAGCTGTCCAGCAGGAAATGCAAAGAAGGCAATGCCCTTATGTCCATGATCCTCATTATCTGTAATAAGAGTCACCACCAAACCATTCTAAGTACTAGAAAGCAGCGTGCATTTCCCATTCTGAGATCAGAGAGAAATTTCTCCCTTGGGATCTTATAAGGAGGGCACTGTGTAATGAAATAGCGACCTAGAAAACTAATTTCTACAGAATGACTCATTCCAAAGCAATATGGAAAACCAAAATGTTAATTTATTCTAACAGATTTTGGGCTCCTTGAATTTCCACAAAATTACCAGGTTTCAGTTTCAAATTAGTTCAGGAAACATTCCTAATTGTGCAATAAAGCTATGGCCCACAGAGATTGGGCTCTTCCATTTGACTGAGCCAGAAATTCCTGATCATAGTCATAAAGAATGAAAGAAAAAAGAGGGATTATTATTCCAGATTCCAGGAGTGCCACTGCCTTTATACTCCTGAGGAGGTAGGTGGTAGTTAAGGAGAGAATGTCTTCCTCCTTTCTTCCTGAAACAATTTCAGTAGCCATAACTGACTAAAAAACAAACATTGTCATTGATATACAGATCACAGAAAGTAAATCTACTATGTGAAAACAGGTGTCACCCTAAGAGTAAAACCAGCAAAAAGCAATGCATAGTAGAAGAGTTTAGTGGCAGACATCTGAAGAAGGAATCCACACTGAGAGATTATCTCCAAAGGGACATGTAAGGTGTGTGTGTGCGTGTGTGTGTTCGTGTGTGTGTGAGAGAGAGAGAGAGAGAGAGAGAAAGAGAGAAAGTGTGAGTCTGGTATTCTGGTACATTCCAGTTTTGGAGCAAGGGTGCTCATTAAGTTCTTTTGACGCTTGGTTGAAATAATCCCTGAGCATCATTCAATTATATTTGATTTTGTATTCATCAAGCAACCTCTGCTTATTAATTCAGTTTCCAAGAGCCTGAGAATGGGTAGTGTCATAGATTGATGCCTAAAAACTGTAACTATTTCCCTCCCAGTATCTAGGCCCACATGCAATATGACTTTGCAACTCATCCCATCAGAGGATGGAAACTATTTCTTCACCCCCTTGAACCTGGGCTGGCTTTGTAATTTGTTTTGGCCAATAGAATGTGGTGGAAGTGATGGTGTTACCAGAAAGAGTTCCCAATCCAGACTCGTGCGAGAAAGAATTTGAGGTGAGTCCATAAAATGAAAGCAAGTTTATTAAGAAAGAAAAGAATGGCTACTCTGTAGGCAGAGCAGTGGCATGGGCTGCTTGACTGAGTAAATTTATGGTTATTTCTTGATTATATGCTAAACAAGGAGTGGATTATTCATGAGTTTTCCAAGAAAGGGGCAGGCAATTCCTGGAACGGAGGGTTCTTCCCCCTTTTAGACTATATACAGTAGCTCAGACATTGTCATGACATTTGTAAACTGTCATGGCGTTAATGGGAGTGTCTTTTATCATGCTAATATATTATAATTAATGTATAATGAGCAGTGAGGATGACCAGAGGTCACTTTCATCCCCATCTTGGTTTTGGTGGGTTTTTGCTGGAATCCTTACCACATCCTGTTTTATCAGCGGGGTCTTTATGACCTGCATCTTGTGGTACCCGTCCTGCCAACCTTCTATAGCATCCTTTGACTAAGAATGCCTAACCTCCTGGGAATGAAGCCCAGCAGGTCTCATCCTCACTTTACCTGGCCCCTATTCAAGATGGAGTTACTCACTTTACCTAGCCCCTATTCAAGATGGAGTAACTAAGAATAGTGTGTCAGTTCTAAGCCTAGGCGTCAAGAGGCCTTGAATGCTTAACTCTCTCTCTCTCTGAACCCTGCACAACCACCATGGGGTCATACTCAGGCCAACCTGTTCAGTGATGAGAAATGAGGCCTGTTGACTCCTGTTACTCTGGATGATGGCCAAGCAACACCAGACACGTATGTGGGGCCTTCTTTGATCAGCCAGCCTGTAGTCCAACCACTGGCTGACCATAAAGGCCTGAGAAAGCCCAGGAGAGATTAACTGAACCTGGCTCAGATTGTCAACATTTTCCAGCTGCTCTTAGATACGTGAGTAAAAAACAAATGATACCTTGTTTTAAGTCTCTGATTTGCATCCATTAAAGTACAAAAAAAGTCTCTGAGTTTTGCGTGGCTGTTACACAGCAAGAGCTAGCTGCTATTAGGATGGTATCCTGATGTGAGTGTAATAACTAATAGAAAATTCTGTCCTATTAAAATAAAAACAAGAATATTATAAATTGAAAACAAAAACCTGAGCATTTTAGTATGTGTTGTAGGATCTTATAAGTCAGCTAGCATGAAAGTTTTGGAGAACATGAGTAGCTCTGAAGAGGTGGACAAAGCTAAATTTCTGGCTTTCCAGATGGACAGTCAGATCCTAGACAAATGACTTACAAATCACCCCACCCGGAATTCCCAGCATGCGTATGAGGGTAATGCCATTCAGCTCTATTGTGAATAAAATATCATAAAATTTAAGTCACCAATTCCCCATTCCCTCTTAGTTTACATGACAGAAGGTTGTTTTCTCTTAGAGTATCTTTAATTCCTCCTGCATTGCTTCACACCTGCTAGCTGCTGTGAGTTCTCTAACAGCTCCTTTCTTAGAGCTGCGTCTTCCATGCTGTTGGTCTATGTCTCATCACCTCGCCTCAGGGAAATGAAGCGGGGTTATGCACAAAAGTACCTGTCATAAGGGAAGCTGGGAAACAGCAACTTTTAACTGGGTTCTTCCATGCTTTCTGTGACCAGTTCTGACCTCCTGATATTTTCATTTGCGTTTTGTCTTCAGTTTTGTTGTGAGGAATTTGTCTGGGCTTAATGCTTGTGGCTGAGGGAGAGGCACAGGTGGGCCTGGTCCCACGGTCCTGTGAGAAGCCAGCATCTCTTACGCTGCGGCTGAGTCTCATTATGGCCATTGCTGCTGGGCTGGCAGATCATTTGAAAGCAGAATGGAGGCCTCTGGGATTCACTAATGACAGCTGAGGAGATGCGACAGGAGTTTACTGTCTTGGGGCATCATTGTGAAAGTGTGCGTGCCTGTGTCCTGCAAGTAATGACAGATTTCTTTCCTCTCATAACTGCTTAGAACCAGAATTTTTGGGATATCCATACAGGAAAATAAGCAGGATTTAAAATTCAGTTTATAAAATGTATAGAATCCCCAGTGAGAATTCCAAAAGTGGGGAGGGAGAGAGGGAAGGAGAGGAGCAAGGGCTGAAAAACTACCTATTGGGTACTGTGTTCGCTACTTGGGCGATCATTAGAAACCCAAATGTCAGCATCACACAATATACTCATGTAACAAACCCCCTAAATCTAAAATAGAAAATAAAATTTAAAAAATAAAAATTTAAAAATAAAAAACAAAAAGAAATTGCTGAAAATTTTATTAGTGTACTTCGTAACCAAAGTTGAAAGTTTTATGTCTCCAAAATTTTATCATTTCAATAGGTAATCCATTTTAAAAATAAAAATGAAAAAATAAGATATATAGAAACTTTGAAGATATTTTTGTGACCCCACACTCTTTTTCCTCTTCAGAAATGAAAGAACCAGAGCATTATAGCAGAACGAATCCTGGAATGGGAATGGAATGCCTGGATTTGTGGCACAGTTGGGAAGCGTCCTGGCCATGCCATGTTAAAGGTATGCCTCATGGCAAGTTATTTAGCTTTTCTGAGATTTTGTGAAGTGAGAATGGTATTAAATTTGTCATAGGATTAAGTAATTTAAATGTATGTAATTCCTAACATGAAACCTGGAGCAAGTAACTTGATGAGTGTTAGTTCTCTTTTTGCCTTTTCTGACTTTGTGTTTTATTGTTGTTTGCTTGCTCGTAGATGTAATTTTTTACTCTGTAGAGCAAAGGATTAGTTTTTAGAAAGCAAGACGGCATTTATACAAAAATCTTTAAACTGTACTTTTTACCTAATAATTTTCTTTATGTAAATGTGTGCTAATATAATGGTTCAAATAAAAAAGTACAGAGTTATAGTCATAGCAATCCATCATTGCTTCAAATATGTCCTTCCTGATCATTTTGCTGCTTGCCTTATTTTAAAAAGCAAATACTGTCTTCACCCTTATTTTTAAAAATCACTTGTGCTATTTGCTTCTTATTCTCCTATTAATGTTTTCATGTAGTCAGATTATTCCCTTCCTCAAATCATTAATAAAAATAGACCAGTTAAGTCCCCTGGGCTTAACATGAATCACTCCCTTCCAAAAAAAAAAAATGTCAAACAAGCTTATTTCTTTAATCTATGCAGCCATTTTCTAGGAGAAGCAAAATGCTGGATTATAACCCATTTTGTGTGTTCATGCATCTATGGAGAGATATTTCATGGTAATAATTATGCCAATCTTTCATAATATTTGGTCAAAGCAGAGTACACTAAGAAAACAGTCAAGAAAGCACTCAAAGTAGAGGAAAGAGAACTTGTCTTGACTGGGCAGTTGCTACATGCTCATCCTTCCGTTGGGTTCTTCCAAAATGTCGCTTTGACAAAACACCCTGAGTAAGCCCTTTAATCTTCCATTTTCTGAACATGAAACTAAAGCCCCAATAATTCAAATGGCTTGAAACACAGACCATGAATTTGAACAAAGGGCTGCTTGACTTTAAAATCTATGTTCTTATTTCTATTCCCAGCTGTCTCCAAGGCAGTGATTCTTACCCTTGGCTACACATTGGAGTCATTTGGGAAGCTAGAAAAAAAAAATGCCCAGGACCTGGGCAAGACGGCTGAATAAGAACAGCTCTGGTCTGCAGTTCCTAGCAAGATCAACGCAGAAGGCAAGTAATTTCTGCATTTCCAACTGAGGTACCTGGCTCATCTCACTGGGACTGGTTAGACAGTGGGGGCAGCCCACAGAGGGCGAGCAGAAGCAGGGTAGGGCATCGCCTTACCCAGGAAGCGAAAGGGTTTGGGGAACTCCCTCCCCTCACTAAGGGAAGCTGTGAAAGACTGTGCCGTGATGAATGGTACATTCTGGCCCAGATACTATGCTTTTCCCACAGTCTTTGCAACGCGCAGACCAGGAGATTCCCTCGGGTGCCTACACTACCTGGGCTCTGGGTTTCAAGCACAAAACTGGGCGGCTATTTGGGCAGAAACTGAGCTAGTTGCAGGAGTTTTTTTTCATACCCCCAGTGGCACCTGGAACACCAGTGAGAGAGAAGTGTTTGCTCCCCTGGAAAGGGGGCTGAAGCCAGAGAGCCAAGTGGTCTAATTTAGCAGATCTCACCCCCACAAAGCCCAGCAAGCTAAGATCCACTGGCTTGAAATTCTCACTGCCAGCACAGCAGTCTGAAGTTGGCCTGGGACACTCGAGCTTGGTGGGAGAAGGAGCATCTGCCATTACTGAGGCTTGAGTAGGCAGTTTTCCCCCTCACGGTGTAAATAAAGCTACCAGGAAGTTCGAACTGGGCAGAGCCCACCACAGCACCGCAAAGCTGCCGTAGCCACACTGCCTCTCTAGATTCCTTCTCTCTGGGCAGGCCATCTCTGAAAGAAAGGCAGCAGCCCCAGTCAGGGGCTTATAGATAAAATTCCCATCTCCCTGGGACAGAAGACCTGGGGGAAGGGGCAGCTATGGGCACAGCTTCAGCAGACTTAAACGTTCCTGCCTGTAGGCTCTGAAGAGAGCAGTGTATCTCCTAGCACAGCGTTTGAGCTCTGCTAAGGGACAGACTGACTCCTCAAGTGGGTCCCTGACCCTCGTGCCTGCTGAATGGGAGACACCTCCCAGCAGGGGTCGACAGACACTTCATACAGGAGAGCTCCAGCTGGCATCTGGCAGGTGCCCCTCTGGAAAGAAGCTTCCAGAGGAAGGAACAGGCAGCAATCTTTGCTGTTCTGCAGCCTCCCCCAGGCACACAGGGTCTGGAGTGAACCTCCAGCAAACTCCAGCAGACCTGCGGCAGAGGGGACTGAATATTAGAAGGAAAACTAACAAACAGAAAGGAATAGCATCAACATCAATAAAAAGGATGTCCACACAAAAACCCCATCTGCAGGTCACTAACATCAAAGACCAAAGGTAGACAAATCCACAAAGATGAGGAAAAACCAGCACAAAAAGGCTGAAAATTCCAAAACCAGAACACCTCTCCTCCTCCAAAGGATCACAACTCGTCGCCAGCAAGGGAACAAAACTGGATGGAGAATTAGTTTGACAAATTGACAGAAATAGGCTTCAGAAGGTGGGTAATAACAAACTCTTCCGAGCTAAAGGAGCATGTTCTAACCCAATACAAGGAAGCCAAGAACTTTGAAAACAGTTAGACAAATTGCTAACTAGAAAACCCAGTTTAGAGAAGATCATAAATGACATGATAGAGCTGAAAAACACAACACGAGAACTTTGTGAAGCGTACACACATATCAATAGCTGAATCGATCAAGCAGAAGAAAAGATATCAGAGATTGAAGATCAACTTAATCAAATAAAGCATGAAGACAAGGTTAAAGAAAAAGGAATGAAAAGGAACTAACAAAGCTTCCAAGAAATATGGGACTATGTGAAAAGACCAAACCTACATTTGATTGATGGACCTAAAAGTGATGGGGAGAATGGAATCAAGTTGGAAAACACTCTTCAGGATATTATCCAGGAGAACTTCCCCAACCTAGCAAGACAGGCCAACATTCAAATTCAGGAAATACAGAGAACACCAGAAAGAAAAAATGTGAAGGGCTGCCAGAGAGAAAGGTCAGATTACCCACAAAGGGAAGCCAATCAGACTAACAGCAGATATCTCTGCAGAAACCCTACAAGCCAGAAGAGAGTGGGGGCCAATATTCAACATTCTTAAAGAAAATAATTTTCAACCCAGAATTTCATATCCAGCCAAACTAAGCTTCATAGGCAAAGGAGAAATAAAATTATTTACAGACAAGCAAATGCTGAGAGATTTTGTCACCACTAGGCCTGCCTTACAAGAGCTCCTGAAGGAAGCACTAAATATGGAAAGGAAAAATTGGTACCAGCCACTGCAAAAAACATACCAAATTGTAAAGACCATTGACACTAAGCAAAAACTGCATCAACTAATGGGCAAATAACCAGCTAGCGTCATAATGGCAGGATCAAATTCCCACGTAACAAATATTAGCCTTAAAAATAAACTTGCTAAATGTCCCAATTAAAAGCCACAGACTGGCAAATTGGATAAAGAGTCAAGACCCATTGGTGTGCTGTATTCAGGAGACCCATCTCACGTGCAAAGACACACATAGGCTCAAAATAAAGGGATGGAGGAAGATATACTAAGCAAATGGAAAGCAAAAAACAACAGGGGTTGCAATCCTAGACTCTGATAAAATAGACTTTAAACTAACAAAGATCGAAAAAGACAAAGAAGGGCATTACATAATGGTAAAGAGATCAATGCAACAAGAAGAGCTAACTGTCCTAAATATATATGCACCTAATACAGGAGCACCCAGATTCATAAAGCAAGTTCTTAGAGACCTACAAAGAGACTTAGACTCCCACACAATAATAGTGGGAGACTTTAACACCCCACTGTCAATGTTAGATCAATGAAACAGAAAATTAACAATGATATTCAGGACTTGAACGCAGCTCTGGACCAAGCAGAACTAACAGACATCTACAGAACTCTCCACCCCGAATCAATAGCATATATATTCTTCTTGCCACCACATCGCACTTATTCTAAAATTGACCATGTAATTGGAAGTAAAACACTCCTCAGCAAATGCAAAAGAATGGAAATCATAACAGTCTCTCAGACCACAGTGCCATCAAATTAGAACTCAGAATTTAAAAACTCACTCAAAACTGCACAACTACATGGAAACTGAACAATCTTCTCCTGAATGACTACTGGGTAAATAATGAAATTAAGACAGAAATAAATAAGTTCTTTGAAACGAATGAGAACAAAGACACAAAGTACCAGAATCTCTGGGACAGCTAAAGCAGTGTTTAGAGGGAAATTTATAGCACTAAATGCCCACAGGAGAAAATGGGAAAGATCTAAAATTGGCACCCTAACATCACAATTAAAAGAACTAGAGAAGCAAGAGCAAACAAATTCAAAAGCTAGCAGAAGACAAGAAATAACTAAGATCAGAGAAGAACTGAAGGAGATAGAGACAAAAAACCCTTTAAAAATCAGTGAATGCAGGAGCTTGTTTTTTGAAAAGTAACAAAATAGATAGAATGTTATTTAGACAAAGAAGAAAAGAGAGAAGAATCAAATAGACACAACAGAAAATGATAAAAGGGATATCACCACTGATCCCACAGAAATATAAACTACCATCAGACAATACTATAAACACCTCTATGCAAATAAACTAGAAACTCTAGAAGAAATGGATAAATTTCTGGACACATACATCCTACCATGACTAAACCAGGAAGAAGTTGAATCCCTGAATAGACCAATAACAAGTTCTGAAATTGAGGCAGTAATTAATAGCCTACCAACCAAAAAAAGCCCAGGACCAGACAGGGTCACAGCTGAATTCTACCAGAGGTACAAAGAGGAGCTGGTACTGTTCCTTCTGAAACTATTCCAAACAATAGGGACTCCTCCCTAGCTCATTTTATGAACATCATGTGAAAATCCTCAATAAAATACTGGCAAACTGAATACAGCAGCACATCAAAAAGCTTATCCACCATGATCAAGTCAGCTTCATCCCTGGGATGCAAGGATGGTTCAACATATGCAAATCAATAAATGTAATCCATCACATAAACAAAACCAATGACAAAAACCACATGATTATCTTGATAAATGCAGAAAAGGCCTTCGATAAAATTCAACACCCCTTCATGCTAAAAACTCTCGATAAACTTGGTATTGATGGAATAGATCTCAAAATAATAAGAGCTACTTATGACAAACCTACAGCCAATATCATACTGAATGGGCAAAATCTGGAAGCATTCTCTTTGAAAACTGGCATAAGACAAGGGTGCCCTCTCTCACCACTCCTATTCAACATAGTATTAGAAATTCTGCCCAGGGCAATCAGGCAAGAGAAAAGAAGAAAGTGTATTCAAATAGGAAGAGAGAAAGTCAAATTGTCTCTGTTTGCAGATGACATGACTGTATATTTAGAAAACCCCACTGTCTCAGCCCAAAATCTCCTTAAACTGATAAGAAACTTCAGCAAAGTGTCAGCATACAAAATCGATGTGCAAAAATCACAAGCATTCCTGTACACCAACAATAGACAAACAGAGAGCCAAATCATGAGTGAACTCCCACTCACAGTTGCTACAAAGAGAATAAAATACTTAGAAATACAACTTAGAAGGGATGTGAAGGACCTCTTCAAGGAGAACTACAAACCACTGCTCAAGGAAATAAGAGAGGACACTAACAAATGGAAAAACATTCCATGCTCATGGATAGGAAGAATCCATGTCATGAAAATGGCCATACTGCCCAAAGTAGTTTATAGATTCAATGCTATCCCATCAAGTTGCCATTGACTTTCTTCACAGAATTAGAAAAATCTACTTTAAATTTCATATGGAATCAAAGAAGAGTCATATAGCCAAGACAATCGTAAGCAAAAGGACAAAGTTGGAGGCATCATGCTACCTGACTTCAAATTATACTACATGGCTAGAGTAACCACAACAGCATGGTACTGGTACCAAAACAGATGTATAGACCAATGGAACAGAACAGAGGCCTCAGAAATAATGCCATACATCTACAACCATCGGCTCTTTGACAAACCTGACAAAAACAAGCAATGGAGAAAGGATTCCCTATTTAATAAATGGTGTTGAGAAAACTGGCTAGCCATATGCAGAAAACAGAAACTGGACCCCTTTCTTACACCTTATACAAAAATTAACTCAAGATGGATTAAAGACTTAAACATAAGACCTAAAACCCTAAATACCCAGAAGAAAACCTAGACAATCCCATTCAGGACATAGACATGGGCAAAGACTAAAACACCAAAAGCAATTGCAACAAAAGCCAAAATTGACAACTGGGATCTAATTAAACTAAAGAACTTCTGCACAGCAAAAGAAACTATCACTGGAGTCAGCAAGCAACCTACAGGATGGGAGAAAATTTTTGCAATCTATACATCTGACAAAGGGCTAATATCCAGAATCTACAAATAAACAAATTTACGAGAAGAAAACAAACAGTCCCATCAAAAAGTGGGTGAAGGATATGAACAGGCACTTCTCAAAAGAAGACATTTATGCAGCCAACAAATATATGAAAAAAAAAAAAAGCTCATCATCACTGATCATTAGAGAAATGCAAATCAAAACCATAATGAGATACCATCTCATACCAGTTAGAATGGCGATCATTAAAAAATCAGGAAACAACAGATCCTGGAGGGGATGTGGAGAAATAGGAATGCTTTTACACTGTTGGTGGGAGTGTAAATTAGTTCAGCCATTGTGGAAGACAGTGTGGCAATTCCTCAAGGATCTAGAACCAGAAATACCATTTGACCCAGCAATCCTATTACTGGGTATATACCCAAAGGATTATAAATCATTCTACTACAAAGACACATGCACATGTATATTTATTGCAGCACTATTCACAATAGCAAAAAAGACTTGGAACCAACCCAAATGCCCATCAGTGATAGACTGGATAAAGAAAATGTGAAGTGGATTTTTGTCTTGTGAAAAAAAAAAAGAAAGAAAAAGAAAATGTGGCACATATACACCATGGAATACTATGCAGCCATAAAAAATGATGAGTTTATGTCCTTTGCAGAGACATGGATGAAGCTGGAAACCATCATTCTCAGCAAACTGACACAGGAACAGAAAACCAAACACCGCATGTTCTCACTCATAAGTGGGAGTTGAACAATGAGAACATTTGGACACAGGGAGGGGAACATCACACACCGGGGCCTGTCAGGGGTGTGGGGCTAGGGGAGGGATAGCATTAGAAGAAATACCTAATGTAGATGATGGGTAGTTGGGTGCAGCAAACTGCCACGGCACAAGTATACCTATGTAACAAACCTGCACGTTCTGCACATGAATCCCGGAACTTAAAGTATACTAAAAAAAAAAAAAAACAAAAAAAAAAACCTGTCACAATAATAAAGAAGGAGAACAAAATTGGAGGAGTCACACTACCTGACTTCAAGACTTACTATAAGGCAGGTCACAGGGGATATGATGGCTTAGCTTGGGCTCAGAGGCCTGACATTCCTGTCTTCTTATATTAATAAGAAAAACAAAATAAAATAGTGGTGAAGTGTTGAGGCAGTGAAAATTCTTGGGGGTGGTATGGAGAGAGAAAGGGCGATGTTTCCCAGGGCTGTTTCGAGTGGGATTAGGGGCAGCATGGGAACCTAGAGTGGGAGAGATTAAACTGAAGAAAGATTTTATGGTAAGGGGTGATATCGTAGGGTTGTTAGAAGGAGCATTTGTTGTATAGAATGATTGATGATGGCCTAGATGCAGTTTTGTATGAATTGAGAAACTAAACGGAAGACACAAGGCCCGAATAAGAGAAGGAGAAAAACAGGTATTAAAGGACTAAGAATTGGGTGGTCCCAAGACATCCAATTAGAGAGTGCCTAAGGGGGTTCAGTGTAATTATTTGCTTGGTTGGTGAGTTTTTGGGCTCTGCCCTTGAGTTTTTTTTTTTTTTTTTATGTTGTCATATACCAGGCCAGATTGATTTAGGTAAAAACAACACTCTTCATTTAAAAATATACAGAGTTTTCCTTTTTAAGTTGGAGGCTGAGCTTGGTGTGGTGTGTTTTTAAAAGACCATTAGTCTGTTCTACCTTTCCTGAAGATTGAGGACGGTAAGCGGTATGAAGGTTTCACTGAATACCAAGAGCCTGAGAAACTGCTTGGGTGATTTGACTAATAAAAGCCAGACCATTGTCAGATTGAATAGAAGAAGGGAGGCCAAATCAGGGAATCATATCTGTTAGAAGGGAAGAGATGACTGCAGTAGCCTTTTTGGAGCTAGTGGGAAAGGCCTTGACCTATCTGTTGAAGTTGTCGACTGAACCAGGAGATACTTAAATTTATGGACATGGGGCATAGGAGTAAAGTCAATCTGCCAATCTTGTGTTGGAGTAAATCCATGGGCCTGATGTGTAGGAAAAGGAGGAGGCCTGAGAAAGCCTTGGGGGCTGCTGGCGTGGCAGACAGAGCATTGAGAGGTGAAGGTCTTAAGGATGGATTTCCATGAAGGGAAGGGGATGAAGGGCTGCAGAAGGGCAAGCCAGAGGCTTGTATCCCACGTGGCAGTGGTCATGAAGGTAAGAAAGAATGGACTGAGCTTGTGAGGCAGGAAGAATGAATTTTCCATGATCTAAGAACCACTTGTCCTGAGTTGGAAAAGACTGGTAGAGCAGGTTTTCAGAAGAAGAGTAGGTGGGAATGATAGAGGAGAAAGAAAAATACTGGCCCTCTGGAGTGGGGGCTGAAATATTAGTGGGTGTGGAGGAATTGGCTTTTTTTTTTTTTTTTTTTTTTTTTAGCTGTCCTGTCAGCGTAGGCATTTCCCTTTGCAATAAGATCAGTAGGTTTCTGGTGTCCTTTATAATGAATGATTCCAGCCTCGGCTGGCAGAAGAGCAGCCTTAAGGAGGGCCTTTATTAGGGAGGCATTGATAATGGAAGAGCCTTGTGTGGTGAGAAAACCTCTTTTAGCCCAAATGGCAGCATGTTTATGGAGGATGTGGAAAGCATATTTGGAGTCAGTGTAAATGTTAATGTGCATTCCTTTAGCGAGAGAGAGCACATGAGTTAAAGCAATCAGTTCGGCTTGTTGGGAAGTAGTGGAGGGAGGAAGTGCAGCAGCTTCGATAATAGAGGTATGGGACATGACAGCATATCCAGCTTTAGCTGGTGAAAATTGATTGAGTTTAGAAGAATTGCCATAGATTAACTAAGTGTGGTCTGTGTTTGGAATTGGAAGAGTAGAAATATGAGGAAAAGGGGAAGATGCTATGTGTATTAAAGAAATACAGTCATGTGATTCAGGACTTGTGTTGGGTGCTAAGTGAGAAGCTGGGCTGAAATCAGGCCCATGGGTAATAGTTACTGTTGGAGTTTTAACAAAGAGTGAATAGAGCTGGAGGAGTTGAGGGGCAGACAATAAATGTGAAAGGTATGAGAAGGATATTAATGCTTGAAGATTGTGAGAACTGTAGAGGGTAAGTGGAGCATAGCTTGTGATTTTGAGGGCCTCTAGAAGTATTAAAGTGGTGGCTGCTGCCCCACACAGACATGAGGGCCAGCCTAGAACTGTGAGGTCAAGTTGTTTTGATAGAAAGACAACAGGTCATGGGCTTGGCTCCTGTGTGAGGACTCCAGCAGCACAGCCTTGTATTTCAGCTGTGTGTAAGGAAAAAGTTTGGGATGAGTTGGGGAGTGCTAGTGTGGGAGCTGTCTCCGGGGCCTTTTTGAGAGAGAGCAAAAGGAAGAATGGGGAAAAGACTTAGGGTCTATGGGATCAGTTAAGTTACCCTTTGTGAGCTTGTAAAGTGGTTTTGGTTAGGATAGCAAAGCCTGGTATCCAGAGTCAGAAATATTTAACAATGCCTAAGAAGGAAAGGAGTTGTTGTTTGGTGATGGGGATTGGGGTCTGGGAGATTAACTGAACATGGTCTGCAGGAAGGGCACGTGTATGTTGTTGGAGGATTATACCGAAATAGGTAACGCCAGGGG
The DNA here is from genome assembly GCF_000001405.40 of Homo sapiens. Classification (NCBI taxonomy): domain Eukaryota; kingdom Metazoa; phylum Chordata; class Mammalia; order Primates; family Hominidae; genus Homo; species Homo sapiens. Next base: position 2,513,012 of record NC_000009.12, on the reverse strand, counting down.
ATGACATTTGTTCCTTGGAGGGGGATACTTGGTACCTCTTTGAGTAGAGATGTTGAAGAAGCAGGATAGTGTCTTGCTGGGAAGATTAGTAAGAGGGGCTGCAAAGAAGAAGATCATCAAAATATTGAATAAGGCGAGAAGCAGAGGGGTAGAAAGAAAGTAAATCATGAGAAAGAGCTTGGCTGAAGTAATGAGGGCTGTCCCTGAAGCCTTGTGGCAGTACAGCCCAGGTAAGCTGCTGGGACTGATGGGTGTCAGGTTCAGTCCAGGTAAAAGCAAAGACGAGGTAAAAGCTGGGATGAGGGGTGCAGGGGAATAGTGAAAAAAGCATCTTTAATATCAAGAACAGAATAGTGAGTTGTGGAGGAAGGTATTGAGGACAAAAGAGTGTACAGGTTGGGCACCACAGGGTGGATAGGAAAAACAATTTGGTTGATAAGGCACAGATTCTGAACTAACCTGTAAGACTTGTCTGGTTTTTGGACAGGTAAAATGGGGGAATTGTAAAGGGAGTTTATAGGCTTTAGAAGGCCATGCTGCAGCAGGCGAATGATAACAGGCTTTAGTCCCCTTAAAGCCTGTTGTGGGATGGGGTACTGGCATTGAGCAGGGTAAAGGTAATCAAGTTTTAATGGGATAGTAATGGGTGTGTGATCGGTTGCCAGGGAGGGAGTAGAGGCATCCCATACTTGTGGGTTAAGGTAGGGGGATACAAGAGGAAGACATGAAGGAGGCTTTGGTTTGGGGAGAAGGGCAGCAATAGATGTGGCTGTAGTCCAGGAATAGTCAGGGTAGAGGATAATTTTGTTAAAACCTCTCAACCTAATAAAGGAACTGGGCAGGTGGGGATAACTAAAAAGGAGTGCATAAAAGAATGTTGTCCAAGTTGGCACCAAAGTTGGGGAGTTTTAAGAGGTTTAGAAACTTGGCCATCAATATCCACAACAGTTATGGAGGCAAGGGAAACAGGCCCTTGAAAAGAAGGTAATGTGCAGTGGGTAGCTTCCATATTGATTAAGAAGGGGACAGACTTACCCTCCAATATAAGATTTACCCAAAGCGTCAGTGATGGTCCAGAAGCCTTCCGAGGCAATTGGGCAGTGTCAGTCTTCAGCCACTAAGCAAAAAAGATCTGGGAAGGAGTCAGTCAGAGACCCTTGGGCCAGAGTTCCAGTGGCTCTGGGAGTGGCTGCTGGGCAAGTTGGACAGTCTGATTTCCAGTGGGGTCCTGCACACATGGGATACAGCTTAAGGGGAATCCTGGGCTGTGGGCATTCCTTGTCCCAGTGACCAGATTTCCAGCACTTGAAGCAAGATCCTGTGGGAGGAGGTCCTGGAGGAACACCTGGCTACTGCGGTTTAGGCATTTTGAAGTTCTTATGTGCTGGAGAGTGGTTGGGGTTTGTCTCACAGTGGAGGCAAGTAATTGCAACTCAGAAATATGTTGCCGCTTGGCTGCCTCTTCTCTGTTATTGTACACCTTGAAGGCGAGGTTAATTAAGTCCTGTTGTGGGGTATGAGGGCTGGAATCTAATTTTTGGAGGTTTTTCTAATGTTGGGAGCAGATTGGGTAATAAAATGCATATTGAGAATAAGATGACCTTCTGGACCCTATGGGTCTAGGGTGGTAAAGCATCTAAGGGTTGTTGCCAAATGGACCATGGACTGGGCTGGGTTTTTATATTTGATTAAAAAGAGCCTAAAAACCAACTGATTTGGGAGAGGTCGGCTAAAAAAAAAAAAAAAAAAAAAAAGGAGCATTAACCTTGACTATGCCTTCAGCTCCAGCCACCTAAGAAGAAATTGTTGGGCAGGTGGGGGAGGGCTAGTCACAGAATGAAACTGTAAGCCGGACCAGGTGTGAGGTGGGGAGGTGATAGAAGGATTATAGGGTGGGGGAGCTGAGGCTGAGGAAGAATTGGGACCTGGCTTGGCCTGGTGAGGAGCAGCCTGGGGAGGAGGAGAGAGGTTAGATGGGTCCATAGAAAAGGAGGATTCAAAGGACTCAGAGCTTGGGGTGAAGACTGAAGGAACAGACAGGAGAGAAAGAAGAAAGATTTGGGATGAGTGGCATTGGGAGCAGAGACTAGGGAGGGACAAATGTGTAAAGAATGCCTGGACATCAGGCACCTCAGACCATTTGCACATTTTTCGACAAAAATTATCTAGATCTTGTAGGATGGAGAAATCAAAAGTGCCATTTTCTGGCCATTTAGAACCATTGCCAAGTTTGTATTGGGGCCAAGCGGTGTTGCAGAAGAAAATAAGACTCTTAGGTTTTAGGTCAGATGAAAGTTGAAGAGGTTTTAAGTGTTTTAGAACACAGGCTAAGGGAGAAGAAGGAGGAATGGAGAGTGGAAGGTTGCCCATAGTAAAAAGGCAAGTTTAGAAAAAAGAGAGGGTAGAGACACGGAGAGAGGGGAGGTGGTAGTTGCCACCAGGGGGAGGTGGTACCTGACACCAAGGGCAGGTGGCACTTGCCACCAAGGTGAAGGATCAAGGCAGGCATCCCCGCCGTGATCAGACACCTCTAGAATGTGGTGAATAATCAGGCAGGTGTTCCAGCAGTGATTAGACACCAAGGGAAGACTGTCTTCCCAAGTCCATGACCGGCACCAGAGTTTTGAGTTCACGGATAAAATGCATCTCCTCTGTCTCTACCAGAAAGGGAAAGGAACCGAAATTAAGGGAGAGATTGAAAGGTGGAGGCATAGCCAGAGAGGTTGGAGAAGAGAATAAAACGAGGCTGCTTACCCAATTTAAAATTGGTGAGATGTTCCTTGGGCTGGTCTGAGGACCCAAGGTTGTAGGTGGATCTCCTCAAGGAGAGAGGGCAAGGACAGGGCACTGGTCTCCCGAAGGAGTCCCCCTGTCCCGGGTCTTTGGCACCAAATGTTACATGAGTCTGTGTGAAGAGACCACCAAACAGGCTTTGTGTGAGCAATAAAGCTTTTTAATCACCTGGGTGCAGGCGGGCTGAGTACGAAAAAGGAGTCAGCAAAGGGAGAATAG